>NC_000009.12:80720552-83220552 GCF_000001405.40 Homo sapiens
TGTATACTATAGCCTATTGCTCCGAGGCTGCAAACCCATACAACATGTTACTGTATTGAATACTGGAGGTAATTGCAACATATGGTAAATTTGTGTATCTAAACATATCTAAACATAGAAAAGATATAGTCTATATGCAGAATAAAATATTAAAAATATGGCACACCTATATAGGTCACTTACCATACACGGAGCTTGCAAGACTGGAAGTTGCTCTAGGTGAGTCAGTGATTGTGTAATGAATGAATGTGAAAGCCTAGGACATTATTGTATACTACTGTAGACTTGGTAAACATTGTACATTTAGGTTATGCTGAATTTACTTTTAAAAAGTAATTGTATTGCTTTTTTAAAATGTTAGGACAGCTACATTGCATTTTTGTTGTTGTTGTTTTTGTTATTCTCACTGAGATGGAGTCTTGCTCTGTCACCGAGGCTGGAGTGCAATGGCATGATCTCAGCTCACTGCAACCTCTGCCTCCAGGGCTCAAGCGATTCTCCCACCTCAGCCTCCCGAGTAGCTAGGATTACAGGCAACTGCCATCATGCCTGGCTAATTTTTTTGTATTTTTGTAGAGACAGGGTTTCACCATGTTGGCCAGGCTGATGTTAAACTCCTGACCTCAGGTGATCCACCTGCCTCGGCCTCCAAAAGTACTGAGATTACAGGCATGAGCTACTGTGCCTGGCCCATTGCATTTTTAGAAAGTATTTGCATTGCTTTATAAAAGATGTTAGGACAGCTACAATTTATTAAATTGTACATTAGGACATTATTGTATACCACTGTAGACTTTATAAACACTGTACATTTAGGTGACACTAAATTTATTTTTAAAAAGTAATTCCATTGCTATTTTAAAATGTTAGGAAAGCTACATTGCATTTTTTAAAAGTAATTGCATTGCTTTTTAAAAGATGTTAGGACAGCTACAACATCACTAAGTGATATTTTTCAGCTCCATTATAATCTTATGAGACCACCATAGTATATGTGGTCTGTGGTTGACTAAAAGATTCTTAGGGTACACATGACTGTATTAGAAATCTAGCTCAATCTATAGTGCAGGAGTTGGATAGAAGCAGAGCGTGATAATCAAATGAGAAATAGGAACACAAGAGGTAATCCAGGTGAAAATTGGTTAGTCAGTTTTATTAAGGAAATAGAATTTGCCAAATTTTGCAACTAATAGAATATCATAAAAGTGGAAAAGAAATAATAAGCTACATTTTATTTGGTTATTTTCAGTGTGAGTGCACTCATTACCCCACAGGATAGACAATCTATTTTTTGAAATGTTCATATGAAGCTGAATTCTACATCTCTGAAACATGATCTTTAATTTTTTCTATAGAAACTATAAAAAATAAACCAGTGTTTTATATAACATCCTTTCTGATATGTAAATACAGCTACACTATCATCTCTACATCTTAACTTTTTTCCAGGTAAAATTGAGCCCAGGTTTAAATTATTTCTTAAATGACATGTTATCTAACAATTTCTCCATCCTGACTATGCCTTTCTAAATATACTTATGTGTAAATACTTCTTTTAAAATCCAGTAGCCCATCGAACTCCAGTTGTGGGCTGGCTAGCATACAGCCCAGAAGAATAAGGTCCTTGGATCTGAAGACTGTCGATTTAGTTGTAGAGCCAGAAATGGCATGATCTTCTTTCCCCCTTCATTTCTTAATTCCTTTGTTCTTTTGTTCATTCATTCTTTCTTCCTTCCTCTCTGCTTCCCTCTGTATTTTCCATTCTTTTTTAGGCAGTTGTTTCATACTGTAATTGGTACTAAGTAGAGTTTGCAGTGGCCTAACATCCTGAGGTTATATTGCACTAAGCATTCTCTTTTAACTTGTATTCAAGCAGTTATATTATTTTAACCTAACGAAGAAAATCTATATTATTGTGCAATCTCAGTGCATCAATGTGACTTATATTGTTTTGAGTTTTGATTCTTTCGCTCACCATATTAGTTATTCCCCATGCCATCTGCTCTATTTATTAAACCCTTGCTTATTTTCAAACAAATAATTTTCCCATTTACTGTATTAGTCCATTCTCATGCTGCTAATACATACCTGAGACTAGGTAGTTTAAAAAGGAAAAAGGTTTTTTCCTTTTTAAAAAACGTTTTTAAAAAACCTTTTAAAAAACCTTTTTAAAAAAACCATGTTGACTCACAATTCAACATGGCTGGCAAGTCCTCAGGAAACTTAAAATCATGGCAGAAGGGGAAGCAAACACATCCTACTTCACATGGTGGCACAGCAAAAGTCAACTTTGCTCCAGTTCCCATCAAGTTCCTCATCTCCTTCTGAGACCACCACAGCCTGGACTTTATTGTCCACATTACTATCAGCATTTTGGTCAAACCCATTCAACAAGTCTCTAGGAAGTTCCAAACTTTCCCACATTTTCCTGTCTCCTCCTGAATCCTCTAAACTGTTCCAACTTGCCTGTTACCATGTTGTAAAGTAGCTTCTACATTTTCTGGTGTCTTTATAGCAGTGCTCCACTCCTGGTACCAATTTACTGTATTAGTCCATTCTCATGGTGCTAACAAAGACATACCCAACACTGGGTAACTTTTTAGAGAAAAGAGGCTTAATTGACTCAGTTAAGCGTGGCTGGGGAGGCCTCAGGAAACTTAGAATCATGGCAGAAGGGGAAGAAAACACATCCTTCTTCACATGGCACAGGAGAAGTGCTGAGCAACAGGGGGAAAAGTCCCTTATAAACCATCAGAACTTATGAGAACTCACTCAGTATCATGAGAACAGCATGAGGGTAACTGACACCCACAATTAAATTACCTCCCACCAGGCCCCTCTCATGACACATCGGGATTATGGGAATAATTCAAGATGAGATTTGGGTGGGGACACAGCCAAACCATATCATTCCACCTATGGCCCCTCCCAAATTTCATGTCCTCATGTTTCAAAACACACCCACACCTTCCCAACAATCCTCCAAAGTCTTAACTCATCCCGGCATTAAATCAAAAGTCCAAGTTCAAAGTCTCATGTGAGACAAGGAAAGTCCCTTCTGCCTATGAGCCTGTAAAATCAAAAGCAATTTAGTTACTTCCTAGATAAAATGAGGATACAGGCATTTGGTAAATACACCCATTCCAAATGGGAAAAAATGGGCCAAAACATAGGGGCAGGTCCCATCCAAGTCCAAAATACCGTAAGGCAGTCATTAAACTTTAATGTTCCAAAATGATCTCCTTTGATCCATGTCTCAAATCCAGGGCATGCTGATGCAAGAGGTGGGCTCCCACAGCCTTAGGCAGCTCTGCCCCTGTGGCTTTCCAGGGTACTGCTCTCCTCCTGGCTGCTTTCATGGGCTGCCATTGAGTGTTTGTGGCTTTTCCAGGTGCACAGCGCAAGCTTTCAGTGGATCTCCCATTCTGAGTTCTGGAGGATGGTGGTCCTTTCTCACAGCTTCACTAGGCAGCACACCAGTGGTAACTCTGTGTGGAGTCTCCGACACCATATTTCCCTTCTACATTGCCCTAGCAGAGCTTCTCCATGAGGGCTCTACCTCTGCAGCAAACTTCTGCCTATACATCCAGGCATTTCCATACATCCTCTGAAGTCTAGCCAGAGGTTCCCAAACCTCAATTCTTGACTTCTTTGCACCCACAGGCTCAACATCACATGTAAGCTGCCAAGGCTTGAGGTTTGGACCCTGCAAAGCAATGGCCTGAGCTATACCTTGGCCTTTTTTAGCCACAACTAGAGTTGAAGCAGCTGGGATGCACAGCACCATGTCCCGAGGCCATAAACAGCAGAAGTGCCTAGGCTTGGGCCATGAAACCATTTTTCCCTCCTAGGCCTGCAGGCCTGTGATAGGAGGGGCTGCTGTGAAGGTATCTGACATGGTCTGGAGACATTTACCCCATTGTCTCGGTGGTTAACATTTGGCTCCTCAGAACTTAGGCAAATTTCTGCAGTGGGCTTGAATTTCTCACCAGAAAATGTGTTTTTCTTTTGTGTTGCATCATCACACTGCAAATTTTCCAAACTTTTATGCTCTGCTTCCTCTTAAACCCTTTGCCACTTACAAATTTCTTCTGCCAGGTACCCTAAATCATCTCTCTCAAGTTCAAAGTTCCACAGATCTCCAGGGCAGGAATGCCACCAGTGACCTTTACTTCAGTTCCCAACAAGTTCCTCATCTCCATCTGAGACCACCTCAGCCTAAACTTTATTGTCTATATCACTCTCAGCATTTTGGTCAAGGTCATTCAACAAGTCTCTAGGAAGTTCCATAATTTCCAACATCTTTTTTTTTTTTTTTTTCCAGACGAAATCTTGTTCTGTCACTCAGGCTGGAGTGCAATGGCATGATCTCTGTTCACTGCAACCTCTGCCTCCCGGGCTCAAGCAATTCTCCTGTCTCAGTTCCCTGAGTAGCTGGGATTACAGGCACCCACCATCAGGCACAGCTAATTTTTGTATTTATTTATTTTTTTTAGGAGAGATGGGGTTTCACCATGTTGGCCAGGCTGGTCTTGAACTCCTGACCTCAAGTGATCTGCCCACCTTAGCCTCCCAAAGTGCTGGGATTACAGGTGTGAGCCACCATGCCTGGCCCTTTCCCACATCTTCTTGTCTTCTAAGCTTTCCAAATCTCTAGGAAGTTCCAATCTTTCCCATATTTTCCTATCTTCTGAGTTCTCTAAACTGATCCAACCTCTGCCTGTTACCCAGTTTCAAAGTGGCTTTCACATTTTCAGGTATCTTTACAGCAGCAGCACCCTACCCTTGGTACCAATTTACTATATCAATCTGTTCTCACACTGCTAATAAAGACATACCCAAGGCTGGGTAATTTATAAAGGAAATAGGTTTAACTGACTCACAGTTAACCATAGCTGGGGAGGACTCAGGAAACTTGCAATAATGGCAGAAGGGAAAGTAAACATGTCCTTCTTCACATGGTGACAAGCAAGGAGAAGTGCTGAGCAAAATGGGGGAAGCCCCTTATAAAACCATCAGATCTCATGAGAACACACTCAATATCACAAGAACAGCATGAGGGTAATTGCCCCCATGATTAAATTACCTCTCACTGGGTCCCTCCTATGACACATGGGGATTATGGGAGCTACACTTCAAGATGAGATTTGGGTGGGGACACAGCCAAACTATATCAGTTGCCATTACTCTTAATTCTTTCTTCTGGAACTAATCACTTTCTGCCTTGTGTTATAGTTATTTTGAGATAGGACTTATCTTTCATAGATGATAATTTATTTGATATCAAAATCCATTCTGATTTATTTATTTTTATTCTTTCTATGGCCTAAATAGGGTTTCGAAAATGACAAATATTTTGTTGAATAAATGAGTGAGTAAATAATTTTAAAGAAATATTTACCATTTTTAAGTATCGTTTGTTTCTGTTTGTGCAATCAACTTTAATTCATCCATCCTAGATTGAAAATCATTTTTTGATAAAATATTTAAAAAGAAAAATTGCAAATGAGTTTTTCTGACTTCTATCTCTCATTCATAAACATTTTTTCATCTGCCTCAAGTAATAAAGATAAAATTTTCCTTATTCTAATTTATCTGAACTTTTCCTTATTCTAATTTATCTGAACATTGATTTATAAGTCTCAGGCCTATCCTTGATCATTCAGTTTATTTTGTCTTTGGCATGTGCCCTTTGAAAATCTAAGTGGTCTCTTGCTGTGCAGCAATATTAGTTTTTGGCACCCTTTATTTTTTAGGCAGAATAATATATGAATTTTTGTTGAAACAGTTTTAAAGATTTTTAGTCTTCTTCCCTTTTAATATATACATTTTCAATTGCTTTATATATGACAACAGCATTGTCCTTTTCTTGGCAGGTAGATGTTATTTACTAATGTTAAATAATACTGCTATCATCTTCCAAGATCTCTGCTTTTTGTCAAATACAACTTTTTAATTGATCAAAATTAAGGACAGGAATTTATGGTTGCTTTATCAACCATCTGAAATACAAACTCCAGACCAAGAAAACATGTTATTCATATATAGATATAGAAATATGTATATGTATATCTATCTACCTACCTACTTACCTACCTATAAGTAAACATCTTTTTTTTATTATTATTATACTTTAAGTTTTAGGGTACATGTGTACAATGTGCAGGTTTGTTACATAGGTATACGTGTGCCATGTTGGTGTGCTGCACCCATTAACTCATCATTTAACATTAGGTATATCTCCTAATGCTATCCCTCCCCGCTCCCCCCACCCAACAACAGGCCCCAGTGTGTGATGTTCTCCTTCTTGTGTCCATGTGTTCTCACTGTTCAATTCTCACCTATGAGTGAGAACATGCGGTGTTTGGTTTTTTGTCCTTGTGATAGTTTGCTGAGAATGATGGTTTCCAGCTTCATCCATGTTCCTGCAAAGGACATGAACTCATCATTTTTTATGGCTGCATAGTATTCCATGGTGTATATGTGCCACATTTTCTTAATCCAGTCTATCATTGTTGGACATTTGGGTTGGTTCCAAGTCTTTGCTATTGTGAATAGTGCCACAATAAACATACGTGTGCATGTGTCTTTATAGCAGCGTGACTTATAATCCTTTGGGTATATACCCAGTAATGGGATTGCTGGGTCAAATGGTATTTCTAGTTCTAGATCCCTGAGGAATTGCCACACTGACTTCCACGATGGTTGAACTAGTTTACCGTCCCACCAACAGTGTAAAAGTGTTCCTATTTCTCCACATCCTCTCCAGCACCTGTTGTTTCCTGACTTTTTAATGATTGCCATTCTAACTGGTGTGAGATGGTATCTCATTGTGGTTTTGATTTGCATTTCTCTGATGGCCAGTGATGATGAGCATTTTTTCATATGTCTTTTGGCTGCATAAATGTCTTCTTTTGAGAAATGTCTGTTCATATCCTTCGCCCACTTGTTGATGGGGTTTTCTTCTTGTAAATTTGTTTGAGTTCATTGTAGATTCTGGATATTAGCCCTTTGTCAGATGAGTAGATTGCAAAAATTTTCTCCCATTCTGTAGGTTGCCTGTTCACTCTGATGGTAGTTTCTTTTGCTGTGCAGAAGCTCTTTAGTTTAATGAGATCCCATTTGTCAATTTTGTCTTTTGTTGCCATTGCTTTTGGTGTTTTGGACATGAAGTCCTTGCCCATGCCTATGTCCTGAATGGTATTGCCTTGGTATTCTTCTAGGGTTTTTATGGTTTTAGGTCTAACATTTAAGTCTTTAATCCATCTTGAATTAATTTTTGTATAAGGTGTAAGGAAGGAATCCAGTTTCAGCTTTCTGCATATGGCTAGCCAGTTTTCCCAACACCATTTATTAAATGGGGAATCCTTTCCCCATTTCTTGTTTTTCTCAGGTTTGTCAAAGACCAGATAGTTGTAGATATGTGGCATTATTTCTGAGGGCTCTGTTCTGTTCCATTGGTCTATATCTCTGTTTTGGTACCAGTACCATGCTGTTTTGGTTACTGTAGCCTTGTAATATAGTTTGAAGTGAGGTAGCATGATGCCTCCAACTTTGTTCTTTTGGCTTAGGATTGACTTGGCAATGTAGGCTCTTTTTTGGTTCCATATGAACTTTAAGTAGTTTTTTCCAATTCTGTGAAGAAAGTCATTGGTAGCTTGATGGGGATGGCATTGAATCTATAAATTACCTTGGGCAGTATGGCCATTTTCACGATATTGATTCTTCCTACCCATGAGCATGGAATGTTCTTCCATTTGTTTGTATCCTCTTTTATTTCATTGAGCAGTGGTTTGTAGTTCTCCTTGAAGAGGTCCTTCACATCCCTTGTAAATTAGATTCCTAGGTATTTTATTCTCTTTGAAGCAATTGTGAATGGGAGTTCACTCATGATTTGGCTCTCTGTTTGTCTGTTATTGGTGTATGGAGTATGATACTAGTTTTGACCTCAAAAACTTGTATCATACTCAACTAGTAAATACTATAAATAATCTTACTGAAAGTAGGAGGAAGATGAAGACATTCTTTATCACTAATATTATTTATTATTCTTAAGTTTTGTAGCAATGCTATTAAAAAATAGAGATAGTAAGGATAGGATTGGGAGATAAGCACAATAAATGACAGAAAATATTATAGCTTATGCGGAAAACCCAAGACAACTAAGTGAGAAGCCATAAAAATGCAGTAGGTTTGCTGGGAACATATAGATCATTAACAGTTTTTATTTCTCCTTCAATTTTTAAAGTTTTATTTTATTTTTCATTGACACAATAATTGCACATATTTATAGGGTACAATGTGATGTTTCAATACATGTACGCATTGTGTAATTATCAAAGCAGGGTAAATAGCATATTCATCACCTCAAACATTTATGTTTTTTTCTATTGAAAACATTCAAAACCTACTCTTCTAGCTATTTTGAAATATACCATATATAGCTCAAAACTTCTGAGCTTCATATGCCTGAATGTCTATATCTCTTTGAAGACTTTGGAAGTTTTCAGCAATCATTTTATTAAATAAGCTTTCTGTCCCTATCTTTGTCTCTTTTACTTCTAGAATTTCATAATGTAAACATTTGGTCATTTAATAGTGCCTCATAAGTCTTGTTGGCTGTCTTCATTCACTCATTTTCATTTCTTTTTCTTTTTAACTCTAACTGGGTAATTTCAAAACACCTATCTTCAAATTCAGAGATTCTTTCTTCTGCTTGAGCTAGCCTGCTATTGAAGCTTTCTATTGTATTTTTGTTATATTTATTGGATTCTCTTCAGCCAAGATTTCTGTTTTTTAGGACATTCATTTCTTTGTTAAATTTGTCATCATAAACTATTTTTCTAATTTTGTTGAATTGTCTCTATTATTTAGTGTCATGCTGAGTTTCCATAAGATTATTATTTTACATTCCTTTCCAGGCAATTCGTAAATTTTTTTCTTTGATATCAGTTACTGGAGAGTTATTAAGTTCCTTTAGCGTTCTTGCTTCTTCCAGTTTCTTGTGTTCCTGAATTCATATCCACACATCTGGTAGAACAATCACCTCTTACAAACTCTGCAGAGTGGCTTTCATAGAGAATGTCTTTCACCTGTAGGTAAGTCTTAGTGTGGCAGTTGGGAAGGATGTGATGACTCTGATTTTGAGTAGATCCAGTGATACAGCCTTTGTGCAGCTTCTTCAGCTGTGGTCATCATAGTAACTGTGGGTGCCTCAGTGTCCTAGGCTATAGGAGTTTGTGGCAGCAGTGGTAGTAATGTAGGTTGTTAAGGTCCTCAGTGTCAAGTGCTTTTGGGGTACTCCTATTCTTATTTTCCCCATTTTTCCCAAAGGGATCCCCCTTGGTATCAGATCTGACATAGCTTACAGGCAACTACAGTGGCACTGGATCTTAGGGGGCATTTGCTCAGAGAATATGGAGTTGAGGTCACAGTCTCAGGGTCCCATTAACCTGTTGTGGCAACTGGGTCTTGGGATGCAGGTTCAGTCTATGAGGCCAGGTTGGATGAAGTTTGGCCCCAGAGTTGGAGTCTGTGACTCTCAGGCACCCCCTAGCAGCTTTGGTTCAGGGCACCAGGTTTCAGTTTTGATTCTGACCCTGGGGTCAGGGAACAGCAATGACTTTGTTCAAGGGAAGGAGTGCTTTGGGGCTTTGAGCTTGGGGAACAGGGCAAGGCTGTAATTCAGGAATCAGAGCCAGTAAGGCATAGTGGCAAATTGGGTCCAAGGGGATGAGGCACCACGTAGTGGTAACTCCGGACCCTGGGATTGAGACATAGCAGTATGCCAGATTCTGTGAGGCCACTTTCAGCATCTGCCAGAACCTTGGAATGGTACATAACAGCTATTACTTGGGCCCTGCTGGGCAGGGAACAGCACAGCAATGACTCCACTCTCCAAAGAGGTGGGTGTCTCAGCATCTCAGACTCTAAGTGAGCTAGTCCAGATACAGGAAAGTAGAGTACTAGGGTTATTTGGCCTGTAGGGCAGAGTGTCTCAGCTCAGCTACTGCTCTGTTTCCCTGAGACATAGAGTACTATATCAGCTCACTCCTCAGGTGTGTGGTTTTTCAGCTTAGCCAAAACACTTGATTCCTCAACAAGTGATGCCCCACTTTAGCTTAGGCCTGGGGGCACAATTGCTTTGGCTGACCAGGGCACCTTTTCCTCGGGATGCAAAGCACTGGTTCAGCTTAGGCACCTGGGAGCCTGTTTGCTCTGGGTGGCCAAGGCACCATTTCCTGAGAGGCAGGATGCTGCTTCAACTTAGGCACTGGGAAGAGTGGACTGTGACTGCTCTGGGTGGCAAAGGTTCTGTTTTCCTAGGAGGCAGGGCAACTCTTCAGTTCAGGCCCAGGGAGGTGGGACTGCCCTGGGCAATCAAGGCAGCATTTCCCAGGGATGCCAAGCATTGCTGCAGCTCTGACACACGGGGGCAAGGCACAGCCGCAACCCAGAGGGGTAGATATAGTGGCTGTATAGCTTGACCCCACAGAGTAGGATGTAGCAGCAGCTCGGTGGGGTGGTGGGCCACTAGGTGGGGGTGGTTCAGCCGCAGCAAAGCCTCAGAGATGGAAGGATACTGTGGTCACTCAGCCCTGGAGCAGGACATACTCCAGCAGTAGTTGTAGTCCCAAGATGGCAGATGGTATGGCACAATAGACACATGAACCACAGTGGGTATAGCACAGTGTAGGCTCCTTGTCTAGGGGGAATACAGTTGTGTGGACTCCACACAGCTCGCTCAGCTAGATTTAGAGCCTGTGAAGACTGCAGAGTCCCCCAGTGTTGAATACTGTAGGTTTACAAGGTATTGATTGGGGCAGCTGGGGTTCCCTTGCTTACCTTTTCCCTGGAGTAAGAAGTCCCTCCTGGTTCTGAGCTGATCATGGCTGGGGAATGGGGCAGTGGAGGCCAGCTGTTTCCTTTTGTTCTCTATGTGGCCATCCTGGGTTTCTGTATTCTACAGGGTTTCTGCTGCAGCTTTGATGTGCTCCAGCACTCTCCTTTAATTATTTTCATAAAAATGTAGTTGGTTATTTCTTGTTTTGGCTGCCTTTCTGGAGGAACGACTGCCAAGGGCTTCTAGTTCACCATCTTGTTGCCATCACTCCCTCCTTCACTTGCGAAGATTAAATCCACTGTATACAGAATTCTAGATTGGTGGTCTTTTTCTTTCATTACGTTAAATATTTCACTTCTCTCTCTTCTTTCCTGCTTGATAAAGGAAGCAGGAAAGAAGACAGAGAAGTGAAATATTTAATTCCTGTAGTAATTCTTATTGTTTCTTTATAGGTGAGATGTTTTCTTCTCTCCGGCTTCTTTCAAGATTTTTTTGTCTTTGATTTTCTGCATTTAAATATGATAGGCTGAGATACACACTTATATTTTGTTTGCTTTTTTTGGTTTATTTTTATATTTGTCATGTTTAGGACTTCCTGAGATTCACGAATCTGTGGTTTGGTGTCTGTCATTGATTTTGAGGTGTTCTCAGTCATTATAACTTCAAATATTTCTTCTGCTTAATACATTCTTTCTTCTTCTAGTAATTCAATTATACTTCTAATTTTTTCATAATTCTTGGATGTTCTGCTGTATATGTGAGTGTGCATGCATGTGTGTGTATTCATGTGTATGTGTGTGTATGTTTTATTGTTTTTTCTCTGTGCATTTCAGTTTTGGGAGTTTGTATTGACTATCTTCAAGCTCACTGATTCTTTCCTTGGCCATGTTCAGTCTACTCATAAGCTCATAAAAGTCATTCTTAATTTATGTTACAATGTTTTTATTTCTAGTAGTTTCTTTGAACATTTCCTTAGAATTTCCATCTCCTTGTTTATATTAACCATCTGTTCTTGCATGTGGTCTCCTTTTTTTCATTAAAGCACTTAGTAAGTTAATTATGAATTATCATTAATTGATAGTTATTAATTATATTTTCCATGTCTGATAATTCCAACTTTGAACTTCTATCTGAATCTGGTTCTGATGCTTGCTTTGTCTCTTCAGGCTGTGTTTTTTCTTGTCTTTTGGCATGCCTTGAATTTTTTTAATGTATTTTATTGTATTATTTTTAGAGGTTTTAGTGTGAGTATTTATGTTAATCTTGCTAGGAGTTTGGCTACGTTTAGTGTTTGCTGTAGGTGCCAGAGACTTTAAATTCCTATTGTATTGTTGTTTTTGTCTTCCCTTTTGACTTGGAGTTTCAGAGTCTGTTTATTGAAGATTTTTCATCTGAAAACAAGTTGTGTGTGGGAGGGAGGAGTGTTTAACATCTTATGATTAAATCTCGGTCTTCTACTGTGTTTATGTCTCTGGGTTGTGACCTTCACAAGTATATCTTAGGTTCCTTCCCGCCTCCCACCCCACAGTCCACAAGCCTGGAAGACTAGGGAGCACTAGACTGGGAGAAATGACCTGCTGCCATAGGTGAGATAAGACTTGGTAAATTACTTTCTCCTGAAATTAGGCCTTCGTTATGGAGAATGCTATGTGTGTATTTCATAAAGATTACTCTTTATGAGGGGATTTCTTTTCTACCCTCTACCATGCCAGATTCATGAGGGGAATTTTTTTTTCACCCTTTATCATGAAACCCTAGTTTCTAGAGGTAACATTTATAAAAGGGTGAGTGCATCTCCTAAGGCTAAGGCTTTTAGAAGTTTCTCAACTGCACTAGTTCACACTCAGCTTCCAGGCACTTCATCAAAATCACCATTTAAGTGCACCTACTGGTTTATGGCTCCAGCGGCCTGCTCCACATGAAAACAGCTTACTTGTGACTATGATTTTCCCATCTTCCCTAACTATAGGGTGTTGTTTTATCCTGCAAACTCAACTTTCTGAAGGATTCATGAAAGTCATTGATCTTCAGGTTTTTTTCAACTTTTTCTTTTAAAACAGAATTTGACAGCTTTCAAACTCTTTACATATTGAAGATAAATCTGAAACTAACTATACATAAATATTCCTTTATATTTGTATCTATATATTGTATCCATATAATTCAAATATATTATGGAAAAATACATTTTAATAAGATCAGAAAAATACTTAGGTTGAATATAAGAAAAAATGTACAAAGGCCAGTTCTTCCCAAATGAATTTCTGAATTTAATGTAATTTTAACAAAAATACCAAAGGTATTTTTGGAAGTGGATAAGCTTATTCTAAATTTTATATGAGAAACAAAGAAGAATGACCATCAAAATTCTGAAGCAAATGCATAATGCGGTTGAATCCAGATTTACATAACAAATGTAAAGTAAGTAATAGAGTTGGATAGAATGCAGAATTATTCATTTATTCAATAAATATTTAATGTGTGCCAAAAGTAGGTCATTCACTGTTCTAAGCATCTTGCATAGAGGAATGAAGAAATCAGAAAAAATTATTTGCCCTCACGAAGCTTATATTCTAACAGGGAAAGACAGAGATCATAAAAAACATGCAAAATATCAAATATATTAGATGATGGAAACTGCAATGGAGAAAAAATAAAGCAGGAAGGGGAACCAGAAATGCTGGGGAGAGGATATAAAATATTAAATTGTGTGGTTAAGAAAAGTTTTACTGATGAAGTGACATTTGAGCAAATACGTGAAACAAGTCATGGAATATGCTATGGAGATAGTTGTAAATACTCTAAGAACAGGAAACACTAAGTAAAGGTTCTGGTGCAAAAAATGTTTAGTATTAGGTTGGTGCAAAAGTAATTGTGGTTTTTGCCATTGAAAGTAATGACAAAAACCACAATTACTTTTGCACCCACCTAATAATCCTCAGAGTAACCTAAAGGTAAACTAGGAGTTGAAAGAACCACAGTGAAAATGCTAAGCAATGAGGTCAGAGAATTAAGAAGTCAAGGTCATCTGTAGTTCTGTAGATCACTGTAAGAATGTTGACATTTCATCTGAGTTTGAGAATCCATGGAAAGAATTTGAGCAAAGTAGTGTCATAATCTGACACTTATGTGAGAGAAGTGGTGAACCATTATCTAGGCTCAAAATAAATGATATACATTAATTTTTAGATATATTGTCTAAAATAGAAATATTTTTAACGGGTTCAGTTAAAATTTTTCTATACAAAGTCTCTGCCTTTTATAATTTCTCCATTATATATTTTATTTCTGCTTTTAATCAATAAATTGTGTGCTGTTCTTCAAAGTATTACTTTTTCTTATATATTTTAAGACATGTTATTAAAAGTATAAAATGCCACAAATAGATCATTATCCCTGCTATTTTACCTTAAGTAAAACATATTACATAAAATATTCCAATGATTAATGGAATTAGTATATATTCTTAAATTTAACTGAAATGAAATATTTAATTGATATTTAACTGAAATAAAATGTTTTCTGATACAAATCAATGTTTCAATTCCTTTGAAAACTAGGATTTCAATTTGTTTAGGGTAACTAAGGCACATATAAAACTTCTTCCCTTCCAATTTATACCTTTAAATGTTAAAGAATGTGTTTATATAATTATTTATTACCCATATGCACTTACTGAGTACCTGCTAGAAACTGTTTGATAAATTCTCTGTGTTGACTATATAGAAAATCATCCCCCAAAATGCTCCCAGATTGTCATATGCAGTGATGCAGCAAGATGTAATGGATATTCACATTTTAATGATTCTTGTCATGCTGTTCTAATATTTCTCTAAGCTGTTTTCTGAAGCATTTTAATTTATTGTATTTTTTTTAACTTATTACATTTGCACCCTGAGGCTAGCTAGTGAAGGATGCCATTTTGAAAATGAAAGAAATAAATAGAAGTTGAATTGCCAACACATTTGTTTCCAGGTCTTTTGGAAATAAAAAGTTGTGAGAGATCTAAGGAATTATTATGAGGAAGTATCTTATTTAGCATTCCACTAATAATACCATGGAATGTGCCAAACTGGCATTAAATACACCCAATACAATATTCCCAAGGCTATCTGCTATCTCAGATCAAGTGGATACTCTAGAAAGAAAACAGTGTTAACCACTGTTATTCTTCAAGTACTTTTCAAGTTTAAATTACTTGAGCATGAGAATTAGTAAAATACATTGGGATGGCAATGTTCAGTTACTTACTTTTACTCTCAGTAAAAAATTTACCCTGGCTTGTTAAGGAAGGCCATTTTGAAAACTCAGTGTCACCTATATTAATAATTCGTAATGACAGCTAAAGAATAAATATGACTTACAGGTTTTGTTATTGAGCTGTTGGTCAATGAAATCCTGGAGACAAGAGAATTTCCCTTAAAATTCTCCAATTTTCCTAATTTCTGTAAATAGTTAAAATAGGCATATTAAATACCATAACTCCATACCAAAATAATACATTTATATTAATATATTTCTTTCTTCAAAGAGAAGTTGGGGACAACTCTATAGGTGCCACTAAGTGCTAGAGAACAAAAAAAAGAGCAAGTAAATCCATGGGGATCAGATCAACTCATTCTTATTAGCTTAAAATAATGTTTTTGTTTTAAAGGTAAGATAAAGAAACCAAAATCAAATAATGATTGCTATCAATTATAGTATTTTGTCCCAGTTTATGTTCTCATATAATTAGTAACAGCCTCTTTCGCTTTCAGCAAATTTTCCCTATCTGGAAAATACATTATAATGGTCATTGTATTCATCAAAAAGCATAGATATTTAACATGAATTGTTACTATAATAATTTTCCATGAACCAAAAAAAGTGACATACTTTCTTTTTAATAATTTTAATCGGAGAAATAATACAGGAAACACTATGGTAAATTTTAGATAGAAATAAAGCTTTTTAAAACAAATTTCTGTAAGAATTTTACTTAAATTTGACCCTACTGAGAAATAAAATTTTGATTCTAATAGTCAAGTAAAAGACAATGATATGAAGTATGTATGTATATTGAGGAGCCATGGAAGAGATCTTAATTATGCATTAATAAAAATTAACATTAGTCTCTTTACAAGTTTATACTTAAACAGATAATTTCTGTTTGAATACATTTCTTTAAAATTTGGATTTAGATTAACTTGTACCTGTAAATTATTGTTTGCCTTTATGGAATTTTTGAACTTTGTATTTGAAAAAGTATTTATAGAATATCAGATAGACCCTGAAGACTTAAGGGCTTTGGCACAGTTACAGAAAGATCTAGACTGATGATTAAACAGCCCTAACAGAATTTTGGAAAATGTTCTGATGATGTCAAGTACTACATGATGGTTTTATTTGTACTGTAAGTTGCAACCTGCTCTTTTCCAGAAGATTGATATTCCAATGTCAATCATTCTGAAAGACTTTAATCCAGGGACAAGGAAAAATGACTTGAGATAGTTTTAGAACTTCTTAAAGAAAAGCAAAATCCTTATTCTTTGGCCTAGTTGTGGTTTGGTTTTTAGGTTTTAAAATGACAGGATAAATGGCACTTCATTTTTGATGATCACATTAAATAAGCTCGCCATGCCACATAGCAGGCCGGATGCTGGATAGGACAGTGAATTGTAAGACACTCTGACAAAGGCCCTAGGCTTCTTTAGTTGTAAGATACTCTCTATTTTACTGTATCAAAAACTTTTAATGGATACTCTTTAGATTTATAGTCTCTTGTGATGTCTGAAATTTGGGTGAAAGAGTAATTGCATTCTCTAGACAGAATAAAAAAAGAAGATTGCTCCAACTGCTTGAAATAGCTGGAAAAATTTTTTAGCCCTGCTAGTCAGCAAAAGAATATGAAGAAATTCATCCTAATAATGCATGAAAAAGTTATCTGACATAACATAAAAATAATATGGGGATATTTGTAGAGTTAATTATAGAAATATAAACAAGATAGCTTCATGTCATGATTGGGGCAACAGAAAATTTAACAGGGATTCTGCTTCCAGACAAGATGGAGTAAAAGGAATTGTATTTGTCCTCCTGTGTAAAACAACAACAAAAAGACTGTAAAAAATATAATAAAGTTTTCAATACATTGGACATCAGACAAGTTGGAGTCATACCTGACAGAGAAAAAAAAAATGTGTTGAGTCCTATATTTGTCTCAGTTTATTGTCTGGAGAATTTGAATGCCATGGACCGGGGAATGGAAACACAACTGGAGCCCAGTGATATCCCTGAGATGTAGAAAACAGAGTTGGGAGCCTGGATAAGCCAAGATAAATAGAGTTTGCCAGGGCCGAGTCCCAGACGGGAAAAAATTGCGCTGAAAGAAAGCCTCAGAGATCTGCAGAGGGCCTTCTTTAGTTTTCAGCTGAGGACTGAGCAGCACACGGAAGTGAGGAAACTATCCAAGGTCCAGGAAAGAACCACTTAAACGATGGGGGGGAAACATTTCTGAAACTCACACATAGTCGGCATAATTCATTTTCTCACTAGCCAGAGTTAAATCCCTCAAAATTCATGGGACATTGGAATTGGACTGAGAATTAGCAGTGAAAATTAGCCCTGTACTAAGTGTTCCTCTGGTATTACCTTTAAAATGTTTAAAAGCAATACTGAAAAGAACCTAATTGATTTTGGGAACTTAAACTACTGAAAACAAAAATGAAGAATATTTCTAGGAATTTAAAAAAATCGGGTATACAATATTGTAAAATATGCGATGTTTAGCATCCAATGAAAGTTACAAGTCATGCAAAAAAAAACTCCAGTTTTTAAAAAACAGACTTGTAATGATAAGAATAATCAATAAAAAATGATGCCAAAATAAAAACAATGTGTGAATTTGTAGACAAGGACATTAAAACAATTCTACAACAAGATTTTATATGTTCAAGAAGCTAGAGGAAAATTGAACATAAGCAGAAATATAAAAGATATAATAAAAACCCACTCTAAATTTTGGCATAAAAACTACATCTGTGTAGTCCCAGCTACTCAGGAGGCTGAGGCAGAATGGTGTGAACCGGAGAGGTGGAGCTTGCAGTAAGCCGAGATAGCACCACTGCACTCCAGCCTGGGCGACAGAGCGAGACTCCATCTTAAAAGAAAATGTGGCACATATACACCATGGAATGCTATGCAGCCATAAAAAAGGATGAGTTCATGTCCTTTGTAGGGACATGGATGAAATTGGAAATCATCATTCTCAGTAAACTATCGCAAGGACAAAAAACCAAACACCGCATGTTCTCACTCATAGCTGGGAATTGAACAATGAGAACACATGGACACAGGAAGGGGAACATCACACTCTGGGGACTGCTGTGGGGACAGGGGAGAGGGGAGGGATAGCATTAGGAGATATACCTAATGCTAAATGAGGAGTTAATGGGTGCAGCACACTAGCATGGCACATGTATACATATGTAACTAACCTGCACATTGTGCACATGTACCCTAAAACTTAAAGTATAATAAAAAAAAAAAACCAATGAGATTAACAGCAGATAGAGGCTACAACAGATAGACTACACAAAACTAGTGAACTCAAAGATTCATCAACAACTAATCAAAGTAAAATACAGAAAGGAAACAGATGAAACAAATAATCAAAGTAAACAAGACATGAGTGAGCTACAGGGCAACTTCCAGCTGCCTATTATATTTGTGAAGACCATAAGGAGAAAGGGGACAAATTTTTTTTTGAAAATAATAAGAATTAAAATATTGTAAATATGATGAAACCCATAAACTCATGCATTTGAGAGGTCAACACACTCCAGATAAAAAACATGAGAAAAACTACACCAGGGCATATCATAAACAAATCACTTAAAAGTAGTAATTTTAGAAATCTTAATTAAAAGCCGCCAAAGATAAAAGACATGTTACATGCAGGGAAACAAAGGTAAGGAAGACAGATTTCTCATCAGAAACAGCTGGCGCCAGAAGATGTTGAAGTAATATATTTAGAGTACTGAAAGAAAAGAAGTTAAGTGTATAATTCTATATGTGGCAAAAACTCCTACAAATGGAGGCAAAATAAAAACTTTCTCAAATAAACTATAGATGAAAGCATTCATCACCATTGGAACTGCACCTTAAAAAGTATTAGAAAAATTCCTTCAGGAAAATGTAAAATGATACCAAATGAAAGTATGGATCTGCAAAAAAGAAGTTAGCAATGGTAACCATGTGGGTAAATCTAATTTTAAATAAAATGTTTAAATTTCTTTAAAAGATTATTAATGAAATATTCACCAAGAAAAGCCATATTCTGGGTCATGAAATAACTGTTAATAGGTTCAAGATAATTGAAATCACACAGAATATTTTCTTTGATTCTAATTGAATGCAGAAGCAGATTTAAAGAAAAATATATTACCTCACAAGTAGGATTCATTACAAAAATGCAAGTCTTCTTCAACATACAATAATCAATGTAAATTATACTGGAAAATTAATATGAAAAACATGTTTATATCAATAGTTGCAGAAAAGCATTTGACAAAGTTGAATAACAAGTCAGCATAAGTAGGAATAAAAGGGTACTTCCTTACACCATTAAAAGATAAATACAAAATACCTTCGACTAACATCATACTTAATGGCGAGAGACTGAACACTTGCTCTATAAGATAGAGGATAAGTTAATGACGTCCTCTCTCACCACTCCTATTCAACATCATACTGGAAATCTTAGCTAGTAAAATAAATTTTACAAAGGAAAGAAAAGGTATACTAATTAGAAAGTAGGAAATAAAGCTGTTTTTATTTGCAAATGACATGATTGTCCTTGTAGAAACTGCCTACAAAACACTCCAAAAAAAAATCCTAGGCTAATAAATGAAGTTAGGAATGTCTCAGGAGTTAAGCTGAATACACATGAGTCAATTGCTTTCCTATATAACAGCAATAAAAAAGTTGAAGTAAAAATACCACTTACAATTGAAATAAAGCAGGTCAAGCATGGTGGTCAACACTTGTAATCTCAATGCTTTGGGAGGCCAAGGCAGGAGGATCATTTGATGCTAGAAGTTCAAGACCAGCCTGGGCAACATAGTGAGACATTATTTCTATGAAAAAAAACTTAGTCTAGCATGGGGACTTGTGCTTGTAGTCGTAGCTACTTGAGAGGCTGAGGCAGGATGATCACTTGAGCCCAGGAGTTTGAAACTGCAGTGAGATGTAATTGCACCATTGTACGCCAGCCTGGGTAACAGAGCAAGACTCTGTCTCTAAAATATTTACTATATTTACATATATATCTTATATATGGTATTTATATATGACATATAGCATATATATCATATATATCATTTACATATCATATATATTTATATATATATCATTTATATATATCATATATATCATTTATATATCACATATATATCATTTATATATACATCATATATATATATCATATATATATATCATATATATATGATATATATATATGATATATATATATCATATATATATATGATATATATATATATATCATATATATGGATCAGCAGACGCCACCCATGGCTCAAGTAGTTCTGCTATCGCACCCAGGAAAAGAAGACATTAAGAAAACCTAACTTCAACCGCCTATGATTCCATCTCCAACCTGACCAATTAGCACTCCCTACTTCCCAAGCCCCTACTCACCAAATTATCTTCAAAAACTCTGTTCCTGGAATGCTCGGGAGACTGATTTGGGTAACAACAAAACTCTAGTCTCCTGCATAGCTGGCTCTGAATAAATTCACTCTTTCTCCATTGCAATTCCCCTGCCTTGATAAATTGGTTCTCTCTAGGCAGTGGGCGAGGTGAACCCACTGGGCTGTTACAAATGAACAAATGACTAAATAAACAAATGGCATCCAAATGAGAAAGAAAGTGGTATGAGTATCTCAATTTTTAGATGGAATAATCTATACATACAAATTCCAAAGAATCCACAAGAAAACTACTAGAGCTAATAAACAAATTCAGGAAAATTTCAGAGTACAAGATCAACACAGAAAAAATAGCTGTGATTTTATATACCAAAATAAACAATTAAAAAAAGTTTTAGGTAGTTTAATTTGCAATGACATGTAAAAGAATAAAATATATAGGAATAAATTTAACAAAGTTGATAAAAGACTTGTACAATGAAAATACAAAACATTGCCTAAAGAATTTTAAACTAAATGAGTGGAAAAATACACTGTTTCATGGTTAGGAAGAGTTAACATTTTTTTTTTATTATTATACTTTAAGCTTTAGGTTACATGTGCACATTGTGCAGGTTAGTTACATATGTATACATGTGCCATGCTGGTGCGCTGCACCCACTAACACGTCATCTAGCATTAGGTATATCTCCCGATGCTATCCCTCCCCGCTCCCCCCACCCCAAAACAGTCCCCAGAGTGTGATATTCCCCTTCCTGTGTCCATGTGATCTCATTGTTCAATTCCCACCTATGAGTGAGAATATGCAGTGTTTGGTTTTTTGTTCTTGCGATGGTTTACTGAGAATGATGATTTCCAATTTCATCCATGTCCCTACAAAGGACATGAACTCATCCTTTTTTATGGCTGCATAGTATTCCATGGTGTATATGTGCCACATTTTCTTAATCCAGTCTATCATTTTTGGACATTTGGGTTGGTTCCAATTCTTTGCTATTGTGAATAATGCCGCAATAAACATACGTGTGCATGTGTCTTTATAGCAGCATGATTTATAGTCCTTTGGGTATATACCCAGTAATGGGATGGCTGGGTCAAATGGTATTTCCAGTTCTAGATCCCTGAGGAATCGCCACACTGACTTCCACAATGGTTGAACTAGTTTACCGTCCCACCAACAGTGTAGAACTGTTCCTATTTCTCCACATCCTCTCCAGCACCTGTTGTTTCCTGACTTTTTAATGATTGCCATTCTAACTGGTGTGAGATGGTATCTCATTGTGGTTTTGATTTGCATTTCTCTGATGGCCAGTGATGATGAGCATTTTTTCATGTGTTTTTTGGCTGCATAAATATCTTCTTTTGAGAAGTGTCTGTTCATGTCCTTCGCCCACTTTTTGATGGGGTTGTTTGTTTTTTTTTTGTAAATTTGTTTGAGTTGATTGTAGATTCTAGATATTAGCCCTTTGTCAGATGAGTAGGTTGTGAAAATTTTCTCCCATTTTGTAGGTTGCCTGTTCACTCTGATGGTAGTTTCTTTTGCTGTGCAGAAGCTCTTTAGTTTAATTAGATCCCATTTGGCAATTTTGGCTTTTGTTGCCATTGCTTTTGGTGTTTTGGACATGAAGTCCTTGCCCATGCCTATGTCCTGAATGGTAATGCCTAGGTTTTCTTCTAGGGTTTTTATGGTTTTAGGTCTAACGTTTAAGTCTTTAACCCATCTTGAATTTATTTTTGTATAAGGTGTAAGGAAGGGATCCAGTTTCAGCTTTCTAATATGGCTAGCCAGTTTTCCCAGCACCATTTATTAAATAGGGAATCCCTTCCCCATTGCTTGTTTTTCTCAGGTTTGTCAAAGATCAGATAGTTGTAGATATGCGGCGTTATTTCTGAGGGCTCTGTTCTGTTCCATTGATCTATATCTCTGTTTTGGTACCAGTACCATGCTGTTTTGGTTACTGTAGCCTTGTAGTATAGTTTGAAG
The DNA here is from genome assembly GCF_000001405.40 of Homo sapiens. Lineage (NCBI taxonomy): Eukaryota > Metazoa > Chordata > Mammalia > Primates > Hominidae > Homo > Homo sapiens. Next base: position 80,743,087 of record NC_000009.12, read on the forward strand.
TCAGGTAGTGTGATGCCTCCAGCTTTGTTCTTTTGGCTTAGGATTGACTTGGTGATGCGGGCTCTTTTTTGGTTCCATATGAACTTTAAAGTAGTTTTTTCCAATTCTGTGAAGAAAGTCATTGGTAGCTTGATGGGGATGGCATTGAATCTGTAAATTACCTTGGGCAGTATGGCCATTTTCATGATATTGATTCTTCCTACCCATGAGCATGGAATGTTCTTCCATTTGTTTGTATCCTCTTTTATTTCCTTGAGCAGTAGTTTGTAGTTCTCCTTGAAGAGGTCCTTCACATCCCTTGTAAGTTGGATTCCTAGGTATTTTATTCTCTTTGAAGCAATTGTGAATGGGAGTTCACTCATGATTTGGCTCTCTGTTTGTCTGTTGTTGGTGTATAAGAATGCTTGTGATTTTTGTACATTGATTTTGTATCCTGAGACTTTGCTGAAGTTGCTTATCAGCTTAAGGAGATTTTGGGCTGAGACAATGGGGTTTTCTAGATATACAATCATGTCGTCTGCAAACAGGGACAATTTGACTTCCTCTTTTCCTAATTGAATACCCTTTATTTCCTTCTCCTGCCTAATTGCCCTGGCCAGAACTTCCAACACTATGTTGAATAGGAGTGGTGAGAGAGGACATCCCTGTCTTGTGCCAGTTTTCAAAGGGAATGCTTCCAGTTTTTGCCCATTCAGTATGATATTGGCTGTGGGTTTGTCATAGATAGCTCTTATTATTTTGAAATACGTCCCATCAATACCTAATTTATTGAGAGTTTTTAGCATGAAGGGTTGTTGAATTTTGTCAAAGGCTTTTTCTGCATCTATTGAGATAATCATGTGGTTTTTGTCTTTGGCTCTGTTTATATGCTGGATTACATTTATTGACTTGTGTATATTGAACCAGCCTTGCATCCCAGGGATGAAGCCCACTTGATCATGGTGGATAAGCTTTTTGATGTGCTGCTGGATTTGGTTTGCCAGTATTTTATTGAGGATTTTTGCATCAATGTTCATCAAGGATATTGGTCTAAAATTCTCTTTTTTGGTTGTGTCTCTGCCCGGCTTTGGTATCAGAATGATGCTGGCCTCATGAAATGAGTTAGGGAGGATTCCCTCTTTTTCTATTGATTGGAATAGTTTCAGAAGGAATGGTACCAGTTCCTCCTTGTACCTCTGGTAGAATTTGGCTGTGAATCCATCTGGTCCTGGACTCTTTTTGGTTGGTAAGCTATTGATTATTGCCACAATTTCAGCTCCTGTTATTGGTCTATTCAGAGATTCGACTTCTTCCTGGTTTAGTCTTGGGAGAGTGTATGTGTCCAGGAATTTATCCATTTCTTCTAGATTTTCTAGTTTATTTGCCTAGAGGTGTTTGTAGTATTCTCTGATGGTAGTTTGTATTTCTGTGGGATCGGTGGTGATATCCCCTTTATCATTTTTTATTGCATCTATTTGATTCTTCTCTCTTTTTTTCTTTATTAGTCTTGCTAGCGGTCTATCAATTTTGTTGACCCTTTCAAAAAACCAGCTCCTGGATTCATTAATTTTTTGAAGGGTTTTTTGTGTCTCTATTTCCTTCAGTTCTGCTCTGATTTTAGTTATTTCTTGCCTTCTGCTAGCTTTTGAATGTGTTTGCTCTTGCCTTTCTAGTTCTTTTAATTGTGATATTAGGGTGTCAATTTTGGATCTTTCCTGCTTTCTCTTGTGGGCATTTAGTGCTATAAATTTCCCTCTACACACTGCTTTGAATGCATCCCAGAGATTCTGGTATGTTGTGTCTTTGTTCTCGTTGGTTTCAAAGAACATCTTTATTTCTGCCTTCATTTCGTTATGTACCCAGTAGTCATTCAGGAGCAGGTTGTTCAGTTTCCATGTAGTTGAGCGGTTTTGAGTGAGATTCTTAATCCTGAGTTCTAGTTTGATTGCACTGTGGTCTGAGAGATAGTTTGTTATAATTTCTGTTCTTTTACATTTGCTGAGGAGACCTTTACTTCCCAGTATGTGGTCAATTTTGGAATAGGTGTGGTGTGGTGCTGAAAAGAATGTATATTCTCTCAATTTGGGGTGGAGAGTTCTGTAGATGTCTATCAGGTCTGCTTGGTGCAGAGCTGAGTTCAATTCCTGGGTATCCTTGTTAATTTTCTGTCTCGTTGATCTGTCTAATGTTGACAGTGGGGTGTTAAAGTCTCCCATTATTATTGTGTGGGAGTCTAAGTCTCTTTGTAGGTCACTCAGGACTTGCTTTATGAATCAGAGTGCTACTGTATTGGGTGCATATATATTTAGGATAGTTAGCTCTTCTTGTTGAATTGATCCCTTTACCATTATGTAATGGCCTTCTTTGTCTCTTTTGATCTTTGTTCGTTTAAAGTCTGTTTTATCAGAGACTAGGATTGCAACCCCTGCCTTTTTTTGTTTTCCATTGGCTTGATAGATCTTCCTCCATCCTTATATTTTGAGCCTATGTGTGTCTCTGCACGTGAGATGGGTTTCCTGAATACAGCACACTGATGGGTCTTGACTCTTTATCCAATTTGCCAGTCTGTGTCTTTTAATTGGAGCACTTAGTCCATTTACATTTAAAGTTAATATTGTTATGTGTGAATTTGATCCTGTCATTATGATGTTAGCTGGTGATTTTGCTCGTTAGTTGATGCAGTTTCTTCCTCGTCTCAATGGTCTTTACATTTTGGCATGATTTTGCAGTGGCTGGTACTGGTTGTTCCTTTCCATGTTTAGTGCTTCCTTCAGGAGCTCTTTTAGGGCAGGCTTGGTGGTGACAAAATCTCTCAGCATTTGCTTGTCTGTAAAGTATTTTATTTCTCCTTCACTTATGAAGCTTAGTTTGGCTGGATATGAAATTCTGGGTTGAAAATTCTTTTCTTTAAGAATGTTGAATATTGGCCCCCACTCTCTTCTGGCTTGTAGGGTTTCTGCCAAGAGATCTGCTGTTAGTCTGATGGGCTTCCCTTTGAGGGTAACCCGACCTTTCTCTCTGGCTGCCCTTAACATTTTTTCCTTCATTTCAACTTTGGTGAATCTGACAATTATGTTTCTTGGAGTTGCTCTTCTTGAGGAGTATCTTTGTGGAGTTCTCTGTATTTCCTGAATCTGAATGGTGGCCTGCCTTGCTAGATTGGGGGAGTTCTCCTGGATAATATCCTGCAGAGTGTTTTCCAACTTGGTTCCATTCTCCCCATCACTTTCAGGTACACCAATCAGACGTAGATCTGGTCTTTTCACATAGTCCCATATTTCTTGGAGGCCTTGCTCATTTCTTTTTATTCTTTTTCCTCTAAACTTCCCTTCTCGCTTCATTTCATTCATTTCATCTTCCATTGCTGATACCCTTTCTTCCAGTTGATCGCAGCAGCTCCTGAGGCTTCTGCATTCTTCACGTAGTTCTCGAGCCTTGGTTTTCAGCTCCATCAGCTCCTTTAAGCACTTCTCTGTATTGGTTATTCTAGTTATACATTCTTCTAAATTTTTTTCAAAGTTTTCAACTTCTTTGCCTTTGGTTTGAATGTCCTTCCGTAGCTCAGAGTAATTTGATCGTCTGAAGCCTTCTTCTGTCAGCTAATCAAAGTCATTCTCCATCCAGCTTTGTTCCGTTGCTGGTAAGGAACTGCGTTCATTTGGAGGAGGAGAGGTGTTCTGCTTTTTAGAGTTTCCAGTTTTTCTGTTCTGTTTTTTCCCCATCTTTGTGGTTTTATCTACTTTTGGTCTTTGATGATGGTGATGTACAGATGGGTTTTTGGTGTGGATGTCCTTTCTGTTTGTTAGTTTTCCTTCTAACAGACAGGACCCTCAGCTGCAGGTCTGTTGGAGTACCCTGCCATGTGAGGTGTCAGTGTGCCCCTGCTGGGGGGTGCCTCCCAGTTAGGCTGCTTGGGAGTCAGGGGTCAGGGACCCACTTGAGGAGGCAGTCTGCCCGTTCTCAGATCTCCAGCTGCGTGCTGGGAGAACCACTGCTCTCTTCAAAGCTGTCAGACAGGGACATTTAAGTCTGCAGAGGTTACTGCTGTCTTTTGTTTGTCTGTGCCCTGCCCCCAGAGGTGGAGCCTACAGAGGCAGGCAGGCCTTCTTGAGCTGTGGTGGGCTCCACCCAGTTCCAGCTTCCAGGCTGCTTTGTTTACCTAATCAAGGCTGGGCAATGGCGGGCGCCCCTCCCCCAGCCTGGCTGCCGCCTGGCAGTTTGATCTCAGACTGCTGTGCTAGCAATCAGCGAGACTCCGTGGGCGTAGGACCCTCCGAGCCAGGTGCCGGATATAATCTCGTGGTGAGCCGTTTTTTAAGCCCGTCGGAAAAGCGCAGTATTCGGGTGGGAGTGACCCGATTTTCCAGGTGCCGTCCGTCACCCCTTTCTTTGACTCAGAAAGGGAACTCCCTGACCCCTTGCGCTTCCCAAGTGAGGCAATGCCTCGCCCTGCTTCGGCTCGTGCACGGTGCACGCACCCACTGACCTGCGCCCAGTGGCACTCCCTAGTGAGATGAACCCGGTACCTCAGATAGAAATGCAGAAATCACCCGTCTTCTGCGTCGCTCACGCTGGGAGCTGTAGACCGGAGCTGTTCCTATTGGGCCATCTTGGCTCCTCCCCCCGAGTTAACATTGTTAAGATTTCAATGCTACCGAAAGTAATCTGCAGAATTAATGCAATCCCTATCAAAATCACAACAAGGCTGTTTTTGCAGAAATGAATAATCTATCCTCAAATTCATATGAGATCGCAGTGGACCTGCTATGGTGTGAAAGTGTCCCCTCTAAAACTTAGGTGTTGCCAATGTGATAATTTTAAGAAGTGGGGCCTCTTAATTCCTTGTTTGATAATTGTGTTTGATAATTTGTGTTTACATGGTGTTTGGGTCTGTTGATTGTCTTTTCACATTTGAGTTCAGATTTTCCCGATTATTGGTACATCGAGTAATTTTGAACTGCATATGGTAGATTATAAGTATGTTATGAGACTCTCTTTTCCATTTAAATATTCTATCAGGCAGTCGACAGAACACACATCATGATTACTTTAGTAGGTTAGTAGATTGTTCAAATGGAAGTTTAGTTTTTCAAACCTTTGCCATGTTATTCTAGTCTGTCCATTTGCAGTCTACCCAGGCTGTAATCTGAAATCTGAGTAGTATTCCACACTGGAGTTGAGTTATCAAACCTTTGCTATGCTGTTTCTGGCTTTCACAAATGGGCTGCTTAGAGTTTGGCTCAGGATTTCATACAGAGGTTTAGAAAATCACTTTATCTAACTCTGTTCTTTCCATGGTCTTTCTTCCACTGTCTAGTTGGGAGGGAAGAGGGTGCTATTGCCTCATTATTTGGGGCAAGAATGGTGAGTCTGGCTCTGCCTATAGTCTCCAAACTTGCAGTTCCCAGTGGGGAAGGAAAGTGGTGCCACTATGACGCTGCAGAGATGGGATGGGGCCGGGCTCTGCTTTTAGTTTCCAGTGGCTTAGTGCCTGATGGGAAGGGGTAGGGCCATGACTTTTTAGACTGCTCACCTGGAATAAAGCAGGTATAGTTAGGATGTTTCTGTCTGGCTTAGATGCCCTTTTCACCATCCTTTGGCTAGAGAGGGCAGGCTTCTGGTGGGACTTTTTATCTGTGCCTATTTTTGTTTCCTGATTGCAGGCGTCTCCAACAACCAGGCTGGAATTAGAAAAAAAAAACAAAAAACCTCAGATAACTCACTACTAGGTCATTCCTCAAGTTCTGCAGGCCCTAGCTGATTTGCCTCCTCCCCACAGTGCCCATCTTTCGGCCTTATCTCAGGAACTAAATTGTCAAAATAAAAATATTTTTCTTTCTTTGGTAATTACAAAAATAATATGTTGATAAAGAGCATTAACAAATTGTTAAAATTGAATGTCTATCTCTGAAATTTTAGAAGGTAGATAATTCTTCCCATATTGTATACTTTATATATATCTTCATTCTAACCATGTAACGTATTTATATTTGGGAAAAAGAAATATTAAAAATAAATGCAAATTTAAAATAAAAAAAGTGGCCTTCTACGTGAGATAAAGGCTGGACAGTTCCAAGACAATTATTATTATCATTATTTTTGAGACAGAGTCTCACTGTGTTGCCAGGCTGGAGTGCTGTGGCACGATCTCGGCTCACTGCAACCTCCAACTCCCTGGTTCAAGCAATTCTCCTGCCTCAGCTTCCTGAGTAGCTGGGATGACAGGCACGCGCCACCACGCCTGGCTAATTTTTGTATTTTTAGTAGAGATGGAGTTTCACTATGTTGGCCAGGTTGGTCTCGATCTCCTGACCTCGTGATTCACCCACCTTGGGCTCCCAAAGTGCTGGGATTACAGGTGTGAGCCACCACACCTGGCCGAAGGCAATTATTTATGCAGGTATTTTTTATTTCTTTTCAGGCCAACAGTGAGACACAACTTAGTTTCAATTTCTGATTTCTTAAGAATATACAAATTTTATTAACTTTTAAGATTTAATTATTAAGCCTTTATTTGCTAAAAATACAGGGTTTTGCACTTAGTAATTAATGCAGCCAATTCAGAGATTTGACTCTAAGATAAACATTAATAGCCAAAATGGAATAGTCAGTCAATATGAGTGTGTACATATAGATCTGATAGGTGTGTGTGTTCTAACTCAGTTCAACAAACATTTATTGAATTTGCTTTATTGAATTTTAATGTAAATGTACAAAACAAATATTTATAACCTACGCAAATAGCAATGAAACACATTTCTGCCAAAAATTATGCAAGTGATCATTGTAAAAAAATAGCTGAAAGTAAACAGATCAGAAAACAAAGGGTGAAATTTTCATTTCTAGGAACTTGCATTAAGACAAAAGTTGCTTTTAGTCAAAGATTTTCAATATCAAAAAATGTTGAAAGTGCACATCTTAATATTAAACAGCTCTAATTAGTAATAATGTATGTATTGCTTTCCATTAATGGAGCCATCCTCACCATTTAAATATAGAGGCTCATCAGCATTTCCAAATGTCCATCAAAGGACAGAAATTTGGATTATTACTATGAGCTCCTTACTAAAATAATTTGTCTTAAAACCACAATTATAATATTCAGAGGTAACTTTATCTGGCATCCTTATCTTCTCCCAGTATTAATAGGAATAATTTTTGTTTGCCTGACTTAATTTCTCATCGCAACCATTGATTAGTTTTATGGTTTCTATCTGAGATGCAATATAAAAATATAATTTACAATGTGTTATTTCTCTTCTGTATAATTCACAATCAACAAAATGCTAATGGTATTAGCATTTGTGGTATTTACCATTAATAAAGATTTATGCATACTTCAAACTTATTGACACCATCAGATCCATCACTCTTGAGTCGGCTGTGTTACAACTAATGTGTTTTGCATTAGCTTTGGAGCTCTACAGAACATTACTAGGTGCTATATAGTTTTATGTCTATATTTAAGTCTTCAATCCATCTTAAGTTAATTTTTGTACATGGTGAATGGCAGGGGTCCGGTTTCAGTCTTCTGCATATGGCTAGTCAGTTATCCCAGCACCTTTTATTGCTTCAGGAGTACTTTCCCCATTGCTTGTTATTGTTGACTTCATTATTTGTGCAGCTTTATTTCTGGGTTCTCTATCCTGTTCCATTGGTCTATGAGCCTTTCTTTTTCTCCCTTCCTCTCAGCATGCCAATTTCTTTTAAAGAAGCACCTCTTATAGCCCTCTACCAGCCCTGCTTACTTACAGAAGTGGTCACAAGAGTCAGATAGGATCAACATAAGATCATTCCCAGTTTTATATACAAAGGTTGGAGAAACAGGAAACTCATTCCCAGTTTTATATACAAAGGTTGGAGAAACAGGAAACTTTACTCTAGGATTGATGGGACCTGAGAAGGTGAGACAGGGACCCATTAGCAACCATCTTTCTTGCTATGTGGTAACTTTTTGGCATTAAAAAAAAAAAAGAAGAAGAAAAAAAAGTTAGATGTAACAAGAAAAGGTTTGAGATAGAGGAAGAAGTGATCTGATATAGTTTTGAGTTTTTACAAGATCTGCTGGGAGCCAGCTTTGCTCTGGATTTTCTAGTTATTTGGACTAGCACATTCTCTTTATATTTAAGCACGTTTTGACTGGGTTCCAGTCATGTATTCCTTTAGGATGTTAGGAAATCAAACTTATCATAAGGTCTGACTCAAAACAAAGGCCCACAAGTGAATGAAATTTCTAGCATGTAATCCACTGAAATCAAGCAAATTATTTTATTTTTTAGTGAATAACAAGCAGGGCTCCTGATTTCCAAACTGAAACATAATCCCCAGGTCATAATTTTGCCTGAAGGTGTGGGTTAATAGAGCAGTGAACACCCCAGAAAAAAATTATCTCTCATATTCAAGGATAAAAATCTTTTCTTCAGAAGAAGAAACAACTTCAGTCAACCCTACCTACCCCTGGATTCCACATGCGTGGATTCAACTAACCATAGTTCAAAAATATTTGAAAAAGAAAAACAATTCATATAAGAAAACACAGTATAACAACTGTTTACAAGGCATGTACATTGTATTAGCTATTATAAGTAGTATAAAGATGATTTAAAGCATATCAGATGAAGCGAATATGTTATATACAAATACTATACCATTTTATATAAGGGATTTGAGCATACATAGATTTTGGTATCCTCAGGTTACCAAACTAGCTAGGAAATCTATGCCATGACAAGAGCAAGTTCTTATTATTACCACCCCACAATGTGCTTTTTCTCCTTTCCTTTACCCAATGGTAGGAACTTAACTGCTGATTTCCTCCTTTCTCTTTACTATTGTATATTACTCATCTAGGCATGGTTACATTTTTCATCATAATCCAGGTTTATGATCATGAATAGCCACATTCAGGCCAAAGCACATTTACCAAAAATAGTGAATTATGGTCTGGATGGAAAAATGGACATGATTTGGATTATTTCCTTCTAAGAAGGAAGAATATGTTCAGTATTATTTGAAATAGTTGCATTATGACAGGCAGAAATATCTTTAAAAGGAAAAACAAAACTCTTATATAGAGAGAGAAAAAAAATGGTACATATAATTTGGGCAACCAAGGTAGGAAATGGATTTACTATGAGAAAGTGTTCCACTTTCTTGCAACTTAAATCATGGAATGATAGATAGTTAAGGATTATCAGTATTCTAATTGGCTTAAGATCAAGCCTGTCATCTTGTAACAAAACTTCAGCTACTAAAAAGTTTACCAAAAAAAAAAATGTTGATATAGTTTGGATATGTGTCCTCTCTAAATCTCATGCTGAAACATAATCTCCAATGTTGAAGGTGGGGCCTAGTGGGCAATGTTTTGGATCCCATATGGCCTGGCACTGTCCTCACCCCAGTGAGTGAGTTCTCACGAGATCTGGCTGTTTAAGAATGTGTGGCATCTTGCTCCCACTCTTGCCATGTGATCTACCGCCTTCCCCTTTGCTTTCTGTCACAATTGTTAGCTTCCTGAGGCCTTGTCAGAAGCCGAGAAGATGCTTGGTACCATGCTTCCTGTATATCCTACAAAACCATAAGCCATTAAACCTCCCTTCTTTATAAATTATTCAGTCTCAGGTATTTCTTTATAGCAATGCAAGAACAGCCTAGTACACATGTATTGCCTAAGTCTTCAAATATGAATGTGTGCTTAGTACAATGCCTCACAACTAGAAATCTCTTGGTAAATATTTATTGAGTAACTGGCCAATCATCTTGTGAGTGGAGTTCAGGCATATTTTAATAAATGTTAGCATCATGATTATTCATTCATTTATTTAACATGCATAGAGTCTTATTCAATTCTTTAGGTTTCAGAGATAAAGAGAGAAATAACATACTTTGTCTTTAAGATCTGGGAAGTCGAAGAGTAAGATATACAAACGCATTTTGCAATATACAGCATTAAGTGGATTAATACAGATAGGAACAGAGTGTGATAGGATCATGATGTTTTACAAAGAACAATTGTTTTAGTTTCCTCTGGCTGTTGTAACAAAATATCAAAATTTTAGAGGCTTAAAATAATATAAATGTATTCTTTTACACTGCTGAATGTCAGAGTCTGAAATCAAGGTGTTAGCAGGGATGCATTCTTCTGCAGGCTTTGGGGAAGAATTCATTTCCTTGTTTTCTCCATATTTTAGACCCATCTGCATTCCTCAACTCATGGCCTCTTCCTTATACCACTCTCACTTTTTGTTTCTATTGTCACATCTTCTTCTATTGTTGCATTTGGCTCATGCAGCTAACCTAGGATAATCTCACCATCTCCAGATCCTTAACTTAATCACTTCCGCAAAGTCTGTTTTACCATGGAAGACAACATATTCACAGGATCTAGGGTACAGGACATAGCCATTCTTGGGGTGCCATTATTCAGGCCACCACAGCACTTAACTGTATTTTATTCTAGATTCAGCTAATAATAAGCTATGTGACCTGGAGTATGACATGTTACGTTACTGGGCCTCAATTTCCTGAACTGTAAAAGTAAGAGGCAGGTGAATATGATCCATAAATTATTTCATCTCTATCTTTTTATGTTTTGCAGGCATAGCATCAAGGGCTATAGCATATGATGTTGAAGGTCTGACTTCTGAAATACAAAAGCATAGTCCTACAAGAAATCATTCTTGTCAATTAGGGTTCCTTCAGCTTGGAAGCAATTGTTGATGTTCTACTACACCATATCAATATACATTTCCCTTGAATATATCTATACAGCTCTTCCCTTATAAAGAAAGCAAAAAAAAAAATGACTTCTATTCTCTCTGTCTTCCCTTGATGACAGCTCTTGTCTTTCTAGAAATATCTAGAAAGTTCTGAGGAATATTTGAAATGGTTTCCATCACCTTGTCTGTAGCTAAGATAGAAAGTGGGTTAGAGTTGTTGCTCTAATTTACATCTATGATCCATCTTTACCTTTTGTGGTCCTTTCATTTACTCCAGGGTAAGTTATCTAAGAATAATTAATTAACATAAATTCAAGTTTTCTCTGACTTTTTTCTCTTATTTTATTAGATATGCCTTTAGAAATATAATGAATAAAAAAATAGTGCCTAATAATCTTATTTGAGTCCCAAATAGTGATAGATAGCTCTGTATTTCTTAGAACCCATGGCAGCATTGCATATGACATTTCTTTCTAGGTCTTTCCAGAAAACAATTTGAAATTAAAATATTTCATATCTTCATTTTATTGGTGAACATATATTTGTGTCAGTGTTAGACTTTTTTCACCAACTGTGTAGAAGTTTAATGTTTCAGAGAGAAGATAAAATAATTTTTTTAAAAAGTCTGGACCCTCCAAGAAACTTTAGGAATTTAACAAGGTGTCACTGACACATCAGTTAATAGGACAGGGACTCCAAAACTCATCCTTGTAGCTCTACATGTGGTCTCTATACTTTCTCAGGAGCTAATCTTGATTAGGTATACGAGAATCTGCTCCTTCCTCTTAGAAGTTTCAGACAAGGTTTTCAATCAGGGTAGGTTTTTTATATCTAACTCTCTGCACACATGTGTTAAGCCTTCTCCTGTCACACCCTATGTCAATCCTACATTAATATGCATTTTACTCCAGTATTAAAATACCTGCTTAAAAAGTGATACCTTCAGTAGACAGGGACAGGTATCACTTAAAATTCTGGTTTTCACACCTACAAGTGGGTGGCCTTGATCAAAACACATGACCTTTCTGGACATCAGTTTTCTCACCCATAAAATGAGATTAGAATAATGAACTTTGAAGAGACTCCTGGTTCTGAAATTCAAGGACTCAATTTCCTACCCTTTTAAATTACTTACTTTGCCAGCTTAATTGCCTGTCTAGTTATAGAATTCTCTGAATTTATCACCCTTTTCAGTTTCATTGAGAAGACTACATCATCATTTTTGAATAGCATACTGCTTCCACTTACGTAAGTTCAAAGGTGAGAGAAAGTGGTTACATCCTTGAAATTTAGGGAGCAAATACCAGATTGTAGATCTTAATCTGAAACTCTATTTTTTTAAACACACAGAGAAGATACCTGATACATTAGTTAAAATACCAGTAATCAGTTCCTTTTATCCAGGGGTATAAGCAGTTAAGTGGAGAAAAATTGAATTTCTTCTCTTTTATTTTCATATGAAGAGGCATATTTCAATAATCTTACATAGACCTATCACCATGGGTCCTGTGTTTTAATTGCCACTGCATTTCTAGGACTTAGCAGTAAGTATCTAGATCAAACAGGCAATCAGTGAACGCTGAATAAAACAGATGTCAATAGATTTGCAAGGTAAAGAGCTAGGAAAAACCAGGATATTTTGTTACAAAATTATCTAACTCTTATGAGTGCTAGATACATAAATTTAAAACTATAAAAGTCTTAAAAGTATTCTACTCTAAATTCCTCCCTTTGCACAAGAGGGAGCTGAAGTAGGGGTAAATAGAATGCTGTCACAAAGATACACATTTAATAGAAGCACTTGAATTAAAATCCAGGTCTCCTGCTACCCACCTGTGTCTTTTGTCTAGATTTATTATTCCAATGTCTTGCTTTTCTCAGAAATTAAATGGCGTGGTATTTACACAGAAAACCTCAGCATCGTGATCTAAGTCTCTTGTGCTCTTTTCTCCTCTTTTTTGCTCCCTCTTATCTGCCTTCTCTCTTTCTTATCTAGGTAGTCTCACTCTCCTTATCAGAGGACTGGGGCACTGTTTCTTGACATGTAATTTACATCTAATGAAAGCCTGGAGTTACTCTGTATCAAACCTTCCTCCTCATCTTATAGATAAGAGCTACCAATCAGGATAAGGCTTTAGTTCTTACCTTGTACTATTAAAGTTTACCTCTGATTACTAACTTCAAATATTTTATTACATTTGCATATTTGCTGCTACAGATAAAATGCAATGGTGAGGTATTCCTGAGCATCACAATTGATAAGTCCGTTTTGAGACCTGAATTAAAAATATTTTGCTTCTCTCCCTGATTAAAATTATCTAAGAAACTATTTTCACTGAATTTTGCTTTTTCTATTGGAAAAATATTAAGAAATTAAATTTTATCTTTTAATCAAATTATTTTCCTGTGATTGGGATATTTTTTTCTACTGCAGTTTCATGATAATGATTTTACAATAACTCCAGAAGTAAACATTATGTAACACAAGCACCATGCAATTGTATAGAATCTAAACATAATAATTAAATTACTTATTCACAAATTATATGTGAATTTAATATTCTGCAAGTTATACTTTTTTCACTCTGCTTTGATTATAAAGTTGTATTTTTCACTGAAAAATAATTGTTAAAATTAAAAAAATTAATGTTCTGTTCATTTATTGTGAGGATATATTTTAAAGATGAATTGATGAAACCCAAAGGTGAATTTTGCCCGTCTTATCTAACACTTGGGTACAGGTCATGCTTCCTAGACATGTAACTCTGCAGTCACACAAAGCCCTGTCCGTAGAAGGGCCCCAGTGATTGCTTGGTTTAATGCTCTGCCACCATCTTGAAATTCTTAATTTTGAACAGAGTTAATTTTTGAACAGGGAGTCCCTCATTTTTGTTTTGCACTGGGCTTCACATGAAGCCCTGCTTGCCAGCTTGGCAGTAACTTATATAAAAGAGATCCCATGGAATGCCAGTATGTAAAAGAAGGTAGCAGTTGCATTTGAGTCTTGGTTAATGTTCTGCAAAGCTACCCATGTTTCCTGTATTAGTTCATTCTTGCATTGCTATAAAGAAATACCTGAGACCGGGTTAAGAAAGGAGGTTGAATTGGCTCACTGTTCCACAGGCTGTACAGGAAGCATAATTCTGCCATCTGCTTGGCTTCCGGGGAGGTGCCAGGGAACTTACAATCATGGTGGAAGGTAAGGGAGAAGCAGGCAGGTCTTACATGGCAGGAGCCAGGAGCAAGAGAGATTGTCTTTTAAACAATGAGATCTCGAAATTACTCACTATCCACAGAACAGGAACAGCACCAAAGGGATGGCCCTAAACCATTCATGAAGGCCCACCCCCACGATCCAGTCACCTCCCACCAGGCCCCACCTCCAACACTGGGGACTACAACTGGACATGAGATTTGGGTGAGGATACAGATTCAAACCATGTAAGTCTCTTTCATAAAATAAACATACGCAGTAAAATTCTTGAAAACATGAGTAATTTATAACTCAAGGAAATCAATCTATGGTGAAGGGGGCCATGTTTTAAAATTTTATTTATGAGACAGATGGAGATAGAGGGAGAGAGAGAGATCAATAAACAAAAAATAGGAGTTCTAATTTTAGTTTTAACTTTTGAAAGTTATATCACTATTTAATATGAAGATATTTTGGTTATACCAATATAATGACAAACATCCAGATAAAATTTTTTTATCTAGATTTTCTAATAAACATACAGGCTAATACAAATATTTAAAATTTAAATACATATTCCTTTTCTGTATCCTTATACAGATTTTCTACATGGAAAAGGGTACGTTTTATCTTTTGCTCCTGGAAAACACAGTCATAGGTTGTTTTATGCCATAAGAATTCAAAACTTGGGATAAAGAACAAGCAATGGACAAGTAAGAAATATAGTGTGATATCAGTAAACTTGAACTACCTTGGCTTTAAAATAATGGCAAACATATATATGTGTATATATATACACACACACATATGTATGTGTATATATGTGTATATATATACACACACATATGTATGTGTATATATATGTGTATATATATACACACACACGTATGTGTATATATATATATACACACACACACGTATATATATACATATATATATATGTATATATATATATGCCATTATTTTAAAGCCAAGATAGTCTAGGAAGTCTTCCTCTAGGAAGACCCACAGGTGCCTACTTGAAATATATATATATATACACACACACATATATATATACACGTATATATATACATATATGTGTGTATATATACACATATATGTATATATATACACACATATGTATATATACACACATATACACATATATGTATATATACACACACATATATACACACATATATATGTGTATATATACATATACACACACATATGTGTGTATATATACGTATATACACACACATATGTGTGTGTATATATACGTATACACACACACACATGTGTGTATATATACATATACACACACACGTGTGTGTGTATATACATATATATATACACACACACATATATGTGTGTATACATACATATATATATATTTCAAGTAGGCACCTGTGGGTCTTCCTAGAGGTGCCCTCCCAGCTCACAGAATCCTTTAACTTTCCTACAACTATTTACAATGGCAAATTGTGCTCTGCCTAATAGCCCTGAGTGGTTGGTCTAGAAATGGGCCCAGGACTTAAGGTAGGTAAATCAAAGTCTTGTTCCCTGGAATTTGTAATTGAAGAAGAGAAAAACAGAGAGAATGAATGAGGCAGGGGAGGGGATGGAGAGAGGGAGAGAGAAATCAATAAAGAGAGAAGGAGTGAGACTTTCTTCAGGTGAATACATAAGCTTAGTACCCATGGTACACACTTCTTACACCTACCCCATGTATTAGAGAAAAGCAGTAGCCACACTAAAGAAACAACGGAAAGATATAGACAAGCAGAGAGGAATTGAAATAAAAGTAGATGAAAAGGTCCAGACAGGCTTCCAGTCCCTGATTTCAATGCCTTCCTGAGGCAGATACCATTCTAATCCTTATACCTATTTCTTTATTTCAAGAAGCTGTAATTTGTAAGACAAATTCATTTTCCAGAAAGAAAAAGAATGGTAGAGAAGTATGTCATTTTTATAACATATGCAATATCAGAAAAGTTAAAATGTCACTGTGAATTGGGAGGAATATGTGAATATCTTTGATGCTTTAATTTTATTGCAGTGATATCTGTTACTTGAAATAAAAGGACTTCTGAAATATATCATTTAATTCCTTATTTTATTATGAAATATCAACATATTCATCCTCTTTCAGGATATAAAGTCAGAGGTAGAGCCAGGCTACACATAATACCTAAACTAATACACCTATTGCATTTATAGCAATTAATATCTTCAAAAATATGACCAGGCTGTTATTTGTTGGCTTTTCTTAGCTATCATATATATCCCTTCTTTGGTGTCATCTATCATCGTGATTGTATTACATCTGTAATAAGAGGCAGAATGCAGTGACTAAGACCATGAATTATGGGACCATGTTATCTAGGTTTGCATTTGGAGCCATTACCTGTAATAAGACCCTGAGTAATATATTTATCCTCTCTGTGCTCCAGTTTCCTCATTTGTTAAATGACAGTAACAGTACATAACTGATAAGATGTATAGGAATATGCTAGTATTTGTAAATGTCCTTATAAAATCTTGGTACATAGTAATGTTATATGTTAATTCTTTTAAAGGAACTTCTAGAATAAATCAGGCAAACAATAAAAGAAACATGTTTTAGTACACAAAAATCTTCACATGTAATAAAGAGAATCTTCAAAATATAAGAGTTTGAGTTATGAGATATTCTATACATTTTAAAGGCAAATAGATTATTTATGGGGAAAATATAATGACAAAGCCTGTGCTTACAAAAATCACAGTGAATTAAAGAGTTAAATACAAAGGATGAAGCCTAGAAGAATACGTAAGCAAATGTGTAACAGATTTCTGGAGGGAAATGTACTGCTTATGCCGAAGAAAAAGCAAAGGGATTAACAATGAAAGAAAATATTATTTATTGAACATAAATCTTTACAGTTTTCAAATAGTAGAAATCTTAAAACTGAAAATATGATACCGAGAAAGTAATTCTTACAATTAGAAGAGTTAATAAATTAATATCCACAATGGTGACATAATCTTGCATATCAAAATAAGAAATCACATGCAAGAAAATTTAAAAAGAGCTTAAATATTTAGAAATTATTGGTTACATATTACAGAAACATGACTCAATCTAGATGGGCAAAAACGAAAAAACATTGTTTATTAGCTTTTGTTATTGGAAACATCTATGTGGTGCAATTTGATTAAAGCAGAGTTAAATCCAAGGGTACTATCAAGTTTATGAACGTGTTTTCTTTTTTCTATATTTTAGTCCTATTTGCTTCTGCCTGCCTTCATTCGCAGACATGCTTCTTCAACATGGCATTATGATGTCAGGAAAACCGTCATAGGTTGACCCAAGCCTCTATTGTTTTTAGAACTTTTATTAACAGAACAGGGGGATAATTCTTTTTTCAGTATCCATACATCAATAGACAAAAATTCTGATTGCATCTACTTAGAACATGTGGTTATTTGGTGGGGCTGCGTGAGGGTTGGGAATGGGGGCAGGCAGGGTTGACTTGGGACTAAGCCACATATTTCTGTGGATTCAGGGAGGGAGATATTTCCCAAAGGAGAGTGTGCTACACAGATGAAAACTGTATGTCTATTTAAGTATAAAACAGGTAACTCACCAATGAACTATAAATGGTTAATAAATATGGAAAAATTCAGATGTATTATAGAAAAAACAAAATCTACTTTAGGACAACATGAATGTATTATGTTTAGTTTTCACACTGGAAAAGGCCTGGTACAGTATTTCTAGAGGCACTACTAGAAGTATGTAGGAAGACTGTGGAATATAGATTTTCAAAATCTTATGAGTATAAAAAATGTTCGTAATTTCTGACCCATGTCTAAGAATCTCTTCTAAGAACGTAATCAGAGAGTAAAAGCATATTTTATATAGAGGGGTATTTATTATATTTTGTCTATAATAAGATAAAACTAAAAATGCAAATGTTATCAATAGGAAAAAAGGACAAAATTAACTTTGTTTTATATATATACAAACTGATATTATGCAGCTATTCAAATATTTAGTTGAGGAATTTTTAATAATTCAAGGTTGTATAAATAAAACACAAAGCTAAATGTTAAGTTTTGTATGGATTATTCTACTATTGTTTTCATTCTTTTTTTCCATTTCGATCTTCCAAGTTTATTTTTAATAAAAAAACCAAATTTTTGTCTTCTTTAATTTTGTAAGCTTCACTTGCTATCAATAGAAACTCTTCCTGCTCAGAAAGCTCTGTTTGAAAGTAAAGCACATTTTATAACATATTATATAATCAATGTATTGCAGTGAGTTCTGCCAGTTTAGAGTTAAGGTTGACTATATTAACATTTCAAAATTTTTTTGAGAAGTGATATACATAATAACTATAGTTTTCATAAAATGCTTATACATTTGAATAAAGTGTAAAAATAAACAAACATAGACAGCTTAATTCTGCATTTAATGTAGCACTGATGCGAGAACTTAGAAAAATATGGAGGAAAACAATATATTTCCAATTGTTATTTTTTAAGAATTACATGATTTTTCACTTCATCAGTATTTTCCTTGGGCATTGTAATGTTGCTATGTGCAAACTTTCCATGAAAATATATAACAGACAATTTACTAATGCAATACATAATATAGCTAATCAATATCAGGAAAGGCATTACAATTTATATTAAAGCAACAATATGTCATTGCTTAATTTTTGTATTGCAAGGATGCTATTCTAGCAGTGGGTTTTACCAGACTGTAATATTTTCCTCAGTGTTGGCCATACAAATTTTTCTCCAGTGGCAGTCAGGAGATACACATGAGTAAAAATTAAACTGTTGGGTCCATAGTCCTCTGAGCTCAGAGGGGCTAATGCTTTTGAATAGTCGTTAAAAATCTTAACAGGTTTCACCTGATAATATTTGTATACCTAAAACAGGTAAAGTAGCACATCTATGCTTAAAAGAAACACAAGCATTTCTATTCCAATGGCAGATCATCTTCTTCAAAAAGACAAAAATCATAAACAGTGACAAAAATGTAAAAGAGCCAGAGAAGGAGGGACAATTGTTACATTAGGAAGGGAAACAATAAAAGCATTTCCAGATCACTGATCAGGCACTGTACAGCTATGTAAGGAACTGAAGGCAACCGAATCTCCAGTGTCAGCCATAGTAATAAGAGCTTGCCAACCCGCCTGTGCCAGCATGCATGCATGCATATCGTGTATCAATACAGAGCCAACTTATTCTAAACAACTATTTCATTTAGAAAAACCAATATAGTGAAACAATGCACCATTTTGGAACTTCAAGTTGAATTGTGCCCCAGCAGATAGTTTCTTTCCAAAGCAATTACTTTAGCATTTGGGGTGCATAACTTGAGAATAGTTAATATACTGTACTTGTTCTCATGCCTTTGCATCACAGGATAACTTATGGGTGAATCCCAGGAGGGCTTTGTACAATCTCTGTTCATTTTTAGCAAGTAAATGTCCTCTTGATATTTACTGGGCTATTTCCTTTTTGCCTGACAAATGATTTCATGTGGAATAATCTCCTATGCAACTGTTCAAATAATAAATAATCTATAGATGCATCGAGAACTTCCCTGTAGGAAACTAGAGATAGGGCAATCACTCATCCCAATCTTTTTGCTCTCCTTAGATGAATTTCCTCAGCATCTGTTTTAACGGCTGATTACATCTCTCAGTGAGGCTGTCTGTGTCTGACTGATAAAGGTGTAGTTAGCAAAGAGAAAATCCTCACAGTCTCCATAATTCTTCATTAAAAAGTATCCTCCCTCGGCCAGGCGCTGCGGCTCACGCCTGTAATCCCAGCACTTTGGGGGGCCGAGGCGCGTGGATCACGAAGTCAGAAGATCGAGAATATCCTGGCTAACACGGTGAAACCCCGTCTCTACTAAAAAAAAAAAAAAAAAAAATACAAAAAATTAGCCGGGCATGGTGGCGGGCGCCTGTAGTCCCAGCTACTCCGGAGGCTGAGGCAGGAGAATGGTGTGAACCCGGGAGGCGGAGCTTACAGTGAGCGGAGATTGTGCCACTGCACTCCAGCCTGGGCGACAGAGTGAGATTCCGTCTCAAAAAAAAAAAAAAAAAAGAAAGAAAGAAAAAAAAAATCCTCCCTCTCTTTGTATGTGGTTTCAACAGAAGGATCAGAAACTTCTATAGGATCACAAAGCAAAATTATTTTACAAATCATTATATTCATCTCTAAGTAAAGAATGTCTTCCTCTGCTCTACAAAGAGATGACTTTTCATTCAGCAGGGAATACTTATTTGGGTGTCACTTACAATGTCACTTGTTATGCTTTCATGTAAATGGCTTTTTTAAAGCTCACATATATTTGTAGGTGATATTACTAAAGGTTTTGATACAGGATATTAGGAGGCTTGTTTTTAGGAAGAATTTGAGGTTGTTGCAACCCTAAGCTTTTCAGAGTGCACCATCCAGGACAGAGCAAAATCCTCCCAGAGTTCTTGTCCTCAGAATACCAAAACTGTGTCACAGTGGCATTACTACCTGCGATTTCTTAGACAGAACCTAGACAGACTGTGGAGAACTACCAAGTTCTCTGTACTCCATCCTGACGGTGCCTGCAAAGAAAATATAAGAAGCTTTTTGTAGCTTTCCAAGACATTTAAAATCCTAGCAACAGCGTTTTTCCCAAGTGGTATCCTGAAGAAGCACTGTCAGCCAGGAACGTTTAGTGTCCACAGTGTTGCTCAGGCTAAACAGTCTGGTTTTGCAGTTCTGCATCCCTTGGATCCGTTCATGGCCAAAGGAGTTTTTCCTGCCAAAGTATAAATGAGGCTGTATCTTCTCTCCCTGGACTCCAGGCCTTTTCCCATCAGTTATGGTCTCCTGACAACACAACTTATTTTTTGATGTTTAAATCCTGATTTACAAATCTAATTAGGCTTTCCTTGTCTCAAAATGTTGGTTTGAGTCTCCACTACCAGAGTGTAATTTCCAAGTTCTAATTCCCCATGTGTTCTGTTTGCAAGTGATTATGAATGCAAAGAAAATAGGAAATATGGCGGAAGTCTTGAAAATTTCAAAAATAAATGTTGGTGTCTATCCTATTGAGGAATATCATCAGTTGAGAAAGAAATAATATTTAAAAAATATTTTATATCAAATTAAATATTAGAACCTTTGTTTATAAGACAAGTAAATGCTAAAGTAAGGATTCATATCAACAGACACCATTAAAAACCACTGCAGTAGGAAATGAATGGAGTTGTGTTTGGATTTGACTGTCTGCTTTCTTGAATGCTCTATCTAGGTCAGTGGTCATAACCTCAAATGTCTACAGATAAGAATTTAATGTAAATAAATGAACCCCTCTGCACAGTGCATTGTGTGTAGGGGCAGCCTCTAATAATATCCATCGGTTATAGCCATGGTGTAAAACTTTAGAGCATGGGGGTAAGTGTAAGCGTTGCCAAATATTCTGATATTTCAGAAAAAAAGAAGCAAATACGATTTTTCGTGAAATATCCTGATTTTTAAATGTTAGCAAACCATTAATTAAAAATATAGTCACATTAAACAAAACACATCTGTAAACTAAATCTAGTCCTTTGGGCATTGATTTGTAATTCTCGTAAATTACTACAATTTTTATTTCTAAAGCCTTACCTTTTATTAACATCCTCTTATGTTTACAAATTATTTTTAGTATATTCATTATGATCCTGAGAATATGACTACTTCTTACCATTATCACAGCTACCACCCCATTCTAACCACTCTATCTCACTTGGCTACAGCCAATGCTTCTTATCTGGTCTTGAGTCAGTTTCCACTCTTGTTCGCCCTAATCCATTCTCCATATAGCAAACAGTGTAATCCTTTCCAAAATGCAAACTACATATTTTCACTCCTTTGCTCAAAGCTCTCCAGTGGCCAACCATATATTTAGAATAAAATCTAAACAACTTAACACAATAAGTACCACTCCAATGAACCAACTCAAGTCTCTTTTTAGAATTTCACCTCCTGCTACCTACTCCTTAACCTGTTGGCCTTCCTGCTGGTTCTTGGATATGCCTTGCTCATTCTGCTTTTACACTTTTGCTTTGCCTATTCTCTCTTCATGGATTGCATATCTTTTGGTATGGCTTACTTCCTCATTTTATTCAAGCCTCTACCTTCTTAGTGAGATCTTCCCCGATATCTTTGTCCAAAATAATCTGATCTTCTCATTTTGCATCTTCTTGCTAATTTTTTTCTTCTTGCTTTTTCTTTTCACTATCTGATATATTTTATATGCATCTATTTACTTTTGATCTCCCTCAACAGATTAAAAACACTGAGAGAAAAAGAATGTTATCTATTTATCACCATATCAATATCTAGAAGATTTTCTATTACTTAGCAAGTGTTTATTGCTATTTGTTGCAAAAAGTAAATGAATGAATGAGTGTATCACCACTATTACCAAAGCCCAGAAACACTACCTTAATTCAAATCTTCATTGTTTATGATGTACACCTTTCACTGGTCTTCCACTGTAGTCATCCTACACCTACTTTCGGACTAAACTTCCTGAAGCACCAGACAGCCGCGTCAGCTCTATATTCAGAATAGTCAATGCTAATTCTTCATTGCTCTTTTAGGAGTGCCTCCTCTGTACACCTGTGCACGTATTGGATATAAGTCTGTTACAGAACTTGTAAGGCTGTTGTAGAACTGTTTCAAATTACCAAATTCTTTATCTCCTTCACTAGAAAATAAATGTCTAAAAGTGTCTTATCTAATGAATGCAGTGATTTACATTCATGTAGCCCTTCAAAAATTTTTAAAATGCTTGCATTTTATGTAGATGTAGTTAATATTCCTTTTCATAAGAGAAAACTGAGACTCAGAGAAACTAAATGACTTCTTAAAATCATACAACTTCAATAAAGCATTTTTTTAAACAAGTTCTTCAAATTTCAAGATTATTTTGTCCTTCCTGGTACAACAAAACTGCATTGCAAACAAGGAAAATTCAAACTCTTAAGTTTAATATTCAAGGATTTTAACATTTTGAATTGAAGCCACCTTACCAAATTTGTTACTACTATTTCCCTTCAAATACTCCAAAATTTAGTAACTTAATTTTGAAAAATTACTTATACAGATATCTCTCTCCTTCTGAGTTTTTTCCCTGTATTTTCTCTATAACTGTAATAATTCTCCCTTCTATCTATGTCTTAGTTCTACCTTTTTTTATTTAAAGCTCAGCTAAAAAACTATCACCCTGAAGATAACTTTTTTCATATTGTAACAAATATTCAGTTTGACATACCATAATACTTTAAACATTTCTTATGGAAATATTACATTTCACAATTGTGTGTTATTGAAATAAGCACATACCTAGGTTCTATGTATATAAAATATATCGATCATAACTGGACAATAAATTCACTTAGATGGAGTTGTGTTCAATTAATCTTTAACATTTCCATAGAACATATGCCTGAGTATTAGTTAAGATTAAACTTAATTTCATATAGGAGAAAACCAAAACAAATGGTTTACACCCAAAGATAAATATTAAAGGGTAGAAAGGTGATTCCATAGTGCTCAGGAATTCAGGTTCCTTTTATTGCTGTCGAATAATCTGTACCATAAGGCTTTCATTTACAGGATGGCCCCTAACTGTAGCATTTGTACTACAGAAAGAAAACAGGGGAGGTGTATACCACATCCACAAATGGGTATCTGTAACAGAAAAGTGTACAATAAGGTTGAAACTCCATATGAGTAAAACAATATATCAGAGAAATACTATTGCAGTTATATTGACATCACACAAAACAGATCTGAAGGCAAAAATTGTCAAAATTCCACAATTATACAAGAAATGCAACCAATCCACAAACATAGTGGGAGATCTTCAGATAATGTTCTCGTACCTAATAGATAAAACAGACACGATAAATAAAATCATTGAACATTTGAACATGATCCAAAAGCTTGAACTAAAAGATATGTATTCATCATCTGCAAAATATACAGTGTTTTCAAACACGGACCTAAACAATCTATAAAAATTGAACCTATATTGGCACAACAAAGGCCTCAAGAAATTTAAGAGATTGTGTTCTGGAAGTGCAATGTGATTATGTTAGAAAGCAAACACAAGAGATAACTAGAAAGACTACATTGTTTGAACATTACCAAAACACTGCTAAATAGTCCATATCAAAGAAGAAATTATAATTCAAATAATAGAACATTTAAAACTGAATAAAAATGTAAATATTATATATTTATAAACATGGAATCCAATTAAGGCATTCTTTATAGATAAATGCATAACCTTATGTGCTCTTATGAGAAAAGTAGAAAGGCTAAAAATTAGGTGTTACATATCTCATTTAAAAGTAAGAATGAATAACAAAAGTATTCAAAGAAATCAGAGGGAGACTAAAATGAAAAAGCAGAAATCAACAAAATAGAAAATAAGACACGATAGAGAGAAACAACAAAGCCAAGCGTTAGCTGTTGTATTAGTTCATTCTCATCCTGCTATAAAGAACTGCCTGAGAATAGGTAATTTATAAAGGAAAGTGGTTTAACTGACCCATAATTAAGCATGGCTGGGAAAACCTCTGGAAACTTACAATCATGGCCGAAGGGAAAGCAAACATGTCCTTCCTCACGTGGCAGGAGGAGAGAGAGAGGATGAAAGCCCAGAGAAGGGGGAAGCCCCTTATAAAACCATCAGATCTCTTGAGAAGTAACTCACTATCACAAGAACAGGATGGGGCAGTCTACCTCCATGATTCAATTATCTCCACCTTGTCCCTTCCACAACACGTGGGGATTATGGGAACTACAATTCAAGATGAGATTTGGGTGGGGACATATCCAAACCATGTCAGTTGTCTTTAAGTCTAATAAAGTAAATCCATCCATCCTGATCAATATAGCAAAACCCTGTCTCTGCTAAAATACAAAAATTTAGCCGGGTATAGTGGCACGCACCTATAGTATCAGCTATTCGGAAGGCTGAGGCAGGGGAATTGCTTAAACCCAGGAGGCAGAGGTTGCAGTGAGCTGAGATTCCGCCACTGCACTCCAGCCTGGCGACAGAGCAAGACTCCATCTCAAAAAAAAAAAAAAAAAAAAAAATTCCATGATGAGATTAAGGAAAAGAAAAATGTAACCAAATAAAAGGAAGACATGACAGAACAATAAATATAACAATTATAAACAAGAAGAGAGTAAGCAAACTATAAATTTGAAAATGTTAGTGAAATGGGGATAAATTACTAGAAAAACATAACTTATCAAAAAATAGTTGCCCATTAACAAAAATAGAATCTACTATTGTTAATATTTCTGCCAAGAACTTGAGGCCTAGTAGTTTTACTGACAAGTTTGATGAAATATTTAAAGAACTAAATAATTCCATTTTTATACGATTTCTTTCAGAGAGTCAGAAGGAAGACGGAGAAATCTAACATTAATTTTAACATTGATACCGTAACCTGATAAGAAGAGAGTGAAAAAGGAAAAATACTACTCCTGAATTTAGTTGCATAAATTATATAAATTCCAAACATAGGATTAGCACACTGAATCCAGCAACATATGAATACGATAATTCATTATGACCAACTTAGACTTAGCCTAACAATCAGAAATTGGTTGAACATTAGGACTTAGCCCAGCAATCAAAGATTGGTTGAACATCAGCAAATCAATTAATGTAAATTATCATATTAATGAATTAAAAAGATATGGGAATAATTATTTGATAAAGCTTGGCATTCCTTCTTGATAAAACCTCTAACACACTAGAATGGAAGCTGTAGGAGATGCTTCTGTTGCCCTGCTTCTTGATTTCAGAGCAGCATGTACTTTTAATCTCACCCAAAGCATTTGGCTGGGCATTCTCCTGCGTTCCTGCTTTAGGGCTTTCTCTAGAAAGCACAAAAGCCTTTGGTCGTTGCGTGGGTAGCCCAGAAAAGCAAGTAGTTAATGCACGGAAGCAATACTCAACCAGCGGGTTTGAGAATTCTTAGAAAAGTGTATGAATTCTGTAGATAAATAACATAAAATTAAAAGATTTACCATGATATAACATTATCAGAGTAAGGCTAAATGCTGGAAGAACATAGGAGAATTTCAAATATACCTGTTTTTCATCAATAGACATACAATGAGCATCTCCTTTGTCAGACACTATGCTTAGTTCTGGAGAAGGTGTTGAACACCCTCACGGAGCTCAAAGTCAAGGGGAAGGGCAGCACTGGTAAACCCATTAAAACACGTTGCATGAAAAACTAAAATAGACATGGATGTAAGGTGTCATGGGAACACAAAGAAAAGCATCTGATGTTATCTAAAGGAGCTGGGGATACTCTATTAAAGGAGAATCTCTATCAAACAGTGCTTCGAAGGCTAAGTAGAGTCTACATTACAGAAAAATGTGGGGTTTTCTATGGATAGCTAATGAAAATCCAGAAGTCAAAAGGGTATGCTCTAGGAAGACTGACTGAGTATATCATCTGTATAGCGGGGAGCATAGTAAGAAACTACCAAGACAGTAGTTCAGAGAGATTTTAAAGAGCTCATATACCTGCAGGCTCTGGGAGACTTTGAATATTTAAAATAAGCAGTAATGTAATCAGTTGGCCTCAAGAAATGTGGAAAAATAAGCCTTCAGTTGGGAAAAGGGAAATCTAGTACCATTTTTATACCAATAGAGTTGAGTTTAATGTTTTGAAAATTAAAAGGGGCAATTTCAGTATATTCTTTTTTAAGAGAATATGAATGTGACATTAGTTCTTGAACTGAGGGGATTATAGCAGAAAAGGAAAACATGTGTCTGGAGTAACCACACTTTTCTCCTTTTAATATGTAAGAAAGCAAAGATGAATTAACCAATGAAGAAAAATTTTAAAACCTGGATTTTTAAAAATTATACATTTAGCCTTAAATATCTAAATTAGTGCTGCTCAGTAGAACTAACTTTAGCCAAACATTAATTCATGGATTCTAAATTACTCATCTGGTAACACACAGTTATTTAATGGTTTAATCCATTAAAAATAACCCCTCCAGATTGGATATTAGAAAATAAAAACAAAGAGGCCAGGCGTGGTGGCTCATGCCTGTAATCCCAGCTCTTGAGGAGGCTGAGGCTTGGGGGATCATGAGATCAGGAGATTGAGACCACCCTGGCTAACACTGTGAAACCCCGTCTCTACTAAAAATACAAAAAATTAGCCAGGCGTGGTGGTGCATGCCTGTAATCTCAACTACTCATGAGTCTGAGGCAGGAGAACTGCTTGAACCCAGGAGGTGTAGGTTGCAGTGAGCCAACCAAGATCATTCCACTGCACTCCAGCCTGGGTGACAGAACAAGACTCCCTCTAAAATAAAATAAAATAAAATAAAATAAATAAAATAAAATAAAATAAAATAAAATAAAATAAAATAAATAAAATAAATAAAATAAATAAAATTAAATAAAATTAAATAAAATATAAATAAAATAAAATAAAAAAATAAAATAAAATGCAAAACTAAAGACCTCCTAAAAACATAAAATAACTAATGAGTAGCGCAAATACAGCATTTTTTTTCTCCAATACAGAAAGGTATTTTTATAACTTCTCTTATGCTGAGGCACTAAAAGTGATTTTTTTAAGTGACAAATCTTATCAGATCATTGATAATGAGGTTACCTACCTCAAAACAAATTGTACTTCCCTATCACTGGGATGGAAAATTTGAGATGAACTAATGAGGTTAGATACAGATTATTTGTTTTAAGCAGCCATAAGCATTTTAAGATCACCAAACAAGCATCAAAGACAACTCACTATGGTTTGCAGAATTATTTTCGTGGCTTTTGAAAGATAATATGTACTATCTTAGAGTCTCCATTGCAATGGTGAAGCATTGATTAGTCTTCTCACATATTGTACCCTTTATCTGGTCACCTGGTGGCATTCTGAGTTTTACCAATTTATTTTAATTTTATCTATTTATGTATTTATTTATTTATTTATTTTTGTAGAGACAAAGTCTTTCTGTGTTTCCCAGGCTGGTCTTGAATTCCTGACCTCAAGATATCTTCCGAACTTGACCTCCCAAAGTGCTGGGATTACAGGCACGAGCCACCACACCCAGCCCTCACCAATTTCCTTTTGTGAAAGATTTGAGCTTAGGTATATTACTTCTCCTTCGTGAGCACTATCTTTATTGTCAGAGTAATATTTTGAATTAGAAATTTAAAAATGCTGTTTTCTTAACCAATAAATATTTTGGTTAAAAAACATTTTTAAAAATTGTGAAATGTCTTTTGCCTTCTGCTCTAGGGCCACTTTCTCTGCTTTACCTTTTAATATTTAACAAACAAAAATGAAAGTGAATCCTAGGATACACCAACAGGTATTGTCAAGAAATGCACGAAATAAAAAGCTTGCTGCTTTTTAAGTATTCTTAGATTAGGCCAGAGGGGGTGACAAACTTTTTCTGTAAGTGACCAGATAGGAAAATTTCATGCTGTGACGGACATACAGTCTCATCTCCAGCACTCAACTCTGCTGCTGTAGCACAAAAGCAACCATAGACAATGTATATACAAATAAGCATGGCTGTTTCCCAGTAACATTTTATTTATAGACACTAACATTTGAATTTCACATAATTTTTCATGTGTCATGACATAGCATTCTTTTTTATTGTTTTCAACAATTTACAAAAATGTAAAAACCATCCTTAATTTATGGGCTGTACAAAAGCAGGCAGCAGGGTAGAACTGGCCTCAGGGCTGTAGTTCGTGACCCATGGATTAGACACGTGGTGGGTATGAACTGTAGTACAGAAATAAAGTGTGCAAAAGTTCTAACATTTGTAGATTCCTCCTTAATAATAAATTAGTGTCACAATCATCCCTTCTGCTAACATGACAAAAACCATTTGTTCTGGCATTGAGGTTGAAGTTGTTAGAAGCTGGCAATGCTAAAGCACCTTGGTCTAGGTATGAAGAGGGGATTATCTGATCCTAGTTGTCATCTACCCATACTGATCTCTCCCGGGAGGTTGATGCTCCTTGGTCCATGTGTGTTAATGATCAAAACAGAAAACTGCAGAGTTAGTTTCTATTTCCGTTAACAAGGCATTTTCCTCCTTCCCTGTTGTATGCACATGTTATTCTTGTGTTTGCATCATGCTAAAACTTGGGGCACTCCAGGAGCTGTGGATCTTTCTGCTTAGAATGTGCCACGCAACCATATTCTCTGGGAGTTTCCTAGGGCTCTATATCGGAAAGAGAATATGTGATCTCTCTATGCTGGGTTCTTTGCTGACCAATACTCTTCCCACAGCTAGCTTGGGGAGCAAAATCAGGGACCATCCCTTCCAAGAGGCTTATTCATGTCTACACATTCATTGCCATCAGCATTGAGCAGGGCAGCTGCAGCCTGCGTGGGGTGAGGAAGGTGCAAGGAAGGAACAGGGTTAGAAAGAAATACTAGGGGCATTGTGATGACTAGTTCAACAATGTTTATGTTTCTATTTACATAATTTTACACATTGTATTTTAGTTATTAAATGTGTACTGAAATCCTACTATGTGCCAAAAATTGTTTGAGATGCTGAGAGTACAATGTCAAACGTAACACACACAGTTCTTTCACTCTTGAAACAGGGTACAATAGATGAAAGATAATCATTCCACAATCTCAAAATTAATCATTGTAAATAGTGATTAAGCCACATGAGCCAGTGAATACTTTGACAGTTGTGACAATTTACACATTTATGCTAAATGAATCAGATAAGATGATATTAATTAATTTGAGCTGACGTCAATTTTGGGGGCAAACCCTGCTGGAAGGTTCTCTGTATCCTCTCTCTCATACACACACACACACACACACACACACATACACACATGTACACACCTGGATTCAGAGCAATATAGACAACATCAATTAGTCATAACTAGATGTGAAATATTTCTAATCTTTTGATTCTGAAAATTAATATGAAGGTATAAACACTGAAGAAAAAAACAAATATTTTTGGCAAAATGGAGATTTTCCATCCAAGTACGTTATAATTTTATTCTTTTTTATGTGCAAGTGTAGATATGAGAGACTTCTGAAAGTCTTCCAAACAAGTAGATTTGAGGGTATCACAGATACTTTATAGAGACTATTTGGTATTAGAATGCAATGACATTGTGCAGCTTTCAAAATCGGTATGAAGCACTGAATTGAATCAGAAATTTTGCAAATCAACTGACTTATCAAGTCTGTTTTGAAGTCTTCTTGGTCTCCTGCTGAGCCAAGACTACATCCTAGCACAGGGAAAATTTAATTATATTGGATATATTTCTAGTAGGAAATATATTCAGAATTTCAATATGTAGGACAAAAATATTTACTATCTAAGTTTAAAATATTGGGGGGTAGAAGAATGATTTTGAGATCCTGTCAACATAGAAAAAAGTTAGAGTGTGTGTTTGCTTTGGATATCTCCATAAACATCTTTAATTTCTCCAGAACTACTTTTTTTTCTGTTTTCCAATACGTGCATTTTAATGGTAATTATTGATATCCTTCTTAAGTATGTAGATAGAAAGTAAATGGAAAACAATGAAGCGAGTTTTTCTAAACTTACTCTAAATAATTCTTCAAATATTTATGGCTGTGGTACTAGTATTATTCCAGGGAGACCTGTGGTCTTTTTCTTCAGTTTTCATGATAGTTCAGTGAGAAAGAGTAAAATCAATGTGTTCTCCTTCCTGAAATTTCATTTAAATTGATTATTTTCACCCATATACCACACGCATTTTCAATTGAACTGCTTCAAATTTCACTTGAAACTTAAAATTTCTTACCCATTTTAAACACTCCACGCTTACCTGATCCCACATCTGATCTTCTGCTCCCAAAACTCTGCCCACTGTTCTCACATTTCACCCACACCAAAGTTACCTCAGTCTGAGACGTGCCAGGTCACACCTGTGTCATCACTCAGATGAATGGAAGGCCCCAGAACTTAAATCAGCTATGAAATTAAATGTTCATCTTGGTGAAAAATTAATACTTTGAAAATAATAATTCATTACCAAGAAAACTTACTCTCTGCTACAGGTAGCCAACACACTGCACCTCACTCTTCCTACATTTTCCTCATTTTACATTTGTCTAATTACTGTTTCCAATAATCATCACTTTTCCCATGGTCATTCCTTGGTTACTCTGGGAACTTGCCAAGGTTAAAAAAGAGGGAGGCCAGGCATGTGTCTCACACCTGTAATCCCAGCACTTTGGGAGGTCAAGGTAGGAGAATTGACTGAGGGCAGGAGTTAAAGACCAGCCTGGATAAGACCCAGTGTCTACAAAAAATTTTTAAAAATATGTCCAGGTATGATAGTGCATGCCTGCAGTTCCCACTACTTGGGAGGCCAAGGCAGAAGAATC
This sequence comes from Homo sapiens, assembly GCF_000001405.40. Taxonomy (NCBI): domain Eukaryota; kingdom Metazoa; phylum Chordata; class Mammalia; order Primates; family Hominidae; genus Homo; species Homo sapiens. The sequence continues at coordinate 80,774,424 of NC_000009.12, forward strand.
ATTTGAGCCCAGGTATTTGAGGCCACAGTGAGCTATGATCACACCACTGCCTGGGTGACAGAGTGAGACACTGTCTCTAAAAAAAAAAAATAGAAGAGGAAGGAGTGATGGTTTTAATGCTGGACTATTTTAAAATATGTATAACTGTGTTATTATATACAGTTAACCATAAATAATTCTTACAACAACAAATATAAGCAAAAATATGACTATGTCCACAATCTTTTCCTCTTCCATATACATTCATGACATTTCCCTTTGTGTTTCTTTTGTACTTAAAAATGCAAAATTAAATTACACTCTCTTGATATTTCTGGCTGTTATCAGAGAATAGATAAAATGCAAACAAGAAGAATTGATTGTAGAGACTACTCATTCATAAAACTAAATTGCAAAAGTCTTTGGTCATTTATGTTTTATTTTTGAAAGAGAATTTGGTAATATATCTGTGAAAGTCTCTGCCTCAGACAGGGAAACTTAGAAAAAAATCCTATAAAATGGCATAAATTAAAATTTTGGTGGAATAAATCTGATTCTATTCAGCTATTTAAATCAATTTCCCCACTCCTGGCTAACCCTCTCCAATCCCACCTTCACAAACACAGCTTAGAACAGAATTCGACATTTCTCGAAGGTAGGCAAAGAAAAATAAATTAATTTTAATTAATGACTTTTAAGTTAAGATTAATTTTGGACCCATTAAACTTCCAATAAAATATAATAGCATTTCGTATCTTCTATGCTCCTTACATAATACATAATTTTTCTATAATAAGAGAATACACTCATTACCATGTTGTTAAAGAAGCTAGTGGCCTGGGCTGGGAATAGAAGATGTGAGATTTGGTGCAGTCTATGATACCCACTAACTATCTGACCTTGGGAAAGAAGGCATATGGCCCTCAGTTTTGTCATCTAAAAATCATAATTGAATCATTTCCAAAGATATTTCCAGTTCTGAAAGCTTATAATGTGACATATGTTTTTGATACTTTTAACCGTTCACACAAATTTACTATGTTTTTGTACTGGATCATTACTTCCCTCCATGCTAGATTCTTGTTCAGAAAAACAAAGCTCATTTATATTATAGCAGTTTCCTCAGGGAGGCTATGATTTGCTCTGTAATAATTTGATTTATAGTGCAATTTTCACTTACACACTTAAGTGAAGTGGTTGGGCAATCCATGAGAAGCGCTCTCAGATTACCTTATCTAAGACTTAAGACCAGACACCCAGGCAGACTGGGGTTAGTTGTGTGGTAGAGGAGGCCTAGGAACCAGGAGATCACTTAGGTGACTAATGAAAAACAGCAAAGGATTTAGGCAACTTTATTTGTCTAAAATTAGTAGAGCAAGGATATGTTCTAATGTCAGAACAGGTCAACACACAAAAATGCAGGATTAAGGAAAGAGAGATTCCAGTAAGGATCAAAATCTGTGATAGACATGTTACGAAGCCCTAATAATAACAAGTGTTGGCAAAATTTTTCTGTAAAGAGTCAGATACCAAATATTTTAGGACATACAGTCTTTGTTATAACTACTCAATTCTGCAGCTGTAGTGCAAAAACAGCCATAGATTATATGTAAATGAATAAGCATGACTGTATTCCAATAAAACTTCATTTATGTACACTGACATTTGAATTTTGTATAATTTTCACATGTTACAAAATATTCTTTTTTTGATCTTTTCAACCATTTAAAAAGGTAAAACCTATTTTTAGTTGGCAGGCCATATAAAACCAGATGGTGGGCCAGATTTGGCCTGTGGGCTGTTGTTTGCCAACCCCTCATAATAATATAACAGTCAAATTGAGGACTTTTGAAATATGAATGAGCTTGTAATATGTTAATTTTAGTAAATTAAAATCAGCAAATGTATTATTTGAACACATTTCATTTTCTTAAAACTTTCTCTTGCAATAGTGTTTGCATTCTTCATTAACTTGATAATAATATCTACTACTTATGGCTTATTTACAGTAAGCTCAATAATAAACTTACAATAAGTTTAATACAAGAAGCATTATGTTCCAGTTATAATCATCAATGTTATTTTACAGATTCTTACGATTATTTTCTGAGCAATATTTGCATTTTATATGTGAAAAAATAAAGTGATCAAATAAATAATTAATATTTCCAGTATTTCATATCTAGACTGTCAAATCAAAAGCCTGTTCTGTTAACCATTCTACTACACAGACGCAGATATCATTTTTTCCTTTAAAAACACACAGGAAAACTTTGTTCATATTCACATTAGCTGAAATTCTGAGTTGATAATGAGACCTAATCTTGTATTTAATTGTCAATATTTTTGTTTTCAGGAAATGTTTTTCTAGTATTTATATGCCAATATAAAAATCATGAAAAGAAAAACTACACACTTAAAATAGAAGTAAAGGCTGGGCGCGGTGGCTCACGCCTGTAATCCCAGCATTTCAGGAGGCCAAGGCGAGTGGATCATGAGGTCAGGAGATCGAGACTATCCTGGCTAACACGGTGAAACCCCATCTCTACTAAAATACAAAAAAAGAAAAAAAAAAAGAAGTAAATACTGAGGCATTTTAAGGCCATAATGAAGCACAAAATCATTTTATGAATATTTCCAGGGTCAACCTTTTTTAACAATCACATCTCTATTTAATTCAATCATAATGTTTTGAAGAATCTTAGTAAATTTAACAAAAAATTAATAGTTCATTTACCTACTCGTTCAATTAGCAAATTTATTAAACATTTGCATATGCCAACCAGTATACTCTGCTTGGAAATATAACGTTGAGAAAGAGAGATCCTTTCTGTCTTCAACCTAGTGGAGCAGAAAAGATACTTATTAAAATAGCCACATTTTGTGCATACTGTAAAGAAAAGATAAAGGATGTCATGGGTTTGTTACATGGAGCATCTGTTGTAGGATGAGGTTCAGGAGAGACTTTTGAGCTGAGATCTAGCAAGGCAAACATACTAGCACATGGGGCAGAGGCCAGAGCTCGGTGCAGCACTAAGGCTGCAGACCACATAGTACTATTTTTAAGCCCCTAATGCCAGATTGCCTGAAAGGAGAGAGTGAGATGGATAGTGGCCCAACCTCAGGCCATGGTGAAAGGCAAGGTGAGATCAGGCAAATGTAAAGGGCTAGTGGAAGATTTAACCTTTATCCTAGAAGTCATGGAAGAGTTTTAAGCAGAAAAATTAGATTATCTGATTTTCCTTTTAATCATATGGATCCTAGGATATAATGGAAACAGAAATGATCTGGGGAGCTCAAGAAAAAGGCCATTGTAATGATCCATGTGAGTGCAGTTAGACAGTGTTTTAAACTAGGTTGTGTTGAGGAGACAAAAAATAGTAGACAGATTCATGAAATATGTTGAAAGCAAATACATTTGGACAGTTGATTTCTTTACATTCTTTGGATCTCAGTTTAAATAATATGTAAAAAGGCCATTTCTGACTATTCTATCCTATTCATGTTCTCTAAGACATTCTTCTTTTATATTACATGTCATAAAAATTTGATTATTTCTTTATTAGCTCATTCACTTCTGAAAGCCCTATTAGAGATGAGACTATGTCATTTTTGCTCACTACTGTTTCTATCATAATACTGTGCTTGATATGGAGCAGCACTCTATATATATTTGTGAGACAGTGAAAAAATAAACTGAGTTTTATGAGCAACTACATTGAAACATATGGCCTTAAACTGTGTTTGGAGAAATAAAAAGCAGGGGCACTATTTGGATAGTGGTTTGATGACATGTATCCATTACTCTTTGCCATGAAATACAAGTAAAATCATCATAAATGTATATTTTTATATTTTTTAAAATTAAACTTAAATAAACTGTGTTTATCCATACTGTGTTATACTAATCAGTTATGAAGTACTTTAGTATTTATACTAAATATAATGAAATACTTATGAAATATTTATGTAATAAAATGAAATACTTAGATAATAAAATGAAATAAATACTTATATAATATGAAATACTTATGTGACAAAATGAAATATTTAAGTATAAAATGAAATGCTAAAGAATTTCACTAAAGTATTTCATTTTATACTTAAGTATTTCATTTTATTACGGATTAGTATAACATGGTATGGATAAACACAGGTTATTTAACCATTTATCAATTGAAAGACATCTGCGTTATTTTAAGTTTTTGGCTATTACTAAAAAAAAGCTTATATAAATATTCACATACAAGTTATTATATGAAGATAAGTCTTCGTTTCTCTGAAATAAATATTTCTAGGAGTGAAATTGCTGAGTGACATGTTAGTTACATGTTAGTTTGTTTTTAAAAAATTGCCAAAGTGTTCTTCAGAGAGGCTTTACCATTTACATTCCAATCAAAAATAAATGAATGACCTAGTTTCTCTCCATTCTCACCCAACATTTTCTTTCATCACTTTGTTTTTAAACAATTTTTTAGACATTCTAATAGGTGTGCAGTTATATCTCATTGTGGCTTCAATTTACAATTATCTAATAAGTAATGAAGTTGAAAATCTTTTCATGTGCTTATGTACTTATTCACTATACCTTCTACAGTGAAATATCTGTTCATGTCTTTTGCCTGTATTCTAAAAGGATTATTTTGTTTTTTTGTTTGTTTTTTTTACCGTTGAGTTTTGAGACTTCTTTATATATTTTGATCTAAGACTTTTTTCAGATACACCATATGCGAATATTTTCTTCCAGTCAGTGTTTGTCTTTTTTTCGCATAACAAATTTATAAATTTTAAAGTCTGATATGAGTTTGGTGTGTCCCCACCCAAATCTCATCTTGAATTCCCACGTGTTATGAGAGGGACCCGGTAGGAGGTAATTGAATCAAGGGGGCAAGTCTTTCCTGTCCTGTTCTCATGATAGTCAATGAATCTGATGAGGTCTAATGGTTATAAAAAGGGGAGTTTCCATCCACAAGGGCTCCTCTCTTTGCCTGCCGCCATCCACATAAGATGAGACTTGCTCCTTGTCTTCCGCCATGATTGTGAGGCTTCCCCAGCCACGTGGAACTATAAGTCCTATTAAGTATCTTTCCTTTGTAAATTACCCAGTCTCACAAATGTCTTTACCAGCAGCATGAAAACGGACTAACACAAAGTCAAATTTATTATTTTTTTCTTTTTATCAATCATGCTTTTCATGTGAGCTCTAAGAACTGTGATCCAAAAGATTTATCCTATTTTTTTCTAAAAGTTTTAGTTTATCTTTTGCATATAATCCATAATCCATTTTGAGTTAACTTTTAAATAAAGTGAGGTTTAAGTTTATTTTCTATTTAATTTTTTGGCTCTATGAATGTCTAATTGCTCCAGCATCATTTGCAGAAAGGCTATTGTTTTTTCTTTATATTGCTTTTAGACATTTATCAAAAAATCAGTTGGACATGTGTGTGTGGACCTATTTATGGGTTGTCTATTTTGTTCTACTGATCTACATGCCTATGCCTTCACCAGTACTACATAGTCTTGATTACTGTAGCTTTGTAATAAGTTTTAAAAGAGAGTAGGCTAATTCCTCCCACATTTTTCTTCTTTTTCAAAATTGTTTTTGATATTCTAATTACTTTGCCTTTCTGTATACATTCTAGAATAACCCTATATATGCAAAAGCTTGTTGAGATTTCATAAGAATCGCATTAATCTTGTGTATTGATTTGGAAAGATTTGACATCTATGTTCTAATCCATGAAGATAGTATGTATCTCTATTTATTTACATCTTCTTTGATTTTTTACCAGTACTTCATAATTTTCAGCATTAGTCCTACATACTTTTTAGATTTAAAATATCTTTTGAGTTTATTTCCTCAATTGCAAATGGTTTTGTATTTTTACTTATAGTGTTATTAAATTCATTTTCCAGTATACAGAAATAAAATTGATTTTTGTATGTTTACTTTGTATTCTGTGGCATTTCTAAACTCATTTAATAGTTCTAAATGTTTTTTGCAAATTTATTGGGATTATCTATGCAGACAACCATGCTATCTATACACAAGGGCACTTTTATTTCTTCCTATATAATTAATAAGCCTTGTATTAGCTGCATTGTCTTAACTGCATTGGATAGCATTTTTGATGCTAGTAATATATTGTGTAAGAGTGGTCGGTGTTGATATTTTTGCCTTGTTTCCAACAATAGAAAAATGCATTTAGTGTCTCATCATTCAGTACAATGTTAGCTGTAGGGTTTTTTGTTTTTCTGTAGATGTTCTTTATCAGGTTAATTTCCCTTTATTCCTATTTTTAAGAGCATTTTTATCTTTAATGTGCATACAATTTTGTCAAATGATTTTCTGCACCACTTTTTTTTTCTTAAACTGTTAGTATGGTAGATTACGTTGACTGATTCTGGATATTAAATCATCCTTGCGACCCTGGAATAAACTCCATTTGGTCATCATGTATAATTTCTTTTTTATATTGCTTAATTATATTTGCTAATATTCTGTTAAGGATTTTGCAACTATATTTATGAGGAATATTCATCTGTAGTTTTATTTTCTTGTACTGTGTTTGCAAAACTTCCTCTTCTCTTCTATTTTATAAAAGAAATTGTTTAGAATCAGTGTAAATTATTATTTAAACATTTGGTAGAATTCTCCATTGGAACCATGTGGTCCTGGAGATTTAATTTTTGGGGAGTTTTATAATTATGAATTTAATTTGCTTAATGGTTATAGAGCTATTCAAAATTATCAATTTCATATAGTATTAGTTGTGTAAGTTCGTAGTTTTCAAGATATCGGTCCCTTTCATCTAAGTTATCAAATTTGGATGTATAGATTTGTTGGTAGCACTCCCTTAGCTGTTTGTTGTTTGCAGGATTTGTAATGATATCTTGTTTCATTCCTGATATTGGTAATTTGTATCTTCTCTACTTTTTCTTTGTCAGGCTTGCTAAAAGATTGATAATTCTATTTATTTTGTCAATGAACCAACTTGGTTTTCATCAAATTTCTCTGTTGTTTTGGTGTGTCAATTTCACTGCATTCTGCTCTTACCTTTACTATTTGTTCCTTCTGTTTATTTTGCATTTATTTTGCTCTCCCTTTTACAAGTTTTGAAAGAAGAACTTAAGGAAGCTTATGTTATTATTATTTATTATTATTATTATTATACTTTAAGTTTTAGGGTCCATGCGCACAATGTGCAGGTTTGTTACATATGTATACATGTGCCATGTTGGTGTGCTGCACCCACTAACTCATCATTTAACATTAGGTATATCTCCTAATGCTATCCCTCCCCCCTCCCCCCACCCCACAACAGGCCCCAGTGTGTGATGTTCCCCTTCTTGTGTCCATGTGTTCTCAATGTTCAATTCCCACCTATGAGTGAGAACATGCGGTGTTTGGTTTTTTGTCCTTGTGATAGTTTGCTGAGAATGATGGTTTCCAGCTACACCCATGTCCCTACAAAGGACATGAACCCATCATTTTTTATGGCTGCATAGTATTCCATGGTGTATATGTGCCACATTTTCTTAATCCAGTCTACCATTGTTGGACATTTAGCTTGGTTCCAAGTCTTTGCTATTGTGAATAGTGCCGTAATAAACATACGTGTACATGTGTCTTTATAGCAGCATGATTTATAATCCTTTGGGTATATACCCAGTAATGGGATTGCTGGGTCAAATGGTATTTCTAGTTCTAGATCCCTGAGGAATCGCCACACTGACTTCCACAATGGTTGAACTAGTTTACAACAGGTGCTGGAGAGGATGTGGAGAAATAGGAAGCTTATATTATTAATCTGAAAAATGTTTCTGTTTTCTAATATAAGTAAAGTTACAGATTTTCCTCTCAATGCTGCATAAGATGTGTTTTAGATTTTTTTAAATGAGGCAATTATTAACTCAGCATCTTTTATTCTAATGCTTCCTGTTGGCAGTCACCACCTATCCTGCAATTCTGTCCAGATTTCTTTGCACTGAAGTTATTAGTTTGTAGCCCTTGTCTTGGTCCTCTTCCACTATTTTCAGCACTTCCAGGACAAGGACCCAGCATGCCATACTCTTGGATCCTTGGTTGAAGTGTCTGGGCCTGAGGCCATTTCTCAAGATCCCCCATAGATTTTGGTCATGGAGCCGACCCCAGCTCCACCTGGGAGGTACAGATATTGTGCTATGGAAGCTATGTCTACACCTATTGCTATGTGTAGAATCAACTGTCATTATAGGGAGCAAGGTCTTTACGCTTGGCCAGCTTGAACATGTCTTGGGACTTTCAACTTCCAGACTTTTTGGGGAAGGCTGCCAGAGGTCTGAAGAACTCCTGCCAGTTCACATCTTTTACAGTGACTCCAGGTATGGTGTGGCCTCCACACTACCAACCAAAGGAAAAACTGTGTTTCAGAAATTTTGATATGTTGCTTTTTTTAATTCAGTTAAATATATTTTTTATTTCCCTGATACATTCTCCTTTATCCATGGATTATTTAGAAGCATGCTGCCTAATTTCCAAGTGTCTGAAATAGTCCACTTATCTTTTAGTTATTAATTTCTATTTAATTCCATTGTAGTCAGAAAACACACTCTGTGTGATTTCTATTTGTTTAACTTTTTTGAAGTTTATTTTGTGGTCCAAGATATGATCCATCTTGTTATATGTTCTGCAGGCACTTAAAGGAATGTATATTCTGCTATTGTTGAATAGAGTAGTCTATATATGTCCATTAGATTCTATTGTTGAGGATATTGCATTATTCTCTGTTCTTTCCAATTTTCTACCTGCTAGATCTAGCAAGTATTGCCAACATGGTATTCAGTTTCCCAAGTATAATTCTGGGTTCTTAATTTCTCCTTTCAGTGCTATCAATTTTTGTTTAACATATTTTGTATTTCTGTAGTTTGGTGCATGCATGTTTAGCATTGTCATGTCTTCTTGTTGGATTTACCCTTTTATTATTATGTAATATATCTCTCTGTTTCTGGATTTGCTGTGCAAATACAAAATATTCTGTATTTGCTCTGTAATATACTTTAATATGTAATATAGTCACTTTTTGTTTCTTTTGATTAATGTTTGCATGATCTATCTTTTTCATCCTTTTATTTTTAATCTGCCTTTATCTTTATATTTGAAGTTTTTTGTAGATAGCCTAAAATTAAGTCATTTAAAACAGGAATTTAATAAATTTTTGTATTATAGAGTTATCTTAAATTTACAGATTTATCATGAAGACAGAAAAGGAAGTTGATCTATAACCCACCCTCGGTTTTCCCTGCCATTAAAGTCTTATATTGGTATTGCACGTTTGTCACAATTAATGAATCATGATTGATACAGTATTATTAACCAAAGTCCATACATCATTTAGATTTCCTTTATTTTTCGCTAAGGTCTTCTTTTTCTTCTAAGATTGCATCCAGGAAACCGCATTGAATTTAATAGTCATGTCTCCTTAGGCTCCTCTTGTGAGAGTTTCTCAGACTTTCCTTGTTTTTGATGAACTTGACAATTTTAAGGAGTAATGGTCATGTATTTTATAAACTGTTCCTCAATGGAATGTGACTGTTTTCTTCATGATTAGGTTGAGTAATATGTTTTTGGGAGGACCACCATAGATGTAATGTGTCATTTTCACCAGATCACACTAAGGCTCCATGCTATTGACATGATTTGTGATTGTCGATATTAACTTTGATTACCTGACTGAAACAGTGTTTGTGAAGGTTCCCCATTGTAAATTTAGTATTTCTCTCATTTTCATACTGTACCCTTGGGAAGAAACTCACTATTTGCAATCCACAAATAAAAAGTGGGAAGTTATATTCTGCTTGCTGAAGAAGAAAGTATCTACTTTAATTATTTAGAATTTTTTGGATGGGAGATTTGTCTATTCTCTTACATTAATTTACTTATTAAATCATTAAGTTATATCAGTATGGACTCATGATTATTTATTTTGTACTTTGGGGTATGAATCAACACTACTATATTTTTGTTGTTCAAAATATTCCAGTTTTTGGCCATTTGAAGCTCTTTCAGATGGTACTCATATCCCTTTGATAGTTTCCTGTCATTATCTGCAGTTTATTTATTTACTTATTCATTCTTTAAAAATGTCCTTTAATTTTTAGCGGGTTGTTTAAAGTAGACATTTTTTTTTTGTGAGCAGTTTTAGGTTCATAGCAAAAATGAGTAGAAGGTATGAAGAATTCTCACATACCTCCTGACTCTATACTTGAATAGCCTCTTACACTATCAACATCCACCACCAGAGTAGTACATTTGTTATCATTGATGAGCCTACATTGACACATCATTATCACCCAGAGTCTATATAGTTTACATTAGGGTTCACTCCTTTTGCACATTCCATTTCATATTGGCCAAATATATCCACTGTTATGCTATCATACAGAGTGTTTTGTCACTGCCTAACCATCTGTGTTCTGCCTATTCATCCCTCTCCTCTGACCCTGGACTATGACTCCAGTTTTGCTTTTTACAGAATGTCATATAATTGGAATCATGCAGTATGTAGCCTTTTCAAATTGGCTTCTTTCATTAATATGCAGTTAAGTTTCCTCCATGTTTCTTTGTGGTTTGATAGTTCATTTCTTTATAGCACTGAATAATATTCCATTTTCTGAATTTGGCAGTTTCTTTATCCATTCACCTACTGAAGGTCATCTTGGTTGCCTCCATGAGCAATTATAAGTAAAGTTGCCATAAACATCTCTGTACATGTTTTTGCACAGTAGTTTCTTTTTAAAAAACACTTTTATTTTCTGGCACTATAGGTCATGCATTTTAATCTACTTTGCCAATTCCTGTTTCTCGGTTCATAAATTTAGACCATTTTTATTTAATTTCATTATTGATATATTACACTTAAATATGCCATTTTTTTTCTGTTTTTCTCTCTTGTTTGTTTCTATTTTCTTTTTCCTGCCTGTAGGTATGACATTATATATCTATAAGTAATTACAATCTAGTAATATGACATTTTACTATTTCAAGTGAAATATAGAGATCTTATCTCCCTTTATGTTCTGTTACCCTCTCCCATTTATAATCTAATTATATTAAATATTTTCTGTATGTCCATTTATAATTAGATTAAACATTATGATTTTTGCTTCTATTATAAACTATAATTTAGAAAACTCAAGGAGACCAGAATCTACAAAGAACTTAAACAAATTTACAAGGAAAAAACAACCCCATCAAAAAGTGGGCAAAGGATATGAACAGACACTTCTAAAAAGAAGACATTTATGAGGACAACAAACATATGAAAAAAAGCTCATCATCACTGGTCATTAGAGAAATGCAAATCAAAACCACAGTGAGATACCATCTCATGCCAGTTAGAATGGCAATCATTAAAAAGTCAGGAAACAACAGATGCTGGAGAGGATGTGGAGAAATAGGAAGGCTTTTACACTGTTGGTGGGAGTGTAAATTAGTTCAACCATTTTGGAAGACAGTGTGGCGATTCCTCAGGGATCTAGAAGCAGAAATACCATTTGACCCAGCAATCCCATTACTGGGTATATACCCAAAGGATTATAAATCATTCTACTATAAAGACATATGCACACCTATGTTTATTGCAGCACTGTTCACAGTAGCAAAAACTTGGAACCAACCCAAATGCCCATCAATGATAGACTGGATAAAGAAAATGTGGCACTTATACACCATGGAATACTATGCCACCATAAAAAAGGATGAGTTCATGTCTTTTGCAGGGACATGGATGAAGCTGGAAACCATCATTCTCAGGAAACTAACACAAGAACAGAAAACCAAACACCACATGTTCTCACTCATAAGTGGGAGTTGAACAATGAGAACACCTGGACATAGGGTGGGGAACATCACACACTGGGGCCTGTTGGGGGGTGGGAGGGCTTGGGGAGGGATAGCATTAGGAGAAATACCTAATGTAGATGACAGGTTGATGGGTGCAGCAAACCACCATGGCATGTGTATACCTATGTAACAAACCTGCACGATCTGCACATGTATCCCAGAACTTAAAGTATAATGAAATAAATAACTGAAAGTAAGCATTCACAACGCAAGAACAGGAGGACATTTTTAACAATATAAATTATAATGAATTTTAAGAAAAAAATCAAAGCACCATCAACAGAAGAATCATCAGAGTAAAATAAGAAAATCATAGAAATTAAAAATCTTCCAATTCAAAAATTTGGAAGTTAAAAGTTGACGAAGTCTCTCAATAAGTAGACGAAATAACAAAGAGATAAAATTTAGAAACGTTAAGAAGTTAAATTATTCATCTAGAAGGTCCAACATTCACTTAACTGGAGTCCTAGTAAATGAGAACAAAGGAAACAGGGAAAAGGCGGTTATCAAAGACATAGGTACATTTTTTTTCAAATGGAAAAATATATGTTTTCATTTTTAAAGCAACTGACTACTCAGTAAAATTAATTGAAAAAAATTAAATGGGTATCACTGATAAATTCCAGAATGTCAGGGGAAAAGAGAAAATCTTTTATTCATAGAAACAGAATTAGAATGAGAAAATATTTCTAAAATATATTTAGTATGGAATTCAATCTTAATATCTCCAGTGAGATGGCAAGATAATATATGATTTATGTTTTCAAATACCCACAGTCAACTTGAATTATAATCCTTGGTTACTGAAATTATGTGCAGGTATAATTAATGGAAATTTTAGTAATTTTTGGAAGTCAGATATCCCAAAGGAACAAAAGTCTGAGGCTCTGAGTTTTCATGCAGCTAGTTTTTTGGGGAGTTCTCTGATGAGCAACACCAATGAAGAGTGAAGAAAGCAGGATTAAACACAGGAGAAACTGAACTGTAATCATGCAGTTCTAACAGAGGTCTCACAACTCTCAGCGGCAACAGTGGTTGGGATGGCTATTCAGAGATTTCTCAATTGTGGCAACAATGTGGGGCTTTTTTTAACTCTCCCTGTCCCCAACAACTAATTATTATATGACAGCTTTCATCAGGGAATGGAGTTTAACTTTTGGGATAGGATGATTTCCTTGGCTGAAAAAATTGCTTGGAGACTGACTCAGCTGGGAGCAATCAGCAACCAACAGTCTCGAACCTGGGGAAATGAGTGCCTTAGTCACAAAGGACATCTGTGTCACAAAACACAGCATCCACTACAGTTCACCCCAGCACTGCTCAGATCTATTTGTTCCATATAATAAGTTCACTCCAATTGGAAAAAGCTTCTCCATGATTCTTGTTAGTCTCTTTTTCTAGAAATTATAAAAGAGAAAAGGTAGTAAAACAAATGGCAGTCCCTACTACAATAGTTGGTCTCAGATTATCATAGGTGCTCATCATCTTCCTCCTCTAGTACCCATTTGAAATTGCCCACATCCTCAGTTAGTAACTGAACTGGTATTACTGGTTTATCAAGTCAGGTTAACACACTTTTATCTGTGAGGGTTCTGAGCCTCTGGTTACCATGTTCTTCTCACACTGCTGTGGCTGTTATTGTCCATGTATTGTCATGATTGAGTGAGAGAGTAATAAGAGACACTGCGGTTGTCAACTGTTTTCTACCTTGCCTTCATTGTGTAACCACAGTCCTACCTCTTACCACTCCCAGTATGATAACTCTGCTTTTGACTGCTAGGGTATGATGTGACTTGACCTTATTTATTGGGTCTCATGGTCAGGGTGAGAAATAAAATGCTCAGGAGAAAACATGTTGTCTGGCATTTAAAAGTTAGGAACCAATATTTTAATTCTCCCCATTAAAATCAATTAATTCAGTGCAGTTACAAACAAGAGCCCTGAAGGGTTTTGCTTTTGTTTTTGATGAAATTTAACAAACTGATCCAGAAATTTATGTATAAGAACAAGGGGAAGGTCAAGTAATTTGTAAGATGAAAATTTTCAAGGTGAATAATACAGGCTGGGTTCCTCCCTCTTAGATATTAAGACTTCCTGTAATCCCAGCACTTTGGGAGGCAGAGGTGGGTGGATCATGAGGTCAGGAGATCGAGACCATCCTGGCTAATATGGTGAAACGCCATCTCTACTAAAAATACGAAAAATCAGCTGGGCATGGTGGCAAGCGCCTGTAGTCCCAGCTACTCAGGAGGCTGAGGCGGGAGAATGGCATGAACCCGGGAGGCGGAGCTTGCAGTGAGCCGAGATCGCGTCACTACACTCCAGCCTGGGCGATACAGCGAGACTCCGTCTCAAAAAATATATATATATATTTTTCTGTATTTTAAAAATTATTTTGTAGTGAAAAAGGGAAAATGTACCTAAGGAAAACAAAAATCAGATGATAAATAAAGATCAGAAGAGGGAAGATCCATCATTGCTGTGATTATATGAAATCTGAAGCTGCATTATTATAAAAATAGATAAATCCAATAAAATACCTTCACAGCATTTTCAGTCATAGCATAATCTGTGGTATTATGTTTAGTTATTAATTCTATATTTTAAAAGATATTCTGAAATTCTGAAGATTATGTAAACTCAAATGACCAGTGAGTGATATGAAAATCACACTTAAAACAGCAATAGCTGAGAAAAATGTGGACATTTAGCTTGGACAAAAAAGGACTTTTCAGGAATGGTTTGAGTCACGTATTTTAAGGGTTGTCATGTGGAAGATGATGTTTATGTTCTTTAAGTCTCTAAAATGTTGACTTAGAAAAAAGACGGATGGGAATTTGGACACAATAGATTTGAGCTCTATATTAGAAGAGTGGAGAGAAAAGGATCTGGGATTCAGAATTGTACACACAATGAAACAGTCTGCATTACAAAGAGTATTAGCTTTTCATCACTGGAAGTGTTAGTTACAGAAGTTTGCAAAGAGCATTCCTATACGATTGGAGACTGCCACAACCTGAATAGCAACTAAGGTTTTTTTCTAGCTGAGGACTCTATTATTTATATACTAGGACTCAATTATTCATATTAAATTGAAGTAAAAAATAAATACTGTTTTCCAAGTCTCACAGTATCTCTTTGAAAGAGGAAATCTGGGTAATCTACTTGCCTTCAGGGCACCAATTCTTAATAGCATTTCCAAATATTCCAGCAGGGGCAGCAGGCATCTTTAAATGCCAGAGATTCTTGGGACCCCAAGCAACCCTGGACACCCATTGATAAAAGCAAATTCAATACTTGATCAAAGTCTTGGTCCTGGGCTGTTTGGTTTGATATGAGATACATGGCAACCCTTGTAAAACTTCAAAGCTATTAATTTATCACAAACCTATAAATCAAAAATTTATATAGAGAGATTGTAATGAAGGCCATTTTTCTAATTCTGCCAATTACCTGAAACAAAGAGCCCATTTCTCTGGGAAGCTCAGGTACAGTTTGATGCTGCAGTCAGTCACCAATGATCTGTTTGTTTGCAGGTGGTGACTGCTGCCTTCACATTTTCCTGTGAGGGGTTAGGAAAAGATTTCCAAAATGCTCTTTGCTTCACCACCATTTTAAAAACAATTACAGTGAGGGCGCCTGGGATGGAGTTTCCAGGACACCATTTCACGGATCGTTGCTCCAGTCCACTTATTTGTACAAGAGCAGTATTCTTGTTTTCCATCTCTCCTCACTGTGGGATTCCAGCTTTTGTGCCAAATATGAACCATTCTTGCTCTGAGCACCAGAAATACCCAGGATCTTCCAATTTACTGTGGTTGCTGGCCTCTGCAAGATAGTAAACCACACTTGAATTGTTAAGATCATTATACTGAATATCTTCTTCCTTTTTTAGTCCCGTTAAAAAAAAAATGAGCGAGGGAGAAAGAAACACAGAAGGCAAAGAATTGTAGAATGCTTTTCAAAGCCAATAACTTTTCACCATGCTTCTGTATTTCTGTTAGCATGGAACCAACTTTCTTTCACAATTACTTTGTTATTGTCCTGTCTAATATGGTAGCCACTAACTAACAGGTATGGTTATTGAGTACATGAAATGTTGCTATTGTGATTGAAGAACTGAATTTTTAATTAAATGAGATGTGCTAAAAGTGTAAAATACAGTGAATCTCAAAAACTAAGAAAAAATGTAATACTTCTCAAATATTTAAATATATAAATATATTAAAAGTATATTCAGATACATTTTGATAAACAAAATATATTATTAAAATAATCTCATCTTTTTCTTTTTACTTTTTAGTGTGGCTAGTAGAAAATTTAAAATTACTTATGTGTCTCATTTTGATTGGACAGTGCTGCCTATAAATTGAGTCTCTCTCTCTTGCTTTCTGTCTCTTTCCCTGGATTTGTGATAGTCCTGTAACTAATTCTCTTAGTGGTTAAGATGGTGGGAGATCGGCAATAGGACCAAGTGCATAGTATGCAGGCCTTAGTGCAGAATGAAAATGTGGAGCCCTTGATAAAAATTTAGAATTTTAATAAGGCTATAGAGGAACATTAAAACAAGTGTGGGGCTGTTATATATGTGAAGCCCTATGAGATTGCACAGATCTAACACCCATAAAGTTGGAGCTGATTGGTAACTGCCAATTTGAGAACTACTGAGCCAGAACATGAGAGTCACTAAGGGCTATTACTCCAGGGACCTTCTAAAAAGAAAATGAAAAGTTTGAAATATTTGTTACTTTACCTGTCATTTCCCAGTTCTCAATTTAGACCACAAAACTCAGATTCATCTCAAGTCAGCAAGTAAAACAGCAATAATAGATGGCTAGAAATAAAGCTTCAAAAATTACTCTGAAACTCTTGATAACATTTATGCTTTAAAATTGCAATTTTAAGTTTTCTTGCAGATATTTTATTATATAGAGCATCAGAGACTTGGTTGTCAGCTTATATTAAGTGCTTTTGAATGGCAGAATTCAAACAAGAAAATAACTTTAAAAAGCCTGTCTATACGAGGTAGTTAAGAAGAAGATAATAATTATCTGTAATGCTGAGGAAGTATTTGTTTAACACAAATGATAAAAGGGCTTGGGTTCTGAAATCTGTAGACCAGCTAAGTTTACCTTATATTTGTGAAAATGCATTGGTGGTTGTGTTTTAAATCAAAGAGACAACTGTTGCACAGTGTTGGTGACAAGGCATCTTGTCTGAGCTTTACTACAGCAACATAACATCCAGGGCTTCCTTCAGTTTGAACTTTTACTGACTCTGTGAACTTAAAAGAAGTCATATTGTGCCCCTCTCTTAAGATTAATTTATTCAGTGATAAGGTGAGTGATGGTAAGCCAGGTACCTATCCAATCACAGTAAATACTAAGTTCCAGTACAAACTGAGCAACAGATCATATTTCAGAGTGCTGGAGCTGGAGCACAGGAATATTGCTATAGAGAGGGAAAATTCCCAAATGTAAATCTTTGTGTGATGTGACTAAAAATATGGGGAGAATATGTATTAAATATATGAATAAATTAATAAAATGAAATTGATTAAAGAAGAATAAAGGCAGTTATTTTTTCCAGAAACCCTACATCTGGTGTGATTAGACCGTAGTGAGTTCTTCAGAGCTCAAAGCTTCCACCTATGAATATTTTCTTCAATAAACATTTTTTCCTTTGCCTCACTGGTTGCCAATAGAAACATCTGCCTGGAGGACTCAGTTTAGCCAAGTCTCTCTCGTTTTTTTTTTCTTTACAAGTCTTGAAAGAATATTTTGGCCTTCTTTCCTCTGATTAGTTTCCAAAATAGCAGTGGGAATTTAAATTATAATCAACTTTTATCCAGTTCCTGCTAAATTCATCAAGAAAAGACTTAGAATATGAATCAGGTACAATTGTTGGGTTTCCTTGAACTTCACTAACCATCCATTCATTCCTCAAGGAAGACAAAAGCTCATTTCTCCAAAAAATGAGTGTTGAATTGAATTCTATTTTTTTGTCCAGAATTTTTTTTCCTTTATCAGTCTCACTTGTCTGGACTGTGCTTAACTAAATAAAACAATACATCTTTACACCAAATTCCACAATGTGGTTTGCTAAAGTATGTCTTTTCTTCCTCCACCACCCTGCCTCTTACTTAAACTTCATTTACTTTGACCCCAAAGTGTCTAGAATCAATATATTTGTACAAAGTTAGCTGGTTTTGGGGATGATTCTCTATCTTGCCATTTTTACATGAGAGCAAGTTAGCTTAAAAACGTGGAGGCAAACCAACAGATGATATCAACAATTTCCTCCTGCTGCTACAAATAGGATGTTAACCTATTTTTAAAATAGATTTATTTTTAAAATTTTGTTTTCAAAATAGATTTATTTTAAAAATTTTATTTTCATAATAGTTGAACATCATCCTATTTAGTAGTTTAAAATCTTAAAATGTTTTGTTTTTTTTTTTCTATTTTCCTACAATGAATAAAAATCACACATAAAGTTTAGCTAGAGAAATAACTCATCCAATGACTACAAGAGGCCCATGTTGCCTTTATTCTGAAGCTACTGATACTGGGAATTTGTAGAGTTTTGCCTAGAACATTCTGACTTCCCAAGCCACATCACAGAGATATCAGGCAACGGAGAGCAGTGCCATCTGTCAGTCCCTGGAGCCATCATCAAATAGGAGCTATGCAAGCCCAAGAGTTTTTGGCTGGAATAGGGGAAGTTCACAGAAACAGATTTTTCTTCATTTTTGTTCTCATGTTTTCGAACTCAGGAATCTTCAAAGGAAATGGAAGAAAGCATGAAACCGTGCACAATGAAATGATGAAAAATTCTGGCCAGCACACAGAAATCAAGTTATCACATGGATGGGAAAGTTTTCTAATATGAGCACTATCTTCTGTTTTGTTTCTCTCCCCAGCATTTCCTGCTGCCTTCAGTTGACAACCCTATTTACATCGCTTCTGAGAAGCTCAAGCTCAAAAAGACTGTTACGGAGACTTAGAAATTATGGTAAGGTTCTGGTGCCTTTACAAGGCCCTTTAGAGAATCATGGGCAAAAGCAGTAACAGAATAAGAATTAAAGCACCACTTTATTAATATCTGTATTAGAACTCAAAACCACTTACATAGGCCTGCTTGGTATAAGTTGGTTTATAGCAAAGACTTTGAGTTTGAGAACAAATTGTGATTTCATTCCCTTCCTTTCCTACCAACATACTTTCTATTCCTCAAATCTAAATCCTGAGAAGAGGGGTCAGGCTTTAGAGAAAGTTATGGCACAAATTATGAATAATATCTGTAAAGTAGATTTGGGAAAAAGAACACATAAGCTTGACCCAGTAGATCTGTTTATTCTATTGACTTAGAAAATGGAAATCTCATGAGACAGGATGGATGGGACCTAGATTTAGATTGTTCCAGAAACTTTACCATGCCCACATGATTGGTAGCCAAACTCAATAGGAACCATAACAATAGCAACCCACCTTTCCAGGGTGGGTGGGAAAACTAGATAAATAGGTGAGCATATGAGTAACTAGCTGGCAAGGGGCAAGAACATTCATTATTTAACATATGCCACTCTAAAGATTGGCAAGATGTGGTGGTAGAATGGCTAATCTCCAAAAACTAACTAGCAAGATGCCAAATGCACCCTGACAGATATATTCTGACAAATAAGATATCTCAATATGAAGTATTTGTGGTTTCAGCTTTCTTTTGAAGAGAGATCTGCAAAGGAATCACTATGCTCCAAAAGCATTAATTACCTATGAGAAAAACTGATTGCAAAAATGGTTAAATACTCCTCCTATATATAGGAGGAGTACTAGATACTAGATACTGCATAGGAGTACTAGATACTAGATACTAGACAGGAGTACTAGATACTCCTCCTAGATACAGGAGGAGTAGAGAATTTAATCATTTGGGCTAGCCATGTGTCATACATTGGCCAATAGGAAGAAGAAGAAGACACGGCGTGTCAGTTTCAGCTTGCCCTCAATAGGCCTTTTACGTCCCCATTCATTCTATTAGAACTCTGCCACCCTCACGAAAACAAACCCATGCTAGCCTGGTGGAGTATGAGGAACTATGAAAAGAGCTGAGTCATTCCAAGTAAAGCCTTATATATTATGCCAGCCAGTCCATAGCTGGCCCAGAGTAGACCAGTGATAAACGAGCAAGCCCAGCTGAAATCAGCAAAGCCAAGCCCTGGATGATGTAGATGATCCATAGACTTTACAACAAAAATAAATGTTTATTGTTCTATGTCATGGGTATGTGGTTATTATTTAGGCATCATTATTATGGCAAAAGATGACTGAGATAACCAGCCAGAACATTGTTATCACCTAGACAAAGTAAACTAGGATTATATTTAAGATATGTTAAGCCAAGAGCATAGCCCAGACCTTTGGAAAATGATCAAATCTGGAAATTTTATAGATCAGACTACATATATATTGCCATTTCACACATCTTTGACTTTAGCAATGTATATCTCTAGAGACGGGCAGGGATGCTATCCTTCTGTTTATAATATCCTTCTCATTTTTCTTTACATGCATAACTCATTCTTTAAGATTCAGGGCAAGATGTTAGCTCCTCCAGGAAATGGATGCTGAACTTACACTGAGTTTCCTGGGCATATCTTTATTTTAGCTCTCAAAAGTGTACCGTAAGTAGAATCAATGTATTCACTTCTTTATCTCCCCTTCTTCTTCAGCCCACTTCAATCTGGCTTCAATCAACAGTCTTTGGAATTAGCTCTCAAAAGAAACTGTAATTATGAACAGCACCCATTCAAGGAACATTTATAAGTCCTTATCTCACTTGACTGCCTTGCACACTTAGAAACAACTGAACAATCTTCTGGAAGCATCTTTTTTTGTGTGTGGTAGTCATATACAATTATAACTTAGCTTTACTTCTGTGAATTTTTAAAATCTCTGTCTTTCCCTATGTCCTACTAAAGTGTAAAGTCAATGAGGGCAGAGATCCTGTCTTCTTTTTTTTATGAGGGCATACTCAGGGCCTAATACAGTGAGTGCCTGGCACAGAGTAGGTGCTCAATAAATACCTCTGCATGAGTGAATGCAAGTATCACTTACCTTATTACATAAAAATCATTTTCCTACATTGATCTTACCCCCACATGGTAAGCTTCCAGATGGCAAGGAAAAGGAATTATTTTGTATTTAGAGTGCCTAGCCCAGGGATTCAATTTTTGTAAGAATAAAAGCTAAAACATATCATTTTCCATAAATGTTTGCATCATTTTAAGACCCTTACATGTGTGATTTAATCTTTCAATGATCTGTGAGATTTAGAATTTCCCCCTATTTTGCAGATAAGGAAAATGAGGCACTAGAAACTTCACAAGTATTTGTTAAACTGAACCATATGCTCTAACGGCAGACATACAGAAAAATGAAGAGGAATAGCTACTAATACTGGGCTGGAAATACCTCAAAGAGGTGGCAAACCCCAACTCTGTCCATGTCTAGGGATACAGTGTGCTAAGTGTGTATTCCCTCCATTCAACTAGTACAGGTCTGTAGAAAACTGTTCTGTGTTCCTGGGCCCTCTACCTGTCTCACAAGAATGTCTATCTACCCTCTACCTGGTCTCACAAGAATGTCTATCTACCCTTTGCTTCCTCATCATAGTCGTCTACGTGGAAATACCCCCTTTGTTCAGCCAGCCCACTGTTCTGATTTATTTCTTCTGCTCCATTACTTTAAGGTCTGCTCATCACATTAACCTAAATCCCTGGTGCAAGTCCTGACACACAAAAATATTCATTCGTTAATGAACACATCACCTCTTAATTTCCTAGACAAAGACTTTCTTGACTATCAAAAAAAAGTAACTCGTCCTTCATATGTTTCATGCTATATTTTGCTCTTTGCTACATGTAAAAGTAAAAATAACAATCTAAACTACAGCATGAATGTGCAATTACATACTGTTTTTCACAGTTTTAATGTTTGTAGTCATGGAATTTGATTTTTGGCCTTAAAACTTCAGAGAACAGAGGTTAAATATAGTTAACCAACTTAAAACCATAGCCTGTGCTTCAAAATGGGCAAAATAAGAAGTGTATTGGTCACTTATTTGACCTGGATGATGATGATGAAAAAATAATAGCTTAGTAAATTGTCCTGCTTGGGAATTACCACAAGATAGAAGATGGAGACTATCAAATGTGAATCCAGAAATTATAGAGTTGGAAATACACCAAGACATTTTGAAAATAATCCTTACTTTTACAGAATGTGCTGTTTGTAGAAAGTTCCTTGATCAGTATGATTTTTTGCTCTATTCTCTGTCTATCGATTCAATATGCGAGTCCATTTAAATTTCCCTTCATCACGTTAAGATCATAGAGGAAATTGCGTACCTCAGGAACCAATTAAAGCTTAACTCACCTTCTTCTGACCGTCCCTCAGCAGCTGTTCCCAGAGAAAGTTGGAGAGAGCTCAAAGAAAAACTGCCTTGGAACAGACTCACCTGGAACTCATAGACTCCATCCGAGTCTGCGCTGCCAGGGGCCTTGGCGTCTGTCTCTGAGTTGTCATTTCATTTAGCCTGAGTGTGGTGTTCTGTACTGGGTGCTAAGGGGAATTTAGGGCATAGATTAGACATAGTATTTACCCTCAGGAATCTCACAGTTTAATGGAGGAAATAAGATAAACACACAGTGAATTAAGAGAAAGTAGATACATATGTACACATAAAAAATATTGATTTAAGTTTGGGAAAGAAGAGGACATAGAGGCAAAGGGTTTAGATGCTAATTAGAAAAGTCTTGCTGATCAGCCTTCACATGAGTCTAAGTGGAAGGAAAATTCTCTGTGTGCTGAAAGAAAAGGGACAGCTGTTCCAGAGAGGGATTTCTTTCTTTTCCCCCACCCCCACAGGGCCTGGATCAGGAGAAGCAACTCTGTACTCACGGACTATAAATCACATCCACATGACTGACCACTTGGGTCAATGGATGATGCCACGGAGATACTTTCCCTTGGCCTTCTAGTAATCTTGGATTAGCCTGGTTAGCATGTATTATTTTCTCTGTTCCTAGCTCTTCACCTGTCAAGTGAGTTAATGTAAAATAGTTTATCTCTTTCATTAAAAACATGATGCTGGTCTGTTTGACAAAAATGCTTATATTACCCACTTTTGAGGAGGAATATGTAATTTATATAGGATGAATCTAATATAATATTTGCTCTCCTAAGGCCTGTATTTTTCCAGAACTGATGGCCAGGACCATGCTTGACTTTTGGCTTAGGATGGCACGCATAGGAAGTAGGCACTTAGGCTTTGCAGGAACGCTGCTACCCTGGGGAATTCCAGACAACATCACCCAAAGAGGTCTGCACAGTTCTGTGTCACATTGCTGCATTCTTATACTCCTCACATTCTGTTGGAATAACATTATCCCATTGAACAAACAAATTAAAACAAAACAAAATAATTTTTTTAAATTTCCAACATTTATGGAGTTAAAATGCTCTCTCTCTCTCCTTTTTTCAATTTAATCAGAGGCTGTTTTTTCTTCCCCCCTTGGTGGGGGGAGCTGGGGGAAAAGAGACAGATGGTATCGTTTGCAAAAGGAAAGCTGAGAAGTTACTCATATATCTTTCAGCTTTGTGGCAAATGTGATGCCAAGATTCTTGCTTGGAGTGTATACTGCAATACAGGCACAGAGGCGTACCAGAAAGGGTGAGGCCAGCGCATGGAGGGCAGTGCAATAAATTGCTGTGGGCTGATCCAACACCAGAACATGTGAGCTATTAAACTTTGGCAGCTATTTTATTTTTCCCTTATGGAGTTTCAGACCTGTCTTGTACACTGAGATAGGTTTCATCTGGTTAAAACTTGTGTCGTATTTAAACTTCCTTCAGATCCATGGAGTTGGAGGGGAAAAAAAAAAAAAAATAAACCTAGCATATCCCATAACACACTGAAATGATGTTGGGGGTGGGAGAGGGGCAGTAATTGTGCCCAGATAATGTTGTCATACTTTGTAAAGCCTTTAATGCTGGAATTTATTTATTAATGATGCATGGGTTATTACCCACCATCTGTCTTGTGTTAGCAGTGGGCTGTTTCAGATTATGGTAATGTGTTTCTGATTTGAGTTGTGTTGAAAGCCAGAACAAGGCATCTCATGTGCAGTCCTCTTTGAGGCCTGCTGTTTTCAATTCCTCTTCACATAAAGGGCTTTTATTTGATTTGTTATGGGGATTTTTTCTTCTGTTGCCAAAACAGCTGCAAGCCTGGAAGGGAATAAGACACAGAGCCACATCAAACTTGTTAGCTTGTAAAAAAAACAGAATGTTCCAGGAACCAGAAAAAAATAGAAGGATGTGGGAGAGTGTATGGAAAGGAGAGGAGAGAGAGAGAAAGAAACTTTAGTAGCCTATTTGGCTTTCATATTTTAAAATGTATACAGATATATTTTGTTACTTAAGTATCATAGGTTAAATTGCATTGTATTTAATTTATTATGCCCATTCACACCAAACAGAATGGCTTTCTTTTCAATTGTTTTAGTAGTCTGTTTGCTAGCACAAAAGCAATAAATAAAAGTCCCCAATGAGCTAGCTGCCCTTCCTTAGGCATCAAAGCAAACACCCAGTTGTTTAAGCTTGATTTTTTAAAATGTACCGAACACATTCATATTTGTGCACAAAGAAAAAAAGGAATAAGTAACAGACATCCTGATCCAGAGTTCTTTGTCTCTGTTTCTCCCTCTCGCATGGCTATGGGTCAGCAAACTTCTAGATCACTGCTACCCAGGAGCAACGTTGATGGAAATGCCCTATGTCTTCTGTCTTCAATATGATAGCCACGAGCTACTTAAGGCTACTGAGCACTTGACATGTGGCCAGAGTAACTACCTACATTTTTAATTTTATATAATTTTAATTAAATACTTACATGTGGCTAATTGTCATTGTCCTAGAGAGTGTAGTTCTAGAATTAACTAAATAAGAGGCTATTTCTTCCCTCTGATATAAAGTAAAAGTCATCGCATATTAGTTATGGCTACAGCTTACTTTTAACCTAAAGAATTTGTTTGAAAGCTTTTTCCCTGATGTATTATTCAAAGTTGCTAGTGCCAAGGCTGTCTCTCAGAAGGCCACTGGCAAGTTCTTTCTTGAACCAAGTGCATAAATACTCTATTGAAATATGGATTTAGGCGAAAACTTAATGCTTCTCGTGACAAATAAACAGCCATAAAGAACTGTAACCAGAGCTTTCAAATAATATCAAATCTTCTAATGCTAAGTATATTCAAGAATTTATTTTAAATTTATTGGCTACAATTCTGTCTATTCATATTGAACAATGACTAATTGTTTTTGGAACATATGGTGTGTTCACAGATATGCTCAAAACCATTTGAAACTGACTTTGTGACCACTGTCCAGATTTTTGTTCATCAATTTTTTTAGAAATTATATTTATTAAAACATAAGCATAATTTGGAGTATCTTTTGTTGTAGATCTTCTTTTTTACAACTTTCCTACTGGTGGAGAAGAGGCTGTAGAGAGATAAGCAGATAAAGAGATATAGCAATCATAAGATATGTGTTTACCATTATCTGGTGCCTTTGCCTCCTAGACACACTAGACTGCATTTCCCAACCACCCTTGCAGGGACCATGCAACTGAGTTCTAGCCAATGGAATATGAGTGGAAATAATGTATTCCATGTCAAGACCTGACATTCATATACTTTCTGCATAACCCTCCTCTTCTTTTATCCGATGCCGAAAATCCAGCAAATAACCCAAGTTTCTAGAAGATAGCCATTAGAGGAAGTGAACCTAGATCCCTGAGTAACAGAGTGAAGCAGAGTCATCTTTCCCAATGATACAAAATTAGACTGTGATTGAAAGAAAGAAATGCATCTTTGTTTTGCTTAAAGTCATTGTGATTTGGAGGATTTTTTTTTTTTTTTTTTTGTAATTTTACCCCTGGCTGATGGAAAATGACATCTTGGAAGAGTAGTCGCAACAGGGAGAACCTCCTGCAGTGTGATCTCTACTAACACTCTGTCCCTTGGCTTTGTTATTTAAAACCCTACTTCTAAGGGTATACCTAGAATTGTTCGTATTCAGGGAGCTGAACTTACATTATCCAAGTAAGAAAGATACTACATGTAAAAAATGCAAGGTCAATTTATTTAATATGTTTATTTAAAATATAGAATTGACACATAGATCAAATTTTAACTAAAACATTCTTTTCATGTAGCAAAGTCAAAGTTGCAAGCCAAATATATGGCTAAGTCAGATGGGCCCTCTCATAGCATCTTCTGCATTGCCATAAAAATGACCGTGGCTTTGTTCATAAGGCTTTGGAGAATTTTTCCTGGTTCCTGGTACCATCCTTCTTCTGGATACTTTTACTCTTCACAGTTCTGCCCCTATAACCTCTCTCCTGCCTGGGCTTACTTTCTCAGACCATCCAACTCAGATTGATGACTCAACTGGGTGGCCTGCTTGGCTTGTTATTTTGAATTCTCCATAATGTCCTGTCCTACTTCTGTATATTGAGGCTGTGGGCTTTTCCTGCCTTGTCCTCCACTGTTCTGAACTCCTAATACATTACAGTCTCAAATCAAAGCCTGTATTTGTGATTCCTTCTCATCTGGACAAGGGTTCAACCTAAATAATAATCAGAAGGTGACTGAGCAGGTATAATGAACTGGCTATTTGTGTCCTTCCAAAATGTATATGTTGAGGCAATAATATCCAATGCCATGGGACTTGCAGATGGAGATTTTGAGAGATCATTACAATTACATGAGGTCTGAGCAAGGGGAGGGAGAACATCAGGGTAAAGAGCTAATGCATGTGGGGCTTAATACCTAGGTGATGGGTTGATAGGTGCAGCAAACCACCATGACATACTTTTACCATGTAATAAACCTATAATTTCTGCACACGTATCTCAGAACTTAAATCAAATTAAAAAAAAAAAAAAGCTACATGAGGTCCTAAGGGTGGTGGGGCCCTCATGATGGGATTAGTGCCCTTATGAGAAGAGTTACCAGAAAGCTTGTTCTCACTCTCCATGCCACACTCCCAAAGAGATTATGTGAGGACACAGTGAGATGGCAGTCACCTACAAGCCAAGATAACAGGCCTCAGAATAAAACCTATCTTGCCAGCACCTTGATCTTGGTCTTTCAGCCTCCAGAACTGTGACAAATTTTTATGGTTTAAGCTACCCAGTCTATGGTATTTTGTTATTGCAAAATGTAAGCTGAGAAATTACATATATATCTTTCATCTTTGTTGCAAATTTGATGCCAAGCAGACTAATGCAGTAGGTGATTAAAGCAAGGAATGATTGTTGGAACCTGCTGGTGAATATTAATAAATTAAATATGTACCATAAGCCAACCAGGATGGAGAGGATCTGTTAGTCATCATTGACTTCTCATTTTACAATATTGTGGACACATTAAATTTGGTTTCAGGATGTCCCCTTTTTTCTGGAAATAATATTAACCACTCCTTTTGTATTAATATTGTTTAAATTTTTACAATCTAAAAATTTAACTTTAAATTTTAGCTTGTAGAATACAGTCTATCCTATCCTGATATCAGTGAAAGAGGACCTGGATTAGGGTTAAATATATTTCAGTTGTTTTGTTTCCAAGATATTGTGGGTAGACCTTATCATCATATCCATGTATTGACTAGGAGAGGCTGTAAAATATATCTTAACTTCAAAGATTCATTGTAAGTCATAACATAGACCCCAAGGTTATTTGAGTTCTCAAAGCCAACTGTTACAGTCAAAATATAAGGTGATATATCTGTTTATACTGAATCAGTAAGTCACGGATACCCAAGGATAATTCTCCAGATACAGTATAAGAAATATTACATTATATTAACCAATGAAATGATTGGGAAAAATTTAGAGGGGAGCAATATGTTATACTAATATGCAATGGTACCAAAATATGTTATGATCACGAAAGAGCAGTTTGTTGGAATAAAAGCTAAATTTAAAGATCAAACATTTAAAGTCTAGAAAGACCCACTAGTTAAAATTTTTAAACCTTATTTCTGTGTATCAAATTATAATACTCACTGAACAGATGGAGGCAGGAAACTTTAGATCTGTGCTCACATCTATGGAAAACCAATATAAAGCAGGAGACTCGAGTCAAGTGATCGCTTAAAGGATATTGGCATATAAGTAGCACAAAAACATACATTATGCTTCCAATTTAGTGACATTTTTACATTTACAGAATAAATTACTGAAAAGCACCTTATATTACTTTGATAATCAAATTATTATAGAATACATATTTAGACAACGTTTTTTATCATTTTAAAACTCCCTTTTTTAATATTATCAAAATGCTAAAAAGCTTGCAAAATCCCACAATTAACTAAATATAGAAAGGAGACAGAAATACACTTCATGAATTTTAAGTTAAAAAATGTCAAAATATAAACTCCAAAGTAAATGTTCCCATAAAGACAGTTTTATCTGCATCAGAATCATTTGTTTCACTTATTCAAATGATGAATATAGAGTTGAAGAAAAGAACTCAGGCCAATTAATGTTGCACAACCTCAATATGTACAGAAATTGGGTAAAATCTGTGGCGTTTTCAGGTTGTGGTTAGCCATGCTGAACTCTGGACTGTATGCCCTTTCTTTACCCTTGCCTCTCTGTTTCATAGGCATGTTAGTTACTGCAGGCTGCGTATCCTGGGCCCTACTAATCCTGGATTCCACCTGAGTTCAACCAATGGGTGACCCCCAGGGAAGGCTGGAGAACGTATGCGGGAAATGAGACATTCTATCTCTCCCTCAAGGCTGCCTCTAGCAGCCTTTGAATGCAGCTGTGTGTTCTCCATATTTCATCACCCACATGGCAAAACCTGCCACAATTCCGTATTATTCCTGGAATCCTTGGACCCAAGGCAGCCCCTATTTAGCTTATCTCTTCTCTTTGCCCTTCCAATGAGGAGTGGTATCAGCTTCCTATTTGTTTAATCTCTGGGTTTTCTTGCCATCTCCTATATAACTCCAAGTTCTGTCACCATTTACCTGAATTAAATTCCTCTTGCTTTAAATTATTACAAGGTGTGATTAGACTATGATTGATGGGTTAACTATGTTTTCTCTAAGATGTAGAAGCTTTCTACTGCTTGTTGGCTACTCTACAGAGACAGGTAGAATCAGGTCCATACAGTGGATGTGAAAGGAGCACAGTAAAACAAAAACTATTTCTTCAGGATTAAAGAGCTCAAACAGTCAATTCAATAAGTTAAATATCTACATTATATGTAGATGATATATAATATTCCTTAATATAATATAATTCACTGGAAAATGGATAGAGCCATTCTTAATTTGGTCCAAGGGCACTAAAAATTCCAAAAACTTAAAAGGATTGTTATAATATTCTATACCCCTAAAGCTACCCGGTGTTGACAAGACAGTTGAGGCCATTGCTTGGCACAAATTTTGAAGGTTAGACATCTCTATAAAATAGCCTTTCCTTTCTAACCACCAGAGAATAAAAGTGAAGATAAGTGAGTCACTTTATTCCTAAATATATTGCTACCAAAACAAGCTAAGTCATAGAAAATAAAATACAATTAAATAACAGGCTGATATATTGTCTTGGATGTGATGTAGTGGATGAGAGCTTTTTTAAAATACCATAACAACTTTATTCTTATGTAAAATCCCACGGAATGATATTGTGGCATCATCAGAAGAAAAGCTGGCCAAACATGAATGAGCTTCTATCTATAATCCTCTACTATGAAGGCTTTGATAAAGCCCAAGTATATATGTTTCATATAATAACCTCTAATATTGTTAGCAACAGCATCTTCTTTGATAATTATGTCAAACCTCCAACATGCCACCTGTTTGCTTATTACCTCCAATACTATTAATATAAATATATGTATACAAATATATAATTATTATTTACATATATTTCTAAGTAATATAAATTATTTTGCCAAACAAATAGCCTAATCATTCCCATGATTAATACCATTACCTGTCTTAAAGTCTGCAATAACTGTTGCTAATAAAATGAAACATAAAACATCATCAATGAAGAAGCACCAGAAACTCTCATTCACTGCTGGTGGTAATGTAAAATGGTATAGCCACTTAGGAAGACGATTTGACAACTGTTTAAAAACCTAAAACATATTCTTAACTATATGATCCGGAAATCGGGCTCCTTTCCATTTGCCAAAATGAGTTCAAAACTATGTCTGCACAAAAAACTGCACATGGATGTTCATAGCAGCTTTATTCATAATTGCTAAAACTTGAAAGCCACCAAGTGGCCCATCAGTAGATGGATAGACAAGTAAACTGTGGTACATCCCGACAACAGGATATTATTCGACACTAAAAAGAAATGAGCTACCAAGCTACAAAAAGACATGGAGGAAGCTTAAATGCATACTACCAAATGAAAAAAAAAAGTCACTCTGAAAAGGCTACATACTGTATGATTTCAATTACATAACTTTCTGGAAAAGGCAAAACTATGGAAATAGTCAATCAGAGGTTGCCAAGGGCTTGGGGGCAGGGTGGAATGAATAAGTGGAGCACAGGAGATTTTAGGGCAGCAAAACTGTTCTATATAATACTGTGTGGGTACATGTCATTATACATTTGCCAAAAACTTCAGAATATACAACACCAACAGTGAATGCTAATGTAACCTATGGGCTGGGAGTGATAATGATGTGTCAGCATCCATTCAACAATTATAATAAATGTACCAGTCAGGCCAGATCTGAGTTGACTACCTTATTTAGTTACCTAAAGCCTACCAGTCTCTCTCACACTACATTCCCTGTTATCAACACTGGGCCATGCAGGCAGGAATAAAAAAATTCTTACTACTGATTTGCCCAATTTATAAAGTAAGCCCTTAGAACTACCTAGTTAATATTCATGGGTTTGATAACTTGCAAGCAGACCAACCCAGAACGCCTATACCTGTAGTGATTTAGAATGACTGAAGTCAAGATTTGCATTAGACAGCAGAGCTGCTGGGCTGCGGTAAAACAGAACTCCCCTAATAATCAAGCACAGCCTACAGTCCCAAACCTCCAGCTCCAAGCAGTTTTTACTTTCTGTTCTTTATCACCTAAGCTCTCTACTGCTATTCACAGATTTGGTTATTTGAAATTGAACACAGCCTTGGCTAAAATCAAAATGGTGTCTGCCACACAGTAGATGCTGAATAAATCTTTTTTGGATTGATACTTTGCATCTCCATCTGTCGTTTTCCTTATCTCACAACTTTTCTTTTTTGTTGTTGTTGTTTTTTGTTTTTTGAGATGGAGTCTTACTCTCTTGCCCAGGCTGGAGTACAGTGGTGTGATCTCAGCTCACTGCAACCTCTGCTTCCCAGGTTTAAGTGATTCTCCTGCTTCAGCCTCCCAAGTGGCTGAGATTACAGGTGCTTGCCACCATGTCTGGCTAATTTTTATATTTTTAGTAGAGGCAGGATTTCACCATGTTGGCCAGGCTGGTCTCGAACTCCTGACCTCAGGTGATCCACCTGCCTTGGCCTCCCAAAGTGCTGGGATTACAGGCATGAACCACCACACCCGACCCTCTCACTACTTTTCTACACTTCTCTTATATTTTTCTCTTGTACAATTTTCAGTCTGATGTGTCACACAGCATAATTATTTATGTTAGTATATCCTAACAAATCAATACCCTCTTTCAATAAATACATAGACCAAGTGGTCTTCTTAAATTTTCTTTGAAATTTCACAATAAATTAAATATACACCACAAAGTAATAAAATCAATGGGATTTTAAAGAAAAAATTTTAATTTGAAAGACAAAAATTTATTTTTCCGCTTTGTTCACATAGTGTGAGTATCAATTTTAATTGTCCAAAGATTTTCTCCTCTAGGTTGTATAAAACATAAAACAAACTGGCACGTAAACCAAATATGCTTTGGTTTTATTTTAGAGTCAGAAATAGAGTAAAACCAAATACTGCACATATTATGTTATATTATAGATCACAGACTATATTAACATGTTGAATACTTTTTTAATTTTACATGACTCCCTACCCCCTAAATTCTGCTATGCCCATCAGGGCCATGCCTTCTTTTCAACACATTGAGAAGCAAGGTCTTGTGCTGACTACTTGACAATCTTGTGTCTGTCCAAAGGTGCTGTCTTAATTCAATTATCAATAGTCTATATACGTCATTTCTGATAACTGTCCAAATTCCTATAACAACATGTAGATAAAGGTTCAGTAATAAGAAACAGAAGAAATGTCTTTTCTGGTTTGGTAAAAAAGAAGAATATGCGACCTCTGGCTTGTGTTTGTATTGTTTTGTTTTCCAGAATTTTTTACTTAGTCATTTTTAAAAGCTGAGGTTTTAAGACACATTTTGGCTTTAATTGTCTTTAAAACTAATACCAAGATTCTGGAAGAAGGCCCTTTCTAAAGTTTTTGCTCAATTGTAAACAGAGCCTTTAAGTCTGGTACAATCAGAATTGAGTCTATCATGCAGTTTATTTTTTGTGTGTCATGTTAATCAAACATAAATTCTAAGATTATGAATTCTAAATGAATGCTTCAGCTTGGAAGAGATTCAAAAAATGATCTAGTATAAACTGACATGGGAAAAGAGGGATATAAAATGCAGATAAACTGGGAACTTTTTTTGTAAGTTAGCTTCAACATGGAAGAGTTGAGAAAAAATCTGGTTAACACAGTGCTGGCTTGATAGCGGTACTAAGTGAAGAAAAGGATAATGAAGAGAAAGTAGATGAAGAGAGTTAGCAGAAATGGTGGTTCATCTCATGGACCAAACCCTAATAGGGATACAGAAGCCAGACCCTCTTGAGGAGTGAGTTAAATATCCAGCAGAAACGTGGTAGGTTATCAGAGAATGCAGAAGCCATTTCCAATCACAAATATGTATGTCAGTATGTCAGGAATCAGTACAAGAAAAGAGGAAACTCATAATACAAGAGAAAGAGCTTCTGGGAGCAATGGTGAGCTCTTCACTGCAGCTAAGCATGTGAATAACCTTGTGCATTTTTGCCAACAAGAGAATTTCTATCTTAGAACCCACCCCCACTCTCTTAATTTTATTTCTTCTTCCGATTTAAAACAATATTCTATTCATAAGTATATTCTAAGAACGTTCTTTTTTAATTCATTTGTCACATTTTATTGAGCATCTATTATTTGCCCAGCACCGTTCTAGGAGTCAGGGTTATATCAGTGAACCACTCAGAAAAAAATCTTGCTAACATAGCATACTTCATTTTGAGAGACAGTGAATAAACATATATTTCTTTATAAATGTATATAATATATATTTGTGTGTATGTAGGTATATGTGCGTATATATGTAAATGTATGTGTGTGTGCAAATGTATATATGGGTGTGTGTGTGTGTGTGTGTGTATCAGATTCAAATAAAGGCCAAGGTGGATAATACAGCATGGTAAAGTGGGTCAAAAGTGTTGGAGTGGGAGAACTGCTATTTAAAGAGAGAAATCATGGACGACCTCACTTAAAGTTCTATGTAAGCTGAAACCTAAAGGAAGAGAGGGAGCAAGTCATGAGCACATTGGAAGAAAAGCATTAGAGCATTCCATGCAGAGTGAACAGAAAAAGCAAAAGTGTCAGGAGCCTTTGTGGAGCCTCAAGGAAGTAAGGATGACAAGAAAAGGATCCCCGAAGGAGAGAGAAATACAAAATTAGGTCAGAGAGGTAGTACATGTTGTGTCTGTGTGAGGGCTTGGAGGCTTTGTTTTTTGCTCTGAAGCTACTGGAGAGATTTAGTGAGGAGACATATGCTCAGTGGGAGATTTCTAGGCTATCGCTCTGGCTGCAACATTGAAGATCAACTGAAAGGCACCAAGGGCAGAAGGAGGCAGAGAATGAGGAGGCTATTGAAATGAACCAAGTAAGAGATGACTGTAGCTTAAACCAAGGTGCTGGAGGGAGCAATGGGGATAAATGGCTGGACACCAGACACATTTAAGGTAAAGTCATCAAAATTTGCTGATGGGTTTGGATATAAGGAGAGAGAGAGAGAGAAAGAGAGAGAGAGAGAGAGAAAGAAGAGAGGAGTAAGAACGATGCCAATGTTTCTGGCCTAAGGATATAGAACAGGGCCTGTGATGGTTATTACTAAGTGTCAACTTGATTGGATTGAAGGATGCAAAGTATTGTTCCTGGGTGTGTCTGTGAGGGTGTTGCCAAAGGAGATTAACATTTGAGTCAGTGGACTTGGGAGAGGCAGACCCACCCGCAATCTGAGTGGGCACCATCTAATCAGCTGCCAGCATGGCTAGGATAAAAGCAGGCAGAGGAACATGGAAGGACTGGACTGGCTGAGTCTTCTGGCCTCCATCTTTCTCCTGTGCTGGATGCTTCCTAACCTCAAACATCAGACTCCAAGTTCTTCAGCTTTTGGACTCTTGCACCTACACCAGTGGTTTGCCAGGGGCTCTTGGGCCTTCAGCCACAGACTGAAGGCTGCACCGTCGGCTTCTCTGCTTTTGAGGTTTTGGGACTCAGGCTGGCTTCCCTGCTCATCAGCTTGCAGACGACCTATTGTGGGACTTCACCTTGTAATTGTGTGAGTCGATACTCCTTAATAAACTCCTTTTCACATATATATCTATCCTATTAGTCCTGTCCCTTTAGATAACCCTGACTAATACAGAGTCCACGTACTAACATTGGGAGTTCTAGAGGAGAAGCAGGTTTGAGGGTGGAAATGGTCTCTGATTCAAAAATGTTAACTTTGAAATGTCTATTTTAACTCCAAAAGAAAATCTAGGGTAGGCCAGGTACCGTAACTCATGCCTGCAATCTCACCACTTCAGAAGGCTGAGCTAGAAGGATCACTTGAGGTCAGGAGTTTGAGACCAGCCAGGGCAACACAGCAGGATACATTTGCTACAAAAAAAAAAAAAAAAATAGCCAGGTATGGTGGCATGCACTTGTAGTCCCAGCTACTTGGGAGGCTGAGGCAGGAAGATTGCTTGAGCCCAAGAGTTTCAGGCTGCAGTGAGAAATGGTCACACATCCCTAAAAACTAAAATAAGGTCGGGCGCGGTGGCTCACGCCTGTAATCCCAGCACTTTGAGAGGCCGAGGTGGGCGGATCACAAGGTCAGGAGATCGAAACCATCCTGGCCTACACGGTGAAACCCCACCTCTACAAAAAATACAAAAAATTAGCCAGGCATGGTGACACATGCCTGTAGTCCCAGCTACTCGGGAGGCCGAGGCAGGAGAATAGCTTGAACCCAGGAGACGGAGGTTGCAGTGAGCTGAGATCACGCCACTGCACTCTAGTCTGAGCGACAGAGTGAAACTCCATCTCAAAAAATAATAAATAAATAAAATTTGGTGTAGACAAGCATGTATGCAATTTTCAAGAGAGGTCTGAACTAGGAATATATATTTGGAAAAATCTAAGACTGTAAATATTATTTAAAATGAGGTTGGATAACATTTCCAAGGAAAATTGTAAACATAAAGGAAAAAAGAAGTCTAAGGACTGCCTTTAGTTTTATCTAAATTCATTGGTCAGAGAGATGAAAGAAGAGCAAAAAGGCTTAAGAAGGACTGGGTTGGGACATATAGTATGTGTCCTTCCTATTGTGAAGTCCCACAATAGGTCATCTGCAAGCTGATGAGCAGGGAAGCCAGCCTGAGGAGGCAGAAGAAGCCAACAAGAAGGTTGGTGTCCCAGAAACCAAGTGAAACAAGTGTGTAAGAAAGAGAGCGATCACCTATGTCAGTTGCTGTTGATTGGTCTAGAAAGGTCACTGGATTTGGCAAAGTGGATTTTTTTTTCCAGACATGGGGTTTTGCTCTGTCATGCAGGCTGGAGTGCAGTGGCACAGTTATACCTCACGGCAGCCTTCAACTACTGGGCTTAAGGGACACCTCTCCCTCCCCCCCACTCAAATCAGCCTGCCCAGTAGCTGGGACTACAGGCAGGTACCACCACACCTAGCTACTTTTTAGATTTTTTTAACGATAGGGTCTTGCTTTGTTGCCCAGGCTGGTCTCAAATTCCTGGACTCAAAGGCTTCTCCCAAGTAGTTGGGATTACAGGCATCAGCCACCATGCCCACCTCATTAAGGATATAAGCAAAAGATATTTTGGTTACATGGAAAGAATTGAAGCCTAATTTGAAAAAGTTTGCTAGATTTTATTTCATGTATGCATAGCTGTGACTGTACACTCATGTATGTGTAAGATATACATAGAGTCACATCAAGTGGTCAGGAAGTTAATACTATCATTTGGCTAAACATTGAATAAATACTATGCTTTTTGTTGTGAAGAAAAAATTCCCAAAAGGCAATACTTGGAAATGTTTTTGATATTATTGTTCTAATATTTATGCAAAAATATGAGTGACATTAAGATTTTAAAAAATAACTCCATATCTTTCCAGACAGTGTCATTCTAAATTAAAAGAAAATTAAATTGACCTACGCATTTATTTTAATAAAAACTAATATTTGGAAGACGGTGAGTACTAAAGTTGACCAACTATACTCTGTGGTATCAAGTACCATTATAGTTTGTTTAAAATGATAATTTGATTTTTATAATATATCCATTGTCTTATTATTAGCTATTTTGTTTTTATCCTCTTGCTAAAGAGTAAGGCAGAAGGAGTTTTTAATATTTCAGTTTCAAGTAAACTTCTAATGTTAATATGGCTAATATTCTATAGTATGACATAAACTCCAGTAGGTTTTTATTACAACATAACTGTCCAATACAACATTATATAAATATATGAATCAGAGATCAAGCAATGGCTCTTGAAACAACTATCTCATACCAGCAAGAAAGTCCTGATATTAACACACTATGATTCATACATGAACTCTGATTACCACACAACTCAACATCTCCAACATCTTTAATGAGGTCCCAAATTTTAACTATGTTGGGTATTTTTCATCTCCTACTCTAGAAATAGAGATTAAGGTTGAAGATATATAAATAAGATATCAAATTTTTGAAAGATGACAGGATTAATATTAATTTAAAGGGAATGTTGGCATGTATTTAAATACTGGACATCATGTGTATAGAAAATGTCCATTTTCATCTGGTAAATCACAGCTTTCGGTGTCTGTGTCTCCTTCCTGTCTCCTTCCAGTTAAAAGGTGTTCTACATAGCTTTCAGGTGCTCTTTTTGTAATCAGAGTTTGTAGAACCATCTTGACAAAAATAAAACACACACTCTGATGCTGCTGAATAAGAACAGAGATAGGTAAATCACAGAATCACATGGATTCATCCCAAGTGGCATGGAATTTTAGAGAAAAAAAGTACTCAAGGAACAAGGGGGAACTGCTCTGGCTGAAAAGTGAAAAGGTCACTCAAGTTTGTATTTCACATCTCTAGTCTTTCAAGTAGATCAAAGGTGCTTGTCTTTGTGTGACTGATTCATGGGGTTGCCAGATGACCACATATGGCAGGGCAGCCTTCGTTTTAAGAGCCTGCCCTACCTGCTGTTCTCCTTAGGGGTCCTGACTTTCTGTTGACCTTGCCTGTCTTATTCTGGCTGCTCCATGCAGCATGGGGAGAAAAGGAAAACTTTGATTTTAGTTTCTTAGGGGATGTTGCACATTTTAGATAACTAAATTGTAAGATTTTCAATTTTCTTTTGCTCCATTCACCAGCGATTACCCAGAGTTTTCAAGAAGAAAATGTTTCCAAGATAACCATTTGTAGGGTCTCAAAAAATTCTACATTTGAACCTTGGCCTGATGCCCAGAAAAGCATTCCTATGTCTTAGCACACGAAAATCTCAATCTTACCTTCTAGAAGAGCAAACTAGACTAAAAAGCTTTGTTTGAAATTTGGAGATAATTGGGGGAAGAAAAGGAAAACTCTGAAGAGAAGAAGAGTTGAAGGAAGTTAGGAAACATGGACTACTATGATGGCATTTATTGCAGAGTGTTAGAGTTGCAAAGTGTTTTTTACTTATCTTATAAAATTAGTTCACATTGGTAGTCCCCAAACCAACTATATTACTAATAATATATATTAGGAAACTGTTTATGATATTACCTTATTAATTTACAATTTTTACAAAACTATATCATTCAATCCTTGCTGTTTTTTTATTAAGTGAATTGTTTTTCATGCATATAAAAGTATTTAAAAGATTATGTAATCATGCACTTGAAAAATCCAAGA
The DNA here is from genome assembly GCF_000001405.40 of Homo sapiens. Classification (NCBI taxonomy): domain Eukaryota; kingdom Metazoa; phylum Chordata; class Mammalia; order Primates; family Hominidae; genus Homo; species Homo sapiens. The sequence goes on from NC_000009.12 coordinate 80,812,571, forward strand.
AATTAATAAGTGAATTACTCTTCAAAAATTCATACTTTTGTAATATCGTTGACTTATTGATGTTATGTTTTTCACAAATATTCTTAAATGTTAAAATGTTTAATGTCAACATTTTTAATTGTAATGTTTTTGTAATATCTTAAGACTCAAGCATTCTGTCTTAGCTCTTCTCTTAAAGGCATCTCAACATGCTAAATGCCCAATTTCTGCACAATATTACAGACAATAGCTGAAATAAGTAACTCTCTAAGCACTTTTTGCTTATGATAAACCTTCTTTTAGTTTGACTTAGCTTTCTAAGCATTTCCCAACTTTTATCTTTTTTTGTTCTATGATGCTATTACATAAGAAAGTCTAATGATTGTTCTCTAAGTCATTTAGAATGGTAGAAACCACTGGACCCATCTCATGCAGCTTATCTTTCACTATTCCCAATATGACCAACCTACTTAAAACTTGACTTACCCATCTAGACTCACAACACAGACTGTGAGGAAGATGTGCATGGAGGACATGGTGGAAGGCTTCTGTAGATAACACGCCACATACAAAATCGACCCAGTCTCATGAAAATAGGGTGTTATTAAACATGCATTAAAATGTGTGCCTTATCTCAAGAATATCCTAAGAGTTTCTTGGCTTCTCACCATTAGAAACACTCGTGATAGATAGACACTGAAAAATAAGGGCAGATTTAAAACAGAGATGAAGGTGATTACAAAGAAAGTCATAGAAATAGAGCACAAAGAAGGCCAAATTACTAAATGAAATATGAGTATGCTAACATAGAAGGAACTAAACACTGTGTCCCAGAAAAATCTGGTACAGAATAGTCAACACTGAGTTCTGCCTTATCAAAGTTACCTTACTTCAAGGGTAGTAACTCTTCTGGACATTTAAGAAAAAATAGTTTCTAAATTGGAGAGGGACAGAATTTAGAAAATCTGGGTGGTCTCAAACTTTTCCATGACATTATTCAAGGATAGAATATTGCTTTAAAAATGGCTATAACGTTATGCAGAAAAAAAATAGTATGACCCAATAGTCTTAAACTGAACTAAATTCTTCTTCAAGTACAAAGGCAAGAGACATATCATGATTCGGGGAATATAATACTTATGAGTTTTTCATGAAAAACATTCTAATTTACAGAATCTAGACAATTAAGAAATGAATCAAATTATAGAGTTCAGAAATAATAAAGCCCCAATAGGAAATAGCTAAGGCTACATACCAGCTATAAATACAAAAGAAAATACAATGTTATAAGACCTACAATGTCAGGAAACATGACATGTCTAGCTGCAATTAGGAGGTTATGAGTGTGCTGAGGATACTGGGGGAATGTTAACTGCACTAGCTTTCTGATTTTTATTAAGAAATAAAGGTTTGGTGTAAAGACATGCATTAAAATCAGTCCCTGGAAGCAGGATCTAAAAGTTATTTTCTAGAGCTTATGGTACAAAGTACTAAGAAAAAAAAAGATATCATTTAGCAGGTTATAAGGCAAACCTAACTGAATTCCAAAAAGTTTCAGTGTTGTTAACTCTTTTATTATAGCCCAATAAAACTAGAATTTTCTTTTCAAAAAATAGACACAAAAGAGAAAGAAACTAAACAACTCTGACATTCCACAATTTTGTTATATCACTTTTGAGTCAAAAAGGACAACCTAAAACTTAAAGTTACAGAGTACTTATAAATTAGAAACAATGAAGTTGTGTCAGAATTATGAGATATGGTTAAAGCAGTTCCTAGTGTAAAGCATAGTATAGATACACAAAAAAGAATCAAAGTAAATGAATACAAATAAATAAGAGCAATGTAACCAAAGACAACTTCAAAAGGGAAATTACAGAATTTCATAAAGCTAAAAAACAACTTAATGCAATGAGAGAGAAAAGTAGGACTAATAAATAAATGTAAGAAGTTAGAGACAAAAAGAAATGCATAAATGATTTGTGGATGTATAAGTATAAAAAGAAAGCACAAATGCCCAAATGTAAAGTGTCAATGGAGAAATAATATAAGTAAATGAAAATCAGAGTAATAAAAAATCTTACTCAAGTTTATAAAAATTATGATAAACCTAAATAAGTATGTTTTCTAGGAAACTAAGTTACTGAAAAAGGCACCAGAGGAGATAGAAAAATCTAACCAGGATAACTACCATGGAGGAGTTTAAAATAATATTAAGAAGCTATATCTACAACAACACCATGAAGCCTACATGAGCAACTCTTTTACAATGTGAAGGAAAAGATTATTCTAGCAATGTTTTAACAATCTGCCGATATATAAAGTGGAAAGTTTACAAACTCTGTATACAAAACACATGATAGTGATAAAAAAGTTAAAGTCAATCTATTTTTATTGACATGAAATCCTAAAATAACTATAAAATGCAACTGTTCTTTTTTTTAATTATACTTTAAGTTTTAGGGTACATGTGCACAACGTGCAGGTTAGTTACATATGTATACATGTGCCATGTTGGTGTGCTGCACCCAGTAACTCGTCATTTAATATTAGGTATATCTACAAATGCTATCCCTCCCCCCTCCCCCCACCCCACAACAGGCCCCAGTCTGTGATGTTCCCCTTCCTGTGTCCACGTGTTCTTATTGTTCAATTCCCACCTGTGAATGAGAACATGCGGTGTTTGGTTTTTTGTCCTTGCGATAGTTTACTGAGAATGATGGTTTCCAGCTTCATCCATGTCCCTACAAAGGACATGAACTCATCATTTTTTATGGCTGCATAGTATTCCATGGTGTATATGTGCCACATTTTCTTTATCCAGTCTATCATTGTTGGACATTTGGGTTGGTTCCAAGTCTTTGCTATTGTGAATAGTGCCGCAATAAACATATGTGTTCATGTGTCTTTATAGCAGCATGATTTATAATCCTTTGGGTATATACCCAGTAATGGGATGGCTGGGTCAAATGGTATTTCTAGTTCTAGATCCCTGAGGAATCGCCACACTGTCTTCCACAATGGTTGAACTAGTTTACAGTCCCACCAACAGTGTAAAAGTGTTCCTATTTCTCCACATCCTCTCTAGCACCTGTTGTTTCCTGACTTTTTAATGATTGCCATTCTAACTGGTGTGAGATGGTATCTCATTGTGGTTTTGATTTGCATTTCTCTGATGGCTAGTGATGATGAGCATTTTTTCATATGTCTTTTGGCTGCATAAATGTCTTCTTTTGAGAAGCGTCTGTTCATAGCCTTCACCCACTTTTTGATGGGGTTGTTTTTTTCTTGTAAATTTGTTGGAGTTCATTGTAGATTCTGGATATTAGCCCTTTGTCAGTTCAGTAGGTTGCGAAAATTTTCTCCCATTCTGTAGGTTGCCTGTTCACTCTGATGGTAGTTTCTTTTGCTGTGCAGAAGCTCTTTAGTTTAATTAGATCCCATTTGTCAATTTTGGCTTTTGTTGCCATTGCTTTTGGTGTTTTAGACATGAAGTCTTTGCCCATGCCTATGTCCTGAATGGTACTGCCTAGGTTTTCTTCTAGGGTTTTTATGGTTTTAGGTCCAACATTTAAGGCTTTAATCCATCTTGAATTAATTTTTGTATAAGGTGTGCAGTTTCAGCTTTCTCTATATGGCTAGCCAGTTTTCCCAGCACCATTTATTAAATAGGGAATCCTTTCCCCATTTCTTGTTTTTGTCAGGTTAGTCTGAGATCAAACTGCAAGGCGGCAGTGAGGCTGGAGGAAGGGCGCCCGCCATTGCTGAGGCTTGAGTAGGTAAACAAAGCAGCCAGGAAGCTCAAACTAGATGGAGCCCACTGCAGCTCAGGGAGGCCTGCCTGCCTCTGTAGATTCCATCTCTGGGGGCAGGGCATTGCCAAACAAAAGGCAGCAGAATCCTCTGCAGACTTAAATGTCCCTGTCTGACAGCTTTGAAGAGAGTAGTGGTTCTCCCAGCACGCAGATGGAGATCTGAGAATGGAAAGACTGACTCCTCAAGTGGGTCACTGACCCCCTAATAGCCTAACTGGGAGGCACCCCCCAGTTGGGGCAGACTGACACCTCACACGGGCGCGTACTCCTCTGAGACAAAACTTCCAGAGGAACGATCAGGCAGCAGCATTTGCTGTTCACCAATATCCGCTGTTCTGCAGCCTCTGCTGCTGATACCCAGGCAAACAGCGTCAGGAGTGGACCTCCAGCAAACTCCAACAGACCTGCAGCTGAGGGTCCTGACTGTTAGAAGGAAAATTAACAAAGAGGAAGGACATCCACAACAAAAACCCAACTGTACATCACCATCATCAAAGACCAAAGGTAGATAAAACCACAAAGATGGGGAAAAAGCAGAGCAGAAAAACTGGAAACTCTAAAAATCAGAGTGCCTCTCCTCCTCCAAAGGAACGCAGCTCCTCACCAGCCATAGAACAAAGCTGGACGGAGAATGACTTTGACGAGTTGAGAGAAGAAGGCTTCAGACGATCAAACTACTCCAAGCTAAAGGAGGAAGTTCGAACCCATGGCAAAGATGTTAAAAACCTTGAAAAAAAATTAGACAAATGGCTAACTAGAATAACCAATGCAGAGAAGTCCTTAAAGGACCTGATGGAGCTGAAAACCAAGGCACAAGAACTACATAGCAAATGCACACGCCTCAGTAGTGGATTCAATCAACTGGAAGAAAGGATATCAGCGATGGAATATCAAATTAATGAAATGAAGCGAGAAGAGAAGTTTAGAGAAAAAAGAATAAAAACAAACGGACAAAGCCTTCAAGAAATATGGGACTATGTGAAAAGACCAAATCTACGTCTGATCGGTGTACCTGAAAGTGATGGGAAGAATGGAACCAAGTTGGAAAACACTCTGCAGGATATTATCCAGGAGAACTTCCCCAATCTAGCAAGGCAGGCCAACATTCATATTCAGGAATTACAGAGAACGCCACAAAGATACTCCTCAAGAAGAGCAACTCCAAGACACATAATTGTCAGATTCACCAAAGTTGAAATGAAGGAAAAAATGTTAAGGGCAGCCAGAGAGAAAGGTCGGGTTACCCACAAAGGGAAGCCCATCAGACGAACAGCTGATCTCTCAGCAGAAACTCTACAAGCCAGAAGAGAGTGGGGGCCAATATTCAACATTCTTAAAAGAATTTTCAACCCAGAGATTCATACCCAGCCAAACTAAGCTTCATAAGTGAACGAGAAATAAAATCCTTTACAGACAAGCTAATGCTGAGAGATTTTTTTCACCACCAGGCCTGCTCTAAAAGAGATCCTGAAGGAAGCACTAAACATGGAAAGGAACAACCAGTACCAGCCACTGCAAAAATATGCCAAATTGTAAAGACCATTGAGGCTAGGAAGAAACTGCATCAACTAACAAGCAAAATAACCAGCTAACATCATAATGACAGGATCAAATTCACACATATCAATATTAACCTTAAATGTTAATGGGCTAAATGCTCCAATTAAAAGACACACACTAGCAAATTGGATAAAGACTCAAGATCCATCAGTGTGCTGTATTCAGGAACCCCATCTCATGTGCAGAGATACACATAGGCTCAAAATAAAGGGATGGAGGAAGATCTACCAAGCAAATGGAAAACAAAAAAAGGCAGGGGTTGCAATCCTAGTCTCTGATAAAACAGACTTTAAACCAACAAAGATCAAAAGAGACAAAGAAGGCCATTACATAATGATAAAGGGATCAATTCAACAAGAAGAGCTAACTATCATAAATATATATGCACCCAATACAGGAGCACCCAGATTCATAAAGCACGTCCTTAGAGACCTACAAAGAGACTTAGACTCCCAGACAATAATAATAAGAGATTTTAACACCCCACTGTCAACATTAGACAGATCAACGAGACAGAAACTTAACAAGGATATCCAGGAATTGAACTCAGCTCTGTACCAAGCGGACCTAATAGACATCTACAGAACTCTCCATCCCAAATCAACAGAATATACATTTTTTTCAGCACCACACCACACCTATTCCAAAACTGACCACATAATTGGAAGTAAAACACTCCTCAGCAAATGTAAAAGAACAGAAATTATAAACAAACTGACTCTCAGACCACAGTGCAATCAAACTAGAACTCAGGATTCAGAAACTCACTCAAAACCACTCAACTACATGGAAACTGAACAACCTGCTCCTGAATGACTACTGGGTACATAACGAAATGAAGGCAGAAATAAAGATATTCTTTGAAACCAACGAGAACAAAGACACAACATACCAGAATCTCTGGGACACATTCAAAGCAGTGTGTAGAGGGAAATTTATAGCACTAAATGCCCACAAGAGAAAGCAGGAAAGATCTAAAATTGACACCCTAACATCACAATTAAAAGACCTAGAGAAGCAAGAGCAAACACATTCAAAAGCTAGCAGAAGGCAAGAAATAACTAAGATCAGAACAGAACTGAAGGAAATAGAGACACAAAAAACCCTTCATAAAAATCAACGAATCCAGGAGCTGGTTTTTTGAAAAGATCAACAAAATTGATAGACCACTAGCAAGACTAACAAAGAACAAAAGAGAGAAGAATCAAATAGATGCAATAAAAAATGATAAAGGGGATATCACCACCAATCCCACAGAAATACAAACTACCATCAGAGAATACTATAAACACCTCTAAGCAAATAAACTAGAAAATCTAGAAGAAATGGATAAATTCCTGGACACATACACCTTCCCAAGACTAAACCAGGAAGAAGTTGAATCTCTGAATAGACCAATAACAGGCTCTGAAATTGAGGCAATAATTAACAGCTTAACAACCAAAAAAAGTCCAGGACCAGATGGATTCACAGCCGAATTCTACCACAGGTACAAGGAGGAGCTGGTACCATTCCTTCTGAAACTATTCCAATCAATAGAAAAAAAGGGAATCCTCCCTAACTCATTTTATAAGGCCAGCATCTTCCTGATACCAAAGTGTGGCAGAGACACAACAAAAAAAGAGAATTTTAGATCAATATCCCTGATGAACATCGATGCAAAAATCCTCAATAAAATACTGGCAAACCGAATCCAGCAGCACATCAAAAAGCTTATCCACCATGATCAAGTGGGCTTCATCCGTGGGATACAAGGCTAGTTCAACATACGAAAATCAATAAACATAATTCAGCATATAAACAGAACCAACGACAAAAACCATATGATTATCTCAATAGATGCGGAAAAGGCCTTTGACAAAATTCAACAATCCTTCATGCTAAAAACTCTCAATAAATTAGGTATTGATGGGACGTATCTCAAAATAATAAGAGCTATCTATGACAAACCCACAGCCAATATCATACTGAATGGGCAAAAACTGGAAGCATTCCCTTTGAAAACTGGCACAAGACAGGGATGCCCTCTCTCACCACTCCTATTCAACATAGTGTTGGAAATTCTGGCCAGGGCAATCAGGCAGGAGAAGGAAATAAAGGGTATTCAATTAGGAAAAGAGGAAGTCAAATTGTCCCTGTTTGTAGCTGACATGATTGTATATCTAGAAATCCCCACCGTCTCAGCCCAAAATCTCCTTAAGCTGATAGGCAACTTCAGCAAAGTCTCAGGATACAAAATCAATGTGCGGAAATCACAAGCATTCTTATACACCAATAACAGACAAACAGAGAGCCAAATCATGAGTGAACTCCCATTCACAATTGCTTCAAAGAGAATAAAATACCTAGGAATCCAACTTACAAGGGACGTGAAGGACCTCTTCAAGGAGAACTACAAACCACTGCTCAATGAAATAATAGAGGATACAAATAAATGGAAGAACATTCCAAGGCTCATGGGTAGGAAGAATCAATATCGTGAAAATGACCATACTGCCCAAGGTAATTTACAGATTCAATGCCATCCCCATCAAGCTACCAATGACTTTCTTCACAGAATTGGAAAAAACTACTTTAAAGTTCATATGGAAGCAAAAAAGAGCCCCCATCACCAAGTCAATCCTAAGCCAAAAGAACAAAGCTGGAGGCATCACACTACCTGACTTCAAACTATACTACAATGCTACAGTAACCAAAACAGCATGGTACTGGTACCAAAACAGAGATATAGACCAATGGAACAGAACAGAGCCCTCAGAAATAATGCCACATGTCTGCAACTATTCTTTAAAACAATAAAAATGAAATAAGATAATAAAAAGAAAATAATGAAGTATAAAAAGGGACATGCCAAATTAAAACAGAATCTTTAAACTGTAAATTTTTGATATGTAAATAATCATTCTAAATCAATAATAAAAAGACTTCTCCCCTCACACCCCAAAAAACTGATCAAATGAGGGGAATAGGCAGTCACAAAAAAAATAGGCAAAAAGTTCAGAAGCATATTAAAATAATGTTAATTATGAAGAACAAAATGAAACTTAAAATGTGAAGACATTTCTCACTATCAATGAATTAACACTTCGACAACCCAGTGTGGATGGCAGCATGAGAGAGCATGTCATCACTACATTTTTGACAGTATACCTGAAGTACTATTGGCAATAGTTGACTAAATTAAAATGCATATGCAATTAAAAAATATATTCCATATATTTACTTCTATATGTATACACATTGCATGCATAAAAAATTTCACAAGAGTATTACATTTAAATTGAGATCAAAATAAAGTTTTATCCTCAGAGAAGTGATTACAAAGTATGATTTTTCATTAAAAGTATAATATATAGATATTTACGTGATTAGGGTTCAATTATTTGTGCTCTGACACAGAAAATTCTCAGTAAGCACATCACTGAATTTAAAAAAATAAGCTATATGAAGGTTGCACGTCTGTAAGGGACATGAGATCCATGGACCTGCTCCCCAGGGAAATAAGCATAACTGTTAAAAATTCTTAAAAGAAAACACAGAAATTAAAGTCACTAGAAATAGTCCTAGAATGTGCAGAAAGTAAAGAAGCATGTATTCAATTAAATTTGCTAAAACTTGATAAGAGCAGCAAGTCTATGGCATTTGAGTCACACTCTTCTTCCTTCTCAAGTTCAGCATGATGGAAACTCCGCTGGAGGTGAGAGCAGCCAAGACCACATGGCTCCTTCTCCTTTCAGCTCTCAGTCAGAGATTACAGTATCTCCCTGAGAGGTAGAGGCTACCAGCATTTCTCATCCCACTCACCTACATGTTGCAGAGGTGAAATTACAGGTGAGTGAGGCTGAGAGGTAGAAGGCTCCCCTCTTCCCAATCATACGCTGTAGGTTCTACTCCAGTCATGGCAAGCCAAGAACACTGGCACTCTAGTTATTTGTGCCACAGCTTGTTCCTAGAACAGAAGTATCATACTGGGAAAGGCAAGCTGAGGACACCTGGGGTTACCACCTAAACCAGTGCCCTGCAAAATGATTGTATCACTCCAAGAGAAGTGGACCACTGTCCCTGTCCCTATCTCTGAAGTTGTGGCTCAGATATTTTGTCAAGGGGGAGAGGAAAGTCATAAGTGTACATATCTGAAGTGAACCTGGACCCAAAGGAACTGACATTATTTGCACCAGAGGGTGGATGAGTTCAAGTCTAAGATCACTCTCAAAACAGTAGAGCTTGTGATGGTAAGCAATTAAAAGGATCATGGTAACTGTCTGAGAGAAACAACATAATAAAAGGCCTCACTATAAAAACCCACAGGCAAATCAAATAATAACAAACTGGGTGCTTTTCTCCTAAGATACAGAACTCTACTCTCATTATTTCTACTCAATATGGTCTTGGAGATTCTAGCCCAGACAATTAGAAAAGTAAAATAAAATAAAAGTCATCAAGATTGGAAAAGAAGAAATAAAACTATTCCTATTTGCAGATGACATGATCCTGTATGTGCAAAATAATAAGGAATCCACTAAGAAACTACTAGAAGTAATAAATGAGTGCAGCAAAGTTGCAGGATACAAGATCAAATATGCACAAATCTATTATGTTTCTATATACTTGCAATAAAAAATAAGAAAATGAGTTCAGGCATGGTGGCTCACACCAGTACTTCTAGCACTTTGGAAGGCCAAGTGGATCACCTGAGCCCAGGAGTTTGAGACCAGCCTGGGCAACACAGTGAGACACTGTCTCTATAAATAACTTTAAAAAATTAACCAGATGTTGTGGCACACAGCTGTAGTTCCAGCTACTTGAGAGGGTGAGGTGAGAGGATCACTTGATCCCTGATGATCAAGACTACAGTGAGCTGTGATCACACCAATGCACTCCAGCCTGGGCAATAGAGCAAGACTCGGTCCCAAAAATAAATAAATAATTTTTTAAATAAAAATAAAATTTCAAAACTACATTTGTTTATAATAACAAAAGTGTAAAATACATATACATTTTACAATGGTAATGAGAAAAAATATTTGCAAATTATTTCTGCAACAAAGGACTAATATTCAGAATCTACAAGGAATGTCAACAACTCAGAAAACACAACCCCATTAACAACTGGGCAAATGAAACTATGCATCTCACAAAGGTCTAATATTCACCATCAATAAGGAACTTAAGCAAATTTACAAGAAAAAAACGACAGCTCTATTAAAAAGTGGGCAAAGGACATGAACAGATACTTCTCAAAAGAAGACATACATTTGGTTAACAAGTATATGGACATCACTAATCATTAGAAAAATGCTAATCAAAACCATAATGAGATATCATCTCATACCAGTCAGAATGGCTATTACTAAAAACTAAAAAACAAACAAACAGATGCTGGCAAGATTGTGGAGAAAACGAAACACTTATATACTATTGGTGGAGGTGTAAATTAGTGCACCCATTGTGGAGGACAGTGTGGAGATTCCTCAAAGACCTAAAGACAGAAATACCATTCAACCCAGCAATGCCATTACTAGGTATATACCCAAAGGAATATAAGTCATTCTATTTTAAAGACACATGCACACATAATGTTCATTGCAACACTATTCACAATAGCAAAGACATGGAATCAACCTAAATGTTCATCAATGAGAGAATGGATTTTAAAAACGTATTACTTATACACCATGGAATACTATGCAGCCATATAAAAGAACAAAATCATGACCTTTGCAAAGACATGGGTGGAGCTGGAGGCCATTATCCTTAGTAAACTAATGCAGGAACAGAAAACCAAATATTACATGTTCTCACTAATAAGTGAAAGCTAAACAAAGGGTACACAGGGACATAAAGATGGAGATAATTGACACTGAGGACTCTAAAAGGGGAGAGCGTGGGAGGGAGTGAGGGTTGAAAAATTACCTATTGGGTATATTGTTCAATATTTGGGTGATGGCTATGCTATAAGCCCAATCTCTACCATGACACAACATACACATGTAACAAACAAGCATATGTACTCCTGAATCTAAAATAAATAACATATTTAGAAAATTTAATAAAGTACAACATTTAAATAAGAAATACCACAAAACATTGTTGAAAGAAATTAAAGACCTAAATATGAAAATATACTTTAGTTAAAGGATCAGCTGATAATTAAGATAACAATACTTCCAAATTAATCCACATTTTTAGAGCAATCTCTATCAAAGCCTCAGCCAGTTTCTTTATAGAAATTGAAAGGTGATTTTTTTTTTTTTTTTTGAGACAGGGTCTCTTTTCATCTCCCAGGCTGGAGTGCAGTGCCATAAACATGGCTCACTGCAGCCCCAATCTCCTGGGCTCAAGTAATCCTTACACCTCAGCACCACAAGAAATTGAGATTACAGCTGTGCACCACCACGCCCAGCTAATTTTTGTTTTTGTTTTTGTTTTTTTTTTTTTTATAGAGATGGGGTTTCACCATGTCGTTCGTGCTGGTCTGAAATTCCTGAGCTCAAGATATCCACCTGCCTTGGCTTCCCAAAGTACTTGGGATTACAGAGCAGGAGCCACCATACTTAACCCCTACAGAAATTTAAGGGACCCAGAATAGCCAAGCAATCTTGAAAAAGAACAAATATTAAAGACTTATACTTCACAGTTTCAAAATTTACTGCAAAGCTATAGCAATCAAAACAGTGTGGAACTGGCCTAAGGATGGACTTACAGACTAATGGAGTAGAGTTGAGACTCCTAAAACAACCCTGTACATCAGTGGTCAACAGATTATCAACAAGTGTGCCAAGATCCTTCAATGAAGAAAGAATAGTCTTCTCAACAAATAGTGCTGGGAAAACTGAATTTTTTCAGGCAAAAAGAAAAGGAAAGAAATGAAATGAAGTTGGATAGTTGAATCCCTACCTCACAACATATACAAAACTTCAACCAAAATGTTTAAACGTTTAACCGTCAAGTTATTTAAACCAAATACTTACATATAAAGCTAAAACTACAACTATCTTAGAAAAATACATAGAAGGATGTTTCAGTGACCTAGGCTGATAACGGTTTCTCAGATATGACACTGAAAGCACATGTAACAAAGGAAAAAACATACCTAAGTTGGACTTTGCCAAAATAAACTCTTTTGTACTTCAAAGAATACCATCAAGAAAGTAAAATGTCATTATTTGTTCCTGTTTATGGCTGAGTAGTATTCCATGGTGTGTGTGTGTGTGTGTATATATATATATATATATATATATATATATATATATATATATATGTATATGTATATACATACGGTGTGTGTGTGTATATATATATACACATATATACATATACACGTATATGTATATATATATTTTTTTAATTCACTCTTTAGTTGATGGGCATTTGGGCTGGTTCCCTATTTTTGCAATTGCAATTGTACTGCTATAAACATACGTGTGCAGCATGTGCAACTATCTTTTTTGTACAATGACTTCTTTTCAGCAACCTGGATAGAATCATATACTATTATTCCATGTGAAGTAACTCAGGAATGGAAAACCAAACATTGTATGTTCCCACTCATAACTGGAAGCTAAGTTATGAGAACGCAAAGACTTAAGAATGATATGATGGACTTTGGGGACTCAGGGGAAAGGGTGGGTGGGGTGTGATAGATAAAAGACTACATATTGGGTAAAGTGTACACTGCTTGAGTGATGGGTTCACTAAAATCTCAGAAATCACCACTAAAGAACTTATTCATGTAACCAAACACCACCTCTTCCCCCAAAAACCTATTGAAATGAAATAAAAAATAATAAATAATAAAGTAAAATATAGAGCTGGCATTCAGTATAATTTATTATAATAGCTGATAAACTTCATTTTATACTTTCAAAAGAAGAAAGGGAAATGACAATCCATAGAATGAGAGAAAATACATGTAAATTATATATTTGATAAGTGACTTGAATTTGTAAAGAATTTTTTGATCTCAGTAATAAAGATCCAATTTATAACGGAAAAAGGATCTCAATAGAGATTTCTCTATTGAAGATATACAAATGGCCAATAATTTCATGAAAAATGCTCAATATCATTAGCCATTAGAGAAATTAAAGACAAAACCATAATAAGATACATTTTGACACCCGCCAGGATGATTATAATTAAAAAAAAAAACAGATAATAACCACTGTTGATGAAGATTTCGAGAAATTGGAATGTTCATGCACTGCTGGTGTGAATATAAGATAATGAGTCTGAAAATTCTGGAGGTTCCTCAGAAGTTTAAACATATGGTTATATGATCTAGCAATTCCACTCCCAGGTATATACCCAACAAAAACCTCAATGTATGTCCACACAAAATCTTGTACAGGCATGTTCATAGATGCTTTATTCATGAATGGATGAAGTGAAACAATCCAAATGACCATCAACTGATAAATGGATAAATAAAATGAGACATATCCATACAATAAAATATGATTCAGTAATGAAAATTAAGTACTAATACATGCTAAAACGTGGATGAACCTTGAGAACAGTATTTTAACTGAAAGAGGGCATCAAGAAAAATCATATATTGTATGAGTTCCATTATATAAAAAGTCCAAAGTAGAAACATTTATAGGAAGAGAAAGTGAATTAGTGGTTGCCTAGGGCTAGGGTTACTGTGGGAAATGCTACTGTGGGGGGGGTTTCTTTTAGGAATGAGGAAAATATTTTAGGATTTACTATGGTGATGGTCACACACAATTCTGGGAATATAGTAAAAACCATTGAGTTGTTTTGAGTACATGAATTTTTGAGTACATGAATTATATGTTAATGAAATATATACAGACAAAAAGTTGCATAGATTTGAACAATTTTTTGGCATTAGCCACTCCAAAGTGCTTGTTTGCTTTTATGCACAAAAAATTTTGGAAGGATGCACTCTCCCAATTTCTCCATAAAAATAACACAGGAGTTCATGTCTAAGGTGAAGAGGAATGAAGGAAGTGGTTTTTTTCACTGTTTGATTTTTAAAATTTCTTTTAGCAATCACTTTAAAATATGAAACAAATTTTATAAAAGGAAAGATACATAGAGAAAAATCTATTAACATTGGCAAGACCTGATGTTGATAGCTACGTGGGGCCATGGCATACATAGGTGCAGACCACCAACTCAATATCAGGATCCCATAAAACATGGGATCATGTTTTATGGGAACCTGATATTGTTTTCTCATTATAATCAGCCAGGTTACTTCCACAACTACTATGAAGGTGTTCATTTCCACTCTTGTATAAGCTGCATTGATTGGAAATCAGGAAAAATAAATTCTAGGCCTTGTAGAAAATAATATATAGTGTGATTGCTAATGTCTACTGGATTCCTTGACTCTCATTGTTCCCATGTTCAATTCATTTTGCCTACCATTTTCAACCAAAACATGTTTCCACTTTCATGATCAAAGCCCAAGTCAATCTTAAGCATTACTTTCATCTAGAGAAGACAGCATGGGAAGAACTTAAGAATGTCCGTTGACCATCTATGTGACCTTGAGCATCTAACTTAACCACACTTAAGTGTATTCAGCTTATTTCTATAAAAAATAACAGACGGCCAGGCATGGTGGCTCACGCCTATAATCCCAGCACTTTGGGAGGCCAAGGTGAGCGGATCACGAGGTCAGGAGATCAAGACCACGGTGAAACCCCGTCTCTACTAAAAATACAAAAAATTTAGCAGGGCGTGGTGGCGGGCGCCTGTAGTCCCAGCTACTCTGAGGCAGGAGAGTGGCGTGAACCTGGGAGGCGGAGCTTGCAGTGAGCCGAGATCGCGCCATTGCACTCCAGCCTGGGCGACAGAGCGAGATTCTGTCTGAAAATAAATAAATAAATAAATAAATAAATAAATAAATAAATAAATAAATAAATAAATCATACAGGATATCCCCCAAAGTTTCATTCAGAACTAACATTTCTCTGTCTTTGAAGCCACATATCTTGTTTAAAGAACATCCTTATTCTCCTTGTGCTACAAATCCTCCCACTATGTTGCGCACGTTTTAAATATCCAAAGTAAATGCCTCTACCCCCTCAAACCAGTCCTTCAGCTCTCCCTAGGCTGTTTTCTTCCCCCTTTTTGAAAATTTAGATTTCTTGCAATACAGTTTACATGCAGTGGAATTCAGTCTTTCTAGATCTACAGCTTGATGGGTTCTTAGTAAATGTGTGCAGTCATGAAACCATCGCCACAATTGAGCTACTGAATATGTGTATCCTCACTAAAAGTTCCCTTGTTCCCTTTTGGGTCAATATGCTCCTCACAATTCCCAGTTCCCGGCAACCACTGATCCGATTTCTGTTCTTATAATTTTGCCATATCCAGTATGTCATATAAATGAAATTGCACAATATATAACTTTTTTCGTCTAGTGTAACTTTTTTGTCCAGTGTAATGCTGTTGAGTTTCATCCTTGTTGCACGTTTCAGTAATTCATTCCTTTTTATTACTGAATGGTAGTTAATGGGCATCTGCGTGTTTCCAGTTTTTGAGTATTATAAATAAAAGCCACTATAAACATTTGTGTATTTGTGTATGTTTTGTGGACATATGTTTTTCTTTATTTTAGGTAAACATCTAGAAGTGTGACGACTGAATAGTTTATTAAATGTATGTTGAAATTTATACAAAATTGGCAAATGTTTTCCAAAATGCCTCTACCATTTTTTTTGCATACTCACCAGAAATATTTAAGGATTCTAATAACTCCATGTTTATATTAATATGTGGCTTGCCTTTTTTTCCTATCAGAGTACATGTGTAGTGGTATTTCACCATGGTTTCAATTTGGATTTCCCTAATGACTAAAGATGTTAAGCATATTTTATATACTTATTTGCCATTAATATCTCTTCCGTGGTGGAACATTTGCGTAAATATTTTTCCCGTATTATTTTATGGAGCCTCTTATGGAGTTATGAAGTCATCACATATTGTGTGGAAATCCTTTATCATATATTTGTGTTAACAAATATTTTCTCATACTCTGTGAACTGTTCCCTCCACTCCTTAAAGGTAGCTGTTATGAATTTGACTAATTCCAGTTTCTCAATGTTTTCTTTTGCGTTTATGCTTTAGGTATTCTGTTTAAAAAATATTTGGCTTGAAGTTTGTTTTAGTTTTTACAATTAGGTCTATGATACATTTTGATTTGATTTTTGTAATTGGCGAGGTGTAAGTTAAGGCTCATTTTTTGCTTTGGATGTTTCATTTTAAAGCAGCACCTAATTTAAGCAGCTATCCTTTCTATATTTAATTACCTGGGCAGCTGTACAAAAAATGGACTCACCATACATGTGTAGCTTTCCTTCTGGACTGTTTTCTCTATTCCATTAATATAAATATTTGCCTTATCCAAATGCCACATTGTCTTGGTTAGTATAGTTTTCTTTGAAGTCTTGAAATTAGGTAGTACAAATTGTCCAAAATTGTTGTTTTACTAGATATTTTGTTTCTTCATGTAAATTTAGAAAAAGTTTGCTAATTTCCACTAAAATGCATGCTGGACTGATTGGGATTACACTGAATCTGTAGATCAACTAGGGGAACACTGGTATTTTAACAATATTGAGTCTTCCAATTGATTATCCTGGTATATTGCCGAATTAAAATTTCCACATCAATGTTTTATAGTTTCGCACATATATTTTGTTACATTCATACATATTTCATGCTTTGATGCTATTGCACACATATCAATTAAATGTCATTTTAAATAAAAATAATAAAAATTAATGTCAATTTCCAATTTTTCAATTATAGTGTTAGAAATGCACTCGGATATTGTATATTGATCTCATACCCTGTAATATTGCCAAACATTCTTTTTTTAAAAAATTTATTATTATTATACTTTAAGTTTTAGGGTACATGTGCACAACGTGCAGGTTTGTTACATATGTATACATGTGCCATGTTGGTGTGCTGCACCCATTAACTCGTCATTTAGCATTAGGTATATCTCCTAATGCTATCCCTCCCTCCTCCCCCCACCCCACAACAGTCCCCGGAGTGTGATGTTCCCCTTCCTGTGTCCATGTGTTCTCATTGTTCAATTCCCACCTGTGAGTGAGAACATGCGTTGTTTGGTTTTTTGTCCTTGCGACAGTTTGCTGAGAATGATGGTTTCCAGCTTCATCCATGCCCTACAAAGGACATGAACTCATCCTTTTTTATGGCTGCATAGTATTCCATGGTGTATATGTGCCACATTTTCTTAATCCGGTCTATCATTGTTGGACATTTGGGTTGGTTCCAAGTCTTTGCTATTGTGAATAGTGCCACAATAAACATACGTGTGCATGTGTCTTTATAGCAGCGTGATTTATAATCCTTTGGGTATATACCCAGTAATGGGATTGCTCGGTCAAATGGTATTTCTAGTTCTAGATCCCTGAGGAATCGCCACACTAACGTCCACAGTGTTTGAACTAGTTTACAGTCCCACCAACAGTGTAACAGTGTCCCTATTTCTCCACATCCTCTCCAGCACCTGTTGTTTCCTGACTTTTTAATAACATTCTTATTAGTTTTTGTGATTGTAATTAATTGTAGATTTGGGAGTATTTTGTCTGTAGACAATTATATTATCTGTGAAAAGTTTTTCTTCTTCCTCTCCAATATTGATGCTGTTAGTTTCTTTTTCTTATCTAACTGCAAATGTTAAGACCCCCAGTACAAAGTAGGCCCACAGAATGGAGACCCAAGGCAGAGTTGACGTTGCTGCTCAACTCTGAAAACAGTCTGCTGGCAGAAATCCCTTCTTTTAAGACCTTCTACTGATTGGATGAAGCCCACCCACATTAGGGAAGGCAACCTGTTTTACTCAAAATCTATTGATTTACTTGTTAAACTCATCTTAAAAAATATCTTCAGAGAAATAAACAGTGGTTCTAAGTACCATGACCTTGCATATTTGACTCATAAAATTAACCTTCTCACTGCATCTACTGGGATGATTATGTGTAGCCTTATTTCTGGTTTTAGCCTCTATATGATGAACCATATTCATTGATTTGCAAATGTTTAATCAAGATGACATTCATGGCATAAATCATACTTGCTCATGATATAGTATCTTTCTTTCACATTGCTGGATTTGATGTGCTAATATTTTCAAAGACTTTGTATCTGTGTTTTTATTAGATTCCTACTGCTGCTGTCTGAAATTACCACAAACTTAATGTCTTAAGACAACATAAATTGATTATCTAGACATCAGATGTCCAAAATAGATTGTCCTGGGCTAAAATAAAGGTATCAACAGAGTTGTATCCCTTCTAGAGGGACTAGGGGAGAGTTTGTTTCCATGCTTTTTTCAGCTCTTGTTCATACATATTTTCTATATTTTTGACTGGATACTTGATGATATTAGTTGTAGTTATTACTTAAGTTACTTTCTGATTATTCTAACATGTGAGTCTTCACCAAGTCTCCTTCTGTTGACTGCTTTATCATTTAAAATAGATTATTTATTTCTTGCTACTTTTTGTGTTTTATATTTAAAAAAAGAAATATGTACGTTGCAATGTGAGGTAAAAATACAATGAAATAAATAATTTTTATACCTAGAAATAGACATGCCTCTTCTGCTAGGCTGTTAATGTGAAGGCGTTATGTCAATTTAGTTTGTAGTTGAGTTAGATGAGCCAGGCATGGGTTTTGTGTCACTACTATTAACTTTGGTGCACCTAAGCTTCAAATTCCTTCAGGGGTTGCCTCACATTATAGGGCTTAATGAGTGGGGCCTGGCAAGCTATAGGGTTTTTCATTGTCTTCCAACTCCATCCTCATGTTTAGATGTTTTTATACAATTGTGCAATAGAGGAGTCAGCAAACTTTTTCTGTAAGATACTAAATAATCTGGCTTTTTAGGCTGCATATGGTCTCCGACCCATATTTTTCCTTAGTTTTATTCTACAATCTTTTAAGACTGTAAACACCATTTCTTAGTTCACAAGCATTACAGAAACAGACTGCTGAGTGGAATTGGCCCACAGACTGTTTGTTGTTTGCCAACTGCTTCTCTTACTCTATCTCCCTGGGTAGACTATTTCAATGCCAAGCTCATGGTGGAGCTAGGTAGATCCTCTGTTTCCTTGTTCTAGTTTTAATATTAGGAAAGTTCTTGAATCTGGGCATTTGGGGGTGGGGCTTTCTCATTTTTCTTGCTCCTTTGTCCTCAAAGCAACCAAATTCTATCTTATATCTCTTGAGGTTCTAGAGCAGGAGAGAATTGTCATTTCTTCCCTTAGCATCAGAGAGAATCTGCTTTGTATTGTTGCAGTATCATTGGCCCAAGAGGTTTTCTTGTTTCTCTCCTGGAAGCAGAATGCTTTCATTGGAAGCAATAGATCTTCTCTTGATTTCTGATGGCATGAAGTAGAGCTTGCTATCCCTCTTCAAGAGGCAGAGGGGCTTTATATCTATCCCTCCACAATAACCCTGGGGACAATACAGTTTTCCGCCCCTTTCCCAGAGGTGTAAGTCTTTCACTTACAAGATGACAATCCTGTGACAATAACTCTACCTCAATGCAACACTGGCTTTCTGTATGCCTGAGCCACTGAGGGGTTTGCAGCAGCCTCCAGCTCTGCCTCTAATATTTCTTGACAGCACTCGGCAGGGTTCATGAAGCAGAGCCTTGGAGTGAATGTGTCTTTGGGCCTTCCAGGTATTCTAAACTGATGCACTAGCTTACACTTTAGCCTTTAAAAATTCATCAATATTTTAGCTAATTTCCTCTCACCTGCGTCTAAGGCAACCGCCTTCCCCTCTTCAGTTCTTCCAAGGGAGAAACAGGTCATGTTTCCCATCTCTCCTCAGGAGATCTTTGCCCTCTCTGGAATTCAGTTTCCTTCTTTGTGTTACAATCTCAAGTCTTGGATGGGTTCGAAGCTAGTTATAATTTCTTAAATTTTCTGGCACTCTCTCATGTTTAGAGTAGGAAGGACTGATTCCTGAGTCTTTCTACATCGTAAGCAGAAGCACTCATAGTACTTTCCTCTTTGGGGAGAAATGACTCAATAAATATTTAGTGATAGATACATTATTTGAGAACTCACAGACTTTAAGCCTTGTTCCTTTACAATAGTGTATTTCATATTATTTATTGTTTTCCTGCATATGGATCTTACACACAGTGAATATGGCTTTTTAAAATATCTAACATCCCACACACCCAGGGAGAATGACAGTTAAGCAAAATTCAGTAGTAGAAAAATGTCAATTCTATTTGTTTTTTGAATAAACCGTTTCTGGAGGAAAGAAGATGACCTGGTAAATTGGTTTAATGGAAATAGAATTTTTTTTTTTTACTTTTACATGTGTGGATTAGAATAGGGATATTGTTGAATACTCCAATATATTACTTAGTCATTATTAGTTTTTATTATTACTCATTCTTTTTACAAACATTTTGTTTTTATATATGCACTGCCAGATACTCTGAAGCAGGGGTTGTTTTTTTGGTCCATGGGCCAAATCTGGTTCACAACTTGGTTTTGTACATCTTCCAAGCTGAGAATGTTTTTCACATTTCTTAATCGTTATTAAAAAAAGTGGAGTTTTGGGACAGAGGCCACCTGTGGCCCAAAAAAACAAAAATATTTACTTTTACATCCTTTATAGAAAATGTTCCCTACTCCCTATGTCTGGAGGATACAAAGATGGGTAACACATTTTCCCTGTCCTCGAGGCCCTTTCACTCTGGTCAAACAAATCAGCCATACATATAAATAAGTAAAATGTGAATTAGAAAATCACATACCCTATGAAAAATACCAAATAGCATTAAATGAAGAAATAGTGACAGTAATGAATTCTTTCAGCTAAGGCATTCTGGAAACCACTTTGCTGGAGATGGCATTTTAATGGGACAGTAAAATATGGGTAGAATTAATATATGCAGGGAACTAAATAAATCAAAGAAGCAATGGATACCTAGATTACAAAACAAGAAAACTGGCTTTACAGCATATGGACTGAAAAATCATGTGATTCATTTATTTTTTTCATCCTCAGTCATTAGCCCTGCTTCAATAAGATTCAGTTTCAATTAAGATTTATTTTAAGTATTTTTTACAATTGGTATATAATCTCTCAGAAATTTATAGTTTTGCTGAGGAGACTGATAAAAATAGCTGCAATTTAATCTTTAGGTATACTCCATAAATTGTAATAATGACATGAAACCAAATAGTCATTCTTAAATTAGGGCCTGCATATCCCCTAGTGTTGCACACTTAGGCACCCAACCCATAGAATAAGCATGGCGTATGTACCCATGAAATTAATTTTACTGCAAAACTGGGGCAGAGTCTTTTTTGGTGTTGTTGTGTTGTTGATGTCTTTGAGAGGTTTGTCGCATACATACACAAGAATCGACAGAATGTATATTCCATGTCAGCTAATCCTTTGCTTTTTCATGAAAGTCCAAAGAACAAAAGGTTTTTGTGTGCTGAATAAGAAATCTAGTATTTTTGTGATAATTGAAAACCTAGCATGCCGTTTACATCATCAACAGCAAACACTGCTGTGACAAGACCAGAATGGTCACTAGTCACTGGTCCTCAAGGCTAATTCTTGTCTGTCCAAATAAGTTAAAACATGCAAATTTGAAAATAATTCTCACTGGCAACCCATTTGGGCTTTCCTTTTATTTTATAGATTTGTGTGTTAACTGACTGTTTGGCATTTTTGTTTTGAATATATACACTCATATACAATCATTGTTTCTTCCTGACACAACCACATTCAATAAAATGTTTTATGTACTGAGGATGGATTTCATGATCTTAAAAGTTTCTCCCATGTACTTTCCATTTTATATTCATCTCTGTTCCTAGATTGCATAAAACTCTCACCCTCTATCTTCAGGGGCCTTATAAATTATCTGAGCTGCTAAAAATGGAGGCTGCTGAAAATGTATCTACCAGGGAAAATTGATCAGATGTCTGCAAAGTATCAGAGCAGATACATTCTCTGCTGGATGGTGCATTAGTATATTATGCCTGCTGCTAAGGATAAAAAGGGCATACCCCACAGGGCTGGTGCTTTCTCAAAGGGCCTTGGATGATCCACAGGAATTGGTGGACCGTCTCGGCAGCTTCGTGAAAATGAACGTTGGTGAGTCTCCTAATGCTGCCCCTGAACCTGTTCACATAGTTCCCTGTGGGCTGAATCTTTCCCATGTTTGACTTCTCATTTTTCCCTCCAGCTCAATCACCCCCAGGCATATGAACTTCAGAGAAAGAGGGAATTCTTATATCTGTCTCTTCCTAATTCCATTGACATGGATTGAACCCTTCCTTCTCTCAAGTCTCCCCTTCTGATTTTCAAAATCCTGTTCTGGATGTCAAAAAACCTGAACACCTAGAGCTCTTTTAAATGCCCATAAAAACATCTCAAGGCAATAGGGATATCTCTCACTAATTAGCAAAGGCCACATTCAAGTTGGAAATAAAATGCACAAAGATAAATATTTCAATCTATGATTCAAATAACTTTATATGAACACAACCAAATTTAGCTGTAATTTCCACCACAGTAACTGCCACAATATTACAAAATAGCCAAAATGTTACTTTTTATTATAGTATCATTATTGTTGTTTGAAATTACATTTTGTAATGGATGTATAAAATATTGGCTTAAACCAGAAAGACTTAATCAGAAGCTTTGAAACCTGTGACTGTGAATTTATACAAAATTAGAAAAATAAAATTAGAAAACTCTGAAGGTATTGAGAGCGATCTCAGAAATTGTGTTCCAGAGACTCACAGTATATATGATGTTTAGTACATTTAAAATGCTACCATATAAATAGTAAGCATCAGCAAAATGAAATATATTTTGATGTCTATATAAAATATGGGTTTTTACGATGGAGGGATAACAAACCTAACACCTGTGAAACCTTTTGCTAAAAAACCCTGGGACAAAATAGTCTGATACTATCACTTTTGCAGAAGCATTTAAAACACAATTAGCAAATTTTGAAGAATAATTATTAGAGATCTTTTTCAAATTAAAAAAAGTAGAACACTGTGCTAGGGAGAATTCAATAAAAATATAAACAGGGAAATGAAATATCTTTCAAAGTTAACTTCAAGGGCATTTTCAAAATACTGTAAAAGATGAAGCTAATGTAACAGGAGACTATTTGATGGCACTCATGCTATAGGCATGACTAAATCTATTTTGGATCAAAAAGAGGCAGCCAAGCTGAAAAAAGGTGCCCATATCAAACTTTGGGAGTGGCAACCCACATCAAGGACATTGCTCATTCTGAATGACCCAGCACCTCTGCATCATTTACCAAGAATACTCACCTCAAGCAATATGCCTTCTGATTTCCTCAGTGTGTTCAATGGGGTGGCAAAAATGGAAACTTTCATTTAACAAAAACTCTGGTGATTTGAATAACTTTTTAAAAAACAATAGGAAGTGACTTTGAAAACTTACTTCACAGATGAACTCTAGCTTAATCTGGAAAATTGCAATCCACGTGTGCAGCAGGGTGCCACAGCATTGTAACTCTGGCTTCAATGATTGTTTTCCTCACAGGAAAGGGGAATTAAGACATCCAACAAAAGGTCAGGCTTTGAATAAGATGAATTAATTCCTTTTTTTGTCCTGAATGATAAAGAATGTTTAACAAAATTGGCTTATCCAGCATATACTTTTTCAAGGCTAAATAATGTCAATCAATAATGGCAAGAACTCTCAAGGTTGTTATTGTCTATGACAAGATCATTGCAATTAAAACGAATGCCGAGAGATGAAATAGGAGAATTGCTTGTGGGAATGATGAGGTATTTGAGCATTTTAGTTCAATTAAAACTAATGATGTTTACAATATCTTTGTTAAAGATAAGAATAACATCATCATTCATCTTTCTTCACTGAAAAGAGTTCTTTGATGAGTGTATGCCAGTGATAGTAAAATGGAATGCCTGCCTGTGGAGCAGAGAATTTTCAGCCCCATCATATTACTCAAATATACAAACAATTTATAAAATTTCTAACAAATAACAGTGTGAATATACATTGTCTTGAACTGTCTCTTTGGCAACATTCTTGGCATTTTTATCCAGTGATTATTATAATACAACCTATCCATCAGTAAAAGAAAAGAGCTATGGTCTGGCTTTGCATACATACCCATACTTATATTCCTGAAGGTAACACCAAGATGGATTTCCCGGTCATGGGACCATCCTCATTTCAGTCCATTTAATTTTTAAAATTCATCAACTCAGTGCAATATCTTATCCAACAACCAATAAATACGGAAAACAATTTATCTAAGTGTAAGCAATGGCATTTAAAGCCATAAATAATTTACATTAAAGCAAGCACAAATATTGAATAGAATGCAAAATTTGAAAGAATCATTAAGATAAAATACGGGAGCTATTATCTTTGAAGTGTCAACCAAAACACCCAGGACATATTTCCCTCTTATTTTAGGGCTACTAGGAAGAAAAGCCTGTGAAGTTTGGCATTATTTAACCAACTGTGATGCTTGTGTTTTCCGTGTATTTCTAGTAAGCTAGCCACAGAAGTGGCCAACATATTCTCAGTCACTTTCCGCTGTGAAAAGTGGTTTTCAAATGAGATGTTGATGTTTAGAAAAATCAATATAAATGAAAGATTTGATCATTTTAATCAACAAGGTTTTCTCCACAAGATGAGACACATCATTTTTTGTTCATAAGCGAATTGAAGAGATCATCATTTTTAAATAAAATGAAATATAACTAATAACATAAACTTCTTTCAGTGTATTCATGTCTCTGGTTTAACTATTTATTAAACATATATTTAGAAAGAAAAGATAACCTTTAAGGAATCTCACTAAGCATTGGGAAAAACTCAGTCTCTTGGTCTAAGATAGCAAAGTTATTTTCTTCAGTGAATTCTCTTTTTTAATATTATTTTTATACTTTAAGTTCTGGGATACATGTGCAGAACGCGCAAGTTTGTTGCATAGGTATACACATGCCATGGTGGTTTGCTGCACCCATCAACCCGTCATCTACATTAGGTATTTCTCCTAATGCTATCCCTCCCCTAGCCCCCAACCCCGATAGGCCCTGGTGTGTGATATTCCCCTCCCTATGCCCATGTGTTCCCATTGTTCAACTCCTACTTATGAGTGAGAACACGTGGTGTTTAGTTTTCTGTTCCTATGTTAGTTTGCTGAGAATGATGGTTTCCAGCTTCATCCATGTCCCTGCAAAGGACATGAACTCACCCTTTTTGATGGCTGCATAGTATTCTATGGTGTATATGTGCCATATTTTCTTTATCCAGTCTATCATTTATGGGCATTTGGGTTGGTTCCAAGTCTTTGCTATTGTGAATAGTGCTGCAATAAACGTACGTGTGCATGAAAAAGTTGGAAGTTAAAAGTTAGTGAATAAAGGAACAACATTGTGGATGTAGCCCAGTTTTGCTTAAAGCCTAAACGCCAGATACAGTTTGGAGAGGAAATTATAGTTTGATAACTGCTAAATGTAAACTACCAAACCATATGCTTAAAAATCTAATTACTTTGTTTACCAGATTTCAAATTACTTAACCTGTCTGTGTGTCTACCTCCTCATGTATCACATGAGCATAATGTAATCACTGCCATATGGCTGATTTTGTGTGATTATTTTAGATCATGTATGCAAAGTGCTTAGTCCCGTGACTAACACAGATTAAGTATTCCATAAAAGGTAGCATTTTTTAAAACGCCGTTTGGGAAGAACCCCGGGATATAATAATGCCGATGTGAGGTTTCAGCACAGTAAATGTATTGTTCCTCTCCTCTATGCCAGGAAGACCCTTCACAGACAGGTGTGCCCATAGATGTCAAGCCTGGAGAAGAGGTAATAGTACAGTACTGAGGGGCCTACAGTTATCAATACAGACAGGAGCAAGTTCATCCCAGAGTCGCAAAGGCTCCAAACTGAAGTGAGCTTGAGAAATTGGAGATTTAGAAGGAAGTCTGAGATTAGTACAATGGAAATGGGCTTCAAGGCACCTATCAAACCACAAAGAACCTGAGAAAGAAGAAATAACTGAAATATGAAGGCTGAATAAACATTCAGATTAGAAATTATTAGGAAAAGGTACGTACACAGATGACAGTCTGCAAAATTCGGAATCAGCAGAAGCAAGGGCAGTCCTGCTTCTGGCTTTTCACATCTTTTCTACCATGTGACACATGGGCAATTTGGGTCTATTCAAAGGATCAACAATACAGCAGGCTACTTGGGGTGTGTCCTGGGGGAACTCGAGAAATCCAGAGAAAGAGAAAAATAAGTGATTAGGATAATACAAAATATGTCCTATGAGGACCAATTAGAAGTATAATGGCTGTTATGTCTCGATAAAAGGGGAATCATTATTAGTTCAAGCACTTCAATGAATGTACAATACGAGAGATTTGGCAAACAGCTGATTTTAATGTTCATAGAAGACTCAAAAGATAGATGCATTTAAATAAACTTAGATATATTTCTGTTTATAAAAAAAGAAAACCTTGTGACAAAGCTTTGTAAAAATCTACAAAGATATATTATGGGAACCTTGACTCTGCTATCAAGACAGTGGTCAATCATCTTCCTGAGATGGTGTATTATCAGTAGTTTGCTAGGGCTTTCATAAGAAAATACCATTGGCTGGGTGGCTAAAACAAAAGGAGTGTGTATTTCCTCACAGTTCTAGAGGCTAGAAGTCTAAGATCAAGTTGTCAGCAGGTTGGGTTTCTCCTGAGAACTCTCCGTGGTGCACAGATGTTCCTCTTCTCGCTGTGTGCCTGCATGCCCTTTTCTCTGTGCGTACATCCCTGGTCTTGCTTTCTGCATCCAAATTTCTTCTCATGAGGACATCAGTCAAATTGGATGAAGGCCCGCCTTAATGGCTTCATTTTAATTTAACCAAACTCTTTAAAGACCATCTCTAAATAAGGTCCCATTCTGAGTTACAGGGGGGTTAAGGCTTCAACATATAAATATTGGGAGAACACAGTTTAGCCTGTAACAGATGGCTTAACCAGTGATGGTAACCATGAGTCACCAAAGATCTCTTGCATTATCCCTGCCCTGTCCTACCCCCAACACACGGGCACACAGCCCGTGTTTTCGAAATTTTAACCTACCAAACCATATGCTTAAAAATCTAATTACATTGTTTACCAGATTTCAAATTAGGACAGCTATAACTACATATGAGAGTTGCTTAACATCATGGGGAAAAAAGTGTTTTTATGGTGAATAGATGTGTATTTGATCCCACACGAAGAAACTTGACATTTCCATTCTGAAAGCAAATGCATAATTTTGGTTAGATTTCAAAATACTGAAAATTTCTTATGGATTTCCATTTCCACTTTGGAGAGGATGAGGTGGAAACCACTGCATTAGTTGTTAACCTTTCTAAAAGTGAGTCTCTTGTGAGGTTATTTTCCACTGTCTTCCAACTTTGTGGTTTTATGATAACACTTAGAGTTGGCCTTTGAAAAATAGCTGGCCCCCTTAGTAGAAGGCTCACAAATGATGTGGCAGACATATATGGCCACCCAGGGGCTAGTCCCCTACTTTTCATAAAAACACTCTACACTTTGGTGGAGAATATTTCCCCCAGCATGCATAGTTCAGTGAATTATGGAAAAAAAAAAAACATTCGGGTCTCCCTTCTGAAGAGACAGACACTTCAACTATGCTGAGCTAAGTGAACAGTCTCTTTCTGGAATCTGCATCTTAACCAAAGTAAAAAAAAAAAAAAAATACCACATTGGAACTCATTCACCCAAAGAATTACTGCCTGCTATCAAGAACACCATCTGTTTGGGTGCCTATCATTCTTAAGCTTGGCTTTTTCATCCTTTCATTCAGATCTGGGAGCACTCTCATGAGTGGGGACTCTCATGAAGTCCCCTTTTCTTCAGTTATCTCAAGTTAGCTTCTGTTACCTGAATGAGAAAAAAAAAATCCTAACAATACAAACTACACAAATTTATAAGTCTTCAGACAATTAACATCTGTGTATGGCTATCCTCCTGCTTCTTTCAATAATCCCTATCATCCGTATGCCAACTGAGAGTGAAAATACTCTTTGCCAAGCAAAAGAATTTTCCCGAATGAGGCATTAGGAGAAATGAGGGGGATTTAACTATGCAGGGATACTCTTCCTGCAACTGAGAATCAGCTGAACAGTTACAACTGCAATCCTCAGATGTGATTACATAGTCAACTAATCTATGAGAAAAACCTACTTTACTCATATTTGTATGTAAATATACCTTTTATGTATTTGGAGCCATTTGGTCCTTCATAGCATGTTCTGGGTCAACAGTTCTCAAAGTGTGGTTCCAGGACCAGCAGCATCAGCATCACTTCGGAACTTGTTAAAAGAGCAAATGCTTGGGTACCACTCCCAGACCTACTCTATCAGAAACTCTGTGGGCTGGGCCAGCAATCTGTGTTTTAACAAGCCCTCTAGATGCTTCTGATGCTTACTGAAATTTAAGTATCTTTGGGTTAAAGTCTTGGACTGGAATGAGATCCCTCACCTCAGTAGCTTATGACTTTTCTCATGGCCAGAGAATATAAGAAATTCTTAAAGGCATCCCTTTAGGGGTCTTGTCCTAGTTGGGCCAAAGCCCTCCTCCTCACTCTACTCCTAGCACTTCTTCATCAGTTGCCTCAAGAAAGAGAGGAATGGTCATTAATGAAAGGCAGAAGGTCTGAAAATAGAGCAGTGCTGTCATTTATGCAAAGCCTGCAACCTCATTTCCAACTATTTGATTGTTTTATTTGCCCAGAGGCACTACTTCTCACACTTTTGGCTCCTCTCTTTAGAAGGACCCCCAACTAATCATTTTCATGTGCTTCAATGCACTGCTCTCCCAAGTATTCTTTTTAAATTGAGTGAAAATTAAAGCTAATGCATACAGTTCCATAGTAACATCTCTTTTAATGAGACCCATCTTCTAATGGAAAGGACTGCCCTACTAAATTAAAAGTAGGGAAATATATAAAACACATAATCCAGCACATGAAACCAAAAACCTAATTTATTCATTCATTTCACTAGACAATGTGATGAAGCATAACAGGAACACGAGAACATGAAGTTGTGTTCCCTGTCTCCTCCTGCCATTTCCCCTTTTCTACTTAGAAAAGGTCAGCGTGAGAAAAACTTGACCTTAAAATCTACTTCCCAGTAAAACGAAACCAGTGAAAGCAACTATTTTCCCATGTCCTACTAATCTGAAAATCTAATTGTAAATTTTTTTAAAACCTCTTCATTATATAAAATCTCTTTTTATTTCAAATGTCTTTAACATTAAAAAAAATTATTTTTAGCAAGCCCAGGATGAATTCCAAGTAACCTCAAAATTGCTATCGTAATAGTACTTTGGTTATAGGTTTAAAAAAAAGGTACATAATCTGCGGTGTTTTATGAGGTTATTCATTTGAATTATGAAATTCTAATTGCCTAGGAGTTTGTCCATAAACCACCACTCTCCTCTAGCAGGATGGAAAAGAACACAAAGTATTCCCACCAGGAAGCTTGGAAGCTTGTCAGAACCTACAAATGTTTCTCAGACTTCATGGTTTCTTTTAGAGCTTTGAATATTTTGCAAAACCTCTGATCAAAAGGTAACCATGACCTCAGAGGTAGGGGGGTATGTGTGCGTGCGTGTGTCTGCACGCACGTGCATGTGTGTATTTAGCTTTATCTTGGCATAGCTATGCATGCTGAAATGCTGGCATTGCAAGAGGCCAGACTATGTTAACTCCTCCAGTGACTGAGGCGTACTTATTTTATAATGATCACTAACTAAGTGGAGATTATTTGGTATGTGTTTGTGTGTGTGTGTTTATTTGTGTGTGTGAGTGTATATGTGTATTAGAAGCTTTAACTTTTTATGTGTGTAATTAAATACTCTCATTTTTTCCAGTCACATTATCAAATATTCCTGTATTTATTTCAGACCTTGGTAATTAATACATTAAGATCACAAATCTTGTTTTAAGATAGAATACTTTTCTATGAAGGATATCAGCTCAATTATTTATTTTGTTTAGCTTTCTTTCACTTTTTAAAAACAACATCTGTTTTCTTAAGTTTTCATGATCCAGATAAAAAGCTCTTCATTCCACGCATCTCATCATCATGCAATTGACCTACATGTACACAGAATCAGAAGATTAATGTTGAACTTATTCCCATAAAACAGCATGAGGTCCAACTACAAGCCACACAAAATAAATGTTAGTTGAGTAACATTATCAAAGTAGTAGTGACAGTTTTAAAATGCCTGTACAAAGAAAACTTGTCCACAGCTAAAGTTAAAAAAAAAAAAAAACCTTCAAGAAACAAAACAAACAAATAGAAAAAAAGAAAAAAGAAAAAAATAAGAAAGCCACTTGAAATGAAACAATGTTATAAACTTCTTATGTAAACAACCTTATTTTCTGTAGTTTGTAACCAGAATCTAGTTCCTGGTGGAATCTTGAAGTACATTGTAAATACTAATTAACAAATCCATACTACACTCCCTGAGTGGTTAAAGAGAAGTGTGTAGGGATCCGGGCAGTTCATGAATTTTAAAGATGAGTACTTGGACTGTAGGATCAGTCGTAGCAATGATGTGTTGTAAAGAAAAGTATCTTTATGCAGACCTTTGCACAAGTCAGTGGCTGTACTGGACGAATCACCAGCTTCTAGACGTTGAGACCAATCATTCAGCCGCAGTGTTTCTTAATTGACTTTATTTGGTTTTGGTGTTGAAGTAGTTTTCCTCCAATGAGTAGGTGGCTCAGCGAGAATCTCAAAAGAAAACAGCTTCTAAAAGGGCTTTTGGTACTTAGAGGTTTTGGAAAAATGACGAGAAGAAGCATTTTCCTGGAGTAAATATTATTCCTTGGAACAAATCAAGGTATTGAGTCTAACAACAACAAAAAAGTTAACAAAAATTCTGTACAGCAGCAACTGGGATAACTTCTGAGAAATTACTTTCTAGTGACATTAAAACAGTAAATATTCAATCTGATTTATAGCTGTTTTTTCTTTTGACTGAAAATGTGCAATGTATGTGGCTTGAATACATGTTCTTGTCTCAAATATTCTACCACACACATTTCCACCAACTGTGAAGGCAAACACATTTTGACTAATGTTATTGCTTATGAAAATTTTCCTTATAACTTGAAATTCTAACTCTGTGTTTTCTTTTGAACATTCACATTTATAAATGGGCAATTGTTAAACCACTAGCTATTTCTCTTAGAGTTACCATAATAAGGTGATAGAGTAAGTGATCCAACCTTTCAGATACTATGAATTTTCTATTTTCTACTTGGGAATACCACGTAGTAAGAAAAGAATCGTTAAGAATGAGAAAATTTTAAGAATGATTCTTAGATGCCAAGGTCTCTCCTTGCCATTTCTCCAATAAGGGTGTTTCAAGTTGTCTGAAGTTGTCTTTCATATAAAAAAAGCAACTTAGGGGCTGGGCGCGGTGGCTCACGCCTGTAATCCCAGCACTTTGGGAGGCCGAGGCGGGCAGATCACGAGGTCAGGAGATCGAGACCATCCTGACCAACATGGTGAAACCCCGTCTCTACTAAAAATACAAAAAAATTAGCCAGGCGTGGTGGTGGGCGCCTGTAGTTCCAGCTGCTCAGGAGGCTGAGGCAGGAGAATGGTGTGAACCCGGGAGTCGGAGTTGGCAGTGAGCCGAGATCGCGCCACTGCACTCTAGCCTGGGCGACAGAGTGAGACTCCCTCTCAAAAAAAAAAAAAAAAAAAAAAAAAAAAAAAAAAAAAAAAAGGAACTTACGTAAAACTTGTCTGATCTTGTATTTTTAAAACCATTGGCAAAATGCATGCTCATTCAGCTGGGCTCGGCGATTCACCCAAATGGAATAAAAATACACCAGCCTATTCTCCTAGTGTTAGAGATGTAATTTGGCTAGAACACATCCTTAGAAGTAAGACATCATTCTCAAAAATCATTTTTATATAGTATTTAGGAACACTTTCTATGGGACGTAAGGTGTTTTATGAATAAGTCCCACGCCAGATGCGGAAGATGAATCCCAGAGGAGGTGAGCAAATCTCTGTCTCTGATTCAGGATCAGAGTCCATGTCAAACTGTTCTCTATCCAAGCAGAGCCTCAAAGGGCTTTTCAAATCCCAGTGGCACCTATTAGCTGCCAGGAGTCTGTAAGGTGTGTGAATGTAAGTATCTGGCCAACAGTGGTACCTCCTATAGCCTGATGCTGCTAGGTTCCCTGATGGGGGCCTGGGATCAGGTTTGAGTGCCCTATAACAATAGCATTTAATGAGCCATTCACCCAAATAATACCAACTGTTATAAGGGAAAGAAGCATGGGAGGGATAGGCTGTGTGAGACAACCTCAAGTTTCAATTCTGACTGTGCTATGTATTGATTGCATGACCCTAGAGTACTGCTAAATTTTTCTAAGTATCGCACATTTTGAGTAAAATGATTGTGCTGGTCAGTCTGCTATGTCTCTCAGATCCTAATTCACTTCACTACATTCTGCTTTGTGTGACTGAAGCTGGGACTCTACCAACTACGTTTCTTTGGTGCTAGCTGGCTTCTTGTTAAGTTATTCGGAAGAAGGGAATGGGGAGACCTTCCTTCTTCTCTTTTTCTTTCAGTTCTCAGTGACTCATCTGCCATGAGTCTTCCCCAGCAGGGGAACTGTTGGCCCCAGTTTTTTTTTTTGTTGTTGTTTGTTTGTTTGTTTTTGAGACATAGTCTCCCTCTGTTGCCCAGGCTGGAGTGCAGTTGAGAGATCTCAGCTCACTTCTACCTCTGCCTCCCGGGTTCTGGTTCAAGCAATTCTCCTGCCTCAGCCTCCCACGTAGCTGGGATTACAGGCAATGCACCACCATGCCCACCCAATTTTTGTATTTTTAGTAGAGACAAGGTTGCACCATGTTGGCCAGGCTGGTCTTGAACTCCTGACCTTGTGATCCACCCGCCTCAGCCTCTCTAAGTACTGGGATCACAAGGGTGAGACCCTGCACCCAGCAGCCCCAGTTTTTACTGTCCTATTGGCATTCACAAAATGAGGTTCACAGTCCCATAGAGGTATCAGCAGCAGACAGGCAATGACTCCTCCTCAGAAGCCTAAGTTCCAACTTCTTGGCACCCATTCATTGACCTTCTACATTCTGATATTTTTAATTACTTTCCTTTGTTGCTCTCGTATTAGCGGTCATAGTGACTTTCTTGTTACTTCCATCTTCCTTTTTCCTCATTCAGCAAACCAACACCTGTGTACCAACAACCTATACTAAATTCTCTCCATTGGATTACCCAGTGTGGTTTCCATTTCCCTTACTGGTTCCTGACAGATACAGAGTAAGATAGAACTACTTACTTAATCTTTTATGTGGATTAAATGAGATACTATATGTCAAATGCCTGTTACAGGGCTTGACATATAAAATAAATTATATATCTCATCCTCTTGTAGCATTATCTCATATTATTCAAAAGTTACCATCATGCCCATATCATTATTCATGCCATATCCATTTTTATTTTACACTTAAACCTATCAAAACTCCTCTCTCCATTTGTAAAAGCTAATCTCATTGGCACAATTCCCCTCTGCCAATATAATAAGTTTCTGCAAGTTGTGGCCTTAGATAGAAAATATTTGAATTGACAGAAGAACCCTGGCTTTCTAACTCTCAGCTAGTTTCAATAAGGTATGGAATCATAGAAGAAATTTTTAACCACAAGCTCCCTGATGCACTTTTTAAAGATTATCATTATTTTAGTGTTTGTGAAATTGCACTGCCTGAGTTATCTTTGCATATTGGAATAAAAAGCCTTGTTGCTTAGTCTCAGTAGCCACATGACAGGACCATGATGTGTCATCAAAAGATCATCCAATTCTTCTCCTTAATCATCTACTTTCAATAAGAATTAGTAAGCAATTTTTATCCATAGTGAGCCCTTACTCCCTTTAATATCAAAGTGAATATCGTTTATTTTCTCATCCCCTTCTAATATTATCTGATATTATTCAAAATTATAATCATGCCCATATCATTATTCATGCAATATGCATTTTTATTTCACACCTAAATCTACCAAAACTCAGTTGAGAAAACTTTCTCCAAGTTTACGAGAATATCTCTCATGAATTCCTATTCATGTGAGATACCTATTATAGCTTCTTACAATATAGTAATTAATTTTTCTCAAACTAGAAATTTTGTCAGCTCATATAAGTTAAAATATCCCAAATGTATTGCACAGAAGATGTTTTTTATCATGACTCGTGACTGCCTAGAGATCCTGACACAAACATTTGCTGTCTGATTTGCCAACCTTTACTATTTTTATAATGGGCTACATCATCTGAGACTTCCATTTTTTTCTGAAGGCAAGACCAAAATATCAAAATAAGTACATTCGTAGTATATTTCTTGAAATTTATCAATGTAGATGGTTATAATAAAAGTTTTAAGATCTTTTCTAATTACAGACTCAGTAGAGAGAACTAACCTTTGAAATAATGCTAGGGACAATACACCATACTTTTTCTTTCTTCACCCTATAGCCAACTGCCCCTCCACAGATGTATTAAGACATGTGTAAAGAAGTAAGCACAATCCTAATGAAACAACTAGATTTTTAAGTAGAAAAATAGAAATGCTTGATCTTGCATTGTTTTATTCATGAAATAAATAGTATGTGCTAGTTGAAAAATTCCCCATACTCTGGCACAGAAATTAAATTTGTGAAATGAGGAGTCAATCTCTTTGCTTTTCAATTCTCAGTCATTATGATGATAAACTCAGTGGATGACCTAAGTTATTGCCTTAGAACAACTAGTGAATCCAGAAATGGCTACTCACTTTGAAATATGTGCAAATAACAATAACTACAGAGTAGGAATCACCTGATCCTGAAATGAGCAAACTCTGCATGAAGAAAAAAATCTTAATCATCTCATGACTGATCCCTTGAGTTAATCAATTATTTAACAACATTATCTTTCCTATGCCAATGACCCCCTCTCTGTGTCTGAACAACTTGAAGGCATAAGAAGGATGAAGAAATCAATGAAAACATAAAGTATAAAGTCTAGATTCAGTTTGACTTTTAGGACACCTGGAAAGTCATGAATGTGATAAAGATTTATAACTTCCTCATTGTCTACCCCTATAGTATGCATGCATCATCCTTTACTCCTAATCCATAGGTGGGTAATAAAATTAGAGAGTTATGATGATAGGGACTTAAAAGCCAAGTGTTTCTTACAAGGCAGGGGATAAAATGAGATTGAAACTATGATAATGCTCTCTATTCATTTGAAAAGATACATTTTTCATCTTCTCACAATGTGCCTATAACTAGAGTACTATGCTTAGAATAAAATTTCCTAGCAATTCTTTACTTCTTTTCCCCAAAATAAGAAAACAATGCTTTCAAAGAAAAATCCTATCCTCTCGTAATAATCTTGAGTCCAGTAAATAAAAACTTGTATGTGCAAACAAACCAATGAACCAGAAAAGGGTACTTGTATTTTCATTCTCAAAAATATCTTCAAGTGTGCTTCCGAAATCAACAAAATTTGAAGGGACAGGTGAAGAACAAGCTTTGTTGGCTGAGACTTAAAAAAGTGTGCACTAATGGTTTATAGTAAAAAAAAAGTATCGATCAACTTTGACTTATTTAAAAACTGGAAAACATAAGTTTGTAAGATTGTATGTGAAGATTTGGTAACATGAATGTCTTGTGAGCAGTAAATCACATTTGTAGGAAAGAAATGAGTTGAAATTTCAAAATATTTGCATGCTGTTAGAAATTCATAACTTTCTAAATTTAAGTTAGTTTTAAAACTTGGCTTGTGTGAGTCTTCTAATTCTTTGAAAACTAAAAAAGAATGTAAAGCAAGTAAATTTCAGAGGTTTATTTTCCCTTGGAACAAATTAATGGTTCTATAAATTGCTTTCAACTGATTTTACCACTCCTAATACTTAAACTAAATACTAATCGTTCTGATATATTCTTGTTCATGTGTATTAGTTTTTTATTGCTGATGTAACACATCACCACAAACCTAGTAGATGCAAATAATGTAAATTTTTAATCTTTTGGTTCTGGAGGTCATAAGTCTAAATGGTTCTATGAGACTAAAATCAAAGTGTCAGCAGGGCTGGGCTTCCTCTGGAAGCTCTAGAGAATTATCTGTTTTCATGCCTTTTCCAGCTTGTAGGAACTGATTACCTTCCTTAGCTCATGGCCCCCACTTCCTACAGCTTCAAATGAGACAACACCAGGTTGAGTCCTGCTTAGATCACATCTATCAATTTAAACCTCCTCCTAGTCATATTTCCTTCTGACTCTTTTATGCATCCTTCCTTCTCTTCAAAGGACCTTTGTGATTATAATGGGCCCTTCTGAAGAATCCAGGGTAGTCTCATCTCAAGGTGCTTAAGATAATCACATCTACACGATCTCCTTTTCCATGTCAGGTAACGTATTCCTAGGTTTCAGGGGCTATACTTTGCTGTCCACTTTTGGAGAAATCCTTGGAAGATACTCATTTAATTTAGCATATGATGTAGAGGCACACAATACTCCTCATAATCAAAAGACTTTAGCATGTAATTATATCCCAAACATTTTTAAAACTACGTTTATGGTGTTTTACTTGGTAAAAGAGATTTTTGCGTATGTGATTGAGTTGGGAAGATCACCTAGGTGGGTAATTGCAAGAATATTTGTGAGAGAAAGAGGTAGGTATGAAATAGAGTCAGAGAAGGAGATGTGATGACAGAAGCAGAAGTCAGAGTGATGTGATTTCTGGCTTGGAAGCTGGAAGGAGGCTGTGAGCCATGGAATATGGGCAGGCTTTAGCAGATGGAAAGGCATGGAACTTGACTCTCCCCTAGAGATAATTATTTAACTCTGCTACTGAGTCTAAAAAAGGTCTTAGCTCCATGTCTTATCTATCATCCCTGTGAGTATCAGGAGAATAGATCCTCCATACTCTCATACACAGGTTTTGTTTTCTCTTTCCCGTTAAGCAGCTTTCCTGTTGCTTACTTAAGTGGTTTTTTTCCAGATAAAGGAGGAATTATTATGTGTTATTTTGTAGATATATACCCTAAATATACATATGTGTGTACAAATACTGTGTAATTACATACATTCTGATGATTTCTAATTTCTTGATTGTATCACACACTGTGGTTTAGTGTCAAGCATCCAATCATTTGACTGGTCTTTCATAATGTTCTTCTCAGTGTATACATTCACCAGCTTGTCATACTTCTTGAATTATATTTCTGTTTCCCTCAGTAGTCAACATGTTTCTAATTTATCTTAAGAATCCCTTCAAGCCATTCTAGCCTCAAATGAAAAAGTATGATCATTACTTCATTTTCTTCCGCAAACAGATATGCAGCAGGATTTTTTATTCCATATTTCTAGAATTCTCCCAGAGTTGCAGTTCATGATCATGTAAGTTGTACTTTGCACAGCTCCAGGGGCACTGTTTACCTCAGAGTCATTGGCATATTACCGATTGGCATATTACCAACTGCTGCAATTTGAAGATGGTAACTAAGTACCTTAAGAATGGTCAACTGTTCCTACATTGCACAACGGTGGCATTCTGGCCAGTGAGTGCTACTTAAAATTTGATATCAAAAACTTATAATTTGATAAGAATGACCAAATTTTTGCCCTCGGGTCTGATGGAATAACAAGGACCAAGCTTTTCTGAAGTAAATAACTAGACAACTGGACTAAATATATTTATCAATTAGTTTCAGGCATTGAACAACAGAACAAAACAGTGAAAGAAAACAAACAAGGCCAGTTTTATGGTCACTACAGTTTTCTGCATAGTTACAATTTCTAAATCACAGGCACAGAAAGGAGCCCAAATAGAATTTCAAAGACTTTCTGAATTGAGGAGATAGAAACCAGAGACTGGAGAGACAGAGGTTACATGGCAGAGCTCCAGAAAGGAAGAAGGTATGAAGAGAAAAAGCTCCTGAAATATGCTTGGGGTACCCTTTGCATTTTTGCAGAGAACTAATCAGTGCATGCATAGAGTTCAAGTCCATGAGACTGGCAGAGGATAACTAGGAATATGCAACCTCAACAATACCCAGAGTTCAGACAAAGAGGAAAGATACATGCAATCTGGCTACTGAGAGTCCCTGGTGATAGCTCATGGGGCCATGCCTTAGTAGTCAAGCTAAAGTACACCAGGAATGAAGGCCGTCATATGCCAAACATAATAAAGCATAAAAAGAGGCCTTAAAAGATCAAACTGATCTACAAGTAACTCAAACTGCTTGCCAGAGGAAAGTGCAGCACTTTTTAAAGGAAAACAGCAACAATGCAACCACTCACATTTCCAGCATTAAAAAAAAATTACTAGACCTGCCAAGATGCACGAAAATGTGAAGCATAATCAGGAGTAAATTAGACAATAGAAACAAAATCAGAAATATGAAGGATCTTGAAACTAGAAGATAAAAATGTTATTAGAGTTCATAAAACTATGTTAAACTATTTTAAAAGTGAATATCATAAACTACTATTTTAAAAGTGAATATCTTGCTTTTAGTGTTAAAAGCAAGAACAAAGTGCAAAAGAATATCCATAGTATACTATGCTTCATGTAGAAAACGATAGCATTTAAGGAAATATGCATATATGATCTTCTGTGCAAAATAAATACAGGGAAACAAAATCCAGAAACAAGAGATTGTTTACCTACAGAGGGTAGGTGTGAATGGGATGGAAAGAATGGGATAACAGAAACCTTATACCACAAAAGAGGGAAGAATGACACTTTGCTGAGCATTTTTTGAGCTCTAATTCTTAGAGCTATAATAATATTTCACATGCCTTCAAACAAATAAATAATTAAAATTTACCAGGATGTGGGGGAATGGAATACAAATGGTAACAAATGAACTCAACTCTTTTACAAATGATAATTACAACCACACAAATAGAATTGGGGCAGAAAAGAGCTAAACAAAGTAACCTAAAACAAAAAAAGCAAGTTTTTGACTGTATCCTTAAGGCTAAAGACAAAAAGAACTATGCACAAATATTTTACTATAGTTTACAAATGTGTTTTCACAAGGGTATGAGTTTGCAAATATGAAATTATTTTATGTGTATGCTAGGATTGAACAAAATGTAAATATACTGTGGATAATGGGAGCCAGGTTTTCCACCATCAGAGCATGGAGTTACAAATAAGGGAAAGAGAAAGGCTATAATGCATCCTGTAGTGTTGGACTGGAATCAAAAGTATTATATGAAATCATTGTTTTTAGTATATGTGCAGATGGAAAATTGTAGAAATAAATATAGATGTGTATAAATGTGTGAGTATACATACATACATTTTCTAGCTCTTCTAACAAAAGGGCCTAGAGACACTACCATCCCAGTAACAATGAGAACACCATTCTCCAATTAAAGGAACCAAGGCTCCTTGGAGACATGTCTGACATCAGGGTTGGGCAGGGAAAATACAAGATTAGTTTGAAATATTTTGTCATGCCATAAAGTAAGGAAATGCTCACAAAACAATGGGAAAATGTGAAAAGAAAAGGAAACAGAACCCAATTTGAATAAACTTCCATAGCCAAATTTGTGAAAATTTGGGCAATAAAATAAATAACAATAGTGATAGATTACAATCTACAGAAGAAAAAATTCAATTAATGCAGGCCAGGCACGGTGGCTCATGCCTGTAATCCCAGCACTTTGGGAGGCTGAGGCGGGTGGATCACCTGAGGTCAGTAGTTCGAGACCAGCTTAATCAACATGGAGAAACCCCATCTCTACTAAAAAATAAAAAAAAAAATTAGTTGAGTATGGTCGTGCATGCCTGTAATCCTAGCTACTCGGGAGGCCGAGGCAGGAGAATTGCTTGAACCCTGGAGGCGGAGCTGTGGTGAGCTGAGATTGCGCCTTTGCACTCCAGCCTGGGCAACAAGAGCGAAACTCCATCTCAAAAAAAAAAAAAAGATAGAATTTAAAGGGACCCTTCCTATCTTATTTTATGAACCCAGTATTGCCTTGATTCCAAACCAAGACAAGGGCATTATAAGTAATACAACTTCTATGTTTAGCCCTCATAAATAGACTCAAAAGTCCTTAAAACATAATAACAAATTAAATGTAGCAGTACATAGAATGGATAATAAACCATGAGCAAATGAAATTTCTAAGAAGATTGCAAGGTTAATTTATTATTTGAAAAATCAATTTAATTAATTAATCAATTCTATTCATCTGGGTGATTACATCGGTAAAACTCAGCAAACTGTGCACTTAAAATAGGAGTATTTATTTTAGGTAAATTATGGTTCAGTACAATTGATTTTTTAAAAAAAGCGTTTCCCAAAGTGATCAAAGTGGAGGGCAGGAAACAGTAAACATCAGTGCTTATGTTATAGCTACTAGAAGCCTCCCAATTCCAACAATGTGCTTTCAAGCAGGTCTGATCCTTTCCCTGGAGGATACCTCTGGCCCAGGTGTGCTACAAATGCATTGCCCCCAGTTGCTTGTAACACCTTAGCGATAGAAGTGAGAAGAGGGTACTGGAGAAAGAAAAGGTGTACAGGGTTCCAAATGTACTTTCTCTTTCCAAAGGACACTCATGAAGCCAGTGGAGAGGAAACAAACTAGCTGCTAACTAAGTCACAAGCATGTTCTCATACAGTTTTGCAATTAACTAAATTAGGACATTCAACCAATAAAATTTGTTTTACATGGTTCCTCCTCTAATAGGATGAACTTGTGGATTGTGAGATATGGCTGATATAACTTGTTTTCTCTATTTGCTTCTGTTTTTTTCCCCAAGTTTTGTTTGCAATACATTAGGAAAAATATAATTGGGCTATAAAGCGAACAAACAAATTATCTATGAAATTATCACTCAGATATAGAGATTGTTACTTCCTATTGGCCTTACATATGAATATAAATAAGTAAAAATAAATATATGAACATAAGCATGTTTATTGTATAATTATATAAATGTGTGTAACAATAAATCATGCTTATACATAGTTTCAATTCATGCTTCTAAAAGCCATCACTCAGTGTAGTCATTATCATATGTTAATAAACAATCTCGGAAAATATGCTTGTAGTAGTTGCACAAAATCCCATCATAAAGATTGTCATGCCCTTTTTAAGCCATACTTTTGGGTATATAAGTTATATCTGATATTTTCCTGCTACATATATACTATTATAAATCTATTAGTAGTTGACTTCTTGTCAACACATATGATTGTTTTCTCACAACAGAGTACAAGAGTTGGTTGTAACTTTATTTCCTTCCAACTTTTATTTTAGGTTCAGGGGGTACATGTGCAGGTTTGTTACATGGGTAAAATGTGTGTCAATGGGGTTTGGTGTACAGATTATGTAGTCATCCAGGTAGTGAGCATAGTATCTAACTGGGAGTTTTTTGATCCTCACTCTCCCCCACCCTCCACCCTCAATAGACCTTGTGTCTATTGTTCCTTTCTTTGTGTGGACTCAATGTTTAGCTCCCACTTATAAGTGAGAACATGCAGTGTTTGCTTGGTTTTCTGTTCCTGCATTAATTCGCTTAGAATAACAGTCTCCAGCTCCATTCATGTTGCTGCAAAAGGCATTATTTCATCCTATTTTATAGCTATGTAGTATTCCATGGTGTATGTGTGCTGCATTTTTTTTAATCCAGTCTACTGTTAACAGGCATCTAGGTTGATTCCATGTCTTTGCTATTGTGAATAGTGCTATAATGAACATATGTGTGCATATGTCTATGACAGAATGATTTATATTCCTTTGGGTATATACCCAGTAATGGGATTGCTGGGTTGAATGGAAGTTCTGTTTTAAGTTATTTGAGAAATCTCCAAACTGCTTTCCACAGTGGCTGAACTAATTTACATTCTGAGGAAACTGGAGAGTTCCCTGACTCCCTTTGCAGGATGTGCAGCAGGGGTGTGGCTTGTCTATTTGGCTATCACGTGTGGTGTCAAACCCCTTTCCAGGTGGGAGGGCATGCAGACAGGCAGGTGCAAAAGCCAGGGCAAGTGGCCATGGTAGTGTCTAGGGGTGGGAATGCCTGTGACTCCCACAGCCCAAGTTGGTGTGTGTTACAGTGTGCTCTTTTAGCTTTGCCATCCACAGACAGCTTAAGTGTTAACCAGCTCAGTGCCCTCTTGGTACCCAGGTCTTTGTCCAGCATCCAGAAAGAATCAAGTTGCACACAGACTTGAGGATGGTGAATATGGAGGTTTTATTGAGTGGTGGAGGTGGCCCCCAGCAGGATGGATGGGGAGCCGGAAAGGGGATGGAATGGGAAGATGATCTTTCCCTGGAGCTTTGCCATCCAGAGGCTGATCTCCTCTCCAATCACTGCCAGCCAAACTCCTCTTGGCATTCAGATGCTCCTTCTCTTCTTTCTGCCACATCATTCTGCCATTCTTCTGCTCTTCTGTTCATCTCCTCATCTGTT
This sequence comes from Homo sapiens, assembly GCF_000001405.40. Lineage (NCBI taxonomy): Eukaryota > Metazoa > Chordata > Mammalia > Primates > Hominidae > Homo > Homo sapiens. The sequence goes on from NC_000009.12 coordinate 80,855,520, forward strand.
TGTCTGCTTCTGGAGCCTGGGGTCTGGGGTTTATATGGGTACAGGACAGGAGGGCGTGGTGGGCCAAAAGGCAACTTTTGGGTGCAAAAGCAAGAATGCCCCATTTAGGGCCATGGGTTTCCAGGCTCGAGGGTGGGGACTTTGCCAGGGAACCACCCTCTTCTACCCAGTATTTCCTTGCCTCCTGTCTGTATCACCACCAGCAGTGTATAAGCATTCCTTTTTCTCCAGAAGCTCACTGCCATCTGTTATGTTTTGACTTTTTAATAATAGCCATTCTGACCAGTGTGATATGGTATCTCATGGTTCTGATTTGCATTTTTCTAATGATTAGTGATGTTGAGTATTTTTTCATATGCTTGTTTGCCACATGTAAGTCTTCTTTTGAAAAGTGTCTGTTCATGTTCTTTGCCCATTTTTAATGGGTTTATTTTTTGCTTGTTGATTTAAATTCCTTATAGATGATGCATATTAGACCTTTGTCAGATACGTAATTTGAAAATATTTTCTCCTATTCCATAGGTTGTTTGTTTACTCTGTTGATAGCTTCTTTTGCTGTGCTGAAGCTCTTTAGTTTAATTAGGTCCCACTTGTCAATTCTTGTTGCAATTGCTTTTGGAATCTTCATCATGAAATCTTTGCCAGCGTCTATGTCCAGAATGATATTTCCTAGGTTTTCTTCGAAGGTTTTTATAGTTTTAGGTCTTACATTTAAGTCCTTCATCCATCTTGAGTTGATTTTTGTATATGGTGAAACAAACAGGTCCAGATTCAATCTTCTGCATATGGCTAATCAGTTATCCCAGCATAATTTATTGATTAGGGAGTCTTTTCCTCATTCTTGTTATTGTCAACTTTGTTGAAGGTCAGATAGTTGTAGGTGTGTGGTTATATTTCTGGATTCTCTAACCTGTTCTATTGGTCCATGTGTCTGCTTTTGTACCAGTGCCATGCTGTTTGGGCTACTATAGCCTTGTAATATATTTTAAAGTTGGGTAGTGTAATGCCTCCAGCTTGCTTCTTTTTGCTTAGAATTGCTTTGGCTGTTCAGGTTCTTTTTTGGTTTCATACGAATTTTAAAGGTTTTTTTCTAATTCTGTGAAAAGTGTCATTGGTAGTTTGGTAAGAGTAACATTGAATCTATAAATTGCTTTGGGCAGTATGACCGTTGTAAGACTATTGATTCTTCCAATCCATGAGTATCCATACTCACGTTTGTTTGTGTTGTCTGATTTCTGTTGGCAGTATTTCTTTAGAACTTTTTATTGTATTGACTGTCACAGCACATTGCCAACTGATTTCCAAAATATTGTACATATCCACACCTCAAACAATTGTTAATAAACATGATTATCTCATTGTAGGAATAGTGTTTGCAAACAAAAAGATTCCGCTGGTCTTGGATGCCATCCATCCTGACTTTCCACCAGTTTCATTTCACCCTCAATGACACAAAGTGCTGTCACTCAAAATTCATTTCTAAAAGGAGTGAAATAATATTTTTTATAAATTGCAAATGAAGGTGTGGATGGATAAAGGTGAACATTTGTTTCCATGCTTATAGGTTATTTGTATTTCTTCATCCATGTATTTTTAATAATCTTTACTCACATTTTTCTTAAGGATATTAGTTTTACCACCCAAATGGTTAAAACTCCATAGATTAATAAACAATTTAGCTAATAGAGCTCTATACAGAACTTTTCCCAATTTGTCATTTTAATGTTTACTCTTTTTGCTTTTTGGGCACAAGTTACGACCAGGCAATCACAGGAGCTGTGTCTTCTTTTCTGCCCAGGAGAGTGGGCAGAAACAATGTCCCGGTCCTAGGAGACTCCTGTAATTTTTGTTTCTTCTGTATCTTTCTGCTAACACTGTGTGAACAAATGAAGTAAAATTGATGCTCCAAAGTCATTTCAAATGAAATGAAACATCTTAAACAATTAAGAAGTAGTAGTGAAGGAAAAATGGGAAAATCATGAGAAAGGAGAATGTTGCTGGAGAAGACAAAAGGAGAGCAGAAACTGACAAAAAGTAAAACCCATAATATTTTCATCATTTGGGAGACATGATTAATTCGGAAAATATGCAGGGGAGCTGGAACTGAATTTGGATTTGGATGTTTATAATGATAAGGAAATAATCGGATCCACTTCAATCTGTTTAGTATTGTGTGGTGTCTTTCTGGTATCTTCAATGCCTGTTGTTTAACACTTCAGTGATGAGAGCTTGAGAATTACAGTGCTACCACTGGTATTTGTTAATGAACCTTTAAATTGGCCATTACTGTTATAGCCTGTTTATGCTGGCTTGGCTATGTTGGCTCTTTTATTGAAATAGACAACATGATTAATTTACTTGAGTCCTCTAACATGTTTGTGTTGAATCCAGTTTAAATTACTGTCAGAAATAATGCCAGATTTTAGACTGGTGACAGAACATTCCTATGAAAATCTCCAACAAGGAATGCTACTTCTCAAAGAGCAAAAGAGGGAGAATTGGTTGGAAGAGGATGAAAGAGGGGCATGTTCATGTCAATCGCATAGGTAAGAGAAGAAAGAAATCAGATTACAAGAAAATTGTAGAAGTGTTGAGCCTAGTTACCAATACAGATTGCCTGCCCCATTATGTCAATTTTTGGTGGTGTTATGGATTAATGATTTTTTGAGAAATATATTTTATTACCTTCTGTCTACTAAAATGTCATAGAATACTAACCATCATATGAAACCAATTTTTCCATTTTTTTCCATATAAAACTTTCATGGTGCATAGCAACAACCAGACACATCCCAGACTTAAGCAGTGAAAAGCAAATACTGCAACTGGAGAAAACATAAAACAAAGTCATATTTTCCATGCCTGACAGATTTTAAGTTTAAGATGTTTTTTGGTAATTTTAATTTTCAAAAAAATACTGTCAGGTTAGCCATTGATTTTTGTCTTATGCCCCTGCCTTTAAAATAAGATGGTGAAGCAAAGGTGGTGTTGACTTAGTTTACAAAGAGACTTAATAAAATGTCACATTTGCTAGTGATTCTGCCGTTATTCTGAATGTTTGCTTTCAAAGATAAAACAGAAAACGGCCTTTGGCAAAGAGCTCAAAGTAAAAGAAAGTAAATAAAATTCTTGAAATTCTATGTGAAAGAGATATTGTTTTATCTTCTGATATCCAGCATAAAGAATTGAGAAACAAAATTTTCGAGGATTAATTTTAATTTTTAGTTTTCTATGCACATCTTCACATGCTTGTGGTGAATTATTTGATAGTTCAGCCTCTTTGAAGCTGAATTAGTTTGGGGGTTAAATATTGAAGTTTGGAGTAGATAAGCAGATGCATCAATGATTCCACATAATACAAGGACACAAAAAGTTAACAAAGTTATTACATGACAAGGAAATTATGATGCTATGGATACTGTCCAGTCACTTTCAACTACCTGATAATAAGTTAGCTTGAACAAAAGAAAGTTGGAGACAAAGTAATACTCATAACTGCTTAGATATTGTGACGTAAATTCATTTGCAAGGCAAATATATATATATATGTGTGTATATATACATATATATGTGTATATATGTGTGTATATATATACGTATATATATATACACACACACATTAGGAGATAGAAATATCTCTCTCATAATGTGTAGAAAATTTTTTTGTTGGGGATGAAAATGATGAAATCATTTCTGAAAAGGTTTTCTGGAAATGTATGCCTCCTGCTTCCCTTCCTTCTGCATGTTTAGTGCCAAGAAAGAAACAATATTTCAGAGTTCAGCTCTGGGTATTTCTGTACAAGATTTTTATCTTTAAACAATTACACAACAGATTCATGCTCATTATAGAAGAATTACAAAATGCAGATGAGCAAGTGGAAAATATAAATTTTACATTGCATATACTCCCAAAACACAAAAATATTCTCTCTTAATGTATTGGTGTGTATCTTGCATATGTATAGACGAGTATATGTATATGTATATGTATACGTATTCATTCATTAAGTGTCTACTAGGATTCAAAGGACACATCAGAGAAGGAAACAGACAAAATTTCCTGCCCTATAAAGCTTAGCTGGTCAAGCCCAACAAAAGTAAAACAAAAACAATATACAATATGTTAGAGAGTGATAAGTGCTGAGGAGTAAAATAAGGCTGGCAAGGGAGATAGGAAATGCTGGAGATGCTGTTTTAAATAGAGTTGCCAGAGAATGTTTCATTGGTGTGAGAGCTGAGCAAATCCCTTAAGGAAGCAAGGGAGCAAAGCTATAGGGATGTCTGCTGGAAGGGTTTTCTAGGCAGAAGGAACAGCTATGTCAAAGGCCCCATGATGAGAGCATGCCCAGTGAGTTGGAGTTGAAGAAAGAAAAAAGAAGCCAATATCAAAATACTTTTATTTATTCTTTCTATAATACCTTCTTTGACCCATGAATTATTTGAAATGGTTTGTTTAATTTCCAAATGTTTGGAGTTTTCCTAGATATTTGATTGTTATTGATTTCTAACTTAATTTTATTGTTGGTACAGAACATAGCCCACAAAAACAATGCTGTCTTAATTTAAAACAAGTTTAGTATGTGATATGCTTGTTGGTATTGTTTCAATTTAAAAACATTATTGACTTATTTTATGGCCCAGAACATGATCTATCTTGGTGGATATATTATGTACACTTGAAAGACAGTATTTTTGTTTGCTGTTGGATGGAGTATTTTATCAATGTCAGTTAGAATAAGGTAGTTAATAGTTAATAGTGTTGTTCAAATTACCTATATCATTACTAATTTTTTTGGGGGTAGAGCTAGGGGTCTCTCTGTGTTGCCCAGGCTTGTCTTGAACCCCTGGCCTCAAGCAATCCTCCCACCACATCCTTCCAAAGAGCTGGGAGGATTACAGGCATGAGCCACCACACCCAGCCCTTTACTGACTTATAAAATTTAGTTTTTCTATTGTTTCTGAAAGAGGAGAAAATCTTTCCATTTTAAAATCTCTTTTAATTTTGTATCTATCTGTTTCTTTGCTTAATTCTGTCAGTTTTTGCTTTATCTATTTTGAACTCCTATTCATAAAAACATACATAATTATGATTATGTCGTCCCACTGGGAGAACTTGTATTATTTTCAAAACTTTCTTTATCTTTGGTAATATTCTTTGTCTTGAAGTTTGCTTTATGTATTATTAATATAGCCAATGAAACCTTCTTTTGGTTAGCATTTGCATGACATAAATTTCTTATCTTCATTTACTTTGAATTTATTTGTGTCTTTAAGTTTAAAGTGCAACTCTCATTAACAACATATAGTTCCCATGCTTTGTCTTAGAATCTCTGCATTTTTGTAAGTATTTTTATTTAAAGTACACCTCTAACAGACAGCACATGGTTGGGTCCTGCGTCTACTTTTTGTCCAGAGTTTTTAAATTGGGTGTTTATATTCTTTATATTTAATGTAATCATCAATATGGTTTGATTTAGATCTCCCATTTTATTGCATGTTTTCCATTTATCCCTTTTATTATTTTTTTTTCTTCCTCCATTCCTTTTTTACTCTCTATTTTGGCTTATTTGAATATTTTTCACATTTTATTTTATCTTTCATTAGCTGTTTACATTCAAATTTTATTTTATCTTTTACCTCATTATCTGTTTCCTTTACACTCCAGGGATTACAGTACACATATTTACCTTTTATAGCCAATGTAAAGTTAATATTGCACCTCTTTACATAAATTGTAGAAGCACTGCAAGTATATAGGCCTTATTACCAAGGGCCCACTACTTATGTTAAAGTGTTTATATATACTATATGTACTCAGGTTACAACTACAATAATATAAGTTTTAATTTTTGCTTAAAACAGATATATTTATATATATAATTGGAAAAAAGAGCATTTTGTATTCATCTGGATATTTACCATTTTAAACATTCTTCATTTCTTCCTGAGGATCCAATTTGTATCTACTACAATTTTTCTTCAGCCTCAATAAACTGATTTAGTTTCTTTAGCATTTCTTAAGATGCCAGTCTGCCGTTAATTTTTATTCATGTATTTTGAAATTCTCTTACTGGTTACCATTAGAATTATTATAGCTTTTTGATGAGTTGACCTAGTTTTTATTATAAATGCCTCTCTTTGTCCCTGAAATTTTTCCTTGTTCTGAAGTCTGCTTTGTCTGATTTAATAGGACCATTCCAAGATTCTTTCAAGTAGAGTTTTCAGGGTACAACTTTTTCCATTCTTTAATTAATTTTTAGCTTATGTCTTTATACTTAAAGTTGGTTTCCTGTAGACAGCATACATATGTAGGTCATAGTTTCCATCCAATCTGACAATCTTTACTTTTATTGGAGTGCTTGGAACAGTGCTATCCAATAAAAATGTGAATCACAAATATAAGTCACATATGTAATTTTAAAAAAACTTTAGTAGATACACAAAAATCGAGTGAAAAATTAATATATTACTTTATCCACACATATTCAGAATATTATCATTTAAGCATGTTATTAATGGAAAAAATATATTAATGAGATATGTAACAATATTTTAACTTACACTAAATCTTTGAAATTCAATGAGTGTTTTACACTTATTTCACATTTCAATTTAGCCTAGCCACAAATTATACACCTAATAGCCAAATGTGACTATAGTGTTGGATAGCACATTATATCCAGTGTGGATATCAACTATGTGGAGGTTAATTCTTTCACCTTGCTCTATATTTTATAGTTGTTCCATGTATTCTCTACTTTTCCCCCAGTATTCCAATTGGTGAGCTTAGGAAATTAATTTAATGATTATATTGTGCCTCTGCTGTTATCTATAACACGTTTTATTTTCAGTGATTGCTCTATGGTTTATCATATACATGCTTAGCTTGTTAGTCTATGTTAAGACACTATTATCACTTACATACAGTGTTAGACCTTCATAGGAGTGTATCTTCATTTCCACTTTTCCTTTCTGTGTTATTGTTTGTCGTATAGTTTATTCCACTAATGCTATACAGCTCACCATGCATTGCTATTATTTTTGCTTTAAACAGAAAATTATCTTCTAAAGAAGTTTTTTAAAGTAAAAAAAGTCTCTTTTTGTATATTCGCTATTTCCTGCACTCTTATCCCTTTTGCAGATTGAACTATATATTTGGTATCCATTAATTTTTGTCTGAAATTTTCCCTTTAGCATTCCTTTCAGTGCAGGTCTTCTTAAATTTTCTCAAATTTCGTTGGTCTAAAAGTCTTTATTTTGCCTTCAGTTTTGAAAGATATTGTCATGGGTGTAGCATTCTTTTTTTTAGTATCTTAAAATATCATTCCAATGTCTTCTGGCTTTCACAGTTTCTGACAACAGGTCTCCTTTAATTTTGCCTCTTGTTTCTCTCTTAGGCATGCGTGTCTTTTTGTCTCTGGTTTCTTTTAGGACTTATTCGTTATCACTGATTTTTCAGTGATGTTATTACCACATGCCTTGGTATTGCTTTCTATCATTATTATGTTTTTTTTTTTCAGATTTACTGAAGCTGTATGTCTATGATGGTCATCACATTTGTAAATTTTTTTTTACCATAATTGTATAACTTTTTTCCTGCCTTGTTCATTTCCTTCTCTCTGGAATTCTTATTACAAATCTGATAGCATGCTTAATAATGTCATTACATATTTTTTCCTCTTTAAGTTCAATGACTTTTCCTACTCTAGTGCCTAATTTGCTTTTAATCCCACTCAATGTTTCTTTTTTTCATTCCATATATGGAATTTTTATCTCTAGCCATTCAATTTGAATTTTGTTTACAAATTCATTATGATCTTTCTTTCTGTTTAAGACCTCATTATATGCATGTTTTGTTTTATGCTCTTTCCCGTATTTCCATATTAATGACACCTATTTTTTAAATTCACAGGCTATTTTTTAGAACTGCTTTAGGTTTATTAAAAAAAAGTAGGCAGAAAGTACAAAGTTCCTATATACCCTCTCCCCCAACATTTTAAGTTTCCCCTATTCTTAATAGTGTGGTATTAGATTAGATCAGTGTGGTTAACTTGTTATAATTGATGAACCCATATGGATACATTATTATAAACTAAAGTTCATAGTTTAAATTTGAGTTCCCTCTTGTACAGTTTTACAGTTTTTGACAAATGTATTGTGACATGTATCCACCATTACTGCTTGCTACAACATAGTTACGATGTCTTTAAAAATCCTCTTTGCTCCACTTATTCATCCCTCCCTCCCTCCTTGAATCCCTGGTAAACACTGCTCTTTCTACTTTGTCTTTAGTTTTGCCTTTTCCAGAATGTGATACAGATTGAATTATCCAATATGTTGCCTTCAATTGGCTTCTTTCACTTACAAATATGTATTTAGGACCCTTCATGTATTTTTGTGGCTTGATAGCTTATTTTCTTTTTTGCTGAATAATATCCCATTTTAAGTGTATATCACAGTTTGTTTATCTGTCCACCTATCGGTTGCTCCCAAATTTTTGCAATAAGAAAGCTATTTTAGACATTTATGTTCAGGATTCTGTGTGAAAATCAATTTTGAATTGAATCAGGTAAATACCTAGGGCCACAGTTGCTAGATCATATGGTAAGACTATCTTTAGGATTCTAAGAAACCACCAAACTGTCTTCCAAATAAAAATGAAGATACAACTCATCAAAATTTGTGAGCTGTAGCAATAGCACTGTTTCAAGAGACATTTACAGAAGTGAATGCATATACTAGAAAACAAGAAAAATCTCAAATCAATAATCCTAGCTTTTATCTGAGAAAACTTAACTTAAAAAAAGGAGAAAATTAAATAAAAAGTAAAGGGAAAAAAGTAATAATGCTGCTTGCTGCATCTGTCAATTACCTATAGAATGATAAACAGTCTCCAACTATCATAGTGGGTTTGCACATTTCTCCTTGTAGTTTTATCATTTTTGCCATGCATATTTAGACTGTCCATTGTTAGGCACATACACATTAAAGATTTTATATATTCTTGGAGAATGGACCACTTGGTCATTATGTAATGGCCTTCTTTATCACTGATAATTTCCCTTATTCTGATATCATCTTTGTATGAAATTAGTATAGCAACTCCAGCTTTTTTCTCATTAGTTTTGGCATAATATATCCATCTCCATTCCATTACTTTTTATCTATTTATGTCTTGATATTTAAAGTCCTTTCTTGTAGAAAACATGTAGTTTTCTTTAATTCACTCTGATAATACTTATTTTTAATTATTGTATTAACCGTTTATAACAAAGTGATTACTAATATGGTTGAGTTAATATCTACCATACTTGTAACTATTTTCTATTCACTCCTGTTTTTCTTTTTCTTTCTTCTTTCTTTCTTCTTTCTTTCCTTCTTTCCTTCTTTTATCCTTTTGTCCTTTCTCTAGTTTTAATTGAGCATTTTACACTATTTCACTTCCTTTCCTCTCTTAGCACATCAATTATATTGCTTTTCTAAAAAAAAATTTAGTGCTTTTCCTAGATTTTGCAATATACACTTACAACTAAATACATTTTCAAATAACTCTATATCACTTCATGTGTAGTACACAAATTGTATAACAATACATTCCTATTTTTCTCCCTTCCTTATAATATGGACCTCACTAATTTCACTTATCCTTAACCAATAATCACCATATATATTGTTGCTATTAGTGTTTGACACAAAGTATTATCTGTTAGATAAACTAAGAATAAGAAAAAAATATATTTTATTTTATTTTTTCTCTAGTGTCTGTCTTTTTCTTTCCCTCCCTCCCTTCCTTCCCATAGCTCTGTTTCCAACCTTATTTTCATTCTCCCTAAAAGTAAATATTCCAACCTATATTATTCTGACCTATATTGTATTCACTCACCCTGAAAAACTTCTTTTAATATTTCTTGCAAGGCCAGTCTCCTAGTAGCAAACGTCCTCACTTTTTGTTTGTTCGGGATTCACATTATGTATGTGTTAGCTCACCTGCAGTTGACCCACAGTTCTTTTGATCTTCTGCTCCACGGTTTTTATTCTTTATTCTCATTTCATTTCAGTTTTGGACGTTTCTGTTTACGTATGTTCAAGCCCTCAAATTTTTTCTTTTCCATATCTTGTCTACTGATGAGCTCATCAGAGGCATTCTTCCTTTCTATTATACTGTTTTGATTTCTAACATTTTTTTCTTATTCATTCTTAGAGTGTCCATCTCTCTGCTTACATTATCCATCTTTTCTTGTATGTCATCATTTTTTTCATTAGATTTCTTAACATAGTAATTATATATTTTTTAATTCCCGGCCTGATAATTCCAGTGTTTCTGCCACATCTGGGTCTATTTCTGACGCTTTTTGCTGTATCTTCAAACTGCGTTTTTTTTTGTATCTTTTAGAATCTCTTGTAATTTTTTGTTGAAAGCCATACATGATGAACTGAGTAAAATGAACTGGGATAAAGAGGCCTTTAGTGTGAAGTTTTATGGTTATCTGGCTGAGTTAGGCTGTGTTTGTTGTTTGCTATACATATAGAGGTCAGCGGCTAGAATTCCCTTTCTTGTCCTTGTTTTTGTCTCACATGTTACCTTTGGGTTTTACTGGAGATTCCTTCTTAAAAGAGCATGTGAGCCTCAGATTTCTTTTATCTGTAACCCACTGTTATTATACAGGAGCCTGGTTGACATGTCAGTAAACTATGGGGTTAGGGAAGTTACAATTCAATCCTATAATTTGGTTCCAGTCTTTTACTGAGCCTGTGTTTCTGGCCTATAAATTTCCCCCATGCCCTCAGGGGAGACAAAATGGCTGAGGGACTCAGGACTTGGGTATTTCCCTTCTCCCATATCAAAGGCCAGAGGGAGCTAGAATTAGATATTCCCTTTCTCTAAATTGGTTAAGCTGTGGCAAAACCCAAGGCAATTGGCTCTGTTAAAATAGTTTATTTTGAGGGTAGTCCTTTGTTAAGTAGAACAGAATGTTCTGGACTTACTTCAGATTAAAAACTTTCCTCTTCCACTATGGAAGCAAAAGAGAAATTTTCCCCTATGTTCACCCTGAGAAGCTGATGGGACTACTAAAGGTAAAAATGCTCATCAATGTGGGGTATCTTATAAAGCTGTTTCTCATGCAGTTTCTAACTTTCAAATTAGTCCTCACTGGGCCTCTGACAATTCATCAATTATGGTTTAAACATTCCTACCAGAACTGGGTTGCAGCGGGCTTCTGCTCTAGAGTGTCTGCTCCTAGTAAACTGTGATTCATAGGATATGACTCTCTCTCCAGTTTTCAAGTTACATTGTGGTTTATCCTGTGATCTCAATTCTCTGATGAATCTATAAACGTTGTTGATTTTTAGCTTGTTCATCTTTTCTCTTTTTGAATGTATAAATTGACAATCCAATCTCTCTACACATTGGACTGGAAACTAGATCATAGTTTTTTAGGCCTTTGTATGTTAATTCCTTTATCTTATTTCTGCATTTGTTTCAGTTGAATTATATTTCTCCTAATCCAAGTTTGTTTTTTTCTGCTTCTTTGATTGCCTAGTAATTTTTGACTGAATTCTGGACATTGTTAATTTCTTATTTTCCAATGATAGACTTCTTGCCTTCTTTTAAAGATCCTTGTACTTTGATCAGGCAGTTACATGTAGGTGATACTTATCAAGTTTTTTTTCTTTTTCTGAGAAAATTTAATTTTTTAAAAAAAACCTTTGTTTTAAAATAAATTTTATTACGTATATTTAAGGTATACAATGTGATGTTATGAAATATATGTAGATTGTAAAAAGTTACCATAGTGGAACAAATGAACATATCTATCCTCTCACATAGTTACCCATTTTTTGTTTTTGTTTTTATGGCAATAACAGTTAAAATCTATTCATTTAGCATGAATTCCATGTATGGTAAAATTTTATTTCCTATAGTCCTCCTGTTGTATATTAGACCTCTAGACTTGTTCATGGTATATATCTTATACTTTGTATCCTCTGACTTATATCTCCCAATTTTCTCCCTTCCTCCTCTGCCCCAGAACCACTGTTTTGTTCTCTTTCTATATTTGAGTTTTTAAGAATCCTCATTTAAGTGAAATCAATCATGTAATACTTTTCTTTCTTTGTCTGGTTTATTTCATTGTCCTCCAGTCTCATCTATGTTGTGTTAAATGAGAAGATCTTGTTCTTTTTTAGGGCTGAATAATATTTCATTATTATTTTTATGGGATATATAGAAATATACCACAGTTTCTTTATCCATTCATCCCTTGATGGACAGTTAGGCTTTTCCATATCTTAGCTATTATGAATAATGCTGCAATGAACATGGGAGTGCAGACATTTTTATGAGGTGATGATTTCATTTCCTTTGGGTATATTCCCAGAAGAGAGATTACTGAATCATATGGTAGTTTTATTTTTAATTGCTTTAGAAAACTCTATTCTCTTTCCCATAATGACTGTATCAAATTTACATTCCATCAACCATATATAAGAGTTCTTTTTTCTACACATCCTTGCCAACATTTGTTATCCTTTCACTTTGATAACAAGTTAAATCATCTCCTAACAGGTATGAGATGACATCTCATGGTGGTTTTGATTTGCATTTCTCTGATGATTAATGATGTTGATTACCTTTCAAGGCTTCTTTTTGACCTTTGTTTTTGTTTTTTGAACTTTTTACCCAATCAGTAATTTATCCACTCTCATCTGCTCTCACTCTCCCCCATTTTGTAGTTTCCAATGTCTATTAGCTCCATCTTGATGTCCATGTGTATCCATTGTTTTAACCTTTGCTAATGTGTTCAGAGGAACCTTGGTTTTAAGGCTAATTCTCCTTTATTACCAAGGCCCAATGTTTCTGAGTACTCTACCCAATTCCCCTATGAATTAGGTCTCTCCTGTCTGCTCTTGAGAATACAAATTATTTCCATCTTTCTGTGTGAATTCCAAAAATTCTTTACCCTCTGGCTTTTCCTATTGTTCTTTCTAGAACTTCATGACATTTTATCCAACATTTATGCAGATCAATGCTCAGCTAAAAACTCATGTTTTTTTTTTGTTTTTTTAACCTTCTGCAGGTCTTTGAACCCTTCTCATCGTGCAGCTTCTGCTCTCATATTTTTCCCCATAAGTTCTTGACACTCCAGCTTTCCAGTGCCTTGATCCCTGTCTCCTTAACTCTGTGGGATTACATGGCTCTGCTTGAGTTTCTACCCCTGGCCTCTGCTTCAGTAATCAAGCTAGGGTAATGGTAACGGTAATGGTCAATTCATACGTTTTCTTCTATCACAATTTCATGCTCCTAGAAGTCTGAACACTCTTGTAAATTTTTTTTTCTGGTCTCTAGTTATGGCCTATTCCTATAGCAGTTAGTCCTTCACAGACCTTTGGCGATGTCTCTGTCCTCACATACAACAACCATCTAGATGTGTGGTCATCCTGTTAATTTAGGAAAAAATGTTATTTGGAAACTGGTCTTGTCTGATAATTGTTGATAATGAATAAAGGTAATTCTTGATTCCAAACCATTTATATTCATTGTTCAAATATCAGTGAAGTTTGTCTTCATTAATGCAATGAATTCATTTAATATAATTTGCACACTGTAGAGGAACTGGAGAGTTAGCTGCCAACCAGCCATTAGAAGATTTCTCCTTATTTTTCTTATAAGCTAGAAAATTCTAGAAATATACATTTCTTCCTTTCCTTTTTAAAATAAAAACTTATCTGTTGTCCACTTGGGGACATATCTTTTGTTTAAGAGCATTTGTGGGACATGTAAAATCTTACCAAATCATTTTTTTCCAGAGAAAGCAAACTGAAGGTACTATTTGTTATGCTCCACTATTCAATACTATAAAAAATAAAAGAAAAAGCATCTAAATTATTCTATTTTCATCAGTTATTTTACACAGAAAAACTATACAATTAGAGTTGAATTTCATAATTACTTTTTACTCCAAGATGGAAAATGTGTAGTTAATCAAAAGAGAGTACTGCAAGATTTATTTTTTGCTACCTATTTTCTAGCACATAAAATAGATGGAGAGGCATCCTTAAATCAGCACACCTCACCTTCCCAATCCAGTCACTACTTATTACAAGTTTGATGTAACCCAAAATAAAGTTTACTAGCAAACTATTAAATATAGGCAAATTGTCTTTTTCAACACTGTTAGTTCAGTGATGAGAACCAAGTTTTAAAATAATTGATATTTGGCTCTAAGTTATTGCAATGGGAATGGGTAAATTTGCATCATGAATCCACAACACTTGGAGTAAAGAGTAATTATGAAATTCAAATAACCAAATTCAGTTTACCTAGGATGGTTTTGTTATGGACACACACATCCATGCTCAAAATTCAGCATCACAGGGAAGCAATAAAGCTAGTCAAAGAAAATATACTGAAGGTGGAAAGACACGTATCAGTGACTCAATGTATCAGGTCAGCATATATGTGAAACGGTGATTTTGGACTTATCATATAGGGGACTGAAACATTTTAGCCTATCTCTCCTCAGAGTAAAATTCCACCATGGAGAGGAGGAGCTTCATGAGGAGTTCCAAAGAGCTGTAACATTGCATGAAAGATCTAAGGACGAATTTAATATCTCACTCTCAGGTCTTGGGTACTGGGAGGAGTAGAAAGATAAGTAATTGTCCTTTGACTTTAATGATCCATTGTAGATCTGCACAAAGCAGAATATCTGTAGTAAAGTATAGATAAGAAATTCAGCTCTAGGTAGATTCAGGTAAAACTTGAAATAAGCATTCTTTCATGTTGGATTGCGTTCTTCAGCGTCAAGAGTAGTTTTCTTTTTTCAAGCTCAACCTTTACATCTAGATAGACAGAAAATAAAATAAATATAATCAAAACCATTTACAAGTTGCCATTCACTAATATTGTCTATTTAGTTGAGTAGGATTATCATATCACATGCTTCTATGTCCCTTGCCATTCTGTCCTTACACAGATATGTCTTTGTTTCTTCTTTCTGTTTTTCACAGCCATCAGGTAGGCAATTGACATTTCTAGTGTAATGAAAGAGAAAATAGAGACACAATAAAAATAAGCAAGTTACCAGAGTTTATAATCATAGCTACCAAACTCTGTATTCCTAGTTTGTTTATTTATTCACATATTTGCACTATCTCCTGGGCATATATAAAATAGAGACAAGGGCCAGGCACAGTGGCTCACACCTTTAGTCCCAGCACTTTCCACTTTGGGAGGCTGAGGCAGGACAATTGCTTGAGGCCAGGAGTTTGTGTCCAGCCTGGGTAACATAGCGAGACCCTGTCTCTAAAACAAAACAAACAAAAAACCATATAGGTATATGTGTGTAATATATATAAAATATATAATATGTGTAATATATATAATATATATTATATATAATATGTGTAATACATATATGTTACATAATATGCATAATATATGTTATATATGTAATATATGTTATATAATATACATATGTTATATATGTGTAATATATATAATATGTGTAATATATAATATATATGTGTAATATATATTATATATAATATGTGTAATATATATAATATATAATATGTGTAATGTAATATATATGTACACACATACACACACACACACACACACACATACATACAGGTATGGTGGCACGCACCTGTAGTCCCAGCTACTCGGGAGGCTGAGGTAGGAGGATCACTTGAGCCCAAGAGTTCAAGGCTGCAGTGAGCTATAATGGTGCCACTGCACTTCAGCCTGGGTGACACAGTGGGATCCTGTCTAAAAATGAATAAATAAATAAATAGTTTTTAAAATAAAATGAGAAAAATAGAGACCTGAAAATGAAAGATGACATATACATTCATTACCAAATATAGAGACAGAATAGACTTATTACAGATTACGACTGCCTCCTCCTCTCATCCCTCCTTAGTAAATGCAGTTCTTATATAGAGGGTACAGTTATCTCATCCTAAATGTTTAAGTCTAACTCATGAGAAACACAGATTTGGCATTAAGAGTAATAACAACATTTTTTTCTAACATTCAATATCATTTCCCATCAATTATCTTACTAAAGTTTGCTTTGCAACTATATTACTCTCACTTTTTAAATATCACTGGCAAACTGTAATATAATTCCTGGACCTTGGTTCAAAGCTTTACAGAAATCTACTCATGAAAATCTCTTCTGCATAATACATAACATGTGGATTTCTTGGCTTAGGAAGAGACCTTTAGAAGGCATGATTCTTTAATAATGTACCATAAAGAAAATGTTTTCAAAGTATGTTTAAGATAAAAATAATCTAATTATATAATTATGGATAGAGAAAGAAAGAGCTCTATGTGGTTAGCCTGGCTCTAACTATGAAAATATGCTTTTCATGGAATTGGCATAGTTTACCAACTAAGACCACAAATATTAAATTGCTCATCATAGGTGGGCTTTCTGTAAGATTTTAATTATGGACAGCCAATGACTGCTCACATATCAATTCAGCTTGAAATCAAACATGGCTGTACTTCCTATATTAAGTGCAATTTAAAGAAAGATCACATTTGATTCATATGTAAATTGCTGGCAAAAATTCTAAAGCTACTTGTTGGCCCATTCTTCTTCTTTGGTAGCCAGGGTAGGAACACATTTTGCCAATGTGAGAAGTTTCTCCATTTTCATGGATTGGGAGATTAATTCCAAACTTAGGAAATACTTTTGGTTTTTTATGTTGTTTACACTTAACAAAGCACAATTTCCAGTTTCGACAAAAAAATATGGACTTAAATACTTTCTGAGCAAATAAACACATAAATATTAAAAAGACTTGCAGGACTAAAAAATAAGAAAGCCATATAAATCTCTTTTGGTTGCACAAGTATACATAACTTAGAAATTTAAGGATCTAGTTTTCTTTAATATATGCCTGGATTTAAAGATTACAGGGAAAAAAAGTATTGAAAAAATAAATTTGATGTTTTATTTTAACTATTATTTATAAAATAATTTATGAAGACATGACTTCAAAACATAGCTGTGTCATCCTTTTCTAATTCATGTATAACAAATGGCAACACTTTAAATATGTCTGTCTTTCATAACATGATGCATGTTTTCCCTCCCCATAAAAACCTCAACTCATGTATAACAGTATTTTTAACTAATAAAACTGCAGTAATCCAAAGAAATTTAGACATGTATAAACTAACTAAATAGATACAGTTTTTCATTTGACATTACTTCAAAATTAAGGTTAGCAAAATATCACCTGGGACTAATTTTCTGAGGCTCAGACTGTTCCGCTCTATGTTTGTAAGGAATGAGAAATGAATGAAGAATTTTTTCTCTCTCAAAGATTTTCAACTGGGCAGTGGCTAAAAAAGAATCAGTCATAGGAAGCCATTTTGAAAATTAACAATCTTTTCAGTGGAAAGTGATGTTTTAGTTTATCTCTTTGGATTTTATATATCTAATGCATATGTATAGACCCAAGAAGCCTACTTGTGGGTGTAGAACAATTTTAGAGCTTGTTTTTTAAAGTATAAAATTCCTAGTGTAGAAATTTATATAAAAATAAACAGATGGAAGGCAAAAGAACATGTGGCCCACAATTTTTAAAATTGGAAAAAAAATTATTTTTCTTGATTCATATTGGAATAGCAACCATAAATGAGGACAATTAGCAGCTTTTCTTTTCCCTTTGATTCAGTAAAATGTTTGTTTGGCTGAAGTAATCAGAATATAAATTTTCCCTGTAAGGGAGTTGCAGAGAATAGTGTATTGGAATTTTATTTTCAACATTTTTTTCTTTTGCAAAAGAAAGACCAACAGAAAATTGTTGTGGTTAATAAAATAGGATTCATAGTAATAGTGATATCACATGTCTAATGTGAACCATAGCAGCTTTATCCAGGGCAATAACCCTTCTCCTTTTTTGTACACTTATTTTGTTCTATACCATCCAAATAAATATGCCTCACTGCAATTCCACTTTCCTTCAAATATTGTTTTCTACAGATCATTTCCAGAGAGCTATATAGCTATTTTTTGCCACTGATTAGAAAGAATAGGCACAACTTTTTTCCCACTGCTATGTTTTATTTGCTTTGTAAGATTTTTCTTGTGACCAAATATGCCAAAGTATTGTATAATATTGGCATGTTAAAATCTAAATATTTGAACAAAATTTGAGCAATATTTAAAATGAATCAATTTGTAAATTGTCTAGATATTGGAGAAAAACAAGGTGAAGGATTAGCTTTCCAATTTATATCAGGATACAAATGAAAACCACTAGGTCTTCTCAAAACTTACACCATTTCTCCATGATCAAGATAGCTGACCTGTTAGTTTACTTCTGATTTCAGTTTTAGCAATGTCTTAATTGGAAAATGGCAAAACAATGTTGTCATTGCAAGACTTCCAGGAGTGCATCTGTTTCTAATGTACAGTGCATAATTTAATGACGAGACACTTCAGTGGTCTACCCACTGCAAATCTCAGTTGTTAAATATGTCTGGAGCAAGACGTCTTTAAATAGTAGGCACTTTTTTGGTACATTAATTTCCTCACACTCAGAAGCAGAAAATGTGATTCTAGCTGTCACTTTGTGTAAAGCTCTGTTTACTTTAAAATACTATTTACAGCCTAAATGTCTTGTTCAAACTGATTAACTACAGTGGAATTTAAACTTTTATAAAACCTGTTTATTATGGTTAAGGGTTTCAGAATTTTTTCTTTCCCTTCAGACTATGAATTAAGGAATCTCTCTAATCAGCATTAAAACGCAGAGCTCTCAAGGCAAATCTTGAAAAAGATAAACCAACAGTACTCCAGAAGAGATTAAAATTTTAAATGTAGCCACAACTTGGTGTAGAGCTTGGACTATAATCATAGGATGTAAACACTTTTTTAAATTCTCCAAGAGATTAGGAATGAAGAGACAAAGCCAGAAAAACCATCCTCACACCACAATACCAAAGCAATTATCAAACATTATCTTCATTGATGATTCATCTTGACTAACCACATGCTTGCTGACTAGCTTGGTATCCATCAAATCTTCTTTTACAATGCATAACATCCCATTATATGTGGTTAAATGTGGTTGTCCTATTTAGAGCTAGTCTAACCAGTATTACTAAGAGATAACAAATGTTGAATGATAATCCCATATTTTACCAGCAGGGTAAGGAAAAAATTCATACTAAGGAAATATAAATTGAACTTTTATTAAAATTGTTAAAATACTATTATAAGCCCCTATTTCAGCTATGGAAAGATAGTACCTTAAAACAATCAACTTCACTCCTCATTTAGAATATCAAATAACTCCTGAAGTTAATTCCATCCTATTTAGAGTTGAAAAATAATATTTCCCCACAAGAACTTGTTCTTTTTGCATTAGGTGATTGTGAGATAAATAGGACTCTACTGATTAACGTAAAGAGTGTGAAGATAGCTTTACAATTAAGTTAATAATTTTATATAGCGAACATAACTTCACAAGAAAAATGTTAGAACTTTTAATCCTTGAGTCAACAGAGACAATTGCAATCAGCAGTTTCTTAAGAAAAATTATGGAGATGATGGATAACGTGACGTCAAAGATTTATTTTGTCATTACTTCTCTAATTCAGTCTCAAACTCCTATTTTAAGGGAATTATAAGAATATCTTCCATATATTATTGCTTCTAAATGCCTGGGGCAAACATTTTTTCTGTAGTCAGATCTTTCCCAACAACTTAGTTTTCTCCTGATATCTTTTTCCTGACTCTCAACCACTGTGTACACAGAAAATATAGGAAACTTGTAATAAATGAATAAATTCTCACTTCAGAAACTTAACTTTGCTGGGAAAATACATAATAATTATTCAGTCAAGTTTAAATTATTATTTGATATATCTTCTTTTTTGGGTGACTGCTACAAAGATGATTACATGAAAAGGGACACAACTGTGGACTTTTGATTGGCTATTTTTATTGAACCTTGAAAATTTAATTCAACACATCATGGTGGATTACCTGCTATCTGTTGGAAGCTTTTATAAGTATTTTGGATAAATAAGTGAAGACACATACAAATAGGAATTTCTTGCCATATCCAAGTGAGGAGATAGAAAACAAACAATAAACAGAATAAGAAAAATATAAAATAGGCAAGAAAATGAAAAGTGCTACATATAAGAAAAGGAAAACAGAGAATGGGGAATCAAGAGTGGGGCAGGTTGGAAAAATAAGATGCATGTTGTCGTATGAAATAGAGTGGGCTGGCCAGGCTTTATTGAAAAAGTGAAATTTAAGCAAAGACTTGAAAGAGATTTTGGAGTTACCTAAATGAGCATATTTGAGGAAAGAACTTTTCAGGGGGAGGAAATAGCTAAAGCAATAGATGAAGAAAGGTGAATAAAATAGGAATGATGAGGATGTTTGGGGGTTTCTGGCAATGGTGGAGTAAGTGAGAGACCCATAGGCAAGGTCAGAGTGGTATTGGTGGGGTTTGCAGAGTATCACGCAGGGTCTTTGGGCATATTCAAGGACTCTCCCTTTTTCTCCAAGTACAATAGGAAGTCGTTTCAGAGTCTAGAGCAGAGGCGTGCTATGACATGACTCACATCTTCAGAAGAGCACTTGAGCTCTTGAGAAGAGACTGCTGGGAAACAAGTGTAGAACCAGGGAGCCTAGTTGAATGAATATTGCGGTCACCCAGGTGAGAAATAATGGCTTAAAACAGAGTGATAGCCAAGGAGTTGGTGAGAAGTGATCAAATACAGGACATATTTTAAAGAAAGACCCAACAGAATTTTGTAATGGGAGATGATGCAAAGGTCTTGAACAATCAGAATGTAGTTGCCATCGGCTGAGTTGGATAAGGCTATGCTCAGTTTGGAGGGCACAGATGAGGCCGTCATATTAAGGAAGATGGAGTAAGCAAGCCTGTGAAATGGTACTGTGAGGTTAAGTAACATGAGAACCAAAAATTGACCATTTAGCCTAGTGATGTGAAGGTTATAGGTAAGCTCAACAGTATCATTTTTTGGTGGAGTAGTGGGAGTAAAAGCTCAAATTGAGTGGATTTCAGAGATGATTGATAGGAAAAGAGAACTTGGAGACAATACATCTGCATATCTCTTCTGAAGACCTTTACAGTGAAGGAGAGCAAAGAAATGTGATGGTAGTCATTAGGGGAGAGGTGGTTAAGAGACATTCTTATTTAAGATGAGAGCAATGATAGCATGAAAATAATAGAGAAGAGGGGATAATTTATGAACCCGTCTGAGTGGACATAAGGAGGTTGATATCTAGTGCACAAGTTGAAGAACTGCATTTGGATAGGAAGATGGAAGGAAAAGCACACAGAGACAGCTCTGGTGGATGGGAATATGGCAGTAGAAGCCTACAGAAATTCTCTTAGAATTGATT
Source organism: Homo sapiens (assembly GCF_000001405.40). Lineage (NCBI taxonomy): Eukaryota > Metazoa > Chordata > Mammalia > Primates > Hominidae > Homo > Homo sapiens. The sequence continues at coordinate 80,876,939 of NC_000009.12, forward strand.
TAAATGCTCTAGGGCTGAGAATAAAGGTGAAAAGGGAGGTTTTGAGACAAAAGCATAAGGTATTAGTTTTTGAAGAGACTGGGTGCAATGGCTCATGCCTGTAATTCCAACACTTTGGGAGGTTGAGGTGGGAGGATCACTTGAAGCCGAGAATTTGAGATCAGCCTGGGCAATATAGCAAGATCTAATCTCTACAAAATTAAAAGTTAAAAAAAATAGCTGAGCATGGTGGCATGCACCTGTAGTACCAGTTACTTGGGAGGCTGAGGCAGGAGAATTGCTTGAGCTTAGAAGTTCAGGGTTACAATGAGCCATCCGTGATCACACTGCTGCACTCCAGCCTGGGGAAAAGAGTGAGATCCTGTCTCTAAAAAAACATAACATAAATGAACTAGAGATTTGTCTTAGTGCCTGGCAAACTGGTTTGAACAGAACTGAAAAAGTGCCTCCAGTTTAAGAAAATCTTCAAGATTAGAGAGTTATAAGAAGCCTAACTCTACTATAAAATTAGAGACTGTTTTATTTTTTGTTTCAGTTTTATAATAGAATATGTCAAAAATATAAAAAGTAGAGTAACTAATATAATGAATGGTTATGCATTGATCACTCAGCTTTAATAATTATCAACTCAAGGCTAATTGTGGTTCATTATACAACTATACCCTCTTTTTTTCATTGAATATTTTAAAACAATCAATATATATAATCTTTTAACCTATCATTTTATTTAAGCTGCAAACATTTCAAGATGTATCTCTAGATGACAGGCACTCATTTTTATAAATATGCCACTATGATACCTAAAATATAATAACAATGATTCTTTATCATTGATTTACTGCTCATTGTTCACATTGTACCAATTTGTTTGCTTCAGTGGGGATCCAATTAAGATCACAGCTTTGCCATTGAATGATTTTTTAATATATCTTTAATTCTATAGTTTGCCATCCATCTTATTATATTTCTTTGCAATTTGTTTCTATTATTGTTAAAGAAACTGGATTAGTTTGTCACGCTCTGAAATTTGCTGATCACTGCATGTTCATGGTGGGTTTCATATCTTCTTCTGTTTCCTTTATTTTTTATAAATTGATGGGTAGATCTGGTGGTTCGATCATATTTTGGTTTATTTGAGTAATTTGTTTTCATAGGTGGTGTTGTATAACCAAATCAGGATTTGCATATCAGTGGTCTCTCATTTTGTTATTTTTTTTCCAGCAATTTGTGATAATTGCCTAGATCTGTTAACTTTATAGGAGTTATAAAATCTTGACATTCCACTACTTATTTCTCATGTATTAACTGAAATAATCCCAGAGCAAAATGTAACCTACATTATAAACTAGTTTCTCATCCTGAAGTATAGTTCATTCAGAAAAAGTTGAAAAAAAATCTTGACTATTTTTTATTATATGGGAGTTTTCAAAATAATAAGTTGGTTCCTTAGTATCCTCAAAGGTCACCTACCAATGTTGATTTTAATACTGTTATAAACAAATGGATGTAAATAAATATGATGGATTTCAACCCATTACATTATTTTTAATGATTCCCAAATTTCCCCTCTGACTAAGGCTGTTCAAATTGATTCTGAGTCTTATTAACCTAATTTTTTACTGAATCACAATAATTTTCAAACATTGAAAGAATAACTTCTCAAAATTTTGTGCTATTCACTTTGTAATAGCTACAAATATGGCACATTTTTAGTTTAATCAGCATGATTAACAAACACTTTTCTATTGCTTTCTTTGGTTTAGACCAGTCATAGGCAAACTATGGCCAGTGGGCTGACCTCTTGGTTTGAAAATGCAGTTTACTGGAACACGGTCATGCCTGTTTATTTATGTATTGCCTACGACTGCTTTCACTCAACAGCAATACAGTAGTTGTAATAAAGACCAACTGCATAGTCATCAAGCCTTAAATATTTACTATCTAGTACTTTACAGAAAGTTTGCTAGCTCATAATCTAGACAATCAACATAATAAATCATGCCTTTATTATTTCCAATTTCTGTGATGTAAACACGTTATGCCAATTACAAATCACTAACATAATATCACTGAAGGCAGAGTTGGGAAGAAATGCACATCAACATATCATTATATACTGTTTTCAACATATAGATACAAATGGCATAAATGACTTCAAGAACATAGATGAAAGCAAATTTAGTGAAATAATTAAGAATTTGTGAGTATTAAAAATGTATTTTTGGTCAGGAGCAGTGGTTCATGCCTGTAATCCCCGCACTTTTGGAGGCTAAGACAGGCTTGAGCCCAGAAGTTTGTGACTGGCCTGGGCAACATGGAAAAACCCTGTCTGTACTAAAAATACAAAAATTAGCTGGGCATAGTGGTGTCTGCCTATAGTCCCTGCTACCTTGGAGGCTGAGGTGGGAGGATTTCCTGAGTCTGGGAGGTTGAAGCTGCAATGAGCTGTGATTGCACTACTGCACTTCAGACTGTGACAGAGTGAGACTTTGTCTCAAACAAAACAAACAACAACAAAAACAGCTGGGCAAGGTGGCTCAAGCCTGTAATCTCACCATTTTGGGAGGTCAAGGCAGGCGGATCACCTGAGGTCAGGAGTTCGAGACCAGCCTGGCCAACATAATGAAACCCCATCTCTACTAAAAATACAAAAAATTAGCTGGGCGTGGTGGCGGGTGCCTATAATCCCAGCTACTTGGGAGACTGAGGCACGAGAATTGCTTGAGGTGGAGGTTGCAGTGAGCCAAGCTTGCCCCCATTGCACTCCAGCCTGGGCAACAGAGTGAGACTCCATCTCAAAAAAACAAAAAACAAACAAAAAAACCCAAACAAACAAAAAGAACGTATTATTTTTATTTTAAAGACCATTTACTGTTACAAGTTTCTACAATTGAATGTTTAATAAGGGCTGTGTTTAATAACCTGCTCACAATAGTGCTGATAATTTAGCAATCAGTTCTCACAAGTTAATGCAAGCTGGTTCCAATGAACCACTTCTTATATTCCCACTAGTTGGAGCGTATCAGATTTTATTTATTTTTCTTGAGACTGCGTCTCACTCTGTTGCCCGGGCTGGAGTGTGGTGGTGCACTCTCAGCTCACTGCAATCTCTGCCTCCCGGGTTCAAGCGATTCTCGTGCCTCAGCCTTCCAAGTAGCTGGGATCACAAGTGCACACTACCATGCCCAGCTAATTTTTGTATTTTTAGTAGAGATGGGGTTTCGCCATGTTGGCCAGGCTGGTCTCGATCTCCTGGCCTCAAGTGACCCACCTGCCTCAGCCTCCCAAAGTGCTGGGATTATAGTCGTGAGCCACAGCGCCCAGCCTCATTAGTTTTGATTTTGAGCCCTGAGTAGAGACACAGCCATTATCTTATTGGTAGAGTTGGCTGGGAAGTTAGCTATGAATTAATAGCCTCAAATATTAAGCCTTACATAGAAAGACTTTAAAGAAAAGACTTACTAAATACCTTGGTATGATTAAATATTAAAACTAAATATAATCATAAAAGTGACTCTTGTAGAAGAAAATCAATTTAGCTAAATCTAAAGAGTGTTTAGGAATTGAGGACACTATTTGAAAAGGAGGCACTAGTAAATTTAAGACAAAAACAACATGTATTTGACCTTCGAAATGCTGGCTTTATCAGCTGCTTACCATATGTACTTCACCAAGTCCAATCATAAGTGGCTTCCTAGGGTCAGAGTGGACACTATGGGGACATGAGTGTGTTATTCTCACCTTTGGCCAAAATGACAAACATTAATGATTTATCAAAAAATTTCTACCTTTAGAGTTTGGCTACAACCTCACCATCCCTCTCAACATGGAGTTCCAAGCAAGTCACTAGCAACTGATTATAATTAAATGTGAGTTAAGCCCCAAAGCCATTTTTGATTTAATATTTCACATATATAATATATATATTCTTATTTTCAACATGCTTCAGTGTACTTCCAGAATAACTTTTAAAATATCTTAAGCTTTCATTTCTATAAGTAGAATAATACTCAAAGTTCCTGAATTTAAAAACACCAGGCAGGTATAGACTGTAAACCTAATATTTTGGAAATGCAGAGTGTAACTGAAGCCTGCAAAAGGAAGTATTACTAAAATTTATCAGAGATTTGATTTATGAGGGGTTACGCTGAGTCTACCCAGTTATTTTTCTGCTTGTTAAACAGCACTTAAACTAAAGAAGATTTGGGCTGATAGAATTAAGGAGCTTTTTCCCTTGTTATATTGTCAGTAATATTCATCAGACAAAATGTGAGAAACGTTTCTACATTATGGCTTGTGATCCAGGAAAATCAGGGGGCAGTACCTTCATTCTGAAGTCCCAGTAAATGATCTTCTTTGATCAAAAAAGTGAGCCAGACACTAAAATATTGTCACGGAAGAACTGAAGGCAGGGAGATGCTCAAATCCTCCCAAGTCTGGCATTCAGTGCACCACCTGAAAAGAAGTTATTCAAATACAAAGGAATTACCATGTGAATGGTGTTTCCGCACAATTTCTGCATATGCTGCCTTGCATTTTTATCAAGATGACAAACATAAACCAGCGTGAGAAAGCAGGTGCCTTTTTCCACCATATCTTTTGAACATCAGTATTTCCCAGCAGTTAACTGCATGTGATAATGGCCAGAGCACAGAAACGTATTGATTTGGATCCAAACTCTTCACCCAGAAGCAGCTTTTTGTTGTATATTTTAAGCTTGGCGCTTTTGATCCAGATTCATTAGATGGCAGATGATTTAAATAAGAAGGCAACGAGGCTGATTGAGGGGAAACTTCGTAAGATGTTGAAGTCTCAAAGAATATTTCAGCTCAGAGGGATTTCTTTCGTGGAGCCAAATTCAGATCCCACCTACAGAGTTAAAGCCATTAATTATTAACCACAGTATTACATATTAAAATTACAAGATATCAGGTTGACAGCACATTACAACGAGCCTTCAGATTGTGATTTCCCATCCTAATGATGATGATAAGATAGGACTGAATGGCAAATTGCTATTGCTTTCAGTTGAAAATTTGAAAGAGCTGTGCCCTGATCCCTCGTTACAGAGAACTGCTATTCATTCAGCAGCACTCCTAGCAGAAATAAACCCAGGGTCTAGTGCGGTGGCGGCAGAGATGTTAATTCACAGGACAGCAAGCAGAGAGAAGCTGCTAAATGGCACAGTGGGTTAATGACGCACTACAGTGCTTCACCATGGGAGACATATGGGTCGAATTCTGGCATTGTTCACAAGTGAAAATTGGTTTACCAATCTTAGCTTGGTCCCTGGTGGACAGTTATCCTTGTCCTAGCCCTCCTCAGATGTTGTCCTAATTTTCTGCACAGGAGAGGCTCAAGTCTGCAAGAGGAGGAAAGTTACTTATAAGAGTGAAAATGGCTTAGCAGAGTTAGAAGAGTAAATGGGCCCAATATCTTCCTTCTTTTAATTCCGGTTGCTGCCAGTATCTCATTTTCACAAGCATGAAAATCCACTCAGGGCCGCAAAAGAAAGGCCATAAACAAGGCCAATTTCCTGTCTGCTACAACTACATCCCCAAAGAGCTAAGCAGGCTTAGCACTAATTTATTAAAAAGAGGATACTTATCTGAAACAGGCCTTGCCCTCAGTAGAGAATCTTAGGACTACCAGCTTAAGAGCAGAATAGCTTAGTCAAAAACTTATACGCATTTTAAGAAATAGTGTAAGATATAAAATAATTAATAGGATTCTATAACTCTTCTTATGCACATGTTCTTAATAGCAAGAGAATGTGTGGAATACTTTTTATAATGTATTTGTGTATTTTACAGTACCTTTTTTTACGTTAAATAAAAGCCTTTCCTTTAACAGAAAGACATTCACTTATCTACTCTCCTATGTGAAAAACTAGTCACTGGTAATAAACATTTAAAAACTGCAAATGAAATAAAATGATGAGAGACAATGTTTAATAAAAACTTTAAAGAACTCAAATGAGAAATAAAAGGAAATTACAGAAGTGAATAACACTATCTTATTTTCTAATTCAAAAAATAACAAAGGCTATGGTGACAGAGACTAAAGCGTTGAGAGATTAATGAAATGAAAGATTTCAGAAAGTAGGAAGAAACAGCTATGGCCTATAAAAAGGAAAGAAGATTTAATAATTAATAAAAATTAAAGACAAATATCTACAAAAGATTTTTGAAAGTGACAAAGAAAAAATAAAAAACAAAATGCTGAAATAATTAGTTCTTGTGAATTTCAGGCTATTCAGATATTTTCCATCTCTACAATCATTATTTTCTGGGATTATTTAATAGATTCTCTCATTAATTCTGCCTTCAATCACTCATTCCTTCTCATCTATCTTTTTTTAACTTTTAATTGGTTTTGAGGATAGCTAATATTCATTATTAACTCTTTTCCCGTTTAGGAAAAAAAAAAAGTACAGCTCGTTGCCAGTGATCATTTAATTTTACATAAACACACTCTTTGAGGCTGAAGCAAATCTGACTGAGTTTCAATGTAAAACTAAAATATAAAAACTGTTGTTTTTGGAGTTATTTCTAAACAGAACAAACATCAGAATCATCAGAATCGTCTAGTTTGGAAATATCGAGTTCATCAAATTCAGCCAACAATTGTTTGAGAATGATGTTAATATCACACATAGGAATGCTACATTTTCTAGGATTTGACGTTATCATCCCTCGAGAATTACTATATTTTGTAAGTGGAAATACGACTACTAAAAACAGAATACTGTAAATAGAATGATGTCTTTTGTTTCCAAAGTTGACATACTAGAGTGATGTGAAAATAATTATAAAAGCCAGATATTTTGTGGCAAAGTTCTCAGGGTAAATGCTGCAGCCACAAGCACTGTTGGTGGGTATTCTTGGGGCAAAAAGGGAAAAAGGTTAAAAATGTGTACTCAGTAGCCAAACACTTTGGCAGAGGAATCAAACAGAAAGGGAGAGATTTATAAACATCACATTAAAGTAAAAAACGAGAGAAAAACTCAAATGCAAACGCATTTGTTTAAACAAATAATTTACTTATTTCACAACTCATGATCCTTAAAGATGGTAGAGGCATCCAGTCCACATTTCCCTTCTTTTGGAAATCAGTCTCATCCTCTCTAAAAATAGTCAGCTTCATGAAGCTAACGTCATCCCTTATTTACTTCCAACAAGACTCATTTGTTCATGGTCTGTTTGTCCTTCAATTCCCATTCCTCTTCCTATACCCACAGCTGATTTTCAAAATCCTCTTCTTACCTGTGTTTTGTTCTCTGTTTACATTGCCTCCACTCTCCTGGCCTGCTCAAATCTAATTTGTCTCTATTTCCTTCCTATAAAGCTTTCATTGATACCTTTGGTCCATAGCAATCTCCTCTTCCCCTAACAATAAATGACTGCTCCTCATTAGGAATTAGAAAGCAGCCAAATCGCTGACTTGGCATTTCCTATTTGATTTTATATGACTATGAATTTTTCAGGAGTCTTTTTCTAGTTTCTCCAAACAGATTTTAAGATTATTAAAACATGACTTTGTACATACAAGTTATTTTTCTTAAATATAGAAGTATCTGTGTGTATGTATTCCTCTTCTGACTTTACGTATTTATTTTGATATTTCAAAATACCTAACACTGCTTTACTCAGAGGAGTAGCTTAATAAATATGTTTGAATGAATGCCCACCATAAAATAATTACAACTTATTTTTCTCTGTTAACAGATTATCCTCCCCAATTCTAATCAGCTATTTAAAACCTTCGTAAAATTTAAATGGAACACAAAGGAGAATCATTTAATTCTTAGCTATTAAGGTGATAATGACAGATTTTGAAAGTAATGAGACAGCATTTTGATTTTAAAATACTCCATTTAATACTTTTAAAATTATGATATGATTCATGTGCAATTTTGGATACTTTTAAAATAAATTGTGACAAATTTGAAATTCTTTAAAATCCTTTAAGAACTTTCCTACATAGAGCATTAGATAAGGCCAGTTTTTATTTAATTTTAGGGAAAGTAGCACGTTCAATTAGAAATATTTATGTATAAAAGAACTTGCACTGCCAATTTGACTAAATATACCTAAAATTTAAATTACTACATTGAGACTTTAAGAACCTGTAGCTCTGTCAGTGGGACTGTGGTCCACCTGCTTTCTTCTGGTACAAACGATTTTGAATAGAAAGTAACTACGGAGACCAGGCGCGGTGGCTCACACCTGTAATCCCAGCACTTTGGGAGGCCGAGGCAGGTGGATCACCAGGTCAGGAGATCGAGACCATCCTGGCTAACATGGTGAAACCCCGTCTCTACTAAAAATACAAAAAAACAATTAGCCAGGCGTGGTGGCGGGCGCCTGTAGTCCCAGCTACTCGGGAGGCTGAGGCAGGAGAATGGCGTGAACCGGCAGGCGGAACTTGCAGTGAGCCGAGATCGCGCCACTGCACTCCAGCCTGGGCCACAGAGCGAGACTCCATCTCAAAAAAAAAAAAAAAAAGAAAAAGAAAGAAAGAAAAAGAAAGTAACTACCGAGCATGGTGGCTCACACCTGTAATCCCAGCACTTTGTGAGGCTAAGGCAGGAGGATTGCTTGAGCCCAGGAGTTTGAGACCAGCCTGGGTAACACAGCAAGACCTCATCTCTTAAAAAAAAAAAAAAAAAAAAAAAAAAAAAGTCTCTAAAATCACCTTCACAGAGTTAACAAGAATTCTAGACAAAAATATAGTTATAATTAAGCATTAACCAGGCTGTACTTTGACCCACTTTTTTGTAATCAAAAGTCACATAGCCCTAGATACTGACCATTTGCATCCTAATTGTTCTTATAAATAGGATTTCTGATTATAGAATCATAAGGTGTTTAAGAATTGCTTAAGCAGATTCTGAATTTCAGAGAAAGAGCTGACACTTAACCAGTTTGAAGACCCTCACAGAAGAACCGAATCAGTTTGAAAATATAGTTTCTTCATCTCCCTTTCCCAAGACTTCACCGTGCACTTTTCAACCATTCAACAATCTCCACACTTTGGTCCACTCCAAAACCCTTAAAATCCCTACCCTCAGACTCCTTGGGGAGATGGATATGAGGTTTCCTCCCATGTCCTCATTCAGCAGCCCTACGATTAAACCTCTTTCTCTGCTGCCACCCAGTGTCTCGGCGTATTGACTTGCCCTGCACATAGGGCAATGAACCTATTATGGTTATACGACCATAGAAAGGTAATTTTGCTGTAATAAAAGAATGGCACAAATAGCATAAGGAAGACACTCAAGGGGAAAATTTGTAACCACTAGCAGCACAACAATCCACAAGGAGAGCACTATAGCTGGGGACAGTGGACAACAGATGAAGCCAAAGGGTACACTTAATTCTGTCTATGGACCAGCACCTGGTCTGGATGGATGTCTTCATTCAAGAATCTACTGTCATTTAAAAAAAAAAAACAGCAGTAACAACTATAAGACAGGCTATAAAATGTCTGCAAAATAGAAAAAAAATTATCTGAAATGATTTTCTAGAGCCAAGGTTACTAGCCAGTGTACTGTGGCACACCTGGAGGCTGCAGATAGGTCCACAGGTGACTGAAATTTAATCTTCTTAGCTCTCAAGGTAACCAGAGAGAACCTGGGGTAGCTGGGACCCATGCAGCAGTCCAATCAGTTTGCCCTGGGACATCATCAAATGTTACCCTTTTTCTGCATGTGTAAAGAATCGTGCAAAAAAAAAAATTTTTTTTTAATTATTTATCATTCTCATTAGTACCCAACTTGACAAGACTTCTATGAAAAAGAAGCAGGAAGTTGATAAGTTTTGAATATCTGCATTTGTTTATATGATTCTAAATGCAAACATAAGGTTACGGGATCAAGGTAGATTGTAACCATAGAAGAAGCTATATCTGTTCCCTACACTTCAATTTCTTTCCCCCTTCTGGAAAGAAGAGCCATATGGATAGGCTGGCAAGTATGTGTGTCATACAAGAGAAGAGCCCTATAATTAAGAATCTGGGAGTTAATATACATGCTGTCCAGCTGACGTTCTTACCTCCTGAGAGAAGAGGAAATAATCTCTCCAATGTAAACAAAATATTGGGTAGAGAAGGGGAAGATTCCTAGGTTCTTACCTTTGGCATTCAAATAAATGTCTCTAGATGAGGGATAAGACAAGTGCTTTCAGGTTTATATCTCCTGGAAACTATCCAAGGATCCTGGTTTCATGCCCCTTGGAATATAAATATACAGACATGTTCAAACAAACAAGGACGTCATCAGGTAAAATTTGAAAAGCTGAAATAAGACCTCCACATGAAAACAGAGTTTTTCTGCATTAGAAAACCTAAAATAAAAAAAGAAACTTGATCCTAGGCATAAATTGGCACATGCCCAAAATTAAATTATCAAGGCAAACAAGAAATCTCATAGGCATAAGGGACAAAACAAAGGTTAGAACAAGGTAGCCATTGCTACAGCCAGTGTTTTCAGAATGGTTACAATGTTTCAAGACTTTTGATATGAACTTCAGGAACTTATTCAGATGTGGGATTCAGACAGATAATGACAAGACAGAGAATAAGTTCTAGGAAGGGGAAAATTAAACAGGGCAGCAATCTCAGTAAGTTTTTGAAAATGGTCTGAGATGGCTGATTCTGGAATGATGAGTTGGAGTGAGTCAGTATAAAGACCAGGAAAGAATGTTCCAGAAGGGGATGGAAACAGGGGCGTATGATTTGATGGGAAGGGTTTGTTACTGTAAATGAAGGCAGAACCCTACGGATAAAACAAATTATGGCATGCTGCAGTGTTAAATAAGTTCACTGTGGTTGAACTGCAGGGTTTAATCAAGACAGGGTCAGGACATAAAGCTGGAGACATATACGTAGTTACGATCCTGCAAATGCTTATATGACAGGTCAGAAATTTGTATTTTATCCTTATAGCAAGAATTGCTTTTGAAGGATTTTAAGCAGAAGAGTGATCTATGAGAAATTTTCATTTTAGTCCTTTATGGTTCAAATCCTATGTCTACCATTTGACCTTGGGCCTAATAGATATTTCCTCCATGTCTTGGTTTCCTTATCTGTAGCATAGAGATAATAACAATACTTAATAAAGTTGTTGTAAGGATTAAAGGAGAATTATTTGGCAAGTGCATGACACATAGTAAATTTTCTACAAATAGCTATTATTATTAAGGGATTTTAAACAGAAGAATAACATGATTGGAATTTAGGGAAGTCTTTCTGGCTGAATTGTGGAGGCAGATTCAGAGGTGTAAAATTGCAGGTAGAAAGAACAGTTAAGAAGCTGTTACACAAGAATCCAGAAAAGAGAAGAAGATCCTTTGAGATAGAGTATTAGCAAGGCACACAGAAATAGACACATACAAGCTATATTTAGAAGGAAGAAGCCATAGACAGAATGATTAAATGAATATAAGGATTGAGTTATTGAACCCCATACTTCTCTATAGCATTGAAAATTGTAATTCAATAATTAAACATTTGATGATGATTTTTATTGTTTCTGATTAACTGATTGATTGACTTTGTCTTTCCCTATCAGACCCGTTAGGTATCTTTTTTTTTTTAAAGACAGGTTCTCATCTGTCACCCAGAATGGAGTACAGTGGCACTATAATAACTTACTGCAGCCTCGAACTCCTGGACTCAAGTGATCCTCCCATCTCAGCCTCCCAAGTAGCTGGGACTACAGGAGCACACCACTACTCTTGGCTGATTTTCTAAAAATTACTTTTATAGACTTGCTCTATTTCTCAGGCTGGTCTCAAATTCCTGGCCTCTAGCAATACTTCCACCTTAGCCTCCCAGAGCCCTGGAATTACTGGTGTGTGCCACCATGCCCAACATTTTCATCATTGTGTTATAGTGCATAAAAATAATAGACACGTTTTAATATGTTGAGTATTTTGTGTGGTAAGATGACTAATTTGGCTCTGGGAATATAAATGTGAGTATGATTTTATACTACAAGATAGCAATCATCTGTACAGGGGTTGTACATGAAAATTTCAGCTGTTGGAGTGAGTGTGGTTATCTAGGAGGTAATATGCAGTGAGAAGACAGTGGGTTGGGCATAGAACCCTGAAGAACATGGACAGGTTGGGCAGGTAAAGGAAGAAAAGCCTTGAAAGGATTCTAAGAAAGAATGTCTGAAAAATGGAAGAAAGACATGGAATTTGTGGTGTCAACAAAAGTGGAAAATGTTTTAAAAGCAACAGCAATATAAAACAGTCTTTCACGCAATTAAACAGTAGGAAATGTTAAGAGGTCAAGTATAATAAATAGTAAGATACTGGCTAGCGAAGTTTACATAAATTACAGGATGAGGAATATAAGATTGAATTCAAGTAGCGACAATAAAATTTAACTTTTTAGAAGTTACTGAGCTACAAAAAAAAAAAAAGGTAGAAATAGGTAAGTAATTGGAAAGAGAAATTGTGTTGTGCAGATATGTGTGAAACTCCCTAAGTGTTGACAGGATAATTAGTAGAGTAAGAATCCTGAAAAGGTCAGGATTGGAGCTGGCATATGGAGAAATTATCACTGGGCAGGAGGAGGAATCCTTCTTCCACTATAAAAGAAGAGGAAAGGATGATCCAGGTACGTTTTCAGGTTCAGGGGCAGAAATTTGAGAGACTTATTTTCTCCATGCATCAGAAGGGGGGCCAAGATGGACACATGGGAATCCTAAAGAATGTGGATAACTATTAAAAGAGATATTGTGGAGAATAGAGGAGTGAAACAGGAACAAAGAAAGTTTGCTAGGTGGTAATGAAATTGGAAACCATTGTGTCATTTCCCTAAGCATTGCTTAAAAACCCAGGAATAGGGATAAAGAAGATAGACTGTAGGGCTGTTCAGGATTGGTGTGCCTCCAGGCTATTGTGATGGGTGGACAATGCATAAATCAGTAAGAGGACAATGTAAGAAAAAAAAACGAGTTAATGTTACAGGTTTTCATAAGAAGCAATTTTGGCCCCCAAACCCCAGGGGATATTTGACAATGTCTGGAGACCTTTTTGGTTGTCACAACTTGGGAGGGAGGTACTAATAGAATCTAGGGAGTAAAGGTCAGGAATTCTTCTAAACATCTTATACTACACAGAACAACCCCTCACAAAAAAGGATTTTTCTGGGTTAAAAAAATCTAAATTGGTTTGGGAATCAAGGAGAGGTAGAAGGGAGCTTACAGGGAAAAATAAGAGAATCAAAGTACAGAATGCCTTGTGTGGTAAAGAGCATAATTATATCAAGTGGAGAGAGGGAGGGAGAGAGAAAGACAGTGACAGAGGGTATGTGAATGAGAGGGAGAGAAGAAGGTCATGGTCTGAGAGTGGTTTATCATTGTTAGTGTTTCATTACATAACATTTCAGAGTTGGAGCAGTCTGGGATGACAACAAATGTGTGCCCATAGAAATGAATGGCTGAAGCAGAGTGGAAGTGAAAATCACTAGAGATGAGTAATTCAAGGATAATTTACATCACTCAGAATAATGGCTAGCCTAGGGAGAGGGACAAGGATATCAGTATAAGTGATAAAATCTTTAGTGAATAAGGTCTTGGAGGAAAGATTGTGACCCAGCAAATCTATTTGTATGTATAAAGTCTACATAAATAACACACAGGTCATCTATAGAAAAAAAAAGAATGAAAAGGAAATTGTAAAATATACTTAAAATATTTTCTAAAGGAGAAGAAAAATAGTGATTTTTCACTGGGTGGCATTTTTTCTATACTTTCTTAAATAAATATTTGTCCATGATAAGAATAAAAATTAGTAAACCTGAGAATAAAATACTTTAAAAAGGAAAGAAACAGTGAAATGTTGGTGTATAGTTCCCTCATAGCCCATCAGCTGAAATCTGCATAGTTGCTGCATTTAAAATTATTATTTTGGATCCAGTCATTGCCTCATTTTACCTTAAAAAAGTATGTTTTGCTCTAAAATATAAAGGGAATATAAAGAGGTTCTGCAACTAGCTTATCAGAGCTGATATCATAAATAACTTCCAATCTAAAAAGATGAGAATGTAGAAAACAAAATCATACAGGATTCTGAGAAGAAAAGAGTGCCAAATTGTCAGAAAGGCCAAACATGCTATAAAATTATATTTAATTGCCCACCAAATATAAAACTAAGATTTTAATGAAACATGATTATCAGGGGGAAAAGGGCAATGCGTCACTAGCACAAAATTTACTGTTTAGATATGAAATTGTATGAGGAATGTATTGTACTTGTGTGGTAGAATTATGTATTTGTAACTATTTGTATCTATTTTCCTGCTGTGGAATTCTAATGATCAATCCCATAGTCTTGAATAAGTAGCTTAAGATAAAGCCCTCCACTAATGTCATTCATTGTAACTATATTTGCCATTCGTTGCTGTCTCCAAAACCTATCTAGCATAAGGACGATGACTACATGGCTCAAAAATTAGAGGAAAATTTTCTAATTATAATTATCCACATAACAGTGCATCTTGTCAATGAGTCAGAAGAATGGAGGATATATGTTCTCTGCCCTCTCTTCATTTCAGCATAAATTCATCAATTCTTTGCACTACTGATTAGAAGATGCAGAGTGAAGATTCAAGAGCATGCTAATTTGAGTCCTTCGTGATGCCCAGAAACATCTAGTGACATTAATTATCTAATAGAAAAATTACTTATATCATGTTAAGATGATTTTGGGAATGATGCTTCTGCACCCCACAGGATTTTGCAGTAGTTAGCTTACGTGGCCTTGACCTACGGTTTTCTGCCTAGTAGCGATAATCAACAAAGGTATGTTCTGTAATACTTTCTTTTTATGTAAACTCTTTCCCCAAATTGTCAATTTCCCAAACTGTGGCCTCATTCTTGTAAGCCCTACTATGAACAAGGAGCATGGTTCCTTCACAGAAAAGTTTCCACTCACTCCTGAAAAGTGGAACATGAAAGGTATTTGGTAAGATATTTTGGATATGATGTCAAAAGTATACCTACCATTAGACTAGCCTAGCTAAAGGAATATGTTGACTAAATCACTGAGATATTCTCCAAGGAACTGGAGCTTATAAATATCTAGTCATTGCCTCATTTTACCCTAAAACAATGTATATTTTGCTGTAAAATAAAAAAGGAAATATAAAGAGGTTCTGCAACTATTTATACAAGATTATCTTGAATCAGTTGTAATACTAACAGGGATTAATGCAGTCTGTGAAAATTGTTGTGGAGAATATGATCAATAGGTGAATAAACACAGTTGCTATTTATCTAAACTGTTTAAACCCAGATAGTATCCTCAGTGATTGAAAAATGATTCTTTGATTTTTCTGTTTTTAAATGTAGTCCCTGACCACAAATTCCTTAATCTCACGGGAGGTAAATAAACCCCAACATGACACCAAAATCATATTTAGTGCTTAGAATCTATCTACTCCTTGCTATTTCTGAGAGGAAAATGTGTTTGCCAAACTTGATCTAGACCAGGCTTATCAATAGGACAGTGCCCATAATAACACTGAAGAACCCCAAATAATCATCATTCATCATAAGACATTTGTTTCTTAGAGACCTTATATTCTACTGTTAAAAGTATTTACCAGATATAATTTTAGGTATATCATTAATGCAACCAAAAGTTAATACATTTCTTAGAATTTATTTTACATCCAGAAAAATATATCCACCTGTGAGCAACCTCTCGAAAAAGCATCACACTGATTTCTAGATATTATTATTTGTGACAATAAATTTCCCTTTCCTTACTTTAAGAAGTTTATAAGATGTACATCTTCTAGTTTATAACCCTTATGAAGGCCAGGTTGAAAAGACAGTGCTATAGTTTGATAATGTTCTGAAACTGGTCATTGCAACATCCTAGATTTGCCAAATATCTCAGCAGTTAAACATTCTAAAAAATAAGAGTCTAGCTCTGCCCTCTAACATATTATCTAGAGTTAATGGAATAACTTCAAGTCAAATAAAATATTTCGAATTCCAACTTAATCTGCCTCATCTCCTGTGTGTTTATGTATGTCACACATAAACACACAGAAATATCAAACTTTTGTCTCTTAAGGCAATCATTGCAAACCACAATCTTTATTTAGTTTTGCTAATAACTAAAGAGTTACATACAATGGCTAGGGTGTAGAGAGGCGATATGATATCTTCAGTCTCATAGATGGTGAAGAGGTCCTTCAGGGTGATGTGACAACCACAGAACATTTAGATGCACTTTTTATGAAGCCAACTGGGTATGAGTATTCGATAATATCTCAGGGGATTTATCTGAATGACAATATGATAAAAACAGTAGCTCTTTAATGTCCAACACAACTGACAATATGGGATCACTTGCTATCCTTACATTTACTAAAATTATATAAACACATACTTTATAAGTGGTACATAATTGCTGACTAAGGCTATATTAGCTAAGAAAGGAAGGGATTTTAATCCATGTCAAGGCAGCGTAGGTTTACATTTTTTAGTTCATGTGTTTACTTTTTTACCATAAGCAAGTTTATTAGCAAAAATTGTTTTGTTGAAATACATAATTCATTTAGAAGTCTTCCTCATCCCTTTGTAATGCTACAAGAATTTATACATATGCTTTTTTGTGCAAAATTTTAAAATAATGTGTATAAGTGAAAGTTATTCTGCACTAATTAATGGAGTGTTACTTCCTATAAAAAGAAGACTAAAAATTAAATATTAAAATTATTAGAATAAAGTTCCATATATCTCGAAGCAACATTAGTAACTATTATAATTAAGTATGACTAGACACAGTCAATACACTAAAATCTGAACCACAGTGTGTCTGGTCACCTTTGTATTTTTTCCTTTGCACATTACTAGATATCTAGTTAGTACATAATAAATGCTTATTAGAACAGGTTAATTATGGACACTTAAGGTCAAGCTATGAGATAAGTACATGAAAAAAATTGAACCAATTGCCTTATTATCACACATTGTATTATAATAGTAGACATATTTTTGAAGAACTCTAGATTATTGTAGGCAATGATTTATCAGGAATGTTCTTTCTTCTAAAGGTTAATCAAATGAAAAGCTAGTGTCACTCTGTAGTACAGAGATGATCCTAGAATGAAGGCAAGGTGTAGAATGAGGGTGAATAGCTTGCAAAATTGCTGCTTATGAAAGTTCCCACAAATATTCTGAGACAATGACACTTTAAATTGTAGGAAATTAAGACCTCTGAAATTTCTTTTGATCTCTGCTTCAGAGATGGAATAATACATCAGGACTCTAATACCTCAGGATTTCAAAATTTACATATTATAATAGGGAAGACAATAAACTTAAAGCACATATAATTATGATTGCCCATAATCCAACTTTAAAAAAGAATAAACTATGGTATGAAGCAATTTGAGCATATTGCTTGCATTGGCTGCATAAAATATCAGAAATAGGGTGTTACCTTAAATTATAGCTCTTCCATTAACTTTAATACAAAAAGTTGAGATAACTGTTAAAAGAACTGCCAAAGGGCATAAAGTGTTTTTATCCAATTTTAGGCTTACCCTGATAATCAAAAGGGATTCTTTAGATGAAAGCACATGTTAGACCTTCAAAAATCAGTCTAATTTCCATATATTTGTGAATTTTCTAGAATTCCTCCTGGTATTGATTTCTAGCTTCTTATCACTGTGCTCAGAAAGTATTCTTAACATAATTTCAACCTTCTTAAATTTGCTGAGGCTTCTTTTGTGCCCTAACGTGTGGTCTATCCTAGAATTAAGAAACAGTTCCATTTACAATAGCTATGAAACAATGAAGTGCTTGGGAATAAATTTAACCAAGGAAATGAAAGGCCTGTACACTGGAACTATACAATATTGATGAAAGAAATTGAAGGAGACACAAATAAATGTCCGGTGTTCATGGATCAGAAGAATTAATGTTGTTAAAATGTCCATACTACTGAAAACAATATACAGATTCAATGTAACCTCTATCAAAATTCCAATGTCATTTTTCATAAAAATAGAATAAACTATTTATTTTATAATTCATATGGAGCCCCAAAAAGAACCAAATAGCAATAGCAATCATGAACAAGAAGAGCAAAGCTAGAGATATCACATTACCTGATTTCAAACTATACTATAGAGCTGTAGTAATTAAAACAGCATGGTACTGGCAAATAGACACATTGACCAATAAAACAGAATATAGAGAGTCCAGAAATGAACCCACGCATGTTGGGTCCATTTATTTTCAACAAAGGAGCCAAGAACACATGATTTGAAAACATGAGTCTCTTCAATAAATAGCATTGGGAAAGCTGAATATTCATATGCAGAAGAACGAAATTGGACCCTTACCACACAACATATTAACAAGTCAACTTAAAATGGATTAAAGACTTAAATGTACGACCAGAAACTGTAGAACCATTAGAAGTAAACATAGGAGAAAAACTATATCACATTGGTCTAGGCAATGAATTTTTGGATCTGATCCCACAAATGCAGGCAACAAAAGCAAAAATAGATGAAACTACATTAAACTAAAAAGATTCTGTACAGCAAAGGAAACAACAGTGTGTAGAGACAATCTACAGACTGGGAGAAAATTTTTGCAAGCCATACATTCACTAAGGGATTAATATCCAAAACATACAAAAAACTCAAACAACCCAATAGCAAGAAAACAAAACAAAACAAAAAAAAACTCAATTAAAAAATGGGTAAGAGACAAGATTAGATATTTCTCAAGAAATGCTCAACATTGCTAATCATAAGGGAAACACAAATTAGATACACAATTAGATATCATACCTGTCAGAATAGGTATTATCAAAAAGATGAAAAATAACACATGTTGGCAAGGATTTGGAGGAAAGGGAACTCTGTACACTGTTGATGGGAATGCAAATTAGTACAGCAATTATGGAAAACGATATGAAGATTTCTCAAAAAGCTAAAAATAGAATTACTATATGATCCAGCAATCCCACTTCTGGGTATTTACCCAAAGGGTTTGAAATCAGTTTGTCAAAGAGAAGTAAGCTCTCCTATGTTCATTGAAGCACTATTCACAGTAGCCAAGCTGTGGAATCAACCTGTGTCCCTGAACCGATAAAGGAAGAAAGAAAATGTGGTATACATGCATAAGGGAATACTAATCAGCCTTTAAAAAGAAGGAAATTATCTTAGTTGCTGCAACATGGATGGAATTGGAGAACATTAAGTGAAATAAGCCAGTTGTAGAAAAACAAATGTAGCATATGTTCTCATTTAAATGTGGCATTTAGAACAATCAAACTCATAGGAGCAGAGTGTAGAATGTTGGTTGCTGAGGTTGGAGGTGGGAGGAATAAAGAGATGATGGTCAAAATGCACAAAATCTCAGACAAGAAATACGTTTGTTTTAGTTCAACTTCAAGCATAATGAATATAATTAATAATAGAGCATTATAAATTTCAAAATCACTGAGATTAAATTTCAAATGTTCTCACCACAAAAAATGTTAAGTAGGTGAGATGATGAATATGTTAACTAGATTGATTTAATTATTCCACATTGTATTAATAAATCATAACGTCACTCAGTACCCCATAAATGTATATACATTGTCAATTTATAATCAAAAGAGAAAAACAAAAGCAAAAATTAGTCTAAAAAGTAGTTAAGAATAAAGGTGCACTCACATATAGACATGGTTTCCCTACTCTTCTGAACCTCCCTCTTCTGATTAGTCTCTTTGTAGAAAGATTTACACTTCTATATACCAGAGGAATGTGTGATGCATTTATTTACTACCACAGACCATAATTTTCTGTTGCTTTTGCAAATAAAATGCCACAGATTATTTCTGTTGGATGAACCTCTTTGTTATTCCTTCTGAAAAGCTTTGAAGAAAGGGTCATTTCATCTAAAGACAGAAAAAGAAACATAACATTGAACCGGATTCAACCATGATAGCTGTTTCTAAGGCAGAATTAAAATAGCATAATTTCAGCAATTTTCTTTTTTACACTAATACCATAGTTCATTATTTTATACATTGAGGCACTTTAGAAACACTCATATGCTTTTAATCTATCACTTACTAGTTGGCAATTACTACTTCATCTTCAGTCTTTATGCTCTTAAGAATTTTAACTCATAAAATAACATTGTTCTTATAATTGTGTAAAAACCACAGGAAAAGAAAAATTCCCTGTCTTTATCGGGCCCACTTGTGAACATTTTTATGTTCATTATGCTTATTATACTGTAACATGTTTTAAAATTAAGATGGATTTGCATGATCTCTTTGGAAAAAAGAGAAGAAATCAAGATATCGTTCTCACTGGACTAAATGGGGAAAGTACATTTAAAGGGGTTTCAAGAAAATTGAGGTCACTGCCCAGATTGCAAAAAGAAGTTTAAAAAGTGTGCAGCCCTAAAAAAGGATAAGTTCATGTCCTTTGTAGGGACATGAATGAAGCTGGAAACCATAATTCTGAGCAAACTACCGCAAGGACAGAAAAGCAAACACAGCATATTCTCACTCACAGGTGGGAATTGAACAATGAGAACACTTGGACACAGAGCAGGGAACATCACAGACTGGGGCTTGCTGTGGGGTGGGGGGAAGGGGAGGGATAGCGTTAGGAGAAATACCTAATATAAATGACGAGTTGATGGGTGCAGCAAACCAACATGGCACATGTATACATATGTAACAAATCTGCACATTGTGCACATGTACCCTAGAACTTAAAGTATAATAAATACATAAATGAACAAATAAATAAAATAAATAAAATAAAATAAGTGTGTGAACTAAAAGTTTGTACCACCTGGGGCTCATACCCAGGTGGAGTGGAGTGGTCCTGTATTATGCTTGCTATGTGAGAAAAATCAAGGGACAAATATATATATATATATATGTGTGTGTGTGTGTGTGTGTGTGTGTGTGTGTGTGTGTATGTGTATATATATACGTGTATGTGTATATATGTACGTGTATATGTATATATATACGTGTATATATACGTGTATATGTATATATATACATGTATATATGTATATATATAGTGTATATATATACGTGTATATATGTGTATATATGTGTATATATACGTGTATATATACGTGTATATATACGTGTATAAACACGTATATCTACACACACTTATGAGGAGCCTTTATAAATTAAGCCAATGGGCAGTTGAAAAAAAATTAATGGAAGGGAAAAGAAAGCCCAAGAAACAGAAGACAACACGTAGTGAAATCAGTATCTATGTGTAAAAAACATGACATTAAAGAATACTGAATGCTGAAAATCTTGAAGCAGAACATCAGAAACAGTTCTTTCAAAAGCAAGCTGGTTATCTGTAAAAGTGGAGTCTTTATAAGGAACATCTAATGAATACTGATTTTCTGCAAAGGCCTACTTTTCAATGGGTCACTTACATACTTTCCTATAGACCAGGAGCATAGTTTAAAAAGGGCCAAGGCCCTCTAAAAAGAAAATCTCATAGATTGAATACATCTTAATTCTATGTTAAGAGTATA
Source organism: Homo sapiens (assembly GCF_000001405.40). Taxonomy (NCBI): domain Eukaryota; kingdom Metazoa; phylum Chordata; class Mammalia; order Primates; family Hominidae; genus Homo; species Homo sapiens. The sequence goes on from NC_000009.12 coordinate 80,898,504, forward strand.
GCGTCAGAACTGTTGAGAAGGGCAAATTTAATCCATATTATTAACTAATTTTTAATATACTTTTTAAGAAGACTACATTTATTTTTAGTACTATGGAACTTTGCCTTAAAAGCTTGAAAATTTAAACATTCATTCATGTAACAGTCAACAATGTTTGTTGATTTCTTCCTTGATGGACACTGAGTTAAGGTCTAGAAAATATAAGAAAAAAATGACATGATCATGTTTTCAGTTATCTTACTGGCCAGAGACGAAAATAGACATTTAACAAACAATAAAACAGGTAACTATTGTAAGTATAATCTCGATGTTATGAGGAAAAAATCACAGTCTACTTCTAACTTAAAATTATGAGTGGGCTGCACATTATTTAGGGCTATAAGCCCATTTCCTATTTTTGAACTTTTAAACAAAATAATCTCTTTAATAAATCATGTGATTCCGTATAATGATAGTATGAGATAGGTGCACCATCCTTTATTTCTGAAGATGCTCTGTTTCAAAAGTAAATACTTTGAAGTTTGAGAAACATTAAAAATCAAGGAAAAATCATAAGAGAATATCTTTGACCTTTTGTTTCCCCTAACAAAAAAAAGAATCCTATTATTAATATGTTTCAAGGTAGTAATGGCACTGAAAAGTATATGTTGGCACTTTTTCACTTACAATAAGTTTATAGAATATAGTCTTTGTGTTTTTTTATCCTTATTTGAAATGAAATGTAGAAAGGTCCAACAATAATCAGGCAGTTTGCCATTGAGCCTGTAGCATTTCAAGAACCACAAAGGAAAAATGAATCATTCCTATATACCCTCAAACCACAGTTTCATATCTAGCAATAATTTTTATAGCACTTGGGATTTGTTAATAGCTCATTGAAATGATTTCAGCATTCAAACCTCCCATTTTCAATTTTTGATACTTCATTATCCCAAAATGACCAGTTAGTCTTGCCAAATCTTGATTCACATCCTACCACAAAAGATATCTATTTCCACTCACTTTTGCTGGTTTGCATCATTCTTAGTGACTGACTATTGCTTTAACAGGTCCAATTGTCATCTGTACTTGCCTTGATTTAGTCAATACAGATACTTAGATAAGGTGGTGAACTTGGCAAAAGAGCACCTCCATTGAAGAATCTGGACAACATGAGAAGATGTAAAGGATGTGTTAAATTATATACAAAACCATGAAAAGCCATGGCTGTTCATTGTCTGAGATGCATACCGATAGGAAAATTGAGACAAAATGCAGTAGGGCTGCATTTCAAACTAGATGATTTCAAGCCATGCCAATGTCTGGCATCAATGTGAAATTCCTTAAATACAGCCACATGATTTCAGTTTTAAACAAGGTCTATCACTTTAATGATCCAAATGAAACCTTTGATTCAAATTCCAAAGGTCAATTTATTGAAAACCCTACAGTATTTTTTCAGTCTAAAACCAAGAATTGGGAAGCAATTAATGATAATAAAGTGGGCATGCTATTAAATCCTTATATTTCAATTATATTTCAAAATAGTGTGTTTTTAAAATGAGGTTGTCATAGGGAGCCCTCAGTAAAAATGGAAAGCCCTGAAAAACGAATTAGTTTGAGTCTTATCCTTCTAATATAGAAAAAAGGAAAACAAATATGTATGTAAATACATGAAATTGGTATTATTATTGTACACAGCATCTGGGCCGTACATCATACACATCATCTTCAATAGCAATAGTATCTTGGAGTTCTATGGTGATACGCCTCCAGATAGCCAAAAATTATCCTTTATATTAAAGAGTAAATTATTACTATTAGTAGCAATCATGTTTATAGATGAAGATTTAATGCAGAAAAATACATAATTTACTCAAGGCCACAACTTCATCAACATTAAAGTCAGGTAAGAATCTAAGATTGCTGTTTATAATCAAGTGTCCTATTCATTTGATTAAGAGCTCTTAACCTGGAGCCAAGAGTTTCAGGGACCTTTGAACATCTTGAAATTAGATGCAAAATGACATATATGCATGTTTTTCTCCCCTTGTGAAGAGGATCAGATTATCAAAAAGGGTCATGATACAAGGTAAATTAAATATTACCTTATTTGACTAACCCACTTATGTACCAGATTTCTATAAAAAAAAGGATTATATTCATTTCCGTAATACACTTGAAGTTCAGCCAGTGTTTTCAAATGGTATGCTAGTAGTTGGATTAAATTAATGTAGCTTGTAAATAACTTTGCAGGAAACAAGTTAGATGATGAGGAACTTGAATTCTTAGTTAACTTCTACATGCCTTGACATTTAGTCTTATTGCATCACAGAATTCACATAGCAAATGCTGTACTTAAGCAGTTAAATGTATTTAGATTATCATTTGATTTATAACTTTCAGTAAATAATGAGAACTTCATGTTTTGCATGAAAATTGTTCAAAACAGGAGGCAATATTTTTCCCCACATATGTGTAACATCAAATCAGCTGTTCCTTTCTCATGAAAATACAACCCAATTTTCTTTATTTTCTATTTTACCTTTTGGAAATTTAAACACACACAAATACTCTAATTCAGAACATAATATAATATTAAATATATTTTATCTAATTTTCAGAGTAGAAATGTCACAGTCTATATTTGCATTTATTTTAATGCTAAAAAATAAAAGTTAAAAGCAGTTTAAATATTGATTTTCATGTGCACTTACAGGTAATTTGGATTTGGCTCTAAGTTGAGTACATTTACCATTGCTCCATTAGAAATAAAATGGTGCAGCCCAGCAAAAGAAACTACCATCAGAGTGAACAGGCAACCTACAGAATGGGAGAAAATTTTTGCAATTTACTCATCTGACAAAGGGCTAATATCCAGAAACTACAAAGAACTCAAACAAATTTACAAGACAAAAACAACCCCATCAACAAGTGGGCGAAGGATATGAACAGACACTTCTCAAAAGAAGACATTTATGCAGCCAACAGACACATGAAAAAATGCTCATCATCACTGGCCATCAGAGAAATGCAAATCAAAACCACAATGAGATATCATCTCATGCCAGTTAGAATGGCGATCATTAAAAAGTCAGGAAACAACAGATACTGGAGAGGATGCGGGGAAATAGAAACACTTTTACACTGTCAGTGGGAGTGTAAACTAGTTCAACCATTGTGGAAGACAGTGTGGCGATTCCTCAGGGTTCTAGAACCAGAAATACTATTTGATCCAGCAATCCCATTACTGGGTATATACCCAAAGGAATATAAATCATGCTGCTATAAAGAAACATGCACACGTATGTTTATTGCAGCACTACTCACAATAGCAAAGACTTGGAACCAACCCAAATGTCCAACAATGATAGACTGGATTAAGAAAATGTGGCACATATACACCATGGAATACTATGTAGCCATAAAAAGGATGAGTTCATGTCCTTTGTAGGGACATGGATGAAGCTGGAAACCGTCATTCTCAGCAAACAATCGCAAGGACAAAAATCCAAACACCGCATGTTCTCACTCATAGGTGGGAATTGAACAATGAGAACACTTGGACACAGGAAGGGGAACATCACACACCGGGGCCTGTTGTGGGTCAGGGGAAGGAGGGAGGGATAGCATTAGGAGATATACCTAATGTAAATGGTGAGTTAATGGGTGCAGCACACCAACATGGCACATGTATACATATGTAACAAACCTGCACGTTGTGCACATGTACCCTAGAACTTAAAGTATAATAAAATATATATATATATATAGAAAAGAAATAAAATGGTGCAGCCTTTATATGAAATCTTCATATATCTTCAAATGGGATTGTATCAACACAAAACATTCAAACTGAGTGTTTGGACTGAGTCATTCAAGCAATTCAATAAAACAACCTGTTTGATAATCTCTACACAGATTTACAGAAAATTTTTGATTAATCTTGAATATTATTAAAAGTCATGCCATGACATTCAAGACAAGAAAGTCACCAACACCAAGCTATGCTTGGTTTGAACTACGAACTGCATTTCATGCCTTCCAGTAACTTCTCAGACTTGGATATAATCTCAGCACTTACTAATTTACAAGTCAACAGGCTGGAATCCATAGGATTTCCACACAGCTTATGTGTCAGAGATCTCTAACATGTTTCTTCCTAAGACATAGAAAGTGTTTGACGACCGTAATCAGGAGGTTTGCCCAGGTTCTCAGGAGAAAAATGGAATAGATACTACTAGAGATAGTAGGTATGTACTAGAGCAGATATTCAGCTTACCCACTAAGACACATCAGGACGTGTGAGTCAGGAGGTTCTTGTCCAATGGAGCACACGATTTGCTTCTTGGTAGCTAGCTGGAGGGTGAAGTTTTACTCTTGTCTCCATTCATGACTAATGCAAAGTTTCCCAGGGGTATGCAGCTCCTGCGTACTGGCTTGCAGTTAACAGAGAAAAGGGTCATTTCCCTCCACCCAAAATCGCGTGGACCAGTTTTGTCCCTTAGAAAATTTATGGAAATGAAAAAAATCACTTTTCTATTCTTGAGTGGTGGGGCTAGAGGGTAGCTATTAGCTTAAACGAAAGGTTGAAATTCAACATCAAATCAGTCCTAAGTGTAAAGATGATCAAGACTGGGCTACTTCCTTGAGTCTTATGACTTATGTTAGTTCTGCTCCAAACTTTTCTCTGCTGTGACAAAGAAGAAAAGTATGAGACCTGCTGTGCAGTTTTAAGAATATGTCCTATTTCAGTTGCTGAAATCTGTTACTTCCTGAACAACACATGAGCCAATGTTTCTTGCCTATGAAATCAATGGCTGAACCATAGAAATCAATAGATAGAATAATGATTAATAATGTTTATGGTCAATCTCACGAGTAGGGGAGAAACAAAAACAGCAGCTAGAAATCATAGGTTTTCCTATTCTTTGATCAAGGGATGCCTCACACAAAACAGGGAATAAAGGAAACCAGAATAGAGGCATAGAAACCATTTATTGGTGAAACTGACTACAAAGAGGCAACAGAAATGGAAGGCAGATTTCATTGGTGCACTTTTGAGAGCTGGACTTTCTCTGTTACATCATTTTTATTTGTTTGTTTGTTTTGACAGTCTCACTCTCTCACCAGGCTGGAGTTCTGTAGTGCAATCTCGGTTCACTGCAACCTCCGCCTCCCGGATTCAAGTGATTCCCCTGCCTCAGCCTCCCGAGTAGCTGGGACTACAGGCACGCACCACCACATCCAGCTAATTTTTGTATTTTTCGTGGGATGGTCTTGATCTCTTGACCTCATGATCCGCCTATCAGAGATGAAAAAAAAGTTTCTCTGGATAAAGGCAGTCTTCTTAGAATGAAATAAAAACAAAATATGTCTGCTTTTGTGCAGGTGGTTGCAGAACAGGTACACTCTCCTTCGATGTGGGAGTACTTATTCATAAAGCAAGTAGTCCCAGAAAGACCAAATGATACTAAACCAATCCAAATGAACAGAGATGTGTCTTTTGCCACAGATGACTTCACTAGGACATCTAGTCTATCAAGGGTAACATGAACAAATTATGCCAGGTATGTTTGAGTAGTAAGTCTGATTATTGCATTTGCAGTCTCTAGTTTGCCATATAATATTTCTATTCTATTAAGCAAGACACATACCATTTCTGTTCTTTAATCTCCTTGTTGATAAAATGAAAAAAAATTCTTTTATTTTTAGGAGAAATATTAGATCTGCAAATTAAGTTAGGAACAAATAGAATTTATTGTCATTATCATCAATGTTGCATTTTTAGTGCTTTAGCTATTTTCTATCTAGATCATTAGCACTTTTGGAACAATATTCTGGAATAAATAGCCCTCCTCTGTGCTTCCTTAATGCCTTTATTCAAGTCTTTTCTTTCACTTATGACAATTTAAGGAACTTTTTGTGTGTCTATTTCTCTCAATATACTAAAAGCTCCCAAAGCTGAATCTACATCGTACTTACCCTGAATCTCCAGCACTTACTACCTGGCAAATGATATACTTCCAAAATGTGATATGCTGAAACAAATTACTGTATGTGTCTTTCTCACACGGCACAATGCTTTGTATGTAGTAGGTGTAAGTTGCTTTTCTTATTGACTAATTAAACTAGAAAACATTCATCACCCCCAGATTATCTTAGTTTCTTCTTGCTCTAGGTCAGTTTATTGACATATGTAGTATACATATGTCAATAAACATATGTATACTACATATACATATGTTTTTTTGTTTTTGCAAAACAAAAAAGCAAAACAACTTTTTTTACAGCGAATCAAGCACTTTGAAAACAACGAGAAAATTATTTGCCTATGTAACTGTGGCACATAATTACAAACAATTATAAAATATCCCAAATGGCATGCTAATATATAAAAGAAAGTCAATACCTAGACGTAGTTCAAACTCATGGCCAATATTTAGTTTATGAGAATATAAAAGTTGTACCATAAACTCTTTGCTGAGAGTTTGCATCTTTGAATTAGACAAAGACAATAAATTACAAAATATAACAAGAATCCCATTCTCTAGCTCCTTTCTTATAACTCTGATCACCTCATCAAATCACACCCTTCACCTTACTGTTAGAAAACCTGAGAATAGACATAGTAATGCCTGTACAAAGCCCTAAATTTCACTTTGGTTTGAAGAAGTAACAAGGAGCAACTTCTGCATAGGGGAAGGTAGTCAACTTCAGCCCCATCTAGCCTTCCATGTGGGACAGGAAAATACCAAACTCCATCCCCATCTAATCCTTCTTGTCTCACCTAAGGTGAACCACCTGTGAAGATCACAGCCCAGGGCACAGGCTCACTAAAAGACTGAGACTAAATCATACAACTATAGAATGTTTCTCCTCACCCACATCTTATCAACGTATTACTTAGAGACCTAAGTAACTCACTTCCTTTTGTGCAGTACATCATATCAAGCTTTCAACAACAACAAAAATTATAAGGTATACTAAAAGGCAAAAAATAAATAAAAAAATAAATAAAACCCACAGTTGGAAGCAAGCAAGCAAACATTAGAACCAGACTCGAATATGGCAGGGATGTTAGAATTATCTTGATTGGTATGTTTTGCTCCCTATTCTATTGATTATTAACAGAGAAATTTTGAAGTCTCTAAGTATACTTGTGAATTTGTGTATTTCTGTTTTCAGTTGACCAGTTTATTTTTTGTTTGTTCTTGCGTGGGGAAACCCTCTTAGGTAGAAATACATTTAGCATCTTCATGTTTTCTTTGCTATTTCGACCACAGTTTTCGTATTTGATATCCTTTTTTATTTCTGTTAATATTTTATGTTCTAAATTTTAATTTGTATTTTATTAATATAGCCATTATAGCTTTATTTTTAGTAATCATCACATCATATATCTTTCATCATATATTTACTTTTAACTTGCCTACATCTTTATATTTAAAGTGGTTTTCTCTTAGACATCTCATAGTTAGGTCTTGCATTTTATACAGGTTGACAAGCTCAGCTGTTTAATTGCCTAGTTAATTTGCATTTAAAGTAATTATTAATATTGTTACATTTAAATCTACCCTTTTAAAATTATTTTATTGTGTCCAACCATCCTATGTTCCTTTTACTCCTCTTTATCTGCCTTTTTTATTTAGTATTTTTTATTATTCCATTTTATATTTATGCTTGGTGCATTATTTATACCTCTTTTAAGAAAATTCTTGCTAAATGTTTTCCAATATACTTCATTCTACAATCTATAGTCTTTTTTCATGTCTAGTAAAAAAAAGAAGAGCCTTAAAATTCCCAATTTATTGCCACTATCTTTTGAATTAATGCTGTCACACTTTCATTTTTTTCTTATTTTTGTTACTATAAGTGAAATAATTTTCCCTTGTTATATTTACTAAGCAGCAACAACAATGATAATTAACTTACTAGCAAATTAGCATTTATTAATATTTAGTAAGTGCCACATGCTTTGCTAATTTACATGAATCACATCATTTAATATACAGACCTCTATAAGGTAAATACTATTATTACTTTAATTTGATAGCTCAAGGGAGTGAAGCATAAGGAATATAAGTGACTTATCCAAAGTTATATATCTTTGTGGTATTATGAAACAGCCAGTCTAATTCCAGCATTTGCAATCTCTATAAATATTTTACAGTTGCTGCCACATGCTAAATTTATTAAATTGTAAAAATTGCTAGTTTTTTTTTTTTTTTTTTGAGACGGAATCTTGCTCTGTGGCCAGGTTGGAGTGCGGTGGCGCGATCTCGGCTCACTGCAACCTCCGACCCCCAGGTTTAAGTGATTCTCCTGCCTCAGCCTCTCGAGTAGCTGGGACTACAGGCACACAGAACTATGCCCAACTTATTTTTGTATCTTTAGTAGAGATGGAGTTTCACCATGTTGGCCAGGATGGTCTCCATCTCCTGACCTGGTGGTGATCCCCCGGCCTCAGCCTCCCGGAATGCTGAAATGACATGCGTGAGCCAGCCCACTGGGCCAAAATTGCTCGTATTTTCAGTTTGTTTTCTAAGATTCCCTACAGAAAATGTTATTTTGTATGCAAAAGGCAACTTGTTCATCTTTTTATATTAATCTACTAGCTAATATTTTTGTTTCCTATTTCATTGTATTTTTACCACCTCCAGAAAAAGTAACAAGAATGGTAAAAATAAACATGTATTTTATTTTTGATTTTATAGGGAATGTTTCTATGTTATCTTCAGTTTATTAGGATTTTTAACAGTAAAAAATGAGTATATTTTAAAATATTTAACAAATATTTTAAATTACTCCTTTTCTTTGTTTTTAATCTTTTATAATCACATATGGCATTATTATGGTAACCAACAAAAATTTCTAAAGAGAAGAAAAGTTATTAGGGCCAAGTAAAACAAAAATTTTCTAACTCAATGGAAAAAAATCATATTCACCAATAAATATACAGTAGTTCCCCCTTATCCACAGTTTTGTTTTCCATGATTTCAGTTACCCACAGTCCACTGCAGTCTGTAAGTAAGTTAGTACAATATACTAAGATATTGTGTGTGAGAGAGAGCACATACAAGAGAGAGAGAGACCACTTTCACTTAGTCTTTATTACAACATATTTTTGTCTGTTTTGGTCTATTTTAGTAGTTGTTGTTAATCTCTTACTGTGCCTGATTTATAAATTAAACTTTATCATAGGAATATCCATATAGGAAAATCATATTATATATAGGGTTGGCACTATCCACGGCTTCAGGCATCCACTGGGGGTCTTGGAATGTATCCCTTCTGGATAAAGGGGGACTAGTGTAGTGGTGAATAATTTGAACATTCTTTCTAGTAGACATGATATGATAACATTCAATAAATTTTTACTACGTACCTATTATGAACCAAAGGATTTTCACAGTTCATAATGACTATCATTTTCCATATGTCAAGTGCCACAAAGACAGAATTTTCCCAACATTCAAATAATGGCACTATATTGCTGCAACCTGTTTGGATTTGGTATCCAAATCCAAAAGTTGATTTAATAATTTTAGTGAAGTACAGTGCTGAGTCCAGAGCATTATATCATCAAATGCGTTTAATCTTTCTCTTTATTGAGGTATAATTGACATGCAACATTGCATAGATTTATGGTGCACGATATGATGTTTTGATATATGTATACCTTGTGAAATGATTACCACAATCAACTAATTAACATCTCCATCACCTCACATAGTTACTTTTTTGTGGTGAGAACATTTAAAATGTACTCTTAGTGATTTTTGAGTATATAATAGTATATTGTTATTAACCATAATCACCATTCTGTACAATAACTCTCTAGAACATATTGTATCTAACTGAAACCTGGTACCCTTTAACCAACATCTCCCATTTTGCTTTCACCTCCAACCTCTGACAACCACCATCCTACTATCTGCTTTTATGAGTTCAGCTTTTCTTGATTCCCTGTGTAAGTGAGATCATGCAGTATTTGTCTTTCTGTACTTGGCTTATTTCACTCAGCACAATGTCTTCCATTTACTTGTTTTAAATGCAGCCAGTGTATTACCACGTGTCATCTAATCCATTCAAAAGGTTAAATGCCAGATTCTGAAAATACAATTATATTTGTAGGATACCAGAAGTTCTAAGGGTTAGGGAAACTCAGGTACAAGTTCTCATGTAGTAAAAGAATCTCCTTGATTTTTGTCTTCCAAATATCAACCTACTGATGAACACATTTTATATACAGAAATTCTCTTTCATCTCTCTATCACTACCGATAGCTCCTTGAAAGGTAATTACACACACACACTCACACAAACAGATAGATAGATAGATAGATAGATAGATAGATAGATAGATAGATAGAGATAGAGATAGATAGACAGATATTTTCTCTCAGTCATTATCACCATACTATGGCTAAAAATCAGTAATACAAATCCCAATATTAAATAGAGCTACACAGATAGATTCCAAAACAAATTTCTGGACAAATTTTCTGGTTATCCTCTAAGGCTGCATTATTGAATATTGCAGCCCCTAGCCATAACTGTCTATTTAAATCATACTTAGGTTAATTAAATTAAATAAAACAAGTGACACTTCAGGTGCTCAATAGCAAATGTGGCTGGTGGCTACCATCCTGGACAGCACAAATATAGAACAATTTCATCATCCCAGAAAGTTCTATTGAACAGTGCTGCTGTAAAGATCACAGATGGTCCTTCATCACTCAAAAAGAAGAACTACCACAAAAATTCTACAAACTTTCAAATTCTTCTTTATACAGCTCTGACCATGAAGCCTCAAGTCTCACTAAACATAAAGGGCCTTCAGCCACAGGACAATGGATGTTTCACAATAACGGGTGGAAAGTGTTAAAGAAATAATGTCCTGAGTCATGTCAGAATTGTGACTGCCAAGGAAATATTTAATAATGCTAAAGAAGCAATCTCACAATGGTAAAAAGATGGAGGATCAATTTTTTGTTTGCATCTTAAATAGGCAGCAACTCTTTGTACGAAAAGGGGTTCAAAATTCTACATCATCACCAATGTAAATCAAATATATGTTGAGCATAAATAATACAGTTGCCAAAGAGAGCAAGAGCTGAAACATCTCTCAACTATGGCCAGCATCCTGCAGAGCTTATTAGAAAGGAGCAAAATCATGCATGAGCATAAATTAATTAAGACTCATTACTTGAAAACAAGTAAGATGTACTTTTAGCAAGTACATAAGTAATACATACATACATACATATGATTTAGTAATACAGTCCTAAAGCAAGAAGTCATCCCAGCAAAGTAGATGACTGGAACAAAAACAACATAGGATACAATCTAAAAGTTCAGCAGTTTGTAAGCCATGTGGTTTAAGGTTTATCATTTTTTCTTAAGCAAAGTCAGCAAGTTGACATTAAAAAGAAATATATATCCATTTTACTTTTATTTATGGGTAGATATTTGTAAAATTCTATTTTTTTGAATTGGGTTTTAGTCTTTGCAAAAAATCTCCCTTTTTTCATCTTTACACACTTCTTAAAGAATATCTAGCTGTTACCATCTGAAAAGACTCGATTAAATGGAATCCACCTGTCTATAGGAGTCAGCATGCTTGTTTCTAGAGTAGAAAAGCAAACCGAAGTCCTTTCTCTCTTTATAAAATTCTGCTGAGGCTTATTTCTGTGTATTTATGTGTGAGCACATGTGTATGTGTTATACATTACAATCATTTAGATTTTCATGTGATGTGTGATGACATCACTCATTTTTTCTAGCTGAAATGGGAAGCAGGTCAAACTTTCAGGAAGAGGTTACACATCTACTGAGATTATTATTTAGGAACAATAAGAATTACTGTTATATGTAGGTTCCTTCTCAAGGTGTAAGTTATTTAAAAATATGTCAGAGGATGTCACCCTTCTTATGCTCAAGAAAATGTTGTGTTCCCCTTGCTTATTTCTTGCATGTGACTATAACAATAAAATACAGTGGATAAAAATTTTAAAAAATCAAGGACAGCACACCAAATTCACCTTCATTAGTTGAAAAATAATTCAAAGCAGTTGTTACATGATATATTACAGTTCATTATTTGGTATTATATGATAAATATGATAATAGTAACACCAGTTTCAATACAACAGTAACTTTAAAATACTAATAGGTTAATAACTTAAATGTTGTAGGCACAAATTGTAAAACCTCTTAAATGTTTTACATTTTGTAATTTGTAAATTATAAATTTGTAAAACATTTCATGCACATTCAACTTCCAAATGGCTATCAAATAAACCCAAGAATGATGTATAATATTATTCAGTGCCCTTTCAGGTAGGTATGATTTAATATCTGCAAATTTTATTCCTTTTTATTTACTACGCTCTATAGCTGTATTCTTGGCACTAAACTGCTCCTCCTTCTGAGGTCAGACAGTATGATTTAGAGCATGACTTTCTCCTCATTCCCTACAGTAATTAGTCTGCCTAACTCCAGAAAGTTGCTTGCCAAGGAATATTTTAATTGGGCACTAGTTTCCATAATGAACTAAAAATCAAGGTTGGTGGCCCTGAAGTTTGATGCTGAAACACCCAGATAACTCAATATCATCGGGCCTAGATCTGGTTGGAAATTTTAGTTTCTCCTAATGGCTGTTGAATTAACTTAGTTCTTTATACTAAGAAGCATTATCTATTATCTTAGAGTCATTAAAGTCTATATCCAGTGCCCACACAAACCTCCCAGTAATTATGAAAACCTACACAGTAACCCCAGACTGTTGTTAGATTAGGGTTTTATAGGACGTAGTTACCTGCTCTGCTTAGTTTCTTTAAAAACCCTAATTCACCAAAAGCTCACAAAAGTGAATGTGCCTTTATTGAATTAGCGTTAACTATTAACAGTAGCAGCAACACTATCAAAGCATCTATTCATGTATATTGTAGTAAGTGCTATACACTTAGGATATTTGATATGTAATAATTATAATTTCAAAATCGTAACAAGCTACAATCTAAGAAAATACACCTATGTACTTGTAGTTAGGAAAACACAAATTTTTATTTGTCTATAATCAGTTATTTTACATGGCATGGAGAATCATAATTCTCTCTTAGAAGGCTTTCTGCATTCTGAGGAGAAAATACACTGACTTTGGAGCTAAATTGAAATAGGTTTTAATTATGCCTCTGCTACTTAGTAACTGTGTGACATTGAGGATTTTTCTTAACCTCCCCGAGCCCTTTTCCTTATCTGTAAAATAAGAGAATAAAATCTTACCTCACGTAGTTTGTAAAGAGAAAGCAGACCATACGTGTGTCATGACTGAAATACACTGTGGCCTCTACTAAACAGTCAATTTATGAATGCCCTTGTTGTTCCTTGAAAGTACCAATAAACACATAGATAAAGACACACACACACACACACACACACACACAGAGAAATCCTTTTCCAAAAGATCTATCTGGAAGCACCTTTGAACTGCTCCAAACACACAGCAGTGTTCTGCTGGCCTTACTTCTACTGAGTGGTTCACCTCAAGTGTGTTTAATAAATATCTGCTGAGATCTGCTTGCTGATATATACACACACACACACGTGTATACATACACATATATACACACACATATATGTGTGCATACACACATATACACATGTGTATGCACACATATACACGTGTGTATATATATACGTGTGTATATATGTATATATACACATGTGTGTGTGTATATATATATATATATGGATTCCCACCCCCCTTTTTGTTTTCAGTCAAAGAAGATTCTTCAGGTAAGCCATATGTCTTTTAAACATTTTTTAGAAGTTATCTTCAAAAATCCTCACATTTCTATGCTTATTTTTTATGTAAAGAGTAGGATCTATAATAGGTAATGATATATTCTTTTAACATGACCTTATCATGGTTACCTAAATCTAGAAGATCTGTAATTTTGTAAAGGATATGAAATACATGTGCAAGCATGCATGCACACACATATTCATAGATAGAACTTCCCAATGATTCTAACTTTAATTTATGGTGAAGATATTCCATTTTTCTCATTTCATATTATATACAAAAGAAGGCTTGCATAACAAGGCCTATTTTATTCTTTTAAATGCATTGAAATTACCATTTATATTTCATATGCATTTTTTTTAACATTAGACAAATCCTCCCACATCAGAACTTAGAACAGGAGAATCCTCCTATAATGCATTTGAACTACTATCACTTCACAGAATGAATTTAACCTGAGCACGAAGCTAATTTTTATCTGAACCAGCTCCTTTGCATGGAAAATGGGACTATAGAATGAGATAAGGAAGGTTAGTTCTTTATCGTTCATGTAACAAATCTCTTAATAGTACAGAATGGCACGTTAGTTATTTCTAGTGACAATATTAAGATGGTAATGAGAAAAGAATAGTATTATATATTCATTCTCCTGACAGGTATTACAATAAGATTGGGAATGGACCAAAAAAATTAATCAATTATACTTAGCCAAAAGGGAAATTGGAATAGTAAGAACATCCTGGAAACAAGAACAAAAAAATAAAATTAAAAAAAAAAACGTACTGGAACAAGTTCAATACCTGTCCACTTCTGGAGACTCTCATCCAGTGCTTATCAGAATCCACTTAAATTTCTGTTCCTTGCTCTCAGAGTCTTTTATTGATTGCCCCTTCATTGAAAAATACCTCTGCTAGTTTTCCTTTCTTAACTGCTTCTGCAGTACAACCACAGGGCCCAGCTTCCTGCTACCTCCTGGACAAACTCTCATATCAATAATCCCAGAATTAGAGCAAAGGAAATGGCCTGCGTTGAAAACAAAGGATTCTTATGTGTAGAACAAAGCCCTAGGAAACTTGACAATTTTCATTTTAGAAAACTAATTATTTGATGTTTCTATTTACAACAGGGAGAAAATATTTTTGTGAATTTATTTTCGTGAATAGTAGGTGTTTATTTCTTTGTGGTGATAGTGCAATTATCAAAGAATGAAAATAGCAGTTATAGGTTTATGTAAATTTTTATGTTTAAAATACTGGACTAGTAGCTTGTTTGTGATGGTTTTAGTAAACCTGAGAATATCATATTACCCGGACCAAAAATTTTGTTTCTTGAGAACCTTTTGAATTTTACAACGTTTAACATATGTTCGTAATATTTTTAAATAAATACTTTTTTTGTAATTTTAACTAGCATTTGTAAATTAGGAGATAGTAAAATAATGAGCTGATAATAAAAAATAATTCTGTGAATATAGCCGAGGGTTCTGAGAAATTAAGCTTCTTGTGAAAAAAAAAAGAATGTCACAAAAAAAATAGGAAGAATAAGTAAAAATGTTTTATGGCAAAGCTCAGCCTGAGATAGCTCGGTCTCTATTTCAGCCCGCAGAAATACAAAGCAATGAGAGGAATTTATTTTAAAAAAAAGTTGTCTAGGTTCTGCTGTTCACTTTTATTTCCCACCAAGAATAAATGTCGCTTTTGTGATGCTCAATGTCTTCAAGTTTCCCAGTGCACTCCAAGGTGGCAGAGGTGGTGGTATTTCTTTCTCTTTTGATGCAGGTAGTGCTGAATTCATAACACACGGAAAACCATACACACCAGTGGTTCTTAAGGTGATATTCTTAGACCAGTGGCATCAACATCACCAGAGGATTTGTTAGAAATGCCACTAAATCAGAAACTCTGGGGGCAGGGCCCAATTGTCAGTTTTAAGAAGTCCTCCAGATGATTCTGGTGCTTGCCAAAGTTTGAAAATTGTTGATTGAAACCACTCTAAGACATTCCAAGCAAGGATCAGGAAAAGACAGAAAATCACCAGCTCATACCCATGTGTGCCATATGTATTTTGAGTTCTTGCTTAAATACAAAATATAACATTATAAAAATTAACATACCATGAGTACTGATTTTTTATATCTGGAAAGAAATCTGAATCTATCAAAGGAAAAATGTTTTAAAAGTTTGATAATTCAGTAAGTGTAATTCCCTTGGTTTGATATGAAAATGTATACTATTTTAGATCTTTCCTTGTTTCTCTTGTGGGCATTTAGTGCTATAAATTTCCCTCTACGCACTGCTTTAAATGTGTCCCAGAGATTCTGGTATGTTATGTCTTTGTTCTCATTGGTTTCAAAGAACATCTTTATTTCTGCTGTCATTTCCTTATGTACCCAGTAGTCATTCAGGAGCAGGTTGTTCAGTTTCCATGTAGTTGAGCGGTTTTGAGTGAGTTTCTTAATCCTGAGTTCTAGTTTGATTGCACTGTGGTCTGAGAGACAGTTTGTTATAATTTCTATTCTTTTACATTTGCTGAGGAGTGCTTTATTTCCAACTATGTGGTCAATTTTGGAATAAGGGCGATGTGGTGCTGAGAAGAATGTATATGCTGTTGATTTGGGGTGGAGAGTTCTGTAGATGCCTATTAGGTCCACTTGCTGCAGAGCCGAGTTCAATTCCTGGATATCTTTGTTAACTTCCTGTCTCATGGATGTGTCTAATGTTGACAGTGTGGTGTTAAAGTCTCCCATTATTATTGTGTGGGAGTCTAAGTCTCTTTGTAGGTCACTCAGGACTTGCTTTATGAATCTGGATGCTCCTGTATTGGGTGCATATATATTTAGGATAGTTAGCTCTTCTTGTTGAATTGATCCCTTTACCATTATGTAATGGCCTTCTTTGTCTCTTCTGATCTTTGTTCGTTTAAAGTCTGTTTTATCAGAGACTAGGATTGCAACCCCTGCTTTTTTTTTTTATTTTCCATTTGCTTGGTAGATCTTCCTCCATCCCTTTATTTTGAGCTTATATGTGTCTCTGCATGTGAGATGGGTCTCCTGAATACAGCACACTGATGGGTCTTGACTCTTTATCCAATTTGCCAGTCTGTGTCTTTTAATTGGAGTATTTAGCCCATTTACATTTGAGGTTAATATTGTTATGTGCGAATTTGATCCTGTCATTATGATGTTAGCTGGTTATTTGTTCATTAGTTGATGCAGTTTCTTCCTAGCATCAATGGTCTTTACGATTTAGCATGTTTTTGCAGTGGCTGGTACCAGTTGTTCCTTTCCATATTTAGTGCTTCCTTCAGGAGCTCTTGTAAGGCAGGCCTGGTGGTGACAAAATCTCTCAGCATTTGCTTGTCTGTAAAGGATTTTATTTCTCCTTCACTTATGAAGCTTAGTTTGGCTGGATATGAAATTCTGGGTTGAAAATTCTTTTCTTTAAGAATGTTGAATATTGGCCCCCACTCTCTTCTGGCTTGTAGAGTTTCTGCCGAGAGATCCACTGTTAGTCTGATGGGCTTCCCTTTGTGGGAAACCCGACCTTCCTCTCTGGCTGCCCTTAACATTTTTTCCTTCATTTCAACTTTGGCACCCTAACAACACAATTAAAAGAACTAGGGAAGCAAGAGCAAACACATTCAAAAGCTAGCAGAAGTCAAGAAATAACTAAGATCAGAGCAGAACTGAAGGAGATAGAGACACCAAAAAACCCTTCAAAAAATCAATGAATCCAGGAGCTGGTTTTCTGAAAAGACCAACAAAATTAATAGACCACTAGCAAGACCAATAAAGATGAAAAGAGAGAAGAATCAAATAGACACAATAAAAAATGATAAAGGGGATATCACCACCGATCCCACAGAGATACAAACTACCAACAGAGGATATTATAAGCACCTCTACACAAATAAACTAGAAAATCTAGAAGAAATGGATAAATTCCTGGACACATACACCCTCCCATGACTAAACCAGGAGGGTGTTGAATCCCTGAATAGAACAACAACAGGCTCTGAAATTGAGGCAATAATTAAGACCCTACTAACCAAAAAAAGTCCAGGACCAGAATTCACAGCTGAATTCTACCAGAGGTACAAAGAGGAGCTGGCACCATTCCTTCTGAAACTATTCCAATCAACAGAAAAAGAAGGAATCCTACCTACCTAGCTCATTTTATGAGGCCAGCATCATCCTGATATGAAAGACTGGCGGAGACATAACAAAAGAAAAAAAGAATTTTAGACCAATATCCCTGATGAACATCGATGTAAAAATCCTCAATAAAATAATGGCAAACTGAATCCAGCAGCACATCAAAAAGCTTATCCACCATGATCAAGTGGGCTTCATCCCTGGGATGCAAGGCTGGTTCAACATATGCAAATCAATAAACATAATCCATCACATAAACAGAACCAATGACAAAAACCACATGATTATCTCAATAGATGCAGAAAAGGCCTTTGACAAAATAAAACAGCCCTTCATGCTAAAAACTCTCAATAAATTAGGTATTGATGGGATGTATCTCAAAATAATAAGAGCTATTTATGACAAACCCACAGCCAATATCATACTGAATGGGCAAAAACTGGAAGCATTCCCTTTGAAAACTGGCACAAGACAGGGATGCCCTCTCTAACCACTCCTATTCAACATAGTGTTGGAAAGTTCTGGACAGGGCAATCAGGCAGGAGAAGGATATAAAGGGTGTTCAATTAGGAAAAGAGGAAGTCACATTGTCCCTGTTTGCAGAAGACATGATTGTATATTTAGAAAACTCCATCATCTCAGGGCAAAATCTCCATAAGCCAATAAGCAACTTCAGCAAAGTCTCAGGATACAAAATCAATGTGCAAAAATCACAAGCATTCTTATACACCAATAACAGACAAACAGAGAGCCAAATCATGAGTGAACTCCCATTCACAATTGCTTCAAAGAGAATAAAATACCTAGGAATCCAACTTACAAGGGATGTGAAGGACCTCTTCAAGGATAATGACAAACCACTGCTCAACGAAATAAAAGAGGACACAAACAAATGGAAGAACATTCCACGCTCATGGACAGGAAGAATCAATATTGTGAAAATGGCCATACTGCCCAAGGTAATTTATAGATTCAATGCCATCCCCATCAAGCTACCAATGACTT
Source organism: Homo sapiens (assembly GCF_000001405.40). Taxonomy (NCBI): domain Eukaryota; kingdom Metazoa; phylum Chordata; class Mammalia; order Primates; family Hominidae; genus Homo; species Homo sapiens. The sequence continues at coordinate 80,917,453 of NC_000009.12, forward strand.
TCTTCACAGAATTGGAAAAAACTACTTTAAAGCTCATATCGAACCAAAAAAGAGCCCGCATTGCCAAGTCAATCCTAAGCCAAAAGAACAAAGCTCGAGGCATCATGCTACCTGACTTCAAACTATACTACAAGTCTACAGTAACCAAAACAGCATGGTACTGTTAGCAAAACAGAGATATAGACCAATGGAACAGAACAGAGCCCTCAGAAATAATGCCGCATATCTACAACAATCTGATCTTTGAGAAACCTGACAAAAACAAGCAATGGGGAAAGGATTCCCTATTTAATAAATGCTGCTGGAAAACTGGCTAGCCATATGTAGAAAGCTGAAACTGGATCCCTTCCTTACACCTTATACAAAAATTAATTCAAGATGGATTAAAGACTTACATGTTAGACCTAAAACCATAAAAACCCTAGAAGAAAACCTAGGCAATACCATTCAGGACACAGGCCTGGGCAAGGACTTCATGTCTAAAACACCAAAAGCAATGGCAACAAAAGCCAAAATAGACAAATGGGATCTCATTAAACTCAAGAGCTTCTGCACAGCAAAAGAAACCACCATCAGAATGGGAGAAAACTTTTGCAAACTACTCATCTGACAAAGGGCTAATATCCAGAATCTACAATGAACTCAAACAAATTTACAAGAAAAAAACAACCCCATCAGAAAGTGGGCAAAGGATATGAACAGACACTTCTCAAAAGAAGACATTTATGCAGCCAAACAACACGTGAAAAAATGCTCATCATCACTGGCCATCAGAGAAATGCAAATCAAAACCACAATGAGATACCATCTCACACCAGTTAGAATGGCAATCATTAAAAAGTCAGGAAACAACAGGTGCAGGAGAGGATGTGGAGAAATAGGAACACTTTTACACTCTTGGTGGGACGGTAAACTCGTTCAACCATTGTGGAAGTCGGTTTGGTGATTCCTCAGGGATCTAGAACTAGAAATACCATTTGACCCAGCCATCCCATTACTGGGTATATACCCGAAGGATTATAAATCATGCTGCTATAAAGACACATGCACACATGTGTTTATTGCGGTACTATTCACAATAGCAAAGACTTGGAACCAACCCAAATGTCCAACAATGATAGACTGGATTAAGAAAATGTGGCACATATACACCATGGAATACTATGCAGCCATAAAAAATGATGAGTTCATGTCCTTTGTAGGGACATGGATGAAGCTGGAAACCATCATTCTCAGCAAACTATCGCAAGGACAAAAAACCAAACACCGCATGTTGTCACTTATAGGTGAGAATTGAAATACGAGAACACATGGACACAGGAAGGGGAACATCACACACTGGCGACTGTTGTGGGGTGGGGGGAGGGGGGAGGGATAGTATTTGGAGATATACCTAATGCTAAATGATGAGTTGATGGGTGCAGCACACCAACATGGCACATGTATACATATGTAACAAACCTGCACGTTGTGCACATGTACCCTAAAACTTAAAGTATAATAATAATAAATAAAAATAAAAAATAAATTCCTTGTTGTAATTTCAACAATTGTTCACAGTATCTTCACCAGGAGTATTCATAGATTCCATCTCAAGAAACCACTTTCTTTGCATATTCATAAGAAGCAAACTCCTCATTCTTTCAAATTTTATTATGAGATTGTAACAATTCAGTCACGTCTTCAGGCTCTACTTAAATTGTATATCTCTTGCTATTTCCACCATATCTGAAGTTCCTTCTGCCACTGAAGCCTTGAACCCTTCAAAGTCATCAATGATGAGTGGAATCAACAGCTTCCAAAATCCTGTTAATGTTGCTATTTTTACCTTCTCCTATGAATCACAAATATTCTTAATGTTATCCATCAGTGGATAGCATTAAGAATTGTAAATTTTTCCCAGAAGGTTTCAATTTACCTTGCCCAGATCCATCACAGAAATCACTACGTACAGCAGTTATAGCTTTACAAAATGTATTTCTTAAATTCTAAGACTTGAAAGTAAAAATTACTCCTTGGTCCATGGGTTACAGATTGAATGTTGTGTTAGCATGCATGAAAACTTTAAGGATATTTCCTTATACATCTCTATCAGAGCTCTTGGGTGACCAGGTGCATTGTCAATGAGCAGTGATGTCTTGAAAGGAATCTTTTTTCTAAGCAGTAGGTCTCAACAGTGGACTTAAAATACTCATTAAACCATGCTCGGAGCAGATATGCTGTCATTCAGGCTTTGTTCTATTTATAGAACAAAGGCAGAGGAAATATAGCATAATTCTTAAGGGTCCTATGACTTTCAGCATGCAAAATGAGCATTGGCTTCAATTTCAGGTCACCAGCAGCCTTCATCCATAACAAGCGAGTCAGCCTGTTGTCCTTTGAAGCTTTGAAGGCAGGCGTTGACTTATCTCTAGCTATGGAAGTTCTAAGTGGCATCTCTTCCAATATAAGGCTGTTGTATCTATTAAATATAAGGCTGTTTTATCTATTAAATCTGTTGTGTAATGTAGCCACCTTTATCGATTATATTAGATCTGAAAAACTAGCTTCAACTTGTATATCAGCATTTGCTATTTCACCTTGTACTTTTATGCTATGGAGATGTCTTCTTAAACCTCAGGAATTAACATCTGCTAGCTTCCAACTTTTCTTCTGTCACTTTCTCACCTCTCTCAATTTCATAGAATTGAAGATAATTACGGATTTTCTCTGAATTAGGCTTTGCTGTGGGGATTGTTGTGGCTGGTTTTATCTTCTATCCAGACCACTTAACCTTTCTCAACATCAGCAATAAGGCTGTTTTGCTTTCTTGTCATTTGTGTGTTCACTGAAATAGCTCTTTTATTTTCCTTCTAAAACCTTTCCTTGGATTCAGATCTTGGCTAAATGTTTGGCACAAGAAGCTTAGTTTTTGGTCTAGCTTGGATTTCAGCATACCTTCTTTACTAAGCTTAATCATTTCTGGCTTAGATTTAAAGTGAAAAATGTGAACACTTGCTTTCACTTGACCATTTAGAGGTCACTATAGGGTTATTGATTAGTCTAATTTTAATATTGTTGTGTCTCAGGGAACAGAGAGACCCAGTGAGAGACAGAGATGGGGAAATGCTGGTCAGTGTAGCAGTCAGAACACGCACAATATTTATTTATTAACTTCACCATCTTACATGGGTATGGTTTGCGGTGCCCCAAAAGAATACAATGGTAACATCAAAGATCACTGATCACAGTTCACCACAACACATTTAATAATAATGAAGAAGTCTGAAATATTGCAAAAATTACCAAAATGTGAAACAGAGATTTGAAGTGAGCACGTGCTGTTGGAAAAAAATGGTGCCAAAAGACTTGCTTAACACAGAATTGCCACAAACCTTCAATTTGCAAAAAATGCATTATCTGCAAAGTGCAATAGAGAGAAACACAATAAAATAAGATATTCCTGCGTATATATTATATATATTTTGTCAGTGATGCACCACATAAAAGGTAAAATTATGTAGCTATGTATATCTGGGCTTATTTTGTTTGTTACATTTTACTGGGAAATAAAACAGTGTCAAATCAATAGAATTAGGCTAAACATGGCAAAGGCAGGAGAAACCCATTTTGAGCTTCATGAAAGGTACTTGGTCACACAAGTGTAAAGTAAAGGAAAAAAAGGATATGAGCACACTCATGGCTATTAGAGGAATGAGGACCTGCTGGGAGTTTTAGAAATGCATGCAAAATGTAAGACTGAATCGATATGAGAAAGTATTTTGTATAAAGGTATGAAAAATTAATATTTTCCTATTGATATTCTTGACCAATTTTGTCTTCATAAACAGATTATCTGCGTTACAACAGTTCCCTCCATTGATCTCATGGTCCTTTTTGCCACCAAAGAGGTTTGACCCCCAGAGCAGAAGACAAGGGATGTCATATTGTATCTATAGGTTCATCAGCTAAGATATGGTACACATCCCCGGTGTGTGATGTTCCCCTTCCTGTGTCCGTGTGTTCTCATTGTTCAATTCCCTATTTGTATTTGCTCAATCTAGCACTTTACCGGCGTGAAAATGTGTTTGCACTATTACAGGAGTCCAAGCCAGCTTGAACAGGATCATCTGAGGGAGAGAAGATGAAGAAGAGACTGTCCAATATGGTAGTCACCAGTGTCATACGGCTATGGAGCCCTAGAACTGCGGCTGACGACATTGAGATGTGCTGTAAGTCAAATATACCCTATATGTAAAAGGCTTAGTATGAATTTTGAATATGAAATATTTCAAGTTTTTTACATTGAATGCATGTTGAATTAATATTTTAGAGGAATTGTGTTAAATAAAATCAGTTACTGAAATTGATTTTACCTACTTTTTAATTTTTTAATGTTTCTACTAAAATCTTTAAAATTACACGTGTGACTTATATTATATTATCAGTGGATAGTGCAGGATTAGAAAGAAAATGCTAGGGAAGGAAAGAGACCATGCAGAGTCTTGAAGATCATGGTAAAGGATTCTGGGTATTACTTGAGTGAGACACAAAGGCATTGAAGGGTTTAAGCAGAGGAATGACAGGACCTGCCTTATCGTTTAAAAGAATCACTAAGATTGCTCTCTTGAGTCCCCTCCAAAAAAACCCAAGTGAGATAATTTAAAGGCGAATGTTTCTTACTGGTGATGACTATTGTTACTATCTGCAGAATGTTTCTTACTGGTGATGACTGTTGTTACTATCTGCAGAAAAAGTTATTGTGTATTCCCTCGGCTTGTCTCCTCAGCTCCTGGCTAAGGTACTACATGGATTGCAATTTACAGGCACAACTGACTTATTGCCTGATCTAAAAATGGCTTCTCCGGGTTGTTAATTAAAAACTACTTTTGGAAAACTTACCATGTGCCGATACTATTCCACGTGCTAGGGATGAAGGAGCAGTAAAAGAAGGGGGAAAAGCAGCAGTGAAAATATGCCTCATGGGGGTTATACTTTAGTGGAGACAGCTTATGTTAACAAAACAAAAATGAACAAATATATATAGTATATTAGATTTAAAGTGGTATGGTCAAAATGAAATACAAGACTAAAACAAGGAGTATGTTGTCGTCTGTTCTTCCCTGCTACAGAGAACTACCTTAGACTGGGTAATTTATGAAGAACAGAGATTTAACTGACTCACAGTTCTGCAGGCTGTCCAGGAGGCATGGCTGGGGAGGCCTCAGGTAACTGGCAGGAGGTGAAGGAGAAGCAGGCATGGTCTTCACATGGCAAGAGCAAGAGAGAGAGAAAGGGGAAGTGATACACACTTTTTAACAACCAGATCTCCTGAGAACTCTATCACCAGAACAGCAAGGGGGAAGTCGGCCCCCATGACTCAATTACCTCCCACCAGGCCCTTCCTTCAACACCTGGGGATCACAATTCAACGTGAGATTTGGGTGGGGACACAGAGCCAAACAATATCAGAGTACCAGGGTGGAATGGGCTACTTCTGTTCTAAACGGAGTGATTAGCTGAAAGGCTTCACATGAGAGAGGTGTGAGCAACCTGTTTTCATGTGAATGTTTGTGCCCCTCATATTAATATGTTAAATCCTAAACCCCAATGTGATGATGCTAAGACGTAGAGCCTTTAGGTGTAATTAAATCATGAGGGAGAAAACCTCATGGATGGGATTAGTGCCTTTATAAAAGAGCCCCCAGGCCGGGCACGGTGGCTCACGCCTGTAATTCCAGCACTTTGGGAGGCCGAGGTGGGCGGATCACAAGGTCAGGAGTTCAAGACCAGCCTGACCAACATGGTGAAACCCCATCTCTACTAAAAATACAAAAATTAGCTAAGCGTGATGGCATGCACCTGTAATCCCCACTACTCAGGAGGCTGAGGCAGGAGAATCACTTGAACCCGTGAGGCAGAAGTTACAGTAAGCCAAGATCACACCACTGCACTCCAGCCTGGGTGACAGAGAGAGACTCCATCACAAAATAAAAAAAAATTAAAAAATTTAAAAAATTTTTAAAAAGGCCCCAGTGAGATCTCTTGCCCCTTCCACTATATGAGGTTGCCGTGAAAAGATGGCCATCTATGAGGAAGCAGGTCCTCACTAGACACCAAATCAGCCAGAGCCTTCATCTTGGACTTTTCAGCCTCCAAAACTGTGAGAGATTTCTGTTGTTTTTAAGACACCCTATCCATGGTATTTTGTTATACCAGCCTAAACAGACTAAGAAATGACCAAAGTGGATATAGGGGAGAGGGGAGAGGTCTGGTCATATAAATCAGCTAATGCAAAGGCTCTGAGACTGGATTGTGCTGGGTATGTTGAAGGAACAGTAAAGAAGTCGAGATGTCTAACTAGATGGAGTGAGCAGGTGGGACAGCAGGAAATAAAGTATGCCTTGACACAACTACCTACCTCAAGGCTCCTAAGATACAACTAGAGGAAATGATGTGGTTTTGTGGAATTTTGAGGTTCCTGGGAAAGCAAAAATGGATCTGGTTTTTACTCACAGGTAGGCTCCTAGTACCCTCATCACAGGGTTCTCCTGAAGCACATGCAAATTCTTTGGATTGAAGAGTTCATGTAAGTGGGTTCAATGTAATCAATGCAATGTTAAGCCAGATAGGTTCCAAATTAGAGTAACCCTCAGGAACTCCAGAACTCACCTAGCAGGAACTGCAACAGGGATGTTGAATGAACGTATCATTAGTGTCAATATCACAACTTGTAAATAAGTCTACCCTGAGCTTGTTTAGTCTTCTAGGGAGATGGGTGAGAAGAAATTTAGGCTAAAATTAAAGGTGTAGTTTCCCAGAGAAAGTTTCATATAAAAGAGGTAGAAAGAGCAACTGTGGTTTGTAAGGGAAGTGGATGGAAGACAAACAAGAAATTTCAAAAGATTTTATATTCATAAAAAAAACCAGGTTAATATATAAAAACTAATTAGAGAATTGAGAAATTAAACACGTCATTGTCAAAATATAACATTCATTAAATAGGCTGATTATCATAAGTTAGTAAATGGTGTGTTTTAAATGCTACTCAGTGATGAGAAAAAAATAAAGCAGGATAAGTAAAACCAGGAGTGCCAGGTGCAAAAGGGGAAGGGGCAGGAGAGGAGAGCTGGGCAAAGGCCCTGAGGCAGGAACAAGGTGGGGAGGCTGCAGTGGAAGGAGCTTTGCTCAAAACTTAAACACCTTCAGACAACCTCTGGCTCTGTTTCACAGTTAAAATGGCCAAAGAGAAGCAGAAGACCTCTGTGGGCCCCAGGGTCATCAGGGACCCTCTAATTGTGCATTTGTTTGCATCAGGAGGATGGAACAAGGAATAAGGATACATGACACAGAGGGAGAACTATTCGGAAGGAATGAAAGAATATTTGAAAAAACAGATATGAAAGTAAATCAGGTCTATGCATTCTGTCATTGTGCATGTTGGCCTGCTGACCCATCAATAATTATCCTTTAGTTATTCAGTAAGTGTTCTACTGTCTTGCTCTTGAGCAGGTCCCAAGCTAACCTTGAAGGACATATATGTTGGGTCTGCCACTGGAGAAAGTAAGACTCCACCAATGCAGAACTGAATTCAGCATTTCCCAGAGATGTTCTGGGGGTTGCTTGTCTCATTCAGTGTTTCGTGATAACATGATTGAAACATTTGGTATGTTAGGAAACCACTGCACACTCTATCCCTGTCTTGGTGATTCCTAAATAACTGGCACATTAAAGGCTTTGAGAAGCCCTCACATAAAAAGACTAGGGCTTTGTTTAATCCATCACTTCCCAAATTTACTTCAGTAAAAAAACATTTTATTTGTGTAACACATGTTCATATGTATCAGAATTAATGATCCATAGAATCTGCTGTGGGGGGAGCAGCCTTTGGGTCAGCTTCCTAGAACACTAACCCAGGCAGTGTGCAAGCATCCTTCCTCCCACCAAGTTTAGGGTCTTCATAAAGTGCTATCCCTGCCTGGCAGGATCTTGAACTAGAACTCATCCAAACACAGCATAACAGGGTGGCCTGTGATCCTCACCCACTTCTTACTCTTCTTTTTCTTAATAGGGAGAATTATCAGTGATGTCTCCATCAAACTCTCTCTCTTTTTCTTTCTCTCTCTCCTTCTCTCTCTCTTCAGCATTAAAAATTATCTATCCTCTTTTTCTCTTTTTACTGCTTAATTCTCCTTTATTAACTATTATGAAAAAGAAATAATAATGTAACTAAAATAATGTAGGTCATAACATCACCAAAGGGATAGAATACGGCAAAAGAAGCACATGAAATAAGTGCTATTGCAGTTGAGGTCACCGGTAACTGGCATTTCACAAAACACCAAGGCCTCACAGAAAATGTGAAGGGCTGGTAAAACTAAAATAAATGGAGGATATTAATGAACATCCTGGAAAACAAGGATGCCAACATTCTGAGCAAAGATGTATTAATATATAAATCATTTTTTTCCTCCTCTATTAGCAATGATTTTACCCTTATGGCTTTAAGTAACCAATTCAATATTTGAAATGCTTATATTTCCTAAACATATTTATACATGTCTATTCTATTAAAGTTTTCTTCTATATTAAATGTCAAAGAATAGTAGCATTCTCAAGTGGAGACATTTGCTTTAGCTAGGGTAATGACAAAACCTAGAGGGGAAAGTTGTCTCTTGCTTCTTCAGGCTTCTGAGGCAACAGAGGGACTGTTTTTATGTGCAAAACATAAAACCGTGAGCAAAAAATAGCAGAACTTAATATGGAATTTTGATATTTTGTGTCCTGCCACTAACTGGCCCATGACAGTGGCAGGCTCTTTTCATCTTTTTGGGTTTTTCTTTCCTCATCTGCAAAAGGAAGCAATAGTATCTAAACCAGGAGTCAGCAAACTGCAATCAGTGAGCCACATCCAGCCACTGACTATTTTTATAAATAAAGTTTTATTGGCACACAACCACACCCACTTGTTTATGTCTTGTCTACGGCTGGTTTTGTTCTATAATGGCAGAATTGAAGAGATATGAGTAGTTGTGACAGAGACTGTGTGGCCTGTAAAGCTTTAAATATTTACTGTGTGGCCCAGTACACAAAAGTTTGCTCAGTATGGTTTCTGCCAACTCTCACATCATATGATACAGAGTATTACCCTACAAGAGGCTTAATTGTTGTCATTGGAGTACAGGTGTTAAGAGTTGAGTAAATGGCCTCAGCAAACCACCCCAATTTAAATATTTCATGCACCCTTAGTTGATTGCTTTTGCCACCCACAGCATTTTGACAATGAACCACACACCAAATTGCTGCAACCAGTGCCAAGGAAACACAGTTTGAAAACAAAGCTTGCTTTCTGGTCCATGCCTTATGAAAATGTATGATGTGAATTGCTCTCAAATAAGGTGTGCGTTGTGCTGTGTCTCCGGCTTTGAATCCCAGAAACCACAACGTTCCTCAACTCAACCTCCTTCATAGAAGAGGGAGAGCTTGCCTTGCAAACCAGATGAACCAACTCTGACATTTTATTTATTTTTCTTTCTGGAAATGCTCACTCAAAGGGAAAAGTGTCCCCAAATTTTCTGCAGCTGCTGTCTGGATCATTTTTTAAAAATATACTCAAGGAAGCTGCCTGGGTGGCCATAGAGAATGATTGAATCAGCCTGAATTTCACATATTGAATGCTTTGAACAGGTCTCAGTGATCAGATTATCACAGGGTCCTGACCATGTCTAGTAACCCTTTCACAATTGACTCCCTACTATTGCCTAACATCTGCTACAATACCAAAGGGAATTTCCTGGATGATTCTCTCCCCCCTTAACATTTAATCCAATGCACTGAAAGACAAGCAACTATTCCAGGTTTAGCATCAGAGAAGAATTCATTTAGAAAAATGTCAAAAACATAAAAATTCAATCACCAAGTGATTATTAGACACTAAACCTCAAAGTCTCAAAGAGATTCTAAATTTCACAAGGGTGCAGTTTCTCATCTTTTATATGTTTTTAAGGGGAGGTGTGCATGTTCTGTCAAACAGTGGCATAACCAAGATACCAATTTTGAATAATTAATAATGGCACATAAAATACAAAAAATAACAACAGGTAAGAAAAGTCAATCATACTGGAAATTTGTAGCAGTTCAATAAAAAATGCTACTGGTGGATATTGAGACATGTTTATGAGTTCATTCCGACCAACAGCTGGCCCTGTTTATTCTCTTACATCATAGAAGACATTGGACACTGGGGACAAACCCTTACAGGGTTTGGGGTAGGACCATTTCTTCATATATATGTCACATTTCTATCTACTTTCTATGTTGAAATGTGATGCTGCAAGACAAATAAGCATTTTGGTAAGAAAACAGTTTGGAAAGTACTTGTTTGCTCCAAAATTCATGTTGAAACAATCTTGAATGCAATAGTAATAAGAAGTGGGGCCTTTATGAGGTGATTACGTCACAGGGGCTCCTCCCTCGTGAATGGGATAAATGCCCTTAAAAGGGAGGCTTCAAGCGGTATTCAGCCCTCTCTTTTGCCCTTCTGATCCTCCTGCCATGTGAAGATGCCTAGATGGCTCCATGTATAGGAAACAAGCTTTCATCAGACACCAAACTTGCAGGTGCCTTGATTTTGGACTTCCCAGCCTGTGGAACTTTGAGAAATAAATTTCTGTTGTTTATACATGACCCAGTCTCAGGTATTTTTATAATAGCAGCACAAACAAACTAAGACAGAAAGTTTGGGGTATTTAGCTGAACAGACTATGCTTCTTGCTCCCATGAGACTGAGCACTTTGTACACCTGTGCCCAGGAAGTGAATCCCTCCAATTCCTCTCTCGCAGAAGAAAAGAAGAAGAGAAGGAACAGGAGTGGGAATTTAAGAAAATAAATCACAAACCGCTTCAAATCTCTGCAAGCTCCACTTCCCACAGGAACATCCCCAGAATCTGAGGCTTTTCTTGTGTTGAGAAAGAGATGAGGGCAGGTCGTTGGGTTTCCCTGCAAGCATCCTTTTCCCACTTCCAGTGTAGGTACAGGGAAACTGACATTGACTAATGCAAATCAATATGCTTAAGTGGCATGAATACATTATTTCATATAATGCTTACAAAGCTGCAAAGTTGACATTATTATTTGATGATTATCCCTATTTCATAGGTGAGAAGATTTAGACTCAGACCAGGGAAACCGTCCACAGTAATATATTTAGCAATAGCAAACAAAAAAAAAATTGATTTGTTTAGTTCCAAAATTCTTGCCGGTCACATTACATCCCTCTATGAAGAGAAGTCCTCCTTTTCAGAGCCAAGCTTTCAAGCTCTCAAGATAAAACCATTACCACTCTCTTTTTTCCATAGAGAATGAGAGAACCCTCTGATGTGGAGTGAGCAGGACCTGAAATTACTTCCAGAACTATCCTTGGCACACACCACAAAGCCCCAAAGCTTTGACTTGTAAGTTTCTATAGTCTTGCTGGTCATGCCCTGGAATGACTCAGCAGGATCAAGACCAGTTACAAAATTTTACCACTTTTCTTTGTGCCCAGTCTAGAAAGATTTCTGAGAAGGGTTGTGATGTATCCCAAATGATATGCAGAAGTGTATGGGAGTGTAGGTGACTATGCTGCAGGTATGTTTTTTTGCCCAGTGTACACTTGTGAGGTCCTGGTCAACATAAAGAATAAAGACAGGTTGCCTCTTTGTTTTCACACTCGACTGTTCCCACTATGCTATGGCTAACTCTATGCTGCTCTCAAGGACACAGCTGTCTCTCCTCCATCATAATGTAAAGATAAAGCCCACATGGAACTCAGCAAGGCAGATACACCAAAGACAGGAAGAATCTGAAATTGTGAAAAGTTCAAATTTTATATGTAGAAGTATATATCTTACAATCCTATATAAAAGTTCATATATATATAGATAGATAGATAGATATAGATATACATAATTACTTGAAAGTATTGTACACCTGCATACACATATGTATTTGCATATATGTGCAGGCAAAGAAAGTACTGGAAAGTAGGCAGTTGAGATTTTCAAATGCTTTGAATGGCTATTTTAATGAAGAGCTAAGAATGATTTACAAAGTTTAGTTCTTCTAAAGTACTTGAAAGCAATTTCTTCTCAATGGTAGGTAAGGAATCCCTGTTTTTGATCTTGTTTCACTCACTTTTTTTTAGAAAACTTTAAATATAATATACATATAAATAAGATGATGCAGCATTTGTTTTTCTGTATCTGGCTTATTTCGCTTAGCATAATATCCTCTATGTCCACCCACTTTGTTGCAAATGACTGAATTTCCGTTCGTTTTAAGGCTGAATGGTATCCCATTGTGCATACAATGTTCACCAGAGGCTTGGGTAGGAGGAGGAAAGAAATAGATAGTTACTGGTCAAAGGATAAAAAATGTCAGAGAGACAGGAGGAATAAATTTGAGATCTATTGTACATCAGGATAACTATAGTCAAGAAAAAATAATGTACATAAAGGCATTTAGTCAAAAGTGGATTATCTAATTCCAGACTTGTGAGAACTTACAGAAATGAAGGCATATCTGAGAAAGTATTTGCAAATAACCACTACTTCACTATTCCAAAATTAATGTCCAAAAGGCCTCTCTGATTATCCAAATCCAGAGAAAATAAATTTTGAATACATAATACAAGGATATCCTTGTAAAAAGTGATGGCAGCTGCCCCTGCACAGAGAAATGGAGGGGCTTAGAGAGAGAATTACATATTTATATACTTTTGTGTCTGTTAAATTTTGAATCAGGTGTTTTCCCTATTCAAAAAAAATGGAAATTAACATCTTTTAAAATTACTATTCAGTGTTACTATTTTTACTTAATCTCTCTTTGACAAGCCATTTATCTTACATTTATTCTCCTCATGTATTTGCCATGACTTCCAAAATCTTCAAGAAATCTCATTGCTTCGTTTTTATCTCTGCACCATGTTCATTTCTCCTCACTCATATGTTGCACCAAAAATATTCTTCAGCACTTTTCATGTTTTTATGCTGCATGTCTACATTTGGATTATGGTTTTCCAGGGAGATTGCAAAGGGAGGTAATATGAGTGTTAGTTCTCATTGACAGCCTACGTTAGAATTTTAGCTCCTGCCTCTTACTAATTTTATATCCATGGTCACATAACTAAAAATCTCTAATACTCAGTTCCTTCATTTTGAAAAGAGGATAATAATAGTAATAATATCTTGTTGTGTTGTCAAAATATTAAATAGTACATGTAAAATACTTTGCCTAGTACTCTGTACACTGTATTCACTCAATAAATAATTATTTTTATGCCTTTGGGTGTAGTACACTCTGTAATTCTCACTTCAAATTCTTACATTTCAAGAAATCATGTTGTTAGTTTAAAAATTGGGTCTGACTGAAGCGAGTCATACAGGAGGCCAACACACATATTTAAAAAAAAAAAATCCCAGTATCACTGATCATTGAAGAAATGCAAATCAAAACCACAATGGGATACTATCTCACACTAGTCAGGACATCTATTATTAAAAAGTCAAAAAATAACCGATGCTGGCGAGGTTGTAGAGAAAAAGGAACACTTATAAATTGTGGGAGTGTAAATTACTTCAACCATTGTGGAAAGCATTGTGGCTATTCCTCAAAGTGCTAAAAACAGAACTACCATTTGACCCAGCAATCCTATTACTGGGTTTATACTCCCAAAATACAAATCATTCTACCATAAAGATGCATGCAGCACTATTCACAATAGCAAACGTGGAATCAAACTAAATGCCCATAAATGGCAGATTGGACAAAGTATATGCGGTACATATACACTATACACTACAGAATACAATGCGGCCTTTAAAATAACTAGATTATGTCCTTTGCAGGAACACAGATGGAGCTGTAGGCCATTATCTTTAGCAGCCTAACACAGAAACAGAACAGCAAATACTGCATGTTCTCACTGATAAGTGGGAGCTAAATGATAAGAACACATGGACACAAAGAGAGGAACAACAGACACTGGAGCCTACTTGAGGCTGGAGGGTGGGAGGAGGGAAAGGATCAGAAGAAGTAACTATTGGGTACTAGGCTTAGTACCTGGCTGATGAAGTAATCTGTACAACAAACCCCCATGATATGAATTTACTTATATAACAAACCTGCACATGTAGCCCTGAACCTAAAATAATTTTTTAAAATAAAAATTAAAAAGTCATATATAGGCCAGGCATGGTGGCTCATGCCTGTAATCCCAGCACTTTGGGAGGCCGAGGCGGGAGGATCACGAGGTCAGTTTGAGACCATTCTGGCTAACACGGTGAAACCCCGTCTCTACTAAAAATACAAAAAAGTAGCCAGGCGTGGTGGTGGGCACCTGTAGTCCCAGCTACTCGGGAGGCTGAGGCAGGAGAATGGCGTGAACCAGGGAGGCAGAGCTTGTAGTGAGTGAGCCGAGATCACGTCACTGCACTACGGCCTGGGTGACAGAGTGAGACTCCATCTCAAAAAAAAAAAGGTCGTATACAGACAGTGATGGGAATTGGAAAACATGGGCAAATGATAGTTGTCATCTAGAGATTACATTTCTTCTATTAATTCCCCCACAACAAAACAAAAAGGGAAACATGTAAAAACCAGATAAGAATATCCCCTTCTGCCTTGTTTTTTCTTGAGTTGCTTTCTTGATATGTTGCCAACCAGAGTATGGAATCTAGGTTCTGTCAGTTAGGCACTGTGTTCACCCTGAGTTTTCCTCCACGGTCTTTTGGTTTTGATCTTTGTTTCTCAGTGCTCCCAATTATTTAGAAATAATTCCCAGCCATAACCCAGCCTCCATCATTAGCCATTTGCCTGTCTGGCAAGACCTGCTCCAAAGAGGAAGTGAGTGGAAATGCTTTCATGGTTTGAGTCAGTAAACTTTTACTGAATGTCCAACACATGCTGAGTGGTATTCTCCAGCAGCATGGGGTGCACGCCTACATCCTAGACATAAAAGAAATAATAGATCTGGCTCCATTCCACTGTAGTCTTATATAAAGTCAAAATGAAATACAGAAAAGCAAACTTCATAATATACGTGGATGAACTTTGTCTTGTGCAACATTGGGTTGACATATACAAACTGGGCCAGGCTCTTGCTTTCTCCTCTTTCTCCTGTTTCTCAGCAAATGCTTGACCCATCATTTCTGATTGAAATATGTTTTTCTGGCAGGAAGATCATCTGGCACACATATTTTGACCAATTCTCAAATAAAATAAATGGGTTTGCCTCAACCTCATGTGTGGAACAGACCGTGGGTGGTCATTCTGAATTTGGACTCCAGGGCAGGAAACACCCAGCTTGTGCTTTTCAAAGTGCTAAGCAGTCAATTAACTAATTACACTCAGATATATTCTTTTAATCTCCATGGCAGGACAATTCAGCACTGCTAGATCCAAACTGTATTGCACCCAGATCTGGGAACGTGTGAAATGGCCATACATAAGAACATACATAAGGAACAAAAGAGAATTTTAAAATATATGGGCAATGAAGCATAATTGTGCCTCTTGTACCAGTCACAGATCCTGACCCTTATATCCGCATTCACTTCATAGACTCGCTAGTGATCTTGAATGCAGTCAAGAAAAAGCAAACATTTTACATCCCCTGATAGAAAGCAAAGGAACATCTTGTTCTGCTTGCTGAAACTTGGCTGTTATACCCAACAGTAAAATGTTCACAGGCGGACTGTGTAGGAAGAACACCTGAATTCTGGGGAAATGCATCATTCATCACTTTTTTGCTTTAAATACTCAGAAATATTTTTTCTATCATCTTGTGCCTTTTTATAGGCTGTTAATGATGGGAGAACCTGATTAAATGCAGGCAGGCTTTCACATTTAGAATGGATAAGAGAAAGGGAACGAATGCTAAACATGTGTCATGCACTACCAGCCAGGGCCCAGCTTTTTATTATGTTTTATAAACTTTCAGATTGACATTGAGTTGGAAGAGCATTCACATTTACATAAACGTGCCTTATTTTGCACACAATTGCTACCAATAATAAACAGTGAATGGTTGAACTAATTCCTTTACTCCTTGTGGAAAAGATTAACTTTCCTGCCATTTGTTTAATATTTGCTGGAAATTGGGAATTCCAAAGGTCATGAAGTACAATTTCCCAAATATTCAAAGCCCAGATGTCTATTAAAGAATGCAGAAGCCTTATAGATCAGGACATCTTCTTCCATGGGAGATGCTTTGGGAGTGTCAGGTTTGACGTTGTTTTAGCTATTCACATGGCCACAGAGTTCCCAAACGAGCACCAAGATGCCTGCAGCAGCCAACTCACAGAAGCACTGGAGGATATTTTCAATTTTGATATTTCAATTTCTTTGATATTTTCAAGGAAATTGAATTGAATTCAATTCAATTCAATTCAAACCCAGCAACAGCTGTCTAACACCACACAAACTAGTACTATTAAGTTGTTTGGACCTCACTATTAAAAACAATAATAATAACAGAATGGTCAGGCATTTCTTATGGGTTAGAAGTGCCATGAGAAAAACTACTGAGACATTAGGGTGTCAGGAAATCAGAAAGTTTGGGAACCTCTAACCTCTCATTTATATGAAGCCTAAATTCAAGAACATGAGCTTATATATGGTGTCTAACACATTCTATATGCCAGAAAGCATATTATGGGGAGTAGAGGAACCTTAATTTATATAACACTAATGAAAAAATATCACAGAATAGGGTCTCAGCTCTCTCTTGTTCTCTATGCTGATTGCTATTTCCAACATCCTAAGGATTCCCCTTGAAAGAATGACCAAACAGTTCTTGGCAGGGAGGAGCCATGGAATCTGGACTTTGTGTTGTTTGCTGTTTAACAGAGGGGGATTTGAAAATAGAAGTGAGATCACATCTGTTGCTCTCATTTCATCTTTTTTCTGTAATGCAATTCTTGAGGAGCTTGTGCAGTGCCTTTGAAACAACTTGCTCTAACAAGAATTGCGCGAGGCCGTGGATGCCAATAGTGTAACAAGGAAAATGTTCAGTGCAGCCCTCCAGAAGAGTTGAGGAGACTGGCAAGAACTATCAAGCTCTAGAGGGAAATGATCTGTTTAAGAAGCAAGGAATTTGGGGATTAGGAAACTTGTGGAAGTATGTATAATTATAGGGTATAATATGTAGATCTAGAATATCAGGACTCATGGCTAAAATAGAAAAGACTTTGGCCACAATCCTTTATGGATAGCTGATTGAATTGGGACACTAGGATGTAAACATTGTCAGTTTGTCAAGGAAGCGTAGGTAGGGGAAAAATACCTGTGGGCAGGGGCAAACATAATCTTCATGTGCCCATCGTGGAGTCTGTTGAAGGATTAACCTGCCTCTTTTGCCTTACAAGGGCGACTTAATGAGCCACTCATTCTTTATAGTTAATTCTACAACATCTTTGGAAAAGAAAAAATAATGTGACTAATTTCAACCTCGATCATACTCTTGTAGTTCTGTCCCAAAGACAAGAACTGAATAATAATATTCTAGCATCAAGACTGTTAAGGGAGAATCATACCAAGCATTGGGCATGTGACATCAATCTCTTTCTCTGGGCCCTTCTCTGCTGAACCTCTAAATGTGCCCCAGGTCCTATGACTCCCTTTGCTCCAGGGTCAACTTCTCTCTAGAAATTTCATTCATCTTTCCCTTATGGCTTTAAGGGATACTCATCTACTGCTAAAATATGTATTTATTTCTCTAACCCAGATCTCTTTCCTAGACTCCAAATTCATATATCCAATCATCTATTAAACTGTCTCTACCTGGATATCCAATAAATGTTCCAAACTCAACATATGAAAATAGACTTCTGGATTCTCCGATCCAAAACCTGCTCCTCTCCCAGTCAGTGTAAATGGCATTCCCACCACTCAGTTGTTCAAACCCAAAGCTTATTGATTTCTGTCATTCTTTTATTCCATAAGGCCATTCCACCCACAAATTCTTTTGATTCTTCTGCTTAAACCTCTCATAATCTCTCCACTTCTCTTCCTGCCATCTCCCACCAGCCATTATCTCTTTCCTGGCTCTATAGGCCTTGAAACTCATATCTCTTCCTCCATTCTGTCCTCCCCCATCCAATTTTCTACACATAATCTTTAAAACATAATTAATTTCATTTAACCTCTCTATGCAAATCCTGTGATGGCTTCCAAATGCATTAGAATGCAACTGGAACTCTGTAACCACAACTGAGGAGCCTATACGATTTATCTCTACCAACTATCCAGACCCATGTGTTATCAATCTCCCCTTCACTCTCCTTCAATCTCTTCAATGCCATGCTCATATATATCTTTTCTCTTTTCTTCAAAGACACCACCATGTTCCCTCCTTCAGGACTTTTAGTGCCTGCGTTATCTTCCTGAAATGCTTTGGCCTCAGTTCTTCACATGCCTGGCTCCTTCTTGCCACTTAGGTCTCATTTTAAATGTTATCCTTTTTTGTGTGGTCTTTTCTGTCCAACCAATTTCACAAATTTTTGTCACTTCCTATCATCGTCACAAAGCAATAATCACCACTTGAATACCTATTTATTTATTTATGTAGTTGGTATATTTATTATCTGTCTTACTCCTACTGAAATATAAGCTTCAGAATTATAGGAAATCATCTTCTCATTCAATACTCTATGACACAGCATGCTGCCCAGCAAATGGTAAATGCTCCGTACATATTTATTGAAAAATTTTAAACTAATGAATGGGTATTTCCAGCTAGCTCTCCCATTTTGTTGCTAGTTATGTATGTCTTCTACAGTGGTCACTTGTGGACATGATAACTAAAGCTCACTTCTCTTCAGACTTACACAAATAAGAATAACTACATAATAGAAAATGAGAAAAGAAAATTGAAAATGGTACTGCAATTCCAGCTTAAATTTAAATAGTTGGCTGTATTTTACCTGGCATGGTGGCTCACACCTGTAATCCCAGCACTTTGGTAGGCCAAGGCGGGTGGATCACCTGAGGTCAGAAGTTCAAGACCAGCCTGGCCAACATGGTGAAACCCTGACTCTACTAAAAATACAAAAATTTAGCCGGGCATGGTGGTCGGCGCCTGTAATCCCAGCTACTTGGCAGGCTGAGGCAGGAGAATTGCTTGAACCCTGGAGGCAGAGATTGCAGTGAGCCAAGATTGTGCCATTGCACTCCAGTCTGGAAAACAGAGTGAGACTTTGTCTCAAAAAAAATCAAGAAAAGTAAATACATAAATAGTTGGCAGTATTTTAATACTTCTAAAAACTTTTATATCTGATAAATGACTAAGACAAACATATTCAATTAAAAATGTATATTTCTTCAATTAGGAAACAGTTCTTACATATTTATTAGAAATTTTTCTAAACTAATTTCACAGGCTTTGATACAATACACAGAACTGGTTGTTTATTTTTATCTATATTTTAAAAGATTAACAGAATTAACTTAAACACATTTAAGTAGCTTCTATGTGCTACCCTCCTCAGGGTTGGGGATGTAAATAGTAGTATAGGATTGTGTTACGTCAAATTAAACTATTGTGTTTCTTAGACATTTTAAGAATGTTTATTGGGGCCAGGAATGGTGGCTCACACCTGTGATCACAGCACTTTTGGAGGCCGAGGCAGGTGAATCATTTAAGACCAGGAGTTGGAGACCAGCCTGACCAACATGGTGAAACCTCATCTCTACTAAAAACAAACAAAAATTAGCCAGGCATGGTAGTGCACTGCTATAATCCCAGGTACTTGGGAGGCTGAGGCAGGAGAATTATGTGAACCCATGAGGCGGAGGTTGCAGTGAGCCAAGATCACGTCACTGCGCTCCAGCCTGGGCGACACACCCAGACTCCGTCTCAAAAGAAAAAAAAAAAAGAATGTTTATTGGCATGTTTATTACTCTGCTTGAATAAAGTGTTACTTGATTCTTTTTTTTAATTACCTAAGTTAGGTTAAAATTTTTAACATATGTCTTTAAAGCTTTTACAATTAAGATATTTCAAGTGCATAACTCAAAAAGTTTATGAAATTTTTGGTTTGGGGTATGATTTTTTAAAAACCCTGCTTTTTTCAATTCCTAGAATGGTAATAAACAACTTATATCAATATTTAGCTTCAAGAGTGTCAAGCAGTCATAAATTCCCCCTTGCTTTCATTTTACTAGATATTTGCTGCCTAAATAGGTGATTTTCCAGCCCACTGAAGCCTATACATTTGAGCATTTCATAATTTTACTAATTGGTGTATAAAAAATTATGAAATTTATGATTTCCTTATTTATTCCCTCAAAGAAAGAACATGTATTTCTTATTCTCTGAGTTCTCAAAAGTAAGCATTTCCCTAAGTACTGCTGGTATTTTGCCCAAACCCTTAACTATTTCCTGTGGATTTGAAATGAGTTATCTGTTTAGTAAATGTCAATGTTTCTCAATTGAATGAGGCTAATCTTTGAACAGGACTCAAGAATGAGAGATTTGGCCTTTTCTGCCATCTCTACCACAGAGAAGTAGAAGGCAACCAAGATCTAAATGGAGGCGCAGGTGTAAATATCACACCCACTTACCTAGCAGACTTTACCCATACCTCCGATATAACTATGTCAATCATATAGGCGGCATTTACATGTCCACCTATGTCAATTATTTGCCAATCTCTTAATAGGTTCTGAATCTGGATAGGGCAGAGGAGTTTTACTGATTGAATGCTGTCAAAACCTATCATCCTGTTTATAGGCCTGGAACATTGAGAAATAGATAAGGAGTGAAATTGGGGGAGACAAAATAATGTTCAATGTTTGAGGTTTGTCCTTAAATGAGGCTAGGATATAAGGCTTTATACCTTAAGCTTTTGCAAGTATGGACCAAGAAAGTTCTTGATCTTGACATTTGCAGCATCTTATATTGTTCCATGCAGTCAGTTATTAAAATGGTGTGGTTTGCTTTTTAAGTGATATGGTTTAAAAGAACAGCTTTAGGACTGGTTTCAGCAAACAGTGGTCACATGTTATTTTGACTTTGGTGGATTACTGCAGGTCATCATGACTTTGTTCATACCAGTGGCTATTCATGGGCAGGTAAATGGCTGTTCTGATACAGCCTCAGGCTTCTTAGAAACACATACTGCTTACGGAAATATTTCATTATAGAAAAAAAGAGCTTTTAAAATTTTTAATGAGTTGGAATGTTTTCTTTCTGCAGTTTACTGTGTTTCTCAGCCAAATATGGGGTGTGTGGGAGACCGGGAACTTCAATCTTGAGAGAGCTGAGTGTTTTAATCATTATAAGGTCCTACTGATATTGTAGTCATAAATGGTTGAACTTCCAGTTTCAGCTACAATACTTCTAGTTTCAGCTCCAACATGTAAAGTACTTTGAAACTGTCACTCCCAACTTTACAACAAGGGAAAAAGCTTGACAAACTGAAAAATGACTTTTCTTGGATCTATCAGAGAATAGAAGTCTCAGAGTAGACCACCACTGTGAAATCTACAGAAACAGGCAAGATGAATAGTCACAGCCAAGAATTGTTTATCCAGAGCAGAACCTACTGGGCCATAAACTGGTAGGAACACTGAAATGGCAGTTTAGACAAATCGCTGGAGGCTGAGTGTGGACATCCTGGGAGCCATGGTCTTAGAGGATTCCTCACTTCTGTGGGTTTCACCTCCAGGAACCAAACCAGGTGCTCACCATGAAGAGTCAAAAAAGATTTCCTCTGCAACAGAGGGAAAAAGTAATCCTTGTGAAATATACCAAAGTGTTCTCCATAATAAAGTTCTACTTTATTGACCATGTCTTTTACTTTCTGTATTATGATGTGAGACATTTCTGGGCCTTGCTGACCCTGGAAGGGACTGCCCTCCCAGGGTTACCTGGTTCCTAGAGATAGTTAATAACTCATCTGAGCGTGTACTTTTCAATACAAGCCAACCAATCCAGAGCCCACACCCCAAATACCTGCTTTATCAGGTCTTATACTCTTTATCTATCTGCTCTAATCACCCTAAAGCCAGATATGAAACAACTAGGGACAGCCTCTATGCCCCAGAGCCCACTGAAATTATTCACGGTGGCCAACCCTAAACCTGCTTATCTTACCCCACTTATTTCTTCCTTCAGAAACCAAAATAAGGGTTGTTCCCATAGTTGCTCCCACTACTTCAGCCCATGATGGACCCCAGCATCTCCCCTTGTTGCCCGTGATGGGGTGGCATGTCTTCTCCTCTTGGGAACTGTGAGAATTCAATGACAATTGTCTCCTGATATGTTGGCCTAACTAGACCTCCAATTTTGTATTAGTATAATATATCTTAGAATACCTACTCTGTGTGGGAAAAATCTTTACCTGAGCCTTATCCCACTTACTTGGGAGAGAAATTAAGCAATGCTAGCCTTCCTGTTTCACATGAAGGGTGGGAAAATAAGGGGCATAAACCAAGAAACCTTTGCAAAAGTCATAGCCCAGGAACACAGGTCAACTAAAAGATTCAGATTTAGTCAGAATATGATAGAACATTTCCCCTCTCCAGCAATTTACCAGATCATCAACAGGGCTTCTGTGTGATAAGTGCATTACAGCTAAAAGAGCTTCAAGCTATAGATTCTACTTAAGGAAGAGTTTATAGGGAAATGCAAAGAAAACAGGGGAGACAAAATTAAAACTAGAGGAATTTGAAACCTCTCTTACCTTCAGCTGCAACAGAAATTAAACATAGTCCAAATCCTAGTTATACTAACATAAAACCCCACACTAAAGGCTGATTTACCTTAGTTCCTATTTCCCAACATAGCATGTCTGACTTTCAACAAAAAATTATATGGCATGCTAAAAGGCAAGAGAAAATACAGTCTGAAGACACAAAGCAAGCATTAGAACAAGAATAATGTCTTTTGAAATTATCAGACAGAGAATTTAAAAATAAATATAATTAATATATTAAGAGACCTAATGGAAAACTGAGGTAACATATAAGCCCATATAAGTAATGTAGGAAGACATACAGGAACTCAAGGAAAAATCAAAAGGAAAGGTAAAAATCAAAAACAATGTAAAAAAAATTTTGAATGACTTTCTTGGGTCACTCAGTAGATTGGACACAGCTGAGGAAAGAATCAGTGAGCTTAAAGATACATCAATAGAACTTCCAAAACTGAACAACAAAAAGAAGGATGAAAACAGGAAAAAAGAAAGCAATCCAGAACAGAACATCCAAGACATGGTGCAATTTCAAAAAGTATACATACACACGATGTGAATGCCAAAAGGAGAAGAAAGAGAGAAATATGTAGAAGAAATATTTGAAATAATAATGGCTGAGAACATTTGAAAACTAATAACAGACACCACACCACAGATCCAGGAATCTCAGAGAGCACCAAGGATAATTAATAGGAAAAAAAATGCATATTTAAACTGCAGAAAACAAAAGACTAAAAGAAAATCTTCGGCCAGGAATGATTGCTCATGCCTATAATCCCAGCACTTTGGGAGGACAAGGTGGACAAATCACTTGAGCCCAGGAGTTCTAGAACAAACTGGCCAACATGATGAAATCCCATCTCTACAAAAATTAGCCAGGCGGCCGGGCGCGGTGACTCAAACCTGTAATCCCAGCACTTTGGGAAGCCGAGGCGGGAGGATCATGAGGTCAGGAGTTTGAGACCAGCCTGGCCAGCATGGTGAAACCCCAAAATACAAAAATTAGCTGGGCATGGTGGTGTGCAACTATAATCCCAGCTACTGGGGAGGCTGAGGAAGGAGAATCGCTTGAACCCAGGAGGCAAAGGTTGCAGTGAGCTGAGATTGCACCACTGCACTCCAGCCTGGGTGACAGAGAGACTCCATCTCAAAATAAATAAATAAATAAAAAATAGCCAGGCATGATGGTGCATGTCTGTAGTCCCAGCTACTAGGGAGACTGAGGTGGGAGGAATGGTTGAGCCCCAGAAGTCAAGGCATAATTGTGCCACTGCACTCCAGCCTGGGTGACAGAGTGATACCCTGTCTCAAAAAATAAAAAAAAGAAAAGAAAAAAATTGAAGAAGCTAGAGAATTCTTTAAAAAAATCAAAACTACAGAATAAGAATTACAGACTTCCCTTCTGAAGCCATGCAAGCAAGAAAAAAGCAAGGTGAAATATTTAAAATGTTGAAAGAAAAAAAAAAAAGAACCACCAAGCTAAAATTCTATAATCACTGAACTTACCTGCAGAAGTGAAAAAGAATTAATTTATCAGACAAACAAAAATGGAGGGAATTTGTTGCTGGGACTGCCTTGCAAGAAATGTTAAAATAAGTTATTTAGGGAAAAGGCAGATTATATAGGTCCAAAACTTGGATTCACATAAAAAATAGTGTCAGAAGTCCGGGCGTGGTGGCTCACGCCTGTAATTCCAGCACTTTGGGAGGCGGAGGAGGGTGGATCACCTGAGGTCAGGAGTTTGAGACCAGCCTGTCCAACATGGAGAAACCCCGTCTCCACTAAAAATACAAAATTAGCCGGTCGTGCTGGTGCATGCCTGTAATCCCAGCTACTCAAGAGGCTAAGGCAGAAGAATCCCCTTGAACCAGGGAGGCAGAGGTTGCAGTGAGCCGAGATCGCATCATTGAATTCCAGCCTGGGCAACAAGAGTAAAACTCCGTCTCAAAAAAAAAAAAAAAAAAAAAAAGAGTGTCAGGGAAGGAATAAATGAAGGTAAAATAAAACACTAACACTTTCTTCGTATTTTTAATTAATCAGAAGCATAACTATTCACTTGAAGTAATAGTAGTTTATACTTTATTATAGTATTTAACTATACTTTATTTATAGTAAACTACTATTAATACTAATAGTAGTTTAACTATACTTTATTAATTACCCTATATGCATGGTTACATATAGGGTAATTCTAGCATATGTATAAGTGAAATAAATGACAGGAATTTTCATAAAGGATGGGAGATATAAGGTACCTATACAACTCATACAACACATAAGACAATGAACTTACATTAGTGATCAACATATGTTGCAAATATTAGGGCAACCACTTAAAAAAGTGAAAAAGAATCATAACTGATATGCTAAAAGAGGAGGTAAAATGGTCAATTAAAATCAGAAAAGGAGCGGGGCACGGTGGTACATGCCTGTAATCCCAGCACTTGGGGAAGCTGAGACGGGTGGATTACTTGTGGTCAGCAGTTCGAGACCACCCTGGCCAACATGGTGAAAGCCCGTCTCTACTAAAAATACAAACATTATCACACTGGGTGTGATGCTGCACGCCTATAGTCCCGGCTACTCGGGAGGCTAAGGCAGGAAAATCGCTTGAATCTGGGAGGTGGAGGTTGCAGTGAGCTGAGATTGTGCCACTGCACTCCAGCCTGGGTGGCAAAGTGAGACTCCATCTCAAAAAAAAAAAAAAAAAAAAAAAAAAAAAAAAAAAAAATCAGAAAAGGCCGAAAAAGAAGGAGGAGTAAAAATAACAACAAATGCAATTACTAGAAAAGAATTAAAAACTGGTGGGTATTAACTAATGCAGCTATATTGATAATAACTTTAAATGGGAAGGGTCTAGATGCACCAATTAAAAGACAAAGATTGCCAGAGTGGATCAAAAAGAAAACAAAACCAGTTAATGTTGTCTAAAAGAAAACTGCCTGAATATAAAAACTCAGCTTAGAAGTAAAGCAATGGAGAAAGATATGTCATGTTAACACAAATCAAAAGACAGCTGGAGTACTATTAATTTCAAACAAAACAGAGTTCAGAAAAAGAAAAATTATCAGAGGTGAAAGTGGACATTACAAAGTAATAAAAGTCTCAGTTTTCCAAGAAGATACAATCCTTAACGTGTATGAACCCAGCAACAGAAACCCAAAATATCTGAGGCAAAAAAACTGATAAAATTGCAAGGAGAAATATAGTAATCTACTATATAATTGCTGATTTCCATATTCTTCATTCAGTAATTGAATATATCGAAAAGGTAGAAAAACAGTAAGGATGGAATTGACTTAAATAAGACTATCAGGCAACTTAATCTAATTGACATTTGTATAATAATCCATCTAACTACACTAATACACATTCTTCTCAAGCTCACATGAAACATTCCCCAAGAGAGACCACATCCTGGGCCATATTTAGTAGAGCTAGAAGTAATACTGGATCATATGCCCCAAATTCTGTTTTCCATTTATTTTTTTTTAACTAGATTAGGCCCTCAACAGTTACAAGATACAACATAGTCCTCAATCAGCTTTAGATATGTTAATGCAAAAGCTCTGACCAAGGTTCTAGAGCTAGAAGCCGAGACTTAGAGGGCTACTTTATTAACAAACAAATGAAAAAGAATGGGGTTCTTATTCAGGATATTCCATTAACATGGCTCAAAGAGGAGAAAAATGTTGCTAGGAAAGCAATTTAAAATGCCAAATCCATGAAACAGTTCTTTACAAATCAAGTTTACTCAGGAATATAAATAGTTTAAATTCCTCAAATAAAATGGTTGGACAAATGTATTTCAGTCTTACTATCAAAACAGGAGCAGTAAAATGTGAAAAACACAGTAAGTGGAATCAGAGACTGATTAAACTAGTGGAAGAAGAAGATTTCCTGTCTTCTTATATATTCAAAGAGATATACATTTGGTAAAAAAGAGATATATTTGAATCCAATTGCTCTCAAAGTGGGCCTTACAAAAGGGGGAAATGTTTTAGCCAATATCAGATCAGAAAACGTAATGGAACATAAGGAAATCTAGTAAAAGAAGGGAGCCAAGATCTCAGAAAGACTAAAATTATTCACTCAGTAGAAGCCAGAACTCAGGGAAATATTGGGACCACACCCTCTAAAAAGTTATGTACTTAAACTTTAGCAAGAGCTACTGAGAATTACCTTTTGAAGGTAAAGAAAACTTGGTCAATTGGTTTTGGGCATATTTGCAATCTGGAAAGTCAGATAAAATTCCTAATGAGTTCTAGGTGAATTTCAAAAAGATTCATCAGTTTTAGGTGGAGACACAAGTATCACTTTTGTCCTGAGAGCTTGTGTCTAAGGAATGTAGAATGAAAAAAAAAAAAGCACCAAAATGATGAGGCATGTCAATGTAAAGCCAGTCCTCTGGTAGATGTTGTTCGAAAGGAAGGTATGCCCTGGACTACCAACTGCAAAAGTTGAAGGTGGACAAAGATTTGTTAAGAATTTCTGTAACTTGCTAGTTTTATCTCAGGATGAAACCAAGAAGAGTCTGTTTAAACAACAGATAATTGGGCCGAAAAGCAGAAGAAAGGAACAAGAAAAGAGGAGTGTCAGCCTTACATAAAGTAGAGAAGGAAAGAGACCAGAGAAGTGAACATGTTACAAACTCTGACAGGTGTTCAGTGAAAGAGAAGGAAGGGTAATGCTAGGGGTAATAGAATGCATGGCTAAGGTTCTGAGCATCACAAAGCTCCTCAGGCAAACATTTTCAAGAGCAGCTTCTCACAAATATTTTTCAAGGGTAGTATGGATTAAATAAAGGAATGTAGGTGAAGCGTGATTAAGGTTCTATCACTGGCAGCACTCAGACCTCGTTCATCCTAAGAATGCACAAAAATATAAGGAACAAAGGAGAAACGGAAATTTGAAAGTTTTTAAGATTCTGAGTGAGAAGAAAATGCATCCAAAATAAGACCTGGTTGGATGCCATTCATGCAAGCATCTAAACCTTGCAATAAAAAAAGAATATCCCCGACCTCACTTTTGCAGACAGAGATATTTTCAACCTTTTGCACCAAAATATCTCCGGTTGAGAGTTTTTTTTAAGTTCACAAGTGAAAGACTTTGGTCTAGACTGACTTTTTGCAGAGCAGAAATCTTGACTTTTTTTCATCTGTCTTCCTTTTCTCAGGTAACACTGAGTCCTTAATACCGTCTTTGGCAACACTTAAGTGCTGAGTTCTAGGATCATAATTTTAACCAGGACAACTGCTTTAAGAGGTAGAGGCTCATTGCATTTAAATTTCACAGGCATCCGGGCAGTAGTGTGAAAATCTCATATATCCTATTAGCTTTCGAGGTCTTTAAACCTGAAGCTCATGAGAAATTTGCATTAAAGTAATGCAGCTTTTGAGGCTCTGAAAAAACAGCAGAGGCTAAAAAGCTTCTGAAGGATTCCAAGTGTTGAGAACATTTCTGACTAAGCCTGAACAAAATATGACTTTTAGGAGGGTATTAATTTCTCTGGACTTTGAGCTTTTAACTCACATGGGTTAAGAAGATTTGATTGCAGGTTATAAGTTACTTGGGTATAGGATTTTAACTGCAAAGGAATTTAATCTTTATTAAATTCTTCTTGGATTTTGACTATAAAAGGGCATTCATACTATTATCAATGGCAAGAACTGCATTTAGTTTTGCACCAACCTAATAAAATGTGAGATATCTCTAGATTGTTGGATTTTCTACATGTTGATTTTTAATCTTTGTACAGTACTTTGAATGGGCTTTCCTAGACAACACAGCCAAACAGGTCTTCGGTTACAGCAGTGTCTTAGAATTAATGTAATTGTGTGCCATTTTGATCCATGTTAGGGCTTTCTTAGAACAAATCTGAAATAACCAATAGTGGACCCAAGATAATCTAAAAAGGAAAAGCTGTTGGTATTAACATCGTAAAGGTGGAAATAGGCTGGGCTATATTCCCAGACTGTTGCTTTAGCTGACTGGTAAATCTGATGGAAGAAAGTAAGCACTTATGCCTCAGCCCTCTCTCCTTCCTTGGACCCACCTTCTCATGAAGAAAGAATATCTGAGTTATTTCAGGATGTAAGCTTTACATGTCAATGCCAGTTATTCAAATCTATCTAATTATGGGATGCTTATTAGCAATGAATTTCCATCCAGCCTGAAACCATACCCTTCAAAATAAAACTTGTAATAATGTTAATATTTTGGTTTCTGTATGAATACTGTGACTCTCAGTTGGTTCCAAACTCAAGGAACAGGATTGCTACTTATTAGCCCCCTAAACTCCAATAACATGAAACATAATTTATCTTTTTCTGATGATTTCCAGAAAATGATTTTGTTGTGTTGATCAGTTAGTAATATTTTTGGCCACAAGTAACAGAAAACCTATCTCAATGATTTAAATAAATAGAGGTTTATTTTTCTTGTGTAAATTACAATATGGAGGTGTGTGACAGTTGGCAACGATTCAACACATCAAAGGTATGAAAGATGATGTTTCAGAAATCTATGTTTACCTTCCCTGCAAGATCACAAGATGTTATCACAGCTGCAAACATCATAGTCACATTTAAGTCATTAAAAAAGAAGTGGGGGTTGGGGAGAAGAGGAGAGAAATGTCAGCTACTTCTCTCTCTTTTATCAGGAATGTAAAAGTCTTTTCAGAACTTTTCCAACATATTTGTTCATGCTGTGTCATGTGGTCACTTCTTACTGCCAGGAATGCTGGGAAAATGAGTAATGGGTTTTTCTAGCCTTTATGGTAGAAGGTAACAAATGCAATAGGGGCTGGTAATGCCTATAATAACAGTCAACAAATAGTGTCAGCCACATATGGGCATTGATGCTTTCAGAGGCTTTTGAATGGATAAAGTATTTTCCTACATTTGGGTAAAGATTTATTGTGGATGTTAATTTTCTCTCTCATTTTTTGTTCTTTTTTTGTGTATTACCATCTGTTTTTAATCTACTGCCTTACTTTTAAGAACTATATTGCTTGATGATAATTCTTTTATGGAAAAAAAAGTTCATGAGCTTTATGATATTTTTTCCTCATACTGAGGGTACTTTTTTCTTTTATTCTTGTTTTATATGTCTGTCCAGGGTCATTAATGTTACTGGATGTCACAGTGGTATTATTTTTGAAGTTAAAAAAATTCCCATTTTTGTTTTTTTCTAGCTGGTCATATTTTAGGTTTTACAAGAAGAAAATTCTATCATATTCAAGAGGTTATTTATTCAAATTCTGATAATACTTGGTAAAGGTTATTCAAAATGTGTTTTTGTTTTATTTTGTGTTGCCTTTGTTGTGACATTGTCACCACTTTTCCCCCTCATCTCTTGAAGCTTAGTAAAATAGTATAAGATGCTAGCCCTACAAATTTAATTCAAATGTTTGGCTAATTTTGAATTTCATCCAGATCGACATGGGATTCACAATAGATTTATGTCCTGTTTTTCATGAGAACTTAAAAGCATGTCCATTAAGATTTTTCTCCCCTTCCAACTTTGAAATATTTTACGAATAGAATGGTATTACATTATGATGTAATGTCTGTTGACTTTGCAGAGATTATTTTTAGATGTCTTGCTCTGGATTAGCACTGGCAAAAACTTGTTAAATCTGAGTGGATTTGTTTACAACATTAACTATTATAAATGTAAGTCCACCTTTTGTAAGCTTCCTGCTTCATTTGGCTAAAGAAAAAGTACAACGTCATGTGTGGAATTTAATAATTTGCTTGCACAAGGACTTTAGGTCTTTCCAGAAAAGGAAATTTTAAGAGAATTTAGCCTTTAAAATAAAAGCTAGCATATCTAGCATAAATAAAAAGGGTTGCTTTTCATGTATGAATTTTTCACATAACCATTCATTTTCAAGTTTTCCACATGTGTCTTACATATAGATCACAAGATGGAAAAGGAGCATAATAACAGTAAGCAGTCCTCAGAAAAATGCCGTACATCACTTTTGCACAAGCTCTCTGCCAGAATAATTAGTGCAGAATCTGCCTCTCATTATGGATACAAGACAGGCCTTTTGCTCTGTGTGTGCACCAACTGCATCCCACCACCAGAATAGACAAGCGCACAGAGCAGGGCTGGCAGTGACACTGAGGCACTTGCTGTCTTTACTTGCTGTTTGGAACCAAGGCTGCCAGACCACTGCTAACATTGATTGCCGTTCACACTTCATTTGAGTGGGTTTGCATTTGGATGCAGTCTTCATTTTCACCTTTCTTGCTATTTCCTGAGGAAAATGAGCAATTCAGTGAGTCTGGTGTGCTTTTCAATTCTAGGATTGTTCACTGACCCTCTTTCTTTATAAAAGAAAGGTCTGCATATTTGAAACTTGTTAGATAAAAGGGTGCTCTATTCAACTCCTGCATTTTTCAAATAGCTTTTTCTTCTTTTATTATTATTTTTTCTTTCCTTACTTAGCTTACGAGCTGTGTGAGTGGTTGCTAACTAATAGCATTAGATACATAAACTCATCATTTATCTACAGGATGAGGACAAAAATAAACTAGAGAAAATGACTGTACATTAGTTTGTGGTAAGTTTGAACCGGACTTAAAAGAGGTCCCTGAGGAAAAGTTATTGACATACATGTGAGTACATGATTCTTTCCACCGAGATGGAGCAACCTGTTTTCTTCCTCACAAGGACTTGGCATCGGTCAGTGGGTTTTAGAAATGTCACTCTGTAGTCAATTCACTTCAAAGCTATGAGAATGCTGCCGATACTCATTTGATTTTTTAAAAAGCTAAAACTTAATTTAATAATGTCAGACTGCATCAGAATTCTGAACTCTTCTTTCTGCACTAATCTCAGGAAATATAAACCACACACATACACACACACACACACACACACACACACATTTTTGTGGTTGTTGTTCATGGAAAGAACCTGGTTAATATGAAGCGGCAAAGAAAATTGACCTGAATTCTCCAGATTAATTAACTGTCTGGCGCAAACCACCCTGACAATTAGTCACTTCTACACTTTATTTCTATCGTGTTTTTCTCCAAAATTTTGTGCAATCAAAAGACTGTGAGAAAACTTAATAGATTATTTTAATTATGAGATAAATTCATATCTTGTGATTAGAGGAAAAGCAGCTTCTTTTGAAATTAAACTCAGATCTCAAGGCCTTTGTGTGTCTTCATTCTTCCACCTGGCAATATTTTCCTGCTTTTTCCCATTCTTTTCTCCTTTATTCCCAAGTGGATCCAGCGTGCCTTCAAGACTTGGCTCAGATGTCTCAGTGATTACTTCTTTCACTGTTTCTATTCATTCATTTGAAAAGTGAAAATACTAAAAATACAAATGTATTTAGTATAGAAATGCTCTTTGTTATAAGATATAGTCTTTGTCCTATGGAGCAAGTCCACTTGACATGCGGCCAGTCTAAATTGAGATGTGCTGTCAGTATAATATGCACACCGAATTTTGAAGACCCAGAAAGTAAACACAAAATTTATGACTTATTAATAATATTTCATGTTATAATGAGATAATATAATAAAATACTTCAAGATGCAGGGTAAAATAAAATAAGTTATTAAAATTAACTTCACCTATTCCTTTCTGTTTTTAACATGGTTATCAGAAAATTTAAAATTACAAATGTGGCTGGCATCAGATTCTATTTGACAACTTACCCTAGACTATGAACATCCTCAGAATAAGGATTATGTTTTCCTAATTTCTGTATTTAAATACCAATTACATAGAGAATGAACAGGTGCGATAAATGTCTTAACTGAATATGTATTTTAATAGCCATCATTAACGTTCTAGAGCTAAGAACAAGATGCTAATTTGCAGTGTCAAAAGTTACTTTAGGATTGAAACATTTGATGCTGTAATTTTTTTGTATTTATTTTTTAAGATATAACAGTTTGGGAACAACTCTAATGTTTTCTTTGCACAGATGATTTGATTTAGTTCCTTCTACATCCTGTTTGTTCGTGCCCACAATCCTTTCACCGTTATTTGGCCTGGCACATTATACAGAGATGACTTTCCTCAAATACTGCCTGATTGTTCAGCAGAGGGCCAAATGCTGTATCCTGATTTTGCCTGGTAGGATCATGAGCTAGAGATGTAATGAAAAAGATAGCAGGTAATAGGACAAGGCTTGAGCAAATCTGTTCATTTACCACTGGCATTCCAATTAGCTGTCCAGCAAGCCTCAGGAGATTCCCAAATCCATTTTTCATGACTTGTATAATGGAGAGCAAAGTCTCTAGGAAATTTGTTATTGCTTTGGGAAGCCCAAAAAGTAGGTAATATATCATTTACTAGTGGCTTCTAGAATCTCAGTTCAGCCTCTTAAGACTTCAGGATTTGGATTTTGCTTTTTATTTATTTATTTATTTATTGGCAAAAGGTGGAGAGATGAGGACTGTGACTGATTCTTATTTGCTGCAGTCCCAAAATCAATAACTGATCAAGGAGACTAATGAGATATATCAACTAAATACAGATTGAGAATCCTTCATCCAAAAATCAAAAATCAAAAATGTTGCAAAATTCAAAATTTTGGGGGCAGTGACATAATGCTCCAGGTATAAAAATTCACACCCGATCTCATGTGATGGGTTCCAACTATAGGTTCTTATCATGCACAAAATTATTTAAAATTGTATAAAATTACCTTCAGGCTATACATATATATGATGTATATATAAAACATCAATGAATTTCATGTTTAGAGTTGAGTCCCATCCCCAAGACATTTCAGCACAGACATGCAAATATTCCCAAATCCCAAGAATATGAAACATGAAACATTAGCATTTTGTTTCAGAATTTTGCATAAGGGATACTCAATCTGTACCACATACAATCCTGGATTTGATTTTGCGTTAAAAAAAGAATATTCCTGGGACAATTCACATAAGTTGAATAAAGTCTGTAAAATAATAATAATTAATGTTAATTTCCTAATTTAGATTATTGTACTGTTGTTATGTATGTACATTTACATTCATATTACCATATTTTCAGAAAGTACATTTTTCACATTTTATGAAATTCTGAATTCTTGACCACTTGAAGTTTGCTGATTTTTTCTAAATTCCACAGTTATATTTTTATAATTCTATTTATAACTATAATTATATAATATTTAAAATATATTCATATTTAATTTTCTGAACAATATAGGCTTCTTCTGGTGGCCAAGTAATATTTCATAAATTATTTCAGATATTAATATAGTTTTAATCTGATGAATAAGGCTATATATATATTGAAATGAAGTTAAACCAAACATATATATGGATTTTCCATTATGTTTTTTCTGTTTCAACTTAAAATATGCATGTTCCACCCAAACTATCTCTTTAAATATGCTTCAAAAATTTCAAGTTGCTCTTAGAATCCTGAGGAGATATCACATTTCATTTTATGGTAATTAACTTTCATTCCTGACTTGGGGTACTAGGAGTTATTTAACTGTTTCTAGGGACAAAGTGAAAATTTTAGAAGGAATCTATGCTGACAGTATAAAACAGAGACAATAAAGGGGAGAGACTGGGATTGCAATTGCACGACCAATGATGGGACCATAACTAGAACAGTGGCAATAAGAACAAAACAGAGAGTCCCGTTATCACAGCCATTTCAGAAGCGGCATTGCACTATTGGAACGCCCACGTTGAGGCAGAGAGAACTCATCTTTTCACTAGACTTGCCAAGACTGGTGACTCAGAGGCCTGAGAGAAGGTGTCCAACAAACAGCATGGAGGGAAGTATTTTTGCATTATTTTATTGATGCTCAACGTTTGAAAAGTTTTTAAAATATATATACTCTTTAGGATACATTTTCTGTAAAACTTTAGGTACGAGTCCAGTATAGCTAAAGGGAATTTGCTTGGAGAAATGTGTGAATCAATTAAGAGGGTGCTCCTGTGAGATCAGAGTCACCCACATAGATCTGTAAGACTGAAAATGTTTTATAGAAACCACACTCACTATGGCCACTGTATTCTTTAATTTTTCAGATTTTCCACAGGAAGAAAATACTCAGCTTTAGAATATTAGCACATAAGGAAAGGGCAGCTGATATTTTCCCAAAATGTCATAATTTATTTTTGCCTATTTATATCATATGGTAAAAATATTTCTTGACAGATAATAGGAAAAAAAGAGAGAGTGAGAGATATTGGGGAAGGGAAGGAAGGGAGAGAAACAGCAAGGAAGGATGGATCATCTGTTCCAATATAAATCACATGTAAAACAACCCGGAAAATAACTGATTGAGTCAAAGGCAGATATGAGAGCTTAAAATGTTAGTCACTATCAAAAGTCTTCTTTTCATCAAAAGCTGACAGCAACTGGCCAAGGCCTTCACTAAGTGATGTGCTAAAGAATCTCCAGCCAAGAGGCAAAAATGAATAAAGCGAAAATTACTGCTATTACCCTGAGTTGAAGATGACCGATCAGGCCAAGTCGACCTGTGAGGATTGAAAGTCAGTGAGCCAAAAGCTGCTGTCAGAGACCCAGCCTGCTCTGAATCCCAGGAATCCTCCTTCACCCATCAGCAATAATCACTGCTAAAGGCCTGTCATCCTCTGCTTTTCGTCATAGCTAATCAGCACACAGGAGTGCCCACAACCACACCATATCATACTCTCCTTAGTCCAAACTTGAAAACTGCCATTGTCCTTTAAAATCTGACCTTTATAGAGATTTACTTTCCTCAATTTCCAAATTCTCTTTAGTATTTCTTTCCACCCTCAAAAACAAACAAACAAAAACCCTTGACTCTGAATTAGCGATTATATCTTAGTATTGTTTTTTATATACCCTTGATTTAGATTATCTTTCATCTTAAGTGACATGAAATCATTCTTTGATAGCTTCATTTAACCAAACTCCTATTTGTATTTTAACTGGTGGTGGTACAGTGGTTTTGCTGTTTATATCCACGGAGTATTTGGCTATTTTTCCCAAGAATCTTTCACCTCTTCATCACCTCCACTCCTGACACAGACGCATACACACACAACATATAGTACACACACAACACACAACTTTTTATTTCACTGTCTGCTAAAGTGAGTGAGTTTGCTTTACCAAATAGCTGACTAGATGTCAGATTTGAAGTGGGTGGTGCCGAAGATAATTCTAAGCATTCTGGGCTTAGGAATTAAGAGGGTAACTCAAATTCTATGAAAATGCATCCTTTTGTGTTATGCATTCAGCAGTCATTCTCCCCAGCAAAGGGGAGTTAACTCAGGCAATGACAGGCTCTCTTGAGCTATTACATGCAAACTCCATTAATCCTTCAAACAAAAAGAGGGGCTGAACAAGTCTTAGTTCCAGATGTGTCTCTTCCTGCCAGCCCGTCCTGCCCAGATACAGGTACCAAAATTCTGCCCTTGACAGGCCTGACCCTGCTAGTTCATACACCCATGAAAATCTAGCCTGGCTGTGGGATAAGCACAACTGCCCTATGAACACTCAAACCTGGAAGCATCTTCTGTGTCTGGGGAGAATTTATTCCTCTGAGGCTCTCATGGCAACTCACAAGGCTGCCACTGTACCTAATCCCAAATGTGTGTGGCTGTTCTGTCTGACTCTCCCCATGACCAGGGCTCTGAGTCCAAATCTCCAAAATGGCTTCCTCATTATGGGTCCCACAAACTGAAGCTTAACCCCAATGACCTTGATTGTTTCTACCAATGACATCTCACAGGGTTCGATCCTGCTCCTCAAATCAACCCATACCCCTGACACTGAGAACTGCTTCCACTCAGAGTGCAGCCACCCCAGAATAGTGGCTCTTAACGCTAGGTGTGCATCAGAATCCACTCAAAGTTCAATTCCCTTTCCTCCAAATAAGAAATAGTGACTTAGGTAGCAAGGCCAGACCCAGGACAATATGATTACAATTATGTGCAATTCCAAACAATTCTAGTTTGAAAGCTGTTGCAAACATTTTTAGAAGTGATCAGGCTACAAATCATTAAATAAAGTAATACATATTCTGGTATGGAAACTATTGTGATAATTAGTTGCCATGTTAATCTTGGCATGATTAAATTATTGCTTCAACAATTTCTTAAATTAGTGAATCTCCTTTTTTTTTTTTTTTTTGAGACAGAGTTTTGCACTTGTTGCCCAGGCTGGAGTGTAATGGCACGATCTAGGCTCACTGCAATTTCCGCCTCCCAGGTTCAAGCAATTCTCCTGCCTCAGCCTCCTGAGTAGCTGGGTTTACAGGCGCCTGCCACCATGCCCAGCTGATGGTTTTTTTTTTGTTTTTAATAGAGATGGGGTTTCACCATGTTGGGAAGGTTGATCTTGAACTCCTGACCTCAGGTGATCTGCCCACCTCGGCCTCCCACAGTGCTAGGATTACAGGCATGAGCCACCACGCCCAGCCCAGTGAATCTCCTTTCTACTCCTCTACTAATTTCTCCTGAATCTCATGCTATCTGATACTTCTCAGCTCTCCTGACCTACCAGGACTGTTGTCATGGCAAGCTAACAGCACTATACAAAAGCAAACCTTATAAACCATTTGTCCTACCTCATCTCACAACACAGTTCCTGCTTTGTTTTGTTTTGTTTTGTTTCTAATCTCTCTGGCATTTGACCTCAGGATTCATCTGGACTCACTACTACTTATGGTTAGCTCTGATTCTGCAGCTGAAGGACTCACTTCTTTTCTTCTCTATGAATTCAACTTTCCCCCCAGAACAACAACCTTTAACTATAAACTGTCCTTGATATTATCTGAGTCTGTTTGTGCTGCTATAACAAAATATCTAAGAGTGAGTAATTTATAAGCAACAAAAACTTCCCTTCTGAAGCCTGAAAAGTCCAAGATTAAGGCACTGTCAGATTTGGTGTATGGTGAGGGTTAGTTCCGCATAGATAGCACCATCTATGTGTCCTCACATGGTGGAAAGGATGGAAAAGCAAAGAGCAAAAATGGTCTTAGAGTGATCTCTTCAACCGCCTTCATAAAAGGGGAGCCCTCATGACGATCACTTCCCCAAAGGCCCCACATCTTGATACCATCACCTTGGGGTTTAAATCTCAGCGTAAGAATTTTGGAGGAAAACTCATTCAAGCCACACATGCATACACAAATTTGTTTCGGAGTTGTAAAGTTACAGGAATTGTTTTCTTCCTTATGTTTCTGTATGTAAAGATAGTTTAATAATATCTTTATAGTGGAAGATAGGAAAAAAAACAGTTATTTTTATTTTTATAAAAAGTAAACTAAACAATATAATCCACCTAATCATCCTAATCTCTGGAATCAATTCACTTTCTACAAATAGGACTCTCACCAAGTTCCTCATGGTCTTCCCTGCTGATGCCCACTTTTTCTCAAACTCCTCTCGTGCACCCTCATTTAGCTAATTTAGGATGCTCTAAATGTTAGGTCTGTCCCTTTGTACAATCTTTACATGTGGATTTAGCATGCCTCTCTCCCGGTCCAAAAGATTCATTGATTTTTTATTTCTAAAAGTGACCATTACTTGGTGGGACATATCACACTTGGAGAAGTGACTGAATATTTGGGAAATAGATCCTTCAAAAAGAAAAAGCTGTTTTAATATTATAATTCCAAACCGTATTTTGGAAAACTTTCAAAAACCACATATTGCTTCCATAATAAAACCTATAAAACAGAAAGTTCATTTCCATTCATTTACCAACTAGTCATCACATACATACTATATAGCAGACATGAGTCTAGCTGCAGGACAAGTTTTGCTGGCTTAGTAAGAGGAAGCAGACAAGCTGGGGTAGTGCTGAGAAAAGATGGTCAAAGTGAAATATTGGAAAGGTTCTACAAAGTGGAAAATGACTTTTCCACTACTTTTGATGCTGTTTACTACATCAAATCTCAACTCTGAATATTTTTTAGCAGCCTTGATAGCATAGCTTCACCTAAGCCACTGTAGAGGATGGAATGGTGGACCCAAAAAGATATACCCATGCTCTAATTCCTGGAGTGTGTGAATGTGATCTTATCCAGGTAAGAGCTAAATCCAGTGACAAGTGTCCTTACAAGAGACACACAGGGAGAGGAGGAGAAGGTCATGTGAAGACAGAGGCTGAGACTGGAGTGATTACATCCACAAGCCAAGGAATACCACCAGAGGCTGAAAGAGGCAAAGAGAAACTCCCCCCTGGAGCCTTCAGAGAGAGTGCGACCCTGCTGACACACTTTAATTTCAGACTGTGACCTGCAGAATTGTGAGAGAATACATTTCCGTTGTTTTAAGCCACCAAGCTTGTGTTAATTTGTTACAGCAATCACAGTAAACTAATGAAGCCATATCCTCTCATTTGCACTCAAGTTTCCACACCCTATAGCAACAGAGGGTATGTACAGTTGATATATAATAAATTCTTAATGGATTACAGACAAATTGTTTTATGTAGTTTAAAAACTAGCTCTGGGGTAGGGGAGAGGGCTGAGGGCAGCCCAAATTGATTCAAAATTATTCTTCTGCTCATACAACATTCATAATCTTACTCCAGAAAAAAATATGGTAAAATATAGTATATTTTTCTTTCCTTGCTTACCATGAGCTATACCAAACAAGAAAGGAAAAGCGCAGCACAAATAATTTTGATATTTTTTCAAAGACAATATGCTCAATTTTTGAGAAAATTATTCTCTAAATAATTCCAGAAATGTACTTTATCTTTCACATAGGATGTACATTGATTGGACCCTTATTTTTATTCTTTTCATATCTAAAGCACCTCCCATTAATCTCTTCTCTTTAGCTATGATAACTAACACATATGTGAATTTTCATTTGGCAAGAGTGGATTTGGAAATCCAATATTCAGAAACCATTCAGAGTTCTAACTTTGTTACCTAGTAATTATAAATTAAACCACAAACCAAGACTGTACAATACTCAATGCTAAATGTAAAGAAGTTTTACATTCAAATAAAATAAAAATTTCATATAAGAACTAAGCATAAAACAGCATTGAAAATAGGAACACACTTATATAAAACGTAAAAGAAAACACAGAAAACAAGAGAAAAAGTTACCAGTTATATTTCTGCAACACTTGAGCTTAACCTCCTAAAAATACTTTGGGCTGTAATTAAGCAAAAAGATAAGATAGATGGTGAGTGGAGGAAAGGGAAATAAATAAAGCTCTGAGTGGGAATTTCCTGACTAATGTGCCTTACCATTGGAGCTGAGCAACATCTGCATTGCTTGCATTTCCTTTCATTACCCCAACACCAATCACTTGCTCATTTATCATTCCCATACTACGGCATTATTGAAATGTGATGATTCACTGCTTTCCATTGATCAAATAACATTCAGAGTTACTTTTCAAATGCTTTGCATATAGAGGTGACTAAATAACTAAAAAGCTGTGCATCTTCCTTTTTAATAACACATTGAGGAAAAGATTTGGTAAACCTGATTTCTATTAACTTCTCCCATTAGCATGGAGCCCATGCTCTCTTCACCGGCTCCACAGACCTTCATGCCACTCTCCCGCCATGCCTGCTCATTCCACGTGCTTTCATGTGCCAACGGACAAAAAATGTGTCAACTGAGAACAATTGTGAGCCATTTACCTCAAATAAAAATATAAAGAGAACCGGGAGCAAATAGATGTGACAATTATGTAGGAGACTCTTTAGTATGTCATCTGGGAATACAGCATGTTATAGATGAACAGACCAGACTTTGTAAATCAGAAGTTATACTGCCATTCTTTCAGAATGTGACTACGTATGTGTGTGTGTGTGTGTGTGTGTGTCTGCTGAATGGAAAGAAATATGATCTATACGTGAGTCATTTTTGCAACCCTCTGAGAGCTTAGTGATATGTCATTGGAGATGTTCAGAAACTGTTTATTGATTGTAATGGACATGTGGGTTTTCCTTTTCTACATTGTAGAATCTCATTTAGAGATGCCAGCATCTCTGGTTTAGTAACCCAAATGGAAGATGTGTTAGCCCTACTGAGAGTTTATAGGACCTCTATGATATGGCAATCACACATCTAAATTCAGTTCTGAGCAAACTGCTGAAGGCAGCTGTCACCCATGCTTCCCTCTATAGGTAAGCACAGCTAAGGCAACAGCTAAATTCAACAAGATAATGTGGGCAGCTGTGAAAGGACACAATCTCTTCTATATTGAATCTGAAAAATCTTGTAGTACAACACATATCAGATTCTCTCTCTCTTTCCCTTCCTCCGTCCTTTTCCCTCTGTCTCTGATAGGCAGGAAATGGATGGAACATTGACATTTATAGAGCACCTACCATGTGTTAGTTAAGTTGTGCCCTAGGTGCTTAACCTTACTTTAACCCTAACGAATTCAATTATGATAACAATATTGTCTTTGGAGAAACCTCAGCTCAGAATTCTTGCCAGCCCACTCTTCAGAGGTGTAAACTGATGCACAGTTAGCCCAACATCCACATCCACCATCTTTCAAAGGAGCACAATAAGATCAACTGATCGATATGGAAACCTTAGGGCTGAGCCAACATATGAGCAGACTACATGGAAAAGTTTTCTTTAAATTAAAATGTAAGAAAATATTTTATTGATCACCGATTAAGGTCATAAGGAAAGCCGACTAGGGTGCAAACATTCAGAGAATGTTGCAAATACTGGTGGGAATAAGACTATAGTTTGTAGCCTTGGTCATAGACAAGAATCAAGTTAAATGAAGTAGAAGAAAAGAGAGTGTGATCTACAACCTAGGAAAGATTAAGACAAAGATAAGTTCAGTCTCCAAGTTGGGAGCAAATATAGCTGATAACTCCATAGGTATTAATAGTTGTAATCAGTATTTAAAGCAAATAAAGAATTAGCCAGATGTATCCCAATGTGAACAATGTCCCCAGGAGGCAAAAAAGTACTGTACACTTTCCAGGTATATCTAAGTTGTCCTCCAGTTTTTAGAAACCCTCTTAGAGCTAAAGGGACACTAGATTCAAGCCTTGGTTTCCCTTCATTGCATCTTATGCATATATCTTTGTGTTTTGTGAATTTAAAAATGTAATATTAGCAAGAATATATCTACCCAAGAACTTGGACTAGATATTCCAATTTGTACAGCATACATGCTATGGACTGAATGTTTATGTCCCCCTCAAATTCATATGTTGAAATCCTAACCCCCAATGGGATGGCATTTGGACATGGGGATCTTTGGGAGGTAATTAGGCCACGGGGGTGGCACCATCATGAAGGAGATTAGTGCTGTTTTAAAAGAGACCCCAGGAAGCTCACTTGCCCTTTCCTCCATGTGAGGTTACAGTGAGAAGATGGCTGCCTATAAATCAGAAAGAGGTCCCTTATCAGACACCAAATCTACCAACACCTTGATCTTGAACTTCCCAGCCTCCAAAAATGTGAGAAATAAATTTCTGCTGTATATAAGCCACCCAGTCTATGGTATTTTTATTATAGCAGCCTGAATGGACTAAGACATTGAGTGTTAGCAATTTTAACCATATTTTCCATGAATAGCTAACACCATTATAAAACTATATCCTCAAATGAAAAATAAAGAATGTCACCACAATAAAAATGACATTTAAGATTCTTAACATTCACTTGGTGTATCCTGTGAGACACTTTGTCTCTGACAACTCATATTACCTGTGATAACTCCATAGGTATTAATGGGATACATCTGGCTAATTCTTTATTTGCTTCAAATACTGATTACAACTATTAATACCTATGGAGTTATCAGCTATATTTGCTCCCAACTTGGAGACTGAACTTATCTTTGTCTTAATCTTTCCTAGGTTGTAGATCACACTCTCTTTTTCTTCTACTTCATTTGACTTGATTCTTGTCTATGACCAAGGCTACAAACTATAGTCTTATTCCCACCAGTATTTGCAACATGAAAATGAGCTAGATGAACACACAATGGATATAATGCTGCAGTGATTTCAAAATAGACATCTTCTGTAGTACAGAACTGATATGGTTTGCCTGTGTATCCACCAAAATCTCATCTTGAATTTTAGCTCCCATAATTCCCATATGTTGCAGGAGGGACCTGGTGGGAGGTAATTGAATCATGCGGGTGGATCTTTCCCATGCTGTTCTCATGATAGTGAATAAGTCTCATGAGATCTGATGGTTTTATAAATGGGAGTTCCCCTGCACAAGCTCTGTCTTACCTGCTGCCGTGTAAGACCTGACTTTGCTCCTCCTCGCCTTCTGCCATGATTGTGAGGCCTTCATAGCCATATGAAACTGTGAGCCCATTAAACCTCTTTTTCTTTATAAATTACTCAGTCTTGGGTATGTCTTTATTAGCAGCATGACAACAGATTAATACAAGAACACACATATTCAAAACATGCCTGTTTTAGTTAAGCAGAAAAAAAGAAAAATTGTATGTATGTTTGTGTTCTATAAAGAAAATACAGCTAAAGAGTAACTATTGTGAAATCTAGGGGATAGGTGTCCGGGTCATTCGTTTCACTATTCTCCCTACTCTTGTATGTGTTTGAAATTTTCATGATCAGATATAACACATGTATACTGCAGTATGTAAAGCCAGTGGCTCCCATCCCATTGGAGTTTCCCATCACCTCACTGGGAGCTGCATGTGAAATGCTTGTCTCATTCATTGATGTAGCGGGCTGTGCCATTATTCAGGTGTCTAACAGGTCTCCTTATTAAGGAAAAAAAGCACTAACAATGCTTGTCTAATTGTGTCTGGACAATGTAAACAGCCCATCTTTATCCAAGTTGAATTCCTAGTCTCCATAGTAGCATTTCAGTAACTATCAATCAATGTCTTTTTAGACT
The DNA here is from genome assembly GCF_000001405.40 of Homo sapiens. Classification (NCBI taxonomy): domain Eukaryota; kingdom Metazoa; phylum Chordata; class Mammalia; order Primates; family Hominidae; genus Homo; species Homo sapiens. Next base: position 80,961,000 of record NC_000009.12, read on the forward strand.
AGGCCCTGACAAACTGATAATAAAGATAATCTAACACTTCAGATCTGATAAATATTGTAGTAGTACTGATAAGGATGAAAATAAACATTTTCCACAAAGGCTTCTGGAGACAAAAGCTCCAGCATTAAAGAAGTATTGGATATGTAAAATAAAAGTGCTAACACCCCATTAAGGTGCAAATATAAGATTAGCCTAGACAAGTATGCAGGTGGTACAGATGTTCTGCACTATACTCGCTCATGTAACTTGGTAGATGATAAATCCTTTGGATCCGGACATTTTGAGAGGGGAAGTTGGTCAAAATCTTAAGAGAAAAGGGCGTTAAGGATTTATCAATATATTATCTCTCCACAGTCTACACAGCTCTGCTCCTAAATATGTTTGTTAAAGAAGAACTTACTATTGTGAGTAACTTAAGAATTTATGAAGTCAAAATGGCTTAGAGAGACAGGGGTCATAAATACCCTGTGAAAGTATTTAAAATATTATTTTACATATAATAATAACAAAAAAGGAAGGAAAGATGATGACAGTTCACAATAAAGAAAAATATCAATGGTTTCTTACATGTCTTGAATTTGTAAAAAGTGATTATGAGACAGCCAAGTACAAAGGGGTCCCCAGAGAACCTCTGACCGGCCTGCCCGCTGGGAGGAATGCACACTGGGGTGGAGCTTCAGGAAGTTTGCGCCATTTGCAGTGGGGAAGAGCCTGGCCTCTCCTGTTCTGGGGTGGTAACCAGGGTTTCAGTTCGTGAGGTGGAAGCCTGCTAGCAGGACTCTTGCTTTGCTGAAAGCCCTTATTTCCCTTTTTTCCCTTTGCTCTCAATAAACCCTGTCCTTCTCACCCTTCAAAGTGTCTGCGAGCCTGAACTTTCATGGTCGTGTGACAAAAGCACATCTTTTAGCTGAACCAAGGAGAAAGTCCTACAACAGTTTCTAAATGATACATTTCCATGGTCTGTCTCCTGCTCACTGAAAAACTTGAGCATATTCTTTATGGTGATGGTCCTGCATTTGTTTTGCTTTATGCAGTCATATCCATATGCAAAGACACATAAAAACCTGTTTGGTCCTTCATCCTACTTTTATTTTTAATTAATTTATTATTATTATTTTTAGAGACAGGATCTTGCTCAGCCTTCCAGGCTGGAGTGCAGTGGTACAATCATAGCTCACAGTAACCTCAAACTCCTGGACTCAAATGATCCTCCCTCCTTAGCCTCACAACTAACCAGGGCTACAGCTGCATGCCACCATACCCATCTACCTTTTACAATTTTTTTGTAGAGATGGGGTCATGCTGTGTTGCCCAAGGCTGGTCTTGAACTCCTGGACTCAAGTGATCCTCCTGCCTTGGCCCCCCAAAATGCTAGAATTTTAGGAATGAACCACCATGCTCAGCCCCTCTACCCTATTTGTAAATTTTTGTCTTGTTTTGTTTTCATCTTACTAGTCAGAATAAATTGTGATTTCTGTATATTAGAAACCAAACTCTCACAAATGTGAAAAAGATATTAAAAGTATTTGTATGTTGTGTTAGTTTATTCTCACTTTGCTGATAAAGACATACTCGAGACTGGGCAATTTACAAAAGAAAGAGATTTAATGGACTTACAGTTCTGTGTGGCTGGGGAAGCCTCGCAATCATGATGGAAGGCAAGGAGGAACAAGACATGTCTTACATAGATGGCAGCAGGCAAACAGAAAGAACTTGTGCAGGGAAACTTCCATTTTAAAACCATCAGATCCTGGGAGACTTATTCACTATCATAAGAACAACATGGGAAAGACCTGCCCCCATGATTCAATTACCTCCCACAGGGTCCCTCTCATAATATGTGGGAATCATGGGAGCTACAAGATGAGATTTCAGTGGGGACACAGAGCCAAACCATATCATATGTCAAATAAGAACTGGAGTTTGGAGGCAGGGCACGGTGGCTCACGCCTGTAATCCTAGTACTTTAGGAGACTGAGACAGGTGGATCATGAGGTCAGGAGATCAAGACCATCCTGGCTAACATGGTGAAGCCCCATCTCTACTAAAAATACAAAAAAAAAAAAAATTCACTGGGTGTGGTGGCGGGCACCTGCAGTCCTAGCTACTCGGGAGGCTAAGGCAGGAGAATGGCATGAACCTGGGAGGCGGAGCTTGCAGTGAGCGCGCCACTGCACTCTAGACTGGGTAACAGAGCAAGACTCTGTCTCAAAAAAAAAAAAGAGTTGGAGTTTGGGATAAATAATTGAACTGTCATTAATTAAAACATGGATTCATAGTGGCCTGCCTGACCAGTAAGAAACCCTGCATAAAAGCTCATGACTCTCATGATTATAATCTACTCATTCATAGGTGGTATCTAACTTGTGAAAAAAAAATTTACCAGCAATAATCCTATGAATATACAATTGTCTTAATTATCAAAGCACATTTTAATTTCTTATCTATTTTTTGTTTAAAAATTGTTCTGGCAATGTCAAGCATGAACTACGGTATAGGAATTTTATATTTTACAATCTCTATTGCATATTTTTTTTCTCATTGCGTACTATCAAGTCCTTTTGGTCTCTCACTCTCCCTCACCCACACTCTCTTTCTGTCACTCTCATTCCCTTAACCCACAGATTATTTCTGAGAACAACTAAAATGAAAAATGACAGAAAAGACAGATAACACAGTCTTCTGTCTTCGATATTCACAATAAGTAAGGAAACAAGGTTTTTGTGTTTTTGGTTTTCTCCAGATAGTTCATAGCCCACACTCAACCAACCCCCTCCACCACAATCTAAGAGTACTATTTTTGTAAGAACTAGAAAGAAACATAAGCCCTTATGACTTGACTTCTCTTGGGTGAAGAGGAGTGTGGTGGCCCAGGAATGCCACCATCTCCTCTACATTGCTCAGGTTTTCGCTCCATTAAAGTGAACCTGTCACTAGCATTCTGTTTCCCAGAGCATCTTCCTCACTGGTCATCAGAAAAGGAAACTGACATGAAATTAAATCTCATTCTACAGGAAATATGATTGAGGGCTTTAAGCTTGTCTTGATTTGTGGAAACATGAATATCCCAAGCCATTATCATTGGGCCAGGGACACTAATAATAAAAGAACTGTTTGATGAAGTAAATATCTACACAGGACAAAAACATTAAAAAATGGGTAACAAAATTAGTCACTGTTCCTGCATTGTCTCTCTGAGAAATGAGATGCTTTTAAAGCAAACACTCTACACTTTAAGAGGGAGCCACGATGAATGATTACGCTTCAACTTATCCAGCAAGGAAAATAATTGTACATCAAAACAGAAACAAGGTGTCTTAAAAATTGTAGATGAAGTAAGAAATGTATTTTCTATCTTAAAAAGAGGAAAGAAAAAGAAATAAGCAAGTAATTGCTGCCTCCTTTCAAAGGGTTAAGTGTTTCTGATTAGCTTTGGGTCATGCATCACATTTTGAGTGCCTAAGCTTAACGACACACTTCATTGAACCCCATCTAGAAAGCTTCATGCTTATGAAGGTGTTCCTCTTGATTGCTTCTCATCTGGGCTACAAAATGACTGGGTTAGAGACTGACATTGATTAAGTGCAAGAGAACCATGTTTTACTGTGACAGCTGCTAGGCCTCTGTCAACAAATCAATGTATTTTTTTTTCCTTTTCGTCTTAACTCTCCCGTTAGCATCCTGCTGTTACTAGAGATGAAAAACATCTCTATAACCGTCTGCTGATTGACCACTTTCTGATTTGCCAATCACATAAAATGTTTTTATGATGGAAAAGACTAACCCTTCATTCTAAGCAGCTTTTTGTGCACAAATAGTGCAATTCACTGGAATTCTCTGGAGTGTGGCTGCTGCTCCTGTCATTTAGAATCACAATAAAGAGTAAGACATATTTTGCAGAAAAATGTCATTTTACTTCCTGAATTTGATCGGTAAGAGTACAAATGCACCCTGTCCATGAATTTGGGGAGTGTTTTAGCAGTGGTCTCACTCACAGATCTTCAACTGTCTAGATAAGGCAGTCATCCTTAATAGCTTTTTGCTCACAGAATACCTTTAGTTATTTATAACAGGGTGAGGTTGTTAAAAGTTGACCTCCCTTAGCATCATGCTGTGCAGGAGGTGTGGCTAGGGGACAGCAAATATAGAGATCCCCAAGCAACAGTGGTTCAAAATAGGACTTTTACAGACATATTGCTTAAAATAGCAGACTAGCCTCCAGCCTTCTACCACCAACTGTGTGGCTTCGGATTGAGCCCCAAGCTTGCTTGATTGGAACAAACACATGGGGAAAACCTATATAGAATGTGCAAATTACTGCCTAGAGACAAGACAGAGCACTCTGGGGCTTTTTAATGAAAAGTGTATTTTCATATGCATATGCATTTGTATATGATTTTATTTCATAACCAAATAAATAACCACAAACCAAGATTTTCACCTGGTAAAGCTTGGACAACGTGGCTTATTGTGCCTAGTCAATTTCTCTTCATGCTGTTAGTAATAAACCCAAAGGAAATACAAAATTTCACTGAAAACTTGTTACATCTTCAACAGACCAAGCCGCCAATAGGATTTCAGCACTAGAAGGTACCACTTGATGTTGGAAGTTGAATGTAGCCATGAATTGCCCTAAACTTTCTGCCAGCTTGATTAGCAAACCACGAGAAATAAAGGAAGAAGGGCCGGGCACGGTGGCTCATGCCTGTAATCCCAGTACTTTGGGAGGCCAAGGGGGGTGGATCATCTGGTGTCAGGAGTTCCAGACCAGCCTGATCAACATGGAGAAACCCCATCTCTACTAAAAATGCAATATTAGTCAGGCGTGGTGGCACATGCCTGTAATCCCAGCTACTCAGGAGGCTGAGGCAGGAGAATCACTTGAACCTGGGAAATGGAGGTTGTGGTGAGCCAAGATTGTGCCACTGCACTCCAGCCTGGGTAACACGAGCAAAACTCCGTCTCAAAAAAAAAAAAAAAGAAAGAAAGAAAGGAAAGGAAAAGAAGGAAAGAAAGAAAGGAAGGAAGGAAGGACGGAAGGAAGGAAGGAAAGAAAAAGAAAAAAAACTCAGATTTCCTGTATAATGTGGAAAAAAAACTACTTGTTCAGATCAAGGAAAGCATCACTAACCATTTTAAGGAACACAAAGAAATGGTCCACTTAAGAGGTCAGGTTTCCAAGTGGGGTAGCACTGGACAGAAATTCTGGCTGTATACCAATTGTCCTCTACCTTGCTCCTCCTGGGATGCCCCCTGAAGGCCCCATGCTGCACAAAATCCTGCACAAAAGAGGATAGCTACAGTAACATCTTTTCCTTATTTCATCCAGGAGAGAAGAAATAGAGCTAATACGAAAAAGTAATGCATCCAAAGGTAAAAAGAGAAAGAGGTAAGATGGCCTAACTTAGTCATGAGGAAAACAGAAAAGCATCTGGAGAGGGTTCCAGAAGGGTTCAAGCTAAACAGCTCTTTGGTGTTTTCCGGCACTGGTCTCCACACTTGTGGAGGTATTCTGTTATTATGAAAAAGTTAGCTTCCCCTTGCATTTAGGAAAATCTCTTTCTGATTGCCATAGAGAGGTCATTAGAGTTTTCAAAAGTTTTGAAGTTCCCAGTAACATTTAGAAATAAAGAGTTACAAATAGTAAGTAGATCTGGTTTTGTTATAAATGACCAAAATAGAAAATAAATTAGGATAGTAACAAAAATCAAAAGAAATAGTTTCCCATTTGACTTCATGCCCACACAAAAAGTCTCTTAGAATTACAAGGAAATATATCATCTCTCTCAGAGTTTTTCTTCACATTCACCCATGTTTGCCCTTTTATATTATTACTTTAAGAACCAAAAAGCTTGAACAATGGATACTATTGCATCTACGTGATGGTTAATAATGAGTGTCAACTTGATTGAAGGATGCAAAGTATTATTCCTGAGTGTGTCTGTAAGGATGTTGCCAAAGGAGATTAACATTTGAGTCAGTGGAATGGGAGAGGCAGACCCACCCTCAATCTGGGTGGACACCATCTAATCAGCTGCCAGCATGGCTAGAATAAAGCAGGCAGGAGAAGAGGGAAGAGCAGACTTGCTGAGTCTTTGTGGCTTTCATCTTTCTCCCATGCTGGATGCTTCCTGCCCTTGAACATCAGACTCCAAGTTCTTCAACTTTTGGACCCTTGGACTTACAGCAGTGGTTTGCCAGAGGTTCTCGGGCCTTTGGTCACAGACTGAAGGCTGTACTGTCAGCTTCCCTGCTTTTGAGGTTTTGGGACTCGGACTGATCCACCACTGGCTTCCTTGCTCCTCAACTTGCAGACAGCCTATTGCGGGACTTTACCTTGTGATCGTGTGAGTCAATTCTCCTTAATAAACTCCCTTTCATATATACATATATCCTATTAGTTCTGTTCCTCTAGAGAACTGTGATGAATACAATCTGTTATGAAATATCCACACATAAAAATGTTATATCAGGGCCAGTTGCAGTGGCTCATGCCTGTAATCCCAGCACTTTGGGAGGCCAAGACCGGCAGATCGCCTGAGGTCAGGAGTTTAAGACCAGCCTGGTCAAAATGGTAAAACCCTATCTCTACTAAAAATACAAAATTAGCTGGGCAAGATGCAGCATGCCTGTAATCCCAGCTACTGAGGAGGCTGAGGCAGGAGAATCACTTAAACCCAGGAGGTGGAGGTTGCAGTGAGCTGAGATCGCGCCACTGCACTCCAGGTTAAGAGACAGAGTTAGAGTCTACCTAAAAAAAAAGAAGTTATATCAAAACATTTATAAATGTTGCACATACTCCCTGTTTGAATAACAAAATTTGCTTTTATTTTTTCCACTTCTCTTACTTTAATCATAAGGAAACTTTTTATTCTAAAAGAAGTAAAAATTAAATTAGGGCAAATAAATGATTAAAACCCATTATGGTTATATTTAGTCCCAGCTTTTTTATGAGTGAAAGGGATTCTTTATATTATCAGAAAGTTGAGATCCAAAATAAATTTTGTTTTAAGCTTTCAGAATGTTTCTTTCTGTCTGTCATATGCCTTTAAAAACTTTCCTTTTGTCTCTTCTCTCATAAATGAAAGAATAATTCCAGGCATTTAGGGTTTCATTCAGCTTTTTATAACATATGGGAATTATGGGAACCTTATGTACAGAGACTCCTTTCTAATTGTCCTAACATGTTGCTGAAGAGGAAGCACTTGTCATGATGTTCTCAAGCCCAGCTTTATCCTAGGTCTAAGACTACGTATTTGGCCTAAAAGGAAAGGACTGAAACTTTCATCAACCCTAGGCTGATGACTATAATTTAAAGTATTGTCTTGTCTGAGACAGTTCAAGCTTCATATTGAAATTATTATCTGTGCTGGGACAGAAATGCCACATACATAGGAAAATTTAAATATCCAAGAAAGAGCCTGAAGTTCATTTACATATACACACTTTTTAGGTATGTAAACAGGTACATTGGATTGCATTGTATCTTAGACTGTGTTCCATGGAAACAGATGCTGAAATGGAGAATTGCTTCCAAAAGGTTAACTAAGTCAAGCTCTTGAGATCTACACTTCTGAAGCAGGAAAAATGGCAGAACTGAGCAGTGGGAAAAAGTGACCTGCAAGGTAGCTGCTGCTGGAGCATCCACACATCTTAGGGAGCCCTGAGGATGAAATGGCCCATAAGAGTTGTGTTCAGTTGAGGCAAAGTTTCTGGCCTTTATCTCCATAGCAGCCAGTCTGGGGCCTTGGGCAGCTCCCTATGAGGGAGTACACATGTGGGTGAGTCAGTTCCTACATCCACAACCAATGCCCAGTAAAGAAAACAGCTGTGAGCTGCTAGCCACAGACATTCCAGCCAACTAAAGAATGGGTGCATCAGACAGTAGAGGGGGTCTGGGAGAAGCCATGGAGTAGCAACTGGGGAAAATATACTGTTTATAGCACAGATTTTTTTTGTCTTAGTGTAAAAATTCAACGCTTTATTTACAGCTGCTCATTTTCACAGGAAAAATATGTTCTAGATTTAATGTTTTGATTTTGTTGTTGCTGTGTGTGTTTACATCAGCCTTATTTACTTCTAATTTAAAATTAATTCATCTTAGACTTATAAAAAGAGGAGCTTAGAAAAGATCGCCCTATTTTCTCATTTTACAAATAAAATAACTCTTCCCATGTCAAAAGGCTGGTCAGTGACAGAGCCATATCTAGAAGAAGGTTCTAATATAAGTTCCTTTCAGGTCACCATTCTGCTTCATTAATTTAAAAATATTTGTCCTGCCTGTATTGAAGACACTGGGGAGATTCAAAAGAAAACCCATGGATCCCACCTCCGTGAAGCTTGCAATCTGGAGACCGTTTGTGCTAAAATGTGTTCTGTTGTTGCTGAAAATCTTATTCTAAAAAGAAGCTATCACACCATTTGTATTAGCTGTTTTATGACAATCTAGTGTGAAGCCCAGCCTCTTTTCCCTGTAGAAATGTGTTGATTGTCCCATATTTTAGTTAGGAAATCAATTTTAGTAATGTTCTTCCTATCACCTCAGTCTGTCTCTGATATGGTTTGGCTGTGTCCCCACTCAAATCTCAACTTGAATTATATCTCCCAGAATTCCCACGTGTTGTGGGAGAGACCAAGGGAAAGGTAATTGAATCATAGGTGCCTGCCTTTCCCATGCTATTCTCGTGATAGTGAATACATCTCACAAGATCTGATGGGTTTGTCAGGGGTTTCCACTTTTGCTTCTTCCTCATTTTTCTCTTGCTGCTGCCATGAAAGAAGTGCCTTTTGCCTCCTGCTATGATTCTGAGGCCTCTCTGGCCGTGTGAAACTATAAGTCCAATTAAACTTACTCTTTTTTTTCCCGGTTTCAGATATCTTTATCAGCAGTGTGAAAATGAACTAATACAGTAAGTAAATTGGTACGAGTAGAGTGGGGCGTCGCTGAAAAGATAGCTGAAAATAGGGAAGTGACTTTGGAACTGGGTAACAGGCAGAGGTTGGAAGAGTTTGGAAGGCTCAGAAGAAGAAAGGAAAATATGGAAAAGTTTGGAACCTCCTAGAGACTTGTTAAACGGCTTTGACAAAAATGCTGATAGTGATATGAACAATAAGGTCCAGGCTGAAGTGGTCTCAGATGGAGCTGAGGAACTTGTTGGGAACTGGAGCAAAGGTGATTCTTGTTATGTTTTAGCAAAGAGACTGGTGGCATTTTTCCCTTGCCCTAGACATTTGTGAGACTTTGAACCTAAGAGAGATTATTTAGGGTGTCTGGTGGAAGAAATTTCTAAGCAGTAAAGCATTCAAAGGTGACTTGGATGCTGTTAAAAGCATTCCATTTTAAAAGGGAAACAGATCATAAAAGTTCAGAAAATTTGCAGGCTGACAATGCAGTAGAAAAGAAAAACCCATTTTTGGGGGAGAAATTCAAGCCAGCTGCAGAAATTTGCATAAGTAGCAAGGAACCTAATGTTAATCCCCAAGACCATGGGGAAAATGTCTCCAGGCTATGTCAAAGATTTTCAGGGGAGCTCCTCCCATCACAGGCCCAGAGGCCCAGGAGGAAAAAGTGGTTTTGTGGGCTGAGCCCTGGGTCCCCATGCTGTGTGCAGCCTAGGGACTAGGGGCCCTGTGTCCCAGCTGCTCTAGCCATGACTTAAAGGGGCCATTATAGAGCTCGGGCCATGGCTTCTGATGGTGCAAGCCCCAAGCCTTGGCAGCTTCCACGTGGTGTTGAGCCTGGGGGTACACAGAATTCAAGAACTAAGGTTTGGGAACCTCTCTCTAGATTTCAGAAGATGTATGAAAACACTTGGATGCCCAGGCAAAAGTTTGCTTCAGGGGTGGGGCCCTCATGGAGAACCTCTGCTAGGGAGATGCAGAAGGGAAAAGTGGGGTTAGAGTCCCTACACAGAGTCCCTACTGGGGCATCGCCTAGTGGAGCTGTGAGAAGAGGGCCACCATCCTCCAGACCCCAGAATGGTAGATCCACTGACAGCTTGCACTGTGTGTCTGGAAAAGCCACAGGTACTCAATGCCAGCCCATAAAAGCAGCCAGGCCATAAAAGCAGCCAGGAGTGGGGGCTATACTCTGAAAAGCCACAGGGGTGGAGCTGCCCAAAACTATGGGAATCTACCTCTTACGTCAGCGTGACATGGATGTGAGACCTGGAGTCAAAAGAGATCATTTTGGAGCTTTAAAACTTGACTGCCTGCTGGATTTTAGACTGGCATGGGTCCTATAACCCTTTTGTTTTGGTCAATTTCTCTCATTTTGAATAGCTATATTTACCCAATACCTGTACACCCATTGTATCTAGGAAGCAACTAGCTTGCTTTTGATTTTACAGGCTCATAGGTGGAAGAGACTTGCCTTGTCTCAGATGAGACTTTGGACTGTGGACTTTTGGGTTAATGCTGAAATGAGTTAAGACTTTGGGGGACTGTTGGGAAGGCATGAATTTTTTTGAAATGTGTGAACAGGAGATTTGGAGGGGCCAGGGGTGAAATGATATAATTTGGCTGTGTCCTCACCTAAAACTCAACTCGCATTGTATCTCCCAGAATTCCCACATGTTGTGGGAGGCACCCAGGGGAAGGTAACAGATTCATGGGGGCCAGTCTTTCCCATGCTATTCTTGTGATAGTGAATTAAGTCTCACGAGATCTGATAGGTTTATCAGGCATTTCCGCTTTTGCTTATTCCTCATTTTTCTCCTGCTGACACAATGAAAGAAGTGCCTTTCACCTCCCACCATGATTCTGAGTCCTCCCCAGCCATGTGGAACTGTAAGTCCAATTAAACCTCTTTTTGTTCCCAGGTTCAGGTATGTCTTTATCAACAGCGTGAAAACAAACTAATACAATCTCAAATAACTATGCCCCATGAGTGAGAGGGCTGAGCTTCAGAATTAATTAGATTGAATTCAGGCTCAAGTATACTCTTCCTATTCTTTGAGCTTTCCTCTGTCCCTACTCAATATATTTGCAAGCTAATGTTCCATTTCTCCTTGCATGCCAGATTATTTGTCCTACAGCCATAAATTGCTCTTTTTAAAAGAGACTATCTGTCAACATTACATGGGCCTTCCTGATCCCTCAGTCCAGTGGAGGTAACCAAAGACATCTAATTGCAGGAGATAGAAGTTACAGCTGCCAATCCTAGGGAAAAAGTAATACATCCTATCCAGTATGCTGGGACATCCTACTGTAGCACAGCAAGCTTTGGCTGTGGAAACTTCTCCTGTCCATATGGTGTTTCCATGTTTCTACTTGCTTCTCTCGACTTAGTTTTCGTGATTTATGACAAAGGTGACAATTACAGCAATGATTATGATCATCATCATAATGATATCTATCAAGCAGTGACAAGTAATTTTATAAATACCATGTCATTTTTATTTTGATCTACAAAAAAAGGGTATATTTCACAATTTTTGCAAAGATGACCAACTACATATATCACCTTTCTTTTTTGTAGCATTGCATTCTCTCAAACACAATTGTCGATCCGTACTAGTACCCTATCTGATGCCTCCATGGAATCTTCAAAAGGCATTTCCTTGTTTCAGCTGGAGGTGTTATACCACTATCAGTGTTGTTAACAATTTTACATGCTTATTTTATTTTTGCATATTTTATGTTTGTATAAAATTTGTTAGAACCACTGCTGCCTTCTTTATAGCAAATTAAAAATAGTAGACAAAAATAGAAGGCTAAAATCCAGCATAAAATACTCTTTATACAAATGCATATCCCACTCCTTCCAACAATTCCTGCTGAAAGCCCCCAGTATGAAGTCCAAATGTAAAAGTGAATCCTAATGTCACTATGCTCTATCCCTAGAGTCTGTCTCAGCACAACCTGGCAACACACACAAAAATCAGACACAACTCTAATCTCAAAGCATTGATAAGTAGCAAAATTTTGCTTGTGGTTTTGATGAAGAGAGAGAGGAAGAAAGGATGACTTCTATCTTATAAAAATAGAAAGGTTCCCTTTAATAAATCCAAACTTATCTTCATGTTTCTCCTCCTCCATCAACTGCTGTCTTCTATTTTCCTTGAAACCTTTCTCTTTATAATTATGTCCAATAAAATTGATCCTCTATCTTTTCTCACTCAATCTTTCCCCAAACTGTCCACCAAATCTCATTTCATAGAACTACTTCGCAAAATAAAACAAATGAATCTAGTACTTTGGGGAAGTAAAGGAAAAGAAAAACAACTAGCACCTACCTAACAGACAGCATTTTGTTCCATATGGAAGAAGGTTTAAGGGAAGGGGTTGGGGGGTGTGTGTGTGTGTGTGTGTGTGTGTGTGTGTGTGTGTGTGTGTGTGTTTTCAAGGTGGGGGCAGATTTCAGTGGAGCTGAGCTCATCTCTCCAAAACAACTTGCTGACATTTTATTTCTTTTTTTAAAAAAAAAAAAAAATGTAATCTGAATGCCATTTAGCTTTCACAACTTTCCTCAGTGCTGGTCTTATGTTATCAACTTCCTGTTGGAAAATTCAATAGCCTACCAAAATCTCAAACCTATTTTATTAATAAAAATAACTCATTATGTGTGCTGGGAGATTTGCTTCTTTTCAACCTGTTTGATTCATCTTATCATCAAAGTGCTCAAAATTTAAACCTTAGAGTCTTCTCACCTCCTGCATCTAAGTGGCTCTAATTGAAAGTATCTCAAAGCCTTTCCCATCAGCATCTCCATCATCAAAGCCTTGCTTTAACCTCTCATATCTCTTATACAGATTTTGCAATAGCCACTTAAATAGCTTCAATTTTCTGCCACCAGAAATTGCTTTCCTCTTTTATATAATACGTTCCCTATGATTAAGAACTTTTGTTTTCACTGTTTATTATACAAAATTTCAAACTGATAGAAAAGTAATGGAAATAATAAAATAAACCTAAGTACCCATCAACCAGTTTTAACAATTCACAGTTCATAATTGTAATATTGTGATTTATAAAAAAATATATATTTGGTATTTGTCTCCATCCCTCTCACAGAGCTCCCTAAACTCTTGAAATTTCATAAGTGATGAGAGATAAAGGAGAACAGACCATCTTTTGTCATTCATAGCAAACCCATTTCAATTACATTTGAGTTTATGTTAATGAAGTGAGTTTGGGAAAGCCCCTAGATAACTATGGGATAGAGGCTAGTTGCCAGGATAACTAACGAGTGATTACAGGGTTGGAATTTTTAGCCCCACCCCCTGACCTCCAGGTACAGGAGAAGATTTGGAGACTGACTTGATTACTAATGACCAATGATTTAATGAATTACGCCTATGTAAGGAAGGCTCCATGAAAACACAAAAGAATGAATTTCAGAGAGCTTCAGGGTTGGTGAACACATTGAAGTGCTGGGAGGGTGGCACACCTGGATAGGGCATGAAAGCTCACACCTCTGAAACCGCCATTGCTAAATCGTAACTGAGACAGTGAAAGAGATCTGACCTAACAAACTCCATCTTACTTTTAACCTCCAAGCTGTCCTTGTTCATTCCTAGGCATAGGCTGAACTAACCTTGGGAAGAACTTAGTTTACGGTTTATAGTTTAAAACAAAGATGATAACAAGCCTTTCCCAGGGCAAATCCCCTTCTTGCCTGGGACTAGACTGCTGCCTTTGTAGGACTAACAAATTAGCTGCAAGATTAGAAATTATGGTTTAGGAGTCATGCAACTGGAGGCTACAAGATTCTGACTCTCCCTAAACTTCTCCTAAGATCAGTGCTTTAGATATTTTGCAGACCCTGTGCTTGAGGGATCAGCTGGCACCACCCAGATTGATAAACTGGCTCATCTGATCTTGTGGCCACCACCCAGGAACTGACTCAGTGCAAGAAGACATCTTCAATTCCCTATGATTTCATCTCTGACCCAACCAATCAGCACTCCTGACTCACTGGCCTTCCCCTACCCACCAAATTATCCTCAAAAACTCTCATCCCCAAATGCTCAGGGAGACTGATTTGAGTAATAATAAAACTCTGGTCTCCCACACAGCCAAATCTGCATGAAAATTACTCTTCTCTATTGCAATACCCCTGTCTTGATAAATTAGCTCTTTCTTGGCAGTAGGCAAGGCAAACCCATTGGGCAGTTACCCCCACACCTTGCCGTATGCATCTCTTCCATCTAGCTGTCATTGAGTTGCATTCTTTTCTAATAAACCAGTCATCTGATAAGCAAACTGTCTTCCTGAGTTTGGTGAGCAAATTATGGAATATGAGAAGGGGACCATGGGAACCTCAAATTTATAGTTAGTCAGAAGCACAGGTAACAGCCTGGACTTGTGTTTGGCATCTGAAGTGGGGGCGGTCTTGTGGGACTGAGCTTTTAACCTGTGGGATTTGACACGATCTCCAGATAGACTGTTTCTGAATTGAATTAAACTACAGGACACTTGTAGGTGTCCATAGAGAATTAGAGAATTGCTTGGTGTGGAAGGAAAAAACCCACACATTTGGTGGCCAGAAGTGTTTTGTTACTAAGAAGAAATACAGTGAGTTTTCCCTTACGATGACCAACTTAATTTCATCTATATTCCATTCCTGATTATATTGAAGTAGATCCCAGGCATTCTATCATTTTAACTCTAAATAGTATAAGACAGGAACTCTATTTTTAAAACCTAATCACAAAACATTATCACATTTAAAAATTAACAATCATTTCTCAGTAGCAACAAATCCAACAGTGTTCAAATCCTCCTGGTTGCCTTATATGTTTTTATTTTACAGTTTGAATCAGGATCTAAGTATGGACCATAAATTTCAGTTGTTTCTACATCTCTTAAGTCTTTTCCACTCTATATATGACCACTCCTTTCTTTCTTTCATTTTTTCTTTTATTATTGTAGTTGTTACTGAAGAAAATGGGTTGTTTATCTGGGTTTTGCAGATTGCACCCCCATGGTATGATTAACATATTCATTTATTCTCTATGTATTTCCTATAATTTAATAATTAGATCTAGAGTAGTGAAGAGTAGTGATCTGTTTCAGATTTAACATTTTAAGCTAGAAAACTTCTTAGGTCATCTCATGTAACTAGCATCAAGAGGTACATAAGAATGGTTTGTCTCTATTTATGTTACCAGCTATGGCCTAGATCTATTAATTCATTATTTTAAGCAAAATTATTATATTTTACTGAATCTTGATTTATTAGCTACAAATTTTCTATAAAAAAAGAACTTTTCCTCGTCAATGATTTGTTTACTCTACACTGTAGTTTTAAGCTTTGTGCTAAATCACTTCGCAATCTAGGCCTGATCTATCTTACCTAGCTTACCTCCTCCTCCACAGGACACACATATTTTCCCCAAGAGTGTGGTGGTTTACAAAAACTGTGTTTCAAGATAATTTTTTACATCCCCAGCATTTAGTAATGGTTGGCATATATCAGGCAATTAAGAAATGTTTGCTGAATGGGAGAGTGGATGAGAATTTCCTATATAAGTAACTGATGGTATAATACTTGTATTTATGCATGATTTCAAACACATTCAGACTTTCAGATGCTCATACTTAATGTCAGAAAGAATTCTTTTCAACGTGAGTACAATAATGCACTGACAAGTCACATTAACGTCTAATACAACATTAGCAGTGAATTAAACGAAGACATCCTAAATTATACCATTCAAGAGATAAATGTTATTCTAGAATAGATTTGGCACCATGCACTCTTTGCAATGTGAAGTCACCAGTCCTCAAGTATTTTATTTTCTATCACCTGCAGTAACTAGATCATCAGTCTAAGCAGAGACAGATAACATTAGCATTTCAAAGAGAACACTAAACAAACCTGCTTCCATTACAATGAGATTTCATTCTGAGGAATAGCATTTATCACTCCCTTATTCTCAAAACACCCTCCCTTACCTTAGATCACACCACACCTATAGGTTTTCCTCTTACAAATATCACTTTCAGGCTGGGCACAATGGCTCACACCTGTAATCTCAGCACTTTGGGAGGTCAGGACAGAAGGATTGCTTGAATCCAAGAGTTCAAAACCAGCCTATGCAACATAGTAAGACCCCACTTCTACTAAAGATACAAAATTAGGTGGGTGTGGTGGTGCATGCCTGTGGTCCCAGCTATTTGGGAGGCTCAGGTGGGAGGATCACCTGAGCCTGGAAGGTCGAGGCTGCAGTGAGCTATGATCTCACCACTGCACTACAGCCTGGGCAACAGAGCAAGACCTTGTCTAAAAAAAGAAACAAAAACAAACAAATACAAATATCACCTTTCATTCTGTGTCTGCTGGCTTTTCCTTTCTATATGGTCTTTCAATAAAAGAGTTCCTCAAACATTAGAACTAATCTTGCTTTACTTCCACTTTATACTTTTCCCCTAGGCAATGCTTATCTGCTTATCAACTTCTTATTTCTTGCCCACATCTTTCATTTGAATTTTAGAATAACATATGCAAGTGCCTACACTTCACACTGAACATCATCATCATTATCTTCCTGCTCTTCTTCCTCTTATTGTTTAGAATCTCAAAGGAGAGCACAACTGCATATAGTTAGAACAACTAGGAAGGCGGCATCAGCTGTGACTTCTCACTCTCCTTATCCCTCATATACAATAAAGTACCAGCTTTCCTTTCTGTTCTACAAACTAATTATTTCTTGAATAAAACCATTTTTCCTTTTTTAAAACATTTTTAATTCATGCATAATAACAATACATATTTATGGGGTACATGTGATATTTTGATACATGCATGCAATGTGTAGTGATCAAATCAGGCTAATTGAGATATCTATCACTTCAAACATTTATCATATCTTTGTTTGGGGAACATTCAAATTCTTCTTTTTTTTTTTTTGAGACAGAGTCTCACTCTTGTTGCTCAGGCTGGAGTGCAGTGGCATGATCTCAGCTCACTACAACCTCCACCTCCCAGGTTCAAGCGATTCTCCTGCCTCAGCCACCCAAGTAGCTGGGATTACAGGTGCCCACCACCAAGCCCAGATAATTTTTGTATTTTTAGTATAGATGGGGTTTCACCACGTTGGTTAGGCTAGTCTTGAACTCCTGACCTCAGGTGATCCACCCGCCTCAGCCTCCCAAAGTGCTGGGATTACAGGTGTGAGCCACCACACCTGGCCCAAATTCCTCTCTTTTAGCTATCTTGAAATATACAATAAGTTGTTCACTATAGTCATCCACTGTGCTATAGAACAATAAAATGTATTTCTCCTACCTAACTGTAATTTTGTACCCATTAATCAACCTCTTGATATCCACTTTCCTTCTCTAAACTTGCCAGCCTCTAGTAACACAATTCTACTCTCTACTTCTGTAAGATCAACCTTTTTAGCCCCTACACATGACTGAGAAGATGTATCTGCCACGTTTCTTGATTTCTGTTTTTACCATCCCAGTTCTGACCATTAGAAAGGTTGTCTGGGACCATGGCCAATATTTTCTAATGGCTTCCCTGCATAGAATCTTGCCTTGAGTCAATCCAGAATAATGTTTTAAAGAATTCTTTCATTTTCTTGTTTAAAATCCTTTGGAGGCTTCTATTCTCTGAGGATAAAGAAAAAACTCCTTAACATCTCCTTAAAGCTTTGCCTGATCTGGATACAGTCCTCTACTCCACTCATGAACCCCAACTCTCATTTAAGTCATAAATGGCCTCTCAATTCAATAAGTACACTGTATTATTTAAGGAAGAGATAAGTCTTTGACACATTGGCTATTCCCTCAGTCTGGGGTATTTGCTGTGCAAGTTGTCAGAATTAAAATGGAGTCACTGATGTTAGGAAAACCCTGATAAATTGAACCAGGGAAGGCCTTGAAGAAAGGGTTCTCATGCTTGGGGCCTGGCAACAAAATCTATCACAAAAGACTGCAAAAATCACAACCTCATACAACGGCCATACAACCTGAAACAAAAACAATACTTACGTGAGAACATCTGCCCAGCAACTACCTATCCAACCTGGAACTGGAGGTCACCCTTATTATTAATCCTTGTAGCCAAGGATAATTGTTTCAAAACAATTATGTAAAATTCCCCCTTTTTTTTTTCCTTTAAAAACCTTTGTCTTGCTTCACCTCCCTGAATATACATATAGTTAACTATGGCACATATATTCCCATTGCAACACTCTATTCCCAGTAAACATCTTTTCTTTTAGAGAGACTCTCTCTGCTTGTTATTTCGGCTGACAATGACCTCACTCTTCTGCTTCATCTAATTTATCATCAGGGCCTTATTACAATCACAATTAAATGATTAATTGTGTTATAAGTTGGGAGAGCTTTTTAAAATTATTTTTAAAATACTGGCCTCCTATATTCATCAGGGTTCTCTAGAGGGACAGAACTAATAGGATATATATATGAGAGTTTATTAAGTATTAACTCACACAATCACAAGGTCCCACAATAGGCCATCTGCAAGCTGAGGAACAAGGACAGCCAGTCCAAGTCCCAGAACTGAAGAACTTGGAGTCTGATGTTCAAGGGCAGGAAGCATCCAGCATGGGAGAAAGATGTAGGCTGGGAGGCTAGGCCGGTCTAGTCTTTTCACGTTTTTCTGCCTGCTTTGTATTCTAGCCACACTGGCAGCTGATTAGATGGTGCCCACCCAGATTAAGGGTGAGTCTGCCTTTCCCAGCCCACTGACTACAATGTTAATTTCTTTGGCAACACCCTCACAGATACACCCAGGCTCAATACTTTGCATCCTTCAGTACAATCAAGTTGACACTTAGTATTAACCATCACACCTCCCAAACTAAAATGTGTCCTTATGAAGGCTAGGAAGCTAGGGCTTTGTCAGTCTTAGTCACTATTCTCTTAATTACTAGCACTGTCTCTGAGGCATAATATGCAGTAAATCTCTTTCTTGTTGAATAAAGAAAGGAATTAACCAATCAGTTAATGAATCAAAATTCACAAGGAAATTTCATTTTGTACTTTTGCTTCCTAGGGCTTCAGGGACTTTCATGTCTGGGCCAAAGTAAAAACTTCTGCTAAGGCACACACACTCATCTTTGAAAGCAACTAATAAATATAGTAACTGCATTCTTAGTTTTGTCCAACACAATTTTACACAACTAGCATTTATAAAGCATCTTTTAATAAGCAGCAATTAATTCAATCGTATTTTTTACTGAATGGCAATTATGAATACTATGCTACAAGCCATATACTCCTTTAAAGCTCTGAATGGCTATTAGAGATTATTAATCCCCTCTGGTGCCCACTGGCATGTTATCTGCTACATAGAAGTTGCTAATACATATTTTATTTTTCTATTATTTTTAGAAGTAATGAAGTAACATTGGGAAATACTGGTAGGTAAGATTTTGTAGATTATAAAGGGCTTTGTGCTCAAGCCATTCTTGACTCATACCATAAAAAGGAACCTCCACTCCATCATTCAGTTGACATAATATCTCCATATTTTATTGCAGTGAAATTGTATCGATGGAAAATTGACTGTAAGGTAATTGACAATGGATTTTTTTAAAAGTGGCTTAAACAGAATCCCTTGCAGAAGACTGCTGTGTAAAATTCAACAATTTACCTTGGAACGTATTATAGTCATTTATAAATGTGGAGTCTTTGATAAAGAAATTTCATCAACGAGGAAATCTCACAAACAGAATATTTTAATTCTCAATAGTATATCTTAGCTTTGTTGATACAATTATTATTGAATGTTATTTGCTCCTGTATTTATACATAACTTAAGATTTGCTAGCATTCCTTAAGTTCAAATCTTTCCCTCCTTACTGATTTGCCTATCTGCTTATTCTGTTGGCTATTGAGACAGATATGTATACTCCTACAATTATGGATTTATCTATTTCTTCTCTTATTTGTCAGATTTTGCTTTGTATATTTTGAGGCTATCCCATCAGATGCATATAAACTTATGCTTACTGTTTCTTCCTGGTAAACTCATTCAGTATTATAAAATTCCAGTTTTTATCTCTATATTTTTTCATTAAATTACTTTGACTTATATTATTGTAACTTCACTGACTCTTCTTGATACTATATATGGTAGTCTTTTTAATATCCTCTTGCTTTTAAATTTTATTCATCCTTGTATTTAAGGTGAGTTTCTTGTAGGCAGCATATATTTGGGTTTTATTGTTTAATCCAATCTAACAAGGTATTTTAAAAATTGTATCATTTAATACATTTACATTTATCACAATTACTAATATATATGAACTTATGTCTACTGTTATACTATTTGAGTTTTCCACCCCATCTGCTTATTTTCGTTTTTCTTATTGGTTTTCATGTTTCTCTGTTTTTCCTCTTTTTGGGAGTAATCAATCTTTGTATTTAATTTTCAATTAGCTTTTACTTACACACTTCTTGATTCATATTTTATTGCTTACCTTAACAATTAGAACTTACATTCCAGATTTATTAGGGTGTATGTTAAATTTAAACTTTTTATACTTTCTAGACAATGCAAGAATCTAGGACCCTTTAACTTCATTTATCTCCCTTCCTTTTTCTGTACTATTCTTGTCACATCTTACAATTCTACATACATTTTAGAGCTCAAAATGTTTTATTACTGTTTTAAGAAGTTAATATTTACTTAGAAGGTTTCCCTACAAATGTATCCTCTTTGTTGCTCTTCAGTCATTCCTACATTACATCAATTCAATCTGAGATGATATTTCAACATTTTCTTAGGAAAATATTTAAACATAACACTGTGAAAGAATTTTACAATGAACAATCATACACTGCCCACTAGATTCTACAATTAATATTTTACTAACTTCATTTCATCACATGTTTATGTAACTTGCCTCCTCTACCTATTATTCCATTCATTCTATTTTTTTGAAGTATATCTAAGGAATTTACAGACCTCACTACATTGCTTGCTAAATGCTTCAGGATGGACACCATTAGCTATAGTTCAGTATTTCTTCACAGTTATTTTATTTTGAGGTAAAATTTAATTACAAAGAAATGTACAAATCTTAACAATCCCATTCAATGAGGTTTGCTGGGTATGTAATGGTATCTCATTGTGATTTTAACTTGCATTTCTCTGATACTGAATAGTTTTTCATGTGCTAATTTGTATATCTCCTGTTGTAAAGTATCTGTTCAAATGTTTTGCACACTTTTAAGGTTTATCATTTTACTATTGAGTTGTATAAGTTCTTCTTATACCCTGCATACCAGTCCTTTGTCAGATATATGTGTTGAAAACATTTTATTGTTTTTGTATATTTCTAATTTATTCTCTTAATATCTTTTGAAAAGATTTTTTAAAAATCTTGATGAAGCCTAAATTATCATTTTTTTCTTCTACTGTTGTTGCTTTCTCTATTCTGTCTAAGAAAACTTTTGTTTATCACTGAGTTTTAAAGATATTCTCCTACGTTTTCTTTTAAAGTTTTTATATTTTAAGCTTTTATGTTTAGATCCAAAACATCTCAAATTAATTTTTGGTGTAATAGGAGGTAGCATTCTAGTTTTTATTTTTCCATATGAATATCCAGTTGTTCCAATATTATACACATAAAAGATATCCATTTCTGCATTTAATTGCTGTGAATCTTTGATTGAAAATCAAATGTTAGCCTATTTCTGGACTCTCTATTCTGCTCTGTTCATCTATTTGTTAATCCTTATTCAAATTAAGGCTGTCTTCATTACCACAGACTTATAGTAAGTATTGAAGTCAGATAATGTGATTCCTTCAATTTTATTTTCATTTTTTAAAGATTGCTTTTGGTATTCTAGAATCCATACCAAATTTTAGAGCCACCTTGTCAATACTAAAAGTAAAAAGCCTAGTGGCATTATAATTAAGGTGGTATTTGGTTTTCTTTGCCCTCATTGAGTGTCTAGAATCAATTATTCTTAAAATTGTCCACTCATACCGAACTTCAGATTCCTCATGTTCAGCATCAGTCCAATTTCTGAAATCCAACTTGGATGCACCAACATTTATCAAAAGTTCCTCAAGTATCCTCTGGCCTTAAAAGAGAATTTAACAAATATCTTTTGGTTATTGATTGACACCTTTAAGGTCTCATCCCCATTGATCATCATCCCCATCCAATTGTGTGATGGGATTGGTAAATAATATCTTTATTCAAATTGTATTAATCTATCCAAGTGTAATTCCATAAGTAAAATCTTCTTCAAATTAATACGTCAGTAAACAGAACGTAAAATTTTTCGTGGGTGCAGCAAAGACATTCCCTCTTCAAATCTCTTTCTCATATACAAATTTATATAGACATTCAATGTTTTCACTTCCTTTAGTCAATTACCAGCCTGAGATCTATTCTCATATCATTTCTCAGCTGCTGACATGAAAATATTTTATGTGAAAAACAGAAATATCAAAGAACCTATTCACCCTCCAGCAAACATTCATGTAATGATTAAAAAGAAATAGCCTCCCCATCAACTACTTCCTTGAATGCCCACCATTAAGCCAAGTATTCAGATTATTTCCAGTTATCAGACCATCACATATTTTTTTCCCTACTCTTTGGTGTGATGGAAGACATTTCAGAAATCTGACTTAATTTAGTTGGGCTCATCTTTACTTTTCAAGGCAGTCGTGTCACTATCAAACATATCGTCTTACACCAGTCTTCTACATTTCACAATTCTCCCCTTTTCCCATTCCTAACAAATTAATAAATGCCAGCCCTTTTTGATTTGTATCCCTGGATTTAGAGACCCAGTTGAGTTCTGATCCTGCCAGTTTTACATAAGAAATGACTCCAAATATGATTACTCATGACCTGAACCAAAAACTTTTATAAAATGCTTACAGCAAACCCTGAAAACTCATCCTCTCTGGAACTTCCAGGTGAAGTCAAAGCTTACATTCTAGCATAGTAAATTTTTTTTATTTTAAATTGGCTCTATTTTTAGAGTAGTTTTAGGTTCATAACAAAACAGAGCAGAAGGTGCAGAGTTTCTATATATTCTCTATCTCCCATCCTTCCCTACACACATAGAGCTTGATTCCCCACTATCAATTTTCTGCACCAGGGTGGTACACTAGTTATCATCACTGAACCCATATTGATACATCATTATCACCCAAAGTTCATCATTTACATTAGGGGTCATGCCTGTGTTGTGCCTTTTATAGGTTTTGACACATATACAATGACATGTATCCAACATTATAGTGTCATACAGAATAGGTTTCACTGCCCTACAGATACTCTGTGCTCCATCTATTCACCCTTCCCTCTCCCCGTACCCCTGGCAACAACTGATGTTTTTACTGTCTCCATAGTTTTGCCTTTTCAGAATGCCATATGGTTGGAATCATAAAGTATGTAGACTTCAGATTGGTTTATTTCACTTAGTAATATGCATTTAAAGTTCCTCCATGTCTTTCTATGACTTGATAGCTTATTTCCTTTTAGTGTTGAATAATATTCCATTCTATAGATGTACCACAGTTTTTCCAGTCACCTACTAGAGGGCATTATGGTTGTTTCCAAGTTTTGGCAATTATGAATAAAGCTGCTATAAAAATCTATATGCAGATTTTTGTGTGAACATAAGTTTTCAAAACATTTGAGTAAACACTAAGGAGCAAAACTGCCTAATCATATGATAAGAATATGGTTAGTTTTGTAAGAAGTTACCATAATGTCCAAAGTGGCTGTACCATTTTTTATTCCCAGCAGCAATGAATAAGACTTTCTGTTGCTCCTCATTCTTTCCAGTATTTTATGCTGGCACTGCTCTGGATTCTGGCCATTCCAATAAATGTGTAGCGGTATCTCACTGTTGCTTTAGTTTGTTTTTCCTTAATGATGTGGAATATATTTTTATACAATTATTTCACATCTGTTTATCTTCTTAGGTGAGGTATCTGTTCAGATCTTTTGCCTATTTTTAAATCACATTGTGCCCTTATAGCTGAATTGTAAGTTATTTATGTATTTTGGATAACAGTTCTTTGTTTATGAGATATGCCTTTTACAAATATTTTCTTCCAGTCTGTAGCTTGTCTTCTCATTCTCTTGACAGTGTCTTTTGCAGAGCAGAAGTTTTTAATTTTAATAAAGTTTCATGTATCAATAATTTTTTCATAAGTCTTTTGTTTTATATTATTTAAGAAGTCATTGCAAAATCCAAGGTCATCTAGATTTTCTCCTATGTCATCTTTCAGGAGTTTTATAGTTTTGCATTGTGCATTTAGCTCTACAAATCCATGTTGAGGTAATTTTTGTGAAGGGTTTAAGATCTTTGTCTAAATTTACGTTGTGTCATATGTATGTCCAGTTGTTTCAGCACTATTTGTTGAAAAGACTATCTTTGCTCCATTGTATTGCCTTTGTTCTTTTGTAAAAGATCAGTTGACTATTTTTATGTGAGTTAATTTCTGGACTCTCTATTCTAGTACATTGATCAATTCAACTGTTATTCTACCAATACCACACTGTCTTAATTAGTGTAGCTTTATAGTAAGTCTTGAGGTCAGGTATTATTGAGATCAGCACATCAGAAAAAGGCAAATAGAATTACAATAAAATTCATTATATGTTATTAAATAATGGCCAATCTTCATAGATACTACTTCATAGATACTATAATCGGTATCTTATTGATTATAATATAATCGATACCTTATTGATTATAGGAATATAATCGATACCTTATTGATTATAGGAATATAATCGATACCTTATTGATTATAGGAATATAATCGATACCTTATTGATTATAGGAATATAATCGATACCTTAGTGATTATAGGAATATAATCGATACCTTAGTGATTATAGGAATATAATCGATACCTTAGTGATTATAGGAATATAATCGATATCTTAGTGATTATAGGAATATAATCGATATGTGGCAAAACATAAAATGCTCAGTCAGTAACACACACAAAGATATGAAGACATATTTTTAGATGTCACTTTGCATTACAACTTAACAAAATATGATCTTGTTCTCTTAATCAGAAAAAAATATTTTCAATGTGAAATTATGTTGAATCATATTCAAATTATGAACTTACATCAGCTTTTTAGCAAATTAACACATTTAGGTTGGTAGTAGAGAAGCTTTATGTTTCATATTCTTCAGAGTTTCCTAAGCCAGATAAATGAGATATTTTTGACTGTATACTAAGACTAACAGATAACTATAGTTATAGACAGAATTGCTGCTGAGCTTAGAAATTCAAATCTCTTTAGGCCCATCCAATTCTCCCTCCCTCTCTTACCTGTTGTTTCTACCAGATCTGGCAAACTCACTACAAATATAAGCTCCAATGGAGGCAACCGGGGCAATCCAAATAAAAGAGTATAATATCATTGAGTATGCAGAGCTCTCAAGATAGCTTTAGAGGTGGTACAAAACATTCAGCTTCTGGGTGTTGTTTGTTGGAAAATGTCAGAGCAGGAGGAGCAATGTTTGTTCTAACACAGTCATTGTAGAGGCTCAAGTAAAAGAGATTACATCCTTGGTAGCCAGAATGGTGCAAGAACTACAAAAGGCTGGGTTCTTTTTACCTTTTGAAATGATTTAGACGTTTTAATTATGAATGAAAGGGATCTTTATTCTTGAGACAGGAGTAACGGATCAAATGATCCAGACATTTCAATATTTGGTTCTTATTTAAGAGACATGCTCCTCAGATGACACCACAGAAAAGGATGGAGTCTTTTCCAACACGGTCAATTCTAGCCTTTACAAAGTATAAATTTTAATTTTCACCTAGTCTTTGAATTGGCAAGACTTTGGCTATGTTTGAGGGTTAGCATTACAACAAATTAAATTTTTCTGCAAAAGAAAATTGAATTTTTTTTTTTTTTTTTTTTGAGACGGAGTCTCACTCTGTCACCAGGCTGGAGTGCAATGGCACGATCTTGGCTCACTGAAAGCTCTGCCTTCTAGGTTCACGCCATTCTCCTGCCTCAGCCTCCCGAGTAGCTGGGACTACAGGCACCTGCCACCATGCCCGGCTACTTTTTTTGTATTTTTAGTAGAGACGGGGTTTCACCGTGTTAGCCAGGATGGTCTCAATCTCCTGACCTCCTGATCCACCCACGTTGGCCTCCCAAAGTGCTGGGAGAAAAAAAAAATCTTAATTGAAGAGAGGGACAAAGAAGATAAAGCAAATGTTTGCAGATGGAAAACTGTTGACTAACACAGAAGAGTGGTGAATTTCAAGTTGATTGTGTTTCTGAAATTAAGTAAACTCCTTCCCATCACCCACAGGCACTAAATGAAACATGTCACACTAACACAGGTACATGTGAGGATTTTTTTGAAAGAGAGAGGAATCAGAAATTTTAAAAAGAGGCCCATATCCACGTATGGTTCAATTCCAGCTGGAGATAAAGGAACAACCACAAAACAAGGCAAAAATCCAGCCAATGCAGGAAATTGGTCATAATTATAGCCAAGAGGAATTAACATCTCATCTTAGCTTTTATCTGTCTTCACTCCTTAACCCTGGATACAGCATAGGAATCCTGGTTGAAAGAGGGGATGCTGAATTTTCAACAAGGTGTATGTATGATTGGGATCTGTGGCCCCACCAAATCTTATGTTAGATTGTAATCTCAATATTGGAGGTGGGGCCTGGTGGAAGGTGATTGGATCTTAGGGTTGAATGTCTCATTAATGGATTAGCACCATTCCCTTGGTGCTGTCCTTGTGATAATGAGTTCTTGTGAGATCCAGTTTAAAAATGTTGGCACCTCCTCCCCCTCTTGCTCCTGCTTTTGCTATGTTTGTACAGCCTGCAGAGCTGTAAGCCAATTAAACCTCTTATTTACAAATTACCCAGCTTCAGTTATTTATTTATAGTGGTTCAAGAACTGCCTAACACAGCACAGAATAGAAATTATGCAATATTTATGAAGATCATTAATTGTTCTAAGATCTCAAGCCCACATTGTGTTGATGACTTCTAAGTTACAATTATAAGCCTAAAAGTGACAGGATACGATAGAATGCATAGAACATACGTAGAGTCACTAGAGGAGGTTCTGCCTCCAGGTTGCCCATTCACAATTTGATAAATGTTACTGAACACCTACAACGCACAAGATACTGTGCTAGGTGATAAAAGGATTAAAAGGGCAAGTAAGCCAGTTCCTTAACAAAGGTACTTATAGTACAACAAGGGGCATAGGACAAGTATCAACATACCAAAAAACATGTAGAATATGGAATGATTTTATGTGTGTGCCTGCATGTATGTACACACACACACACACACACACACACACACACAAACACATATTGCTTTTTAAAAAGAGCTTGAAAGTTCAAAGGATGGAAAATCAGTCCCCATAATTTAGGGGACAGAGGGGATTTTTGGGATTGTCTTTATTACCTGATGGCTTTGGCAAAGGGCTTTAGATGCTGGTACATTTTTTAATGTTGAGGTATAATTTGCATGTGACACATGAAATTTACATTTGTACAGATCTCACATGTGCCATTGAGTTAGATAAAATGTAAGCATTCAGGTAATTTAATCTCATTTGAAGACAGAACATTTCTGTCACCCCAGAACATTATCTTGTACCTCTTCCCAGTCAATTCTTACCACACATACTTTTGTCCCAAACAACCACTTTTTTTATTTCTATGGATACAACTTTAACAGACAGGCAGATGTGGAGGACAAAGCATGAGCAAGTGTATAATAGCTCAAGAAAAAGCAGGGGTTATTACAAGGTGTGCATATAGGTGTGTAGTGAGAAAAATCTATCACAGTAAGATGGGGGACATAATGTTGAGAATCGTAAATACTAGCCAGAAGGAGATGTTTGTATTTCATTCAGAAGAAAAGATAAGCCATTTAAGCAAAATGTATTTTTGTAAAATTATCCTGATCACATGGGAAGCTATACTGTTTTACAGTATTAAAGGGGACACAAAGGATGTTTGCACACTACCTTAATAAACCTCCGGCAATTTTTGAGTAGTCTAAAAATGCCTCTGTCACTTAAGCTTTGTATACTTGTACTGAGCCCAAAGCTGTATTAATTTGGCTGTCATTTAAATATATTTTTCTCTTATCATTTTCCATTTCCATTTCATCAATGTGCATTTGCAAAAGAAAGGTTTCATAGTAAAGAATATTTATCTGTTATACGCCAAATTCAGAAAAAAAAACACATAATAAAAATTTTCCAAGATTGGTGTAACTTTTGTGTGAGCCCTTTGCCCTACTTCTTTCTTACTAAAATACACACATGAATTTGGAGGTGGAGTAACATAGGAAAAAGTGAAAGAACTGACTTAAAAGTTGGGGTCCCTGTACATTTTTTGAGCACCACTTCCACCCTGGGCTATCCTCCCAGAATTCTTGCAATGTGAAATCAATCACCTCATGTGTTGGTGCTGCTTAAGGTTTTCTGTGTCTTGCAGTGGAATGAATTTCTAAGTAATATGTCATGCATCCAGTGCTCCTTCCTCTTAGGTTTTTATACAAGAAGGTTGGGACTGAGAGCTGAGGACAGAACTCTGGAAATGTGATCAGTAAAACAACTGGGAATCAAAAATTCCTTCTCCCTTCTTGTTAGGTATATCATATAATTGTCTTGGTGGTTGTTTTCTTGTTGGTATATACCATCCCTCTTTTCCTAGAGCCCTTAATTATCCTCTGCTTCTGCCATTAGTACTTTGATAACACCTAATCAAAGAATATGCCTCACACCATGGAGAAGTCCATGCAAAAGCACCATTTCCTGAAAACCATCGATTCATTGCCCCAACTAACACTTAGACATCTCACATCACTTTCTACAAGATTATTAGTCTAGCCACTCAGGCTACTCTCCACTTAGGGTAGAAGAAACTATTATTATGTTTTTCTTTTAACATTCAGGGCCTCACACTTGTCTCAGATTTCATTCCAATAGACCTTAAACTTGGTCTTACTAATCTTTAAACAATAAAGACTGTAGGCACCCCAAGCATATACACAAACAAACACACACTCATACACATACAAATGTGTATATACATCTATTTCAAGAATAATCTATAGATTTTAATGGCCATTCTGTATGATTTTTGTAGGCTTACACAACTTTGATTACTAGATACTTCAACATGGATATTATGATCCTACTTCTTAAAAACAATTTCAGCTGTTTTCTGCCAAACATCGTATGTTCTCACTCATAAGTGGGAGCTAAGCTATGAGGATGCAAAGGCATAAGAATGATACAGCGGACTTTGGGGACTTGGGGGAAAGAGTGGGAGGGGGTGAGGAATAAAATACTACACGTTGGGTACACTTTCCACTGCTCAGGTGATGGGTGCACCAAAATCTCAGAAATCACCACTAAAGAACTTATTCATGTAACCAGGCTGGACGTGGTAGCTCATGCCTGGAGGCTGAGGCAGACGGATTACTTGAGGTCAGGAGTTCGAGACCAGCCTGGTCAATATGGTGAAACTCTGTCTCTACCAAAAAATACAAAAATTAGCTGGATGTGGTGGTGTGTGCCTGTAATCCCAGCTACTAAGGAGGCTGAGGCAGGAAAATCGCTTGAACCCAGGAGGCAGAAGTTGCAGTGAGCTGAGATTGCACCACTGTACTCCAGCCTGGGCAACAGAGTGAGTGAGACTTTGTCTCAAAAAAAAAAAAAAAAAACCAAACAGATCTTATTCACGTAACCAAACATGACCTGTTCTCCAAAAACCTATTGAAATACAAAAAGAGTTTAAAAAAATGTTTTTCAGCTGTTTTCTTACACAAGCAAACTTTATAATAATCAAAATAAAATGTAATTCAAATGAAGTTGTAAACACTTTAAACCTATCAAACAATTAGGAAAGGTAGACATTATTATAGTATAGGCTGCTTTCTTGTTGTGTCCTCAAATGGCAGAAAGAGAGAGACAGAGTGGACAAAAGCAGATGTATTTCTTTTTATAATATCTTGAATAAGTTGTATAGATTTTTAAAAACTAAACTATTTTGAGATAATTGTTGCTTCACTTGAAGTTGAATACCAAAAGATCCATATACTTTTTACTCAGTTTCCCCTAATGGTAACATCTTGAGAAATTATAGCACAATATCACAGTAGGATATTGACATCGATACGTTGAAAACACAGCACATTCTCCATCACTCCAGGATGGATCTCTGAGGATTCAGTGAAGTTGTTCCTTGTATCAATACTTTGGGGTTTTTTTTTAATGCTCAGAAATTTTTTATGGTATAGATGTACCGCAGTTTATTTAACCATTCACCTATTGAAAGACATCCTGGTTATTTCCAGGTTGGGGCTATTATGTAAAAAACTGCTATAATTATAGCGGTTGACTATAATCATCTGTATTATAGTCAGTTTGAACTGCCCTAACAAAATACCATAGACTAGGTGGCTTATACAACAAAAATTTACTTCCTCACAGGTCTGGAGGGTGGATGACCAAGATTAGGGTGAGTTCTGGTTGGGGCTCTCTTCCTGGCTTGTAGATGGCTGCTTTCTTGTTGTGTCCTCAAATGGCAGAAAGAGAGAGACAGAGAGAGAGAAAAAGAAAGAAAGAGAGATTGTCCTCCTCTTATAAAGCCACAGTCCTATATTAGAGGCCCACCCTTATGGCCTCATTTAAGCTTAATTGCCTCCTAAAGACCCTCTCTCCAGATATAGTTGCTTTGGAGGTTAGGACTTCAACATATGAAGTTTAGGGTGACACAACTCAATCCACAGCAAACTCCATGTATATAACTTTTCATTTCTCTGAGTCTCCAAAGTCTGCTGTATCATTCTTATGCCGCTGGGCAGCATGCTAGTTGTTATGTTTAGTTTCTTAAGAAATTGCCAAGCTATTTTCCAGAGTGACTGTACCATTTTACTTCCCCATATCTAAGCAATCTAGTTTCTCAGCATCTTTGCTGATGTTGGTGTTGTCACTATTTTTTAAGCGATTCTGATGGATTTGTCATGATATTGTGGTTTTAAATTGCACTTCCTTAATGGTTAATGAAGCTGATCATCTTTTCATGTGCTTTTTTTTTTGCCACACATGTATTATCTTCAGCAAATGTCTTTTCATGTCTTTTGCCCATTTTTTTTTTCTGGGTTGTTTGTGTTTTAAGAGTTCTTTATATATTCTAGATAACGATTATTTTGTTGGATATGTGGCTTGCAAATGTTGCCTTCCAGTCTCTCACTTGTCGTTTCTTCTAAACAAGTTCATTCCCAGATCAAAAGTTCTTAATTTTGATGAAGTCCAATTTTTAATTTGTTTTCTTTTCTACATGGTACGTTTTAGTGTCAAGTCTAACAATTCTTTCCTCAGACCAAGAATCCCCAAAACAGTCTTCCATGCTTTTCTAAAATTTTCATGCTTTTATATTTTAAATTTAAATCTGCCACACATTTGGAGTTAATTTTCATATAAGGTATGAGACTTATATCAAGGTTCCTATATCTGCCTGTGGATATCCAATTGCTGTAGCACCATTTGGTGAAAAGGGTATGTTTTTGCTATCGAGTTGCTTTTGTACTTTGTGAAAAATTTACTACACATATTTGTATGCATCTACTACCATGTTCTTTATTCTAATCCATTGATTTGTGTGTCTATTCCTCTACCAATGACACACATTTTTTAATACTATAGCTATATGTGTTAACTCTTCAAATTGGGTAGATTGATTCTTTCTACTTTATTCTTCTTTTTCAAAATTGTCTTAGCTATTCTAGGTCCTTTACCTTTCCAGTCTCCAATTTAAAAACAGTTCGTCGATATCCACACAATAACTTGGTATTTTCCTGGAGATGGCCTTGAATATATAGATGAAGCTGGGCAAACTTAATATTTTAATAATATTGTGTCTTCTTATACAAAAATATAAACTATCTCTTTTCTTACTTAGATCTTATTTGATTTCTGTCATCAGTGTTTTTTTATTTTTCCTCATATATATTCTGTCATTTTTTTTTAGATTTATACTTACCTATTTGACCCTTTTAGATATTCTTGTAAATGGTACCTTTTTAAAAATTTTAAATCCCAATTGTTCCTTGTTGGTATACAGAAACATAGTTGATTTTTATGTATTAAACTTGTATACTAAAACCTTGCTACACTCATTTATTAGTTCCAGGGGTGTTTTTCATTTTTATTGGTTTGTTTTGTCAGTTCTTAGGGATTTTCTACACAGACAATCATGACAGGTGAATAAATGGCACTTAGCCATGGTATAGAATTCCTTAAAAATATTGCTGCGGCCGGGCACGGTGGCTCACGCCTATAAATCCCAGCACTTTTGGAGGCCAAAATGGGCAGATCATCTGAAGTCAGAAGTTCAAGACCAGCCTGGCCAGCATGGTGAAACCCCGTCTGTACTAAAAATATAAAAATTAGTCAGGCGTGGTGGCACTTGCCTGTAATCTCAGCTACTCAGGAGGCTGAGCAGGAGAATTGCTTGAACCCGGGAGGTGGAGGTTTCAGTGAGCCAAGATCGCACCACTGCACTCCAGTCTGGGCAACAGGAGATATATATATATATATATATATATATATATATACACACACACACACACACACACACACACACACACACACATATACACATATATATACACACACATATATATACACATATACACACACATATATATACACATATACACACATATATACACACATATATATATACACACACACATATATACACACATATATATAAATATATACCCTGGGCATAAATACATACACACACACACACATATATATATACACACACCCTGGGCAACAGGGTATATATATGTACATATACCCTGGGCAACAGGGTGTGTATATATATACACACACACCCTGTTGTGTGTGTGTGTATATATATATACACACCCTGTTGTGTGTGTGTGTGTATATATATATACACAACCTGTTGTGTGTGTGTATATATATATATATATACACACACACACACACACACACACAACAGGGTGTGTATATATATATATATACACACACACACACACACACACACAACAGGGTATATATATATATATATATATATATCTGAATTCTATGTGTTAATATATATTTAAGGATATTTGCATCTATTTTCATGAGGTATATTGATGGGTAGTTTCTTTTTGTACTGTCTCTGATTTTTGGTAGTAATTTTAGCTTTATAAAATAAGTTTGGAAATGTTCTCTCCCATTACATTTTCTATGAGAGATTGTATAGAATTAGTATTAACTTTTAAAAAAATGTTTGATAGCATTCTCTAGGGAAACCATCTCGGCTTGCATTTCTTTTTAGGGAATATTAAAATTATAGTCTAATTTTCTTAAGAGTTATAGGCCTATTCAAATTGTCTATTACATATAGGGCAATTTGTTGTAATTTGTGTTTTTTTGAGAAATTGATCCAGTTCATCTAAATTGTGAAATTTATAAATTTATGTTCATAGAATTTCTCATAGTAGATCCTTATTTTTTTGATATCTGTAGGATCTGTACTGATGATATCTTCTTATTTATTCCTGATACTGATATTTGTGTCTTCTCTCTTTTATTAGTCTTACCAGAGGATTATCAATGTTATTTTTCAAAGAACCCATTATTTTATTTACTTATTTTCTCTATTGTTTTACTGATTTTAATATTATTTCTGCTCTTATCTTTATTATTTCCTTCCTTCTCCTTGCTTTGAGTTTATTTTGCTCTTACTTTTCTAGGTTTTGAAGTGGGAGCTTAGATTATTGATTCAAGACTCTCCCTCTCTTTTGATATATACATTTGATGCTATAAATTTTCTTCTCAGCATTGCTTTAGTTGTGTCCAACAAATTTTGGTATGTTGTACTTTAATTTCCACCCATTCAGTATATTTTTAATTTCCCTTGAGACTTTCTCTGTGACTTACAGAGATTATTTAGAAGTGTGGGAGATTCTTTCTAAAGGTTTTGAGATTTTTCTTGTTATCTAAATGTTTGGAGATTTTTTTTTATTTTTATTTTTTAAATTATTATTTTTGGAGATGGAGCCTCACTCTCTCACTCAGGCTGGAGTGCAATGGCATGATCATGACTCACTGCAGCCTCAACTTCCTGGGCTTAGGTGATCCTCTTACGTCAGCTTCCCGAGTAGCTGGGACTATAGGCACACACCACCACACATGGCTAATTTTCATATTTTTTGTAGAGATGTGGTCTTACCATGTTGCACAGGCTGGTCTTGAACTCCTGGGCTCAAGTGGTCTGCCCAACTCGGCCTCCCAAAGTGCTAGATTTACACGTGTGAGGCATCACTCCTGGCTGATTTTAAAAAACTTTATTTATTTATTTATTTGAGACTAGAGTCTCACTATGTCACCCAGGGTGAAGTGCACAATCTCAGCTCACTGCAACTTCCACATCCCAGGCTCAAGCTATCCTCCCATCTCAGCCTCCTGAGTAGCTGGGACTACAGGTGGGTGCCACCACACTTGGCTAATTTTTAAAAAGGTTTTGTAGAAATGAAGTCTCACTATATTGCCCAGTGTGGCAGACTGCCATGGTTACTACTTGAGACTGACCATCATTACAGCAGTTACTACTGTTACTGCTTGAGACCATCATTACAGCAGTTACTATTGTTACTGCTTGAGACCGTCATTACAGGACTGAACAAAGGGATGAACATAGAAAATGATAACAAAAAACAAAAGAAACTATTTTAAAGGAAGGGGAACGAGGAAAGAAGAAAAGAGCTCCCTGATTCTAGTGAGCAAAGGCAGACCCCGAGCTTCTACAGCCATTCGTATTTATTGGGTAACAAGAGCAAGGAGGAGGAGGTAACCACTAGTCAGCTGCTGAACTGATCACAGGTTCATATTATTACTAACAGGCTTCAGATGTACCTAATCACAAGAAACATTTTTGCCTGGGTCGTGACTGCCCACAGCATTCCTTCTGAGAGGCATATGCAGTTTGTCAGCTTGCCAACATTGAGTTTATGAGAACAGTTTGCTGTTTACTCATATAGCCTCCAGTGGTATACTGAGTTGATCACGACCCCCAATCTTTCAGCCTCTAACAGCCGAGGCTGGTTTTGAATTCCTGGGCTCTAGCAATCATCCTCCCTAACCTCCCAAAGTACTGGGATTATAGGTGTGAGCCACCATGCCTGGCCTGGAGATTTTCTTGTTATCTTTCTGTTATTGAGTCCTAGTTTGATTCCATTGTAGTGAGAGAACACACTCTTCATGATTTCACTTCTCTTAAATTTGCTTAGGTTTTATTTTAGGGCCCAAGATATGGTTCATCTTGATGTACATTCCGTGGGCACTTAAAAAAAATATATATATATATGTTTGTATATATATTCTGCTGTTGGAACTAAAGTAGTCTATAAGTGTTGAATACATCCTGTTGAGTGATGGTATTGTGGAACTATTCTATATTCTTGCTGCTCTTCTGTCTAGTTGTTCTACAAAATTTAGGAAAAAGGTATTGAAGTCTCTCACTATATTCATAGATTTTTATATTTCTTCTTCTATCGGTTTTTGTTTTATATATTTTATGTCTCTGTTTGTTGCATTAAATATGAGATAATATTTCTGCTATTGGTTTACACCTCACTTTGTTATATCACATATCTGTACACTGAAAAGCACAAAGCACTGCTTAGAGAAATAAAAGCAGCACTAAACAAATGGAGATCTGCACCCATGTTTATATGTCATAGGTCTTAATATTGTTAAGACGTCAGTTCTTCCTAAAGATAGATTCTACGTAATTCCAGTCAAAGTCTCAGCAGAATTTTTTGGTAGAATGTGCAAATATAATTCTAAAATTCATATGAAAATTTAAAAACCTAGTATTGCCAAAATAGCTTTGAAAAAAGAAACAATTTGAAGGACTGATTTCAAGACTTATTATAAAGCAATGGTTATCAAGATAGTGTCTATTGTTATAAAGGTAGACAAATAGATCAATGGAATGGAATAGTCAAGAAATAGACCTAAATATATTTGGACAACTGATTTTTGATGTAGGTGCAAAAGCAACTCAATGGAGAAAGGATAGTCTTTTCAATAAATAGTTTTAGGATATTTGGATTTCCATATTAAAAAAATGAACTTCAATCCAAATCCCATACCATAAGCAAAAATTAACTCAGAATAAATCAGAGACCAAATTTAAATGTAAACTTAACACTATAAAACTTCTTGAATAAAAACAAAGAAGAAAATCTTTGTATCCTTCAGTTAGGTAAAGATTTCTCAGATACAATAACAAAGCTTGATCCATAAAATAAAACAATGTCTAAAGACATTGTTAAGAAAATAAAAAGATAAGACATCAGACTGAGAGAAAATATATGCAAATCAAATACCTGATAAAGAACATGTATTCAGAATTTATAAAGACTGTTAAAACATATAGAAGAAAAGTTTAACTTTTATAGAAGAAAACATGTAACTGAATAAAAATGAGCAAAATGACTGACATGAACATTTTGCCAACAAAAACATGTAGATGCCAACTAAACACATGAAAAAGTGGTGAATATCATTAGCCATTAGGAAAATTCAAATTAAAACCACAATGAGATATCACTATACATATAAGAATAGGTAAAATTAAAAAGAGCAACCATACCACAGGAAGTTTTGGTGAGAATATGAAGGACTAGAATTTTCATACAACTGCTAGAGGAAATTTAAAATGGTACAACCACTTGGGAAAATAATTTAGCTGTTTCTTTAAAAATTAATCATACACCTCCCATAGGATCCAATCATTCCACTTCTAGATATTTATCTTAGAGAAATGAAAGTTGTATCCATGCAAAGATTAGTATACGAATGCTCATAGCCTCTCTATTTTTTTAATAGCCAAAACTGGAAATAATCCAGTGCTCATCAACAAAAGAATGGATAAAGAATCTATATATGTCCATTCTAAGGAATTCTATTTAGCAATAAAAAGAAATTATTTATACATGTTACAACATCAATAACAAAATAATTGTGCTGAATAAAATAACCCACACAAAACACATGTACATACTATATAATTCCATTCACATAAGATTTTTGCAAGGAAAACTGATCTATAATGACAGAAAGCAGATCAGTGTTTGCCTTGGGAAAGGTTAGAGAGTCATGAAAAGATGGGAGGAAAGATTTGTAAAGGAGCAGATGAAGATTTTCATTATCTTGATTATGGTGATTATTATTTTATGGATACATAATTATATCAAAGTATTGTATGCTTTCAATTATATAGTTTCTTGTATTTAAATTTTACTCAGTAAAATTGCTAAAAAATGAAAAAAATAAACAGAAAGTAATAACATATTTGGTCATATTGAGAGTTTTTGAAAGCTTAGGACTGAATTGATAGAACACCAAATATGAGAAATATAAAGCAATGACTAACTGCAGGAAAAGCAATTGATCATAAAGTGAAATGTAATTATTGTATATGGTATAGGTCCCTGTTGTGAATAATATTTATGTAATTAAAATAAGATATAAAAATTAATATTGATTTATCAAGTCATCAGATAATCACATTAAGAGGATTGAGAAATAGAGTTTATATGGATGGTGGTATAAATTAGTTAAATTATACTCTTGCAAAGTAAAAGGTTTATATAAGTCATAGAGTATATAGTATAGTTATATAATATAAACTTCATAAATCAATAACTAACAGCATAGCTATATTATTTATTAGATGGAAATACATGTCAGAAAAAATAGCCTAAATGTTTGTAGGTAGCTGCATGTGAGGTGGAAGAATTGAGGTTTGAGAAGGGTGGACAGGAGTCTGCTGATTTTTACTACAAATTTTGAGATATTATTTGAATTTTTAACCTATGTACTTGTATTGCTTTTATAAAAATAAAGCCTAATTATTTACAACCCTAAGAAGTTTGTAGTTCATTATGCAATTTTTTTTGACAAACATTATTGAAATTAAAATGTGTATTGCCTAAAGGAAGAAAACATTCAGAAAAGAGCCATGTTGAATAATTCAAAGCTAAGCACTCTGGGTAACTGAAATTTCACTGTATTATTTTAGTTTTGTTCTTCATAGATTTCAACACTTCAGACTATTCTGAGATTCCTAATTCATTATACAAGGTTTATAGAATATGTGAGATTCTCAAGCACTAGAGAAATACAATTATTCCTATGAATGTGTCTAGTTTCTCAATCATAGGAAGGAGGTGGAATATTTAAAAATTGGTGCATTGGTATAGCAGTAACTATAGACACATATTTGAGTTCAGTCTTTCAGTTTTATCATTGATATCACAGACATAGATTCCTAAACTTTTTGTGTTAAACTTGTACTTCATGTCAATAACAAGTTTTCAGCATGTTTGTTTTTTCACAACTATACCAAACCATAAAAAGAGGAGAAAGAATGATGATTATATTACCCGGGAAAGAAAATAGGACCAATTCAACTCAATGCATAATATGGAGTTGAGAAATAGATCTGATGTTTAAAAGTTAATAAAATTTAAGAATATAACATTGTTCTTATTACTGTGCCCCAGCTGAAGTTAGATATTTTCTATAAGAACATTTTGCAGAAAGAACATTTTAACTAGAGATGTAGTAAAGGTGTACAATGCAATTGAGTAAGAATTATAATAAATCAAGCAAAAAATTAGTTCAAATAATGGTGTAACATATGCTCTGTCCAAATTAATGCTCAGTGCTAAAATTTTACATTGTATATTTTCTACTTTTTTAATTTTCCATTGCCCTTGGTGCTTTGATTCGAATCCAGTTTTGTATATGCAAATTTGGTTATAATTTGCCTAGTAGGATGTCTTTTCTAACTCTTCTAGAAGGTCAGTAACATTAATTACTTTGTAAATGAATAATCTAGCAGCACTCAAAGGGTTCTCAAAGTAAATACATTTACCATGTCATGAATTTTAGCCTTGAACCTGCATTGACTAACAAGCAGAAAAATATATAGTTATGGATTATAACCTCAAATTACCAGCTTTTTACATGGGCCTGGCTGGTGACAGAGGCTCAACCAGTTGGCATCAGCCAGCCTCTGTCTGCAAACTATATGTGGGATCAACAGCAAAGGCTCTTCTTACCAGTGCTAATCAAACTGCTGTTAATTTCAAATATTTAATTTTCTAGCAACTGAGATCAGTGATGAGTTCCCAGAATGGAACCATCCATTGAGGAGACCAATCAGTACCCTTAAATTCTATGAAATTGTTTGAGTTGTGTATGCTGTCATTTCAGCAAAGAACTCATCCTAAGGACTGATAAACTGGACTCCAGCAAATATTGTTCTGGATATAAACGTGGTAATCCTCAGGATTGTCAATAGCCAGAGCAACATGTAGAAAGTTGGTAATTCATGTTTACTGACAATGTTCTCTTTTTCTCTTTTAGATTATTTAGCCAAGCTATCTGTCACTGCCCATGAGTTTGTATGTACACTAACCATTGGCCACTTCTCTTCCCACTCTGCCTGAAACTTTGCCCATATCAGTAATCTTTCCAATTTGCTGTCTTTCAAAGCTATCCCTGTTTGGGGATGATTTGGAACAGCCGTAATTTTTTGGTTTATCTACATAGTAAGCCAACTCATCCTTTTCCTTTTCAGTCAGCTGAGAGCCCCTATGGGATCACACAAAGGAGTGATGAAAGAGAGAGGCGTAGGTCAAAGAGAGGTGGATAATATGAAGGTCTGAGTCACCACCTTGTACCACTTATTTGTGCTCTCCAGTCCAGTTCATACCCAATCCTCCACTTCCATCTTTCTATGGATTGTTGCTGGGCTTGAAGATCTTCTGACTTGATAAGTATGTTAGAATTCAGTTAATGATGGGCAGTTGTGGCCTTACAGTCACTTGATAATCATAGCTAAATCCTTCATCTTTATTGGAGCCCAATATTATTGCAGAAACTATTTTTCAATTGATATATAATTTTTCACTGACAATGGCAAATTCTTGCACCAAAATCCAAATAGTGTACATAGCGCTTCTTTTATTGGGGTTTCTCTTAACTCCACATGGCATCTTTTCTTCCCACAAATATCATCAATGTTACATTGTCTTGATCATATGACCCAAACAGCAGGGCCTCCTGAACTGCAACCTGGACATGCTTCATAATCCTTTTCCACTCTTGTCCCTACTCAAATTCGGCAGCTTTCCATTGCCATTTAATATATCAGAGGTAGTGGTAAATCCAGGAGTTGAATATGTTGCCTTTGGAACACAATGAAACCCACTGGGCATTATATGCTTCCTTCTTCATGGAAAGTAATGTGAGATGCAATGGTTAGTCTTTTACTTTCAAGAGTATGTCATAGAATGTCTCAGACCAATTGACCCCTAAATAGTTTACTAATGTGGTGAGCCTCTTAAGCTTAATAGAATTAATCTCCCACCTTCTAAGGCATATGTGTCTCAACAATAGCCTCAACCTATTGGCTACTTCTTGATCCTCTGGCCCAATTAGCATAGTGACATCAATATAGGCACCAGTGTCATGTTGTATGAGATGCCCAAACAGCCCAGATCACTTCAGACTATTATGACAGTAGGTGGGAGAGTTACTATAACCCTGGGGCCTATAAGACCATAAATGTGTATTCTTCTCTTCTAAGTGAACATGAACTGTTTCTGATCTCTTTATGGATAAGATGGAAAAGAAGCATTCATTTGTTCAATGGCCACATACCATGTTCCTGAGGCCATGTTAATCTGTTCTAGTAAAAGTATTATATTTTGTTAGTACTGAGTTTATGATAGTCCATTGATTTACAGTAGTCTACTGTTTTCCTTCAGAGTTCATCTAGATTTTAAATGAGCCATACTGGAAAAATAAATGGGAATATGAGGGGTTCCACTACCCATGTATCCTTTTGTTTTATAGCTTTATGTCCTTAGGATAAAATATTGTATGATTTCCCATTCCTCTGGCTGGGATGAGAGCCTCTTTACATGCTACTAAGCAGGGCTTCTGGCTTTTATGCTCAGTATTTAATTGCTGATTAAACACTCCCTGCTTTTTATAGCTTTTTCCAAAACATTAATCATGCTTAACACCAGCCACCCAATTTCACTCTTCTTATAGTTATTATTATCCATTCCCTGCCCCCTCACATCCACAGATTTCCCAAATACTTGATAGATTGCCCCTTGCATGGTAGCTAGATATCAAAGCGGTCTCCCAGCAAAACACATATCTCAGTATTCACACCCTTGTGTAGTCCTTTTCCCTGGAATCTGGATTGGTCCCATGACTTGCTTTTGACCAATAAAATACAATGGGAGTGTTGCTACATAGCTTTAGATGTAAGGCTATAAGAAGCTTTTTATCTTCTGCCTGGGTGTCTCAGAATACTTGCTCTTAGATCATTCTCTGATCCTGGATTTCACGTCACAAGAAGCCCAAACCACAAGCAGAGACCACATTCCCTCAGAAACCACTTCAAAGCCCCAACTGAGCTCCCAGCCAACAGAGCGTATCAACTGCCAGCCAGGTGAGTGAGCCACCTTAAACATCTAGCCCAACTGAACTGTCAGATGTTTGCAGTTGCAATCAACACCAGAGAGCGACAGTATGGGAGCTCCTAAATTATAACTGTCCAGCTAAGCCCAGGTAACCAAACAACCCTGTTTTAAAACATAAAATTTGGGGTAGTTTGTTAAACAACAGTAATTAAAACAACTGGCATATTCTTCCTTATTCAAGACAAAAGACCATAAGATATAATTCCATTTATATGAAATGTCTAGAGTAGACAAATCTACAAAGACAAAAATTAGATTAGTAGCTATCTAGGTTAGAAGATAGTGGTGGGAAGTGATAGATAATGGGCATGGGCATTTTTATGAGGTGATAAAAATGTGCTAAAATTGATTGTCACAATACTTGCAGAGAATTGTGAATATACTAAAAATCATTCAATTGTACACTACAAATATGTAAATTTTGACATGTGAATGTTAATTATATTTCAGG
Source organism: Homo sapiens (assembly GCF_000001405.40). Classification (NCBI taxonomy): domain Eukaryota; kingdom Metazoa; phylum Chordata; class Mammalia; order Primates; family Hominidae; genus Homo; species Homo sapiens. The sequence continues at coordinate 81,002,987 of NC_000009.12, forward strand.
ACAGCCATTACTTAAAAAAAATTAGACTGAAAAAAATTAGGACTTCTGCTTTCAGCTCCAACACATGAACAGCTTGGAAGTCATCACTACCACTCTCACAACAACAAAAAAACTGAACAAACTGCAAACTAATGACTTTTCTCAACCATTCTCAAACCACAACCCCCAAATCTTCAGAGACAGGATAATACAGAAAATCACAGTCAAAATCAGCTTCCTAGGAGCAGAGAAGTTCCTGAAGGCAGTAACTGATAGAAATAATTAAATGGTAATTTTGATAAATTGTTGAAGAGTGAGCATAGGCTAGCTTGAGAGTTAAAAATTCTAGGGATATTTTCCTTTGGAACTTGGAATTTTCAAGCTAGATTACACTCAGCCTTTAGCAATTCATCAAAATTACTATTTAAGTGTTTGTCTTCGTCTGTTCAGGCTACTGTTACAAACTGCCATAAACTGTGTGGCTTATAAACAACAGAAATTTATTTCTCACAGTTCCAGGGGCCAGAGAGTCCAATGTCAAGGTGCTGGCATTTATAGTTTCTGGGCCCCCTTTCTGGTTCATAGACAACCACCTTCTTGCTGAGTCCTCTTATGGCAAAAGGAGCGAGTGAGCTCTCTGGGGCATCTTTTACAAGGGCACTAATCCCGTTTATAAAGACTCTGAATGAAGGGACACATTCAGTCTATATCAGCATTCCTATAAGTTACTGCCTCTGGGAGGAGGAGGAAATGATGAGTTGCTAATCAATGGATATGGTTTCAGTTATACAAGATAAATAAGTTCTAGAAATCTGCTATAAAACATCATACCTATAGTTATCAAGACATATTGTACAATTAAATCTTTGTTAAGAGAATAGATCTAATGTTAAGTGCTCTAACCACAATAAGATGAAATTTAAAATTTGGCAAAGGTAAACTTTTAAAATTCATTTATAGGTATATCTTTCAGGTGCATTTCTTATTCACGTCTTTTGTCCTAATTTTGATTGAAATTGTTGTTTTCTTGTGCTCTTTATATATCAATACTATTAATTACTATATCATAGGTGTTGTGAATATGTTTCCTAATTGATCCAATGCTGTTAAACTTAAAAAAAAAAATCTGAGCAGTTCAGTCTTGTGTGGAATCTCCATGCTTTTGCGAATTTTACCTCCAGGAATCCCACTAGGCCCTCAAAGTGAAAATATGAGAAAAAACAGCCTTCTGTCTTAGGCAGGAGGAATGCAAAAGTAAAGCATTTTGAAATATATTCAGAGGTTTTCCATAAGAAAGGCTTGTCGTCTGTCAAAAACCATTAAATACCAGAGCCAACTCTAGCCTTTATGTCTAGAGAGGAAAAAAAAAAAAAAAACCAGATTAAGAAATCTATTGGAAAGTTACAGCCCAGGAACTAAAGCCCAGTAAAAACTGACATAATTATAAGATTATGGAATGTTTTCCTCTCCAAGATCATCACATCAGCAGGGCTTCAGTATAAGGATGGTAGATTAAAATCAAGAGACCTTAAAGACATAGGCTCTATTTAAAAATTCTTAGGAACACAAAGAAAGCAGGGAATGAAAGAAATAAGAAACTGATGGAGCCTAAATCCTCTATTACATTCATCTATAGCAACATGAAAAACAGGCAAGCTCCTGGATAGATTAATATAAAGCTTCACACTAAATGCCTAGTTACCTCAGTTGCTATTATCTGATCCATAATGTCCAGCTTCCAACAAAAAATGACAAGGCATGTGAAAAGGCAAGAAAAACTCAGTCTGAAGAGACAATGCAAGCATCAAAACCAGACTCAGATATAACACAGATTGTGTAATTATTAGAGAAGTACTCTTTAAAAACTGTGATAAATATTTTAAGGACTCTAATGGAAAGATATGACAACATGAAAGAACAGATGAACAGAAAAAAAATTAAAAGTCTTAAGAATCAAAAAGAAATGTAAAAAAGCAAAAGCAGCACACGTATGTTTATTGCAGCACTGTTCACAATAGCAAAGACTTGGAGCCAACCCAAATGCCTATCAATGATAGACTAGATAAAGAAAATGTGGCACATATACACCGTGGAATACTACGTAGCCTTGAAAAAGGATGAGTTCATGTCCTTTGCAGGGACATGGATGAAGCTGGCAACCATCATTCTCAGCAAACTAACACAGGAACAGAAAACCAAACACCACATGTACTCACTCATAAGTGGGAATTGAACAATTAGAACACATGGACAAAGGGAGGGGAGCATCACACACTGGGGCCTGTTGAGGGGTCAGGGGCTAGGGGAGGGACAGCATTAGAAGAAATACCTAATGTAGATGATGGGTTGCTGGGTGCAGCAAACCACCATAGCACATGTATACCTATGTAACAAACCTGCACGTTCTGCACATGTATCCCAAAATTTAAAGTATATTAATAAAAAAGCAGCAAAAAAGCAAAAGCAGTATAACAAAAATGAACACCTATTTCAATATACTGAACACAGCCAAGAAAAGAATAAATGATTTTAAAGATATATCAATAGTAACTTTCCAAAGTGAATTTTAAAATGAAAAAAAAAATTAAAGGAACAGAATATCCAAAAGCTATGGGGCAATAGAAAAAAGGTATAACATGTCTGTAATTGGAAAAGAGGAGGAGAGAGAAAGAAGAAAAAAAAATTTAAAGTAATACAAGCTGAGACTTTTCAAAAATGAATGATATACATCAAACCACAGATCTGAGAAGCTCAGAAAAATCCAATCAGGATAAACAGAAGAAAAAAAAAACCTATACCTAGGAATATCATATTCAAACTTCAGAAAAACCAAAGAAAAGGAGAATGTCTTGAAAGAAGTAAGAAGGGGAGGGAATAAGCATTTTACCTATTAGATGGTCAAGGAAAATAATTGCACTTGACTTCTTGTCGAAAAACATGAAAGCAAGAAAAGAGCAGAGTGAAATATTTACAGTGTTGAAAGAAAGACAAACACCAACCTAGAAATCTATATCTAGTGAAATTATCCATCAAAAGTAAGAGGGAAATAAAAATTTTCTCAAACAAAAGCTGAGAGAATTTATCATCAATATACCTCCCCAACAAGAAAATATTAAAATCCTGAGGGAGAAGGGAAATGACACAGGTCTGAAACTTGGATCCACATGAAGGAAAAGCATAAGAAAAGAAATAAGTAAAAGTAAAATAGATTCCTTTTTTCTTCTTGTTAATCCATCTAACAGATAATCGTTAGTTCGAAGCAAAAATAACAATAATGTATTGGGTGATTATAGCATATGGATAAGTGAAATGAAAGACAACAACATTATAAGGGTAGGGAGGGAGGAACTAGGAATGCTCTATTACAAGGTGCCTGCACTGCCCCTCACATGTTACTTGCAAGTGAATTTAGATTCGTTTTAAATGTACTTTGCAAACTCTAGTGCAACCACATAAAAGTATTAAAAAGAAGTAGAATTAATATGCCATGAAGATATAATCAAGGCATATAAAATGCTCAATCGAAACCAGAGAAGGCAGAAAAAGAGGGAAGATAAAAAAGAAACAAGTGAAATGAACAGATAACACTTACAAACATGGTACATATTAATACAACTCTGTGAAACATATTAATACAACTCTGTGAACAATCACTTTATGTTTTAATACTGGTCTAAATATTACCAATTAAAAGATGGAGTCTAGCTTTAAATATGAAGACACAGGCAGATTAAAAGTAAAGGAATATATAAAAAACCACGTTAACACTAACAAAAAGAAAGCTAGGGTAGCTATATTAATCTCAGACAAAGAAAACTTCAGAGTGAGGAAAATTGTGGTGTACAAAGAAGGGTATTACATAAATGACAAAGGTGTTAATTCTCCAAAGTATAACAGTTCTTAATGTGCATGTACTTAACAACAGAGCATCAAAATACGTAAGGCAAAAACTGATAGAAATGCAAGGAGAAAGAGATGAATTCACTGCGATAGTTGGAGACTTCAACACCTTTCTGTCAATGATTGACAGATTTAGAAGTTAGAAAACGAGTAGGGATAGAGTTGACCTGAACTTGATCTATTCAATATTTACAGGATACTTTATCCAACGACTCCAATGACAGAAGAATACAAGTTACTGTTTTTGTTTGTTTGTTTGTTTGTTTTTTGAGTCAGAGTCTCACTCTGTCGCCCAGGCTGGAATGCAATGGCGCGATCTCTGCTCACTGCAACCTCCACCTCCCGGGTTCAAGCAATTCTCTGCCTCAGCCTCCCAAGTAGCTGGGATTACAGGCACCTGCCACCATGCCCAGCTAATTTTTGTATTTTTAGCAGAGACGGGGTTTCACCATCTTGGCCAGGCTGGTCTTGAACTCCTGACCTCCAGATCCACCCAACTTGGCCCCCCAAAGAGCTGGGATTACAGGCGTGAGCCACTGCACCTGGCTCACAAGTTATTCTTAAGCTCACATGGAAACATTCACCAAGATAGACCACATTCTGGATTTCATAAGTTTAAAAGAATAGAAACTATACAAACCTTAACAAATTTAAAAGAATGGATACTATACAAAGCATGTTATCAGACCACAATGGAATTAAACTAGAGGTCAATAAAAATTATCAGGAAAATTCAAAAATATTTGGCTGTTATACAACATACTTCTCCATAACGTAGGGATTGAAGAGGAAATCTTAAGAGAATTTTTGACAGATTTTGAACTAAATAAAAATGAAAATACAACTTATCAAAATTTGTGGGATGCAGCAAAAGCAGTGATTAGAGGGAAATTTATAGTATTCATTGCATATATTAAAAAAGAAGAAAGATCTAAAATCAATAAACTCCCACATTAGAAAATGAGACAAAAAGAACAATCTAAACCTAAAACAAGCAATAATAAGAATTATAGCAGTAGCCAATAAAATTTAAAATGTGAAATCACTAGAAAATACATCAATGAAACCAAATTTGGTGGGTTTTTATTTGTTTTGTTCTTCTTTTTAAATCAATCAAATAGACAAAATTCCAGCTAGGCTATCCAGTAAAAACTTGGAGAAGAAATAAATAAATTATTAATACCAGAAATGAAAGAATGGTTATCACTACTGGTCATATGAACAGTAAAAAGATTATAAAGGAATATTATGAAAAACACCATCTATAAATTTGATGACAGATGAAATGAACTAATTTTTTGGATACACAAACTATCAAAACTTATAAGAGAAATAAGTAATCTGCATAGGCCTATATCTATAAAAGAAACTGAATCAATAATTAATAACCTGTCAATAATGACTGCACAGGCTCAAATGGTTGTACTGATTAATTCTACTAATTTAAGGAAGAAATTATACCAACTTTATACATGCTCTTTCAGACTATCAAAGTAGAATTAACACATTTTACTCATTCTATGAGGCCAGAATTACCCTAATAATAAAACCAAAGACATTACAGGAAGGGAAAACCACAGACTAGTATTTCTCATGAACATAGATACAAAATTTCTAAACAAAATATTAGCAAATCTAATCCAACAGTTTATAAAATAGTGTATAATTATACATTATAACCAAGTGGAATTTATTCAAGCTATGCAAGGACTGGTTGAACATTTGAAAATCAATTAATATAATCTATCACATCAAGACTCAGGCTAAATGAGAAAAATCAGTATGTCAATAACTCTAATGTTTATATGGAAGGACAAAAGACCTAGAATAGCCAACATAAAACAGAAGAAGAGGAGGAGGAGCCAAGTAGGAAGACTGAGAATACTCGACTTCAATACTTTCTATGCTACAATAATTAAGCCAGTGTGATGAGAAAGAATAGACAAATAGGTCAATGCAACAAAATAGAAAGCCCAGAAATGGACCTACACATACCAAGTCAACTAATCTTTCTCAAAGGAACAAAAGCAATTCAATGGAGAAATGATAGTCTTTCAAATAAATGGTACTTGAAAAGTTGTGCATCCATATGTTAAGAAAATGAATAAAGACAAAGACCTTATTCCTTACATAATAATAAACTCAAAATGGATCATATACCTGAATTTAAAATTCAAAACTATGAAACCTCTAAGAAATAACACGAGAAAATCCAGTTTGTCAGGCCTCTGAGCCCAAGCTAAGACATCATATCCCCTGTGACCTGCACGTACACATCCAGATGGCCGGTTCCTGCCTTAACTGATGATATTCCACCACAAAAGAAGTGAAAATGGCCTGTTCCTGCCTTAACTGTTGTCATTATCTTGTATAATTCCTTCTCCTGGCTCATCCTGGCTCAAAAGCTCCCCTACTGAGCACCTTGTGACCCCCACTCCTGTCCGCCAGAGAACAACCCCCCTTTTTCCTTTACCTACCCAAATCCTATAAAACGGCCCCACCCCTATCTCCCTTTGCTGACTCTCTGGACTCAGCCCGCCTGCACCTAGGTGAAATAAACAGCTTTATTGCTCACACAAAGCCTGTTTGGTGGTCTCTTCACATGGACACGAGTGAAATTTGGTGCCGTGACTTGGATCAGGGGACCTCCCTTGGGAGATCAATCCCCTGTCCTCCTGTTCTTTGCTCCATGAGAAAGATCCACCTACGACCTCAGTCTTAAGACCGACCAGCTCAAGAAACATCTCACCAATTTCCAGTCCCGTAAGTGGCCTCTTTTTACTCTCTTCTCCAACCTCCCTCACTATCCCTCAACCTCTTTCTCCTTTCAATCTTGGTGCCACACTTCAATCTCTCCCTTCTCTTAATTTTAATTCCTTTCATTTTCTGGTAGAGACAAAGGAGACAAGTTTTATCCGTGGACCCAAAACTCCAGCGCCAGTCACGGACTAGGGAAGGCAGCCTTCCTTTGGTGTTTAATCATTGCAGGGATGCCTCTGATTATTCAACCAGGTCTCAGAGGTGTCAGACCACACAGGGACGCCTGCCTTGGTCCTTCACCCTTAGCAGCAAGTCCCGCTTTTCTGGGGAGGAGCAAGAACCCCTCAACCCCTTCTCCTTCAGCCTTAGCGGCAAGTCCCACTTTTCTGGGGGAGGGGCAGGAACCCCAACCTCTTATCTCTGCGCCCTGATCCCTTATTTCCGTGCCCCAACCTCTTATCCCTGTGCCCCAATCCCTTATTTCCACGCCCCGACCTCTTATCTCTGTGCCCCAACCCCTTATCTCCATGCCTCAACCCCTTCTCTGCATTTCTGGAAGGCAAGAACCCCCCCACCCCTTCTCCGTGTCTCTACTATCTTTTCTCTGGGCTTGCCTCCTTCACTATAGGCAAGCTTCCACCTTGCATTCCTCCTTCTTCTCCCTTAGCCTGTGTTCTTAAGAACTTAAAACCTCTTCAACTCTCACCGGACCTAAAATCTAAGTGTCTTACTTTCTTCTGCAATGCTGCTTGACCCCAATACAAACTCGACAGTAGTTCCAAATAGCCGGAAAACGGCACTTTCAATTTTTTCATCCTATAAGATCTAAATAATTCTTGTTGTAAAACAGGCAAACGGTCTGAGGTGCCTGATGTCCAGGCATTCTTTTACACGTTGCTCCCTCCCTAGTCTCTCCTATGCAACTCATCCCAAATCGTCCTTCTTTCCCTCCCACCTGTCCCCTCAGTCCCAACCTCAAGCATTGCTGAGTCTTTCTAATCTTCCTTTTCTACAGACCCATCTGACCTCTCCCCTTCTCATCAGGCCGAGCTAGGTCCCAATTCTTCCTCAGCCTCCACTCCTCCACCCTATAATCCTTTTATCATCTCCCCTCCTCACACCTGGTCCGGCTTACAGTTTCATTCCGTAACTAGCCCTCCCCCACCTGCCCAGCAATTTACTCTTAAAAAGATGGCTGGAGCTAAAGGCATAGTCAAGGTTAATGCTCCTTTTTCTTTATCCCAAATCAGATAGCGTTTAGGCTCTTTTTCGTCAAATATAAAAATCCAGCCCAGTTCATGGCTCGTTTGGCAGCAACCCTGAGATGCTTTACAGCCCTAGAACCTAAAAGGTCAAAAGGCAGTCTTATTCTCAATATACATTTTGTTACCCAATCTGCTCCTGACATTAAATGAAACTCCAAAAATTAAATTCTGGCCATCAAACCCCACAACAGGACTTAATTAACCTCGCCTTCAAGATGTACAATAATAGAATAGAGGCAGCCAAATAACAACATATTTCTGAGTTGCAATTCCTTGCCTCCACTGTGAGACAAACCCCAGCCACATCTCCAGCACACAAGAACTTCCAAACGCCTAAACCGCAGTGGCCAGGCGTTCCTCCAGAACCGCCTCCCCCAGGAGCTTGCTACAAGTGCCAGAAATCTGGCCACCAGGCCAAGGAATGCCCACAGCCCAGGATTCCTCCTAAGCTGTGTCCCATCTGTGCAGGACCCCACTGGAAATCAGACTGTTCAACTCACCTGGCAGCCACTCCCAGAGCTCCTGGAACTCTGGCCCAAGGCTCTCTGACTGACTCCTTCCCCAATCTTCTCAGGTAAGCAGCTGAAGACTGACGCTGCCCGATTGCCTCGGAAGCCCCGTAGACCATCACGGACGCCGAGCTTTAGGTAACTCTCACAGTAGAGGGTAAGTCCGTCCCCTTGTTAATCAATACGGAGGCTACCCACTCCACATTACCTTCTTTTCAAGGGCCTGTTTCCCTTGACTCCATAACTGTTGTGGGTATTGACAGCCAGGCTTCTAAACCTCTTAAAACTCCCCAACTCTGGTGCCAACTTAGACAATACTCTTTTAAGCACTCCTTTTTAGTTATCCGCACCTGCCCAGTTCCCTTATTAGGCTGAGACACTTTAACTAAATTATCTGCTTCCCTGACTATTCCTGGACTACAGCTACATCTCATTGCCGCCCTTCTTCCCAATCCAAAGCCTCCTTTGCATCCTCCTCTTGTATCCTCCCACCTTAACCCACAAGTATAAGATACCTCTACTCCCTCCTTGTGACTGATCATGCACCCCTTACCATCTCATTAAAACCTAATCACCCTTACCTCGCTTAATGCCAATATCCCATCCCACAGCATGCTTTGAAAGGATTAAAGCCTGTTATCACTCGCCTGCTAAAGCACGGCCTTTTAAAGCCTATAAACTCTCCTTACAATTCCCCGATTTTACCTGTCCTAGAACCAGACAAGCCTTACAGGTTAGTTCAGGATCTGCGCTTTATCAACCAAATTGTTTCGCCTATCCATCCCATGGTGCCAAACCCATATACTCTCCTATCCTCAATACCTCCCTCCACAACCCATTATTCTGTTCTGGATCTCAAACATGCTTTCTTTACTATTCCTTTGCACCCTTAATCCCAGCCTCTCTTCGCTTTCACTTGGACTGACCCTGATACCCATCAATCTCAGCAAATTACCTGGGCTATATGGCCACAAAGCTTCACAGACAGCCCCCATTATTTCAGTCAAGCCCAAATTTCTTCCTCATCTGTTACCTATCTCGGCATAATTCTCATAAAAACACACGTGCTCTCCCTGCTGATCGTGTCTGACTGATCTCTCAAACCCCAGCATCTTCTACAAAACAACAACTCCTTTCCTTCCTGGCATGGTTAGTGTGGTCAGAATTCTTACACAAAAGCCGGGAGCACACCCTGTAGCCTTTCTGTCCAAACAACTTGACCTTACTGTTTTAGCCTAGCCCTCATGTCTGCATGCAGAAGCTGCCGCTGCTTTAATACTTTTAGAGGCCCTAAAAATCACAAACTATGCTCAACTCACTCTCTACAGTTCTCATAACTTCCAAAATCTATTTTCTTCCTCATACGTGACACATATACTTTCTGCAACCCGGCTCCTTCAGCTGTACTCACTCTTTGTTGAGTCTCCCACAATTACCATTGTTCCTGGCACGGACTTCAATCTGGCTTCCCACATTATTCTGGATACCACACCTGACCCTCATGACTGTATCTCTCTGATCGACCTGACATTCACCCCATTTCCCAATATTTCCTTCTTTCCTGTTCCTCACCCTGATCACATTTAGTTTATTGATGGCAGTTCCACCAGGCCTAATCGCCACTCACCAGCAAAGGCAGGCTATGCTTATAGTATCTTCCACATTTATCATTGAGGCTACCGCTCTGCCCCACTCCACTACCTCTCAGCAAGCTGAATTAGTTGCCTTAACTCAAGCCCTCACTCTTGCAAAAGGACTACGCGTCAATATTTATACTGACCCTAAATATGCCTTTCATATTCTGAACCACCATGCTGTTATATAGGCTGAAAGAGGTTTCCTCACTACGCAAGGGTCCTCCATCATTAATGCCTCTTTCATAAAAACTCTGTTCAAGGCTGCTTTACTTCCAAAAGAAGCTGGAGTCATTCAATGCAAAGGCCATCAAAAGGTGTCAGATCCCATTGCTCTAGGCAATGCTTATGCTGATAAGGTTGATAAGGTGGCTAGACAAGCAGCTAGTTTTCCAACTTCTGTCGCTCACAGCCAGTTTTTCTCCTTCACATCAGTCACTCCCACCTACTCCCCCGCTGAAACTTGCACCTATCAATCTCTTCCCACACAAGGCAAATGGTTCTTAGACCAAGGAAAATATCTCCTTCCAGCCTCACAGGCCCATTCTATTCTGTTGTCATTTCATAACCTCTTCCATGTAGGTTACAAGCCGCCAGCCCGTCTCTTAGAACCTCTCATTTCCTTTCCATCATGGAAATCTGTCCTCAAGGAAATCACTTCTCCGTGTTCCATCTGCTATTCTACTACCCCTCAGGGATTGTTCAGGCCTCCTCCCTTCCCTACACATCAAGCTCGGGGATTTGCCCCTGCCCAGGACTGGCAAATTGACTTTACTCACATGCCCCGAGTCAGAAAACTAAAATACCTCTTAGTCTAGGTACACACTTTCACTGGATAGGTAGAGGCCTTTCCCACAGGGTCTGAGAAGGCCACCGCCTTTTCTTCCCTTCTGTCAGACATAATTCCTTGGTTTGGCCTTCCCACCTCTATACAGTCTGATAACAGACCAGCCTTTATTAGTCAAATTAGCCAAGCAGTTTTTCAGGCTCTTGGTATTCAGTGAAACCTTTATATCCCTTATAGTCCTCAGTCTTCAGGAAAGGTAGAATGGACTAATGGTCTTTTAAAAACACACCTCACCAAGCTCAGCCACCAACTTAAAAAGGACTAGACAATACTTTTACCGCTTTCTTTTCTCAGAATTCAGGCCTGTCCTCGGAATGCTACAGGGTACAGCCCATTTGAGCTCCTGTATAGATGCTCCTTTTTATTAGGCCCCCGTCTCACTCCAGACACCAGACCAACTTGGACTGTGCCCCAAAAAACTTGTCATCCCTACTATCTTCTGTCTAGTCATACTCCTATTCACAGTTCTCAACTACTCATACATGCCCTGCTCTTGTTTACACTGCTGGTTTACACTGTTTCTCTAAGCCATCACAGCTGATATCTCCTGGTGCTATCCCTAAACTGCCACTCTTAACTCTTAAAGTAAATAAATAATATTTGCTGGCAGGACTATGCTGAATCTCCTTAGGCATGCTCTAATTAGATGTCCTGGGTCCTCCCAATTCTTAGACCTTTAGTACCTGTTTTTCTCCTTCTCTTATTCCGTTTAGTTTTTCAATTCATACAAAACCATATCCAGGCCATCACCAATAATTCTAAATGACAAATGTTTCTTCTAACAGTCCCACAATATCACCCCTTACCACAAAATCTTCCTTCAGCTTAATCTCTCCCACTCTAGGTTCCCACACCACCCCTAATCCCACTTGAAGTAGCCCTGAGAAACATCACCCATTATCTCTCCGTACCACCCCCAAAAAATTTTCACCATCCCAACACTTTACCACTATTTCATTTTATTTTTCTTATTAATATAAGAAGACAGGAATGCCAGGCCTCTGAGCCCAAGCTAAGCCATCATATCCCCTGTGACCTGCACGTACACATCCAGATGGTCGGTTCCTGCCTTAACTGATGACATTCCACCACGAAAGAAGTGAAAATGGCCTGTTCCTGCCTTAACTGATGACATTGTCTTGTGAAATTCCTTCTCCTGGCTCATCCTGGCTCAAAAGCTCCCCGACTGAGCACCTTGTGACCCCCCACTCCTGCTCACCAGAGAACAGCCCCACTTTTTCCTTTACCCAAATCCTATAAAACGGCTCCACCCCATCTCCCACCCCATCTCCCTTCGCTAACTGTCTTTTCCGACTCAGCCTGCCTACACCCAGGTGAAATAAACAGCTTTATTGCTGACACAAAGCCTGTTTGGTGGTCTCTTCACACGGACATGAGTGAAACAGGTGACCTTTGTTTTGGGGAGGAAATTTTAGATGTAACACCAAAACCATGATAGATGATAGAAAAAAATTGATAAGTTGGACTTTATTAAAATAAAAACCTCTGCTCTATGAAAAACACTATTTAAAAATGAAAAGACAAGTCACAGACTGGGAGAAAATATTTGCAAAACACATGTCTGATAAAGAATTTGTAACCAAAACATGTAAGAATTCTTAAAACTCAGCAATAAGAAAATAAGAAATTCAATTAAGGCCGGGCGCGGTGGCTCACGCCTGTAATCCCAGCACTTTGGGAGGCCGAGGCGGGTGGATCATGAGGTCAGGAGATCGAGACCATCCTGGCTAACAAGGTGAAACCCCGTCTCTACTAAAAATACAAAAAATTAGCCGGGCGCGGTGGCGGGTGCCTGTAGTCCCAGCTACTCGGGAGGCTGAGGCAGGAGAATGGCGTGAACCCGGGAAGCGGAGCTTGCAGTGAGCCGAGATTGCGCCACTGCAGTCCGCAGTCCGGCCTGGGCGACAGAGCGAGACTCCGTCTCAAAAAAAAAAAAGAAATTCAATTAAAAATGGACAGAAGATCTGAACAGACATCTAACCAAGGAAGATATAGCAAATAAGCACACACAAAAATGTTCAACATTATATGCCACTAGGGAATAAAACATTAAAACGACAATGAGATACCACCACACACCTATTAGAATGGCTAGAATTCAAAATACTGACAATATTAAGTTCTTGCGAGGATGTAGAACAATAGGAACTCTTATGTATTGCTGTGGAAATGCAAAATGATACAGCCACTCTAGAGGAAAGTTTGAGTCTTACAAACCTAAACATAACCATATCATATAATCTAGCAGTTGAAGTTCTAGGTATTTACCAAGCTAAATTCAAAGCAAAAGCATGCCCAGAGATGTTTATCACAGCTTTATTTATACTCACCAAAAACTGGAAGCAATCAACATATCCTTCAATATGCGAATGAATAGATAAGCATTCAAACATCCATACAATGGAATACTATTCAGTGCTAAGATGAAATGAGCTACCAAGCCATGGAAAGAGATGAAGGGACCTTAAATGCATATTGCCAAGTGACAGAAGCCAGTCTGAAAAGGCAGCATACTGTATGATTCCAACTATATGACATTATAGGAAAGTCAAAACTATAAAGGAAGTAAAATATCAGTGGTTACTGGGGGCTCACAGTGGGGCTGTGACATAAGTTAGTAAAGAATTAGAAATTTCTAGGGCAGTAAAACTACTCTGTATAATACTGTAAGGGGTGGTTACATGACATCATGCATTTGTGAAAGCCCACAGAACTGTAAAATACAAAGAGCAAACCCAAATTTAAACCATGGACTTTAGTTAAACATAATGTATCAATATTGGTTTATCACAACAAACCATATGACTATAAAATATTCATAACTAGACATTGTGGGGCAGGGGTGAGAATATGAGAATTCTCTGTACTATCTGCTCATTTCTTCTGTAAATTTGAAACTTTTAAAAAATGGTTATTAATTTAAAAACAAGATTAACATGTGTTGAATATAGAAATAAATTGCAGAAACTTCAAGAAGAAAGGCAAGGAGACCAGTTAGGTAACATTAGAGGATGATGGTGGTGCTCTGAAATATGGTAAGTGCAATAAGCATGAATTAAAATTGAAAAATTCAAAAGGCTGTGATGATGTAGAGTCAATCAAATTGCTGAGACAGAGAGTAAGTTAAAGGGTAGGCAAGAAGTTGTGACAGATAAAGAGGAGACAAGTTGATCCTTCAAGTTTCTGGCTTGGCAAAAAAAAAAAAAAAAAAATTATCTTCGGCAATCACCAACCACTATTGTACTAGAAAGAAATAACCACTGGTGTTATGGGTATTTATCTTGCTAAAGTCTACAAACATTGCTAGTAATTTTGCTAAAAATAATAGATTGGAACTATTTTAATGTTTTCTATGGCATTTCACAGGCTTATAGAGACAGTATTCTATCGTTAACGATGAAAGATTCTTGGTACAGAACAGTGCCTAAACCATTTGCTTTTGTAGTCAGACCTTTGGAAACATGGATTTTGATCAGTTCTTCTCATGTTGGGTGTAGTAAAATGAATTGCTGTTGACTACACTGGCAATTTAAGCCTGCTTTTAAACAGACTTTAGCAATGGTAAGATGATCAGTTACCTATGATTTCAAAAAAGGAGATTCTGATCCATATTGTGGAGCAGCAGAGGCATCTTTTTAATCTCCATGCCTTTTTGTCATTGCTTACACTCCTGTTGTCAAAACCTGTGATGAACTGGGGAGAAAAGATTTATTGGTGTGTTTTCCTGTCATATAAGACAAGATACACAGGAATGGATGCTTGAAATACTCATTAATAAGACATAGGTTGTCAGTATTATATAGCAGGGCAGGCTAAATCCATTATCATCAAGGTAAGGACCCTCATCTTAAAGGTAATTTACACTAAAAGGTAGGCAAACAGCCAAAGGCCCATAACCCTACTTGCATTTGAAGGTCTTGGAAGAAAGAAAGAAGAGGCACTATTTTGTTTCATGGTATTGGTTTGTAGAAAATGTTTGATCTCTCCTGCATGCTTGCTCTCTCTCTATCTCTGTGTGTGTGTGTGTGTGTGTGAGAGAGAGAGAGAGACAGAGAGAGAGGGTGTGTGTGCACGCGCATGTACACTTATGCCTGCCAGCAAAGATAAAAGTCACAAGTAGAGATCTACTTTCTCCCCTAGTTTTCACTTGATATGAACTATATGATTATTCAGTAAAAAAGAGAGTGAAATTCAGCCAATATTTTTGGACTACTGTGAGGAATCCATAGAAATAGAAACATGACACATTTTCCTTGATGACATTAATTTCAAATTTTTGCTCAAATTATCAAACAAGCCATGTTAGACTTAGCTGAGTTTAAACTTGGCTGAGTTTAGTCTAACATAGCTGACTTCATAGAAGAGATTTCCTGTGAAACATCAAATTCATCCATATTTGTGGACAAAATTCTCAGTAAGTTAGGATTTCATTCATCTACACACAAAGAAAACCCTATTACATTAAGGTTTAAGTTTGCTTACAGAACAAGAAGTCCAGAAAGAGTAACCCCTGTATATATTAATTTTTGAGAAATGTTTTTCAAGTAAAATCATTTATCTTATTTCTCAGATATCTTCTAATGCAAATATAAGTCTTTTAAAAATATTTCTCACAGATTTCTCTATTGACTTCAAATCTATTCCTTACTTCCAGGCTCTACATGTATGTTGTCATAAGTCCAAGTTAGCAAAAGGATTGTTTATGTATTTTAGCACAGAATCAAGAGATTTTCTTCCCTCTCTACAACAAAACTCTCTTTCTAGAGCATCTGGTATGGAAAAGCAGGAAACAATTTTGAGGAACTCTCAAAGACTGAAATTCCGTAGGTCACTTTGACAGTGTCAGAATTCTAGTATTAATTTCTAAAGTTCACTCAAATACTTCAAATCACTCATGTCTGATTTGTAATCATAGCAATTTCTGAAAGGCAATTCATATCTACCTAGATGCTTTAAAAGCAAAAGATATCTAGGATAAAAACTCTTTGATAATACCAACCAGACAACCTTTAAAATATTTGTATTCAGATACAAGAATTCAATTCCACAAAAATGAAATGTAAAATTAAAACCATCTGACTTTACTATATTTCATATTAACTAAGCCCCAGCTGAGCAAGTCAAAAACATAACTAAGCTCACTTCTAATAAAATTTTTTTTCTAATCAGCTAATACTTACCCAGTGCTCTAATAAGTTGACAGGCTCCCTTCATATACACTGGTAAGTCATATTTATAATGAAAATAAAGTGTTTAACTCTGAGACCTGGGGAAATAAATAGTATAAGTCTTGAGGATGGTTAAAATAATAGGGGCCTGGAAAAATGTGTTATGAGAAAATGAGAAAGCCTTGACTGTTGAAAGAGCTAAGAATTTTTAACATGGAGAGAGATAACACTGGGTCGGAGGATAGGGAAGAGATATAGGGTAAATAACTATCTAGTTATTTATGAGGTAAACTTTTTTTTTTTTTTTTTTTGCAAAGCAAATGATGACACTCCCTACTTAAAATCCTCATTGTATTCCCAGTATATATTATTCCTAATCACATGTGGACCTGTAACCACTCAGGCCACATCTTGTACCACTTGTTTTTGTGCCCACTTTTGTCAGATCTGTAATGCTGAACCATTTCTGATGATGTTCCCAGGGAGGACTTTGATGACCATGTTCCTGAAAGGAGTATTCCATCTCCCTAGGCACTTTTTTAGGTACCACCTTTTTTATTTCCTTGTCTCTCAGTATTATCTTCTTTATTTGTTCATTGACTCATTTCTTCTTTGCCTTTGCACTAGAATGTATGCTCAATGAGGTGAGGGAATCTTTGCTTTTATTTACATTTGCATTACTAGGATCCAGAACAGTGGTGCATAGAAGGCGCCCAGTAAATATTTATTGAATTAATCAATTATATCAGAAAGTAGAATTCATTTCAATAATGGAAAATAAAGGGTAATACCTTTTCTTTCAATATGAGGAAGAACAGGATAATAATCTGTGAAGGTAAAAATGCAGTGGTTTCTCATAAAAGTGCTGAAGCCCAGACTGAAGATGACTTATGTATAGTTGCTTTAGAATCAAGTTGGAAATAAGTGGGAAAACTAAACAAACCAATCTCAAACATTCCTTCCACAATATGATTCTATGATACAAAATAAATGGACTATGCTGTGAGTTCCTTGAGTGGAGGGGCTTTGTCTTATTCATTTTTATTTTCCCAGTGAAATGCCTGGCTCAAATATATTAAATGAGAAAGTCATTTTGAAGTTAATCAATATTTCCAGACTTATTTATTCTCCATGTAGCCATCAGGGTCTAGTAGGGACAGAGAAACCCCACCAGTAATTTGAACAGTGAATGTAGAACTGTTAACTATGGTGGTTAAGCCTAGTAGAATGTGGTTAACAATTGATGAAGTATTAGAGAATTCTAAGGTGTAACAGAAATAGGAACTGCAGGAAGTGGCTCCCTCCCCTAAGGGCTGAGAGAAAAGTGAATAGGAAGAAACATAGAGATTGTAAGTGTGAGATTCAAAAACTCCTTGCCCACCTATGCAATGAAACCCATGGATTTCAGCACAAAGAGAGCTACTCATCACCATGTGAAACCCAAAACCAGAAAGCAGCAAGTCCCCTCTTCTCCCTCCAGCCTTACAATCTCCCTCTGTGCTCAACAGTGGGAGAGCCTAATATTGAGCCAGAAGAAAAGAAAAAATGTTGTTTGCTGAGTCCTGCTCCAGTAGCGCAAAGTAGAACAAAGAAGTACAAGTTCAGTGCCAAGAAGCAACAAATAAATGGCACACTCCAAATTTTTCTAACAGTTTTGAAGGTAGCTTTCAAAGGCACATGTCCTTTAGCAACATAAAAGTAAACACATGCATACAGTCAGAAATAGAGAAGGGCAGGAAAACTAAGATACACCCAGAGGTTTTATGAATATGCAAAATGCATGCTTTCATGGATGGTATCTGTTTTGTACCCATTATCAAAATTGAGTCTCAAAACATTCTTATGAAATAGATGATATCCCACGTTTTATAGATGAAGAATCCCTGTGAAAGTCGTGCTGTTTTTAAATTGCAGGGTGAAAAAATGGTTACACACCAAAGTTTATAATTTCCATTATATTGAACTACCTCCTTGGGATGTGTGAAGAGTTGAGATAGGATTAGAAAGAGACACATTCAGAATGGAAATTGCTGCCTTTGCTCTTTATTTTTTTCTTTTTATTGCTCTGCTATATTACCTGGGCAAATTTCCTCACCAATATCTCTAGCACAACTATGTATTAAAACAAAACATGGAGACTCAGCAAGTGTAGTAACAACATATTACATATAGGTGAAACTCACATGCAAACCCCTGCACTCCTCAAGGGGGTCGTAGAATCCAGTTTTCTCTTTCAAATGAATAAAAAGGCAGAAATTTGCAGCTACAGACCCATCAGTACTCAAAGCTGAGCTTTCAAACCAACAAATAAGCAATTAATATTTAAAGAAGAAACAAAAGCCAGGTCAGCAGCAAGCATCCTTTAGAAGTCATCATAGAGACCATTTTTATTGACACTTTCATTTTCTTGACCAATTTTTATGTACTTTTATTATAGGATACCTTTAGTTATACACTCAAGAGCATCATTTCAAAACTCCTTTAAGAAAAAATATAAAAATTTGAGGCATCACTGAATATTTTATCAGGGTTCATTAGGAACTGAACAATAATGATGAGTCAATCTTGAGTGCAATGAAAAAAGCAACTGCTTCTTTGTGCACAGAAAATGCCACACAGGGTTCATTTGAGTAAGAGGGATATTTCTTACTATTGTTGAGACTTAGCCAATTTTGTCATTGCAATGGTAAGTTTACATCCAAAGCATATTTAGAATTTGCTCTTATCATCAGCTTCATTGTATAACAAAGACTTTCTAATACAATTTTAATCTCATATTGGGATCTAGGAGACACTTGGCTAAACCAGTACAAATCTAGCCACTCTGATAATGACATGACCCTAAAATAAAGATTGAGGTTCTGGGGTAAAAACACTCCTAAGGAATTTTCTGTTGGTAGGTATTAGCTAGTATGATGATCCCTTTCAAGTCACTAAAATAAGATAGTGCTTCAGTGTACGTAACAGTGGCTGAAATTAGCCTGGCATCACAAATGAGCCAATAACTTAAAAAGAAGGTGACTTTACAGACTTAAAATGAATGTGAAGTTGGCATAAGCATCATCAAGATATATTTACTTCGCTCCTACAATGCAACATGCCACATGGCTGCAGATATAAATAGGAGCACAATTTCTTGCCTCAAACAGTCCAAAAACAGTTAACATCTATTTGGTAATGTGGTAGAACCCAGCTAGATGTTCACCAATTCCTTTTTTTTTTTCCTGGATGCTAGGACACACCACATCTTCCAGTTTCCTTTGCAGTTAGCTTGCTACTGTGTAATTTGATGCTGCCAAAAGCAACGTAAGTGGAAAATTATGTATACCACTTCCAGGCCAGCCATGAAACAGACTTTCCCATTTTTCTTACTATGGCTATTTCATGCTGAATGCAAGAGTTTCAGCAAAGTCCAGTGAAGACGTAGAAGCTAGCAACATCACAAGCTGGAAAGCTACTTGATCCCTGAATTGCCACGCAGAAGGCTGCCTAGGAAACACCCAAGCAAACTACGGCATAATTTAGAAATATATCGTTGAAATTTAGGGACCGATTAACATAGCTAAAGAAGCAACTATTACATGTTACACACTGAAGGTGGGACAAATAAAGAAAGACTATAAGTGAGGCTAAATTTTAATCAATCATGACGAAAAAGCAGTCCTTAAGCAGAAACAAAGAGCCAGAAGTTACGGGCAGGGTCCACACTATAGGAAAGTAAAAGCAGAAATGCTCACATTTACAAAGGAGTAAAAGAGTCAACTTGGTTGAGGATTGGTGTAGGAAGAATTGGGGTCGGAAACTAAGTAGAGGTCAGATTACATAAAATAAATGATAAGAAGTTGGTATTCCTATATGCCAGAGGTCAGCAATTTTTTTTTTTTCTCTAAGGGGCCAGATAGTAAATATATTAGGTTTTTCAGGCCATGCCATCTCCATTACAACTATTCAGCTCTGCCATGGTAGGTGAAAGAAGACATAGATATTATATCCAGAAATCAGTGTGTCTGTGTCCCAATAACACCATATATGAATGTTAAAATTTAAATTGCATGTAATTTTCACATATCCGAAGATGGCGTTATTCTTTTGATTTTTTTGAAATCATTAAAAATGTAAAAAGCATTCTTGGCTGACGGGCCATACAAAAGCAGGCAAGGTGTCAGATGTGACCCATAATTTGTCAAACCCTGATACATGCAATGGAGCATCACAGGAGTTTTCAGAAAATGGAGTAAGGACAGGGGCACTAGTGATAATCAGTGTTGTACATCTTAACCTGGCCAAGTGCACAAATGGGTATTTGCAGAAGGGCAACTGGAGAAAAAGAGACCAAGAAGCACACCAATGCCAGTGTATACAGGCTTGGATTATTTTGTTAATCAGAAAGGAAGGGACAAGATAGATAATAATAGAGGAGAGCATCAAGATTTACTGAATACTTTAAGACCAGATAATTGAAAGAATAATGACATCAATAACTAGATTAGAACAACCTAGAGGGTAAAGATTAGGGCAGGTCACCAATTCCTAACCCAATAAATATAGAATACTATACTATTAACATCTCAAGTGGCACACATAATTCATTTTTATAATTATATCTGCATAGATTTTCCTGTTGTGGTCTCTCATAATTTATCTCTGAAATACCCTGATGCCTAATATTAATATTAGGCATCAGCTTGACTTGAGTTGAGGGATGCCCAGATGGCTTGTGAAACATTGTTTTTAGGTGTGAGGGTGTTGCTAGAGGAGATTGACATTTGAGCTGATGGACTGGGAGAGGAAGACCCACTCTCAATGTGGGTGGCCACCATCCAATGGACTGCCAGCGTGGCTAGAACAGAGCAGGTGGAAGAAGGTGGGATAAGTTTGCTTGCTGAGTCTTCTGGCTCTATTTCTTCTTCCTCTGCCAGACGCTTGCTTCTGCTCCTCCTGTCTTTGGACATCAGACTCCAGGTTCTTCACCCTTTGGACTCGGGTATTTGCACCAGCAGCTTCCTGGGGGCTCTCTGGCCTTTGGTGACAGACTGAAGGCTGCACCGTTAGCTTCCCTGATTTTGAGGCTTTTGCACTTGGACTGAGCTACTACCAGCTTCTCTCTTTCCCCAGTTTACAGATGGCCTATGGTGGGACTTTGTCTTGTAATCACATGAGCCAATTCTCCTTAATAAAATCTCTTTTATAAATACATATATCATATTGGTTCTGTCCCTCTGGAGAAACCTGACTAATGCAGACCAATATCCAGAAGAAAACAAAAGCTGATGACAATGAGGCTAATAATTGCCAGGATCTGAGGATTTTCATAAACTACAAATCAGTGGAGAATACTGGGAAGAAATTAAATATTTTACCTATGTTTTCCCCACATCACTCAAAGATACTAAGAACATGAATTTGCCCTCCCACAAAATATATGCCAAGGGTGCTCTGAATCCTGTGGTGTGGTCCAACTGTGATGATAGATAGATAGATAGATAGATAGATAGATAGATAGATAGATAGATAGATAGATGATAGATAGATAGACAGACAGACATATAGACAGACAGAGGTTGACAAACTTTTGTGGATAGTGCCAGATAATAAATAGTCTATGTTTTGCACCTAATAAAGTGTTTCTGCAACTACTCAACTCTGCCATTGTAGCATGAAAGCAGCTATAGACATTATGTAAATAACGGGCAAGACTGTCATTCAATAAAACTCTATTTTACAAGATCAGATGATGTCTTATAGTTTGGTGACCCTCACTCTATGGCACATCTGGATTTTGTTTTGTTTTGCTCTTTCCAAGTGGCCTGAGCAATCTTTTTTGTTCCCTACCACTCCCGAGCTACCATCCATTCGTTACTGCCAGTATCACCGTGACCGTCATTTAATCTTTATTCATCCTTAAATTTCAGTAAAAGTAAAATACTTTTTACTTTCTCTGGAAAGCTGTCCCTGGCCTCACTGATAAAATAAGATTACTCACCTCATGCCTATTTCCTTCCCCTTCCATTGCACACATCCCAAATATAATTTATCTTTTAATATTTGCTTTTGTCAGCTAGACTTTCAACTCTACAAGGCAAGGGCTGTATCTGTCATCGATGCTCAGCAAAGCTCAGTATGTAATGATGCTCAGTAGATAGTGGTTGAATATAATTCAATAAAATTGAAGTGGGCTGAATTAAGAGAGAAGAAAGAGTCAATTTAAAACTTAATACTTAAGAAAAAGCAATTTTGTAAAAAAAACAAAGCAATAGTATAATTAAAATACTTTTATAAAGTGAAGAATAAAGGAAAACAAGAAGTTTCACCAAAAGAAGGCTTAAAATAAAAGAAAATCTGTATGTAACATACTTTGGAAAAATACAAAATACAAGAATAATAAAAAAAATCTCAAACATACTGAGAGAAAAAATACATAAAAATTTTAAAATTTGTAAGGGTTTATCATCGAACTTATTTTACAGTCTCAAATATTACCTAACAATATGTTAATAATCATGTATCCTAAAAGGAAAAGGTTATAAATTTAAACTTTTATTGCTATCTAATTTGTTATTTACATGCGAAAGCAATTTTTCCAGATATGTCAGTGTTTAGATATGCCAACTTTTACCTTTCTTGCAAAAAAATTATATTTTATACAACCTACAGTTAACCAAGTGATGACCCAAAAATGATACGTAATAATAAACAATTAAAAATGTCAAACTTTTATTGAATCCAGTTAAATGTGAAATAGAATTGAATCTTACTAAATGTGAATTGAATGCAAATAATTCTACAAGCAGGATATTTGTAACATGATTATATGATCATCTAATAGCAGTAATCTACTCCTCATATCCAAACTTCTATATACAAAATCTGGGACTAGAATGAAAAGTGAAACTAAAAGTTTCAAAAATGCTTCATTTTATCTGAGTGGAGCTCAGGAGATACTTTTTAATTTTCTTCTTATTTTAATAACTAGGGACATATAAGGAAAACTTTTAAAATTTTTTAAATAAAACCATGAGAATAATTAAAAGCAATGTTAGTAACTGCCAAATCATTTGAAAATGTAAAAATAAATCAAGTTTGTATAGAAAAATATCAAAAACAAGGAAACATAAAATGATAGAAAATAGATATTGGTTTAGTTGTTGAATGTTAATAGGCTGGAATTCTGTCTTAAAAATCAGTGATCCTCATACTGTATTAAAACCAAGTCTCATAGGTATTTCTGTAATGAAGATATACAAATAGCTAATAAGCATATGAAAAGATGTGAAACATTCTTAATCATCAGGTAAATGCAAATAAACACCACAGTGAGATACTATGTCACATTTACTAGGGTAAGAAAAATAATAATAATAATAATAATAATAATAATAATAATAATAATAATGTCAGATAATACAGTGTCGGCAAGGGTGTATAGAAACTGGAACTCTCATACATTGCTAGTGGGAAAGTAAAACGTGCAACCACTTTGGAAAACAGTCTGGCAATTCCGCACAAAAGCTGAACATGGAGTTAGCATTTGACTCGGATCCCACTCCCAGGTATATACCCAGGAAAAATGGAAGCACAAATCCACACAAAAACTTGTGCACAAATGATCACAACGTCATTATTCATCACAGCCAGAAAGTAAAAAGACCCAAATGTCTATCAACTGATGAATAGATAAGCAAGAGGTAGTATATGTTTATAATAAAAAGGGATGGGTGACTGATACATGTTACAACACGAATAAGCCTTGAAAATATTATGTTAAATGGAAGAAACGAAACACAAAAGGCCACACATTGTAAAATTCCATTTATACGAAATATCCGATAACAGGAAAATCTATATAGAAAGAAAGTAGGCTAGTTTTGCATAGGGATAGGGATAGGGTGATTAGGAGATAACGATGAAAGGGTACAGAATTTTGCTCTGGGGTGAGGTGATAAAATTGTTCTAAAATTATGGTGATGATTTCACAACTCTTTTTTTTTTTTTTTTTTTTTTTTTTTTTTTTTTTTGAGTCAGAGTCTTGCTCTGTCGCCCAGGCTGGAGTGCAGTGGCGCGATCTCGGCTCACTGCAAGCTCCGCCTCCCGGGTTCACACCATTCTCCTGCCTCAGCCTCCCAAGTAGCTGGGACTATAGGCACCGGCCACCACGCCCAGCTAATTTTTTATATTTTTAGTAGAGACGAGTTTTCACCATGTTAGCCAGGATGGTCTTGATCTCCTGACCTCGTGATCCACCCTCCTCGGCCTCCCAAAGTGCTAGGATTACAAGCGTGAGCCACCGCACCCGGCCGATTTTACAACTCATTGCCAATACTAAAAGCTATTAAATTCTATACTTCAAATGGTTGAATTGTACGATATATAATTTATATCTCAATAAAGCTGTTACCAAAAAATGTAAAATAACTATGAGCTATTTTGAAAAGGTAAATAGACAGAAAAATATTTAGCAAAGATCAGCAGGTAAATTAAAGAAATGAGTGGGGATAAGCATATTAATTTCAGATAAAGGGGAATATGAGGGAAAAGGTAAATAAGTAAAATAAACAAGGCCATTTTATATTAATAAAATGGTGCAAACCATCATAAAGATATAAAAGTTACTAACATAATATTAAAATAGATGAGGGAAAATTAATCGAAATACAGGAAAATGTTAACAGAACCATAGTTTCTATAGAAAAGTACAACAAGAAAAGTATAATAAACAATAAAAAAGACTAAGAGCGACAACATTTGAATAAATATCACAAGGTAGATTTTTTGAAGCATCCATCAAATATTTGCACAAATTTAAACCAATCACAGCAAAAAAAACTAAACAAAAACTTTACAGCATAAATTATACAGACTACATTCTCTAACAAAAGTGAAATAAAATTCAAAAGTAGCATCAAGCTTTAAACAGCAACAAATGTAGTATTTTGAAAATTAAAAATTATTGTGATAAATATTTCCAAAGGCAGTTCTCTTACAAACTCTGAAAATTATTTCCAAAATCTATACTACTTCCTTTAAAAAGTATTTTCTAATGGCTCCAACCCAATACAGTCTTTCTCCTTATTATATCTGTTATTGCTTACTCTAATTCACATGATTATTAACTTTTGGCCTTGCTTTCTAATATATGCTTTCTAATAATAATATATGGCCTTGATTCATGCATGTAAATTCCTGAAAGACAAAGATACTGCAATGAATTTCTTTATTATCACTATATTTAAATATCTCCCTGAACATAGAAAGTCAGTAAATGTGTATTAATTGACTTCATTGAAAAATCGAGAAGAGATTTGGCTGGAAATTAAGGAACAAGAGTTCTTGACCATTATTGGAAAGGCTTAATGACTCTCAGCATGTCACTTTACCTCCCTGGATTTTAATATCCTCCTTCATTAAATGAATTAGTATTAAAATGTCTCTAAAGTTCCTTCCAGTTCTAAAATGTGTGACTGAACTTACAGGGGCAGAAAAGACATCCTTCAGTACACCCGAAAATTCTCCTCTCTGTGCAGAAACACTGGTTCTTTGAATGTCAGGGACTGGAACAGATTGCGCATTGTCGAGAAGAGAGTCACCCTCAATTACTCATCAATGGTGGAATTCTTTGTGGTTTACTCTCACTAACCTAGTGTTTCCTTAGTACCACCCACCTAGGTCCAAGGGGATATACATGTGTCTGAGTATGTGTGTATTTTTGCCTCTCTGACGACATTCCAAGACTAATATAAACACCTTTTAAATTACCCATTACTCTGTGTCACTTCTCTCTTCTACCAGAAAGAGGTTAGCCTATATTTACATTTGAATTTCTAATATTCTACCCTTTCCATCACCTTTTTCTTTCTTAAATACTGATTTCATCTCTTCTATATGTGGCCCAAATTTCAATATTTCTTTAAATTTGTATATTGGCATAAGTGTCCTATACTTATTTAATATTATATTATATTGAATTATATTTTATTGTAATTATAATTAAATATAATGAATTACTTATTTAATATTTAACATAGGTAATATATTCTATTAATATAATTAATTTTAATTATTAATGCTATTGCATAAATAGAAAAAACTCAAAGAATATATCACAAGAGATTAACTGGAAACAAGATTACGTGTGATTTTTATATTTTTCTCTTTGCGTTTCTGTTTTTCTACAATTTTATGGATTGCATACACAATAATTATATATGCATTCACCCATATATACACCTTAGTTACTTGAACCAAAATCAAAAACCTTTACACAACTCTTTATTATTCTTAACTTCACTTTACGAGAAAACATCTCTCGATACATAAAAAGTCCAGATAAATACATATAAATATACTCTAAAAACAAATATTTTAATATGTAAGTGGTTTTAAGTTACTGACATTAATCATTAAGTTAATAATAACCTTGATCCTGTGAGACAGTCAGAATATGCTCATTTTCAGCATAGTACACTTGCTAAGGCAGCAAAATGGAACAGAATACTTGAACAAGATTTTCAATGATCATGGGCAAAATAAAAAGACACAGTTAACCAGAATATTCAATTAGTCAGAATATATTCTTTAAACATCTATTAGTCAGGCAAGTTTCACTTTTCAGGGCCTTGTATCAAAGCTTTTTTTTAAATTATAAAAACCCATAAACAATGCTAATTATTCACATTTACAAATTAAACACCAAAGTCCATTCCCAGATTAAAACAGAATCTAAATTGATGTGCTTTTACCAAGACTTTATGTGATCATTATCCATCCCTTCCCGCTATTGCTGAACTTAAATGAGCCCCTCCAATAAAGCCTGTTTTACTGGGTATGCTTCCATAAAACATTCACATTTTATCATATAGTAAAGTTAGAATTTATGCTAAATATTATTTCCCTAAAGATAAATTCAAGTGAATCAAATATTAAATGATGTAGCAAAGAGTATTATTATAAAACTAAATTCCTGCAAATGTATTAATAGTCTTTAATGTTGATAAGTAAATGGCTGTGATGTTTTCTTTTTAATACTTCAGTCTCACTAAGGCTGTCAGTAAGCCTAATTCTCTCTCATTTCTGCCAATTCCTATTAGATACACAGAGAAGTACATTGTGTTTATGAGACTAGGGTTCCATTTTTACTAAGCATATAAAAGCTTCTATTAATCTCTCTTAACAGTTATTGAATTTGCCTTTGAATGTTTGCTAAAACAATGATGGACATTCATTAACAACAGGATAGACTCTCACAGTTTGCATATGTTAGTTCCAAAACTTTCTTCAATCAAACTCAAGCAACTAAAGGAAGAAAAATGTGTCAAGTACATAAAACATTTTACTCAGACTTAAAATGCTTTTATTTCAACTTCAATTTATTTCCACTAAGGCTTCAGTGGTAGGAAGGAAGATGGAGAATATTCATTTTACTGCCTTAACAAATTACCACAAATTTAGCAGCTTAAAGCAACACCCATTTATTAGCTGACACTTTTGTAAGTCAGAAATCCCAGCGAGTTCAACTGGGTTCTATACTCAGAGTCTCATAAGGCCATAATCAATGTGTCATTGGATGGGTCCTTATCTGGAGGCTCCGGAAAAAATATTTGCTTTTACATTTATTTAAGTAGTTGGCAGAATTTAGTTCCTTGAGGAGGTCAGACTGGGTCTGCCTTTTCTAGCTGGCTATTGGCTGCGAGGTGGGTAAGATACTTGTCTGCATTTGTTGGTGTGTGGCCCCTCCTATCTTTTAAATTAGCAAGACAGCATCAAATCCCTCTGACCTCTCTGATCAGCTGGAGAAAAAATTCTCTGCTTTTAAAGGGGTTTATGAGATCGGAAGACCTACCCGGTGGATAATCTCCCTAACTCAAGGTCATCTGTGCCATATAACATAACATAATCATGGAAGTGATATTAATACCTCATTATAATCACAGGTTTTGGGAATTAGCATGCGGAATGTTGGGTGGCATTTTTACAATTTTGCCTGCTGGGGAATTGGAAAAATTGAGATTAGGAGTATACGCAGGCTTTAAATGTCAGACGCTATAAACACAGAAGCCAGAGCAAAGATCTCTTTCTGGCAGAGGGACATTCAGGAACATCTCCTAATGTTAATCCCATACTGATATTAGAAAAGGAGCATCAGGCCTTAAGCATTATTTGCATTATTTGCAAGTGTCGATGAGCTTGGAATTCTTTTCAAGTAGATAAAGAAAAAAAAAATCAAGGGATCAAAGAAAGAGGAAACAGTGCAAAACTGGCTAAAGTCTCGCAGTTGAATGACTCCTGTTAGGGAACTCTGGGAGGAGTTATTAAAGATTCAAGATTGAGAAAACTGAGGTTCAGAATTAAATCCAATTCTGAAAACTACGAGATCATGGAGGCACTTCCTATACGACTTTGAGTCACTAGGGTTCAAGTCAGGGATGCCATTACAGAGTAATCAGGGGACGAGATAAGGTACTGGTTACTGAAGGACTGACTCGGAACAAAGCAAGTCAGCTGGTCTGGCACCAGGATCCCAGGTGTTCAGGATCACAGCACAATTAGCATCTCACCTGACTCAGAGTTTAGTCACTAATTTACTAACCCAAGGCTCACGGTACACCCACTTCCCAGGCCCTTGACCACTTTCAGATTCGGGGGTAGGGTTGGACACACAAGTTAGTGACCCCATCCAGATGTCACAGAACTGTCAATGTAAAGTCTAAATTCCTCTCTTTCATTCTCTCTTCTCCCGCTTTCCTCCTGTTCATATTACCAAATGCCATATGCCCAGCTTTAAAAGATGCTGAAAGAAACTCCCTTTTCTGATTACTGGAGATGCTGGTGCACACAGGGCAATAACAACAAGGTCAGCAGGTCTATGAGAACCCCAAAGGGGTGCTGGGGATGAGGAGTATTAGGAGAGGAAGGGAGCATACAGAAGGTCTCTCCAGGATTTTTTATTCATGCCTTTTCTCTCCTTAGAGGTCTTGTGGAGCACAGAGAGAGAGACCCAGGAGGCCTGAGACTTGCTGGGAGCCTCTCATCATGTAGATGAGTCATTAAAACACATTGCATCATTTAAGAATTACTCTTCAAAAATGGCCCTACTCCAAAATGCTCCCATTATTTTATACTGTCTGATTTGTAAAATATATTGG
Source organism: Homo sapiens (assembly GCF_000001405.40). NCBI lineage: Eukaryota > Metazoa > Chordata > Mammalia > Primates > Hominidae > Homo > Homo sapiens. Next base: position 81,032,209 of record NC_000009.12, read on the forward strand.
GTCAGGGATGGTGGTGTCAAAGTATTAAATTAAATTTGGCCAAAGGCCATCTCTGAACTTTGAGTCTTTACTTAAGGAACTACAACTGAACTTAGTACCTAGACAAACTGAAACCTAACTTAGGAGTACATTTTTGTGTAACAGATAGGTCTGAGCCAATCAGAAGCAGCTGAGCTTCAGCCAATCACAGGCTGCCAACGGATCAGATATGTGCAAATAAGGCAAAAGCCCAGCTGTAACCAATGGAACTATTTCTGTACATGACTTGCCTCTTCTGTCTATAAATACTCACGGCCCACTGGCAGAGCACAATTCTCTGAATCTCTTCTGGTTCTGAGTGCTGCAAGATTCATGAATCATTCTTTGTTCAGATAAACTCTGCTATATCTAATTTGTCTAAAGCTTCTCCTTTCAAAGATTTCATTCATTTCCTAGAATTTTGTAAAGCAAAATTGTATACCAAATAGCACCATGGCCTCCTACTGCAGAGTAAAGAATGGGAATGAACCTTTTACTCCGAGCACCTTTCCTGGGATTTCACATTCCTGATACAAAAAGCCAATAGATCCCCGTCCGGGGTCTGCTTTTGTGGGAAGTTTTTGTTGGTTTGTTTTGCCCCCAAGCTATTAAAATAGGTCATGTTTCTTTCTGGTTAACCATTAGGTATTACAACCTAAACACAATATCCATGATTGTGTTGATGGAACAGATGTGAGGACAGTGAGGGCAGGGATGGGGGCTGAGGGGATGGTTTGTCCCTGCAGAGTGCAAGAAAGAAACAAGAGGCCTGTGAGTTGTTTCTAGTAATTTGTGGTAAAGAGAACCCTGTGTCATGCTCTGAGACTCCAGGGTTTTAAGACAAGTGGTGTGCTGCTTCAGGGCATTTATGTTTAAAAAGCTCAGTGGAGCAAGAAAAGATAAGGAATACACAAAGATTAATTCTGAAGTTCTTGTTAAAACCAAACACTTTAATCCTAGAAAGAGACGGTGAGGAAGAAACCCTTCTTCTAATACACTCAGCTGAGTTCATTTTCAAAATTACCAGAAGGCTGACACATGTGGCAGGAAGGAGGAGGGAGGGAGATGTGTTTAAAACAATTCCTTTTTCTGTGAATCAAGTTTCAGTGTATCTACTGTGGCCATTGTACCTGTCAAACATTAACAGATCTATTTTTTTGGAAATGATCACTACGACAATTTTGAGATTAACTTGATGAATCAAAAGAACTAGAGAAAAAAAACTGTTGTAAAAATTGTGTGTGGAGAGGGGATATTTATTTCCTAGCATTTATTTTTTCATGCAGTTAGCTGTAAATGCAAAAACCAGCCAATAAGCAAGAATGGGTCATAGATGCCTTCATGAAAACTGAATGAAGGGTACACGCTTAAGACCAGTTCATGGCTTTGTGCACATGATTTTGAGGCAGTGCACATTTATTGCCCATGTTTTATAAATTCATTATGTTATTCTGTCAACATTTCCTCAACTGGAATGTAAGTTTATAGGGAACAAATGATGTCTACTTTTTATTCTTCACAAACTGATTTACTCAAGAAGGGAGAGAATAAGGAGATAAGGAAGTGGGGAAGAAAGGAGAAAGGGAAAGATGGGTGAGAAAAGCAAGGAAGAAACAGGAAGGAAAAGAGAGGAGAAAAGAGAGTACAGATTTGGGGATTCACTGTAATTTACCAAGGGAAATTAGAAATGCAAATGTCCATTGCTCTTTGATCATGTGCCTGCATGTTTTATCACAGGAGTCTGATCATGCAAAACTGGAGTCTACAACACAACAACCTTTCAGGGGTCAGCCTCCTAAGAAAAAAGCTTTGCCTTGTGTCAGTCATTAAATTTGGGAGCAGATTCTGGAAAGATCCCCTGAAGCATCTATATACAATTAGTAGATAGAACACTCTTTTACAGGGTGGCCACAGTAGAGCAGTCCATTTTGGAGCTTGTTGATTTAAGCTATAAACATGACCCGAGGGAAATTATGCTAAAGAAAAGGATTATTATTTCTTGATAGTAGCTCAAAGCCAGTGAGCCCCTAAAACAGACTCTGACATATGGCCTTATAGTATGTGTATTTGATATTTTATTTGCAGATGCCCACACAGTACAAACAGCAGCCTTCTGCTATTATCAGGCGACCATTGTTACAAAAGCACAACACATTGGTATATGCTTCACCTGCTGCCGAAGAGGTCCTTTGAGGAGAGAGATACAGAAGGCCACACAAGCTTGCTCCTGTTATCACCAAGTCTGAGAAAAGATAACTCAAGAGCTTAAAGTATCTATAATCTGTTCTGCATTTAGTTGGCATATTGCAGATATCTGCCCCAAATTTAATGTGAGAAACAGGAGAGTTAAGATAAATTAGGGGAGTATAATTATAAGGATTGCTAAGGAAACATCCAGGATATATTTAGATACTTTTGGAAGTAATAAAATGGATTTATGTCCTTTCCAGAACCAACCAGAGGCTTTGTTCAAGTCCACAGCTGCAAGCTGGTAGTATGTATATTGTCACTCTCACTTCCTGTACCTACTGTATACACATTGCTGCTTACCCATAGCACTCTCTTCCCCACTAGGGCAGAAGCAACTTCTAGGTCTTTTTTAAATAAAATACTCCTGGAAGCTTCCTCCAATCATTCTGAGTTGATCCACAAGTGAAAAATCTATTTGCCATCATTTGACTAAACCATAATTTCAGAATTCTTCATGGATCTCCCCTGAGCTGCACACAAACCCCATGTTAAACACAATCATCTTTGACAGCTGATAATAGTTTGTAAATTGTATCTTTCAAGCAATGAAGAACTTTTTCTATAATTCAGGTTTCACCCTATTTTATGCCTCAATTTTTCTCATCTTGATCGTTTACTCTCTAGATTTTAATGTCTTTATGTTAATTCTGCAGTTCAAGAAATAGGCTCAATCAAGTCATGTGGTGGTTTTCAAGAATGTCAAGTTACTAAGAGTCTGGCTTTAATTGTCCGTTAGGAACAAAATAAAAAGGTTGTTGATTCTCAATTATGACGTTTCATTCTAAAATGTGGGAGATGTTCTCTGGGATGAAAGTGAGTCATTTAACATTTATGTTTCTCAACTGATATCCACTGAGGGAAAGCATAAACCAATTAATGAAAAGGATCTGTCTAGAGATAAGAAGCATCAAAAAGAAATCTGGAGAACTTCATTCTGACTCCAAACCACATAAATGAAAGACTTGCAAGCTTTTTCCCTAATGTAGCCAATGCACCGTGTCCAACTCCGTAATTATGCCTTACAGCCAAAAAAGTGAGCTGCCAGGGCTTTAAGCTAAATGCCACTCTAGCTGTATTATTCACTCTGAAGAAGGAACTACCTCTAGGAAGGTGCTTTATAGTGCCTTTAAAAAGGTAGATTCTATACCTTTAATGCTTTCTTTCTTAATTCTTATCCCCAATATTAATACTTCAAATTTAGTAAGACTTATGGAGCTAAATGGATGAAAAATTTTAATTAAAATTATGTCTACAAGCTGACCAATTTATTTATAGTTTTGAACCCCCCATGGACATAATATTGCTGCTAAACCACAAACCACTGGAAAATCAGAGTGAAACCTCATTGACTTGACGACTTACTCTCATGCCATATCAAGTTGACAACTTTCTTGCTGAGGGACCTTGAAGAAGACACTGAACCTCTAAAGCTCAATTTAAAAAAATATTAAAGAAAGTTTGTCTATGTTCCATGGACTCTACTAGACCCTTGATAAAAATATGAATTTTTATCCTCAGTCAGAGAAAAATTGGACTGTCACAGCATTAGCTTGATTTTCTATTTATGTAATATTCCATTAATGAGAGTTAAGGACATGGTTTTAGCTATCAAGAAATTAGTGTTTTAGGAAAAAAAATATATATAAATATATAGAGACCAAAATGGTCTCTATATACACACATATATGTATGTGTATATACATATATATGTGTGTATATACACACATGCATACATATACATATACATATATATGTATACACACACACATATATATGTATGTGTGTATGTGTGTGTATGTGTGTGTATATATATATATAGAGAGAGAGAGAGAGAGACATACCACCCAAAGACAAAGGCAAGCAGGAATTCAGATACAAACAAAAAGGACAAAACTAATTTTTGGAGAAAATGTCATGTGCCAAAGCCTGAATGAGCGGAGATGCTGGTAGCTTAAGAATGAAGAAATGACATGGGAAACTCAAAATGATGTGATGAAAGCTCCTTCATCAAAACAAAGTTCTTGCTCCCAACACAGATGAGATAGGGAAACCACTTGAGAGCAGGGAGCAGAGGAGAAGCACGATCCAATGGTAGAGAAAAGAAACGTTTTTGGTTGAGAATGAATCACTGACTGCAGAAAAATAGTAAGATATGTTGATAGGAAGTAATTTTTATTAATTGCTCAGTGGACAAACTTATTTAAGCACCTTCCATGTTCTAGGTTCTATGACAGTTAGAAGTTTAAAGACCTACTTTAGTGGAGGGAAAAATAGGAAAAATTTGTGGTTGATGGGTGATAGAGATTTGCCCAGGGCACACACCTGAAATCCAGCACCCATTGGGACTGGAAGTAGAAAGAAAAGCTTCTCAGAAGAGGTTCCAGCTATTCTAAGGCTTGAAGAATGCATGGGAGTTACTGAAGCAAAGAAGAGAAAGAACATGGAGTCAAAGATGCTAAAGGCATTTCAGGAGCAACTCAATTAAAAATCAAAAGGAGATCTTAGGTTAGTGGTTCCCAGCCTGTGACATCTTAGGAGCAATCTACAGTGTCACATTTAAACAAAATGTGTATGTTCCCCCATTCACATTGACTCTTATTTGGTAAGAATAAGCCCCTGAAATGATGGATGTTGTAAAGGAGTAGGACAACCACCGGCAGAAAAATTAGAACTATTTGGCCTTAAATCCTTGCTCTACAACTTCTACCTGTGCAGTCTGGGTCAATGACTTGACTTCCTTTAATCTCCATAGAGTCATTGGCAGCAACCTCATAGGTGTACTGTGGTGATAAAATGATGTGATACATGATTAAGTCAGTGTAATGCCCTATTCAAATTCAGTGCATATGAAGTATTGATATTAGAATTATTATTAATGTAAATGAAAGAACATGAAACTTGGAATCTGGAGACATCATATGTGTGACATTATGAAAGTTGCTTAGCCATTCTGAAAATCATATTGCTTAATTATTTAAAAAGAAAAACTTTTCAAACTTTGTAAGATTGTTTTAGGAATTAAATATGGCAACATTAAAAAAAACACTTAGCACAGACAAGGACCCTACTACATTTTACTTAAATCTGGGTCTGAAATACTTATATTGTAGAAACACAAAATTGTATATAAAAATGTGCTTTAATAAATAATAACAGCAAATACTTAAGTGTTTCTCTGTGTTGGGTATCTTAGGCATTTTTACATCTACTTTCTCATTCAGTCCTAAAGATCACCTTTTTATTATCCCTGTTAATCCTGAGAAGTACAGTTACTTACCTAACATCTCACAGTATTTTTTTTTAACCATAAGAACAACTTCTTTAAAAGACTTCTAAATTTCCAAAGGTTTTTTGAGTAATAATAGAAAAGGATCTAAACTCTGGCTCTCAAAAGAACAGCGGAGTCCTCCTATGAAACCAGCCCCAGGGAAGCAGCATCATCATCTGTCAACCAACATTGAGGGTCTGTGTGAATTACCATAATGGTGCCGTTGAAAAGGCACAGAAATCTCTAACCTCTTAGAACTCACTCTGTAGTTTGGAGAGATAAAGCATGTAAACAGATTAGTCTTCTTGATGCAGTGTGTATCGAAGGTAGATTGATAGTGCAGTTATTAGTGTTAGATTAGTTCAGAGGAGATTAAGGCTGCATCTGGCTGGGATGATAAAGGAAACTTCCCAGAAGAGAACAGGGACTGAGCAATGGTTTGAAGAATGAGTAGGATCCTGATAGTCAGAGATGGATGGAAGGTATTCTAACTTGAGGATAACACATAAACTAACAATGGAAGAGGGGAAAAAAAAATGACACACACAAAGAATATTCTGGGGATGATGAGCAGGATTTTTGGACCCAAAAGATCCCACAGCACCATAGTGAACATCTGGGTAGGGGGGATAGGACCACATGTGAGGCAGCCTTGACTATTAGCGCTAATAATTATAACTATAATTGCAATAATTGTTAACTATCATTTGCCAGCATTCCTCATACGTCAGAGAAAAGGCCAGCACTTAAATATTTAATCCTCCCAATCACCTTATGAAGGAGGTATTATTATCTGCTTTGTAGAGATGAGGAAATTGAGGTTCATGAAGGCTAAGTGACTGTCCTAAAGTCACAAACTAATGAGGATCCACCCTGGGACCCAAGCCCAGATCTACCTGATTACAAAGATGTGTTTTTCATGATGACAGTGCTGCTACTCCTCAAAAGTTTTTGGTATTTTTCTTGCAAAGAAAAGGAATTTGCTTACAAGATTTTACTTGAACCCGCTAAAGTTTTTGAAGTATTAATGCTCATTCCTCTTCTCTCCTGACCTATCAGCAGTATGTACCACAGTTGATCATTTCTTTCTTGATATACTTTATTTGCCTCTCAGGACAAAACACTGTCTTGATTTTTCATCTACTTCACCTTCTACATCTTTTTGAAAGAAGAAGTTTCTTTTCTCCAACCTTCTAACATAACAGTGGTTCAACATTTTATTTGCCACTTCTTTCCTCTGTCAACACTCACACCCATTTGTGATCTCATCCAAACTATTTAGTTTTATTTTTAAAAAATAAATTTTATTGTATATATTTGAGGTTTATAAGATGATAATATGGAACACATACGGATAATAAATAATCCATTATAGTAATTATAGTAAAATAATTACTATAGTGAAGCAGATTAATATATTAATCATCTCACATAGTTACTTTTTCTAACAGGAGCAGCTAAAATCTGTTTATTTAACAAAAATCCCTAACACATTATAATTTTATAAACTATAAACTACAACTATGTTGTATTTAGCTCTCTAGACTTTTTCCTCCCATTTATCTGCTACTTTGTATTCTTTGGTCTACATCTTCCCATTTGCCTCCTTGCCTCTCATCTATAGTAATTATATTCTCTATCTCTGTAGGTTTGACCTTTTCTCCCCCTAGACTCCACATATAAGTGAGATCATGCAATATTTTTCTTTCTGTGTCTGGTTTATTTCACTTATCTCTTCCATGTACTGATGAATCAAAACCTGAAATCTCTAGCCCATACCTCTTTCTGGGAAGCCTAGACTCAGCTCCAGCTGATCTCCTTATTTCTCCACTTGGTTGTCTGAAATGGAATTCCTAGTCCTTCGCCGCCTAAACCTACTCCAGTGCAGTCTTCTACAGTTTTGTTGCTATCAACTCCATCTTCACCATGGTTTACGCCAAAGCTGTGACATCATCTTCAACTCCTCGGTTTCTTTCCCATCCTAGTGTCAAGAACTTTGGAGATGTTCAAAATATTCAGAATCTGTTCACTTCCACCTCCTGCACTGCTGCCACCCAAGTTTAAGTCACCATCATTTTCCACTTGCCTACCTGATGCCGCCTTCCTTATGTGCTACCTCTGCCCTTCCCCCTTGAAGGTCTATTCTCAGCACAGCAGCCAGAAGATTCCTTTAAACTATAAATCAGATCACTCAATGGCCTTTTTTTAACTATATTTCCTCTCTTTCTTCCCTCAGCAACTCCACAATCACATTGGCCTTCTTTGTGTTTGTCTCTTCCAGATTGTCCTAGCTGTTTCTCCTGCCTGAATTGCCCCACCTTCAAATATCTGCTTGGTTAGTTCTCTTGCCTCCTTCAGATCTCAGAGCTCATCTTTCCAAGAGAGTCTGTCCTGATCATCTCACGTAAAAGTGAAAAGTGCCACAGCCCACCATCATGCCTGATTGCCCTTATCCTGATCTAATAATTCTTCTTTCTGTTTTCCATAGGACTTTTCCATACCATATAAATTACTTAATGACTTATATGTTTATTGTCTATTTCCCCCAGGAGAATGCAAGCTCCTGGGAGAGGACAGATATTTTTATCTGTTTTGTTTACTCTTCACAGTTCCCAAATGGCTAGACACTGCCTGGTACCTAGAAGGTGTTCCATTAAAATTTGTTGACGTTCATTTGAATGTTGAATAAATAAAATAAACAGCTACAGTATGCATTTTTCTCTCATAGATACGTGTTTTCCAAGTGCCCAGGTAAAGTCGTTTTTCTCTTCTAAGAAGTGAACATTATGCCTGAACACTTTAAAACCTTGAGTGAGATCTACAGAGAAGTAAAGCATATTGTCCTCAGGACACAAGTCTTTCTACGCCCAAACTTACATTGAGGAGATAATATCTGGCACATTGTAAATGTGAATAAGTAACTGTATTTCAGCTCTTAAAATAGATTGGGAGAATAGATAGCCAACGGTGGACCTGGAAATATGTATGAAGGAAAGTGTTGAAATTAACTAATAAAAAGTAGCCTTTGAGATAACAAAATGGCTGTTTCCTAAATAGAGCGATTTCTTATGTTCATATTAAGTGATTAATGGGACAGGCATGCAGAAACATTTATAAGTAGCTGTGTTTTTACTGTGCTTTAACTTGAATATGGGATGAAAAATGTGGACATCTACAGAAAGCACTATGAAGGAATTATCAGAAATATTGAGATCAATGAAGCCTAAACTGTCTCCAAGAAAATAAAACTCACTTTAAATGGGACCAACTGGTACAATATCACACACTGCACATATATGTGAGCATTTGCATACATGCAACACTGATACAGAAATAAAAATCAGCCATACAGTCTTAAAAAGTAAGAGTACAAGCAATGGAATATAATTAGACTCCCTTTTGCATATCTGTATTATGTTTTCATGGAAAAATTATGTGATGAAATTCAGCATAAATCAGGTACTGAAAAGTCTGCCAATCAAAGTTTTCCCACTAGTGAAAAGCCCTGGTTCCTGTTTGCAGAAACTCTGTCTTTATAAGTAAACCTCATCACTGTACTCTTAGAATTCTGAATGCAATCTGCTTTGGTGTAGATTGAATTCCTGTTTCGGTGCACTAAGTTGCTAGTATATAAAAGTCTACAATATTCTTTTCCTAAAATGTGTGTTTGTGTGTGTGTGGTAATTACCAAACTTTTAGTTTAATGAAAGCAGTTCAGTGATATCTCATAATACCAGGCTCTTACCATTCACCCATAGATCCATTTTTCTCTGCCTCCTTCCTAGCAAAGTAAATATTAAAAGAAAAAAAAATCATCTTCTTCTGATGCCATCTCTATGGCAGCAGAAAACTAATTTTGTTACATCTTGACACATCAGTATTCACTATGTTGACTATGGCTTTATTTTTATATAAAGCTTAAAAAGAAAACATTAAACATTAGTATAACATACTTGTCATTTTTACAGCCATAGTTTCAACCCTCAGTTGAGAAAGGTTACTTTTTCCTTGATGGATCCTTCAATGAAATATTTATTTTTGTACCACCATGATTTCACAGTGTGCTGTTATGAAAGTAACTCAAATATTACATATTTAAATCCTAAGTTTCTCCATAGTGTCAATGAGAGGGAGATAAAAGGCGAGCAAATAAGGCCTTTTATTTAAGAAGAGCCAGTAAATAATTTTAAAACATAGTAAGAAAATTTAAGTTATAAAAGGTAAATGGATTTATATTTGGAAAATGACACATTTAAAGTATTCTCTACAAAAATCTTGTTTTAAAAACAGTGTTTCATCAATTCCTCTTGACATCCATAGTAATGACAAAATATCCTTACACATTTTCATATGTATTATTTTCTAAATGGTATAATAAAAGCTGTCAGCCATCCCCTCTGCATAAAAACAGAAAAGTGCAATCCTTTGTTCTGTGAGTGACTGCATTTGCACATTATAGAACTATGAAATATTTACAAAGGGAAGGTTAAATCAATACAGCTCTAAAATTTGTACTTCAGTCTTCAGGGATTTATATCATCTTGATTTAATGAACTACGAGGAGTTAGAATGTTGACACACAGAAAAAACATATTTCGGTTTCTCCTTTATTGTACATACAGAAAGTATTGAAGTAGGATTTGTTGATACCTATGCAGTAACTAATTATTACTTCAACTATCATTTGAGAAATCTCACGGCTAAAAGCAGATGCCAGCCATCAAAAAGAGAAAAAATATGATGCATACTACAGTAAAGAAATACTGTATCTTCATTTAACTTAGTTTGTCAAAAATCTTTTAAAATATTTTATATTAATAGTATTTAATTTTTGTAATACAAAGATTAGCCCAGATATATCAAACATACAAAAATATAAATAAATACTATATATAGTCATCTAAAATATATTATACATACTATATATCATAATAATGTATGTGCATTTAATATGTTGATTATGCCTATGTATCTCATTATATCACAACAAATCTGAGTTGTGAACCTAAATTTTCTTATTGCAGTACAAGACTATGTTCATCAAACAGAACAGAACTATCTCTTATTTGCAAAAATAGCCAATCTCACAGTTTGTTCCAATGAAAGCATTAATGAGGAAGTATAAGGATTGAAGGAGGGAAACAAAGAGCTTTGAAAACTGTATTTTCTTGATACGTAAGACAGAATAATAAATACTTATAAAAGGGCATAGGATATGTCAAGATGAAAGCTTAGGTGAAATGCAACTTGCTTCTTTTATAGAATTGATTCATTCGTTTCAAGTTCACATTGTTATATACATATGTTCTATTACATTGTATAAACTAGAAAATTCTTAACATCATCAGTTGAAACATCAGACTGTACTTAGAGGTACTGTTCATAAGTGTATTCAATCTAAATTTACTAATTTACAAGATCCAGTGATTTCAAACTCTTGATATAAAAGAGACCAAGGGGAAATAACAAAATTTTAGTAGACTCAGGACTCTGGTTCTAACAATTATCTCCTCTGTGATCTAAGGCAAGTTACTTTTTCTCCCTGAACCCCAATTACCAGCCTATGTAAGATAAATAAACCTTCTTACCTCACACGACTATTTTAAAGACCCAAAGATGTTATAAACTCTGTTTGTAATGTGTTATGTAATTCTGGTGAGACATAAAAATCAGTTTTACCTCCATATTATATATTGCTTAAGTTTTTATTGAAACAACCCAATAGTAATTAACAACTATTTATTGAGCACAGATTCCCTGAGCACATACCTGTTAAAAAAACAGAAAAACAGAGTTCCCTTAAGTGTACAGCAGTGAAAAGGGGAAAGTCAAAATTAAATTAGAAAGGAGAGGAAAAAAAATTCATCACATTAAACTAAACATAATTATTTAATAATTCTATTCAACTGGAAATGCTTACCTCATCTTTTATTATACTTCACATGGGCCTCTTAATTAAGCAATGATGTTATTTTGCTACTTGGCCAAGGTTCCCCAGAAAATAAAACATTAGATATAGCTCTAAGTGCTAATGTGCAATTAAGGACTGCAGAACCCGAGAATAGAAGCAGGAGACAAAGGGAGTAAAGGAAAGATGGGTGCAGTGGAAGCTAACATGAAAATGTGTCATCAGGTGGCTTAAAATAAATGCAATTGATTGCTTGATTTCCTAGGACCTTCCTCCGAGAAACCACATAATCTGCATCTTAGGACCACTCTTTGAGTACACAGAGAAAGGGGAAAGAAAAATAATTTGCAGCTAGCTCCTGCCCATTAAAATGTTTGGTACACAGAGCATTAATTCTTGTTGACTTTCCTAATCTTCCAGTGTTCCATCGCTCTTGGTGAACAGGAAAGCCCTGAAGCAGAGATGAGATAGATGACATGAGGTGAGACATTGTTAGATCACATCTGTGTGAAGTTAGTCGGAGCCCACAGTGCAGCTGGATCCACAGAAAAATGAAGCTGAGAAAATCAGAAACAGGGCCTAAGAGATGGCTGGTACACAACACACAGAGTGGTTACTATGTTCCAGTTTGATTCTCACAAAAGTACCTAACTACCCCTAATCTTATGATATTCTCATCTTGCCAATAGGTCCCCAAATCACAACTGAGCTAAAAATTCCAGCCTACGTCAAGTACCTCTTGCCATGTCATGCATATGTTAGAACCAGGCACTACAAAAGAAAACAAGCCTATTTACCAGACAAAGCAGACAAAGGGAAAATACTGGAATAGCTCTTATACCATTATTTTACTAATAATTTCCAACCTCTAATGCCACAGTAGAAAAATCGTAGGATCTTAGTGTTTTCCTCGTGTACATTATACTAATTACTCAGCACTCTTGAACTAAGACTTAAACACTGTTGAGAGCCCATTAAGTTACTTTGCTTGTTATTTCAAAAAGAAATCAAGAGGAAAGGATCTGAAATCATCAATGTGAATGATCAAGTGGTATGAGCAAGCTTCAGCAACCCAGGCTTTGTCTGTGGCTCAGCCTCCTTAGAAATAAGTGCCCCTCCCTTTTCAAACTCTTGTAAATGTAGGCAATGCTGGTTTCTCCTTGGTCTTTCTAGACTGTTTTATCAGTTAATTATGCTATCTGATAAAAGGAGAGAAAGGAGCTGTTTTCATTAGCTAGTTCATGCAGCTAGATTATTTTTATAGTTACAGACAAGCTAATTCTAAAATGTATATGCAATGGCAAAGAAACTAGACTAGCCTAAGCAATTCTGGTATAAAAGGAAGTCGGAGGACTCATATTTTATAATTTTAAACTCTTTATAAAGCTTTGGTGATCAAAACATTGTGGTTTTAGCAAAGGGGTAGGCTCCTACATCAATAGGACAAAATAGAAAGTTCAGAAATAGACCTATACAAATATGCCAATTAGTTTTTGACCAAGGTTCAAGGCAATTCAATGGAGAAAGAATAGCCTTTTCAGCAAGTGGTGTTAGGACATCCATATGCAATAAAATGGATATCAACATAAACCTCATGCCTTCCACAAAGATTAAATCATGATGGATCATAGACCTAAATGTAAAATGTTAAATATTTAGAAGAAAGCATAGGAAAATATCTTTTTAAATCGACATTAAGCAAATAGCTCTTACATATAACACCAACTGCATAATTAATTTTTAAAAATAGATGTTAACCTCCGGCAAAATTTAAAACCCTGGTTCTGCAAAAGATACTATTAAGGGAATGTAAAGAGAAGCTAAAGGCTGGAATAAATCAATTGCAAATCACTTGGATCCTGAACTTTAAAACCCAACAGTAAGAAAACGATCCAGCTTTATAAAAAAAATGGGCAAAGGTTTGCACAGATACTTCATCATAAAAGATATACAAAGAAACCAGATAAATGACAAACAAACACATGTACAGATGTCCAACGTCATTTGTCATTAGGGAAATGCAAATTAAAACAATGATGTGATATTACTAAGCCACTAATAGAAGGGCTAAAATAAAAAGTACTACAAAACTAAGGACTAGTGAGGAAGCAGAGCAACTGGAACTCACATATAATGTGATGATGGCAATGGAAAAGGGCAAAGTCTCTCTTACAAAGTTAAACATACACTTACTATATGACCCAGCAATTCCACCCCTAGGTATTTACCCTAGAGAGATTAAAACTTATGTTCACACAAAGCCTATACATGAATGGTTATAGCAGCACGATTCTTATGTGCCCAAACTAGAAACCCAAATGTTCTTCAATGAGCTGATAAACAGTGTTACAGACCATGGAATAATAGCAAGCAAAAATAACAAACTACTGATAAACAATACTTGGACAGATCTCAAAGCTGTTAAGCTAAGTGAAGAAAAGCCATTCTCAAAGGTTAAATACTTTATGGTCCCATTTATAAGACATTTGCAAAAAGACGTAACTGTAGTGTCAGCAAACAGATTAGTAGTTGCCGGAGGATAGGGTGGGGAAGGATATTTTTATAAAGGAGCAGTACAGGGCAGGTTTGAAGGATGATGAAATGGTCTATAACGTGATTATAGTGGTCATAATACAAATTTGTATACTAAAGCTTGTAGAACTTGTCAGAAAATAGTCATTTTAACTCTACGTTAATTTGAAAATAAAAATACATACGTAGGGGATTGTGGGAGTAAGTTAACTTCATTCTGCAGAGGAAGATACCCCCAGTGTAGTTCAGCGTATGCTTTCTTGTCCACTCTCAGGCAACTTTAGATAATTTTAAGAAAAGGACTTAAAGAAATGATTTTACACCATATTTATCTTCAAATCCCTAAGATTTCCTATGAATAATATTTTCTAGGCAGGTAACCTTTTAGATTATAAGAATATAATTTATGCCTCAAGTTCTTCTGTATTTCAAATTATTATTTTTTTCCAATCAAGTTATTATTAATCATTAAATAACATTTGAAAGGCATACTTAAAAGTAAAATAACCTTTTTAGAAAACTAATTACTACCCAAAGCATCTATTTTCCCCTGTCACAAAACAAATGTTTGTGAAAGATGCTATAGCCTTCTAGGAAATGTGGTCAACCTTAGTCAAAATCACAGTGCTTCTGTCTAAGGGTGACCCAAAACACCATTCAGAATAGTAATTTATTGTGATGCCTTTTAAAAAGAAATCATCTCTTGTCTACATACAATTGCTACTTATTAATACCCAATGTGATATCTGGACTAAGTCCATGTTGCATGACACATATTAGACAGTAATGATTTTTTAGATACAACAAAGGCACATTTTTTAAACCTATGACCTGGAAGTGAAAGACTTTAAATTCCATTAATAATTTCTTGAGACAGCAGCCTCCCTACTGTGAAGTCCAGGGAAAGGTGTGCATCTGTTATTAATATATTACCATAATGTTCCAACCATCTGCCTAAATAAAAACTAGGATGGGGAAGTATTTAAATAAATATTCTTTCTGAGAAGGAGACTAATTAGGATGTAAAATTCCAGAGCCTTTTACCAAAAATCAATACTAGATCAGTAGTATTTTTTCTTCTACTATGGCTTTTTTAACTACTATTTTTTTTTTAAAAGACTGAGTTTCCAAAATCTACTGGAATAAGCAGGAAAACACTAGATCTGTGAGCTCTATTCCTAGATTATGTTTGTTGATATATTGGCTTCAATAAACCACATGGCAACTAGCAGCCTGCCATTTGCTATTGTCCTTGATGTGTTACCCAATGTGGGAACAGAGCTTCATCCAAACAGCTTATCTGATAAGACATTCACAGCTGAACACATTAGTTACACCTCTCACAGGTAAATGGAGAACAAAGTTTATACATAATGGCTTAAGCTCTATTCTAGCAGTGTATTCTTGCATTCCAAAATCCTAGAACAAGTTGGTTTGATTTTGTTTTCAAACCCCTTGGTTGAGCTTTCTGTCCTTGCGGTGTATTATTCTTCCTTCTGGGTTTGATCATGGGGGAAAAGAGTCCTGGCCGTTATCCTCCAACTGTGCTGATGTCTTCACCTGTCTTAGGCCTCAGGACATAATCTTAATTTTTACAGACATGACTCGAAATGCACCTCTGGTTGGCTTAGATAGCTGATCATCATCTCTAGCAAAACTTTTAAGTCTCTAAAATTGCCTTTGTCTTCTGGTTAGTCTCATGTGAAAATGAGATGTAGGAGGGAAAGACAGAGGACAAATTCTCCACATTGGAGCAAAGGAAGAGGTCAAATGCTCAAGCTCACTCAGACCCACGGTATGGACTAATAGCAGTGCTGTCAGAAATTCTTTCTCTTTCAGAACTGGGATGCTTTCTATGTACCCATACAACATGCTGAACTCTGACCTCACGTGTATCTTTTAGAGAGTAGTTATTATTCACCAATTAACTTAGTTAGTTTCTAGTCCTTGCATATTGATGTTTTCTATATCTTATGGCACAAAACAGACTAAACAGTTGTACAGTATGAAATGTATATTGAGTTTGTACCTGAAATTGTGCCAGATAGTTGGTATACAGAAATCATTATCACCTGGTCCCTTTCCTCTAGGTGTTTGTCTTACAATGGAGAAGGCATACATAGAAAGACTAAGATACAATAGAAAGAGAGGAACATAAACAGACATTCATGGGAAAGCTGTGAAAGCCCACAAGAATGACTTACTCTCACACACAGTCCAGTCAGGAAAAAATATCAGGCTATTATGACACAGATCATGGAATCAAATCAGATAGAGAAGTGCATAAAGGACATTTCAAACCAAGATTCTTCATCCCAAAAAATGTTTCCAGTTAGTTGGTTGCACTTATTTTTTCAATGGGTTTGTTACAGAGTAGCCTAATCAATATTCATGTTGAAATGACTAATAGTCTTTTAAAACATGTATGAATAGAAGTATTGGCAGCAAAGAAAAAAGAAAAAAGCATTCTCTTCTGGAAAAAGAATATTGGCAGTGTGGCAATTCTGGACTTCTTTCTGAACAATACTGCCTGTTTTCCTAGTGGTGGTTTATTGTGCATATATCAACTCAAGTGTTAATGGATATTTTGTGTATATTCAGTGTCTGCCACAGCTCTAAATGCTTTACACATACTGCATTTTCTTGGTTCTAAGATGTATGCTTCTTCCACATTTTAACAACCTTTGACATTGGAATATGCCTTACACATGATGGCTTATAAGAATTTAATTGGTGGCATTTTCTTTTTTCCTAGTGGTACATAAAATAATGCTGTACCTTTAAATCAATAACATTGTCATATTAATTAAATAGCATGGTAATTCTTTCAAAACCCACATCATTCTATGTAAAATCTGCATTTTAAAGAGAAGATAAGACACTTACATAGGTTACATACCTAGTCAGCATCAGAGCCAGTAAACAAATCCCAGGAGTATGGACTCCATGTTTGTGCTCTCAGACACTGTCTGTAATGCCTCTCAAACAATACTGCATATTACAAACCAGACCTTTTGTTCTATAATAAGATCACACCTACTGAAGAAAATATAAAACATCTTATTCATATTAATTTTTAACAGAAAGTGTTTTTGTAGTACACTACACAGAAAAAAAAAAAAAACATTGTGGCACAAGATGACCGTGAAAGAAATAGAAACCTTCAAGCAGGCATGCAAAGACTCCAATACTTTCTCCATGTAGAAGAACATCGTATGTAATTACTAATGGCAATTCCATATTAGAAGTTGTGAAGAATCAGGAGAAAAGCACCTGGTAGGGAATTGCTGAGTATATTACCAACACTGAGTATATGGTAACTATAGAAATTACATAAGGCAGAGTTTCTCCAGCCCAGCCTTCCTGACATTTTGGAACAGGTAATTTTTTGTGGTAGAGAGCTGTCCTTTTCATTGTCCTTTTATTTAGCGGTATCCTTGGCTCTACCCAGTACATGCCAGTAACACTCCCACAAGGTGACAAGCAAAAATATCTCCAGACATTGCCAAATGCCTGTTGGGGAACAAAATCGTCCTCAGTTGAGTACCACTGATTTGAAGTATCTTCTATTATCTCATATATTCTGTAGCACACAGAAGATATTCAATGTGTGCTGTTGATGATAGGAGTGAAGAATAGATGAATGGGTGAGAGAAAGAAAGAAAAGGCAAGAAGGAGGAAAAGAGGGAGACAGGAACAGAGCATCTACACTATTTACTAATATTCAATCAATAGCAGTTAATTTTAACTCTAAATTCAGAGACTAGATAGTATTCAGTAGTACTATAAACCAAACAGAAAACTCACTCCTTAATGCAATATCATATTTAGTAACTCTTATATGTTATTTTAGAAAGGATTTATGTAGAATGTCAACCACAAGAGTGAAAAATAACTGTTCCCTTAAGAGTGCAATGGTTATAGATCTGATTTTCTTAAGCATATTATGAGTTTGTTTAAAAGAGTTAATAAACAGTGTTATTGACAGACGCATGCTCATTTCATTGAGACAAAACTGTAATTGAATTGATAGGTAATGACCCTTTAAATCATAAGAAAAAAACCCAAGTGGATTCTTGTATAAACCCCGAGGCAGAATTTCTCTACATTAGTCATATTATTATTGATATACTGTCATGCTGATATTAATACTCCTGAATGATGCTGCATCAATAAGGCATTAAAGTTTTTATATTTTCTGTTCTTATGAGGAAGTTTTAGAAAATATAATAAAAAGGAATAGCTCTGTGCTAACAATATAAATGTATTCCAAATGCATTTATCCATTCCGTAAATATTTATTGAGCACCAATCCAGAAATTGTGACATAATTGTAAGCTTTGTTCTTGAAATATATAATAATAAAAACCCAACTCTGTGGTTCAAATATGTGTAATTAATATGTTGTTATTTGCATTTATATGTTCTAGCTATCTAGAGGTTAGGTTTTTGTCATTAATAAAAATATGTAGTTTAATTCTTAAAGTACTAAAATGCCCTCCTCCCCTAAGACATTCCACCATTAGCTAAAATAAAGATAATGACATAGAGGTGGCTGGGCGCAGTGGCTCACGCCTGTAATCCCAGCACTTTGGGAGGCCAAGGCAGGCGAATCACGAGGTCAGGAGATCGAGACCATCCTGGCTAACACAGTGAAACCCCATCTCTACTAAAAATACAAAAAAACTAGCCAGGCGTGGTGGTGGGCCCCTGTAGTCCCACCTACTCGGGAGGCTGAGGCAGGAGAATGGCGTGAACCCGGGAGGTGGAGCTTGCAGTGAGCCAAGATCGCGCCACTGCACTCCAGCCTGGGGACAGAGCAAGACTCTGTCTCAAAAAAAAATAAATAAATAAATAAATAAAGACATAGAGGTATCTTATTTCACAGTTGTAGCTACTTTCACCAACAATCTGTCTCTCTTGATGCTCAAAACCACTCTGTGAGCTTGAGCAGGTTTCATTATTATTATTTATCCATTTTAAGATGGGCAAATGGAGATTTTTAAGAGATTAAGAGACTAACCTGAGAATATCACACATTTAGTCAGTGAGGAAAAAAAATGGGATTTTTTTTATTCCAAGCACTATTTTTATTACACTATAGTAATGTTTCATTCATTTTTTATAATAATAGATAATAGAAAATTATTCTTGCATTTCTGTTTAATAAAATATATTCTTAAAGCAGTGCTTCTCCAATAGAACTGGGTGTCAAAATCACCTGAGTCAGTGAGTCTGGGTAGTTCATGATCCACTCTTTGAGAAACATTGCCTTTAAATATTAATATATTCATATTCTAATATTTGAAAATGAATGAATACATTAGATTATATTCCCTAGGCTCAGAAAAATTCTTTAGAATGGAGATAAAATAGAGAAAAGGCAAACAGGACTGAATGGTAAGGAAAGGCTGTTAAAAAAAAAATGGAATCAGGTAGTAACATGAATTCCACCCATTGTATGGATTTGCCTTCAGGAATCCTTGCCATGAGCCACACTTTTAAGATGATGCTTATCCTCAACCATCTATTTTGAATTAGAAAACCCATTTCCCCCTAATTGCTTTTACAGTAATGCCAAGCACATAACCAAATTTCCAATGACTGTTTTTTTTTTAGAACTAATCCAATGTCAGCTTGATCTTGTGTGTATATCATAGTAAGTCTTGAAAAATTTGTGTGTCCTCTGTTCTGTGTCTTAGAGGTTCTTGACCTAGACTATTTGGTAGTCCTGTAAATTTTTAGTAATGTTTGTTTCAATGTAAGAGATTATATCATACCCAAAGATTGAAATTATAAGCCCACTTAACATCCCATTTAGTAGAAAGGAAGAAATGTCAAAAGTGATAAAATATGTCAGTATCTAGAAAATAATAAAAATTTTACATTTATATGGTGACTTGGAGTGTTCCCAAGATGCTTTAACATGTATTGTCTTATCTGCTATAGACCTATAAACCAGGCAGCAGGAGTCATGGTCTCACCTTTCATAGGAGGACTTAAAATTACAATGATGTTAAGTGATGTATCTATGGCCACATGCCTAGAAACAACACAAAAGTGTACTTCATCTGACTCCTAAACTAGAAGGCCTTCCTATAAAGTATATATCAAATGCTAAAGGGTTTTACACCTGTCCATGCTTTTTCTATGCCTTCTTCAATACTTTCTTTTTCTTTTGTGGTTACATGATATCTATGCTCCCCAAAGATTTGCCCTATGCCTTCTGCTCTTCTTCCTCTACATTTTATCCCTGAGTCATGTGATCCAAATATTATTTTCCATTTCAATTTCCTTATTACCAATACTGCCTAAATTTATGTTTTCAATTTCATCCATATATTTATACATTCAACTATCTAATGAATTATATCTCCTTAGATATAATTACAGGTGTGTCTAACTCATTGTTAATGAATATGACCTCACCGTGTACACTAATGAAACTGCTTCTCCTGTATTATCTCTCTCCTGGAGAACGATATTATCATGAACTCAGTTGCCCAAGATGGAAGTCTGAAAGTTATTTTAGACTGTTTCGTCTCATTGCCCACTCCCCACATCCAAAGGCACAAGCCACAGTTCTAGTGGATTCGACTTCTAAAATAGTATCTACCATTTTCTCTTCTCTACCCCTGCTGTCACTGCCTCCCTTTGTCACTTCATTTTATCTTTCCTGAATCACAATAATATTTTTCTAACTGGTCTCTCTTTAGCTTCTCCAATTTCTACTGATTATAGCTGCCAAAAAATATTTTTGAAAACAAATCTGGTCATGTTGATCGCATGCCTCCCTGAGGAATTTGCCAGTGCTTTCAAAATCAAGATCAACCATTAGTTTAGCTCATATTTCTGATTTCTGCTTCTATCCTCTGCCTCTCTGCTGACTCATACTTCCACCCACCATACTTCTTTGGCCATATGTGACTTTCACTTCAGCTATACCAAACTACTAACAATTCTTCAAACACATCATGCATTTTCTCTCTCCCAAACATGCTGGAAAGTCATTTATTCCCTACCCCATGACCTTGACATAGTTAAGTACTTTTCCCCCAGAACTCAGCTCAGATATCACATTATACATAAAACATTTTTCTATCTAACCACACTCTAATTTATATGCTTCCTAATTGTATTTCCATTTATGAAGAGCCATAAGATGTTCATACACTTTAAACATGTATTTATCCTTAAAAATTCCAAAATATAGGAAAGGTTATCAGTATGAAGTAATTGGCCTCTTCTAGGAAAACACCTAACTTTTTAGACTTTCAACTTCTGTGACTTCTAAACTTATTACACAATACTTCAGTACATCAACTGAAAATGAATATTTTGAGCTATTGTTTTGCTCTTGGAAACACTCAGGTTTGGCAGTGTTGACATCAGTTTTTCTCTTCAGCAATATTTGTGCAATTAGTTTGATATATTATTGAATGTTATGGTTATTTTGTAAATAATGTAAAAATTAGAAGAAAAGAAAAAAATTGCTGATACAAGTAAAAATACTGGTTATACAAGTGTAATAAAACTGCAAAAAAATAGAAATCAGGAAATTTTTGGCTTCAGTCAGTCACTCACTAGAATTTAACTGGTTGGCAGTGTCCCACTGCAAATAAAAGAACAAAAGCCTTCTGTGAATAACTGTGGGAAACATATTGTCTTAAAAGAAATACAGTCATGGATTTTATAAATTCTTTAGCTTTGGAGAATGGACTTTCCCTTATAACTAGTAAGAATATTGTACAAATTTCACACATTGTACTTTCATAGACCTATCTAGGAATGCATTATATTTTATCACACGGGCCTATTTGTACCCATGAAAACTGAGAAGCAATCTAGATATGCATCAGTAGAATGGGAACAAATTAATTGATGCCACAGTCACTAGATAGAATATTATGCAGCCTTTATTAAGAAGGCTATGTGAGAATCTGAAAACATAGTTATAATTTGGTAGTAAATTGAATGGCAAATTAAACATTGTGTGCCTATTATTAATTCATTTTATTTATATATATATCAATAATATATCCCTATATATCAATAATATATCATTATATATATCACAATGGAAAATTATTTGAAAGGGTTATATCAAATTTACTAAGCTCTTTAGTTTCAAGAGTGACATTATAGATAATTTATCTCTATATTTCAAGATCTTTACAATTGTTATTATTTCTAGAAATAATTAGATCATAAATTTCTAAAAGTTTAGGAGGAGGCTATTTCTATAAGCTCAACATTGAACAAGGAATGAACATCAATCATATATAAAATAAATATATTGGGGCTTTGTAAATCCTCTATTGAAGAGAAAGTGTATTTTCAGTTATAAAGGGAGGCAGATGTATATTAGTCAGAAGCATGATTTTGCTGTCTATTTTTTAAACTTAAATATGATGAAAAGAGCTGTGGGTAGATGTCAAGGTGACAAGGGCTGAAAAATACTGAACTGTTCTATTGTCAATTTGTTTACATGGAGCAATGTTTTCTAGAATCCCCTTATCATATCATTTCATCTTAGAGTTGGCTAAATGATAAGTTGCATGAGATTTGGGAGATAGAGGTGAAACATCAGCCATTACACTCTAAATATCAACACTGGTTGGTGGCAAGGAGAGAAAGGTGCCAAGGATATCTGACGTGTTCCAGTTTGCCTTCCTTTCCTACTCAGCAACCAGCTTTCCTTATCAACTGTTGGCCATAATAACTAACAGAGGCCCAAGGCCTATTACCACAATTTAGATGTGCACTAACCCAGAAAGGCAGGAGTCACAAAGTACCAACTTCCATAGATGCCTGCATCAGCCTTCTTTATGGTCCTACTCTAGTAGTATGATATGACTAGCTTCCAGAATTTCCAGCAAATTCTGACTCATTCCCTTATACTAGAAATGGCTAGGGACATTTCTCTGATCTTCTAACTTCCACCCTCCTTTGGAACACTATTGCCAGAAAGGATATAGGATCTTATATCTATAATAATTTGCTTATACCAGGATTATACTTCGGTGTACCAAACTAAAGCAGTTATTGATACCAGAAGCTGAGAGTGCCATAAAAATCTGAAATATGTTGACTGGCAGTAGACAGAAGTTATGAGTGTCTTACTGTTAGTAAAGGCCTGAAAGACAGACAACTTCTATTAGAGGCTGAAGAAAAGGGGATCTAACATGGAAAATTAAGCTATCAAGTAATCACATATAGTCGAATTGGAATAGATAGCGGTACTGAAAAGTAGAGGTTGAGTTTTCTCCTAAAGCAATATATATGATTACAGATGAACTCTGATTAGGGAAATGGTTACTCCAGGGGTGCTTGTTAAAATAATGTGGATTGCACCTAACTTCCAGACTTTCTGCTTCAGTCATCAAAGAAAGGTCCAGGAACCTGCGTTTTTTAAAAAGACCCTAAAGGATTGTATTATCAATGAACCAATCACCATTAGACACTCAATCATAGGGAGGGAGGTGGTCATAGCGGAAAAATTAAATCAACTAGCCAGGTCAATGGAAAATGGAACACAGGTCAAATCTCACTTAAATTTATAAGCAAGAATTCTAGATATGTGCATTAGGTTGAGGAAAATGCACACAAGTCAGTCACCAAATAGAAATTTAAAATAATATAAGACATCCTCCAACTTATAGTTATTGCTCTTTTTTTGGTGGGTGAGGGTACTTGAGTATGTATATTACTATTGACAAAGTAGTTCCAAGAGAAAGTAAAAGAAACAGAAATGTAAGCACGAAAGGTAAAGTAGTCAGATTCTAACAAGGAAAGGAAAATCAGAGCTATATAGATATTACTCTTAGTTACACTATAATCTTTTCATGTAATTGCATATAAAATATCAGTTTCAAACATCAAGAGATAAGTTTTAGACTAGGAGAGAGACAGAGACTAAGGTAGAGTCTTCATACCATATCTGAAAAAAATCATTTGATCAATTAGTCCTGCTAGAGGTTAACGTCATTTCTCACAGTCTGAAGTTGCTATTGCCTTTTAAGCAAATATCTTACTCTTGTTAAAGCATTTTTATGATGACTACAGCAAATTAAAGATGATCTAAAAAATTGCTATGCTTTGGGAGGCCGAGGCAGACGGATCACGAGGTCAGGAGATCAAGACCATCCTGGCTAACACCATGAAACCCTGTCTCTACTAAAAATACAAAAAAAAATTAGCCAGGCATGGTGGCAGGCGCCTGTAGTCCCAGCTACTTGGGAGGCTGAGTCAGGAGAATGGCGTGAACCCAGGAGGGGGAGCTTGCAGTGAGCCGAGATCGCGCCACTGCACTCCAGCCTGAGCAACAGTGCGAGACTCCGTCTCAAAAAAAAAAAAAAACAAAAAAAATTGCTATGCCTGTTATGATGTTCAAATTCTATGTGTCAATTTGGCTAGGCTATGAAGCCCAGTTGTTTGTTCAAACACTGATCTAGATGTTGCTGTGAAAGTATTTTGTAGATGTGATTAACATCATCAATCAGCTGACTTTAAGTAAAGAAGATTACTCTCGACATTGTGAGTGGATCTCATGCAATCAGTTGAAGGCCCTAAGAGTTTCTTAAAGCAGAAGATATTTTGCCTCAGGACCATGACATAGAGATTTTGCCTGAATTTTTGGCCTAGCTTCCTACACTATGAAGTAAGGACCCAAACTGCAATGTTAGCTTTTGCCTGAGGTAACAGCCTGCCAGTCTGTCCTACAGATTTTGGACTTGTCAGCCCCCAGAACTGTGTAAGCCAATTCCTTAAATTTCTTTATAAGTATATATGTATACGCATGTACATACATATACACTGTTCGTTCTGTTGCTACTGACTGATACACCTCCCAGTGAGCAGCAGAGGCTATTTCCTTCCCAGAGTCTATTTTCTTCCCATCAAATCTGTGCAAGCCTTTGTGGGGTTCTTGACTAGTGAAATACAGTGGAAGTGATGTTCTTAGGACTTCTGAGGTTACATCATAAGAAACCTTGCAGCATTCACCTAGGTTTTTCATGACACTCACTCTTGGGATGCTTGTTCTTGGAAGCCAGAGCCTAACACACACGGAGAAGCATGTACAGGTTCTCCAACAAATAGTCCAGCTGAGCTCCAGCTGAAGCCAGCACCAACTGCCAGCCATGTGAGTGGTCACCTTGGATGTCCAGATGACTGCAGCCTCAAGAGAGACCCTGAGCAAGAATGTCCCCAGTCAACACACAGCACAAAAATAAAGATATTTTAAGCCAATAAATTTAGGAGTGATTTGTTATACAGCAATAGATAACTTGAGTGATGATAAAGCAAAAGGAAATGCCTCAAATAGTGCAACAAGGAAGAGAAATTTAAATATTTCTTCTTCACAGAAGAAATACCACAGAAAAATTATTATGGACCCAAGGGCCAAAGATTTAGAATTAACTTATTTTAAATTTTATTTTTAATTTGGCTTCTTGCAAGTGAGAATTAAAATACAAATCTGAACACTACCCAAAGCACATTTTTATCATAAATTTCTCTGCCATCAGATATATAATCTTTAAAAAACTACTCACAGAGAAGTGTCTGGTGAAAACTGAACACAAGTAAAATCTGTATAGGCCAAGGAGCTTTTCTGTAATAATCTGCAAGGATAATGCTACCATCTAATCAACCTAATTTGCAAAATGCCAAAAGCCAGTAGTATGTAATCTTGGGTAATTTAGATTAACATCGATTTCTGAAAGATGGGCAAAAGCAAAAAGTAAATTATTTTAATATATAGATGGAGCATTATAAATTCTGGGAAAATGTGCATTTTGTCCTCTTTATGTTTTTCTAAAAGCAAAACTATATGATGCTTTTCAGAGACAAGGTAAAGATGATAATGAATATTAGATCGCTGTTATTTGGGGTATAATTACACTTAATAGAATAATCATCACCTAAATCAGAATTTATAATGATCAAATGGGATAAAACCGTGTTGATTTTAAAATAAAGGGAAAGGTATGAATGTTTTTCTTTTTAGAAAGGGCAATATTTTTATCTTTAAGATCTCTTTTGACTATGATAGATATAGTGGTAAACAAAGACATAGAAATAGGTGAAGACATAGTCTGTGTGCTCCAGAATGTGAATAAAGGCTATCCTTTGCACTTATGCGATTTGCTGGATGTAGTTAAATGGAAAAATCATGACCCACACAACTGGAACTATGTGGTTTCAG
Source organism: Homo sapiens (assembly GCF_000001405.40). Taxonomy (NCBI): domain Eukaryota; kingdom Metazoa; phylum Chordata; class Mammalia; order Primates; family Hominidae; genus Homo; species Homo sapiens. Next base: position 81,058,393 of record NC_000009.12, read on the forward strand.
TTTCAAACACACAACTTCAAGACAGAATAGAAATGGTTATCACACTGACATTCACTTCTTATGCAGAAGACTGGAGGTAGTAGAGTCACCTCAAACTTAAGACTATCCTATTAAAAAAATAGAAAGAAAAGTAAGATTTTAAAGCCCAGGCTCTCTTGCTGTTACCTTGATCCTTATGAAATCAGTTAAACTTTACAGATTAAAATCTTAAAAACATGTACAATTTAATTCTACAGCCCCTTAAAGTCATACTAAATCTTTTTCTAACACTGATGTGAGGAAGGGGAATTATATACACCTTAAGGCATTAATTTCAAAATTTTACTCAACTGGGGAGAGACTTACACCAGGATATTTTCAAAAATCTATGTCAAAAGAAAGATTAAGAGCTTCTGTGCTATTTCTTTCTTAATATTTGAGAAATTTTTCATCTATTCGTTAAGAAATGAGGTTGTATCTTTGATAATGTATGTCCATATAAAGAGATCATTCAGAAAAAGTGGATTTGCCTTTCCCTCACCATCATGTTAATTGTGCATATAATAATTACCTAATGAGTCAGGGCAGCTAACTCAGCATATTCTTCCCTTTCTTATATTAGCTCATCATTCCAAAATTCAAAGAACACCATGAATCACAGCATTCATGCATTGATATTCTGAAGAAAACAATTCTGCTTAACTTGTAAAGTTGTATGACAGATACAATTAGTAAAAAAGAGGTTTCTGTGCTGTTATTTTCCGTGGGAGAAAAAAAAACACAAATTGTTCTCAATCTTTGTGTTATTTCAAAGCACTCTTTACTGAAAGGAATCGTGTTGTGTAAGAAAGACAAAGTACAAGAATGCAACAATGCAACAAAAATATTTTTCAAAGCAAAATAGCCTAACCTATTGAAAGTAGTTTGATGCCATACAGCTAGTCCCAATGACTCCTTGCTTCATAGTTTCCCAGATGTTGTATACCAGAATGCTATTTGAACTGTATCATTCCAAACAAGAGGCAATGAAATATCTTTACATGCTGAACTTGGCAGCAACACATTCTCTCCCTCTTCCTCACTCCCAATCTTACAGGTTAATACTGTAATGTCAGATTTTTAAAATATATTTTAAAAATATTTTCCCAAAGACTTGATTAGTTGTTCATTTGTAGTTAAAATGACACCAAGAAATGTATGATAGAAAAACTGAAGAGTTCTCTAGGAGGCTTGAATTGTTTCAGCAATGGACATTGGGCTGTGGGGCATGGGGGACAGCACCAGGGAGCTCTAAAATGCAAAGTCTCCCTGAGAACAGTCTCTGTCGTAAAACCCATCTCTACAGTGACATCTCTAAGAAGGTTAAACCTCTTTTGGATTAAGTGCCCAATGGAGAATTTGAAACCCCAGAGTTAAGCCAACTTAATCAAGAATGAACGTTTTAGAGGGCAAACAAAAGGGTTTGTGGAATTGAACTGGGTAAACATCTTTCTCTCAAATCATTTGATACAGTTTGTTCTAGTATATTCTTTCTATCCATGTCATTTATCTCTATCAATCAATCAATCAGTCATCTATCTGTCTATCATCTTATGCAGTCAAATAATGTAAAAAAACACTCCATCATGAGGGTAGGCAACTGTGCCCATAGAAGGCCAGGAAGCTAGAAAGTTAAAGTACAAGGAAAAGGAAAAAACTGGGCCACTTACATCTCTAGACCTGTAAGCGAGCCCAGGTTCAGCTGCTTGCCACTTGAAAGCCAGACACAAGAGATGATTGTTGGTGAGAGGAAAAACAAGTTTATCTGAAGGTCCAACAAACTGAGAAGATGGTGAACTAGCATTCTAAAGTACCATCTTACCTTTCTTCAGGTTGACCAGAGGATTTTTATGGGAGGGAAATATGGGGAAGAAGAGGGGGCTGATATCAAGAGGTACTAATGACCACAGACATCTGGGGGTCAGAGAGGGTCCAAGGAGGTTGGAAACTTGTTTATCCTTGGTCAGGCCACAGTGCTCTTATAAATCTTTAACAAAACATAGTTGTTTATATACTTCTTTAATCCCAGAGTTAATTTTAAAAATTACATGGTCACTGTTTTTGCATATTATCTCAGTGCTCTAAAATTATCCTAGCCTACATGCAGGAATGGGTAAAGGCCTCTTAAATAAAACTTGAGTTAGTTACATTAGTTCTTTTGCTATTTCACAGTTACAGGCTTGGTACTATAAAGGCCAGGGAGTCTTCTAAGCTCATTTGAATCAGAGTGCCTTCAAGTATTTGAGACAAAGCAAGTAAAACAAATGATGCTTTTGTTTACTTTTTTACTTTTTAATTTTTGTGGGTACATGGTAAGTGTATGCATTTATGGGGTATATGAGCTATTTCAATCCAGGTATGTAATGCATAATAATTATATCATGGAAAATGGGGTATCTATCCCTTTAAGCATTTATCTTTTGTGTTACAAACAATCCAATTATACTCTTTACTTTTAAATGTACATTAAATTATGATTGACTATAGTCACCCTGTTTGGCTATCAAATACTAGGTCTTATTCATTCTTCTATTTTTTGTACCCATTAACAATCCCTACCTCCTGTCCATAATCCCACTACCCTTCCCAGCCTCTGGTAACCATCTTTCCACTCTCTGTCTCCATGAGTTCAATTGTTTTGATTTTTAGATCCCACAAATAAGTGAGAACATGCGATATTTGTTTTTCTGTGCCTAGCTTCTTTCTTTTAACATAATGACCTCCAGGTCCATCCATGTTGTTGCAAATGACAGAATCTCATTATTTTTTATGGCTGAATAGTACTCCATTTTCTTTGTCCATTAATCCGTTGATGGAAACTTAAGTTGCTTCCAAATCTTGGCTATTGTGAACAGTGCTGTGAACAAACATGGGAGTGCAGATATCTCTTCAATATGCTGATTTCCTTTCTTTTTGCTATATACCCAGTAGTGGGATTGCTGGATTGTATGGTAACTGTATTTTAGTTTTTGGAGCAACTTCCTAACTATTCTCCATAGTGGTTGGACTAATTTACATTCTCCCAATAGTGTACAGGGTTTTCTTTTCCACATCCTCGCCAGCATTTGATATTGCCTGCCTTTTGGATATAAGCCATTTTAACTTGGATGAGACAATATCTCATTGTAACTTTAATTTGCATCTCTCTGATGATCAATGATGTTGAGCACTTTTCATATGCCTGTCTGCCATTTGTATGTTTTCTTCTGAGAATGTCTATTCAAAATATTTTTCCATATTTTGGTCAGATTATTATAATTTTTTCCTATAGAGTGGTTTCAGCTCCTTATATATTCTAATTATGAATCTCTTGTCAAATGAGTAGTTTGCAAATATTTTCTCCCATTCTGTGGGTTGTCTCTTCACTTTGTTGATTGTTTCCTTTGCTTTGAAGAAGCTTTTTAACTTGATGTGATCCCATTTGTCCATGTTTGCTTTGGTTGTCCTGTGCCTATGGGGTATTACTCAAGACATTTTGCCCAGACCAATGTCCTAGAGAGCTTTCTCAATGCTTTCTAATAGTAGTTTTATAATCTGAGGTCTTACATTTAATTCTTTAATCCATTTTGATTTTTTGTATATGGCAAGAGATAGGGGTTCAGTTTCATTCTTCTGCCTATGGATACCCAGTTTTCCCAGCACCATTTATTGAAGAGAATGTCTTTTCCCCAGTTGTTCTTGGCATCTTTATCAAAAATGAGTTCATTGTAGGTGTGAGGATTTCCTTCTGGGTTCTCAATTCTGTTCTATTGGTTTATGATATGGTTTGATGTGTCCCCACCCAAATCTTACCTTGAATTGTAGCTCCCATAATCCCCATGTGTCATAGGAGGGACCCAGTGGGAGGTAACTGAATCATGGGAGCAGTTACCCTCATGCTGTTCTTGTGATAGTGAGTTCTCACAAAATCTGATGGTTTTATGAACGGCTTTTCCTCCTTTTGCTCATACTGCTTCTTGCTGCAGCCATGTGAGAAAGGATGTGGTTGATTCCCCTTTTGCCATGATTGTTTCCTGAGTCCTCACCAGCCATGCTTAACTGTGAGTCAATTAAACCTCTTTCCCTTTTAAGTTACCCAGTCTTGGGTATGTCTTTATGAGCAGTGTGAGAATAGACTAATACAGTTAAATTGGTACCACAGAGAGTGAGGCACTACTGTAAAGATACCTGAAAACATGGAAGCTACTTTGGAACTGGGTTAACAGGCAGAGGTTGGAACTGTTTGGAAACCTCAGAAGAAGACAGGAAAATGTGGGAAAGTTTGGAACTTCCCAGAGACTTGGAGGGCTCAGAAGAGAGGAAGATGTGGGAAAGCCTAGAGACTTGTTGAATGGCTTTGACCAAAATGCTGATAGTGTTATCGACAATGAAGTCCAAGCTGAGGTGGTCTCAGATGGAGATGATGGACATTTTGGAAACCGGAATAAAGGTCACTCTTGCTACGCAAAGAGACTGGTTGCATTTTTCCCCTGTCCTAGAGATCTGTGAAACTTTGAACTTGAGAGAGGTGATTTAGGGTACATGGCAGAAGAAATTTCTAAGCGGCAAAGTGTTTAAGAGGAAGCACAGCATAAATGTTTTAAAAATGTGTAGCCTTACAATGCAGTAGAAAAGGAAAAACCATTTTGGGGCGAGAAATTCAATTTGGCAGTAGAAATTTGCATGAGTAACAAGGAGCCAAATAATCACCAAGACAAAAGGGAAAAATGTTTCCAGGACATGTCAGAGACCTTCATGGCAGCCCCTCCCATCACAGGCCCAGAGGCCTAGGAGGGAAAAATGGTTTAATGAGTCGGGCTTGCGTCCCCCCTGCTGCTCTGTGCAACCTCAGGACTTGGTGTGCTGCATCCCAGTCATGCTATAAGGGGACAACATACAGCTCAGGCTGTTGCTTCAGAGGCTGCAAGCCCCAAGCCTTGGCAGCTTCCATGTGGTGTTGGTCCTGTGGGTGCACAGAAGACAAGCAATGAGTTTTGTGAACCTCCACCTAGATTTTCAGAGGATGTATGAAAATGCCTAGATGTCAAGGCAGAAATCTGCTGCAGGGTAGGAGAACCTCTGTTATGGCAGTGCAGAGGGAAATGTGGGGTTGGAACCCCCACACATAGTCCCCACTGGGGCACTGCCTAGGAGAGCTGTGAGAAGAGAGCCACCATCCTCCCTACCCCAGAATGATAGATCCACTGACAGATAGCAGTATGTGCTGGGAAAGGGGCTGTACCCTGCAAAGCCACAGGGGCAAAGCCGCCTGAGGCCATGGGAGCTCACCTCTTGCTTCAGTGTGCCCTGGATGTGAGACATGGAGTCCATGGGAGACATGGGATCATTTTGGAACTTTAAAGTTTAATGACTTCCCTATTGGATTTCTGAGTTGCATGGGGCCTGTAGCCTTTTTATTTTGCCAATTTCTCCCATTTGGAATGGGTGTATTTACCCAATGCTGTACTTCCATTGTATCTAGGAAGTAACTAACTTGCTTTTGATTTTACAGGATCATAGGCAGAAGGGACTTGCCTTGTCTCAGATAAGACTATGAACTCAGACTTTGGGGTTAATGCTGAAGTAAGTAAAGACTTTGGGGAACTGCTAAGAAGGGTATGGTATGATTGGTTCTGAAATATGAGGACATGAGATTTGGAGGGACCAGGGGCAGAATGATATGGTTTGGCTGTGTCCCCACCCAAATCTCATAATGAATTCCAGTTCCCATAATCCCCATGTGTCATGGGAGGAAACTGGTGGGAGGTAATTTAATCATGGGGGCAGTTACCTTCATGCTGTTCTTGTGATAGTGAGTTCTCATGAGTCCTGATGGTTTTATAAGGAGCTTTGCCTTCTTTTGCTCAGCACTTCTCCTTGCTGCCACCATGTGAAGAAGGACATGTTTGCTTTTCCTTCACCATGATTTAAGTTTCCCTATTCCTTGCCAGCCATGCTGAACTGTGTGAGTCAATTAAACCTCTTTTCTTTATAAATTACCCAGTCTTGGATATCTCTTTCTTAACAGTGTTAGAACAAACTAATAAAGTCTATGTGTCTGTTTTTTTGCCAGCACCGTGCTGCTTTGGTTATTATAGCTCTGTAATATAATTCGAAGTCAGGTCATTTGATTCCTCCAGTTTTTCCCTTTTTGTTTGGGATAGCTTTGCCTATTCTGGATCTTTTGTGGTTCCATATAAATTTTATGATTTTTTTCTATTCCTGTGAAGAATGTCATTTATATTTTGAAAAGGGATTACATTAAATCTGTAGATTGCTTTGGGTTGCATGGACATTTTAACAATACTTCTTTTAATTTATAAACATATATTTTCATTTTTTGTTTTCTCTTCAATTTCTTTCATCAATGTATTCTAGTTTTCATTGTAGATATCTTTTACTTCTTTGATTAAGTTAATTCCTAGGTAGTTAATTTTATTTGTGGCTACTGCAAATGAGATCACTTTTAAAATTTCTTTTTCAGTTTGTTTACTGTTGGCATATAGAAATGTTACTGATTTTGGTATGCTGATTTTGTATCCTGCACCATTACTGAATTTATATATCAGTTCTAACAGTTTTTTAATGAAGTCGTTAGGGTTTTCCAAGTATAAGATCATATCACCTGCAAACAAGGATAATTTGACTTCCTTCTTTCCAATTTGGAAACTATCTCCTTCTCTTGTCTGATGGCTCTAGACAGGACTCCCAGTACTATGTTGAATAACAAGTGGGCATTCTTGTCATTTTCCAGATCTTAAAGGATTTTCAGTATTTTTACATTTATTATGATAGTAGTTGTGGGTCTGTCATACATGACTTTTATTATGTTGAGGTATGTTCCTTCTATACCCAGTTTTCTGAGGGTTTTTATCATGAAGCAGTGTTGAATTTTATCAAATGGATTTTCAGTACCAATTGAGATGATCATATAGATTTTGTTCTTCATTCTGTTGATATGATGTATTACATTGATTAATTTGCTTAAGTTGAACCATCCTTGCAACCCTGGGATAAATCTCACTTGGGATAAATCATCTCACTTGGGATCAATCATCTTTTTAATGTATTATTGAATTCAGTTTGATAGTATTTTGTTAAGGATTTTTGCATCAATATTCATCCAAGATTGGCCTGTAGTATTCTTTCTTTGATATGTCTTTATCTGGTTTTGGTATCAAGGTAATAATAGCCTTGTAGAATAAGTATGAAATTATTCCCTCCTCCTCTGTTTTTTTGGAATAGTTTGAGTAGGATTGGTATTAAGTCTTCTTTAAATGTTTAGTAGAATTTAGCAGTGAAGCCACTGGGTCCCAGGCTTTTCAATGCTGAGAGAATTTTTGTTACAGCTTCAATCTCATTACTTGTAATTGGTCTGTTCAGGTTTTGAATTTCTTCATGGTTCAATCTTGGTAGCTTGCACATGTCTAGGAGTGTATTCATTTCCTCTAGATTTTTATCGGCATATAGTTGCTCATAATAGCCACTTATAATCCTTTGAATTTCTGTGGTATCAAGTTGTAATGTTTCCTTTTTCTTCTCTGATTTTATTTATTTGAGCCTTCACCTTTTTTTCTTCATTAGTCTGACTAAAGGTTTGACAATTTTATTTTTTCAGAAAACCAACTTTTGGTTTCATTAATTTTTTTATATTGTTTTCTTCATTTCAACTTTTTTTCTGCTGTGATTTTTATTATTTCTATTATTCTGCTAATTTTAGGTTTGGTTTGCTCTTGCTTTTTCAGTTCTTTATCATGCATTGTTATGTTATTTGAAGTTTTTCTTCCTTTTTGATGTAGGTGCTTATGGTTATAAATTTCTGTCTTAGTACTTTGCTGTATCCCATAGGTTTTGGTATTTTATGTTTCTATTATCATCTGCTTCAATAAATTTTTCAATGTCTGTCTTAATTTCTTCATGGACCCACTGGTCATTCAGGAGCATATTGCTTAATTTCAATGTGTTTGTATAGTTTCCAAAATTCCTCTTGTTATTAACTCCTAGTTTTATTCCATTGTGATCAGAGAAGAGGCTTGATATTATTAAAATGTTTCAACTGTTTTAAGACATGTTTTGTGAGCTAACATATGTTCTGTCCTTGAGAATAACCTATGTGCTGAGGAGAAGAATGCATTCTGTAGCCATTGGATAAAATGTTCTGTAAATTATATTAGGTCCATTTGTTCTATAGTGCAAATTAAGTCTCATATTTCTTTGTGGATTTCCTGTCTGGGAGATCTGTCCAATGCTGAACATGGGGTGTTGAAGTCTCCAGCTATTATTGTATTGAGGTCTATCTCTCTCTGTATTTCTAATAATATTTGCCTTATATATCTGGGTGCTCCAATGTTGGGTCCATATATATTTACAAGCATTTATCTTCTTGCTGAATTGGCCCCTTTATCATTATATAATGAACTTTTTGTCTCTTCTTACAGTTTTTGTCATGAAGTCTTCTTTGTCAAATATAAGTATAGCTACATCTGCTCTTTTTTGGCTTCTATTGGCATAGAATATCTTTTTTCATCCCTTTATTTTTTATCTATTTTTTCTTTGTAGGTGAAGTGTGTTTCTTGTAGGCAACAGATCATTCAGTCTTGTTTTGTCATTCTTTTAGCCATTCTATGCATTTTATTAGATAGTTTAGTCCATTTACTTTCAATGTTATTATAGAAAGTAGGGACTTACTCTTGTAATTTTATTGCTTGTTTTGAGGTCTTCTCTGCATTCTTTTCTTTCTTTCTTCCTTTTAGTGAAGGTGATTTTCTTCGGTGGTTTTAATTTCTTGCTTTTTATTTTTTTTGTATTCATTGCATTTTTTTAATTTGAGGTTACTATGAGGCTTGCAAATGCAACTTATAACCCATTTTTCTAAACTGATAACAACTTAACACTGATTACATAAAAAAAAACAACATGCAAAATAAAACTAATAACCACTCTAAACTTTAACTTCATCCCCTTGCTTTTTAACTTTTTGTTCTTTCTCTTTATATCTTATTATACCAAGTATTGAAAAGTTGTTGTAGTTATTATTTTTTATTGGTGCATCATTTAGTCTTTCTACCTAAGAGTAGTTTACAAACTACAATTACAGTGTTACAATATTCTGGGTTTTTCTGTGTGCTTACTATTACCAGTGAGTTTTGTACCTTCAGATTCTTTCTTCTTATTCATTAACATCATTTTCTTTCAGATTGAAGAACTCCCTTTAGCATTTCTTGTAGGACAGGTCTGGTATTGGTGAAATTGCTCATCTTTTGTTTGTCTGGGAAAGTCTTTTTTTCTCTTATATGCTTGAAGAATATTTTTGCCAACTATGGTATTCTAGGGTAAAAGTTTGTTGTTGTTGTTGTTGTTGTTGTTGTTGTTGTTGTTTTCCTTCAGCATGTTAAATTTGTCATTCTACTCTACTCTCTTCTGGCCTGTAAAGTTTTCATTGAAAAGTCTGCTGCCAGATGTACTGGAGTTCCACTGTATGTTATTTGTTTCTTTTCTCTTGCTGCTTTTAAAATCCTTTCTTTATCCTTCACCTTTAGGAGTTTAATTATTAAATGCCTTGAGGTAGTCTTCTTTGGGTTAAATTTGCTTGGTGTATAACCTTCTTGTACTTGGATATTGATATCTTTCTCTAGATTTGGGAAGTTCTCTGATATTTTCCCTTTGAATAAACTTTCTACTCCTATCTCTCTCTATTTTCTCTTTAAGGCCAATAACAGTTAGATTTGCCCTTTTAATGCTATTTTCTAGATCCTGTAGGCATGCTTCATTGTTTTTTATTCTTTTTTCTTTTGTCTCCTCTGACTGTGTATTCAAATAGCTTGTCTTCAAACTCACTAATTCTTCTGCTTGATCAATTTTTCTATTAAGAGACTCTGATGCATTCTTCATATGCCAATTGTATTTTTCAAGTCTCACATTTCTGCTTATTTCAATCTCTTTGTTAAATTTATCTGACAGAATTCTGAATCCCTTCTTTGCGTTATCTTAAATTTCTTTGAGTTTCTTCAGTGCAGCTATTTTGAATTCTGTCTGAAAGGTCACATATCTCTGTCTCTCTGTGATTGGTCACTGGTGCCTTATTTAGTTCATTTGATGAGGTCATGTTTGCCTGGATGGTCTTGATGTTTATAGATGTTCATTGGTGTCTGGGCATTAAAAAGTTTGGTATTTATTACAGTCTTTGCAGTCTGGGCTTGTGTCCATCCTTCTTGAGAAGACTTTTAAGTTGTTCAAAGAGACTTGGGTCCCAAGTCTAACAATATTGTGGTTTTTGCAGACTCATAGAGGTATTGCTTTGGTGGTCCTGGATGAGATCTGAAATAATTCTCTGGATTACCTGGCAGAGACTCTTGTTCTTTTCCCTTACTTTCTCCCAAACACAGTCTTTCTTTCTCTGTGCTGAGACCCCTGGAACTTGGGGTGGAATTATGTGAGCAGCCCTGTGGCCACCACCAGTGGGACTGTGCTGGGTCATAACCGAAGCCAGCACAGTATGGGTCTCACCCAGGGCCTGCTGTAACCACTAGCTGGCTGCCACCTATGTTCACTCAAGACCCTAGAGCTCTACAGTAAGCAGGCAGTGAAGCCAGCCAGGTTTGTATACAGGCAGTGAGTTCCCCCAGGCTCCAGGCAAGTCCAGATATATTGTCTGGGAGCCAGGGATTGGAGTCAAACATCTTAGAAATTTACCTGATGTTCTATTCACCTGTAGCTAAGCTGGCACTCAAACCATAATACAAAGTTCTTCCCACTTTTCCCTCCCCTTTCCACAGGCAGACGAGCCTCTCCCTGTGGGCACCACCACTACCGACCCATGGAGGGTTCTGCCAGGCCACTGCTTATGTTCACATAAAGCCCAAGGGCTCTTTGGTCAGGTTGTGGTGAATGCTGCCAGGCCTGAGACTCATCCTTTAGGGCAGTGGGCTTTCCTCTGGTCCAGGGAAGGCCCAGAAATGCTGTTCAAGTCCAAGAGCCTAGGCCTGGACAGAGGGACCCCAAGAGCCTGCTTGGCGCTCTACCCCACTGTGGCTGAGTTGGTACCTAAGGTACAAGACATAGCTCTCTTTGCTTTTTCCTCTGCTTTTCTCAAACAGAAGGGGACTTTCACCATAGCTGCAACAGCTGGGAATGTGCTGGGTTACAGCTGAAGTCAGGTGTCAGAGCCCAAGGCCCACAGTGTACTATCTGGGTATCACTGCTGGTTATTTGGAGCCTAAGGGTTCTTTAGTCAGCATCTGATGAATCCTTCTAGGACTGGGTTCTTCCCTTCAAGGCAGTAGGTTCCCTTTTGGCCCAGGGTGTGTCTAGAAATGTCTGGAGCTAGGGCCTGGAATGAGGGCTTTGCAACTCTGACAGTTACCCTATCCTACTGTAGCTAAGCTGGTATCCAAGATGCAAGACAAAGTTGTCTTCACTCTTCTCTCCTTAAGCAGAAGGAAGGAGTCTCTTTTGTTTTTGCCCACTGCACTACCTGGGGTTGGGGGAGGGATGGCACAAGCACTCTTTAGCTGCCCCAGCTGGTGTCTCCCTAGGTCACTTGCCACCCTAGTCCTCTGGCTCTGAGCCCAGCCTAGCATTAACTGTTGTCTAGAGTTGTCTAGGAATTGCAATATTTGGGCCTAGACTGCCTTTCAAGTTTATCTAAGACCCCAGAGCACTTTGACTCATGGTGGCCAGGCTTGCCAAGAAACTCCAGTTCTCACTGCAGGACGGACAATTCCCCTCTGGTTAGGTCTAGTCCAAATGCTCCCTTCATTTGTGGGTGCTGACTCAGCTCAGGACAGCTTTGCTCTCTGCTTTCCTGGGCAGCACTGAGTTCAATGTAGAGTTGCGGTACTCTCCCTCTCCTAAGCGCACACTTGCCACTTGGCCACTGTCCGAGATAAGGGAGGCATGTTATTGGCAATTCAAGACTGTCTCCTGCCCTCCTCAATGCCTCTTTCAGCAATATAAAGTTAAAGCCAGGCACGGTAATTGCTCTCACCTAATTTTTTGGTTCTTGTGACTTGCTTTTCTGTGTGCAGAAAATTGTTAAAATTTGGTGTTTCTGCAGGGGGTATGAAAAGTGTAGGCTCCTATTGCACCCTCTTGCTCTGCCTTCTGGGTGCTTTTCTTTCTTTCCTTTTCTTTTTTCTTTTTCTTTCTTTCTTTTTTTTTTTTTTTTTTTTTTTTTTTGAGATGGAGTTTCACTTTTGTCACCCAGGCTGGAGTGCAATGGCACAATCTCAGCCCATTATGATCTCTGACTCCTGGGTTCCAGCCATTCTCCTGCCTCAGCCTCCCGAGTAGCTGGGGTTACAGGCATGTGCCACCACGCGTGGCTTTTTTTTTTTTTTTTTTGTAGAGATGCGGTTTCACCATGTTAGCCAGGCTGATCTTGAACTCCTGACCTCAGGTGATCCACCCGCCTCAGCCTCCCAAAGTGCTGGGATTATAGGCGTGAGCCACCGTGCCCGGCCTCTTAAGATATGCATCTACCTCTGCAGCACCTAATGTAGCAGTCAGTAACTGGCCAGTATTCAAGAACTTTAAGATCCTTATCTTAACCACACAGAAAACTAACAAAGGACATTTTATGCATTTTATCTTCAAATAGCCCAAACAACTAAATACAATATAGACCGTATCCCAAATTAATTCTATCACTCAATGTCTTCAGTTTGAAAAAAGATTGTACTATTTAAGAATATCGGTACAAATCTTGATTGATATTAAAAAAATTTTGACTGCCTGATTTGAAAGAAGTCAAGAGTGAAAGTAAACATCAAAAATTAAACATTTTTGAAAGTAACAAGCATCTTGTTATGGTGCATGCCCTGGCCACACTCCTAAGGAAAGCAGCACACGTACACCTATTGCTGAGGGGCTATGGTTGTGTAATGTACTGCAGGATCAGAGCTGGCCAGTTCCTAGCCTGGACGAATCAGAAAGTGTCTCTGGAATACATCCAAAGAAGGACTGTGTCTGATCCACAATGAGAGTTGAAGCAAGAAGGTCATGATGAAGAGGGGCCAGATGTACCCATGACAAGCTGCATGCAAGCTGAAAGGATGACTAAATCAGCAAGCAGAAGAAGCCTGCCACTAGAGAAAAGAGATGGAAGAAGCAAGATGAAGATAGATGGGAGCCCCAGAAAGGAGACAAGTTCCTTGAGCAGCAGTCTCCATTTTTTCAAAACAATTATTTAAAAAATAATAATAATAATTGACATGCAAAAAAAGTAACTATCTTCTTAACATTATAGCTTCCCGTGCTTAAAGACACTAGGTTCATCATGTATGCAATGTACCCTAAACATTTTCAATTTAAGTGCTGTCAGAACCTTGCTTGGCTAGCACCAACTTTTCTTTATCTTCATTCATTCTTTCTTTATATTTTTTCTGTCTCAATAACCAGTCTTGTAACTACTAAAGTATGTTTCACCAAGAAACACCTGGTTCTGCTCTCTAGCGCATGTGGGATGATCTCAATGTAAATGCAGCAGCTACCTTCTTTCCAAGTACTGATCCCTCAACTTGGTAATTGTAGAGTTAAAAGTCTCCTTCTCACACTCGAAACAACCTGAAAGTGAAAACTACATCTCATTCAACTTTCATCTGTAGCACCTTGCTAGGACCACAGTAAGTGTTCATTAAAATTTGTTGGCTTTTGAAATTAAATTCAGAACAAGATTCCTGAGAATAAATGGTTCATTCTAGCTACATTTATACAAGAAAACCAAACTTTTCAACTTGTTTTAAACATGATATAGCTTGTGAATTAGAATAAACATCTAAAATACTTGTTTATTCAGTAAAATAAGGATATAATATATGATCATAAGTTTTTGCCTTTAAAATCAACCCAAGATGGCCTTTTAATCCTTTAAGGTGTGAAGAGCCTGGGTACCAATGGGATTGCTTATCAGGTCGACTATGACTTCCTCCAATCAGGAGTCACTTCAGAAAAAAAAAAATGGTGTTCACCAGTTTGTATGTGTGTGATTCTGTATATATAAAAGTTCTACATTTTAGCGTCATACCTTAATAAAGTACTACAAAACACATCAACATCAATCCCAATCAACTTTAACAGCCACTTTAGAAATTGTGGTGATTTAACAGCAATATTTTATGACCTGAGATGGCATCTAGCTATTCACTATTTGCAACAATCTTGGCCTTTAATGTTGAAGAGTTAATATCAGCTATGTATATTCCCCTGCGTGGTGAATGACCAGGGCAAAACACCTATTTTATCATTTGGATTTCTTATTACTTTTGATCATTTATGTAGTCTTGTTTTTCCAGAATTACCCATTTCCATCTAAACCATAAAGCACACACATGCAGATGCATGCACAAATCACACAGAAATAGAAGATACTCTAAAGCAAGACAGCTAAGATTCCTTCAAAAATCACATGAATTATTTGGCTTTAGTGCCATCCCACATTTTTAAGACCATGTAAATCATCTCAGTAAACTAAAAAGAAGATGAAAGTTATGATTTCCTCTCCAATCAAATGTGGACTGCACGCAATTCTTCATTTATAACTACATTCATTGTGAGCAACTTCCCCAATTTAGAATCTGGAGAAATAGCACAAAGAATGCTCTCAGCCCTCACCACTGAGCCATGACTCTAGGCCAGACAAGCACCTTACTTAGCAGCAGAATGTAACTTTTAGGCGTATTTCTATGAGCCCATCTCATCATTTCCAGAATTGATTCCAAGTAATAGTAAAAGGGTGGCCAGACAATACAAAGGCTCAGCTTAGAAAGAGATACTTTTAGAGACTCAGATTTAGATTTTTCTTTTTAAATATTTTGAGGCTAGTTTTGAAGTCTTCATCATCAAATAAATAGTAGTGATTTCTATTTGTTACTTGCTTGTGGGCTTCATAAAGTGTCTTCCAGATACGTTATTTCTCCTCCTTTGATTGGCCGTATAGGGAAGCCCAGGCCCAGCAGATGTTACCATCTCTTCATCTACAATGAGGCATTTGAACCTCAGACATTTTTGTTGATTTATCAAAATTCTTTAGGGATCAAGTGTTCAAATCAGATTAGAACCTGGGATGCAGGTATCCAATTTAGGGCTTTGCAGAGCTCACTCTTTCTGCCTAAACAAGTCTATGTTTGATAGCTGAAAATGTTAAATGGAATGTAGGAATAAGACCTGCCCCCACCAGAACTAACTATGTCTCCAATGCTCCACAGTTATTCATATTCTTCCCTAAGCACATAATTTAGTTCTGAGAGTAGCTTAGGCCCAAGGGAGCATTTGG
This sequence comes from Homo sapiens, assembly GCF_000001405.40. Classification (NCBI taxonomy): domain Eukaryota; kingdom Metazoa; phylum Chordata; class Mammalia; order Primates; family Hominidae; genus Homo; species Homo sapiens. The sequence goes on from NC_000009.12 coordinate 81,073,661, forward strand.
TTAACTGACGTTTAGGACATTGTGCACTCCCTTGTCATTGGGTTTAATGTTTCCCATTTTATAACTCCAGGCCCAGTCCCACCTCTCTGCTGGATTGCATTGTCCTGAAAAAAATATTTACATGTACCCAGGGATTCCAGTAATGGGCCCATAAAAAATTCAATAAAGAAATGTTTTAATCAAAATACTCTGTCTGACATCACAGAGTCACCAGAATTCTCATTTAAAATTGGAGCGCATCACTGAAAAACGTTGATTGCTGTTGTAACCTCTCTGGTTTCTAAATGCGTTCTATTCATGCTCTGCTGTTGATGGAACTGGCTACTGATGTGTATCCTTAGAGGAACCTTTTTGTATAATGAATAAAGAATCTCAAAAACACATGAAAAAGGCTTACTATCTCTCTTAGAAGTCATGCCAGAAAAACAGAGAAAGGGCAGCAGTCCCACTTCCTTTTGTTGGTTATAATGATCATATGAGCACCATAAAAAAGAATAATATATCTTTAAGAGGAAAGAAATGTCCTTTTATTCCCCCCGAGAAACTGCAAGTGCAAGTTTCTTAAAGTATCTTTTCAGTGCAAGCTGTAGGTCCTTTTCCAAGGTGAATAAAATCCCCACAAATGCCTGCAAGGAGAGATGTTCCCGATGCTTCCCTTGGGCATTTGCTGAGCTAGGCAAAGTCTGCACTCATGCTATAGATCACTTTGGCACCATTAAAGAATTACAGGGCATCACATGATCTTGTAGGAATTAATCACTGCTTAACAGTATGTGCTCCTGTGTTTATGAAGTCATTTGGAATATCTGCATGCAACCACTGGCTCGGTGAGTCGAGTATCTGCAGGTAATGAACCATGGCATTGTGTTATGGTCGAGCTAGGGAATGTTCCAATTGGCAATTAATATGGCAGTGAAATGTATTTCCTTTAGAGAAAGTTGAATTTATAATTGGAAAACTTTTGTGAACCACAGAGAGATCCTATTTACATTATATTTTGCCAGTCTAGATCCTCACAAAGGATTTCAAGGTGGGGACAGGGTAGTATCAAAGATAAATAGTGTCTGGCATTATATAACAAATAACTATTAAAGACATTGCTCAGATAGCCTTATGCCTGTATTTTTCTTCAGGGACCCTACAAAAAATATTAACTAAAGAATATAGATCAAATTTCAGTTTCAAGTATTTACCATCAGTGAAATAGAACTGCAGGTTATGGCCTACTAAAGCGTTAACAACTCTGAAGAAACTTTTGACAAAAAATAAATAAAATGAAAGGAAAGGAAAAGAGAAGAAAATAAGTGGAGATTTTAAAAAAGTATACTTTATATAAGTAGGTAGTAGCAGTTAGTGGTTAAAGAGTACAGTGAATATTAAGATCAAGGGAGGGAGTCCCTTCCTGGATTTCTCAGTTACACAGTTTCTACTTATAAATATTTATCTTGCAAGTGTGATTCAGATGATATACTCAAACATCAATTAGCCTCCCAATAAAAGACAAGATGTAAAGACGTGGGGATTTGTGTAAGGCTGTTGAGCTGTATGCTGCCAATTCATTTCTAGTTCAAGTTGTTTATCATTATTGTACCTCATTTTCAAAGTGTTGAAGGAGTTTTTAAATAGATACATTTGGAATTTACATATAACAAGTACCCTAGAAGGAAGGTACTCCACTTATACTGGAGTTCTGGAATAAGCACTAATCAAATCATTGAGAATTTTATATAGCTGAGGCAATATAAAGATATCATCTCATATGGTCCTATTTGATTAGCAGTGGAAACCATCACCTTCAAATTATTTTCCCCCCTTTTAGCCTACCTTTACTTCGATCATGCTAAATTAGAGAAATAAACTCAACATCACCAGTAACCATAAAGACATGCTCCATGTAGCTATCAAGCTTTCCTGGGTCAGGATTTAAATCTTCAGTTGGTAAACCTCCCAGGCATGTCTCTGAGTTCCAAAATATTAGAATACAAAAGTATCCACTCATACTCACATATGCATGGACTATCCTACCATTACCCTGATATGTGCTGGTATATTATAACAAAAATGTCTGAGGTTAATGTAGGAAATAAGAAACTAGTACTAAACACTGATATATAGTTTTTATTAGAAAATAAATATATTTGGAGTCAGAATTGTTTCCCTCCTTAGCCAAGAGGAGAGAGAGAGAGAAGATACTTTTCAGGGGATGAGATCTAAGAATGTCCAGGTCCATGAGAAAGTTTGGAACAAGACATGAGTTGACTTATTCAGACCCTGTTTCATTTTTATAGTCCAAAGATAAAGGATCCTTTAAGGTTGTCCATATATCTATTAAATCAAAGATGAGAATATCTTAGTCTCAGCCCTCTCCTAGAATCAAACCACCTTTTGCCTCTCATTCTGTTTACAGCTCTCAATGCTGTCTCTGCTATCCAAAGGTAGTCAGTCAACCCTGAAACTCTTTCTTTGGAAGTAAAGTCAGCAGGGAAAATGATTTCCTCGTGCTATTGAGACCCATCTCTTGCCAAGAACTTTTGCTGCAAATCAAGGAGGCAACTTCCCATGTGGTCATTTCATGCTTCAGTTCTACTGAATTTTTGGTGCTCTTTGAACCCTAATTTGAAATTGAAATTCTATTTGCTTGTATTAGGAGTGGTGGAGGAGAATATCTGGAAATGCATTTGTGTTTAAACACGAGTCCTCCAAGTTGCTCAATGCTTTGGTCTTGGTTTTATGAAGAAAAGTAAAATCAACTGGAATGGCCTGGCTGCCACAGCTCAAGTCAGAATCACTTTGATTCCTGGCCTTCCAGCCTTGACTTGCTCTAATGTAATCTTGTCTGCTGAAGCAAGGTGTGTGACCACTGTGTTATTATCTGCATTTCAGCTCTAAACCCCTAACGGCAGGGCTTTCTCTCTCCAGCATATCTCTCAATCTTATTACACCAGGCTGTGCAAGTGAACCCTGGCCTCTCTACTTGCCCCTTCTGCAGCTGTTCAGCCTGTATCTTGAATGTTCTAGCAACCTCTTCGAATGCCACTGTTATGCACATTCTCTTGCATTGCAAGGGTAAATAAAAGTTACATGCCTATCAGGAAATCAAGAGTTTCAGAGTAAATATAAGTTCTCTCATCATCTCTAATTGTCACTTGCTATGGATGTCAAACTGACAGAGTAGCAGAATCTAATTTCCTTGTTTGATTCACCATGAAATTAAACTGAACTGACAATTTTTATTTTCACCTGGCAAATTCATCTGACACTATTTAAATCCAGCTAATCAAGTACAGTTATCTGCTCCGCACACTCATCTCTCCCACCACACCTCTGATTCTCAGTATCCTACTTCCTGAACTCCCTCCGACAGCCGTGTGTTGGATTACATTTACAGTTTTAGAAGGTGTAAAGGAATGCATGAACATAGTTAGCCAAGGTGCCAGCAAATGTATCATGTCACAAAATTACTACTGAAAGATGAAAAAACAAAAAGAGTAAAAAACAAAACTCCTGGACTGCAGCATGGTTCAAAAGCCCAACCAGTCAGATGGTTTAGTGAGGCCTGTGCTCAGTAGAGTAGAAAATATAATTCTGAAGTTAACTGACTTTTAGGGGAAAAAAATCATGTTTAACCTCTGTACAAAAAAATAAATATCACTGTTCAGATACAGTGAGGATGATAGTAGGAAGTGCTGGATACATCTGTCTTAGGAAATGGGGCCATCTGGTAGTGTGGGAGTGACCATTGATAGAATGAACTATAATTTGAGTTTTCAAAGACAAGGAAGGTTTCACATTTTGGAATCATTAGACACTGTCTCAAAGAAAAGGTTTTTGGTATTGCAGGGCACCAAAAAAGACTATAAGGCTCACCAATTAACCATTGGCAATTACCAGCATCCATGAAGGGACAGCTTCAAGGATCATCAAGTAAGGAAGAAACCTGGACATAGTTAATCCACAGAACAACTAAATGGTTTTTGTGGTGCCTGGATCCACCAGGAGGAGGCTATTAGCTTGGCCCAAAGCTAGCAGATATATTACATGTTTACCTGTAAACATCCTTCAGTTTCAGGCCAGTTTCAAGATTGCTAAGCTCATTTCTACATGCACATGGCCTTTCTTTACTCTGAAACTGAAATGAAGATCCATTGGTTTAACCCTAGCCCCAAGACACCATCAAAGATGAACAGAAACTCTGGGTTGATTTCACATTTGGGACAGAATCTAAAACATCTCTCTATGCTTACTGATTAAGAACCATGTAAGAATCTGATTAAACATGTGTTCCAGCCCTTAGAAAAATACATATGATGAATAATCGGCATATAATTTCACAATGTATTAATGTACCCCTTGAAGCCCTTACATTAACCAAACATAATCATAGCTACAATTGTGGGAAGACATTTTCTATATGCTGGACATTGTGTTAACACTTTAGAGAGAGCTCACACTATCTGGCTTGGCCTCTTCAGCCCTTCTGAGAAGACTCATGAAATTAATAACTCCAGGCCACTTATCTTGAGGAAGTTACGTGAAATTGTTCTTGTGACAAGCTGCTCAAGCATAAATAAGCATCTGCAAGTAGGAGTGCTTGCCATTGTAACTTTAATTTAGGGCTTCTATTTTAAATTACTGATTGTTTGCATTGCTCCCAGCATCTTAGTATATATAACATATTTCTCTTTATAGGAAGTCAAACAGGCCTGTTCACTGAATCTCAGTAAAAGCTGCTCTGGAGAAAGACTGGCTATCTGTATTTCTCCCAAGGTTCCCTAAAGTGATTTTTGCAGCTACCTTATAATGTAGGGTTTTTTTTTTAACCATACCAAGCATATTCCTCCAGTCACTTTTTGGAATAAGCGGCACAAAAACTTTTAGGTTTATTTGTATCGTTCGATTCCTTATAGCATTGGAAGGAGGTATCATTATTCCTACTTGATATAGTGGAAAACTAAGTCCCAGAAAGGATGAATAACTTGCCTTGTCCACATACCTAGTAAGTGGTAAAGCAGGGTTTTTAGAATCCAATTTGGTTTGACTTCAACAGCCAAGTTCTCAGCTGTTGTGGTCTGCTGCTGTAGACTTCAGAATAAGAGCCATTGCTAAAAACACTGGTGTATTACAAAATTGATGAGCCATCATTTTACTTTAACTCAAATCGAATAAACAATAAAAAGTTAAACTTAAATGTATGATAAAACACTCAAGTTATCTCTGGCTGAGAAACAAGTTTAGACATTTCATTGCGTAAATCCTATCCTATCCACTGCCAAGAGCATCTTCCTTCCTGCAATCTCCACCTAGTCAACCAGTCCTACTTATTGGAAGACTTTGTGATTACCCATAGTAAGCACAATAGAAAAGACAGACACAAGGAGACTCTGACCCCTGGCTTCTTAAATCTATATTTTTGCACAGTGTCCATGCTATTTTTCAGAATAAATATGAGCTATGAAAATACTTCCCCCTAGCAAACAGGAAACAATGAGCTACATGGAAACCTAGTGAGCTAAACTTGAGTAGCATGTTTAGGTAAAGAATTTACACAGAAAAATAATTGGGGAAATGGAGATTGCATTACAGGAGCAACTGCTGAAAAGCAGAAGAGAAGCATTGGAGTAAATGTCACTGAGTGGTAGCAGATGATGAAGAACTTGGGGAAAGTTGAAATCTTCAGGAGCAGCAGCAGAATTGTCAGGACAAATCTGAGGAACTAAAGCAAGATACGGAAATCTGCGAAAGAATAAAGGGCAAGAGAGCAAGGAGGAAAAGAAAAAGTGCAGGACCTCCTGATGTTCTAGACTCACCTGCACCATGGGTCATGGTAGGGGAAAGGAGAAACAAGAGAAGGCCTTTGACAGAACATTTCCCTGAAAAGATCTCTCCCAAGGAGAAACAAGTAGCCACTTGACTATAGATGAAGGTGTGAGTAGGGAGTGAGCTCCAGAATGTTCTTTCTCAAATACCTGCCTGCTAATTCATTAATGCTACTTTCTGATCCATGTATAGATGTTGGACATGGAATTCTAGAAAGAACTCCATAACAAGGATTCAGGAAAAAACAGAAAGAACTCTAATTTTTTCCATTGGAGATACTGATATCTGAGCATTCTTTCATTTTGTCACCCTTTTTAAAAAAGAGAAAACATTATTAAAAGGCATATTGTAGCATAGTACAATATACTTACCATTCTAGTGAAAGCAGCGAGCAAGTTCAGGCAATGCCGAAGGAATAAATGTGAAATTAAATTGCTGAAAGAGAAGAGAAACTCAATGATCTACTGTATGCTCTAAGAACAGAGAAGAACTACATCTAGCAAAAGGCTCAACTTTCTTCCAGTATAAACTATGGGAGAACCAGAGTATCTTCCATGGGCATACATATGCAGAACAATATTGGAAAGTTAGAAAAAGATTTAAGGGAGTGGAGGAGTGACAAATTTAAGTTAAAAACACAAACAAACAAGAAAACATCCACATTTAGGAAACTGGAGAAGAAAATAGAGCTGGAGAAACAAGATTGTTGGCATTCCAAAGGTAAGACAGAATTATGGACTAAAGGGAGCAAGTAGAAGATGTAGACCAGCTCTACTCAATGTATCGGACCTTGACGAGGTAAGTAGCTTGAGCCAGACTAAATCAACATGTTTTTTCCTTCATTGAGAAGGTGTAGCTACCACTGCTACTGCTACTATTCAAATAATAATAATAATAATAGCTGAATAGACAAATTAACAGTAAGTGAGTTTGGTAATACAGTTAAGTTACATTACTGGTCAAAGTTTCTCATCTCCCCATGGACTGGTAACAAACCTAGTAACAAACAGTTCTGGGACCATATGTTAGCTAGGCTGCTTTAGACTTCAAAATAGAAGAGAAGGCCAACAAAATGTTAAAGGTAGACCAGAGAGCCAAGCAGCAAGTAAGTACATCAACACCTAAGGCAGGAGAGAAGATGTAGCTTCCATAGGATGTTACAAAGGAAATGAGTCATCCAGAGAAAGGTGTGAAGAAAGGACACTGAAGGAGAGACAGAGGAGAAGGATAATAGTCTCTGCACATGTAGGGAACATGTGGATAGAAGAGAGAGATGTGGTGTTATTGCTGAGAGAAAGAGTATCTGGCCTTTTGAATATTAACCCACGTAGATAGTGCAGTATAGAAAGAAGGGCTTCTCACCCTCCAGATGCATTGGTAAAGAAAATATGGGGGCTACTGAGAAGGCTACCAAGTATATTTTTAGAGTAAACCATTGTCCTAAGTACTATTTTTAAGACCATTAGTTAATATAATTTATGCTCAAATATCATACTAAATACTTTCATCACTGATAAAGTACAGCTTTCATTAGTTATGAAATTCCTACACTCTGAACCTGATTCTTGGCACAGAGAATGATAACATATTTGTTTGCTAGGGCTGCCATAGCAAAGTACCACAAACTGGGTGGTTTAAACACCAGAAATTTATTTTCTCACAGTTCTGGAATCTAGAAGTCTGAGATCAAGGTATCAGCAAGATTGGTTTCTTCTGAAACTGCTAGCCTGGTCTTGTAGGTGGCCATCTTCTCCCTTGTCTTCTTCACATGGTCTTCCTTGCATATATGTCAGCATCATAATTTCCTGTTTTTATACACACCAGTCATTTTCAATTAGGACCCACCCTATTGACCTCATTTTAATTTAACTACATCTTCAAACGCCCTATCTACAAATGCAGTCATTTTCTGAGGTACAGTGCTGGGGATTAGAACATCAACATATAAATTTGAGATAGGCAAAAGTCAGCCTGTAAAATGCGTAAAGTTTCAACTCATGGTGAACGCTGTGAGCACATGGTGCCACGCGCAGCTGTGCTCTCTGCACACGTACCAGCACAGCACAGTGCCCATGAAGTAGGGAGATGCAGAAGTCTTCATTTATATTGGTTGAGTGGATGGTTTTAAACCACTTCCCGATTCTCTTTCAAATTCTTGAATCAACTATCGATTTCGCTTTATTAACAATTCAGGTTGAAAATAATTTTAGACTAGGGATCCATATATCCAAAGAGAAAAGTGGGATGGGATGATGCACAGAAGATTAGAGTCATGAGTGGCACAGCTCAGGCCAAAAACGTGTTACGAAGGGTTATATGGCAAATTGCTGGTAAATTTAAGGGGCTGGGTTCTTTATGCCTTTCTTAACTCATTACAAAGTGCTCTGTCAACACATGGCAATATTATTTTCAAACCATACAGGTCGCATTTTAGAAAATTTAGAACTTGAAACCTAGACCTACAGGCCAAAATCTAGACCTCCAGGATAAAATGCAATGTATTTGACTTCAGTAACTCCATATTTCAAGCTTCTCATGTCTTCCCTGACTTCTTTGGACTAAAATGCTTATCTTTTGGATTCAATCAGATGACTTTGTGGCTTTCTTCTACCTTTGGGGCATTTCTTCTCCATTCAATTAGTTCTCTTCTGTGGGCAAGAATTCAATCCAGTCACCCAGGTCATGGAAAAATGATACTTCATTTGCATCAGGTAGAAGCAAGTGCTTAAGGTGATCAGTCTGGATGAAAGTCATCCAAACTGAAATATTTCTGCAAGGTTTGTGTGCAGGATTTGATTTTACTTCATTCCCTTTATAGAAACCATCCCAACCTTCTCTGGTTCTTTGCTCATTAACAGCATAAATCATGCAAAATGTTAAAAGTCACTGTTGCAATGGTATTTGATACAGAATTTAAATTAGACCACAGAGAAAAATGACAGTACTCCTCTGAGGCTCTATGATTCATTCCTTGGTACCAAACCAGAAGTTGAAAATGCAATGCAATTTTATAATGAACAGAAGCATTGCCTCTGGCCTTCATACAACTCCAAAAATAGTTAGAACAAAACTGACCAAAAACCAGGAAGGTCCTATGCAGAATATATTCAGAAGGTGGCTCCACATTCACCATAAAATACATACATATACATATATTATGTATATCGTATATACACACACAAACACACGATTCTCTTTCTGTCTGTATCCCCCCATGCCATGACTGTCTTTCCATCTTTGGGTTTCTTTTTTTTTTTCTCTCTCTCACTCTTTCTCTCTCTCTCTCTCTCCTTCTTCTATCTCTTGATATCATTTGTTCCACTTCTCACTCCCTTTCTCTCTGTCTCTCTCTGTATCTCTGTCTTTCTCTGCTACTCTGGCTCTGTTTTCTCTGGCTCTGTCTATGCCTTCTTCTCTGTTCTTTTTGTCATTGTCTCTATTCCTCCCTATCCTCTCCATTCTTATTCTCTTGCTGTCTCTTAGTCAGTATACCTTTGTGTCTTTGTCTTTCTTCCTGTCTGACTTGTTTTCCTGGCTGTGCATCTAAGCCTCTTTTACTATGTGAATCTCTTTTTTTCCCCTGTCATGCACATACACAGACACTGAACAGTGCCTAGAGCAATTCCGTTTTGAAATATTTATTTTTTATGGAGAAGTTATTTTTTGAAAGTGCTGCAACCCCCTCTGCCTACTGAGACATGGAGCAGGAGCCCTTTCTTCTCTGCTCTCCTCTCACCAAGACTGTGTGTGTATTTCACAGATCATCCAGCAGAGGAAGTGCAACCAGTGCTTTCCACGCTGCTTCACCCTGGAAGTTAAATGTGTGCCCTTCTTTAAGGCTACTCAGCCCAGCTTAACTCAATGGGAAACATGCCAGGAGGGCTCAGATCTTCTGCATAGCCAGTTTGCCCAAAGACAGTCTGCTAAAGCCATCCCCGCCGGCTTTGCTATTTTTGCCATTGTAAGTGACTTCTGGGTTATTTAACATAAAGCCCTACACAGTGCTTCAGTTCTAAACTTCATGATAGAACTCTAAAGGGTGAATAGGTTATCAGGCTTGAAGAAGAGACATTGTGAAAAGGATTTAGATTTAGACTTTTAATAGTGTAAATATAGTCTTGAAATGAGAGAAAGCAGTCACGGTCAGAAAACCAAGGAAGAAATCCTTTAAGCAACTATACACATTACTTCAGAAATGGTGTATATTTTACTTTATGTGTGTTTAATTGCATAGTTTTTAGGAAAATAAAACAGCACCATGATCACATCACTGTATAATTACCATTGTTTTCTAAGAAGTTACTATGTAGTTACTACATTATTACAGAAAAATAAAGCATGTTATTTCATGGTAACTATGCAATTAGTCCATGTCACCATCAAATGTACACTTACTGAACCAACAAAGAAATAAAATGTTCCATTTATTTCCCTCCATGCTCATGAGTCATAATATTGTCCCTCTTTTAGAAATGACATAATGAATCAATGTACTAATGTAGGAAATATGCAGATTATGCTTTTTTCCTAATCTTTTTTTTTTCTGGTGAGCAAATGAATACCTTGGAAACTGCAGATGCAAAACAGTTAGTCAGCACGCCAGATAGGCAGGCAAGCAAAAAGATTCTATCAAGCAAATCTACTGTATTTAATGAGAGAGGAACAAGGACTCCTTTTTGGCTGTGGCTAGGCAGGGATACCTTGGCAAGCCAAGTCCCTCAGTGGCTAGAAGGAATGAGAAAAGGATTAAACATATTTCCTCCTATATTGCATGCAGGCTGAAAGTATAGCAAACAAAAACTGGTACCATGTTATGTGTACATTCACAGAAGAATTTCAGTTTCTGTTGCACATACTGCGAAGGAAAAATCTAGTGTTTCAATATTTAAATCAGTTCTATAAAAAGCAGACCACTTGGTAAAAGTTTGAATTCACTATCAGAAGCTGGTTCTGGTAGTGCAAAAGAGATTTAGAATTAGAAATAAGGAATACACTACATTCTTTGTCAATGGCAGCGTGTCTTTCTACTTAAAGCTTTGTGTACAGTCATCTTTCTATGAAGCTAATTGCGAGCTGCTTAAAATAATGAGAATAGTTCTGTTTATTGTAACTAATTGATTTTCAATACTTCAAGATTAATTGGGCAGAACAGGTCATATCAAGCTTTCTTTGAGCATGTTTTAGTGGGCTCTGAATTAAAGAAATTAAGTGATAGATTAGTATAATTTATTTTCACATTTGTTATTTTTCTAGAAATAGCTTTAAAATTCTTCAGGGAAGACACCCTATTCCTGTCCCTTTTCTCAATCCTTTCCATTTTTTTCCTGAACAGCATTCAACTAACTTCTTTTTATTTCTAGCAGGGAAATTCCTCTGTTCTCTAGCTGCTCTTAATTTAAGTTCAAATCATGAGAGTAAAGAGTGTGTCAAAGAGGATCTAAACTCACTAAAGTCTTTAAAATACACAATACTCCCTCTTCAATGGACAGAAAGATACCTGGGGGAAAATTATATTTGTATTCTCAGCTATACAGTATTTACATTTGTATGTAGATTTCATGAATCATGGCTGATACATTATTTTTGGAGACTATAGATTGAATCCAACACAAGTTTCCAATATTCCTATTAGTGCATACTTTTAATGACTGTTTAAAAGGAGGGAAGCAAATAAACTTTCATCAATGAAGAAGTTACCTAAAGTTGTACTTATCTGATTCAACAACTGTCAGTCATGAAAATACATATGTATTCTTTTAAAGACAAGATAATCAAGTGCGACAAAGAATGCCACAGAGATTCAGATTTCTTGAAGGCAGATGAAAATGGAACTAAATCTAAGTTTACCTGTGATTAAATAAATCAGGGCTGTTGTGCCTTTCTCTTCACACCTAACCTGTCTTCCACCCTTTACCAGCCCCAACCTTTCAGGACTTTTATTATACACAAGACATAATCATTCAGTTAAATATTGCCTTAAAGTCTTTTTGTGCCATTAAGGATTCAGAGGAAGACTCATTTCTTCAAAAGGAGAAGCAGAGGTAGAGTAGGCAGAATTTTAAAATGGGCCTGTAGATTTTCCACCTTGCTGGTGAGCATCCCCTGCATAATCCTTAGGACTGGGACTGTGATGGATTTTACTCCCATAATTAGGTTATGTTAAAATAGGGAGACTATCTGGGTGGGCCTGACCTAATCACTTAAGCCCTTTAAAATATGACACTTTCTGCAACTGGTCACAGAAAAGGAGGTCAGACAGATGTTCCCACTGGCCTAGAAGAAGGCCAAAATCCATGTTGTGAACTGCCCACAGGGGCCACTCCTGGGGTAAATAACTCCAAAATCCTCTAGTTACTGAGAGAGGTACCTGGCTAATACCTAGAAAGATAATGGACACTCACAGTCCTAAAACTACAAGGAAATGAATTCTGACAACAATAAGTGAGTTTAGAAGAAGACTCCAAGCCCAGATGAGAACCTCAGGCCTAGGTGACATGTTAATTTCATCCTATTGAGACCCTGAGCAGAGAATCCAGTCACAAACACTGGACACTTGACCTCCAAAAAAAAAGTAAGATAAAAAATACTGTTGTTTTGTGCCTCTAAGTTTGTGGTAATTTGCTATGCAGTGAGAGAAAAATAATACAATTGGAAAGAGATGATGTCCTTTGACTCTGTATAAATTTTTTTCTCTCATACTTTTCATCCCAGACAGTTTGGATATTTACTGTTGAGGTTTTCACACCATATTACTTTTTCGCTGGCAAAGCTTTCGATAGAAGATTCAGTATTAAATGAACATACCTACTATTTAAAGACTTTATGACAACAAAAAAAATGTTAGTAGAACCATAGTTCCCTCAAGAGTATCCACACTCTCTGTTAAATTAAGTTTTTCCATGAATGGAGCCTCTTTCTATCCAAACCATAACATTTCTTATTAAGAAAAGTTTAAATAAGCCCTTCATGCCACTCATTGCCACAGTTTGGTTTTATCTGAAGCATCCACTAGGCTGGGATGTAAATGATCATACTTTTGAAGGGTATAATTCACAGACAAAGGGAGGGGGAAGAAAATCCAGCTTTGCATCAGCCCACATCAAATCTGTGAAAATCACAAAAGGGATAAGGTTTCAACTCACACAGTTGACGCTGCTTTGTTAAAGGGATATCCCATCAGACTCCCACACAGAGACTCCAAGAGAAAGCCTGATATTGGCAAACGTGCAGACATGCAACACTGTTTTCCTTTAATGAGTGTTACCGCAGATAAAGATGTTACAGTGATCTTTGTAAAGCTGAGCCCATGGATAGACTGTCATTTAAAAGTACAATTACATTGCCTTAAAGGTAAGCCTTATTAGAGAACTTGAGAATCCCAAATGGAGTTGTCTCCTAAATGTTTACGTACTGCCCGTCACTTGTCATCAGGTAATGCTTCACTGAAGAATTGGAGGTTGGGGGGAGCTTGTTTCTCCACTATAATCTATTTTTGTTTTAATATATGAGCTGAATATCTGATCCCTATTAAATAATGCGTGTATGTTTTGTTTTGTTTTACCCTCAAAGCACCTGGTTTTCAATGCAGCTTTTTTGAGATATAATTAACAGATCATAAAATGTACATTTTTAAAGTGTAAAATTCATTAGGTTTTAGTATATTCACAAAGTCGTGCAACCATTAACACTGTGTAATTTTAGAACATTTTATCATCCCGTAATGAATTCCTTTACCCATAATCAGTCACTCCCCAGCTCTCCCAGACCCTGGGAACCTCTAATATTCTTTCTATCTCTATGGATTTGACAACTTTGGATGTTTTATACAAATAAAATCATATAATGCAGGACCTTTTGTGTCTGGCTTATTGACATATTATTTCCAAGGTTTATCCATATTATAGCATAAATAGCATAGTACTTCATTTCATCGTAAGTACTTCATTTCATTGTAAGGCCAAATAATGTTCCATTGTATGAACATACCACTTTTTGTTTATCTATACGTCAGTTAATGGATATTTAGATTATTTTCTGCTTTTTGCCTATGATGTATAATGCTGCTGGGAACATTCATGTACACGTTTGTATATAGACCTGTGTTTTTGCTTCTCCTGGAAATAGAATTGTTTGATTATATGTAATTCTATGTTTAACATTTTGAGAAACTGCCAAATTGTTTTCCAAAGTAGCTGCACCATTTTGAAATCTTACCAACTATGTATAAGGTTTACAATTTCTCCACATACTCACTAACGATTGTTAATGTCTGCCTTCTTTATTTTAGACATCCCAGAGGGTTTGAAATATTACCTCATTATAACTTTAATTTATATTTCCCTAATGTCTAATGATGTTGAGCATCTTTCTATGTGCTTATTGGTCATCCGCATACTTTTTTTTTCATTCGTATATCTTCATTGGATAAATGTCTACTCCAATTATTCGCTCGTTTTTAAATTGGGCTATTTGTCTTTTTATTGTTGACTTGTAAGAGTTCTTTATATATTCTGAATCTATGTTTCTTATCAGGTATATGATTTGCCAACATTTTTTCCCATTCTGTGGATCACCTTTTCATTTTCTTGGTATTTTTTGAAATACAAAAGTTTTTAATTTTGATATGTTGACATGTTAATTTTGTTATGTCCAGTTTATCTATTTTTTCTTTTGTCACTTGTATTTTTTTGTGTCATATGTAAGAAAGTATTGACTAATCCAAAGTCATAAAGATTACTGCCTGTTTTCTTCTAACAATTTATAATTTTAGTTCCCACATTTAGGTCTATGATTCATTTTAATTTTGTGTGTGTGTGTGTGTGTGATACACAAAGTAGGAGTCCAATTTTAGTATTTTAACTGTGAATATCCACTTGACCCAGCACCACTTATTGAAAAGACTACTCTTTTACCATTGAATTGTCTTGGCACCCTTAGCAAAAGTCAATTGAGCATAAATGTATGAGCATAAATGTATGGGCTTATTTCTGGACTTTCAGTTCTCTTCCATTGATGAATATGTATAGCCTTATGCCAGTATCACACAATCTTGATTACACTAGCTTTGTAGTAAGTTTTGAAATAGGGAAACGTGAGTCCTCCAACTTTGTTCTATTTCAAGATTGTTTTGGCTATTCTGGGTTCCTTGCATTTCCATATGAATTTTAGGAACAACTTTTCAATTTTTGCAAAAACTGTAGCTGAGGTTTAGATAGAAGTTGCATTAACTCTGTTGTACAATTTAATTAGTATCGCCATCTTAACAATGTAATTCTTCCAATCCATGAATATGAGAAATCTTTCTATTTATTAGATCTTTAATTTTTTTCAATGACTTCTTATACTTTTCATTATCATATACAAGCCATGCCCTTCTTTTGTTATATTCCTAAGTATTGTACTCTTTTATCGTTATTGTAAATGGAATTGTTCTCTTAATTTCATTTTCTTATTTTTAATTTTCAAAAGCAAATAAAGGCCTTGCTTGGTGATCTCATTCACTGTTTCCTTACTCTGATATGATTGGTAAGGACTGCTTACAATTTTGTAAATATTATTTTTCATTTTGCTTTAAACTCTAACTCAGTAATCTTCCACCCCCAAAATTATTGACTTTGAACTAGGTCTAGTCAGAGCAATGGGTTTTTAGGACAATATGATTATGATGATTCCTAGGACACCGCATCATGACAAAAACATTCTTTGAACTTCTTTCAGTAGTTGTGTTACATTTGCAAGGAATTTTGTGTTTTCCTGTCTTTGTTTCTCAGATAGGATACTTCCTGATTGTTAGTAGGGACATTTTAATATAAAAATATAGCTATAAATATAAGATCAATTACCTACATCATTCATTCAGATAACAAATATTTATCGATCATTGTTTATGTGCCAAGCACTGCTCAGGTGTTAGGGATACATCAGAGAACAAATCAAAGATTCATGCCTTCTTGGATCTCACAATTTTTATGCTCAGAATATGTTTACTGTTTGAAAATGAAAAAATATAATTACTAAGCATCTTGTTCTTGAGAAAATTTTAATCTATTAAGCTAGCCAACAAAACAGTAGGCTGATATTTGCCATGGATATAATTATTGTATATACATACATATTGTTTGTTTAATTTATTTAATTATATTGTAAGGACTTAGAGTATCAAGATCTATGTCAACTGCTATTTAAGACATAGACCTGCCTTAAATGGCTTACATTTTAAAATGAAAGCTGTGTTGTCAAAGTAATACTGCTGAATGGTACAGAATAAGCCATAAACATGATGCCAAACAATTCTGGAAATGAGAGATCACATCTGGCTAGATTCATAGATGTGGTTGAATTTAAGTTGAGATTGTAGGATTAGTATTTGGATAAGTGAGTATTATGACATGGGACCTGCATTATAGAAATGATATATACACATATATACATATATATACACATATGTACATATATGTATACACACATATATAGATGTGTGTGTAGATATCTCACTTATATAACTTGATTTAATTTTACATGAGGAGGAGGAAGAAGAGAATAATAGGAAAGAAAAAGTGGGAGTGAGAAAAGAGAAGGAGAAAAAAAAGAGAAGGATGCTAAGTAAAAGGATATGAAAGATAAAAAGGAGAAGAACAGTAGAGAAGGAATGGGAAGAGAAGGAAGAGAGGGCAACTAAAAATTTTTTAGTTTAGTCTATATAGAAAGCACTGAACAAAGCATTCCACATGAATTGCCACCATATAAATAGAGATATTATTATCATCTGTAGTTTGCAGATGAGGTAACTAAGGCTTCGATAACTTACTCAAAGTCATATATTTAGTAAGTTGTAGAGGCAGGATTTTTCTCCTGTGTTTGTCTGAGTTCAAAGTCTATATTTTTGAGAGTGAAAAGATTACTGAGAGTTAGCGTTTAAAACAAAATGAAAAAAAATCTTTACAAAATCTTAAGCAATCCTTACCAATTATATCAGAGTCAGGAGTCAGCGAACGAGATCGCTAAACAAAGTCCTTATTTCTTCATTCTTCTACTCCCAGCACCTAGTACAGTGGCAAACACATCTTAAGGGCTGTTATATTTGGAAAGTAATAAGCATTTGAAAAAATATTAGAAAAGTGGTAAAGATCACAGAGTAGCATGAGAGAAACAAAAAAAGCCTTAGGAAAAAAGATGGTGAACAGGGTCCAATGCCACAGAGACTGCAAGAAGCACGAAGAACAAAAAAGATGACTACATGAAGCAATTAAAAAACCTTTTCATTATCTTAATCGTGTCATTACTGATTTATTGTTTCTTTTGATCAGTGTTATTCAGAGATAATTTACATACAAAGCTTAATCTAGTTAGAGGCTACATTTTGATGAATTTTGACCATCGTATATCTCTCTAAACCACCACAGTCAAGACACAGAATAATTCCACCACTCCCAAAAGATTTCTCATGTAATGGTGTCTTTTTAATTAACAATATTTCTTAGCTTTAATGTACTTCAATTTTGATGAATAGTATTTCTTTTCATGAACAGAACTTTTTAATATTAATGTATTAACGTGTGGATTCAGTGTATCCATCTTTTTTCCTTTTAGTTAGTAGATTTCATGTTCTATTTAAGAAATATTTCCATATCCCAAAGTAGTAAAGAAATTCTCACATACTACTTTTAAGAGTATTATTGTTTTGACATTCACAGTAATATTCTGGGAAATCAACCACCCATTTGCTATAAAAAATGAATAAAAATAAAATGTGTATACCTATCAGAATATCTAAAATTTTAAAGATTGACCACTAAAGTGTTAGAAAGCAGTTTTCAGTTTTAAGTAGTTAAACACACGCCCACACTATGCCCTAGTTATTATCTTCCAAGGTATTTCCTCAAGAGAAATAACTTTCGTGTTCTTATAAAAACTTACACATAGGCCGGGCGTGATGGCTCACGCTTGTAATCCCAGCAATTCGGGAGGCCGAGGCGGGCGGATCATGAAGTCAGGAGATCGAGACCATCCTGGCTAACACGGTGAAACCTCGTCTCTACTAAGTATACAAAAAATTAGCTGGGCGTGGTGGCGGACGCCTGTAGTCTCAGCTACTCGGGAGGTTGAGGCAGGAGAATGGCGTGAACCCAGGAGGCAGAGCTTGCAGTGAGCTGAGATCCTGCCACTGCACTCCAGCCTGGGCGACAGAGTAAGACTCCATCTCAAAAAAAAAAAAAACTTACACATAAATGTTTATAGTAGCTTTATTTGTAAAAGTGAACAAGTGAAAATAATTCAAATGTGTATCAGAAGGTTAGTGGATAAACAAATCTGGTAGATCCATAAAATAAATAAAATATTACTCAGAAATAAAAAGTAATAAAGTTTTTCATTGAATGAATTTTAAAATAATTATACTGTGATAGAAGCTAGATGTAAAAAATGCACATACTGTGTAATTTACAAAAATTTTTGAAAATACAAACTTTAGTAATAGAAAGGAAATAAGCAATTCTTTGAGGATGGGGCAGAGCAACATGGAAGGGAAGAATTAAAAACACACATTAGGACATTTTGGAAGATGGTTAATATGTTTGTAATCTCAGTTGTAGTTATATTTTTATGAACATATACATATATTAAAACCTAATAAACTGTACACTTAAAACACATGCAGTTCATAGTATGGCAATAATGCCCAAATAAAGCTGTTAAAAATTAAATTGTGTATATTCTTACAATGGAACACTAACCAGCAATAAAAATAAACTACAGCTCTGTGTGGCAACATAGATGACTCAAATTGTTACGCAAAATAAGCCAGAAAATAAAAAGCAAATAGAGTCTGATTCCATTTAATGTGAAGCGCAAGAGCAGGCTAAACTAATTTATAACATTAAGAGTTACAACAATGATAAACTTTGGGGAAGAAGGAAGAGGCAGAGTTTGGGGATGAGCATGAAGGGAGTCTCTCATGAGATAAGAATATTATGTTTCTTGAACACAGTGGTGTTTACAAGAGTGTTTACTTTGTAATAATTCACTGAGTGTTTAGTGCACTTCAGTGCATTATATTTCAATTAAAAATCTTTAAAACATATAATACAATACAAAACAAAAAAGAGGCCAAGGGGTAATCTTTTGAGACTATTTCATTAGAGTGACATGTATAGAACTCATCTCATGCGGAGCGAGGCAGTAGTCAATTGTAAATAGCAAATGAAAGCAACTCTTTCAAGAAACACTTGAAATAAAACAATATAAACAGAATAAAAGTCGAGGATGTAATAGTACTTCTTAAAACAATAAGCACTTGATATATAAAAACAATACAGTATAGTGGTTAAGAGCTTGTCAGATGTTCTTTATTTCAAATATTTGTTCTATGCCTTCTCACTGAGACGTGGAAAAGTTAATTTGTTTTCCCTTAAATATAGAGTGGGAATAATGTGTAATCCTCACAATAGTTGTGTGGATTAAATGAAGATTAAATGATTAGAGTTTAGCGTGGAGCACAACACCTACTAAGCTCTTTAAAAAGTGTCAGTAATTGTTTGATAATGATGAAAATTATTTGTATTTGGAGGGGGAGAACAATCACTTCAAAGGGATTATGGGAGATTCTCACAACTCAGGTTTGACCCCTGTCAGAAGGCTATTGCTAGGACACAGAAAAACCAGCAGCGAGATTGACATTCATGAAGGTGACAAAATGAGTGACGTCGGGGCTCTCACATATGGCTGGTTTCTCCCTCAGAAATATTATGGGGCAGGAGGCTGAAGTACTAAACTGAAATTCTCTGGAGGGCAGATCTTAATTTTCTTATCCTTCCCCATCTTCAAGGGCCTAGGAAACAAAGCCTAATGAGGCAGTTGAAAGTTCTGGTGTGTCATGTACTAGAAACAGGGAGAGGAAGAGGTAGACTGAGACTTATCGAAGTTGCAACACATTCTGGACCCAGCTTAATCTCTGGTTAAATTGAGGTGAGCATCCTGCATTATATTTACTTAACAGAAGAGAGGCAAATCCTCTCTGCTGAAAGAAAACGTTATACGGATTCTGTTTCTTTTATACACAATGCCTAAAATAAAAATATTACTAGACATACAAAAATACATGACCATATGACTAATAACCAAGAGGAATAAAAAAATACAAGCAGACCAACAGATAATCCATACCACTGATAATCAAGACCAAAAAGATAGTTAAGATTAGCAGACATGGATTTTAAGGTAACTATGACTAATATGTTAAAAATAATAGAGAAAACATGAGGAACAAATGAAAAGATAAAAATAAAGCTAACGAGAAAAGGCTAAAGAAAAAAACTTAAATATAAGAAAAAGCAAGCAAAATGAAGGAGAAATTAAGGGGCTCAGACATACAATTAATAGAAACTCTAGCAAAGGAATATAAAGTAAATGACCGAGAAGTCATACTGAAAAGACAAAAATTTAGGATTACCCAATTTGAACAAAAATGTTTTCAGATTAATAGTCTGACAACAAAAAATAATAATAAATATAATTCTATATCTAGATATTTTGTATCATAAACATGAAGAATAAAGAGAAAAATTTTAAAAGCTACTAGGGAAAATGCATTTTGTTAATGAAGAATTGACAAACTAACAGTAGTAAGAGATGTCTGAAATCAATGAAGCCATTGTTTCTAAGTGCAGAGAAAAAAATGACAGCTTGAAATTTTATTCTTAGGTACAGTTTTATTTATGAATAAATACACAATAAAGAGATTTTAAGATACTCAAAAACTAAGATTTAGTAAGTAGAAACATGAATCAAAGATTATCCTTTACAAGAAAATATTGTTCTCATATATACATAGAGCATTAAAAATTAGCATGTACAAGGTGACAAAGGATGTTTTAATAATTTTCTTTGAATGTTATGGTGAAAATGATCATCAGTCATAGGCAATTTCAATGAGAGTAAACAAGACAGTTGAAAACACTCAATATGTTTTAGAAATTAAAAATGGATTCCTAAGTGACTCATAAGTTAATGAGGAAATTACAATAAAAATTTCTAAATATTTATTTACAACCATCAAAGCTTATAAGATAAAACTGAAGCAGAGTTTATACGGAAAAAACTTCTAAATAAATACTGACATTTATTTCAAAACTTGGAAAGACAAAATTAATGAGTCATTGTTCAACTCAGTAAATTAAAAATTTAAATAAAAAACTAAATAATATAGAAAGAATAAAAAAAATTGAAAAAAGAACAGAGATTAATACAAATAGAAAACAAAAAAATGCCAAAGAATTTATATACCCAAAGCTGTTGCTCTGAAGAATGTTGTTACAAACAAAAAGCACAAATCTTTAAGAATCAACTAACAAAATCAAGTAAATGAATATCAAGTTATTTCATTTCAATAATGGCTCCATAAACAAAGTATAACTTTACTTATTGACTAGAAGCAAAAATTTGCAAAGGCCTAACTGATGAAGGCTTAGAACATTGAAAAACAAAAACTTTTGTATAAGTAAGAAACTTACTACCAATATTTGGAAGTGATTAAAGATACCATTAAGCAATTCACAGAATGGACAAAAATATGAACAAATACTTAACCTGACAGTTAGTCTGAGACATACAAGATGAAACAACTAACAGCTACCATTTCACGCACGACAATGACAAAACTTTTTTAAATATGATAAAAACCCCTCCATGAAGGCAGAAATCTTTGATTTTTTCCTTGTTGCATCTTCAGCACACAGAACAGTATTTGTTTCATGGGAACACTCAGTAAGTATTAAATGACTGGATAAAATACTCAGTACTGGTAAGCATAGGGAAAACAGACTTCTTATTTATTCTAAGTAGTCTAAAAGAATTCAATTACATTAGAGAATAATCTAGTCAAGTTGGAAGGTGTACATGCCTTTCAAGCCAGCTCTTCCACTTCTAGGTGTACACCCCCAGGTAGTCCTCCACATAGGTTAAAGATTGGTTAAATAAGTAGAACATATTCATATTATGGATGTTTTCCATATGGATGCAACAGTAAAGATTAATGAAATAAAGCTTTATGTAATAACATAGATTATCATAAGTATAGCAGTACAAATGAAATCTTTGTACGAAAGCATGCTTGGGGATTTTATTTGCCAAGTTTAGGAAAGTAATTGCCTTTGTCTGGGGCCAATAAGAGATGAGAGTGAATACAGGTCTTCTACTGTACATCATGGACATTTTTGTTGGTTAAAATATCTGTTTTTGTTTGCTTAAAGAAAAGATCTGAGTCAAAAAAAGTTAAAATTTTCTGAAGTCAAATAGGTAGAAAGGACATGAATTTTCTTTAAATTATCTTTATATTTTCTGTATGTTTGAAATATTTTATAAGCTATTTCATATAAGATAAGATAATTCATATTCTTTTATAAGATAAAAGAATAGAAAAAGATACGGAAGAACAGGATTTTGTCTGCCCCTGAGCCTGGGCAGTGTCTTTTTCAATTGGGGAGCAATGTGTGCTAAGCAAGAAGAAACTTGAAGTGATATGGGACTAAATGAGTATGGTAGTATAAGGCCCATAACCTCAGAGAGCAAGATAAGAATTGTGGTTAATAGTCTATGAAACATCCTGAGCTACCTAGATCAGTATATGAAATGCATATCCATAACAAAGATAGAGTATATAAAAAGGGTACAGGATCTGGAGAATGAATTGGGGTACCATATATTTTAAAAAGGCAAGATCTGGAAAAGGCTCATTGTGATTTCAACATAAATCTTCTGACAAATTTAAAAACTTTTCAAAAGAAGGCTAACCCTGGTAATGCTGTTCTGAAGATGAAAACAAATAAATATCATTACTACCGGCGGGGCGCGGTAGCTCATGCCTGTAATCCCAGTACTTTGGGAGACCTAGGCGGACGAACCACCTGAGGTCAGGAGTTTGAGACCAGCCTGGCCAACATGGCGAAACTCCGTCTCTACCAAAAATACAAAAATTAGCCGGGTGTGGTGGCAGGCGCCTGTAATCCCAGCTACTTGGGAGGCTGAGGTGGGAGAATCGCTTGGACCTGAAAGGCAGAGGTTGCAGTGAGCTAAGATCACGCCACTGCATTCCAGCCTGGGTGACAGAGCAAGACTCCACCTCAAAAAAAAAAAAAAAAAAAGGCAAGATCTGAAAAGGGCTCTTTGTGATTTCAACATAAATCTTCTGACAAATTTAAAAACTTTTCAAAAGAAGGCTAACCCTGGTAATGCTGTTCTGAAGATGAAAACAAATAAATGTCATTACTACCAGAGACGGAATGATGTCATTAGGACAAAAAAAAATGAGTAGCTTGCTTAGGGCCACACTGAATGCCAAGGACAAATTCGACATAAACATCCCAGTCTTTTCAAGTCCTTTCTTGTCCACACAAGGAAATCTGTGTATCTGCAACCAAATGAAGATTTAAGCTCTGGCTGGCCTTGGCTCTGCCCCCATCAAACCAGAGCTCATTGAACTGTTTAATTGTGAATAGCTTCTTTGGTTTTTAAACTGGTTAAATATGATGAAAATCTGTGCACAAACTTGCAAATGAATCAGAGAAAGACAAAGGCCTTTGAAACGGACATTTCGAATGAGCTAAGTAGGCAAAGGAGCCTGCAAGTAATTGTTCATATTTCATAGGGACTTGGCTTTTCATGAATTCATCTCAGTGTCATCTTTCATACATATTACAGTGTCAGTTCATTAAAATTCTTGATGCAGTGCTGAACCTGGTCAGACTGAAATGGTGCTGACAAACCTCATGTCTGCCGCACAGATAACCAGGCCTTATGAAGGTGAAATTAGTTTTCAGGAGCTGCACTGCTCACTTGATTGATTCCGTCTTAGAAGTCATATGACTTAATGTTTCCTGCTTGGGCTGCCTCTGTCATGCAAACATGACCTGATAACACATTGTCAGGAGCGCTCCAGAGAGCTAACAGCAATCTAACATCTTTCTACTGAGTGTGAAGTTCCATCTGAAATGTGCATATTTGATAAGCAGCTCGTCTTCTCTCTGTCCCTTTCATTTTCAGAAAGTTAATCTTTCCTGCTCTAGTGAGTGCACTGGAGGGATGAGGTGGGCAGACGTGCCGCAGGTGGCCTCAAACTCCGGCACCTGGGGACGCTTACTGTGTAGAGGCCAACGTGTCTGGAATAACTTCCAAGAGGCAGCCAGGCAAGAAGTGACAATGCAAGTCTGCCATCGTGTTCAGAAGGGCCAGAAATGCCAAGGACTCAGGGGAGGAGAATTAAGTCAGAGAGTTTCATTACTGAGTGTTGTTTGACTTTGTTGTCACGGATTCATTTAACCATCTCTCTACCATGGTAAAAATGTGTATCCTATGTCCAGTATGAAATAAAAACTGCCTCCTTCCAAATTAGAGGTGGCTGAACCATAGAATTTTGAAACTGAAAAACACATAGAGCCCTCCCACTTCATAGCCCCGTTTTACAAATGAGCAAATCTAAGCTGGGAAGGGCTAAGTGGCTCAGCAAAGTCACATCTCTATATTAAAGGTAGATCCAGGACTAAGACTAAGATCTCTAGATCATTTTAGTTCTCCCAGCACACTCCATTGTACCACTCTTCAACTCAGTCTGACTCAGGTGTCAAAGAGCTTCCAAGCAAGGGTCACGTTTGAATCAAATATAACTTTTCATCCTGATCTAGTTTCCAATTTCCTCATACAATAATATAATTTTTATTGAACTTCACACATAACAAAGTATAACCACAGACATGATTTCATTGTCATACACAAATAAATTTTATAAGACAAAGCATGGCAGGCATTCTTGTCACTTTACTGGTAAAGAAGCCAAGAATCAGAAAAGTAAGGTGACTTCTACAGGGTAAGACAGAAAGTACTTGGAGGAGTACTAGTTTGGTTTGAGATAACCAAAGGAGAGAAAGCCATGAGAACCCAAGAACTAGAATATCCAATATTGAAGAGTAGCCAAGAGTCAGTTACGTTGCCAGACTGGAAAGCATCCAGACCAGACAAAAGGAAGAGGGCAGGGTGGTCCAGAAGGAAGACTCCAAGAAAATAATAAAACCAAAGTAAGTGATCTTATTTTTTAAAATTACTAACTTTCCAGCTTTAGTAAAGTATAATTGACGAATAAAAATTATATATATTTACAGTGTATGTGTTTTGATATATGTATATGATGTGTAATTATTAAATCAAGCTAATTAACATATCCGTCTCCTCACATACTTGTCATTTTTTGTGGTAAGAATATTTAAGATCCACTTTCTTACCAATTTTCAAGTAGACTATAGTCTCTGTGCTGTATAATAGATCCCGAGAACTTACTTATCCTAACCGAACCTTGTACACTTTGACCAACCTCTCAGCCCACGGCAACCACCATTCTACTTTCTCTGCTTCTGTGAGTTCAACTTTTTAAGATTCCAGATATAAGTTAGATTGTGCAGTATTTGTCTTTCTGAGCCTGACTTCTTTCATTCAGCATAGTGTCCTCCAGGTTCATCTGTGTTGATATGGTTCAGCTGTGTCCACACCCACATCTCATCTTGAAATGTACTCCCATAATCCCCACATGTGGGAGGGACCCAGTGGGAGATCGTTATAATTATGGGGGCAGTTTTCCCCATATTGTTGTCATGGTAGTGAATAAGTCTCATGAGATTTGATGGTTTTATAAGGGGTTTCCACTTTTGCATCTTCCTCATTTTCTCTTGCTGCCACCACGTAAGAAATGCCTTTTGCCTCCCGCCATGATTCTGAGGCCTCCCCAGCCATGTGGAACTGTAAGTCCAATTAAACCTCTTTTTCTTCGCAATCTCAGGTATGTCTTTATCAGCAGCATGAAAATGAACTAATACGTATGTTGTCACAAACGACAGGATTTTCTTCCTTTTTAAGACTGAAGGGTATTCCATTATATATACCACATTTTCTTTATCCATTCATCCATCAATGGACACTTAGGTTGATTGCGTATCTTGGCTATTGTAAATAATGCTGCAATGAACATGGGAGTGCAGCTATCTCTTTGACATACTGATTTCATTTTCTTTGGCTATAAACTCAGAATTAAGATTGCTGGATCATATGAATTTCTATTTTTAATTTTTTAAGGAACTGCCATTCTGTTTTCCATGATAGCCATACTAATTTACATTCTCACCAAAAGTGTAAAAGAGTTCCCTTTTCACCACATCCTTGCCAACTCTTCCTTTTCCTCACCCCCAACTTTTCCCTTTTTTTATAATAGCCACTGTAACAGGTGTGAGGTGATATTTCATTGAGATTTTAATTTGCATTTCTCTGAACAGAGATTGAGGATTTTTTTCATGTATGTGTTACTTATTTGTATATCCTTCGCTCATTTTTGATTGGGTTATTTGGTTTTTTTGCCGTTGAGTTATTTGTGTTCCTTATATATTTTGGATGTTAACCCCTTATCAGATGCATGTTTTGCAAATATTTTCTCCCATTCTGTAGGTTTTCTGTTCATTCTATTGATCGTTCCCTCTACTATGCAAAAGTTTCTGGTTCGATGCAATCCATTTGTCCATTTTTTATTCTGTTGCCTGTGCTTTTGAGCTCATATCAAAAATATCATTGCTCAGATCAATGTCAAGAAGCAAACATTTTCTAGTAGTTTTACAGTTTCAGGTTTTACATTTACGTCTTTAATCTATCTGCAGCTGATTTTTGTATGTAGTATGAGATAAGGGTCCAATCTTATTCTTCTGGAGGTGTATATTCAGTTTTCCAATTGTATGTCCTTGACACCTTTGTCAAAAAAGCAATTGACTATAAATGTGTGGATATATTTCTGGGCTCTCCATTTTGTATCAGTTGTGTATATGCCTGTTTTTATGCCAGTACCATGCTGTTTTGATTACTATAGCTTTGCATATATATGATTTGTTGATCATTGATAAAAGAATATTCATTTGTTGTTGAAAGATCTAAAGGAGAATTTTGGGGTAAAAAACCAAAGGTACTTGGAAAACTATGTAAATTTTAAAAAGACAATGATTATCATTAGGAAATATTCAAAGGAAAGCATTATTCTGATAGACTATTTGGCTCTGATGTAAACAATATTTAAATGTCATTAACAGTACAATCACTGACTTTGGATTAACAAAGTTTTGTAATTAAGTATTTTGGGAGGATAATAGGAGTGTAAGAAAGCCAAATCCTCATCTACACAAAAAGGAAGTCAATAAATGAAGTCTGAAGTTGATAAATCTGTCAGTTGGCCTTTGCCATGTAACAAACAACTACAAATGCTAGTGGTTTAAAACAAGAACCATATTAATTGTTCTAGATTCTATGGGGTAACAATTTAGGCTGCGCTTAGATGGGATAATGTATCCTTGCTCCGTGGGATTTCAGCTTATCCATGTGTTGTAGTCAGTTAATGGTAGGTGACTTCACACATGTATGTGGGCAGTCGCTGGCTGTTAGCTGTGCCAGTGATGGCAACTGAGCCTTGTGTCACTCATCCAATAAACTAGCCAAGGCTTGTTTACATCGTAGTAGCTCTATGAGCAGTGATGAAGCAAACCCTGATGCAAACCTCTGCTTTTATCATGTCTTCTAATGACACACTGGCCAAAGCAAGTCACATGGCCAGGCCCAGACTCAAAAGGTAGAGAAATAGACTTTACCTCTTCAAGGAGGAGCTACAAAATTATATTTAAAATGTGCCTAAATTCAGAAATCAGAAAAATGTATGGTTATTTTTGAAATCTACCATGCTAAACAGTAATAGCATAATCAAGCCACTATATTATACAAATCACACACACACATACACATATATATATATTTATGTGTGTGTGTGTATATATATATATATATACCATAATAAAAATTGAGACAAAATGGCTGCCTTAACATTACTTAAGTGGAGACATACAGTTAGGATAAAGTTTTCAATGAGATTTGACAGAGCTTCAAGAAGTCCTGTGTCTAAAACCATTTAGAAGGTAAGATGATGTGCTCCAGAAATTATGTAATGTAACTTAAAAAGTGGATCTAGAAATGAAGGTTCTGATGTTAGTTCAATTAAAGCATTTTATAAAATATGTAAAAAAAATTCTCAATTAGCATGTTATTTTACATACTATGAGTTTAAATGTATCTATAACTAAATTAGTCCTTGAATCTATTACATCCCTGAAATACTGAAGTTGGCCAAAAACTAACTTTCTGTTGAGACAGTGATAACTTCCATATGTTTGGTGATGACATATATATTCAGACACATAGAGTATATTATGTTAGAAGTATAACAAAATTTTAATAATAGTTATTTACTGGTAATAGAACTGCTAGGAATTTTAGAAATCTTTGGTTGGAATAGTCTAGTTTTCTAAAGTAAATATGTATTGTTGGCTGGGCACGGTGGCTCATGCTTGTAATCCTAGCACTTTGGGAGGCCAAGTTGGGTGGATCACAAGGTCAGGAGTTCAAGACCAGCCTGGCCAAGATGGTGAAACCCCGTCTCTACTAAAAATACAAAAATTAGCCAGGCATGGTGGCAGGCACCTGTAATCCCAGCCACTCGAGAGGCTGAGGCAGAGAACTGCTTAAACCTGGGAGGTGGAGGCTGCAGTGAGCTGAGATGGCGCCACTTCACTCCAGCCTGAGTGACAGAGCGAGACTTCATCTCAAAAAAAAGTATTATTATTTGAACACTAGTTTCCATCGACTTAAGGTCATTGGTGTAGATAGAAAGAAGAAAGTCTCACTCACATAAGGTCAAACAATCAATGGGTTCACAGCCCAGGTGCTGGCAAAGGAAAGTTCCCTTCTACATGAAAAGTGAGTGTTCAGTGAGTTTAGTTAATGAGGATCAATGTCGCTGCAGAGATTCTTCAAACAAACCAGAGAAAAATTAGCTGTGGAGGTGATGAAACTTTTCCATATCCTGATTGTAGTGGCGTTTAGAATTCAAAAAAATGAACACAAACATAAAAAGTCAATTTTCCTGAAGGATAACATAAAACATAAAATTAAAGCAACACAGAAGTCATGGAAAATACTAGTTCTCCATTCCTCCAGAACAGGAAAGAATCACAGTTTTTAAAAACAACACAAAAAGGAACTGTCTGATTTTAATTTCTTGGAAAGAATGTTTGCATTACATCCTGTATAAGGCTCCTCTCTTTAAACTAGGCCTAAATGCCACAAACAAAAAAAAAATCATACAACAGTTGAATGTTCATATCAAAAGAAGTCAAACATTCCTATCTTGCCACACATTAAATAATTTTTTAATTCATTCATTTTTCCCAATGGAAGGCCTGTTTCCTAAATTCTTCCCTTTTCTTTAAACAGCTCCATTAGTATCCAACATTGTATCCAACACCTCACTCACTGTTTGGCACATGGTAAGCATGCAATACATTTCTGTCAAAAATCAACCATTTATGTTTACCCCCAAATGTGCATATCCTGATGAAGTCAACATAACACTGAAAAACTTATCATCACCCAATAAATGATTGCTCACTAATGTCATCAATGACCACATAGAGCAAATATAAGCAAAACAAATCCACAGATTTGTGGATATGTGCATTCAATAGCCTGTGTCCATTTATCTTCACACATTTTGGGCATGGGCTAGTGTCTGGCTCTACAATGCCTGCTGAGCCAGACTTTTGAGAGACAGATAAAGATTAGGGTATCAAAGAGAACAGTGCGGTATTAGGGGATGTGTTTAAGAATTCAGAACATTTCATATTTTGACTGGATAAAGGATGGGAAAATAATCCTCAAACACCTCTCTCTTTCCTTTGCTTTTCCTCCAGTGTTATCAGTTTACACTAAATATCAAATCTATCAGTGATATTTAGCATTACTCAGGATGCTGCCATACCACTGTAGAAGGAAAAATGAGAGAGAACCCCTTCTTCAACGTTGTCACAGCCCAGAGAAAAGACACCTAAAGCGAATGTAACCTTTGTAACCTGATTCCCAACCACAAGACTCTGAACTCTATTATGTTCCTTTGTCTTTTGGCTTAGGAAAATTCATGTTGTTGACCTAAGGTGAACAGTGATGAACACATCCTCCTGGTTAGTTCAGAAATTCATCAGCCTTCCCCAGGCAAACTGTTGATCTCTTTTTTGCTTTTCCAGAACCAAGTCTAGGCTACAGCCACTGGCAGAGCAGTTGTATTATGAGTAAAGCAATCAGTGGTCTGGGGTTGAAATCTCCGAACAGTTTTTCCATCTGTGACATCAATTCTGTTTGGGAGCAGAGGTGACAGGCTTGCGTGTTAGCCGGAGTGTTTGCTCTGCCTCACAGAGTACAGACAAGCCAGTGCATCACCTCACCTGGCCAGTGCGTGCTCTAAGCTTGCTCAGGTTCATGTCACAAATGCAGCTGCAAGCCTGGCCACATTGATTGTGTGTCCCAGTTCCCCTCTCACTTAAAAAAAAAAAAGAAAAAAAAAAGAGAAACTGTCCTTTATTGGTCCCTCTTCCTCAACACATTTGAAAAATTTCCTCCAGGTCAAAGCATTCATTCATTTTCCTTTGAAATTCTCTAGATGCATTTTTCAGATCAGCCACTAGATGCCCAGATGCCAAAATGAAACTCTAGCAGCTTTTCTATGGAAAACACGATGGTTTTGTAATTTAACAAAGATAGATTATTTCAACTGTGCTGTCACAAAGCGTAGGAAAGGCTTTCGTATCCTCGGGGAGTTGTTTTGTTGCTGTTTTTTAATGTATAGAACAATGTCTTTATATAGATTAAGAGAAAAAAGCTCTTAAACCAAAAATTACTGGAAATAAAAAAGTTCAGAAGCTGCCACTACTTCACTGATAATATAGTGTAGAAAAAAAATATAGCTTTTCCCTTAGACTACAGTATCCAAGCTTCAACCTTCACGCTTCTCATAAAAATAAAATAAAATAAAATTTTTTTAAAAATTGTCCTACCAGCATCGCTGTCTAGCTTACCTATAGCAGTGCCTGGAATACCAGAGTCTGAACACACAAAAATTAAAGAAGCAACCAGGGGCGTTAAAGTATCCCTGACATAGGTAGGGTTAATATCATAATTTCATTGTCCATGTTCTTTTCTGGCTTTTTCTGTTCTGTTTGTTTAGAGGATAGATCAGGTCCATCCTGGCTTCTTTATTATTTATTTGTTAATTTTTACACAGAGCCTCACTCTGCCCCCTAGGCTGAAGTACAGTGATGTGGCCTTTGTTCATTGCAGCCTTGAACTCCTGAGCTCAGAAATCCTCTTGCCTCGGTCTCCCAAAGTGCTGGGATTACAGGCATGAGCCATTGTGCCTGGTCATTCTGGCTACTTTTTATGTGGGACGTGGGCAATCCACTGAGCATCCAGACACCAGGGACTGGGCTGCAAAGAACCTCAAAATCACAGCCTGGGAATACTAGTGAAGAAACACGAGTTAGATTTGCCTGCATCTGAGTGGCTGGGAAGAGAGAGAGAGAGCAGAGCACGAGAAAGGTTTTTAAATTCCGAAAGGACTATACATGGAACTCCAAAACTGTGGGTCTAGAAGGAAACTCTGAGGGCACTTCCACCAACAGAAAAGACAATTTTCTCACCCTCATGGCCCTACTTTCCTCACTGATGGACATAAGCCCTTCCTATGCAATATAACTAAACATGCTATATAATTTTCAACAGGGCTTTAATGATCTTCCAAAACAATGGAGGAAAAACACTTTATAGATAAATTAAAATCCCCAGGCCAGCCTCACATCCATCATGGGGTCTGTTACTCAGACGTTTTCCTGCCTCACTCCCAACCTGCCTCCACTGGCCAGGGGCACTTCACCTTTTGCCTCAGCAAGTTATCTCACTGCCTCCACACTTGGGGATCCAAGCCGAACTTCCTTCTGGGTTCTAGAGAGAGAAGAAAGCTGTTTTATCCCTTTGTGCAAAGACTTAACTTCTGCAAGACTTCCTTCCCTGTTCTGTGATATTCCTGGAGTAATTACACAATCACCCCAGGTTCTGATCCAGATACATGGTGACATAGGCTGAAATATTTAGATTTTCCCACTGTCACCTAATGCAAGAAAGAACTTGCTGTTAAAGCTGAGAAAAAGTGAGACGTGTGAAGTCCAAAGTACTGAGCACCCCATCACTGGAAAGGGTTTAGAATGAGGCAGTGAAATCCCAGCCCAGGAAACAGTTCATGAATTGAGGGAACAATTAGCTTCAGAGTCCTCATTTAGTATATCCCATCCAATTATATGTTTCTATTATTTTTATAGACCCCACACTGGAATGCAAACAGGGCAGGTCCAGAATTTGGGAGCCACACAGAATAATGGTATACCAAAACATTTTTTTTGAAGATAGATTTTACAAAGATGACAAGCAATCGTATGAGATTATGGAGGTTAACTCTTAACACGGCTGTACATAAAACTGAAAAAACATTTGCTTTAAAAATTATCAAAGGAAAATGACTCCATTTTTTTAAATAATTGTGCCTACCTTAAACAATGCTGTCTATGAAATATTGACACCTATATTATCCAGACAATTCTAGAATCACCTCTTTTAAGGAGTAAGTAAACCTCCTTACCAAAAAAGAGAAAGTCGAGTCAGGATTCTTGTTGGCACATGCTAAACCAGCTATCTGGCAATGTTGGTCCTATCATTCACATATTCTGTGTTTTTAGGAAATATGATCTGCACCATCACACACCATGTCCAGGAGGAGCTTCTGCCATGTCAGTGAGGGCAAAGCAGTGTGTAGAGTTCATTGTCAGGTTGCAGAGGCAGAAGGTAGCAGAAAAGATAAACCATTTGCACATATTTCTCCCTGAGGCAAGGGACCTAAACAAAACTCTTGTATTAGGAGTATTATACATCAAGGAATTCAAAGCAATATTTACACTCAAAGGAACTACAGAGGTACAGAGGTTGTCCATTTGCCCACCTATGGTGTTACATGCTATCAAAATTTCATGTTCTGGAAAAGCCAGCTTCTCAAAGCAACATTCACCCAGAACAGGACCAAGGTTTGAGAATGAAGCCATTGCCACTCCAAGGTTCATTCATGCCAAGTTTGGCTGTAAATTTCTTTCTGCTACCACATAGCCATTTTTTACAGCAGAAAATGTTAGCCCAAAGACCATAAAACCCACCTATTCCCTCTCTTCTCATGAGAGTCTTACAAAATGGAATATCACCTATGTATGCAATTTAGCTTTGGTTCAAATAAGCACCATTATTAATATCCTCCCAAAAGTTACACTAAGAAGACTTGCCATTTAGATGTTGTCATTGCTCCAACAACGTAGTGTCAGTTAATCATGCAATGACACGGAGGAGGCCTCAAAGAAAATGATGTGAGGAACAACAGGCTATAACTTACTGTGTTCATTCATTTATCTATTCCGCCATGCATTCAATGTTGATTTATCAAACATTGACTATGTGCCTGGCACAGTATTAGGCATTACAGGTGTAGATATGTGCAAGATCCACAGTCCCCACAGTATGGGATTGAGTCTCAACTCAATATGGTAAGTGGTGCAAGATGTAATAGAAACAGAGCATGCACAGGGTGAACACCCTTATCTCAGCTTGAGCAAGGACTATAGTTCTTAGCTTAAAAGCTGAGCATTGGCTGGGTGCGGTGGCTCACACCTGTAATCCCAACACTTTGGGAGGCTGAAGCGGGCAGATGACCTGAGGTCAGGAGTTTGAGACAAGCCTGACCAATATGATGAAACCCCATCTCTACTAAAAATACAGAAATTAGCCAGGCATGGTGGCATGCGCCTGTAATCCCTGCTACTTGGGAGGCTGAGACAGGAGAATTGCTTGAAGCCAGGAGACGGAGGTTGCAGTGAGCTGAGATGACATCATTGCACTCCAGCCTGGGCAACAAGAGCAAAACCCCGTTTAAAAGAAAAAAAAAGGCTGAGCACTGAGATCAAGAATTGGAGATCAAAGACATGAAACCATGATGCAGCCAGTCCTTTGGTTATGGAATATATGGGGGTGGGAAGAAGGGTAAGAGAACACGAAGCTAGAAAGGCGGGGAGCAGTCAGAAAATAAAGAGTTTGCGTGACTTTGTCCTAAAGTCCTGATGAATTGAGGAATTTTAAGAAAGAGGGTGGTTAGCATGATTATATTCATGTCCTACAAAGGCCACCCTATAGCAGTGAGAACCATGTACTATAATAGGAAAAGAGAAGATCAGAGGAAAAGAAAACTACCAGGAGAACCCACTGTACGGGAGAAAAATTTTCTTTTCTCTCTCTTAGGTTCAGCACCTGGGGCTCTGCAAATTAAACCGACAAAAGATTAACAGGAAAATAAAAACAGTTTATTTATATGTGTAGTACATACAGAAGAGCTCAGTGATGAGTAACTCAAAGGGGTGGTTAGAATTTGGAACTTATATGCCTCTTAATAGGTGAAGAGTTGGGGCAGAAAGGCACTTACAGAAAAACACATGACTTTTTGGAAAGATAAATGTGTTTTTAGGATAACAAACAAGAGATAAGAAAGTTTATAATAGTGTTTGTTTATACAGGTATGCATAATCTTTCAGTCTCTTCAGGACCATAAAACTCCCCTGGAGAAGGGATTTGTGGTAGGTTTCATTCACATTCTCCCTTCTGGGAGTAGATCCTAAAATTTGTGGCAGTCTTGCCACAAATTTCTCTTCATCTGTTGAATCTCAAACGTCTCCAGCTTAAAATAATCTTTATACCAAGGGGCATATTTTGGGGTGGAATATTCTGATCCCCTTTAGCAACAAAGAATATTCCAAGGCAATGGTAGTGAAGATAAAACGGAGCCAGTTTACAAGGCAGATTTGTCAGTTTTAGTTGACCAACTAGGTATTGGGGACCAGGGTTAGAAAGGAGACGGAATCAGGGTTTATTGATGGGTATCTGGCCTTGCCTAGAACTGTAGCCCTTAAACCTAGGTGCATGGTATTATTAATTAAGGAGGCTTAAATAACATCCAGCCTGGGCCCTCCTCCCCTCAGGGGTCCTATTAAACTGGTCTAGGATAAGGCTCAGGGAATGGTATTTTTTAAAATCTCCCCAGATGACTATATGGTGAGTCAGGTTTGAGAACTTGCAATCTAGGGGATAAATGTGATGCCAAGACACAGGAAACTCAGGAAGTTGGAGACAGGTGGCTGATATTGCATAGAGAGGAAAAGGACATCTAGGGTTTCTCTATGGCCTTCCTGAGGTTGAGAAGGAGGTCAATTTCAGGTTAGCACAGATTTCAATGTCTGTGTTATTACTCAACAACGTGCCATAACATTTGTTGAAATGCTCTGATTTTTGGTTCCAAATGTACAGCTTCCTTTAGTATGAGAAACATTGGTAAGACCTGAGAAGAGAAAACAACTACAGGGAAATGTTTCTGCAGAAAAGGGCATAAAAAGGGTCAAGGATAAAACAGCAGGAATTTACATCCAAATTCAAAACCATGCGCTACATTTCATTTCTGGGGAAAGCTTCCTAACCCATGAATCCTTTTCTTAGTGAAACTCTTGAGTCAGGAAACCATTGCAGTGCAGGAATCATGCCAGTACCCTGGGGCACTGAGGGATTAATGAATACTTGTGTAGCTAGCCCATCCTACAATCCAATGAATAATCAATGGTACTTAAAGCTCCTCAGGTAATTGAATGGCAAACCTGGTAGTAAAGGAACCTGTATTCATAAAATTATGCCCATATCTATTTCTTAGTGTAGATAATAATGAAAGACCACTACTCATATGGATTATTTATTTCTTATACGTATTAAAAATTGAGCACAGTAAATTGGCTGTTTGCTAGTAGGCATTTTCTGCCTATACCATGTACATACTGAAGTACAACTGATAGCTATATAAGCCCATCTCCTCCATCTCCCACCTAGATGACATTAATACAAAAGTTACTGCAACGTCTTCTACTTTCAGAACTGAAGCAAGGAACAAATATGTGATAGCTGGTGAAATGCAGACTTTAGGGATCTAAAAAGTAAGTTTTAGAACATTAAATTGTACAGTGGATTAGTGACAGTTCGCATTTCTCCTGAGGGAAAGTATATATATACTATACATAGTATAGATACTATACTATCTATACTATATGTAGTATATGTAGTATATATACCATACTATTTATACTATATGTAGTATATATACCATACTATCTATACTATATGTAGTATATATACTATACTATCTATACTACATGCAGTATATACTATCTATACTACATGCAGTATATACTATCTATACTACATGCAGTATATACTATCTATACTACATGCAGTATATACTATCTATACTACATGCAGTATATACTATCTATACTACATGCAGTATATACTATCTATGCTACATGCAGTATATACTATCTATGCTACATGTAGTATATACTATCTATACTATATGTAGTATATTTTTTATATATATATATATATATATATATATAGAAGCCAGGAGTATATATATAGTATATAGAGAGTGTGTGTGTGTGTGTATGTGTATATATATATATATATATATATATATACACACAGTACGTATATAGTGTATATGTATGTGTATATATGTATATAGTGTATTTATATATATATATATTTTTTGCAGCCGGGAGTATATATATAGTATATATAGTGTATATATATATATAATTCATTCATATACTATAATTCTGTCTGCCAAAGCATTTCTGTATAATCATTTTAACTTGAAATTGTATGTGGGCACATTCTGCATGTGCAAACCATGACAATTCAATAATATATATAATGTATATTAATATATAATATAATATACATTTATATATATCTTAGTGTGAATTCCCAGCAATTACATCTAGTTTCCTGTGCCTTCAAAATTCAAGCCTGAGCTTCAGCTTTGGGTATTGTTACTGGTAGGTGGGGGGAGGTCCCCAAACACTAATGAGATCTTGGTCCCTGCTGGTGTCCAGGATCTTGACACCATCACAAGAATGAATTCAAGGATGAGTCAGAAAATAGTGAAAGTATGGAGGTATGGAGATATATTGCAAAGCAAAAGTACACACTCAGGAAAGGGGATTGCAGGTGAACTCAAGGGACAGAGTCATGCACGGTGGGGCATGTGGGTTCTGCCTTTATGAGTTTCTTTAACCAAGAGGTGGAACATTCATGAAGATTCCTGGAAAAGGGCAGAAATTTCTCAAAACTGTTGTGCCACTCATTTTTACACCAAATATAGGTGTTCTCAGAACTCATGGCACCAGTGAGTGTGAGATTTACTATGTTAATGAGCATATAATGAGGCCCTAGGTGAAACCTAGGTCAAACCTAGGGCCGTGTTGGGTCTAATTGGTCTTAGCCAGCTTGGCCCACATCCTAGTTTTTGAGGGTCTTATCAGCCTCTAGCTTCTGCAGCTACTTCAATACTTTCCTCTTGCTAGTTATGTGAAACTGCTGCCTGAAATTCTCTATTGCCTGCAATCATTTTGTAGTATTGCTGTCTCAGTATGACATGAACCATCTCCATGAAGTTGCACAAGTCATTGGATATATCTGGTCATATCTTATCACCACCTGTAACACAAATAACTATTCTAAATAATTTCTAAACTCCTCCTAACAGCAATGATCTTCCATAATTCTAAACTTTTCCATTGCTCTTCACTCTTTTTCTCACTCAGTATTACTTTTGTTATCCTGTGCATCCTTTTGATTTAAGGAATATGATCAATCATAGTTGCTAAGAAATAGAAAAGTATATACAAAAATCCAATATAGACATGAGTATTAGCTTTTTATGTTGTTGTAATAAATTACCACACATTTAATGACTTAAAACAACACAAATCCATTCTCTGTAAATTCGGGACTCAGAAGTATAAAATCAGTCTCATTGGGCTTAAGTTAAGGTGTCAGTAGAGCCAGTTCCTTCTGCAGGCCCTGAGGGGAGGATCATTTCCTCACCATTTTTAGTTTCTAGAAGCCACCTGTATTCCCCAGTTTATAGTCCCTTACTTTACCTTCAAAGTCAGCAGTGTAGCGTCTTCCAGTGTCTTAGTCTCTGACACGTGCTTCGGACATCACGTCTCCTTCTCTGGCATGATTCTTCTGCTTTCTGTTAAGAAGATCCCTGTGACTACATCTGTCCCATCAGGATAATCTCCACATCTCAAGGTCCTTGTTTTAGTCGCATCTGCAAAGTTGCTTTGCTATGTAAGGTAACATATTCACAGGTTTGGGGAATTAGGCCATGGACATCTTTGAGGGCATTATTCTGTCTGCCAAAGCATTTCTGTATGATCATTTTAACTTGAAATTGTATGCAGGCACATTCTGCATGTGCAAACTACGACAATTCGATACAAACAGATTATGGCTTTTTCAACAACTGCAAACCCATAGATATCATGCTAAGAAAGAACTTAGCAAAGTACAGTCAGCTACTGGTGGAAACAAAATGTGTCTATAGTTTGTGCATTTGCACTCTCGATGTTCTCTAATACCAGATTTGGCCATGAGGTAAAACAACTGGTTTTACTACATCTTTTCATAGGCAATTGATTGATGTTAAAAATAATTCCCATGTATGCAGGTTCATTGTGAGAGCACTGTCTGCATATGTATGGAAATAAACTGTATGTGCAGTACAGTGCATAAAGCAGTGTGTTACGTGAGGTGATATTACACACACACACACACACACACACACACACACGAATCAGACACATAAATTCAAACTTCCAAGTTAATCCTGCCACCTACAAAAGCGTTCTCAGTTCATACAGAGTGTGAGATTAGTAATCACTATTTGACCGCCCCCATGTAGGCAGGGAAAAGGGGAAAAAACGAAACAACAAACCCTAAGATTCAAATGTGTTAAACCTATTTCATCTGTCAGATGGCAAAGGAATGATCAAGCTGCTGCTGGTTTTCGTTGATATGTTTAAGCTTTCTTATTCTGGTAGGGCACAGTAAGTTTTGCCTTTAATTTAAGATGTAGATTTCATTACAATGAACCTCCTGACATTAACAGAG
This sequence comes from Homo sapiens, assembly GCF_000001405.40. NCBI lineage: Eukaryota > Metazoa > Chordata > Mammalia > Primates > Hominidae > Homo > Homo sapiens. The sequence goes on from NC_000009.12 coordinate 81,112,505, forward strand.
GGCTTCCTTTTTAAAGCTTCACTTTAATTGCTATTCTCATTATTTTGCAAGCTTTTGCCCTAACATATCCCAGGGGTCTTGACAACATGCTTCTTCTCTTTTTAAAAAACTTCAAGGCCTGATTGTGATAAATTGTTAGGGGCTGTGAATAAACACTAGTTAAATTACAGTATCTAAAATAGCTAATAAGGGAACAATTTATGATGTGGAATTTAAAAGGAATCCCTAATTGCACTTCAGTTTGCTGCGAGGATGCGCCTTCTATAACATTAACAGCTATTTTGTTTTGTGAGCTGGCTCTGTGCCAGGGTTTGAGAGCTAATTGGAATTAGAATAACATTTCTCACAGGCCATTCATTTGCTCAGGCTGAGTACAAATTACTATGCAAGGGAGGCTGAGGGTTCCTAATGATACAGGATAATGATGTTTTATTCAGATTTTAACGAGGTGTAATCATTCTGGTTGAGAGAGAAAAAGATTAAGAGGGTGCAACAATTACCAATTTTTACAACTGATTAATCGCAAGCCATTACTTGTTCTTGGTCAAATAGGCATTATAATGACTATTACCATTTTCAGCTATTTTTAATGCAAATTGCATTAGCTTGTAAAACCTTGCCAACTATGCCACATAAATGATGTGCCTGAATGAGCCAGAGCAATGAAAGCATTAAAAAAAAATTCACTTTGACAATGTACAGAGGGAGGTTTGAGTGATGAGCACGTATTTCCAAAATGTTCAGACAGGGCAGGACGTTTCCAGCAGACAACACATTTGGCCTCAGCTGTTAGTAAAGAGCTGAAAGAGACACACACTCTGTCACCGAGAAAGTAAAGGGTAGTACTTCTGTCTTAGGTATGCATGGTGAAAAGTCCTCCCCATTCCATGTGCAAAGCTCTGGTTCAGAGTAACTAAACTTGACAGCTGTACAAGAAAAGGAAGCTTGTCAAATGGCATGCCAACTGTACACATGTGACATTTTTAATTTGGTTTCTTACTTCCTCAGAGGAAAAAAAACATGGCCACTAAGAAGCCGTGTCTTCGAAACACAAAAATGAAGAAGGAACAAGGGGTGGGTACATCAATTCTCTAAAAGTAGGTCTTTTTATAGGTGGTATGGTTTGAGCAACTATTCTGTGGTTTGGTGGTTTTCTTCATGTTTCTAACTGAAAGACTATTCCTGTCTGAGTGGATGAATTAAGAGGAAATACGAGCAAAGAGGAAAAGAAACAGCAACAGCAGCAACAAAAGAAGTGACTCCGCCATACAAAGTCAAGTGAGAAAACATCTGTTGGAAACAGCTACATAGGAGGAAATCGTAATCTGTTAATGGCTACTCCTGGGAATAGACAGCCATCCCTAGAAAGGTGCACTTGGGTGGACTTAGGGTGAGCAAGTGTGCCTTTTACAGCTGCTCTGTTATTATACACCGCTGTGGGTGGCCCTTGAGTTGTTAATTAACAAAGTGATGACTATCCATCATACTTTCAAATCCTTTCCAAATGATAGAAAATTAGCATGCTTCTTTATGATTCAGAGGCAAAATAAACTCTGTATTGCCTCTTACAACACGGACCCTCTCTGCTCCCCTAACAATAGGGAATGATTTGCACAGAGGCTGCTAAGTAGGATAACAGGTGTACACTTATGGGGCGGAAGCATTTTTCGTGCTCTGGGAAGAGAATAAGGGTATCTGATTTTATTGTTTCTTCCCAATTTTCAGAGTACCTTTCTTAGTAACTTAAATATCATCTTGTTCCTGCAGGGCAAGATGAATGCCATTTTAAATAAGCCCACCAACCACATGTATGACTAAATTGAAGAGCTTCACCTAAGTAGCGGTAGCTTCCAAACTGGAGTTAGTTGGGTAAATAAATAGATAACTGGCTGAGCACAGTGGCTCACGCTTAACACTTTGGGAGGCTGAGGTGCATGGTTCATTTGAGCTCTGTAGTTTAAGACCAGCCTCGGCAACATAGTAATATTCCATCTCTACCAAAAAAAATTTAAAAAAATTAGCTGGGCACAGTGGCTCACACCTGTAGTCCCAGCTACCTGGAGGGCTAAGACAGGAAGATTGCTTAAGCCTAGGAGGCGGAAGTTGCAACGAGCTGAGATCATGCCACTGCACTCCAGCCTGGGTGACAAAGTGAGTCCCTATATCAAAAAATAAAAAATAAACAGGAAATAGATAACTAAAATATCTGAAGTGCATAGCCTTTAGCCAAGGGCAGCCTTTGAACTGTTAACTTTTTAAATTTAAAGTACTGAGATTATGCTACTGCCATTTAAATGTGATTAATAAAGAATAATCTAGAAAAAAAGGATATCAATCATTTTTTAAAAATAAGTCTTCCTCTGTGCTCCCTCATATATTATTAGGAATGCTGAACCACTTTTTGGTGGATTTTTATTAAAACTATTGTAATAAATAAAATCTATTCAATATAAAATTTACTCTGAAAACCAGGACCAAGCTCCTTTGACTATTAATAAGTATTTGAAAAATATGTTAATAAGAAACAAATATAAACTTAGTTGTTATTCCCCATGTAAATCCTTTTCTGGATTTTTTTTTTGGCTACTGTGGTTTTCATTTCTTCAAAAATTATGTTAAATACAAATATAATTTGTATACATATATAGGTAAAATCAACAATTTTTAAAGTTATATTAATTATCATCAGTTAGGATGTAGATTCGGGATCTGAAACATAGAAGCTAAATTACTCTGAGACAAAAAACTAAATAGTAGATCTAAAATTATATTCTAATTTTCAGTTCATTGGGTCCCCACTAGGCCACATTTAAATCTTGAGAAATAGGACAAGCAAAATTAATAGTAAATATAAAATGAAGAGAGGCAAATTGATGATGCAGTTCCAAAAATATCAAAACTCTTACTCCACCTCCTAAATTATCCCTATTTCCTTTTCCGTATTTGAACAGCTTGCACATTTTTGCAAAAAGTGAATTTGGAAATAACCTGCTAACAGAATAACATTTAAAGAAAAGGATAGCAAGTTTTCATACATAAAGGCCATTGTTCTTTAAATACCAGATACCCTCAGATATCCTAAACCAAGGAATATTCTCTTTTCCTTGAGTGGTTTTGCTCTTGACCCTGGGACGGGCCTGGGAAGTCAGGAAGAAGCCTCCCATCACCAGGTAGGACCTGCTTCACCAGGTGCACCCACTTCATCAGGTAGCTGCAGTTCTTGCTGGGGACAAATAAAACAGACTCAGGGAAAATAAATCTAAGAAAGATTCAGAATACCTTTCCTTTCAAACTGAATACAATATTTTCTCGATTCTGTTTTCTTAATAAGTATCTCAGGCTGGACCGACATACCTGTTTCTCTCACATTTGAGCCACTCTAGCGACCCTCTCCCCCCAAAAAGAGAAAAAATCATCAAAATACACCTTTGGTTCTATGAACTGAGGTGGGCTTTAACAGCAAAATCTGGTTCCTGATGCTTTCTTGAAGCTAATAATTTATCCTTTTTCTGTTTCTAGTCACCACCACCACCCTCCCTGGATAAAAAGTAAAAAAGAAAAATTTCTCTTACATGGAGAAACCTGTTTATCACAATGATTGTCAGCTAGCTAAGAAAAAGCACACTCCTTTCCCCACATATTAAAGAAACAAGTATTTGTGTAAATGTTACTCTGGTTGCTGTGATGAAGGGGCTGGCTGCAGTCAAGAGCACCAAAGCCGTCAGATAGAAAATATCTGCTGTGTTGCTGAAACCAGGAGCTGACCCTTGGCTCTAATGGAGTAGTTATGCGCCATGATGACAACACAGGAACACAAGACAGGCAAGTTGGAGATCAGCACAAGAAGGGTTAATGAAACGCCCTTCACCATACTGCAGGGAGTTGCATCTGCAAAACCCTCAACCTTTGCCAGTTTTATTTGCATCTAGGAGAGGGGCTCCCTGTTATGAGGAAGTCTGCCCCCAAGACCTTTTACTTGGCCTTTCTCTGTTAATTCCAGCAATATGCAATAAGACCTGCCACCAAGAGGTGGCCAGAGGTGGAACGGCCAAGTAGAAATTTCATTTCCCAACCAAGGGAACATTTCAATTTCTAGGAAATCAATTGAGCTTCTATTAAAAACAAGGACACACCTATGTGCTTTCCGCAAATAGGCTGCTTCCTGTTGGAAGGCAGAAAGCTGCCCTCCCCTGAGCCTCCAGATGAGCTCTGATTTATCCCTCCTGCACCAAGAATCATGTGAGCTGAAAGGTCAGGCAGTTAAAGATTTATGCTTTGTTTTATAAGATTGCTCAGAGAGAGACTCTTTTCCCTCTCTTGTTTATTTTTTATCCTCCTCCAGCCTGTTGTCCATTTTTTCTGCCGAAGCTAGACCATAGAAAAGGAAATGGGAAAATGCCTTGTAATATGAGCCCAAGAGCTTGCTGTCTCCCCAGATGGCAGGCTGTGTTGAACCAATGAGGGCAACCCCCGTGGCCGGCCACCACAACCCACCCAGAGAGGGGCACATGCATCAGTGCGCCTTGTAAATCTTTTTTAACCTCAGTTCTGAACTGGGATTTATTTGTTTTTCTAGGCAGATGGATCTGGCTCTCTCTGGGCCTTACAAAATGATCTGTCACTGTCTACCTTAATAACCTACAGCAGTCTGTAATAAAGTCAGCTTGCCCGGTCTAGCAAGTGGACGCCATAGCTTAGATCATATTAGGTCTTTTTTGTTTATTAGACATCTATCTTGGGCTGCCCAGGCATTGGTCTTTTCTCAAGTATACACCCCTATCTCCCACCACGGGAGAGCCATCTGAGCAAGGCATTGTAGAGGATGAAGGTTATGTGTGTTTATTACCTGCTTGCTGGGTGTGATCTTTTATGTTTATTACTGACATGGTAATATTTGGGGAAACAACCAGCCCAGACCTGATAGGTGAGAATGAGTTAAAAATCTTAAGAGCTTACACATTTTTAACCAATGTGTATCTTACCAATCTCATTTGCTTCTCGCCAAATCTGTCTCTCTTTTCCTATTTAATATAATCGTGACCCTATGAACAGAGCTAGAAACAATCAGCATGTTTTGAGTTTTCTCTGTTCCCCTTATATCAAGTCAGTCCCATTTCTTACTGATTAAGCCTGAAAAATGTCCGTGCCTCACTGCAGCCCTCCAACATGTCTCCTGGGCTTACTGTGATAACCTCAGATCTATCTTCCCCGCCAGTCTATGTCCCCCCTCTTTAATCTATGGATCCCAACACAGCATCCTGATCCAGAAATCATCAATGCCTAATCTTTTATTCAATGTAAAGTCCCAAATCCTTACAATAGCATCCCCTTCACTGGCTAGACTCATTTGCTATCCACTCCCTTCATGCTCATACCCATGAGCTTGCTCCACTCCCCGTGCACCCTCCTCAACCTTTCCAGATCTCCATACATCTACTGCAGTTTTTCTATCTAGAATTCCCATTGTCCTTCCCTTAACTCAGAAGAAACAAAAATAGCCATTTCTATAAGATCTACTTCAAAAGTCATCTTCTCCATTGAGCATTCCTCAGCACCTCCAAGAAGAGTGAATCTCTTTTTCCTGTGATGCCTCTTTATTCATTCTGCAAGGAGGCATCTATACCTCTGCATCATAGCAAGTTGCAAGCATTTCTCATTTCCCCCATGCCAGACTTAGAATTATTTGAAGTCAGAGCATGTCTTATTTGTATCTCTACCCCTAGCAATGGGCCCAGTATTTAGCCATTGAAGTTAGAATTCTCTGATAAGCTGCAAGAGCATGACAAGTTGATTAGGTCTCTGAATGTACTTGGCTTTGCAAAAGGTCACTTAAGGAGAATTATGTAGATATACCCTATAATATTTTCTAAAGGCTTATAATCTAAATCAGGTTCAGGCACTTCAGTTTAGACTGAACTTGGTCCCTCTCTATAACATCTCTTCTACCCTTGTAATGTTTAAATATTATAATAGCAAATTTTAAGTCCCAAGACTTGCAATGACCTTGTAGAGGTCAGCTGTTGCTTTTGTGGCTTCCTAGCATCCACTGCATATTCTCTTGCTGAAAGTATTCAGAGTTCTTTGGGGAACTTACTAGCTTGCTCTTTGTGTACATTCCGCTAAGGCTGTTAAGCAAGGTTCTGAGTCCTGTTCTAACCACAGTGGTGGCATATGCCTCATGCCAACCAGAGGATACCCTCCTAGAATTTGAATGTTGAGCCCTGGAGTAAAGAGACTTAAAAGTGTTGAAGATAATTCATTTAAACAGAGCTTGAAGAGCCTTTTGAAAACTTGTTGCTAGTTAAACACAAGGAACTACTGTTTGTTTCTGAGCCAAGCTGTACAGAATTCCTGTTAATTCTGTGAAGTACAAAATATCCAATATCATTTCTATCCTATTTTTTGCTCAAGTTATCCAGGTTGGCTTTTATGGCTAGTCAAAAGAAAGCCCAGGCTGGGCACAGTGGCTCACATCTGTAATCCCAGCACTTCGAGAGGCTGAGGCAGACAGATTTCTTGAACCCAGGAGTTCAAGACCAGCTTGGGCAACATGGGGAAACTCCATCTATATTAAAAAAAAAAAATTAGCCAGGCATGCTGATGTGTGCCTGTAGTCCCAGCTACTTGGGAAGCTGACATGGGAGGATTGCTTGAGCCTGTGAGGTTGAGGCTGCAGTGAGCTGAGATCACACCACTTCACTCCAGCCTGGGTGACAGAGCAAGACCCTGTCTCAAACAAACAAACAAACAAACAAACAAACAAAACCCAGTTCAAAAGCATCCTCGATTAATAAAAATATATTAAACCCATTTACTATAGTCTAAGTGTTAATTCTATTATGTTATGCCCATTGGTTATATCCCAATTGGTGAGCTAGGTATGATATATAGGAAGTCTTCGTTACGATCCAATTCTAGATATAGCCAAAATAATTCATGCCTAAAAATCACTTACAGGTAACTTGAAGTCATGAAAGATATACACAAGATTTATTCCAATCCTCCCATCCCTCAAGAAGTAACATAAGCTATTTTCTTGATACACATGGAGTTTCTTTAACGTTGACTCATCTAACCTTTTTCATGTATACTTTTGTCCCCTGCTCCAATGCAGCAATGATATCAAACAGTAAGGGCACTACGAGTGTGTGGTACATTTAGCTTATTTACAAAAACTATAAACAAACTAGAAAACACAATTCTGCAGTACCAACAAAGTTCTATAGCATGCAGGCACAAGAAAGCCCCTTTTATCCATGATGTGAGGTCATTCCATTGTGACTTCCTTCTCTCTCAGAGCAAAGAATTCTTCTAAACTTCTGAGACTTCTCTCCAAGTAGAAGACATGAAAAACACTTATTTTTCAACTGATAACATGTACTTTATTTGCATAAACATTTCTCAGTAAGATTATCATGAGGAAGACAGCCTATCATAAGGATGACCAACAAAAGAAACCTCTAGTTAAAAAAAAAAAAAAAAAACCACCATGAAACACTACAGTCTGGTTCAGGGCTTTTACTCTTGTGGTTGCAAGAATGCATACTTCTGCAATATAGAACTTCTTATCTTATTCTTCTCTATGATTTATTTTTGGCCTATAGATGTTCTCCTGAATTCACTTGCTTTCACCAATATATTTCTAAACTAAACCTAAAACATTTACCTTCTCTTTGAAGTTGATTTGCCTTCCAAGCTAACTACTCAACATAAATCAATTGTGCCTATGGTTGTAAATTCTGATGTGAACCAACTTCAGTTTTAATTCAGGTACCATGGCCGGCATGGTGGCTCACGCCTGTAATCCCAGCACTTTGGGAGGCCAAGGTGGGCGGATTACCTGAGGTCAGGAGTTTGAGACGAGCCTGCCTAACATGGTGAAACCCCATCTCTACTAAAAATACAAAACATTAGCTAGGCATGGTGGGGAGTGCCTGTAATCCCAGGTACTCGGGAGGCTGAGGCAGAAGAATCGCTTGAACCCGGGAAGCAGAGTTGCAGTGAGCCGAGATCACACAAGTGCACTCTAGCCTGGGCAACAAGAGCGAAACTCTGTTTTAAAAAAAAAAAAAAAAAAAAAAAATCCGAGTACCAGTACAAACTAGCTGTGTGACTGGGGGAAAGAAAACCGAAACACTAAAATTCTGAGTATGTTTTCTCATCTGTAAAATGGATCTAATAAGTGTACTAGCCTCATAGGAATGTTGTGAGGATTAAATGAAATAATATATATTGCCTGGTACATAGTAAGCCCTCAATGAATGTTAATTTTGATGAGGATTATGATGATAATATTAATAATGTCCAATTTTAATACATTCATTTGGGAATTAAGGATGATCTGTACCATTACATTCTTTGTCACCTTCATACCATGAAAGATGACAACACTTAATGAAAAGCAGACAGCAATAATAGAAAAGTAGTCATCCCCAATATGAAGCAGTTATCAGTCTATCAGAAAAATTTCACAGTAAGGAGGATAATGCTATGATAAGTTTTTTTCTAAAGTAAATCTAGGCATCCTAAGTGAGAACTTTCAGTCAATTCCAGAACATTTTACCTTGCCTTTCCAATACTGGTCCTTGGCATAGTGTTTCCATTTTAATGTTTTTAATGTTTACATTCTGCTCCAATGTGCTCTAAAAAATAAGGCAAATGTATAAAGAGTATGGCTAACAGTCCAACTTTAGACATTGTTGGACTGTTATACATTCATCTTCCCACATGGAAAGCTTCTATACAACCAAATAGCATAAACTATTACAAGAACACATTTACATCCTATTGAAAACAGTAATGGAATGAAATTCCTTTATAAATGTTCAAATGATCTGTCATGTACAGAACTGAAACACCTGGGGTTTCGATTGTCCTCCCAGTGTCACAGGATCTTTGAGGTGCCACTTTTCCAGCCAGAAAACTCTGTGGCTGGTGGCACCTTGGCCTGAGTTTTGCTCAGGCCTGCTGAGCTTGTTCTGCCCACTCAACCTGGCAGGCTGCACTCGGCTCACACTACTGGCCTGGATCTCATGTCTGCCAATGGCGAGCCAGGCACAGAGTGGCGAGGGGTGTGTGAGTGAGTGATATGGTTTGGCTATGTTCCCACCCAAATCTCATCTTGAATTGTAGCTCCCATAATTCCCACGTGTTCTGGGAGGGACCCAGTGGGAGATAATGGAATCATGGGGTTGCGCCTTTCCCGTGCTATTCTCATGATAGTTTTGAAAAAGTATCACAAGATCTGATGGTTTTATAAAGGAAGTTCCTTCCCTGTACACATTCTCTTGCCTGCCACCATGTAAGATGTGACTTACTCCTTGTCTTCCATCAAGATTGTGAGGTCTCCCCAGCCATGTGGAACTATGAGTCAATTAAACCTCTTTCCTTAAAAATCACCCAGTCTCAGGTATATTTTTATCAGTAGAGTGAGAACAGACTAATACAGAAAGTAAGCATGGGGCCTAACCACTGCAAACAGCCAGGCATGCTGTCTGCATCAGGGTGTCCAGCTCCAGGTGCCAGCACCAGTGCCGGCTCCCTGAGAGGCTGTGGCTAGATCAGGCATATGACAAGCAGCTTCCACAGCTGGCACCAGGGAATGTGGCAGTGCCTGGAAGCTTAGAGATACCAGGAACCACAGAGCCCCAAAGAGGGTGTCACAGCTATGGCTCAGGGAGCTCCTAGTTCTGGGCTCCCCAAAGAGCCAAGCTCTTCTCTCCTTCTCTCTTCTTCTTGTCACCCCCAGCATGACAAACAAAGAGTGTGTTTCAGTTTGTGTTACAGCTCTTTCAGCCCTGCCATTCAGCAGGCCCCAAGTTCTTATCTCATGTTCAGGAAGAATTAGGTACATGGAAAGGTGGAAGATGAGCAAGCCAAAGAGGTGCTTTATTGAGCAACAACAGCTCAGAGGTGACCTGCAGTGGGTAGCTCCCCTCTGCAGGCAGGGCATCCCAACATCTACTCAGCTCTTAGCAGAGAGAAGACCCACAGTGGGTCACTCCTCTCCGCAGGTAGGTCATCCTGTTGTCTGACTGAGTCTGGCTGACTCCAGGGTTTTTATGGCCTTCAGAGGGGAGGAAGTGTGTGCTGATTGGTCCATGAGCAGCCATGGGTGGGACCAGAAAAAAAAAAGACCAGTTCTTACTCCAGTCTGTGGAACTGGCAGCTACGAGGCTGGTTCTCAGGCCTCACACCATCCCTGTACTGAAGGTGGAGGCTCTCTGGTGACCCACCCCTTTCTACCCAGGAACCTGTCTGCCTCCTGCCACCATTAACCTGCCATCCATGGTGCCCACAGCATCCATGTTGTTCCTGCTGAGGGGTGCCTCCAGGCCCATGCTGAGTCACCCTTAGTCCTCCCTTGGCCTCCCTACCATGCTCATCAGCACCCAAAGTCAGGAGGGGGACAAGGCATCAGGGGTCTGGCATGTTGGCACTGCCCCAAGCATAGACACACCTGGCCAGATCGTGACAGTGCCAGGGCTCAGCCACAGCTTTGCTCCAAAATCAGAGTGGGTGCCAGGAACAGGGAGAGGCAAGGTAGCAGGAGCAGGTACTCCTGAGCCTACAAGAGCAGGTGGGCTGCCTGGGCCCCCAAGGGTGCAGAGATGCCCAGGTCTGAAACCGTGGCTGCAGCTGCATCCAGGAGGCTGCCCCTCCAACTCGGAAGGGAGTGGGGCTTCTGCCTGTTCCTGGCTCCCACTGGTTCCATGGAGTAGGCAGCCCCAGCTGTACCTCCCCCACTGAAGCCAGCATCATGGCAGCAGCCACTCTAGACAGGCTGCTGCACCATCACCAGGACTATAGGCTTGACAAACCAAATATTGGCCATAAACCATTTAAGCAATTTTAATACAGTCACCTTAAAATATTTATTCATCATTTGGGTCATCTTACATATTCCATGATGAGTTACAAAGTGCAAGGCTCTTTACAATAAGAGCTTCAGGGATTCAGGGATGACCAGGCAGGCATCCAGTTCTTTTGTGCATACATGTTTAACACTGAACTTCTCACGTCAGATAATGATTTTGCTTTTCCAAATCTAAGACATTTGTACTCTTTAATAAATCATTATAGGGAAGTTGACTTGGATCAATTTTAAGGAGTTCATTCAAATTGCACATCGTAACAGTTTCAGCATTGGCTGGCCGAGCATGAAAATCTGCCAGAACACTTCCTTGGTATTCAATTAATTCTTATTCTACTTGATTTTGTGTTAACTTTATTAACCAATCATTAAGAATTTCAGAATTCCCACTCAGTCTAGTGGTAAGATCTTCAAGTTATCAAAAACTTGTACTTGTCAAAGTTCTTTCCATGAACTTTTTGAAAATGCAACACTTTTTGAGCTACAGCCAACTGAAAACGCTTTTAGAGAAGAAATAATTGAATGACAAAGACTTATAATGGCCATGTTAAAGCATCATAACCAGCATTTGATAAGGAAGCTTGGTTATCTCTATTGCATACAACATTTGAAGATAACAACTACAATTATCACTGATAGCATTATATTAGGACTATTAGATTTCTATGAATTTCATAGAATTTCTCAAGCAAATTCATAAAGACAATTCAAAAAGATTTAACATCATATTATTTGCCAATGTTTTCCATACAACATATGAAATAAGCCTAATTAGTTTAACATCTCTACAAGATGAGATACTTCCTAATGCTCTCCAGGTACCCACCTAGAAAATCCCAAGTCAATTTTAGATCAAAAAGACTAATTTATCATTTGATTTGGGGTAACATGAAAAATAGAGGTTTACAGGTCACTGTGAAATGATCACTTAATCAGAGTGATAATTAAATACACACATAGTGGTGGGGAAAATCCTAACTCTTCAGTAGAAAGAACTCAGTTTTCCTAAGTAATCAAACAACCTAATAAGGTTCTATTTCCTATTAAGAACAGATCAATTCTACACAAAAACCTTTTCGTTTTAACATAGAGTACAGATTCTAATTTTGCATAGTTACACATTTGATGTCAATCCTCTGTTCTTAGAAAAACAATTCCCTTCTAATTCTTATCAGCTTGACCGCATACAATTTCTTTCACAAGACTTATCTTCCATAAACCTTCTACAACTTTCTTATCCACTTTTATCTATCCTTTCTTTATTCTGAAACAAACTTTCAACAATCTGTAAATTAGACAAAATTACTCTCAACAAAAAATTTTTAAAAACCTACATCTTTCATATGGTATAGATTCACCAACCAAAAACATGTCTTACTTTCCTCATATAGGAAGCCATAGTTTTTGTTTCAATTAATTAGAATCTCCTCAATTCGTAGTAATCTTAATTTCCAATGGAAACCTTGGAAGCAAGCAATCTTGAACTGTTTTGTAGTAGCATTTTGTAGATGAGCACCATTTTAGCTTAGAAACATATGTCTTCATAGTACCACCCTTTTTATGTTTAAAGGACCAAAATGCACCTGAGTTTTCTATACTGCAAAAGAAAAAAAAAAACACAATATACCCCTAGCACAACTTACTCATTATCAGACATAAACCGAGATGAGCACTATGTTTGGTATTAGATAAGTGGCAACAGAAATGGCTGACACAAGAAGTTCAGTTCAGCCATTCAACTATTTGCAGATAGAAGTGGACAATTCTTTTTCTTTCTAGAATGTAACTACTAATTTTCTTATACTGTGTGTATGTATGCATCTGTTTCTCCTATGACACTGAGAGAAAAAACTACATCTACTCTGTTTATATCCCTGGCCCTAATACAATGTGTTACACATAGTATATAGTCAAATATCTGTTTAGTGAATGAATATGGCCATACATTGATTATCAGCCTCAAAGAGCTCATCATTGCATTACTCTGTTTTCCAAGAAGACACGTTCTACATTCTCAATGAAAGACATGAACAGCTGTTTTATCTTTAGAACAGTTTCCATTAGCCTATCCCAATCACTGAAGTTAATTGGAAAGTCCCAGACTAGTCAAAAAAAAAAAAAAAATCACAGGTTTTCCTCCCCCAAAACACAATGAGATCAGAAGGGTTGAAGAGCAAGTTTCAATATCTTAACTTACTGAAAAATGAGTCATACATTTCATAGGTATCTATCACTTAATCCAACATAACTTTAAGACCTTGGATAATGGAAGATTGTTGTGACTCATTTACAAGTTTCCAACCTATTTACATTCACCTAGTTTACTCATTCTTAACAAATATGCTTAAATTGCTCATTACACAGAGGTAGCCATTGAAGTTCAGAAAATATTACCCCCAGATATATCACTGTGATATTGATTACCAACATGTAAGCAAGGCAAGGCGTTCTGAATTCCTCTTAACTGCTGAAGACAGATTCTCCCAAGGGACTCTACTGTTACCATTCCTCTGAAGATTAACTCACAAGAAAGGAAGTTTCATCACACCCTGACAGACCTTGCTACTAATCATCATCTATTCTCTTAAAGGCCCATTCATTTTTCTCAAAAAACAATCACAGAGCATGAGAATATTTTCTTTACCCATTGACCAATTGACTTATTTCAGCAAGGGGGGTAACGGATCCGTGACCATTTCCTGAATGACCTGCCAGATTATTGCCCTAAGTTATTGTTACCTAGGTCATCCATTGAATTCAGGTTTCAGACCTAAATACCATTACCTGCTGAGACAAAGAAAGTAGAAAGCCCAGCTAAAACAAAATGGTCTGAGGCAAGGCTTGTTACATAGACTCAGGTCTTTTTGCCTTCCCTATTGCAAAGCCTCTAGTGACTTAGTTATTCCTGTCTTCCTGGCGTAGAGAGGAAGACACCTCTGTACACGGGACTTCCTCCACTGACACAAGTTTCCTTCATTAAAGATAGGTCTTAAAATAACTAAAAATAGGCAGCTGCTTCCCAACTCAACCTGTGTTCTTTTAACTAAATTACTGAGTTCTGGGCAGAGCCTATTAAGGAATAAGGCAGACAAAGCATTTTTCATACAAGACTAGGATACTTTTTGCTATTATTCTGAGTTCAAATTTTAGACCCTATTGATCTAAGAGCTCAACTTATATAAACAATTTTCCCCCTCACATTTTAGTCTCTTAAAAGCCTGTGTACTAATTAATAAATGAATGTCATGGCTTCTGTGGGGCTTTTGATTGTTCCTTTTCTAATATATCCTACAGATAATTTTACCCAAATTAAAACTTTCTAATTGTGGCCACTATAATTCCAAATCACCTTTGGCAAGGTTTGCCCATTCCTCTTAAAAAAAAAAAAAAAAAAAAAAAGTATAATTCTGGGGATTCTTATGCATGAGTTTGGCTGGGATTCCAAATGTAGGAGTTCCAGACCCTGGACCCATTCCAGTTTCTATTTAACACAAAACAGCCACCCCAAGAAGGACACATATGCCTTTTCAGAGCACAAAGTAACCCTCGGTGGAGTTTCAGAAGGTGGAATGGAATTTCTTATTGGATCCAAGTGAATCTGTGACTTTGTCTTAGAGTAACCTTACCTACTGAACCCAGTTCCATTTTTGTGGAGACTTTAAACCCAGCTTAGATTTTTTAAAAAATGCTCAAAAACACTCAGATAGCTCAAAACACACATTTGGAGAGCTTCATAATTTGAGAGAGAACTCACCAATGATTCCCAGAAAATGCAAGAAAACAGGGAAGACAGTGGTCTCAGTATGCACCTACGCCTGGTTGCTTGATGTTCCCGGGGTGGCTGGAGTTCTGTCCTGAATCCTACCAATGATACCAAATGTCTTAAAAGGAAAGTCTTAGACAAGTTTAAGTGTTAAGTGAGTTTAATTGAGCAAAGAAAAACAAAACAAAACCAAACAAAAAAAAAAAACGATTTTACCTGCTGGGCAGTCCTTCAAACCAGAGTAAGTTCAGAGAATGCCAACCAATAACATGATCTAATAGCATTTATAGGAAATGGAAGTTTGGTATAGAGACAACTTAACTGGTTACAGCTTAATTGGTTAATTGGTTACAGAGACTCCTGCAATTAACTAAAACTCAGCTACTGTAGCTAAACTCCATATCGGTTTGGTCTGTTAGGCTTTGTATAGGAGCCTAGTCCAAATCAAGAGCCTTTCACAAATTTTATTTAACATCCCAAATGGTGACTTGGGTATAATTAGTCTTGTAAATATTTCTTTCAGCACTACAATGAAATCAAAAGATTGGTTGTGATTCCTACTTTAGGTAGCTTTGTTATTCTTAATCTGCTCACAAAAAGCTAAGGGTATTTTTTTTCCTTGAATCAGCTCCTACGATTGTAGTATTTTTAAAGAACTGTCCATTAATGTGAAGGAAACAACCTGGATAAAGCCAGCTCTAGGAAACTGGATGTATAAATAGAAAAGTAGACCAATCAATTGATGTTTTTCTTCCCTTTCTTATGAAAGAAACCTGCAAGATTCTCGCATTCTCTGAAGGCAGTGCTGCAAACTGGTTTGGAGAGCAGATATAGACTCAACATAATTAGAGTAAGAATGAAGGAAAGAAAAGCAAAAAAAGGATGCAGGAGAAAGAAAAAAAGGATGTTCTAAAGATTCCCCATGGGTTCAGACTGAAGCTAGTCTCCATTTGAGATCACGTTCATAAATACCTTTTAAGCCCACTCTATCAGGCTTTCCCGGCTCCTTTTTTCCTGAGAATAGCTTCCAAGCTATTCTCCCACTCCCCTCATCAATCTCTTGAACAGAAAAACCTGAAAACAAAATAATCAATTTCTTGCCACTCAGAGTGTGGTTCTTAGACTAGCAACACTGGCATCACCTTAGAGATAGTTTGAAATACAGAATCTCAAGAACTGCCCTGATCTACTATATGGATGATGTTGATGGCACTGTGCAGATTTGCCACCTGCTAGTATACCCGTTCTCTAGCTACCCTGAGTATTGGCTGATAACAACAACTCTTAGCTGACCCTTTATCTAGAGCGTTATCCACACCTGGAAGTCTATACAATACACATTCCCATCATGCCACCCAGCAAACTTCAGCTAATGACTAACTGCTGCCTAGGAACAGAAGACTGGGCCTTCATCTCAGGATGAGACTCTTTCTTGCAATTTGTGTTCTAAAGATTCCCCATGGGTTCAGACTGAAGCTAGTCTCCATTTGAGATCACATTCATAAATACCTTTTAAGCCCACTCTATCAGGCTTTCCCTACTCCTTTTCTCCTGAGAATAGCTTCCTCCCACTCCCTTCATCAATCACTTGAACAAGAATCCCCATCTCAGCCTCTGCGTTTAAGGAACTCAACCTAAGTCAGTTTATACCAGAAGTAAACTCAAGAAGAAAACTCTAAGGATGGAATTTTCCTGCAGTCGGCTTGCCAATCCGAATACCTGGTGTTAGGTGGTGTGTTAATAGTCTCTGGCATGCTGCAGTATGCAACTACTCAACTTTCACATGGGTAGAATGGGATGGGATCCAGGCGGAAGGGATGCACTAACTGGTGAAATTTCACAGGCTTTGCAGAGATATGGGAAATGGCAACTATAAAGACTGTGAAATCGAGTGGCTGTTCCTAAGTGCCGTTGATTTATTGAAGAAAGAAAATGACAGGCTCAGACCTCCTAACAATTTAAAACAAAGTGTGTCAGAGGCCTCCTTGGCAGCGTTTAAAAAGGCTCTCATCCCCTGAAGACAGAGGGTAGATACTGCTGAAGATTGTAGATAGAACTTCAGTGTAACATTGTCAGAACTTCAGAGGATTTTTGGCCTAGGCACATCTTCTGTGACAGCACAGGGCTCCGAGTTTGAGATGGTGATACATGGGTAAGTAACCTTGTGAGCCTTGTATCCTTAATTTCTCAGAACCTCAGGCTAGCAGACATGGCCAACTCCTTTTTGGAAAAGCACTCATCCCTCCTTGTTTAAGACAATGTAGGGGCCTCAAATGAGACAGGTTTCAAACAAGGCAATGGCTTACCTCCTCACAACCTGTCCTCTCCTTGCAGCCTTGGCACTAGGCTTTTAATTATAGTTAAATCTCAGCACAACCAGCCCAGAGAAGTGCAGAACCCATCAAGAAATAAAACGATTATACACCAAGGTTGCTATGGGGCCAATGATAGTATCATTGGCAGGAACCAGGAGATTATGTCTGAGAGTGGATCCTGATGGAGCTGGATCAAGAAAGGTAGAATATAAAGCTGGATAAAGGAGGCTTTATAACATGAGGGAACTCCCTCGTATTACAGGATTTAACTCCCTGTCAGGAGCATTAGGTGATGGATCTCGAACACTGCTGAGATGACTCTTAGAAGCTTGGGAAAAGCTACAGCTGACATTAAGTCAAATAGAGATGGAAAAAGCACCATGGAAAACTGTGAGAAAGAGCTCAAAAGGTGTAGAGAATTGAGCATGCTAGAATGGATCTGTTATACAGTTGACCCTCAAATAACATGGGTTTGAACTGCATGATTCACTTACATGCAGGTTTTTTCCTGCCTCTGCCATCCCTGAGACAGCAAGACCAATCCCCTCCTCTGCCTCCTCCTCCTCAGGCTACTCAGTGTGAAGACCAAAAGGATGAGGATCTTTATGATGATCGACTTTCACTTAATGAATAATGTATTTTTTCTTCCTTGTGATTTTCTTAATAACATTTTCTTCTCTCTAGCTTACTTTATTGTAAGAATATAGTATATAATATATATAACATACAGAAAATGTATAAATCAACTGTTATCAGTAATGCTTCTGGTTAACAGTAAGCTGTTAGTAGTTACGTTTGGTAGGGGCGGGGGGCGTCAAAAGTTTAGACCCAGATTTTGGACGGCACAGAAAGGTAAGGACTCATAACCCCATGTTGTTCAAGTGTCACCTGTTTAAGATGGAAAATCCAACAGCTCATCATTTTCCGCAGGAGGGCCTGGAGAGTACTCTGTTTATTGAGGCAACAAGAAACAAACTGGCAGAGAATACACCAGCATTGCCACCAAGTCCAGTAGTGCCTTTCCTCTGTAGGTTGATCTCCTGGTAGGAGAGATGCTGTTACAGAATTGTACTCTCTAGAAGCAATGGGGATAATAGAATCTTGGGTAGTATGGTTAGCAAAAACAGAATGACAGCAAGGAGGGTCTGACTTATCATGACCCATAGTGATGGCTTATACATGGTGTTCCTAGGGACAAGATAAATGGTCAGCCAACAAGGGTACTGTTTTATGTATATCCAAAAGAAATCAATAATAAATGAGCAGAGGGCCAAGGTTTTCCTCCTCAATGGCAAGTTATAAAATTTTGCCCAGTTTCCAGATAGGAGCCAGATCCCAGGGGTAGAATTCATTGACTAATGGAGGGACATAGCTGCTGCACAGGTGCCTGTGGTCTCAACTACTTGGGAGGCTGAGGTGGGAGGATTCCTTGAGCCCAGGAGTTTGAGTCCAGCCTGGAAAACATAGCAAGACCCCATTTCCAAAACAATATCATAGATCCTGTGGCAGAACTTGGTAAATAGGAAATAAAAAAGGCACAAAAATGTTAAGTAAATATATATATATATATATATATATATATAGAGAGAGAGAGAGAGAGAGAGAGAGAGAGAGACTGAGTCTCACTCTGTCACCCAGGCTGGAGTGCAATGGCCCAATCTCGGCTCACTGCAACCTCCATCTCCCAGGTTCAAATGAGTCTCCTGCCTCAGCCTCCTGAGTATCTGGGATTACAGGTGCACACCACCATGCCCAGCTAATTTTTGTATTTTTAGTAGAGATGGGGTTTCGCCATGTTGGCCTGGATGGTCTCGAACTCCTGACCTTGTGATCCACCCACCTCAGCCTCCCAAAGTGCTGGGATTACAGGGGTGAGCCACCGCGCCTGGCCAATTTTTTTAATTAAAAAAAAAAATCAATGGCACCTGTAGGCTTTCTTTTCCCAGTGGGACCTATCACTATTTACTTTTATAATGGCACACTCAGAAAAGATGAATACTCAGATGCTTCAAGACTATTTGGATGCAGGACCCAAGTGTAATTTGATAGCAGAAGATCCAAAGTGCCATCTTGCCCCCTCCCTATGTTCAGATAAGGAATGGAGTTCTGACCCAGGTCTGATCCACAGTGGGGATACTGGGCCCATGAACCTGCTTGATTGTCATTTCCACAGTCCCTAAATGTATAATTCAAGCGGATATATTTAGCAGTTGGCAGAAACTTCCTTGATCTATGAGTAAAAGTGGTTATCATAGGGAAGCCAAGTGAGAAACTCTGAAACTATCCCCACCCTCCCCAGCAATTAGAGTAAATAAAAACAATATCACATCACAGCACAATAACACAGCCAGTGCTACGCTTAAAGACTTTAAACATGCCGAGCTGATATTCCCTACTTCATTCCCATTTGATTCACCAGTATGGCCCCTGCAAAAGGCTGGTTGGATTTACAGTACTACATGTGATTATCTTTCTTAGGCAAGATTAACACAGCCTCAGAGAGATAGCATGTAGACACTGAACTGGAAAACCGTGCCATACTCACAAAGAAAGATCAGAGCAGTTTACATTCACATGGGATATAAACTTACTGTCATATCCCAAGATTATGTTAATTCTCATGTTGTCTGTCGTAATATAGATTGAAGGGGCCTGGACAGCCTGGACAATTTTTTGAAAATTAATATCATATTGACTAAGTGATCATATTAGTATGATAACATAATCAAATTATATTAAATGAACTAACATATTAACTAATTACATGTACATTTCCAAGGCATGTGCATTCCACTTTTTGGCATGTACTATGCATGCCTTGGAAATGCACATGTAATTTAGAGAATGGGAAAAGACCTCACATTTCCTACCACAAAGGATGAAACCCAACCCTTGGTAGTCTTCTTGGGTTTTGTAAACAGCATATCTTGCACTTGGGAATGCTGAAACTACCCCTTCATCATGTTCGGTTGAAAGCTGTTACCTTTGATTGAAGCCCAGAAAAAGAAAGTGCTCTGCAGCAGTTCCTCCTGTGGTTTTAGAATTGCTGGCATTTGATCTCTATGATTCAGCAGATTCCATGATACAAGAGGTATCTGTGGTAGATAAAGACACCGTGTAGAGCCTTTAGCAAGGCCCATTAGGAGAGTCACAACAGAAACTAGTGATTTGGAAGCAAATCCATGCTACATGCAGCAAAGAGCTACACAGCATTCAAAAAAACAGGTCCTGGAATGCTACTCATTCCTTGCAGGATCTAAGCATCTGACCTTGGGAATTAAGTGACTATGTGGCCATAACTACTCAGCATAAATTGGATACTTTCAGATCCACCACATCATCACTTCAGGTGGTTCTAGCAGCAATCCATAATATAATGGACATGGTACATCCACAGTCAGGCTCAAGCTGGTCAGGAGGACACCTAAAGTGCATGAACAGCCTGCTCAGAACCCATGCTTCTCTGGTGCCCATCCTCAGCTCATGCTTCAACTGCATAGGCATTTTCTATGACTAACTAAAGGGAGAGGAAAAACACCAGCCTGGTTCACAGATGGGTCAGTGTAGTAAATGGATGCAAGCCAAAAGAGAATGGTAGCTGCATCATGTCCCCACTCAGGACCAGACTAGAAAAGAGTGTTGAGAGAAAGGCCTTTTGTTGGGCAGAGCTTCAGAAACCGCATGGAGTGATACACTGGGATCATAAAAAGTGGACCAAGATAAGAGGATCCATAGACTCAAGAACAAGGAGAAATGGCTTATCTGGTAGGTGAGTAGCTTGGAAACAATTAAATTAGATTACTGGGTACAACGAGGTCTGGGGAAGTAACAGATGTGTGGACTTTTGAGAATGAGCACAAAGTGTGAGAATCTTTGTATCCCATGTTAATGCCAACCAGAGAGCACCCACTACAGAAGAGGCCTTTATCCACCTAGTGGACAAGTTGGTTCCACTAGTAGATGTCTTCTAACCTTTATGTTTCACCACACCGATGTTTGCACCGTAGACCCATAAAGGAAGTGGCTATGGCGGCAAAGATGGAAGCTATCTGTGAGCCAGATAGCATGGTCTCCCTCTCACTAATGCTAATATAGCTCCTGACCCTCTTGAATATCCCACCTGCCAGCAAAAGGGAACAATACTGAGACCTCAAAAGAGTACCACTCCTCAAGAAAACCAGGCAGCCATTTGCAGCAAGTTGATGTTACTGGACTTCTTTCCTCTGGTAGTGGCAGCCATTCATCACTGACTGGAATCAACACATATTCCAGGTTTGGGTTTGCCTTTCTTGTCCACATGCCTTAGCAAGCACTGCTATTCAAAGACTGATAGAGTGTTTGATCTACCAACGTCATCTCAGGCCAACACATTTTACTTAAAGAAGTGCTTGGGACCAACTGCAGCACCTAACTATGGTTTTGCTCACAAACTCTCTTTTTATAAGTTTTCCCAAAACTAACCAACCCAAATCCTAAAGAAGCTGTCTTTAGAAGACATGAACTTAATGTGGGAAGGATGTGAAGAGAGATGCAAGAAGTTGATAGTAATAAATGCTAGTGGTTCCCCATTGAGATTACCTCTACCAGGCAATGTACACGTGAATTTTGGCATACAAAAACTCACAGCTGCCCTCATTTCCAGAAAATTGCCTTTGTCCAGTAGACAGGAACTGCTTTGACCAGTAGACTCTTCCCTGTCACCCCCCGGCATAGACCTTAGCCAATGTGTGACTAGCTGTGGTTACCAAAGACCAGCTTTCTTGACTGAGAGTGGGATAAACTCTCTAGCATATTCTGTGCTCAGGCAGTAGCATCAGACAGACTATGAAATAAATCATAGGCAAATGATTTAATCATTTTTTTCTTTGGGTCTTGCTCTGTTGTCCAGGCTGGAGTGCAATGGCACAATCATAGTTCACCACAGCCTCGAACACCTGGGTTCAAGTGATCCTCCTGCCTCAGCCTCCTGAGTAGCTAGGAGTACAGGCACATACCATCATGCCAGACTAACTTTCTTTTTATTTTTCGTAGAAATGGGGTCTCATTATGTTGCCCGGGTGGTCTCAAACTCCTGACCTCAAATGACCCTCCTCCCTCAGCTTCCCCAAATGCTTAGATTAAAGGTGTAAGCCACCATGCCCAGCCCTAATGTAATAATTCTTTAAGCATCAGTTTCCTAATCCATTAAACATATTATAAAAGTAATCACCTTGGCCAGGCACGGTGGCTCACGCCTGTAATCCCAGCACTTTGGGAGGCTGAGGCAGGCAGATCACGAGGTCAGGAGATCAAGACCATCCTGGCTAACATGGTGAAACCCCGTCTCTACTAAAAATACAAAAAAAAATTAGCAGGGCATGGTGGTGGGCGCCTGTAGTCCCAGCTACTCGGGAGGCTGAGGCAGGAGAATGGCATGAACCCGGGAGGCAGAGCTTGCAGTGAGCCGAGATCGTGCCACTGCACTCCAGCCTGGGCAACTGAGCAAGACTCCATCTCAAAAAAAAAAAAAAAAGAAAAGTAATCACCTTATAAGGTTTTTTAACAATTGACTAAACTAACTTACAAAAGGTGCATAGATGCATAACACTCATTAATAGTGGTGATGGTGTTATTATTAAGGCTAAAGACCAAATCAAAAACTTGTTTTTATTAAAAAATTTATCCTGTAGCATTCTGCAATCCAAATGTTGAACAGGCAGTCTCAGCTAGGATTCTTTAGGTCTATAATACTAGAAGAATAAGTGTAAAAACGTGTGTGTGTGTCTATATGTGTGTGTATATATATGTATTATTATAAACTTATGTGATATAAATATTTGTGTGTGTTGGGAAAAAATTCAGTAGAAGAGAAAACCGCTTCTACTATAAACAGCTACATGGGCAGCAAATATATGGGCCATGGACCAGCCTACACAATTGTCAGGTCCCAAAATAAAATGTTGAGCCACTTGTTAA
This sequence comes from Homo sapiens, assembly GCF_000001405.40. Lineage (NCBI taxonomy): Eukaryota > Metazoa > Chordata > Mammalia > Primates > Hominidae > Homo > Homo sapiens. Next base: position 81,135,411 of record NC_000009.12, read on the forward strand.
AAAAATTAAGAATTGCAATATAGGCCGGGCGCGGTGGCTCACGCCTGTAATCCCAGCACTTTGGGAGGCCGAGGCGGGCGGATCACGAGGTCAGGAGATCGAGACCATCCCGGCTAAAACGGTGAAACCCTGTCTCTACTAAAAATACAAAAAATTAGCCGGGCGTAGTGGCGGGCGCCTGTAGTCCCAGCTACTTGGGAGGCTGAGGCAGGAGAATGGCGTGAACCTGGGAGGCGGAGCTTGCAGTGAGCCGAGATCCCGCCACTGCACTCCAGCCTGGGCGACACAGCGAGACTCCGTCTCAAAAAAAAAAAAAAAAAAAAAAAAAAATTGCAATATAGTGGGAGCAGAACATTAAACCAAATACAGGACCCTCTTGAGCATGGGGCCCTGGTGACTGCACAGGTCCCACACTCGGGAAGCTGGCCCTGTTTGGAGGACATGCACAATTGTGCATTTGAGGAGGGGATGTGACTGATGATGTGAGTAGAATATCCCTACATTTTGTCAACAGTACAAACATTTGGCAGATATATATGATTCCTCAAAATATTTACAAAGTTATATATGGTCTAAGATGACTACTGGCAAAGATTAATTCATCAGAAATATATGTATGTATCACTAAGTGCTTATAATTCACGGAAATGATATTTCTCAGAGATTATACTGTCTTCCCTGTTTAATAAATGTGTGCACACACACACCTAAGTAGCCACACATCTTCTATTTGTCCTTTAATGCGTAACAGTATTTTGATCTTCTTTTCTTTGTTGAGTAATACTTTGTTGCCACCTGATACTGCTTCCAGATAATAACAATTTACTAAAAATTGTAAAAAAAAAAAAAATAAAAAGAAAATAAAAGCAAGTATCCATGATGAAGGAAAATCTACATATCTATCTGAAGTTTTCTATGGAAATATGCTTCTGAGAGTTGTAAATAGTGTGTATAGTACAATGTTCCATATCAGAGGGCATATTAGAATATGACAGCTAGGAAAAGTGTTTAAAGCCAGCTATTGATAGCTTTTATGTCAAACAAAATCTTCTAATGGAAGATTTTGTGGTGACAGAATATTCAGAGTAAAGGTGACTAGGAGACGTGAAAGAAAGATCAGTAGTACTTATAAACAACGTTTAGTTTGGCCCGGTACGTTGGCTCACACCTGTAATCCCAGCACTTTGGGAGGCCACGATGGGTGGATCACGAAGTCAGGAGATCAAGTCCATCCTGGCTAACACGGTGAAACCCCATCTCTACTAAAAATACAAAAAATTAGCCAGGCGTGGTGGTGGGCGCCTGTAGTCCCAGCTACTTGGGAGGCTGAGGCAGGAGAATGGCGTGAACCCGGGAGGCAGAGCTTGCAGTGAGCCGAGATGGCACCACTGCACTCCAGCCTGGGCAACAGAGGGAGACCCCATCTCAAAAAAAAAACAATGGTTAGTTTAGCAGCACACACATTAAGGATGAGCCAGTAAAGGAGAAGGTCAGACTTAGTAGAGAACCACAGATTAAACAAAATAGATACACTTATTTCCTTCTCAAGAGAGTTCTAGGAGAAAGTTAGGAAACTCTACAGTATTCCTTCTAAATCATTTCTGTAGCCGTTTATAAATATTCTATGGTCGGATTGGGCATATCCTAATGTCCATCTGTTCACAGGATAGATGGTTTAATCTCCAGTTAATTCCAGTTGTGAAACTGCTGCACAAGAAGCTGTCTGAGTGACTGCAGAGAGAACTGACTTAGCATCTGCGACTTTGGCTTACCTGAAGAAAACTGGTGACGAGCACAAAAAAATAAGCTTTATCTTTAACCAAGGGGGACAATTAGGGTGGACCCAGCAAGAAACTGCATTAAACATGTTTCTTCCTGCAGGCACCTGAGCCCCAGGATACTTCTCAGCTCTCTCCCTGAGAATTCTCATCTCCCCCACTACCCAGATTTCTCTCTTTTTCTTAGAGACAAACACACTTACAAACACAGTTTTATGATCTGATATTTTTCATTTAAGACATGCATTAATGTCTAAGTGGAATTACTTATGTCTACTCTGGCTTTGACTTGCACCTATGAATTAGTCTTGTGCCAATAAACCTAATCTGATGGTAATAACCTAAAGTTTCCAGTAATAGGATTCCTCACACTGAATCTTCTGCAGTTTTCTTATAAGACTCATGTTGACTGTATAGGGTTTAGTAAAGCAAGCTAGCCCTTGTAGGAAAAGGGCAAATGGCTCTAAGGAATTTTGTAGTTCAAAGTCAGATTGCTTTACCTGTCATTTCATTGAGGAAGGTGACAAATGAGAGAGTGAAGACAGAGAAAATGATAGGAAAGAACTTGGATAATTTGGATAATTTGAGAGACCTGTTATGGTGTACAAAGAGAAAATTGAAAGCTGATATTTAACAAATACATCCCATACCCTGTGCTGGCCAATTTGAAATAAATGGGCTTTAATTTTTATATTTTCTAGAAGAAACTATAGCTCAGAGAGGTTACATAGCTTGTCCAAGATTTGCAGCTAGTAAGTGACATATCCCTGGTTCCGTTCCAGAGCTGACTTTCTTGTAATATCATGCTGCATAAGGAGAAGTCCCAGAGGGAGAGAGTCCCATGTATCACACACCAATAGTTCCACCAGATAATTAAGACATGATGAAAAAGTGCAAATGGACCTATTCCCTATAATCTTCCACCACAGTGAGGCTGGAGGGAAAGCACAGATGATGGGACAGGCTTGCTCTGTGCTATGGCTGCCAAAGGAAAGACCCCTATGAAGAGAAGACTATTAACAATCCCAGCTCCATTAAATTTAAAGCAGCTGCTAACAGTGGGGGCCTTTACATTGTCAATTATATGAATTTTCCTATTACTATGTCAAACCAAAGAGCAATTATAGCACATTCATCAAACATTGCTTCCGCCTCTCTGGTTCTGTACATTAATGCCACAGTGGCAGGCCTTAGAAATCCTTGAAGACAAATCTGACATGCAGACTTTAATTGTTTCTAGGATTTGTGGTCAGAAACAACACTAGGTGAGTAGTAGGGGGTCAATTACACAATTAGATGGTGATAGGCAGAGACCAGCTGAACTCACACAATGCACCGAATATTTACATATCAGTCCACTTCAGGAAATGCTTTGACACCTACTACTTCCCTTCAGGTTGACATTTATCCCATTAACCTGTCTTGGAAGTATTTAATTATTCTGCCTTTTTTACATTGGAAGAAATGAAGACCAGAGAGTCTCTGGCAGAGACTGAACCTGGGAGATGATTGCTGAGTAGTTTGACACCCACTGAAGGAGCAGAGCAGCAGCAAATGACCAGTCTTATCTCATTATGCTGCATTCTGACAAAAGGAAATAAACTGCCCCTACAAAAGAGAGAAGAGAGAAAGAAGGAAGAAGGCGAAAAGAGACAGAGGGAAGGAGGGTAAGTGCTGAGCTGAGCTTCCCAAGGATGGCTCCTAGTTGAGTTAGCTTCAAGTCTTTCTTCTTCCACAGCGTATAACATGTGTGATGCTACAGCCCAACAAAGAGACAAACTTTCAGAAAACAAGGGCATGAGAAGAAGAGAAAGGAAGTTAGTTCTCTTTAGTAAAGTTTAACTTCATATAAAGCCCACTTACTCTTCAAAAGGACAATTAGAGTGGACCCAGCAAGAAACTGCATTAAACATGTTTCTTCCTGCAGGCACCTGAGCCCTAGGACACTTCTCAGCTCTCTCCCTGAGAATTCTCAGCTCCCCCACTGCCCAGATTTCTCTCTTTTTCTTAGAGATAAACACACTTACAAATACAGTTTTATGATCTGATACTTTTCATTTAAGACATGCATTAATGTCTAAGTGGAATTACTTACGCCTACTCTGGCTTTGACTTGCACCTATGAATCAGTCTTGTGCCTATGGTCTCAACACAAACAGTTTTGAAATCCCAAGAGAAATGCCCTCTGCACGAGATGATCCTCTTTAGTTCCATGCGATGAAGCACTCATTGAGCCCCTGTGTTACAAGTTCCTTTACTACACATTTGGTAGATACTGAAATGAACAGTAAAATTGTCCTGGCCTTTAGAAAATTCACCATTCCTGGAAGTGACCAAAAAAAAAAAAAATGGCAGATGATTCAATGCAGCATTTTGATAGATGTGATAGTGATGATATCTTGACAAATGATAGAGGTGAGCTCAGGTTGCCGTGAGAGGACAGGGGATGAAGAGCACCTAGAAAAGCCTGGAGGAGTTGCCCAGAGCTGTCTCAATTGATATGCAAGAGCTGATGAGGTTAAAAGAGAGAAGCAGAGTGGGACCTTCCACAAAGGAATAGCATAAGATACAGATACTGTTCTACCACTTGGCCAAGCACATTATGGAAGGAGACAGAAGAATAAGCCAGCTTTAGAGAACAAATGCTTCTGATTAGATGCCATGTAACTCAATCAATAGGAAGCCTTGGTGTGGTGGAGGCCCAGGACAGGGAAGTTAAGGTCTACAGATAGTTACAAATCATCAAACATTTCTTAAGCCCCGTACTCTTCACACCAGCTCCTCATATTCTCCCCAGACACTGCTGCTCCCCTAGTTTCCTTGCCACTACCTCAGGTCTCTGGGGACACAATGATCCCCCGTCTGCTTTGACCAAGATGTGAAGAAATCCAATATTCTCTTAATTCAAATATGATAACCATCAAAAGAAATTAAGAATAAAACAAACTCAAGTTTTAACAAATTAAAAATTACCAATGTCAGGATTAGAAAACCAGCTCATCCAGTTGTCTATTACTGAAAAACAAATTACCTCCAAAATTAATTGATTTAAATAACCATTTCATTTTACTCACAATTTGGTGAGTCGGGAATTCTGAATGAGGTTGGCTGAGTGGTTGGTCTCTGATCCACATTAGTTGGAATGGCTGGATCTGGCAAATTCATTTTCAAAACGTCTCTTTATTATATACTGGGAGCTTCAAAACTTCAAAATTTCCTGATGCATTTTCTCTCTCTCTCTCTCTCCTCCCCATCCTTCTCCACAAAGGATCTTATTCTCTAGGGTTTATTCATGTGGCTCAGGTTTCTCACAGCATGGCAATCTCAAGGTAATTTCCCTTCTTGCACAGCAGCTGGTTTTCAAAAGAGCATGCAAGAAGCTACCAGTCCTCTTTCTAAACTTCTGCAACTTGAATAACATTACTTTTGCCACATGCTATTAGTCTAAACAGTTCACAAGCCATCCCAGATTCAAGTGGAAAATAACAGATCCTTCCTCTCAATGGAAGATGTGTCAAAGCATTTAAGGCCATCTTTAATCTGCCATAGTAACTCAATAGAGATTTGGTCAAAATATAACTTCAATAAACCAAAGTGTATCAGAGCCGGCATCTTCTGACTTATTTCTCATAGTGAAGAAACAAAAAACAAGCTTACATCATAAGTTCCTTCTCACAACTGTATGCTATCCTTACAACACTTTGTATAGTGGCCCAATAAAAGGAACAGGGGGACAGGGTGCTAACTGCAACGATACCTGTTTATCCCCTTTGGGACTTGTGTAGTAGATGGAATAGAGACAAGGGTATTTACGAGATCCACACAACTCTCCTTGCCTACCTACCTGTAAATAATTGCTAGAACAGGCCAGGCATGGCCAGGCATGGTGGCTCCTGCCCATAACCCCAGCAATTTGGGAGGCCGAGGTGGGCGGATCACCTGAGGTCAGGAGTTCAAGACCAGCCTGACCAACATGGCGAAACCCCATCTCTACTAAAAATACAAAAAATTGGCTGGACGTGGTAGTGGGTGCCTGTAATCCCAGCAACTCAGGAGGCTGAGGCAGGAGAATTACTTGAACACGGGAGGTGGAGGTTGCAACGAGCCGAGATCGCCCCACTGCATTCCGGCCTGGGCAGCAAGAGCGAAACTCCGTCTCAAAAAAAAAAAAAGAACAGGCCAGGAATGGTGGCTCATACTTATAATCCCAGCACTGTGGGAGGCCAAGGTGGGAGAATTCCTTGAGGTCAGGAGTTCAAGACCAACCTGGGCAACATAGCAAGACCCTATGTCTACAAAAAATTTAAAGAAAACCAATTTAGCTGGGTATGTTGGTGGCAAGTGCCTATAGTCCCAGCTAATTGGGAAGCTGAGGTGAGAGAATCACTTGAGCCCAGGAGATCAAGACTGCAGTGAGCTATGATCATGCCACTGCAATTCAGCCTAGGTGACAGAGGGAGATCCCGTCTCTATAACAATAATAACAACAACAACAATAATAGTAATTGCCACATTTTTAGCATTATGCTAACCTTCCTAGTCTGCCAAAATATATAATTCTGAATTTGAATCCTATTTCTCTGTTAACTCCAGAGTCACTGACAGAAAAATCTGAGACCTAATTTTCCATGTGTCTTTTCCAAAAATTCCCCATCAAAACCATTCTCAACATGAAGTATAATGTGATTAAGTGGAATCAGTATTAAAACCTTTAAAAAATGCTTAAGTATGCTGCCATCATAAGTAATTGATGGAGGTGAGACTGGAGCCCTGGATATCTGACCACCTGATACCAAAGCCCATTTTTCAACTATCTGTAGTTGCCTTCCTAATGCAATTAAAAAAAAAAAAAAAAAAAAAAAAGCCCAAGAAGGGGGCAGGGATAAAAAACGCCATCCTTACTGAGAGAGCCTAGGAGCTGCCACTGCCTGCAAATCCTTTTCAGTTGCCAAGTGGCCTTGACAGGTGAGCAGACAGGGTGCCTCTAGGGAGCTGCTAATGAACACAGGGCCAGGAGAAGTGAAGGAGGATTAAAGGGGAAGCAAGCTATCATATCAATAGTTGCCTCCTGGATCTGGCTGCTGCTCAGGGGCACTCAGGGTGGCCCTAGGCACATTTTCAGAGCAGGAAGCTTGTCTTCTAAAATTTGTTTTCCCTCTCTTTATGTGCTCTGGAACTCCATAGCTTATATGTCCCCTAACCATAGTCACCACAGCTTCTTGAGAATCCAGATGCTCAGCAATGTCATACTCCTCCCTCCTTCACCACTGCATCACTGCCACATCCTCTGTGCAATAGAAAGTGGCATGGAAGAATGACTCCAATATCTGCCACTTGCACTTGGGTGTGGAGTTTACCAGTATAGCTTCTCCTTCAGGGAGTACTTGCAGTTTCATCTTCCCTCACTGGCATCCTCCAAACCAAGTAATGGAGGCGACATCCATTTGGTCATCATCCAATCCTAAGAAATGCATTATTCCATCAAAACAGACTTTAATCAAAGGATTTAAAGGGAGGAGGAAAAGGAGAAGCAATAAATAATTTCACCTCAAATTAGCCAGTAAATAGTTTCTGAGAGCAAGTAAAAATTTACCATGTCTTTACAAGGCTATGGCAATTAATCCTAAGAATCCTTCTATACCCTATGGATTACTTTTCTAGGTAGGAATGATGTTTTTAAAAATTAAATAAATAATGCTTTATGCATTCAATTTGTCTTACATAAAACATGAATAAGAATGAAAATGAGACTAGGACAGAGGTCATCTAATTGCAAATCCCTTGGTCTTTCTATTCCCCCAACAGATTTTTCTATTACTTTAGCTCTCAGTCTCTACAGTAACAAAATGAACCTTTCCAGATCTCCTTATGGCTTAATAAGAACTTTCAAATGCATGTTTTCATGTGCTTAAAGGTAATGGGGATCAGTTAAAAGATTCAATTTTGACTCAACCAGGTTAGGCCAGGTTAAGCTGCAATAAAGAGAATCCCAAAATCTTAGGGGTATAAACCAACGAAAGTTTATTTCTCACACACATTCAAGTCCAAAATAGGTGAACAGACAAACTCTTTTCTTGATAATCCTTGGGGGAATGCAGGCTGAGAGAGCTCCATGTTGCAGATGCCTTCACAGGCTCTAAAGCGATTCAAAGGAAGATGCTGAACTGCACCGTGGCTCTTAAAGCTCCCACCTAGATGTGACACAAATCTCTTCTACTCACATTTTATTGGCCAAAGCAAGTTGCATGGCTATCCCTAAGTTCATAAGAGATGGGAAGTATTACCCCACCCTGTGTCTGGATGGAGAAGAGATGGAATATTTTTGAATAACAAGAATTATTACCACATTCACAAAACAGAAATTAGCATGAGCAAAGATTATCTTAAACACTAGATAACATAGCAACTCAAATATAATTCATTTGAAACTCATTTGTAGTCTATGAGTGGACATCAACAAATATAAGATAAAATCTGGGGGTGAGCTTGGTTCACAAGAAGAATCAAACCTGGAATAAAAAACAATTTTCAAATAATCCCCCAAGTTAGTCACAAGGATAACTGATGGTTAGACATGTGTAAATATTTCATATATCACTGATTCCTGGTTACTGATTAAAACAGTACCATAATTAAAATCAACAACCAACAATTACTGAGCTGATATTCAAGGCTTCTAAATTATCTCAGAAGTTATTGTAACTGATAAATCAGAAAAGGAAAGTGAATGGAAGAAATTATGAAAATTTTGTTGAAATGACTATATAGAAGCTCATTTATTCTGGGATATCTAAACGTACTTTGTTTATTTACTTAGTTATTATTTTCTTTTAGAGACAGTGTATTGCTCTGTTGCCCAGGCTGAAGTACAGTGGTGCAATCATAACTCACTGCAGCATCAAATTCTTGGGCTCAAAAGATCCTCCCACCTCAGCCTCCTGAGTAGTTGGGACTATAGTTATGTGCCATCGAACCTGGCTGCATTAACTTTTTTTTTTTTTTTTGAGATAGAGGCTCGCTAAGTTGCCCAGGCTGGTCTTGAAATCCTGACCTAAGCAATTTTCTCATCTAGGCCTCCCGAAGCTCTTAGATTACGGGTAGGATCCACCAAGGGGACCTAAATTCACATTGTTTAACTCTCTACAATTTACATGGAGATTTCTCACATATCATTGCCTAAAACCTGCACAACAGTCAAGCAAAGCAGGTTACCCTTATTCTTATCTCCATTTCACAGATGAGGAGGCTAAGGTTCTGAGATTTTACATGGTTTGCCAGAGGACACTCTTACGAAAACAGTCAAATTTTGAACCCTCTTCTGTCCCATCACCACCTGCTCAAGAGTGGGTTGAAATGTGATAATAAAATCATAGATGCTATATTCTGAATGCTGGAATTATTCTTTAGTCTTTCATTCCTTAAGTTGTGTCTCATAAAATAACAGATATTCTTGGAATTAAGGAGAAAAAGAAAATAGGTTTGGAGCCCTCTGGGTTAAAGAAAATAAAACATAATTATTTACAAGTCTTTACAGAACCTTTATTGTGCTTTTAAACATTGTTTCAGTGAGTGAGGAACCACTAAGCAGAATAATGACTCCCCAAAATGCCTGTCCTAGTCCCCAGACCTGTGACTATGCTATCTTACATGGCAACCTGGGATTTGAAGATGTAATTCAGTTAAGGATCTTGAGATGGAGAGGTTCCCTTTAGGTTAGCCTGGATTATCCAGGTGGGCCTGATGTAATCACAAGAGTCCTTACAAGACACTGGAGACAGAGGTCAGGGTGTTTCCAAGGCTGCAAGCCAAGGAATGTGGGCAGCTGGAAAAGATAAGCTAAGAAAAGTGGGTGAGCTCCAGAAGCTGAAAAAGACGAGCAAGTGGATTCTACTCCAGATCCTCTAGAAGAAAGACAGCCACGCCAACACCTTGATTTTAGCCCCGTGAGACCCATTTTGAACTTCTGACTTCCAGAATTGTAAGAGTACAAATTTGTTTTATTTTATGCGACTACATTTGTGGCACTTTGTTACAGTAGCATAGGAAACTAAAACAGAGGGACAGTAAGTATTTCCTCTTAAATGTATTGGCAACTGAAACTTTTATCTCCTGAAATACCTTCCTCAGGGAATACAGCTGGGGGAACACTGGTGTAATCCAACCCCCTACAATTTTCCTGAGATATGGATAATTGAACATTACTGATGTTAAGAATAGAGCATTTCATCAGGGTGGGAAAAACTCACAGAAAAAAAGAGAGGAGAATATTAGAATTCGATAACCGGAGCTTGGTGAAATCACTTACTTAGTCATCCCTCAATTTTAGTCCCAAGGGTTTTATCTTCTAACCATGGAATGTTCCTTCCTCTCTCAGCTGCCTGGAGTGAAAAGGTGGCCCTCCTTCCCCGGTCTTCTTTCTCTTCAATACACTATTCTACTAAGCCGCAGGCAAAAACAATTTGAAACAGGTGACAGCAGAGCTTCTCTTTTTAATGCCCTTTGCCCCAGGCACAAGACTGGATCTTTCCAGACACTAGAAACGTTTTGAACAAACCTTCACCTCTTCTCCCCTTGGCAAAGCCAAAGTGTACTTTCAGTTGGCTCTTGGAAATGCTGACGACTATCAGAGGCCCGACAGGCTGCTTCCAAAAAGCTTCTCCCACGTGGCACTTTTTACCTGTGTCTTATTTGGAGCCACTGCACGAGAGAGGGGAGAAGAGGGAGGGCAGGTCTCTCCAACCTTCTCTCGTGCTCCTGCCTAGCAGAAATGAGAGACACGGGTGGGGAAAATCCATCCTGTTAATGCAATAGGCTTGATGCTGGTTGGTTTGAAACCAGCAGAATCACAAAATTGCAAACCTTCTCACAGTGCAGCATTTCAGGATCATAAAGAAGAATAAATCGTCACTAAAATAGTAGAAAACTGTGCCCCCAGCCTTCACAGATTTCTATAAATCATTTTTACCTCTTACCCAGGAGAACCACTCATGATACATTAGGTTTGGAGAAAGGAGAAAAAAATTCCTGGTGAGCACAGCTCTGGTTATGTCACTATCATTGAGGGGGCCACCGTGATTGAGCTGTTTTGCCAGGGCAGTAGCTTCAATCCCCTGAAGGCAATTGCAATACTCCAGTAAATACAAAATGAAGGCCTGCACAATAACCCAGAATGATTGTTAATGTGAGTTCCAAAGACATTAAATATGCTTTATTCCAGCCTGTCAGAGGGCCATTGTTTATTCGATTTTCACAGCCTGCCCTACTTCAGTCTGATCAACATTTGTTCATTGGGATTATGGCCAATATCCTATGGGCTGGAAAACAAGCGACTATGAAACAAGCAAGCTGCTGGCAGAATGCTACATTTTTCTTTATCTGGTTGGAGGGCCCAAGTGATGTGCAGATACTGTCCAAATGATGTCTGCTTCTTTATACAGAAGGAAAGCTATGGCCATAGGCTATTATTTAATATTTACAGCTGTCAAAAAACTTTTGATGACTGAAAGCATTCACCTTGCTTCTGGGAAGATAATGGGTTGATCTTTAAGAAATACCTAGCACACACACCACTCATCACCATTATTGTTTCAATGATTCATCCATCAAACACTTGAGAGTCTTTTTGGTACAAGAATACAGAGATGACTAACTCTTTATCCTCAAGGATCTCATAGTGTTTTGCATGAGTAAAAATACATGTAAATATATGGAATAGAATCAGAGTTTAAAGAGCAGAGTAATCATTCTGTCTAGGGGTCAAGAGAAGGCATCATATTGCAAGAAGCACTTGAATTGAGTCTTGAGAAAACAAGTAGGAATTCAGAGGTAGTGGCTTTCCAGACCTGGCAGAGGTATGAAGGAGGGAAACAGCAATGCCCACTTGGGGAAGGCAAAAGGATTCTGATTGGCTGCATCGTGGGACAAGGCAGGAAGCGTCAGAAAGTAGGTTGAAGAGACAGGCAGAAGTCATATTAGGGAGAGCCTTGTATGACATGAAGGAGCTTCAGCTTTATGCCACATCAAAGAGAATTAACAAGTTTACTCAGCACCACTTGAAATAAATCGCATGAGCTGAAATTGAAATAACCTGTGTTCTCTTTGTTTACCCAGCGTTTTCACTTCTCATATCAGTTGGGTCCAGGTATTTCAACTCCAGGTATTTCAAACAAAAACAAAATATTTTTCGAACAATGAGAATTTAATGCAGGGCATTGTTTACAGAAGTGATAGGAAAGTTAAGAAACCAGATAGGGACAGTGAGGCAATCCAGAAATTAGCAACAGCAGAAAACCACTATGTTGTGTTATGGAAACTCAGAAGCCAAGGATGTCTGGCTGGAACTAGGATTATGGCAGGAACTTTTCCTCTCAGTGATAGAATATAGTGCAATACACTTCCTGGCAGGAGCTGAAATCATAAGTAAGATGCACCTGCTTCAAAGATGTCACCAGATAGAGAGAAGGAGGAAGAAATAGACAGGCTTCTTCTTTTCCTCTGTTTATTTCTCCCTAGTACTTCCCATTGGTCAAGCACATCCAAGAAATTCATAAGCAAAGGAATATGGGAAATGTATTTATTTGAGACACAAACCAGAGCTGGAGAAGTGCAGAGAGTATGAGAGAAAACATCAGCTGACCTACACAGTCCACCCCTTTTCTGGTGTCCAACATTCATTGCATGTTTATATATTTATGTGTCTATATATTTATTTATGGCATGCCCATATTTAACTACCTAATAACAGCCTTATTTTCCCATTTTACAAACTATTATCCAAAGAATCCACAGAATAGCTATTCTGCATTAAATGCAGCCATTCTCATCCTCTTCCCAAATGCGGAGATGTAAAGACCCACCAGTCATCATGCCCATATCAAAGTTGAATATCTTCATATCATATGCAGTTCTCCCCTTCAGGGCATCACTAGTCCTGTGACCTATTCTCTTTTCTCTTTGCAGAGTCATCCTGATAAATAATTTGAAGGCCCTTTAGAGTACAATTTGGAGGATGATTTATAATATATACTTGGGGCAATTTTTCAGAATCCTTCTTCAAGAGAACATAGCCTCCTACTTAGGCTCTAGATCTGTGAACTAACAGAGACGCTGTGACTTCCTGTGGCACTTACTCAAGATAACTTCCTGTTCACTGGATCAAATAATGCTTTGTTGGGCTATCCTTCTATTTAATTCCTAGGAAACTATAATCAATTAGCTATCATCATAGATCCCTGTAGATAAAAACATCTGAATTGCCACTCAACCCTCCCTGCTCATTACAGTAATTATGGTTATTTTGTCTCTGTCAGTAAAGTGCTATTGCTACCTGATCCCTGACATTCCAAGATCTCATCTCTCCATTAAAATGGATGTATTTCAAAGTCATCAAATCTTGGTGTCATCCATAGCCTGTAGAATAAATTAACCATAGATATTTAAAGATATTGGGGCTCTCCTCATTAATGCATTTATCAATGGTTGAGTAAAAGAAGAGTCCTCTGGGTTCTCTTGCAAGAATAGTCAGGAAGAGAGTGAGTAGGTTGAATATAATAAATTCATTCCAACATGATCATCTCCTTATGCTTTTGAATCCTCCTTCATCATTATTTCAGGGAAGTTTGGGGATCTTTTCCTCATTTCACATAGGCAATTATTAACTCTGTGTTTCAGTTAACCAACCAATCAAAGTTTTAGCATGATCTTCAGTTGCTTGAACTAATATATTTAATCCAGACTCTCAAATAAATATACCTATATTGATAAATACTGATAAAACCTACATTATATTCTGTGCTCCTTATTCTTCCTCACATAGATTATATCTCCACACACATTTTCCAAAGAAATTCCAATAAAAATTAGCAAATATCTGCAATTCTTTTCATGTATACATTATTTATTCTTGGACCAGCCCTTATAATTCTCCACCTGAAGTGTGCTGGCATCTGACTGTAGTTATGGGTTTGGAAGCAATAAAAGATGCTTCTTGTGAGTATTGAGAAAAACAGACATCTCCTTTTATGGCAACTTTTTCAGATGAAAAAATTATAGGCTTCGTAAGTAAAGAAAGATGAGCCTCATTGAACATGGTTGCATTTGCTGGTTACAGAAACTTGGGGATATATTGTGTTCAGAGTTTTCAAATTCAACTGCATCTGCTCAAATATCCCCCATCCCAACTCTCAGGGTTTCACTTCTTACAACTAATGGCTTAGTACTAACATACTAAATTGGTGAGTCTGTGTTTTCAATTTGCATAATAACTCTGTATACTGAACATGATTCTGATTCTCAACCATAATTTCCTTCTTGGTAAAAAAAATTACAAGAGTGCCAAAGCAGCTCTCTGATTCTCTGGCTGTCTCTTGAGCTAAAAGTTTAAGGTCTAGGCTTATCATTTTCTTTCTGTAAGTAGTTCAGCATAGTCAGAGACAGTCACTCTATTTTTGTAGTCAAATGAAACACTACTTGTTTTCCCAAAAGACTTGCTTTTGACTGGCACATTATCTCAAACAAAGTAGGCAATAATTTAAGTTATTGTGATGTTATTTGATGAGGCTCTTTAATTGTAATATTCCATTTTTCACCAGAAAGAAATTCTTCACTGTATTCAAGCTAAAAGAAGCAAGCAATCTAAGCTCAGAATTCCTTCTTAAGGATCTATTTCCTGGGATTAATCCTAACATAAAATAATTGTATCAGTCAAGGTCTAGTCAGGAAAATATAGATCAATCTAAGTACTTTAAATAAAGAAAATTCAATACAGGCAAATGGTTACACAAATTTTTGTAGAGCTGAAAAACTAAGCAGGAGATCATGAAGCAACCCACAGATTAGCAACAATAGGAAAGACATTATCATTCCACAGGGCTAGAGAAAGAAGAATGTGATTTTATTGAAGCTCTAAAGCCAAGGACATGTAATGAGGGCAAGAACCACAAAAGGAGCTGCCTGTGGGAGCTGTGACCACCGAATGACAGGTAATCTGCCAAGAGCTGGAGTTGAGGAGGAGATGCAGCTGCTGCCAGAGATGCTGCCTAAGTCAACATGAGAGGAGAGATAAACCTTAAACTCATCTCCTTACTCTTCAGTCTTATCTTCCTGTTGGCTCACCCTACCTAGAAGCTAGCAGTTCCTTGCAACAGAGTAGAAAAACGAATTTCTAGTAATTGATTTGAGAACAAATAAGCAAATGGCTGGCATCCTTCTACAAAGAGAAGATTAACAGGGAGGGTTTGCCATTATTTGATTTGGAGTTTTGCCCAGGCCAATTGAGAAGTAACTAGAATCCCTTGCACTCACTTCCTATAGAGTTGCTTTCTGTATCATGTACATGTTTCTAGTTCAATCCAAGATAGAAAAACTGATGTTACACAAAAAGCTTCATAATCTAAAGGAATTTAGACAAGAAAGTTTGGGTTTGGATTAATGTCTATAAAAGTTAACTAATTATAATAGGCATTAAATGCAGACTAGTAATTCTTCCAGTGCCACCACTGTTAAGATAATTGATGTTAACTTCACTCAGATTTGCATAAATATATAAAGAGAGCATAAAACACATTTAAATACATAAAATTATATGACAGATTAATCCCAATACTAAAGTTATGCAATTTGAGTTTAGATTTTAGTGATTCACCTGTCTGGGACTCAGTCTATCACTCTCTAAAACAGGTTAAAATCATGTATAAGTCTTTTCTATGTATTTATTCAACAAATGTTGTTTTGTTGTTTTTTTTTTTCCCAGTCATCTTGCTAATTGACTTTAAGCACAAAGGATATAGTGGCTTAGGACTGTGTGTGTGTGTATATATATATATATATAATATATATATATATACATAAAATGTGTTTCATGAAGCTAAGTAGTATTGTTATTAATCAATTAGAAAACTAAATATTAAATTGTAACTGTTCTAAGTGTTATGAAGTTAAAACACATTTTTTCATGAGGGGGATTTTGTCTAGTTGGCAGCCTCAAAGAAGGAGTCCATGAAGAGGTGATCCTTGACATGCAGGAGTTTAACAGAAAAAAAGAGATGAGAGGAGAGTGTTCAAGTATGTATAAAAACCCTGTATCTGGGGCCGGGCATGGTAACTCACGCCTGTAATCCTGGCACTTTGGGAGGTTGAGGTGGGCAGATCACTTGAGGTCAGAAGTTGGAGACCAGCCTGGCCAACATGGCAAAACCCTGTCTCTACTAAAAATACAAAAAATAGACAGGCATGGTGGCACATGCCTTTAATCCCAGCTACTTGGGAGGCTGAAGCAGGAGAATCGCTTGAACCCAGGACATGGAGGTTGCAGGGAGCCGAGATCATGCCACTGCACTCCAGTTTGGGCAACAGAATGAGACTCGGTCTCAAAAAGAAAAAAAAAATGTCCCTGGAGGAATATGACTTGCATATGAGGCTGAAAGAAGGACAACATTCCTGGAATGAATTAAAGGTGTATGGTGCACTCTGATACTGAAGGGGCAGTGAAGGACTACAATACAAATGACCATAAACCATGGAAAGTAACACTGTTTTTATTCTTAGAGCAGTAGGAACTCATCAAAAAATTTTAACCTGGAAAGTAACTTATTCAGATTTGCATTATGAAAAGATTACACTAGCTATATTGCAAAAAAAAAAATGCATTGAAAGGGAAATATTTACTGTGGTAGTTTAGACTAGGTTAAAGTTGATAGAGATGATGAGTAGGGAATATATTTGAGTGATTCTTTGAAAAGTAAAATATGACAGGGCTTAGTGCTGAATGGGATTTGGGCATTAGATTAGGGGGATTTGTCAAAGATGATTACTAGCTGCTGGCTTGCATATGTGTGTGGATGTTGGAGCATTCATTGATGACATTACTGATGGAATTCACTTGAAAAAGACAAAGGTGAAGGGGTAGGATACAGAATAAGTGTAAGTGTATTCCTGGACATAATTATTTGGGTAACTTTTAGCTATTTATGAGAAAATGCCAACTAAGTGGATGGATATTCAGGTGTGAAACAAAGAAATAGTCTGGGCTAGAAAAAGATCTTTGGGATTCATTAGCTTACAGATGGTAATTGAAGGTGTAGGCAAGAGTTAGATTGCCAAGGAGGAGTGTATACAATAGAGAGAGAAGAAGTTCAAAAATAGAACTGTGATTGACTCCATCAGCCAATTTATGTTCAGGAGGTAGTGCCTAAAATGGAAATAGTTAAACAATGAACAGATAAGTAGGGAAAATTCCAAGAAATACTGTGTCACAGAATCAAAAAGAAAGTCTTTGAATGGAACTGCTGAGAGACCAAGAAGAGAATGAAAATATTCCTTTAATATAGTGAGATAAACATTCTTGGTAACATAAATGAGAGCAATTTTAGTGGAGTCAGGAGATCAAATGCCAAATTGAGGTGAACTCAGAAGCAATCTGAAGAACTTTGGCTGTGAAGGGGAGGAAAAGATAATGTGATATATAAAGGATAAGGAGGATTCTTTTTGCTGATCTAAAATAGTATAAAAGACAAGTATTCTTGAAAGTTGTTGGAAAGTGTCTTACTCAGTTTATGCTGCTATTAAAAGGATGCCTGAGACTGGGGAAGTTATAAAAATCAGAAATTTATTTCTCACAGTTCTGAAGGCTGGAAAGTCCAAGATCAAGGTGCTGGCCATCTTGTGAGGGCCTTCTTGCTGTGTCCTCACATAGCAGAAGGTGCAAGGGCAAGAAAGAGCTGAACCACTTTTCCAAGCCCATTTTAATAGCAGCATTAATCCATTCATGAGGTCTTCCTCTCTCTCTACTGTATACACTCCTTGGCAATCTAACTCTTGCCTAGACCTTCAATTACCATCTCTAAGCTAATGAATCCCAAAGATCTTTTTCTAACCCATACTATTTATTTGTTTCACACCTAAATATCCATCCACTTACTTGACACTTTCTCATAATTAGCTAAAAGTTACCTAAACATCTCTCAAAACACCCCACCTCCCAACACCATTGCATTGAGGATTAAGTTTCTAACACGTGAATTTGGGGGAACACATTCCAACCATAGCAAGAAGAACCCAATTAAGAGAGAAATGTTTGCTACACAAGAGCAAGAAGAAACAAGCAATTGTGGAAAGTTCTGGAGCATGTCACAGGAGGTAGAATCCAGAATTTTATATAGTAGAGACATCTCCATTGTAACGAGAAGAAAAGACAGAATAGATGCAAATTTATGTTTGTTTGCTATTGGAAAGTTACTTTGTTGTTATTGGGGGAGATAATAAGAGTTGTTTTGTGAAGGCTTTTAATATCTCTACGAAGTCAAAATCCTCTTCCTAGAGAGAGAGCAGAAAACAGTATAGAGGATGAAAAGGGTTGGAAAATAAGGGAAAGCAGTAGGACATTTCCAACTCAGGTTTTCAGTGATTTTATTATTTTGCCCCTATTTGGTGTATCCTGATTTCAAATTAGAAAGTGTTTCCTTGAACTAGTATCAGAATCATCTTTTGGAAAGATTATTTTGTGTCTCATGAAGGCATTTCCCCTCTCTCTCACACACACATGTACACACACACACACCCCCTCCACACACACACCATTGAACTCTTTGAAAAACTTAACGCTATGTGAATATTGCTATTAAAAATGAATCTATGGCCACACATTTTACAGTTAAAAAAAATCTCAGTGAAACTTAGATTCCCACTAACAAAGAACCTAAAGAACCACTGCCTAAAGACATTTGCTAGATCCGTACTGAGACCTCCCTGGGGTGTTGTTGTCTCTCTTTATCACAATTGAAGTTGTAGCAGAGGCACTGTTTTAACCAAAATCCCATACGGTCTTTCCAAAGCCCCTATTAAAACTACAAAGGAAAAAGAGACAGCCACATATTTTCTTTTCTTACTTTTCTTATGTCTGGTATGAGAGTCTAAGAAACCTAAGTGAGAGATTTTTAAACTTCAACACTTTACAGGGTAATAGAGATTGTATGAAAATTCATGATAGAAAACGTACTTGAAAAACTGTCTATACAAGTTAATCCTGGTTTCATATTGATTTGTTGCTTCCAATTAGTGAAGTTGCCAAATGAGTTATGCCAAGATTTTCCTAGTCTCAGACACAAACTAATATTTTCTCTAAAGACTGGCTTCCTTTCTAGATAACATTATTAGCCATAGAATATTCATCACGACAGTGCAACATGAGAGTGATCTTGGCAGATTTCACTCTTATAATCCAAATTGAAAGAAATCTTGCTAATATAAAGTGAGGGAGCATGTTCTCTCCTATTTTGTCAACTGTTATAAAATCAATGAAGCCCTACTTAGCTTGGGCTTTCATCTACTGCAAATGTGATTAAGATTAAATTTAAGAATAAGTGGTAATGGAACTATGCAAGTATATTTCCATGGCAAGGATGTTGCCACTGAAAATTGGCTTCTAAAAGGAACAATGATTAGAAAGGAAACGTGCAGAGGGCAATTATTAGAAAGGAAATGCACAAAGGTGAACTATGAAAGTAAATTTCAGTCAAGGAGCTTGCCACTGAAAATTGGCTTCTGAAAAGGGCAATGATTGGAAAGGAAGTGTACAGAAGATGCCAATGTAGCTTCTTCAATTATATAAAATATTTCAATTAAAGGCCAGAGAAGTTAGGAAGACTTTTATTAAGTAATGCAATTAAAAGCTAATAAGTCTAGGACTCAACCTATACTCAGAAAGAAAATTTCGTGAATTAGTTTTCTATTGCTGTTGTAACTTAGTGGCTTTAAAGAAGTTTTTTAAGTCTGGCACACGTTCCACTGGGCTAAAATCAAGATGTTGGCAGGGAAGCATTCCTTCTGGAAGCTCTGAGAAGACAATTTGTTTCTTTGCTTTTTCACCTTCCAGAGGTGGCCTATATTCCTTGGCTCATGGCCCCTTCATCTATCTTCAAAACCAGCAATACAGCATCTTTGCTCGGGTGTGCTTCCATCATCATCCATCTTTCTGTGACCTCACTTCTGCTTACTTCTTCCAAAGTGAAGGACCCCTATGATTACATTAGACCCATTCATATCATCCAAGATAATCTCCCACCTCAAGGTCCTTAAATTAATAACATATGCAAGGTATTTTTTTTCTGTGTTAGGTAACGTATTGATGAGTTTTGGGGGATTGGGACATGGATATTCTTGGGAGGCTATTATTCTGCCTACCATGTTTGGAACAATGGAAGGGCATGTTTCTAAAAGAAATTTACTTCTGGGGTGTTTATGTTTTCTAGCCTACTATGTTCAAAGAGATTTCAAAAAATTTAAAGGATTTTGCCATAACTATGCAGTACATCAGATAATCAGACAACTCATTTTCAGTGACAAGAATGCTAAATATGAAAAGGATTCTTTTGGCAAAATGAAACTTACTCAGAAGGTATGAATGGATGATTGAAAAGCTACTTGGGATGCCCAGAGGACGTCATGCATCTCCTTCTCAGGAAATTACAGCAGGAAGGAGAGCAGGCAAAGGGAGTAAAAGGGTAATAAAAATGTATTTTAATTAAATTATTCCATAATAAAACTAAAATGAATATAAAAACAATAGCTGATTATTATCCTCATCATGCTTCTTGAATAGCCTATGCAAGAAATTATTTGGAGATGAGAGCTGAGATGGTTACAAACTAGTTCACCCATGCTCTCTCTCCTCTTTCCTTCTCTGAGTTGCTTTCTCCCTTTGTCTCTCTCTCTCAACACTCTGCTCCCTCCCTCTTTCATCTTGTCTTGCAGGAGGTATGACCTGAGTAAAGACTCTGGTGCTTTGTTGCCTTCTAAAGCACAGCATTACCAGTGGACTGCATCAGTGTGGGTTAAAACTGGCATTAAGGCAAACTGTTGCTCTAGCTGCAGCATGTTTTACCTTTAAAATCTGTCACATTCTAAGAGATACAGCTGCCAGGAAAGCTGGGTTTCCAGGAAACAATAATTTTCGTATTTTTGTCAGCATAATCTAGATCTAGATTTGCTTTAAAAAAAAAACAGCATTAAGAATCCATATTTTCCAAATAAAATATTGAAGCATGTGGTCTAACAAAGGATGTTTCACCACTTATAAATTTAAATAAAAAGCACTACAAGCTCATGAAAAATAAATTTCATTTAGTTGCATAATGAATAAATTTATTTTATTTAAAAATAAAATAAAATTATAAGTAACCGAGACCATCATGGAAAACCCAGGATTCATGGTCATCATTATTTCTACCAGGCAGTTCAGATTACTATTTTGTTGTAAAGCCCACAATTTATTTTGTGCAGTATCTGCCAGTGCCTCAAAAGCTGGAGTAAAAAAAAAAAGTTTTTAATCCATGTGATATCATGTGAACTGAGAATTTGGCAAGCTTAATTATCCCAAGAGTCTGGTTCAGTAGTGTGGTGTCTGGCACACTAAATGCTCAATAAATGTAGATTGAATAAATGAACAAATGTATGAACAATTTAAGATTGGCCATATAGATAGCAGGCCAAATTTCCTCTCTGCCAGGACTGAGTGAAAAGCTCATAAGATCCATCTGGAGGAATGACTGCTCAGGACATTTGGTCCTATAAGGAGAGAAATCTTTTTAATTAATCATTAGTTTGACAGATTTCATCAAGGTGTATCAACTTAAGATATCACCATGAAAACATTCTTTGTTTGTTTTTTCCTTTCTCACTGGATTTTACTCTCCCTAGTGATATCTTAGTCTAATTTTATGGCATCTCAGACTAATTTGGTGTTTTCCATGTAAAAACTTTGATTTCATTTTCAATTCACAGAACTCTTCCTCTACACTCCCAGGTAGGCTAGACCGGTGGCTCCTGCGGCTATAGAAGGATATAGAGAGCAAATGATGGGGTCTCTTCTCTCATGTCATTCCCACCATCTCTGCTGTCATTTCCTTTCTGGGGTTGGAACAGGGATGAAGGGGTGGAAAGAACACATTTCCCAGGTGACTGCTCATGGCATATCAGCCTCTCTTTGTCACACCATCCCTGTTTGGTCCTCATTTCCCTTTCCCCATCAGATGCTGACTTCCTCATGGGAGGCATCTATGGGTTCTTGGGTGGAACCTCCAGGAGTTTTACCCCACACAACTGCCTGACATAAGGTAACTGACTGGGACTTGGCTTCTTCCATTTCTCCTCGTGCCCTACTCCAGATGATCCACTCCGCATCCCCTTAATGTTAGGCTCCCTTTGCCCAGTGGGTGGCACCAGGAAGGGAACTGTGATTGAAAAGAGCTTGACTCTCAGCCTCCAACTCACCTTCAGTCAGATCCCACTCACATGTCCTTGTCATACCAAACATCGACATGCAGGCTGCACCTTGGAACTTCCTTTTTCAACTCTGTCACATCCCTCTGGCCCTTTTCTCCACATTCAAACCTAAAGAACAGATGATCCATCTGTTCAGTGGCTCAGCATTTGCTAACATATCATCCTTACTCTTTACTTTATATGAGGGTTGTGGGGAGGACAGGGAAGTCAGCTTGGCCACTCCCCATCTTGTGGGAAGGTGGGAGAACCCATCATATAATCCCTTCTTTCAGGGGATGAAATTGCTACTACTCTATACAATTCATATTTCCTTAAAATATGGCATTTCATTCTCTCTGTAGAGCTATTTAAATACATGGGGTAAAGGGAAGGTAAGTGTACCTTCCATTAAACTGTTGTCCATGGCCTCTCCTGGGGAGAAGTAACTGGATTATCTGACTGGGATGTACTACTCTTAAATTTTAAGGTAACCAATGCCTGTTATCCTCACTTGTGGATGCTAGTTGAGTCATCTGCAAAAAACAGAACCACAATGTAGAAAGCTTACCATGGGGCCAGGCCTTTCTCTTACACACAGTGCTCTACACATATCAAGCCATTTGTTTTTCACACAACAACTCTAGCAACAGAGGACATGACTATGTTCTTGTTCCTTTTTTTGAGATGGAGTCTCACTCTGTCACCCAGGCTGGAGTGCAGTTGTGCAATCTCAGCTCACTGCAACCTCTGCCTCCCAGGTTCAAGCGAGTCTCCTGCCTCAGCCTCCTGAGTAGCTGGGATTACAAGTGCACACCACCATGCCCGGCTAATTTTTTTTTTTTTTTTAAGTAGGGACGGGTTTCACCATGTTGGCCAGGCAGCTCTTAAACTCCTGACCTCAGGTGATCCACCCACCTCGGCCTCCCAAAGTGCTAGGATTACAGGTGTGAGCCACCACACCCAGCCATGACTATTTTCATTTTCTAGCTAATTTTAAAATTTATTTTCTTTATATCTATCACTTTGCATCAGGTAACCATATTACTCAGTGATTAAGAAACAGATTAGATATTTAAAAATTCATTTGGAAAAATTATATTAATTTAGAAGATATTCTTATCATCATTTTACATGATGAGATCACTATTGTTATGATTTTCATCTACAAAAATATGTGCAACTTCACCAAACCTGTAAATATTAGAATTAGAACTAATTGTTCTAATTCCATGACCAATGTTCTTCCGGGTGCTGGGCTGTTAAGGGTAACTTGTACTTTTCTTACTATAGGCCCAGTGGTTCTATTTCAAAACAACATCTGTGCCATGCATCAAGATATATATGGTGAGCCCTATACACACTTAAAATACATAAAATAGGCCGGGTGCGGTGGCTCTGCCTTTAATCCCAGCACTTTGGGAGGCCGAGGTGGGTGGATCATGAGGTCAGGAGATCGAGACCATCCTGACTAACACAGTGAAACCCCATCTCTACTAAAAATATAAAAAATTATTCGGGCGTGGTGGCGGGTGCCTGTAATTCCAGCTACTTGGGAGGCTGAGGCAGGAGAATGGCCTGAACCCAGGAGGCAGAGTTTGCAGTGAGCCGAGATCAAGCCACTGCACTCCAGCCTGGGCAACAGAGCGAGACTCTGTCTCAAAAAAAAATAAAAAAATAAAAATTAAAAAATAACAAAAAGACAACTAAATTCATTCACAGTGAGTTCATCCAGCAAAAACTTGATACTAGAAGAGCTTCTCCATAAATAAAAAACTGCAGCTATCACAACATAAAATACTCTTGGACTTCTGGCAGATAACTCTAATGCTTCCACCTGGAACTTCACTTAAAGGGCAAGGAACTTAAAGTACTGAACAGCAAGACAAACTGCACCGAAGAGGAAATCCCACTTGGTATGCAAATATATTCACCATGTGGTTATCAAGATTTATAAATATGCTTTCCTATGTCTAAGGTCAAGTGGCTATTATACTCCAGAGTATTTTGTTTTTTGTTTTTTGGGGTTTTTTTTGACAGAGTCTCACTGTGTTACCCAGATTGGGGTTCAGTGGCATGATCTCGGCTCACTGCAACTTCCACCTCCCAGGTTCAAGAAATTGATTCTCCTGCCTCAGCCTCCAGAGTAGCTGGGACTACAGGCATGTGCCACCACACTTGACTGATTGTTGTATTTTTAGTAGACAGGGGGTTTGCCATGTTGGCCAGACTGCTCTCGAACTCCTGGCCTAAAGTGATACACCTGCCTTGACCTCTCAAAGTTCTATTTATTAAAACAGATGTGAGCCACTGCACCCAGCCCAGAGTATTTTGTAATCTAACAAATACCCTATCTATACATTTACTATTTACAAGGTAGGAAAAGGAATACTGAGAGTAGTTCAGGTAGCAATATACCATTCTGGAATATTCATGCTGAAACAGGTTCTCATGGAGATTTCCATGAAATGGAAAAGAAAGTTCAGTTTCACCAGATGAGTAACAGAAATCCTGAAAGTACTGGAAATGTCTCTCTCCCTCATCATATATATTCTTCATATCCACCCCTTCCTCCTAATTTCTGAAACTCTTTAAATGATCACCTTAACCATTATAGGTTAAATTCAGCTCACAAGTGGGTTTCTTTAAAATGCAAAGTCTAGCAAAGGATTAAATTATTACAAATCAATCAGATATTGGTGAGAACTATTTAACTACATCATCTTATCAACTGACAAAAAGCACCGGTGAAATAGCAACATTTGAATTGGAAGGGAAAATGACTGTTAAGGAGGTAACCACAACAGTGTTCACTGCAGCATAGCTTACGATAGTGAAAAATCAGAAACACTAGATACTTATCCAAGGGAATATAGTAAATTATGATTGATATGATTGATATTTCTGACAGAATGTTTTATAACTGTAAATATTAATGATTGGATTAATACATGTCTTCAAAACACTCTTGAGGCCAGGTATACTGGCTCATGCCTATAATCCCAGCACTTTGGGAGGCCAACGTGGGTGGATCAACTGAGGTCACGAGTTTGAGACCTGCCTGGCCAACACAGCGAAACCCCTGTCTCTACTGAAAATCAAATATTAGCCTGGTGTGGTGCCACGCGCCTGTAGTCCCAGCTACTCGGGAGGCTGAGGCACGAGAATCACTTGAACTCAGGAGGTGGAGGTTGCAATGAGCCAAGATCGTGCCACTGCACTCTATCCAGCCTGGTCAACAGAGGGAGACACCGTCACAAAAGAAAAAAAAAAGAAAAAACACTGTTGAAAGGAAAAATAAATTGAAAGCGATTTTAAAAATTGTATTTTTGAACATTTAGGAAATCACTGAAAGCAATACCACAGAAGACTGCATAACATTGGTGTGGTTAAAAGCATTAGCATATGATTAAGCCCACCAGCTCTGGAGTCAGAGGCCTGCTTTTGAACCCCATCTCTGCTACCTATTAGCTGTGTAATCTTGAGCAAGTTATTTAAGTTCTTGGTGTCTCAATTGTTGCATCTACAAAATAGAGATGATAATGGCACTTATTTTCAAGAGTCAAGGAAGGTTTATTTTCAAGAGTCAAGAAAAAGATGCATATAAATAACTTAGAACACTGCTGGTAAATACTAAGCGCTTAGTAAACATCAGTTATTATTCACTATTTATGGACATATAGATGCAGAAAATGTAATAATATCAACTGGAATTCATGATATCGAATACCTCTACGGAGAAAGGGAACACAAGGGCTGAGCAGAAAAACAAAGAGGACTTCACCTTTATTCTCTTTTATTAAAACAAAACAAATACATAAAACCAAAATGCAAATGATGATGATAGTTTTAAAGCCCGAATGTCAAAGAGCAGAAGCAACACAAAGGGCAACATGGGAAATAGTCAAAACAAACTTTACAATTTCGACCACCTATGCCCTATTTTAATTGAGGCTCAGGCATAGGAAGGAAGCCAGATTAAGAAAGGTAAGAAGGAAAACTTCTTGCCTTGCAGAGCAGTTGGATCAACCCAAAAAGAAGGCTTCTGAGCAGGGCAGTAGAGCAAGCTTATCTGCACTCTAAGGCATAAGCCAACTTCTCAGGGAGCCCAGGTTAGACAGAATACCACTAGTACCATCTGCTTAAAAAGAGTCAAGACTTGAAGAGTCTATTCAAACAAGAACAGGGCAGGTGATGGGGTTTGGCCGATACTGATTGCCTCTTGGACCTCAGTCTGCTATCACTCATAAGCAAAGATCCAAAGAGGTTATAGGTAGCCTGAGAAACATCTGGCAGCTGATGTCAAACAGCTCAGTCTCTGAGAGCCTGCTTTTCAGGAATACAGAAGCATCCAGAGAGGAATGAGTTGAAGACCAGATACTAAACAGCCATGAAATCATGGTCAAAGTGGGAAGAGCTGCAAGGCGGACAAAAGCCTGAAACACTGACGTACAGCTACAGCTACAGAAGCCTTCTATTTGCCCTTCATGGTGCCAGATTGTGTCTGGAGCTTGGTGAGAGATTAAATTAACACAACTGGAGGAAGTCAGGTGCAAGTCCCAGGCAGTTTCCATAAGACAGTAGCTCAGAAAGAGAGGTTGCTGCTCCCCCAAATCCCAAGTTCATTCTTCCTTTTACCATTACTCCTCTCTCCCTACAGTTCTCCATCCATCAGGGGGACTGACATTGTGTGGAAAGAGCTGAGGTTGTTTTGAGAACTCCTGTCTAGAATTTGAACCTATTATTTTATCTTTTTATGTCTCAATGTCTTTATTTCTATAACTGGGAATATAGTATCTATGTTAAGAAGATGTTGTAAGGATCAATCACAATGATGTGCTTAAGAAGTTTGGAGAGACGGCTGAATAGGAACAGCTCTGGTCTGCAACTCCCAGTGAGATCAATGCAGAAGGCAGGTGATTTCTGCATTTCCAACTGAGATACCCGGTTCATCTCATTGGGACTGGTTGGACAGTGGGTGCAGCCCACGGAGGGCAAGCCAAAGCAGGGTGGGGCATCGCCTCATCCAGGAAGCACAAGGGGTTTTCCCTTTCCTAGCCAAGGGAAGCCATGAGAGACGGTACCAGGAGAAATGGTGCAATCCAGCACAGATATTGCGCTTTTCCCACGGTCTTCGCAATCAGCAGACCAGGAGATTCCCTCCGGTGCCTGGCTTAGCAGGTACCACCCCCACGAAGCCCAGCAAGCTAAGATCCACTGGTTTGAAATTCTCACTGGTGGCACAGCAGTCTGAGGTTGACCTGGGATGCTCGAGTTTGGTGGGAGGAGGGGCGTCCTCCATGGCTGAGGCTTCAGTAGGTGGTTTTACTCTCACAGTGTAAACAATGCCTCTGGGAAGTTCGAACTGGGCAGAGCCCACCACAGCTCAGCAAGGCTGACTGCCTCTCCAGATTCCTCCTCTCTGGGCAGGGCATCTCTGAAAGAAAGGCAGCAGCCCCAGTCAGAGACTTATAGATAAAACCCCCATCTCCCTGGACAGAGCACCTGGGGGAAGGGGCGGCTGTGGGTGCAGCTTCAGCAGACTCAAACATCCCTGCCTGACAGCTCTGAAGAGAGCAGCAATTCTCCCAGTACAGCGTTTGAGCTCCGATAAGGGACAGACTGCCTTCTCAAGTGGGTCCCTGACCCCCCTGTATCCTGACTGGGACACACCTCCCAATAGGGGCCAACAGACACCTCATACAGGAGAGCTCTGGCTGGCATCTGGGGTGCGGTGCCCCTCTGGGACAAAGCTTCCAGAGGAAGGAACAGGTAGCAATCTTTCCTGTTCTGCAGCCTCTGCTGGTGATACCCAGGCAAACAGGGTCTGGAGTGGACCTCCAGCAAACTCCAGCAGACCTGTAGCAGAGGGGCCTGACTGTTAGAAAAGAAACTAAAAAACAGAAAGGAATAGTATCAACATCAACAAAAAGGATGTCCACTCAGAGACCCCATCCAAAGGTCACCAACATCAAAGACCAAAGGTAGATAAATTCACGAAGATGGGGAGATGGGAAGATGGGGAGAAACCAGCACAAAAGGCTGAAAATTCCAAAAACCACAATGCCTCTTCTCCACCAAAGGATCGCAACTCCTCACCAGCAAGGGAACAAAATTGGACAGAGAATGAGTTTGATGAATTAACAAAAGTAGGCTTCAGAAGGTGGGTAATAACAAACTCCTCTGAGCTAAAGGAGCATGTTCTAACCCAATGCAAGGAAGCTAAGAACCTGGAAAAAAGGTTAGACAAATTGCTAACTAGAATAACCAGTTTAAGGAAGAACATAAGTAACCTGATGCTGCTGAAAAACACAGCATGAGAACTTCGTGAAGCATACACAAGTATCAATAGGCGAATCGATCAAGTGGAAGAAAAGATATCAGAGATTGAAGATCAACTCAATGAAATAAAGTGAGAAGACAAGATTAGAGAAAAAAGAGTGAAAAGAAATGAACAAAGCCTCCAAGAAATATGGGAGTATGTGAAAAGACCAAATCTACGTTTGATTGGTGTACCTGAAAGTTACATGGAGAATGGAAACAAGTTGGAAAACACTCTTCAGGATATTATCTATCCAGGAGAACTTCCCCAACCTAGCAAGGCAGGCCAGCATTCAAATTCAGGAAATACAGAGAATGCCACAAAGAGATTCCTCGAGAAGAGCAACCCCAAGACAAATAATCATCAGATTCACCAAGGTTGAAATGAAGGAAAAAATGTTAAGGGCAGCCAGAGAGAAAGGTTGGGTTACCCACAAAGGGAAGCCCATCAGACTAACAGTGGATCTCTCAGCAGAAACCCTACAAGGCAGAAAAGAGTGGGGGCCAATATTCAACATTCTTAAAGAAAAGAATTTTCAACCCAGAATTTCATATCCAGCCAAACTAAGCTATAAGAGAAGGAAAAATAAAATTGTTTACAGATCAGCAAATTCTGAGATATTTTGTCACCACCAGGCCTGCCTTACAAGAGCTCCTGAAGGAAGCACT
Organism: Homo sapiens; assembly: GCF_000001405.40. Classification (NCBI taxonomy): domain Eukaryota; kingdom Metazoa; phylum Chordata; class Mammalia; order Primates; family Hominidae; genus Homo; species Homo sapiens. The sequence continues at coordinate 81,164,432 of NC_000009.12, forward strand.
AAACATGGGAAGGAACAACACTGCAAAAACATACCCAAGTGTAAAGACCATCGATGCTATGAAGAAACTGCATCAACTAACGGGCAAAATAACCAGCTAGCATCATAATGACAGGATCAAATTCACACATAACAATATTAACCTTAAATGTAAATGGGCTAAATGTCCCAATTAAAAGACACAGGTTGGCAGATTGGATAATAAGTCAAGACCCATCCGTGTGCTGTATTCATGAGACACATCTCACGTACAAAGACACACATAGGCTCAAAATAAAGGGACGGAGGAATATTTACCAAGCAAATGGAAAGCAAAAAAAATAAAATAAAATAAACCAGGGGTTGCAATCCTAGTCTCTGATAAAACAGACTTTAAACCAACAAAGATCAAAAGAGACAAAGAAGGCCATTACATAATGGTAAAGGGATCAATGCAACAAGAAAAGCTAACTATCCTAAACATATATGCACCCAATACAGGAGCACCCAGATTCACAAAGTAAGTTCTTAGAGACCTAAAAAGAGACTTAGACTCCCACACAATAATACTGGGAGACTTTAACACCCCAATGTCAATCTTAGACAGATCAACAAGACAGAAAATTAACAAGGATATCCAGGACCTGAACTCAGCTCTGGACCAAGCAGACCTAATAGACATCTACAGAACTCTCCACTCCAAATCAACAGAATATACATTCTTCTCAGCACCACATCACATTTATTCTAAAATTGACCACATAATTGGAAGTAAAACACTCCTCAGCAAATGCAAAAGAACCGAAATTATAACAAACAGTCTTTCAGACCAGAGTGCAATCAAATGAGAACTCAGGATTAAGAAACTCACTCAAAACCGCACAACTACATGGAAACTGAACAACCTGCTCCTGAATGACTACTGGGTACATAATGAAATGAAGGCAGAAATAAAGATGTTCTTTGAAACCAATGAGAACAAAGACACAACATACCAGAATCTCTGGGACACATTTAAAGCAGTGTGTAGAAGGAAATTTATAGCTCTAAATGCCCACAAAAGAAAGCAGGAAAGATCTAAAATCGACGCCTTAACATCACAATTAAAAGAACTAGAGAAGCAAGAGCAAAGAAATTCAAAACCTAACAGAACACAAGAAATAACTAAGATCAGAGCAGAACTGAAGGAGATAGAGACACAAAAACCCTTCAAAAAATCAGTGAATCCAGGAGCTGGTTTTTTTGAAAAGATCAACAAAATACATAGACCACTAGCAGGACTAATAAAGAGGAAAAAAGAGAAGAATCAAATAGATGCAAGAAAAAATGATAAAGGGGATATCACCACTGATACCACAGAAATACAAACTACCATCAGAGAATACTATAAACACTTCTATGCAAATAAACTAGAACATCTAGAATAAATGGATAAATTCCTGGACACATACACCCTCCCAAGACTAAACCAGGAAGAAGCTGAATCGCTGAATAGATCAATAACAAGTGCTGAAATTGAGGCAGTAATTAATAGCCTACCAACCAAAAAAAGTCCTGGACCAGACAGATGCACAGCTGAATTCTACCAGAGGTTCAAAGAGGAGCTGGTACCATTCCTTCTGAAACTATTCCAAAAAATAGAAAAAGACGGACTCCTCCCTGACTCATTTTGTGAGGCCAGCATCATCCTGCTACCAAAACCTGGCAGAGATACAATAAAAAAATAAAATTTCAGGCCAATATTCTTGATGAACATCAATGCAAAAACCTTCAATAAAATACTGGCAAACTGAATCCAGCAGCACATCAAAAAGCTTATCCACCACAAACAAGCTGGCTTCATCCCTGGGATGCAAGACTGGTTCAACATATGCAAGTCAATAAACATAATCCATCACATAAACAGAACCAATGACAAAAACCACACGATTATCTCAATAGATGCAGAAATGGTCTTTGACAAAATTCAACAACCCTTCATGCTAAAAACTCTCAATAAACTAGTTATTGATGGAATGTATCTCAAAATAATAAGAACTATTTATGAGAAACCCATAACCAATATCATACTGAATGGGCAAAAACTGGAAGCATTCCCTTTGAAAACCAGCACAAGGCAATGATGTCCTCTCTCACCACTCCTATTCAACATAGTATTGGAAGTTCTGGCCGGGCAATCAGGCAAGAGAAAGAAATAAAGGGTATTCAATTAGGAAAAGAGTAAGTCAAATTGTCTCTGGTTGCAGATTGTATACAGACATGATTGTATATTTTGAAAATCCCATCATCTCAGGCCAAAATCTGCTTAAGCAGATAAGCGAATTCAGAAAATTCTCAGGATACAAAATCAGTGTGCAATAATCACAAGCATTCCTATACACCAATAACAGACAAACACAGAGCCAAATCATGAGTGAACTCCCATTCACAATTGCTACAAAGAGAATAAAATACTTAAGAATACAACTTACAAGGGATATGAAGGGCCTCTTCAAGGAGAACTACAAACCACTGCTCAAGGACATAAGACGGGACACAAATAGAAAAACATTCCATTCTCAGGGATAGGAAGAATCAATATCGTGAAAATGGCCATACTGCCCACACTAATTTATAGATTTGATGCTATACCCATCAAGCTACCAATTACTTTCTTCACGCAATTAGAAAAAACTACTTTAAATTTCATATGGAACCAAAAAAGAGCCCGCATAGTCAAGACAATCCTAAGCAAAAAGAACAAAGCTGGAGGCATCACGCTACCTGACTTCAAACTATACTACAAGGCTACGGTAACAAAAACAGCATGGTACTGGTACCAAAACAGATATGTAGACCAATGGAACAGAACAGAGGCCTCAGAAATAACACCACACATCTACAACCATCTGATCTTTGACAAACCTGACAAAAACAAGCAATGGGGAAAGGATTCCCTGTTTAATAAATAGTGTTGGGAAAACTGATTAGCCATATGCAGAAAGCTGAAACCAGATCCCTTCCTTACACCTTATACAAAAATTAACTCAAGATAAATTAAAGACTTAAATGTAAGACCTAAAACCATAAAAACCCTAGAAGAAAACCTAGGCAATACCATTCAGGACATAGGCATGGGCAAAGACTACATGACTAAAACACCAAAAGCAATGGCAACAAAAGCCAAAATAGACAAATGGGATCTAATTAAACTAAAGAGCTTCTGCACAGCAAAAGAAACTATCATCAGATTGAACAGGCAACCTACAGAATGGGAGACAAATTTTGCAATCTATCCATCTGACAAAGGGCTAATATTCAGAATCTACAAAGAACTTAAACAAATTTACAAGAAAAAAAAAACCCATCAAAAATTGGCTGAAGGATATGAACACACACTTCTCAAAAGAAGACATTTATGCAGCCAACAAACATATGAAATAAAGCTCATCATCACTGGTCATTAGAGAAATGCAAATCAAAATCACAATGAAATACCATCTTATGCCAGTTAGAATGGCGATCACTAAAACGTCAGGAAACAACAGATGCTGGAGAGGATGTGGAGAAATAAGAACACTGTTACACTGTTGGTGGGAGTGTAAATTAGTTCAACCATTGTGGAAGACAGTGCGGCAATTCCTCAAGGATCTAGAACTAGAAATACCACTTGACCCACAATCCCATTACTGGGTATATACCCAAAGGATTATAAATCATTCTACTATAAAGACACATGCATACGTATGTTTATTGTGGCACCATTCACAATAGCAAAGACTTGGAACCAACCCAAATCCCCATTAGTGATATACTGGATAAAGACAATGTGGCACATATACACCATGGAATACTATGCAGCCATAAAAAAGGATGAGCTCATGTCCTTTGCAGGGACATAGATGAAGCTGGAAACTATCATTCTCAGCAAACTAACACAAGAACAGGAAACCAAACACGGCATGTTCTCATTCATCAGTGGGAATTGAACAATGAGAACACATAGACACAGGGAGGGGAACATCACACACCTGGGCCTGTCACCGGCGGGGGGGAGTGGAGGGAGGGATAGCATTGGGAGAAATACCTAATGGAGGTGACGGGGTGATGGTTGCAGCAAACCACCATGGCACATGTATACCTATGTAACAAGCTTGCACTTTCTGCACATGTACCCCAGAACTTAAAGTATAATTGAAAAAAAAAAAAGAAGTTTAGCCTAGGGTCTGGTAGCATCCATCACTCCTAGCACTCACTCACTTAGTAGGCATTCAATAAATATTTGCTTAACTAATTATTCCAAAGTAATGCTAATTAAGTTGTAGTCTCTAAGTGGATGATTACTAGTAAAAATATCTGAGCTAATCCAAGTGTCTTTTGTTTTTTCACATGTAAGGATTAGTTGTTAAGAATAAATCATTTTAATACCAGGGCTTCCATGGCTAGCCTTTTACCTTGTGACACTTACCTTGAAATATGTACTCTGTTTGCTGTATTGTCTTATTTGTCATTTTTAATGACTGACCTCATGAGTGGAGCAGCAGAACCTCATGTTACTACCCCTCTTGGTCATATGGAACGTGGGAACAGGGGTCTAGGTTTTGACAAGGATGGCCAGACACTTAGTGACCCACATAGCATAAAGGTTCACACATCCAGAGTATCAGTTTTCACAACTAGGCCACAGAATCCACTACTTCTGATATTTTATGTTTGCTAGTTTCCCTGTTATCACCCAGAATTCATATATTTTCAGTCCCTGCTTATACATGTATTCTCAACCAGAAACATCCACAATTAGAACTAAGTGAACATACTTTCAAGGGACATTTCTAACTAAGTGGTCTCCAAATGCCTTGACTGCAAATCCAATTAGAAAAAGAAGCAGCTCTAACATATGCATGCTTGTATTATACATACATACATACACATTATGTATATATATGTATGTATACATTACATACATATACACTACGATTAAACTTCAACACACGTTATTTTGTGTCAGTAAAGGTGGAGGTAAAACCTCATTTCAATAAATTCTCTTTATGATTTTTTAAATTAATTGGCAATCTTCTTGACAGACATAATTAGATAACAATTATTTTTACTTCCTGGCATAGTTGCCAAAAAGCTACTGCTAGGACTACAGCTCTGCCATGTGTGTGTGTGTGTGTGTGTGTGTGTGTGTGTGTGTGTGTGTGTTTCAGTCCTTTAGGTTCTGGGGTACATGTGCAGAACATGCAGGTTTGTTACATAGATATACACGTGCCATAGTGGTTTGCTGCACCCATCAACCTGTCATCTACTTTAGGTATTTCTCCTAATGCTATCCCTCCCCTAGCTCCCCACCCCCTGATAGGCCCCGGTGTGTGATGTTCCCCTCCCTATGTCCATGTGTTCTCATTGTTCAACTCCCACTTATGATTGAGAACATGTGGTGTTTGGTTTTCTGTTCTTGTGTTAGTTTGCTGAGAATGATGGTTTCCAGCGTGTGTTTTTTAATTGTTTGTATTTTTCTACTATTTTTCAATCCATGCATTTGTTTAAGACTTTTCCATTTTGTAAAGTATTGTGTGCTTAGAATTAATAAACAAACAAGCAGGCTAAACATTGAGTCAATCCCTCCATACTGTGGTGCTCCTGTCTTATTTCAGAGTAGTATCTCATGAACGGTGTGTGACAATGTACAGTGACCAAATGGGTGTGCCAGTTCCAATCCACATATTAAACACTAATGAAACTTAAGTTATTTTTTTATTTTAGATAAAAATTGAAAGAGAAGTTCTAGTGTTTCCTTCCCACACCCTAATGGATCATCCCACTCACTCACTGGCTCTACTTTTCCTGTTTAGAGACTACTGGCATGAATGTTTTTCTAAAGTAATACACACTTCAGTAGTATGAAAATTGTTTTGGGAACCATACAAATACCATATGGGAGGGAATCCACTTAAAAAAGTATCTAATAAGAATCTCAAATGGAAGAAATTCTGAATTGTACAAGTAAACATGTCTAAATGTGCTTATGAAGCACATGGACTATGCACATGAGCAAAGAGAAGCCAGGAAGAATAATGTTGACTTTGGCCTCATCATTAATGGAAAAAAACAAGAAGAAGTTTTCCTGGGACAGCAGAAATCAGAAACCTCTTTGAACATCTCCATATACATCATATTTAGAATGATATGTTGGTTCAACAAGCTTTGCTTTGGCCTTTTACGTGAGACATTGTGTGATATTTATGATGTATTTGCACCTGATCTGTTTATCAATGTCATCCTCCTCAAACCAGACCTAGCTGCACTGACTCATGATTTTCACAAAAGTGATGGTAGAATGATAGATGGAGCCCAACCAAAGAAAACTCAATCACTATCTCTGCTGCCATTTTTCAATGAGAGAAGCCAGCTCCAAAAGAGCCATTGCAACCAGATCCTGAATCTACTAGAAAGTAATGTTTCATTCATTACAGTATTGCCTTGAATCATTTTGCTGATTTGGAAAGGAAATTTATAAACAACCAACTGACACAAATTCTTATTCTTTAAATCCTTTCCCTAAGAATACTTTATTTACATTTTGGGGAAATGAACACCCTACATTGCAAAATTCATATTTTCCACCTCATCCCCACTCTTTCTGGTTTTAAAGAAAGAATAAAATATATTTCAGTGTTCTACATCTACTTGGATACATTTATGAATACCTGTAAGGAATATCTGTGGCATATATTTCCCTATTTAAATTCTATTTTCCATGTCTAAAAAACTCAGCTGTGGTAAAGAGTTAGTAAGTTTGTGGGAAAGCCAGGTAATATTTTTAGAAAAATAGAAACGCTGTAGGTTATTAATGAAGTAGTAGTAGTGTGTGTGTGTGTGTGTGTGTGTGTGTGTGTGTGGTACATGGGAACAATGTACAACAACTTGGTGTTATTAGAGAATATTTACCTTCGAGTTAATACATAGTTAGAAATGAGTTAGCCTCTTTGGATGTTAGTTAAGCTACAGATTGCCAGAATTAAGACTGTCCTTCTGTTAAACCATAAAATGGACATAAATGAATCAGAGCAGAAAGAAATGCCAAATCATCTAAGAGATAAAGTAATCCTCAGACTAGAACAATACTGATGATATTAACATAACCAAAAAATATAATATGTCCAAATGAATGAACCTTGGTCAATGCAGAATTTTAAGTAAATATAATCACAGAAATATATTTTCAATTCCTTTCTTCATTGTTCAGGATAGATGTAACCAGGCAAATTTGAGCAAAACATTACTGTAGGCGGAGAATGTTTCTGTTGCAAGGATAGACACAGTCAAAAGAGCTGATGTCTCAAAGATTTTATTCAGCAGCCTACTTGCCCACCCTTGAATTTTTTATAGACTCATTGAGGCATAATTTACATATCATAATAGTCACCCATTGTAAGTGTACAGTTGAATGATTTTTAGTAAATTTATACAGTTGCATAATCATAAGCACAATCCAGTTTTAGAACATTTTTATCACCCACAAAGTTCCCCGTGCTCATTTGCAATCAATTTCCACTCCCACCCTCAGCCCCAGGCAACCATAAATCTGTTTTCTGTCTCTATAGATTTGTCTTTTCTGGAAGTGTTATATAAATGAAATCATAAACTAGATAGTCGTGTTGAGCTTCTTTCACTTAGCATTATATACTTGAAGGTTATCTATGTTATTATAACTATCAGTATACCATTTAAAATTTGCTGAACAGCATTCCTTTTTATGGATCTACACTTTGTCAGTCTATTCACCAGTTTCTGGACATTTGGATTGCGTGAATAAGCTTCCATGGACAGTCAGGAACAAGTCCTGGCAGGAACATATGTTTTGATTTATCTTGAGTAAAAAGTTAGGAATAGAATTGCTGAGTTAGACACAAGTATGCATTAGATCTTTTAAGGTCTTGTCAAGGGGCTCTCCAAAGTGACTATACTGCTCTACATACCCATCAGTAATGTATGAGAATTTCAGTTTTTCCAAATCCTCACCAACACTTAGTATTGCAAGTCTTTTGGATTACAGCCACTCTAGTGGGTGTGTAAAGGTATCTCATTGAGGTTTCAAGTGGCATTTTTCTAATGAATAATGATATTGAGCATCCTTTCATGTGCTTATTAGCATTTTGTATATCTTCTTTGTGAAATCTCTATTCAAATATGTTGCCCACTTTTAATTAGGTTGTTTGTCTTCTTATTGTTGAGTGGTAAGTGTTCTTTATACATTCTGGAAAGAAGTCCTTATCAGATATGTATTTTGAAAATATTTTCTCCCATTCTGGTATTAGTCTTTTCATTTTCTTTCTTTTGAAGAGAAAAAGTTTTAATTTTGATAAAGCCAAATTCATAATTATGTCTTTTATTGATCTAAGAAATTGTTGCCTAACCCAAAGTCACAAAGACATTCTCCTATGTGTTCTTCTAGAAGTTTTATGGTTTTAGCCCTTAAATTTAGGTCTATGATCCATTTTGAGTTAACTTTTTTGTTTATGGTGTGAGGTAGGGGGCTAAGATTATTTTTTTTGCATGTGTATATCCAATTTTCCCGGCTAAAAATACTGTCCTATCCTTTACTAAATAGACTTGACACCTTTGTTGAAAACCAGTTGACCATAAATGTAAGGATTTCACTTTTAATGTGATACAAACCACGATTTCTTCTTATGATAACTTGACTCCCCACATAAATCAGCCTTCATCCAAGGAATGTACTGCTAAGGCCAATGTGAACATTAATGCATCATTCTCACTTTAAATAAATTAATTGGAATAACAATTTATACAGAAGTTTATAAGTTCAGTTAAACTAAGTTTCTGAGCCCATCAAGCTGAGGAACTAATTGGGATAAATTTTTCAAGGTTATCATAATCTTGAGAGGGTATTTAGAAGCCAGCCGTCTTCTCCTGACATCACTTTATAGAAACTTCCAAACTTTAATCACCAAGAAGTATTTGTTGAGGCTCATTTATATGGAAGGCACTATGAAAGATTCAAATATATACAAAATGTGTCAGTATTCCACTGGTATGTGTCAGTAGGACCAAACAGGGTGCTCATGTCCAGAATCTACTGTGATTCGTGATGTCTGTACTGCACTGGTTATAAACATTTTGAATATCTTCACTGAACATAAGATACGGTTCTCCATCTTTTGTGAGCGCATAGTGTAGTTGGAGAGATAAGACAACTACATAGTTAAAATATTCAAGGCAGGAAGTGACATGCTGGATTTAAAAGATGGAAAGAGGGAAGATCACAGAGAGCTACTGGTATTATTAGCAGAAAAAAATGTTTCTAAAGATAAATAAAATCAGTTTTCTGAAGAAGAATATTATATACTAATTTAGGGTTTTTAAACTTATAATTCATCAATGCCCCAACTATCCTAACCAGTAGTATCTGATCAAATTAATTGTTAAAATAATAATGCTGATTGCTATCACTTATTGACTGCCTACCAGGTGTCAGGACTACATTATATTAACTATATTATCTAACTATGCAAGGCTACAGCTCTACCTATCCTAGGCTATGACCTATATTATCTCTAATCCTTACAACAAATCTAATAAGTTGAAAATATTATTGTAGCCATAGGCCTAACTTGACCAGCTTGGAATAAAAAAATAAGGCTACAAAAAGACAATAATATTCAAATTTAAATATTCCAATTTCCATACCTAAAATGAAAAGCTTATTCTTCTCCAAGCTTCCTCGTTCTAAAGGACTACTAAGAACCCTCAAAATGCTTATGTGGATTATGAAGTAGTCTTTCTCATTCCTTCTTGCTTCTTGCCTTTAACCAGTAGAGGGCTATAATCCAGCCACTGACTAGTCACCGTGATGGCTGATCTTCAGACAGCTGACATAATGTTCCTGGTTTCTCCCCACGATGTTTTACCATTGTCATTGATGAACCTCACTGTGATTTTGAATCTTTAGTGTTCATTAGAATACAAAAAAAAAAAAATGATGTTTCTGTCTCCCCACTGTCATGCTAGTCCTGGAGTCCACTGCATATATTGCTTCTATTAAGTGCAAGCAGAAGCAGTTTCAGGGTGTGACCATGGTGTCAAGGAAACCCTGTCTCTACTAAAAATACAAAAAATTAGCCGGGCGTGGTGGCGTGTGCCTGTAGTCCCACTCCTTGGGAGGCTGAGGCAGGAGAATGGCGTGAACCCAGGAGGCGGAGTTTGCAGTGAGCCGAGATCGCGCCACTCCACTCCAGCCTGGGCGACGGAGCGAGACTCCATCTCAAAAAAAAAAAAAAAAGAAAAGAAAAGAAAAATCATAAGAAGCCAAGGACTTGGCCACACTTTGTGTCAAGATGTAAGCCTTTCCCAAGATCTCCTCATCCAAGCCCTTGAGAGTTAAAGAAGTTCATACTTCTCCCCTGCCAAAGGTTACCACAATTCTTATTCTAGGATAAATTACTGAAGTAACCAATATTTGCTTTAGGAGAAAATTCTCAGTTTTTCTATCCCCATTTAATAACTAAGAAAACGGAAGCTAGGAGATTTTAAGTGAATGGCCAAAGATCACACAGTAAACATGAAATTCAAACTTGGCATTTTCAAATTCACAAGCTAATCTTTTGTTACCCTGCTTTACTGTTTATAAAATCCCTGATACTTGATAAGTCAGTTCTGGGCAGATTGGACCTAAGAAAAGAGTAGCCTAAAGTCTTCTCTCAGCTTCACAGATACACCTAGTGAAATAAAATTTAAAAGGTGTCTGACAGCAACTTGCAAGGCTACTTATTCTCTCATGGTTTTTAGTCTGAAAGAATCTTTGTGCAAACCAGAATGTGTGCTGTTAGTAAACAACCCAAAGCTATTTATTAATTGGGAGTAAACAAAAATTTAGTTGGGTTTGATTCTGCAAACAAGCTCATAGAATCTAACAGACAAAGACAGTATTTCAGGCTAGAAAAAGGGATGGAGAAAGAGAAACACTCCAATGTTACTTACCTTCCTGCAGTGGAAAAGCTCTCATTAGGACAAGCACAGGTTTTTATGGATGTGTTTTTATCACTAACTGGCTGTGAGTCTCCTCAAAGCCAATGCTTCTCTGCAGGCCCTTGCTACCCAGCTTGTTCACCTTTAAGCTGGGGTGAGGGAGGGTGGGTATAAGGACAAGATGATATAAAAGAAATATAAAGAGAAAAAAATGTAATACCAATAAAACTGGTCATTATGAAACTTTCTTCATTGGACAACCCAACAATATAAATAACAGCGTGGCATATTGACTGAAGTCAGGTAAATTGTAAGAATTAAATAAAATAATATAAATATAATCTCTGTCATTTACTAAACATTCGGTCTTGAATGAGTTATTTCCCTTAACCTCAGTTTTCATACTTATATACTAGAGCTAATATTTCCAAAAATTGGAATAAGGAACAGGCTAATCATGCTACTGTCTAAGGTATTGATCCACAGCAGTGCCAGAAGACCAATAGACAGGATTGAAGCTTTGCTGTTAGTTGACTCGAGTCCCCACACATGGCTCCTGATAAAACTGGTGATGTGTCCTTGGTTCTCTTTTGACCAAAGCAGTCAAAGCCCTCCAGTTGACATTTAAAAACTTCTTTATTTATAGACCTAACTCCAAATAAATAAATGTACAAACATATAAATAATATCTATTTGAAGGGACACTATATTAGTGAGGATAGTTTATCATATAGTGCCATAATAAATAACTCTAAAATCTCAGTGACTCAAAAAATAGAGGTATATTTCTTACTCACTCAATGTCTTGGTTGGCTGTTCTTCAATTTGAATTTATGCCATCAGAAATACCTTGTAAGTATTTCCAAGTTTACTATAGTAAAGAAATAAAGAGATGGAAGATACACACTGGCTCTTGCCTCCTCTGTCTCAAAGTGGCACCCATTATTTCTGCTTCCAGTATCTTGGACAAAACAGTAGTAGGGATCAGCCTAACTGGTAAATGTAGAGAACATTTACTGTGCCTCAGATGCCACAGTATTTAACTGGCTGGGTGCCTGAATATCTGAGTGTAGCATCAATATTCATATAATGATTGTGAGAATTATATAAAATAACTCAGTAAGAACCTAGCCCTGGGTCTGGCATAAACTTTATATTTAATAATTTTTAGTTTCTTTTTTCTACCACCAATCTCAAAGAAGAAATTTGCCAACCTGACAGAATCAATGTCAGCCATTAATGTGTTCCTAGATACTATAGCCAAAGCATCCTCACATCTTGCTCAGTGTGCCAGAAAGAGTTAGGTCAAAATGAAGGCTACATTCCTGGGACAACTTGCAACCATCTTTTCATATCTCCACTATCACAATTTATCATGACATTCACCTGCTCTAGGTCCTTCTGTGACTCCCTAAGCTTAAAGGAAAAAGTTGAAATTCCTTAATGGGTAACACACAAGACCCTTTTAGAGTTTGTCCTTCACCTCCCTCACTTGCCTCATACATAACACTTGCCTCGCTCACACTCACCCTCCACTCCAGCCCTGACAAATGCCTTCAATGTTCCTGGGCAACTCAGTTTTATGCCATGCCTACCTGCATTAGCAGGTGCCAAGGGATTTTCTTGGAATGTCTTTCATTCACTTTTCACCTATATATTTGTGCTTTAACATCTCTTCAAAAATGCCTTTACTGGCTTTGCCAGTATGACTTAAAGTTGTGTGTCTGTGCCTCACAGCATAGATATAGATTAATCACTACTGAATACTAAGTATGTGCCAGCCCCTGGGCTACCATGTGCATACCTGTATTGCAAATTACTGAATATCAAACATTGACCCAAGGGTCTGTCTCTTCCTCTCAACTGGAAACTCACAGAAGGCGGGAGCTATGTTATATTTGATGCTAGATCTTCAGAGCCTAGAAAGGTGCTTGGCACATTGTGGAAAGACACAAAAATTCATCATATTAGTAAATGCCAACCTCATCATTGCATTGTGTTTTATATATCCAACCACGCCTCTCCCTTTGCCCTGGTTCTGGATTTCCCAGCAAACTACTAATCTAAGTATGCTGCCTCCCTGCCTACTGTCAGCTTCAAATGCCATGGACCACTTCTAACTCCAGCTAGGCAAGGCCCCAATCTCTATTTAATGAATGAGTTTAAGAGGTGGACAATGCATTGTTTGAAACCAGAAAGATCTGAAACCAAACCCTAGATTCACCACTTAGTAATTGCACAAACTCAGGCAGGCTCTCTTAACCTTTAACACTTTAGTTTCTTCATAAGGAAATTAGGACAATTATTTCCATGCCGTGGGGGGGATATTATGAACATTAAAAAAGAATCCTAATTTTGTTGCCTGCCTGCATGCATATCTCTGAATGGAGAAAATTGTACTACAGAAACCTCTTTAAGAAGGGTAGAAATTTATTTTTTTGAAGGAAGGTTCTTAGAGAGCTGTTTGGAATAACAGATAAGACCCTGAAACAGGACTGAATATGTAGAGAACCACCCTGTAAGAGACAGAAAGAATTGTTTCTCAAGAGTAGCAGATGAGCAGGGTAAAAGGGAGGATATAAGAGGGAAAAAAGAGAGTCAGGAAATTGTGGAAGACCTCCCTATGACCCCTCAAATTTTTAATGAGGTCAAAATATATGGTGTATATATTTTGAAGAACTTAGTAGTATATTCTGTCATAGAATAAACAATCTATAAATTATAGATGCAATTATTAAAGTGTTGTCATTATTATTATCCCAGACTTAGTTATCAGTTAATCCCACAAGTTTGCACTCATTAGTCAATTGAAAGAGAGGAAATATTTGTAGGGCAAAAATAATCGAGCTCAGATTTTCTTCTCTCTAGATTTTGTCCCTGGCTTTGCTTTTCACTCCAGGATGGGTTCTTACTCCTATACTGATTTGCTTTGCTCATAGCTGTCCAAGGTGTTTCCTTGACTGGGTCTCTTTTTATCAATTTTATTGAAGTCCAATTTATGTACAAGAAATAGTATTCATTTAAAATATGCAATTTGATGAATTTTAACAAATATATACACCTATAAAACCACAATCAATTACAGAGCATTTTCATCACCCTCAAAAGCTTTCTGGCATCCCTTTGCAGTCCATCCTTCCCTCTCCTCTTACCGCAGGCAAATGCCAATCTGACTTTTATCATAGGAAAGTCTTAATTTGGTAGAATTTTCTATTAATAGAATCAAATGTTGTATGGCCATTTGGGTTGTTTTGGATATGATGAATAATACTGCTATGAACATTCACATACAGGTTTTTGAATGGACCTTTATGCTTTCATTTCTCTTGGGTATCTATCTGAGAGTAGAATGGCTGAGTGATATGGTATGTTTAACCTTTAAGAAACTTCCAAACAGTTTTCCAAAGTGGTTGTAGCACTTTATACTCTCATCAGCAACATGAGAGTTCCAGTTGCTCTACATCGTTGTCAATATTTGGTGCTTTCAATCTTCTTAATTTTAGCCATCCTAATATGTATATATAGGTATCACATTGTGATTTTTTTTCTTTTCTTTTTTTGAGATGAAACTTCACTCTTGTTGCCCAGGCTGGAGTGCAATGGCACGATCTCAGCTCACTGCAACCTCCACCTCCTGGGTTCAGGCGATTCTCCTGCCTCACCCTCCCAAGTACTTGGGATTACAGGTATGAGCCACCACGCCCGGCTAATTTTGTATTTTTTTAGTAGATACAGAGTTTCACCACATTGGTCAGGCTGGTCTTGAACTCCTGAGCTCAAGTGATCCACCTGCCTCGGCCTTCCAAAGTGCTGGGATTACAGGCGTGAGCCACCATGCCAAGCCATATATTGTGATTTTAAGTTGTATTTTCCTAATGCCTAAAGGTGTTAAGCATCTTATTTTGCATATCTTCTTTTGTCTTCGATTGACTTTTCAGGTTTTTGAGCATTCTTTGTGGCTACATGCTGTCCCAGCTGTTACTCTCAGACATCACCTTCACAGCACCCTTTGAGTGCTAAGAATACCCCTTTTTCACATTACCTTACTGGTTTGTGCTGGCTTTTAAATTTGTTTTTAGATTTATGCTGCTCTTTTCATCTTTGATACAGGAACTTGCCAAATCTCAACTTTTGGAGACAATCTCCTATAAAAATACATTCCTTCATCAGATGAAAATTTACTCAATGTTTTATTTATTTTGATATCAATTTTATCTATCATTATTATTATTAGTTATTGTTATTATTATTTTGAGACAGGGTCTCACTCGGTCACCCAGGCTGGAATGCAGTGGCACTATCTCAGCTCGCTGCAGCCTCAGCCTTCAGGGCTCAAGCAATCCTCCCACCTCAGCCTCCCAAGTATCTGGGATTACAGGGCCATACCACCATGCTCAACTAGTTTTGTATATTTTTTTGTAGAGACAAGTTTTCATCATGTTGCCTAGGCTGGTCTTGAACTCCAAGGTTCAAGCAATCTGCCTGCCTCAACCTCCCAAAGTGCTAGGATTACAGGCATGAGCCGCCATGCCTGGCCTAATTTTATCAATTATTTTTTATATAAGTTCAAGGTATCAGACTGGAATATTTATTTTAAAAACTACATCTAACTTGAAAAATCCTAATCACTTAGCCTCTCAGCCAAGACAATAATATGACCTTCTGCCTACTTCCTACAGACTGGCTTTAAAAATTAGAAGTTAAAAGAACTAGAACATGCAAACAAATGTATCACAGCTCAGCTATGTAAGGTAAGTTATAATACTTAGCAATTTAGATTCTTAAAATAAAATGAATATTTAATATATTTGTCTCCAGGTGCATTAAATTTAAAAGCATCTGTTCCCTCCGTGAATTCATAATTAAAATGACAGCAATCAGAATGAAGAAAATCTTTTCTGAAGAGGAAAATATACCCTAGATTATCCAATGTTGACAAAATATGCCTTGTGATGGGTGAAATTCACAATATTCACCTGAGAACCTTGCTCAGTTGACCTAAAAATTCAGAGGTGTCTATTCTACTGAGCTCGACATACTCCATGAATATTTGTTTCCAGGTTGTGTGGGAAGGAGAAAAAATAAAAGATCTCTTTTTTGTCCTAATGTTTTAAAATATTTGATCATGAAAAAGAAGATTGGAATAAGGAGTTACTTAAGTGTTTATAAGCATATATACAAATATGTGTTTAATGATTGTATGTACATTAGTGCATAATTTTTAAATATGGGTTTTAATATATAAAAATACATCTTGATAAAATGCCTTGTATTTTTTTTCTCCTAAAAGAAAAAAGAAATGTTTGGGGGAATGTATCTTAAAGTTAGGGAAAACTAAAATGCATCCACCCTCATCACAGAAAATATCAAGACCACTCTGGCCTTAGGAAATGCAGATGTTCTGCTCCAGCAGGAAAATGGGAAGTTGTGTAGGACAACCAGGGTTGAATAAATCCTCATTCAACAGCAAGATTTTTCTCAGGCAAATGTAACCATCATTGTCATCTAATTCATGAACACCTTTTTCCCTTTTCTCTTTTACCTTTGTGTTCCTACATGGTCTGTAAGTTAAAA
The DNA here is from genome assembly GCF_000001405.40 of Homo sapiens. Classification (NCBI taxonomy): domain Eukaryota; kingdom Metazoa; phylum Chordata; class Mammalia; order Primates; family Hominidae; genus Homo; species Homo sapiens. Next base: position 81,180,955 of record NC_000009.12, read on the forward strand.
GCCTAAAGATCATGGTGATGAATATCTTCTACTCTTCTTTGATAATATATTCTGAGAAAAAATTTCTTAAGTCTCAACATTAAAAATAGATAAATTCTAATATCATCTGTTTCCAGTAATGCACTCTAAACCAAGCAGGCTGCAAATTGTCTATTTTGACTATACTTACCAGGAAAAACACATATATTTATCAATAGAATTGGGGTTAATTTGGCCATTGTTTTTAGAAATTGATGCAGGAAAACTGAGGTACAGAAAAGTTTTAGGACTTGCTAAAGCTTACACAGCCAGCAGTAAAGCCAGAACCAGAAACCAAAGTCTTCTGACTCCCCCATGAGAACAAAATTAGTGAAATAAGTGTGTTAAGATACAAATTAGGAAATCAGCTACTTGAATAATTACTGACCCTTTTTTATTTATGTCAATGCTGTATACATTGCCATCTTAATTTTGCCATCAAAGATTTAGTAAGTTCTGCAATTTACTCAAGAAAAATTCAATGGAGGGGCTGTAAAAATGAGCTTTTCCTTCGGGAGTTCCCAGTGTTGTAAAAGAACATTGTACGTATATTTCTGTGTGACAAGAATAAATAATACAAAGATAAATCATGAGAGATGTGGGCAGAGCAAGTGGCATGGTAATTAGGGTGGGTGTTAAAGACATGTCAGTATACTCCTGTATGGTGTCTAGAGCAACACAGATGCTTAAAATATATTTAAGAGTTATATAAATGCATGTTTAACTGATGTGTAAACTATACATCCTATGATGCTGCAATAAACTAAACTATAGTTCCTTGAAAGAGATGCCATATTTTTTTAAACTTTGTGTTTCTGGTACATAACAGAGTCTCTAGTAGGACACAGTAGGTACCCAAGAAATATGCACGTATACCTGAATGGGTGAAAATATCCAATATGTTGAGTGGTCTGTTCATCTGGAACAAGCATGGCAAGCAGTCTAGGTACTGGACACTCAGAGTAAGTATAAAAACTAATCTTCCTTGCAAGCCCTTCTAGATCAAGCTTCAACTAATAGCTTCTACTATTAGAACTGTTTATATCTTGATATCCCTAAAATGTCATGTCTCTATACCTAGTGAGCACACCAGGTGTCTTTTATCTGAATGCACTGGAGTTCTGCAGAATGGACTTATAAATCCACTAGCACTACAAATGCCATGAATTTGGTGTTCAAAGATGAGTCGTATAATTTCATTATTCCACAAAGAAGACAATAAAAAGATAGAGGTAGGATTCTAATAGTTTATTTATGATTCTTCAGAGAAGCAGTTTGAGTTACAAAGAGGGGTTTGTTAACATAAAGGACAGGATAAGACTAAATATCAGAATGTACGGTACTGCAAACAGTAAGAGAGAAGTCAGGTTGTCAGTTTGTTAGTATTAGCAAGAGTTGGGCTTATTTTCTCAAAGAAAGCCAATATGTGAAATAAAACTCCTGGAGCAATATGCCAGAACTTTTTTTTCTCTCTCTGTCTCTAGTATAGTCATGAAGGCAATTCATCAGTCAGATGGCTAACTCCAAAACACAATGGCCAAGCCTTTTAAATGACAGGTCCACCTGGCAGAAATAGCCTGTGTGGGCCACTGATACTCTTGGTAGTTTGCATGCCCTTTAATGATTCACCATCTGTGTATCTCAAGGGACTGACTTTGGCTGAGCTTTGAAGCCTACAATATTAGTGTGAGTAATGCTACAAGTGAGCAACTATGGACCTGAGAACAGTCAAGCTCAGTGGTGTGAAATGTAAAGGATCAAGAAAGCAGCCATGCTCAGCTGGGTGAAGTGAAGCAAAAACACACATAAGAAGGCATCTGGATAACAACCCTGAGGAAATGAAGAGTGACCTCCACGGCTCCAGGCTGCTTCCAAACAGGTTTCCCTCCCCATGCCTGTAAGCTCTGCTATGCCCACAGAGGTAAGGCTTAAATTAAATCATTCACTGATATAAGATGTCAAATGCCTTAGCACCTAATTACACACTTCCATCAGGAAAACGAAAAGAAAGGAAAATGAAGCAACAATCCACATATTGACAGCCTGTATTCCCTGATAAAATCAAGATCTACCCAAACTTAGGGTAGACCCGTTGTCTGGAGTGAAATCATTCATTCATTCATTAGTGCATTCACAATATTATTTAGTAAACTTCATTAGGACATAATAAATAGCACAAACATTGTTCCTTATAATATTAAATTAATAAAAGCAAAAACAGTCACAGCAAATAACTTTCCTAATTACATTGAAATTAGTATATTTTGTATATAACAGATTTACTTAGCAAAGAAATTGTTTTCCTCATTATCCAATTCAAATATTAAGGACTCCAAAAAGTATATATTTTTTACTTTAAAAAGTGACACAGAGAATATTTGGGCCTGATATTCAAGAAAGCAATAAGTCAGGATTTTAATTCATTGCTATCCTAATGAAAAAATCTAAAGTGATATTAAAAAAAATCATGTGTCTTGCCTGAGAGAACAATATAGTAAAATTGTAATCAGTTGCTAAAGCTTAATCAATATTATCACATTGCAAAGTTTCTGGAGAGTGTTTTCTTTAATGAAAATTGTGAGGTCATGAAACTTTGTTGGTTTGCCTGAATTAAATCATCTGTTCCTGCCAGATAGCATCTGTATTCGTTGATAAAAATCAAGATCTACTCAAACTTAGGATGGACCCATTGTCTGGAGTAAAATAATTCATTCGTGAGTTCACAATATTATTTAGTAAAATTTCCTAAGACACAATAAATAACACTAACATCGCCTCTTGTAATATTAAATTAATAAAAGCAAATAACTTCCCTAATTTCATTGAAAGGACCATGTTCCATATATAGCAAATTCACTTGGCAAAGAAAACCTTTTCATCAGATCCTGTCAGAGACTGTGTTTGTTTCTTTCATTACCCTGACCACAAGCCCAGGAATTTAAACATTTGTGGATAAGTTGGCCATTAGAGGAGTTGAAAAAAAAACAACTCACATTCCTGTTTCTCTTATATCTTCTAAAATAGCAGTTTGGTAGTTCAGTGTGTTGGAAGAGGAGTTACATCATATTCCTAAGTGTTTAATTAAGCTATTCTGCTAAGAGCAATACAAGGAAATACATGGTCATCTCTTTCTCCGTTTTAAGAAAAAACTCTCTAATCCCAAGAAAGATCATGAATTCAATTGTAATATTCCTGGTTCTACTAGTTAAAGATGACTTCTGACTATAAAAATGTTTCTATCAAAAAATATTCTAGTCATTTTTATCTATAACTTTCCTGGGAGGTGATACTAATACAACGAGTAACATTTTACAGTAAGAGTGAAAAAAAAAGTAGATTGCAAAATTTAACTTTCTTTGCTCCAACAATTATACTTCTGAAATAATTCCTTACTGTAAAACTACCTTAGGGTCATGTCTCCAATGTTAACCTTTGCCATGAAAAATTCATGTTCTCATCAAACTTATTTGCATGAAGCAAATATAAAAGGAAGGAAAGCTCAAAGAATTAGTGACAGAAGACAGGGAACATCTCAGCATAATAGAAAGTTCAGTGTTTTATTTTTCGATTCCTATTCCTATATTCCAACTATTTCATCAAATACAAATATACACTGAGGAAATGTGTAGCCAATGAAAATCTTATGAAAGAGACTATGCTGCTATCATGGTCCTGCTTAAATGATATTGATAAGGATTCCATGTGACAGCAGTAAGTCACATGTTCCTCCAGCCACTAGCCGAGTGATGTTAGGCAAGTCATTTAATCTTTCAAAGTCTGTTTTCTCATCTGGGAAATTAGAATAATATCCAGGGCTGCTTGAGGTTTAAATGAAATAATGTATGTGAAGAGTCTGGGATAAAAGAAGTGCACAATATATGACGGCTAAATGGAAACAAGTCAATGAATTAATCTTACTCGAGGCTGAGCACGTTGGCTTACACCTGTAATCCCAGCACTTTGGGAGGCCAAGGCAGGTGATCACTTGAGGCCAGGAGTTCAAGACCAGTATGGCCAACATGACAAAACCTAGTCTCTACTATAAATAAAAATATTAGCCAGGCGTGGTGGCCTGCGCCTGTAGTCCCAGCTATTTGGGAGGCTGAGGAAGGAGAATTGCTTGAACCTGGGAGGCAGAGGTTGCAGTAAACCAGGATTGTGCCACTTCACTTCAGCCTGTGTGACAGAGCGAGACTCCATCTCAAAAAAAAAAAAAAAAATTAATCTACTCACCATTTTTGATGAGGAATAAAGAACAATTATATAACCAAGCTAAAACAGTTCTCAGAGTTAAACTCATCACCTTAATGTTTCTATAAGAAAAAAATGGAAAGATTAAAATTATACTATGCACTCATTTAAATAATTTATTTTAAAAAATGAAATCTGTGAAAAGTAATAAATGGAAAATGGAGGTACAAAGAATAAAGCAAAAAATCAAAAAAATGAACAAATCCAAATGCTAGTTATTTTGGGGGAAATAAACAATATATTAAAAAATTCTAAAAAATGTTTGGAGCAGCTATCTCTAGCCACTCAGAACAAAGTAGGCTTTTTCTAGGAATACAATATTGATCGTTAATAAATCCATTAATATAATTCACAGCATCAATACATATTAAAGGAGAAAAATCTATGTCATCTAAATAGAGGCCAAAAATTTTTTCTATAACATTCAACACCTACTCACAACAGTGAAAAAGAATACCTGGAAAGTTAGAAAAAAAAAGGGGTGGCTTAATTTATTTTAAGCCTATCCATGGTGAACCTGTAGTATGCATCCTTCTTACAGATGACATAATTGAAACATTTTTCACTAAATTCAGAAATGAAACAGAAATAATACAGGAATGACTTATTTCATAACTCCCACTGAACATTATGCTTACCCAAAACAATGCAATAAGGTAAGGATGTAAGATATAAAAATTATAAGGCAACAAATTTAAGGCAAGGCATAAAATTATAACTATTTGTTAAGAGTATGACTGACTTCGTAGAAAACTCAAAAAAAGCCACAGATAAACTATTAAAATCAAAAGAAATGTAGCAAGTTGGTAGTATACAATATTATTATTAGGGTTTTTTTTTGTTTTTTTTTTCCTGTTGTTGTTTTGTTTTGTTTTGTTTTTTTTGAGAGAGGGTCTCGCTGTGTCACCCAGGCTGAAAGTGCAGTGGTACAATCCTAGCTCAGGGCAACCTCGAACTCCTGGGCTCAAGCAATCCTCCCGCCTCAGCGTCCCAAGTAGTTAGGACTACAAGCATGTACCGCCGCACCTGGCTAAATTTGGTTTTTATTTTTTCATACAGATGAAGTCTTCCTGTGTTAACCAGGCTGGTCTTGAACTCCTAGACTTAAGAGATCCTCCCGCCTCAGCCTCTGAAAGTGCTGAGATTACAGACATGAGCCCTTGTGCCCGGCCACAATACTATTTTTAAAATAAGGTTTTGTTTCACCAATATAAACCAATTATGTGACATAATAAGAAAAATAAAAGACATTTCCTATGGTAACAAGAACTATGAAGTACTTAGTAGTCAATCTAATAAAAATTTACAAAATATTTCTAGTGAAAATCTTATTTAAAGGCCTAATAGAAGACTGCCATAGTCTATTCAGACTACAGTAACAAAATACTTTAGACTAGTGCTATGGTTTGAATTTTTTTTCTGTCCGAAACTGATCTTGCAACTTAAAACCCAGTGCAGTGGTATTAAGCAGTAGGGCCTTTAGGAGGTGATTTGGTCATGAGATCTCTGTCCTCATGGATAGAATTAGCAGACTTATAAAAAGGGCTTGAGGGAGTGTTTGTCTCCCATCTCTTTTGGCCTCTTCCATCATCTGAGAATGCAGCAACAAAGCACCACGTTGGAAGCAGAGAGCAAGCCCTTACCAAACATCAAATCTACTGGTACTTTGATGTTGTCAACCTCCAGAACTGGGCGAAATAAATTCCTGCTACTTTTTATTTAATTTAATTTATTTATTTATTTATTTTTGAGAAAAAGTTTCACTCTTGTTGCCCAGGCTGGAGTGCAGTGGCACCAACTTGGCTCATCGCAACCTCCGCCTCCCGGGTTCAAGCGATTCTCCTGCCTCAGCCTCCTAAGTAGCTGGGATTACAAGCATGCGCCACCATGCCCGGCTATTTGTATTTTTGGTAGAGACGGAGTTTCTCCATGTTGGTCAGGCTGGGCTCAAACTCCCAACCTCAGGTGATCGGCCCACCTAGGCTTCCCAAAGTGCTGGGATTACAGGCATGAGCCACCACGTCTGGCCTTCAAATTCCTACTATTTATCAATCACCCAGTCTGAGGTGTTTTGTTACAGCAGCATAAACAGACAAGAACAACTGGGTAATTTATAAACGACAGAAATGTATTGTTCACAGTTCTGGAGCTTGGGAAGTTTAAAAGTTTAAAATCAAGGTGCCCACCGATTTAGCGTCTGGACAAGGCTTGCTGTCTGCTTTGGCACTTTCTCACAGCCTTCAGATGGCAGAAGAGGTAAGGCAGCTTTCTTCATCCTCTTTTATTTTTTATTTTTATTTTATTTTTTTTTTTTATTTTTGAGACGGAGTCTTGCTCTGTCGCCCAGGCTGGAGTGCAGTGGTGTGATCTCGGCTCACTGCAAGCTCCACCTCCCGGGTTCAAGCCAGTCTCCTGCCTCAGCCTCCCAAGTAGCTGGGACTACAGGTGCCTGCCACTATGCCTGGCTAATTTTTTGTATTTTTAGTGAGACAGGGTTTCACCGCGTTAGCCAGGATGGTCTCAATCTCCTGACCTCGTGATCTGCCTGCCTCGGCCTCCCAAAGTGCTGGGATTACAGGCGTGAGCCACCATGCCCGGCCTCTTCATCCTCGTTTATAAGATCACTAATCCTATTCACCAAGACAAAGCCCTGATGGACTTAATCACTTCTCAGAAGACTCCACTTCTCAACACTATCACATCGAGTATTAGATTCCAACATTTACATTTGGGGGGAAAACCATCATTCAGACCATAACAAGACTTGAATAACAGAAAGAGTCTTATGGGAGGACTCAATATTTTATGGATATTATTTAAGCTGAAATTAATCTATAATGCGCAGTCATTCTAATCAGCTCAAGTGATTAGAATATGATCACGTGGCTCTAAAATTTATATGAAAGAGTGCCAAATGTTAGATACATTAATTAGGATACCTTTAGCTACAAATAACTGAAGCTCCACCTAAAAATAACCTACACTATAAAGAGACTCTAAAATGTAGAACCCGCTTTCTTTTCATTTCACTGTTTTGTTTGCTCTCAGTAGGGTCCATTTAATCGGGCTACTGTTATGCTCAAAATATGGTTGTCACATTTGCAGAAGTCTCATGAGAAGAAAACAGAGGCTTGCAAGGTGTATAACTATCCCAGTGTTTCTTTTTTTCAAATTGAGAGGAAAATAAATACCCATAAACACATCTCATCACATGCTCAGTCCTCAACTAATCACAGGCAAGGGGGAATGCAATTGTCACAATTATTGAGAATAATTATAATTTTACATTCCCACCTCCTTAGGATTTGGATGAGAGCCCAGATACCCAGAACTACATCACTGCCCAATACCTAAGAAAGAACTAGCGTTCTACTGGCAAAAAAATAATGGGTGCAGAAAATGACTACTAGGTAGGAAACCACAGTGTCCAGGAAAATGGATATTCAGAATGTACAGAGTTTATTCAAATCAATCTTAAAAATAGAAACAAAATCAAAAATACAAACAACAGATGATTTACAGATAAGAAAATACAAATGTCAAATAAACATATGAAAAAAGGCTCAATTTTACTAAGTAATCATGAAAATGCAAATTATAACAATCATGACATACCCTTTAATATCCATGAGATCAAGGATTAGCACATTTTTTATTAAAGGACCAAATATTAACTATATCTGGCTTTGTGGGTTAAGCAGGAAAATCAAGGACATTTTATAGGTATGTATCGAACCACTTAAAATGTAATCATTTAAAAATATTAAAACCATTCTTAGTTTACAAGCTTGAAAAAGTACAGTTAGCCGGATTTGGTGCATGAGTCATAGTTTGCTGATTCCCCATTATATGGACAAAACTTTAAAAGTGTAAAATATTAAGAGTTGGTGAAAATGCAACTAAAAGAGTGTCCTACATGTAGCAAGGTTTATTGCTGCAACCACTGGAGAATAATATAGCATTCTCTAATGAAAAATTAAAATGTTCACACCTTAAAACCTAATAATTTTTCTACTCATATTGCTCTTTAGAGAAATACTTGCACATATTCACAAGAAAGTATGTCCAAGAAAAATACCCAAAACACTGTTACATATTTTCTATAGGATACATATAGATAGCTATCTGTATAAAGAATATATTTGAAATGACAGACTAAACTCCTAACTCCTATTATTTTCAAGTAGAACAAAGGGGCCAGGTTTTGAAAATGCTTTCAGAGGATCGAAAGCTATTTGCATTTTTTTTCTGAAGTTTTTAACATTTTACAAGAAGAAAATGTTCATATGTCACTCGTACTTAATTAAAAATTTTAATGCCTATGTAAAACATCTTAAGAACTGGACACAGTAGAGAGATTAAGAAGAAAAATATAGACATAGTTAGCTATAAATTGTTTAAATATCACAGCTAAAGATTTTACCTCAATATTAAAATATATATAAATGTTTAGATATAATTTAGGGGTAAAATTGACCAAACATTTGAACTCCTAAATATTGTTAAGCCCCAAATTTTATAAGGCAGTTAACCAAAATTTTAGAACTCCAAGAGTTGAATGTAAGTAATTAGGAATTTTCAACAAATTCCATCTATTTTATTCCAAAGATAACATTAAAAAATAATCAGACACTAGCCTTGCTGGATTTTCAATATTTGGTTTTAAAGTCCTTCCTTCTTGAATCATTTCAAATGAAAAACAGAAATTAATATACCACACACACACACACACACACACACACACACACACACACACACACAGACACATCAATCTTAGGTATAATGAAACAAAGAATGTGCATTCATAGACAAGCTCTCAGACATTGCCTTCCTCACATAAAGTGACTTACCTCCCTTTTTCATACACTTAATGACTAACAGGAATGAGATCCAACTTTTCCTTTTATCAAATGAATATTGAGAAGTCATTTCCTCTATGATCTGTCAAAGATTCTTTTAATTTTTTATTTTTTGAGACAGAGTCTCACTCTATCACCCAGGCTGGAATGTGGTGGTGCAATCATAGCTCACTGCAGCCTTGATGTCTTGGGCTCAAGAGAACTTCCCATCTCAGCCTCCCAAGTATCAGGGACCATAGGCATGTGCCATTATGCCTGGCTGATTTTAAAACTTTTGTAGAGATGAGGTCCCCCTGTGTTACCCAGGCTGGTCTTGAACTCCTGGGCTCAAGTGATTCTTTCACCTCAGCCTCCCAAAGTGCTGGGATTATAGGCATGAGCCAATGCTTTCAGCTAAAGTTTCTTTTATTAACAAAGAACTATTCTATTCTAGCTCTGAGACATTCTTGACAATGGAGAGAAACAGAAGATAAAGATATATCAAAAGGCAAGAATTCAAACATTCTTATAATGTAGCACTGAGTAAAGCATTATTCTGAAATTGTTGGGTCTATAGTAGAGATTCTTGGCAAAATGTCTCAATAAGTTCACACCCTGATGAAAACCCAACTCTGTTCAAAATACGTATTTTCACCAGATAGAATTCTGAGTTGATTATTTTATGTTTTTTTGTTTTCCTTTCAGCACTTAAAAGATTGTCTTTCACTTTCTCCTGACCTCCATAGTTTTTGATAAGAAGTCAGCAATGTTTCAAATCATTGTTCCACTAAATGAAATTGGTCTTTTTTTTTTTTCTTGATAGTTTCAAGATTTGTTCATTATCTTTGGGTTTACTGAAGTTTGACTATAATTGCTCAGGTATTTGTGTGTGTGTGTGTGTTTATTATATTTCAGTTGTCCTGAGCTGCTTAAATCTGTAAAACTGTGCCTTTCAGCAATTGAGGAAATTTTTGTTCATTGTTTCACCAAAATTTTCCCCTTACTATCTCTCTCCTCTCTTTCTAATAATGTCCCACAGGTCACTGATGCCCTGCTGTTTCTTTCTTTTTCAATTCTTTTTCTCTCTGTTACTCAAATTGGATAATTTCTATTAAGCTATCTTCAAAGTTACTGACTCTTCTCTTCTGTTGTCTTCACTCTGTGTTTCTATTTCTGATATTTTATTTGCCAAACAAATAACCTATATTTTGTTCTTTTTTATACTTTCTATTTGCCGGATGTGGTATTTTTTTTATCTTTTCATTCGCCCCAAGTATATTTTTCTCATTGAGTGTATGTAGTTCTGATAGGTGTTTAAGAATTCTTGCTATCCCAACTTCTGAGTCATCTTGGAGTTGTTACTCTTTGATCATTATTTATCTTAATGATGAGTCATATTTTTCTAATTCTTCACATGTCAAGTAACTTGAGGTTGTATCCTCAACACTCTGACTGTTACATGGATTCTGTTTTATTCCTCAGAAGAATGCTAATTTTTCTTTAAGTAGGCAATTAACTTAGTTGGACTCAAACTGCCAACTTTGTCTCTTGGTTAGCATCTCAAATATCAATTTCATTATTTTTCTTTAACTGGATTCTCTTCCACATAATAATGGCTCTGGAATCATCCAGTAATTTGAGCAAAGTTTGTACACAAATTTGGGGGCTTCCCTTTTTCAGCTTTCTCTTTTCTAAGGTTCTTTCCTAATATCCTAATGGCTGTAGTTAGCTTCAATCTCTATTCTCTTATTCCTTGGGCCAGAGAACTGTGGTTTCCTATCAAAGTTGTAGCCAGCCCATGCAGCTGTGACCATACACTGCCCTCAGGTTGAAGTCCACAGAAATCTCACCTCATGAGAGATCCATTTTTCCTCCCAAATTAAAACTACCCTTCAATAAGAACTTAATCTTTCACACTGGAAGGAGAATCCCTGTCAACTTGTTCTATTCTTGATTTGGCTGAATGGTGGCAGAGACATGGATTTGATTCTTAAAAGAGTTTTGGAAGATTTAAATTCTGCATGAGAGATTTCTCTCTCATGATCTTTTGAGCTTCAAATCTGTAGTATTAGTAATGTAGTCAAATCTAAGAGAGAATGTATCCCATTTAAACATTCTATTTTATATATTCATATTTAGAAATACCTAAAACATTGGTGGAAGCATGTTGAAAATATGAGAGGAAAAATTATAAGAAAGAAATAAAATATTGTTGTGATAATACAGGTCACCTGTGTGAAGAGACAAAATATTATGTTCCTTTTTAGCAGAGGCAAGAAAAATATAGCAATGATGAGGACTTCATTTGTCTATAAAAAGGGATCAAATCTCATTTGGCTAAAAGTAAAGGTTCTGAGAAGCTCTTGTCTAGATTTTCTAATAATCTCAATTACCCAGTGGTGGAAGAAATGGTAAAAAGTACTACTCTAGACCTAATTTTAACAAACAGAGCTATTTGGTGATGGGGAAATGATAAGTGTTTTATTAGTCCATTCTCACACTGCTATAAAGAACTACCTGAGACTGGGTAATTTATGAAGAAAAGAAGTTTAATTGACTCACAGTTCCACGCTGTACAGGAAACATGGCTAGGAGACCTTAGGAAACTTACAATCATGGCAGAAGGCAAAGCAGAGGCAAGTACCTCTTACCATGGCAGAGCAGGACAGAGACAGGGACATGCCATACTTTTCAACCATCAGATCTTGTGAGAACTCACTATCACTGAGACCAGCATGGGGGAAATCCACCCCCATGATTCAATCACCTCCCACCAGACCCCTTCTTCAACCCTTTGGGGTTACCATTTGACATGAATTTGGGTAGGGACACAGAGCCAAACCATATCAAATGTCTTAGAAGAAAGCAGTTCTATCATCTTAGATCACAATATCTACAGTAGTAAAGGTGGAGAAAAGCCTGTTTCAAATAACTTGTTGAGATATTTAGAGGGGCATGTTTTAAAAATACTATAATTAATGGTTCCCTAGTATGCTGTTCTAAGCATGACTCTTGAATGGCTGGACTCAAGGGAGTTGGGAAACACTTATTGATGCATTTCCAATTGTGGAATGGAAAAGTCATCTTAGAATAAAGAAACAAGGAGAAAATGGATGAAGGAAATCATGCCCCAAGAATGGAAAGAAGAATAAATAACCAAGGATGTGTATGAAACCAAGCTGTTAGGAAGTCTGAGACCAAAATTAAGTGAGGCATGTATCAAGTGCTAAGGACAACAAAACTATTTAAATGTTATTTTATAAATAAGAAAATGAACAAAAGAGGTCCAGGACCACTACAGGGGCACAAGGTGTTACATAGAAGTTTGATATAAAGAAAATGGAATGTCTAAATTCCTGTTTTTGCTTCTGATTTTTCTGCCAAGTATAAAACTAGTATTCATAAGGGAAAAGAAAGTCCAAAGGTAGTAAAGTTATTTTATATGAATTCAGGTTATTTGGCTTAGATGAATTGCATCCCAAGGCTCTAAGAGAACTTGTAAATGAAATCACTCAACAAACATCCTTATTTTATGAGAAATTTTAGACAAGGGCAAAGGAGTCTGAAAACTGGAAAAAAGCCAGAGTCAGTCCCACTTTCAAGTGGAAAATTATAGGTTTGGCAAACAAACTGCTGGATGCAAGGATCGACTACTAAAGAAATGGATTGTGAATACATGGGAAAAGGACAGCTATCATAAATGTGTACAAATGGCTTGTCACATTCCACTCATGTTTTGCTCTGAAAGGATTATAGGACATGTCTAATATGAAAATCCAGGACACAAAGCTAACAGGGACTTGGTGAGTCAATTGGTAAACAAATGGTTCTGTTTTTATATCCCTTTTATAGAATGGAGAAACATAGGTTGAATGCTAAGAAAGATTAACATTGTAGTAGCCAGTGGAGTTATTGTACACAAAGAGCAAAGACCAGTAATTTGATATTAACCAAGCAAAATGTTGACAGATGTTATGGTTGCAGTGTCTCCCCCAAAATGATGTGTAGAAGTCTTATCCACCAGCACCTAGGAATGTGATCTTATTTGGAGATAGGGTCTTTGCAAATGTTATTAAGTTAACATGAGTCATCAAGATGGGACATAATGGGACAAAATGCAATGTGATGGAAAGGAAGACATCATGTGAAGATGGAGACACAGGGAGAACAGCATGTGACAATAGAGGCAGAGATTGAAGTGCTGCAGATGCAACCCAAGGAGTGCCTGGCATTGCCAGCAACCACCAGAAACTGGAAGGAAGCAAGGGAAGATTCTCCCCTACAGCTTCCAGAGGGACACAACCTTGCCAACACCTTAACTTCAGAGTTTTAGCCTCCAGAACTGTAAAAGAATGCATTTCTGTTGTTTTAAGCCACCTAATTTTTGGTATTTGTGACAGCAGCCCTAGAAATCTAATACCCTAAGTATATCCCAGAAGCCTGGCTTCTGATCCTGTCAATTCAACATTCTAAAAGGAGTTTGATAAAGACACAAAAAAGGATGAGGAACAAAAATTATTAAGAATAAAAAGGTAAGCCAGGCACGGTGGCTCATGCCTGTAATCCCAACACTTTGGGAGGCCAAGGCAGGCGGGATCATGAGGTCAGGAGATCGGGACCATCCTGGCTAACATGGTGAAACCCCGTCTCTACTAAAAAATATAAAAAATTAGCCGGGCGTGGTGGCGGGCACCGTAGTCTCAGCTACTCGGGAGGCTGAGGCAGGAGAATGGTGTGAACCTGGGAGGTGGAGCTTGCAGTGAGCGGAGATCATGCCACTGCACTCCAGCCTGGGCAACAGAGCAAGACTCTGTCTCAAAAAAACTAAAAAAAAAACCCAAAAAACAAAAAACAAAAGAATAAAAAGGTACTTAATTGAAAATAATTATATATAACTAGTTTAATGTAAATTTTTATCACCATTTAAAAATAAAACTACACTCCAAGTACATGTTGCATGTGTTCATAAGTTTTCAAATTTTGAGTTACCCAAAAACTTAAAAAAAAACTATTGCTTGTACTTAAACATTGTAGGTCATTCTATCATTAAAATAAATACAACTAGACATTTAAATTTCTAGTAGAAGTTTACAACTAGAAGTTTAATTGTATTAGTTTACAACTAATTTACAATTTAATTGTATTAGTTTACAACTAGAAGTTTAATTCCAAATACAATGCATTAAAGAGCTCTGAATAATGAAGGCTAGTTTCGAGAAAAGTGTTGGAAAGAAAGGGTTTCAAAACCATGCCATATTAAAAGCCTGACAAAAGTGACAGAGTTTAGTGTGTAGAAGAAGGTACTAGAAGCAGATGCTATACTGTCTGCAAATACAATAATGTGTCACGTGATGAAGCTACACTCTGAGAAATGTGTCGTTAGGTGATTTTGTCATTATGCAAACATCTAGAGTATACTTACCCAAGTTCAAATGGTATAGTCCGCTATATACCTAGGCTATATGATACAGCCTATTGCTCCTGTACAGTGTGTCACTATACTGAATACTGTAGGCAACTGTAACACAAAGGTAAGTATTTGTATATCTAAACATAGGAAAAGTGCAGTAAATATATGATCTTATAATACTATGGGGCCACCATCATATATGTGATCCATCGTTGACCAAAATGTTTTTTGGTGCCTTACTGTACTAATGAGGCATCTGGCTATTTTCCTGGGACATCAGGAAGCTGGATGAGTTTCAAAGAGTCTCACACTCCTATTATTAACAAGGTATATCAAGTAAATGTTCTATCTTCAGTTTGTATTTAGAATAAAAGTATTACATTGTGGCTAATAACAAAATGCAATATTTAATTAAGTTTGAAATATATTTTGTTCCACATTTTAACATCTCTAAAAATAAGGAGCTGTCTTACAATTACTGACTGCAAGTTGGTGTCATAGAGGAGTTTTCGTTGACTGTGCTTGGACAAATTTGGACATGCCTGTTCACATTTTTGTCACCTCAGTTATGTGCATTGCCAGTATGGCCCATGTTGGGTTTAATTGTCATTTTAAAATGTCTTCAAGATAGTGCATTTTGATTTAGCAGTGAAATGGAACTATTATAAATAGACACATGGAAACAGCAAACAATGCATATGTTTAAGATTAGCAGAGCAAATACTTGCCATAGGAGGAATGACTACAATTCTGTGTTTTCTTGCAATGCAACAATCAAATGATTTACTAGATCTAGAAAAATACCGGGCATTTTGTTATATTTTGTTACTGGTTTACATGCAGAAAAAGACTGCCTACCTTCTGCTAAGCAAAACAATTGAAAGCAATAAGTACTGCCATATAGCTTAGATTAAAGGACATTCAAAACTAAAAAGGCTGTTATGACCCATTTGTGCATCAAACAACAGTATGTCACGTTTTTATAGTTAAATTGGCAGCATTTTTGTTCTTAATGGTTTGTAACTAATGGTACATCTTATGATTGATAATCTCCTAGATTCAGAAAAATACGGCACTTTCCATTTATACAGAACTTGGTTATTTACAAAGTATTTTCACACATATTGTAATTGCCTTCAGCGGCCACGTGAAATAGGGGTAGGTCTGTTTTATAGCCATTTAACAGAGAAGAAGATTAATGATCAGTAGTTAATTAACTCGCCTATGGTAATACGTTTCACACATGATAAAACTGGAGAGTTAAAGGTTTCCAACTCCTATTCCAGGACTTTTTCTATTTTAAAAAATATAATGAATTCATTTTTTTCTGAAAATATTTATAAAAATTAAGGTCTAGTGAAGAGAACGTTTACAATATATAAAAATTCAGAAAAGTCTTTTCTTTTAATATCCAAAATACAAACCAAGTTAACAACTATCTTTTCAAAGCCATTTTTATTTATACCTGAAGAACAGAGGTTCTAAGAAAATAAAATTCCTTCAGAAAATTGTTTCAAGTGATACAAACAAAAACCACTTATTTCTCTCCTGGGTAAGAATGAATAACTTTGCTATTTTACCTCCACTGAAACCAATGCAATTCTTAAATGGATTATTACTGACAGGATTTCATAATACAGGTTCACACATATGCATGACTGCAAATAAAATTTGTAATTTTCAAATATTTTCCTGTCCTTTGAGGCAAAAATTAGGCTAATATATCTCCTTGATACAAGCATACAAATATTCTAATTCCTGAATTTAAAATACAATTTAAAAAACAAAACAACTCTGGTATTTTATACTTTTAGAACTTCTCACAAAGCTCACTAATTCATTTTATTCACACTGCATCTTAATCTTGACAACAGTCCTGTGAAGTGTCTTCATCAGCAGCAGCAGTATCACCATCATTATCATCATCCTCACCAGCAGCAGCCCCACCATTATCATCCATCATCACCATTATCATCATCATCAACATCACCATCATCACCGTTCAACAGAGAAAGAGACTGAAGCTCAGAGCAATCATATAACTAGCATAAAGTCACTTTACCAACAAATGATAGAGCCAGAATAAGGATCTCTTTACTATGACTCCAAAGCTCAAGGCATCATGCAGTCAGTTTGGTTATATCTTGAGAGAGGAAAGATAAAGAGAGTAACTTTGCTAGATCATACGTCATTATATAGCAAAGGCAGCTCTAGATGCAATTTATTTGATCTGACAAATAAATGATCTCACATAACATGAAGAGGGAAGGATGAACTCAGAGAAAAAAAAGAAAAGATTGCCTATTTTGGAGTATTGTGTTGGGCAGGTCCTGATTTCAGCCCCAAAGCAAATGATTGTTGGTCATCTCTTAGGACCTGAAATTTTGCAAGAGTTAATATGATTTGTAGGTTTAGAAACAAAACGATCCTTAATATAAATCCAATGCTATATGGCTATAGAAGAGATCCACCTATTATTAGGCCAAGAATTACTTAGAGATGCTGTCAAAGTGATCACTTTCAATATCCTTGTGGCCAGTCCTACTAAATGTGCAACAAGAGAGTGACTCAAGCTAGTGAATATTTACAGACCATTCTTCCTAAAAAGAGGAAAGCTGTTTTAGTTCTTGAATAATAGCAAGTATAATATCTCATTCAATAACAAAATGTGGCTCTAACACAGCCAGAAGTCATTACACCAATGAAAGGAAATATTACATTCCATAGTATTCAATTGGTCTGAGGTTTCCCCTATTACAGTTTCACAGAGTGCAGTCCTTAAGCTTTCACTACAGGAATTATTCCTAGGCAGGATGTGCGTATTAACGCACATCTTAAGCTCCATCTCAGAACTATTGAATCATTATCTCCAGGATTGGGTTCAGGAAAAGTAAATTTTAAACAAGGTCCCCAGGTGAGTAGAATTGCTGCTAAATGTTTATGTCATCAAGTAACTCAAATGATTAGTAATTCCACAAAAAGGAATCAACCTCATCCCTTTCTTGGAGGACTCTCAAAAATGAAGAAGGGGAAGAAGGGGAAGAGAAAGGGAAAAGGAAAAAGGAGGAGAAGGAGGAAGGGGAGAGAAGGCTCCTCTGTTGTTGGACACTTGGGTTGTTTCCACCTGGAGCGTGTATAAATAATGCTGCACTGAACACAGGCATACAATTATTTGTTTGAATTCCTGCTTTCAATTCTTTTGGGTATACACCTAGGAGTGGAAGTGCTGGGTTATATAGTAATTTTATGTTTAAGTTTTTGAGGAACTGCCAAATTGTTTTCCATAGCAGCTGCACCATTTTACACCTCCTCCCAGCAATACACAATGGTTCCAATAGCTTCACATCCTCTTCAACACTTGTATTTTTTTCTTATCTTTTCTTTGAAAATGACCATCATAATCATAACAGGTGTGAAGTGGTGTCTCACTATAGCCATTGCTCATTTTTAATTGGGCTATTTTTCCTTTTATTATTGAGTTGCAAGACTTTTTAAAATGTGTTCTGGATATCCCTTTTGATAAAACATCTACTACATGTTGATAATGCCCAGCATGAGACTGACATATGACAGAATCCCCTATAATGGTTTTCATTTAGATATTGCCCCAAAATTGCATGATGCAAGGGGAATTTACACGTGGATGAATAGCATTTTTACTGAGTTTGCCAAACAGCCAAGGCAGTGTGCATGTTTAGTATTTAGAGCAAATGTAGCTGCAGTTCCCACCATGCCTCTTTGTGCACATGGCACCTCCATGTGTACGAGTTTTTATTTTTTAAGATATGTTACTTTAAGAGCCATTTTCAAACCGCAGAAATTACTTTAAAATTCACAGTAACTTCCAATGGATGGGATTAGAAGCTGCCATTTGGCTATTAATGAAGAGCTCTGAAATGGCAATTTTAGAAAACCACAGGATGGTAGGAAATGATATTTTATTAAATACTGCAAACCCTCCAAGTACAAAATGGGTAGACGAGCAGGGAGAGGGACTGTTATTGTGAGGGGCTAAATGATGCCTTTCCATTTCCTTATCACAGAACGTGTCAGGGCCATGCTAAGGATTCCCATTCAAATGAAGCAGCCGCGGACAATCCAGATGGAATACAAATAGACGCAGGAGAGTGGAGCAGGGTTAGCGAGGTGTGCAGTTGGCGAGATTGATGTTGATACCCTTCACTGCCAAGTGAAATGCCAATAATGCTTGTATAACATTTTGTGAGGGCAATGGGAGTATTGATTCCTGAGCAATAATAAAGAATGAAGCTGCTCTCTCAGGTATAAAAATATTGGCAACTGTTACAAAGAATTGACTCATAGGGGACTGAGTGCTGGCCTATCTTAATACAAATAATTCAGGCTTCAGAAGGATTTCAAGAGCAGCCAGGCATGGTTCGCAGGCACTAGCTCTGCTATTAATTTACCTGCTGCCTTCACTCCCAGTCTATCAGCCAATTGGTCTTAGTAAGGCAGAGGCTAAATGGATTCCTGAGGTCTCATTGAGAGTTGAGAAAAGACAATAAAATTGGAGGAAAAAAAAGGAAAAGAAGAAAAAAAAACAAGAAAGACTATAAAATGTTTACAAATACATTTTTAAAGTTGCAGATTCTGTTCGCATTTTTTTCTGAAGATGAAGTAAAGCATGTGGCAGGCACCTAAGAGAAGGAGCACTGTCAATGCTTTTAAACACTTTGCCATTAGAGGTGTGATTTCTGAGTGTTTTTTGCTATGGATTACAATAACTTGTACATATGGAAACCAAAATGGAACACTCGCAAATGTGTGGATCTATTATATTTAATGATATCAAATACTTGGCAGGAAAGCCAACAAATACTCTAAATGTACATAAAGCTGGGAAATTGACCTAAGAAGGAATGCAGTTCCTACTTTCATAGTCACCCATTCCCAAAACAGAATGAACTCTTGGAGGAATAAAAAAAAACTGGTACTGGGAAAACCAGCTAGCCATATGCAGAAAACTGAAACTGGACCCCTTCCTTATGCCTTATACAAAAATTAACTCAAGATGGATTAAAGAGTTAAACATAAGACCCAAAACCATAAAAACCCTAGAAGAAAACCTAGGCAATACCATTCAGGACATAGGCATGGCCAAAGACTTCATAACTAAAACACCAAAAGCAATGGCAACAAAAGCCAAAATTGACAAATGGGATCTAATTAAACTAAAGAGCTTCTGCACAGCAAAAGAAACTATCATCAGAGTGAGTAGGCAACCTACAGAATGGGAGAAAATTTTTGCAATCTCTCTGTCAAAGAGCTAATATCCAGAATCTACAAGGAACTTAAACAAATTTACAAGAAAAAAACAACCCCATCAAAAAGTGGGCCAAGCATATGAACAGACACTTCCCAAAAGAAGACATTTATGTGGCCAACAAACATATGAAAAAAAGCTCATCATCACTGGTCATTAGAGAAATGTAAACCAAAACTACAATGAGATACCATCTCACGCCAGTTAGAATGGCAATCATTAAAAAGTCAGAAAACAACAGATGCTAGAGAGGATGTGGAGAACTAGGAACATTTTTACACTGTTGGTGGGAGTGTAAATTAGTTCAACCATTGTGGAAGACAGTGTGGTGATTCTTCAAGGACCTAGAACTAGAAATACCACTTGACCCAGCAATCCCATTACTGGGTATATACCTGAAGGATTATAAATCATTCTGCTATAAAGACACATGCACATGTATGTTTATTGCAGCACTATTCACAATAGCAAAGACTGGAAACCAACCCAAATGCCCATCAATGATAGACTGGATAAAGAAAATGTGGCACATATACAGCATGGAATACTATACAGCCATAAAAAAGGATGAGTTCATGTCCTTGGCAGGGACATGGATGAAGCTGGAAACCATCATTCTCAGCAAACTAGCACAGGAACAGAAAACCAAACACCACATGTTCTCACTCATAAGCAGGAGTTGAAGAATGAGAACACATAGACACAGGGAGGGGAACATCACACACTGGGGCCTGTCAGCGAGTGGGGGGCTAGGGGAGAGATAGCATTAGGAGAAATACCTAATGTAGACGACGGGTTGATGGGTGCAGCAAACCACCATGGCTTGTGTATACCTATGTAACAAACCTGCACGTTCTGCACATGTATCCCAGAACTTAAAGTATGTAAAAAAAATTCAAACCCACAGAAAAAGTAAAAATATATGGCAATTCACTCTTTTGTACAAAAGCCACCTAGGAATACAAGTTGTTAACATGTTTCTAAAACAATAATCACTGAGTTGTATATTCTTAAATGGTGAATTA
This sequence comes from Homo sapiens, assembly GCF_000001405.40. Lineage (NCBI taxonomy): Eukaryota > Metazoa > Chordata > Mammalia > Primates > Hominidae > Homo > Homo sapiens. The sequence continues at coordinate 81,201,781 of NC_000009.12, forward strand.
CATCTCAATTAAAAAAAAAATCTAAGGGGAAAAAAAAAAGAAATCATCACCACGATGACATCTAAATGTCTTCACAACTTTTGCAAAGAGTAAAAAGCACTTCGTCTCACATGAACTTAATACCTGGCCTGGGAATTATCAACCTATTTGAAATAATGGAATCTTTAAACTACAGAACCATGATCAAGGAAAAAAGTCTTAATAAGTGTATATATGTATAATCATTTTACATATGTATAATATATAATAAATATATATGTTGTATATTAATATATAACTTATATAATAATAATAATTCAGACTTCAGAAGGATTTCTTTTTTTTTTTTTTTTGAGACGGAGTCTCGCTCTGTCGCCCAGGTTGGAGTGCAGTGGCGCAATCTCGGCTCACTGCAAGCTCAGCCTCCCAGGTTCACGCCATTCTCCTGCCTCAGCCTCCCGAGTAGCTGGGACTACAGGCACCCGCCACCACACCCGGCTAATTTTTTGTATTTTTAGTAGAGACAGGATTTCACCGTGTTAGCCAGGATGATCTTGATCTCCTGACCTCGTGATCCACCCACCTCAGTCTCCCGAAGTGGTGGGATTACAGGCGTGAGCCACCGTGCCCGGCCAGAAGGATTTCAAGAGCAGCCAGGCATGGTTCATAGGCATTAGCTCTGGTATTAATTTACCTGCAGCTTTCACAGGCCTCCCAGTCTATCAGCCAATTGATCTTGGTAAGGCAGGAGCTAAATGGATTCCTGAGGATACATATGCTGGTCACAAAGCAAGATACATACTGATTCAGGTCCAATTATCCCTTAGATAATTGGATGTTCAGAAAGTTAGAAAAAAAAGATGTTGATTCATTCTAATAAAATCTATCCTTTCTAAGATTCTCTTTGGCTTTTCCAAAATTTTCTTATGCATGAATAACTTAAGTTTTTCGTTTGTTTGTTTGTTTGTTTTTGTTCTGTTTTCTTTGCTACTCCTAAGGAAACATTTGCAACTATTGTTAAAATAGGAAGGATAATTAAAAGAGTCTGGATTGAGAAAATAATAGCTTGATACAAACTCAACATCAATAATCTTAAAGAAGCATTGGTAGCCTAAGTCAGCTTGTGACATTACACACACTAGCCTAATTCAGGTTCTGTACAAGCATAGATTTTTCCTCAACACAATTAAAAAAGTCCTGGCCAAGACAGTTTTTTTTAATGCTCAGTATTGTCAAAGGAACAATTATTCTCATATGCTGCTGGCAAAAATGAGTGACCTTCCCATGGGCAACACCTCAATATATTTCAGAGCTTTAATATGTTGCTTAATTCAGACCTGAAATTGTATATGTAAACGTGATCTTCACAATAATTTAGCTACAGGATTTTCCACAGCTGTGCTGTTTATATTAAAATACTGAAGAAAAATATCCAAATATCCAACATCAGAGAACTAAGTGATTTTAAATGAAATAGGATTCACTTCTTTAAAAAAAAAATGAGGAAAATCTGTGATTGACACTGCAGGTTGCCTCATGTCAATATCATTCAGCCCCCAGCCTCTTCCTTTGGAATAGGTTCCTGATTTTGTTAATCTAGCTACCCCTACCCCTCCTCATGTAATTCAAGAAAGGTGACCCTCTGTCCAGTCCCCAGAGAGATCACACTCACTATAAGCCAACCAGAGTCATATCTTAACCTTTATCAGTGATGAGAGAAAACAGATTTATTTACTGCTAGGCCCATTTGACTTGAAACTTTCTGCTACTTACAATTCAATGCATCCAAAATAATAGATTATTTTAATATATTATTTTAAATAGCAAAAATACAAAACAGAACATAGCCTCTGGCTTCAGTTTTGTTAACCAATATTACATAAATGTGTTCAAAATTATTGTTTGTCTCACAAAGGATAATATTATTCATAAAATTTTGTCTGTGTGTTCTAAATGTATTATTGTGAACATGTATTGTAATTGAAGTAAGAAGATTTAAAACAGCATTTTTAAAAATCCCTACCAATATTAGTTAACATAAATAATTTACTGGTTATATTTGCTTATCTGGTTCCATAGCAACTGAGAACCATGAATTCCTAGTTATATTTTAAGGAAGAGGATAACAAGATTCAAAGATTCTAATTTTGCTTCCATATCAGCAGGTATCATTTAGAATTAGGTCCCCCACTGAATTATTAGTCTGCACTGCAGCAGGTACTAGATGAGAAGATAAATATTGTCTAAAATTAAAAACATTTTCCTGTTGCTATTTTGATGTAATAATATAGCTTTATTATTTCATTAATTTATTTAAAGAACATTACTGAACATCTGTTATGTTCTAAGCAACATGCCAGCCAGGCAGAGAGAGATGACAAAGATGAATAAAAAGTGGCTACTGTCCTGCAGGAAGTCATATTCTAAAAGACAAAATACACATGTAAAAGTTTATATTATAATAACATACTACTGAAATAGAGGTATGCAAAGAGTAAATGGTAACATAAATAAGAAAGTGATGAGTTTCCATTATGTGACAGGGAAGATATACAGAGGCAATGGCACTTGATTTGGACCTTAAATAAATAGTAGAAACTACCTATGGACTGCAGACAGTAATTCTGGCAGAGGAAAAACAAAGAGGTGTGATTATAAATGGGGTATCCTGGGGAAATTCAATAGATTGGTTTGGCTGCAAGATAAGTATTACAGTGAACAATAGGAAGGGAAGAAGTTGGAAAAATAAAATGTATATTCACTTCAATCTTTAGGCAATGGGCAGCTGCCAACCCTTTTGAAGTAAGTTGATCACATGATCAAATCTCTGTCTTAAATAACATTGGAAGACAATGTGAGGGAAAATGTGGAGATAGAGAAACTACTTAGAAAGGTACTGCAATAGTCCAGTAAGAAATAATGAGGGTGTAAACGGGCACCGTGACAATGAGGTTAGAGTTGATTGGAGAAGTAAGGGAGACATTTAAAGGTAGAACTGATGTCACATTGTGGCAGCTCTGCTGTAGAAGGATACAGGGCAAGAACTAATGACTCCATGTAGATAATTCCAGAACTAGGCAGATTGTAAATATCTTAAATCGAATAGCAAAAGCAGAAAGTGGAATTGGTGTGGAGAAAAAAATGTACTGAGCCAGATTTTCCAAAGTGTGACTGAAATTCCTGAATTCCTGAGGGAGAGGCAGGTAAAGATGGTTAACAAGAATCTGGCAATATCTTTATCCCTTTAGTTTCTATCTCTAACAAAGAAAGTTATATCTACAAATTACATCCAATCTATAAATATTATTTAAGGGGAGAGTTGCAAAAAATCTTCCCTAACCATTAGCCTAAAGCAGCAGCAAAGAAGCTTGCCCTTTATTGAATGAGGGCAAATTGAATGAGGAAAAAAATCATCAGGGATTAATCAAACCTAAAGTCTATTTTTTTTAGCTTGGAAATGGAGTTTGAATTTACAATACTCATTTGTTCTATAAAACACAAGCTGTAACATTCACATTACACTATGTCCAGAGCTTTTGGAATGCCTGTAGTCCTAACAAAAGTATGACTTAGCATTCTCTGGAGAAACCCTTTCACATCTCAGAGCTCACAGGATTCCACCAGACTTGTTACCCCATCTGCAGAATAGTTACCAATAAAAAATTACAGACTGTCATGTAAGCACCATGAAGGGAACATCAACTGATTCATAAAACAGAAAACTAAATACCCTTACCTACCTAAAATAAACTAATAATAGGAAAGCAATTGTAAAGACATATAGGTAGACAAAGAGATAAATGGAAAAAAAAAATCAGGAAAAATATAAGAAAGGAATAAATAGACCTGAGAAAGAAGCTTCATGAAAACATTATCATTGAAATAAAAACTTCCATGGGTATGTCAGAATAAACTAACATAAGAAAACAGAATAATTGGACATTATCAAAACAAAAACCTTTTGTGCTTTAAAGGACACCATCAAGAAATTTAAAAGGCAACCCATAATATCGGGAAAACTTTTGCAAATCATCATAGAAGGCTTAAATCTAGAATAAATAAGAAATCCTACAAGTCAATAATAAAAAAATCAAGTAAAAATAGGCAAAGAATCTGAAAACACTTTTCTCCAAAGAAGATAGACAAATGGTCAATAAGTACATGAAAAAATATACAATATCATGAGTTAGCAAGCAAACGCAAATCAAAACCACAATGGTATACCACTTTATACCCATTGAGATGGCTAAACTAATAAAGACAATAGCAAGTATTACTGAGAATTTGAAAAAGATGGAGCTCTTTTACATTGCTGGTAAGATTCAAAAATGGTAGTCACTTCAGAAACCAGTTGGACAAGTCCCTCAGAATGTTACATAGTAACCCAGTAATTCTACTTTGAAACCACTTGGACAATTTCCTCAAAATGTTACATAGTGACCACATGACCCAGTAATTCTACTCCTGGGTATATATACTCAAAAGAAATGAAAATATACACCCGAACAAAAACTTGTACATGAATGTTCACAGCAGCAGTATTCATAACAGCCAAAAAGTGGAAACAACCCAAATGTTCACTCATTGATAAAAGGATGCATAAAATTTGGAGTTCATACTTGAAATATTATTCAGTAATAAAACAAAATGGTCAGCACTTTAGGAGGCCAAAGTGGGTGGATCACGAGATCAGGAGATCGAGAACATCCTGGTGAATACAGTGAAACCCCGTCTCTACTAAAAATACAAAAAAATTAGCCGGGTGTGGTGGCAGGCACCTGTAGTCCCAGCTACTCGGGAGGCTGAGACAGGAGAATGGCGAGAACCCGGGAGGCATAGCTTGCAGTGAGCCGAGATCGCGCCACTGCACTCCAGCCTGGGTGACAGAACGAGACTCCATCTCAAAAAAAATAAATAAATAAAAATAAATAAAACAAAACGGAATACTGATACATGCTACAACACAGATGAGTCTTGCAAACACTATGCTAAGAAGCCAGTCACAACCACATATTGTATAATTCTAAGAAATTTCCAAAATCGGTACAGAGAGAGAAAAAATAGATTGGTGGCTACCTAGGGCTGGGGAGATTGGGAGTTAATGGGGAGTGACTGCTCATGGTTGTGGGGTTTCCTTGGGCGGTGATGACATTTTTCTAAAATTGATTGTGGTGATATTTGCTCAACTCTGTGATTATGCCAAAAACCATTGAATTGTACACTTTAAATGGTGAACTGTATGAAGTGTGAATTATATCTAAAAAAGTTATTATTAAAAAGCTAACCTCTGTCCACACAAAAACCTGTATGCAGATGTTTATAGCAGTTTTATTCATAATTGCCAAAACTTGGAAGCAACCAAGATTTGCTTTAATAAGTGAATGGATAAACTGTGCCACATGCAAAAATGAAATATTATTCAGTACTAAAAAAAATGAGCAATAAAGCCTTAAAAAGACATAGAGACACCTTAAATGCATATTGCTTAGTGCAAGTAGCCAATCTGAAAAGATTACATACCGTATAATACCAGCTATGTGACATTCTGGAAAAGGCAAAACTATAGATATAGTAAAAAGGCCAGTGGTTGCCCAAGGTTAGTGGTGAGAAAGGGATGAATAGGCAGAGCACAGAGAAATTTATGCTAGTGGCACTATTTTGTATGATACTATAATGGAGGATACATGTCACTATACATTTGTCCAAACCCACCAAATGTACAACACCAAGAGTAAACCCGCATATAAATAATGAGCTTTGGGTAATAATGATGTGTCAATATAGGCTCATCAGTTGTAACAAATGTACCACTCTGGTGTCATATGTTGACAGTGGAAGAGGTTGTGCATGTGTGGAGGTGGGAGGCATGTGGGAAATTCCAGTACCTTCTGCTCAATTTTGCTGTCAACCTAAAACTACTATAAAAAATAAAATCTGTTAAAAAACCTAACCCCTCACAAAATTAGCAAGAGAAATAAGTATATCATGTTAGAAACGGTGCATGATGACATACGCAAAAGAGACAATACAGGACTGTGAGTAATAGCACATGCTTTGGGCTGTTGTCTGGATAAAATCCGAGCTCTGCCACCAGCCAGTTGGGTAACCTTGGGCAAGTTACACAACCACTCTGAGCTTCAGCTTTCTCATATGCAAAAAGGAGATAATACCTGTACCTACCGCATAGATTTATTGCATTAGGCAAAATACATGCAATACTTTGAACAGTGAATGTGACATAATAAGCATTCAAATAATGTTTTTCATTATTATTGTTAAAATCAAAACCAAAATTCCAGAAGCAATATAACAATAATTTTTAATTGAGCTAAATTATAAAAATTTCTAGCAAAATATATGTTACCAAAGATGACTCAAGAACTGAAAAACAGGGGCAGAGTAAATTCATTAAAGAAATTGAGGCCGGGCACGGTGGCTCATGCCTGTAATCCCAGTACTTTGGCAGGCCGAGGTGGGCGGATCACCTGAGGTCAGGAGTTCAAGACCAGCCTAGCCAACATGGTGAAACCCCGTCTCTACTAAACTTAGAAAAATAAGTTGGGCGCGGTGGCAGGTGCCTGTAATCCCAGCTACTCAGGAGTCTGAGGCAGGAGAATTGCTTGAACCCAGGAGGCAGGAATGATCCTTTAGCAAGAAACTGAGACTATATCTTTAAACCATTTTGCCAGAAATCCTAAGGGTCTGATGGGATGGATTGTGCCTTCATCCCATCTGAAAAAATTGGGGTCATCAGTGACTACAGCTATATTGTTTAGTGGCTGAGTTATCTCACTAGTTCTGTATCTGGGTACCCAGGCCTATATGAACAGGAAGGGACTGAAGGCAAAGCAGTGGTTAGGCTCATACTGTTGCTGGTAATCTGGGCCAGCACCATATCAGAGCTGACATCCCTTCCACAGGTGGAATGGGTTGCATTAAAATCTGTGAATAGTTGAGAGACAGAGAAACAATAAAGGTGAAAAAAAAGACTTATGCAATAAGGAAAATACGATATTACATGATTGCCTTGAGAGAGGCTCAGAGGAAGAGAATAATATTGTCTTTTAGCACAATTAGACCAAATACTGGAGAGAGTAAAGCCACATGTTTGCCAAGACCACCAACTCCTTTGCAACCTGACAATGCAGAATGGAAACCTGCAAACCTGAGTGGCATCACAGTGGATTCCATTCTGGTCAGATGTGATGGATGAGCCGGAACGGTGGTTAATAACTGAAAGGAACTCTAGTCATATGCCAGTATCTTTTGATTCTTATTTTTCAGGTTACATCTATTATGTGAGATATCATTTGGGAAGAAATTTCTAGGAATTATTCTCTGCTGAGCCATCAAATCATACAGTATGCAACTCTTGGCAGACAGATGACCGTGTAAATGTAAACCTTGGTGACCACATGTTTTAAAAGGTTCCTGTCCATAACATATAAAACATAGCAGTTGCATGCTGTAGTGTACTTTATATGAATACATTTCACACTTGATGTCTGTTTTCCTCTGGACTTCTCCTATGTGCCTTTTCACTCTACTGACTTTGCTCTGTGTCCTTTCACTATAGTTTATAGTAATAAACTATAACTGTTAATATAATGACGTTGGAGTCCTGTCAGTGCTTCCAGCAAAACACCAAATCCGGGGGAGGTCTTGGCAACCCCTGACCCAAATACTTCCTCGAATTCTCCAGTATCTTGCATATAGTAGTCACTTATTTAAAGTTCTATAGATGAATGCATCACCTAGACATAACACTATGCACATACATGTCTTCCAACACTAAAGTATATTTTGGGTGACATTCAGCAAAAGGGTGTTTTAAGTTAGTCACCAGAACAAATTGCCACAATCCAATTGACTTTTCCTATAACTAGAAACAAACAAACAGATTATTTGTGTTTTCTTCCTCAGAATACATCACAAGAAAATTGGAAAACAGATATTTAAAATAAGCTAATAAAAAAGAAGAGAGAAAGTCCTTTCTAACAATAATGTTGTGAGGTTAAGAGAGAAGCCCTGTAAAAAAGCAAATAGCAAATAAAAGCAACTGTAAGACTCAAAGACAAATGAGAAGAAACCTCTAGCCCTAAACTTAAGTGTAAATAAAATACATATCCTTTGAAATAGAAAGAATAAATGGGGAAAGAAAAATGTCAATTCCTAAAAAGAAAAAAGAAAGAAATCAATAGGCTAGATGACAAAGGTAGACTAGAAGAGAAAGGTAAGATGTAAATGTGAGGATAGAACAGAGAACACCATCAGCACTGAAGATAAGTCATATGCATAAATGTGGGAATGGCATTTGTCTGTTCAGACATATCCGCTGCATTTAAATACTATCTCCAGGACTATGTTTATAGCCATTCACCTTTATTAGGGAATCTAGTCCAGTAATCATTAGCATGGTTGAAATAGCATGAAAATAGTAATTGTCTGATATACTTAGGTACCATATCTTAGTTCCTTGGAGTATTTTAATAAAATTTGTTTTTTTATTCTCAAGTTTTTATGAGACAAATAGGGTATTACTACTTCTCATCCAGGGTCACCCTTACAAACAAACCCAGAATAATGTTTGACCAAATGTCTGGGCACCTTGTGGCCCAATCAAGTTGACACACCAAATTAACCATCACAGTCAGAAGCAGTTGATGAATAGGAACCCTCTCATGTGATACGGGGTTTAAAACTCTGGCCAAAATGACATGAGCAGATGATAACATGCTGCATTTAATAGCATGGCAAAAGCAGTAGCCTGCACTAAGTGAAATGGAAATGCCAAAGCTGCCATGGCAGATGATGAAAGAAGAGAAGTGGGCTTGCTAGAATGGAAAGAATACTTCAGGCCAGAAAACCCACCTGATCACCATGTTTCATGGGCAGACCCAGAGGAGGCTCCACTTACAAAAGCAATAAGAAATGTAGGCCAGGCACGGTGGTTCACACCTGTAATCCCAGCATTTTGGGAGGCTGAGGTGGGCAGATCACCTGAGGTTGGGAGTTCTAGACCAGCCTGACCAACATGGAGAAACCCTATCTCTACTAAAAATACACAATTAGCCAGGTGAGGTGGCATATGCCTGTAATCCTAGCTACTTGGGAGGCTGAGGCAGGAGAATTGCTTGAACCCAGGAGGTGGAGGTTGTGGTGAGCCGAGATCGTGCCATTGCACTCCAGCCTAGGCAACAAGAGTGAGACTCTGTCTCAAAAAAAAAAATGCAGAATGTACAGATGAGAGGGGTATCAGTGGCACTGAAAAGCTCATTGGTAGCTCTGCTTTATAGGCCAAGGCTGCTGCTGTTATAGAACTTGGCTTTCTGATTAGCAATAGGGGATTATAGGATTGCCAAAGTAATAGAGGCCAGGTAGCAGCACTCAATTGTCAGAAGGCAAGGCAGCATGTTTATTGTAGTGAGCAGCAAGCTTGGATGCCCACAAGTGGGGTCTAATCTAAGGACGGGTATAGTATGAGTAATAAAGCATGACATTCCTAAAGGCAAGATCAATGGGCAACAAACTGAAGTGTTAGTCAATCTGCACAATCAAAAGAAATCTAGTGAGGCAGGAGGATCCCTTGAGCTTGGGAGGTTGAGGCTGCAGTGAGCTGTGATCATGCCACCGCATTCCACCCTGGGTGACAGAGTGAGACCCTGTCTCAAAATAAAAAATAAAGAAAAGAAAAGAAAAGAAAGAAATCTAGGATGATTAGGAAGCTGACCACGAGACAGCTTCAAGTGACAGTGTGTTCAGTGTTCAGACAGCCCATTACACTCAGAATTCTATCAGACTCACAAAGACACAAGGTCAGGCGAGCCCAACAGCAATTCATTATAAGATGGAATTGGTATATCCAGAGTTGGGCATGAGTAGGGCAAATGGCAAAAGTAAGCTGCACAAACACATGGCCAGTTCTCTTGTCATCCATCATAACTGAGACTCTGCACCTCTTGTCCTGGGGCTTCCTTAAAAATCTGTTGAAGGAGTAGAAAGTCTAAGCTTGGGACATGGATTAGTTGGGTCAGCATGTGGATCCAAACTGAAAACAAACAACAACTGCATTTTAGCCTCATTCAGGGATGATGCTGAAGTCAGTCGTGAGGGGGAATCCTAATGTGCAGAGCTTTGGGCAGTGCAACCAGTCATTGAATTTGTGGGAAAAGAGAAATGGCCTGGGGATATTATAAAAATAAACACAAGGGCAATGACGAATGGCGTGGCTGGTTGATTAGGAGCCTGGAAGGAGAAAAAGCTAAAGATAGAGTACATGGAGATCTGGGAAGAGGTAGGTGCATGGATCTGTAAATGAAGAAATGATATGTGAAGAATTTTGTATCACATGGTCCTGAACAGGCAGTAAATAACTAGTTAGACTGAATGCTTGGCTAGTTGACTTCAGACAGCTTTTGCCATTTTCCACCCTAGTGCTGTCAGTTCAACAAATCTGATGGAGTTACTGCCACTCCTGAAAGCCCAACCTGCCAGTAACAAAGATAAAAAGTGAGCTCCTTGAAGAGTCCAATCAGCTCGGTGGCAGTCAATTAAATTCATTGGATGCCTTTAACCCTAGAAAATGAAGTGATTCATTTTTAACTAGAACTAACACAAACTTGACATGAGTTTGCTTTTACTCCCTGTAGTACCTCAGTCAACACCACCATAATGGACTTGCAGCATGTTTGATCCATTAGCTCAGGATACTGAATAATATCATGTGGGATCAGGGGACCTATTTTACAGAAAAGAGGGTGTGCTAGCGCACACGAGATCATATAATTCATCAAGTTTATCACACACTTCACTACCTGGAAGCTTATCCTCAACAGCCTGTTGAGGGCTTGGCTTAAGTGCTGGTTTGGAGATGATACCCTGCAAAGGTGAGGCGCCATCATTTAAATCAACCCTGGCAGGATTGGCACTTTGAGCTGGGTAAGTCTTTGTTGTGCTGTCCTTTGTGTTGTGAAATGTTTAGCAACATCCCTGGCTCTGTCCACTAGATGCGCATAGCAAACCTCCTCCCCAACTTGTGGCACACAAAATGTATCCACACATTGCAATATATCCCTTAAGAAGACAAAAACACCGTCAGCTAAGAACCACTGCTCTAAATCAACAATTGTAGCATGACCCTAATAGCAAAATACGACTACTCTCAGCGACCAACTCAGGGAATTTGTGCATCCTGTGCCTGCGACTCTGAGATCTGTGTGTTTAATAGTTTTGGCTGCCAGAGAAGGAATATATATCCACAAGGGAGCAGAGTAAAAATCCCATTCAATTTTAAGCTATGGCTGTCATCTTGTCACCCCCCAGGTGCCAAAAGAAAAGAAGACAAATAAAGGAATCACCATCATTTTGACAGGAATTGACTTTGATGGTCAGGAGGGGGTAGGGCCTCTGTTACATAATAGGGACAGGGAAGCATTTGTTTTGAAATAAGGTGACTACTTGTGTGTTTGTTTCCTGGTATTCCATTACCCAATTTTAATGGTAAATGGGACTCAGACCCATGAAAAAAGAGGAGTTGAGTCAACTTCCTCTTCCCCAGGTAAGCCACCTAGACTGCAGAGGTCCTGATGATTCTAGACTAGATAGTAGGAAAAGAAAATGATAAATATCAGTGACAATGAAAAGGACTGTAATTTGTCACATTAACTCCCCTCTTGTTACTTCAAGAAAGAGGTCCACCAGAATCTTCCAGGAGCATTACAGAACTTTCAGCAAAAAAAAAAAAAAAAAAAAAATTGATCCAAGCAGTACAAGCTATGGACTGCAGTGGGTATGGTGGAGTCCTCTTCACTGTGGCATTCAAGCATTCCTTTCTCAGCTGCTGAAAGTGGTGGCAGCAGACAGCCTTTAGCTGAGTCCCTCTTCAGGGATTGCCTGCAGCTGATGACAGCTGCCCATCCCAAGACCTTTCCCACGTCCAATATCTAACAGATGTGGTTTCCCACGTAACCCAAACTGCATAGATTCATATAGTTAATATTTATGTTATTATTCATGTAGTTGACAATGAGACTTGATCTAGTCGCTGTCCCTTAACACTCCACGATGTTTAAGCTCTTTGTCTTTGTTCAGCATCCTCCCTTACAATCCTTGAACATCTAACCTAAAACCCTTTCTTCCTCCTAACCTCCTGCTGTGGACTGAATTGTGCCCTCTAAAATTTGTACATTGAAACCCTAACTCCCAATGCAATGATATTTGGATATTGGGATTTCGGGAGATAATTAGGTTTAAATGAAGTCCTGAGGGCAGGACCCTCATGATGGCACCAGTAACCTTATAAGGAGAGAAAGAAACACTGCCAGAGGTTTCTCTGCCTAGGAGGACACAGCAAAAAGGCGGGTTCCTGTAAGCCATGAAAAGAGACCTTCCCAGAACCTGACCATGCTGATGGCCTTGATCTTGGACTTCCAGCCTCCAGAACTATAAGAAAATAAACGTCTGTTATTTAAGCCACTGGTCTGTGGTATTTTGTATGGCTGCCTGAACTGACAAATGTACCTACGAATAACAATAATATTAATAGGTTTGGAAGGATTCGTTTGTTAAATGCTCCAGGCCCATGTTGGATGCTTCATTTGTTAAATGCTCCAGGCCCGTGGTGTTTGGGAACAAATATTATTTTCTAATTCTATCAGTTTTTTCCATGATTATTGTCCTGTTTGGGTTTCCCCTTTTCACAATTTGGCAATTTCTATCTTCCCAGGAAATTATCCATTCCAGGATCCCAAATGTATTTTAATAGAGTTACATAATTTTTTAAAATTTTCTTTTTGATTTACTATTTTCTGTTTTCTGTGGTTTCTTTATTAAGCTAGCAAATGAATTCTCTAGTTTATTGGCTTTTTCCCTTAAAGAATCTTTTCATGGATCATCTTTTTTATACTAAATTTTTCCTCACTTTTTAAAATTATTTTCTGCTTCTAGCTTATGTCCTTCCTTCTGTTTCATTTGGCTTAATTTGTTGTTCCTTTTCTAATTTCTCATGTAGAATATATAGAATGTAATTTACTTATTTTATCATTCTTTTTTGTTTAGCAAGATGAATATTAAAAGCTTTGTGCTTTTCTCCAATCAAAGATTTATCCACATGCCATAGGTCTTTAAAGTTGTATTTTTATTATGATTTTCTTAGTTGGTTTTTTTAATTTACTCTTTGATCCAAATGTAATTAAAGAGGGCAGATTGTATAAATTACAAAATATTTAGAATTTTTTGTTAGCTTGTAACTTACTTCTATATACGCTGCTATTTGGTGACAGATATGGAATGATCTTTTCAATTTGACTTTTCTGGTGATAAAATGTTTGGCTGATAAAAACAATCTTATCCCATTCATCACTGTTGTTATAGCAAGTTTGGCTTAATTGGGCCTTTTATTTTTTCTTGCAGTTTCCCATAATTTTATTATCTGCTCTCTGGTATATATCTTCTTTCTTCTCTTACTCTTTCCACCCCAAATTTAGAAAGCATATGGTCTGTTATTAGATTTTATCTTCATGCTTCTATTTCTTTTCACCATTTCTTTAAAAGTAAACAGGAATTAATTCTTTCACTTTTTTAAAAGTAAAAAAAATCATAATGAGACTTTAGCTTGGTGCATTATAATTATACAAATATTATATTTTATGTATGCATTTCTTTCCATATTTATAACATTTAAATTTTGCTGCATAACAATAATTCCAAACATAATCTTAGTTCTACATTTAAATAGGTTCAATACTAGTTTTTTGATTGAACAGCTCCTCCATCTCTGTGTTCTTTGTTTCGATTATTCTCTTGGTTGATGTGATTTTACTTACAAGTAGTAGTTTCAAAGACATTTTATGTATGTTTTAGTCCATGGGTTCTTGTATATTTGAAAATCTCTGGTACTTTTATAAACAGATGATATCTTGACTTGGTATTCCCCTTCCAAAATCTATAGACCTTGCGTTATTGTCTTGTGGCACTGAAGAATGCTGAACCAGCCTTATTCTCCTCTCATAAAGGTGACCTTTTATCATCTGTCCATGTAACCACAGGATTCTTTCTTTTTCCTTTAATTTTAGAAGGTTTGCCACCTTAGGTCTTCATGTTGATCATTCTTGATGACCCTAGTTATATAATCAGATTTTCCTTAATTTCAAGCAGGAAGATTGTGGCTTTATAATATTGTTATTCATGACTTTTACTTTTTTCTGTTACAAACCTAATATGGACATTCTCTGTGCCTTTGGACACATAGCTGTTCATGGATGTGAAATAGCTTCCAGGATATATTGTTAAGTGAAAAAGTACAAAATATTAAATATAGTATAACTTTTATACAAAAATCATAAATATATCTGCTTCTTTTTGCAAATAGAAACACAGAAAATCTGAATTAGAAATTAATGAAATTAATCACCTATGGAGAAGTGGATGAGCAGAAGGGAAAAGGGATGAAGTATATACTTTTAATACTTGGAATAACTTCAGTATTTCACATAGACAATAAATTTAAACGAACAAGAATGGGGGGAATCCTAAAACTGAATGCACAAAGAAACAAACACATCTGCATTTTAAATGAACGGGGGAACAGAACCTACCCAAGTACTTTTTGAACACTATAATTTGACTATATACTCTTAGCCTTAAAAAAACTAAAAACTGCAAATATATAGTGAACTATTCTTAGTAGGTTTACTTTTTTTAGTGGTGTGGATATGAAAACTTTGAAACTATTTTGGGCTTATAAAGGCATCAAACAAGGGAATGAATATATTCATGTTGTTGAAAGTCCCACTTCTCACAACAGAGCTACCAAGGTGAAGTCAGAGAAGGCAGAAAGGAGCTCCACAGGCTTGCACTTGAGGTATCAATGTAAACTCACAATTCCTGATATATGCATGCATATGCACACACACATTTTTTTTTCCTAGCTCTCTCTACTAAGGGGAGCCAGTAAGCAAACCTAGGCCCCAAGTTTATATTTTAAGTATTATTTCCCAGTAAAAGGAAGATGTCAAATGTGAAGTGGTACATACCAAGTGAAAAGAGTTCAGTCATATTCCTTCTTTTACCAATTGAGATTCTTGTAGACTGAGATCTTTTCCAACCCTCCCAGCCTATCTCTCTGATGTTATTATAAGATGAGATAATAGCGAGGATTCTCCCTCACCACACTCCTCACCATGGTGTTCACTGGGCTACTCTCCCAAGGTAAAATTCTCTATTCTGAGTTGTTCCCTCCTTTCTTCCTCTTGCTAGTTTTTTTTGGTTTTTGTT
Organism: Homo sapiens; assembly: GCF_000001405.40. Classification (NCBI taxonomy): domain Eukaryota; kingdom Metazoa; phylum Chordata; class Mammalia; order Primates; family Hominidae; genus Homo; species Homo sapiens. The sequence goes on from NC_000009.12 coordinate 81,217,033, forward strand.
TCATTTTCTTTTTTGCATTCAGAGTTGTGGTCCCTAAACTAGCATAAGTAAAAGGCTCAAGACAGATAAAAGAGAAAAGATAACAAAGATTAAAGAAAAGATAACAAAGCTTAAAAAAAACTCGGAGGAGCCAAGATGGCCGAATAGGAACAGCTCCAGTCTACAGCTCCCAGCGTGAGCGACACAGAAGACAGGTGATTTCTGCATTTCCAACTGAGGTACCGGGTTCATCTCACTGGGGATTGCCAGACAGTAGGTGCAGGACAGTGGGTGCAGTGGACCATGCGCGAGCGGAAGCAGGGCGAGGCATTGCCTCACCCGGGAAGCGCAAGGGGTCAGGGAATTCCCTTTCCTAGTCAAAGAAAGGGGTGACAGACGGCACCTGGAAAATCCGGTCACTCCACCCTAATACTGCACTTTTCCAATGGGCTTAAAAAACGGCACACCAGGAGATTATATCCCGCACATGGCTCAGAGGGTCCTATGCCCATGGTGTCTCACTCATTGCTAGCACAGCAGTCCGAGATCAAACTGCAAGGCAGCAGTGAGGCTGGGGTAGGGGCGCCCACCATTGCTGAGTTAGTTGTTTGATTAGGTAAACAAAGCAGCCAGGAAGCTCGAACTGGGTGGAGCCCACCACAGCTCAAGGAGGCCTGCCTGCCTCTGTAGGCTCCACCTCTGGGGGCAGGGCACAGACAAACAAAAAGACAGCAGTAACCTCTGCAGACTTAAATGTCCCTGTCTGACAGCTTTGAAGAGAGTAGTGGTTCTCCCAGCACGCAGCTGGAGATCTGAGAACGGGCAGACTGCCTCCACAAGTGGGTCCCTGACCCCCGAGTAGCCTAACTGGGAGGCACCCCACAGTAGGGGAGGACTGACACCTCACACGGCTGGGTACTCCTCTGTGACAAAAGATTCAGAGGAACCATCAGGCAGCAGCATTTGCGGTTCACCAATATCCGCTGTTCTGCAGCCATAGCTGCTGGTACCCAGGCAAACAGGGTCTGGAGTGGACCTCTAGCAAACTCCAACAGACCTGCAGCTGAAGGTCCTGTCTGTTACAAGGAAAACAAACAAACAGAAAGGACATCCACACCAAAAACCCATCTGTATGTCACCATCATCAAAGACCAAAGGTAGACAAAACCACAAAGATAGGAAAAAAACAGAGCAAAAAAACTGGAAACTCTAAAAATCAGAGCACCTCTCCTCCTCCAAAGTAATGCAGCTCCTCACCAGCAACGGAACAAAGCTGGACGGAGAATGACTTTGACGAGTTGAGAGAAGAAGGCTTCAGACCATCAAACTAACTCCGAGCTACAGGAGGAAATTCGAACCAATGGCAAAGAAGTTAAAAGCTTTGAAAAAAAAATTAGACAAGTGGATAACTAGAATAACCAATGGAGACAAGTCCCTAAAGGACCTGATGGAGCTGAAAACCAAGGCCCAAGAGCTACGTGACGAATGCCGAATCCTCAGGAGCCAATGCGATCAACTGGAAGAAAGGGTATCAGTGATGGAAGATGAAATGAATGAAATGAAGCGAGAAGAGAAGTTTAGAGAAAAAAGAATAAAAAGAAATGAACAAAGCCTCCAAGAAATATGGGACTATGTGAAAAGACCAAATCTACGTCTGATTGGTGTACCTGAAAGTGACAGGGAGAATGGAACCAAGTTGGAAGACAATCTGCAGGATATTATCCAGGAGAACTTCCCCAATCTAGCAAGGCAGGCCAACATTCAACTTCAGGAAATACAGAGAACCCCACAAAGATACTCCTCGAGAAAAGCAACTCCAAGACACATAATTGTCAGATTCACCAAAGTTGAAATGAAGGAAAAAATGTTAAGGGCAGCCAGAGAGAAAGGTCGGATGACCCACAAAGGGAAGCCCATCAGACTAACAGCTGATCTCTCGGCAGAAACTCTACAAGCCAGAAGAGAGTGGGGACCAATATTCAACATTCTTAAAGAAAAGAATTTTCAACCCAGAATTTCATATCCAGCCAAACTAAGCTTCATAAGTGAAGCAGAAATAAAATACTTTACAGACAAGCAAATGCTGAGAGATTTTGTCACCACCAAGCCTGCCCTAAAAGAGCTCCTGAAGGAAGCACTAAACATGGAAAGGAACAACCGGTACCAGCCACTGCAAAAACATGCCAAACTGTAAAGACCATCAAGGCTAGGAAGAAATTGCATCAACTAACGAGCAAAATAACCAGCTAACATCATCATGACAGGATCAAATTCACACATAACAATATTAACTTTAAATGTAAATGGGCTAAATGCCCCAATTAAAAGACACAGACTGGCAAATTAGATAAAGAGTCAAGACTCATCAGTGTGCTGCATTCAGGAAACCCATCTTAGGTGCAGAGACACACATAGGCTCAAAATAAAGGGATGGAGGAAGACCTACCAAGCAAATGGAAAACAAAAAAAGGCAGGGGTTGCAATCCTAGTCTCTGACAAAACAGACTTTTAACCAACAAAGATCAAAAGAGACAGGGCCATTACATAATGGTAAAGGGATCAACTCAACAAGAAGAGCTAACTATCCTAAATATATATGCACCCAATACAGGAGCACCCAGATTCATAAAGCAAGTCCTGAGTGACCTACAAAGAGACTTAGACTCCCACACAATAATAACGGGAGACTTTAACACCTCACTGTCAACATTAGACAGATCAACGAGACAGAAAGTTAACAAGGATATCCAGGAATTGAACTCAGCTCTGGATCAAGCAGACCTAACAGACATCTACAGAACTCTCCACCCCAAATCAACAGAATATACATTCTTTTCAGCACCACACCACACCCACTCCAAAATTGACCACATAGTTGGAAGTAAAGCTCTCCTCAGCAAATGTAAAAGAACAGAAACTATAACAAACTCTCTCTCAGACCACAGTGCAATCAAACTAGAACTCAGGATTAAGAAACTCACTCAAAACCACTCAGCTATATGAAAACTGAACAACCTGCTCCTGAATGACTACTGGGTACATAACGAAATGAAGGCAGAAATAAAGATGTTCTTTGAAACCAATGAGAACAAAGACACAACATACCAGAATCTCTGGGACACATTCAAAGCAGTGTGTAGAGGGAAATTTATAGCTCTAAATGCCCACAAGAGAAAGCAGGAAAGATCCAAAATTGACACCCTAACATCACAATTAAAAGAACTAGAAAAGCAAGAGCAAACACATTCAGAAGCTAGCAGAAGGCAAGAAATAACTAAGATCAGAGCAGAATTGAAGGAAATAGAGACACAAAAAACCCTTCAAAAAATTAATGAATCCAGGAGCTGGTTTTTTTAAAAGATCAACAAAATTGATAGACCGCTAGCAAGACCAATAAAGAAGAAAAGAGAGAAGAATCAAATAGATGCAATAAAAAATGATAAAGGGGATATCACCACCAATCCCACAGAAATACAAACTACCATCAGAGAATACTGTAAACACCTCTACGCAAATAAACTAGAAAATCTAGAAGAAATGGATAAATTCCTCAACACATACATCCTCCCAAGACTAAACCAGGAAGAAGTTGAATCTCTGAATAGACCAATAACAGGCTCTGAAATTGTGGCAATAATCAATAGCTTACCAACCAAAAAGAGTCCAGGACAAGATGGATTCACAGCCGAATTCTACCAGAGGTACAAAGAGGAGCTGGTACCATTCCTTCTGAAACTATTCCAATCAATAGAAAAAGAGGGAATCCTCCCTAACTCATTTTATGAGGCCAGCATCATCCTGATACGAAAGCCTGGCAGAGACACAACCAAAAAAGAGAATTTCAGACCAATATCCTTGATGAACATTGATGCAAAAATCCTTAATAAAATACTGGCAAAACGAATCCAGCAGCACATCAAAAAGCTTATCCACCATGATCAAGTGGGCTTCATCCCTGGGATGCAAGGCTGGTTCAACATATGCAAATCAATAAATGTAATCCAGCATATAAACAGAACCAAAGACAAAAACCACATGATTATCTCAATAGATGCAGAAAAGGCCTTTGACAAAATTCAACAGCCCTTCATGCTAAAAACTCTCAATAAATTAGGTATTGATGGGACGTATCTCAAAGTAATAAGAGCTATCTATGACAAACCCACAGCCAATATCATATTCAATGAGCAAAAACTGGAAGCATTCCCTTTGAAAATGGGCACAAGACAGGGATGCCCTCTCTCACCACTCCTATTCAACTTAGTGTTGGAAGTTCTGGCCAGGGCAATTAGGCAGGAGAAGGAAATAAAGGGTATTCAATTAGGAAAAGAGGAATTCAAATTGTCCCTGTTTGCAGATGACATGATTGTATATCCAGAAAACCCCATTGTCTCAGCCCAAAATCTCCTCAAGCTGATAAGCAACTTCAGCAAAGTCTCAGGATACAAAATCAATGTGCAAAAATCACAAGCATTCTTATACACCAACAACAGACAAACAGAGAGCCAAATCATGAGTGAACTCCCATTCACAATTGCTTCAAAGAGAATAAAATACCTAGGAATCCAACTTACAAGGGACGTGAAGGACCTCTTCAAGGAGAATGACAAACCACCGCTCAAAGAAATAAAAGAGGATACAAACAAATGGAAGAACATTCCATGCTCATGGGTAGGAAGAATCAATATCATGAAAATGGCCATACTGCCCAAGGTAATTTATAGATTCAATGCCATCCCCATCAAGCTACCAATGACTTTCTTCACAGAATTGGAAAAAAACTACTTTAAAGTTCATATGGAACCAAAAAAGAGCCCGCATCGCCAAGTCAATCCTAAGCCAAAAGAACAAAGCTGGAGGCATCACACTACCTGACTTCAAATTATATACAAGGCTACAGTAACCAAAACAGCATGGTACTGTTACCAAAACAGAGATATAGATCAATGGAACAGAACAGAGCCCTCAGAAATAATGCCGCATATCTACAACTATCTGATCTTTGACAAACCTGACAAAAACAAGCAATGGGGAAAGGATTCCCTGTTTAATAAATGGTGCTGGGAAAACTGGCTAGCCATATGTAGAAAGCTGAAACTGGATCCCTTCCTTACACCTTATACAAAAATTAACTCAAGATGGATTAAAGACTTACATGTTAGACCTAAAACCATAAAAACCCTAGAAGAAAACCTAGGCAATACCATTCAGGACATAGGCATGGGCAAGGACTTCATATCTAAAACACCAAAAGCAACGGCAACAAAAGCCAAAATTGACAAATGGGATCTAATTAAACTAAAGAGCTCTGCACAGCAAAAGAAACTACCATCAGAGTGAACAGACAACCTACAGAATGGGAGAAAATTTTTGCAACCTACTCATCTGACAAAGGGCTAATATCCAGAATCTACAATGAACTCAAACAAATTTACAAGAAAAAACAACCCCATCAAAAAGTGGGCGAAGGATATGAACAGACACTTCTCAAAAGAAGACATTTATGCAGCCAAAAAACACATGAAAAAATGCTCACCATCACTGGCCATCAGAGAAATGCAAATCAAAACCACAATGAGATACCATCTCACACCAGTTAGAATGGCGATCATTAAAAAGTCAGGAAACAACAGGTGCTGGAGAGGATGTGGAGAAATAGGAACACTTTTACACTGTTGGTGGGACTGTTAACTAGTTCAACCCTTGTGGAAATCAGTGTGGCGATTCCTCAGGGATCTAGAACAAGAAATACCATTTGACCCAGTCATCCATTACTGAGTATATACCCAAAGGATTATAAATCATGCTGCTATAAAGACACATGCACACGTATGTTTATTGCGACACTATTCACAATAGCAAAGACTTGGAACCAACCTAAATGTCCAACAACGATAGACTGGATTAAGAAAATGAGGCACATATACACCATGGAATACTATGCAGCCATAAAAAATGATGAGTTCATGTCCTTTGTAGGGACATGGATGAAACTGGAAACCATCATTCTCAGTAAACTATCTTAAGGACAAAAAACCAAACACCACATGTTCTCACTCATAGGTGGGAATTGAACAATGAGAACACATGGACACAGGAAGGGGAACATCACACACCGAGGACTGTTGTGGGGTGGGGGGAGGGGGGAGGGACAGCATTAGGAGATATACCTAATGCTAAATGACGAGTTAATGGGTTCAACACACCAACATGGCACATGTATACATATGTAACAAATCTGCACATTGTGCACATGTACCTTAAAACTTCAAGTATAATAATAAAACAAAATTAGCTGGGTATGGTGGCGCATGCCTGTAGTCCCAGGTACTTGGGAGGCTGAAGAAGAAAAATCGCTTGAACCCGGGGGGGGCGGGAGGTGGAGGTTGCAGTGAGTCTAGACCACACCACTGCACTCTAGCCTGGGTGACAGAGTGAGACTCCCATCTCAAAAAAAAAAAAAAAAAAAAAAATTAGCAAAAGATGTCCCAGAGCTTCTATTTGTGTGTGTTATATTTATCAATATTTACCATATTAGAAATGAAAATGGGAAAAAATTATTTAAAAAAAACAAAACTCTAGGTATTTCAAACAACAACAACTCTGCTGCTATTGGCCTCTGCATTGTTGTTGTTGTTGTCGGTAAGAACTTGGCATTTCTGAGCCCAGGTGAGTCAGTAGTTAGGCTTTTGAAAAGTTTACCAAATACACCTTTAAATATGGTTCCAACCATTCTAATTGCCAGGATTGTGGAAAGAGGTTGAAATTTCCAGTTTGGGTGAAATTATGAGTTTCAGTCTTTATCTGGGTGGTTCAGCAGAAAATTAAAAGTCTGTGTAAGGGACTATTAGCTGCATGCAGTTTTAAACTGAAAGTTGCTTTAATCCTTTTTAAGTAAGCCATTAATCTTCATTTATTATTTCTTCATTATATTCTCTGCACACTCTTAAAACTTAGAGGTGTTTAGTCTGGTTTGCAAGCTTTCCTGGCTTTGCTAATGCTCCCCATAAATTACCTAAGATGCTCTCAATGTTTAGGTAGATTCATTTTTTCTCCTAGAAAAATGCAAAGTACAGAAGTATGTTCTCCTACTTTCCAAATATGATTTGCTCAGCCATGTACTTCTCAATATCCTAGGGAAAGCTCAAACACTTCCTCTCACCCTAGGGCAAATAACAACCATTTCTATCCCTTTCTTCACTTTGCACTATTTTCCCAGGCCTTAAGTAAGTCTGCTAGAGTTGAATTATTCTCGAGGCAACAGGGGAAAGCTGCTGAAAGGCAGCTGCCGTCACTCTCTCGATCTCTAATCTCATAATTTCTTCATGGCCTTCTGCACACCGGGGATCACTGAACAGCCTTCCACACCTGCAGGTGTTATTTTTGCAACTCTTCCCCAGGGTCTTCAAACCAGAGTTGGGTCTTTTCTTGGCTTCCTGCTGCTAAAAGCCAAACAAAGAGAAGGGAGAGAACATCATTTATAAAAGCCTCTTTCGAGAGTGGCAGGATGGGGGTAAGACATTTATCTCTGGAGGAAAACACTCTCTCAAAGCACATACCTTGGCCTCCAACATGGACAGGTTTATAAGTAAACATGGTTTAACTATAGCCTTCAGCCAACCCTGCTCCAGCCAGACTTGCACTTCCCATTTCTACATTGTGAGCATAGATTCCAGCTCTACAGCCAAGTGAGAAGGGAGGGCTGGGCTCACGGCCATTTGAATCAATGGAGAAGGAGAACGTGAGGAAAGAGGTAGCAATCAGTGGAAAAAGAGAGCCTAAAACTTCCTCTCAGCACGTGTTCCCTTTGGCCATCCAGATGCCTGATCAATTCCTCCACCTCCCTTACCATAATTCCTTCCTTGACATCCATATGGCTGCTATCACAGGCAATGGAGAAAGCAGCACAAAATATAAACTATGTTTATATGTCTGAACAGTGCTTATCTTTTCTATGTTGTCAAAATAGTAACAGTGACCTTCATGACATCAGACCTCCCAGGGTCTGATGAAAGCCTTGCACTTACCACAAACATCTCTTAGAATAGATTTAAAGAAACTTCAGATGTGTTCTTTGATCCCCACAGGATATTGCTCCCAGTTAAAACACTGGAGTGTCATCATAACATCAAATTTCAAAAGCATCCCAGATACTAAATGGGTCTTGCATTGTAACCCCAAATTCATCATTTTGTTTTTGGTGTTACTTGTAGGACCAAGTCCTCAATGAATTTCTCCAAAACTCCTGAGTGATTCTTTTTCCCCACTACCACCACAGTAACTTTTATACATCTACTCACAGTAACTTTTATACATCTTCTCCCACTGGTAACACTAGAAAAGCTGGCAGGCTATTGCTCAAAATGCAGAACACCTTTCTGAATATCTACAACCATAGTGGTAAAACAATGGTACAAATACCTATTATTACTTTAAATATCACCTCATATCCCTATAATGGTTAAAAAAAAACCCAAAAATTTTAAATATGCATGTATGTCATCACAAACACAAAAATTAGTCCTACTTTATACAAAAAAAAAAAAACACTAAAAATATCTGTCAGTGTATTCATGATTTTAAACTCAACAGAAAGAATGCTAACAACAAATTCTCCAGCTCAAAAGCAGAGTGCACTGCAGCAAATCTGGTTATGAGAATAAAATATTCCTTGGCCTAGAATGTCCTTCCATCAGTTCACCAACAACCTGCAAATACTCTTCATTCTTCAACTTTGCTGAAACAATGCCAGCTCGGTCAAGTTTTGACAACTCCTATTGTCCTGCCAGGCTCAATTGCATCATTCTCTCTCCTGTGTGTTTTCATGTCTATTTTAGATAGCACATATGACATTGCTATGTAAATATTTGTTCCTTCAACTAAATTATAAAGTGTTTATAATGAGCAAGTAGCATATAGTAAATGTTCCATAATTGTTTGATGGATTGCATAATGCCTTAAATCAAAAACACAGCCTTACTTAAAACAGGAAAAGCTTATGTGACTATTCGACTCATGTTAGGAAGCTGAGTAGTTAGAGAAACAAGATCAATACAGTTTGTGGCTGCCCTCCACAGCGAATATTTGATATGCAAAACAACACTAATGCATTTTACTTGAGAGAGAACTCAATATTGATGGCAGGGCCCCAGCTACATAATTTTCAGTGCCCAGTTTGAAATTAAAATGTAGGGATACTTCTTCAAAAAACAGAAAAAAAAAAAGAAGTCCCATTAAAGGTCCTAAATGGCCAGGCACAGTGGTTCATGCCTGTAATCCCAGCTCTTTGGGAGGCCAAGACAGGGAGGATCACTTGAGCCCAGGAAATCAAGGCTTCAATGAGCTATGATCACCCACCATACTCTAGCCTGGGTGACCAAGTCAGATCCTGACTCTTAAAAGAAAAAAAAACTAAAATATAAATATTTTCTTTCTTCAGCAGTCTCTCTCTATTTGTCATGGTATTTTGCTATTTAATGTCATTCAAGGTAAATAAAAATTAAAATATTTAATTATTAGCATGCATTTCACCATTTATCTTTATAGTGAGCATGCCAGTTTTAAGTGAACATATAAGACTATTTATCTCATGTGCAGAATCACCAAAATTATAATACATGATTCATATTTTGTAATTTCCACATGTATATATATTTCATTTATACCAGAACAGTAGAAACAATGAACAAAACTAGCTCATCTGTATTTATTGCACTTTGATATGAACAGATTCTACCAACATGCTTTATCTTCAGCTTTTGGGTAAATAATGAAGAATTTAAAGGAAAGCATATAACTATGAGTTGCCCTATGTTTCCTTTTTTCTCCTATGGCATTATTTTCAGCATAAGTGGTTGGCTACTGCAAGAAAATATCACAATTAGGAAAGAATATGGTAAGAATTCCTTGGTTGTTCCTTTTTCTTAGAATGCTATTACCCTCTTTCTACATTTGAAGCATGTTCTGCTTCAGATGGAAAGTGTGGCCTCTTGGGAGTCTCCATGGACCCACTTGTGGAGTCTTATGTGTAACGTGCTTACCTTGCCCTCACTTCCATGCACTGAGGGTCCACTGGGATTTTGTACAAAGCATGGTGTGTGCATTATCTGTGAATGGAGTACCATGGAATGGCATAGACACATATTGCATGTAAGTCCTCTGCTCATGCACATGCTCCATTGTCCTGCTGTGCTTCACTTATAAATCACAAACTCAAAAATAAAATTGAGCTTGGGCACCATGGCTTTCACATGTAATTCCAGCACTTTGGGAGGCCGAGGCAGGTGGAGCACCTGAGGTCAGGAGTTCGACACCAGCCTGGCCAACATGGTGAAACCCCATCTCTATAAAAATACAAAAATTAGCCATGTGTGGTGGCGAGTGCCTGTAATCCCAGCTAATCCCAGCTACTTGAGAGGCTGAGGCAGGAAAATCACTTAAACCCAGGAGGTGGAGGTTGCAGTGAGCCGAGATCATGCCATTGTACTCCAGCCTGGGTGACAAGAATGAAACTCTTGTCTCCAAAGGAAAAAAAAAAAAAGATAAAAGTGTTAATTTCAGGATGGTGACAGGAGAGCATTAAACCAAGCACGGGCTCTTCTGAGACGCACACCCATGGAGCTGGACCTGATGGATTAGTTAGTGTACCGCACAGTATGAGTTATATAACTTGGAGGTGAAATCCTCTGAACCATGACAGAACCAGGATGATTTCCCAGGGTTCTGTTCAAACAGACCTTTAACCTATCACCTCATATTCTGTTTCAGGTGAAAACATGATCCACTCACACTGGACTTTTCGCAGGTAGCCACAACTAGAAGTATTTGGGTTGTGCTGAGTGTATTCCTATTTCCAAAGTTCTCTCTGCCTTTAACAGCTTGCCTTGCTTTCCAAGCAGAACATTCCACAGCAAAGTGCAGTATTAAGGAGTGCACACCACATGAAGTCCATGCTGGGTTTCTGCCGCCTAAGCCCTGTTGAATTCTCTTCATGAGCAGGAGCTTGCAAGCCCCAAGTTGTTAAGCACAGTTATGGAAGAAATCTGGAGGTGGAAACCTTGTCAATCACCGACAATGGGGCTTGCTCAGCTGATAATAGAACTACTGCTGCTGCCTAAGAAAGATTACTGTTAGCATTTTGGAAAAGGCAGCAGAGTGACCTTTCTTCCTGAGAGCCAAAGACCCAAAGTGTCTGACAGCTTTGCTATTAGATTTTTTTTTTCTTCTTGTTCTTTCTCTCCACACCTGGGATTCAAGAGGCATTAAAGCACTTTAAGCCAAAGGAGCTATCATCTCCGTGGAGCTTTTCACATTAGGCTCTACCACTTAGCAATTAATTAGATTATGACTGATTATTATTTACTTTTCCTGTCACTTCATTCTACCAATAGAAGCATACACCATCCTCCCAAAGAGTATTTCTGTTTATTTATACAATCATCTTCACTTTTGGTGAATGTTAGATTTCAATGAAACATGATGAATAGCTGTGATACCTGTAACTAGCGTTGATGTCAGTGAAAAGAAAGGCAAAATAACTAAAGAATTATTTTTGCTTCCTGCAGAGATTACCCCAGTATCAGGGGCTGATATTTTGTCAGTTTCATTGAGGTATAAGTTATATATAATAAAGCTCACCAATTTAAAACACGTAACTTGATGAGTTTTGACATGTGTATACCACCACTACCACAAGCATGATACAGAACATTCCTTTCACTCTACACCCCTTTGTAGTAAATTTCCTCCCTTCACAACTTGGCCTCAGCAACAGCTCCTGTGATTGCTATCAGTATAGTTTTCTTCTCTTAAGAAATTCCTATTGATGGAATTCATACATTATCTATTCCTTTATAATTGGCCACTTTCACCTGACACAATACTTTTGAGCTTCATTCATGCCGTTACATGTTAGTTAATTCATTTTTATTAATGAATTGTATCTATTGTATGTTTAAACCACAATTTGTTCATCCATTGGCCGACTGATAGAAGTTTCATTTGTTCCCAGTTTGAAACTATTATGAATAAAGTTGCTATGAACACTTTTGTGCTCATTTTCTGAAGGAATGTATGTGTTTCTCATAGGTAGAAATCTAGGAGTGGAATTGCTAGGTCATATGGTAAGTGTATGTTTAACTTTATAAGAAATTGCTGGCTGGGCGCAGTGGCTCATGCCTGTAATCCCAGCACTTTGGGAGGCCGAGGAGGGTGGATCACCTGAGGTCAGGAGTTCAAGACCAGCCTGACCAACATGGTGAAAACCCGTCTCTACTAAAAATACAAAAATTAGTTGGGCGTGGTGGCGTGCGCCTGTAAACCCAGCTACTCAGGAGGCTGAGGCAGGAGAATTGAATTGCTTGAACCTGGGAGGCGGAGGTTGCAGTAAGCCGAGATCACGCTACTGCACTCCAGCCTGGGTAACAGAACAAGACTCCATCTCGAAAAAAAACAAAAAACAAAAAAAAACCTGCTAAACTATTTTCCAAACAGTTGTATCACTTTTCATTCCCATCAGCAGTGTATGAGACCATTCCACCTCCTCACCAACTCTTGGTGTTGTCCATCTTTTGGATTATAGCCATTCTAGCAGGTAGCAGAGGTATCTCATTGTGGCTTTTCTTTCCAACTTTTATTTTAGGTTCAAGGGGTACATGCGTAGGTTTGTTACAGGGGCAAAATTGCATGCCATGGAGATTTGGTGTACAGGTAATTTTGTCACCCAGGTAATCAAGTGACAATTTGTCACCTGTTGGGTAATAGCACCCAATAGGCAGTGTTTCAATCCTCACTCACCTCCCACCCTGCGCCCTCAAATAGGCCCCAGTGTCTATTGTTCCCTTCTTTGTGTCCATGTGTATTCAATGCTTAGCTCCAATTTATAAATGAGAACATGCAGTACTTGATTTTCATTTGGTTTTCTGTTCCCCCATTGATTTGCTTAGGATTAGGCCTCCAGTTCCATCCACGTTGCTGCAAAGGCCACAATCTCATTTTTTATAGTTATATAGTATTACATGATGTATATGTACCACATTTTCTTTATCCAGATGGGCAACTAAGTTGGCTTTATATCTTTGCCATTGTGAATAGTGCTGCAACAATATATGCATGCATCGCATTTTCTTACTGACTAATGATGTTGAATACTCTCTTATGTATGTATTGGCCATCTGTGAAATGTCTGTACAAATATTTGGCCCATTGGTTTTTTGGCAGACTTTCTTATTATAGAGTTACAAGAGTTCTTTATATACTCTGTACGTAAGTACTTATCAGGTATATTTTGCAAATATTTTCTCTCAGAAGGTGTCTTGACATTTTGTTTCTAGAAGAGTCTTTTGAAGAACAAAAGTTTATCATTTTATGAAGCTTAATTCCTCATTTTTTTCTTTTATACTGTGTTCAATTTAAGAAATCTTTGACCAACACAAAGTCATAAATATTTTCTCCTGTTTTTTTCTAGAAGTTTTATACTTTTAGCTCCTGCATTTAGGTCCTTAATTTTGAGTTATAGTTTTGCATATACAAAACTTTATAGTGTGAACTAGGGCCCATATTCTCTATTTTTTTTTTTTTTACATCTGACTATCTAATTGTTACAGCACTATTTGTTAAAAAGCTTATACTTTTTCATTGAATTGCCTTTGCATCTGTCAAAAATCTTTTGACTATGTATGTGTAGATCTCTATTTCTGGACTCTCTGTTCTGTTCCATTGATCTATGTGCCTATCCTTACGCAAATAGCACACTCTCTTCATTATTGTAGCCTTATAGTGAGATTTGAAATCAGACAGTGCACATTCTCCTCTTTTTTCTTTTTCAAAATTGTTTTGACATTTCCAATTCCTTTGCTTTTCTATATGAGTTTTGAAATAAGCATGCTGTCAATTTCTGCCAAAACGATTCTGCTTAAATTTTGATCGGAATTACATTTAACTTGTAGATCAATTTGAGAATTTACATCTCAATAATATTGAGTCTTCAGATTCATAAGCATGAAATGTCTTTCTATTATTAAAATCCTTTTAACTTTTTTCAGTAAAATTTTAAAGATTTCACTTTATAGATTTTGTACATATTTCATGAAATTTTTCCCTAGAAAATTCATTATTTTGGTGGTATGATTTTGCTATTTGAATTTTCTAATTATGTGTTGCTATTATATAGAAATGCAATGGTATTTTTTTACGTTGACCTTGCATTTTGTGATATTGCTGAGTTCACTTATTAGTATTAGTTATGGGGTGGTTTTTTAAAATAATTTTTAAGGTATTCTACATAGATCATGTTGCCTTAAAAAAAAAGAGATTTACCTTTTCTTATCAATTTGTACAATTTTTCAAAATCTCTGTTATTGCACTATGAAGGACCTCAACTACAATGTTGACTAGAAGTGAAGATATACCTCCTTGATTTGTTCCCAATTTAGGAGGAAAAGATTCAGTCTTTCACCATTAAGACGCTGTTAAAAATTATTTTTATAATATTGAATATTTATATCAAATTGAAAAAGCTATCTTACTATTCGCAGTTTGCTGAATTTTAATGACAAATGGGTTTTGAATATTGCCAGATGCTTTCTCGTAATCTATTCAGATGATAACATGGATTTTCATTTTTCAGTCTGCTCAAATGGTGAATTACATTGACTCCTTTTTTAAATGTTAAAGCAACTTTGCATTCTTAAAATAAACATTATTTGGTAATGATATATTATACTTTTCTATACATTGTTAAATTCAATTTGCAAATATTTTGTTAAAGACTTTTTAATCTATAGTCATGAATGATATTGGTCTGTTGTTACTATTTCTGATCATATCTTGCCCGGTTTTGATGTCAGAGTAAAGCTAGCCTCAACAACATAAATTGGAAAATTTTAATTTTAATTTTCTGAAAGAATTTATGTAGAAATTCTTTCCATCAAAATATAAAATTTTGATAGAATTCAGCAAGAATACCATCTGGGCAAAGTATTTTCTTTCTGAGGAGGTATTTGACAACAGATTAAAATTTTTAAAGAGATACAGGACAACCTACTTCCTTAGTGAACTTTGGAAATTCATGCCTTTCAAAGAATTCATCCACATCATTCAAGTTGTCATATTTATTGTCATAAAGATGGTCATAATATTTTCTTGCCATCGTCTTTATCTCTATCGTATTTCTGATACTGGTAATTTATTTTTTACTGATCTGTGTAACTAGAGGATTACTATTATTATTTGCAAAGAACCAACTGTTAATTTCATTAATCTTATTATTTTTTAACTTTCATTGATTACTGTTCTTATCTTTGTTTTTTCTTCCTCTATCTACTTTGGATTTTGATTTCTCTTCAGTTTTAGTTTCTTTAGGTAAACATCTAGATTCTTTAGAGAACTATCTTTATTTAAATAATAAATCAATGACATAAATTTTTCTCTAAACACTGCTTTAGTGACATCCCACAAATTTGAACTTACTTTGTTTATATTTTTAATAAGTTACATATTTTCTAATTTCTCTAGCAAGTCTATCTTAGATCCATGGGTTATTTAGAAGTGTTTTACTTAATTTCAAAGTATTTGGGATTCATTTCTAATTTATTTCTGTTTTTAAAAAAGAACATATTTTGAATGATTTCAATTCATGCCTTTATTGAGACTTGTTTTGTGGCTTAGAATATTTTACATCTTGATAAATATTCCACTTGAAAAGAATATTTTATTGTTTTTAAACAGAATGTTATGTAAATGCCAATTAGGTCAAGTTAATTGATAACATTGTTCAAGTGTTTTATATCTTTACAGATTTTCTTTGTACTTATTAACTGAATTACTGAGAGGTATCATTGTGCATTTGGCTATTTTTCCTTTCAAGTCTCAGTTTTTGTTTCGTGTTTTTTGAAACTCTGATATTGGATACAATGTGCAATATGTCTCTTTATTCCTAGTAATATTCTTTGCTATGAAACCTGATATAAATATAAGCAGTCTAACTTTCATTTGATTTGTATTTGTACAGTATATCTTTTACCACTTTTTCTTTTACTTTGATCCCATCTGGGTCTTCATAATTAAAATGACAAGTGTTTTAGACAGCATAGAGAAGAATCTTATCTTCATGTGGCAATCTCTGACTTTTATTTGATACATTTAAACCATTTATATATAATGTAATTATTTATATGGCTGAATTTAAGTCAACCACCTTGCCATTATTTTTTGTCCCACCTCTTCTTGGTTCTTCTGCCTTCTTTGGAATGAACAGTGCAGTTTTTGTTTCTCTATTCTATTGCTATCATTTTCTTATTAGTTATACTTCATATTTGGGTATTTTTTAAATAGTTTTCTCAGATTTCCATAATGCCTATTTTTAAATATTGTATCGTATAACTTTACCACAGTATACTTACATTACCCCACTTTCTTCCTTTGTGGTATTGCGGTCACACATTTTATCACTACATATGTTATAGCCTCCACATTGTCATTATTATTTCTTATTTCTGCTTTAAACACTCAGCTGTCTTTTAATGCACCTTAAAACAATTCACATAGAAGGCTTTTACATCTACCCTCATATCTACTATTTCAATTGCCCTTCATTCTTTTGTATGACTCCGAATTTCCAAATAGTATCATTTTCCTTCTGTCTGAAAAACTTCCTTCGATATGTTTTTACTGTATCTAATTGCTGGTAGTAGACCCTTTCAACTATCAGTATGAAAAAGTCCTTATTTTATTTCATTTTTGAAAACTATCTTTTCTGGGCATAGAAATCTTAGTCTACGTTTTTGCTTGTAGTACGTTACATTGCTCCTTATCTTCTAGCTTGTTTGGTTACTCAAAGGAAGTCTGACTTCAGTGCTATCAAAATTTAGCATTTGTATGTAACATGCTTTTTCTCTCTGGCTGCTTTTTAAATTTTCTCTTTATCATTGGTTAACAGAAATTTGATGTACCTTGTCATGATTTATTTATTGTTTCAGTGAACTGTGAATACATAGTTTTAAACAAATGTGGAAAACATTTTGACCATTATCTTTTCAGATATTTTTTCTGTTCCCTATTTTCTCTCTACTTTTTGTCATAATCCAATTAAACATGTGTTAGGACCCTTTATATTGTTCCACAACTTACTAATACTTATGTTATTTTCCTGTTCAATTTTTTTTTCTATGTTTCACTTTGGATGTTTCTCTTGCTGTTTTCAAGTTAATACTCTTTTCTTCTGCAGTGTGTAATCTTGTGTTAATCCCATTTAATGTATTTATTTTTAACTCTGGATCTTGAATTTTTATCTCTAGAAGTTTCATTTGTGCCTTTTATATATCTTTCTTTTCTCTCCTCATCATTATAAACTTGTCATCTGTGTTTGAAATATAAATTACATTTATAATCTTTTTAAGTTCTTATCTGCTAATTCTATCATCTCTGTTAATTCAAAGACATTTTCTTCTGGTTACAGCATGTATAATACATACTAATACCATAATACTATATACTACGTGGTATAATATATACTATAATGTATAATATATAATAGTATTATTTTTCAACTTTGAATGTCTTGAAATCTTTAATTGAATGGTTAGCATTGTGAATTTTATGTTGATTGGTATTGGATTTTGTTGTATTTATTTGCATATTGTTGGTCTCTGTTCTGGGAATTAGTTAAGCTACCTGAAATCAGTATGATCATTTTTAGGCTTTCTTCTAAGCTTCTTTAAAGTGAGTCTAAAAAAGCTTTTAGTTCAGGGCTAATTTGACACAACTATTGACAAAATACCCTATGCTGAGGACTCCATATAATGAACTCTCTACTGTAAGGTTTTTCTACTCTTGAAATAGAAACTTCCCTAACTCTGTGTGAGCTTTATCTTTGTCCCACCAACTTTTTTCTAGTTTTCTTTTTATTTTTTTCTTCCCCTAAACTAGAATAGTTTTCTCCCATGCATGCACAGATCAGTACTCAGCCAAAGACTCAACGGAACCGTTCTGCATATTTCCAAGGCTATTTTGCTATGCATCTATTTTATGGCCCTCAAATTCTAGCCACATTGTCTTCTGCAAAATCCCAACTCTGACCTTTCAACTCAGCAAAGCTGATGGCTTCTGTTGCAGTTCTGCTTTCTAACAGAACTGAAAACTCTCTTCAGGCAGTCAAGTGGGGCAATCATAGGGCTCACCTAATCTGTTTTCTTTCTCTCCATTATCACCAATCTGTGCTGCTTTTTTCCAAGCTAAGTAAGTTGTTGTGTTTTTTGTCCTGTTTTCTTTTTGTTTAAGGTGGGATGGTAAATATGACGCCTTACTTTTTCATGCCAGAAGTAAAAGTCTCAGTACGTCTGTTTTTAATTCAGTGAAAATTATAACAGCAACATCTGATAATAGCTAGCCAGAAAACGATACATCTGCACTCAGGTATACTTAATAGACACTCAAGAGCATTAACTCAATATTCAGTTCATACTGTTTTGTGCATAATTTGATACGAATTTCTGAAGTAGTAGGTCCCTGAAAAAAAAAAAAGAAAGAAAAATAATTTGATACAAATACACAGGATTGACATATCTGAGGCCAAAGCTGGCTACCAAAATGAGGAAAGATTGAAATTTCCTTTAATAGCTCTTTTGCTTTCTTTTGGTAATATTATGATGCCAAACTAAATTACAAGTTGTAACAATTTTGTTAAAATCAACATGTTATTCAAGGTGTCACCTCTAATTTTATTTACTATTTCCTTTTAATACATTTATTAAGTATCACCTATGTGCAAAGCAGTATGTTAACTACTAGGAGAGCACAGGGCAATCAATTAAACATCATCTCTCTCAGAAGAAACTTAGGGTATAATATAATTCTAATATAAATCAGAATAAAATACGTCCTATGACAGAAATAGATGGAAATTGCTATGAGCATACAGAGAAAGAAATGATTACTCTAACTTGAAGAAAAAACAGTTAATATTTACCGCATGTTTTCTGTGATTAGAAATTTGAAGTGCCTCATGTGTATTATTATATTTAATCCTCAAATATACTCTATAATGTAGATGCCTTTAATATCTCCTTTGTACCATAAGGACACTGAGACTGGAGAGAGTAAATTTCCCAAAGTCACAGAATCAATAAATGGTACATTCAGAGTTTGAACTCAGATAATCTGATTCTAAAGTCCATTTTCTTAACCACTAATTATAATAGAAATATCCCACAAATGTTATAATTGAGCTGAGGCTTGAAGGATGAGTTTGGTTTGTGCAGGTGGGAAGGAAAATATTTCAAGCTTAGGAAACAGCATGGGCAAATAAAAATACTGATGTACTAAATGTGTGGAATTACATGACTAAAGTTCAAGGAACAGAAATATTTGGGGAGTGTTGTTGGAAAGATATATATTGTGATGACCCTCAAATACCACACAAATCAGAATGAATCATCTTGGCAGTTTGTAATTATGCGTTTACTTAGGTATTAGTTTCTGTGCTAAAACTAATAACTTTATAACCTTTGAAAATTTCAAACCATAGCCTGATATTTAAACAGAAAAAGTAACATGTTATACAGAAAATGTAATATGTTGCTCGTTCAGGATGTGCTAGAGTGGAAAACTAAAGATCTTGACATTTTTTAGCTTCAGGCAACTTCGATAAATGTACAACAAAAGATACAGAAATAATAAAGCTAACAATCTACTTAAAAAGAGATAATGTTTAAAAGCAGAAAAATTATAAACAAATGAAACTCTTGCTAAGCCAGTTAAAAACTAAACCATAAATGATTTATTATATTGGGAATTGGGTGGTACTTTTTATTTTAAGTAAGTGTTAGTTTTTACTCTGTGATTTGAATTTTTTTCCTTGTCTTCCAGTTTTGAAAGCATATTGCCTCATGTTTGCTTACTGTTATTCAACAAGTAGATATAAACAATTTTGAGATTGAAGTAAGACAAAAAGAATTTTATTTCAGGTGACTTTCGTTTTACCCATGAAGACCACTCTTAATGATGATAGTAACTATTTGCATTTGAATGGTACTTCACAAGTTAGATATAAAAAGTGCTTATTTCTTACTTAATTCTTAGAAAGAATGCATAAATCCCCATTTATATGTCAAAAGAGGTTGAGGTGACTTACTTTATTGTTCTAAGCTGCCAAATAGGCAAATAGTAAGGATGGAACACAAACGTAGAAATTCTGACTTCATATTCTGCTCTCTCTATCATATCATAATCTTTCTTCACAGCATCCCCAACAAAAGATAATGCAGGAATTTCTAAAATAAAATTTTGAGATAACAAAATCTGGCCAAGGCAGAGAAAAGAGAGTTCTAATTTCTGCCAGTTGGCGTGCAAAGAGGAGACAGTCAAGCATGTATTCTGGAAGACATTTCAGAGAATGCCATTTGGATGCATGACATAAACATCACCAAAAGCAACTGACATAATCATTGGGACCATGGGGGTACTAATGGATAAGTTCTTCTTAAACATACTACATGAAGATGATGTAAAAAGTCAATGTAGTCCCAAGGCTGTGATTGAATTCTGCCATCTAAGCAACATATTATTTATTTATCAGAAAACATTATTTAGTATCTATATGGGCAAATCCTAGAATGGATACTGTTAAAAAAGAAAGAGAGAAGAAAAAATATTCCCTTTCTACAAGAAAATTACAAACTAGTAGAGAAGCTACAATATGTACACAAGGAATTGCCATGCCAGATGATATGCTATCCACATGGTAGGAATGTCACAAGATAAACACAAAGGAAGAACTAAGCTCTTCTGACTGACATAATTAGGCAAGGAATAATGAAACTTGCCAGCCCTTTGCTTTACCTTGAGATATGGAAACAATTCTATGAGAGAAATGGCAGGATTATGTACGGGGTATGTGCTTGAACAAAGATAAAATGTGGTTCTGGGAGAGCATGGTGGTCCCCTTCAGCTGAAAAACCAGAAATCAGAGTTCAAGGCTGCTAAAGTATCTGGACCTTCTAGGGATAAACACTAGAGATAAGAGAAATACAGAGGCAGGCTTTATATGTCTGTGAGTGCTTGGGCTAACGTGGATGCTGTATATTTGCAAAGAATGACTCAGCGAAGCCTAAAAAAAAGTTCCTATGGGATTGAGAAAATAGTAGGAATACTAGAGGTCACACTGTGCTGGATGATAGCAGAATTCTCACACAAGAGTATAAAGATACAATAACCACTTGTTTTAGGGAGAAGGGCCATGATCTCAATAAAATCTACTCTGGATCCACCTTAATAAAACCTAAACCTCAGTATAGTAAGATAGAGCTACCAGTATATTAACTGATTTCCAGAACATTATTTAGCAATCTTTGAAAGATGTGAGAGCCCACAATTCATACTCTTTACAAGCATCATCTACAACATCCAGTAAACAATCAAAACTTATGAGACATGAAGAAAATGTAAAAATGTAACCCCCATAATCAAGAAAAAAAGCATGTAATAGACACAAATCTTGAGGTGAACCAAAAGTTGGAAAGACATTTAAAAACAGTTGTTATATTTATATTCAAGGGCATAAAAGAAAAGATGAACATAACAAGGCAACAGATAGAAAATCTCAGTATAAAAATGTAAATTATTCAAAATCGAAATTATAGACGTGAAAAGAACCATATTCGAAATATAATTATTGATGTGCTAAACAGCTATTGGAGATAAGAGATTCAGCTTAACTAAAGAGAGCATCATAGAAATTGTTCAATCAGACAATATGATGAAAGAAAAACTATAGAGCATTAGTAACTTGTGGGACACTTAAAAATCACACAATGTGTGTTTAATTGGAGCTCCAGAGAGAGAAGAGAAACAATAATGGGGAAAAGGTTTTGAAGAAATAATTGTTAAAATTTCCAACGTTTGGTGAAGAGGCATTAACTTATGATCTAAAAAGTTCTTCCAACTCTAATCGGGTAAAATACAAAGAAAACCACACCTAGCACATTGTGTCAGGGCTCCACACAATCACCTTTAGGCTTGATGTTTTCCTAGAAAAACTCACAGGACTCAAAAATGCTATTATGGTTTATGACAGAGAAAGAAACATATTGAAATCAGCAAAGGGGGCTGGGCCTGGTAGCTCACGCCTGTAATCCCAGCACTTTGAAAGGCCGAGGCAGGCAGATTACGAGGTCAGGAGTTCAAGACCAGCCTGACCAACATGGTGAAACCCTGTATCTACTAAAAATACAAAAAATTACCCAGGTCCACACCCTAGCTGAGGCAGGAGAATCGCTTGAACCCAGAAGGCAGAGGTTGCAGTGAGCGGAGATTGAGCCATTGCACTCCAGCCTGGGCAACAGAGCAAGACTCCATCACAAAAAAAAAAAAAAAAAGAAAAGAAAAAAAATTAGCAAAGGGAAAAGGCATATGGGCAAAGTGTAAGAGAAACCAAGCACAAGCTTCCATGTGTCCTCTCCCAATGGCATCACACAAACACATACTCTTCTTCTAGCAATGATATATGACAACACATGCAAAGTGTTGTCAACCAGGGAAGCTCCCTGAGCCTTGGTGTCTAGCATTTTTGAGGGGTTAGTCATGTGTGAATGTAACACCTGCATGGCTGACTTCAGTTATTCAGTCTAGGCCCCAGACCAAAAATAGGCCTTCATCATCAATTACATTGTTAGCATAAATTATTAGATTAAAGTGTATCTCATGGCCCAAGGCCTCAGGCAGAGGAAACATTCTTATAAGGCAGAATATTCCAAGGGCTCAGAGCTCATCTCTCAGAAGACACCCAAAGGTCAATCCTGAAAACAGGCCTTTCTTGGGAATGTGAAGGATTTGAGCAACACGGGCCTGATGAGTTAACCCTTTTCTACAGAGTCCAATCTCCTGCTCTTTGGTCTATGCTCTCTTACAGTCAAACGATCCAATTTTTTGGAGCATTTATATTTAGCAATACATTTATTTTTAATAAGAGACAGCAATAATATTAGCATGAATATGTGTATTGTTGGAGGAGCCAGTGTAGGTAGAAATTGACATAAAACCACAAATAATTTATCCTGTAAGGCCATTTCATACATGTTCTAATTTTTGTACTCATTTGGATATCTGCTTCCCCTTAATCTACTATTATTTGTGTCTTGTGATAAACCTGTAAATAAAAACTCATAGAAAAAAGCTGACAGCTGAATTCAATTCTTCCTCAGACCACTCAGTTTCCATTAGTATTACATCCTATGGAGGCTTTAATTGGATTTCTCAATACATTTGATGGTCATTATAATCACTATTATAATCAGTATATAATCATCATCATTTGATCAGTATTATAATATTATTTATATAAGATAGTTTAATCTTACCAGCAATACCAATGTTACACCACATTGAGGTATATTTATGATACAGTTCAGTTGCATCTCAGAACAAACCAGCAAGAATTATAGAGGTGTTTGCTGTGCCTTCCCAACAGAATTGGCCCTTGCCTATATACAATATATCATATTACAAGCTTCATTACAATTGGCCATGATTCAGTAATCTCTGTGTTCCAAGTCAGTTGTGGCCAAAGCAATTTATTCTGTCTTAGATCACAAGTTTGTATTAAACTGTTTATCGCGTACTATAGTATAGCAAGGACCCCTTTTCTTCTATAGGAAAGACAAGGGTGGCAATCAGAATATTTCCCATCTCTGCTAATTGTACTGCAGGATATGTCCCATTCTGATCTATTCTTGCAATCAAGGAAGTCATAGTTATCAATGTAAATTATGCATATCCTGGAGAACTTTTATAAATTTGAAGGTCCATAAGAGTCCATAACTGTGCCTTTTGAGTCTCAGAAGCTATGATGGAGGGACATTGACCTATGGCCACTTCAGCCTCTATGTGTATTAAAATAGTCAAGAGGCCCTGTTGGGTCAGGGTACAAGTGCTTTCCAAGTACTTAGTCCTGTTATTCATCATTATTTGTTGAGTCTGCCTGACCCACTTCACTAAAAATCTCATCTTTTCAGGCTGACTCCTATCCCTTGTTTTCTTCCTGGAAGATAATTTTCTCTATCTGCTGATTCTAGTTTATGAGCGTTTTTCCTTTAAAAGGCAATTCCTCATTACAAGTGAATTCAGCTTTTCTTACCTTGCCTAGACTATCATCTATCTGCCTAAAGTCTTTTGCTTTTTTGTGGGTCAATGTTGTTTAATCCACCATGCATGTTGTTGGTACTGTGTTCTATTGGCTTAATTGAAGTTAGGATGCATGTTGTATACCCCAAAATATTTAATTCTTTATGATACAGTTAGATGAGTGGCAGTCACACTTACATGTAATTTCATCTGAATATGCAATAAGTCTCCCATAAACCTCCTTGTCTCAATATAGGGCTGCTTCCCAGGGGAATTAGGACTCAAAACATAAAGCCTACTACTTTATTCTCATCGTAAATCCATTGTCTTTTTCCATTCTGTTTAATAGTTTTCCTTCCACAAAAACAAGGATGATATGTCTTTGTACACAGCACACTGTAGCATATTGGGCATGTAGATGCTGTATTTTGTCCATTATAACCATGGCCCTTCCTAAGCATTTGGTCGTCAACGTTTATAGTTGCATAGCGTTCAGTCTGCTGGAAGTTGTATATCACATCATTTGATGATCTGGCAGGGAGTAATTTCTGATAATTTCTTCCTAAATAAAGTCCTTTGTAACTGGAAAAATAAAAGTCAAGACACTGGCAAATTATTAGAATTCCACTCAGCCACCAATAACTGGCCCATTTGATCATTATTGTATCATTTGACCAAAAGTCTCCCAGAGCAATGCCATTCAAGTTTGCAGGCTTTCAGTCCATCTCGTCAAGGTCCAAAAGCAGGGCTGGTCTTGACAACTACAGGAATTCAGCATTTTAAGTGTCTGGTATAATTGTGCTAAGAGACATTCTTTTGCCCCGAGCCTCTCACAAGGTATCAATATAATACTGAATTTCCCTCAAGCATAATCCATTTATTCATTCCTCTGCCCTGAGCCACTATTTCTCCTTCTCTCAATTTGTCATGAACTTGAACCCAAACATTTTCGCAGTCAGAAGGAACGTGAGGTTTAGCCACTTTGCTGGTCCAGTTTGCTGGAAGCAAAATCAGTCTAGCAAGTGTCTCCTCTCCATCCATTGCCATTCATTTAGAGTAGAATTACACAGGTTCAGAATAGTGGGCTGTCTTGATCACTAGGCAATAAAGCTGCATTCACTGTCATTCCAGTTTTGCAAGATGGGGTGAAGAGACAATTCATTCCATCAAATCCTTAGGAATTTTACCAAAAATGTTTAAAGATATATAGTTTCTTGCTTAGAGGTTATGCCTGTGTGTGACATTCACAGCTGAGGCCCTGGTCTTGTAACCACTGTACCAGGTAGGAAAAAAGAAAGTTGAAGGGATGTGGGGAGAATTGTATTGTCATACCAGCACCATCTTCTACCTGCTATTCCTCACATTCCCTACAAAAGTAAAAATAAAATAAAATAAAATAAAATAAAATAAAATAAAATAAAATAAAATAAAATAAAATAAAATAAAATAAAATAAAATCTATGTAGTGTGGATGTTTTCTTGGCTCCCTCATGTTGAGTGTGAGTACATACTTGCTAAGTTTTGTACGCCAGCCCTTCGTGCTTTTATCTCCTTCCATATTAGGCCAAAAAAAGTTTCAACAGCCTTCCCAATTCTCTATCAAATCACTACTCTGGGGATAACACCTAATATGATATTTCATTTGATATCTCTTTTTCCATAAGTGTCCATTGCAGGCTATAAAGTATATCTCTTGAAGTAATACATCTTAGCAATTCACCTTGCTACAGTATCTTCTGTCCCAGTTATTATATGGTGTTTTGAGTATTTGCATCTACCACCCAGTCCAGAGTAAGTCTCTGTCCTTTTAGGAGCCACTTATATCCTCCTGTATTTACTGGTACTAGTTAGATGTAACCTAGTTGCCTGCTATGTGCAGGAACTTCCTCCAAAAAAATCTGCCCCATGGCCATCTATAGTCTCTGTCTCTCTTCTTAGCAGATAAGACAGCTCACCATGTTGGCATTTTGTGCTTCAGGCAGGGCAAGAAGAATATGTCAGTGATCAGCCCTCTCTGCATTTCTGCAGCTCTCCAATGTTCGTTCATTCTATGGACCAAGGTAGCCACCTCAAGCAAGTGCACCAGGATGTCTACTTGCAGATTCTAGTCATCTTCCAATCCTGGAAAGGAGCTCTTCTGACAGGCATTGACATGTCCTACTTTAATTCACCTCTTAAATTCCCATAGTGATTTCCATTGAGCCATGCTCCCTATGGCATCTATTTAATTGTCCACTTTTCTCCATGTTTCAGTAAGTCAGGGACATTCTAGTAGAGGTTCCAAGGATCCGATATGGAATAAATTGAAATATAGGCAATTATAAATGAAAAGCTATAAATAGTTTAACAACATTCTTAAAGTAAAACTTTCAATACTAGATTGAGCAGTAACCTGTAGATAAACCTTCAGGCAAACAAGGCACCCTGACACTGGGCATATCTCTTCATATTGAGTGTTTAGCTGAGTGCATGGCAAACTCAATGTCTGATAACTTGTACAAGCTGTAACTCACCAACATATTGTTTTCACGCTGATGTCAGAGTCTTAAATTAATGACCATTGAAACTCAAGCCAACAAAATGCTGTTCTAACCTCAATCATCTGGAACACAACAAATCTATAGTAAGAAGAAGTCATGTCTTATCATAATACACATATTCTAAAGACAAAAGATTTTTAAACTTTGAGAGAATGCTTCATACTTTTTTTCTAAGAAGGAGGCTTACTCATTTTATACAAACTTGTAACCTGGTCCATGACAGAGTAAATGCAATAAATTAAAAGGAGGAATGGCACCATTAGTAGCTGATGTTTACTGGAGAAATATAGCAGGTTAGAACCTGAGTAAAGAATAAATCGAAAAATAATTCTAAGAAATAAAACTTTAAGAATTTTAAAAAACAAAAATATAGAACAATTTATTGAGTAGTAAAACACTTTGCACTTAAAGAAAATGACAAAATATGAAAAGGGTAACATTTGCAGTTTAATATCTCAATTCAAGAAATTAATATAATCAATATCGTTAGAAAATAAGCAATTTATGGCAGCTAAGTTTTGGTATTTAAATGAATAAGTTTTAGTAACTTAGAGGGTGTACTTGTGTGCATTCCACCACAGCCAGACGATCCTGTGCTACTTTATATATATGTCTATTTAATTCACACACAACACGTGTGCATTCACACACTGCACAAACACACTCTGAAAAATTCATTGACTATCAAGCCATGATAAGAATATGTATGCTCAAGTTATAAATATCATTTATTTTCTGGATCATCAAAAATATTTTTTTCTCTTTCAGAAACCTATGTCAAACATGATCTTTGCATCTTATATCCTGGAAAAGATGGCAGATATCTTAGAATTAAAGAAAAACAAGACATTGAATTTTTAAAGAATTGATAAATTTTAATACTAAGAAATATAGTGAGTATTTTAGTCTACGTAGCAGAGGAAAAACATAACAGGCAACTCCAAACATTAGAGAATTATTAATAATTAATAGCCCATCAATCTGTTAACAGCTCTTTGCCATAACATATGAGGGTACACACAGTAGTTTATTATTGAAAGATCACCAACTGCGTATAACTATGCTGTCAAGAATCATCACAACAAGAATTCTTTAATCATCTTCCAGAAAGGAGTCAACTCCCTGGAATTATAACTATTGCATAAACAGCTTGTTTGCCTGAAAATACCAGTTTCACACAAATTTCTACTGAATGACTATTGCTTTCCAGTTCCAGAGCTGGCTGCAGAGGCTAGATTGAGATATTCCAAGTGCCAAATGCCCTGTTTCTGTTTGATAGATTTTTTTTTCTCCTCAGGAACATAAAAATAAATAAATAACAATTATTAACAAAAAATTTGGCCAGACTAAAGCTCATCAAGTTATCAGTGACATGACTAATGGAATAATCATATCATAACTGCAAATAAAAGTTGGCGATGTTTTTCGTCCAGAGTATTCATTCCTATGCATTTGTTAAGGTACCCATCCAAAGTCTCTAATGGCATGAAATCAGTGAGACAGAATGTTACTGTGGGAGGTCAAATTTATTTCATCCAAGCAGCTCATGTTGCAAATGAGGAAACAGAGGCACACAAATTAGCCAAACCAGTGTGAGGATAAAGACACCCTCTCCTTCAGATCCAGGGTTCTTTCTGCCCACAATAGTCTATTACTTTGAGAGCAGAATCAATATGCATTAAAAATCTGGTGTCTCAAAATCAATGCCTTAAAGGAGCCTGATGAGTAGCACAAATAAGTGCAGTGGACCATACAAGCTCAGTGCTAAATAGACTTAGGGATCCCTAGGGAGTAATAGTGACAGCATTAAAAAAGAGCACATCATGGGTAAGAGGCAGTCATGACTTAGCTTCATCCAATTGTTGCCAGAAGGAAATGAGAGCCCACCAGATCTCCCAAATTTTTAACAGTTTGAAAATATAAATTTCTTAGTAAAATCTCCGGATTTTTAAACATTGGCAATTTTGTTTAATGTAGAAAGACTCTAGGAAGGTAGCGGAGTAGGAAGCACCAGAAATCTGTCTCCCCATCTAGACAACAATTATGCTAGCAGAATCTGTCTGCTCTAAGTATTTTCTAACTCTGATATTTATTGAAAGTTTGCAGCTTCCAAGGGAGGCCTGGATGGTCAATTGTGGGTTAAATGTGGTCAAATTCAGCTCTGAGCTCATCAGAAAATAGCTCCTAACCCTCAACTCCCACACTGCAGCAGGAAGCCTTGCACATATTCCCGAAGCAGTTTGTGAGAGCAAGGGTGAACAATAAGGGCCAGGCGCGGTTGTTCACTTTGGGAGTCCGAAGCGGGCAGATCACGAGGTCAGGAGATCGAGACCATCCTGGTTAACACAGTGAAACCCTGTCTCCACTAAAAGTACAAAATAAATAAATAAATAAATAAATAAATAAATAAATAAATAAATAAATAAAAATTAGCCTGGCATGGCAGCATGCGCCTGTAGTCCCAGCTACTAGAGAGGCTGAGGCAGGAGAATCACTTGAACCCAGGAGGCAGAGGTTGCAGTGAGCCAAGATAGGAACACTGCACTCCAGCCTGGGCAACAGAGCGAGACTCTGTCTCAAAAATAAAAGAATAAGAGCCCTGTTCTCTAAATACTGGGGACCTGTGTTCTGATCACTGAATGGTACTTCTGATCATGGAGGTACAGACAAACAGGTGGGCAGCCATTGTTGCCCCTCCTCTCCACCATTGATTATACCATTGCTGTAATCAGTGGCGAAGAGGAGGCCAACAATCTCCCTCTTTTTGAAGAAACCACTAGTGGATTTAAAGGGCTAGTCCCATTCTGCCCCCTTCATCCTTCTTTATCCTTCTTTTTTTCCCCTTTTGGGACCCAGCCATTAAAGATTAAGATATTCAAAATCAAAGGTAAATACATGGTCATTTACAAAAGCTAGTGTTATTATAACAACGGTTTGTAACTCCACCTTTTATTGCCTACATATTTTAAAAGACTAATTTTTTTTTAAAGAGCAATTACTACCATAAATGCTAGTGTTATTGCAACTTTGGTTTGTAACTCCACATTTTGTTTTCAACATAATTTAGGATTACACATTATAAAATGTATTTTATAATACACTACAAATGCATTATAAAAAAATCATTAGTTTATGTTTTGGGACACACAATGAATAAAGATATAATTTTATGACATCAGTAACAGAAAGGCATAGGGATGGAGGTGTGTAGGAGCAGAGTTCTTATAAATTACTGAAGTTAAACTGGTATAAATTCAAATTAGAGTGTTATAACTGTTATAACTTTAAGATGCTAAATGTAATCCCTATTGTAACCACAAAGAAAAGTTATAGAATATTACAGAACAGGAAATGAGACGGTAATTAAAACTTTTCATGATGAAAAAAATCAGCTAAACACAAAAGAAGACATTAATGCTTGAAGTGAGATTTTTAAAAAAACTATGATATATGAAAATAGAAAAATGACAAACTAATCTATTTATTAAATATAAATGGATTAAACTTTCCTATTAAAAGATAGTCAAAATAAATTTTTATAAATGAGTACATGATCAAACTATATGCTGTCTACAAGAGACTCACTTCAACTCTAACATGTAACATGAAAAGATGTTTAGCATCACTAATCATTAGAAAATGCAAATTACAACCTCAATGAGATTTTTACCTCACACCCATTAGGATGGCTACTCTAAAAAAAAAACAGAAAATAATAAATATTGGCAAGGATGTGGAGAAATTGGAACCCTTGGGCACTGTTGGTAGGCATGTAAAATGGCACAGCTACTGTATAAAATGATAAGGCAGTTTCTCAAATATTAAAAATAGATTTGACATGTGATATAGCAACTCCACTTTGTATATCCACAAGTAGATACCCAAAAGTATTGAAAGGAGGGGCTCAAGGAGATATTTGTATGCCCATGTTCGTAGCAGCATTATTTACAGTAGTTAAAACATAAAAGCAGCCTAAAAGTATTTGTCCACAAATGAATGAATAAGCAAAATATGGTATACACATACAATAGAATATTATTCAAGCCTTACAAAGGAAGAAAATCTTGTCTTGTTATAAAACGTGGATGAACTTTGAGGACATTATGCTAAGTTGCTAAATGAAACAAACCAGTCACCATAGGAAAAATATTGTATGATTCCACTTATAGGAGGTAACTAGAGTAGTCAAAAATCCTAGAGACTGAAAGTAGAATAGTAGATGCTGGGGGAGAGGAAGTAATGAAAAGACATTGTTTAAGGGTTATAAAGTTTCAGCTTTGCAGGATAAAGGAGTTCTGGAGATGGTTGTACAACAACGTAAATGTACCTAACGCCATCGAAGTGTATACTTAAAAATGGTTCAGATGGTAAATTTTATGTTATATGTACTTTACCACAATAAAAAACATTTTGAAAAGAAATGCAAACCTTGCTGTTTAAAGATATTTGTAACCCAAAGTCAGCCAGAGAGCTAGGAATTTATCTCTGATTTAAACAATTCCCTGCTTGTAATTGGACTCCTGCTGTTCTCTTTTCCTCCCTCTTAGTTCTACAGAACATTTCGTCTCTCACCTCTCCACTCATTTCACAAAGTTCTCCTGTTCACGTGAGAGAATGTGGCTTATTCACATAATGAAAAGTGTTATAATTTCAACCCTCCTTTGTGTAACAATAAACAGATTCAATGCCAGCTTCTCAGGAAGGTGAGAGTTTACATGTAGGCCCCCAAAGTATCCCCCTTGAAGGCTGGCAATATAGAAAAAACATGTCTCAGTCCATCTGTGAACCACAAAATAATGCACAAAATAGACTGTGCAGGGTAACTTGAAATACTTATTACCATACAGGCGAAATGTATAAAAAGCCAAAGAAAATCAAGCCACATCTCAGCCATGTTCTTTGGCGTTTCTTGGCCTCCATATCTATTTCCTGATAAGCAAAAATGTTAATGCAGAGACATATTTCCTGCACAGTACAAGTAAAATTTGAGCAAAGTAAAAGTTTCAGGTTCAATTCCTCCTCTTTCTTATGAAACCTCTGATGAACTTAGAGGTTAATTCCCTCTCAGATCTGGATTGAAAATAAAGTGGACATTGAACTTTGATGAATTTTTCAACCACTGCATTCTGGGGCCTCAACAAGCAAACACAGGACATTATTAATAGATTAATGGAAAACAGGAAAAGTTATGAAGAAAAAAGAATAAAAACAAGTTTATAATGCTTTATAGTAATTTGACTGGATGCTCATTTCTGACTACAAGGTGAAAGTATTAGAGGGAAATATGTTCTTTGCCGTCTTGAAAGTATATGACGCTAAACTGAATGGCAACTCACAGACTAAGAAATACAAATAGTCAATAAAATAGAAAAAAATGGGGCAAGCTTGCTGTAGTAAGAGATATACAAAATAAAATAATGTACCATGTTTCACTTTTCAAATTTCTTTTTAAAAGTTATTTAATGATAATCAAAAATTCTGGCAAGAATACAGGGAAACAGGTACAAGTTGAGCAGCCCTAATCCAAAAATCTGAAATTTAAAATGCTCCAAAATATGAAATATGTGGGTGCCAATCTGTTGCCACGTATGGAAAATTCCACACTTTACCTCATGCGATGGTTCACAGTCAAAACACGGGCATATAACACACAGTTTATTCAGCGGCCTCAAAAGAAAAAATCCCAACTGGCCTCCTCCATTGTGATATCTTTTCCACACAAATCCAGATACCCTCACACAAACACACCCACAAATGGTAATAAATGGCACAGGTACAGGCTGAATATTAATAATGGCAGGCTCCCCGTGATGCCCCACATTGTGCCAAGACCTGCATGCATTACACTGTGGGTTTTTGGTAATTCTCTGCTCTGTGGTGTAAAGATATTGTTGAAAATGTCAAAAAGGTCTGCAGATGCCCCTATGAGTAACTGATTTTTTAAAAAAGAAAGGATTTATGTTTATCTCTAGCACAGAAAGTCAAGTCAAGCTATTGGAGAAATTGGACAACAACGTAAGCCTGAAAAGTCTTACAGAAAGAAGATTATGGTGTTAGAATGACAACCATATATGACCTGAAGAAACAGAAGGATAAACTATCAAAATTCTATGCTGAAAGTGATGAAGAGAAGTTAAAAACATAGAAAAACACTGCAAAAATCTAAAAATGAAGATCTCAATTGTGTATTAAAAGAGTGGATCTATAAGCATCACAGTGAATATGAAAGGGTATGCTGACACTTGATGGTATGCTGATCATGAAACAAGCAAAAATCTATCATGGTATGCTGATGATGAGACAAGCAGAGATCTATCATGATTAAATGAAAATTGAAAGAAACCGTGGATATTTGACAGACTAATCCCAGAATTTTAAGAAAAGACATGTCATTAATTTTGTAAAGATCTGTGGTGATAAAGACCTGCTGATCACAAACAGCAGAGAAATCCATTGATGAGTTTGCAACCGTCATTGCTGACGAAAATCTGATACCAAACATGTCTACAATGCTGTTTAAACATCGCTGTTTTGTCATTATTGCACCAGAAATACACTGGCTACAGCTGACAAGACAGCCCCTAGAGGAATTAAGGATGCCAAAGGCAGAATAACTGTGTAGGGATGTGCTAAGGCAGCAGGCACACATAAGTGTCAACTTATTTATGACAGGCAAAAGCTTACATCCTCACTGTTTTCAAGGAGTGAATCTCTTACAAGTCCATTATTATGCTAACAAAAAGGTATGGGTCACCAGTAAATCTTTTCTGATCAGTTTCACAAACATTTCGTACCAGGGGCTCATAGTCACTGCAGGGAAGCTGGACTGGATGACAACTACAACATTTTGTAACTACTTGACAACTGTTTTATTCATCCTCCAGCTGAAATTCTCATCAAAAATATTTATGCCATATACTTTCCCCCAAATGTGTCTTCATTAATTCAGCCATGTGACTGTGATATTTTTAGGTCAATGAAGAGTAAATATAAAAACATATTTCTGAATAGCATGCTAGCAGCAGTGAACACAGGCATGGGTGTAGAAGGTTTTCAAAAGGAGTTTTTCATAAAGAATGCCACATATGCCATTGCCAGTGCTAGGAACACAGTGACAAAAGACACAGTTGTGCATGCCTGGCCTCTGACTATACTCCATGATGATGATTATGAACAAGGTGGTGACTTTGAAGGATTCCATGTCAGGCACGAAAAAAATTATGTCTGGCCTACTTACATAAACAAAACAATATACCTTCAGAGTCCATCAGTAAGCTGTAAGTAGATATCAAAGTTTTTAACATCAATAATGAAGGCTCTAGTGATTTATTTATTACCAATAATAAAATTGTTGAAACGTTTCTGAATGAAGTGATAATAGTGACAATGAAGATGTTAACACTGCAGGAAAAGCACCCATAGACAACAGGGTGAAAATGTGTCATGGGCTTATTGAAAGACTTGACCAGCATGCCTTCATAACAGAACAAGAGATCACGTCAGTTTGTAAAATCAAAGAGAGACTTCTAAGAGAAGAACTGTCGTTAATGAGGCAGAAGACTCTGAAGTAAAGATTTTTTAAAACCATCCAGCAGAGTGCCCCCTCAAACCTAAAAGACCCACCTCCTGAACCCTCAACTACTTCTGATGCCTCTTCTCACCTAAAAAATTAAAATATAGTATACAATAACCTTTTAATCAATACACAACATCATAGGTGTAGACTGAAAGTCTGCCATTGTTTGCTGTTGCTGTTGTTTAACAGCTGATAGGTATTCCATGACACTACTGTTGATTCTTAGTGAATCTGAACTCACTGTATTTTCACTGTACTAATGGCATGTCATTTTTTTACCATTAAGTATTTGTATGTGGATAGTGTAAGGAAATGATTGCTTATCAGTAGAATATAAATTTGGAGTCAGGAATGATGGCGATATCAAACAATCACAAATTGTCCATATGGATCTTACAGTTCAGTGTATACAAATTTTATTTCATGCACAAAATTATTTAAAATATTATATAAAATTACACCGAAGGTATGTGTATAAGGTATATATGAAACACAAATGAATTTTGTGTTTAGACTTGGGTCCCATTCCTAAGATGGCCCATCATGTATAGCAAATATTCAAAACCCCCTCAAAATTCAAAAACCAAAACACTTCTTCTGGTTCCAAGCATATTGGATAAGGGATCCTGTGTCTGTATTCTCACACGCTCCTAGTAAAGAGAGCAATTTACATGCCTGTGAGTAAAAGTTATTTGGTAGTAGACACAAAAAGGCTTAGAAATGCTCTAATCTTTGATATAGAAGATCTACTTCTAAAAATTTAACCTAAAGGGATTAATCTGAGATATGGCCAAAGAATTGGTTTAAATTGAAGAAAATAAAATGCAGCATACAGGGATTTAAAGAACAAAATACAGATAAACTTCAATACGATTAGAGCTATGAAAAAAATCAAATGCATCAAAACCTTTCAGCTGTGCATAGGAAAAATTAGAATATGCCTTATGTCCCTACTGGATTTCAGAGAGGTTAGCACAGTCTGATATATTATTTTCTTCAATGATAGTTCTGAAATAAAGGAAGGTTAATGGATTTATTGAATCATCTGTTAGAGTGGCTGCTACTTGGTCATCCAAACACTTCTGAGGTTTGTACATCAGAAATGTATTTATTTTTATCTTGGTTGTAGAATGGCAGCATTGTTTGGGAAGAAATTTTACATAAATTAAAATTAAATGAAAATATAGCATTACTAATTCTTATATTTATAGTCATTTGGATAGATAGATGATAGATAGATAGATAGATAGATAGATAGATAGATAGATAGATAGATAGATAGATAGATAGATAACAGACAGGCAGATAGATGATAGACACACACACACGTATCTCCATCAATTGGTTAGGTTATCACAAAATGACACTTTGGGGAAACAAATTTGCTTCAGCTTGGTCATAGGCTGAATTGTATCCTTTCAAAATTCATATGTTGAAGCCCTAACCCTCAGTACTTCAGAATGTGACTCTATTTGGAGACAGGTCCTTTAAAGAGGTAATTAAGTTAAAATGGGGCAAGTAGGGTGGGCTGTAATCAAACCTGACTGATGTCCTCATAAGAAGAGGAGATTGGAAGACACAGACATGGGCGAGTGCACAGAGGAAAGACCTTCTGAGGACACAACAAGAAGGTGGCCATCTGTAAGCCAGGAAGCATCCTCAGAGCAAGCCAGCTCTGCCAGAAACTTGATATCAAATTTCCATTCTCCAGAACTATGAGAAAATAAATTTGCTGTTTAAGCTGCCTAGTCTGTAGTATTTTGTTATGGCCACCCTAGCAAACTAATGCAAGCATGAAGCAGACATATCCATCCATATTCCAGGAAAGTTTGAATCCTCTTTAAAAAATGTAAGTGTAACTTTCAAGGTTGCAAAGTTACAATGATTCTCAAGCTATGCATGGTGAAGGGCCACTTTTTAAAATTTCAAATCTATTGTAGACCAATACTCTGAAAAATACAAAATCACATGTTTGGATGTTGCAGCAATGTCAAATTGCTGTGAAAGTTTATGAACACTCTCAAAGTCTGTACTTACCTTGTCATAGACAAGTAACAAGTAGTAAGTACATGGATCTACTGCTCCATGAGCCACTCTGGGTAAAACTGCCATAAATTTCATTTTGTCCAACCCCTTCAATGTACAGCTAAGAAAACTAAGATCCTGAGAGTTCAACACTTACTCAATATCACAAAACTTGCTAAATTTTCCTACAGCAATCATGTTTCCATTCAACCTTAAGTAAGTCACCAATATCCTCAATCTATTTCCTTTCCAGTTATGCTAATATCAGCCTGATTTCTCTCAATTTTTCTTCCTAGATATATATATATATATATCTCCACTTCTGTCATCATTAATATTTAGGAAAACTGAGTCATTTAATTATCTGGTTTCAGAAATTCTATCTCTTCTCTCAATAAATTACCTTTGCCATCTGTGAGAGACTCTTGCCTTCTGTACATTTTGCTTTCATGTACTTGAAACACATCGTATTATCAATCCTCTTGTACAATCTTCCCTTCATTTTCCACCTTTGATTTGCCTGAGCTTTTATACACTCTCGAAATTTATTCTGTAATCTTTTTCAGCCACTTCTGTCCCAACTGTTTCATATCTTGCATATGCCTCTTGCTCACCCTTGATTACTCTCCGCTTTGCTCCTTCATTTCCATGGTCTCTGTGAAGCCTGTATCGTGTTTATCATTCTATAGTTCACATAGACCCTTGGCACATGTATCAATTTTCGTTCAAATGCTTGCCATTTCCCTCTGCATCCTTCACTTCCATCAACATGTCTTATTTGTTTCCAATCATCACAGCCCATATTCTCCAGAAGACTGATTTTGTAGGCAGTGTTTTCTTAAGTACTCTTCCTTAAAGATTTATAAAAATATTTTTAATGAGATTTATAACCCTAAAATTATTTCCATGTCTTGATTATAAGTAATGATGGTACCTATCATGTTTTTCTCACTAGCTTTCCAGGAGACCAGTTGTGTGATGTTGGCTAGTAATTTAAATTCTATAGGTCATTTTTTTATCTTTAATATAATTTTATAGGCCCAATCTGGCACTAACATTTTTAATTCTAAATATTTACTATGTCATTCACATCTATTTCTGAAAAAGATAGTTTAATTGATCGTAACTTTTGGAATGTTCTATTGCTTTTCCTGCCATCTAATCCCACCTATCTTTCGAGGTTGATATCAGATTGCATGCCTCCATTAAGTCATTCCTCATTATTCCAGCCAATATTCATTCCTCTATACTTTAATTCCTCAGAGTCATATCTTATATTGATTATTTAGCCCTTAAGTATCAATTGTAGAATATGTCCAAGTTCATTGTCTCCTCAATAAATATGTACTCTTTGAAGAGAGTAGATATGAAATTTTAAATATAAAATATATATTACATTGAACTATACAAAATTGCCTTTTTTTTTTTTTTTTTTTTTGAGATACAGTCTCACTCTGTCACCCAGGCTGGAGTGCAGTGGTGCAATCTCAGCTCACTGCTGCAACCTCCACCTCCCAGGTTTAAGCGATTCTCCTGCCTCAGCTTCCTGAGTAGCTGGGACTACAGGTGCCTGCCACCATGCCTGGCTAATTTTTTGTATTTTTAGTAGAGACAGGGTTTCACCATGTTACCCAGGATGGTCTCGATCTCTTGGCCTCATGATCCGCCCACCTCGGCCTCCCAAAGTGCTGGGATTACAGGCATGAGCCACCCCCACCTGGCCAAAATTGCCTTTTTAGAAACAACTAAATATCAACTTTATGTTTCAATCAAATATATAAAATGTATTTAATTAAAACTCTATTGAGCACTTAAAATTTGACATCGTAGTAGACAACTTTATATATAGTGTTTCATTTAAGAGTGAAAACAGCCTAATGAGTTAAATATTGTTGTCTCTATTTTACAAACAAGGGAACTGAGCCTAAAATGGCTTAAATAATGTGCCAAGGTCATACAGTTGACAATATGCAGAACCAGGAGTAAAACTGAGATCTCCTCTCTAATTCCAGAGTTCTTGCTTCTTCCTCAAATTTTGTAGAACACAGCACAGCAAAAGCAAATATTGGTTTCTAATTTATAATAGAGAATCCCAATTGTGAAAAAACCTCTGAAAGTTATGTTTTTCTGTAATATTGTATTTAGCCATTTACAAAATAAGTTGGCAGCTCTGCAAGTATTAATACTAATATAGAATATACCACTGATATTCTGTTGAGTGAAGAAAGTTGTTGAAGAACAAAATTACAATATTATTCCACTTACAGGTTTAGAAAAAATCTACAAAGATGCCTTCATAGTAATATGAAAAATATATAATTAAATATTTATGTTTATGAAAATAGTATTTGGAAGCATGTATGAAGCATACAGCAAATGATCTTTGAAAACTTAGAGTGAGAACAGGAAGTAAAAGCTAGGGAGCTTCCTAATGTTACTTTTCATTCTTCTGAATTGTTCGCATCTTTTCCAACACTTATTTTATTTTGTCTAACAGGAAAAAGGGGAAGAGTCCTTTCCCACAATTGTTCATTTTAATGATAAACTACCTTCCCAATTAGAAACATCTCCTTATGGTTCATTTAAGCACCTTGTGTTGTAAAATGTACATGTTCTATCGCTGCTCACAGCATAGAAAACTATACCTGTCCATGTGAGAACTGATACTTAATTACCACTCTGTCTTTCTTCATATTCCCTATTTCTCATTCCCATTGTGATCATTGTAGTTTCCCACTGAACAAACAACAGAAACTCTGCAGTGACTTATAAAGGGCAAGCTGCAAGAGGCAGATGGAATCCCACTGAGCCCTCCCCTAGCAGCAAGATTACCTTTACTACAGAGTGGGCATTAATCCACCCTAGAGTTTTAAAGGATAACTCCTCCTAACTTGATTTTCTTGTCTTTTAATAAGTCTTTTCATCTCTTAACATTTTTATGACACTTCTATTTAAGGCATCAACCATTTTGTGGCTTAGCAAAGCATACCAGTATGTTGCTCCATAAAGGTAAGTAGGATCCATAATGATGCTCCTGAGAATTGTCTCCCACACTATCTAGAGATGTTCAGTCCACTATCATACTAAATGAAATTTTGCCAATTAGGAATAAATAGCTGCTAAGGGACTTCTTATAGAATGAAAATGACTTTGGAGACCTGTAAATTCTCAGACATTTATGTAAATCACTTTACTCAGATAAATATTCTCCAAAGACTCAGCTGGCCAAATAGTTGTTTAGGTCAAATGCCTTAGCAACAGGTGACAGATTCAAAGGCTTATGATTGACTGAGGGTGTGCTTCTCCAGAAAACCCTACAAAGGAGGGAGGGAAGCAGATTAAGCAAGAAAGGATGTGGTTTCAAGTAAACCAGGGCCAGATCCAGCTCTGTCCTACCTTAAGATGTAAGAGTTTGTGTCCTTTATCAGGAAGCATTGGCATCAAATGGGGAGGGCATAAATTCTAGGATTCTCTGGGCTAAGGAATAGACAAGTCCCCAGAAAAGGTTGGTGAGTGTTAGCAATTAGTCTCAGCCCTTCAAGCAGCTGAGGGGATGTATATGCTGGCTGAAAAAGTGAGTGGGACTAGGCCATGGCCCAGAACATCTCCCGCCAAAACTCTGATGAAGAACAGAGAAGAACAAAAGAGAGGTAATTGTGAATTCAGGCATTGAAGAATGTGGAAAAGCCAGAGATTGGATTAGACTTTGTTCCCCTCATTAAGAAGTCCCTGAGGGATAATGCAAAAAAAAGGGGGCCAGGAAGTGAAAAGAATTTATAAAGGTTTTGAGGAATTCTAAAACGAAATTTTTGCCCATTTAAAATTAATTTTAAAATATAAACATAGAACTTCATTCTGTCATTGACTAGACTGATTATTTTCCTATTAGAAATTAAAACCTGAGAACACTAAAGAATGAAGTATTATACATCTTCTACCATCTATTTGCAAGCATCACCTTGAAAAGCAATGGAAGGAAACATGTCGGTAGTTAGGATTAACTAGACACACCCACGTTTCTTATGCTCAGAACTCTACCAGAAAGAAGAGAACAGACCTATGATTTAGTGTCATCACATGCGTGGATGCTCATTGAACCCTCCTTGATTAATGTGACACCGTAAAGCACCACCTGGAATGATACCTCAGCCCACTAAAACCTCCTGAAAAATATCTTTCCCAGAAATATATTCACTCTTTTCAGACGCTGCAGCTTTCAGAGCGGTGTCAACTTATAATAGCTTCTTGACATTAATTACTGTGCCATCCCATAAGTTTAGCTCTCTGAAAAGCAGCCTGAAGCTGTCAGGGAGGGTCACATATTTTAATATCCACTTACCTTGACACCAGAGTAATTTGGAAGATGCTCACTTTCAGCTCCACAATCCCTTTCCAACATTCGGAGGAAAGTGACCCACCATCCAATCCGCAAATCTTGATTAATTCCTTCCACTTAGCATGTCCCAATTTCTGCCAAGGTATGTGGTCTGTAGATTGACAGTCTCGTTAAGAGCTTATTCAAGTGCTTGATTATACAGCTTTGGAAGTTTCTTGAGCCCTGAGAGTAGACTCTCCCTCCCTTCCCATTGCAGCACAATACCATGTCTAATACCCAGAGGCAAAAAGGCAAAGAGGCCTCAGATCTAAAACAGTCAGTGCTTAGGCCCCCGGCGCACAAGTTCTAGAAACAGCAGTTTCTGTCCTTAGGTTTTCTCTTCAGTGGCACCCAGGTGTCTGCCCAGTGTTGCTCCTCTAATAGGGTTTCTGAGAATTCAGGTAAAAGAAGAGAACTCCAAAGATAGGCACATGAAGGGATTGTGCACTCAAAATCTTTACCTGGAATCACTCTCCAAGGATGTAACTATTAGTGAAAGCTAAAGATCAAAGATAGAGAATAAAAGTAACTCAACTGGTTATGAATTTCTGAATAGGGTAAATGATGGCAGAAACCTCTAAGAGAAGCATTATATTCTTATTTAAAAGACATACCCTGTATCCCACTGACAAATTTCCTCTTCAACAGAAGCTAGAAAATGACAGCAATAATTTGATTCTGCTAAAATAAACGTTCAGTCTCCTTCCTAAGTAGTTCGGGCCCCCGGCATTTCTTTTAGGCCAGTTCATTGGAACTTAAAAAGTACTTTTCTAGTGAAACCATGTCAGTATGGGAGTTAAGGTCTTCACAACTTGTCATCATCAATTTAACCATATCATTTCGAATGTTATCATGTGTTTGAGACATGAGCTTTAATCTCAATAATAAATTATTACCCACATTTTCAGATTAAAAAAATAAAACTGAGGCATAAAGTCATATAGTAATTTGCCCAAAGTCACACAGTTAAAAAATAATAATAATAAACAGGCTAAGCCAGCATCGAAATGAAGGTTTGCCTGACCCCATAGCAAAACACATTCATAACCACTGTGTTCTACTTTCTCTTAGAATTACTACGGAGAAAACTCTTCTACCAAAAGGAGTAGGGTGTCCTCCACATGCAGTAATGTTTAATGAGAAATGAATTAGGTTTCCAAATCAAAAAATGCCCAAGCTACATTTTTTTTCTCTAAGGCCATCCCTAAAGCGAGAATAAAACCTCTTTTCCAAATTCTTCACAGCCCAACCCATCCTAGTCTCAGTTCAGTAACTACCTCTTTCTAGAAGCTTTCCCTATCTCCTTGCCCATCAGACCAGGTTAGAGGATACAGCTTCACGCTCCACAGCTTTCTGGATTTACCTCTGTTGCTACACTCACTTCACTGTATTGTAAGATCTCTGCCCTTTCTATCTCTTCATTGGACTGTGTGCTTCCTGCTGGCAGGAACTGTATGTTCTTCCTTTGATTCCCAGGGACCAATGCTTAGTAATGTACCAGCTGTAATTGACTGGTCTGAGCAAGGGTAAAGGCTGCAGGGAGATGGAGAAAGGGGTTGTAGGGATACGGGGATCCCTTGGAAAGATTCTCCCCTAGGGATCCTGTTTGGTCCTAGGTAGGCAGGACCCTCCTTTTCTGCTCAACCTTACAGATCATCTACAGCATTCTACCAATATCCCTATATTCTTATGGAGAATGGTCATTGCAGCAGAGAAAGCGAGAACAGGAGATAGCACACTGTCTCTTAAATATCTTTGTTTCATTTGTTAGCATTCATTAAATAACCTGGTCTAGGCACAAATGGAACTGAGGAGTCCAGTTTTCCCACGTGCGCAAGAGGACAGAAGAACTGGAAATGGGTAAGCACTAACAAACAACATGATGCAGAACTTTTTTGCTTTGTACCTTTGATTATGCAACCAAATCTTTAGATTATTTTTCAGAAAGGTAGGTGGCCACTGACTGAAGAAAGATTCATTGAT
The DNA here is from genome assembly GCF_000001405.40 of Homo sapiens. Lineage (NCBI taxonomy): Eukaryota > Metazoa > Chordata > Mammalia > Primates > Hominidae > Homo > Homo sapiens. Next base: position 81,259,625 of record NC_000009.12, read on the forward strand.
TATTTAAAGGAAAACTTGAAAGCAGTATCCACTTCTCTTTTTTCTTGAATAAACCACTATCATGAGCATTTCTTCATAGGAATAAGAAGCACCTTGAGTTGAAGAGGCAAAGGTTGAAACTGATCTCTGATTAGCACATTGGGTGAGAAAACAGCAAGTGTTGTGGAAAAATGAAATGCCTGAAGCCATCTGGCTAGGACAGCCGCTTTAATAAAAAGCACAAAAATTATACCTGGGCCAGTCTCACATAGCAGGTTAGCATCCACGAAGCTTTTTTTTAAGGGAAGAGTAGGTATTCTTTTTTGATTGTAGTAAAATATAACATGAAAGTTACCATTTTGACCATTTTAACATGTATACTCTATAACATTAAATACATTCACAATGTTGTGCAATCATCACTGCTATCTAGTTCCAGAATTTTTTTTATCCCCCCAAATGGAAATGCTCTACCCATTAAGCAATCTCTGTCCACTTCCCCTTCCCTACTCCCTGGAAACCACTAATCTGCTTTCTATTTCTGTGAATTTGCCTAGTCTGGATATTTCATATAAATTGGACCACACAATATGTGCCGTTTTGTTTCCGACTTCTTTAGCATGTTTTCAAGGTCCATCTATGTTGTACCATGTATCAGTACTTCATTCTTTTCATGAGTAGATAATATTTCACTGTATAAATATACTATGTTTTCTTTCTTTATCAGTTGGTGAATTAGAGTCTTTCCATTTTTGTAGCTACTATGAGTACTGTTGCTGTACACTTTCATATACAAGTTTTCACCCGAACACTCATTTCCAATAATTTTGGATATATACCTAGAAGTGGAATTGCTGGGTCATAAGATAATTCTGTGTTAACTTGAGCAACCCTACAAAGCTTTTTAACATACTTATTATATTTAATCTTCTCAACATCCCTGAGCTATGCATTATTATCCCCATTTTAGAGATAGGGCTCAACATTCAGAATATTGCCAAGCTAAACCTTGATTCACCATTCTACAGTAAAGATTTTACATGACCACAGTGAAAACCCAACTGAGACACTTATTTCTGCATATATTTCTCCACCCCTCCCCCACCATCTTAAACATAAAATAAATCTTAAAATAGAACATTCCATAATAGTGATAGAGGACAATACTGCAGACTCTAGGATAAAGGAAACTCTGTGGACCCTTCCTAGCTTCTCCATTCTTGTGTATGCTTCATTAATTCAATATTTAGGTCATTGGTTTCATTATCTTGAGGGAATTAGCACTGTAAGAATGAAAAATAAAACAAAAACTAGACCTGTTTCATATTTTCATATATGGAAATGACTCATTGTCCCAAGACATCAGAGGTAGTGGTGTGCAAGAAAGTAATAAATGCAAAGAAATGGGAGATGGACATCTCAGCTCAAAATCTCCTTAAGCAACTTCAGCAAAGTCTCAGGATACAAAATTAATGTGCAAAAATCACAAGTATTCCTATACACCAATAATAGACAAACAGAGAGCCAAATCATGAGTGAACTCCCATTCACAATTACTACAAAGAGAATAAAATACCTAGGAATCCAATTTACAAGGGATGTGAAGGACCTCCTTAAGGAGAACTACAAACCACTGCTCGATGAAATAAAAGAGGACCCAAACAAATGGAAGAACATTCCATGCTCATGGATAGGAAGAATCAATATCATGAAAATGGCCATACTGCCCAAAGTAATTTGTAGATTCAATGCCACCCCCATCAAGCTACCACTGACTTTCTTCACAGAATTGGAAAAAACTGTGCTAAATTTCATATGGAACCAAAAAAGAGCCTGCATAGCCAAGACAATCCTAAACAAAAAGAGCAAAGCTGGAGGCATCATGCTACCTGACTTTAAACTACACTACAAGGCTACAGTAACCAAAACAGCATGGTACTGGCACCAAAACAGATACATAGACCAATGGAACAGAACAGAGGCCTCAGAAATAACACCACACATCTACAACTGCCTGATCTTTGACAGACCAGATAAAAACAAGCAATGGGGAAAGGATTCCCTATTTTATAAATGGTGCTGGGAAAACTGGCTAGCCATATGTAGAAAGCTGAAACTGGATCCCTTCCTTACACTGTATACAAAAATTAACTCAAGATGGATTAAAGACTTAGATGTAAGACCTAACACCATAAAAACCCTACAAGAAAACCTAGGTGGCCAGGTGCAGTGGCTCACACCTGTAATCCCAGCACTTTGGGAGGCCGAGGCAGGCAGATCACGAGGTCAGGAGATCAAGACCATTCTGGCTAACACGGTGAAACCGCGTCTCACTAAAAATACAAAAAATTAGCCGGGCGTGGTGGCAGGCACCTGTAGTCCCAGCTACTCCAGAGGCTGAGGCAGGAGAATGGCGTGAACCCGGGAGGTGGAGCTTGCAGTGAGCTGAGATCGCGCCACTGCACTCCAGCCTGGGCAACAGAGCGAGACTCCATCTCAAAAAAAAAGGAAAAAAAGAAAACCTAGGCAATATCATTCAGGACATAGGCATGGGAAAAGACTGCATGACTAAAACACCAAAAGCAATGGCAACGAAAGCCAAAATAGACAATTGGGGTCTAATTAAACTAAAAAGCTTCTGCACAGAAAAAAAACTATCATCAAATTGAACAGGCAACCTACACAATGGGAGAAAATCTTTGCAATCTACCCATCTAACAAAGGGCTAATATTCATAATGTACAAAGAACTTAAACAAATCTACAAGAAAAAAACAACCCCATCAAAAAGTGGGCAAAAGATATGAACAGACACTTCTCAAAAGAAGACATTTATGCAGCCAACAGACATATGAAAAAATGCTCATCATCACTGGTCATTAGAGAAATGCAAATCAAAACCACAATGAGATACCATCTCACACCAGTTAGAATGGTGATCATCAAAAAGTCAGGAAACAACAGATGCTGGAGAAGATGTGGAGAAATAGGAACACTTTTACACTGTTGGTGGAAGTGTAAATTATTTCAACCATTGTGGAAGACAGTGTGGCAATTTATCAAGGATCTAGAACTAGAAATACCATTTGACCCAGCCATCCCATACTGGGTATATAGCCAAAGGGATATAAATCATGCTACTATAAAGACACATGCACACGTATGTTTATCGTGGCACCATTCACAGTAGCAAAGACTTGGAACCAACCCAAATGTCCATCAGTGATAGACTGGATTAAGAAAATGTGGCACATATACACCATGGAATACTATGCAGCCATAAAAAAGGATAAGTTCATGTCCTTTGCAGGGGCATGGATGAAGCTGGAAACCACCATTCTCAGCAAACTAACACAGGAACAGAAAACCAAACACCACATGTTCTCACTCATAGGTGGGGGTTGAACAAAAAGAACACATGGACACAGGGAGGGGAACATCACACACTGGGGCCGTCGGGGGGTGTGGGGCTTGGGAAGGGATAGCATTAGGAGAAACACCTAATGTAAATGACAAGTTGATGGGTGCAGCAAGCCAACATGGCACATGTATACCTATGTAACAAACCTGCACATTGTGCACATGTACCCTAGAATGTAAAGTATAATAAAAAATAATAATAATAATAAAAGGAGAGGAAAGCACAAAATATATAAAATACACAGAATTATATATAGAATTAATGGGAAAAAAAAGAAATGGGCGAGGGAGGGCATAAGTGGAGATATGGAAGACATAGACAAAAGAATTTCACCTCCTGCCTTGCTGCAACACACATTCTGTGGCTAAAAGTCCTAAGAAACTTTGAAAAGCTGGTGTTTTAACTTTTGGATAGTTTTTGATCCAGCTCAAAGCTATCCATTTCTGGAAATTGGCTCCTTCTTCCACAGGATAAGAGTGGTGGGTGGGGAGATCTAGAAGCCAGGTTTGCACTTTGGGAGCCTGACCATTGGTCTCAGTTGACTGAAACTGAAGCAGGCTCGGCCAATCAGATTCTTTTGCCTAGAAACTTGGAATTCAAATTCAAATTCAGAAAGTAGTTCATCTCTGCATGTAGTTAATACCATAATGTGAAAACAGAGCTATGGAGTAGCCACACAGTGCTTTATAGATGAATGAGTAACTTAAAAGATGAGCAGAAGGGATGGAACTGGAGGTCATTATGTTAACTGAGATAAGTCAGGCACAGAAAGATAAACTTCACATGTTCTCACTTATTTGTGGGAGTGAAAAATCAAAAGCAACTGAACTCATGGAGATAGAGAATAGAAGGATGTTTATCAGAGGCTGGGAAGGGTGGGGGCATTGTGTGGGGGAAGTGGGAATAGTAAATGGGTACAAAAAAAATAGAAGGGAACAAGATCTAGTATTTGCACAACAAGGTGACTATAGTCAAGTATAATTTAATTGTACATTTCAAAATAAAACAGTATAATTGGACTGTTTGTCACATAAAAGATAAATAGGGTATCTAAATACCCTATTTTCTATGATGTGATTATTACACATTTTATGCCTGTATCAAAGTATCTCATGTACCCTGTAATTATATACATCTATTATGTACCCATAAAAATTAAAAAGATTTTTTAAAAATAACGAGGTGGGTGGATCACAAAGTCAGGAGTTCAAGACCAGGCTGGCCAAGATGGTGAAACCCCATCTCTAGTAAAAATACAAAAATTAGTCGGGGTTGGTGACAGGTGCTTGTAATCCCAGCTACTCAGGAGGCTGAGGCAGAGAATTGCTTGAACCTGGGAGGCAGAGGTTGCAGTGAGCCGAGATCATGCCACTGCACTCCAGCCTGGATGACAGAGCGAGACTCCGTCTCAAAAAATACTAAAAATTAAAAAAATAAAATAAAATAAGGAGGGGGTTACACAGAGAGAGAGAGGGGAAAATGAAGCTGCGGCACCAAAACAAAAAGTGGAAAAGGGGAAGCGGGGAGAGAGGAAGTCAGCGTTTGCCTATTCCAGTCCAGTCCCTTCCTGGAAACCTAGGATTCTGTGTGAACCCCTCTATCCTTGTCATAAATTCCATTTGGCTTAAGCTATCTGGCAGACTGACCATCTGTTCACTAAGCCATTTCCTTGAGCACACAGCCAAACTACACTCCCAGCCTCTTAATACAATTAGCTGTGGCCATGTGGCCAGGCCCTGACCCATGAGATGAGAGGAAGGGATATTCTCTACATTCAGTCTTGGCAATAAGAACTCTCCCCGTGACTCTCCACAGCAATCTTTCTTCCTGTGCCAGTGAGGTGTCAGCACCCAGAACAATGGCAAAAGCCACACACTGAAGACGTCCGAGCCTCAGTAGTCTAAGTACCTGAAAGAATGCTTGGAGCAGCCATCCCACCCTCACCAAGCAGGTTTTATAAGCTCAAGAAATCCATTTCTCTGTGTTGAGATTTTACAGAGATTTCAAGTTTTATGTGACACAACACCAAGCTTTATCTAAACTGATACAAGGCAGTTTGAGTGGGCTTTTCTTTTGAAACCTGCCATTGAAAAGTCTTAAAACATCACACCTCCAACAGGCATCTCTCCTCATTTCAGTTGCTGCCTGTTGAAAAGGTGGAAGATCTTGGGCCAAACACTTCTCATGCCTGTGTTCTGGGGCCTGCAGAAAAGGGCAGAGGTAAAGGATTCAATCTCCAGAATGTCAAACAAGGCCACCTCACGTGACCTCACATACCCAAATACACTGCCTTTGTTCTGGGAGATATTCTTTGAATGCTTTACCAGGTCTCAGAGTACATCAGCCTCCCTCTCAGAGTCTCCATATGGCTGTGCAAGCTAAAAGCAAAAGCCTTTCATGTGGAAACTTTGTATTTCTATTGAAGTCAGTACTGAAACGTGTTTCCATTCCAAATGATTCCAGCAGATTTCCAAGATGGCCCAATAACACCCTGCTCAATTATTAGAGTTCTAGCAAAGAAGGGGCTAACCAAAGAAAATAGTTTTACCAAAGAGCTATATTGACAGCCTCTGTGCTTGCGAGTATTCTGGAAAACACCAGGCACGAAAAGGATAGTTCTATATGTGTAATATGCAAATTTTGTATTTTCCCCATTTAAGCAGTAACTCCTGCCTAAGACCAAATGGAATGGAGTTGCAAGTGCTGTTAACAGAGAGAACCTGTAAGGCAGATCTTGACATTATTTTACAAACTTAATTGGGCCGTCTGGTCAATAAAATATCTCCAGGAAAGATCTTAAAGTGCAATGGTGCTCATTACAAGCCCAAATGCTTGTTTTAAATAGCATGTAGTTTTTACAGTATTTAAACTAATGATCTTCATTGTCTATAACATGTGTAAGATTGAAGGTGTGACAGTGGTTATATTCAGGGCAAACAACAAAGATACCTTACCTTGAAGCTATTTTATCAATCTTTCAAGAGGAAAAAGCCTCCAAAATGTGGGGAAATACTGGAGCCACTGTTTTGAATGTGTTTTTTCAGCAGTTATGCCAAGGGCTTGGGGGATCCTGAGCACATAAAACCAACCACCATCCAACCCAACTGCACTCTTTCCCAAACCCTTCTGATGCCTCCCTTTACCATTTTGCTCTTGCCTCTAAAACAAATCCCACACAATTTGATAAGCTAAGTATGTGAAAGATCACAAAACCAAAATAGAATGTGGCCTTTGCATTCCTGAGAGACCTCATCCATGTCCTCAGAGACATGTGGTGGTGGGAGGGGGTGAAATTTCCTCAGCACCTCTTCTCATATTTCAATATCGTGATCCACAAAAGGGCAGTGATGATATGGAAGAATTTTCAGCAGGACCGTACTGTTTCCTACTTGAATATTGCATACTAAAAGACACAAATAATCTTATCTAATTTTTATAAGGAGAGTACAAAATGAAAACTACAATTCCTGCTTTACAGATTTGAAGAGTAGACTAGAAGAGGATGTAGAGGTCAACTAGCCTAGAGAGAGACTTCTGATTTTAAGAACAGCGTTCATTTTGTGCTCCACATACTCTTTCCAATGTGAAGACCTATTGATCTAATATCACTTTTTCCTTCAGGACTATTAAACTAAGTCTAGGAGAATGTCATTGACACTCATTATAGCCTTATAGACAAAGGAGAAATATCTGGATAGATACTAAGGATACACATAGTACAATTTACAGCTGATTCTACAGCCCAATCCAAAGATTACTGATTGAGTAATCAGCTGAGGTTGACCAAAAGAATGACTGCTAGTAACAGTCAGGCTCACTCTCTGACAAAGTTCTGACTCACACTTATCAATTGCTTGTGATTAACACATAAGATGTACACTCATCAAATTTGTTGTAAACAAAACAGTGTTGATGGTTAATAGTTAGGTGGCAAAACCACAGCAAAGACAGCATTCAAATTCACTGCCCATGTACAATGTTCTTACAAACTGGAACAGGCTCTAGGGTTCTCTGTACCTGCTGCTGGTTGGAGCAAGAGGAGATAATTGATTCAAATTGTGTCAATCAACTTCCCATACTTGGAACTGATAATTTGGGTAGAAATCATAGTTGGCTAGCCAAGTGCCCTGGTCTAAAAGTAACATAAACCCAGAGACTGCAAGCACAGAGTAGGAGTATCCCTGATTAGGCAGGAGAAAGTAAGATGGAAGGTATATTCTATTAAGAAAGGAAAATGTGAAGCAAACTATCAGAGAAGGGTGGATAAGAGGTCATATGACCCCAGACTAAGGGAAATGAGAAGGTCATCGTGCCTGAAGACTGACATTTCTCAGGTCCAGTCTCTCACCAGCCTCAGCTGTGATTTCTACCCTTGGATTCTGTAAAACATTCCTCATCCCTGATCATGAGTTGCTTTGTTTGTTTTTTCACCTAAACTGGATGAAGGGTTTCTGTTCCTTATAAGCAAACAACCAAAGGATTAACCAAATTTATGAATATATTAAAATCCTGCTTCCCCTGAAGGAGTGAACAAGATGGAAGAGGCTAGTTGCCTACACTCTTCAGAACAGCATCCTAGGCGCAGGATTTTCAATCTCTGCCTCCCAGAAGCCTCTCAGAGGAATTAGTCTTGACTCTACCTGGAAGGGTAGATGATTCACCTCTGCAGATCTGTAGCCTTTACTCTCTAGTATTCTGTCCCATCACCTCTAGCTGCTTTTATGTCCCATGTCCTGCAGCTCTTCCTCCTTTCAAGGCATCCCTGGGTTCCACCTCAATTGCCCTCCCTGTACTGCAACCAGGAAACTCACGCAGGAGCAAGCCAGGGCAATCTCAGGACCCACCTCCTTGTTCTTGTCTCTTAATGATCTCTGCTTTTCTGATTGATGTCCCATACCTTGAAAACTATGTTTTGTGTATTATTTTCATTTTTCTATTGTTTTGGATGGAGGGTAAAATTTATCCGTGTTATTCCATCCTTACAGAAAGCAGATGACTTCAAGTGGTTTTTGACCATCTTCTTTAGTAATACAGGCCAAGTGGATTCTCACCACACTTTGGAAGGTGAGAAAAGAGCCACCTATTTTCTTGGGTGTTCAACCAAACAAAGACATCTCATTTTAAAAGTTACAACGTAAAATGGATAGCTCCCCCACAGTGTTTTGTTTGGCTGAATTTCCATAAACAGTTTTATACAGCCACAGCAAGTGATGACAGACAGTGATTATGAGTCAGGTATTTATGGTTTATTCTGGCCCATAACTTCCCAAGATGTGTTTTTTACACTGTTACATACAGAGCAACTCCAATGGAATAATGATCTTAAAATCCCTTCAAAAGAATCCATTTGTAAAATGTGTAATTTCTTCAAGCTTAATTATAATGAGTGTAATTATATTAGTCAGGGTTCTCTAGAGGGACAGAACTAATAGAAATATATATATATATATATATATGAGTTTATTAAGTAGTATTAACTCAAACGATCACAAGGTGCCAAAATAGTCTGTCTAGAAGCTGAGGAGCAAGGAAGCCAGTCTGAGCCCCAAAGCTGAAGAATTTAGAGTCTGATGTTCGAGGACAAGAAGCATCCAGCACAAGAGAAAGATGTAGGCTGGGAGGCTAAGCCAGTCTAGCCTTTTCACATTTTTTTCTGCCTGCTTTATATTTGCTGGCAGCTGATTAGATTGTGGCCACCCAGACTAACAGTGTGTCTGCCTTTCCCAGCCCACTGACTCAAATGTTAATCTCCTTTGGCAACACCCTCACAGACACACCCAGGATCAATACTTTGCATCCTTCAATCCAATCCAGTTGTCACTCAATATTAACCATCACAAGTCTGACCCTTGTCAACTTGAACCCATACACACCTCCTGAGATCATACATAATCTTCAAATAAAGACAATAATAAGGTCATAATTACACCTAACATAATACCACTATCCTTTGTACAACCAGAAACACACCAATCCCCAACCCAAATGCTATTACAGAAAGTTAACAATACTAAAATCCTGATATAAAGTCAATAAACCTTATGTCACATGATAAACGGAAAAGAAAATAAAGATATTTTCTAAGTTCAAGTGTATACATGCACAAACATGTTTTTAACAAACAAGGAGGAAATACGACAATTACAGTCCTCGTTTTTGCAACTGGTCATGTGGTCGTAGCTAGTATTGATGACTACCTTCTTCTACTACCCATTTTTTTATTCCCTTTGCCTTCAGCAAGCACCTCAGCAGGTCATGGATTTTTCCCTGATGGAATAACCCAACCCTTCATTCCTGAAGGGTCTGGGTAATTTGTAGTCCTGCCTGGATTGGGCTGTTGTAGTTTCCCATTGACCTCAATCACAGGGCATGGTAATACTAAGAGAGACCCTAATGGATCTCCTGTATTCCATGCATAGTCTTCCTTATCTCCGTTGTAAAGTAGTAGACTGATTTCATCTTCACAGTCCGGGTCAATCATCCCAGCCAACACTGTAACTCCCTTCTTAGCCTATTGACTTAGAAATAGGAGGAACCCAAAGTGTGCAGGTGACAATCTTAACTTCCAGTTCAGTGAAATTGTTGTGTCTCCTGGTGGCAGCGTTCCTCCCTCTGGAACTAAGACGTCTAGGCCAGCAGAACGTAATGTCGTGGGAAAAGGTAGCAAAAATTTTGCTAGTGGATCACTGGGGGTGATGGTGAGTGGTGCCACTTCCACTTCTACTCCTTGATTCCTGGACCTGTGAATCTTGGCTATGGGAGAAGCAGTACCATATATTGGATGCTGATGCAGAGCATACACAGCCTTCTGGAGAACTTTGCCCCAACCCTGCAAAGTATTGTCACCTAGTTGGTTTTGTAATTTTGACTTCAAAAGGCCATTCTACCATTCTATCGATCCAGCTGCTTCAGGATGATGGGAAACATGGTAAGACCAGTGAATCCCATGAACATGATGAGCCCACTGCCACACTTCTTTAGCTGTAAGGTGAGTGTCTTGGTCAGAGGCAATGCTGTGTGGAATACCATGATGGTGGATAAGGCATTCTGTGAGTCCATGGATGGTAGTCTTGGCAGAAGCATTGCGAGCAGGATAGGCAAACCCATATCCAGGGTAAGTGTCTATTTCAGTGAGGACAAGCCGCTGCCCTTTCCATGACTGAGGAGGTCAAATATTATCAACCTGCCGCCAAGTAGCTGGCTGATCACCCCAAGGAATGGTGCCATATTGAGGGCTCAGTGTTGGTTTCTGTTGCTGGCAAATGGGCACTCAGCAGTGGCTGTAGCCATGTCAGCCTTGGTGAGTGGAAGTCCATGTTGCTAAGCCCATGCATAACCTCCATCCCTGTCACCATGGTCACTTTGTTCATGGGCCGATTGAGCGATAACGGGTGGCTGGGGAAAGAAGCTGAGTGGTGTCCATAGAATGGGTCATCCTATCCACTTGGTTATTAAAATCCTCCTCTGCAGAGGTCACCTTTTGGTGAGCACTCACATGGGATACAAATATCTTCACAGTTCTTGACCACTCAGAGAGGTCCATCCACATACCTCCTCCTCACATTTCTTTGTCACCAATTTTCCAATCATGCTTCTTCCAAGTCCCTGACCATCCAGCCAATGGTTATTGATGGTTATTGGCTACAGCCCATGAGTCAGTATATAATCGCACATCTGTCCATTTCTCTTTCCATGCAAAGTGCACAACCAGGTGCACTTCTTGAAGTTCTGCCCACTGGAAAGATTCCTTTTCACCACCGTCCTTCAGGAATTTCCTAGAAAGGGGCTGTGGTGCTGCAGCTATCCACTTTCGGGTAGTGCCTGCATATCATGCAAAACCATCTGTGAACCAGGCCCTAGTCTTCTCTTCCTCTGTCAACTGATCACAGGGAACTCCCCATGAGGACATCTGTACAGGCTGGGGGAGAGAAGGTAGGGTGGCAGGAGTGGAGACCATGGGCATTTGAGCCACTTCCTCATGTAACTTACTTGTGCCTTCAGGACCTGCTAGAGCTTGATCAGGTATATGCCACTTCCACTTGATGATGAAATGCTGCTGTGCACGACCCACTTTGTGGATAGATGGGTCAGAAAGCACGCAGTTCATGGAGGCAGTTCAGGTCACGTGGTGACTTGATGACCCATAGTCAAACGTTCAGTTTCCACCAAAGCCCAGTAACAGGCCAAGAGGTATCTCTCAAAAGGACAGTAGTTATCTGCAGAAGATGGCAGGGCCTTGCTCCAAAATCCTAGAGGACTCCATTGTGATTCACCTATGGGGGCCTGCCAAAGGCTTCAAACAGTATCCCCATTTACCACTGACACCTCAAGCACCATTGAATCTGCTGGGTCATATGGCCCAAGTGGCAGGGCAGCTTGGACAGCAGCCTGGATCTGTTGCAGATCCTTCTCCTGTTCTGGACCCCACTCTCGGTACCAAAATCTGTATTATTCAGGGTTCTCTAGAGGGACAGAACTAATGGAATATATAGATAGATATATGGGAGTTTATTAAGTAGTATTAACTCAAACGATCACAAGATCCCACAATTGGCCATCTGCAAGCTGAAGAGCAAGGAAGCAAGTCCAAGTCCCAAAGCTGAAAACCTTGAAGTCCGATGTTCAAGGGGAGGAAGCATCAGCACAGGAGAAACATGTAGGCTGGGAGGCTAGGCCAGTCCAGCCTTTTCACATTTTTCTGCCTGTTTTATATTCTGGCCACACTGGAAGCTGATTAGATGGTGCCTACCCAGATTAAGGGTGGGTCTACCTTTCTCAGTCTGCTCACTGAAATGCCTCCTTTGGCAACACCCTCACAGACACACCCAGGATCACTACTTTGCATCCTTCAATCCAATCCAGTTGACACTCAGTATTAACCATCACAGTGATGAAAGGTGAATCATAAATTGGGGCCACAGCAAGGCACAGGAAAGGGCATGTGTTTCAGGCCTAAGTTTGAATCCTGGCTTCTTTGTTTATTGGCTATGTCAACTCAGGCAACTTTCTTAATCTCCCTGAACTGCCAAGAATTCAAGCTGTGTTCAAATAGGAGAAATAGGTTCATGATTAACTAGTAAGGTGTGATAACATAATAGGATGCATTGTTTCCCATATAATAACATGTAATAATATAAGGTAATTAAGATATAAAATAATTATAATGAATTTTAATATATTATAAGAATTAGCATTACTATATGGGTACAATGGGTTCTCATCACAGAGACTACAGCAGTCTGAAATCTGCGTGAACATGGACATTCTAGACCTTCTAGCATAATAAACAAGTTTACATAAGAAACAATTCCCTGTGCACTGCAGTTTGTAGGTTCAAACTTAGAGGTGACCCAAAGGTACTCCATCAATTTCAATACTTCTCTATTTTAATGATGAACAAATGAAACATTAGTAGATACAATTGTAAGAGGAAAGTTACTTATCACTACCACTAAACTCCTTGTACTTGAGTAGAGATTCCTAAAGCCTTTTTCTCTAACTAGATTGTGTTTTCTTTGCTGACTTTCTCATCTGTAGAATGGGGACAATAGAGGGACAACATGCCACCATTACAAGAATTGAACAAGCACCGAGCATGACACTCTACAAATCCGAACTATAGCTAATTTTATACACACAGAGGCATTCATGTGTTTTGTATCACAGCAGGTTCAGAGTTTACAAGCTCTCAGCAGAATTATCACAATTATAGACCAATTGAATTGCTTTGAATAAAATAAAAACCACAGATTAAATATGGTGCCTTCAAAGATGGTATACCATGTTGTTAGTCTCTTAATTAAAATTGTAGAGTAATATTTGCCTATTTATAGTGAGAACATTTTTGGGAGTTGTCATGTAATGTTTGTATCCCTCCAAAATGCAATGTTGGAACCCTAACCCCAATGTGGTGGTATGTGAAGGTGGGGTCCCCAGGATGGGATGAGTGTTTTACAAGAAGAGGTAGAGACACCAGAGCTCTCTCACTCTTTCCACTATGTGAAGACACAGACAGAAGGTGGCCATCTGTAAGCTAGGAAGAAAGTCTTCACCAAGAACCCTGATCTCAAACTTCCAGCCACCAGAACTCTGAGAAAATAAATGTCATTTGTTGAAGCCACCTAGCCTACAGTATTTTGTTATAGCAGCCTGAGGAGACTAGCACAGAAGCCATTGTAAACATATTGGGTTAATATTGGTTATTCTACTTACCAACTCAAGTCTGAAAAAGTAAAAACAAAAATAAAAAAAAAGGGACCAAAAATTATCAAGAATTCTGAAATTCTGAATTCTTCAGGTACAATTACAGGTAAAGTTACAATTCCCCAATAGGAGTCTAAGTTTCTTGAGAGTAAGGACTATTTATTGTTTATTATTGTCTATACTTACCATTTCTAATATAAGTAAATGTGTGGTAAAGTGACCAGATTCTGGATACCTCCCTCTTTTCTCCATCTTTTTTTTTTTTTTTTTTTTTTTAAGATGAGATCTCACTATGTTGCCCAGGCTGGTCTCAAACTCCTGAGCTCAAGCTATCCTCCTGCCTTGGCTTCCCAAAGTGTGTTCTCCATCTTTAAATAGCATATGTAAGTAGAAAAAGAAACACATTAATTACCTAAATAGACACATCTATATTTAAAACTGGATTTGTAGTAATAGAAGTTGCTATTCCAGAAATTTGCTCTTTGGCACATCAAATTATTTTCCATTCTTCTTGATGCATTGATCACTCTCTTTTTCTTTTTCTTTTTCTTTTTTTTTGAGATGGATTCTCCCTCTGACTCCCAGGCTGGAGTGCAGTGGTACGATCTTGGCTCACTGCAACCTCCACCTCCTGGGTTCAAGCGATTCTCCTGTCTCAGCCTCCTGAGTAGCTAGGACTACAGGCGTGTGCCACTACACGCAGCTTATTTTTTGTATGTTTAGTAGAGAAGGGGTTTCATCTTGTTGTCCAGTCTGGCCTCGAACTCCTGACCTCAAGCAATCGGCCCACCTCAGCCTCCCAAAGTACTGGAATTACAGGCATGAGTCACCATGCCTGGCCTGATTATTTTGATTCTACTTTACCTATCCATACCTTCCCATCCTTTGATGCACTGTTCATTCAGGAAGTTTTCCATATGTTCTCCAGCCCTTACTGATCTGCCTCACATGCAGATTTAGAAAACACCTGTGTTCTGCTACACAGTTAAGAAGTTTTTCCATTCATCTATTGATGCACACTTAGGTTTATTCCATATCTTGGCTACTGTGCATACAATAATCATATTGGTGCAGATAACTCTTCAACATACTGATCTCCTTTTCTTTAAATATATACCCGGTGGTGGGACTGCCACATCATTTTGTAATTATATTTTCAGTGTTTTGAGGAACCTCTGCACCATTCTCCACAGTAGCTGTACTAATTTACATTCCCACCAATAGCATATAAGAGTTCCCCTTTCCCTGTATCCTCACCAGCATTTATTTTTTACCTTTTTGACAATAGCTATTCTGAGGTAAATTGATAAAGAAAATGTGGTACATGCATACAATGGAATACTGCTCAGCTGTAAAAAAGAATGAAATTTTGTTGTTTGTAGCAACATAGATGAACCTGAAGAACATCATGTTAAGTGAAATAAGCCAGGCACAAAAAGATAAATACCACACATGCTCTTATATATATGTAGAAGCTAAAAAAGTTGATCTTATAGAAGTAGAGGGTAGAATAGTGGTTACCAGAGGTTGGACAGGATAGTGGAGAGGAGGAATAGGGACAGGTAAATTAAGGGATACAAAATCATAGCTAGATAGGAGAAATAAACTCCAGCATTCTATACCACTGTGCGGTGACTGTGGCTAACAGCAATGCATTGTATATTTTCAATTAGTCAGAAGAGGATTTTGAATATTCCCAAAACAAAAAAGTGATAAATATTTGAAGTGACAGATATGTTCATTACCCTGATTTGATCCTTACACATTGTGTAAATGTTTCAAAATATCACTCTGTACCCCATCAATATGTGCAATTATATGTGCAATAGTCTGGTCTCACATTGCTATAAAGAACAACCTGAGACTGGATAATTTATAAAGAAAAGAGGTTTAATTTACTCACAGTTCTGAGGGCTGTACAGGAAGCATGACTAGGGAAGCCTCAGGAAACTTACAATCATGGCAGAAGGCGAAGAGGAAGCAGACACGTCTTACATGGCCAGAGAAGGAAGAGAGCGAAAAGGGAGGTGTTACACACTTTTAAATAACCAGATCTCATGAGAACTCACTCACTATCATGAGAACAGCAAGGGGGAAATGCGCCCCCATGATCCAATCACCTCTCACCAGGCTCCCCTCCAACATTGGGGATTATAATTGACAGGAGATTTGGGTGGGGATATAAATCCAAACTGTAACAATGTGTCAATTAAAAATAATTTTTTAAAAAGTTTTTTTTACTCAGTCGTTATTTCTGACATCTCAAAGTAGCTCTCCTACAGAGGAAAAAACACTAGAATTCAAATGTTAAACCCTGGGTTCAAACTCTGGTCTCATTAGTTACACAGGCTATGGCCATTTGTTACTTAACATTTCTGTAACTCAATTTCCTCATAAGTAAAACAAGAATCATGTCTTAAAATTCCATGTTTTCTCACAGAGCCTGGAAAATGTTTTGTCAATTTTTCTTTGGTTTGATTGATTCATTGAGTGATTGATAAAATTATTACTGATAGTAGAAATTTTGCAGACCTCACAAAATTCTCCAGATATAAAGCTATAAAGCTGATAGCCCATAGTATTTTCTCTTTTTTTTTTTTCTTTTTTGAGATGGAGTCTCACTCTGTTGCCCAGGCTGAAGGGCAGTGACATGATCTCGGCTCACTGCAACCTCCGCCTCCCAGGCTCAAGTGATTCTCCTACCTCAGCCTCCCAGGTAGCTGGGATTACAGGTGCATGTCACCATGCCCAGCTAATTTTTGTATTTTTAGTAGAAATAAGGTTTCACTGTGTTGGGCAGGAGGGTCTCAAATTCCTGGCCTCAAATTATCTACCCACCTCAGCCTCCCAAAGTGCTAGGATTACAGGTGTGAGCCACTGTACCCAGCCCCATCATATTTTCTTTATGTGGCTGGTGTTCTTGTATTATCACTCAGATACAGAATTGCTTGCCCTGATGCTTGTGGACATCAGGAGTGCTACACATGCCCTGAGATGGTACAAAAAGATTATTTGTGTAAATCCCATTTGTCTTTCAAGGGAAGAAGAGATGGCCAAAATTGTTGAGAACCACCGTTCTTCTGGCATCTTGACAACAGAAGTGAGCTTGTAGAAGAGGAGGAAAATAAGCAATTCAAGGTGCTGAAAGGTGAGCAGTAGAGACAAGACTGCTGGTCAAAGCAAGAGTGGGTTGGGTGCTAGTCTAGCTGTGGTCTGCCCTAACTGGTTTTAGAACTCTGTCTAATTGATCTAAGCAGTCAACAACACCTTATTGTCTACAATATCCCCAATTCCTACAACAGTGCCTAGAATATAATAGTTATGTAACAATTGTCTGTTAAAAATTTCTTTTGGTTTTCTTACCTATAAAATGAAGGGAATGGAACAAAACTATCCTATAGCTTCTGTCAATTGTAAAAATCTATTACATTTGAAGCTAATTCTTTTATGAAAGAAAACCATGGGAACTGCCTTCCCCAACAAGGGTGGGTCTTCTGAAAGACTTTACTCTTATTTTACCTTTCAAGGTGCCAACAAGGGTGGGTCAAAATTCAGCACCCCATTCCAGCCTGACATTTAACAAATTTGCTTCTCACTGGCCTCTCTTCCAACAAGTCATTCCTCAGAAGATGACTTTAGTTATTTTGGTTATTATTCTCTTATGTAAGCTATCAAAATTTTTTAAAGATTTCTGCTCTCTCTGGGGCTTCTGACAAGGGACAGGTAACAGATACAGGGCATTAATAAATCAGTATTATCTGAACAGTTACTCCTATCACAGCCTGGATTTGAATAGTCCTGAATTCAAATAGTGTTTCATCCAAGCACATTGTTTCCTCAGTATCTGAAGTTTCAAAGAGCAATCAGTGTCAAAGATCCAAATGTTAAAATGCAGGAGCACTTTGGAAATGCAATTATGGTTTTTGCCTATAGATAATTAACAATTGAAAAAGTTACCTCTACTGAGATTTTCTGGGTAGGCATCACTGAGCCTTACGTGCTCTGAAAGACCTAGGTGTTCAAGCTACCAACAGGGAAGCCTGGGATGTGTGTTGCTGTTCCTATAGAAGTAGGGCTTTGTATTGAGTGGGCTTTCCATGCTACCTCTTCATCCCCCAAGCCCATCCTCCTACCTCCATCAACTACAGAACACTTCTGCACAACATGGTAACTCAGAGCAGCAGACTAAGGTCATGAAATGGGTCTTTCTGGTGCATGCAAAGGGGCATCATAAGAATCAAACCTACAGACTTTCACTTGGCATTCCTCTAAAGAAATACAAGACAGCTGAGACCGACTTCAACAAGTATTGAAATGATAAACATCACAGCACAAAAGTGTTGAGTCTGACTGAATACAGAGACATTTCTAACAGTTACAGCTGCTCAAAAACGAAATAGGATTCCTTATAGTGTGGTCTATGCCTCGTCACTGAATTTGTTTAAGCAGAGCCATTGGGCCTGTTATCAATAGGATTCCCATATAAAGTGGAGGACTCACTTTTTTGGTCTTCCAAATAATCGGGTTTCTTTCTTTCTCTGTGTTTGACTGCAATGACAAGTTTGTAGACACAAGGGGACAGAAACTGCTCAAAGAATTTTGCATAGTATTTTTCCTCTTAAATCTAACGCCAAATATATCTACATTTAGCCTGTTATACTTTAGTGCTCTGTGGAACTCTTCTGTGGTCTGAGCACCCCTGAGCCCCATAGCATGCGCTATTTTCTCCATGACTGGGCAAATGACAGAGGCATCACAACTTATTAGTTCCATCACGTCCCCCCAAAACACACACGCACAATTATTACATAGCTCTACTAGGGCATTATAAGCCCCATTTGGAAATTTTCTCAAACGTTCCCCTTAACAGTCTGTCTTCCTCTTAAGGAAGGACAATGACTAATGTTTGTTGAGTACCAAGCAATATGCCAAGAGATTCAGACACCTTAATTTCATCTATAACAACACTTTGAAGTCGTGTCAACATGTCCATTTAATAAATAAAAAACCTGAGACCCAGAGAGGTTACGTCAAATTCACAGTCACACCACAAATAACTACTAAAGCTAGATTTCAGACCTAGATTTAGAAGGCCTGAAAAATTTGACCTATTTCCCTATTCCACAATTTCTCTCTTCTGAAGCGCTTTGCTCAACTTTAGACCAAATGCTTTTAAAAGCTTCACACAGGCCCGGCGTGGTGGCTCACGCCTGTAATCCCAACACTTTGGGAGGCTGAGGCGGGCGGATCACGAGGTCAGGAGATCGAGACCATCCTGGCTCACACGGTGAAACCCTGTCTCTACTAAAAAAAAAAAAAATACAGAAAATCAGCCAGGCGTGGTGGCGGGCGCCTGTAGCCCCAGCTACTCTGAAGGCTGAGGCAGGAGAATGGCGTGAACCCGGGAGGTGGAGCTTGCAGTGAGCCGAGATCGCGCCACTGCACTCCGGCCTGGGCGACAGAGCGAGACTCTGTCTCAAAAAAAAAAAAAAAAAAAAAAAAAAAAGCTTCACACAAACTGCTATCCTATTATTAAATCACGCTAAGCAATGGTGTTTTGACCCTTCCTGGAAAAACCTCTTAAAACTCTTACTGCCAAGTTTTCATGTTTCCACTGCACTTGAGTAACAAATGGTACATGGCTTGAACATACATAAAACGAATGCTAAATCTTCTGAAAGACTTTACTCTTATTTTACCTTTCAAGGTGCCAAATGACCATGACTTTGGAATCTCTTGTGTTCTAAATGTCCCGCCAGACCTATTGAGAACTCTAGCATATAAAAGTGTGATCATAAACCAGGAAATGAAGACTTGCCTTTTAAAATATCGTGCATCTTTATTTTACCCATAAACTTATTTCTTCAATAATTTTTTGAAAGAAAAAAAATCATTAGAATGCATATGACCTAAAGGAAAAAATCTTGTTCCCTGAAAACTAAGGTGAAAAAGAATTTGGAAGTGCAGGCAGAGAATTGGTAGTGAACACCTCAACTGCAGAAAACTCACCCACATCTATCAGCTCTCGGAGCCAGTGCCCTAAAAGAGAACTGACACAAAATTACACAAGAAGTTATGAGGCTCAAGATACTGAAGCTCTTCTTGGGAAGAAAATCGTCTTTCATTTTCAGCTGACCCCAAGAAGACAAGAGGTGGAGTAAAACCCAGGAGATGACAGTCTGAGCAACTGAGGCAGAGTTTCAGTGTAGTGGGAGTGAGAACAAGGTGTATTTTTTGAAAATGGAACATCTGTATAGATTCTGCTGAAATTAACATGAATGGCTCTTGTTCAGCTAGTATTTCAGGAGCTCCTACATGCTCCTCGTGGGGAAAAGGGTGCCCAGATCATTGATCTAGCATCAGAGCCACTAGTGGTAGATCAGACTACAGAGCAAGACTCACTGTCAGGCCAGACTCACAGGTGCTTTTGAACATAAGACCTCTGTTCCTATGCTGTCTGAAGACTCATGAATTTAACAGAACTAGTTCGGGGAATTGAGACCAAGAGAAAAAAGAAATGGGGAATTAGCAGCATTCGATGATAATATCTTAGTGTTCAGAGGAGAGTATTTTATATTCTCAACTAGGGCATTGGAAAAAGAAATGAACCTTGGCTTCTATCTTATGCCATATATAAAAGTTAATTTGAGAAATTATGATGCCTTTAGAAGAAAACATAGGAAACATTTTTTGCAAAATGAAAAACTTTCTTGGATAAGACAAAAATACAAATTATAGAAATCACAAGCGACAGGCACAAAGTGATGTGTGTTATCTCCAAGACAATGTCCCATACAGGAAGATGTCTTCTCCTCTATGAAGTCTTCCTTTTGTTTTCATTTGGACAAACACCACAGACAAACACACACACATGCACAGTGATATTTTCTTCCTCTTGATTCCTGTTGCAATTATTGTGTGAGTTAATTTAAAATTAGCACATATTTATGATAGCACACAGTGCTATCATATTTATTATGTAGACTTCTTTATTGTCTGCCAGCAGTGCTGTATGAGTAAATGTTTACCAACCAGCTCTCTAGGGGAAACAGCCCTGATACATAACATTTACCAATTTATTTGCTGTAAATGTTCCACCACAGCCTATTTCAAGCTATCACCATGAAGTCATTGAATTCAGAGTTAGAAAGAGATCCCATGACTGGCATGTGTGTGAGCCAGCACAAGCTGCTTTCAGCATATCCCTGTTTGCTTGTCTTCTCTCTAAGGAATCCCTGGTAGTATAATTGAATATAACATGGTGTCTCAGTTTCCCCATTTTGTACAAGTAGGTAAACATACTCAAAAGTGTAACTTTCGTAGAGGAGAATTGACTGTAAAGCTCTATTTAATGTTTAGGAAACCAGAGTGGATGTTTGCAGAATGTATCTCCAACATCCATATCCTCTTCTAGAAATAGCCTCTGTTTTCCGTTTGGGACTCATCCCTACCTCATTTTCCACACACAATTCTAAGATTAAGCTTCTCGCCCATCTCAGAACCAGATCATGGGACCAAGACCAATCTTCACATCATATTGTCTATCCACAGTGATTGGTTCAGTGATGGCATGTGGTTCAACAACAAGAAGATGCAGTGAGACCTTTGATGAAAATACTAAGAAATAATGGAGAATTTGTTCTCAGGGAGTTGAATTTGTGAGAATATAAGATCTGGAGCTGCCGGCATCTTCCATCTTGCCATCACATGACGCCTGTAAATGATGCAAATCTGGTAGAGAAAAAGAAAAATTAAATTATGGTGGCCATGTTTGAGTTCTGCATTTGAAAGTGTCAAAAGCAAAAGCAGCCTTAGACCTTATATTTACGTAAGCCAATAATTTTCCTTTTTCTTAAGCCAATTTGTGTTAATTTTTCTCTGATATATAGCGAAAAAATCCAATTAATACAGAAACATTGGGAATGAATAAATTGGTCTGATTATAGACCATGGTGGTAGCTTCACAATTCTGTGCATTGGTCAAAATTTATTAAACTGTGCACCAAAAAGAGTGAATTTTATTGTAAGTTAAAAATAAATAAATTGGCTGGAAATTTAAAAAAATAAATAAATCTCTGTATCAAGTTTGAGGTGCTGTCATGAAAACATCTTTCTATAGGAGTTGTTTTTCCTATTTTAGTCTCAATCACATGTAGTCAAGCTTTTGCATCCAACTTCTTCTTTTCCCTTGAACTACCATTTCTGAAATAATTCAACAATGATACAAAAAATGTACTAACCTAAAAAATCCACAAGACCAAGGGGTAAGTCCCAGAAGAACCTGTCTCTAGAAGCTCAGCCAACAACACCTCACTATTCCTTTAAAAACACAATGCTTAACCAAACTTTCACCTTAAGTTGTTGCCTGGGTTTTTGTCCCTATTATTCCATAATTAATTTTTTAAAAGGCAGGCAAATTTCCACAGTTACATTGAGCTTAAAGCCACAAAAATAGTATTTTTTCGTTTTTAAGATTTTGCAACTTTGACCCTACATGCATCACCAAAGAAAAACACTGGCTCTGTCTTTAAAAAGAGGAAGAGAAAGAAAAGAAGAGAAGGCTGACAAAAATGGATACAGTAAGGTATAGAGGCAGGGAGTGGTATATTTCTAGGAAAATAGATGGATGCATAGAGTGTTAGTGGGTGACCACAGCATGGAGAGGGCAGACCCTTCCTTCTTCATGATGCATCTTCATCTCATATTATTCTCTGAGAGTACGAGGCCTCATTTCCTTCACAGAGCAGGGACACAACTCGACAAAAACAGAGGAAGAGAAGAAAAACAAGGGGATAAAGAGCCATTTTTCCAGAATCTCAGAAATGGAGCTGAGCTTTTCTATAACACTTTAGTAGAAATAGAAAGGGGCCTAATGTTTATTCATGAGTCCTCAGTTTCTATTTCCCAGAAATATTTCCATATTACTCATGCCACAAGGCAAAGAAACAAAGCACTGTCTGTCTTTTTTCCAATACCACACAATAAAGAATCAAACGTTCATCAGATCCTCACAGAATTCCAAGGTGCTATAAAGGTGATCCAAACTAAAGCCATCTTAAGGAAAATGAGAATAACGATTATACTCTACCACTTCATTAATTCTTGGCTCAAAAATCCAAAGAGGGCTCCCTGTTCTAAATGGTGATCTTGAAATCTCCAAACAGAACTCACTGCCACTATTTCTATAAATAATAAGATGTTACTTCTTCTTCGTCCCTAACCTATAAGTCCCTGTTCTTTCCCTTTCAGAAGAAAACTAAGTAATGAAACACTCATCTCCTCCCAAGACTCCTGTGCTAATTGTTACCTACCAGAAGTACTTTATTCAACACCTACTCAATTTTATAAACAATGTTAACTCGTTTTTATGGTTACTTGAGAGACTATAGGTCATATAACTGAAAATTTTAAATTAATTCTTTCTTTTAACAATCAGTAAAATCTCTTCTATGCTGTACCATGAGAACAAAGAAACCCAAACAATACACAAACTATAGCAAATCTTATTCTTTTAAGCAGAAATAAATTGAGTATTATTTTACCTTTTTCATTGTATATTGACAAATTATAGTTATATGTATTTATGAGGTACAAAGTAGTAGTATGATTTTTGAATACAATATGTAATCATTAAATTATGCTAATAAACATATCTATCACCTCAAATATTTAACATTTTTGTGATGAAAATATGCAATACTTAATGATTAGCTATATTCAACATGCTGTGCTATATTTTAACTTTCTGACAAGAAAATGACAGGGACAAAAAAAACTTTCCTTTAACCTCTTAGGTTTAGCACCTGGGGGCCTGCAAATTAGACTAACAAAAGAAATATTTACAGAAAAAAGTCACACAATTTTTATTGATATCTTATGTGCACATGAATTCAGAGAAAATAAGTGAAACCCAAATAAGTAGCTAGTCTCAGGGATGATACACCATTTTAACAAAGGGGATTTGGGCTTCAATAGGTGATAAATTGTGGGGAAGTGACTAGAGGGAAAGTAAAATGGAGGGAAACTAACATAAGGATCATTTTAGTAAGGTTTGTTTATGCAGGCTCATCTCATTGCCAACTCTTCATCTCTGATGATAAGAGTTACTCTCTTTCTGGTACAGGAAAAGAAGAAACAACTTCACAAAGGGAAATTAATGTCCTGCTTTTAGGCAGAAAGGGAGAGAGCAGAGAACTCTTCCTTCATATATTGATTTTCAATTGCCTTCAGCTCAACATAATCCTTATGCCAAAGTGGCATATCTCGGGGTGACATATCCTGATTCCCTCAAAAATCTTTCTAAAAAATATACCCATGTGAAAAAAAATTTAATTTTTTCCTAAAAGCAAATGCAACCCTAAGAATGCCAATTAATACATTATACAATAATATAGATAAACTCTGATTGCTCACTTCTTTATTTTCCTAGAAGCCATATTGGAAAATAGGAAGAATATAGGCTTTGGAGTATTACAGACTTGAGTAGAATTCTGGAACTGCAAGTAGTTATGTGACCTTGACCATATTTCTTAACTCCTCTGAAGTTAGTTAGTGCCTTAATCTGAGAATTAGAGCCATACGTTCTCCTTTCAGGAAATGCTAAGGAAGACTACTACATAGGTAATGTGGATGTCATAAAAAAATGACAGGAGAATATAATACATCGATTGATTAAGTTGGTCACATGATCCATTCTTGTGTTGGGCCTGTTAAAAAAAATTAAATAGGGTATCAATAAGAACAGAATGTATTATTGTAAGGTTGCAGATGTTTCAGAGGTGTTTAGAGGTGTTTATCTTTATACAAAATGGCCTCAGATTTTCTCCTCAGTGAGCTTTGGTGATTTTTTTAATGATTTTCTATTTCTGCTTTATAAGCTGTTTTTTGTTTTTTGTATTTTGCATGTTGCTTTGTAGGTACTTGTGCTACATTATATTAACCTCAGGTCTTCATTGGAGGCCTCATGGTAGAGAAAGCATTTTCCCACCTGTGACCACATGCTTTGCTTTCGTCAAAGGATATTAGCAGATGTTTTATAAGTAGAGGTTTGAAATTTACTTGTGTGATTCGACTTGCTCACTTGCACACCAGCCTTTTCCATCAAAAGGAAAAGACTCACATAGCAACTTGTTCAAAGGAAATAACATAAGGAACAAATCTTTACCCAACCTGCAGCTTGGAGACAAGCCCAGCTTAGATGAGCTAAACTCCAACCAACATGCAGATATATTAGCAAGAAATAAATGCTTATATTGAGAAGCCATTGGATTTGGAGTTGCCACACATTTTTCTTGTGGCAGTAGCTAACAAATTCGGTGCCATCAGATCTTTAGGTTTTATCTCATTGGACGAATATAAACTTCCCTAGGACAATACATTTCATTACCAACAATATGGCAGCCTCTACCAGACTTCCCACACTATGCTTATCCCAAGCCACCTTCTTTTTTCCCTTTGGCTTTTTGTTTTTATTATTATATTTTTTATTTCTCCATAAGTTATTGAGGTATTGGGGTACAGATGTTATTTTGTTACATGAGTAAGTAAGTTCTTCAGTGGTGATTTGGGAGATTTTGGTGTACCCATCACCTGAGCAGTATCCACTGTACCATATTTGTAGTCTTTTATCCCTTGCCCCCCTCCCACTCTTCCCCCCAAGTACCCAAAGTCCATTGTATTGTTCTTATGACTTTGTGTCCTTATAGCTTAGCTCCCACATATCAGTGAGAATATATAATGTTTGGTTTTCCATTCCTGAGTTACATCACTTAGAGTAATAGTCTCCAATCTCATCCCAGTCACTGCAAATGCTGTTAATTCATTCCTTTTTATGGCCGTGTAGTATTCCTTTAGATATAGATATAGATATAGATGATATAGATATAGATATAGATATAGATATAGATATAGATATAGATATAGATATAGATATAGATATATCTCATAGTTTCTTTATCCACTTGTTGATTAGTGGGCATTTGGGTTGGTTCCAGGATTTGGCAATTGTGAATTGTGCTGCTATAAACATGCATGTGCAACTACCTTTTTCGAATAATGACTTCTTTCCCTATTTTTTTTTTTTTTTTTAGATGGAGTCTTCCTCTGTCGCCCAGGCTGGAGTGCAGTGGTGTGATCTTGGCTCACTGCAACCCCTGCGTCCTGGGTTCTAGTGATTCTCCTGCCTCAGCCTCCTGAGTAGCTGGGATCACAGGCATGTGCCCTGACATCTGGCTAATTTTTGCATTTTTAGTAGATATGGGGTTTCACCATGTTGGCCAGGATAGTCTCAAACTCCTGACCTCAGGTGATCTGCCCACTTCAGCCTCCCAAAGTGCCGGAATAGCCCCCTTTTTCTACATAGACATTTTAGCATCTAACTTAGGGGAAGCTGTGTCAGAATCTGCTAGGTAAGGTCATTTTTAAATGAAAGAGCAGCCAGAATTTTTTTGATTGTCTGATAGGAACATTTTTTCCTTTCCATATAGATATAATGAGAAAAATATTGAAAGTTACCCCTATGTGAACAAATAATCTAATTATTAGGTAGAGGAGTTTGGTTCTTTGTTCTAAACAGCACTTGTGAACATCCAATACCTGAGTTTCAAATTTGGTAATTCACTATCTTACTTTTTTAATATTAAAATTTCACTTAATATTAAAATTTTATTTGTTATTGCCTGACTTTTGGATACAAGCCATTTTAGCTGGGGTGAGAGGATATCTCATTGATTTGCATATGTTGAACCACTCCTGCATCCCTGGCATAAATCCCACTTCATCATGATGAACAGTCTTTTTAATGTATTGTTGAATTCGGTTTACTCATATTTTATTGAGGATTTCTGCATAAATACTCATCAGATATATTGGACTGTAGTTTTCTTTTTTGTTTGTTTGTTTGAAGTGTCTTTGTCTGGTTTTCATATCAGGTCTCACGGAATGAGTTTGGAAGTATTCCCTCCTCCTCTGTTTTTTGGAACAGTTTGGGTAGGATTGGCATTAATTTTTATTTAAATGCTTGGTAGAATTCAGCAATGAAGACATTGGGTCACAGGCTTTTCTTTACTGGCAGGCTTATTATAATTTGATCTCATTACATGTTATTGGTCTCTTTAGGCTTTGGATTTCTTCATGGTTCAATCTTGGTAGGTTGTGTGTATCTAGGAATTTATCCATTTCTTCTGGATTTTCCAATTTACTGGCACATAGTTGTTCACTGTAGCCACTAATGATCCTTTCAATTTCTGTAGTATCCATTGTAATGTTTCCTTTTTCATCTCTGATTTTATTTATTTGGGTTTTCTCTCTTTTTTCTTAGCCTGGCTAAATGTTTGTCAAGTTTGTTTATCTCTTCAAAAAAAATCAACTTTTCATTTTGTAGATCTTTTGTATTGTTTTCTTCATTTCAAATTCATTTTCTGCTCTGATCCTTATTATTTCTTTCCTTCTAATTTTGAGTTTGGTTTGCTATTGCTTTTCTAGTTCTTAAAAATCCATCATTAGGTTTTTTATTTGAATATTTTCTTTTATTTATTTATTTATTTTTCCATAAGCTACGGGGTACCGGTGGTATTTGCTTACATGAGTAAGTTCTTTAGTGGTGATTTGTGGGATGTTGGTGCACCCATAACCCGAGCAGTATACACTGCGCCATATCTGTAGTCTTTTGTCCCTTGTCCTCCTACCACTCTTCCCCACAAATCCCCAAAGTCCATTGTATCATTCTTATGCCTTTGGGTCCTCATAGTGTAGCTCCCATATAGTGAGAACATACAATGTTTGGTTTTCCATTCCTGAGTTCCTTAGCTTAGAATAATAGTCTCCAATCTCATCCAAGTCACTGCAAAAGCTATTGATTCATTCAGCTTTTTTGACTGAGTAGTATTCCATCGTACATATATATACCACAGTTTCTTGATCTCCTCATTGATTGATGGGCATTTGGGTTGGTTCTTTGATTTTTCAATTGTGAACTGTGCTGCTATAAACACGTATGTGCAAGTATCTTTTTTGAATAATGACTTATTTTCCTCTGGGTAGACACCCAGTAGTGGGATTGTTGGATCAAATGGTAGTTCTACTTCTGGTTCTTTAAGGAAGCTCCACACTGTTTTCCATAGCAGCTGTACTAGTTTACATTCCTACCAGCATTATAGAACTGTTCCCTGTTCACCACATCCACACCATCATCTACTGTTTTTTTGATTTTTTTTTTTATTATGGCCATTGCAGGAGTAAGGTGGTATCGCATTGTTGTTTTGATTTGCATTTCCCTGATCATTAGTGATGTTGAGCATTTTTTCATGTTTGTTGGACATTTGTATATCTTCTTTTGAGAATTGTCTATTCATGTCCTTAGCCCGCTTTTTGACGGGATTGTTTGTTTTTTATTCTTACAGATCTGTTTGAGTTCACTGTAGATTCTGGATATTAGTCCTCTGTCAGATGTATAGATTGTGAAGATTTTCTCCCACACTGTGGGTCGTCTGTTTACTCCGCTGACTGTTCCTTTTGCCGTGCAAAACCTCTTTAGTTTAATTAGGTCCCAGTTATTTATCTTTGTTTTTATTGCATTTGCTTTTGGGTTCTTGGTCATGATATTTTTGCCTAAGCCAATGTCTAGAAGGGTTTTTCCAATGTTACCTTCTAGAATTTTTATAGTTTCAGGCAGGTCTTAAGTTTAAGTCCTCATTCCATCTTGAGATGATTTTTCTATAAGGTGAAAGATGAGTATGCAGTTTCATTCTCCTACATGTTGCCAGCCAATTATCCAGCACCATTTGTTGAAAAGAGTGTCCTTTCCCCACTTTTTGTTTTTGTTTGCTTTGTTGAAGATCAGTTAGCCGTAAGTATTTGGGTTTATTTCTGGGTTCTCTATTCTGTTCCATTGGTCTATGTGCCTATTTTTATAACAGTACCACACTGTTTTGGTGACTATGGCCTTATAGTATAGTTTGAAATCAGGTAGTATGATGCCTCCAGATTTATTCTTTTTGCTTAGTCTTGCTTTGGCTATTCAGGCTCTGTTTTGCTTCCATAGGAATTTTAGAATTGTATTTTCTAATTCTGTAAAGAATGATGGTGGTATTCTGATGGGATTGCATTGAAGTTGTAGATTGCTTTTGGCAGTATGGTCATTTTCACAATATTGATTCTACCCATCCATAAGCATGGGATGTGTTTCCATTTGTTTCTTTTGTCTATGATTTCTTTCAGCAGTGTTTGTAGTTTTCCATGTAGCAGTCTTTCAACTCCTTTGTGAGATATATTCCTAAGTATTTTATTCTTTTGCAGCTATTGTAAAAGGGGTTGAGTTCTCATTTGATTCTCTGCTGGGCTGCTGTTGGTGTATAGAGGAGCTACTGATTTGTACACATTAATCTTGTCTCTGAAAACTTTGCTGAATTCTTTTATCAGTTCTAGGCACCTTCTAGAGGAGTCCTTAGGGTTTTTCAAGGTAAACGATCATATTGTCAGCAAACAGTGACAGTTTGACTTCCATTTTACCGATTTGGATACCCTTTATTTTTTCTCTTGTCTGATTGCTCTGCCTAGGACTTCCAGTACTATGTTAGAGCGGAGTGGTGAGAGTGGGCATCCTTGTCTTGTTCCAGTTCTCAGAGGGAATGCTTTCAACTTTTCCCCATTCAGTATTATGTTGGCTGTGGGTTTGTGATAGATGGCTTTTATTACATTAAGGTATGTTCCTTGTACGCTGATTTTGCTGAGAGTTTTAATCATAAAGGGATGCTGGATTTTGCCTAATGCTTTTTCTTCATCTATTGAGATGATCATGTGATTTTTTTTAAATTCTGTTTATGGGGTGTATCACATTTATTGACTTGTGTATGTTAAACCATCCCTGCATCCCTGGTATGAAACTCACTTGATCATGGTGGATTATCTTTTTGATATGTTGTTGGATTCAGTTAGCTAGTATTTTGTTAAGGATTTTAGCTTCTATGTTCATCATGGATATCAGTCTGTAGTTTTCTTTTTTGGCTATGTCCTTTCCTGGTTTTGGTATTAGGGTGATGCTGGCTTTATAGGATGAATTAGGGAGGGTTCCTTCTTCCTCTATCTTGTGAAATAGTGTCAAAAAGATTGTTACAATTCTTCTTTGAATGTCTGGTAGAATTCTGCTGTGAATCCGTCTGCTCCTGGACTTTTTTTGTTGGTAATTTTTAAATTACCACTTCAATCTCGCTGCTTGACATTGGTCTGTTCAGGGTATCTAATGCTTCCTAATTTAAGCTAGGAGGGTTGTATCTTTCCAGGAATTTATCCATCTCTTCTAGGTTTTCTAGTTTATGAGTGTAATGGTGTTCACAGTAGCCTTGAATGATCTTTCGTTATTTCAGTAGTGTCAGTTGTAATATCTCCTGTTTTGTTTCTTAGTGAGGTTATTTGGATTTTCTCTTTTCTTTTCTTGGTTAATCTTGCTAATGGCAATTTTATATATCTTTTCAAAGAACCAGCTTTTTGTTTCATGTATCTTTTGTGTTGTTTTGTTGTTGTTGTTTCATTTTCAGTTAGTTCTACTCTGATCTTAGTCATTTCCTTTTTTCTGCTGGTTTTGGATCTGGTTTGTTCTTGTTTCTTTAGTTCCTTGAGGTGTGATCTTAGATTGTCTGTCTGTACTCTGTCAGACTTTTTGATCTAGACATTTAGGGTCATGAACTTTCCTGTTAGCACTGCCTTTGCTGTATCCCAGAAGTTTTGATAGGTTGTGTCATCATTGTTATTCCATTCGAAAAAATTTTTAATTTCCATCTTGATTTTGTTTTTGACACAATGCTCACTCAGGAGCAGGTTATTTAATTTCCATGTATTTGCATGGTTTTGAAGACTCCTTTTGGAGTTGGTTTCCAGTTTTATCCATTGTGGTCTGAGAGAGTGCTTGATATGATTTCATTTTACTTAAACGTATTGAGGCTTGTTTTATGGCCTATCATATGATCTATTTTGGTGAAAGTTCCATATGCTGCTGAATATAATGTGTATTCTGCAATTGTTTGATGAAATGCTCTATATGTATCTGTTAAATCCATTTGTTCCAAGGTATAGTTTAAATCCATTGTTTCTTTTCTGACTTTCTGTCTTGATGACCTGTCTAGTGCTGTCAGTGGAGTATTGAAGTTCCCCACTATTATTGTGTTGCTGTCTATCTCATTTCTTAGGTCTATTGGTAGTTGTTTAATAAATTTGAGAGCTCCATTATTAGGTACATATATGTTTAGGATTGTGGTATTTTCCTGTTGGACAAGGCCTTTTACCATTACATACAATCCCTCTTTGTCTCTTTTATCCACTGTTGTTTTAATATTTGTTTTGTCTGACATAATAATAGCTACCCATGCTAGCTTTTGGTGTCCATTTACATGAAATGCCTTTTTCCACCCTTTTTCTTTAAGTTTATGTGGGTCTTTATGTGTTAGGTGAGTCTCCTGAAGGCAGGAGATGGTTGGTGCGTTCTTATCCATTCTACAATTCTGTATCTTTTAAGTGGGGCATTTAAGCCATTTACATTCAATGTTACTATTGAAATATGAGGTACCGTTGCTTTCATCATGCTCTTTGTTGCGTGTGTACTTTGTTTTTTATTTTTTTGTTTTTGCTTTTTAACTTGTATTCTTTTTATAGGTCCTGTGTGATTTATGCTTTAAAGAGTTTCTGTTTTATTGTGTTTCCAGGATTTGTTTCCAGATTTAGAGCTCCTTTTAGCAATTCCATTAGAGGTGGTTTAGTAATGGCAAATTCTCTCAGCATTTGTTTGTCAGAAAACGACTATATCTTTCCTTCATATATGATGCTTAATTTCACTGTATACAAAATTATTGGCTGATAATTGTTTTGTTTGAGGAGGCTGAAGGTAGGTCCCCAGTCCCTTCTAGCTTGTAGGGTTTCTGCTGAGAAATCTGCTGTTAATCTGATAGGTTTTTCCTTTATAAATTATCTGGTGCTTCTGTCTCACAGCTCTTAAGATTCTTTCCTTCATCTTGACTTTGGATAACCTGATGACAATGTGCCTAGGTGAAGATCTCTTTTGCAATGAATTTCCCAGGTGTTCTTTGTGCTTCTTGTATTTGGATATCTGTGTCTCTCACAAGGCCAGGAAAGGTTTCCTCAATTATTCCCCCAAATATGTTTTCTTTTAGAATTCCCTTCTTCCTCAGGTACACCAATAATTCTCAGGTTTGGTCATTTAGCATAATCCCAGACTTCTTGGAGGCTTTGTTCATATTTTCTCATTCTGTTTTCCTTGTCTTTGTTGGATTGGGTTAATTTGAAGACCCTGTCTTCAAGCTCTGAATTTCCTTCTTCTACTTGTTCATTTCTATTGCTGAGACTTTCCAGAGCGTTTTTGATTTCTAAAAGTGTGTTCAAAGTTTCCTGAATTTTTGGTTGTTTTTTCTTTAAGCTATCTATTTCCATGAATATTTCTCCCTTCACTTCCTGTATCATTTTTTGGATTTCCTTGCATTAGGCTTCAACTTTCTCTGGTCCCTCCCTGATCAGCTTAATAACTAACCTCCTGAATTCTTTTTCAGGCAAATCAGGGATTTCTTCTTGGTTTGGATCCATTGCTGGTGAACTAGTATGATTTTTGGGGGGGTGTTGAAGAGCCTTGTTTTGTCATATTACCAGTGTTGGGTTTCTGGTTCCTTCTCATTTAGGTAGGCTCTGTCAGAGGGGCTGTCCAGGGCTGAAGGCTGTTGTTCGGATTATTTTGTCCCACGGGGTGTGCCCTTGACGTAGTACTGTCCCCCTTTTCCTATGGATGTGGCTTCCTGCGAGCCAAACTGCAGTGATTGTTATCTCTCTTCTGGGTCTAGCTACCCAGCGAGTCTACCCAGCTCCAGGCTGGTACTGGAGGTTGTCTGCACAGAGTCCTGTGATGGAAACTGTCTATGGGTCTCTTCACTGTGGATAACAGCACCTGTTCCAGTGGAGGCAGCAGAGGATGCAATGGACTCCATGGGGGTCCTCAGCTTTGTGGTTTAATGCTTTATTTTTGTGCTGGTTGGCCTCCTGCCAGGAGGTGGCAGTTTTCAGAAAGCATCAGCTGTAGTAGTGTGGATAGGGACCAGCGGTGGGCAGGGCCCTAGAGCTCCCCAGATTATATGCCCTTTGTCTTGTACTACCAGGGTGGATAAGGAAGGACCACCAGGTGGGGGTGGGGCTAGGCATGTCTGAGCTCACACTTCGGGTGGGTCTTGCTGAGGCTGCTATAGGGAATGGGGGTGAGATTCTCAGGTCACTGGAGCTGTGAACCTAGGAGGATTATGGCTGCCTCTGCTGAGTCATGCAGGTTGTCAGGGAAGTGAGAGAAAGCTGGCGGTCACAGCCCTCACCCAGCTCCCATGCAATTTGAAGGGCCGGTCTCACTCCCGCTGTGCCCACCCCCGACAGCCCCAAGTCTGTTTCCAGGCAGAGGGCAATGGGCTTGAAAACTTGCCTGAGGCTATCTGCTTCTGCTGCAAGAGAAAAGGGCTTTAGTTCTTCCCCCACCTGTGAAGTCCTCATGCCCAATTCACACCCACACCTGAGTTCTGGCCAGGAGGCTTCTCACCCCATTCAAATTGTTACAAAGTTCAGCTAGAGAATTCCTTCTCCCTGTGAAGTTTTACCCCCTGCTCCTCTGGCCACGCTCCCAGTGGATCCCTGTGGTGCCAGCAGGAATGGGCTGCTCCGGGGACCCAGCAAGCTCCCAGGGCCTTTCTGCTTCTTCCTTCACCCCTGTATTTCGGTAGGCTCTCTGACTTGACTCAGCTCCAGGTAAAGTCAGAAACTTCTCCTGCAAACAGATCTTCAGCTTCTCCAGTGGAGCGGGGCGGGGAGGGTGGTTGGGGTGTGTTCAGGAGAGGAGGGTCTCCCTTTCCCACTTCCGCAGTTAGGACACTCATAGGATTTGGGGTGTCTCCTAGGTCCTGCAGGAGCAGTCTGCTTCCTTCAGAGGGTCTGTGTGTCCTCTCGGGATTGCTGGTTTGTTCTGGCAGTTGACCTGGAGCTAAAATTCACAATGGAAGCCTCCACATGCTGCTCTGTCGGGAATTGCAATCTAGTCCTGCCTCCTGTCCACCATGATCCCTGCCCTGCCCCCACCTTCTTTTTTGATGATACTAATTGCTGGGAGATTTTAAAACAGACAAGCATGTTAGAATTGTGTGAAGAATAAGGATAAAACCGGTCAGATTTTACAAAGAGAGTCTGAAATAGTGCTGTCCAATGGAAACATAATGTGGGCCAAATAGGGAATTTTTAATTTTCTATTAGCCAATTTTTAAAAGTAAACAGTTGAAATTAATTCTAATGCTGTATTTTTAACCCAGTATATCCAAAATACAATTACATTCAACATGTAATTAATGGAAACTTTTAATGAGATATTTTACACTCATTTTTCATTACTGCATTCAAAACAGTGTGGATTTTACATTTTAGCACATCTCTATCCAAACCAGTCACATTTCAAATGCTCAGTGGCCACATATGGCTAGTGTGGCTATCATATTGTACAGCACATGTCTAGAAAGTTTTCATCAGAAGCAAAATGGAAAGACTTTTGTGGAGAGCTTTTTTGACTACTAAAACCACTCAAAGACCTCTTTTTTTGGCTTATTTCTGCATAATTGGCTGATCTCCCTATGAACAGAGGTTGTCTTGTATTTGGCAGCATTTTGTGTTCCAACCTCAAATTGAATTCATTTATTATTTTACCCACATTTTAATTTTCATTAATTTCTTAGTTTTTCCAAACAACAATTACCCTATTATGGATGTCCCTATGAGCCTTTTTCAAAACTATTTAAAACAAATTGGATACAAATGACAAATAGTTATTTCCTTTGCTTTGTTAAAATCTATGAATAATTCTTAACGACTAGGTTCTCTGTAGAACATAATCTTATAGCAGAAAATATCTGTGTATGATAAGGTTGTGGGATGAATATTTAAAAGAGTCACTCCAAATGTTCATAAAAGAAAAACTATTTGAGTTGGATCAAAAACAAAAAAAAAACAAAACAAAAACATCAGGATGACTCTATCAGATGTGATCCAGAAAGTCTACAAAAAATCAGAGAGTAGCTAAGAAAATAAATGAGGATGCCAGAACTTTTTTTAAACCTTTTCTTTTTTGGCCTAATTTGCATAGTTATTTTCACTGAAATAAGTTTTACTCCATCTCTTGCAGGTTGATTTTTATATCTTATTTAGAGTTGTAGTCCTAGGGAGGAAGAAATGTAGAGTCAACAGGAAACTATGTGGTACTAAAAGACCTTCACATCTGTGGCTTATTTTCAAGATTTTATTATGCATGTATTAATACATGCCTTCATTAATTTCAGCTTTTTCACATTCTTTCTTTTTCTTTATCTATCTGTATATAAAAACAATTAGGCCAGGCACGGTGGCTCACGTCTGTAATCCCAGCATTTTGGGAGGCCAAGGCGGGCAGATCATGAGGTCAGGAGATCGAGACCATCCTGGCTAACACAGTGAAACCCCGTCTCTACTGAAAATACAAAAAAATTAGTCAGGCCTGGTGGTGGGCGCCTGTAGTCCCAGCTACTTGGGAGGCTGAGGCAGGAGAATGGCGTGAACCCGGGAGGCGGAGCTTGCAGTGAGGCGAGAACGCGCCACTGCACTCCAGCCTGGTTGACAAAGCTAGACTCCATCTCAAAAAAATAAATATAAAAATAATTAGCACAGATAAATAGAGAGGGAATAATTAACGTAGATGGAGAAAGTGGGAAAGACAGTTCTATAAAAAATAAAATGCTGAAGGAACTGAAAAATAAACAACTCCTCTTAGATTCATTAAAGAAGTGAGTACACAGGGCAAACCGCTGCCCCCAAACTGGAGAGAGAAACAGGTGGAAATAGAGACTCACAACTTACCAGAGCAGAAATCGCTTCAGGAACCAGTGCTGGAGTAGGAACAGCTAAACTGTAATTGATTCATTGCAAGAGGTTAGGTGTGGATAAATCTGAGAGTTAAAAATTCCAGGGGGACCCAGTCCTGGAAGCCCATGCTTTTGAGAGTTTCGCCTTGGGAGCTCAAACAAATATTCATAGTAAATATGGAAGAAAAACTGCCCCCATGCTTCTGTCGGGGAGGGAGAAAGGAGCCATTTCGAAACTCCAGAGCACTCTGTTCTTCTTAAGGAAGCCTATCCTCTGGAGAAACTAGCTAACCAGCCTAATTAGCTGGAGTTTTATTGTAGACTAACTGATGTGGAAGGAGGGAAATATTCAACTCCAGCCCACTCTAGCCATTCTGTCTCACCTAAGGAGGGCAGAAAGGAACCGAGAAATAAATGTAAAGTTCATAGTCCAGGGGCACAGGCTCACGAAAACACTGAGGCCTAATCATAGGACTTCCTCACTCCTAGCACCTGACCACCAAATTATCAAAGGCCTATTTAAAGCAGTCCTTTTGTATAGTCATCCCTTTGTATTCATAGGGGATTGGCTTCAGGGTCTCCTGCAGATACCAAAATCTTCAGATGCTTAAGTCCCTGATATAAAATTGTGTAATATTTGTATATAACCTATGCATACACTCCCATATACTTTAAATCATCTCTAGATAACTTATAATACCTAATTCAATGTAAATGCTATGTAAATAGTTGTAATATTACATTGTCTGGGAAATTATGACAAGGAAAAAAGGTCTGTGCAAATTTGCTACAGACACAATTTTATTTTTTAATATTTTCCATCTATGGTTGATTGAATCCACAGATATGTAGGGCTGACTGTACAGCATATTTGGCTATCAAGAAAAAATTACAAGCCATACCAAAATGCAATAAAACATAGTTTAAAGAAACAAAGAAAGCATCAGAACCAGACAGTGTAGGGATGTTGGCATTATGAGACCAGGAATTTAAAACAACTATGATCAATATGCTAGGGCTTTAATAGATAAAGTAAAGAACATGAAAGAACAGGTAGGCAGTATAAGCAGAGAAATGGAAAATCCTAAGGAGAAAGAAATGCTAGAGATCAAAAACTTAGTAACAGAAATAAAGAACGCTCATTGTTGGGCTCATTAGTAGACTAGACACAGCTGAGGAAAGAGTCTCTGAAGTTAAGGAAATCTAAATAAAAACCTCTAAAACTGAAAAGCAAGAAGAACAAAGACTAAAAAAACAACAGAATAGTATCTCCAGGAACTGGAAAAACTACAAAGGTATAACATATACGTAATGAAAATACAAGAAGAAAAAAAATAAAGAGAGAAAGGAACAGAAGAAATATTTGAACCAATAATGACTGAGAATTTTTCCCAAATTAATACCAGAGACCAAACCACAGATCCAGGAAGTTCAGAGAAAACCAAGCAGAATAAGTGCAAAAAAAAAAAAAAAAAAAAAAAAGTAAAAAGTAAAAGAAAAAAAGGAAGGAAGGGAGAAAGGGAGGGAGGGAGGGAGGGCATATCTAGGCATATTATTTTCAAACTATAGAAAATAAACTATAAAGAAAAAAATCCTGAAAGAACCCAGAGGGGAAAAATACCTTACCTACAAAGGAATAAATGTGAGAATTACATCTGATTTCTACTCAGAAACCATGCAAACAAAAAGATAGTAGAGTAACATATTTAGAGTATTGAGAGAAAACAAAAGAAAACCTAC
This sequence comes from Homo sapiens, assembly GCF_000001405.40. Classification (NCBI taxonomy): domain Eukaryota; kingdom Metazoa; phylum Chordata; class Mammalia; order Primates; family Hominidae; genus Homo; species Homo sapiens. The sequence goes on from NC_000009.12 coordinate 81,296,875, forward strand.
ACCAACCTAGAATTCTGTAGCCTGTGAAATTATTCTTCAAGAGAAGGATAAATTAAGATTTTCTCCGACAAACACGCGCTGAGAAAATCTGTTGCAACTAAACCTTTTTTGGAAGTATATTAGAAGTTTTTTAGAGAGAAGGGAAACAATACAGGACAGAAAGCCAGATGTACATAAAGAGTGAGCATTGGAGAAGGGACAAGTAAAGGTATAGTAAAAACTTATTTTTCTTCTTAATTGATCTAACAGATAATAGTTTGTTCAAATTAGTGATAACAATGTATCTGATTAGGTATGTATGTAATACACACACACATTCTTATGTATGCATATACATATATATATATGTATATATTAAATAAAAAACAGCAATGATCCAGGTATGGGAGGGAGGAAGTAGGATTATTTTGTTATTATAAAGTATTCACAGTATCTATGAAGTGACCCGGTGTTACTTAAAAGTGGATTTGGATTAGTTGTAAGTGTATATTGTAAACTTTAGGGCAACCGCAAAAAAAGTAAAAAAGTAAGTATGCTAAGAAATGCTAATAAATGAGAGAAAATTGAATCATATAAAATGCTTAACTTAAACCACAAAAGAAAGATAAAGAGTGGAAGAGAAAAAGGAAAACACAAACAAGAGCAGCAAATAGAAAACAGTAACAAATATGATAGATATTAACCTACTATATCAGTAATTATTTTGGAAATCAATGGTCCAAATGCACCAATTACAAGATAGATTGTCAGAGTATGTTTACAAAAAAAAAAGACTCCCCAACTGCATATTGTCTGCAAGAAACCCATTTTATATATAGAAATACAGAGAGAATAAAAGTAAATGGATGGAGAAAGATGTAGCATGCTAACACCAATCAAAAGGAAGCAGAAATAGCAATAGTAATTTCAGACAAAGCCAATTTCAAACCAAGGAAATTTGTCAGAGATAAATAGAAACATGACATAGTAAAAGGTAAATTCTCCAGAACAACGTAACAATTCTTAGTGTGTATGCACCTAACAGCACAGCATCAAAATACATAAGCTAAAAACTGATAGAACTGCAAGAAGAAATAGACACATCTGTTCATATGGCTGGAAATGTCAATACCTCTCTATAATAAATGGACAAATTCAGCCAGTAGAAAATCAGTAAAGACATACTTGAACTCAACAACACTATCAATCAGCAAGATATTATTGATCTCTATAGACTCCTTCATCCCACAACAGCAGAATACACATTCTTCTCAAGCTCACATGGGACACTCCCCAAAACAGACTACATTCTGGGCCATAAAACACACATTAACAAATTTAAAACAATAGAAATCATCATACATTTTTTTTTGCAAACCAAAATAGAATTAAACTAGAAATCAATAACAAAGACAGTTGGAATATTCCAGAATACTTGGAGAATAAACAGCACACTTATAAATAACACAAGAGTCAAAAAAGAAATCTCAAGGGAGATTTTTAAATATTTTGAACTGAAGAAACAAAAAACGCAACTTATCAACATTTGTGAAATTCAGCAAAAGCAGTGCTTAGAGGGAAATTTATAGCATTGAATGCATATATTAGAAAAGAAGTAAGATCTAAAATTAATAATCTAATCTTATACCTTAGAAAAACACAAAAATAAGAGAAAAGCCCAAAGTAAACACAAAAGTCCAAAGTAAGTGCAAGAAAAGAAACAATATGAAAAAGATCAAAACTGATAAACTTCTAGTCAGACGAAGGAGAAAAAGAGAAAAGACACAAATTACTAATATCAGAAATTAGACAGAGGGTGTCACTACAGATGTCATTGACAGTAAAAGGATAATAAGAGAATATTATTAATAACTCTATAACTACAAATTTTATAACCTAGTGGAAATGAACCAATTCCTGTAAAGACACAATCTGTCAAAACTCGAAAAAGAAGAAACAGACAATCTGAATAGGTCAGATGGGTTCACTGGTGAATTCTATCAAATACTTAAGAAAGAAATTATACCAATTTTTAACAATCATTTTCAAAAGATAGAAGCAGAGGCAATACTTCTTAACTTATTCTATGGGCCCAGCATCACCTCAATACAAAAACCAGACAAAGATATTGCAAGTAAACTGTGCACTAACGTGTCTCATGAGAATTAGTGCAAAAATTCTCAACAAAATATTAGCAATTCAAATCCAACAATATATAAAAAGAATTATACACCACAACCAAATGGGATTTGTCTCAGGTACGCAAGGCTGATTCAATATTAGAAAATCAATTAACTTAATCCATCAAATTAACAGGCTAAAAAAATAGGCGATAATGACAATAGAGGCAAAAAATGCATTTGACAAACTCCAACATCTCCAACTTTCCTGATAAAAATCTTCAGTAAACTAGAAATGAAAGAGAATTTTTTTATCTTCATAAACAGTATCTACAAAAAAATCTACAAAAAAACATCAACTTAAAGGAGAGATACTTACTCTCCCACTAAGATCAGGAATAAGGCAAGGATGTCCCCTGTCACCACTCCTTTTCACCATAGTACTGGAAGTTCTGGCTAATGCAATAAGACAAGAAAATACAATGAAAAGTACACTGATTGGGGAGGAAGAAATAAAGATGTCTTGGGGAGGAAGAAATAAAGATGTCTTTGTTCACATACAACATGATTGTCTATGTAGAAAATCCAAGAGAATAAACAAAAATGCTCTTAGAATAGCAATTATAGCAAGTCTGAAGGATGCAAGGTTAATATACAAAAGTCATCACTTTCCCTAAATACTAGAAATAAACAAGTGGAATTTGAACTTAAAAATACAATACCATTTACATGAGCACACAAAAAAATAAAATACTTAGGTATAAATCTAACAAAATAAATACAAAATCTATATGAGGAAAACTACAAAACTAAGGAAATCAAAGAACTAAGTAAATGGAGAAATGTTTTATGTTCATGGAAGGAAATCTCAATATTGTCAGGATGTCAGTTTTTCCAAACTTGATATATAGATTCAACATAATACAATCAAAATTCCAGCAAATTATAATGTAGATATTGACAAACTGATTCTAAAGTTTATATGGTGAGGCAAAAACTCAGAATAACCAATACAAAATTGAAGAACAAAGTTAGAGGACTGACACTACCCACTACCTTGTTTTTTTACTATAAAGCTATAGTAATTAAGACAGTGTGGTATTGGGAAAAGAATAAACAGATCAATTGAACAAAATAGAAAACCCAGAAAGAGGCCCAGATAAATACAGGCAAACCTCATTTTATTGTGCTTTGCTTTATTTATTGTGCTTCACAGATACCGGTTTTCTTTTTTTTTTTTTTTTTTTGGTTTTGTTTAGTTTGTTTGTTTTTTGAGATGGAGTCTCACTCTATCACCCAGGCTGGAGTGCAGTGGTGCAATCTAGGCTCACTGCAACCTCTGTCTGCCAGGTTCAAGTGATTTCTCCTGCCTCAGCCTCTGAGGGCTGGGATTACAGGCATGCACCATCATGCCCAGCTAATTTTTTGTATTTTTAGTAGAGATGGGGTTTCACCATGTTGGCCATGCTGGTCTTGAACTCCTGACCTCAAATGAGCTGCCCCCCTTGGCCTCCCAAAGTGCTGGGATTACAGGTGTGAACCACTGTGCCCAGGGCCTTTTTTTTTTTTTAAACAAAATTGAAGGTTGGTGGCAATTCTGCATCAAGCAAGTCTATTGGCACCATTTTTGCAACATGTATTCACTTCATGTTCCTATATACATTTTGGAACATGTATTCACTTCATGTTCCTGTACACATTTTGGTAATTCTTAAAATATTTCAACCATTTTCATTATTATGAGATATGCTATGGTGATCTGTGATCAGTGATTTTTGATGTTACTGTTATAATTGTTTCAGAGTGCCGTGAACCCTGCCCATATAAGACAGAGAATTAATTGATAAATATGTATGTTCTGACTGCTCTGCCAATGGACCATTGCCCTGTCTCTCTCCCTTTCTTTGGGCCTCCAATATTGTTGTATTCAGATACAACAATATTGAAATTAGGCCAGTTACAAACCTTACAATGATCTCTAAGTTTTCAAGTAAAGGGAAGAGTCACATGTCTCACTTTAAACCCCAAACTATAAGTGATTAAGCTTAGTGAGAAAGGCATATCACCAGCTAAGATAGACTGAAAGCTAGGCCTCTTTCACCAAACAGTTAACCAGGTTGTGAATGCAAAGAAAATATTCTTGAAGGAGATTAAAAGTGCTACTCCAGTGAACACACAAATGATAAAGAAGTGAAGTAGCCTTATTACTGATATACAGAAAGTTTTATAGGTCTAAAAAGAAGATCAAACCAGCCTAACGGTCCCTTCAGCCAAAGCCTAATCCACAGCAAGGCCCTAACTCTCTTTAATTCTGTGAAGGCTGAGAGAATTGAGAAAGCTACAAAAGAAATGTTGGAAGCTAGCAGAGGTTGGTTTGCAAGGTTTAAGGAAAAAAACTGTCTCCATGACATAAAAGTGTCAGCAAGTGCTGACATAGAAGCTGCAGCAAATTATCCAGAAAATCTAGCTGATATAATTGATGAGGTAGTTACATTAAATACTGATTTCAGTGTAGACAAAACAGCCTTATATTGGAAGAAAATGCCATCTAGGACTTTCATACCTCATGATAAGTCAATGCCTAGCTTCAAAGCTTTGAAGGACAGGCCGACTCTCTTGTTGAGGTTAATGCAGCTAGTGACTTGACGCTGAAGCCATGCTCATTTGCTATTCCAAATATTTTAGGGCCCTTAAGAATTATGCTAAATCTACTCTGCCTGTGCTCTATAAATGGAATAACAAAGCCTAGATGACAGCACATCTATTTACAGCATGGTTTCCTGAATATTTTAAGCCCATTGTTGAGGCCTACTGCTCAGAATAAAAGATTCATTTTAAAATATTACTGTTTATTGACAATGCACCTTGTCACCCAAGAGCTTTGATGGAGATATACAAAGACATTAATGTTGTTTTCATGCCTCCTAACCACAGTATCTATTCTGCAACCCATGGATCAAGGAGTAATTTCAACTTTCCAGTCTTATTATGTAAGAAATATATTTTGTAAGGCTATGGTTGACATAAATAGTGATTCCTCTCATGGATCTGGACAAAGTAAATTGAAAACTTTCTGGAAAGGATTCACCATTCTAGATGTCATTAAGAATGTCTGTGATTTACTAAGGCAGGCAGATCGCTTGAGCTAAGGAGTTCAAGAACAGCCTGGGCAAGATAGCAAGGCCCCATCTCAATTTTTTGAAAAAGAATATCTGTGATGTATGGGAGGAGATCAAAATAGCAACATTAACAGGAGTTTAGGGTTGGGTGCGGTGGCTCACACCTGTAATCCCAGCACTTTGGGAGACCAAGGTGGGAGGATCACTTGAGCCCAGGAGTTTGAGATCAGCCTAAGCAACAAAGCAAGGCCCTGTCTCTTCAAAAAAGATGTAAAAATTAGCCAGGCATGATGGTGTACTCCTGTAGTCCTAGAGACTTGGGACGTTGAGACAGGAGTATCACTTAAGCCCAGGAGTCTGAGGCTGCAGTGAACTATGATTGCACCACTGCATTCCAACCTGGGTAACAGAGAAATACTCTATCTCTAAAATAATAATAATAATAAAAACACACCAGAGTTTAGAAGTTGATTCCAACCCTCATGGATGGCTTTGAGGGATTCAAGACTTTAGTAGAGGAAGAATGCAAGACCCTCCTAGATTAAACCAGGAAGATACAGAGTCTCTGGACAGACCGATAGCAAGCAGCGAGATTGAAATTGTAATTTTAAAATTGCCAAAAAAAAAAAAAATCAGGACCAGATGAATTCACAGCTAATTTTATCAGACTTTCAGAGAATAATAGGTACCCAATCCTATTCACACTATTGCAAAAGACAGAGAAAGAAGGAATCCTCCCTAAATTATTATATGAAGCCAGTATCACCCTAATACCAAAAGAAGGGAAGGACATAAGAAAAAAAGGGAATTACAGACCAATATCCCTGGTGAACATAGATGCAAAAATCCTCAACAAAATACTAGCAAACTGAATCCAACAGCATATATCAGAAAGATAATACATCATGATCAAGTGGGTTTTATACCAGGGATGCAGGGATGGTTTAATATATGCAAGTCAATATATATGACTTGTAAAACAAGTTAAAAATTAAAAATTAAAATCTTTTTACATTTTTAATTTTAATTTTGGATTAACTTAAATTAAAATTTTTAATTTTAATTTTAATTAAAAATTAAAAACAAAAATCACATGATCATCTCAATAGTTTCAGAAAAAGCATTAGACAAAATCCAGCATCCCTTTATGATTAAAACTCTCAGCAAAATAGGAATACAAGGGACATACCTTAATGTAATATAAGCCATCTATCACAAACCCACAGCCAACATAATACTGAATGGGGAAAAGTTGAAAGCATTCCCTCTGAGAACTAGAACAAGACTAGGATGCTCACTCTTACCACTCCTGTTCAACACAGTACTGGAAGTCCTGGCCAGAGCAATCAGACAAGAGAAAGAAAGAAAGGGCATCCAAATCGGTAAAGAGGAAGTCAAACTGTCACTGTTTGCTGATATGATCGTTTACCTTGAAAACCGTAAAACCTCCTCCAGAAAGCTCCTAGAACTGATAAAAGAATTATCCAGTTTCCAGATACAAGTTTCCAGATACAAAATTAATGTACACAAATCAGTAGCTCTTCTATACACCAACAGCGACCAAGCAGAGAATCAAATGAAGAACTCAACCCCTTTTACAATAGCTGCAAAAAAAATACTTAGGAATATACCTAATCAAGGAGTCGAAGTATCAACATAACTTTTATATGTACTTGGAAACCAAAATACGTGTGTGACTCACTTTATTGCAGTATTCACTTTGTTGGAGTGCTCTAGAACCAAACCAACAATATCTCTGAGGTATGCCTGCATAGTCAACTGGTATTTCACAAAAGGCCACAGGCAATACAATGAAGAAAAACTTGTCTTTTTAACAAATGGTGCTGGAACAAGTGGGTATCCACGTGCAAAACCTAAAAGACAAATGAAGACTGATTTTAAACTCTTCAGACAAATTAAGTCACAATGGATCACAAACCTAAACGTAAAATGCAAAATTGTCGAGGGCTGGGCGCGGTGGCTCACGCCAGTCATCCCAGCACTTTGGGAGGCAGAGGCGGGTAGATCATGAGGTCAGAAGATCGAGACCATCCTGGCTAACACAGTGAAACCCCATCTCTACTAAAAATACAAAAAATTAGGCGGGGCTTGCAGTGAGCCAAGATCGTGCCACTGCACTCCAGCCTGGGCGACAGAGAGAGACTCTGTCTCAAAAAAATAAATAAATTTTTAAAAATGCAAAATTGTAAAACTCCTAGAAGATAACAGAGGAGAACATCTAGATTACCTTGGATTTGGTGATGACTTTTAAAATGTAACACCAAAGGCATGCTCCATGAAAAAAAGAATAGATATGCTAAATATCATTAATATTAAAAATTTCTGCTCTGTGAAAGACTGTCAAGGGAATGGAAAGACAAGCCATAGACTGGGAGAAAATATTTGCAGAAGACCTATCTGATAAAAGACTGCTATCTTAAAAGGTGGAATATAAATGATATTTTCTTACAGTGTAATTTTCAAAAACAAAAACTATTTTGTCCTGGAGGCAGAAAGGAAAGAAAGAAGGTATTCTTGGAATGAAGGATGAGAATGGACTTCAAGGAGAAGGTGGCATTTACTCTGGTAACAAGCATTTAGATAGCCAGAACCAGAAATGGAAAGAAGAGAAGTGAAAATACTTCTAGTAACAAAAAGGTCTGTAACAGAGAAGAAAGAGTTAGTTATTAGAAGAAACTTGTAACTTCATTTATTTATTATTTGTATGACAACTCACTCCTGAAAATATTTGAGGCGGTTTAAAAGAATATGTATGAAATTAATGAAACAAGAATAAGATTCATTCATTCAAAAAACGGTTAGTAAGCACCTCACATGTGTCATGCTAGAAGAAGAAAAAAATCTCTGCCCCTGTGAATTTTACAATCTAGTGTAAGAGACTCACAATAGACACAAAAATAAATACATAAACAAATCTGTAATGCTATGAAGAAATGTAAAGCAGAGAAAAAGAGAAAGAGAGTGACTAGGGTAGAGAGGGACATGCTGTTTCAGATAAATTGATCAAAGAATGCCTTACTGACTGGGCAACTTTTGAGCAGAGACCTGAATAAAATAAGGAAATGAAATTTGAACATGTCATGGAGTCAAGGCAATTGGGCTTCTTCTATCATGGTTTGAGGCTCACAGAAATGTTTCTGGAAGCGCAGGTAAAAGCTGCAAGATTTCTTAAGAACTAGCTAAAGAACACAAAAAATTTCACTTCCATCTCATTCTAGTGGACCAGCAAGACATTAAGGCCAGCCTAGATTAAAAGAGAAAAGAATTACTCTCCACTTTGCAATAGCAGAAGTAGGAAGAATTTGTAATGATCCTTCATACTCCAGAGTTGTACAGAAGCTTCTAATTAGGTTGACACATCTTTTTCTAAAGAAATTATCCAGGGCCAGGCACAGTGGCTCACACCTGAAATCCAAGCACTTTGGGAGGCCAAGGTGGGTGGATCACTTGAGCCCAGAAGTTTGAGACAGGACTAGGTAACATAGTGAAACCCTGTCTCTACAAAAAAATACAAAAATTAGCGTGATGGCATGCACCTGTAGTCTCAGCTACTCGGGAGGCTAAGAAGGGAGAATCACCCAAGCTGTGGGATGTGGAGGATGCAGTAAGCCACGATTGCGCCACTGCACCCCAGCCTGTGTGACCGAGTCAGACCCTGTCAAAAAAAAAAAGAAAAGAAAAAACAGATGGTCTAACAGCAGAAGTCAACAAACAGTGCCCAAGCAAAATATAACCAGCGGGCCAAATCCACCCTGATATGTTTTGTAAATAAAGTTGTATCAGAACACAGAAATACCCATTTATTTACAGATAGTCTGTGGCTACTCTCTTACTTCAAGGGTAAAGTTGAATAGTTGCAACAGAGACTACATAGCCTGCAAAAGTGAAAATGCTCACTATCTGACCCTTCATACAGAGTTTGTTGGCCCCTGGTCTACAGGAAAGCAATCATGCCATTTCTCAATCATTCCACATAGTTCCCTAGTAATTTTACTTTTGATCTTAGCTACAAGTCCCTATAAATAATTAACTCTGCTTTGAGTAAATCAAAGTTAAAGAAGATTTCCAAAATGAAAACTAATATCTAAGCAAAAACCATGTGCCTCAATAAGAACAATAAACGTACTGATCAAATCACACCAAATGTAGAGCCAACTGAAGCAGAATGCAGAGAAACAGGTGCTCTTCACACCACCAGGAGAATCAGGCAGCTAATCCACTACAACTTTCATCAATTTTGTGTTTGTTGCTTAAATTTAAAAGAGGTTGGGTGTGGTGGCTCATGCCTGTAATCCCAGCCTTTGAGAGGCCGAGGAGAGCAGATCACTTGAGGTCAAGAGTTCAAGACCAGACTGGCCAACAAGGTGAAACCCCCATCTCTACTGAAATACAAAAATTAGCTGGGTGCAGTGGTAATCCCAGCTACTGGGGAGGCTGAGGCAGGAGAATCGCTTGAACCGAGCAGGTAGAGTCTGCAGTGAACTGAGATCCCACCACTGCACTCCAGCCTGGGTGACAGAGTGAGACTCCATCTCAAAAAAAAAAAAATTATATAATGGACTTTGGGGACTCGTGGGGGAAGAATGGGAGGGGGATGAGGGATAAAAGACTACACGTTGGGTACAATGTACACTGTTTGGTTGACAAGTGCACCAAAATCTCGGAAATCACCACTAAAAACTTATCCATGTAACAAAAGACTACCTGTTCCCAAAAGCTACTGAAATAAAATACAATTTAAAAAAGCACATTTTAAGATGTTAAATGTAAATACAAATCCAAAGTGAGCAGTGAAGTCTTTAAAAACAATAAATAGCTTAAATGTAAAGCATGAAGGTAAAAAATAACCATAAAAGACATTAAATGTGTTTAATATAACATACAATAATACAATTTTAAATAAGATAAAAGTAAGGACAATATAACAAATGAAAATAAAGCTAGATTTCAAAGTAAGGAATTAGGAATAAAAAACGTTTTAAATTATAAATAATAAAATGAGTAACTAATGCAAGAGATAAAGAGTAAAACAGAAAAACAAAGAAGCAAATAAGAATAAACAGCATAAACAATTAGAGACAAGAATTAGAAAATTAAATACAATTTTAAGAAAATATATAAAAAGATATTTGAAGCAGGAAACTTAAAAGCTAGCAAAGTCACTAAATGGGCTGCAAATAGGATAAAAGCACTTTGGGAGGCCAAGGTGGGTGGATCACCTAAGGTCAGGAGTTTGAGACCAGCCTGGCCAACATGGTGAAACCCCATCTCTATGAAAAATACAATTAGCTGGATGTGGTGGCGCATGTCTGTAATCCCAGCTACTCAGGAGGCTGAGGCAAGAGAATTGCTTGGACCTGGGAAGGGGAGGTTGCAGTGAGCCGAGATTGTGCCATTGCACTCCAGCCTGGGCAACGAGAGCAAAACTTTCTCTCAAAAATAAAAAATAAAAAATAAAAATAAATAAAAGAATAATTAAAGCAGTATGCAACAATTTGTTAACATTATTTTTATTAGTCAGGGTTCTCTAGAGGGACAGGACTAATAGGATAGATGCATATATGAAAGGGAGTTTATTAAGGAGTATTGATTCACACAGTCACAAGGTAAAGTCTCACAATAGGCCATCTGCAAGCAGAGGAGCAAGGAGGCCAGTCCGAGTCCCAAAACCTCATAAGTAGGGAAGCCAACAGTGCAGCCTTCAGTCTGTGGCCGAAGGCCTGAGACACCCTGGCGAACCACTTGTGCAGGTCCAAGAGTCCAAAAGCTGAAGAAATTGGAGTCTGATGTTTCAGGGCAGGAAGTATCCAGCACGGGACAAAAATAGAAGCTAGAAGAGTTAGCCAGTCTAGTCCTTCCACATTCCTCTGCCTGCCTTTATCCTAGCCTCGCTGGCAGCTGATTAGATGGTGCCCACCCAGACCGAAGGTAGGTCTGCCTCTCCCAGTCCACTGACTCAAATGTTAATCTCCTTTGGCAACACCCTCACTGACACACCCAGAAACAATACTTTGCATCCTTCAATCCAACCAAGTTGACACTCAATATTAACCATCACAATATTCAAATACAGGACTATAAAACATTTTTTTTTGAGACAGAGTCTCACGCCTGTCGCCCAGGATGTAGTTTAGTAGTGTGATCACAGCTCACTGCAGCCTCGACCACCTGGGCTCAAGAAATTCTCCCACCTCAGCCTCCTGAGTAGCTGGTACCACAGGTATGCACCACCATGCTTGGCTAATTTTTGTATTTTTGGTGAAGATAGGGTCTTGCTATGTTGCCCAGGGTGGTCTCAAACTCCTGGGTGACAGAAGGAGACTCCATCTGAAAAAATAAATAAATAAAATAACATAAAAGTAAAGTAAACAGCAGCTGCATAAAGGACGAATGTATTTAATATAAAATCAGAGGTTTAGGGCTGTCCCCAAGATCTATGTGAGTCAGAAGATCACAATTCTGACCTGCTGTACCCTCTGTAGGTTCACAGAACACAAACCACTTTAACAATTCTGGCCCTGGCTCTCGAGATCACAGCTCAGTGATGATGCCTCTTCTTGGCGGTGTCAGAGCATCCCAGTAGAATAGGAAATGCCCAGTTTTGCCCCTCACCTTTGTTGCCTTGTGGACCACTGGACTTATTATCGGACCTCCTTGCTCAAGCAGTCCTCTGCAAACTCTGAATGCAAAAGCTCCTGGCTACGATCTCCAGGTAAAATACAGGAAACCCAGTTAAATTTGAATTTCAGACAAAAGAAATATTTCCCAAATATTGCATTGAACATACTTGTATTAAAAATATGTTTGTTTTTAATCTGAAATTCAAATTTAACTGGGTATTGTCTATTATTATTTGCTAAACCTGGCTACCCTCCTTGAAATCCAAATGGCTCTGGCCATCCCAGGCACACCCCAGCCAACACTGAAGGTAAGGAAATCAATATTTCTTTAAATACCTGTAACTCATTTTCTCTGTGCATCTTTGGGGAAATGCTGTTGCTGGATTTGATATTGTCAATTCCTTCAGTCCTTTTGAAACTTTTCTCTGCTTTTCTTGACATATCATTTTTATTTTACTTCTTATATCCGACCAATCTTTCCCTGGATTCTAATTCTTCTCCCACTCTCTAAATCAGGGGTTAGTCCACATTTTCTGCAAAAGGTCAGATGGTAAATACTTTAGGCTTTGAGGGCCACACAGGTGGCTATCACAACTACTGCACTCCCCTTTGGTAGCCATTGACAATATATAAGTGAAACAGCATGGCTGTGTTCTAATAAAACTTTATTTATGCAAAGAGGTGGTAGGTCAAATTTCCCACAGCCAGAATTTGTCAAGCCCTGCTCTAAATGCAGGTGTGCCTGGATCTGTTCTTGCCTCTCTTCTGTGTTCACCCTCTTGTCACTCTCATTCAGTTACATGACAGACCACCTACCCCTTGTATTTCAGTGATGTTCAAATCTGCATCTCAAACTCTGACTGTCCTCCCAGCCTCAGGCTTGTATTCCAAAATGTGTAAGACAATAAACTCTTCCTGAATGTCCTATAGACACTTCAAATTCGCTAAGCATAGCTTCCCTCCCAAACCATCCCCTGTTCCTCCTCCATGCTTTCTATTTCTGCTAATGGAAGTACTATCCTTCTGGTCAACCCAGCTCAAAATTTCTACAGGAGTTTAGTGCCTCCCTTTCCCAAGGTGCTTATATTCATTCAGTTGACAAACTCTGTAAATTCAACACATTTTGCCATACTTGTGTCTCCTTTCATTTCCTTCCACCAAGGGGAAGTTCTCTGTACCTGTCACTTGGCCCACTGCAATAACATCCAAGTGGACTACTAGATACCAGCATCTGTACCTTCTAGCCAAATTTCACCAATGCAATCAGATTGGCCTTTCCTTAGAATGGCTCTGATTTTTCTCTTTGTTTCTCAAAACCTTCTGAAGGCCTCCTAATGCTTTTGTGTTGAAGTCCAGGTTCCTTAGCCTGACATTAAACATTCTCTGTGAGCCACCTCCACCCTAACGATCCAACAGTTCAATTTTCATACTATTAACAGCAGTCAAAGGGAAATTTGTGCATCTCCCCAGCCACCCAAGCACTTTCTTATCCCGTTAAGTTTCTCATGCTTTGGTTTTTCCTTGCCCTGCCCAACCCACAGTCACCCAATTCCTATCCACATTGGAGAGCTCAGCTTGAATGGTGTCTCTTCCACAAAGCCAACCCAACCTTCCAGCTGGAAGAAATGCAATCATATTCAGAACTCCTCCTGCAGTTAAGAGTGTTCCTCTCTTACAACTATTATAATTTTATACCTTGTGCCACACTTAGTTCCTGCCCTGTCTCTCCTTACACATTGCTAACAACCTGGAAACAGATTCTATGAATTCTTCTTACTTATCCTCAAAGCAATTAACAAAAACCCTTACAAACTTTTCATATTTGGTGTTTAATACCTACTTGATAAATAAATAAGAAACAGAATATTCATATTCTGTATACCAAAAAAGGCTGTGTGAGAGTGTATGTATGTGAGTGTGTGGGGGGGGGCGGGGAGAAAGAGAGAGAGAGAGCACGAGAGAGACTCTAGATCACCAGTTTATTTTAACCCTTACTTGTTGCCACCTTCCTTTGTCATTGAAGGGGAGGGGTGAAAGAACATGAGGTATACACTACTTTAAATCCAAATCAGCAACCTAAAAATTATTTATAAAAAATACAACCTTATATCCTGCTGATGCCCATAATTGTTGGTTTTTATGTTTTTAGTTATCTGTGTATTTGTCTTGTGTAATTTGGGTTCTGATGATTACAGTTCTTCTAAGATCATACAGAAAGAGTCAATAATTTTTTTTTTTTTTTTTTTTTTTTTTGAGACGGAGTCTCGCTCTGTCACCCAGGCTGGAGTGCAGTGGCACGATCTCGGCTCACTGCAAGCCCCGCCTCCCGGGTTCACGCCATTCTCCTGCCTCAGCCTCCCGAGCAGCTGGGACTACAGGGGCCCGCCACCACGCCCGGCTAATTTTTTGCATTTTTTTTAGTAGAGACGGGGTTTCACCGTGTTAGCCAGGATGGTCTCGATCTCCTGACCTCGTGATTCGCCCGCCTCGGCCTCCCAAAGTGCTGGGATTACAGGCGCGAGCCACCGCGCCCGGCCAAGAGTCAATAATTTTTAAAGCTATCATTTCTCATTTGCCCTGTGCCAGGCACTGTGCCAGTGGTCTGCATGCCTTCTCATCTGAAATGTGTCCCACAGCCCTCAGAGGTAGATTGTCTTCCTTCATTACAGATGAGAAAGCTGAGGCTCGGAAAGGTACAGGAGGTTTATAAAGAGCAAAGTCAGACTTCACCCCAGATCCACCTAATCAAAGCCTGTATTTATATGCTGCTTCTCACAGGAAAAATAACTATTGATCTCAAAGGAAGGACTCTCGGCTATAGTATGTGTGTGGTTTCCACCACATGCGTATTAAGAAACGGATAACTGAGGCAGAGTAGTAGTCAGGGGTAGATCAGGAACTAGGAATCATACCAGTTGCTCTAACAGAGAGAATTTAACATACAACTTTAACTAGGTATAAAGTCATAACTAGATAATGTAAAAAGCAGAACAAGGACCCCAAGTTATTGAGAAGGTGATGACTGAAAGAAGCAGCTACCACTAGTAGGGTTGGGCGGGGGGAGGCATTGAGTAACAAAAGGAAGAGGTTGGAGATACTAAAACTTAGAAGCCTAAAGGAGGGGCCTCATGGAGCTGTAACTCAGCTCCTGTCCCAACTGAAAAGATGCGCCCTGGTTAGCTAGTGCTGGGAAAAAAAAAAAAAAGAAGAATTCAGCTATTCCTACAGGAAGAAACTTCTGCTACCAGGGAGCAGCATTGTTGGGGAGATACTCATAGGAACACAAGGCAGACAGGAACAAATCCCTTCTTCCTCGTCCAGCCCCTCTAGTGACTCCGATTGATTGAGAGTCATAGAGAAGCAGTTGACAACACAGGAATACAGCTTGCAGAATCCCAGCCCCAGCATCACAAAGATACAGCGCACAGAAGGGTGGGTTTGGAAGTGAGAAGCAATAACTTAAGTGGCACGGGAAGGATAAATACGAAGAGAAATCTATTGAAATGTGACATCTGTGAGCTTGGGAATGAAGTCAAATAGGCCAAGATAAGCAATATGGGGCAGTTCTCTTGCCTATTAAAAATAAAAGCCTCTACGTGGAGACCTGGGGAAAGTAAAAGAAAGAAGATGTGAATAGATGTCTTGACTTCAAAAATCAAATAACAGCTCAAGAAAACAGCAAGACAAATTACCTGTGATCTTGAGGACACAAAAAAAAGAGTAAAATTACCATAATTGGTAAAGTGCTGTTAATTCAGACCCCAGGGAATGTATAATGCCATCGTTTCACACTAGAGGTCACCCCCAGTAAGAAAATATAATTGTATCATCCTTTATTGTCCCCCTGTAGCTGTTACAATATTGGAGAGCTGATCCTTATTGTAAAGTGATTGGATTTTTATGAGACGGACATGCTAGGCAGCTTTCTAGTCAAGTAAAATACTGCGTTAAACAGAATTCAGTTTCTTACTTTAGTGAGCAGATATATTGACTGTATAGTACAGGAAATGATATTTATTACGTGCAATCACTGACCTATTTCTAAGTTATCAACTTTAATCAGAGGTAGATCAACCCTGTTGTTAAGATACAATACGTTGTATATATAGATGGGTAATAGGCATTATTTTTTAATTGGAAAAATACTGCTTCATACCGATGAAAAGTAAGAATTTCATGTGAGAATACTACATGAAATAATTACACCAAATATTTTAACAAATTCATTAATCTTAGAGTTTATTGCATTAAAGACACAGTTTAGAAAATTAAAATTTCTTTCTGTATCATTTTGTGGCAAATTATGATGATTCAAGGGTATCTCTTAGAAATGGCATTCGTTAAAACCATTAATGGGGGGAGGATCTTTGATAAGTACAGAATTCCCATATTTGAAAACTTTTGAATGTACTAAAAATGAGTTGATCATGCTCTAACAAAATCATACATTAATATGACATACACCACTTTTACTTTATCTCCTTGTCAAAGCTCCTTTGATACTTGTACCTTCAGCCTTCACTACCCACTAACCCTCTTTTTTGTTGTTGTTTTGCTGTTGTTTGTTTGTTTGCTGTTCCTACCAGTATTCTGGTCTTTCTACATTATTCCTTCAAAATTTCAAAACCTGACTTTTTTCTTTATACCTTACTTCAGTTGCCATTCTTGGAGACATCAATAGCCCTGTCATGTTAACCATCCAAGAGCAGAGCCCCTCAGACCCTTGGCTCCCTCGCTCGCACATGATCTTCTCTTGCACCCCATTTCAGCCACCAACTCGCAAGGCCACAGCCTTTTCCTTGTTATCAAATAAATACATCTCCTTCAAAAACTTCTTCCACCACCACTGCTTGTCCTTCTAGTGCTCTTATAGAGAAATAGACATATAGGTATACCTACATATATATTTATTACATTGTATTTTATTATTATATTCTTTTATCCTACTATTCTTTAGCCTCACTAATACATCTAACCCACTGATTCATTGCTTTTTCACAATCCGTCACTTCTCATGCTGTGAGAAGTTCTCCTGTTGAAGCTTCCCAGCATGCTCTGCCGAGACCCCGTGATCTAGAATTATAGTCACTCACTTGCTACCTGCTCCACTCGCTTGCCCCACTTTCCTTCTACTAGTTCCTCTGGATAAACTCCAACCTCAGTTAACTCACGCCATCTCTCTATTCTGTGGTTTTCTCCAGAAAGCTGAATGATACCAGGAAAAAACACAGAGCCATGCTGTCAGGTCTAAATTTGAAAATCATAATGAGAATTATTTGAAAATTATAACCAGAAAATCAAAGGGTCTCTTAACAATCCAAACATACTTCTCTGATATATTTGCTCACTCATCAAAATAGGGTTTTAATTTCTTCACTCCCCTCAAATCTCCAACACCACTATTCTCCCCCAACAAACACAGACACTCATGTTCTCAGCTAATAATGTTGCCTCATAGTTGATTGAGAAAGTGGAAGGTACTAACAGGAAACTGCCTCCATTTACCACCACCACAGCTGCTGCCATCCCTATATCTGTTCGCACAGCTTCTGGCTTTCCCTCCATTACAATGAAGTGTCCTTCCCTATCTAGCCCTCCACCGGGCCAAAGACCCCACCTCCCTCCAACTTTTTATAATATCCATTCATTTCCTGGTGTGATGGTTAATATTAGGTGTCAACTTGACTAGGGTGAGGTACGCCTAGATGGCTGGTGAAGCATTGTTTCCGGGTGTGTCTGTGAGGGTATAGCCAGAGGAGACTGACATTTGAGTCAGTGGACTGGAAGAGGAAGACTCACCCTCAATGTGGGTGGGCACCATCTAATCAGCTGCCAGCGTGGCTAGAAGGAAGCAGGATGAAAAAAGGGATACACAGCCTGCTTGTGGGGGTTGGGGGAGTGGCATTGTTTTCTTTCACTTCTGCCCTTGGACATCAGACTCATGGCCAGGTTCATCGGCCTTTGGACTCTGGGACTTGCACTGGCAGCCTCTCAAGGACTCTTGGGCCATTGACCTCATACTGAGGGCTGCACTGTCAGCTTCTCTGGTTGTGAGGCTTCTGGACTGGGACTGACTCACTCTAGCTGCTTCTCTCTTTTCCTAGCTTGTAGACAGTCTATCGTGGGACTTTGCCTTGTAATTGTGTAAGCCAGTTCTCCCTAATAAACTCCCTTTCATATATACGTATATCCTATTGTTTCTGTCTCTCTGGAGAACCCTCACTAATAACACACATGGTGATCAATTTCTCCGTCTCTACTGAATATATATGTTCTCCACATCTTCATTACGTCCCACTGACATCCATCTCCATTGACCCTCACTCAATCTCCATTGACTCCATGGTCCACTTCCAGTTTCTGGAGTATTTCTCTGCTCCTTTTCATAGAAAAAAAAAGTCTTGATGGCTTCTTTACAGTCCCAGTCTTCACTTCTTGTCATACCATCTCTCCTTAGCCCATTATCTTTCCTACACAATCTACTCTTCTTCCCAAGGTCATGGGTAACCATCACTGAAGTCCACCATGTTCCCAAATTTATTTGGCATTTACATTTCTTTGCCTTACATTCTTGGCAAGGCTAGTCACTGTTCACCACTCAATCTTTCTAAAAACACAACTTAATTTTTGTGACTTTACATTTTGCTGTTTTTCATCCTTATCATGAACCATGTCTTCCAAGTCTCTTTTTCTGCATAGCCTACCCCCGTTCAGTTCAAATTTGCAAAGTTGGAGTACCCCAGGGCCCCTCCAAGCACCACTGTTCTCCATTTACAGTGTTTTTCATGTGAGCATTTATATATTCCCATGGTTTTAACTACCATCCATGTGGAAGACTCAAGTTTGTATCTCCATCACTGAGCTCTCCATTGAGCTGTAAACTCTAAACTGTATTTAGTGTAATTCTATCCTGAAATATCTAATCATCTAATCATCTTACTAACCAGTTACAATCATCATTATTACCTGCAGGAATGTTCCGATCTACCTGGTTGCTTTGCTTTCACAAAAAATTCAAACTATCTTCTGAAACATAAATCCTTTCATGTTACATAACACATACCCAATACACACACACACTTAAAACCCATCATTTGCTTCTCTTTGCATTTAGAATAAAATCTAAAGCCCTTAACACTGCCTACAAGAACCAGAGACATTACCTAGTTCCACCTTTCCAGACTCAGGACCTATCACTCTCTCCCCAGCTCTTTATACTCCAGCACCAGTATCGGGGTAGCCTGCACCCAAAAGTCACGTAGGTTGTTTTCTATTTTCCCTAAGTGTCAGCTGGTCTGAGAAATAAAGGAAAGAGTACAAAAGAGAGAAATTTTAAAGCTGGGTGTCCGGGGGAGACATCACATGTCAGCAGGTTCCGTGATGCCACCTGAGCCGTAAAACCAGCAAGTTTTTATTAGTGATTTTCAAAAGGGGAGGGAGGGTACGAATAGGGTGTGGGACACAGAGATCACAAGCTTCACAGGGTAATAAGATATCACAAGGCAAATGGAGGCAGGGCAAGATCACAGGACCACAGGCCCGGGGCGAAATTAAAATTGCTAATGAAGTTTCGGGCACGCATTGTCATTGATAACATCTTATCAGGAAACAGGGTTTGAGAGCAGACAACCGGTCTGACCAAAATTTATTAGGTGGGAATTTCCTTGTCCTAATAAGCCTGGGAGCACTATGGGAGACCGGGGCTTATTTCATCCCACCACTGTGACTGTAAAAGACAGCTGCCCCCAAAGCAGCCATTTCAGAGGCCTACCCTCAGGGACACATTCTCTTTCTCAGGGATGTTCCTTGCTGAGAAAAAGAATTCAGCGATATTTCTCCCATTTGCTTTTGAAAGATGAGAAATATGGCTCTGTTCCGCCCGGCTCACCAGCAGTCAGAGTTTAAGGTTATCTCTCTTGTTCCCTGAACATTTCTGTTATCCTGTTCTTTTTTCAAGGTGCCCAGATTTCATATTGTTCAAACACACATGCTCTACAAACAATTTGTGCAATTAACACAATCATCACAGGGTCCTGAGGCGACATACATCCTCCTCAGCTTTCGAAGATGACAGGATTAAGAGATTAAAGTAAAGACAGACATAGGAAATCACAAGGGTATTGATTGGGGAAGTGATAAGTGTCCATGAAATCTTCACAATTTATGTTCAGAGACTGCAGTAAAGACAGGCGTAAGAAATTATAAAAGTATTAATTTGGGGAACTAATAAATGTCCATGAAATCTTCACAATTCATGTTCTTCTGCCATGGCTTCAGCCAGTCCCTCCATTCGGGGTCCCTGACTTTCCACAACACCAGTAGCTTTGTTTTTATGCTTCAAGCTAGTTGTTATGAACTGAATGTTGTGTCCCCTCAACATCCATATGTTGAAGCCTAAAATCTTCATTGTGATGATATTTGGAGGTGAGGACTTAGGGAGGTAATTAGGTCATGAAGGTGGAGTCCTCATAAATGGAAGATGCATGCCCTTGTAAGAAGAGACAGGGAGATGATCACTGTCTCTTCCCCGTGAGGACACAGCATAAAGGCACTCATCTGTAAACAAGGAAGAGAGCCCTCAACAGAACCTGACCATGCTGGCACCCTGATCTTGGACTTAGGACCTCCAGAACTATGGGAAAAAAATGTCTGTTGTGTAAGCCCCCTAGTTTACAGTATTTTGTTAAGGCAGCCCAAGCAGACTGAGACAGTCACCACACTTCCTGTGCCTCAGGGCCCCTGCACTTGCCATTGCCTCTGCAGGGATGACTCTGCTTTCAGGTCTCTCTGTGACTGGTTCTTCTCAGCTCAAAATTCATCTTCACAGAGGCCCCATCAGTTTCCAGCATATCACTCAGCTTTCATTTCTTCATAGCATTGATCAGTCTCTGAAACTTTCTTGCCCATTTTTGGTTGCCATTTATTTGCTATTTAAAAATGTTTTTCTCAAGGCCAAGGACCTTGTGTATCTTGTTCCCTACTTTATCAAGAGTCTAGACTACATAAAGCATAGTAGGCTCTAAATAAGTATGTGTGGAAGGAAGGAAGGAAAACGAAAAAAAAAGAGGAAAAAGAAAAGGAAAAGGAAAGGAAAGGAAAAGAAAGGAAAGGAAAGGAGGCATAAATAAGCTTTAAGGATTTTCTCATAAAGGTAATGATCCAACTACTTGTGCAGTTTTTCTAAAAACTATCTTTCCAACCTCCCCGAAGAATTTCATCACTGCAAGTTTGTGCATAACAAAGTACAGAGCACAGCTTAGCTCAGAGGCATGGTTCTGTTAAATAAAACTAATCTGACAAGATCAGACCACTGGGGTTTGGTCATTCGTATTCTGGATGGCTGGAAATGATGATGTGCCAAACCTCCTTGGGTACTCAGTGAACCACACTCTCCACCATCTCCCTACACACTCCAGGCAATTACCCATCTGGTTTGCCTGCCCCACCCGGTTGTAGTTGAATAAGGTTGCTCAGCTGAAAGTGATTAGTGTGTGATCAACCTGAAAGGCAGCCTCCAGCAGTTGTATCCCAGGCCGACTTTTCATCTGCGGCCGCTCTCTCCAGACAGGAGACAGAATCCTCCCAAGAAGCGGCAGGACATTGAGAGACAAAGGAGGAAAAGGGAGATCTCAAGCAAGAGTCAGGAGATCTGGGTTCTAATCCCTGCCTGTGTCTAACTCACTATGTGACTTGATCAAATCCCTGTATCCCTCTGGGTTTCTGTCGCCCCAGCTGCAAACTGTGGGGTTCATACTAGGTAATCTCTAGGAATTCCTTCCAACTCTGAAGTTCCAGACTTGTAAACCACCAAGTGGTGAGCATTTGCCGAAGTGCAAATTCTCCAACTCAACAAGCCAATCTCCAGTTTGGAATGAGTGGCAATATTACTGTCATTTGGGGTTGTTATATTTACCCAGAACCTTATAATTACAAGGTTACACTTACCACACCCCTTTAACACAGATTAGTGACAAACACGAATTACTCTTCTTTGCTGGAGGAGGAAGAAAAGCCCAGAATGATTAAGTGACTCACCCTGTGTTTACAAAAGCAGTGGTCAGGCAGAGACTAAATATCCATGAGCTTCTGAGTTCCAGACCTGGACTCAGGACACTAGGCCATAGGACTTCACGGGACCACACCAGTGCTTTGCTTTGAGTTTTATTCCGAAATATATGAAAAACACTCATGATTGCATTCTCCTTTCTGAAAAATTCACTGCTATTAGTGTTAATGCAATTGGATAAAAGAGAGAAATTTATATTTATTTCAACAAACCACCTAAGAAAATTACATGTGGCCACAAAGTGAGGTATATAGGGAGAGTGTAGACTTGTCTTTGTTTTGTGAGCAAACATTTTGCTGGGTATTAAGAAATCTGGGTAGTTAAAGGATAAAGATGTATAGGACTCAGTCCCACCCCTGACTATGCCACATATTAGCATGGTGCTTAATTCTCTGCAACTTTCGTTTTCTCATCTGTAACATGTGACTGATAGAACTTGCCCACAATATTCTTGCGAGGATGATACACGATAAGATAAGATAAGGCAGCTACCCCACTGCAGTTGCTCAATTAATTGGCACCTTACTCTCTTTCCCATATTCCCTGTCTAGGAAAAGCAAAATAGGGTTTTCCCTACCCACACATTATACCGTCAACATCGAAAGCCCCCTGCCCCTCACCATCCCCTGATGCAGAAGGACCGTAGGCTGCTAAAGCAGGTGGCTAGTTGCCCATGCGGTTAAGGGATCCCTGACACCTCCAGTTCCAGCCTTGCTAAGGACATGCTGTATCGTAAGAAATGAATAACCGACACTACATCATCACCTGCAATGGTGGGGTTAACCATACTGTCCCAGGGACTATTCTAAGTACAATTAGGGAAGGATCTATGAAAGGTTGTAAACGCTTATGTGATCCTTATGTGATCCTTTGTGCATATAAACGTGTACAAAGTTCTGTGATTTTTTTTTTTATGAGCAACCTTTCGTGCTGCACCCAAATGTCTCTCCACTCCTGTAAATGGCCACTTCAGCCTACCTGCCCAGCTGCCTGGCCCCAGTCCTTCCACCAGCAAGGGCATGTGTAGAAGCCAGAGGATGAGAATAAAGAGATGCCAAGTAAGGAAAGGAAGGCAGTTGAATACGGCAAATTTCTTTTCTCAGCTTATTTCCTTTTCTTCTCAGACATCCAGAAAGTAACATTTTCCAACATCAGGCTTCTCTCCACATGGTTAAAAATAGGAGAATTAAAAACAAAATGACAAATGAGATAAATTTATTGTGAGGTAGTGTGTCCTTCTGATGATGTTCACAGAGCCCTGGACTCTGTGCTACGAGATGTGTGCCAATCTGCCCCCACTACCAGCGGGTCCCATGATCATCTGTAGGAAGATGAATTATCTGAGACTGTTTCCTTGCCTCTGTAAAATAAGAAGGTAGGAATAATCGCCCCCATGGTACTAGCGTTGAAGTTCTGTGTATCCAGAAACAATATTCGTAAAAACAGACACACAGCATTCACTCATGCCTTATATTCAGTGTTTGGGGGCCCTTAGGTCCAAAGATTCATTATTTTCATGGCATTGTTTGATTTTTTTCTTTGAGGTAAGAATAAATTTTACTTCCTTGAAAGAAATACAAACACATGTAGAACTATGTATTTTGACACATCTGTATCATTAAGTTCACCCAGGCATTTTAGATTTAAAAGATCCAAGAACCATATTTTGAGAAACTATTATAGTAAGCAGGAGAAAGTCCAGAAATGGCACTTTTTTTTTTTTTTTTTTTTTTTTTTTTGACACGTGGTCTCGCTCTATCCGCCCGGCTGGAGTGCAGTGGCGCGATCTCGGCTCACTGCAGACTCCACCTCCTGAGTTCACGCATTCTCCTGCCTCAGTTTCCGGAGTAGCTGGGACTACAGGCGCCCTCCACAACGCCCGGCTAATTTTTTTGTATTTTTAGTAGAGACGGGGTTTCACCGTGTTAGCCAGGATGGTCTGGATCTCCTGACCTGGTGATCCGCCCGCCTCGGCCTCCCAAAGTGCTGGGATTACAGGCGTGAGCCACTGCCCCCGGCCAGAAATGGCACTTTTAATAATTTGCTCTATTTATTTGTATTCTTAGATGTTTGATAATAAATATGCATATTCTACTAATTTTATAACATTTAAACCAGTCATGAAAATATGATTTTAAAACGATTCTTCTCAAACCGTATAGAGAACTTTTGAAAAACAGATTCCTGGGCTTTACTGCTTATCTATTAAATCAGACACTCTGGGAAGGATATGTAAGTGGCCCAGATACAGGTATATTTCAAAGCCTCCAAGGTGATGCCACTGATAGCCCAGGTCTGGAAACCACAGCTAGAAAGCAGAGCCTCAGCAGCCAAGTCTGGCAAGCACTTCAGTCTCTTTCCTGAGTGCCCAGCAGAATTAATCTTCCCTCTCACTTATGAACATCTGTGATAATCATCATGGAGAGTGGGTTTGTTTGTTAATGGGGGGAAGAAAAGCTATTTACCTAGTTTGCGAGCCAAGAGAGAGCTTAATTAATGTCAGAGCAGATATGATTTCCTCCTCTCTCCTTGCCCTAGGAACTCACAGGGATGACGAGAGGATTTTTAATTAATGTTTGAAAAGCATTCTGAGATCCCTGGATAAGAGGCACTGGAGAAGGGCAAAACATGATTTATTGTTGTTATTAATAGTAGTTGTATTAATAGAAATAATGAAGTTCTCGAAAGTGATTTTTTTCTTTTTTGTTTTTCTTTTTTTTTTTTTTAGAAAATCTATGACATCAATTGCCAAAGTGTTTTTGTGGCAAGAAAGTTTGGAGTGAATGAAGGAGAAAGGAAAAAAAGACACAAGGGAAATAAACACTTTTTTCCTGTTCCATTTTTGACTTTGAAGTTCTACCATAAGAACACAATGAGTAATTCCTCTTACACTTTTGTTAGGTAAATAAAAACACTATTTATTTCTATGGTACCAGTGAAAGATTTTGGAGGCACACAGTCATAAAGAAAGAACTTAGGGTTGAAAATAGAAGTTCTGAATTTGGAGCTTACCATGTTGCTATTTACTGACTCACCATTTACTGATTATTTAACCTCGGGCCGGTCACATTATCTGGTTTTTATTATTAAAACTGGGAGATATTTTAAAATGTTCTACTCATCTCGCATATTAATGTAGATGAATGGAGATGGTACATGTAGAAAAATTTTAAATATCTGAATGCTATGATACAGATTTTATTGATGATGATGATGATGATGATAACAATCATTTCATCAAATACTCAAATTGCAAGATGGTAGAAATTAATATACATTATTTATAATAGAGTTTTTAAAAAATAATTGTTAGGCATGCAATATTTATTTTTCATTAATATATAATATTTGTGCATATTTATGGGGTACATGTGATATTTCATCACATGCATAAAATGTGTAATAATCAAGTCAGGGTATTTAGAATATCATCTCTATCATTTATCATTTCTATATGTTGGGAACGTTTCAAGTCCTCTCTTCTATTTTGAAATATACAACACATTGTTGTTAACTATAGTCACCCTATTCTGCTGTCGAACATTAGAACTTATTCCTTCTATCTAAGTGTATGTTTGTACCCCTTAACCAATCTATCTTTATCCCTCCCCTCCTCCTACACACATACCCTTCCCAGGCTCCGGTAACTCATTCTACTCTCTACCTCCTCTACCTCCATGAGATCAACTTTTTTAGCTCCCACATACAAGAGAGAACATGTAATATTTGACTTTCTGGGCCAGACTTATTTTACTTAACATAATGGCCTCCAGTTCCATCAATATTGCTGCAAATAATAGGATTTCATTTATTTATTTATGGGAAAATAGTATTCCATTGTTTATATATATCATATTTTCTTTACCTCTTCATTCACTGATGGACACTGAGGTTAACTCCATATCTTGGCTATTGTGAATAATGGCTGTAATAAAAATGGGGATGCAAATATCCCTTTGATAAACTAATTTCCTTTCCTTTGGATAAATACCCAGTAGTGGAATTGTTGGATCATATGATAGTTCTATTTTTAATTTTTTGAGAAATATCCATTATATTTTCTGTAATGGCTGTACTAGTATACATTCTCACCCACATTGTGTGAGTTCCTTTTTCTCCACATCCTCCTCAGCATCTGTTAATTTCAGTCTTTTTTATAATAACCATTCCAACTAGGGAAAATGATATTTCATTGTGGTTTTATTTGCATTTCCCTGGTGATTAGTGATGTTGAGATTTTTTATAAACCAGTTGGTCATTTGTATGCCTTCTTTTGAGAAATATCTATTCATGTCCTTTCCCCACTTTTTAATGAGATTTTTTTTGTTAACTTCCTGAATATTCTGAATATTAGACCCCTTTCCAGATAAGTAGTTTGCAAATATTTCTCGCATTCAACAAGTTGTCTCTTCACTCTGTTGATTGTTTCCTTTGCTGTGCCCAGGTCTAGAAACCACAGCTAGCATTTTAGTGTGATATAATTTCATTTGTCTGTTTTTGGTTTTGGTGCCTATAATTTTGAGGACTTAGCCATAAAATCTTTCCCTTGCCCAATGTCCTGAAGCATTTCTTCTTAGTTATCATCTAGTAGTTTTACAGTGTGGAGTCTTACATTTAAGTCTTTAATCTACCTTGAGCTTATTTTTTTATATGGTGAGAGATAGGGGTCAAGATTCATTTTTCAGCATATAGATATCCAGTTTTCCCAGCACCATTTATTGAACAAACTCTGTTTTCCCCAATGTATGTTCTTGGTGCTTTTGTTAATTAGTTGGTTGTAAATATGTGGATTTATTTTTGGATTATCTACTTTGTTCCACTTGTCTATCTGCCAATTTTAATCCCAATACCATGCTGTTTTGGTTACTATAGTTTTATAATGCATTTTATAGTTAGCAGTGTGATGTCTCCAGCTTTGTTATTTTTCCTCAGGATTGCTTTGGCTATCTGGGCTCTTTTTTTGGTTTCATACAAATTTTAGGTTTTTATTTCTGTAATAAACGCAGTTGGTATTTTGATAGGGATTGCATTGAATCTGTAGGTTGCTTGAGGTAATATGGCCATTTTAACAATATTAATTCTTCTGATCCATGAGCATGGATGTCTTTCCATTTGTGTGTATCCTCTTAATTTATTTCATCAGTGTTTTGTAGTTTTTCTTATAGATATCTTTCAACTTTTTGGTTAAATTTATTTCTAGGTATTTTATGTATTTATGTAGCTATAGTAAATGGGATTTCCATCTTGATTTCCTTTGCAGCTAGTTTGTTATTCATGTATAGAAATGCTACGATTTTTTGCATGTTGATTTTGTACCCTGCAAACTTACAGAATTTGTTTATCAGGTCTAAGAGTTTTTTGTTGAATTCAGCCATGAAGCCATCTGGTCCTGGGCTTTTCTGCCTTGGAAGGCTTTTTATTATTTTACGGTCCTTTCTATTTCTGAAGCATCTGTTGTAATTTCTTTGCTTTCATTATTGATTTTATTTATTTGAATCTTCTTTCTTTAATTCTTAGACTAGCTAAGGGTTTGCATTTTTTTAAAAAAAAAACAACACTCAGTTTTATTTTTTCTACAGTTTTTATGTTCTCTACCTGATTTATTTATGTTCTGATTTTTATTATTTACTTCCTTCTGCTAATTTGGGGCTTAGTATGTTCTTCTTTTTCTAGTTACTTGCGGTGTAATGTTAGATTATTTGCTTCAGAGCTTTCTTCTTTTTTAATGCAGGCAGTTATTGCTATGATTGTCCCTCTTAGAACTGCTTTTGCTGCATCACATAGGTTTTGACATGTTCTCTTTCCCTTGTCATTTGTCTCAAGATGTTTTTAACATCACTTTCATTTACTCTTTGACACGTTGATTGTCCAGGAACACGTTTGTTCATTTCCACATATTTGTGAATTTGTTAAGATCCTTTTGTTACTGATTTCTAGTTTCATACCATTGTGCTCTGAAACAATGCTAGATATAATTACAATCTTCAATTCATTAAGACTTGTTTTGTGGACTAACATATGGTCTATCCTAGAGAATGTGCCATACTGAAGAAAAAATGTATATTCTGGTGTTGGCTGGAGAGTTCTGGATATGACCCTTTGGTCCCTTTGGTCAAAAGTACAATTTAAGTCCAGTATTTTCTTATTAATTTTCTATCTGGTTAATCTATTTGTTTTTTGAAAGAGGGGTATTAAAGTCCCCTACTATTCCTGTGTTGCTATTTATGGAATTCTCATAATGTAAAAATGTGTTTGCTTAATGGTGTCCTGTTAAGTTCCATAGGCTGTCTTTACTGTTTTTCATTCTTTCTTTTTTTTCTGTTACTGAGTCATTTTAAATTATTTATCTTCAAGTTCACAGATTACTTCTTCTGCTTGATCTAGTCTGCTACTAAAGCTCTCAATTGTTTGATTTCATTGACTGAATTCTTCAGTTCCAAGATTTCTGTCTGGTTCTTTTTTTTTTATTTTTGAGATGGAGTTTCACTGTTGTTGCTCAGGCTAGGATGCAATGGCGTGGTCTCAGCTCACTGCAACCTGTACCTCCTAGGTTCAAGCAATTCTCCTACCTCAGCCTCCCAAGTAGCTGGGATTACAGGCACCTACTACCATCCTTGGCTAATTTTTGTATTTTTAGTAGAAATGGGGTTTCATCATGTTGGCCAGGCTGGTCACAAACTCCTGACCTCAGGTGTTACACTCACCTCGGCCTCCCAAACAGATGGGATTACAGGCATGAGCCACTGTGCCCAGCCGGTTCTTTTTTTTTTTTTTTTTTTTTTTTTTAGATGGAGTCTCGTTCTGTCCCCAGGCTGCTGGAGTGCAGTGGTGCGATCTTGGCTCACTGCAATCTCCGCCTCCCGGGTTCACGCCATTCTCCTACCTCAGCCTCCCGAGTAGCTGGGACTACAGGCACCTGCCACCAAGCCCAGCTAATTTTTTGTATTTTTAGTAGAGACGGGGTTTCACCATGTTAGCCAGGATGGTCTTGATCTCCTGACCTCATGATCCACCTGCTTTGGCCTCCCAAGGTGCTGGGATTACAGGTATAAGCCACCGCCCCTGGCCCCAGCCAGTTCATTTTTATGATATCTATATCATTGTTGAGTTTTTCATTAAGATCATGAATTGTTTTTCCGATTTCATTGAATTGTTTGTTTTCTCTTGGGTCCCACTGAGTTTTCTTAAGATAATTATCTTGAATTTCTTGTCAGGCAATTTGTAAATTTTCATTTCTTTGGGATTAGTTACTGGACAATTATTGTGTTCCTTTGGTGGTGTCATGATTCCTTGCTTTTTAAAATGTGTCTTGTGTTTCTGCATTGATGTTTGCCCATCTGGTGGTACAGTTAACTCTTCCAAACTTCACAGAATGAGTTTTATAGGGGAAGACTTTCACTTGCAGACTGACTCAAGAGTGCCAGTTGGGCAGGGTGTAGTGGCTCTGGTTTCACTTAGGCACAGTGGTATAGTCTTCATGCAGCTTCTTCAGTTATGATCAACATTAGCAATGACTATAAGTACCTCAGTGCTCTATGCTACAGGAGTTTGTGTGTGACAGTGGCTTTGTTATTATAGAGCAATGACTTTAGGGGTCCTAACAGGATATGACAATAGTCTAGGTTCTGCGAAGTCAGGTGCAATGGTAGCAAAGACCCAGGAATGGCAAGTTGCCACTGTGGCTTGGGCCCCAGGGGCAGGAAGCAGCACAGTGCTGACTCTACTACCTGGAGAGGCAAGATGTATCAGCATCTCAGACTGCACAGGACTAGTCCAATTCCAGGTAGGTGGAATACTGTGGCTGTTAGGCCTGGAGGACAGTCCAGCCAAGGCTCTGATCTTCTAGGACATGAGGAGTTACATCTGATTGACCCCAGAAAGTGTGCCTACACAGGTAAGCAGAATCTCTGGATCCCTGGGGGTGGGGCACTGTGTCAACTGTGATGCTGGAAGGTGCAGTTGCTCTGGTGTGCCAAAGGCTTGGAGCCTTGGGAGGTCAGGTGTTGCATCACCTGCCAGATGAGGAATGAGACTACTCCAGAGTGCAGGAGACCTGAGGTCCCTGGGAGATAAGACATTGTATCTGCTCTAGGGCCAGGGTGAAACTGCTCCAGTGTCCCAAAGGCCTGAAGTCCCTGAAGCAGGAGTGCTACTTCAGCTGTGGCTCCAAGGGTCACAACTGCTCTTGTGTGCAGAAGGCCTGAGGTCCCCAGTGGGTGAGGTGCTGTGTTGGCTGTGATGACAGGGGTGCAACTGCTCTGATATTTCAAGGCTTCAGGTCCCTGAGGGTGGAGAATCATTTCAGCTCAACCCTGTGGGGAGGTTGTGCCAGGAACTGAGATGAGGAGGATGAAGCAGCTTTGTGGTAACTTGGCCATAGGAAGTAGGTTATAGCAGCAGCTCTGCTTAGGGATGGCACACTACCAGGTAGGCATGGTGCAGTGGCAGCTGAGCCTCAGAGATGGAGAGACAGAGGGCTGCAGTGGTGCCCCATAGCAGGACATACTCTAGCAGGGGCTTCAATTTTAAGACGGCACAGAGCAGTAACAGCGTGGGTCACTGGGAGGCAAGGCACAGCACAGGCTCTTTCTCTGGGGGTAGCTCAGCATGTAGACTCCCAGGAGCTCCCTCAGCTGGACTCAGAACCTATGAGGACTGTAGGAATCTCCAGTAGCAAATACTACAGGTGTCCACGGTGGTGATGGGTGCTGTTGGGGTCCTCTGGCTTACCTTTTTCCCTGCAGGGAGAAATCCCTCCTAGTTCTGAGCTGATCCTGACTGAGGGGATGGAGTGGCTGAGGTAGGTTGTTTCTTCCCTGCTCTTTGTGACTGTCTTGGGTTTCCGTGCTCTACAGGATTTCTGCTGCTTCTTTGCTGTTCTCCTTTAAAGGTGATCTCCTTTAATTATTTTGGTCAAAATGTAGTTTATTTGTTGTTTGGATTTTTTTATGGGGTAGGGAGAGTGCAAGAAATTTCTAGTCAGCCATCTTGATAACATCATTCTATGATGGACTTTTTCAGTATAATTTTTGTTTTACAAAGTAAAATTTTTCTATAAGGCATATAATACAAAACAGCTTTAGGAAGTTTAGAAAGTTAAATAATTCCTCAAATCTTACAATAAAAAGCACCTAGCTCCTGCCTGTCCCTCCCAATCCAGTCCTTCCCCCCAGAGATGCTCCTTCTCAATTCTTTTAAGAGTTGTTTCTTTTACAGTGAGTTGTATATTGCCAATTAAAATGATTGACTGCTATATCTTCCTTTGTAAATATTTTAGGCATTATTTATTTCCTGTTAGATACACTACTTCTATTATGCTACCACCCTCACTTCCCTTCTTTCTTTTCTACAAGTATAGTTAGCTTAACTTTTGCTAAAATAAATATTTACTAATAAACATAATTATGGCTGCATAAATATTATTTCTAAGCCAATTAGTATGCCATGATTACATTTCCTTTCTTATACAATTTCTTTATTTTTCCTAAAGTTATTAATTACCTAACGTTTATAAAATTTACTTAGATTTCTCTCTACTTTATAGTGATTCTCTCTATAGACTCTTGCAGAGCTATGAGCCTCCTCTTAATGCTATTATGTGTTCCACATTGTCAAATGCATGAGATAATGTAGCATTTCTTTCTCTCTTTTTTTCCTAGATACTTGCCTCCTCAAGTTTTCTGTCTTCCTACTATAATTGAGGCTGATTATCTCTAAGCCTGCAGCATAGCTATTATCCCACACTTTCCTTTTGCCATCTTTGGAACTTTCCTTAACCTTTCTCCTGTGTTGGATTCCTTGTATCATCTATTTCACAGCTTACTCTTTTTTTATTTACTCATTACTATGGTAAATATTCTCCATCAGCCTCTTGAGAAAGGATATATAGGAAATGTTAAGTGTCGAGTCCTTTCATATTTCAAAACGTCGATATTCTAATTCACAGTTGACTAATGGCATTTGGATGGTTTCCAATTTTCCTCTCTTACAAACTCATGCTTCAGTTAAGATTCTTGTAACATCTCCTTCCATAAGTGGATAACATTTTCTGTTACATGCACTTAGATGTAAAACTGTTGGATGTTAAAATAGGAATAAGTTTAATTATATAAGATATTGCCAAATTCCTCTCTAATGTAATTTCTACCAATTCATACCTCATGAGAAGGGTTAAAGTGTTCTCATTTAGGTTATTTTTAATTCATTATGCTGGCCACCCAATGAGCCCTTTCAATCTGGAGATCCTTGTCCTTTAGTGCCAAGAAAATATCTGGCAGTATTATCTTAATAATTTTTTTCTCAATTTTTACTCTTCCTAGAAGTCGTAATAAACTCAGACCAACCCTCTAAATACATTATCTGATTTTCTTGCTTTTATTCTTATATTGTTCTATTTTTAAGTTTTTACCATTTAGCTTTATTGACCTTCTTTAATGTATGTTTTTCAATTGACAAAAATTGTATATATTTATTATGTATATCAGGAGTCCCCACCCCCAGACTATGGACCGGTACCAGTCTGTGGCCTGTTAGGAACTGGGCCATGCAGCACGAGGTGAGCGGCAAGTGAAGGAAGCATCATCTGTATTTACAGCTGCTCCCTATCACTCACATTATTGCCTAAGCTCCACCTCCTGTCAGATCAGTGGAGGCATTAGATTCTCACAGGAGTGCAAACCCTATTGTGAACTGCACATGCAAGGGATCTAGGTTGTACACTCCTTATGATAATCTAATGCCTGATGATCTGCCACTGTCTCCCATCACCCCCAGATGGGACAATCTAGTTGCAGGAAAACATGCTCAAGGCTCTCACTGATTCTACATAATGATGAGTTGTATAATTATTTCATTATATATTACAACATAATAATAATAGAAATAAAGTGCACAATAAATGTAATGTTCTTGAATCACCCTGAAACCATCCCTTTCCCACGGCCTGTGGAAAAATTAGCTTTCACAAAACCAGTCCTTGGTGCCAAAAGGCACTGATGTACATAATGTTTTGAAATATGTATACATTGTGGAATGGTTAAACCAAGCAAGTTAACATATGCACTAATTCCTTTATCATTTGTTCGTGGTGAGACACTTAAAATCTACTCTCTTAGCAATTCTCAAGCATACAATACATTGTTATTAACTATAGTCACCATGTTGTACAGTAGATCTTGAACTTATTCTTCTGTTTAACTGAAAATTTTGTGTCCTTTGACCAAAATGCATTTGTCTGACATTTGTACACCTTCTTTTTCTTGGAAAATTTTCCAACTTTTTTTCTTTGTTGGACATTTTTAACTTGAGTTAGTGTATTTTCCAGGATCCTTTTCTTCTTTGCTAATACTTTTTTTTCAAAATCATCTTGTAGCCTCTTCATGGAGGAAATATATTTTCTCATATTTCTAAGGATATTAATCATAGTTGGATTTTTTCTTCTTTATGTTTTCTATGATGTATCTGTTTAATTTTTAAATTCCTTTTATCTTATTTATTCTTTCTTTTGATCAGAATTGTTTCTTAAACATCTGGCAATCCTTGGGTCCTCCTTTATATTTTAGAATGATACACTCAAATATATATGGGAGCCTTTGTAGCCACTGGCTGAGTCTGACAACCGGTAGGCTTTAACAGAGAATGCACGAAGACTTCTGTTAGTACTTCTATCTCTTGCCTTCACTATGGATCAACCACATTGTCTACCATACTTGTCCCTTACTCTGGATTCTCTCTAATCCAGAAATAAGCTGGTTTCCTTCTGATCCAGAAAATAAACTTCAGGTCTCCTTAGGAATGTACTGTGGGAAGGGAAGATCCTGGTGGGATAAAAGATAATTTGGCATCACATATTTAACTGTCACCCTAAATGAATCTGATGTATGTGAATATTCAAAGACAATAATTTGAGAAATACTAAAAACAGTGATCAAAAAAGCACTTCCAGCTCTAAAATTATAGTTCTGTAATACAAAGCAGCAACAATGTGACTAATATATTAATTTGTATTTTATATTCTTTCATCAAGGATTAGCATGCTAATAAGATTCCAAAAAGGGCAAAGATGTTACTAAATTATTTTAAAATCTCTTTTAATGCTGACAAATTCTTAAAATGCTTGGCTGCTTTTGTTTCTCTGAACATAATCTGAGATAGATGAGCAAAACTAGATTTAAAACAGTGGCAATGAACTCGCTATAACTTAGCATAATCATGCTCTCATGATTATTTTACAACATGTTTTGGGCTTTTATAGTAGTCTTGCACGTAGACAAACTTGAGCAGAAACCAAGTCCATTCCTCAGAGAATAACACTGAATTTTGCTAAGCTACTTTCTAATTTTATTTATAATAATAATTTTGGTTTTGCCAAAAGTGACTGATTACTAATATTGCCATCATTTATATTGTAACCCTAAATGGTCTTCCTCCAAAATAAATTTCTTCTTCTTAATATTCTATTCTTGATATCTCAAAGCTTCCTTCTCTTCTTCTTTCAAACTTAGAGACAGGTCACCTATCTTGGAAAACATAGAAATATGACTTCATTCTACAAATTCCTCTGAATCCCACTTTATTTATCTTCTCAGTTTTCATTCACTACCAAGTGACTAATTTGCTTCTATTGCTTCTAACTCTTTGCAGTTTGATTCCTGCCTCACCCCAGAAACCACACCCTTATAGTGATGGTTTTATCACCTTTCTTCTCAGTTGCCTAGGCTTCCTCAACAAATATCATGTCCTGAGTGCCAACTTCTTCTCCTATATTGAAATCTTTGCTTATGTAGTTTGCCCTGTTAACAATGCCTACTTTTCTCACCAGCTGTCCAAATCATGCCAGTTCTTGAAGGTATAGGTTAAAATTTTCACACTAATAGAAGCCATAACAATTAAAAGTACTCTGTTTAATTTCTTGCTTCTTATTCCACTAATGTGACAGTTCCACATACTACCATAAATTATCTTTGCATATATTGTCTATTTGTAAAAATAGACAAATTAGACTTTATCAAAATTAAAGATTTTGTGGATCAAAATACATTATTCATGAAATGAAAAGACAATCCACAGAATAGGAGAAAATGTATGCTAACCTTATATGCGATAAATGTCTTATATGCAGAATATATAAAGAATTCTTACAATTCAACAATGAAAAGACAAATAACCCACACAGAGAATTCAAATAAATATTTCTCCAGGCCGGGCACGGTGGCTCACATCTGTAATCCCAGAACTTTGGGAGGCTGAGGTGAGTGAATCACCTGAGGTCAGGAGTTCAAGACCAGCCTGGCCAACATGGTGAAAACCATCTCTACTAAAAATACAAAAATTAGCTGGGCATGGTGGTATGCATCTATAATCCCAGCTACTCAGGAGGCTGAGGCACAAGAATCACTTAAACCTGGGAGGCGGAGACTGCGGTGAGCTGAGATTGGGCCACTGCACTCCAGCCTGGGCAACAGAGCAAGACTCGGTCTTAAAAAAAAAAAAAAAAATCTCCAAAGAAGACATATAAATTCCCAATAAGCACATAAAAAGATGCTCAACAAAACTACAAAGGGGTGCCACTTAACAACCACTAAGACTGCTAAAATAAAAAAGACAAATAATAACAAGTGCTGGCAAGAATGTGGAGACATTAGAACCCTCACACATTGTTGGTAGAATTATAAATAATGGAATCACTTTGGAAATCAATTTGGCAGTCCTTCAAAAGTTTAAACACAGTGTTACCATATAAGCTGGCAATTTTACTCCTAGGTACATACCCAAGAGAACTGAAAACATATGTCCACACAAAGACTTGTACAAAAAATGTTCATGGTAACATTATTCATAATAGACAAAAATGAAAACCTTAAATGTCATTAACTGATGAATGGATAAATAAAATATGGCATATTGATACAATGGAATAGTAATCATCCATAGAAAGGAATGAAGTATTGATATATGCTATCAGTATTTCAAGGATAAACATTGAAAACATTATGCTTAGTGAAAGGAGCCAACCACAAAAGGCCATACATTGTATGATTCCATTTTTAGTCAATGTCCAGAATGGGCAAATCCAGAGACAGAGAAAGTACATTAGTAGTTGCCAGGAGCTAAAGGGAGGAGAGAATAGAGAGTGACTGCTAATGAATATAGAGCTTCTTTTGGGGTGGTAAAAATGTTCTGGGATTACACAGTGGTGATGGTTGTACAACTCTGTGAACACATTAATGAATTGTACATTTTAAAAAGCTTATCATACACCATGATATATTGTCAAAATCTATTCAGTGATTATGGAAAGACAGCAATATGTTGTGTCAATATATAATTAATTTATATAATAAAAATTAGTTTCTCAAAAGTACATAAATTTCCTTCCTTCATGAAAATTATAATAAATCACTTTTTAACCTAAAGCACTATCAGTGCTGAATGCATTTTTGCTTTATTGAATAATAATTTGTTTCATTTTTAGTCTAGACTTCCTCAGAGAACATTTTTAGAAAAAGGAATTATCTTTTGCTTGGTTTTGTTGTCTATCACTAAGTGCATGTATTTATCTGTCTGTAAGTGTATATACTGGCACAGAACAAAAAAGGAGAAAGAAATTTGCTTTGCGGGTGTCATCATTTTAACCTCAAAACAACATTTTCATCATTTTCGTGGTATTTGCTGAACTAATTTATTTTGATGTTGTATAGACATATCACTGACATTCAAAACAAATGATAATCATTAGTCATGAGGTGCCAGGATTTCCTTTCTCTCAAACAATTCTACATCACTGAGGAACAATGCTGAGGACACTTCTACATCTGGATAGTTTCCTGCAGATTTAATACATGCTAACTGACATTCTGTTAATTCCTTTTAATCTTTGCTATTGTCTGAATTCCAAAAACAAACCTAAACATATATCAACTCTCACTCGAAACTCTTGGCAATGAGTTTAGACTCAATACACACTGCTAGAAAGAAAAAAGGGAGGCAAGGAAAAAGAAAAAAAAAGAAATTTGAAGCATCTTCACCACTGTAATCAGCATTCTTTAAATTATAAAGGGGAAGCAAATTTTACCAGTAAAATAATAAGATAAAAGATATTACTAACGGTCTTCAAGTGGTTGTCATTCTCTAATATTGGCACAGTGAATGGTGTCCAACATACATTAAGAATCCTCAGGGTTTGGGCTCCTCTAACTCTTCAAAACATTGACATCGTCTGATGAGAGGTAGAAAGGAAATGTCACCCATGGAATTATAGCTTTTATTTAATGTATAAAAGCTAACTCAATATTACTGTGATCATTAGGTTATGGCTACTAGTAATAACTTCCAATTTTACCATGCTGTGTTCGAAGCACTTATACATTTATTTAATTTTATTTTCACATCACCATTTAAAATCAGAAGAAATTAAGTATTACTAGGATCGCTTTCCAGATAAATACACTAAAATGCAGATCTAACTCCCTTGTCTTTGTAGTCTGGTTTTCACATGGTCCAATACCTTTTTTTCTCAAACCTTTCCTTTGTAAAAATACCACAAAAACATATGGAATATAAACCAATAGCTTAAGCATACATGGTCTAACCTGTTCCTTAATAAGCAGTCACATATTTTTCAGACTAGCTTTTTAGAATAATTTATATGGTTTTATAAGTAATTATTCTTATAACAAAGAGGAATTAAATAAAATTTCAAGTGTAAATATACGCTATAACATAAAGTGCCCCAAGGATCATCCATGCCTGACCTCTCAAGGGAAGTTTAAGAGAAAAGAGCAAGACTTCAGCACCAGCTACTGCAAGTCTCTTCTTCAATTTGTGTTTGAGTTTGTATCTTGGATTTGTTTGTAAGGCATCGTACACCAGAGATTATTTCTGTATTTCCTCATGAAAATGTGCCTAAGATGTGACAAAATGTGCTTTTTGTCATGTTTAATACATTTATTAAGAAATTATTCTAAAATATTTGGGGAATAAGAAAAAGAAGGTGATATATATATATATATAGATATATACAGAGAGAGATACATAGATATTTTTTAGACAGAGTCTTGCTGTGTCGCCCAGGCTGGAGTGCAGTGGCGCAATCTCCACCCACTGCAAGCTCTGCCTCCCGGGTTCACGCCATTCTCCTGCCTCAGCCTCCTGAGTAGCTGGGACTACAGGTGCCCGCCACCACACCCTGCTAATTTTTTGTATTTTTAGTAGAGACGGGGTTTCACTCTGTTAGCCAGGATGGTCTCGATCTGATCTCGTGATCTGCCCACCTCGGCCTCCCAAAGTGCTGGGATTACAAGCGTGAGCCACCACGCCCGGCCAAGAAGGTGATATTTCAAGTCTCCTTTTGGGATGAATTTTGCTAGGTGAGCAGATAAATCACATGTTTTTGCATTTATTATTATTCGGTGAATATTTATTATTGATCTGTAATTCTGTGCCAGGTTTATTTCTGGCACCGAAGACACAGCATTAAACAAGAAATAGAAATTCTTTGCCACCCATGAGCTTATATTGTAGTGGCTGTAAATGGACAATAAACAAATGCAAAAAATAAAAGAATATTGGAGAGTGGAAGTTTGTATATAGAGAACTAAAACAGGGTAATGTAAGAGAATAACTGAGTAGATATTTTTGCGTGAGTTGTCAAGGAAGGCCTCTGTTGAAGGTGATATTTAAGCTGAGATTTAAAACCAAACACTATAACAATGTGGGAGGAAGCTACGATGTTCTAAAGTATAATAAGCTTGACTTGTTGAAGAGCAAAAAGAAGCCCATTGGGGCTTAACAATAGAGGCCAACAAGAAAGTGATACAGATGATGTTGGAGAGCTAAGTAGGAACCAGATCACATCAGGGTTTGTGTACTGACAGGAAAGACCTAGCACAGAGTAAGATATTGATGATGGTGGATAGAAAGGGAATCACAATACAGCATTATAGTACTAGCTTTTCATTTGCCTCTCTTCTGCTTTATGCCATTTTTGGAGTGACTTAATTGGGATACAAGTATACTAATCACCCCATAAAAATAGTGATGATGAAGATTTCCAGTAAAAAGAACTCCATTAGTTCTCATTCTGATGGAGCCACGCTGTCCCAAACAAAATTAAAAAAATAAAACATTATGAACATCACAAAAATCAAGATAAAGATTTTATAAGTAAAAAAGGGGAAAAATACAAAGTAGTCACCTGTACTGGAGGCATGAGCTAAAGACTTCTAGGTCTGAAAAAGATGTTGACAGCTGGCAGATTAAAAGAGACAGGACCAAGCTCATTGTTTGCAGCCAGAGGGTTTGGTGGGGTTATTTCCTTTTTTAGAAAAAGGACTGAAAAATATCCCTACTATTTTTAGAGCAGAGGTTCTCAGTAAGAAGTATTTTTACCACGCAACCCCCAGGGGACATTTGGTAATGCCTGCAGACATTTTGATTGTCAAAACTGGGAAGGGAGAATAGCTGCTCACATCTAGTGTGTAGAGGCTGGGGAGTCTGTAAAATATCCAGCAGTGCACAAAAAAGCCCCCAGCAACAAAGAAATATCTGGCCCAAACTGTCAATGGTGCCAACGTATCAGTAGTGAAATATTGAGAGTCAAGTCTCAACAGTGAGTAACTGTGGTCTACAGGTACACTTTTAGTCACTTACAAGCCCAGTGCGTTCAGAAATCACAGGCGAAATCTCTAACCAAAAATTAAGCCAAGCTGTCCATTGGCTCATGGTTGGATATGTAAAATCTCCAATATTCGCCTAGAAGCAGGAGGCACAAGGTGAATACTAAGGCCTTCTTATGGACTGCTATCCTGAAAGGCAATCACAAAACTCCTAGAAAAGGAAAAGTGGCAACAGAGGAGAAATGTAAAGAAACATCAAAATGAGCCTTCAATCAAAATTCCATAAACACAAGAAGAAATGCTAAGATGGACCACGAACCAACAATTAGGATATGAATGCATTCGAGACATAATACCTTCTAAGAAAAAAATGTGATAAGGATTAAAGACAAGTGTATTTACAATTATCAAACATTTATACAAAGTATAAATGACACCAAAAAAAATTACGAAACAAACAAAGCAAAAATAAAATAAGGAATTGAAATAAAACATTTCATTAAATAGATTTTATACTAGGCTGGGCACAAAGAAAACTGAACTAGAAAATTGTGGAACTCATTAAAGCACAGTAAATGAAGATTAAAAAGAACAAAAATATGAGAAGTCAGCTAAGGGACATAAAAGGGAATTGTTAGACACTAATATTTATTATTATATAAGAATTTCTGAAAAAGTAGAAGAAATGCCTGAAAATCACTACCTATAAAGGAGAGTTGAGAATTTTTAATGATTGGAGAAAGATACAAATCCTCCAATCAAAATGTATTTCAATTCCAAGCAAGATAAATAAATAGAAATCTACTCTGTGACATGCTGTAGCAAAACAACTAGGATAAAGACAGAATACATATAAAATCTTTAAAAAAATGAATAGAAATCTTATAGAATGAATATAAATTATATAAATTTTCAAAGGAATATAAAAAGTTTAAAATTATCAGAGAGAGAAGACAATATACCAATAAAAGTAGGTAAACACATGTACATGAGATAGTCAATGAAAATTGAATAATATTGTTCAAATATTTAAGGAAAAATCTGTCAATTTATAATTTTATACCCAACTGTACTACCCTTTAAGGATGGATGTAAGATAAAGATTCTTTTATGTATACAAAGACTATGAGACTTTATCTACCATAGATTCTCTCTCAAATAAATACTAACTAAATGATATCTTTCAGTAAGAAGAAACATAAACAAAGGGAGATCTGGGGATTCCAGGATGAATGTAGAGTGATTTTATTTTAGATCAACAGAGAGAGAGAGAGAGAGAGAGAGAGAGAGATTTAGATGATTGATAGGTAAATAAAATAAAAGACCTCACTCACACATATTCATTATCTGCATAATAAATAGGATAGCAATAAATTTGTTGCAATACCCTAGACCTCCCATAAACAAATTTCCTGTAAACTCAATCAAGGATGAGTAATAATCACAAGGGTATTACCACATCATCCACCTAAAAATACTACAAGGTAAAAAATAAAAGCAGGAAACAGGCAGGGAGGAAAAAACAGATTTTAAAAATACTCTTTAAAATGTTGAGACTATGTATTTGGCCATGGCCTTTAAATTTTTTAATTAGTTCTACAAATCTAGGTAGGGCACAAAGGGGATCTATAAGGCTTTGGGTAAACTGTGGCAAGACAACAAAAAGAGAAAATTTGAGCTTGCAAAGATCAAAGAAGTGGAAGAATAAAATAAAAGAAAATTATCAAACAATAACACCAAACGCCATTGGGAAGTAGCTCAAGAGTAACAGCCACTCCTTAAAACATAACAAAGGAGAGAGAGGACATGATTGTGCACAGTAAGGAAGATGAAATTAAAGTAAAAGATTACAAAAACATTTATATAGATACACACAAGGAATATCCAGCATCACATAATTGTTATCCTCAGTGAAGAAAAACAAAATGATAGAAGAAAGAAATTTAAGGCAAGAAAACTTTTCAGAAATAAAAGACTTTATCCATTAAAAGAGTACATTATGCCCCAGGAAATATTAACACTAAACAATTAACAGAAAGACATAATATAGTAAAATTACTGGATCTCAAAGGTAAATGAGTAATCCTTTGGACAACCAAGAAAAAATGGTAAGCCATCAAAAAAGGTAAAAATTTAGGCAGGCCTCAGACGTTTTTCCTGGAAACATTCTTAATACCAAGAGACTGTAAAGCAAAGCTTACAAAGTCTGAAGAAAAAGAAAAAAACTGACATAAGACGTAGCCAGACAAACTTGTCCAAATATAAAGGCAAGAGAAAAATAATTTTAAATGAAAAATTAATATATAATTTCCAAGAAGTTTTGAAAGAAATTATCAGAGAATGAACAGAAATACATGGCACAAGAATGCATGCTGAGTATTGACATCATTTTTTCATAAAAGATTTCATAAAAGATTACAAGAATGTAAATGTTATAATCCTGACAAAATAAATAAAGCTGAAAAGAGAGGAGATGAGAGGCAATGAATGTAAGCTGACTTCTTCATGTTTTATCACCAAGGGTAAGTATTAGTCAAGGATAATAAATCAAGTCAAAGTGATATAAATATATACATAGAAAACTAAAAGTAACATTAATAAAAAATAACGTATTAAACAAAAAAATTGAGTGGCAAAATGGAAAGAGATGAAAATGAAGACATTAAAATTGTACTAATTTCATCATTGCTTTTAGAAAGAAATTAGTAAGTACAGCTCATAAAAACAAAACAGGGACCTGGCATGGTGGTTCATACCTATAATCCCAGCACTTTGGAAGGTTGAGGTGGTAGGATCACTTGAGGCCAGGAGTTTGAGACCAGTCTGGAAAACACAGAAAAATCCCATCTCTACAAAAAATAAGTAAAGTAATAAAAAAGGAATTACTAAAACAAAATATAACTTCTGAAAATGTATATACACAAAAATATACAAATTGTATCATGAAATAAAAAATATAGAAGCAATTAAATATAGAACTAAGGATAAATATCTCATATCAATAAATACATTGTTTTATACATATAGTTTTATGAATATGTTAAGAGGGCAAGGCAAAATTTAATGTACTGCAACATTCAAAAGATAAACTGTTCTAATCTAGGCTTTCCAAAAAAGCAGGTTGATACATACAGATAGTTAGCTCCAGGAAGTAATCCTAAGGATCAGGAGTAGAGGCTTGGGAAGGGTGAAACGGAAAGCCAAATCAAGGGTATGTTATGGAGTTGACTACCACTATGGGCAACTGGGCGTGATACCACTAGAGACTTATATGCAGCCATGTGAACATGCCTTAGAATTGTCCATCCAGGAGATGGAAAGGAGAATATTTATCTGTTGTTCTCCTGTCATGGAGAACAAATTCATTAGTCATGAATTTTTGTCCATGATAATGTCTGAGCAGGTATATATAGTTACATAGATCGTGATACAGACGAGTGAAGTGCTGTTAGGTTACACTTACACAGAGCCAGCTTCTGCAAGAGCTAGATTAAAAAGTGGGCCAAGAGAATGTGAGGCAGGACACAAGCTGTGTCTGATACACATACATAAAGATGTGGCTCAGAGAAGTTGAAAATAAAACAACTTGGCAAAGACTCATCCGGCAAATCACTTGGGGGAGAAACTCAAACAAGGTTGAATTTAGGACAAATGTATTAAAAGGGTGCAACTTACAGCGAACATCCAAAAATTACAAATGCCTTTGCACCAAATAATACACAGACATTTTCATAAAGCAAAAGCTACAGAAAACAAAGAAAGAGACAGGAAACAACATCAAAATAAAATAAAATCCTTGAGTCCAAGAAGAAATCAAAGTGAAATAGGCACAATATTTAGAAACTAAAAAATAAAATAGAAAAAAAGAATAACTATAAACAAGTTACCCTTTGAAAAGTAACTGGCCCAGATGTTTGTTATCAAGAAATTCTACCAAACTTTTAAGAAGCAGATAATTCTGGTACTATTTCAACTGTTCCAGAAAATAGATTTTAAAAGGAAAGTACCCAAATCAGTTTTATGAAGTATGACAATGGTACCAAACCCTTACAAAGATAGCACCAACAAAAGAGGAAACTACAAACCAGTCATTTACAAATATTGATGCAAATATCACAAAAAACAGGATATAACATAATTGTTAAATTTACAAACCATGATAATAAGTTTTATTCAATGAATGCAAGAATAGTTGGATACTTGGATATCTATTTATATAGTTCACTATACTAACCGTTATGAATATAAAAATTGTACAAAAACTACATAGTTATTTAAAAGGCATTATAAAATGTAACAACTATTCTGTATGTTTTTAAACAAAAATACATGAAAATACCTGTGTGTGGATGTGTGCATATGCATATTTAATAAAAAGCACACAAGAAAATTTATTAAATTCCAAGAAGAAGACAAGATATGTTTTTTCTTTTAATATTTAATATTTTTCGGAGGAAACAGTCCCCCAAAAATGAGATATAAAAACAGGAAAAATGAAGATAATTTTTTTGTTTTTGAGGTGGAGTCTTGCCCTGTTGCCCAGGCTGGAGTGCAGTGGCACAATCTCGGCTCACTGCAAAAAGGTAAAATTTATCATTATTTGAGGATACCATTAACTGGAAATTCCAGAAGAATCAAGTGGAAGCTCTTTCAAATGGTAAGAATTCACTGAGTTCACTAGGTAAAAAATATATAGACAGAAATCAAAAGCTTTCATATATAAAAACAGCAATCAGCCCACATAATGGAAGAAAAATCAATACCACTTAAAAAGATAAAATACCTTAAAAAAATGAAATTAACAAGAAATACCTATGATCTATAGGAAGAAATCTTTAAAATGGTAGTAAGGGACTTCAAAACGACAAATACATAGAATCATATTCTTGAATACAAATATTATATATCATGAGGATGTCAATTTTTCCCATATTGATCTATATTTAATGAAATTTTCCCTCCCCAGAATACCAACAGTTTATTTTAACAAAGCAAGCTGATTCTGATGCTCATATAAAAACATTATTATATTAGTCTGTTCTCTATGCTGCTAATAAAGACATACCTGAGACTGGGTAATTTATAAAGAAAAAGAGGTTTAATGGACTCACAGTTCCACGTGGCTGGGGAGGCCTCACAATCATGCTGGAAGGTGAAAGGCATGTCTTAACATGGCGGCAGGCAAGGAGAGAATGAGAGCCCCGTGAAAGGTGTTTCCCCTTACAAAACCATCAGATCTTGTGAGACTTATTCATTACCATGAGAACAGTATGGGGGAAACCGCCCCCATGATCCAGTTATCTCCCACCGGGTCCCTCCCACAACATGTGAGAATCATGGGAGCTACAATTCAAGATGAGATTTGGGTAGGGATACAGCCAAACCAGGAAAATT
Source organism: Homo sapiens (assembly GCF_000001405.40). Classification (NCBI taxonomy): domain Eukaryota; kingdom Metazoa; phylum Chordata; class Mammalia; order Primates; family Hominidae; genus Homo; species Homo sapiens. The sequence goes on from NC_000009.12 coordinate 81,341,809, forward strand.
CAAAAGAATAATGAAGGGCAAATTGCACTATTCTATACTAAAATTTATTATAAAATTATAATACTTAGAATGCTTATACATGAATAGACAGATCATTCTAATAGAATTGAAAGTTCTGAATTGGACCTAAATATAATTTAGTATATGTTAAATTTGGTCTTTCATTTCAATAGGGAAAATATGTAAATTATTCAAAACATTGTTTCAAGACATTCTGGTTACATTCCTGGATTCCTACCATACAGTAACACAAAAAATAAATTTCAGATCAAAGATCTGAATATCAATTATATATAGAAGTACTAAATAAAATTATGAGGGAATTTTTCTCTAAAAGTACAACATAAAATTATGAGAGAACATTTGGAAGGTCCTTCTAGGTAAGACATGAAACTCAGAAGTTCAAGAAATAGAGATTGATAACCGTGACTAACCAAAGAAAAATTAATTGTCTGCTTGGCAAAAAAAAACACCATGAACCAAATCAAAAAAGAAACTACAAGTTGAGAGAAATATTTGATATTAATTTCACTAAGTCCTAATTTCTAATTTTTTTAGCATATGTAGAGTACATACAAGAAAATAATTAAAAATGCAATGAGAAAATATACAAAAAAATTTAAAGAGACAAGACATAAAAATAACTCAAACATATGAAAAATTTCTCAGCCACACTGAAGGGGATCAGAATATGCCACCCCCAAATATGCTGCTTTGACATATTATTTTGAGCAGAACACAGCTGAGAAACAGCAGATACAGGAAGAGCTATCTGCCCTTCTGCCATCTGACTAAAACCAGGGCATAAATTTACACTGAAAAAGTTGCTGTTCATGAACCTGGAAGAGAAAAGCACCTTTATCACTGGACACAAGGAATCAACATCAGTAGGAGTCTGCACAGATAAACCTTACCAAAATAATCCCTATCTTCCATTCGATTTCCCTCATATATTATCTAGTTATTTTTCCACAAATACCAGCCCTAGAAGTCCAAACCCTCTTTCCTTTTTCTAGGTACTTCTCCACAATGTATTGCCCTTGGTTAAAATGGTATATAGGTTCCCAACTTTAACTAATTCTTTGCTTTCACTTATTTTCTGTAAAGCTCCTGTGCATATAAAAATGTTAACACCTATAAAAAGTGTGTCTTTTCTCTGTTAATTTGTCCTTTCTCTGTTTAATTCATAGACTATAGCCACTGAACCTAAAAGGAGAAAGAACATTTTTTTCCTCCCCTACACTAGTCACAACAAGGAAAACAAAAATTAAAACCGCAAAACATCATTTTTCCTTATCATATTGACCAAGATAAGAAAAATCTTGGAAACACACTGAATTAGTGAAAAGGCAGTAAGCAGGTAGGCATATGTATCATTGGTGGCCATAAATAACTCCAATAAAAACAATCTGGGCCTGTTGCAGTGGCTCATGCCTGTAATCCCCGCACTTTGGAAGGTCAAGGCTGGTGGATCACTTGAGGTCAGGAGTTCGAGACCAGCCTGGCCAATATGGTGAAACCCCGTCTCTACTAAAAAAATACAAAAATTAGCCAGGCATGGTGGTGCACGCCTATAGTCCCAGCTACTCGGGAGACTGAGGCAGGAAAATCACTTGAACCCGGGAGGCAGAGAGGTTGCAGAGAGCCAACATCCCACCACTGCACTCCAGCCTGAGTGGCAGAGCAAGACTCCAACTCAAAAAAAAATAAAAACCACTATTTGGTCATCTCTCTCAAAATTAAAAATGAACACACCTATTTAACCTGCAATGCTGCTCCTAGAAATTGTTCCTATAAATAAATGTATATATAATTGAAATTAAACATTTATAAGAATATTCACTGAAGTAGTGTTTGTAGCAGGAAAAAGTTCACTAAGGGAGCAAACTAAATAAATAATAGAAAATCATCCAATACAATGGAATGGAATGCAGTCATTTTAAAAAGTTAGTAAGCTCTAGCCAGGTTCAGTGGGTCATACCTGTAATCCCAGCTACTTGGGAGAGACTAAGGCAGAAGGATCACTTCAGGCCTGGAGTGTGTGACCAGCTTGGACAACATGGTGAGACTCCACTTCATATCATGTCTTAAAAGAGTCCACTAGAACTAGTAAGAGTAGTTGCTGCTATCGAGGAAACTGAGTCTCTTGGAGATGTGGGTGCAATGTTGGATGAGCTTTGAATCAAATTCATTCATTTCTTATTCATAAAGTAAAATTTAAAATATATGTGCTAATGTATGTTGTACATCTTTATGTGGTGTTTTGAAATGTAGTGGACCACAGAGCCATTTTTTAGTGAAAAGTCATCTCTTTTCAATGTCATCTTTATCTTTACTAAGAAATGATATCTTTCTTTCTCTTTGCATCCATCATATGGTATGTGCTGTGGCCGCACTTAGAAGAGTAGGACTTGTCACCTATGCTCATGTCTGCTCCATCCCACAAGATCATACCTTTCTTGAGGACATTTCTAGTGCCTTATTCGTCTCTGTATCACTAGCATGTATCACAGTGTCAACAAATTAAACATTTGTTGAAGTGACATAATCCTTATCCTTACATTTTGCATTGGAAAGAAGGAATACCCCTGGGAAGGGGCAGAAGGGTGCTGCAGACAGGGACATATGGCACAGCCCAGTTAGCACAGGCTGCCCATCGATCCAGAAGAGATCTGACTGCCCTGTCCTCTTGGTTACCCTGACTGGTCACTTGACTATTCAGCTGCCCTTATTATCGTAATCCCTCAGAAGGCCATCTGCTCTGCTCACAAGAGAGACCTGGCCCCAGGGAGAAGTACTCAGCTGCCCTGCATCTTCAAATCAGGTCAATTAGACCACTGCTTCTTAATTGTTCATGACGGCTCAGCTATTGTGTATGAACCATCAGTAATTTCCAGTTCATTGTGGCTAAAGATTCTGGGCTAATGAAGGTTCCAACCTGTCCCTCAGGGTCCCTGGCACCACTCAGCTTGTACATGTTGCTCAGTATCCTAGGGTCATTTCACACCTGAATTTCAAACCAAAGTGTAGGTGGGAATAAACCCATACCACACAGGACAGGGCAAAAAGAAGTGTCATTTAAAAACACGAATTCACTTCCTGAAAAGCAGGGATGGGAACATGCCGACAATAGTCTTAACTGGTCCTTTGAGGAATGGCCTGAAGCCCTGAATACAGGTCGTTAGTTTTTGTTTTGTTTTGTTTTGTTTTGTTTTGTTTTGTTTTGTTTTGTTTTGTTCAATCTGAGAAATAACCAGTCCCATGGATGATTGAGGTGAACAACTTACTAGGCCAAATTTATGGGCTTTTGAAAAATTTCTGAAAAGTGAAATTATCTTTCTAAGACATCTTATTTGAGAAACTCTGGTGTTCATTTTTCATCTTGCCCTGGTATAAATGAAAAATCTTCCTGAAAACTCACTACACTGTGAACAGTTGGGTTCCTTTTGTCTGATGGTGAACAAAGGAAAAGTTGATGGAAATGTCCCAGTTGGCACATTTGAAAAAGGCTGGGTTTGTAACAAAAAACCAACCACTTTCCAGCTTTGACTGAAAGTAAAAAATTTAAGCTTTAAAGCCCCTAAATTTCTCTCTCTCTCTCCATCTGATTTTAGATATGTATATAATTCTGAATGTGTATACATATATATGTATATAGGTATATATATTCAGAGTTAGTTGCATACTGAAATGTATTCTCAAGGTCAAGGATTTCATTGCCACCATCTTTGAAAAAGTAACTAAGACAGAGTGGATCCCTTGTCAATTTACCTTACTCCATTTTGAGACAACTGTAATTGGAGTTCAGATTCATATAGATGCTGCTTGTAGCATGGTATCACACTAAGCCAAAAAGCCAGCCTTTTGCTGAAAACTCAAAATATTGTAACTATTTTAAAATCCAACATTCTTTGTTGAATTCAAGGAATTTTCCAACTAAAAGGGAAATTATAAGACCACCAAGCCAAAAACTCTTCCTTTAATACTAAAGAGTCCAAATACGTTAGATGAGTTTCCAAGTCACATAATTAGTGGTGATCCCAGCTCTAACATATAGGTCTTCTACATCCTGGCGAAGCATTATGAGCCTCTTGGAGCTTCTGCTTGCCTGACACTCTCAGTCTCTCTGTACACACACACACACACACACACACACACACACAGAGTTAGTTTTCTGGTATTCCCATTACCAAATGAAATTGTGCCAAAGGAATCAAAATAATCAAAATTACTTCATTCTTTTCTCCTGAAAGGCACATGAAAACTGCAATAGAATATAACTTTGAAAAACATTTTTTCAAAGAAATTGCGAAAACCCACTTTCCAGGTCTTAACATCCTCAATGCAGTCTAGTGTTAAAACATGCTTTACAGATAATTCAGATGATGAGTACAGAATCATTGTCTTAGAAAATATAAAGGTCCCTTATGGCTAAGATCACTTTTGAATTATCTTCTGCAGAAAGGAAGGTGGTATATCTTTATGGATATTCCCAAAAAACAGCCCACAAGCCTTTCCTGGTGACCCATCTCTACAACATTGTGGTGAAGAGAACCCTGAACTAAAAGTCAGAAGACTTTTAGTCAAAGCAATGGCTGGTCCTTACTCAGGCTGTGACCCAAAACAAATAAATTATCCAGCCCTCAATGTAAATGAGGCAGGTCCTTCAAACTTGGCCTGGCTGATATCTATGTTTGGTGTGACCTTTATTTCTTGATTTTTTTGTTTGTTTGTTTTTTAGATGGAGTTTTGCTCTTGTTGCCCAGGCTGGAAAGCAATGACATGATCTCAGCTCACCACAAACTCCGCCTCCCGGGTTCAAGTGATTCTCCTGCCTCAGCCTCCCGAGTAGCTGAGATTACAGGCATGCGCCACCACGCTCAGCTAATTTTGTATTTCCTAGTAGAGACGGGGTTTCTCCATGTTGGTCAGGCTGGTCTCGAACTCCCAACCTCAGGTGATCCACTCGCCTTGGCCTCCCAAAGTGCTGGGATTACAGCCATTAGCCACGGCGCCCAGCCGATTATTTTCTTTTTTTTAAATGATGCTTTTATCACTTTTATACAGAGAGTAGATACACATCAAAAATAAATAAACTGTCTGATACTAAAGAAAGCAGTGGGTCATATGTATTGTTTTATTTTGTTTTTTAAATCATGGCAGCAGTTATCTTCAAGATAAGTATTCTCTCTTTTAAGTGATTATCTTAAGAGACTAAGTAGTCTTACACCAGTTAATATGGCACATGCAAAACTTCACTCCATTACCTTAGAACCTCCTTTCATTTTTTTCTAACAGTAATAGTTTTACCCAAATCATTCAATTTACTCACCAGATTGGCCAAATAGAACTTATGATTGTTCCCCCAAATCAGAGTAGCATTGAAGGATGAAGATGGTTATCACTGGGGATACATCAGATCATGTCCTTAGCCTTCACACATAGTTACAAAAGGACAGACAAAAATGCTTAAGTAATAAGAGAGTAGGGGAAGAAAAAAGTGTTTTTCTCCCACCCATCTTAGGTTCATTGAGTAGAGCTCTGCAAATTAGACTGACAAAAGGACTGATTAACAAGAGGAAAAACAAACAGAAGTTTACTAACACATGCGTTGTGCATACACGTGGGAGCACTCATAATGAGTAACTCAAAGGGGGTGATTAGAACTTAGGGTTATATAGCATCTTTTAAATTTGATACATTATTATACATATTTATAAGATACATGTGATATTTTCATACATACATACAATGATTAATGATCAAATCAGGCTATTTAGTATATCTATCCCTCAAACATTTATTATTTATTTCTGTTGGGAACATTTCAACTCTTCTCTACTAGTTCTTTGGAAATATATAATAAATTATTGTTAACTATAGTCACCCTACTCTGTTACTGAACATTAGAACTTATTCCTTCTAACTGTATACTCCTACCCATTAACAAACCTCACTTCATCCCCACCCACCCCCACCCTTTCCAGCCTCATTCTATTTTCTATCACCATAATAAGATCAACTGTTTTAGCGCCCACATATGAATGGGAACATGTGATATTTGTCTTTCTGGGCCTGGCTTACTTTATTTAACATAATCATCTCCAGTTCCTTCTAGGCTACTGCAAATGACAGGATTTCATTCATTTTAACAGCTGAATAGCATTTCATTATGTATATATACCACATTTTCTTTATCCATTCGTCGATTGACAGACACATAGGTTGATGCCATATCTTGGCTATTGTGAATAGTACGGCAATAAACATGGGGGTGAAAGTACCCCTTAAATATACTGATTTCCTTCCCTTTGAATAAATAGGCAGTAATGGGATTGGTGGATTGTATGGTCACTCTGTTTTTAGTTTTTTTGAGAAACCTCCATACTGTTTTCCATAATGGCTATATTAATTTACATTCCCACCAACAGTATATAAGAGTCCCTTTTCTCTGCATACTTGCCAGCATATGTTATTTTTTTTCTTTTTGATAATAGCCATTCTAACTGGTGTAAGATGATATCACATTGTGATTTTGATTTGCATTTCCCTGATGATTAGTGATGTTGAGTGTTTTTTCACATATCTGTTGGCCATTTGCATATCTTCTTTTCAGCAATGTCTATTCGGATCCTTTGCCCACTTTCCAATGGGAGTATTTGTTTTTTGTTATTGAGTTGTTGGGAGTTCCTTGGGTATTCTGGATATTAGCATTTGTTGGATGAATAGTTTGCAAATATTTGTTCCCATTCTACAGGTTGTCTCTTCACTCTGTTGATTGCTTCCTTGCTGTGCAGAAGATTTTTGGTGTAATATAATTCAGTTTGTCTATTTCTTCAAGGAGGACTACAAACCACTGCTCAAGGAAATAAGAGAGGACACAAACAAATGGAAAAACATTCCATGCTCATGGATGAGAAAGAATCAATATCATGAAAATGGCCATACTGCCCAAAGTAATTTATAGATTTAATGCTATCGCCATCAAGATACTATTGACTTTCTTCAAAGAATTAGAAAAAACTACTTTAAATTTCATATGGAACCAAAAAAGAGCCTGTATAGCCAAGACAATCCTAAGCAAAAAGAACAAAGCTGGAGGCATCACGTTACCTGACTTCAAATATACAAGCCTACAGTAACCAAAACCGCATGGTACTGGTAGGATGTTGAATTTTATCAAATCCCTTTTTTTTTTTTTTTGGTCTATTGAGATGTTCATATGATTTTTGTCTTTCTTTCTGTTGAGGTGATATATTTATTGATTTGTGTGTGTTCAGTCATCATCCTTGCGTCCCTGGGATAATCCCACTTAGTCATGTTGAGGTGTTGCTGGATTTAGTTTGCTAGTATTTTGTAGAGGATTTTTGCATCTATGTTTATCAGGGATACTGGCAGACAGTTTTTCTTGTTGTTATCTGTTATGTCCTTGTCTGGTTTTGGTATTAGGGTCATTTTGGCCTCATATAATGCGTCAGGAAGAGTTCACTCCCTTTCAATGTTTTGGGATAGTATGAGAAGAATCAGTGTTAATTCTTTTTATAAGTTTGGTAGAATTAGCTGACTCTGAGCACAGTGCCTAGGGGTTAACACTGCTCTGCAAGGAAGAGGTTAAAAAAAAAGTTTGATAGAATTAAGCAGTAAAGCCACCAGGTCCTGGGCTTTTCTTTGCTGGGAAACATTTTATTAATGTTATTAATATCAATATTATTATTTACTATTAATCTGTTCAGGTTTTCTATTTTTTTTTTTTATTCAATCTTGGTAGGTTGTACCTCTCCAGAAATTTATCCATCTCCTCTAGGTTTTCTAATTTGTTAGTGTATAACAAAAAATATTGAAAGTTTAGAACACTGAATGCTTGGCTGTGGCAGATCTGTTCAGCCAAGATCGGGACTACTTCAGCTGGCTCTGAGGGTTCAAAGGAGTCTGAGAAGCAAAAATCTTAGTGAACCTCTACCTAGATGTCCCCATCACATGTTAGCTACACCTTTTCCCCACCACGTCCCTGACCTCAACTTTACAGACCTACCTCCCCTTGGTTCAGAAATTATGCTGAGTGAGCTTAGGAGAAACTATATTGAAATTCATTGCTCAAAATATACACCTGAACTCAAAAATTTCAAAAAGTGCCATAGATGGACATAACCAACATTACAAGCAAATTTATCTAAAAGTGTATTTGTTACAGTGTTGTCTAAAATTTAAAAAAAATTGAAAACAACCAAAATGTCCAAAACTAGGAAGCTGATTAAGTCAACTGTAATATCCATTCCAAAGGATACAGAGCTATCAGGAAAATTTATGTTTTACAAGTAAACATAAATAGTGATATAGAACATTGCTCATTATCTATTGTTTAACAGAAATTTCAGGTTACAAATTGGATTATCCCACTTTTATTTTATATATATATATATATATATTCAAACATATTTATAAAAGCCATGAAAATTTACACAAAAAATGTTAATAATTGTTAGGTCTAAATAGTGTAATAATGCATAAATTTTTTCTTCTACTATAAATTGTATTATAAGTAAAATAATAAAAATGCCTTTGGCATGGGAGCAGAGCAAGATGATTGAAGAGAATCCTACACTGTTCATGCCCCCCACTGGAACACCAAATTTTACCAACTATCTGCATACAGAAAAGTACCATCACACAAAAAAACACAAAAATCAGATAAGCAATCACAGTACCTGGTTTTAACTTCGTATCACTATAAGAGGTGTTGAGGAGGGCAGGAAAGACTGTCTTGAATGGCTAACACCATACCTCCCCCATCCCCTGGCAGTGACTATGTGGTGCAGAGAGAGAATCTGTGCACTTTGGGGAGGGAGAGTGCAGGGACAGGGAGACTACACTGAATTCAGTGCTGCCCTGTCACAGTGGAGAATAAAGCTGTGTTGGGCTCAGCTAGCATTCGTGCATGGAAAGAGTCTCTTGATGGAAAGAGCAGACTTGATCAAGCAGAAGAAAGAATTAGTGAGCTTGAAACCAGCTGTTTGAAAATCCACAATCAGAGGAGTCCAAAGAATAAAGAATAAGAAACAATGAAGCCTGCCTACAAGATATAGAAAATAGGCTCAAAAGGGCAAATCTAAGAGTTATTGGCCTTAAAGAGGAGGCAGAGAAAGAGATAGAAGTAGAAAGTTTATTCAAAGGGATAATAACAGAGAACTTCCCATACCTAGATAAAGATATCAATATTCAAGTACAAGAAGGTTAAAGAGAACCAAGCAGATTTAACTCAAAGAAGACTACTTCTAGACATTTAATAATCAAACTCCCAAAGGATGAGGATAAAGAAAGGATACTAAAATCATCAAGAGAAAAGAAATAACATAAAACAGAGCTCCGATATATCTAGCAGCAGACTTTTTAGTGGAAACCTTATAAGCCAAAAGAGAGTGGCATGATGTATTTAAAGTGATAAAGGAAAAAAACATTTACCCTAGAATAGCATATCCAGTCAAAGTATTCTTCAAGCATGAAGGAGAAACAAAGATCTTCCAAGACAAACAAAAGCTGAGGGATTTCATCAACACCAAACCTGTCTTACAAGAAATGCTAAAGGATGTTCTTCAGTATGGAAAAAAAAAAAAGGATGTTAATGAGCAAGAAGGAATCATCTTTATGCTTTGACTCTTGTCTGTAAAAATAAAAAAGAAGAAGAAATCATCTGAAGGCACAAAACTCATTGGTAATAGTAAGCACTCAGAAAAACACAGAATAGTATAACATTGTAACGGTGGTATGTAAACCACTCTTGTCTTAAGTAGAAAGACTAAATGATAAACCAATGAAAAATAATAACTAAAACAACTTTTTAAGACATGGACAGCACAATGAGAAATCCAGAGAAATAACCAAGAGTTAAAAAGCGGGGAGACCAACTTAAAATTTAGAGGTTTTATTAGTTTTCCTTTGGCATGTTGGCTTGTTTTTGCATGCAATAAGTGTTCATTGTCATCTAATGGGTTGTAAAAAAATATTTGCAAGCCTTATGATAACTTCAAATCAAAAAACATACAATGAATACACAAAAAATAAAAGTCAAGAAATTAAAGCATACCACTAGAGAAAATCACTTTCACTAAAAGGAAGACAGGAAGGATGAACAAAGGAAGAGAAGACCACAAATAGCCAGAAAACAAAGAACAAAATAGCAGGAGTGAGTTCCAACTTATCAATAATAATATTGAATGTAAATAGACTTAACTCTCCAATCAAAACACATACAGTAGATGAATGGATTAAAAAAACAAGACCCAATGATATGTTGTTGCCTATCAGAAACACATTTCACCTATAAAGATACACATAGAAAAACATAAATGGATGGAAAAAAAATCCCAGGCCAATGGAAACCAAAAAAGAACAAGAGTAGCTATATTTATGTCAGATAAAATAGATGTAAAGACAAACACTGTAAGAAGAGACAAAGAAGGTAATTATATAATGATAAAGGGGTCAATCCAGCATCAGAATATAATGATTGTCAATATATATGCACCCAACACTGTGTTCATATATCTCTCTCTTTAGCTCTAATAATATTTGCTTTACATGTGTGGGTGCTCCAGGAGAAACAGATATATGACTGTTCTGACAGAGAATTCAAAATACCTATTTTAAGGAAACTAAAAGATATTCAAGTTAACACAGAGAAGGAATTCAGAATTCCTTCTCTGTGAGAGAGATAAACCCCAATACAATAAGAGCTGGAGACCAACACCCCAATTTCAGCACTGGAAAGATCTCCCAGACAGATCATCAACAAAGAAACATAGGACTTAATCTGCACCATAAAATAAATGAACCTAACAGATATTTACAGAACATTTCATCCAACGGCTACAGAATACACATTCTTCTCATCAGCATGTGGATAATTCTCAAGGATAGACCATATGTTATGTCACAAAGCAAGTTCTAAAACATTCAAAAAAATAAAATAATATCAATGTCTTCTCCGACCACAATAGAACAGAACTAGAAATCAATAATGAGAGAAATTTTGGAAACTATATAAATATATGAAAAGTAAACAATATGCTCCTGAATGACCAGTGAGTCAGTGAAGAAATTAAGAAAAAAATTGAAAAAATTTCTTGAAACAAATGATCATGAAAATACAACATACCAAAACCTATGAGATACAACGAAAGCAGTACTAAGAGGGAAATTTATAGCTGTAAGTGCCTACATCAATAAAGAAAAAACCTTCAACTCCTTGGTTAGGTATATTCCTAAGTTTATGTTTGTTTGATTGATTTTTTTTTTTTTTTTTTTTTGCAGCTATTGTAAAAGGGGCTGAGTTCTTGACTTGATTCTCTGCTTGGTCGTTGTTGGTGTATAGATGAGCTACTGATTTTTGCACATTAATCTTGTATCTGGAAACTTTGCTGAATTCTTTTATCAGTTCTGGGAGCTTTCTGGAGAAGCCCTTAGGGTTTTCAAGGTAAACAATCCTATCGTCAGCATACAGTGACAGTTTGACTTCCTCTTTACTGATTTGGATGCCCTTTATTTCTTTCTCTTGCCTGATTGCTCTGGCTAGGTTTCCAGTACTATGTTGAAGAGGTGTGGTGAGAGTGGACATCCTCGTCTTGTTCTAGTTCTCAGAGGGAATGTTTTCAACTTTTCCCTATTCAGTATTATGTTGGCTGTGGGTTTATCATAGATGGCTTTTATTATATTAAGGTATGTCCCTTGTATGCCAGTTTTGCTGAGAGCTTTAATCATAAAGGGATGCTGGATTTTGTCAAATGCTTTTTCTGCATCTATTGAGATGATCATGTGATTTTTGCTTTTAATTCTGTTTATGTGGTATATCACATTGATTGACTTGCATATGTTCAACCATCCCTGCATCCCTGGTATGAAACCCACTTGATTATGGTGGATTACCTTTTTGATATGTTGTTGGATTTTGTTAGCTAGTATTTCGTTAAGGATTTTATCATCTATGTTCATCAAGGATCTTGGTCTATGGTTTTCTTTGTTATGGCCTTTCCTGGTTTTGGTATTAAGGTGATGCTGTCTTCATAGAATGAATTAGGGAAGGTTCCTTCTTTTTCTATCTCATGGAATCGTGTCAAAAGGATTGGTACCAATTCTTCTTTGAATGTCTGGTGGAATTCTGCTGTAAATCATCTGGTCCCAGAATTTTTTTTTGTTGGTAATTTTTTAATTACCATTTCAATCTTGCTGCTTGTCATTGGTCGGTTCAGGGTATCTAATTCTTCCTGATTTAAGCTAAGAGGGTTGTATTTTTCAGGAATTTATCCATCTCTCCTAGGTTTTCTAGTTTATGTGTGTAAAGGTGTTCATACTAGCCTTGAATAATCTTTTGTATTTCAGTGGTGTCAGTTGTAACATCTCCTGTTTCATTTCTTAGTGAGGTTAGTTGGATTTTCTCTCTTCTTTTCTTGGTTAATCTTGCTAATGGTGTGTCAATTTTACTTATCTTTTCAAATAACCAGATTTTTGCTTCATTTATCAGTTAAATTTTCTTGTTTCAATTTCATTTAGTTCTGCTCTGATCTTGGTTGCTTCCCTTCTTTTGCTGGGTTTGGATTTGGTTTATTCTTGTTTCTCTAGTTCCTTGAGGTGTGACCTTAGAATGCCAGTTTGTGCTTTTTCAGTCTTTTTGATGTAGGCGTTTAGGGATATGAACTTTCCTCTTAGTACCACTTTTGCCGTATTCATGGAAAACTACAAAACACTGCTAGAAGAAATCATAGATGACACAAACAAATGGAAACACATCCCATGCTCATGGATGGGTAGAATCAATATTGTGAAAATGACCATACTGCCAAAAGCAATCTACAACTTCAATGCAATCTCCATCAAAATACCACCATCATTCTTCACAGAATTAGAAAAAACAATTCTAAAATTCATATGGAACCAAAAAAGAGCCCAGATAGCTAAAGCAAGATTAAGCAAAAAGAACAAATCTGGAGGCAACACGCTACCTGATTTCAAACTATGCTATAAGGCCATAGTCAACCAAAACAGCATGGTACTGGTATAAAAATAGGCACGTAGGCCAATGGAACAGAATAGACAATGCAGAAATAAACCCAAATACTTACAGCAAACTGATCATTGACAAAGCAAACAAAAACATAAAGTGGGGAAAGGGCATCCTTCCAACAAATGGTGCTGGGATAACTGGCTAGCCACATGTAGGAGAATGAAACTGCATCCTCGTCTCTCACCTTCTACTAAAATCAACTCAAGATGGATTAAGGACTTAAACCTAAGACCCCAAACTATAAAAAAATTCTAGAAGATAAAATTGGAAAAACCCTTTTAGATATCGGCTTAGGCAAGGATTTCATGACCAAGAATCCAAAAGAAAATGCAATAAAAACAAAGATAAATAGCTGGGACTTAATTAAACTAAAGGGCTTTGCCCGGAAAAGGAACAGTCAACAGAGTAAACAGACAACCCACAAAGCGTGAGAAAATCTTCACAATCTATATGTCTGACAAAGGAATAATATCCAGAATCTATAACAAATTCAAACAAATCAGTAAGAAAAAAAAAGCAGTCTCATCAAAAAGGGGGCTAAGGACATGAATAGACAATTCTCAAAAGAAGATATACAAATGGTCAGCAAACAAGAAAAAATGCTCAACATCACTAGTGATCAGGGAAATGCAAATCAAAATGACAATGCAATAGCACTTATACTCCTGAAGAGTGGCCATAATCAAAAACTCAAAAAATAGTAGATGTTGGCATGGATGCTGTGAACAGGGGAGAATTCTACACTGCTGGTGGGAATGTAAACTAGTACAGCCACTACAGAAAACAGTGTGGAGATTCCATAAAGAACTAAAAGTAGAACTACCATTTGATCCAGCAATCCCACTACTGGGTATCCACCCAGAGGAAAGGGAGTCATTATTTGAAAAAGATACTTGCACACGCATGTTTATAGCAGCACAAATCACTATTGCAGAATAGTGGAACCAACCCAAATGCCCATCAATCAATGAGTGGATAAAGAAACTGTGGAATATATATGCATGATGGAATATTACTCCACCATGAAAAGGAATGAATTAATAGCATTTTAAGTGACCTGGATGAGACTGGAGACTATTATTCTAAGTGAAGTAACTCAGGAATGGAAAACCAAACATTGTATGTTCTCACTATGTGGGAGCTAAGCCATGAGGACCCAAAGGCATAAGAATGATACAATGGACTTTGGGGACTTGTGGGGAAGAGTGGTAGGAGGGCAAGGGATAAAAGACTACAGATATGGCGCAGTGTATACTGCTCCGGTAATGGGTGCACCAACATCCCACAAATCACCACTAAAGAACTTACTCATGTAAGCAAATACCACCGGTACCCCAATAACATATGGAAAAATAAATAAATAAATAAATGAAAACGAAAAAATTCAAATAAAAAACCTAATGATGGATCTTTAAGAACTAGAAAAGCAATAGCCAACCAAACCCAAAATTAGAAGAAAAGAAATAATAAGGATCAGAGCAGAAATAAATCAATTTGAAATGAAAACAATACAAAAGATTAACAAAATGAAAAGTTGATTTTTTTGAAGAGATAAACAAACTTGACAAACATTTAGTCAGGCTAACTAAGAAAAAAGAGGGAAAACCCAAATTAAAAAAATCGGAGATGAAAAAGGAAACATTACAACTGATACTACAGAAATTCAAAGGATCATTAGTGGCTACAATGAACAATTATATGCCAGTAAATTGGAAAACCTAGAAGAAATGGATAAATCCCTATATACACACAACCTACCAAGATTGAACCATGAAGAAATCCAAAGCCTAAACAGACCAATAACATGCAATGAGATCAAAGTCATAATAAAAAGTTTCCCAGTAAAGAAAAGCCTGCGACCCAATGTCTTCACTGCCGAATTCTACCAAACATTTAAATAAAAAGTAATACCAATCCTACCCAAACTGTTCCAAAAAATAGGGAAGGAGGGAATACTTCCAAGTTCAGCATATGCTAATCAATGCAATATCCTCTCACCCCAGTTAAAATAGCTTGTATCCAAAAGTCAGGCAATAACAAATGAAATTTTAATATTGACAAGTGAAATTTTAATATTAAAAAAGGTAAGATAGTGAATTACCAAATTTGAAAATCGGGTATGGAATGTTTAGAAGTGCTGTTTAGAACAAAGAACCAAACTCCTCTAATAATTAGGTTGTTTGTTCACATAGTGGTAACTCTCAATATTTTTCTCAATATTATATCTATTTGGAAAGGAAAAAAATGTTCCTATCCAGCAATCAAAAAAATTCTGGCTGTGCTTTCATTTAAAAATGACACCTACCTAGCAGATTCTGACATAGCTTCCCGTAAGTTAGATGCTAAAATATCTATGTAGAAAAAGCGGACTATTTAAAGCAAAATAAAATATTAAGATAGAAAAATTATTGCCAGAGTTTGTAAGAAAATTTAACAAACATCATTGCCAAAGGAATTTGAGAGAATTCTAAGTAAGCTTGAGCTCAGAAAACATAGCCTACCTTGATAAAAATAAATTTAAAAATAGATACTTTTTATATCTCTACATTGTCTAACCCCTGATTTAAAGACAAATGGGATAAATAAAAAACTAAGCAGCCATTCATCTACTTAGTAGATGTTGCTTTAATGGTTAGTATTTTTATCATTAAAAATTTCCCCATCTCTTTTGGGTGATGAGAAAAGTCCTGGAATTAGTGGTAATTGTTGTACAATATTGTGAATGTACTTAATGCCGCTGAATTGTATATACACTGGAAAATGGTTAAAATGGCAAGTTTTATGTTATGAGTATTTTGCCACAATAAAAAATAAATAATTTCACCAAAAAATAGAGTAGTGAAATAAACCCTCATGGACCCATCACCCATCTTCTACAATTATTAGTCCAGACAGACTTATTACATCTTTAGCTTTAGTCCCTCCATCCCACACTGCATTATTTTGAAATAAATTCTAAACAATGCAACATTTCATCCATAATTATTTCAGTTCATTTCTCTAAAAGATAAGAATTCTTTCATAAAGCATAACTATTATCAGATATAGTTCCTTAATATCACCAAATATTCCGTGTTCAAATTGCTCGTTGTCTCACAGTGTTTGTTGATTTGGTTACGTGTGAAATACGATTCAAACAAGATCACATTGCATTTGGTTGTTATGTGTCTTTTGTTATCTAATCTATGAATTCCCCTCCTTTTTTATTTTCTTCACAATTTAACATTGGGCAAATTGGGTTGTTTGTCCTGTAAATTTTCTTGCATTCTGAATTTTGCTGATTAAATCCTCATGATATTTTTAACACGTTCTTCTATCCCCTGTGTCCCCTGAAAACTATGAATAGTAGTTAGATCTAGAGTCCTGAGCAGATTCAAATTGAATTTTTCAGTAAGAATATTTCAAAGTTATGTTGTAAATCCCATCATGAGGTATGTAGTACTTGGTTGTATCTTCTTTCATTGTGTTAAAATTGATTGACCAGCCTGGCTAACATGGTTAGCCGTTTCTACTAAAAATACAAAAAATTAGCTGGGTGTGGTGGCGCGCACCTATAATCCCAACTACTTGGGAGGCTGAGGCAGGAGAATCGCTTGAATCCAGGAGGCAAAGGTTGCGGTCAGCTGAGATCGCGCCATTGCACTCCAGCTTGGGCAACAAGAGCAAAACTCTGTCTTAAAAAAAAAAAATTGATCAATGAGTTTAGATGTTATCAGTCATAGCCATTCCTTAGGAATTTCTTTACCTAATGGTCTTAGCAGCCATTAATAATACCGCATAGATTCATTACATTTTTAGGGGTTGCAAATGGCATATTTAAATTCTGTCATTCATTCTTCTTTGAAATAATTAATAATCTGTAACGCATCTATAAAGAAAGACTTTACCTCATCACCTATTTGGTTCCACTTAGATGAAATAATGAAAAAGGTGGGATACTTGATTTAAAGGGAGCAAGAGAACTATCCCCAAAATCTCCAGTCAGACTTGTCTATTAGTACAAATGAGCAGCCCTTACGTATTCCCAGAAATATTTGAAAGGGAATGGGTTTGGTGGGGATGAGTAACTGGAGATCCTGCTCCAACAGAGAACATGCCCTAATGAAATTTAAGTAGTTACTATTAAAATGACCCAGCCGATACCCACAGGCTCCTGAGGCATGAGAAATTAAAGTTACATTAGGTTTTGGCATACTATCAAATTAACAGGGAAGTTTAAATTATATAATAAATTAGACTAATACTATTACAAAAATATTTGAAGAAAGGTTCTATCATCCTTATATGTTATGCCAAAAAGCACCAGATGAATTAAATATAAGAAATAAAATCAAAGAAGCACAGAAAACTAGTGAATATTTATTTGACTTTGTAATAAAATTTTGAAGCATAACAATAAAGAAAAAACTATTCTAAAAAATGATATTTTTATTTTATAAAAATACACAAATTTTAATAAGTTGGTCAATCCTAACATAAAAGGTAAATGACAACTTGAAAAAAATTACATAAAATATTCTCAATATATAAGAAGCTCTTCCAGGCAAGCCCATTCATAGTAAAATAAAATGCTCAAAAAATGATGAAACACATGCAAATTAAAACACAATAGAATTCTATGTTTTTCTTTCTTTTTTTTTTTTAAACGGAGTCTCGCTCTGTCGCCCAGGCTGGAGTGCAGTGGCACAATCTCGGCTCACTGCAAGCTCCGCCTCCCGGGTTCAGGCCATTCTCCTGCCTCAGCCTCCCGAGTAGCTGAGACTACAGGCGCCCACCACACGTCCGAATAATTTTTCGTATTTTTAGTAGAGACGGGGTTTCACCGTGTTAGCCAGGATGGTCTCCATCTCCTGACCTCGTGATCCACCTGCCTCAGTCTCCCAAAGTGCTGGGATTACAGGCATGAGCCACCGCGCCCAGCCTCTGTTTTTCTTTAAAACTGACACCAAATTTCTCTAATATTAAAGCCTAGCATTGGAACTGGTATGGGAAATAGAAAACTCATGCTCTACTGAGGAAATCATACAACAGTATAATTTTTATGAAGAACAACTTGGTATCAGGAATAATAAATCTTCAAAATATTCTTACCCTTTGAGCCAAAATATCCCTTAATATATATTTAGATTTTCTTTGTTCTGTAATTAAGCCACTACAATAACAACTAATCCTTTCTAGAATTTTTTTTGAAGACATAAACACAGAGGTACATAAATATTTGTGTGCAGGCCGTGCACGGTGGCTCATGCCTATAATCCTAGCACTTGGGGAGGCCAAGTAGACCACTTGAGCCTAGGAGTTCAAGACCAGCCTGAGCAACATGGTGAAACCCTGTCTCTACAAAAAATACAAAAATTAGACAGGCATGGTGGTGCATTCCTGTAGTCCCAACTACTTGGGAGGCTGAGGTGGGAGGATCACCTGAGCCCAGGGAGGTATGGGCTGCAGTGAGCTGTGGTTGTGCCACTGCACTCCAGCCTGGGTGACAGAGCAAGACTCTGTCTCAAAAAAAAAAAAAAAAGATTTGTTCAAAAAGTTGCTCCTGATATGGTTAGAAAAGTTGGAAACAATTTCAATAAATAAGGGATAGCTATGAGATGAAAAACCATACAACTAATAAAACTGTTCCAAAAATATTTAAAGACATGAAATTCTTTCATGATACAATACTAAAGAGGAAAAAAGTTCAAAATTATTTTTATAGTCTAAACTCAATTTCTCCTATAAACATATATATGTACTTAAAGATATATCGCTCAGTTATATATACACTTAAAATATTTAGAAAGTATTTCATATATAGATATACATGTTTACACACATGTAAATATATATATCTGTTATGTGTATGTGTGTGTAACATGGGTGTATGTGAAAGTGGGTGACTAGGGTGCTTACTAACAGTGTTGAGTTCAACAATGTTTTCCTTCTTTATAAATTTTCTTTTAGTTATGTATTTTCTAATGAAATATTTTATAATCCAAAGTAAATAAAGATTAATATTGCTTTTAAAGAATTTTTTTATTTCATTCACTCAGCTCCTCCATCTATGTACACTCATTTCATCACCGTCAATTTTGCGAACATTTTCTATTATGTGCCAGGCACTGTCAGTACTAGCATCCATGGGAAACACAGCCTGGCAATTATACAATATTGAATAAGATGCCGACCCTGTCTCTAGGGTATCTTATCAGAGTATGACAATGGAAGTCGTACTCTAGTGGCAAGGACAGACCTATACAAAAGAAGTGGGGTGTCTTGTACTCAGGGCTCTAATAGAAGCATAAAATAAGACCAGGCAGCTATTATATAACCCAAGTTCTTTTTTGCCTCAGTGTAAGGTCTGATTCAAATACATAGCTTCAAAGACAAAGCTGTGTAGTATAAGTTTCCTCACAAAAGGAAAGTAAGTGTAGAAAGAATGCAAAAAACTCGTTAGTATTTCACATGAACAATGTCATTCACTGTACAAACAGACAGAAATATTAAGTTAATTTTTCTTGCTATGTGGTCCTGGTTTTCTCTCAAGTCATCTCCACCTTCTTAGTGCAAAGGGTTGTAATAGTTCAAGATTTCCCCATTAAACATGAGATGTAGTCACCAGCTGTGCTTGTCTTTCTCAGCCTCTTTGCCCTGTTACACACCAGCTAGCACCAGGTCCCAATCCAAACCAACCTCGGACATTTTGCTCCACAAGTTATGTGGGCAGAGTTAATGGAGCTATCACTTACTCTTGCCTGCAAACAGGGAATGATGGATGGCTATCTGCTAAATGTATTAAACTTCAATCCAAAAGAGTTGCTCCTTAGCATGCATAAGAAAAACAAAAGTTAGGTTTCTCCATTTCTTCAACCGCCTCTTGCATTCTAGGAAGAAATGCTTTGTCCTGTCTTCCCTTCTCATAATGTTCACCAACATAGCTAACATATTCCTTGGTGTCAACCCACATACACAGTTTATTTAGCACACTGCTTCCTTTCATTCATTCCACAAACATTTACTGAGAACTCATTACATGGCAAAGCTCTGTGCTAGAAGCTGGAGATATAAAATGAATAAAACATAGTTCTGGTACTTGGGAGCCTGTGATGTATTCGAAGAGATGGACATTAAAACAAAACATTGAAGTAAAGTAGTATAGATGTTCTAATAAATTATACTGAGTAATAATTACAAAGCCCTTTTATTGAGAACTTGCTATGTAGGTACTATGATAAATACTTATACGTATAGGTACTATGGTAAATGTGCATTAAAAGTAGCCAATCTTTACAATATTCCTATGAGATAGTGGGAACATAAACCAACATACCTTCCTCACGTTTGGTTAAACAGTTCTGGGAAAATATTTTCATTTTTATATGCTAAAAAATACTAAGACCAAGCAAAAGGAAGTAAGTGCTTTTATTCCATAAATACTTGCTCCTGGAAGATATGACTGTGAACCCACTGAAAGAGCTTTCTTTTCAAGACTAAACTTGTTCTCCAAGACTCGCTTTCAGACCTTTGTCCTGCTAGGTTCACCAATCAGAATTTATTTTATCATAAATACTGCCCAATCCCAACCAATTCCCTGCCTTGAAAGACCCACCTTGAAAATCACCCACCTCAGGCTCTAAAACACCATAAATATCCTCCCTTTACTTCCCCGTTTTGAGACACTACTAAGACTCAGTGAAGTTGGCCTTCTCTCTTACTTCAGTAGGCCTAGTAAACAGCTTTGCTGGACAAGTGTGTATTCCTTTGATCTTTTGAGAGATTACTGATCAACAATCCATATTACACTCACCAATTCACATCTGTATCAAGGTTTATATGACTGTAGCTTATGCCTGATACTTCTCTCCATTCTGCCACCTATAATGGATTAAAAGAAAAAATAGTATTTTATTAGGAAGGGTGTGAAGGAAAAGCACAGTGGAGGTGCTATTTGAGTTTTAAAAGACATATAAAGTACTCAACTGGTTTTCAAGAAAGAAAAGAGTATTCATGTTCAAAGAAACAGATATATGGATTTATAAAGTAGATTAAGAAAACTTAGTATCTCAGAAAATGACTAGAACTAAGAGTACATCATGGAGTGGGGTGCTAGGAGTTTCTGTCTCACATGGAAGAAATAGGAACTTTAAGATTTGATCATTAATGAGATGTTGTTAGTAAAAGGAAAAGAAGAGTTTGGGATGACTCCAGGTTACTAGCTTAGCTTAATAGATACAAAGTCACACCCATTTCAAAGATGGAGAATTCAAGGAAAAAAAAATCTGTTTTGGAAAAATATAACACGTGTTCAGGCCTTCTAATAAATTGCACAAATACATGGACTGACCAACCCTGCCATTGGCAGTGGACTAGGGTCCATGAGTCAGGCAAAGGAGCTGAGATGAAGAAGACATGAATAAGTTAGAAAAGCCAGCCAGGTGTAGTGGTGCATGCCTAGTGCACACCCATAGTTCCAGCTACTTGGTAGGCTATGGCCAAAGGATCACATGAGTCCAGGAATTTGAGGCTGTAGTGCACTATGATTGTTCCTGTAAATAGCCACTGCTGCAGCCTTGGCAACATAGCAAGACCCCCATCACTAAAAAAAAAGAAGAAAAGAAAAGCCAAGAAAAAATGTTATCATAGAAATCAGAGCAGGGAAACAACCAAAAGGAAGGAGTAAGTGGTGTTAAATATTGCATATGCCAAGAAAGATGAGGCCTGGAAAAGCTTAATAAAATTGGAAATTCAGGACACGGCAAGCCAAAAGCATGAGATTGAGGTTGAAAAGCAAGGTATTAACTGAAAGAATTAGAAAAGCAAGAGCAAACCAACACCAAACCTAGCAGAAGACAAGAAAAAATCAAAATCAGAGCTGAACTGAAGAAAATTGAGACATGAAAAACCATTCAAAAGATCAACAAGATCTTGGGAAGATGGTGGATGAGAGGCAGGATTAGGTTGCAGCTCCTGCTTGGAAGGACAGAGCAGCGTGTGGAGACTCACATCATGAACTTTTGCTCAAAGAACTACCACAGGAACATACCAGGAAAGCCGAGAAGATCCACAGACCCTTTGAAGGAACTGGATCACCCCTGCAGGCTCCCCGAGATGCCAAAAAACGGTGAGTCAGCTTGCTTTCTTAATGGGGAGGCTCGTGGTCTGGGGCAAATTCTCAGCCCTGGAAATGGACTCGGTGCTACTGGGGGTTTGGCAGGGGCATGGTGGGAGCGAGGCCAGCCTTTAGGACTGTGGGCTATGTGGGAGCAGGGTGAGGCCTGTGACTGCCAGCTTTCCCCCACTTCCCTGGCGGCCTGTATGACTCAGCAGAACATAACTTCATTGGACTGAGAATTATACCCCTACCCCCACAGCAGCTGCAGCAAGCCCCACCCAAAGAGAGGCTGAGCTTAGACATGCCTAAACCTGCCACCACTTGATGGTCTTTCTCTACCCACCCTGGTAGCCAAAGACAAAGGTCATAATTTATTGGGAGGTCTATGGCCCTGTGCACCACCTAAGAAACCTGAATACTTAACCAGTTGTCTCTAGGGCAAGTTTGCATCCTCCCTACAGGACCACAGCTAATGTGGTCTTGAAAGTGCCACCTCCTGGCTGGAGGCCAACTAACACAAAACTAGCACACTAAATAAAAACACAACCAAAGACCCCACAGAATGCACTTCACTCCCCTGCTAACTCCACTGGAGCAGGTGCTGGTATTCACAGCTGCAAGACCTAAAGATCACATCACAGTGCTCTTTGCAGACACTCACCAGTACCGGCCCAGAGCCCAGTATCTCTGCTGGGTGGCTAGACCCAGAAATGCAAAAACAATCAGAACAGTTTGGCTCTCAGGAAGCCTCATTCCTAGAGGAATGGGAAGAAACCACATCAAGAAAACACCCTATGGGACAAAAGAATCTGAACAACAGCCCTTGAATCCCAGATGTTCCCTTGGACATAGTCTACCCCAATGAGAAGGAACCAGAAAAACAATTCTGGTAATATGACAAAATAAGGCTCTTTAACATCCTCCAAAAATCATATTATCTCACCAGCAATGAATCCAAACCAAGACCCAAAAGGAGCCCAGGACCAGAGAGATTCTTAGCCAAATTCTAGCAGATGTACAAAGAAAATCTGGTACCCTTTCTATGGAAACTACCACAAAAAAACTGAGGAAGAGAGATTCCTCCCCAACTCATTCTATGAGGCCAGCATCACCCGGATACCAAAACCTGGCAGAGACACAACACAAAAAGAAAACTTCATGCTAACATCATTGATGTGCATTAATGCAAAAATTCTCAACAAAATACTTGCAAACCAAATCCAGCAGCACATCAAAAAGCTAATGTGTGATAATCAAGTAGGCTTCATCCCCAGAATGCAAGGTTGGTTCAACATATGCAAATCAATAAATGTGATTCATCACATAAACAGAACTAAAAACAAAAACCACATGATTATGTCAATAGATGCAGAAAAGACTTTCAATAAAATTCAACATCCCTTTATGTTAAAAACTCTCAGTAAACTGGGCATTGAAGAAACATACCTCAAAATAATAAAAGCCATCTATAACAAATTCATAGCCAATATCATACTGAATGGGAAAATGTTGGAAGCATCCCCATTGTAAACAGGCACAAGACAAGGATGCCCTCTCTCACCACTCCTATTTAACATAGTATTGGAAGTCCTAGCGAGAGCAATCAGGCAAAAGAGAGAAATAAAGGGCATCCCAATAGGAAGGGAGGAAGTCAAACTACCTCTGTTTGCAGATTACATGATTCTATATCTAGAAAACCCCATAGTCTTGGCCCAAAAGCTCCTTCAGGTGATAAACAACTTCAACAAAGTTACAGGATACCAAGTCAATGTACAAAAATCACTAGCATTCCTCTACATCAACAATAGCCAAGCTATTGTTATATATTCTGATATAGCTGAGCTAAATCAGAAATGCAATCCCATTCACAATTGCCACAAAAAGAATAAAATACCTGGGAATACAGCTAACCAGGGAGGTAAAAGATCTCTACAATGTGAATTACAAACCAATGCTGAAAGAAATCAGAGATGACACAAGCAAATGGAAAAATATTCTATGCTCATGGATAGGAAGAATCAATATCTTTAAAATGGCCATGCTGCCCAAAGCTATGTATAGATTCAATGCTATTCCTATTAAACTACCAATAACGTTCTTCACAGAACTAGAAAAAAACTATTTATAAATTAATATGGAACAAAAAAAGAGCCTGAATACCCAAGGCAATCATAAACAAAAGAACAAAGCTGAAGGCATCACACTACCAACCTTCAAACTATAATGCAGGGATACAGTAACCAAAACAGTATGGTACTGACAAAAAAAAAAAAAAAAAAAACAGACACGTAGACCAGTGGAACAGAAGAAGGAACTTAAAAATAAGCTGCACACCTACAATCATCTGATCTTTGACAAAGTAGACAAAAACAAGCAATAGAGAAAGGTCTCTCTATTCAATAAATGGTGCTGGGATAACTGGCTAGACATATGCAGAAAATTGAAACTGGTCCCCTTTCTTACACTGGCTAGGTTGCAGAGAAAACTCAACTCAAGACAGATTAAAGACTAAAATGTAAAACCCAAAACTATAAAAACTCTGGAAGACAACCTAGGCAATACCATTCTGGACATAGGAACAAACAAAGATTTTATGACAAAGACACCAAAAGCAATTGCAACAAAAGCAAAAATTGACAGATGAGATCCAATTAAACTTAATAAACACACAACCTAGAGAATGGGAGAAAATATTTGCTAACTTTGCATCTAACAAAGGTTTAAAATCCAGCATCTATAAGGAACTTGAACAAATTTACAAGAAAAAACAACCCCATTAAAAAGTGGGCAAAGGGCAGGCACAGTGGCTCATGCCTGTAATCCCAGCACTTTGGGGGATCGCTGTAGGCAGATCACTTGAAGTCAAGAGTTCAAGACCTCCTAGCCAACATGGTGAAACCCCATTTCTACTAAAATTACAAGAAAAAAAAAATTAGCCGGATATGGTAGCGCACACCTGTGATCCCAGCTACTCAGGAGACTGAAAGAGGAGAATCGCCTGAACCCAGGAGGCAGAGGTTGCAGTGAGCTGAGATCGTGCCACTGACTCCAACCTGGGTGACAGAGTGAGTGAGATTCCATCTCAAAAAAAAAAAAAAAAAAAAGAACAGATGCTAATGAGGTTGCAGAGAAAAGGGAATGCTCATACACTGTTGGTGGGAATGTAAATTAGTTCAACGATTGTGAAAAGCAGTGTGGCGATTTCTCAAAGAGCTAAAAACAGAACTACCATTTGATGCAGCAATCCCATTACTGGGTATATACCCAAAAGAATATAAATCGTTCTACCATAAAGACACATGCAGGAAAATAAAGGGATAAGAATGACACATTGGACTTTGGGGACTCAGGGGGAAAGGGTGGGAAGGAGTTGAGGGATAAAAGACTACAAATATGGTGCAGTGTATACTACTTGGGTGATGAGTGCACCAAAATCTCATAAATCACCACTGAAGAACTTACTCATGTAACCAAATACCACCTGTTTCCCAATAACATATGGAAATTTTAAAATTAAAAACGAAGACACATACAGGCAAATGTTCTTTGCAGCATAATTCACAATAGCAAAGACACGGAATCAATGACAGATTGGATAAAGAAAATGTGGTACATATACACCATGGAATACTATGCAACCATAAAAAAGAACAAATTCATGTCTTTTATGGGAACATGGATGGAGCTGAAGGCTATTATCCTTAGCAAACTAATGCAGGAAGAGAATCCAAATTCCGAATGTTCTCACTTGTAAGTGAGAGCTAAATGATGAGAACTCATGGTCACAAAGAGGGGAAAAACTGACACTGGGGCCTTCTTGAGGACAGAGGGTGAAAGGAGACAGATCAAATAAAATAACTTTTGGGTACTAAGCTTAGTAAACTGGGTGAAGAAATAATCTGCACAACAAATCCCCATAACATGAGTTTTAACTATGAAACAAACCTGCACATGTACCTGTGAATCTAAAATAAAAGTTAAAAAATGGCTCACACCTGTAATCCCAGCACTTCAGGAGGCCGAGGCAGGTGGATCACGAGGTCAGGAGTTTGAGACCAGCCTGGCCAATATGGTGAAACCCCATCTCTACTAAAAATACAAAATTAGCCAGGCATGGTGGCACATGCCCATAATCTCAGCTACTCGGGAGGCTAAGGAAGAGAATTGCTTGAACCCGGGAGGATGAGGTTGCAGTGAGCCAGGTTGTGCCAGTGCACTCCAGCCTGGGCAACAGAGCGAGACAGAAAGAAAAGGAGAGGAGAGAAGAGGAAAGGGGAGGGAAGGGGAGGGGAGGAAAGGAAGGTATTCCTCTAATCTCTAAGGCCATGGAGATCCTGCAAAAATCTGGGCCTCACTCAAGGAACTATAGTAGAATATATATGCATATGCAGGGTTCTTGGCTAATTCTCATTCTGTCTCACTCATTGCAATCTTCCTACAATAGAAAATTGGAAGCCAGGTGTGGTGGCTCAAGCCTGTAATCTCAGCACTTTGCAAGGCCTAGGCAGGCAGATTGCTTGAGCCCAGGAGTTCAAGACCAGCCTAGACAACATGGCAAAATTTCATCTCGACTAAAAATACAAAAATTAGCCAGGCATGCTGGTGCACACCTGTAGTCCCAGCTACTCGGGAGGCTGAGGTGGAAGGATCACTTGAGCCTGGAAGGTTGAAGTTGTAGTGAGCCGAGATCAGCCACTGCTCTCCAGCCTGGGTGACAGAGTGAGACCCTGTCTCAAAATAAAAAGAATGAAAAGGAAAAAAAAAAATTGGAAGAAGCATATTGTCAGCTCTCTTTTCCTTGTTTGGTGGGTAAGACCAGATGATTTATAAGGTTTGGTGTAGCTACTTCTAAAGTCCTAAGAATGTATGGATGTGAGAGTGAATAAATAATACTATACAGGAAAAATCTCCAGAAGTGCTTCTGAAAGAGATAAAGATATGGGAACTCCTTTGAGAAAGATATTATTTAGGAAAGGCTCTAATCAGAACATTCTTTTCATTCAAAAGCATGTACCTTCTCATTGCTACATTGAAAAAATATATATATCTTTAGCCTGAAATGCAAGCACCACCCTAATCCGATGGAGGTCTACTTCTACATCCCCACTATGTCCCTTCACCCATCGTGGGATCTAGCCTAGAAGTCAGTAAACAACAGCCAGTGGCCAAATGAGCTTCAAAGAGCTTTAATAAAGTTTTATTGGAACCACAGCCACACCCATTCATTTAGGTATTATCTATGGCTGCTTTCACACTACAACAGAGTTGAGTATGCAACAAAGACCATCTGGCCTGCAAAGCCACTATATTTGCTACCTGACCCTTTAAAGAAAAAGTTTGCTGACCCATGTAATCTTGCCTGTTCCTCTCCAGACATTCCCTTTGTTCCCCATTTCTTTACCTTTGCTTATTCTATTCTCACTTTGTAGAATGCCCTTCAAATGTTACATATCCTTCCGTAACCAGCTTCTGGAAATGTCAGTTCTTCCACAGAGCTCCCTGCTGTTCTGTGCTGGAAGGCATTTCTGCATCTCTGAATTCCCATAATACCAAAAGTGTCTGGCACTTGTTGGGGGATCAATAAGCAATTGTTGAATGAATGATGGAAAGAGTCTATTCAGGGTATTGGTCCTTTCTTTTGTTTTAGTTATATACACATCTCCAGTTCTGTCTTGAGGATAGATCAGTCTCATATTTCTCAAAGCATTTCATGTGAGACCTTGAAAATTGTAGGCACATAATAAGCGTATTTTTTGAATAAAGAACTTAGAGGTAAGAAAGCAGGTAAAGCATGAATTGGTCAGTTTGTGGAAAAAATATTTTCGGAGTTCCCACCATTCCAAATTTTGTCCAAATAAATTTTTAAAATATTTGTCCCAAGTAAACACAGATTCTGAAATTTTTGCAGGACTCCCACATCATTAGTTTATATGAGGAGTTCTGCAAGGAACACACTGCCTGCTTTTTATTTTGTTCCTCAGTATTTGAAATGGCTAGGCAGGAATCATGCGACAGAGAAATGGGAATTAATATTTGAGAACTTAAAACTCACAAGCAAGGAGAAGAATCCTGGGAGTTATGAAATACACCACATCCTCATGGGTCATGAACAAAACAAAATAAAACAAAATAAAACTACCTTTGGTTTGGGTTGAGCAAAGTCTAAAAATAAAAACTCAGACCTAAAATTTGATTTTTTATTTTTAATTGTAAAATATACATAACATAAAATTTACCACTTGAAGCATTTTTAAGTATACAATTCAGTGGCCTTAAGCACATTCACCTCGTTGTGCAACTATCACCACCGTCTACCAGAACTTCTTCATGTTCTCAAACTGAAAAACTAGTTTAACTGGCCCATTTGGAATCTGGATTTTCTCAGATATTATCATAGGACAGTTGGTGGCCACATCAGCTCATTAACCAACGTCATTCAATGACTCTTTCCAAGTATAATTCCAATGTATAGAAAAGGATTTAGCTAATTGTTTAGAAATAATCAAAGAAAATAAAATTTTAGGAGAAATAAATATTCAACGTGCTAGGACCTGAGGAGATTCAAAAGGTTACAAAGAATCCACTATTTTCTGATGGGTAGGATTATGGTTGTTTGCTTTTGTGAAATATTGAACAGAATTGTCAAGAAATACATTTTGTCTAAGCATCTGTCTCCTTTTTATACAAAAGAAAGAAAGAGAGAGGAAGTTCTCTACAAATCATTCAGTGCCTAGCTCTACTCATCCCCTGTTAACAGATACTCCCACGCGTGAAAATATAATCCCAAGAGAGGATTCTGTATCTTCCATTAGAGCATTTCCAGAAACATAATCTTTTCAGCTAACATGGCAATCGCTGCAGGGTGTCCCACAAGGGGGCTACTCTTCACCTTGTAATGTTTAACGGCTGGAGTTTCTGTAGGGAGAAGATTGATTTACAACCCAAGGTGCCTGGTCCCCAAGCGCCAGTCGCTTCACTGTAGCCTTCAAGAATCGTATTTCACAGACCCAAATAACAGGCTTGGTAAACAATAAAATTGAGCACCAGAATTGTCCAGGGAGCAGAAAGTACTACAACCAGTGAGCCAGGATTCTGGCTGTGAGGCAGGGTGGGTGTCTGGGGGATATGGCATGGACTCTGAGCCAGGCTTCTTGATTGCCAAGTGCTTCTCCTCTAGTCTTTACCTTCATCTGACAACTCCAGTGGTTCACGGCGGTGTAGACTCCAGTCCTCAATCCAGATTGGCTGTGTCTATTACACTGAAGATCTGGAAGAAGCTCGTTGGAGCAACCAAGTTCAACAATTTTCAACTGCTAGGAGTCTGAGGGCAGGACCTGGGCAATTTGTAGCAGACCAAGGGGAGGGGAGTGGCTTCCCCTGAGCCCTTGCTCACCTTGCTCCCATATAGGGCCTGGTGCGGGGGCTGCATCAGACTAGGGCATGACGCTTTTTAAAAAATTCACCCAAACTTCCAGGCTAGTGGAGGCCCAACAGAGGAAGTGCCTCAGGGCGCTCAGGACAGATAGCCTGAGCTGGTGACAGTCTGGTCCTAAACCTTAGTTCAATCAAAATAGCTGCACTTTTTATACATATATACATATAAAAATGCAAATACATATTTTTTAATATTTGAGGAAGTGTATATAAGATTTCCCCCGTATTTGAAAGACTCCACTACTTAAAAAAAGAAGAAAAAAAAATTCCCTCTGATGATAAAACAGAGGCTTCCAAAGCATAAAGATGGGGCAAATTCATACATACAGAGTGGGGATCAGGGATGAGAATCAACGTGCTGCCAACTTCTGGCCCACTGCTTTCTCTCCACCCCATGGCCTGCTTCACAGCGTGCCCTTTAACTTCAAAATGCAGGGTGGCTAAAGTATTTACAATGTCCTGCTCCCAATTCTCATGCAGTGTGAACAGCAGGAGAAAATGAAACCTTTGAAAGAAATGAAAAGAAACTACCTGCCTGTGGACATTCTGGAAATCAACGGCTGACCAAGAAGGACTGTGAACAAGCCTGCCTCCTGATCCGGTGCCTCCGGGTCATTTTCACCTGACGTGAGTCCTTGGCAGACTTTCGTGTTTGTAGTTCCTGCTTGTTCATGGTGCATAAGGTGACTAGGGAAATCCTGATGCCAGAATTTCCCAAATTACCCTACACCCAGGGCCCCGAGGAGCTCTGAGATTTCAGTACCTTACCAGCTGCTGTATCTTTAAACACAGGCTTGTTTTTTCCTTATAATTGAGAGACGAGGCCCTGGAGACAGGGAATGCTAAACCCCTCAGATGCTCCTGCTAAAGCCCTGAGTAACAGTGGGTGCTCCTGAATAATCAGTATTCAACACCGTGGTCAGTTACTTAGAGCAAGGAGAAAACATTTTACAAAAGAATTACCCTATTCTTTCAGAAAACGGAAGTCCCAGGTTCTCTGCACTATATTATTCTCACCCGTTCAAGCACTTTTTTGTTCAGACATTCAAGTGAAAACATTGATTCAACCAACCAGTAGGAGGCAAAATATGTCACCCAATATACTTTTTCTCTCATGCATATAAACAAAAGAAGGATTAAAAACACCAGCACCCAAAGAAACAATGAAGACTCCGTTTGATTCTTTGATTTTTACAGCTGGATAAGCTGAGGGTCTCCCTGAGAGTCTAAGCAGTTCATAGTAGAATCCACTTCCTAGTCTTGGGTCTTACCACCAAACCCCATGACCAGAGCTAGGAAACACTATTTCCCAGTTCGCCTGAGACTGTCTTGGTTGACATTAAGTCATCCGAGTGTAGTTAATAATAGTGACTCTGTCACTCTCAAAAGTGTTCCAGGGAAGATAATTGATGACGTGATCACATCTCCTAAGGATGTGTGTTTACTGGGCTTACAGCTAAGACAGACGAAGCCAGTGGGAAGAAGTGGGAAGTATGCAGAGCATTGGCCCTTGGACTGAGCACTCACAGAAACCTGACCACAAGCCCAAATCTTGTGCTGATACGTGCTCCTCAAATTCTCAGAGACATCTGTGATCTAAAATAGGTTAACAGTCACTAGGCCGGTTTACAGCCCTACCCGCTGGGCACCCATCCCAGGAGACAATCAGCTGGGCAGCCTCCAACTCTCTCTCCTCCTCCTGCCTTCTCACTGCACCAAACTGTTCCCATGAAACCCAAACCTACCCAAATGGATTTGGCTCTTGTTGTAGTTTCTCGACTAATTCCCTAGGGCCTCTCGCTCTGGCAAGATTCTGTTAGGTTTGTCATGTTTCAGAAGTATAATGATTAAGAATCACAGAGGGCAAGGGAGTGGGAGAAGAGGAGGAAGAGCAGGTAGGGGGAGGCAGCAGGGAGAGAGATTGGGGAGGGGGACGAGGAGGAGGAGGAGGAAGAGGAGGAAGAAGAGGAGGAATGAGGAGAGAGTATTGTTAACAACAAGACCCCTGGGACAGTCAGCCATGGGAAGATTTCAGTTTAAGCAACAAAGACTATTTTGTTCCCTGAGCTCTCAACTGAGCAGCATTTGGCTCCAACAGAAGAAAGAGGTCCCTGGGGAAAGGCGGGGGCCATGTATCCAACTGCCTCCCTTGTCACCACAGGCTGTCATCTTGTCAGGAGCACATAAACCAGGCAATGCTGGTTTCAGTCCGCACCAGGGGACAGGCCACTGAGCGAAACTTGGTGTCTAGGGTGGTGCCACAGGGATCTGTCTCTTCCACCTGAATCTCTCTCTGGGAGATCCACCTTCCTGGAGATCCTGGCTTCTTTTCTGGAGACATAAAATGAAGATTCAGATCACCCAGGGGATTAAAAATCTCAAGGCAACCTGCAGGAGGTGAGAAAGGAATAAGAAGAGATGGGTATTAACTGCAGGACCCTGGAGCTCCTGGCTCCCTTCCGAGGTGAAGCACCACGATCCTCTCCTACCCTGTCTTCCTTCAAAAACGAAAAACAGTGCTCACTTGGAAGATGAGGATACAATTCCCTGTTGGAAGGGCTGCTGTGGAGATTAGGGACAATATCAACAGAGCTCTCTGTGCCGCGTCTGACACTCTGTGCTCAATAAATGGTAGCTCTCATTAGTGATATTAAAGGGGCTCTACATTTGAAGAGTAAAGAGGTTTGATTTTTTTTTTCTGGAAAGAAGTAAATGGCTTCTTAGAAAGAAGAAGCATTGCCACTGAATCACAGTAAGACTGTGTTTAAAATTCTGTGCATTTAGTCAGGTGTTTGAAGGAACAGTATGTCCCAGTCTCACTGGGAGCCCTTGCTAGCACATGCCCTGTGGAATATTAGCATGTGTGAATTTACAAAATAATCTCTATAACGGACCTTGGAAAATGGGTTCATGGTGTTTGCCTTTCACCTGCAAACCATGGCGGTGATTTAAGGAAAGGCACATGTTAATCAACCCATGTACAGGCCCTAGAGGGGAATAAACGGAGCAGCGTGTCTGGTCAATGTGAAGAGGGAGATTCTCCCTACAGAAACTCAGAGGCCAAAGGAGTGGGAGGAGAAGAGAAACCGGAGGAGGAGTGGATAGAGGGAGGCAGGTGACAATCTGCCTGCCTTAAACGTGAGAAGTCCAGAGCAGGTGAGGTAGGTGACCTCAGTTAGAAATCAGGGGAAGGCACCAGACATTTCCCCTCCCACCTTCCCACTCAGCAGTTTTGAGGCCAAGTGCATCCACACCCCAAAACTGAGAGCTGACACTGAGCACCACCTTTCTGAAACCTCCCTTTGCTTTGGCTAGCAGAATAGATTCTGAGCCATCCTCTCTGGAGCACCATTCATTATTGCTCTGAAAAGGCTGGGACTTGCTTTCAAAAGGCAGGTGGGCCTGGGGACCATGTTTCACTTCTTGACACCATTAATTGGGTTATGAGTCAGAGCTGTAATGAAGACAAGTTTTGGTGTCTCCTCCAACTGTCCTGGGAAATGCACATGCACAGGCCCAAAAGCCACAGAGGGTGAGAGAGCCGGACAGATTTGCTTTGTTTATTGGGCCCACGTGGTCACCAGATAAATGGTCAGCACCATGGGACTCCTCTGTGCACAGGCCTACAGTTTTTTCTGCTGCTCCCAGAGGCCCTTAGATGTCAGAGTCTCTCACCCAGAGTGGCTCATTAGTAACAGGAAGAAGTGGGAGGAGGCAGGAATGGATTCAAAACAAGCCACAGAAGGAGGCTTGAAAGAAGGAATAAAGCAGGGGCTGGTCTTGCATGTGAATCAGGCCATTGTACAAATAGGAGCAAGACCAGCTCCCTACCTGGAGGCAGCAAGGAGAGTGGCACACACTTAGCAGCCTGCATCATGCAGCAAACCTCTGAAGGTCCAAGACTTATCAAAAGAAACAGCCCAGACTTATCAATCTCACAGAAGTCCATTATGCATGCAGTCCTGGATCTGGCCAGTTAGGCTGCATAAAACATGCAGGCTGACAAGTCTTATCACCTCAATGAATTCGAAAGTCCAATTACATTTATAGGATTCTTGGCCTCTCTAATGCTTCCATGCAACTCTATCAGACTTCATTTAGACTCCCTGCCTTTTGGATTAAATGTTTGCAGCCCCAGCTGCAATCTCACTTCGATTTTAAAATCCTCCGGTCTGGTATATTGTTTACAACTAGCAGGAGGCTTATCTGTGGTCCTTTGGAGAGGATGCATTATGACATCATCTGAGGAAGTTACGATGTACACCACCCTTCGGTTCTCCCTTAAGTCCTCCGCTCCAGAACAAGTTCATAAATCCCAACTTCCTCAAAACCAAACTAGAGAAAGGGACAAGGTCAGAAAAGACCAACTTTCTGAACCAATGACAGGAGCTTCTCCCGAGGGGCAAGAGGAGAGATTGCTGCAGTGCCATTTGGTTATCTGCTCCTAGTCCTGGGGGTGTGAGGAGCCTGGAGGCTGGAGTGGTGCAGGTGGATAAACCAGGCCTGAATGCTGCCCCAGGGAGTTTGGAAATCACTGAGCGAGGGAGAGAGAGAGGGAGACAAGGCTTTGTGTCTTTGAAGCAGCACAACCTAGTAGTTCATTATGCATTTTCTGGGGTCAGACTGCCTGGTTTCAATCCAGCTCCATAATTTGTGCCCTTGTGCGAGTTGGCCAGCCACTCCCCGTCTCCTTTTCCTCTTTTGAAAACTGGAGAGGTGAAAGCCTGCATCCTCGATTGTGTGTCAGGGTTACAGGAGGTCATACTGTGATCTGCCTAGAAATGATGCCTGGCACAAAGTCGGTGCTCAGTACACGTTAGCTTTTGTCATAAACCTGCCTTCTCCAAGCACCAAATCACAGTGAATTTATCTCCAAGGAAACTGGCAGTTACAAGCTCTTCCTTTCACCAGGATGGAACATTAACACAGACAGCCTAGGAAACATGATAATTTGGATGGTTGCAGCAAAATTACCTGTTGCCTCTACCTTCTCACTCAAGACACCAGAGAGAGACTCATGTTGGAACTTTCCATAGACAACAATACCACATGGGCCACTCAGAGCAGCCTTTCATTCTGCTGCCAACCTGGGAATCAGATAGCGTGCTTGGGTTGGAACCTGGTCTCTTCATAGTGCTGCCTCTGAGCAGTACGAATTAGGCCATTCCTCAACTCGAGGGAGTGGTGGGCTGAAAAACCTGAATGCATTGTCAGGCAACAAAAAGCTAAGGATTTACTGTTAACCTCAGATGCTTATTAAACCTCCCATCTTGAGTGCTGCAATCTACCCTAATAACATGGTTATTCAACCTTATTGTATCCTTGTTAACTAACTGGCATCTATTCCACAAGAACTTTCCATCCTGGGAATTTCCAGGTCTGCAGCAGAGCCTAAAAGCTAACTCAAGTCCAAAGCTCATGGGAATCAGTGGATTAAGCCCCAAGCCCACCTGACCCCAGGTTGAGCTGTGATGTAGAAACTCTAGTCACCAAATGTCATGCTCAAGTGTTAATGATGTTTTTGTCTAACTTGGTCTGAACTGCAAGTATTTCTAGGCTCACTTACTCTTAAAGACAACCCCAGCGTTTCACACTGAAATTAACACTCTTTGACACAGCACACAGTGCCAGAGTGTAACATTTACAAGGGGAAAATAACTTGAAAGTGAAGGAGACCAAAAAGGCATAATTACCCAAGGCAAACTGTTTTGTTCATTCAGTGATTACAGTGGTTTTAAAGCCTTATAATTTATCATAGCTCAGAACAATTTAAATCTCAGTTGTGCTCCTTCAAGAAACAGAGACGCTTCCCTTCCTTTATTCCTTCTGACAGGCTACTCTTTTAATATCATCTTAGTTCTAAGACGGCATAGACTATACCTTCCCCACACCACACACAGACAAAAAAGAAAACTGACAGCAGCCGCCTTTCCCCTTTGCATTGGGCTGCAACACACAAATAACCAAAGAGTATAACAATTCCAAATGGGTGTAATTTCTTTCAGGTTCAAGTATCAGTTTGCTTGTTTTGCTGCTGCTAATCACCTCTTAAACAAACAATTGCTTTATCTATGTACTGTGCCTCATTTCACTTTCAAATTATGTGTGTGTTTTGCTCCTAACAGCTTATTATGATCTGTAATTAACAATTTTGCGAAAGCAGAGCTGTGTATTGAAGAGAGCCCACATGCTATCTGAGAAGTACTTGAAACAGGAGGCCTTTGTTTTCATCACAAATTTGGCAAACAGAAGACGCCTCCCTTCTCTTCTCTGCATTGTCTCCTTCAGAAGTCCAGAAGTGCAAAGGCAGAAAATTAAAAGGAAGGCTTCGAACTTCAGCAAAATTCCAATGGGCTACCTTTGAATCTAAATACACCAGGGCTTCTCAAATTTGGCCACAATTTGGAATCACCTAGGGAGCTTTTACAGGAATGCCCAGACTTAGCCCCAGACTAATTAAGTCAGGGTCTAGGGATGGACCCAGGTCTGAGTTCTTAATAAAGTACCCCAGATAATTACAAAGCGCAGTCAAGATTGAACACTCCTGTGACAAACTAGCTAGTCTGCTTTGCAGGAGCTCAGAGAAAAGGGTAATAACAGGGATGAATTCAGTGGTTAAAAGTTGTACTTGAGTGCACTAAAATTTAGACTATTTTCCAAGTCCATGAATCATCTCCAATCTAGATGATTTGCAGAAGATTATTTTTCCCCATTTCTCAGCTTATTCAAGCTCACCAAACAAGCAGCAAAGTTATTTAAAAATTTCACCCTGGGAAGCAGGTTTTTGAGATTATCGAGGGAAAACTCATTTGGGAACATATTTCCTGGATATATTCTGGCATAGGCAACCAGCATTTCTCTTGTGGTTCAAGCACTTTAGAACTTTCTCTGCCAGGCTTGGCAAAGTTATAGACACAGCTCCTGAAGTCTTGTGTTCAAAGGTCCAGATATGGTTCTCCACTTTTACACAATCCATTAGACTGGAGGGAAACCAATTTCTTTAACATATAACAAAGAAGCTGGGTGTGGGCTTTAGTATGAGTAAGCCATCAGAATTTTAGGGCACAGGTACTTTTTTTTCATTTGTGGTAGAGGCTTGCAGCCCTGGCTGAAATGCTTCTCCTGAACCCAGGTCTGAAGTGTGCCAAACGTGTTACTTGTGCTCGCCTCTACTGTCAGCACGTCCCTCTCTTGAAATTGCTCTGTCCTTTATTTCTTATTCTATTAAATTATTTCTATTATTTTATTTCTTATTTTTTATTCTTATTAGACTTAAGTATCAAACAGCTTCATCTCATCATGATTCTCCATACAAGCACATTCGAAGTTCAAAGCACTATAGTGGATCAGAATATGACACCCCAAAACATGCCTCTTTTTTTTTTTTTTTTTTTTTGAGACAAGAGTCTCGCTCTGTCTCCCATGCTGAAGCGCAGTGGCACGATCTCCTCTCACTGCAACCTCCACCTCCCAGTTCAAGTGATTCTCCTGCCTCAGCCTCCTGAGTAGCCGGGATTACAGGTGCGCACCACCACGCCCTAGTAATGTTTGTATATGTTGTGTTTTTTTTAGTAGATATGGGGTTTCTCCATTTTGGCCAGGCTGGTCTCAAACTCCTGACCTCAGGTGATCCACTCGCTTCAGCCTCCTAAAGTGCTGGGATTATAGGTGTGAGCCACCACACCCGGCCAAAATCTGCCTCGCTGACAGAAGGGTTATTTTGAGCTGAGACAATTGAGATACAGCAGATGCCAGAAAGGCTCTCTGTACTCCTTCCATTTGCCTAAAAGATATAAATTTCCATTTGTAAAGGTGTTTTTGTCTCCTGTACCAGGAAGAGGAGGACAACGCTTAAGACTAAATCACTGTAATCTCTTCTCAGACCAGAGATGGCACCAAGAGAAACTTTACTGAAATAGCTCTTATCTTCCATTAGTTTTCTCACATATATTTACCTTCCCACAGTTTACCACTCCTAGAAGCCTAAATTTCTTTTCCTTTGTCTTGTCACCTCTCTACAAATTTATTGTTCTTTGCTAGGATGCTAGATAAGTTCCAAGTTCTAACCACCCCTTTGAGTTATTCATCACTGAGTTTCTCCCAGGGGTATGTCCACTGTATTGTTAACAAACTTGCTATTCCCTTGTTAATCTATCTTTCATCAGTTTAATTTCCCAGCCACAGAATCTAAGAGGGTAGAGAATAAGCTTTCCCGCCTCCCCTACGGTGCTAATAAAGAATTCTAAAGGGATAAATTGCACTTTGCATGTTGGGGCAAATTTTCTCCTCCATCCTTCTACCCAACTCCAACTTTAACACACACACACACACACACACTCACACAATTTTGTTATCTAATCCAGTGGCTCCCAAATATGGCTGGTCATTGGACTCAACTAGGGAGCTTTTAAATTATGATTTCCTAGGCTCCATTCCCTGATTCTGACTCAATAGGTCTGGAATGAGGCCCAACAATCCGTATTTTGGAAACTCCTAAAGTGATGCTGATGATTATCCATATTTGGAATCTACTGATCTAGCCCACAAGTGAGTACCAGATCAGATTAGGGAGAAGGGAAAGGGTCACCCCATACAAGGTGTAAGGGAGGGTGGAGCAGGTATTCAGAAGTAGGTAAGGATTTTTGGCACTTCTTCAATCCCAAAACAGCAGTTGTCCAAGTATATGCGGCAGATGTGTCACTGCTCAGAGAGCGAATGGCCCTGGGGTCTGCAATCTGTCACCATTACTGCCCAAATAGTTCCCGGAGATGTCAAGGGACAGGCCTACCTTCAGCCATAATTAAGATTCTGATTTCCCAGAACCTATTCTCCACGCAATAAATGAGAAAGCCTGTACTCTTTCAGAGGGCTGGTCCCCAACTGACAGCCTCAAATTTAGAGCTGAAGAGGGGAACAAGGGACTGGGAGAACAGAGTGAAGAAGTTTAACGAGAGGGTTGAAGTGCATAAAACACAGAGGAGAGGAGACCTTCGATGTAAAAACCAGTTTAATAGAAAAACATTTTCTAAAATGACAAACCAAAGGCTGGGAAGCGTCAAAACTCTTCTCAGTATCTCTCATTGGCTGGTTTGCCTCACAGATCCTCCTTGTGAAAATAAAAAAATAAAAATAAATAAATAAAAAACACTCTGCAAGGCAAGAAATATTGTGACTCAAATTGCATCCGTGAGATTCTCTGATTAAAAAAAAATCAATTTGTCGGATCAATTTTTCTTAAACAAGTTCATCATACTCTAGAGCAACGAGCCAATCAATAGGGAATGTTTTTCAGCCACTTCCCAGCCTTCCCACTTCAGTAATTGCTAGAATTTCATATCGACAGGCCATAGGATGCTTTGAAGGCTGAATTGATCCATTAGCCTGTGGTGCTACAAGGCTGGGCCACAACAATAACGCTGTGTCCCTCCGGGGACCAGGGCTGAAATCAAACAGGAGGTGAGCCATTACATTCTCCACTTGACCGTGGAGGAGCCAGACTCCAGCCTCTACTGGAAACTTGGGAATGAGGAACAAGGAGAAAAATCAAGGAAGTAGGAAGTACATGGAACAGAGAAGGAAGGCGGGGCAGCAGAGTTTGGGGCGGGAGGAAACCCCAAAGACCTACAGTCTGACTGTAAGTGGTCTCCACTGAGGAGGAAATGCTGTGTGGCCTGATGAAACCACATGTGCTGGGCAGCTGCAGTGAACAGAAAAATAAACTTGAAAGGACTCCAAAAGAGAAGCTAAATGATGCTCATCAGTATCATTTTAGCCTTGAACCTTAGCTCATAGTTCTTCTTTAACAGTGATGTGAATAATTACTTGTGCCTGGGGCTAAGGAGAAAGGGAGCCTCCCAGAGTGCAGCCAAGGAGAAAGAAGCAAGGAGTACAGGGAAAATGGAGCAAACTCTTATCTTTTGCCAGGAGGTAAAATTATTCATCTTGTAATCATTCCTGGACAGCTGTCCTGTGCATTTATACAACCCACTAACTCAGCAGGTTATCATAATAGGAATTATAATACACAAAGCATCCCAGAGAAATCAAGGTTTGATTCACCAAAGAGAGAAATTACCACAGGGGGCCAGATCATATTTCCTTTGCAGGACAAAGTTTAACTTTGGTAACAGGAAAATAAAATCTGATAGTCAGAATATACTCTGGTAAGAGGCACTGGTTTTGCCCATTATAAAGGTGCTGTTCATCTATTAATCAGTGAATTGTTCATTAACTATCCTACACAGTTATGTAGGCTTCTCATAAACCTGTTGGAAAGCAATGTCTGTGGAAAGCAAATTTGCACAAGAGATGGAAATTGCCCACCACATGCTAGCATGATTAACCTTCAATTTTTATGTGGAAATTAGGTATGCCTTATTAAAACTCAAAAGCCAGGGTTTTACTGCCCTCAGATACAAGCATATGTAGATACATACATTTATACCAGTAGCACGAGCACAGCTCTGAGTGGCAGGTCAGCATATATTAGTTGCTGGGTCAGACCTCAGCAGAGGACAAACTGACGTGTTCCGTGCTGTCACACATTGCTTATTGTATGCACTAGACATCCTGAAGGACACTGACATCCTTGGCAACTCATACCTTTTTCAGTTTCCATGAAAACCTTACTTATTGAGTTCATGTGTGTATTTGCTTAGTATATTTCATAATCTGAGTCCAACCTGGTCCTCATACAAATATAATTAATCTGTCTACTTTGAATAGACAACTGCAGTATCATCTCTGTGGCTTTCTACATAAGTTAAATATGGAGGAAAAGAATTATAAAAATGAAGACTATTTAAATGATAGGTTTGTTGACTATGTTACTAGATAAACTCATCGACAGAGTTAGATAATATGCAGTTGGTAATATATTTATTTGAGCAAATCTACAGTGAATTGTGGAAAATTAATACTGCTTCTAGAAACATTTGTGGCCCACAGTGGCAGTGGACAGAGATCTGGTAGGAACACCAACCTGGTTTCTGAGTTACTTTGGCATGGACAGGCTTATCACCCAAATGCCTGCTATTTAAGGCATGGGGCTAATTCTTACACAGAGCAAAACAGCCCACACCCCAGGGAGGCTTCTGTGCTGCTCCTATCAAAAATGCCATTGAAATGAGTGGCAGATAAGGCTGTCTCAGGAGATGAATCTTGCACACACCCTGTCTAGGAACAAGCTTTATCCAGATAACTGGGGAAATTTTGTAAAAATTGTGATTCCCTAGATCTGAGGTGGGCTCCTGGAATCTGTACTTTTTAAAGTTCTACAGTTAACTCTAATGGATAAACTTGGTGTATTAGTCCATTCTTAGGTGGCTAATAAAGACATATCCAGGACTGGGTAATTTATAAGTGAAAGATTTAATTGACTCACAGTTCAACATGGCTTTGGAGGCCTCAGGAAACTTACAATCATGGTAGAAGGGGAAGCAAACACATCCTTCTTCACAAGGGAAGTGTTGAGAGAAAGAGGGAAAGGCCCCTTATAAAACCATCAGATCTTGTGAGAACTCACTCACTATCATGAGAACAGCACGGAGGTAACTACTCCCATGATTCAATTACCTCCCACCAGTCCCTCCCACAACACATGGGGATTATGAGAACTATTATACAATTCAAGATGAGATTTGGGTACAGACATGGCCAAACCATATCACTTGGGTTGGAACTAGTAACTTACATATGATTCCTTAGGCATTCTAAGTACTTACTATGCACTGTATGTACGGACTAGCAGCATTGCTAAAAATGGAGAAAGCTCAGGCCCCACCCACACTACTGAATCAGAATCTGTGTTTGAACAAGATGTCCAAGTAATATAAGTAGACACTGAATTTCAAGAACCACTGCTGTAATTTGTTAGCACGTATATTAAATCACTTGAAGTTATCTACCTGGTATTCACTGGATTGCTACTGCCTTGATTCACAATGCAAAGAAATGCTTTCACTAAGTTATGCTATCAAATTTTAAGGGTCTCATGAAGAATATTTTTGTGTTTTAGTAAAGCCATTGTTCAAGCCATCGATATTAGGTTGTCAAATGTCTCTTGCATTAAAGGCCCACGGAGGATATTATTCTTTTAAAACTGGGAAAAAACCCACAAAAATCAATACATGTTTTTATGAGAAAATACAAATAAGCAAAATTTAAAAAGCAAATAAAAGTGAATAAAAGTGGCCTATGATTCCATCATCCTAATAAAGATACTGTTGATATTTTGTTATGGAATATACATATTTAGATATATTCTATATGTACCATGATAAACATATTCACAGAATGTAAAATAATCATTTTCAACATGGTTTTATATGCCATCATAATACTTTGCTTTATGAACACATATCACATAAGTAATAGCAGTATGCCACATTACTATACTACTGTTCAATATTTACTTTCTAGTTACATTTTTGCTGGTATAAATAACACTGCAGTAAACATCCTGAACAACAGCATTTGAATTTATATATCCCTGAAAATATTTTTTAAATATGCAATATAGAAAAAATTGACTGGCTGAGGAAATGTTATGCTAACTATTTTTCAAAGGAGAAACTCAATAGTGAATTGAGTTTTCCTTTTTTGCTTTTGTTATCAGGAAGCTTGAAATCAAATGCAATGCTTAATTACACTGATTATACTAGCCTGGATTTGTTATATACTTATATCTCCGTTGATATCTTTTTTTTGGGATTTTTAAATATTCTTTTTTTTTTTTTTTTTTTTTTTGAGACAGAGTCTCACCCAGGCTGGAGTGCAGTGGTTTGATCACAGCTCATGGTAGCCTTGACCTCCAAGGCTTAAGAGATGTTCTTACCTCAGTCTTCCCCGTAGTGAGGACTACAGGTGTGTACCACCATGCCTGGCTAATTTTTTAATTTTTTGTAGAGATGGGGTCTCCCTATATTGCCCAAGCTTGGCTCAAACTCCTGGGCTCAAGCGATCCTCCTGCCTTGAAAATATTTATCTTTAATAAGACACATCAAATATTTTAGGGCAGTAGGGTACTTATCAATTTAAATGACTATACTTAGTGCTTTCAAAAAAAAATTTCCAAAGTTGGAAGAGTTCCTTCTAACTCCTGGCCTCAAGTGATCCATCTGCCTCAGCCTCCCAAAGTGCTGGTAGTACAAGCTTGAGCCATTGCACCCAGCCAAACATATTGTTATTTCAACACCAAAAGAAATATGCCTCACTATTCTGTTCTCAGAGATTTATTTCTTTAGACCTTAAAGCATTCCTCTATAAAACACTTAAATCCGTGTTAAATGAAGGACATATTAAATTCAGATCACAAAATTACCACAAAGGGGAAAGAGGTAACTATATAAAGATGATGAAAAGGAGCTAAGAGACAGGAAAAAATGACCACAGGGAGCCTTTGCCCACATTAGAGCATCTACTTTGGCAGATTCTCATGGAGTGGGTTATACTACAATGACTTCTAAGTGAAATCAAGCGATAATTCATTATAAATATAGATTACCACACAAAGAGTGGGTTTCCACTGCAACAAGAAGTTAAATTCACTCAGATTTACATTCAAATGAGTGATGATATTAAGGGAGAAAAGGGAAAAAAAGTGAGAATTACTTTATCTATGCCCAGGATCCAAGATATGTATATGAGATACTGTCAGACAGAAATTTGTCTGCTCAGGCTCAGAATGATAAAGAGGGAGGAAACAAGGAAAAGTAGATAACCAAGCAGTTCCCATAGCAACTCCCTGCAGTTCTTAGCAGGCTTGACCTGAAGCCTTGTCTCGCCAGTAACTGAATTATGCCCAGAGGATAGAAATTGAAGCCTGTCAGGCACGGTGGCTCACCCTTGTAATCCCAGCACTTTGGGAGGCTGAGGCAGGTGGAGCATGAGGTCAGGAGTTCGAGACCAGCCTGACCA
Organism: Homo sapiens; assembly: GCF_000001405.40. Taxonomy (NCBI): domain Eukaryota; kingdom Metazoa; phylum Chordata; class Mammalia; order Primates; family Hominidae; genus Homo; species Homo sapiens. Next base: position 81,385,311 of record NC_000009.12, read on the forward strand.
ACATGGTGAAACCCCTTCTCTACTAAAAATACAAACATTAGCCAGGCGTGGTGGCACGCACCTGTAATCCCAGCCACTCACAAGGCTGAGTCAGGAGAATCGCTTGAACCAGGGAGGCAGAGTTACAGCGAGCTGAGATGGTACCACTGCACTCCAGCCTGGGCAACAGAGCAAGACCCCATCTCAAAAAAATATATGTATAGAAATTGAAGCCTGTTACCACCTTTTGTAGCATCACTGCCTTCTCCAGGTCTTCTTGCTTACAATGAGTTAATGCTAGGAAAACTTTTAACTCTTCAAGAATAGCAAAAGTAGATAACCTGAAGCCACAAAATAAACTTGAGACACACTATTTGATCTAAACATTGAGAATACTCCCCTTCCAAGCCTAAGACCTCAGGTTACTTCACAACTGGGCTGGAAGCAAGCCCATAAACAGCAAGCCACTTGTGTATAGATAGTTCTGTTCCTACTACAGAAGAAGAAGAACGTGAACTATCTCTAGATCTTCTAGTTCTTGTTTTTTTAATGTATGTGTGTTAGTTATTTTTATGCCCTTCTATACGTGTACTATTATTCAGTCTAGACCTGGATGTTTTCATCAATAAAGTGAGACTAAGTGTTTAACTGTCCCCTGTATAAGACCACGGAGAACAAAAATTTAATTAATTGTAAGTGAAAATGCTTTGAACATAATAAACAGTTATTCAGAAAAAAGTAAGTTTACTAGGCCTGTTAGTGGTAATATTACAATGACATTTATAAGGGACTAGGGTGAACATTATATTTGTGAGCTCAGCAAATTGTTCTACCCTTTCTTGTGCTAATGTAACCAGTTTGTCTTCACCTCAAAACATCACCCACGGATACAGGCACATGACCCACACCTAGCCAAATAATACCTCTTTCCCTAGCTAGGTTAAGGGAGGATCTGATAGATGACCCAACAGGGCTAGGCAGTGTCCCTCCATTGGATTGCCATATGCATGATGAGACTGCATTTACTAAATCCTGGCATTTGGAGAAATTCAGTCTGCAGACAAAGCCAAGCAAAGATAAAAATGTGAGATGGTTAGCCAGCTGGATGGATGGATGGATGGATGGACAGATAGATGGATGGATGGATGGATGAATGAATGAATGAACAAATGAATGAAGTAAGTGGCAAGAGATGGAAAGGCACCTGATGTCAAGTGCTTGGTTTCAGTTCTTGAGGCCCTGGGAACTATACTATAATTTCAGTCCTATGAGCTGCACTTATTTTCTTCCAAGGTATGTGAGTTAACAAATTCCCCTTTTAGCTTGAAATGTTTAAATTGAGTTTTGGTCACTGGCAGGCCAAAGAGTTCTAAACAATGCATTCTATGTAAATACAATGCTCCTTTTGGCACCAAGATAATGCCTTTCACACTGAAAATAGGCACCTCTCTGAGGATCAGTTTCAAGGCTTCTAGGCTTCTAAAACTCAACTCACTTGCTAATCCCACTCTCCATGCTCTGCCTAGTCTTCTCTTTGCTCCAACTTTATCAAACATTTCCCTAGTCAACAGCTAAATAGCATGGCACCAAACCTTGCAACAAAGTTTTTTCTTTGTCTCTTTATGACTTCCCCATATGAATATTTCCACCATTTCCAGAGATATCCACAAGTATATCTGTAAACACTCCTTGAAAACTCATTGAGCATCTTATCCTATAAAGTTCCTTGAGGCCTTCTGGGTTAAGAGAAGTACTAATAAAAGTCATGGCTTTCCTATGTCATTGGTTCCAATTTGACTCAAGCCAGATGCTACCTAAAACTGAAGCTATGATGACTTTTGGATGACTTTCTGTTGTGAGTGTGAAATAAGTCACGGTTTAGGGACTATGCCTAGCAGGTACACACTCATGCAACAGAAGTCAGTATTAAGCCTCTCAGCTGATAGGGAATGGGCTGAGTTCAGAAATAATTTTCTTATTATTTCCTTATATTTTCTATAAAGAAGATATGTCTAATGGAAGAAGGGATGGACAGAGAGAGGAAGGAATGCAGGGAGGGAGGCAGGGAGGGAAAGAAAGGGAGGGAAGGAGGGAGAGAGCAAGGAAGGAAGGAAGGAAGGTTGGTTCTTCATTTTGGATCCTGAAAAAAAGAAAACATCCTTATAGATATGGAACATTTTCAAGGATAATAAAAAGTCCACATTTTAAGATGGATGCTAGAAAGATTAAATTCACCAAAAATAGAAAAGCAAACATACTATATAGAATGATGTCATATAACACACCTACCTTCTATATTGAAACAAGTAATTAGTCAAGAACATGCCACAGAGAAAGAAATTCATATAGAGCTGTCACGTTTTATAACCTATGTTCTAGAAGACAATAGTTTTCCCAAGTCTAATGTGACAACACATGTCTGTTTTATACAACATCCATTTCCCAGACATGCTCCTTGGACCTAATGAAAAACAGCGTGTGCCACATGTCTGGGTTCACCACAGCAGGCTGCATCGTTGAGAAGGCTTCTTCCATTACAAGCCTGTCTTTAAAATATGGTTTCTAAGTCCTCTGGGCTAATTAAGCACAGCTGGGTGTACATCAGCCCCAGTCAAGTGTGACGATTAGGCTGGCGAGAAAAAATCAATTATCATTAATCACTAAGTCCGTATAGTGACTTCTAGAGGTGCTAAATGGGTTGAGCAGGGCGATGGTGATTCTTCTCATGGAGCGACCAAATGTTTGAAGTGAGAGAGAATGAATCTTCAAATGAATCACCTGGATGGGAACATCAGAGGCCCATGTGTTTACAGAATAAGAAACACTGATTGTAATGAGAATAAAGTGCATATAATTTTTCATGCATTGCACTATCATCTCCAATTCTGGCTCACTTTGGGGAGCAAGAAGAGATGCATATAACCATTGCTACCACTTGTTATCACCTGAATGGTGTCTCTGTTGAAGTTTGTTTAAAATCTCTCTTTTAGAGTGAATATATATTCACTTGTAAAGTGTTTTCATTGAGCAGGTTTTTTTTCCTTTTATTGGACTATTCCCTACAGCCTTATGATGCATTGAGAGTTTGTGCCTTTTCTGAGCATAGTATTTACCGAAGCACTTGCGTACGCCAATTTTGTTTCATTTATCAAGACCTCCTCTCCTTTTTAAGAAAATGGTACAAAGGTTTGAGATCTCCATGTGAAGGACAATTAACATGGACATTATATTGCTTTGTATAATGTTTCATTTTGTGTTTGTTTTCCCCATTTTTAATTTTCCTTTGCTTGGAAATATTTTGTCGTGCTCACAATAAGAATGGCTTATCAAATAAAGTGGCCCAGTCTCTCATTTCATCAGTGGACATTAGTTTAGAAGCTGTTTTTCTGGGGCCCTATGCTAGAGAATGCTAGCCAAGATGTGCCTGTTTCCCAAAAGTGAAGCAATCCCTAGTGTTCTTTCTCATCCAAAATGAGTATGGAGATTAATTTAGGCAACCACAAGCTACACATTGCCTCTCTCACACTCCAGCTGAAGACAAGTGACAGTGTAGGGAATTCATTTGCAGGCCAGTTTGAAATGCAAAAGGTACAGTAACAGGACAAGAGCCTTAAGCAGGTGAAGCAATTTTCACTTTTCCCTCCTGAAACTTCAACTTAAACATTATGTTCACTGTAACCTCACCGTGTGAATTGCCTGTCTTTGGCCTTGGGATGCTCTTTAAGGATTCTTTGCTGGAGAACCAGCCTGGGGAAAGGTAGGCTATAAACTCCACCTCCATCACCAACCTTCTGCACCTACTTATTTTCAACCACAGTGCATGATCACTCTCCTCAATAAACTTTGGAACCACTTGAAAGGAAAAACAAACAAACAAAAAACCCTACCATCTAAGGTCAAATTTCCTTCTCTTCTTTCAAAGTCAGGACATATGGAGAAAATGAAAGACATGTCCCATTACAGCTCCATTCCCTTTTATCCTCCTAGAAACAGCAAGTTTAGAGATCAGGAGCACAACGGGGAAGAGAGTTTAAAGGAACAGGCTGAGAGAGGAAGAGAAGCAGTCATGCCAAGAAGAGATAGAGAAAAGGGGGAGAGATGGAAGGCACAGGGGAGGCTAGAAGGCAGACATACAAGGGAAGACCTGGACAGAACTGTAAAGGAAGCTGAGATGGTCTGTAGTTCTCCATTCTTCTGTATATTCTTCCTGTCACTCTTAGCAAGATTCAGCTCCCAGCAATCTCCTCTTACCCACCCATTCCCATTGTCTGGAACAATGCCCTTTGCTACCAATGATCCCATCCACATCAGAACATTATACACTTCCTCATCCACTCACTAGACTGGATTGTTACGCTCTGTCTGGCCCTTCTGTGTCCCGTAGCCTCCAGCATGGCAAGGACCCAGCATGTACTTAATAGATAGTTACAGAATGAAAACATAACTAGACAATGAGGACTGGTGGATGACTACGTAGCTTTGGAATTTGAGGATTTCTTTACCTCATGACCCAAATGACTAATTTTCGTGGAAGAAATCACAGGCATTTGGCAGGCCTCAGAGTAGACATCATGGTTGCTCGGGCTTTGGGAGGATCTTCAATTTACACCAAGGCAATGACCTACTCACCAGCCCTAGAGGGAAGAGGGGAAGGCAACAAAAGCTTGACTTGCACAATAATAGGTGGTAATTCTCGGCTAGAGCTCACAAACACAAACACATGCATATGCACACACATTTACAGACACACACTCCCTCCAGTTCTCCCCTATCACAATGGACTGATGTCAGAAATTGTAAAACCATGTTACTGAAGATTTTGAATACCCTGGTATGGCTATCACCTTAAGCCCTCAATCATTTATACCATAGTGTGAATGTATGGTTCTGGACCTGTTCTCATAGAGACTAGAAAGAGAGAATGGCCAGTACTATCAATCTAACTGGGAGACCTAGATAAGAGTTTAGGACTCAGATAAGAAAAGAAAAGCGTTCAGATGCCCTTCAGGCAAGTGGACTAGGTATGTTCCTCTAGACAGAAACTTTTGGCTGGTTAAAGCAGACACTCACCCAAAATCTGTGAGGCTGATACTCACTCAATCACTTAGAATGGCTGTCTTCAATTCAGCCTTGTGAACAAGATGCCGTTGTGTTTCTGACAATATAGGTGACCCACATAAGAGGGCAGCTGTGGCAAAGAGCTGCCTCACCATCTGAACCCATGTTCTCTAGCAGCAGATTTTGCCAAAAGCTCATGTCCTGAAGCCTAGGCCTGGCACAGTTTAAGCAGACCCTGAGTGGAAGGAAGTGTAGGCAGGAAGTGAGCAAAAGTGGGAGAGAGTGATTGTGCTTCTCAGCCAGACTGATTTTCCTGAACAATACATCACTGAGATCCAAGCATTCAACAGAGGGAAAACACAGACAGAAAAAGAGCCAGACACACACACACACACACACACACACACACACACACACACACACACACACACCAGCAGCAGCAGCAGCACAAACCCAGAGAATAGGAACACCTCAGAAATCAAAATAACTGTTAAGTGAGGACAGATAGCCAGTAAAAAAAAATCCCCTGCAGCCTGAGACAGGAACACAAAGCCTTCTGGAGATGTGCCACAAATGACAAGATTCTGACCCCTCCTTGCTTGTGGAAGAGTCTATTGACCAGCATTGGAGAGAGAGGCCAGCACGGCTGGGACATCCAGTCCAGGTGCTTTTTCAGAAAAATCCACTCCCTCGGTGCCTTCTTTGGCATGAGTGCTGCAGGGAGCTGGCCCCTGAGCTAGATGCGCAGACAGTTAGACAAGTGTGGCAGAATTTTAGAACAGAGCCCTTCATATCACACTTGTCAATAAGGGGTTCATATGATAAGATAACAAAGCTAGTAGGAGACACAACCTCCCATGAGCAGAACTTACAATGGCAATACAGGAGAACCTGTTCCACCAGTCTTGAAGCCAGCCACCCACTTAGAAAAGATAAAGAGGAAGAGATAGTAGTCAGAGAGGATCAGTGAAGGATATCTTTGGAAGAAAGTTACACCCTACAGTGAATGCTCATCATAAGGGGAATCCCATTATACAACTCAGAGGCACCTTTCCAGTTGTATTCTATGCGTTCTGTGTTCTGGAGCTCCAAAGGCTGTTAGATACATAGAATGAAACATGAATGCTGCCCCTAGAAACATACAAAGCTACAGCCCGGTCCCACCACACCACTGTCCTTTAGGGAAAGGGGCAGGGAATGCTGCCCTCTCTCCATACATCTCGTAGGGAATCTGCACATGTTCACCCAGAGAGCTTTGAAATGATTTGCTACTGGGAGATGAAAAGACCTGCTGTCTGACTCATACCTGAGAAAGTCTAAGCAGAATATGGGCAGGTTTCTGACTCCAGCCCACAGAATTAAAAGGTGAGGGATGAGTTGACTATTTGGGTGGCAAAGCCAGAAGTGCATTGCAGCATGGAATCTACCTGCAGCCCCAGCACCAACTGCAGCAAGGAAGGAGAGCAGGGTGGTAGTATATCTTGTGGGCCAAAAGTAGACTATGCAGGAATGCAACCCCACATAAGACCTTTTTCAGGTTGTTCAGTGGTCACTCAATAAAGTAGCATCAGCCCAGGCTAAGGCAGCTGTAGAAGAAAAGGGCAGCAAGGAACCTCTAAAATTCTTACAACATTGCCCACTAAAGAGCCAGCTTGAACCCTCTGCAAACCAAGAGAGAAAAAGACACCAGCCAAGTAAGAACTGCCTGTCCCTTACATTTTCTTCCCCCTGCTCTAATCAGCCCCCTTCCCCAGTCAGACAGCAGCTAGCTAGTGGAAGGGAAGGTAAATGTGGAGAAAACAGCATGAAAAGCCATTAGGCTCCCATGCACCACTGAAGGCCTGGCTGGAAAAAGGGGAGACGGAAACCTGTATTGGTTTGGTACTGCTGCATAACAAATTACCACAATCTTAGCAGCTTCAGACAACATCCACTTAATATCTCACAGTTCTGCAGGACAGAAGTCCTGCATGGCTCTACTGGGTTCTCTGCTAAGAGTCTCACAAGGCTAAAATCAAGGTGTTGGCCAGCAAAGCTTTTATCTTGAGGATCTGGAAAGGAATTCACACCCAAGCTCATTTGGTTGTCGGCAGAATTCAATTCCCTGTGGCTCTAGGTCTGAGCTCTCCATTTGCTGGCTGTTGGCCAGTCACTACTTTCAGTTCTTTATGGCTCTCGGGTCCTTGCACATGGCCCCATCCATCTTCAAAGCCAACGATAGCTCATCAAATCCTTCCCAGGCTTACAATCTCTCTGACTTCTTCTGCTACCAACCAGAGAAAACGCTCTGCTTTTAAAGGGCTCATGTGATTAGATTGGCCCATCTGAATAATCTCCCTTTTGCCATTTAAAGTAACCTAATCACAAGAGGGATAGTTTATCATATTCACAGATTTCACCCTCAGTCAAAGGAAAGGCAGTTATACAAAAGTGAAGTTCACTGGTGGTCATTCTTAGAATTCTATCATTCCACAAACACTGAATAAGGTTGGAAGTTTTGATTATTCCTTAGTTTTGAACATTCAAATGACTAAATCAAGGATCTTTTTGCAAAACAAAGGAATTGTGGAACTGTGTATTAGTGGAGAATGAACGGAAAAGTCTGTGGTTCCTGTAGTTTTCATGGGGTGAAGAGAAGAGATAGAATAGGAGATGATCATCAGTGAATAAGCTTCAACAACAGTGGGAGACACAAAGAACTGAAAACAGAACTATTATTCGACTCAGCAATCCCATTACTGGGTATATACCCAAAGGAAAATAAATCGTTCTACCAAAAAGACACAAGCACTTGTATGTTCACTGAAACACTATTCATAATAGCAAAGACATGGAATCAACACCATGGAATACTACACAGCCATAAAAAAACAAGGAGGGGGCAAGGGCTGAAAAACTACCTGTTGGGTACTATGCTTAGTACCTGGGTGACAGGATCAACAATACCCCAAACCTCAGCATGACTCAATATACCCCTGTAACAAACCTGCACATGTACCCTCTGAATCCAAAATAAAAGTTGAAATTTTAAAAAAAGAAAGGATGTGGAAAGCCAAAATAAAGCTGATATTTTATTTGCATCATGGGCCATGCTTGTAAAACATACAGTTTACCCAAGGAACATAATCCTAGAGAAAGGCATGAATCAAACCAAAATAATGTATGCTAACGATGGTAATAGCAGAGTGGGTTATTAGAAGCAGAAATAAAGTGCTACAAAGACAAGATCCCAATGACTAGGATAAGAATGCCCACGAATCTCCGTGCACTGCAGGGAATCCCATGGTTACACGGAAAACATGAGAAGGGAGCCCAGAAAGCTATGCCACGAGATTAAATCCGGGTCCTAGCTCTGCCCCTAATGTCTAGTGCAAACTTGAGCAAGACCCTAGCCTCCCTAAAGGTCAGTGTCCTACCAGGAAAATATAACAAGAATGCATGGGATAGCGGGGCATACACTCCAAAGCAGTTTACAAACTGGAGGCCCAGATGCTCTATCAGACCCACAGATATGTTGTGTTTGGCCCATGCAGTGCTTTAAACTATATAATATCACTTAATACCAGCATTGAAAAAAGAAGCAGATTTCTCATTTAAAAAGAAAAATCTAGATTCCCAGCTTTTTTTTTTTTTTTTTTTTTTCGAAAAACCAAACATTTGGAAACACCGGGCCCACACTCTGCATGACAACATTCTGTAGCTTGGCATTGGCTGGCCTCCTCCAACATGGGTTTGGGTGCTCCAGTTCTCCACCATCCCCACCAGGCAGGCTGCAGTCACTTGGGAAATCTCATTGAGTCCTGTTGGCACCCTCCTGTTTGACTTTGCTCTAAAGCATTACACAAGTGTTGGCTGTTACTACCTGTAAAATGAGGTCACTGGAATGGATGACTTACTTCTGCTCTGAGAGGCTATAATTCCAGTCCATAAGATGGGTTCTTTGGTCACTTTTCCCAAAAAGGTATAAAATGATCACCCAAAATCCCAGGGTGGTCCATGTCCCTTGAGTGTGGTATAAAGGCCATAAAATGCTCTGAAAATCAGGCATTTGTACTGCGAGTTGCAGAAAGACTTCAATAAACTACAAATGTAGTTTTCCACTGGGCAACATTTAGACACTGACTTTAAAAGCAAATAGAAAGTGGAGATGAGGAAAGAACAAAGTTACCACCGACATTAAGAGACAGAGGCAGGACTCCAAGAAAGGAGGGGATTGGAGGGAAAATAAACATTCGCCATAAGAGCACGAATCCCAAGTGGCTCATCCAGAGAAAGGAGCCAAGAGTTTATAGTACTTTTTGGGTTGTTTTATTTATTTTCCCCCCCACAAGATATAAATCAATCTATTTAGATAGGGATGGTTGAGAGAACACATTTTATTGCTGTGGATAATTTCCCCAGGGAGAGGATCATTTTTGTTTCACTCCTAACTTTATCTTTTGGTTTTGTGAAACCCCAGAAGTTTATGAAAAGTTGTCCAGATGAGGACACAGAAATTAGCAAACTATTCCCATCTTTAATTCACATAAAAGTGGAAACACATACCCCTGCTCACACACACACAGCACTAGAAACCAGGAAAACTAATTGAGTGCCAAGCACTCTTGTACCCTAAGGATATATATATATATTTTGGTAGCCTGAGGCTGCCAGAAACTTTGCCTGCTGAATGAATTATAGAACAGGAAGCAGATGGGCTGTGTATATGAAACAACCACTATCTGGCATGATGTGCTGTGCAATTTGGCTGCAAAGATTAAATTGAGCTATTGAATGTTTAATACACTATGCATAACAAATACAGCCAGAGCCACAAAACAGCATAAATTACAGAATTGGTATTCACACGGCCTTTCCCAGGAATCAATACACTGCCACCGCTCATAAGAGTCTGTTGTTTAATACACATAAAGAAGAGAAGAATTCTTCTATTAAAATGAGTTATCTGGGCTATTTACCAAAGGCAGTGATTTAGCAGTGGTAAAGTCTATGTAGTGCTGTTGAATGCAGATGATAATACTCCTTGTCCTTGTCTGCCTGTTTCATTGCGCCTATCAGTTGCTGGGGCTGTGAGTCCCTTGGGTACATTAGCAGTCAGCCCAGGAAGTGTGTTTAAGTAATGGACATAATGTTCACATTTGCTAGACCAGCCTTCTCCCTAATCATGAATTATTCTTCCCCAAGGCTCAATTGGAACATTACTTTAGAAGCAGAAGATTTAATCCTTTTCAGCTGATTGGAGGGAATGATTACAGTATTATTTTCTTGTACAGGCTGTCTCCAGTGAAGGTGCCTTTTTCTGTCCCCATCTTTAATAGGCAGCAATCTTTATTTCCCTGGAGGGAAATGGCAATGAATTCGAAATGGGATAAATCTTCAGGAATGCAAGGTGCTGAAGCTGTAGATCACTGCTGGTTAGTTAATTAGTTTAGCCCTCACTTGTTTCATCTCCAAGACAGAATACCTTGTAACAAGGGGCACCGTGGGTAGGTGGGTGGGTGGGAAGGTAGGAGGAGTGGGAGAGTGTAGGAATCGGCTGTAGGTGGACAACTAATCAGACACCTTCAAGTGACCAGGCCCCCGCAGATTCCCACTGGCTACAATCAGTAAAGGAAGCAGTATTTGCTTTACTCCAATTGTTCTGACTTTTGAGAACAATTCAAGTTACTGTAGCTTGTAGAAATGGTTAAGGAAGAGCAAGGCAGAACAGTGTAAAAGATGAGACTGAATGAGATTGGAGTTATCACCCTAAAAGGATATTTACATACAGGGCTAGCCCCAGACTAAGCTCTGGGATGGAAAAAAAAATGTCTACACATTCCTGGTGAATGCTCTTTAAGCACCGCTGCGCAGTGAAGTAATAAATAACAATTGACTCCATTGTTTTTTGGTCTTAGTGTTGTTATTGTTGTTTATTTTCATGTTTCCAGAAAGGGGGAAAAATGTGGCTTAGAAATTAATTACCTTGGGTTAGAAGATCTAAGCCTCAGACATATCTTCCTCCCCCCCAACCCCCGGCCCCCCTAGCCCTTCTGATAGAAAGGCCTAGCTGAGCAACCTTGGATTCTTCTGAAGTTTGGTTTCATGGGGAGCCCCTACCGCATCCCCTCCACCCATCACCTCTTTTCTGTTTTTTTTTTTTATATAAATAGCAGAGAAAGAAACAGATCAAACGTAAAGAGATGAACTGAATTATAACGAAGTCCTTGATGGCTAACACGTCTTGCATCTGATTTAAAGCCGGAAGCTCCCACGTCTAGCTGCCTGTGATCTATTTAGAATGAAACAAGGTCATGCTGCCTTGGCCCTGATTATAAATATATTACGTTTAAGTGATGAATGCCGCATTCAGAAGGAACAGGAGATCAAGAGTGCCTGAGGCTGGCGCTTTCCAATCTGTCCTCATTGCCAAGTCAGAGACTTAAAATAAACATGCTTTTAAATGAATGCTACGGAACCACGTACAGAGGTACAGGGATGATCTTGTTTCTAAAGCAGAACATAATGGGAGAGGAGCAGGGAAGAGAGGCTGTGTCAGAGCTCCCTGGAGGATGGGAATTAAAATCCTCCTTCTATTGGCTTCACCCAGGGCTTCCTTTGTTCCCCTCAGCCCATTATTCTAAGCCACCAAAAAAGGTTGAAAAGGTCTAATTTCTTCATATCAAAGGAAAAGGTGGCGTGATGTGCCTGTTTTCCATAGACATGTTCCATTCTTGAATGCTGGGATTTTCCATGAATGGTAACACCAGCTCCCTGCCACCTCCACGGCTTCCTTGAGCAAGAGGGCTGATTTAGGAGCTCCAGAAGCAATCACTTCAGGCAGCCCTCTTGTTTCAAAGAAGGCAAGCTATTCTAAGGACACATAGCTGGAAAACAACCCATCTGGAACTGAGGCTCAATGATGCCAGCACCTTGTCTATCTACATGGGACGACCTGCCTACGATGATGTCAACTTGTAGGAGGCACCCCTGGATTCTGCTCCAGTAAACCCCAAACTCCTCCACATTCAAAAGTCCCCAAGTCTTGGTAAAGAACCACCAGGAATCCGTCTCCTTCATCTGCCATGTCCTTCAATTAAATGAATCAATGAAATAAATATTTATCAAGTACCTGTTTTCCCTCTCTCAATAGCTGAGTCCCAACCAAAATTATCCTTCCAGTCTCATATACCTTTAGCTGTCTGACCCACTTGTATTTTTTTCTTTCACTTTAGCTCCACCAACTTCTGGCTCAGAAAATAAGTATTTTTTCCCAAACCAGTATGTACACATAATATCATTTGTTTCTCTTCTGCTACGAGGAAATTGGAACAATTATCATACCTTACATAATAATGGAAGGAACTAGTGCTGACAGCTTTTGGCTTTTCTTTCTCTCCCTCTCCTCCCTGAAGATAACAAAGTTCAGAGAAATGGCCAAAACTGCAGAAAGCAAGAGATGGGGGAAAACATAGGTGTTGGCATGTTGAAGAGAAATGAATGAGGAGCTAAGGAGCTGGTAGAACTGGGACCTAGTCCTAGTTGTAGCCAAGATGATTTGCCTGATCTTGGTTGCCTCACTCAAACCCCTCAGGGCCTTGGTATTTTGTTTTTTTGTTTTTGTTTTTTAATTTGAAAAATTAGAGGTTAGGCTTAGGTCCCTCCTGCTCTGAATCTCTATAGTGTTAGTTGCTCCCAAAACATTAATTGGATGTTACATCATTTGATTTCATTTCCGGACATGTACAATTCTCCAAGTAACGGGTAACATTCACGGCCCAATTACTTTCCCAAGCTCATTGAAATTTAATTTGCTGAGTGCAATGACACTGCCTGAGTTTGACTAGGAAGTCAGCAAAGCCACACCCGTGATTTACGCGAGGCTTCCTGCCTAGGAGATTTACCATCAGGGATGTCTAATGACTTTTTCTCGTGTAAACATATAGCTTTCACGTCCACTGGAGTTGGAGCTGATGAGCTTCCAGGAGCAGAATGTACTAGATAATACACTCCTTTTTACATAATGAGCTCAGGAACCTCTACTGTGAAATGAAGGGTCTTGCAGTTATTATAATGCCTCATAAATGAAAACACTATCTCTTTCAGGACTTCACAATGATATTTGTATGTTAAAAACACTGACCCTGGGAGGCTGCATTTATTTCTACAGCAGCTTTTAAAATACAGTGGCCTCCATATATACATTTCAATACTGATACTTGTGCATTCTTAACTCTCTACTATATGGTTTTGGCAAGAAGGGCATTTTGACATAAAATTTATATGATTTTATTTGACAAAAATAGGATTAGAATTTAGAAATCAACATTGTTAAACTGCTGGACCAAAAGCATTCTCTTCTGTCACTGTGTTTTTGTTGTTGTTTGAGACAGAGTCTCGCTCTGTTGCCCAGGCTGGAGTGCACTGGCTCAATCTCGGCTCACTACAACCTCCACCTCCCAGGTTCAAGCAATTCTCCTGCCTCAGCCTCCTGAGTAGCTGGGACTACAGGAGTGTGCCACCACACCCAGCTAATTTTTGTATTTTTAGTAGAGACAGGGTTTCACCATGTTGGCCAGGATAGAGCTCTTGACCTCATGATCCACCCACCTCGGCCTCCCAGAGTGCTGGGATTACAGGCGTGAGTCACGAAGCCCGGCCGTCACTGTGTTTTAAAAGCATACTTGGGATATCTGCACTATCCAATATGGTAGTCAGTTTCCATGTGTGATAAGTGAACACTTAAAATGAAGGTAGTCCAAACTGTGCTGTGCCATAAGCATAAACACACAGCAACTTTCTGGCTCCCATTATATTTCTATTGGACAACACTGCTGTAAATGTCTAATATGTTCATATCATGCTTTCCTACTTCTGGTGCAATGTTCATTTAGTCTGCGAATCATTATTGACAGTTTATGACCTGCATATTCTGTACTTGACAGAAAGAACTGAAAAAGAAACAGTTCTTGGGTAAGATTTATACTTGGCAACTGTGGCCAGTGTTCACCTAATTGCAAGCCTTAAAATATCTTATAGTGTGTCATGGACTGAATTGTATCTCCCAAAATCCATATGTTGAAGCTCTAACCCTCAGTGGGATTATATTAAGAAATAGAACCTTTAAAGAGGTAATTAAGGTTAAACGAGGACATGCGGGTATGGCCCTATGACACACCAAGGATGTTCATGCACAGAGGGAAGGCCATGTGAGGATGCAACAGGAAGGTGGCCATCTACAAGCCAAGGAGAGAGATCTCAGGAGAAACCAACACTGCTGACGCTAACCTTGATCTTGAACCTCCAGCCTCCAGAACTGTGAGAAAATTAATCTGCAGTGTTTAAGTCACCTACCCCATGGTACTTTATTAGGGTAGTCTTAGCAAACTAATACATAAGATATAAGATCAGAAGAAATATAACTGAAGGTAACTCAGCCCATTTTCCAGACTGGGAAAGAAACTCAGGTTCTTTTTTCACCAAAGGAATTATGGTTTAATGAGGAGGTGGTGGAGAAATTTTGAAAGATTTCTACCTGCCAGGAGCTGCTTTAAATGCCTTGTATATATTATTGACCCATTCGACCCTCAAGAGCCTACAGTTAGATGTCATTACCCTCATATTGTAGATTAGGAAAGAGATGCTTGGACAACCAACGTGAGGTGTAGGAAGATGAAACCACTGATCCATGAGATCCAGGCAGGAAGTACAAGATGGAAAGCCAAAGAGAGAAGTGAAGTTCATTCCTGTGGCCTTGCTTCTTCTTGGAGCTTGGTCCCTATGCTGGGTGTAAAGCATTTTTCATTATTTGTATCATTTGATTATATCCCCAATGCAATGGGGGTGAAAATTTGCTCCCTGGAAAGGAACCCACTCCAGGGGAAAAAAGAAATTTTCTGGCAAACCCAGTGTATCACCCTTAGGACCTCAAATTACACCATTTTGTTCAAATTTCGATGTCCTTTGATCCCTAGGATCTTGTTTGTGTTTCATGTGTTGTTTTAGATTTGAAGGTGGGTGAACTTTTTCGATGGTAATCACCCCAAATAATGTGTGAAAGTCTTATTAAGTGAGCATTTCAATTTTCATGTTATGTGTTTCTCAATTGTTTTTCACATCATGCTATTTTCAAAATAAATGACACATGATTCTGCTACTTCATTTTTACTAATTCATTATCAGTCAGTGTCAATTGACTGATGGTGGAACAAAAGAAAGTTGATCCTTTTCTCACACATAAATCCAAAGGTTAGATCCTGAATTTTTATAACTGAGGATTCTGAAACAGATACTATCTTAATTCAGGCTGCTATAACAGAATACCATAAACTGAGTGGCTTAAACAACAGACAATTATTTCTGACAGTCCTGGAGGCTGGTAAGTCCAAGGTCAAGATGGCTGCAGATCCAGTGTCTGGTGGGGGTCCTATCCCTGGTTTGCAGATGGCCACCTTCCTATTGTATTCTCACATAGCAAAGAGAGGGCTCTCTCCTAAAGCCCTAAGTCCTAACACCATCCCTTTGGGGGTCAGGATTTCTACATGTGAATTTGGGAGAGACACAAACATATAATCCATGCAGAACAAACTTGAAAGTAAATACACAACCTGTAGCACTCTGAAAGCAAAAGCAACACACATATGCCACACAAGCATTAGAGATTTGTATTGTCACATACACTTGAACTATGGAATTTAGGTCCATGTTATATAGGTTAAGTGAATTTGTTTTTTGTTGTTGTTGTTTAGATTTCCTAGGTGAGCTTTCTTTCATTCTCAATGTAAATCATGCTCTTTTTTTTTTGGATATGGAGTCTCGCTCTGTAGCCCAGGCTGGAGTGCAGTGGTGCGATCTCGGCTCACTGCAAGCTCCGCCTCCCGGGTTCACACCACTCTCCTGCCTCAGCCTCCTGAGTAGCTGGGACTACAGGCGCCCGCCACCACTCCCGGCTAATTTTTGTGTGTGTGTGTTTTTAGTAGAGACGGGGTTTCACCTTGCTAGCCAGGATGGTCTCCATCTCCTGACCTCGTGATCCGCCTGCCTCGGCCTCCCAAAGTGCCGGGATTACAGGCATGAGCCACCGCGCCCGGCCAAATCACACTCTTTTTAATGTACTCATAAATCTTGCTTCAAGAAATGCCAACAAAATTAGAGAAAGTGAGGTTTAAAATAATCTTGATACTGGAGAAATGTGAACACACACACAGAACAAGCAAACTGACGACACTAAAACAGAAATGAGCCACGGGAATTGTGTAGATTGGAGGAGTGTGTGTAGAGAATGGCCACGATGCAGGGCAGCTGAAATGGCTGGCTGCCACCAGGTCACAGAAGAAGGCATCACAGCCCAGAAACTGCTCTTCGGTGTTTAAGGCTCAGAAATTGGATTCTACGAATATCCTAAGCAGAGATTAGTTTCTCAAACACAAAAGCACATGATTCCAGTTCATAAGAGACTAATGTAACAGCCAAAATGTTGCTCAGTATATTCTTCCCTGTGGTGTAACTGACATGAGAAGCCAAATTCTGATCAGGAGCTTGCTTGAAGGGCCTGAAGTTGACATGAGAATCCAAGTCCTGATCAGGAGCTTGCTTGTAGGGCCTGAAGTTGACATGGGAATTCAAATTCCAATGAGGAGCTTGCTTGGAGGGACTAAATTTGCTGGGGGATAAATTCGGACAGTTCACATGTGTTCTGGCATCAAATGGTAGCTGATAACATCTCAGAGACTCTGGAGCTCCTCTCCTAGGTAGCATGGGATTCATGTAGACAAAGTTTTCTTCCAATTTGTACAGTTTTCTCAACAGCAGCTCAAGGAATATTAATGTAGCCAGACTATTTCACCTGATTCTATGTTATTAGAACTCAGAGGTGAGAACAGACTGGCAAAAGGTATCCCTTAACCAGTGGTGTTCATAGAGCCAGATACCACATAACACCATATCCTACTATCTTGAATAGAGGAAACTTTTCCTTTAGACTCAAATAAATTATTGCCTATTTACAATTTAGTTTACCATAAAAAGATTCTTTTTTTAAAATCACTTTATTTCTGCCTTTCCTACCTAAAGAACTTGTCGGCCACCAACCATTCCCCCCAGGAAAAATAAAATAACGCATACATCAAACAGTAATAGAGGATACTTTAAAAAAATCACCAATACTATTTAAAGAACTACAGATTCAGCCCACTGAGGTGGACAAACCTTACCTTATACTCTTTCCATTCAACATGACACACAGTAGGTGTATCAAAGACTAAAAGTGGAAAATGCAATGGAAGAAGGCAAAACACCAGTTACTAACCTACTTGGTGCATTGATTCCTCTCTCTGTTTCAGAAGATCAAGATATGTCAAGCATTAGAACAAGCTATTTATATTTGAGAGTAGTTACATAAGATATAGGATAATGAAGTACAGAGAATGAAGGAGATAGAATCAATCAAAGGTATCTGGGCTCAAATTCAGGGTCCCCACTTTTATAAAGCATTACACAGTCACATCTTTAAAATGGAGTTGATGGCATCTAAAGTGTAAGATGGCTTTTTTTTTTTTTTTTTTTTTGGGACGGAGTCTCGCTCTGTCACCCAGGCTGGAGTGCAGTGGCGTGACCTCGGCTCACTGCAAGCTCCGCCTCCCGGGTTCACGCCACTCTTCTGCCTCAGCCTCCCGAGTAGCTGGAACTACAGGCGCCTGCCACCATGCCCAGCTAATTTTTTGTATTTTTAGTAGAGATGGGGTTTCACAGTGTTAGCCAGGATGATCTCGATCTCCTGACCTCGTGATCCACCCACCTCGGCCTCCCAAAGTGCTGGGATTACAGGCGTGAGCCACCGCGCCCAGCAGTGTAAGGTGGTTTTTTACGATTAAGTGAAATGAGCTAGTATAATGTGCTTGGTCTGTGTAGATACCCAATAAGTAGTAGTTATCATCATTACTATCATTTTGGAGATATTTCATCTTTTGAGCATTTTCTTTTTCTTCTCCAAAGCTACACCACATCTCTTCAGTCAAATGCAGCTTAGCAAAATATCTTGCTGACCCCCATCATGTGTCTATAAATGACTGACAGGAGCATATACATTCTTAACTTTTTCCAAAGGACACTAGTTTCTTTTGCCTGGAAAAGGGGTAAGTTAAAAAAAAAGAAAAATGAATCAGGTGAGCTTCTGTCTTGATGAGGAGACCAGAGTCAAACCAGTCTTCATATTCACCTGGATGTGGAAGTCAAGATTAAAAAGCAGATCCTAAAACTGAAAATGATCACATAGATTAGAGGTTAGTTTGGCTCCACTTCCTAATCCTGTTTCTATTATTTCTATGGTTGCCTTTAATTTTTAACATGTGTTTTTAGCAAACTCTATTTTTAATCAAAATCTTTATTACCTTAAACAGAAGAGGATTTTAGCATGGTTTTAACTCTGACCAGCCACCTCCCCTCATCATGTCACTGAAGGGCATTGCAGGGCATACAGTCAATGCTACTTGCATTTACCAACATGTTTTCCTCTTTTATTTGCCTCCCATTTTATTATTTTCAATTCAATTTTCTTCTTACTGAATTAAAAACACCAGTAGGTCTTTTAGCAGAAAGAATAATAAATGAATGATAAACCCTAAATATAATAAACTGGATAAACTTTCTTTGTACACATAAATTTGTCTACATATTTTGCACTCTTTCTTAGACAGCAATTAATCTGGGAATTGAATCCCAGCTTGTTTTCCCATAGGGCTTTGAAAAAATTATTTAATTGATATCTGCATGTACTTTTTGCTTCTAAGAAGTATGTCATTAGTAAAATTACCTAGAAAAGAATAACAATCTGGATTTTTGGTAGTTTTTAGACTTTCTTGGTATGAATTTGTTTATCAAGTCCTGATTGTAACTCAATGCTGATTATTTATTTAAGGATCCATGTCTTTCTTCAACTCTGAAAAAATTATCAGCCATAATCTCTTCAAACATTGTTTCCCCATTCTTTCTTTATTCTTCTAGAACTCTTGTTAGATAATTGTTGGAGCTTTTAATTCTTCTAATTCTTTCTTCCATGCTTCTTAATTTCTCTTTCGTTTTTCCCATCCCATCCAAATCTCATGTCAAATTAGAGGAGGAGCCCGGTGGGAGGTGATTGAATCACGGGGCATATTTCCCCCTCGCTGTTCTCATGATAGTGAATGAGTTCTCACGAGATTTGATGGTTTAAAAGTGTGTGGCACTTCCCCCGTCGCTGTCTCTCTCTCATGCTCCACCATTGTGAAGATATGCTTGCTTCCCCTTTACCTTCTGCCATGATTATAAGTTTCCTGAGGCTCCCCAGTCATGCTTCCTGTTAAGCCTGTGGTACTGTAAGTCAATTAAACTTCTTTATAAATTACTCAGTCTCGGGTAGTTCTTTATAACAATGTGAGAACAGACTAATAAACTCTCTAAACTGCACTCTGGGTGATTCTGCTAGATTTTACAATTCAGAAAAATATTAGCTTGGGCAGTCGACTTACTGATTAACCTATATATTCAATTTTACTTCGTTCTTAATCTAAGCATTATAAGAAAAAAACTATAGTTTTAACCTAATTCTTGGAAAACGTCAAAGAAATGAAAATGCATATTCTTATGCAAATATTCTTTTTGTGGCAAATGTTTTTGGAGATGTTCCTGATTCATATTCTGCATAAATAGAATCTTGCCATTTCAGTACTATCATAGTGACATATTGGACACCCTTGGTAAAATGAAGCCAGGAAACATTTCTAATATACATGCAGACATTTATTTTTCCAGTTAATTATCTATCCTGTTTTAAAGCATGCTTATTTTTGAAGTGTCAAAATGTACTAATCCATACTGCATTTGTTTGGAAAACTTCACGAACAAGTATCTTTCAGCAAGAAAAGACATTTGATGCCAGCCAAATTTTCTTTTTTCTGTCACTATAAATGGCTTTCCTATTTTGAACAGTTTTTCAAAATCAAAGTCATATCTAAGCTGACAACTTCTTTGGCAAGTTTCAGCTAGATGTAATTTGAAATAGTCAAGGAAGCAAAGCCTAAACAATAAGGTTTTTAATGGTAACGGTGACAGATCTTTAACTACTGTCATGCTGTGTCTGACACCAGAAGACTTGAGAGGAAATTGGTTAAATAAACCCTTGCAGTTAAAGGAATACACCTGCATTTACAGTATGTGGCTGGTGTCATGAAATTAAGAAGACTGAAAATTTAGTGATGTTAAGCTCTTAACAAAAACATACCTGAAAAATCCCCCTAAGGAATTTCTCTCTTTAGCCCTCAGAATATTCTTTATTTGTAGTTGGCATACAAAGGTCATTAAAAGGTCACAAGGAATAGAAAACAGTCAAGACTCCGACCTGTCTAGCTTCAGATTTATTCTATACAAAACAAGGCTGATTCCTTTCTAAGGGAGAAGGAAATTCTGATGTGTGCAGCCTTTGAATCGCTATTACTTACACACTTTTACTTACACAAATCCATACATAATTTGCTTTTACTAGAATGAGAATTTGTTCATTGTTTTATTATTTATCTTTGTGGAGAAGCCACTAGCTTTCCTAATTCACAGAAATTTTTCTTATTATTTTCGTATTATGTAACTGTTTTTTAGCATAATGTAAACTCTAATTTCACTTTAGAACACATTGATACTGTGTTTAGAATTTGGAAATTACATTTCACATATACCATGCTTCATATCAATTACTCTGACTTTTTTAATATATTCATTTCTATGTTTAATTATACTGAAAGCAATGTGGACAGAATTCTAGTCTTTAATAATCACATTATCATAACACCTTGAAATCATCTATATCACTAAAAGAACTTAATGGTACCAACGAATGGTACAAAAGGTATATACAAGACATTCTGGAGGCAAAACCAAATAGAGACTTTCAGGGAACAAAAGATAAACATTAATGACTTAATGCATTAATGACTTATTAAGCGTTCCTTTAACTAAAATTCTCTTATTCCTCTAACTTGACATCTAATGCCCTAACTACTCATTTAAAAAAATCTGTTTTATAAACATTACAAACTTAAGAACGTCTCTAAAAAAAAAAGTTGAATTGCAAAAAAAAAAAAAATGGTCAAAATGAGTTGATACTTGACAAGTGATTTACAACAATTTCCTTTCCTCAAATCTTGTAAATTTGATTTCAGATAAAAATAATCACCTTAACTTGGTCTCACAATTAGAAAATAATAGAAGAAAGTCTGGTTGAGCAATGAACCTTATAATTTATATATATATATACATATATAGGTGGATATATAAACATACACCTACATAAACATAGTACATTTTGTAATTTATGTGCTATATATTTGCATATGAATATACCTTACATACATTTGCATTATCTATAGTGCAATGACCTGCATGTCATTGCATTATTAAATATCAATTAATAGATTCACTGAAAATATGAAATAAAGTGTTAAAAAACTCTTAAAACAGCAAGGGAAATTCTAAGCCTGAAATAATGGACTGAAGAGGGAAAGAAAGGAGAGTGAAAAAGTTTTAAAGATCTCATTTTATTAAGGAGAAAATAAATTATCTTAACGAGGGAAACTGTACCTGAGTGGGAATAATAGCTTGTTTTTACATAATATAAAGAAATATCTGTGTAGCATAGTTCAGAAAGGAGAAATTAAGTGTTAATAGATTGAAAAAATATTGTAAACTATCATATTTACATGGGAAATGGAATAAATCTTAATGATGAAATCAACAAGAAAATAAAAGGAATAAGGCAATGAAAAACTAGATAATAATCATAAGGTAAAGTAAAAAAAAAGTTCAAGTATATTAGTCACTACATGAACTAAATTCTTCCTGTAAAAGAGAGACCATCTAACTGGTCTTAGAAAAGCAATATTCTATTTGTGAAAACTGCACACTTCACTGGGATAAAGAAAAGTTGAATATGAAAGAGCTAACTAAGCAGTAAGTAAACACAAATTAAAAATCAAGGGTAAGAAATAATATCTGGAAGTTAGAATATATATATTTACAGTAAAGATAGCAAAGAAGTATATTGGTTTATGTATTTTAAGAATGGGGCAGATCTACTAGAAAAAATTAGAAAGGACAAAAGTTAATTGAGGAACATAATAAACTAGATGTATTGGGTATGTACATATGTAATACACATGTAATAATTTTACATATGTGCAGAGAAAACTTCATATTCCCCAAATACTGCATATTCATCTTTTCTGTGTGTTCATTATTTTGAAGAGATGGGGTCTTAGTCTGTTGTCCAGGCTGGAGTGCAGTGGTGCAATCATAATTTGATACAGCCCCAAACTCCTGGGCTCAAGCTACCCTTCTGCCTCAGTCTCCCAAATAGCTAGGACTATGTGATACCACTCCTATTTTTAAAAACATTTTTAGAGAGATGGGGTCTGTTTTGTCCAGGATGCTCTCAAACTCCTGGCCTCAAGAAGTCCTCCACCTCAGCCTCCCAAAGTGTTGGGATTACAGGGATGAGCCACACAGCACCTAGCCCATAAAGATATTTTTTAATTAATCATGCACCTGTCATGAAAATATGTTAATAAATTTGTAATGTCAGATTTGTACAGAACATATTCTTTGATTATACACCAATACAATTAGTGCTATGATTTGAAATATGCTCCCCGAAGTTCATATTGGAAACTTAATCCCCAATGCAAAGTATTGAGAGGTGGGACTTTTAAGAGGTGACTAGGCCATGAAGGCTCTGCCCGCACAAATGTTTTAATGCCATTATTGTGGGAGTGGGTTAGTTATTACAGGAGTGGATTCCTGATGAAAGAATGAGTTCAGCCTCTTACTTCTTTCTCTCAACCCCCTACCCACACACATACACACACACATTCTCTCTCTCTGTCTCTCTCTCTCCCCTACCTTCTGTCTTCAGCCATGGGATGACACAACAAGAAGGCCCTCACCAGATGCAAGGCCCTTAACCTCATGCTTCCCTGCCTATGGAACTGTAAGAAATAAATATCGGTTCTTTATAAATTACCCAGTTTTAGATATTCTGTTACAAAACACAATAAGACAATTAGAAACAAACAATATTAAAGTGATCAAAAATATCTTCCATACCTGAAAATTACCTTCCATACCTATGTTTGTCAGGACTGCTATAACAAAGTACCACAAACCAGGTAGCTTAAACAACACAAATTAGCTGTCTCACATTTTTGGAGGTGAGACATGTAAGAGCAGCAGGGGCTGCAGGTCAGCAGGGTTGGTTCCTTCTGAGAGTATGGAGAGAGAATCTGTTCCATACCTCTCTCCTAGTTTCTGGTGATTTCTTGGCCTTCTTAGGCATTCTTTCACTTATAGAACCATCACCCCAAACTCTGCCTTTATCTTCACATGGTATTCTCCCTGTTTGCATGTCTGTGACCAAATTTCCCCTTTTAATAAGCACATCAGTCATATTGGATTAGGGGACAACCCTACTCCAGTATAACCTTATCTTAATGAATGACATCTGCAATTATCCTATTTCCAACAAGTTTCCGTTCAGAGAGACCGGAGGTTAGGACTCTGATATGAATTTTGGGGAGGATACCATTCAACCCATAATAGTTCTATAACTATTAAGTTGAATTATTCCTTCAGAAGAAGTCTCCAGTCCCAGATGATTTCATTGGTGAAGTCTATCACACATTTAAAGAAAAAAAAAAAAAACACCAATTCTATGTAAGCTCTTCTGAGAACACTTCCCATCTATGTTATGAGGTCACTATTACTCTGATACCAAAACCAGACAAAGGAAGTACAAAAAAGAGAAGTACAAATCATTATCTCTCCTGAAAAAGTCACAGAAATGCTCAGCAAAATATGAGCAAATTGAAATGTGGCAATACTCATTATAAAGGGTTACAACATGAACAAGTAGATTGTAACTGAACAAGAATATATATTTGATCTCTGTCCCTGTTTCTTGACATACAGGAACTAAAATCCTTGTAGTCTCTGGAAGTGATGTGTCTTTTGTATGCTAGTAAGATGGCTGGTGGCCAGCGGCTCCTAGATAGCCTCAGGATGGGGGCTGGTTACCAGGGAAACCAATCATGTGATAGAGGGTTGAAACTTTCAGCTCCACCCTCCGATTTCTCAGGAGGGGAGAGGGTCTATGAAATAAAGCCTGTGTCATGAAGCCTCCATAAAAACCCTAAAAGATGAGGTTAGAGCTTCCAGGTTGTTGAACATAGCAGAGTGTGACCATAGAAAGCTCCTCACCCCTTCTCCAATGCCTTATCCTATGCATAGCTTCCAACTGGTTGTCCCTGGGTTTTATTCTTTGTAATAAACAAGTAATCTAGTAAGTAAATTGTTTTCCTGAATTCTGGGAGCCACTCTAGCAAATGATCAAATTTGAGAAGGGATCATGAGAACCTCTGGTTCATAGCTAAATTGGACAGAAGTTGTAGGCAACATGAGGACCTACCATTTATGATTAACACATTAACAGTCTTGTGAGACTGAGCCCTTAACCTTAATCTGTGGGATCCAGTGAATGTTAGAATTGAATTGAATTGTAGAATGCACAGTTGGTGTCCACAGAGAATTGGAGAATTGCTTGGTATTGGAGGAATCCTCATACATTTTAGTGGCCAGAGGAGTTGTGAGTATAGAAAAGAAAAAACCATTTTGTTTTTCCTATACAGAGACTTATTGCAGAAATGCAAGGCTACTTTAATATGTAAAAATCAATCAGTGTAATCCACTGTGTTTATAGCCTAAAGAAAAATAACAAAACATGATTATATCAGTTGATACAGAAAATAGCATTTGACAGGTTTTTGCAGAAGATGTGGTCACAGGTGCTGCGGATCTCTAGTCCACTTGATCCTGCTCCTGACTTGCCACTGTTCCCTCTTGCCAAGGAAAGGTTGGCCAGGAAGTGAAGATGCAGTATGGCTTTTAAAAATAACAGAAAAAATCTCATAGAACCAAAGGTGGTGATTCACCAAATTCTAATTACACTAACCAGCCACAGGGTAAAAATCCGTGGAGACTGTGTGTGCTGACTCAACCAGAGGCACAAAGGAAAACAATCTCAAAGTGAAAGAACCGGTTCAAATGTCCACCAAGACTTCGAGAATCCCAAGAAAAACACCTTGTGGTGGCAGTTCTAAGACGTAACACCATTTCTAGATGAAAATCCACAAGCAGCTTACTGACTTGCACAGCCTTTCCAAGACTGTTAAGCAGATTACTTCCACCAGTATTGAGCTAGGAGTTGACACTGTAGTCACTATTGCAGATGCTTTAAGTCAACTGTTTTAATACATTAATAATCAATTGTTTAAAAAAATAGCATCTGACAAAATCCAATACTCGCTCATAATTTAAAAACCCTTCTCAGCAAACTAGAAATAGAAGGTAAATTCCTCAAAGTGATAATGAACATCAACAAAAAACTCCACAGCTAACAAAAAGCTGACTGCTTTCTCATAAGATCAGGAACAAGGTAAGAGTATCCACGCTCACCATTCCTGCTCAACACCATACTGGAAGTCCTAGACAATGCAATAAGACACATAAAAGAAATAAAAGGCATTCAGATTGGGGAAAAGAAATAAAATTGTTCTTACTCCCAGTCATGATAATTGACTATGTAAAAAATCCTAAGTGATCTATAGCAAAACTTCAAGACACAACAATTGAGTTCAGCACGTTTGCAAGATACAAGGTCAACACACAAAAATAGTTATTAATTTTCTATATATTAGCAATAAACAATCAGAGACAAATTTAAAAACATGCCATTTAAAATAGCTACAAAAGATGAGGTACATAGGTAGAAATTTACAAAATATGTACATGATTTTATATGATAAAAATTGTAAAACTTTGATGAAAGAAATCAAAGACCTAAATAAATAGAAAAATACTATTTTCATGGCTTGAAAGATTCAACATAGTAAAGATGTCAATCCCCCCACCAAATTGATCTACAGATTTAACGTAACTCAAATCAAAATTTCAACAAGACTTGTTTGTTTGTTTGTTTGTTTTAGACGTAGATAAACTGACTCTAAATTTTATATAGAAAGGCAAGGGAACTAGAGGAGCCAAATTTTTTTTAAAGAAAGTTGAAAAATCACGCTATCCAATTTTAAGACATACCATAAAACTACATTAATCAGGACACTGCGTACTCACAAATGGATAGATAATCAATGGACAAGAATAGAAAATGTACAAATAAACCCACACAGGCACGGACAATTGATTTTTCACAAAGATTGAAAGCCAATGTAATAAAGAAAGAATAATAATTTCACCAGATAGTATTGGAACAATTAGACAATTATGTGTAAAAAAGTAAACCTCAGCCTAACACAAATTGAATTATATTTTATATAAAATATACCCCAAATGTATCACAGATTAATTAGCTCATAGAACTAAATGTAAAACATAAAATGATAAACTTTTTAGAAGAAAACATAAAAAATTTTATAACTTAGGGTTAGGAAAAGATTTTGTGACTATGAAACCACAAGTACAATCCATAAAAATAGAAAATTGATTAAACAGACCATCAAAATTAAAACTTTTGTTCTCTGAAAGACACTGTTAGGAGAGTGAAAAGGCAAGCCACAGATGCAGAGAAATAAAATCACATGTCCAAAAAGGACTTTTAACTGCAATATATGAGGAGCTCTCAAAACTCAACACTAAGCAAACAACTCAATCCTGAAATGGGCAAAAGGCTTGAACAATCACTTCACCAAAGATATATGGATGACAAATCCTGGAAAAATGTTCAACATCATTAGTCATTAGGATTAAAACCAAATTAAAACCATGATACATTACCACTCTACACCCATTAGAATGACTAAAATATAAAATACAGAGAATACGAAGTCTTGGCAAGGATGCTGAACAACTGGAACTCTCATGTGTTGCTGATGGAAATGCAGAATGACACAGCTCCTCTGGAAAACAATTTGGCAGTGTTTCACAAAGTTAAACATACACTTACCTATAGCCCTGTCGTCCCACATCGGTATTTACCTGAGAGAAATTAAAACTTAAATTCACACAAAAACCTGTACAGGAGTGTTTATAACAGCTCTATTCATAATCACCAACAATTGGAAACAATCCAAAAGTCCTTCAACAGCTGAATGAATAAACAAGCAAACTATTGATTCATGCAACAACATGGATGAATTTCAAAGGCATTATATGGAGTAAAAGAAGCCAGTCTCAAAGGAGCCAGTCGCAAAATGTTATGTATTCTGGTTCTACTTATATAATATACTTTAAAAGACCCCATCTACAGTGATGGAGAGCAAATCAGTATTTTCCAGGGTGTAGCAGTATGGACAGCATGTACAAGAAGAGTTTTGTAGGTGATGAAACTGTTCTATACCTTGTTTGCAGTTGTGTTTACATAAATAACGTGTTAAAATTCGTAGAACTGTACATCAAAAATGAAGTTTACTATATGGTAGGTTTTCAAAATAAAATTAATACAAAGTAATATTAGTTTATATAATATTAGTTCAACTAATCCAAGCCAGAGAAAATTAGAGAGAGCTCTTCCAGTCCATTTTATGAAACTTGTAAAACTTTTACTCAAAGCCCTGTAATGATAGCACACACAAAAAAAACTTTCTTCTGAATATAAATGCAAAAATTTTCAGTAAAGTTTTATCAAAGAGAATCCAGCTTTGTAGCAAATGGATAAGCCATTACATCCAGGAAGGGCTTATTCCAAAAATACAAGGGTAGATCATTATCAGGTAATATATCAACAGAATTAATTGCACCGATTGTTAAAGAAAGAAAAACAAATGATCATATCAAAGATACTGAAAATATATTTTCTAAAATTCAGATCTCTTCTTATTAAAAATTTCAAGTTAAATAGGATTAAAGGATATTACTTCAAGGTAATAAAGACTGCTATCAAAAGCCAACAGAAAATATTATTATAGATTCTATATATGTGATATATACATATCATGAAATATGTAATTACATGTGCTCACACACATATACATGCACATATAGACATAAACATAGTTACATATATACAGTAGTCCTCTCCTTATCCACAGTTTTGCTTTCCATGGTTTCAGTTACCCATAGTCAACTGTGTTCCAAAAATACTACATGAAAAATTTCAGATATAAGCAATTTATAAGTTTTAAACTACACTCTCTTCTGAGTAGCGTGATGAAATTTCATGTCCTTCTGCTCCATCCCACGTGGGATATGAATAATAACTTTGTCTAGTGTATTTACACTGTACACACTACTTGTCTGTTGGTCCTGGGTTATCAGATCGACAGATCTGAAGAAAAGAAGGGTGAGGGTGAGTACAGTGCAAAATATTTTGAGAGAGAGTTAAACAGACTACATTTATAAAAACTAGCATATTTTAGTTTATTTTTTATTGTACTTTTCTTTCAATTGCCTCTGCATCCCATCTTGTCCATAGTTCTATTGGGTTGTTTCTCTCTATTATAAATTTGGAAGACAAATGTATATTGCAGATATTAACACTCTGTCCCTATAATTGTTCTATTTCATTATTATTGTTAATTTCTTACTGTATCTAATTTATACATTAAGCTTTATCATAGATACATATGTATATGAAAAAAAATAGTGTATATAGGGTTCAGTACTACTTGCGGTTTCAGGCACCCACCGGGGTCTTAGAACATACCCCTCCCAGATATGAGGGGACTACTGTAAACACGTAATGTGAGGAGTTTTGTGGGGATTGGACAAAATGATCTTAAAATTGCCATGGAAGAAATAAATCTAAGTAAAGTTTTTAAAATAGAATGACAAGGGAGACTTGCCCTATCTGATATCAGACCATTGTATTAGCCAGCTGTAATTAAGTCAACATGTTGCCAGGCTAAGAATAGGCAAAAGATCATTGGTACAGAAAAGAGAATCCAAAATTAGATGCTAACACATTTGAGAATTTAATGGAGCAAAAGTGTTATTTTAATTCAAAAGAGGAGATTATTTAAGAAATACTAGTCTTATTAAAAATTTAAGGACAAAAAAATAAAACAACTACAATTCTACAAGACAATCTCGGATACGGGCTATGCAATCTAAGTGAAGAAGACCCTTTCACTAAAATTGGATGCTAAGAAACCATTAAGAAAAAGAGAAACTTTCTGGCCACATTTTTAAAATATGTAGGGAAAGAGAGCAAAACATCTATTAAATGAATAATTAATTTTTAAAAGCACATGCAATGGAAGGGACAGAATGTTAATATCTGCAATATACATTTGTCTTCCAAATTTATAATAGAGAGAAACAACCCAATAGAACTATGGACAAGATGGGATGCAGAGGCAATTGAAAGAAAAGTACAATAAAAAATAAACTAAAATATGCTAGTAGGTCAGAAAATTAATATTAAAATTGAGATGTTAAGCAAAAATGAAAAAGACTGGTAATGCATATTGCTGCCAGGGACATACAGGGAAAGAGAGTACTTCCCCACATGAGTGGTGAGAATATGAATGAATTAGTAAACTCTTTAGAAAAAATAATCTGGCAATATCTTAATTTAAATTTAGAATCCTGATATATTTGAACAGAACCAATTCACTCTTAGGGAGTTCTCTTATGTAAATAAAAGTGCCATTAACCACAGGAAATATGAGCAAGGCTGTTTATTGCAACATTGTACTAGCAAAAATGGGAAACCAAGTAAATGCTCATCTACAGGGGAATGGGTGGATTGCTTACGTACATCCACACTATAAAACTACTATAGAGTTATTAGAAAGAAATATGTGGCCACTTGTCAAGAATTCTGCAAGGTAATGTCAAGTGAAAAAAAGCAAAATGAAGAAAAGGGTATTTATTATAACATAATCCTTTTAAAAGAGAGAAATGTTGACTAAAAACTGTGCAGGGTGTGTGTTGTATGTTGTATTTGTATATAATTATATGAGCACGTGTGTGTGTGTGTGTGTGTGTGTGTGTGTGTGAAAAACAGGGAGATGTATTCCTCTATAAAAATATAAGCATAGAGAAACAAAGAGGTG
Source organism: Homo sapiens (assembly GCF_000001405.40). NCBI lineage: Eukaryota > Metazoa > Chordata > Mammalia > Primates > Hominidae > Homo > Homo sapiens. The sequence continues at coordinate 81,415,412 of NC_000009.12, forward strand.
AATACACACAAAGGTGTCAGTTTGGGTTCTTAGAGAAGGGAGTGATAAGAGTAAAGTCAAGGTAAGGGAAGAATAGAAGAAAAGAAAAGCTAAGCTAAAAAGAGAAAAAAAAAGAAATAAAAGACTGCAAAATAAGAACTCCAGTATATATGATAATGTCACATTTATGTATTTCTGTAAAATGTCATATGTATATGAGTAGCAATGAAAATTCAATTAAAGAAAAAGAAGCCAGCAGGAAGAAGAGAAACCAGATGCATTTACCATAGAAAACTACCACATTACCAAAGGGGGATATTCCAAAAGTTCCATCGTAAATTTGTTGCTTAAAAGTTGAATACCATTTGCCCATTAAACATACACATACACAGATTCCCACAGAATTCTGTTTTACATTCTAATATCCTTGGATCATATATAACAATGATTTCTGTAAAACATATACAACAGAAAATTTAGCTCCATCGAGGAAAGACAGGGCTAGCCTCCTCCAGTTGCAGAAGTGACAGTGGTCACAGGGTGGCCCAGTCCATACCTCCCTGCCACCAGAGAGACCAGGAGTGCAGGGCCAGGTGTTTCGCACAACTCCAGGAAGAACCATTCAGATTATATTCTACATTGAATGCTGCTTCCTAGTTGTACAATATAGGCCTCCTGGCCAGGACTTTTCCTAGTTCCAACCTATTGATAGTAATGCCTGGGACCAGAAGTGAGATTCTCACACAGATGATGGTGGAGGGGGCTGAAGGGTGAGATGGTAGAATAGGGACAGAGGTCCAGGGCAGCAGGGCAATAGCAAGGTGAAATGAGATAGCAAGCGTTGAGGAAAAGTGAAGAAAGTATGTGAGGATCACAACATGACCAGTTTTGTAAATCAACTATCTCTAACTATCTCTATATAGCACCTGACGGGAACATGAAATTTAAACATTATCATGCAGCAAAAATACAGGCCTAAGTCTTCATTCAACACTTGTTCTACATTCAGAGTCCTTATCTTTAATCAAATTTAGGTTAAAAATGAGGTTGTGAGAACAAGCAAAAAAAATGTAAGTTGACGTCAATTTTTAGAGTCTCTATTGTGACCTGAGTCAAAGTTTTAACGGCCATCTTTTGAAGTCACTTTTATTTTCCAGTAACTGATTGGATGCTTCAGGCATCCAATCAGGTCCAAATATTTTCCTCTTGCAAACAGAACCGTAGTCTGTAATTATAGCTTACCACAATCTGCCCAATTATCCAGTGCTTTTTCAACTGTGTTTGTAAAAAGCAGGAGGCAATGTCTGTGCTCTGATTTCTACTCTTATCTGCAACATCTGAAAAGCCTCCAAACCCAGCTGGGAGCCAAGACTACATCAGAACTTTAAAAAAAATTTTTTTTTGAAAACACTTACATTCCACCTTTTACCAGGCATCTCTCCTCTCTCTTCCCTCACAAACATGAATTCTTTCATGTGGACACTGTGTCATATAATAAAACTCCGACTTAAAGGACTTTCAAGAGTATTCATGCTCAACATAGTTTCCACAGTGAATCCTCTCCCGGAATTTAATTGCTAAGCTCTATCTAAGCCCACAGCTGACACACATAACAAGCTGAGACTCTCATTCGTGCAGAGTATCCTGTGGCCTAAGCAGGCAGTCATGTCACCTTCAGTGAAACTGAGACCATCAGGCAGAGCTTCTCTTGTATCAAGGGGTTTAGAGGAAGGCTCATGATTCTATGTTGACAACAAAACTTGCACATCAGCCAAGAGTCTGACCTAGAAGAAGGAGAACTCAAGTACAAGCCAAGGGTTATTTACAGCCTTCTAGTACTCTTAAGGCAGCCTGGCAAGGACCGCTAGTAAAGCAATCGATATTTTCTCTTGTTTCTGATTCTGTCCAACCAGCAGATGAGTCACATAACTATAGCCAAGATTACCTGCTCATATTTCCCCCTTGATACAAGTTAATCAGGACAGTGACAGCAGAAAGAGCCAAGAGAGGGGAAGATTCAAATATCCAATTGCCAAACGGAGCGTGGAAAGAGGCATAGTGAGCAAGCAGACAGACCTGGTAGTTGAGTCAAGCCTCTCTGAGTTGGCAGAGAAAAACAGGTGGTTTGTAGTTACAACCTTTTTTTTTTTTAGCTGATTGGAATTGTCTGGTTCAACAGTTAAAAAGAAAAGTTTGGCTAACCTCCATCTAACAGGAAACTCTATCAGCACAACCAATTGATTTGGCTGTCAAAATGGAAATGTCTTGGTTGGACTATTGTTTGAAAGTTCATTATTGTCGATTCAGAGAAGCAGAAATGAACAACAGTTCATAAATGTTAGCCTGGTACACATTGTCAAAAATCATCAACTTTAATTCTTCTAAGAAAGTTTCTCCACTCCAAGTCCTACTTCCTTGCTAACCAATTGCTATAAAGCCTTCTTGAAGAATTGCTTATTTTGGAAATGTCGTTTCCCTAACTTATGCTGATAGCTCCAGCAATTAGTCCCTACCAAGAAAATAATTAAAACTAAAAAATGCCCTGATTCCCAGAGAAACATAAGTTACACATTTCAAGCAACTGTAATACTCTGATTTGGGAAATTATCAAGTGTTGCTTTATAAATGTATTTAGGAACCACAAGGGTTTTTTCAGTTGGTCAGGACATTTTCCTATTTAAACATTGATTTAGAAAATTTGCCAAGTAAACCAGGAAATCAAGAGAGCAAAATTATGCTGCACATAAAGAAAGCAGCTGCATTTTTCCAACCCTAGTAATTTAACCAGCCATTTCTTTAAACAAAATGAAGAGGGGGAAAAAAGAGAAGCAAATCTGGCAGCACTAATCTCATTTCATTACATTGGCAAACCAAAATATCAGTCATCAAACATATTTGATGGAAAACATTTGTCCATTGTGTTGGTATTCTTAAAAGTGAAAACTACAATATGGTATAGGAATTTAATATCAAATTACATTTGAAGGGCCATTTCAGTAATTAAGTGAGAAAATGATTTCTAGCAGATGCCCTTTCATTTAAAAGCCTACCCCCCAGGCAAAATTCCTCAGCATTAAGAAAGATCAACAGTGTCACAAGATTCAGAAACCTCACACATATATGCACACAAATGTCAAGACAGAGAATGTATGTACACCGTGAACAGTGAAATAAAATATATGAGAAGATGCACTTTACAAGAGACAGATAAAGCAAGCAAGGTAAGTCTTCATCTAACATAATTACAAAAAGAAAATAGAGAGATCCTTGCCTAAAGGTCTATTGTATGACTTGCATTCTGCTGTGTAGTTAGATATTGGCCCCATGTTTATGATTTCAAATTACATAAATGAAATTTTTTTTAGGTATCTGCTTAGTCTCCTGGTTAAACCCAAGTGGGAGAAACTTGCTAAAAGCTCTCCATAGGAAGGAAGTATTCTCAGAATTATCATATTATTTAATTCACATTATCCCTTTATCCAAATTTTTGCAAAGAGAAGAGATATGTACACAAATTACAGTCAAATGGGTTTGATTGTCTAATAAAGTTTTGAACATCAGTAAATAAGAACAAGAAGAACTTCTGAAATTATAGGTGTTTCAGTAGCTACCTATTCCATCCACCATCTGACCAGGCCACACCAAAAGGTCATTCATGTCTTGAAGAAGCAGCAGAAGATAAATTTATTAAATCATAAATAATATTGATGGCCATATATAATTTAAATGATCTTTCAAGGCTTTACAAAGAATAGAATTTCCTAGATTCTTTGCTCATCTCCTTTGGTTCCAGGAATGTGCCATGATTACTAACTTCTGTCTTAGAGACTCTTTTTAAGAAAGCCAAAATATCACCATTTTAGATTCACCAAACGATCCTTGTATTCATGTGCTAGGGCTGCCATAAGAAAGTTCCACAGTCTGAGTAGCTTAAACAACAGGAACTTGTTTTAGCCTCCTCACATTTCTGGAGGATAGAAGTCCAAGATCAAGGTGTCAGCATGATTGATTTCTTCTGAGACCTCTCTCCTTGGCTTTTAGGTGGCCACCCTCTTCTGGTGTCTTCACATGGTCTTCCATCTATGTGTATCTGTGTTCTAATCTTCTCTTCTTATAAAGACACTAGCCATATTAAATTAAGACCCACCCATATGACCTCATTTTATTTTAATTACCTCTTTAAAGGTTTTTTCTACACATAGTCACATTTTGAGGCATCAGGTGTTAGAAATTTAATATCAGAATTTAGGGAAACACAGGTTATCTTATAACAACTTTAAAAAATGCAGGAGAAAATTTATGTAAAATTCTTTAAATCTATTAATGAAATGAAAGAAAGAAATACTCAGTCAAAAATTAAATGAAGAAGCAGCTACAAGGTATTTGCCTACCACTGAGGCTGGCTTTCACCTGGAGAGCATTGGCCTAACAATACAGGTGACCTTTACCTTTGGTTCTCAAGGTCTTTAGGACACCAAGAACAGAAGACATATCTCAGGGCATGCCTAAGGCAAGGAGTTTAATGAGAGTTGTTAAATTCCCACAGCTTCGTAAAACTGAAATTCCAAAAAAAACTTGAGATCACTTCCCAACGTATTGTAACAAAAATTGCCTGTACAAATCCGGATGGAGTATAATCTCTCTTACCATAAATATGTTCAATAAATTTAAGTACATTTTTAAAAGACTAACGTATGAGCAAGAAACTATTTTGAATGACCAAGAAGATTTAAAGAAAAGAATTTCTAAAAATGAAAAAGGTAATAATTGAAACTAAACACACAAGGGACTGATTTAACAACAGATCAGATGCAACTAAAGAGAGAATTACAGAACTAGAAAATATTTCTGAAAAAATTATCCAGAATGCAGCACAGAAAAAAGAAACAGAAAATAGAAAAAAAAATTTATAGAGAATAAAGTTGTAATTTCTAACATATATCTAATTAGCAATTTGGCATTTTCATATGGAGAGGAAAGAAAAAGTAGACTGAAGCAAAAGTTGTATTGAGGAGAATATTCCAGACCTAGCTAAAAAATATCAATCTAAATATTTTAAAATTTCAGTAAAACAGAACCAAATAAAAATAAATCTATACCAAAACACACTGTAGTGAATTTGTAAATATTGGGGCTCAGAGGATGATACCCCAGAGTATTATGCTTTGGCATGCTGAACGTTCTGTAATTAAAGGAAAGTAGAAGACCTTAGCAGCTGCTTCAGAAAAAAAAGGACTTCCTAATCTTCTCTTGCCCCACCTCTCATCCCAAGTGCAGAAAGGCAGTCTGTCTGGAAGTTCTCTTATTTTCCAAAACTTCTTCCTAAGGAAATGCAATTATTTTAAATCCCTCTTTCTAGGAATCTCATCAAATAACCAAGAAAGACTAACCAATAGAGGAAAAACCAAAAATCATCACCAGGCCCAGACAGATTTTTCATCTATTCTTCTGAGGGCAGCTCCACAAGATTACCTGGGAAACTTTATCTGCGTAATAAGACAATCTTTGTTCACAGTAAAGTTCTGCCCCTCGCCTTCCTGCAATCTGTTGTCACCTCCCCAGAACTTAGATGAACTTTGTCCCAAGCCATTGTCTGTTATTTGGGCCCATTCATTTCCCCTAAAATTGCCTACATCTCCTCATCTCTCTCTTTCCTATGAAGAGGGTACTATTTAAGTTTCAGCCATCTGGCCCTTCTTTGAGTTTTATATTTTGTATGGCTCTCATGCACACTCGCACATTAAAATTGTGTATGCCTTTTCTCCTGTTAGTCTGTCTATTGTCAGTTTATTTCAGAGAAACTTCAGAGGGCAGAGGGAAACTTTTCCCTTCACCCTAACATGGAACACTGCCATCAACAAAAGCAAAACCAAAGAAAAAAAAATTTAAGCTGACAGGATGATAGGAACCAGAAAGATTACCTTCAAATAAATGACAATTTAGGGCAGGCACAGTGGCTCACGCCTATAATCCCAACACTTTGGGAGGCTGAGGCAGGTGGATCACTCGAGGTCAGGAGTTCAAGACCAGCCTGGCCAACATGGAGAAACCCCATCTCTATTAAAAATACAAAAATTAGCTGGGCATGGTGGCATGCACCTGTAATCCCACCTACTTGGGAGGCTGAGAGGAGAATCACTTGAGGGTGCAGTGAGCCAAGATTGTGCCACTGCACTCCAGCCTGGGCAACAGAGCAAGACTCTATCTCAAAAAAAAAAAATGAGAATTTGACTGAGAACTGGCTTTTTAACTGCAACAGTAAAATCAGGAGACAGAGGGAGAAATTTCTTAAAGACATTGAGAGAAAATAATTATCACCTGGAATTCTATACCACCAGGAGTGGGACTTGTGGCTTAATTTGATGCAACACAGCAAACCTTACCTGGCCTAGACATAGACATGATTGACAGATTGAATGGCTTGTGTGAATGATGTTAATATAAAGACTTTTCAGATAAATGAAGACAGAGTTTTCTAAAAGCAGTTGCTAGTTAAAAGAAATTTTAATGGATCTTCTTCAGATGAAAGAAAAGGTTTTACAAATGGAGAGTCTGAGATAAAGAATATAAAAAGCATAAAAAGAGCATTGAAAGTGCTAACTACATGGATAAATTCTAATCAAATGCTGACTACGTAGCACAGTAAAAATAGTAATGTGTCATGAGTTTAAAAACACAACTTTTGTTTCTTTTTCCCTTTCAAGTAATGGAAGCATGAACATATCCACTATTCAGCTTTGTTCCTGCAGATGAACAATGCCATGGTTTGATGAACAAATGGGAAGAAACCTGGGCCCCTAAATGACTGTATGAAGACACTTTGCCTCCTGACCCACTCACCACAGAACTAGTATATAAAAGAGAAATTGACTTTCAATATCTTCAAGTCATTGTATTTTTGACATTAGAGTGTACCCACATCTAAATTACATGCCCTAGCATTTAATTTTGATCACTCACTTCTAACTTACATAATACTGTTGTGAACTACTTTAAAGAATGTCAGAAAATGTATATACTTAAAGACAAACTCAAAATTAAAAAAATAAATGACAGGACTACAAAGAGAAATAAACAAATGTTACACCAGGATGGAAGATTTTCACACAATTCTCTCTAGTGTGCAAAAAAAATTAGTAAGGATGCAGATAATGTTACCAACACAATTAATGAGCTTGAACTAATGAACATATTTAGAACATTTGTCCCAAAAATGGTGAAATACATATACTGTTCTAGCATATGTGGAATATTTATGAAAAATTACTACATACAGGGTCACAATAGTGTTGATAAACTTCAAAAAATTATTTTTACAAACTTTATTTTATGCATATAGTTCAATTAAGTAAGAAATTAATCACAAAAATATGACTTAAAAAACCCATACATGGCCGAGCACAGTGGCTCATGCATGTAATCCCAGCACTTTGGGAGGCAGAGGCGGGCAGATCACAAGGTCAGCAGATTCAGACCATCCTGTCCAACATGGTGAAACCCCATCTCTAGTAAAAATACAAAAATTATCTGGGTGTGGTGGCATGCACCTTTAATCCCAGCTAGTCGGGAGGCTGAGGCAGGAGAATCGCTTGAACCCAGGAGGGGGAGATTGCAGTGAGCCAGGATTGTGCCACTGTACTCCAGCCTGGGTGACAGAGTGAGACTCCATCTCAAAAAAAAAAAAAAAAAAAAAAAAAACCTGTACATTTAAATTAAGAAAAACACCTCTCCCTGACATGATTATTATGCATTGCATGCCCATATCAAAATATCTCATATAACCCATGTATAGACCTACATGTTATGTACCCATAAAAAATTAAAATAAAAAAAGAAGTACACTTCTAAATTGATTAGACACTTACCATATCTGTTCTAGATAGGGTCATATGCATAGTTCTTACCCACAGATTGTGAATGACAGCAATATATTATTTCCATTCTAAATCAGTTAAGAGCAGCTGGGCTTCACACACTTTTCTTTTTTCTTCAGTGACTTTCAAGACAATGTGTTAAAGATGGTAGCAGTACAAGATAGAAGCAGCCTGGATTCTTGAGTCACTTATTGCAGGATAGCTACCTTAGAGAGCCACCTAACAGGAATATCAGCATTGGTCTCTAAGAGCATGAAAAATAAACATTAATTGTTTTAAGCCACTGAGATCTTGGAGTTATTTGTTATAGCAGCTAATGCAGCTTATCCTGTTCTCCTGACTGTCTCAACACTACTGGGATAGACTTCATAAGATTATAGTTAAAGATTCTTGTATTACTCCTTTCTCTCAATGAATGTACAGGACAAAATTTCCTCAAAAGCTAGAGAGGGGAGTCAATTCTTAAGTAAGATGAGTTCATCATGTTACATAGAAGTTAAGCAGCTTAGCATTTGGAGTCAGAGAGATATGAATTTGAATATTGGCATCACCATTTAATTGAAACAGGATCTTGAGTCAATCATTTTTCTTCTTTCTCTGAGTTCATTTCCTCATCTGTAAAATAGCTATAGTCCTTTGAGTTTTAATAATTGTCTCAGGATTAAAGGAGAGAAAAATAGGTAAAATGCATAGCATGGTGTCTCCTTCATAGTCATTGCTCTCATTATTACAAAACTATTTTATTTAAAAGTAATATACTTCAATTAGAACCAATAATAGAATCTTTCTGTGAATGCTCTGCCCTCAGCCCTCCCCTAGTCTCTGCCCACAACTTTTTCTCTTCTGCTAACTTCCAAAACCACATGTGGTTACACAAGGTCTAAGAGAAACAAAAGTACACATATAGAAAGTGGATGCAAAGTTATATTAACAACCAAATATCAACATGAAGTCCCATGACCTACAGCTGGACTCCAAAGCCTCCAAGAATGCAGTTCCAGCCTAGGGATACCCAGTTCAATTCAGTTATGGCTCCTGCTCTTTGATTAATGTGAAAGTTTCCTTTATCCTTCTAAATAAACCCCTATTTTACTTGGGCAAATTTAGGTAGCAAATTTCTGTTCCTTGCAACCAAGAAGTCTGAACTAGTACAATTTATTCACATAACTTGAGTTATTATTTTCTTTTTCACTCTAAAGTAGCAGATACTTTGTCTGCATGCCAAAGTTGGTGCATGACACCAAAACAGAAAGGTATAAAGGCTACACACCCTCAAGTTTGCTTGAGAACACATTTGATTCTTATTTTACTAAATCAACACCATTGCTGTGCTGAAGACAATGTCTGTAGCTTTCCCATACGTGGAAATGAGCTCATTCCACCACTCAGTTCTCTTGGGGATTCTTCAGTTCCTTTGGAATCTTATGCAAATAAAAACAGTAGCCCTTTGGCAGCAACATTTAATCCATGTTCAAAGTAATCCAAGTGTCTTCATAGGTCAAAACTCCACAGACATTCCATTAAGTAAAAATTATAAATTATAATTAGTGTAAATACAAATAATGTAGACTGAGGCAGAGCACCAAAAGATGAAAGAATTTGAAATAAAAACCCAAAATAAAATAGAATAAGTGAATTTTTTGGCCTCCAACCTTACTCAACAATTTGCTGATGTTTTCAAGAAAGTAAATACTTTTAAACTACCCTCAAGACTTTTTATAAAAGTAGAAGCCCTGCCCAAAGGCAAACACTGCATTTATGTAGGTCTCTGGGACCAAGGAATGTGTGGCTACTTCTGACAGACAAGGCTTTTATCTACTTGGGAAATTCATGCTGGAGCATGCAAACCCATACACTGTATTCCAATGTGTTTTGCTGGAGGCAATTTGGAGTTGTTGCATTTAATTACCTCTGATCCAATACTTTGATATCTTGATTAATAAATCCTGGGGGAGAAATAGCTTTAGGAAAGTCAATTTAATTGTCGGAGACACTGGGACAGTCTGGCTCCTCAGCACTGCCATTTTGATTAAGTAGGAAGGCATTGGAGATAGCTAAGAAACAGTCCTCTCATCATTGTAGCTCTATGAGGAAAGAGATGTCACTGCCAGTATTCCACAGTGTGATTATATGAGTGGGACAGACATCAGCTACTGGGTGGGGCCTCTGTACGACTGGAAGAGATCCAACCGAAAGGTTTAAAAGACTCCCAATGTCATGTTGACACCACTAGATATGAAGGCCAACCCCTGAGAAAAATAAGGAAGAAAAAAATTATCCTAGATTACCTCCGTTTCAATCCCTCTACAGTCAATACCCATGTCCTATAGATCCTCCCTCTACAATGTGTCTCAAACTTATTCTTTCCTTTCCATTCCTACTGTCAATGCCTTCATCGAGCCATCATCATTTCTCTACCACAGCCTGCTGACTGTACCCTTTATCCAAATCTTTGTTACATAAATATGATCATACAACAACCTCTTTAAACTCTCTAAAGCTATCTTATCCTATACTACAAAGTTCCCCATTTCAAGTTCCCCATGAAATCACATGCAAATTTTGGTGCATATGTTAACTTTTTTCTGAATAAAGGTATTGTAACTTTCATCAGATTGTCAAATGGGTCATTGACCTGAAAAGCTAAGGCCAACTAGTACACACACCAAATTCAAACTCTTCTGCTTTGTATACAAGATCACCCATGAGCTGCCTACCTTCCCCAGACATACTACCTGCCACTCTGCTGTGGGTTCTACCTATACAAAATGTGTCCTACCTCTGGGACTTGTACCTTGTAATTCCTTCTCCCTACAATATTCACTTGACTAATTCCTACTACTGTTTCATCATCTCTTCCTCTGTGAAAAATCCTTGAAGCTTCCATCCAATGACCAGACAGAATTAATGATTTTCCCTTTTGTGTTCCTACATAGTCATGTTCACACTTCCATTAAAGCATTTATGCATTGACTAATTATCTGCTTAAATATCAGTTTTCCTACTAAGAGTGAGCTTCATGAGGGCAAGAATCATTTCTTAAATGCCTGCCCTGCCAAGTGTGGGAATCGACTTCTCTAAATATACTACTGTATTCCTTATTTATTTATTTATTTATTTATTTGAGATGGAGTTTCACTCTTATTGCCCAGGCTGGAGTGCAATGGCATGATCTTGGCTCACTGCAATCTCTGCCTCCTGGGTTCAAGCAATTCTCCTGGCTCAGCCTCCTGAGTAGCTGGGATTACAGGCACCCACCACCACACTCGGGTAATTTTCTTTCTTTTTTTTTTTTTGTATTTTTAGTAGAGATGGAGTTTCACCATGTTGGCCAGGCTGGTCTTGAACTCTTGACCTTAGGTGATCCACCTGCCTCAACCTCCCAAAGTACTGGGATTACAGGCATGAGCCACTGTGCCAAGCCTATTATATTCTTATAATATTTAATATCTGTATCATTAATTCTTCACTTTTTCCAGGTACAGACTCCTGTCAGCTGGAGTTGTACAACTGCAGTGGGATTTATTTGCATAGAATGTACAATAGCAGCTGTCCTGCCTTTGACAATCTAAGAAAACCTATGGGTCTGCATTCCTAAATATGCATGATCACACATAACAAGATTTTACATAGATTGTTAGGGGGTTCTATGTTCCATTTGTAAAGATTCAAGAATGCCAGGTTAAAAACTCTTATCTATAATAATCAAGTTTCTATCATCAGAAAGAGACATAAAACACATTCTTTTTATCTACCCTTGGTATTTCAATCCCAGAAGCAGAACTAAAACTTTTCCTTAAAAAGAAAATAAATTTTGAAATCAGATAAAACTGATTTTGAAATTCAACTGAGTCACCTTAACTGTGTGATCCTAGACCAGTTATTTAATAATTGACATCCTGGATCTTACCTCACCTCTACAATGGGAAATGAAAGCTGTCCAATGGGGTTGCATAAAGACTAAATGAAGCATCTCAAGTAAAGGGCCTAGAGGAAAGCTGACCCTCCATAAATGCTAGTACCTTCCTTCCTGTCCCACCTCACTGCACCTCTCAAATGAACTACATAAACCAGTTTTAAATGACTATGCAGAACATGTTTCTCTCTTTCCCTACCTGTCTCCCACAGGTTAATATTCCTTCTGGTACTATTGGATGAGGAGCTCCTTTTCACTTATTCCATCTTCACATACTGTTCTCCCTGTGTCTGTCTCTGTTTTCATATGGCCATCTTCTTATAAGGACAACTTATCTTCACATACTGTTCTCCCTGTGTCTCTGTTTTCATATGGCCATCTTCTTATAAGGACAACATATTGAATTGGGCCCCACCTACTCCAATATATCTCATCTTAACTAATTACACCTGTAATGGCCCTATTTTCAAATAAAGTTACATTTGGAGTTACTGGAGATTAGGACATATATATATATATATATATATATATATATATATATATATATATGTATACTGAAGGAGGTTGGGGGAAACAATTCAGCACTAACAACCAGCAGATGTGAAAACAAAGTGCCAAAGAGAGAAAAGAGAAGCTAGACAAGAAATTTTAAGAAATAATGGCCAAGATTTTTCTAAAATTGAAAAGAATTATCAACTAACAGGTTCAAAATCTCAGCAAATTTAAACAGGATGAATACAAAGAAAGCCACACAGTGGCACATCAAAGTCAAACTGCTGTAAATTTAAAAAAGAAAAAAATCACAAAAGCAGCTGGAGGGAAAAAGAGAGAGAGAGAGGTTAAATTCAAGGGAAAAAGAGCAAGAAACACAGCTGACTTTTATACAATAAGTATAGAAGACACAGGACAATGGGACTATATCTTTAAAGTGTTGTAAGAAAAATAAACTGCCAACCTAAAAATCTATACCCAGCAAAATATATATATCAAAAATGAAGGTGAAATAAATCTGTTTTCTGACAAGCAAAACATGGGTATATTTGCCATAAGCAGCCAGCGTTACATAAAGTTCTTTATAATGAAGAGAAATTATTCCAGATGGATACACTGAGACAGAGGAAATACGGAAGAGCACCAGAGGGGTAAGTATGTGAGAAAATATTAAAAAGTTATTTCTGATATGTTAAAAGGTGCTTACCATGTAAAGCAATAACAATAACAATGTATTTAGATGTGTATAACATATATAAAAGTAAAATATATGACAAAATAGCACTATGGAGTAGTAAATAGAATTTTACTGTGGTAAGAGTCTAACATTTGTGTGTGTGAAGTGGTAAAATACTAATTCAAAGTCAACTGTGATAAGTAAAAGATGTATATTGTAATCTCTAGTCCTCAAATAAAAATATCCAAAAAAGTATAAGTAAAAAGCCTGTCAAAGGGATGAAATGGAATCATAATAATAATTGATTTGTCACAAAACAGGCAAGAAAGCAGAATAAAAGGGAAAAAAGTGATGTTTCAAATAAAAAACAAAGAGCAAGATAGTAGACATAACACCAGCTATATATAAATTTTAAGGCAAGAAGAATAACCAGAAATAAACAGAATAAAAATGATTTTTAAAAAGTTAATTCAACAGTAAGATAAAAAAATAAACATGTGTATACCTAATAGCATAATTTCATAATTTAATATGAAGTACTCATTGGCAAAATAAAGGAGAGAAATGAAAGAAATAAAGAGAAATCTAAAAATTCATAAATACAACTGGAAATTTAAGTATTATTAATTTTTCTCACATCTATCTAAAAAACAGTGAAAAAGAAAAATGATGGGAAGCAATGGAAATTTGTGACTCATTGTTAGATAAAGAGATTCTCAGATGGACACATGAGCAGTTTTTTCAGAAGTCACTTAGGGTAGATCCACACAGAAATTTCAAGGTGAAAGTGGTTTGTGAAACTGCTGTATTTTGGGGAGGAGTGATTTGTTTGACTTTTTAACCCTTCAGTTTAGTCCAAAGTGTAAAGCAAAATCCAGGAGCTAAGCTACCAGCCCTTTATCTAGACATAGCACCATCCTAAATTCAAATAGGATTACTATTTTATTAAATGCCTTTGTTTGTAAACATTTTCAGATGTGAACCTAACATTAGGATGCACCATAATGAAATTGCTGTTTCAGTAGGTCAAAATTGGTTGAACATCAGCAATGTCATACATTTGACCTAATATACTTACATATGTGTATACTGTAATATAAAAATAAATTTCTCCTTTAGAGTTTTCACACATCAGAACATACTTAATGTTCTCACAGCATTTTTGAGTGATACAAAGTGTTGTCAGTAGAAAGATAATCTCTAATAAGTAGAAAATACTCCATTAAACCCATCTTTCTAGATAGATAGATAGATAGATAGATAGATAGATAGATAGATAGGCAGGCAGGCAGGCAGGCAGGCAGGCAGAGACAGGTATAGAATGTTAGAAGTGACTACTTCTAACATACTATCATATTTTAGTATATTTAGTATATTAATATACTACTATCATATTTTAACTATTAGTTTTACAAATGACATCAAACAGAGCTCCCTACAGATATCCACATTGTGAAATGTTCATCACCTTAAAATACACTGTTTCAAATGAGTCAATAGTAATTTCAGGTAAACAGAGCCTTTACTGAGTTTTTGTCATTCGTCTTGATTCTTAACAAACTCTTTATGACTACTCCATGATCTGTTCTCTGCCTATGCTATATCTTATTTTCTCCTGCTCCTAATCCCCTTCCTCTGTTGCTACAATCTAGCAACTACAACACTAAGACCTCACACTTCAGCATCTTGATTGAACCATTAGTCTCCAATTCATTGATCCATTTTAGCCACCGTATCTCTTTCACAATAGGTTCTATTCTTATCAGTTGGCTTAGAATCAGGCCTTAAACTTCCAAGCCCCCATCAATCAATGAAAGGAAAATTTTTTTATTATTTATCTCATTTTTTTCCTTCTTCAAAATGTCAAGGAAAAAATAAATCAAGGTGCCTGAAAGATGATAAACTTTTTTCACCTATAGAATATATTAATTATGCTTAAAATGCTTTGTTAAAACACTGAACTCTATATTAAAAGGGTTTTAAAGACTGGGTGCAGTGGCTCATACCTGTAATCCCAGCACTCTGGGAGGCCGAGGCGGGAGGATCACGAGGTCAGGAGATCGAGACCATCCTGGCTTACGTGATGAAACCCCATCTCTACTAAAAATACAAAAAATTAGCCGGGCGTGGTGGCAGGCGCCTGTAGTCTCAGCTACTCAGGAAGCTGAAGCAGGAGAATGGCGTGAACCTGGGAGGCGGAGCCAAGATCGCACCACTACACTCCAGCCTGGGTGACAGAGCAAGACTCTGTCTCAAAAAAAAAAAAGGGGGGGTTTTAAGATATGCTAAAGGTCCAAATATTATTATGGAATTATGCTTATAACTGCTAATGATATAAAAATAGTACATGAGAAGACATTCTAGAAACTTTTGACAAATAGGCAAGATAAGTATGTGCTACATGTCATTGTCTTGCCAAAATTCTTACAGCCATTTCCAGGGTCAAACTTTACTAAGGCAGACTCACTAAAACATAAACCTCCAATAATAACTCATCCATGATGACAACTAGGATCGATTTGATGGTTAAAGGTGAGTCACTCAGGAAATATGAATTTGCTGAGATTATAAAGAGAATTACTAAAAAGAAAGAAAGAAGTCACTAAAGCATCTGTATTCACCAGCCTCCTGAACTCATACCCATAGAACCATCTAGGTCTACAAGCATAATTATTTCACAACCATGGAAATAATTTTTTCCCTTGGACAGATTTATTGAAGCTAAGAAAGAGTTTGAATTAAAAGAGAATGTATTTCCCCTCCAGATCATGAATAAGTATGGAAAGAAAAGAACAAAGTATACCTTTAAAATGTTTCTTATTAACTTGGTTAAAAAGGCTTATACATTTTAAAAGTTATATTAACATTTTAAGTAATGTAATTAAACATTTAACAAACATGTCTCTGTTTTAAAATAATTTTACTTTGTTATTGAAGAAATTTTAAATGACTTAAATATTAATTATTTTATTTTCATTTATGCCCATAAAGAATTAGCTGTTACAGGAATTGCTGTCCCATCGTTTACATGTAGGAACACACATAAAATATTTGAAACAACTCTTTTTAGACACTGACAACAGGCAGCACAGGAAATTAATTTCTGAGTTAAAGAAAACAAATTAAATAAGCTCCGGGATTGCTCCCAGCTTACTGCCTGGAAGCATTTGCCAGGCTAAAGGGCCAGGATGGGGAGTTCATCAGTTCTTTCAGAATTAAGGAAACAAAGGTCAGGACATTCAGGGAAGTTGAAGCATCTAATGTTTTGCAGGGCAGAGTACTGAAGAAGCAGCAGCTACGTGGAAAGAGAGCTCTGGAGACCTGAAGCAAAAGGAAAAGTATATATTTGCAGATAAATTATAGCATGTTTATCCTTTGCGTGTCAGTTCTCTATTGCCACAGTAAACTGCATAACAAAGAACTACAAAACCTCAGAGCATACAAAAATAAACATTTACATCTGTTCATGACTGTTAATTGGTTGGCATTCTGTTCAGATGAGCTGTGCTTGGTAGGGCTCACTTATGGTCAGCGGTCAGTTTGGGGTTGACTAGGCAGCTTTGCTGAAGTTGACTGGGATCTCTCATATATCCGGGGCCTCAACTGGGGGAACTGGGTTGACTCAGCTCTATTTCATATGTCTCATGATCCATCAGACTAGCCTAGGAATTTTCTTATGATGTAGGCAGAAGAGCAAGAAAAAGGAAGCCCAATCATTCAAGCTTCCCATTAATCAAAGCAAGGCATTTAAGCCCAGAGTCACAGTGGAAGAGGACAACAAAGATACAGGGCAAACAGCATGATATAAGGAAGCCATTAACTGGGGCCATTGATACAATCAACCTACCACACTGTCTCATTAATTTTAGCAATCTTTTTCTTGAACTAAACTCACTATCTTTCACTGTCATATAATTGCCAGGGTTTTAAATTTAGCAAATGTGGAATAGGAGCCAAGACAGCTGAATAGGAACAGCTCCAGTCTACAGCTCCCAGTGTAAGTGACACAGAAGATGGGTGATTTCTGCATTTTCATCTGAGGTACCGGGTTCATCTCACTAGGGAGTGCCAGACAGTGGGTGCAGGACAGTGGGTGCAGCACACCGTGCACGAGCCGAAGCAGGGCGAGGCATTGCCTCACTCGGGAAGCCCAAGGGGTCAGGGAGTTCCCTTTCCTAGTCAAAGAAAGGGGTGATGGACGGCACCTGGAAAATCTGGTCACTCCCACCCTCATACTGCGCTTTTCCGACGGGCTTAAAAAACAGCGCACCAGGAGATTATATCCCGCACATGGCTCAGAGGATCCTATGCCCACGGGGTCTTGCTGATTGCTAGCATAGCAGTCTGAGATCAAACTGCAAGGCGGCAGCGAGGCTAGGGGAGGGGCGCCCGCCATTGCCCAGGCTTGCTTAGGTAAACAAAGCAGCCGGGAAGCTCAAACTGGACGGAGCCCACCACAGCTCAAGGAGGCCTGCCTGCCTCTGTAGGCTCCACCTCTGGGGGCAGGGCACAGACAAACAAAAAGACAGCAGTAAACTCTGCAGACTTAAATGTCCCTCTCTGACAGTTTGAAGAGAGCAGTGGTTCTCCCAGCATGCAGCTGGAGATCTGATAACGGGCAGACTGCCTCCTCAAGTGGGCCCCTGACCCCTGACCCCCGAGCAGCCTAACTGGGAGGCACCCCCCAGTAGCAGCAGACCGACACCTCACACGGCCGGGTACTGCTCTGAGACAAAACTTCCAGAGGAATGATCAGACAGCAGCATTCGCGGTTCACAAAAATCCGCTGTTCTGCAGCCACCGCTGCTGATACCCAGGCAAACAGGGTCTGGATTGGACCTCTAGCAAACTCCAACAGACCTGCAGCTGAGGGTCCTCTCTGTCAGAAGAAAAACTAACAAACAAAAGGACATCCACACCAAAAACCCATCTATACATCACCATCATCAAAGACCAAAAGTAGATAAAACCACAAAGATGGGGAAAAAACAGCAGAAAAACTGGAAACTCTAAAAAGCAGAATGCCTCTCCTCCTCCAAAGGAATGCAGATCCTCACCAGCAACGGAACAAAGCTGGATGGAGAATGACTTTGATGAGTTGAGAGAAGGCTTCAGATGATCAAACTACTCCAAGCTATAGGAGGAAATTCAAACCAAAGGCAAAGAAGTTAAAAACTTTGTAAAAAATTTAGATGAATGTATAACTAGAATAACCAATACAGAGAAGTGCTTAAAGGAGCTGATGGAGCTGAAAGCCAAGGCTCGAGAACTATGTGAAGAATGCAGAAGCCTCAGGAGCTGATGCGATCAACTGGAAGAAAGGGTATCAGTGATGGAAGATGAAATGAATGAAATGAAGCGAGAAGGGAAGTTTAGAGAAAAAAGAATAAAAAGAAATGAACAAAGCCTCCAAGAAATATGGGACTATGTGAAAAGACCAAATCTACGTCTGATTGGTGTACCTGAAAGTGATGGGGAGAATGGAACCAAGTTGGAAAACACTCTGCAGGATATTATCCAGGAGAACTTCCCCAAGCTAGCAAGGCAGGCCAACATTCAGATTCAGGAAATACAGGGAATGCCACAAAGATACTGCTCGAGAAGAGCAACTCTAAGACACATAATTGTCAGATTCACCAAAGTTGAAATGAAGGAAAAAATGTTAAGGGCAGCCAGAGAGAAAGGTCGGGTTACCCACAAAGGGAAGCCCATCAGACTAACAGCTGATCTCTCAGCAGAAACTCTACAAGCCAGAAGAGAGTGGGGGCCAATATTCAACATTCTTAAAGAAAAGAATTTTCAACCCAGAATTTCATATCCAACCAAACTAAGCTTCATAAGTGAAGGAGAAATAAAATACTTTACAGACAAGCAAATGCTGAGAGATTTTGTCATCACCAGGCCTGCCCTAAAAGAGCTCCTGAGGGAAGCACTAAACATGGAAAGGAACAACCAGTACCAGCCACTGCAAAATCATGCCAAATTGTAAAGACCATCGAGGTTAGGAAGAAACTGCATCAACTAACGAGCAAAATAACCAGCTAACATCATCATGACAGGATCAAATTCACACATAACAATATTAACTTTCAATGTAAATGGACTAAATGCTCCAATTAAAAGACACAGACTGGCAAATGGGATAGAGTCAAGACCCATCAGTGTGCTGTATTCAGGAAACCCATCTCATGTGCAGAGACACACATAGGCTCAAAATAAAAGGATGGAGGAAGATCTACCAAGCAAATGGAAAACAAAAAAAGGCAGGGGTTGCAATCCTAGTCTCTGATAAAACAGACTTTAAACCAACAAAGATCAAAAGTGACAAAGAAGGCCATTACATAATGGTAAAGTGATCAATTCAACAAGAAGAGCTAACTATCCTAAATATATAGGCACCCAATACAGGAGCACCCAGATTCATAAAGCAAGTCCTGAGTGACCTACAAAGAGACTTAGACTCCCACACAATAATAATGGGAGACTTTAACATCCCACTGTCAACATTAGACAGATCAACGAGACAGAAAGTTAACAAGGATACCCATGAATTGAACTCAGCTCTGCACCAAGCGGACCTAATAGACATCTACAGAACTCTCCACCCCAAATCAACAGAATATACATTCTTTTCAGCACCACACCACACCTACTCCAAAATTGACCACATAGTTGGAAGTAAAGCTCTCCTCAGCAAATGTAAAAGAACAGAAACTATAACAAACTCTCTCTCAGACCACAGTGCAATCAAACTAGAACTCAGGATTAAGAAACTCACTCAAAACCACTCAGCTATATGAAAACTGAACAACCTGCTCCTGAATGACTACTGGGTACATAACGAAATGAAGGCAGAAATAAAGATGTTCTTTGAAACCAATGAGAACAAAGACACAACATACCAGAATCTCTGGGACACATTCAAAGCAGTGTGTAGAGGGAAATTTATAGCACTAAATGCCCACAAGAGAAAGCAGGAAAGATCCAAAATTGACACCCTAACATCACAATTAAAAGAACTAGAAAAGCAAGAGCAAACACATTCAGAAGCTAGCAGAAGGCAAGAAATAACTAAGATCAGAGCAGAATTGAAGGAAATAGAGACACAAAAAACCCTTCAAAAAATTAATGAATCCAGGAGGTGGTTTTTTGAAAGGATCAACAAAATTGATAGACCACTAGCAAGACTAATAAAGAAGAAAAGAGAGAAGAATCAAATAGACACAATAAAAAATGATAAAGGAGATATCACCACCAATCCCACAGAAATACAAACTACCATCAGAGAATACCACAAACACCTCTATGCAAATAAACTAGAAAATCTAGAAGAAATGGATAAATTTCTTGACACATACATCCTCCCAAGACTAAACCAGGAAGAAGTTGAATCTCTGAATAGACCAAAAACAGGATCTGAAATTGTGGCAATAATCAATAGCTTACCAACCAAAAAGAGTCCAGGACCGGATGGATTCACAGCCGAATACTACCAGAGGTACAAGGAGGAACTGGTACCATTCCTTCTGAAACTATTCCAATTAATAGAAAAAGAGGGAATCCTCCCTAACTCATTTTATGAGGCCAGCATCATCCTGATACCAAAGCCAGGCAGAGACACAAGCAAAAAACAGAATTTTAGACCAATATCCTTGATGAACATTGATGCAAAAATCCTCAATAAAATACTGGCAAACCAAATCCAGCAGCACATCAAAAAGCTTATCCACCATGTTCAAGTGGGCTTCATCCCTGGGATGCAAGGCTGGTTCAATATACGCAAATCAATAAATGTAATCCAGCATATAAACAGAACTAAAGACAAAAACCACATGATTATCTCAATAGATGCAGAAAAGGCCTTTGACAAAATTCAACAACGCTTCATGCTAAAAACTCTCAATAAATTAGGTATTGATGGGATGTATCTCAAAGTAATAAGAGCTATCTATGACAAACCCACAGCCAATATCATATTCAATGGGCAAAAACTGGAAGCATTCCCTTTGAAAATGGGCACAAGACAGGGATGCCCTCTCTCACCACTCCTATTCAACATAGTGTTGGAAGTTCTGGCCAGGGCAATTAGGCAGGAGAAGGAAATAAAGGGTATTCAATTAGGAAAAGAGGAAGTCAAATTGTCCCTGTTTGCAGATGACATGATTGTATATCTAGAAAACCCCATTGTCTCAGCCCAGAATCTCCTTGAGCTGATAATCAACTTCAGCAAAGTCTCAGGATACAAAATCAATGTACAAAAATCACAAGCATTCTTATACACCAATAACAGACAAACAGAATGCCAAATCGTGAGTGAACTCCCATTCACAATTGCTTCAAAGAGAATAAAATACCTAGGAATCCAACTTACAAGGGACATGAAGGACCTCTTCAAGGAGAACTACAAACCACTGCTCAGTGAAATAAAAGAGGATACAAACAAATGGAAGAACATTCCATGCTCATGGGTAGGAAGAATCAATATCGTGAAAATGGCCATACTGCCCAAGGTAATTTATAGATTCAATGCCATCCCCATCAAGCTACCAATGACTTTCTTCACAGAATTGGAAAAAACTACTTTAAAGTTCATAGGGAACCAAAAAAGAGCCCGCATCGCCAAGTCAATCCTAAGCCAAAAGAACAAAGCTGGAGGCATCATGCTACCTGACTTCAAACTATACTACAAGGCTACAGTAACCAAAACAGCATGGTACTGGTACCAAAACAGAGATATAGATCAATGGAACAGAACAGAGCCCTCAGAAATAATGCCGCATATCTACAACTATATGATCTGTGACAAACCTGAGAAAAGCAAGAAATGGGGAAAGGATTCCCTGTTTAATAAATGGTGCTGGGAAAACTGGCTAGCCATATGTAGAAAGCTGAAACTGGATCCCTTCCTTACACCTTATACAAAAATTAATTCAAGATGGATTAAAGACTTAAACGTTAGACCTAAAACCATAAAAACCCTAGAAGAAAACCTAGGCATTACCATTCAGGACATAGGCATGGGCAAGGACTTCATGTCTAAAACACCAAAAGCAATGGCAACAAAAACCAAAATTGACAAATGGGATCTAATCAAACTAAAGAGCTTCTGCACAGCAAAAAAAACTACCATCAGAGTGAACAGGCAACCTACAAAATGGGAGAAAATTTTCGCAACCTACTCATCTGACAAAGGGCTAATATCCGGAATCTACAATGAACTCAAACAAATTTACAAGAAAAAAACAACCCCATCAAAAAGTGGGTGAAGGACATGAACAGACACTTCTCAAAAGAAGACATTTATGCAGCCAAAAAATACATGAAAAAATGCTCACCATCGCTGGCCATCAGAGAAATGCAAATCAAAACCACAATGAGATACCATCTCACACCAGTTAGAATGGCAATCATTAAAAAGTCAGGAAACAACAGGTGCTGGAGAGGATATGGAGAAATAGGAACACTTTTACACTGTTGGTGGGACTGTAAACTAGTTCAACCATTGTGGAAGTCAGTGTGGCGATTCCTCAGGGATCTAGAACTAGAAATACCATTTGACCCAGCCATCCCATTACTGGGTATACACCCAAAGGACTATAAATCATGCCGCTATAAAGACACATGCACACGTATGTTTATTGCGGCACTATTCACAATAGCAAAGACTTGGAACCAACCCAAATGTCCAACAATGATAGACTGGATTAAGAAAATGTGGCACATATACACCATGGAATACTATGCAGCCATAAAAAATGATGAGTTCATGTCCTTTGTAGGGACATGGACGAAATTGGAAATCATCATTCTCAGTAAACTATCGCAAGGACAAAAAACCAAACACCGCATGTTCTCACTCATAGGTGGGAACTGAACAATGAGAACACATGGACACAGGAAGGGGAACATCACACTCTGGGGACTGTTGTGGGGTGGGGCGAGGGTGGAGGGATAGCATTAGGAGATATACCTAATGCTAAATGACGAGTTAATGGGTGCAGCATACCAGCATGGCCCATGTATACATATGTAACTAACCTGCACATTGTGCACATGTACCCTAAAACTTAAAGTATAATAATAATAAAATAAAATAAAATAAATTTAGCAAATATTTTTCTTGAAATGTATGTAGTGCACTTGTGTCACTAAGTCATATATATCTTTTTAAAAATAATTTGAATTCCAGGGTCAGCTAGTGCTATGGTTTGGGTGTAGTTTGTCCCCTCCAAAACTCCTGTGGAAATTTGATCCCCAATGTGCTGTGTTGGGAAGTGGTGTTTAGTGGGAGGTGTTTGGGTCACAGGGCAGATCCCTCATTAATAGATTAATGCCCTACCATGAGGATGAGTCAGTTCTAGTTCTCCTGGGGATAGGTTAGTCCCCATGACAGCTGGTTGTTGTTGTTGTTGTTGTTGTTTTTAAAAAAAAAGCCTGGCTTCCTAGGTTTCTCTCTCTTGCTTTCTCTCTTGCTGTGTAAGCTGTTTGTACATGCCTACTCTCCTCCTGTTTTCCACCATGAGTTGAAGCACTCTGAGACTCTCACTAGATGTAGATCCCCAATCTTGAACCTTCCAGCCACCAAAATCATAAGCCAAACAGACCTCTTTTCTTTATAAAATTCACAGCCTTGGGTATTCTGTTATAGCACCACTAAACAGACTAAGGAACTAACAGATTTCCATTTTTCTATATTCTCACTCAATTCTACATAAGATGGATTATCTCTGATTAAATGTGCCACTTTCCAAATCTTAACTCATCTTCTTAGAAAACATGAGAGTAACATTGATAATATAAAATAATCAAAGATTATATGATCTCCAGTAATTGTCCAGGTAATTAAAAGTCAATTTGATATTATTCTGAGGCTTAAAAGTATTTTCTTACTCAGCATTGGGCACATCTGCCTTCTTCATCTTGAAAACTTGACTATGATATCTCATTAGCTTATAATTCCTTGCAATAAAATTAGAATTGTTTTATTGCTACCAGGTATGCTATCAGATTGTACGTAAAGCTTTTGAGGTATGTTTTTTGAAATAGATAGAAAAACCTTAAAACTTTGTAAGATTTCTTTTTTTACTATTCTTCTAGGTAAATATTCAGATACCAATAATAGCCAAATACTGTTGTTGTCGTTGTCGTTTTCATTGTTGTTGTCGTTTGACATGGAGTCTCGCTCTGTTGAAGAGACTGGAATACAGTGGCATGATCTCGGCTCACTACAACCTCCACCTCCCAGGTTCAAGTGATTCTCCTGCCCCAGCCTCCCAAGTAGCTAGGATTGTAGGCATGCACCACCACACTCGGCTAATTTTTTATATTTTTGGTAGAGATGGGGTTCCACCATGTTGGCCACGCTGGTCTCAAACTCATGACCTCAAGTGATCCGCCTGCCTTGGCCTCCCAAATCAAATACTGTTTTTGATACCTAAAAACAAAAGTTAATCTAAGGCAAGTTCTCAGTCTATTCTGTGCATTCAGAAAGGCTTTCTAAAATGAATCTAAGTGATGAATTAGAGAGACAATATTCAATATGTTTATCAAGCCTTTATTGTCATATCTTTATATGAACAATTTTCTTATCTCGAAAATTTCTACTCAAGTCCAACACAAGCGATCACTCAAACCACAGAGCAATATTATACCTAAGAAGCTGTCCATACAATGTCATATACCTGGTAAACATGCCAGCCAAAAAAAAAAAAAAAGCTATCTGTTCAGGATAGTAAAGGGATGAGATTCTCTTGAAATCAGATGTCTTCCTAAATTTCTTTTCAATCCTAAATTTTACAGTACATAGTCCCTTTGAATTCAATTCTTGCTGCTATGCAAAGTTTTCCTCGGTAAATACATGGGGCCTGGAAGAAGTAAGAAAACCATAGCTTCCTTTATCTGCTCATTTTCATTGTCATCACCTCCTTTACTGCAGAAATATATGGATGCATAAAAACTCCCTGCAAAGATAGTGTATACATGGCTTCTTTTTGAAACTTTGGCTTCTTTTTAAAATGATATGTATGTTATAGACACTGAGAGTACATTAATTACACAGAAAATGCAACACATTTTCTTAACAATCCAGACACATGTATAATTTATGAATCATCAATTTTGTGTCATGATTCAAAATTCTAATTGTCTTATGAGCATATGTCTTGGAAGACATTTCTAATGATACAAACTAGAGGAATTATAGCCCTATTTTTGGTTGGTCTTAACATAATAATTTTGATGCTATGAAAATTTAAGTTCCATGCCTACCGTCCATAAAACGTTTAATAGCCGCTAAATGACAAGCAGCTTTTGAAATCACTTCCAACTGAATACATTTTTCTTTGAAGGGTAGAATGATGTCCAACATTTGCATGTTATCAATGGGTTTTTTGGTTAAAAATCAAATAACAACTATTTAAATAATTCTAGCCAAACCTTGCAAGACTTTACATCATGTCTAAGAGAAATTCTGAACCTTGTGTTCTAAGAGTAAATTGTTTCTTCAAACAGAGAGATTATTCCAAAAACCAGATGTGATGATAGAATCTGATAAAGGAAGTTTACCTTTTATAAGTAATTGACAAATAATTTATATTTAATGCTTTTTGCCTTTAGAAGAAATAAGACAAGCATGTTTTGCTCAATTTCCTAATCTTCAGACTAAAAAATGAAATATACAAGCTGTCAAATGTGAGACATCACTGCCAAACTGAAACCTATTACAAAATAAAGCTTAGTGTTGCTTAGTTGATATTGTGATATTATTTTCAGTGAAGTAAGAATATATTCAGGCAAGTTGTAAAATAATATGAATGATACTTTTTTTCTCTTATGCATGAGAAAAAATGAGTAATACTTTTATTGAATGCAAGATTTAGAAAATTTGTCCTTTCTTATTTTTCCTAGCAGTTGCAAAGGTGGTTAACAGACTGAGCTTTAGAATAGAAATGGCTTAGGTTCAAATTCTGTTTTTTTTGTTTTGTTTTGTTTTGTTTTTTGAGAAAGAGTCTCGCTCTGTGGCCCAGGCTGGAGTGCAGTGGTGCCATCTCGGCTCACTGCAGGCTCCGCCTCCCCGGTTCACACCATTCTCCTGCCTCAGCCTCCCAAGTAGCTGGGACTACAGGCACCCACCACCACATCCAGCTAATTTGTTGTATTTTTAGTAGAGACGGGGTTTCACTGTGTTAGCCAGGATGGTCTCAATCTCCTGACCTCATGATCTGCCCACCTCAGCCTCCCAAAGTGCTGGGATTACAGGCGTGAGCCACTGCGCCCAGTCAAGTTCAAGTTCTTTATTTTTTTGAGGTGGCATCTCACTGTGTTGCCCAGGTTGGAGTGCAGTGCTGCAATTTTGACTCACTCCACCTCCCAGGCTCAAGCAATCCTCCCACCTTAGCCTCCTGAGCAGCTGGGACCACAAGCATGCACCATCACACCTGGGTAATTTTCTTGTATTTTTGCTGAGATAGGGAGGGTTTCAGCATGCTGTTCAGGCTGGTCTTGGACTCCTGAGCTCAAGCAATTCACCTGCCTCAGCCTCCCAAAGTGCTGGGATAACAGGCATGAGCCACTGCACCCCACCGCTTTATCTTTAAACTTTTATTCTTTTAAAAGATAGAGACTGAGTCTTGCTATGTTCCCCAAGCTGGTCTTGAACTCCATACTCAAGCAATCAACCCACCTCAGCCTCTCAAAGTGCTGGGATTACAGGCATACGCCATGGCTCCCGGCCATAGGTTCAAATTCTGATAATAATTTGAATCTGTAATTCATTTTGAACTGAGAGCAAGAAAAAAATAAATTCTTAGAAACATGCAACCTACCAAGACTGAATCATGAAGAAACAGAAAATCTGAACAGACTCATAACTAGAACTGTAGCTAGTAAGGAGATTTTGCCAGTGATCAAAAATCTTTCAGCAGCAACAACAACGAAAAAGCCTGGGACCAGAGGACTTCACAGGTGAATTCTGCCAAGCATTTAAAGAATGACCACCAACCCTTCTGTTACTCTTCCAATAAATGGAAGAGGAGGAGGGAATACTTTCAAACTTATTTTGTGAGGCTAGCATTACCCTGATACCAAAGCCAGAAAAAGACACTACCCCCCCCCCCCCAAAAAAAAAAAAACCTTCAGGCCAATATCCCTGATGAACATAGATGCAGAAATCCCCATCAAAATATTAGCAAACTGAATTCAACTGCACATTAAAAGGATTACACATCATAACCAAGTGGGATTTATTCCTGGAATGGAAGGGTGGTTCAACAAAGGAAAAATCAATTAATGTGACATTAAGAAAATAAAGGATAAAACTCACATGACCATCTCAATAGATGCAGAAAAAGCATTTGACAAAACTCAACACCCTTACATAATTTAAAAAAAAAAAAACAAGAATAGTAGGCAATTACCTTAACATGGTAAAACCTACAACAAATATCATGGTCAATAGTGAAAGACTAAAAACTTTTCCACTAAGATCAAGAACAAAGCAAAGATGCTCACTCTCACCACTTCCATTCAATACAGTAATGGACATCCTAGCCTGAGGAATTAGACAAGAGAAAAAGTAAAAGGCATCCAAACTAGAAAGAAAGAAGTAAAATTATTTCTACTTGGAAATGACTTGATCTTATATTTATAGGAAACCCTAAAGATTCCACACAAAAACAACTGTTAAAACTATTAAAGTCAGTAATGCTGTAGGATACAAAATCAATATAGAACATTCAGTGGCATTTCCGTATACTAACATCAAACAACCTGAAAAAGAAATTAAGAAAACAATTCCATTCACAATAGCAACAAAAAGAATAAAATATCTAGAAATAAACTTTACTAAGGAGTTTGTATACCAAACACTACAAAACACTGCTGAAAAATGCCTGTAATCCCAGCACTTTGGGAGGCCAACTAGGGCAGATCACCTGAGATCAGGAGTTCAAGACCAGCCTGGCCAACATGGAGAAACCCCATCTCTCCTAAAAATACAAAAATTAGCCAGGTGTGGTGGCACATGCCTGTAGTCCCAGCTACTCAGGAGGCTGAGGCAGGAGAAGCACTTGAACTCGGGAGGTGGAGGCTGCAGTGAGCCAAGATCACACCACTGCATTCCAGCCTGGGTGACAGAGCAAGGCTCCGTCTCAAAAAAAAAAAAAAAACACACATTGCTGAAAGAAATCAAAGACACAAATAAATGGAAAGACTTATCATATTCATCAGTTGGAAGACTTAACATTGTTAAAATGTCTATTCTTTCTGAAGCAATCCACACATTCAATGTAATCACTATCAAAATTCCAATGGTATTTTTCACAGGAATAGAAAAAACAATCCTAAAATGTATATGAAACCACAAAGAGCTCCAAATAACCAAGAAAATTTTGAGAAAGAAGAAGAAAGCTGAAGTCTTCACACTTTCTAATTTCAAAACATATTGCAGAGCTACAAAATCAAAACAGTATGATACTGGCATAAAGACAAACTTAGACCAATAGAACAGAATAGAGTGACAAGAAATAAAACCACACATATATGGTCAACTAGTTTCCAACAAGGGTTCCAAGAATACACAATAGGGAAAGGATAGGCACTTCAAAAAACGGTGCTGGAAAAACTATATATCCCACATGCAAAAGCATAAAATTGGACCCTTATCTAACATCATGCATAAATATCAACTAAAATGAATAAAAAACTTAAATGGAAGACCTAAAACTACAAAATTCCTAGAAGAAAACAGGGAGAAACTTTATAATATTGGTCTGCACAATTATATCTTGGATATGACACCAAAAGCATAGGGAATAAGAGCAAAATTAGACAAGTAGGACTACATCAAAGTAAAGGGCTTTTGCACAGCAAAATAATCAGTAGAGTGAAAATGCAGCCTATAGAATGGGAGAAAATATGTACAAACCATATATCTGATAAGGAGTTAATATTCAAAATATATAAGGAACTCCTACAACTCAATAAAAAACAGCAAATAACCTGATTTAAAAATGGGCTGATAACTTTAATAGACATTTCTCAAAAAAAAAAAGTCATACAAATGGTCAACAGGTAGATGATAAGATGCTCAAATCAATAATCATCAGGGATATGCAAAAAAACAGAATGAGATGTCACCTCACATCTATTAAGATGACCATTATCAAAAATAAAACAAAACAAAAGAAGAACAGAAGATAACAAATGCTGGTAAGGATGTGGAGAAATTGGAACACTAGTACACTGTTGATGAGAATGTAGAATGGAACAGCCACCATGTTACATGGGGTGGATGTTTTCTCAAAAAATTAAAAATGGAGCTACTGTATCATTTAGCAATCTCACTTCTGGGTATTTATCCAAAAGAATTGAAAGCAGAATCTCAAAGAGACAATTGCACTCTCCTGTTTGTTGCCACATTATTCACAAGAGCCAAGAGGTGGAAACAACCTAACTATCCATTAATGAATGAGTGGATAAAGAAAATGTGGTATATACATACAATGGAATACAATTCAGTCACATATAAGGACTTCCTGTCATATGCCACAACATGTATGAACCTTGAGAACATTATGCAAAATATGTAAGTCACAGCAGAAAAAATACTGCATGATTTCGTTTACATGAGGTATCTTAAGTAGTCAGTGTCATTGAAGCAGAAAGTAGCATGGTGGTTGCCAAAGACTGGGGGAGGGGAAAATTGATATGTTTCAGTAGTGCAAGATTAAAAATTTTCTAGAGCTCTCCTGTACTACATTGTACTTATAGCTCACAATACTGTACTGTACACATAAAAATATAAGAGGGGGGAGCTCATTTTATGTGCTATTTACTACCAGCACAACAAAAAAATGCAATTATTTTATCCTTCAGTTTTATCTATTCAGTTACCAGTGCTTTTTATTTTTCAGTGTGGATTGAGTTACTGTTTCATGCTCAGTGTGGATTGAGTTACATGTTTCAGCTTGAAGGATTCCCTATAGTGTTTCTTATAAGGTGAACCTGCTAGTGATAAATTATCTCAGCTTTTATATATCTAGGAATGCTTAATTTCTTCTTCATCATTTTTGAAAGACAGTTTTTCTGGATATAGAATTTTTGGTTAATTCTTTCTTTCCTTCAGCACTTTGAATATGTCATCCCATTGCCATATGGCTTCTATGGCTTCTGATAAGAAATCAGCTGCTCATCTTATTGATAATTTTTTGTATGTGATGAGTTGCTTCTTTTTGCTGCTTTCAAGATTTTCTCTTTGTCTTTCAACAACTTGATTATTTGCCTTTGTCTTTCAACAACTTGATTATGATTTGTCTGATGTGGATCCCTCAGTGTAACTTACTTGGAATTCACTGAGCTCCAAGCTTCATGGATGTGTAGCTTAATGTATTTTATAAAATTTGGAAAGTTTCAGTCATTATTTCTTCAAACATTCTTTCTGCTCCTCCCTCCCTCCCCCATACTCTTTCCTCTGTGTGTGTGTGTGTGTGTGTGTGTGTGTGTGTATGGTTGTGTAACTTCCATTATGTATATGTTGGTAAGCTTCATGGTGTCCATTGAGTTTCTGAGGCTTTTAGTTTTCTCCATTTTTTTCTGCCAATAGACTTCATAATCTCAACTTATCTATCAACAAGTTCACTGATTTTTTCCTTTGCCAGTTCAAGTAGGCTTTTGAACATATCTAGTGAAGTCTATTTCAGTTACTGTACTTTTCAACTCCAGAATTTTTATTTTTATTTATTTCTCTCTCCTTTTGTTCTCTATTTGGTGAGACATCATCTTTATTACTTTCTTTGAGTTCTTTAGACATTGTTTCCTTTAGTTCTGTAAATATATTTTTAATAGCTGATTTAAAATCTCTGCCCAGTAAGCTCAATGTCTTGGCTTTCTCAGGGACAATCTCTACTGATTTTTTTCATGTGTATGCTTGTCTCCAATTCCATCCAGCTTGCTGTGAATACCATTATTTTTTTTTATGGCTGAGTTGTATTCCATGGTATATATATGCCACATTTTCTTTATGCACACATTGATTGATGGGCATTTGGGCTGCTTCCATATTTTTTCAATTGTGAGATGTGCTGCTATAAACATGTGTGTGCAAGTATCTATTTTGCATAATGATTTCTTTTCCTCTGGGTAGATACCCAGTACTGAGATTGCTAGATCAAATGGTAGATCTACTTTTAGTTCTTTAAGAAATCCCCACACTGTTTTCCGTAGTGGTTGTAGTAGTCTACATTCCCTCCAGCAGTGAAAAGTGTTCCCTTTTCACCACATCCATGCCAACATCTATTATTTTATTATTATGGCCATTCTTGCAGGAGTAAGGTGTTATCACATTGTGGTTTTGATTTGCATTTCCCTGATCATTAGTGATGTTGAGCATTTTTTCACGTTTGTCAGCCATTTGTACATCTTCTTTTAAGAGTTGTCTATTCATGTCCTTAGCCCCCTTATTAATGGGATTCTTTGTTTTTTTCTTGCTGATTTGAGTTCCTTGTAGATTTTGGATATTAGTCCTTTGTCAGATGTATAGATTGTGAAGATTTTCTTCCACTCAGTGGATTGTCTGTTTACTCTGCTGATTTTTTCTTTCAATGTGCAGAAGCTCTTTAGTTTAATTAAGTCCCATCTATTTGGTTTTGGTTTTTGTTTTTGCATTTGGTTGTTGGTTCTTGGTCACAAAGTCTTTGCCTAAGCCAATGTCTACAAGAATTTTTCCAATGTTATCTGATAGAATTTTAATGGCTTCAGATCTTAAATTTAAGTGTTTGATCCATCTTGGTCAGGTGCAGTGGCTCATGCCTGTAATCTCAACACTTTTGGAGGCCGAGGCAGGTGGATCACTTGAGGTCAGGAATTTGAGACCAGCCTGGCCAACATGGTGAAACTCCATCTCTACTAAAAATACAAAAATTAGCTGGGTGTAATGGCAGATGCCTGTAATCACAGCTACTTGGGAGGCTGAGGCAGGAGAATCACTTGAACCCAGGAAGTGGAGGTTGCAGTGAGCCAAGATCACGCCACTGCCCTCCAGCCTGGGCAACAGAGCAAGACTCAATCTCAAAAAAAAAAAAAGAAGTAAGAATTCGATCTACTTTGAGTTCATTTTGGTATTATGTGAGATGAAGATCCAGTTTTATCTTCTATATGTGGCTTGCCAGTTATCCCAGCATCATTTGTTGAATAGGGTGTCCTTTCCCCACCTTATGCTTTTGTTTGCTTTGTTGAAGATCAGTTGGTTATAAGTATTTGGCTTTATTTCTGGGTTCTCTATTCTGTTCAATTGGTCTATGTGCACATTTTTATACCAGTACCATGCTGTTTTAGTGACTATGGCCTTATGGTATAGTTTGAAGTCAGGTAATATGATGCCTTCAGATTTGTTCTTTTTGCTTAGCCTTGCTTTGGCTACATGAGCTCTTTTTTGGTTCCATACAATTTTTAGAATTTTTTTTTCTAGCTCTGTGAAGAATGATGGTGGTATTCTGATGGGAATTGCATTGAATTTGTAGATCATATTTGGCAGAATAGTCATTTTCACAATATTGATTCTACCCACAATATTGATTCTACCCACATGGGATATGTATCCACTTATTTGTGTCATCTATGATTTATTTCAGCAGTGTTTTATAGTTTTCTTTGTAGAGGTCTTTCACCTCCTTGGTTAGGTATATTCCTATGTATTGTATTGTATTTTTTATAGCTATTGTAAAAGGGTCTGAGTTCTTGATTTGATTCTCAGCTTCGTCACTGTTGGTGTATAGCAGTGCTACTGATTTGCGTCCATTAATTTTGTATCCTGAAACTCTGTGAATTCATTTGCTAGTTCTAGGAGCTCTTTGTATGAGTCTGTAGGGTTTTCTAGGTATACAACCATATCATCAGCAAACAGTGACAATTTAACTTTCTCTTTACCAATTTGGATGCCCTTTATTTCTTTGTCTTGTCTGATTGCTTTGTATTGTCTGAGTGCTTCCAGTGTTATGTTGAATAGAAGTGGTAAAAGTGGGCATCCTTGTCTTCTTCCAGTTCTCAGGGTGAATGCTTCCATCTTTTCTCCATTCAGTATAAAGTTAGTTCTGTGTTTGGTATAGATGGCTTTTATTACATTAAAGCATGTCTTTCCAATGCTGATTTTGCTCAGAGTTTTAATCACAAAGGGATGCTGGATTTTGTCAAATGCTTTTTCTGTGTCTATTGAGATGGTCATGTAATTATTTTTTTTAAATCTGTTTATATGGTGTATCACGTTTATTAACTTGGATATGTTGATCCATCCCAGCATCTCTGGTATGAAACCCACTGGATCATGGTCAATTATCTTTTTGATATACTGTTGGATTTGGTTAGCTAGTATTTTGTTGAGGATTTTTGCATCTACTTTCATCAGAGATATTGTTCTATAGTTTTCTTTTTTTTTGTTATGTCCTTTACTGGTTTTGGTATTAGGTTGATACCTGCTTCAGAGAATGATTTAGGGAAGATTCTCTTTCTCTATCTTGTAGAATAGCATCATTGACTCTTCCAGTGACTCTTCTCCCTGTAATATCTACAGGTGTCCTTATTTATGAGCTCTTGATTCTTAGAAAATAAAAGACCTTTTGTTCCTTTCATTTCAGGGGCTAATGGTTCTACCTAAATAGCTAAAAGTTTATTTTGATTTCTAGCTTGTTTGCTTTATTGCTATTCTTTGAAAATGTTTACCACGTTAGAAATTTTCTAAATTGGCAATTTCCCATTCCAATCTATTTTTTCTTTCTGAGTCCACCTACAAAAAGAGAAGACAAGGCTCCTTTTACTTCAGCTGTACAATCTACTCAGAATTTTATTCGAAAATATTATTAAGTCTATTTTTAAACTAACTATTGACTTGTCTTTATTTCATTAATAGTTTTTACATATTTGTCTAATCATTGCTTAAGGAAAAAGCTTCTAAATGGGCTTATGTAGTGCATTTTCTGTATTCTTACCCTCCCACATTCAATTTTTTAAATTATGCCCAATTTGGTTATTTAAATCCCCTCCTGGCCTTCCCCTTTTTGCTTCTTTTAATCACTTTTCTCCCTGATTGAAAGGCTAACAATATATGAACTAGGGGGCTACAAATCTTTTCTTCTAAAACAGTTAAGTGCATTTTTAAATATCCTGAATTCTGCAATATACTTGTCTGTATTCCTGATGGTATCAAAGTGTACCTGGAATTTGTTTTAATCGGACATGAGAAAATATGAATATATAAATGATTGTTGTGAAAAAAGAAACTGATACACACAGATCCTTAGAAACAAGAGGCACAGCAGTCATGCAGACCATGTAGGGAAACAGCCAAGTGAGGAGGCAAAGTGGGGGAAAAGAGCATGGCCTAAAGCTTTTATGGGGTTCTCAGGGAAGAAAGAGTGGGGCAAGATAGGTATGTTGAGTAAATTTAGGATTAGATAGTTAGAATAATTTCAATGCACTCTGGAACTTAGGGGTGGTCCCTAGTTGTCCACTACCTGGTTCTAAGATGATCTGGGGCAAGGTGATATTGAGTTGGTGTGTAGGAATTTGATAAAGGAGATGATTGGGGTATGGGCTCTAGGTTGGTTTATTTGCATATGAAAGCTGTGCCGGAAAGGAAGTCATTTGCTGTCTCTAGGAATTAGCTACCCCTGGTAGAGGCAGCCTCTCCAGGATCTAGACACCAAACGCCAGGGCATCAAAAATACAGAAAATAAGAAAATACAGTCAATACACTGATTTTTAAAAATATTTTCTTACATTTCTTAATGCAGCTCAAAATCAATATTTAAGTTCAATTTCTATATATCTGTCTTCTTGTCTAACAATGCAATTATTCCTTTCCTAAAAATAAAAAAGCTATATTGGCCAGGCCCAGTCTCCCTGAGCAAATCATACTGCTGATCTTAGATAGAATTTTTGAGAAGTTTGCATGCTTTACTTTTTTATTCTCACATACTAGAATATAAGCCTCTTGAGGGGAAATCTTTTGTTCACTGTTTTATCCAAAAGTTAGAACAGTGCCTTTTATACAATAGTCCCTGAAAAGTTATTCATTAAATAAACAAATAAATCAAACTTAAGCTTAGCCATTTTACCTGTTCCATGAGTTTCAGCCAATTGCTTTATCTTTTAATAACTTCAATTTTGTCTGTAAGTGGGTTTAATTCATTTACTCCACAGAGTTATTGGGAGGATTAAATTAGGTTGTGCATGTAATGCATTTGGTAAGGTGCCTGATATATAGGATAATTCCAATAAGCAGTGGTGGTCTCTGTTTTCCTTGTTATTGTAGATGTCAGGATAAAGTATAGGAAACAGTTTAATTCCCCGTCATACTTCCCAGTATCCATACTTTGCGCTGACATCCCACTACCTGAAATGTGCTCCAATCCTTCCAAATACCCCTTTATTATTAATTACTTAAAATGTATCTTTTGTATGTCTCATTCTCTAGGGGCCATAACTTAGCTCTTTTAAGAGCTAATAACAGCTGATAATGTCATATACATTGATTTTTTTGACAGGGTGTATTTTCTTACTAGAAACCAAAATAATGACTAGTGGTGGAAACCTAGAGTCCTGAGGCAGCTTAGAGATGATGTTCAGCATAAAGGAACAATGTTGTCTACCACCCTTGAACTCACCCTGAGTAAGATGGGGAAGCCAAAGTCCCATGCCAGCCTGCCTATTTCATTTCCCAACAGTGCCTTTCTCATGATGACAAATGTGTCAGTCACTTAGATGTATCAATCTGGAGTTGAGGGGGAGAGGCCTGTCAGTCCAGAGATACAGATTTGGAAATCAAACAAAATAAGCTCTTTAATATGTCCCCTGACCACCAGGCCAGGTATGCTCTCCTGAAAGCAGTTTAAGTGATACACTGATGTCTGCAGAGGCTAGACTGAGTTGTTTAGGAAATAATTGAGAAGAAACAAAGGCAAATCATTCTTTCAAGAAGTCTTTGGGTAATAAGGTATGACAACTTGAAAAATAAGGTAAAGGCAAGGGTGGTGGTTGCTGTTGACCCGTTATGTTCTTAAAAGTGGGGCAGCTTACGGTAAATTATTATAGAATGAAGAGAAAGAACCAAGATCATCTAAGAGTCTCAAAACTAGGTCTTGGCCAGGCACGGTGGCTCACGCCTGTAATCCCAGCACTTTGGGAGGCCGAGATGGGCAGATCACGAGGTCAGGAGATCGAGACCATCCTGGCTAACATGGTGAAACCCTGTCTCTACTAAAAATACAAAAAATTAGCCAGGCGTGGTGCCTGGTGCCTGTAGTCCCAGCTACTCAGGAGGCTGAGGCAGGAGAATAGTTTGAACCCGGGAGGTGGAGCTTGCAGTGAGCCAAGATCGTGCCGCTGCACTCCAGCCTGGGAGACAGAACGAGACTCTGTCTCAAAAAAAAAAAAAAAAAAAAAAAACAAGGTCTCAAAGGGGCTTACAACCATATGCTATATTGATGATGGAAATAAATAGTAATCCTTATTAGGAGTCACAGTGGCTCACACCTGTAATGCCAACACTTTGGGAGGCCAAGCCAGGCAGATCACTTGAGGCCAGGGGTTCAAGACCAGCCTGGACAATATGACAAAACCCTGTCTCTAACAAAAATACAAAAATTACCTGGTAATGGTGGCATGTGCCTATAGTCCCAGCTACTAGGAAGGCGAGGTATGAGAATCTCTTAAACCCAGGAGGTTGAGGGTGCAGTGAACTGAGATCACGCCACTGCACTCCAGCCTAGGCAACAGACCAAGACTCTGTCTCAAAAAAAAAAAAAAAAAAAAAAAAAAAAGGACTGACTAGGATTCCACAATGACTATTTCCTTAATTTAAGGTAATCTCAAAATTTTAATCCCATGATATGTACAACTGCACAAAACCACTACACCTCTAATTTCTTTCATGTTTCTTATAGTAATGATACAATTGTAATTCTATAAACTAGATACTGTGGTAAGTGCTTTGCATGCATGCATTCATTTATCCATTACAACACTGTATTAAAGATTATTTATAAAAGAAAATAATCAAGGTCCACAGGGGTAAGTAACTTGCTCAAGAGGCACATATGGAAAGTGAAGTAACTGGGAATTGGTTGCAAGAATATAACCCAAAACCCATGCTCTTAGGCATTTTTTTCTCTACAGCATCAGAAACAAGTGGGAGTAAACATCTGTCATTTATTCATTTGCCTCACACTCCCTCCTTTTTGGAGCCTTCCCTCAGTGTGTCTGATTATGGTGGGGTTGACTACGTGGGCCTTATTTTCTCTACCAAAGAATTGGGCACATGAAGGCAGCTGGCCAATCATAGCTATCCAACCCCTTTCCCCTAGGCAGGGTGGGATAGGACTCAAGCTGAGCCAGTCAGACAACTTCAGGTACCACTCAGCCAGAGTATCAAGGACAAATATTTCTTTTCCCTTGAGGTTGCTAAGATATCAGTATTTGGCTCTTGAGCCGTCAGTCATATGGAGAAAGTCTATCTGAGAAAACAAACAAAGCCCTGATAATATAATTTAGAACTCCTGGATCTAACTGTGCCTGAGATGATCTTCCTCAGGACTTACAAGGGCCAATTAATTCCTTATTGTGTTTAATCCTATGTAACTTAGGTTTCTGCCATCTAACAACTGAAATATTCCTAATGAAACACAAAGCAATAAAATAAGATTTGGAGTCACACAAATTAGGATTCACATCCCAGCTCCCTAATCTTCTAATTGTATATCCTAACCACATTCCTGAACTTCCTTGAATCTCAAAATCCTTGTCTGTAAACATGAGGATAACAATACTACATTACTGTATAAGCAAACAGGCTTAGGAATGGTCTGTGTTTAAACTCTCACTCCATGGCTAACCTGCTATGTAACCGTAACCTTGGATAATTTATTTGCACTTATTCTCTCTTCATTTCTTCTTTCCAACTTTCCATCTTCCAAACTATGTTTCCAAAAGAACCTAAGGTGATGTACAATAACTATTCATTCAACAAATGTTTATTGAGAACTCATTATGTGCCAGAAAATGAGCTAGTGGCCAGGAAATTAAAGATGAGCAAAATAGACACAATCTCAGCACTCACGGAATGCAGACAAATATTACATAATAATCACATGAATAGATGCAATCCATGTGGCAGCTGGGGCTTTCCATCCCTTTGAGATCCTGAACTGTCCCTCTTCACCCCCATGCCATGATCACGACTAACAGAAGTCTTCCCCAAGATATCCGCCAATTCTGTAGGGGAAAGGGGAAGCTTTACAATCATCTGGCTTTTGGGGCACTGATTTCCTTATGTGTGTCTTGATCAAGCCACACTGTAATTCCTGCATTAAACTGGGCCTGCCTTATTCAGTTTCCACAATAAAATCATCTAACCCAAGCAATTGTAATATTGGTGGTCATTATTGATGGTTTCAGCTGGATTCCAAGAAGTGGTCGGTCCCCTATGCATAGTACACAACCTTCCTCCAATCTCACCACTTTCTCCCTCGTCCCTTATTTTCCTCGTTTCAATTCCATTATGGATTACAATGTATAGAATATGGAATGGCAAACATGATAATTCAGCAAGAGTTCCAGATTTTTCTCTATCTCATAGGACAGATATCACCCCTTGCTGAGCCTGCAGTACAGACTAATTCCAGTCCCTCAAGGAGCTTGCTTCAACTCTGAATGCACTCTGAAGAATTTTCCCAAAAGTGCTTTTCCTAAGGGGAATGTTACTGCTACCTGTGAAAATAACAAGATTTTTCCGCCTTGTGACATGGTTATACACTTTAAATGGCAACAAGGGAAGATAGAAAACTGGAGTGTTATGAGAGCGCAAAACAAGGGTTGTGACCCAATCTAATAGGTGGGAAAAGTGTTTGCTGGGCTAGATGAGGCATAAATAGATGTTAACCAGGAACAGGAGAGAAGAGGGGGGCATTTCAAGGAAAAACAAATACTATTTTTAAAATAAGGAAGAAAATTAGAATTAAAGGTTAATAAAGATAAGAACATAAAGATGAAGCCAGCTTTGTAGTACAGAAAATACATACAGCAAAGCCCTAATTGGACTTTACCAAAGTAATTGCCAGAGGTGAGCTACAGATTCTGAACTGAGGTTTCTATCAGCCAACACAGGTAGAAAAGCATTACCATGGTATAACTGAATTTGCATACAATAAATGTGCACTAAGACGGGTTTCTCCGAGCACATGGCTGATGACTGATGAATAATAACAATGTGAATACACACTGAATGCTTACTTGTCTTATCTCATTCAATCATCACAACAAATCTAGATACGAGACATAATGATCACCATTCCTGAAGTTTAGAGAGGTCACCTGAGCTGCATGGTTGCTCAGCTGCTAAGTGGCAGGGCCAAGATTCCAATCTCAGCCAGCCTTTTGGCTCTTGAGGTGTTTCTCTTATCTACTGAAGTACACTGCACTCAGGTCCTCTGTGTTCTCTGCTTTCCTAGGACAGTACTGAATGGCAAGGCTTTAATATTTGCAACTCATGGAGAGCTACCCTTCCCTGACATCAGCTGGCCACTGTTTCCTAAAAGTGAAACGCTGAAAAATTTCCCGAATTCATGAGACTTGTTCTCCATTTGGTCAAACCACGTTACTTTTCACTGTAGATGTCTACAGAGCATTCTGTAATGTGTTTCTTGTGTTACTTTTTGGTTACTGAGAACTTTGGTACATTCAATTTTTGTGGTCTGTGTAGAGGAATTCCTGGTTCAACATGTAATGCCCTTTTAATAATGGTACCAACAATGCCAGATAATATATTTTTAATCACTGTCATGGATAAAAACTATAAAATGATCAGTAATCTAAGGAGCTCAGACTACAACTAGATCAGCAATGTGAATATGGACTTACACACTCAACCCTGACAAAGTCTATATGACAGAGTAGGTGCAATGCAGCCATTTCAGCCATTCACATACCCAGTGGGGGTCTTTGCAAGATCAGTTCAGATGTGGTCATCAAAAACTATGGAAAGACTGGAGGAAAGAACAACAAATTCAACTAAGGCCTGGCCCTGCCCTGCCCTGCCCTGCCCTGGGATGGGAGAGGGCTTTCCCCTCTACTCTTTCCTTTCTTTTCATTTTGTAGTGCTTTTCACTCCATCAAGTCATTTTTCCTTTCAGGTTGGGGAGTGCCTGATAAAGAAAGCATTATAAGGCTGGATTGCCAAAGCACTGAATTTTTAAACCCTCTAAATAGGACATTAGTTCATAGCTTGAATGTTTTGAAATCTGATCAACGTGCCGTTTCTCAATACATTAAGCAAAGCAAGCAAAATTAGTCTGCTTTATGTCAGGTGCTTAGCACAAATCCCTTAATAATGTGCTTGAGTGCAGAAACCATTAATAAATGCATAATTCCCTAAGACAGGCTTGATTAATTAAGTCATATGTGTATCCTTCTAATTAAAAAAAAAAAAGAACATTAGGCAGATGAGTGGAATTTCTGAGTACAAAATTCAAAGGCTTCTTTTGAATGCCTTTTGCCTTTCTCTTCAAGATGAAAGGAACGCTGTTGGTTATTGTAGCTGCCAACAAACAGTTATAGCACAAGCACAAAGCACCCAGAACTCTGTGTCTTATTAAAAACAATTTGGTATTCATCTGCCAATTTGTAACTCAGTTCTCAATCAGGGGTCTGTCTGATTAAGTCAAGCAATTCAAATCTGAGGGGGCAGCTGGTGCTGCTATGCAAATAAACAGATGAGGAAAAAATGGGACCAATGAATCAACAAGCAGATGGTAAAAAGCCAAGGCCTTCAAAGGGTACTTGAATATTTTTTCCTCTCTACTTCCCATCACACTACGTCTCACAGAATTTATATTCCAAGGGATTATAAAGATTATCACTTAGTTTAATGATCAGCATAGAACAGTTTCTAACATTGATCCCTTTAGCATTAAGGACTTACACCAAGAAAACACTGGTCGTGGAATGCTAGATTAGATGGTAATCTGCTTCCATATTTTTTCATTTTTTTCTTAATCAATTGACCAGCTACATAATAGAATCAATACACTTTTATGCGTGCATCTTTATTTCCAACCAAGTGTTTCCCTGCAAAGCTGCAGCACTCTTCAAATGAGTAGAAAAGTCTTCCTTTCAGCTCATATAGGTTTGGAATTGTTTGGAAAGCTCCAAAAAGAGACGTTGGGTCCTGAGTCTGTGCAGTACCACAATTATGCATTTCCTCCTGATTTGGTCAGTGGCATACAGTCCTACTAATTCTTGTTCATTTTTCTGCAACTGCTTTAGGCATTACTCATTTGTCCTTATCTGAACTGGATTTATTTGGAAAATGCTCATGGAGTCTACCTTTATTATGGGGCATCTCAAATTTCAAATACAATGTTTGGCAATCATGTTGTCTGAAGCCTAACCATAAACACCTTCATTAATTACAGCCTTTCATCTGCCAAAATCTTTTCTTTGGCTTGCATTCTTCATGCTGATATCAAGTAGACAGGGCCAAATCACGTAGATTGTGTAGGCAATATAATGAGAATAGATGCAGTTGGAAGTTGTCAAAAGGTCTGAAACAAGCATGGTATTATTTGAGATCCCTTTTTAAAATAAACATACTGGTTCTTATAATGACTTGGAAATTTTGAGAGATTGCTTTTAGCACTTTGACAGCTGAGAAGACTTTCTTTAGAATATGGTTACAAGTCACTGGTTTTATTAAAGTGAGGAGAACATTTTCATTTTGATAAGCAAATATTAGCACAGGACCAATCCTTCACTTCAAGGAGTGTTGAACTCAAGGATGCTTTTCTTGGTAGTAACATACAAATCATAATATTTTTCAAATATTTGTTCATACTAAATATTTTTGACCCAGGTTTTGGAGGATGAGTTTCCTTTCTGCTTTCTTAAATATAAAGCACAGTGCATAGTCATCTTGGAGTTCTGAATAGCAAGATGCTGACTGCTTTGGGACACCTTTATATCAGACAGGGCTTAAATGTGCTCTTTTGCATCAAGCAAGGCAAGGCATAGGTTAATGCTACTTTCTCAATTATAAACTATTAAAAGATCCATGTAAGCCAATATAATCTGTGAAAGGATTAGGAACACGGCTATGCAACGTCTCTCTTTTCCTTAAATAACAAAAAGCACCAGAGACCAGGATAAAAAAACCAATTTCCAGAAATCTATGACCAACAGAGACATGCTCAGTTGTTGGAGGTGTTAGGAAGAGTCCACAAATGCAGTCGCTTGCACATATACGAAGCTCAACTTGTACCAGCGTGTTATTTCTTTTCTTTTTTTTTTTTTCTTTCTTTCTTTTGAGACAGAGTCTCACTCTGTTGCCCAGGTTGGAGTGCCACGGCATGATCTCAGCTCACTGCAACCTTCACTTCCCGGGTTCGAGCAATTCTCCTGCCTCAACCTCCCAGGACTACGGGCATGTGCCACCACACCCACCTAATTTTTGTATTTTTAGTAGAGACAGGGTTTCACCATGTTGGCCAGGCTGGTCTCAAACTCCTGACCTCAAGTGATCCACCCACCTCGGCCTCCCAACGTGCTGGGATTACAGGTATGAGCCACTGCACCCAGCCGAGTTATTTCACTTTAGGGCTTTTATATCTCCCCACAGTACTTCTGTCTGTCTTCATCTATTACTCTACCTGTCAGTTCCAGCTCCCTGGACACTAAATCTACTCATAAGTTTTTTCCTGATTTTGTATTTGATTTTGCTTAGAAATCAGCTGTTGGCTTAATTATTGCTACTTTAGCTATCTCTTGTTCTCTGCCTGCTTATAAGATTTTTCTGGATTAGACAGATATCTAAAGATAGATTTTTTTTCATTTATGCTGCTAAAATGGTACTTCTTGAATATATGGCTTAATGTCTTTAATTGAGTTGGAAATGTGTCAACCATTATCTCTGT
Source organism: Homo sapiens (assembly GCF_000001405.40). NCBI lineage: Eukaryota > Metazoa > Chordata > Mammalia > Primates > Hominidae > Homo > Homo sapiens. The sequence continues at coordinate 81,458,297 of NC_000009.12, forward strand.
AAATACTGCTTTTTCCAGTTTTCTATCTCCTTTCCTTCAAAACTCCAATTACAAGCATATTAGACTGTCACCATATCTTCTATGTCTTTTATCTGTTTTCTGTATTTTCCATTCTTGTGTCACTAAATACTTCCATCTGGATATTTTCTTCTGACCTACTTTCCAGTGTGTGAATTATTTCTTTATTTGGGTCTAATATGTTCAATACCCTATCCACTAAACCCACAAATTTGGCCTTATACCTTTAATTTTTAGAATTTCCATTTGGTTCTTTTTTTTAATAGCTTCCTGCTTTCTGCAAATATTCTCAATCTTGTTTTTCATGTTCTTAAATATAACAAGCATTGTTATTTTAAAATCTCTTTGCGACAACTTCAGGGTCTGTAGCCTCTGTGGGTTTGTTTATTTTGCCTGTTTCTTCTGCTGTTTTTGCTAATGTTTTATTGACTATTTAGAGATCTGGTTACTTTTTATTTTTTGCCAAGCATTTTATTTGAAAAATTATTTGTAGAAATAATTTGACGTGTAGGATGATGATATCTTCCATCAAAGAGAATTTAAATTCGACTTTGGCTTGTAGCTAGAAGAATTAGCAATATGAATTCATTTCATTCTAATTTCAGAAACTGGTATTATTTACATCTGAGCTGCAGTCTCAAGAAGGTATGAATTCTCCCAGTTCCTTTTATTATTAGGGATCAGCCCTTTGATTCTTAACCCAAAACATTGAGGGCTCACTACCCCAGCCCTTTGTGACCCTGGACTCCAGTTCCTGCCCCCACCATTTGACATTTGAGCCCTGTCAAGCTTCGCAGCCATTCCCTGGAGAATGAACAAATAGCCCCAGAGGTGAAGTAGCCAAAAGCTCAGCCCTGGGCTCTGAACGCCCCTAGATTCTAACCCAGTTATTCTTCACTCTTTCGAGTTTTAGTTCCTTACCTATAAGAAGATGTTTTTAAATATTTTTCTGGCTATCCTGAGTGGAAGAATTTGTTCATTAAATCAGCTTTGTTCTAAACTTTGAATATGTGACTCCCAAATCACTCTCGATATACTGATCCTGCCACAAATTTGTGGCAGACTTCATCTAAAAATTAATAATACATTATGGTTTTCACAAACCCATAGAAAACATACACATACCCTGACAAGCCACGTTATCACACAGCAACTCACTATCAACAGAAAATAATGATACCAATAAAGCCATCAATTTTAATTTTGGGATCAGTTCAAGAGGGCCCAGCCCATACTCACAACTCTGAATCTAGCTCACCTGTACACAAATACACATTGGAACATATAAAAAGATGGCCAAAGACACTGGTCCACATCTGCTTTTCCCCCACACTGTTTCTTCTTCTCATGCTGTCTCTACCCTCAACTTCATCCATTTGGGTCAGTCTCTTGATCCCAGTGTCTCAACTGCCCCCTTTGATTCACAGCTCCCTTGGATCCATGTTGACATCAACACATTGCTCAATACAAAACCTCTGGCATTTTTCCTCTGGCCCAAATCCCTGATCTTGGATAAGAATCACCCCACAGGTAAAATTCCACCTGGCTCCATTAGATAAGCCTATCAAATTAATGACCCCTGCCCCCCACATAATGCTGCCCAAGGGATAGGAGATAAACATTTCTATACAATTTCCAAATTATAGTGTTCAAATAATTCAATGTTTAACTCAAAAATTACTATTTGCTACAATTTATTCCAGATGCTTTAAACAGAAACTTTTTCCATTTCTTATTTTTTATTTTCTGGAGACGGAGACTCCCTCTGTCACCAGGCTGGAGTGCAGTGGCGTGATCTCGGCTCGCTGCAACCTCTGCCTCCCGGGTTCAAGTGATTCTCCTGCCTCAGCCTCTCAAGTAGCTGGGACTACAGGTGCACGCCACCACGTCCAGCTGATTTTTGTAATTTTAGTAGAGATGGGGTTTCACCATGTTGGTCAAGATGGTCTCAATCTCTTGACCTTGTGATCTGCCCGCTTCAGCTTCCCAAAGTGCTAGCATTACAGGCATGAGCCACCATGCCCAGCTGGAAACATTATTTTTTATCCACATGATACTAAAGAGTAACAAAAGAATCCAAAAACATAGATAACAGAAGGAACTGGAGAAGGATTTAAGTCAAACAGAATTATAAGGACTTCAGACCTTGTGAAAAAGACAGGAAGAGGAAGAGAGAGAATAGGAGAAATTTGTCTGATTACAAGGAGAAAGTGTCAGAAAATATTCCCGAGCACAGCACAGTTTGGGTACAGTTTCTCAGTGGTATATCATTTTTATTCCTGAGTTATGTAATTAAAGCTCAAGCTACCAGTGAAAAACAAATAGCCCTGAACTTACTTCAGGCTTTTGTTTGCTCTTCTATAATTCTGTTTGGAAATAAGGCACTTTAAAAAATAAGGAGCAAGTAATACTAATGAATAACCATCACTCCCTCTCACTAGTTTGAATGCCAAGTTTCCTCCCTCAAGGAAATCTGAGTTACAAATCTCTAAAAATAGGGGTTTCTTCTAATGGAGACAGAGACAGGGCAAAATGCAGCACTATAATTTGATAAAGACTTACTTAGTCAAGCCTATCATTTTAAATAGAGTAAAAGGTTTTAAAACATATTTGTTTAGAAATGATTTATTTAGACCACCACTGGAGCCAGAAAGATGAAAGACAGCATTGGCTCGTTATTTAATTGGAGGTCTCTCTAAAAAGGAGGTGATAAATTTCTGACATATGTCTTACAATTGCTGCTCCAAGAAGAATTAGATCCATATTATAACTCAATTGCTTTATCAGCCCACCAGTAACTTCTTGTTGCCTGGGATGTCCTTCTGGTGACTTCAAAACTTGACAAAGATGCAACGATTATGTGGATAAATTCCAGGACCACCCCAATGAGAACCTCGGCCCCTCTGGCTTTTGTGAAAGTTAACGGTAATTTATAACCTCATGCTAATGTCCCAAGGCTTTCTAAAGAACAATTACATAAATATTTTTAACTTCATGGTCCTCTTAAGCACACAAACCACAAACCCATCTTAAGTATGCCAAGGTCATCCGTTATCTCCACAAAAGTTTTTACATGATGTGGCAATCTTAAAGACCTTCAGTTAAAACATCTCTGCAAGTTTAGGAGTTTCCAAAGGTCTCCTGCTGCTCCTGTGAACTATATAGAATGCACTAATCTCCACGGGCATTTTACTTCTCCGTTTTGCCTGTGCTGACTAACTCCATGGAACAATTTGCAAGTGATACCAAAGGTATGAATTAGTTGTGTAGAAGAAACTAGAGTCCAGATGTTAACCCTCAGTTTTATGTACACCATAGTTCTCCATACAAGGAAGATAATATAAGGTAAGTGCAATCCTTTATTATTGGGCAAAAAAATACTTTCTCCCTGCCCTTCTTAAAAAAATTTTTAAAAAAAGACAAATATAAGCAAATGAATATAAGAAACTATAGAACCTGGCCTGGTGCTTTGGCTCATGCCTATAATCCCAGCACTTTGGGAGGCCGAGGTAGGTGGATCATTTGAGGTCAGGAGTTCGAGACCAGCCTGGCCAACATGGCAAGACCCCCGTCTCTACTAAAAATACAAAAATTAGCCAGGTGTGGTGGTGCACGCCTGTAATCCCGGCTACTCTGGAGGCTGAGGCAGGAGAATCACCTGAACCCAGGAGACAGAGGCTGCAGTGAGCTGAGATCACACCACTGCACTCTAGCCCAGGCAACAGAGCAAGACTCTGTCTCAAAAAAAAAAAAAGAAGAAGCTATAGAATCAATTGCTTCAGGAAAGCAGAGAAATTTTTTAAAGTAACACTCTGCCTAGGAAAATTTGACACCTTTCCTTTCAAAAAAGTTGGGATGTATATAAAATCTCTTCTATTGCCACTAAAGAGAATAGAGAACATAAGAAGGGATACCTTTAATCAACTAATTAAAAACTTCAAGGCTTATGTGAGAGAGCAAATTTCACTGAACATTAATATTGCACTACGTCTAGTAACGCTGTTTTCTTTTTTTCTTTTTTTGAGACAGAGTCTCTCTCTGTCACCCAGGCTGGAGTGCAGTGGTGTGATCTCAGCTAATTGCAACCTCCGCCTCCCGGGTTCAAGCGATTCTCCTGCCTCAGCCTCCGGAGTAGCTGGGATTACAGGCATGCACCACCCCCCCAGCTAATTTTTGTATTTTTAGTAGAGACAGGGGTTTCACCATGTTGGCCAGGCTGGTCTCAAACTCCTGACCTCAAGTGATTCCCCCCATCTCAGCTTCCCAAAGTGCTAAGATTACAGGCGTGAGCCACTGTGCCTGGGCCCAGTAATGCTTTTAAAATAAAGATAGTCAGTGCTATAGAAGTACTTATAAAAACTCAGTATTTGACCTATGAACTTCAAACAACTGCAGAAATAGGGACAACTGTTAATGAATACAAAACCCCTAAAATAAGTCCTGTTTACTCCAACACAGACTGTCATTTAATATTTCTCACCATATCACATCAGATAGGCAGATGATACTGAACCAGTCTAAGGAAATAAGAATCTGGGTGTGATTATGACTGAGATATTCTCATACCACTAAGTGGCTAATAATTTCATAAATTCTCTAGGGAAACATGAGTGGTATTTTGTGGTATATGCAAATTATATACAAACAGATTTTCCCACTTAAGTTAACAATGCTATAAATTCATACAGCATGTCATTATATAACTTCATCACTCTTCTCATAAATGCATTAGTTGTCTACATAAAGCCTCATATTAAAAGAACTCTGCCAAATATTTTTAAATGTGATTGCATCAGACATTCCTATTTGCCACTCAGCTCCATTCTCAACCATTCCCACCCTACTGTGTGGTCTGGGAGCCCAACTTCCATGGGTAACAACAACAGGTTCTCTTATCCTCTGGTGTCCAATTAGGACCAGTCAATGGGAGGTAACAGCACGGAAGGTGAGAGGAAAGAGGTTTGGGGGTATTTATTCCACCAGCTATTTCCCTGCCAGGCCTTGGGTTGGCAGCAGCTTTGGTCCACGGCTGGCAGCGATCATTCATGTTAATTTTTGCTGGGCTTCTCTGCAGCTGTAGGAGACGGGTAACTACCTGCTCCCCTTTCCCCTTCAGGCCTACATGTGTTAAGGGCTCTCCACTATTGCTAGATTTGGGGTGCTTCACCGTTGCTTACTGCTTCTTACCCCTGCCTATGTGTGTCCAAATAATCCCTTCATTCATCTCACCTCAACTTACCCATTTGAGTCTTCTGTCCCTCCCCTGACAAAACCTGACTGATAAATTATCTTAAGTGAATGGAACTCAATTAAGGAAGCAGCACCTTTACCCAATGAGAAGTGCTCTAATTTGGAAACTTCCTATCTCAGCAGCACATCCAGCCAAATCGGCTGTGTCATCTCTCTCCATAAGCTATAGTGACAGTATTTTCCGCATCAACCATTTAGACACACGGTCTCAGGCAGTATTTTTTTTCTGATTTATAAATTTTGTTTACATGAAAGGTCTTACGGTGATATAAAAAGCTAAATCATAGGTGCACATGAAAAGGCCAGTCTTTTTTCCCATAGCTAAATAACACATAAACAAGAGGAATGAAACCCATAAAGCTAAAAAATACTTGGTATTTTAAATATTTTAGGAATACAGTAATGAGATGATCTTTTCATAGCTTTCTAGCATTTACCATATTTTGATATACTGCTTGATTCATATCTGTTTGCACCCTTGGTATTAATTTCCTTTTTATATGAAAAGGACAAACCTTCTGTTAAAATATTTTGAATGTTTCTCATACAAAATCCAAATAATATCTCCAGAGGAACTGAAGCAATATACAAACTAAAGGAGGTGGTGAAACACAATAATAAAGATTCGAAAGTACCTTTGACAAAGAAAGAGACTTCCCGAAACCGAGAGAAAGGGCTGAGGCAGTTGAACTCCCTTTATCTATATCCTAACAAATAACACCTCCTGTGCCTTAAATATTTAAAGTGAAATCTGTGGATTTATATAGCTTACAAAATGCCAGGGCTTATTATCTTTACAGTTTGCATGACAGGAATATTCATACTGCTCAATTCCACGGTCTGAGACAACAGGAATTCCTCCAGGTGCTAATGGCAGATAACTTTCACGCGACTTCAATAATCCACTAATTACGGAACCCCTCAGGTAGAACAATGTCATTAATCTGATTAAATTATTTATATTGCTGGAAAGCTAAATCTTACTAGGTCTTCAGGATTTTATTTGGTTCTCCAGTATGGATATGCAAAAGGACAACACCATTTCTCTTCTCTACTACATTTTCATGGTAAGAAAAAGAAAAAAAAAAAGCAACTAAGAAAGAAATAGCCTCATATTTCGAGTTTTGAGGCAAGTCCACCACCTAAGGGCAGGGTCCACCCCTCTCCCAGGAACCTTGAAGCTCTGTAGAATTTTTCAAGTCCCTTTTGGAACTCTGCTTTTCTGGCTGGGGACTTGTTAGCATGTTTCACTAGTAGGGCCATGAGCTATGGTAAAATTAAAGTTCTATCAGAGTTATTTGCTGTTAGAGGTAGATCTAAATTAAAATGAAAAGGCTCATTTCTTCTGAACAGATCACTGAGAAGCTTGTGAAACCCTTAGTGCTAAATGTGCTACCCAAGTACCCTGAACAGACATCCTCTATTGGTTTTTTGGCTGTATACTGAACCATTTTCATATCTGTCCTGGTTTACCAGGCATTTAGTTAGAGGGTTAAAGAAGGTCTGGAGATGAGATTAAACCTGCTGCAATTTGATAGGCTACTCAAACATGTACCATTTATCCAAGTACTCTGTGTGGGTAGCAATTTGTAAAATGCTTTATAGCCTATAATTTTAAAATTTCATAGCTGGGCATCTATCATTTCCATTTTACGGAAAGAGGTACTCACTGTAGACATACTTTTATCAGAAGAAGTATAAGGCCTATAAGAAAATACGCATTTTTAAAAATGGAAATGAAAATACAAAGTGTTGGAAGTGTTATATTCTATCAAATCAATTAGTTGACATATTTAACTTTAATGACATTTTTCTGAGTCTTGTTGTCCGTATCTACTTAAATGTCTACAGTTTCTCGCTTCTCAAATATTCTTCTTTCTTTCAAGGTTTCCAAGACACTGGGAGAAGCTGTAATAAGCCTTTCTCTTATAGCCCAGGGCTTTCTTTTAATAGATATGTGGTCAAAGACACACAGCCAGCCCAGCTCCTAGCTAAATATAAATCATATGATTCCAGGAATAGAATTCATAATCTTATGTTACAAAAACACCATCCTCTATTAGAACACCCAGGACTTCAAACAACTCATTTTCTTCTTGGACCAGCAGCTAGGAGGCACCATAGTAATAAGCCTACTCTTAAATCCAGCCCCACACAACTGTGATAACCTAAAAGCAGCCAGAGCCAGCAACTTACCCACTGTGTAACTTTTCCAATTACATTCTTGAAGACAAGCTTTTGGGTCAAGCGTGTCCTGAAAGAGTGAGACCACATAAAGTAAATCTTAGAGCAGTACACCACGCCTCTGTCTGTCTCAGGACTTCCTAACCACAGAGTGACTGTATGCGTCCCTGTACCACCCATATTTCTCTTTCGGAATGAAGGAACTAGTCTGCCGCTGCTGGAGTGCTGCAGGAAGACAGCTCTCAGCTGTCCTCGCCCCACAAGTATTGCTTCTGTTAAAGAGAGATTCCACATTCAAGATCACTCCATTCCTGGGGCAGCCCATGTCTGATGAACAATTGTTATGATGCTGTGTCCAGAACAATTCTAAAGGACCATTGCAGCTTCAAAATTCGGGTGGGGCACGGTGGCTCACGCCTGTAATCCCAGCACTTTGGGAGGCCAGTGCGGGCAGATCACGAGGTCAGGAGATGGAGACCATCCTGGCTAACACGGTGAAACCCCTCCTCTACTAAAAATACAAAAAATTAGCCGGGCACGGTGGCAGGTGTCTGTAGTCCCAGCTACTAGGGAGGCTGAGGCAGGAGAATGGCGTGAACCCGGGAGGCGGAGCTTGCAATGAGCTGAGATCGCGCCACTGCACTCCAGCCTGGGCGGCAGAGTGCAACTCCGTCTGAAAAAAAAAAAAAAAAAGTTCCCCATGGGTTTGCTGAGGCTTCCATCGTGACTGCATTGCAGTTCAATTCTCCCTCCGCCCGGTCTCACTTTCTTTTCTTCCCTTCCACAGCTGCCAATCTCCACAGTACTTCTTAAATTTCATGTGCGTTCATTTCCACTCGGAATATGCTTCCTGGACAGCTCAACCAGTGCTAAAGTTTAGTCACCATATTTCCTAAGAGCATACCTGCCTCTTCAAGTTCTTCTGGGTTAAATCAGAATTTCTAGGACTAAATTTTTCTAGACTAGTATAACAAAAGATGAGAAAAAACGGGTCTAGTCCCAGAAGATAGAAAGACCAGAATAATTGAAGAGGCAGTGTGCAAGTGAACACTGCCATATTATTATTATTATTATTATTTTTTACAAGATGAACTTCTCTGGGGATACATGAAATAGGATTGTCAAGGGTGCTTAGTCTGTAATTAACTGACAGGAGAATGACTTAGTACTCAAATGTCAGAGGCGTTTGAACCAGAGCGATTCCATCTTGAAGAGGGGCTGGGTAAAATGAGGCTGAGACCTACTGGGCCGCACTCCTAGGACGTTAGGCATTATAAGTCACATGATGAGAGAGGAGGTCGGCATAGATATAAGTCTTCCTCTTATAACCCTTGCTGATAAAAGGCTGTTATAAAGAAGCCAGCCAAAACCAAGACGGTGACGAAAGTGACCTCTGGTCATCCTCACTGCTCATTATATGCTAATTATAATGCATTAGCATGCTAACAGATATTCCCACCAGTGTCATGACAGTTTACAAATGCCATGGCAACCTCAGGAAGTTATCCTACATAGTCTAAAAGGGAAGAACCCTCAGTTCCAAGAATTGCCCACTTTTTTCCCAGAACATTCATGAATAATCCACCCCTTGTTTAGCATATAATCAAGAAATAACTATAAGTAGAATTAGTCAAGCAGCCCATGCCACTGCTCTGCCTATGGAGTAACCATTCTTTTATTCCTTTGCTTTCTTAATAAACTTGCTTTCACTTTACTCTATGGACTCTCCCTGAATTCTTTCTTGCACAAGGTCCAAGAACCCTCTCTTGGAGCGGGGGTGTGGATCAGGACCCTTTTCTGGTAACAAAAAGATCTTCTGCTTTCACTGCAGCCTAGAGATTGAGGTGTTGTTAAGTATTATATATAGTGCCAATCCTTTTACCATTGGGATGGATCAGGCTGAAATTCAAAATAAGAACTTTATAGGTACATCTCAGTCCTGGGAACTGTCATTGGTACCCTGAAATATGGTTACAGGGATATTAGCAGTTTGAGCCATTAAGATAATCTCTCATCTATATCATTTACAACTGCTCCCAAATTCTAAGTGTTCTAGGGCAGGTTCCCTAGGGACAGAGTCTGAGATGGGGAACACCGTGCAAATGACTGATTGAGGGCATGCTTGCAGGTAAAATCTGTAAGAGAGTGATGGGAGGATAGAACAGGAGAAAAACCTAGAGGAAGATGCAGATTAAGCCAATGTCTACACTTTGTCTGCTTCCACAGGAAGTTTTGGAGCATGAATAGCACCACAATTGTACCACTTTCTCAAAAAGCCCAGATGTTTTTATCCACATATTTGTCAGTCATTGGCTTAGGGTTGCCCTCAGTTAAGGGTAGGCATGGCAAGAAACATATCTCCCACACATTTCTAGATGAGGCAGCTTTCTAGGCCCACAACAGGGACAAGTCTGAACTGTTAGCAACCAATGATCACAGCAGTGGCCAACAGGCACCCTGGCCCCATGTAAGGAATCTGAGAGGGAGGAGGACCAACACTGACTATAACACTGAGCAAATACCATGTGCCAATGTGCTGTGCAGGTCAGAACTATAAATGCAAGGCTGAATCACAACAAGCATTGCCTCAATGGCCTCCTCTGTCCCCACAGCTATTCCAGGCTAGTCCTAGGCTTTGATTGTGTCATAGGCTATCTCTTGAGAACAATTTCTGTTCTTGTCAGGAAGGACCCCTGCAGGGATTTCTGCAGGAGGATCCAGACAGGAGAATGGGAAAGAAAAGGCAGTGCTCTCTCAGTCGTTTATCAAGCATTATTCTCTTACAGATTGACCATGTTGAATGATCCTTTTAAAAATTATGAACTTTAGTAGTGAAGTTCCTTCTTGGTTTATATGATTCTCATGAGTCAAGTCATCAGGAATATGTGATTGCAGGGAAGCCAGACTCCCCATATTCAGAAACAGGCTGAAAGAGGTTGATTAAATTCCAACTACAGAGTCATTATATTTTACCTACCTAAATCAAACATCTAACTTAAAATGGAACTAGTCTCATCCAATACCTGAATGAGAGGCTCAAGAAACTATTTCCACTACCTTTGCATCATTGAACAACTAAATCCAATGCCTGATATAAAAAGAGATAGATCCAGTCATTAAGTCTCCATGTTGCACTGGGCAAAGCACTTCACCTCAACAACCCTAATTTCCCGTTTTATTATGAGGAATTTGAATTAAGTGGTTCATTTATTGAACAAATATCTCTTGAACACCTACTATGTGCAAGACAGTTTGCTAAGAGCCCAGGACAGAATGGCAAAAAGAGACACAGAGCCACTGCCCTAGTGGAGCTCACAATCAAGTAAAGAAGGGAATCAACACAAACGAGTTCAAAAATATTAATTGTCATAAATGCTATGAAAGAAACAGAGGCGATGAAATCAAAAATAATGGCAAGGATCTATTTTGGATGGGATTTTTACAGAACGCCTCTGTATAAAAGTAATATTGAAGCTGAAACCTAAAGATGATAAGGAGATAATCAAGTCAAGAACATTCCAGATAGAGGGGCTAGACTGTGCAAAGGTTCTGAAATAGGAGTGAACTTAGCATGTTTCAGAAGCTGAAAGAAAGATTAGGGTAGATGGAGTATAGTGAGCAAGGGGCACAGAGACAACACAAGGTTGGACAGAACCAGGTTGTATAGGTCACAATAAAAAGTACAGATTTTATCCCAAGAGTAATCAGGAGCCATTGCAGAATTTTAAACAGCAGCAAAACATTATCCACTTTACATTTTGGAACACACTAGCTGCTGCATGGAGAATTAACTGGAGGTGAGAGTAAAATCTAGGCGACCTGTCAGGGGTGACTATTGTAAGTCTAGCAAGAGATGATGGCAGTCCACTTAAGGTACTGGCAGTGACAATGGAAAGGAGTGGAAAGAAGATGTATTTTGGAAGTGATGACACGTATCTGATATATCTGTTATATTGATTATGGTTTGGATGCAGGAGATTGCTAAAAGAGGAAAAAAAAATTAAGAATGATGCCTGGGTTTCTAACATACACAATGAAATGATGGTGATGATATTTACTTTTGAAGACTGGTGAATGGGTAGGAAAAGCTTTGGGATAAAGCCAGGAATTCACTTGGACAAATTAAGTTGTTTAGGAGACATCCAAGAGATATGTCAAATAAACAGTTAAATATGTACATCTAGAGATCGGTGGAAAGATCATTATTAAGCAAGGGACAAGTCTGAACATTTAAGACGTTGGAGAGTCAGTTTCTTTATAAATGAAATGGGGCTAATAATATCTACTTTCCTAATTCATACAATTGTTATAAGGATCAAAATAAAATAATATATTAGTAACCACTTTGCAAACATACATACACACATTAAATGTATGAGTATACATGTATGTATGAATAATATTTAGCATTTCAATGGAAAATGTGAAAATCTTTTTTTTTTTTTTTTTTTTTTTTTGAGACAGAGTCGCACTCTGTCGCCCAGGCAGGAGTGCAGTGGCGCAATCTCGGCTCACTGCCAGCTCCGCCTCCAGGGTACACACCATTCTCCTGCCTCAGCCTCCCCAGTAGCTGGGACTACAGGTGCGTGCCACCATGCCCAGCTAATTTTTTGTATTTTTAGTAGAGACAGGGTTCCACCGTGTTAGCTAGGATGGTCTTGATCTCCTGACCTCGTGATCCACCTGCCTCAGCCTCCCAAATTGCTGGGACTACAGGCATGAGCCACTGCGCCCGGCCGAAAACCATTTCTGTATACTTGAATTTCTACCAACTATATTCACACATTGTTGCCTTAGAACATGTTAATTATACCAGTTTTTAACAGTTAAATCAATGAGAATTCGTCCTTTGACTCTCATGATGTGTAATTGGCTCTAGATTATGATTTCTATGTGTCTGTTTAACCCATGTGTGTGATTTCTACATGTCTGTCTAAGGAGGTATAAGAGGTATATATAAAAGTAGTTCTGAGCATAGAAAGAGGGCAACCAAAATTGCCAAAGTTAATATTTACTGAACTATATATAATATTCAAAGGTGAATACCTTTGAAAGTCAAAAGGTAGGACTTCCTTCAACAGATAACAAGAGTCTATAGAAAGATACTCTTCCTTGTACTTCCCTTCACTTTCCTTATCATACGAACCCATGAAATCATTTTCTCCAAAGAAACAAGAAATATTTTCCTGTTAAAATTTCCTGTGTATGTAAAGGACACTCCTTTGGCCTCTAAGAACACCATTCCAGGAAGATGCAATGTGAGTGTTGACGTTCCAGTAACTTCTGAGGGGTTAACCCTATTTATACAGAGCTCTGTCTCTTTGAACAGACCTTCTGGCGTCATAACCAGGCTAATTGATCCTCTGCATGCAATTGCTCTCCCAGACAGAGTCTGGTGCCAATGCTATAAAAATGTAGAGATAGAAAAAGAAAAGTACTGGAGTTTTATCACCAAATATCCTAAACTGACAACCAGATAAAGTGATCAAAGATAATAAAGCAAAACTTCTGGAAACCTGTCATGGAGCAGGAAGTATTTGTCTCAATGACCAATTTCTGCAATAGACTTGGTCAGTTGAGCTTCTTTTTAAAGCCAGTTAAAAGATAAAATACATTACTATAGCTATTGTAAGTAGTAGTAGTGGCATTTTCAGAAACTTATTAATCTTTATCGTTGCAGTAGGCTGAGGGTACCTTTCAGAAATGTAAAAATAAAATTATCAATAAGATGTTTGAAATTATCAAATTAAGCTTTTTAAAATTTATGATGTTGATTTAATTGATTAAAGATAGTCAAGACTATAATCCTATCTAAATACCAATTGTTAGAATTCATTATTGTGAAGACTATTGGGTGTCTTTAAAAAGGTTAGGTTGGCAGGACACGGTGGCTCATGCCTATAGTCCCAGCACTTTGGGAGGCTCAGGCGGGTGGATCATGAGGTCAAGAGATCGAGACCATCCTAGCCAACATGGTGAAACCCTGTCTCTACTAAAAATACAAAAATTAGCTGGGTATGGTGGCATGTGCCTGCAGTCCCAGCTACTCAGGAGGCTGAGGCAGGAGAATTGCTTGAACCCAGGAGGCAGAGGTTGCAGTGAGCCAAGATTGTGCCACTGCACTCCAGCCTGGCGACAGGGTGAGACTCCATCTCAAAAAAAAAAAAAAAAAAAAATGCCGGGCGCAGTGGCTCACGCCTGTAATCCCAGCACTTTGGGAGGCCGAGGCGGGCGGATCACGAGGTCAGGAGATTGAGACCATCCTGGCTAACACGGTGAAACCACCCCCCTCCAGTCTCTACTTAAAATACGAAAAAAAAAATATATATATATATATATATAGCGGGGCATGGCGGCGGGCGCCTGCAGTCCCAGCTACTCAGGAGGCTGAGGCAGGAGAATGGCGTGAACCTGGGAGGCGGAGCTTGCAGTGAGCCAAGATCATGCCACTGCGCTCCCGCCTGGGCGACAGAGCAAGACTCCGTCTCAAAAAAGAAAAAAAAAAAAAAAGGTTAGGTTGATGTGACTGGAATTTGAGATAGACACGTAGAAGGCGTTCTGAGTTTAGGGTGATGCAGTGGGTTGGGTAGTAGAAAAGATTAATCTCTCAGTGGGTGGGGACACAATTTTTCTTGGATGTATAGCCATTAGTAGGACAAAAAGGGGCCCATTTTAACCATCTTCCCTATTCTAGTGATCTCCTGATCTCCAGAATTAATTCACAAGATCTTCTGTTTACATTTATTATTTCTTCCTTCTTATTGTATATATGATATATTTGTACACTTTTAGTTTTTTCCTGGTAATGAGGAATGATCCACATATTTGGAGACCCTTTCTCAGAGTCTAGGGCATGACCTGTGAGGTTCTAAATACACGCATAAAGTAGCTTGCCCCGAAACACTTTTCATGAGTGTTGCAATCACTGCAAGGGCTCTAATTCAAAACCAAACTCTTTCTGCAAACCGGAAATAAAAAAGCCCCTTCTTCCAAGTGGACCTGCTTGGGGACTGCAGCTTTGAGAACTAAGCAGAGGCCGGGTGGCAGCTTCACTCACTGAGCAGTGAGCAAACTGCACAAACGTCCAAACGCGTGGGCCCCGCGTGTTCCACTTTCAGAGAATGTGCTCAGAACAGTCACTCCCCCCGCCTCCATCTGGCTAAACTTCTGGGCAGCCTCACAAGATGGCAGTTCCTTTGTGGATTTGCTTGATCGCAGTTCAGAGACTCACTCTCAGCTTTTCAGCCTCAAACGGGAGACAGATCCATTTACTTTAACCCAAGTCAGGAGTTACCAAATTTAATTTTGACTCAAGTAATATGTGCCACAGAAACCAGAATTATTTGTGCAAGCACCATGTGCACATCTCCTTACATTAAGAAAAAGGATTTGCCTTCAGAAGGACGATATCTGTCAAGTGAATCAAAAGCAAAGAGCATCAGATAAAGATGCCCAGGTGTCTGCAGCTGACAGTAGAGGTGGTTTTACCAATAGGACACAAAGTGCTCTAGCTACAACTCTTTGAATTACCAAATTAGGGGAAATCTGACCAGGGGCTTTGCCAGTGCTGTCAGCCAGCATACTAAACACCCACTGCAGCCAGCATACTAAAGTAAACACCCACTGACTAGGTTGTTCTCTTCCCACATGGCACTTGGAAAGGTACAGCCAATGCGTGTCTCACTGGTATATCTCTCAATGATAAAACATCCTCTCTTTCTGGCAGGCAAGTTTTTTTTTTCTTTGCATATTTTATGACACTAAACTAGTCAGTCCTGGAGGGAAAGTTGTCCCTCTCACGATTCTGTGTATCACTGCTACTGTCCCTTGAGCTTAAAGTTTAACTTTCAGAGGAAAGAATTTTTCCCATTTTTTGCAGCTTCTTGGGGGATACCATACTGTCCCAAAAACAATGTGTTTCTCACCAATGCAATGTGCTACTCACACTGCTTCCAGAACTGCAATAATCTTTGACTGACAGTGGTCAGATTCCCAGGAATCAAGCAGCCATTTGCATACCTGCAGATTCCCTGGTCAACTAGGGTTAGTCACATGGCAGCTTCAAGAGGCGGCCCTTGTCATGACTAAGACATTCTTACTGTGTTGCCCTTCTCATAACTAAGAATGTCTACATGGCAGGCACCTTCTTTTGATGAATTTGTTATTATCAAGTTGGCAACCAATAGTGATGTAACAAGGAGAAAGCAATGTATTTAGACTTAACTGAAAATAAACACCACCAGAGGAAAAATGTGCCCATTCATAAAGATGTTTATACTAATAGGGCCAGTAGAAGAAAATTATTTATTTAAAACCCAAAACATTTCTCTGAATGATAAGTTTGACCTCAGCTTCATGTCAGAGTTTAGTAGAAGACTGTATCTCTATGTATTTTCATTTTCCCATTAATATATGCTACACAGAGAGAAAATAAATAAGTAAAAACTAAGTCAGTGAGGTAAAGGAACTGATGTGAATTCGTTATTCATGTTTTAAGCTTGGCAGCAAAAAATGATTGCCAAAAAGTACAGGCGCTCATAGATCCCCAAAGTCAGCTGTTTTCTGTAAACATAGTTTCTAGACGATTAATAACATGTTGTTGGACCACATTCTTGGGCCATTGCTCTGTTTTCTCATTAGATCTCCTGCATGTGCATAAAATATCTCTTCTTATTTTAGTGGATGGGAATTGCTGCCCCTTCCTTATAATGCTCATTTTTTACCTTTGAGCAAATTGTTAAATTTGTTATTGATCAGGAATGAAAATAACTATCTGTTGTTTTCCAGGCCTGAAACCTGGAAAAATTTATCAGACTTTTCTAGTTGATTTGCTGTTTTTGAAGGTAAAATACCATCCATTACTCAGAACTACATTAAACTGTCTACTCACACCTCTTCTAGAATTGTGATTTTCTGTTTTCTACTTACACAGAAAATAGTAGTTAGTTTCTCCTATGGCAATGGGCAGACAGTGAGGAGAATGGAAAGTGAGTTAGGTGCGGTTCCTGACCTCCAGGAATTTGACATTCTGCAAGGATGGATAGAAAAGCCATGCACACAACGGCCAAAATGTGAGGCCACATTAAAATGGGGGCCATAGGGAGAAGGACCAAGTCCTCTAGAATCTCAAAGGGAGAATCGTGTCCAGCAGGCATGGTCAGGGAATGCTTTAGCCACAGAGGGGAGGCATCTGAGTTGGGCACTAAGCCACGAGTCAGATTTCAGAAAGCACAGATGGGGGATGAGGTATGACCAGCAGGCGGAATGGCATGAGCAAGGGCAGAAGCAGAAAAGCACAGGGAACATACAGTGATCCAATTTGGCTGGACCATGGTGTACTGTAGGGAGTGATGGTGTTTGGGAGGTAAAGGTAAGTTGAGGTTAAATGGCGAAGAGCTTTGAAAGCATGAATAAAGCATTTAAACTCTTTGGTGAGCAACAGGGAATAACTGATCATCCTTATCAACATGCAGCTTAGCGTAATTGGTCAGAAAGTCATGTGCAATGTGAAAAAGAGGGAATGAGGAGGAAGGCAGGGAAACAATGGTTGATGTCATCCATCTAGGAGATGATGAGTGGGCTTCCCAGTAGACTGCAATGAACAGAAGGAAGTCTGAATGGTGGGAGGAATTTTTCTATGTCACTTCTTACTCAACCTATTCTCTATTTTTCTGGCTACAAGAGTCAGAAAAGCTAAAATCCATGATGGGATTCATCTGTCCAAAATGCTAGATGTGATTTCTAGGAAACTACAAAATCTGAAGGGGCCACAGTTGGGTGCTGAAGTCAAGTTTTAGCATTAAACTAACTTCTAAACCCAGAAAAATAAGGACAACTGAGGGCAGGAAGAGTCCTTAGAATAGAATTTTTTAATTTTGTGATTTATTTTAATGATAAGCTAAAAAAGTTATGAAATATACTTGGGGCCACATGGATAACCACCTTATAAGTGAGTATTTCCACTTCATTTTAGTGTCTGTGCTTTCATTTTTCTATTGCATCATCATCAAGTGATACTACTTTAATGTACATGGGCTAATGTAGAGAAAGCTGAGGAGGAATTAATATAAAAGTGACACACCGTGTGCCAATTGAAGGCCAAGTGAAATTTGGTAAATGATGATTTCTTAATGGTCCGACTAAACAAATAGGAAGATTGAGTTTATGATACCAAAACTGAAGACTTGGAGTTGCATTGGGGTCAGTAACTATGTTTTCTTAAATCAGTGTAGAATTTGGATTTCATTGGTTTAGAAATTTTCTTAATATTTAATTTGTAAATCAATTTTAATTTTATAATTGTTTTGTATCTATAAGAATAACAAGGCCGAGCACGGTGGCTCACGCCTGTAATCCCAGCACTTTGGTAGGCCGAGGCAGGTGGATCACCTGAGGTCAGGAGTTCAAGACCAGCCTGACCAACATGGAGAAACCCCATCTCTACTAAAAATACAAAATTAGCCAGCATGGTGGCGCGTGCCTGTAATCCCAGCTACTCAGGAGGCTGAGGCAGGAGAATCGCTTGAACCTGGGAGGCAGAGGTTGCAGTGAGCTGAGATCACGCTATTGCACTCCAACCTGTGCAACAAGAGCGAAACTCCATCTCAAAGAAAACAACAAGCTTATATATAGTTACATTTGCAGAGATATAAGTAACATTATCTAAAAAGGTATCAGCTCATTTAATGAGGGCAGAATGAGTGAAAATGTTGTCCACTAAAGTAAGCCCGTATATTACTTCTGTTTGGAAAACACAGCCCTGGAACATACATTTGGCCTTGCGGTTTGCTTTTATAGGTGAAGGTACGTTGACCGCTTAAATGGTCAAGACAAAGGGGACACTCATACATTTCATATTCTAAGAGTTCAGCCTGCTCGTCTGTCAAGTTGTAAATGTCTAAATTAATATATGCAAGAAAAATATTTTATTTAGTACCTATTTGTTTGTTGCATTGAACTAGCTTATTTATTATGGGAACCAGGTAACCCCTCCTTTTCAGTGTATGAAACAACGCAATTGAACCTAGATTTTGAAAATATGTATTGTAGAAAAAATTCTTCATATATTTCAATTTCGTTTTTATTCCATTCTAATTTCAATAACAGGTAAAGTCAGAAAACATAATACACTCTTGTGGTAGCTCAACAGGCAAATAAAATCAGCATATCAGTCACCACTGGGATGATATTATTTTTAGTATGGCTGATGTGGTTTAGTGGGACTCTCTTATTACATTAATTGGCTACCAGTTCTGCAAAGCGTAATTAGCACCACTATTCATATCTCAGCCCATGTGCGAATTTGGCAGCACTGTCAGCAAAACACACCTCTTTTCCAAGTCTAGGATAACAACTGAGAAACAACTGACTGATATCCTGAATTATATTAAATATATTTAGAAGTATGTCTGACATGTGTTCAAAGGAGACAGTATTGAAATTTTTTTTCTTGTGCTCATAACCATAATAAAGAAATATGTAATTTCCTGTGAGCTTCACAAATTATTAACCAAGTCATCTTTAAACTATCCTGAGATATTCATCCCATTATCTCCATTGTGTAGATTTGGAGATGGAGACACAATGGGAACAAGGGTCAGGATGTGGTGTCTTAAGCTTTAAGGCGCTGCAGCTTATCACATTCTTAAAGTTTCCTCCTTGCACATAAAGCCTCATAATAAATGCTTCCAGCAAGTGGTGGAGCGTGCGTGACAATTTAAGAATGACCAGTTTTAGAATAGGAAGTCAATGGAAAATGTTAGATTAGTGTTTATATAAAGGTAAGTGTTTAAAATAAGACAAGTTATTGAAAGTAGGTATCTAGCACAAATAAAGAATCCAAGTAATGCCAAATACACAAAATTCTAAATGAAAAAATTACAGGATTCTATCTCATCTTTTGACTCCTAATGACACCCTCTCAGTCTCTCAGCCAATTCTCATGCCTACATATCATCTCAATTGGTCAACCAGTGAAAGAGCCATAACATAGTGAAGTCTTGAATACACGTTTTTTTCTGGTTTCTCAAAGCAGCCTATTTCTACTTAGCTGTATTCTCTCTTCTGGAAGCACACTCAAGTAATTAATTCCAGATCCCTAATCTGTTTCATACTAAACAAATTGCAACAGTTTCCAGTCTACCCACTCTACTCCTTTATACCAACTCTGCATGATTCAGGAGTCTGCTTTTCCAAAAGGGGCAGCTTATTTTCAACCGCAACCAGCAATATGCTCCTAAAATCATGATGAATCAGTCCTATAATCCACCAGATCCTTATTCAGTGTGAATTAAGTAATGTCAAGGCCCACTCCTGCTCCAAAATGTCAAATTGTCTTTTCTAGCTACTGCCTTAGTGCCAGAAATATTATCAATACTCCTAACTTTTAGAATGAAGCATTATACCCTGAACACTCCTATTAACATTGTAAATTATGTAGACAACACATTAACCCACTGATTATTAAATTTTTATTATTTATTTATTTTCATATAGGGTTTCACTCTGTTACTCAGGCTGGGGTACACAGTGGCACAATCATGGCTCAGTGCAGCCTCGACCTCCCGGGCTCAAGCAATCCCCCCACCTCAGCCTCCTGAGTAGCTGGGACCACAGGCACACACCACCATGCCTGGCTAATTTTTTTAGTTTTTATAGAGACAGGGTCTCACCATGTTGCCCAGACTGGTCTCAAATTTCTGGGCTCAAGCCATCCTCCCACCTTGGCCTCCCAAGGTGCTGGAATTACAGGCATCAGCCATCACACCTGGACTGATTACTAAATAGAAGTGTGGAAAAGAATCAGTGAAAATACACACACTGAGCCTCCCCTTCCAGAACATGTGATTCAGTAAGGAATCCAGAAATAAGTGTTGCTTTGGAAAATCATTTTAGGCCTAATGTTCATCCTAGCTTCAGAGCCACTGCAGTAATCCCTCATTAAGTATCCAAACACAACAGAATGAATTTGTTCTTTTTAAGTGCCATGAAATAATAGGACAAGGTAAGTTTGATGGCGAGATAGCAGTTAGCAAAGAAAAAAGTAGGCCAGAACAGTTTGCTTTGGGAAAAACTCTGGAGTTCAGGGGACAAAATGAAGAAACTGAATACTGGGAAGTGTGAAGGGAACTAGAATAGGAAGAAGAAAAGCTTTGAAACTACTTTCTATTAGGTTTCTATTAATAACTTATGCTGAGGTGGGCATCAGTGTTGAACATTTCCAGCCTTAAAAGTTCTTTAAAACTGTGAAAAATAGTTAGCAGTTCCTCAAAAAGTTTAACATAGAATTACCAAATTACCCACCAATTGCATTCCTAGATATACACCCAAAAGAACTGAGAACTGGTGTTCAACTGCTTGCACATCAATGTTCCTAATAGCCCCATCCACAATAGCCAAAGGGTGGAAACAACCGAAATGCCCATCTTTGATGAATGGATAAACAAACTGTGGTATATCCATACAATGGGATACTAGCCATAAAAAGGCATGAAATACTGATATATGCTACAACAGGCATGAACCCTAAAAACATGTTAAGTGAACGAAGCCAGATACAGAAGGCCACATATTGTATGGTTCCATTTCTATGAAATATCCTTTATAATCAAATCCATAGACACAGAAACCAGGTTGGTGGTTTCCAGAGGCTGAGAAGGGTGATGGCTTACATGGGAATGGGAAGTGGTATTAATGGGTATAGGGTTTCTTTTAGGATGATGAAAAAATTTCAGAACTAGATAGTGGTGATGGTTGCACATCATCTTGAATACACTTAATGTCACTGGATTAAACACTTAAAATAGCTAAAAAGGTAAATTTCATGATTCATATATTTTATCAGAATTTTTTGAAGTGCTTTACAGGTATACATTTTTTATCCCTACACATCTCCCTTGCCTAGGAACCTTGAAGAAATATCCTCACAAGTGAGCTTCCCGTGGGCCTGCTGGTGCTTCTGCAGACATCCCTCCCTTCAAACTTGAGTGCCCAGACAGGACTGAGCAGGTGTGAACAAGAAAGACTGCTCAAGTGCAGATCTCAAGTTACCCTGTGCCCTGGATGAGGAGATGGGTGGAGGAAAGTGATAAGAACATCTGAACAGTGTGGCTCCCTAAATGTCACTGGGCTTTATGTGATTAAGTTTCCCCCACACTCTGGAAACTTCAGGGATTGACAGGCAATGACTGCAGCGTGCACCCTGCAATTTAAACACAACACAACAGAAAGGAGGATTCCAAAGCAGACAAAATGCCAAAGAAAATTGCCCTGTGAGAAGGCACTCTCTATATCCTTAGAGTCAGCATGAAAACAAAAGTGCCCATTTCTTTTTCATGCCACCCAGCTCTGCCTTACTTGTCATCTACAATGCAGAAATGTGGAAAAAAAAAAAAAAAAACGAAGCTATTTTCTGGGGATTCAGAGAATTCCCTACCTACCTAATGACTGCCCTCTAAAACATTCAATTGTAAGACTTGAACAGTAGAGAAAAATGTTTTTCTAAGGGGAATCTGTCTTCTGATTATAGATACAGACAGTCCCTCATTCCATTTCTTTGTGGCTGCTCTCTATGGGTTTACATTAGCCAGGTCTTCGATTCATAGTTAGTTCATCACAGCTGATTGTCCCTGTTCTGTTCAGATAACTTAGATAAACAGAATGCACTGCTTAAGTGCACATGTGATTGGACATAAGCAAAAGGAAACTTTTAAAAAACTGTAAGTCAAATTCAAGTTTTGTAAATGTATTTTAAGAGAGTGTTGAATGAAAGGTCGACAAAAAGTTTATAAAGATTATTTTAGGGTGACAAGATTATTGGTTATATGTGGTTATTTTTCCTTTTCTTATATGTTTCTGTATTTTCTGCAGTAAGCACATCTTTGTCATTTTTAATGTAATAAATTTTTTAAAGAACAATGTTATTTTTGGTCTGATGTTAAGTACATGCCTATGAAAACTCAACTGAATTATTGTTACTGTTCTATTTCCTTATAATCTTCGTCAATCCCCAACTGGCTCACATTTTTCTGGCTATTGGGGTCTCTATTGTGGATTCTTAACTTCCTACATCTTTTTCCACTTGATATCTTTGATAAATACAGGCGATTTTTAAGAAGATGTTGGGGTCAGTAGCATAATCTGTTGATTTAAAACAGTGATTAGGCAATGGAATGAAGTCCAATGAGAGATATGTTCATTCAGAATTTTCCTTTACATGAATTTTTTATTGCAGTATAATATACTTACAGAAGAGTACAAATAAATGTACAGCTAAATCACAAAGTGAACTCACCTATGTAATTGACACTTGAGTTGTGAAATAGACCATGTCCAATACCCAAAGGCCTTCGACATGCCTGCTCCAATTCCCAGCTCCTGCCTCCTCCCCAAAATTAACCACTATCCTAATCTCTAACGCCACAGGCCAGGATTGCGTATTTCTAAACTTTATATAAATTAATCAGTATCTATTTTTGTGTGTCTAGCTTATTTCATGCAACATAATGTTTGTCAAGTTCGTCTGTGTTGTAACAGTAGTTCCTTTTTCATTTTCATTGTTTTATAATGTCTCTTTGTACACCTACAGCACAGTTTATTCTACTGTTGGTGGATATCTGGATTGTCTCCAATTTGGAGCTGTTATAAATCATGCCACTATGAACATTTTATATGATTTTTAGAGGACCATATGTATGCTTCTGTTGCCAACTTCTGTTGCCCAATTTATACCTGGGTGTGAATTATTGGGTCATAGGGGCATGTGAATGTTCAGTCCACGTAGACATTGCCAAACAGTATTTTAAAGCATTGTACCAATTCATACTCTCACCAGTTCTATAAGAAAGTTCCAGTTGCTCTACCTCTTACCAACTGTTGATATTTCCAACTTTTTAATGTTCGCCATTTTATCAGGTATGTAGTATATGGTTGTGATTTAAATTTGCATTTCTATGTTGAATTATAATGGGATTGTTAACCTTTTCATATGTTTCTTGGCTATTTTGGTGATCCTCTTTTATGAACAGTGCCTGTTCAAGTATTTTGCCCACTTTTCTATTGGATTGTCTGTATTTTTTGTGTTTTAAAATACATTCTGGATACAACTCTTTTAACAGTGATATGTTTTACAAATGTATTCTCTTCTAGACATGTGCTTCTGTCAGGGTATAGGAAAGATCTTAATGCATCAAGGATGGAGATCATCAGAGCTGAAATGCAGTCCCTGTGGTGGATGATCTATTTTCAGGTTATTTATTTATTTATTTATTTTATTTTATTTATTTATTTTTTTTGAGACCGAGTCTCGCTCTGTCGCCCAAGCTGGAGTGCAGTGGCGTGATCTCGGCTCACTGCAAGCTCCGCCTCCCAGGTTCATGCCGTTCTCCTGCCTCAGCCTCCTGAGTACGCCTGGCTAATTTTTTTGTATTTTCACTAGAGACAGGGTTTCACCGTGTTAGCCAGGATGGTCTCAATCTCCTGACCTCGTGATCCGCCCGCCTCGGCCAAAGTGCTGGGATTACAGGCTTGAGCCACAGCACCCAGCCCAGGTTGGTTGATTAGTTAGTTAGTTAGAGACGGAGTCTTGTTCTGTCGCCCAGGTTGGAGTGCAGTGGCGTGATCTCTGCTCACTGCAAGCGCCACCTCCCGGGTTGACGCCATTCTCCCGCCTCAGTCTCCCAAGTAGCTGGGACTACAGGCGCCCACCACCATGCCCGGCTAATTTTTTTGTATTTTTAGTAGAGACAGGGTTTCACCATGTTAGCCAGGATGGTCTCAATCTCTGACCTCGTGATCCGCCCACCTTGGCCTCCCAAAGTGCTGGGATTACAGGCGTGAGCCACCGCGCCCGGCCCAGGTTATTTACTTTTAAGATTTGGTTCTTCAGAATCCCAAATGAAAGCCTGGGATGACTACTAAGACCCTTTCTCCTTGGCAGGTCTTTAGTTCCAATTATTTCATCCTAGCCCCATAAGAGTACTTAAATCTCTGCTCAGCCTCTTGGCTTCTCCATACTAATTGCAAATCAGCAGATTTCCCTAGTGGAAAAGTCACATGGGGCCAAATGTCCTCTCTGTCCTTCCTTACTTTCCGGGAATCTTGGCCTGCAAATCCTCACTGCTGGTTTTTTTGTTTTTTGTGGGTTTTTTTTTTTTTTTTTTTGTAGCCTTAAGATATTTTAAAACTTCAAACAGATGAATACACACACAAACATATATATGCATATATATATGTAACATGTATGTATGAACACGAAGATTGACTATAACAAGCTTGTTAGCCATGTTTTAGAAACAGAACTTCCAACCAAACTTTTTGGTGGTTTTGCTTTTTGGTTTTTTGGTTTTATCGAGACGGGTTTTCACTCTGTCACCAGGCTGGAATGCAGCGGCATGGTCATAGCTCACTGCAGCCTTGACCTCCTGAGCTCAAATGATTCTTCCACCTCAGCCTCTTGAGTAGCTAGGACTACAGGCACATGCCACCACCCTCGACTAATTTTTTTTATTTTTAATAGAGACAAGATCTCAGTATGTTGCCCAGGCTGTTCTTGAACTCCTAGGCTCAAGCAATCCTCCTGCACTGGCCTCCCAAAGTGCTACGAGTACAGGCATGGGCCACTGCACCCAGCCTAAACTTTTCTTCAATTCTGTACCTCTTTTCTAATGAGCTGGTACAATTGTTACCATTATACAATGAGAGTTACATAATGTACTGTGTTTTACTCTGAGCCTACATGTTGAAAATCAGAGCTTATATTCCTGGCTTTTTCAGCTTATAATTTCATGATTTATTTTTCTCCCTATTTTTCTACCCCTTTACCACATTTTTAACCTGTTACCCTGTATTTACCTTTTAAAAATCTTATTTCACTAATAGTGTATAAGCCACCCCAATTCATTTTGGCTATAGCTAGGGTGGATGAACGGATAGATGGATGGGTAGGTAAATACATAGATATACCAGGTTGTCAAATCCCAAATCAATCAAAATTCTATCATTGAAAATATATAACAAAATCAAGTCCACAGGCAAAAGCATTTAACAGAATGGTCTAGCTGTAGAAAAATCTCAATTTACGGCCGGGCGCAGTGGCTTACGCCCGTAATCCCAGTACTTTGGGAGGCTGAAGTGGGCGGATCACGAGGTCAGGAGATTGAGACCATCCTGGCTAACATGGTGAAACCCCATCTCTACTAAAAGTACAAAAAATTAGCTGGTCGTGGTGGTGGGCGCCTGTAGTCCCAGCTATTCAGAAGGCTGAGGCAGGGGAGAATGGCATGAACCCTGGAGGCGGAGCTTGCAGTGAGCCGAGATAGGGCCACTGCACTCTAGCCTGGGTGACAGAGCAAAACTCTGCCTCAAAAAAAAAGAAAAAAAAATTAGAAAAATCTCCATTTACAATAAAACTAAGAAAAAAATATTTTTAAACCACTAGTCCTGGCTCAGAGGTGATATAGAAAGACCTCTGTGGCATGCCTGTACTGTTCACCTGTACCTGTGGCGAGCAGGAGAAAGAAAGCCCGGATAGGAAACCTGGATGTCCACTCCTCATAAATAAGAAATGGTTCAACTCTACACAGCGGACTTTTGAAGACTTTCTAGATAGAAGGTCCTTAATTCTCGCAACTGTAAAAGCTTCTGGATTTCTTCAAACTTCTTTTACGTTCAAATTAAAATTACACTGAGATACGATTACCTGTACTGGTAGAAATGCAGAATGACACAACTCCATTGGTGAACTATTAGAAATGTCCAGCAGGATTTGATACATATTTACCCTTTAACCAAGCAAACCTACTTCTAGAAATACATCCAAACGATACACTAGCTTCATTATTGTTAATCAGAAAATATTAAAGATCATATTTATATAGCTATTGCAATACAATCAGTAATAGCAAAAAAAGAAAACAACCCAAATATTCATAAATAGGAAACTAGCTAAATAAATATAAGTACATTCATACAATGTAGTATCATGTAATACTGTGCAGCTGTAAAAATGAATAAAGAATATCTTTCTATATCACTATGAAGATGTCTCCAAAAACACTATTAAATGAGAAAAGCAAAATGGAGAAAAGTATGCATGCAATGATGTCATTTATCCAAGGAAGACAGAGAATATAAATACACACACACGTGTGCACACACACCTTTAAAAACAAAGCAATGTGGAGAGGTAGGGTACAGACAGGGTAAAAGGGATGAGGTAGATGCTGGACTTATTTGATTTTGGAATGCTGTATGTGTTTTATAAGATTACAAAATAAATTTTAAGCAAAAAATTTCTAAAAACTTAAAGCAAGATAAAATAAATTAACCTAGATTTTGTACTAAAGTGGTAACATTAACATAGAAAAATTATTTCAAGTGATTTTAAAGCATAAAAATCAGACTGCACGTTCTTAGACGAGTATACCTGAAGGACAAAAAGAACTTCTTGGAAACTGTTTTCAGTAATTCTAGAGTCTGAATGTTTGCGTCTCCCAAAACTAATGTGTTGAAATCTAAACCTCAATGTGATGGTATTAAAAGGTGGGACCTTAGGAAACGATCAGGGCTCCACCCTAGTGAATGGGATTAGTGTCCTTACAAAAGAGGCCTAAGGGAGTTTCTTTCCCCCTTCCACCATATAAGGACACAATGAGAAGCACAGTCTATGAAGCAGGAAGTGGGCCCTCACCAGACATCAAGTCTGACAGTGCCTTGACTTCCCAGCTTCCAAAACTGTGATAGATAAATTTCTGTTGCTTATAAGCTACCCAGTTTATGGTATTTTAGTATAACAGCCCAAATGAACTAACACAAGTCATTACGTTGTTTGTAATCATATTAAATTTAATATTCTGAAAATATTATTTATAAGATAAAACTAAGAAATATTCATGTTAACATCATTAGGGGATAAATGCTTGAGGGGATGGATACCCATTCTCCATGATGTGCATATTCCACATTGCATGCCTGCATCAAAACATCTCATATATCCCATAAATATATACACTTACAGCTAGGCACAGTGGCTCAGGCCTATAATCCCAGCACTTTGGGAGTCCAAGGCGGGTGGATCACTTGAGGCCAGGAGTTCAAGACCAGCCTGGCCAGCATGGTGAAACCCTGTCTCTACAAAACTTGGCCAGGCGTGGTGGCGTGCACCTGTAGTCCCAGCTACTCGGGAGGCTGAGGAAGAAGAATCACTTGAACCCAAAAGATGGAGGTTGTAGTGAGTCGAGACTGCACCACTGTACTCCAGCTTGGATGACACAGAAAGCTCTGTCTCAAAAAACTGTATATATATATACCTACTATGTACTCATAAAAATTTAAATATATAGGCTAAAAATTTTAAATATATATATCCCAATGATACATACATCATTAGGATACAAGATTTTCAGCAAAGAGAAACAAGAAATTTTCAAGTTAAATTAAAAACTTGGTAATTCTAAATATCAATTTGAAATACCAGTATAAACTTAAGATGTATTTTCTCATTAAAAAATACACAAATACATTTCCTAGCTCTGTCCATTGAAAAGGCTTAGAAATAATCAGCATTCTAGTAGCAATAAGCACTCTAACACTCAGATTGTGGTTTCTAAATACCTTTTCCCACCAAAAGGAACCAGCTATATTTGAAGAAATGGCCCATTCTAGATGAACCTGGAACATTTTGCCAAACTAGAAAGCAAGAAAACTATCACATGCTATCATAATTGTCAAAATGGTCCAGGAGCCAATTTGAAAAGCATTACAGTGGCAAAGATGGAACAATGTGAACATTTAATATTAATCATCACTGCAATGGGCCAAACATGGTGACTCACACCTGTAATCCCAGCACTTTGGGAGGCCAAGGTGGGAGGATCACTTGAGGCCAAGAGTTTGAGACCAGCCTGAATGACACAGTAAGATCCCAGCTCTTAAAAAAAAAAAAAAAATTAAATAACCAAGCATGATAGTACCTGCCTGTAGTCCTAGCTACTCAGGAAGCTGAGGCAAGAGAATCACTTGACTCTAGCCTGGGCAACACAGTGAGATCCTGTGTCAAAAAGTAATAATAACAACTGCAATGGATTAAAACATTTGTATATGTTTAAATGCATTAGATAATTATTATTCTAAAATAAATACTCACTGGCTACCTTTGGAAAGTGTTAGGGAATTAATTTAATATTCTGAAAACTGATGAATCAAAATAAAGCATCAAGTAATACCTTTCCTCTCCTATACCAACTATACTTGAGGATAAGCAAATAGTTAATGAGGAATAGTATATTTCTTTACAGAAATATTCCAGCTTATAAATCAGGAAGGAATTACTGAATTGTATTATCATCATTTTTGCAAACTCTGATAAAATAATGAACGCAGAAAATGATCATTATTGGCTCCTAACATCAACAAAAGAGAGATAACCAGATATATGTCTCCTTCTGAAAGTAGATACCACCACTTATACAGAGAAGCTTGTGGATCACCCAGTTTCTAATAGATATGTAGGGGAATAAGAATCTCACTAAATGACAGTTTGAAGATGCAAAATCAAGAATGTGAAAAGTTCTACAGGACCAATGACCCAAGTTTTTCAACTAACAAATTGCAAAGAAAAAAAAATAAGTGAGGAAGAGACAACCTATAAATTAAAAGAGAATTGAGAGACATATCAACCAATTGCAATAGACAAACTTTATTCTAATCTTGATTTGAACAATTGTTTAAAAAATAGATTTCTAGCCTATCTGGGGAATTTGACCACCAATTAGCTGTTTGATGATATTAAAGAATTATTATTAATCTTATGACAATGGTAACATAATTATGTTGTCTTAAGAGAGTCCTTACCTTTTAGATACATACTAAAATTATGAATAAAATGATTCAGTGTCCTGGATTTGCTTCAAAATGATCCATCTGCGAGTAGTAGCAGGGAGTTAAATAAAACAGGATTTGCCATGAGTTGAAAGTTGCTCAACAGGTGATGAGAATATGGATGTTCTTTACTGTTTTTTTCTCCTTTTTGTGTAAAGATAGTAAAAGTTTAAAATTCCAGAACAATCACAAATATCCAAATTATCCATCTTCGATTTAAAGGTATCTTATTTCTCTGAATGAATATTAAGGCTTGGAAGAAAACACCTATTTTATAGCTAAATCAAGAAAGACCTCATGTATTAATAGTTCCATGACCAACCATTAGAAAGAAGGGACAATATTATTTTAAAGGATCTTGGCAGAATTTCTTATAAGAACAGAACTGTCTTTTGTTAAGCAAAAAATGAGCCATTTAGGTAGAACAATGGTGGTAGTCTAGAAGAAAATAGTAGAAGAATGAGAAGAATAAATGCCTTCTTATGACTTTAAAAAATGAGAATTGGGACATGCACAGGAAGCTGAGAAGTGAATGGCCTCAGAAGGAAGGAGAAAAGATCTAAGGAAATACAGACAGCAAGGGAACCTAGCACCCTGGAAGGAAGTCTTTTCCATAAAGAAATTTTCCCCTTGGCAGGTAACCAACAGCAACCCAGGTGGAGGGGGCAGAGAAGGAGCCAGTGATGCTGCCCAAACCTGGGACTTATTCCCTCCACTGGGAGGTCAGTACAAGCCAAGTTCCTGGTGGGGTCACACTGAGAACATTTGGCAGGTTGTGCCTCTATGACGTGACGTGATCAGTCCGGAGTGACGCTGATGGCTCATCATGGATCTGATCGGCACCAGGTTCTTGTCTGTACCAAGTTGGTGAAGCCCTTCCAAGCCCAGGTGGGCTCCCTGTACATTGTCCTCGGGGGGCTCCAGGACCAGCAGCACGGAGGCTCCATGATAAAGGCATTGGTGCTGAACTGTGTGGAAGGGATGGATCTGCCCTTGTGAGAACAAGCCAAGCGGGAGCAGAGGCAGTACCAGCGTGTGAGGGACGGCGGCCAGTACGACGTGCAGCCCAGTAACACCCCCTACCTGCTTCTGAGGCCAAAGCCTCCCAAGCTACGGGAGCGCCCCAGAGCATAAGCGCTTCCCCAGCGACTGCCTTGTCTGGACCCTGAAAGCAGAGGGGCAGGCGGTTAATCCAGCCCCTTCCCCTAATTTGGGATTGACTCAGAAATGAAAACTCAGAAAACAGGCCCCAAATCCAACACTCCATACCCCCACCCCACCCCCACCCCCTACCACACCAGGGGCTGCAAGTGGCCGAGCTCCAGGCTGCTGAGGCTGTGCCTTGTGTGGGGTCATGGAGGGTTTCAGAAGGCCCTGGTGAATAAAGCCCCAGAGGGCATGACCTTGAAAAAAAGAAAGAAATTTTCAGTGCTAGCTATGGCTATGAGACTGTAAAACAGGGATGGCTAAAATTCAATTTTGAATTATCTGCTGTGCTATAAGGTGCCGTGACCCCCCAACCCTCCACTATTGCCAACCTTCAGTAAAAGCAAGGCTCATGCAGCCATATGTGAGTGGTTCTTGGAAAAGAACCAAAGACAGCTGCTGTTTATGTTGAGCTGATATAGGCAGAAGAAAGAGACAACTGCAAAAGAGGAAATGTGTGGTTAGCAGAAGCAGAAAACTGGAGCAACATATGACTGAGAGATATGGACACTCCTCAAGAATCCTCAGATATGGATGGAAAGGGTGGTGAGAAGCTTATAGGTAGAAGCTCAAGCCAGTTCATTTGACAATTAAAAGAAAATGTAAATACATAATGAAGGATGCCTCCCCAAGGCTGGAAGTTGGAAATAACCAAGAAATGAACACCTGGAGGGCAGTTAGAGGGTGACGTAGACCACCATGTTCTGTAATCCCATGCTGTTAATTTTGAAAAAGACCCAAGAGATCATCCAGAATGGCAGTTTTAAATCTCGTCCACAAAGCTCTGGGTTTCTCATACGTGACTCAAGGGCTTCCAGACAGCCCCTCGGTTTGGGTCTGTCTTATTCCCTTCACACTGTCATAACAAAACACCATAGATTGGGTGGCTTATAAACAACAGACACTTATTTCTCATAGTTCTGGAGGTTGGGAAGTCAAAGATCAAGGCACCAATAGATTTGCTGTTGGGTGAGGGCCCACTTTCTGGTTCATAGATGGCACCTTCTTGCTGTGTCTTGACATGATAGCAAGGGATCTCTCTGAGCCCTCTTTTATAAGGCAACAATCCCATGCATGACATGCTCTCATGACCTAATCACCTCCCAAAGGCCCCACCTCCTACTACCACATTGGTAATTAGGTTTTAACACAGGAATTTTGGGTAAACACAAACATTCAGACCATATCGGGCACCTAATCCAATCCTCGCTTCATCCAGAAGAGTTGAATCTATATTACATCTTAAGATTCCACATCAGATGTTATTTTTAAAAAATATTTTTGCTGCTACAAAGAAGAAAGAAGCAATGATATCATCTAATCTCCTCACAATACAGAAAGGCAAAGTTGAAGAATGCTAAGTAAGTTGCAACAATCACACAGCAGAGTTGATAATAAAAGCCCGTTCTGATTTTCACTCTGCTCATTCCTCCTTCTCAGCTTCGAGACTGACAAAGGTACCAACAGAAAACAGATGTACACTCACAGTTAGATTGGCTCCTGCAGTATTACGGGTTCTCATCAAACAGAAGTCACCATTGTCCAGATATCAGGAGTCTTCTCACTGCCATAACCAGGTAGTAGAAAAAGGCTTATAGGCCAGAGGAAACTCCTGCCCTCTTTCTGCCTGCTGCAAATATCTATTCTAATACAGGTTCAAGGCTCTGAAGAAAGCTTGAGGCTGACAGAAAAGTCCCCAACATTTTCTTAATCTATCCTCCTGACAAGGGCTCCAAGGATGTCTTGTTTCCGCTGCAGGAGACGGTCTGAACTGCCTTCCCTTACATTCCCGCAATTTGTATCTAACAGAGTCAACCACCATCTCTCTACCAAATTTGTACCTCCTAAGCCAAAAATTAAATTTTAGGAAAGTTCCAGGCATAATGGAAAGAAGACTGGATTGAGAACCAAAAGACCTGGGTCAACAGGACAGTTCTGCCAATTCGCTGTGTGACCGGAAGTTAAGTTGATTAACTGTGGGTTTCAGTTTCTTCATCTGTAAAATGGTTACAATAATACTTACCTCACAGTGTTATTGTATGAGGAGCAAATGAAGTAAGCCACTTAAAACAACTAACCCAGGACATGTGAGTCATTCCATAAACATTGGTTGATTTTTTTTTTTTCACATTTTAGTTCAACCTCACAAAGAAGTACTACAGTACTTGCTTGGCAGTCTATCATTGGTACTCAGCTAAAGCGAGGAGACTGGCAGCAGCCAAAAGGGCTGTGAAGAGGGATTTCTTGTCTGTGACTGAATTCTGGATGTGTTTCCTAAGATGCTGATGTGTCCACACTAAAAGGCAAAGATGTTTGCCAGTGTCCCTCCAGAATATACAATCTGAAGAAAAAAGGCAGAGTTGTTATGTGGTCAGAGTTGACTGTCCGCCCAGACCACTCTTCCTCTGCTGGTCTCTTGTGGTCCAGGGAAAATGTTGGCATCACAGAAAATATGTCATTCTGTTGGTTAAAGCTTGGAGAGTGAGTCAGCCATATAGTGCCTCATGAAGCAGGTGAATCCAACCACCTCTAAAGGAAATTAAGCTCTCTTCCTTCCCACAAGATATTTTAGAACAGTAGACCATCAATTTCACATGGCAGCAGCAAATCCATACTCTCACCTTCCCCTTTTGCCAGGAACCATTATAGGGCTCTTCCTCAACTGCATATGCCCAATCAGGCCACTTACCTAATTCACATAACTGATGCAATCCCTAGCAATGAAAAAACTGCCCCATCTCCCTTGTGATGCATGCCCAGTTGTCCAGTTGTCTAGTTTATAGCTATTCTATAACCTTACACACAGTCCTCTATCCTGTCCTCAGCTGACAGCCATCCTTTCTCATCACAAACTCTACTCTGAATAAACCAAAGGTTTGATTTTCATATTTTGGGTTTTTTTTTTTATTACTGTTTCATCCAACTTGAAACCATAAAAGCAAACTTAATGTATAAGAACAAGCTCAGGGAAAAAGAAATTTGCACATAAGTTGAAACACACTTATTATATCAATCAGCAACTGTCACAATAATGCTGAGTAACTAGCCAACCTAGAACTCAGTGACTACACCATAAGGCTCTGTGATATGGTTTGGATCTGTGTCCCCATCCAAATCTCATGTTCAATTGTAATCCCCAATGTTAGAGGTGGGGCCTGGTGTGAGGCAATTAGATCAGTTTCTAATAGTTTAGCACCATCCTCCTAGTGCTGTTCTCATTATAGAGTTCTCATAAGATCTGGTTGCTTAAAAGTGTACAGGCTGGGCCCGGTGGCTCATGCCTGTAATCCCAGCACTTTGAGAGGCCGAGGCGGGTGAATCACAAGGTCAGGAGATCCAGACCATCCTAGCGAACACGGTGAAACCCCGTCTCTACTAAAAATACAAAAAATTAGCTGGGTGTGGTGGCACACGCCTGTAGTCCCAGCTACTTGGGAGGCTGAGGCAGGAGAATCGCTTGAACCCGGGAAGCGGAGGTTGTAGTGAGCTGAGATTGCACCACTGCACTCCAGCCTGGGCAACATAGCAAGGCTCCATCTCAAAAAAAAAAAAAAAGTATGTAGCACCTCCCACCTCTCTCTCTCTTCTGCCCTGGCCATGTGAAGATGTGCCTGCCTCCCCTTCATCTTCTGCCATGATTGTAAGTTTCCTGAGGACTCCCCAGCCATGCCTCCTGTACAGCCTATGGAACCATGACCCAATAAAACCTCTTTTCTTTATAAATTACCCAGTCTCAGGTATTTCTTTATAGCAGTGTGAGAAAAGACTAATACACTCTTCCTTAGGCTGCAAGTCAGCTGAAATAACTCTATTCCACAGTGGTCATTCTGGGCCCTTTGCTAGAGAGACAGCTGCTGGTATCAAGAGAAGAAGTTGAAGGCTTCCAGAAGTTCATGTGGACACATGCAAAGCATCTTAAGGCCTGGAATCAGAACTCACACACTGTCACTTCCTATGTATTCCATTAACCAAAGCAAATCACAATGCCAAGTCCACATTAGTAGAGTGGGGAAATATACTCCTCTCATGGAGGTAGTGGGGATAAAGAAAGTAAATATTTGCCAAACAATGATCTAATCTACAACACCTATGTACACATCAGCTAGTTACTCCTTACACACTAAACATTTCCCTGCAACTCAATATTTATGTCTTTCTTGCCAGATATTGCCAGAGTTAGAAGTTAGATAATACAATACCTCTATGGATAGGGAAGTTGTCTCTATAACAAAACTTTCATGAGGTCTACCCATCATTGCCTACTCAGCATTAGGTAAGAGAAATGAGATAATAAACAGATATTAGAGCATTAGGTAAGAGATAAGCCTTTCTTCTGGTTGTATGCAGCAGTTACTAGAAATAGATGCATGTATAATGGATGTGTAATTCAAACATACACACATACACAAACCACAGACATTTTTGCAAATTTGGCAGTGCCATGGGGAACCTCCAGCTTGTGGTTTGGCCTTTCATGTGGAGTTTCACTTGAGTATTTGCTTTGGAATTTGATAAACACAGCTATTCACAGGGCTATCATCACATGGTATATTTGCTACCACAGAAACACAGAACGTCTTCTAAAGGAACAGCCCCTATTTATCCTGTAAGCTGAATTCCTGCCATTTCCCAAAGATCCCACAAAATGACTCCACGTGTTCCTACTTCATGGTAATTTGGAATAGGGGGTAATGCATTTGTTTTCCACAAATCCTCTTTTGCCTCCTTCCTCTGGCAGAATTACCTTCATCATGCTTTATTTTAAAACATAAAAAAAAAATCAAGAAGTAGGGAAAATAGTCTCATTTTAACAATTGAAAAGTAGGAGTAGGCAGGGATGAAGTTCTGGCTAGCATGGTCTTCTGGACCCTCCTATTTTCCTAACAAGATCTAGGAAAAAGAATTAAAAATAGGCTGTCACAACATTATCTTCAGAACTTCTTCACCTATAATTTAACTTTTTATTGTTATGATGAAGGACAACAAATCTTTTTATCCCTTCTATTTGTCCAGGATTTAAGCTAAGGGAAATTTAGTGGGAGACCTAGTAGAAAATGAAACACCAATCTAAAAGTTCCAGAAGAAGGGACCACACAAAGTAGCAGAGAGTGGCCAGCTCTGTAATCAGGCAAATGTGGGTTTGAATCCAGACTCCGCTCCTTCCTCTGTCATCAGGCAAAATTGCTTAATGAAATACTGTTTAAGTTACTTATTGCTGCATAACAAACCACCTCAAAACTCAGTAATTTAAAACAACCATCTTACCATAGTCATGGTTTTGCAGAGTCTAGAATTAGGGCAGTGCACAGCAGGGAAAGATTATCTCTGCTCTACAATGTCTGTGGCCTCAAACAGAGTAGTACAGAGAACTGAAAATGACTGGGATGGCCCAACTCTGTTCATACATTTGGGGCCCACATTTTAACTGACAGTCACGGTTTCCTGAGGGGATAGGGGGCAGGTCTTTTCCCCAGTTTCTAATGAAGCTAGAATATGTCCAAGATGACTTCTAGGCTAAGATGGCTGATGAGCTAGTGCTGGCTGGGTATAGATCTCTGTCTGTCTCTCTGTCCTCCTCTGCCCCCTCCCCGGGTAGCCTCTCCACATGGCTAGCCTGGGCTTCCTCAAAGCATAACAGTCTCAGGGTACTTGAAATCCTCACATGGCAGCTAGAACTAAAGCAAAAGCTTCCAGGCCTCTTAAAAACTAGATCTAGAACATGCAGTGTCCCTTCCGCCAAATGCTGTTGGTCAAGTCAGCCACAAGGGCCAACTCAGAGTCAAAGGAGGGGAGAAAGCACCCACTTCTTGATGGAAAGGTGGCAAAGAATTTGCAGCCATTTTTAATCCGCCCCAGACTCAGTTTCCTCATTTGTGAAATAAAGACCACAAAAAAACTATTTTATATGACTGTTTTGAGGATCAGATAAAATGTACGTAATATATCTGACATTTAGTTAGCATTGTAAGCAGTAGCCTTTATTAATGAGTTTGTTTCAACATGAGAACATCTACAACTCCAAGATCAGACCTTCACCTTACCAAAATGAAAGGAATGAGAGAAAATTTCCAAGGATGTCAAGATATATCTAAGATAAAATATAATGTATAATAAAGTCCATATTCTATTATTTCCTATTGATTTGCTCCCAGTGTTATTAGCCTTATATTGTTTTCATGGCTCAGGTGAATCTAATATCCATTCCTAAAGGTGGAACAGGCCACCATTATGGTGAAGTGTTCAGTAACACGAGGGTAGATGAGGAATGTCCTGGTGGTGAGAGCAGATGCATAGAAAGAAGTTCTATTGTCGAAAATGGCCCACGTATGTCAAGCCCTCTACAACAGGCAATCAAAGCAACCTTCTGCACAGCCACACCCTTACCCTGATAGGTTCTTACCCTTCTGGTGCCTCTAGACTTTTGACCAGCAACCAAAAGTCTTAGAGAATAGGACTTGAGGTGGAATCCCAGCTCTGGCCCTTGCCACATGAGCCAAGTTCCTTACCTCTCTGCATGTCTATTTCTTACTTACAGGAGTGTACAGTGTATGGTAATGCACATGGGAGATGCCCAAAGGCCCTTCTGTCAGGAGCTAGCACTGTCAGTGGATGTAATACTCAGTGTCCCTGATTTTTGCATCCATTACTTTAAACTTCCCACCTGCACAAGTGCACTCATATCGATAGCCCATGTGACTTATGCTTGGGTTGGAGAATTAACTTAGTTGGTGGTGACCAAAGAAACTGAGAATCTACAGGGAAGGGGGCAGCCCAGAGCCAGCCCCAGGACCCGTTCAGAAAGCTGGGAGCTCTTCTGTTGCTACAAAAGCCTTTTCTGAACAGTACATTTGGTTTCTGGCCTCTCACCAAGGTGGCAGGATGCTTTCTCAGGGAGTTATGTCTATCACTCCCTTTCTAGGGCCTCAAAGTACTGCAGTATGGCTTCTACCCCCATGAATCCATCAGAACAGCTCTATGGAGGGCCACCACTGACATTCATATCCACAGAGACAGCAGACTCTTTATTCTCCCGCTTGACCCTGTGTGGCAGCATTTGGCACTGTTGACTTCTTTTTTTAAGCACTCTCTTCTCAGCTTCAAGTCATCTGTTTTTTCCTACCAGCCCATTCTTCTCATCCTCTTCACAGGTTCATCCTCCTGTACCTGCGAGTTAAATTTTGGAGTTTCTCAAACTTTGGTGCTGGGTCTTCTCTTCTCTTCTCATACTCCTTGTCTCCTGACAGCCTCACTTAGGACTGTCCCTCAATCGCCTGATGAAAACACAAAAACGTACATCTTCAGTCCAGACCTCTCCCACAGACAACTCCTGAGAGGTATCTCCATGGTACCGTAAACCCAAAATGTCCAAAGCTGAACCCATAATTTATCCCCACCAAGGATGGTCGTCCTCTAAGGTATCGTTTCTCCATTTATGAAACCACCATCTATAGTTTCTCAAGCCAGAAAACTAAGTCATCCTTCATAGATTTCCTTATCTCTTCCCTATCCTGTTATCTCTCAGTTCATCTCACTCTCTATTATCCTCTCATTGAGACCACTGTAATAGACTAGTAGCTATTATAGCTCACGAAGTTTTGTTTTTTTTTTTTTGTTTTTTATCTTTCGCCCAGGCTGGAGTGCAGTGAAACAATCATAGCTCACTGCAGCCTCAAATTCCTGGGATCAAGCCAACTTCCCACCTCAGCCTCTTGAGTAGCTAAAGTCTACTGGTGCACACCATCACACCTAATTTTTTCAATTTGTTTTTGTAGAGACAGGGTATCACTTTGTTGCCTAAGCTGGTCTCAAACTCCTGACTTCAAGCAATCCTCCTGCTTTGGCTTCCTGAAGTGCTGGGATTACAAGCGTGAGCCACCCTGCCCAGCTTCAATCAGTATTCTTTTTTTTTTTTGGAGACGATGTCTCACTCTGTTGCCCAGGCTGGAGTGCAATGGTGCAATCTCAACTCACTGCAACCTCTGCTTCCCGGGTTCAAGCGATTCTCCTGCCTCAGCCTCCTGAGTAGCTGGGATTACAGGCACATGCCACCACGCCTGGCTAATTTTTATGTTTTTAGTAGAGATGGGGTTTCACCATGTTGGCCAGGCTGGTATTGAACTCCTGACCTCAGGTGATCCGCCCACCTCGGCCTCCCAAAGTGCTGGGATTACAGGTGTGAGCCACTACGCCCGGCCTCAATCACTATTCTTACAAACTGCACACCATTTGTAGACTGTGAAATAAATAAAGTGGATAGCAACCAGCCCTTTTTTAAAAAACTAAAATAGACTAGATAAAACATAAAAGAAATATTCATTCATAAAAAGGCTTAGGTCTTGACACTAACTTCTGGTGTGTGTCTGCATGTGTGTCTGTATGTGAGCATACCAAGTCACCATACAAAATGTATTTCTTATAAGGAATCACCTACAAAAAATGTTTGACAGCCACTGACATAATCCAGTCTGGCCTCCTGCAAAACGTTCTCTATAAGACAACCAGAGTGATTCTTTCAGTACATGAATCTGATGTCACTTCCCACAGCTTCTCCCACCATCCACAGCTAACACTGGCCATCTCTCCAGCTCCAACCTTATCTTGATTTACCCTCTTTTCCAGTGCTCCCCCTTCATGAGGCTTCTTTCATCTCCTTCTGATTTCCATGTTTCCTTTTAACATAGAAAAATGTCATGAGCTGTTCCCTTAGTCTGTTTCCTTCCCTTTAATTGCCTAATTAACACCTACTATGCTTCTTGCCTTATATACTAGAACACATTTACATTTTTATGTGTTTTGTATGAAAGTTTGGTTCATGTCTGTTTTACTCACTAGACTTGAAGGTCAATAAGACCACGGACTATGCTTTTATATGCCCTTATATCCCCAGCATCTATCTCACTCCTTGGCACACAGTAGGGCCTTTATCAATATTAGTTAAATAAATCTGAATGTGAATTCCAAGTCTGAAACTTCTAAGTTATGTGAGTTCCAGTTTTATCTACACTGAGTTTCAGTTTTTCTATCTGTAAAATAGGGATAATCATACCACTCTGGGTTACTGTGGCATTAAATACGTCTAAAGCACCCTGCCTCTAATAATGAGTAAATTATTTGATAAGTGAATGTATGATATAATTTCCCAAAGAATCCATTTCCCTAGTGCTAACATCATTGCTGTCAGTGTTCTTCAATCTCTACCTCTGATTTTAACAGATCTCAACTTTTGTTAGAGTGGCTTTTTTTCAGTGTTTCTTTTACATAAGGCACCAAATCCAAGCCATCCCATGTCCTTGGCTAGTTGAGTAGCTCTCAAATTTTCCTGAGTTCATAACCAGTGCTACGTCGCTTAATGCTGATTTGGTCTTTACTTACATCATTTTTTTCCTCAGACCATAAATTCATTGAGAGTAGGGTCCATAGACTACATTATTGTATAAATTTTATAATTTTTTCTGCAGGAGTATGAAAGGCATCCTGGTATATTAGTAAAAGTACAAGGTTTAGACTCAAATGGTCTCTTCGTTTTACTGTTTGGTAGCAGGGTAATTCTCAGCTAATCTCTCAAATCTGTTTAAGCCAGTGGTTTCCAAACATGAAACTACTGTACATTAAAATCATCTTTTTCATTAGTA
The DNA here is from genome assembly GCF_000001405.40 of Homo sapiens. NCBI lineage: Eukaryota > Metazoa > Chordata > Mammalia > Primates > Hominidae > Homo > Homo sapiens. The sequence continues at coordinate 81,498,463 of NC_000009.12, forward strand.
TTTTTTAAAAATACTAATGCCTGGTTTCCACCCCTAGTCATTCTGATGCAATGGGCACAGGTTGCTGCCGAGGCATTGAGATTTTTGAAAACCCCCCAGGAAATTCTACAACCCTGTTTGGAAATCGTTGCTCTAAATCACAAATTCTCTTATCTGTAAAACAGTGGTGAAAATCGTTCCAATTATAAACAGTTAATGAGATACTTTAACAAGATCGTAGATGGTAAAAGTCTTGGCACATTAAAAGTAATCAGAGAATAATTGTTAGCATTGTTAGCTGGTGGTGGTGGAAGTAGTAATATATAGTCACGAGGAATCAGATGGTGAAGATTCATGAGGACACTCGTCAGCCTAGCTGGTTATGGAGCATATTTAGAACCCTTTAAATGTCAACCCAATTTCTATACATCTGGAACTTTTTTCTGACTTGTAGAAAGCACCTTACTGCAGAGGCATCTTTTATTTGGATTTACCTACAAGTGACATAGAAATTTGCCTTTCTCATCTCATGAGCCGAAGGTACGACACGTCCTGTGAGTCTAATAACTACTCAGGAAAACTTTTTCCGTGCCTTCAGCATTTACAAGGCTAACTTTAATACGTGGGGAAAAAATTTTGATATCAAGTTGCATCTGAGCCTTTGAAACTATTTTGGGTCAGCTACACAGCAGAAGTTGGAGGCTGGCAGAGAGCCGTAAAACTGAGCCAAAAATAAACCAAAGACCATTATAAAAATGCTTCGAGTGCCAAAAGCATGAGATGTTAAAATTGCAACATAATGGAGTAAAAATTTACAAAAGAGGCTTTCCAATGGTGGCACAAAGTGTTCCAACCCAGAGAAAGACAGTTCACAGGGAAACGTTTGGAGAGTAAACTCAGCGCCTGAAAATTAGCCTTCCAGACATGTAAGAATGCCCCCATCCAAGGCTATTTACAATGTATTACCCATCAAGAACCAAGAGTATTAATGTCCTTCCCCTCCTTCCCCTATTGGAGAGCACAGGCTGGATAGCTGGGGTACAGGAGAAGTTTTCATAAAAATTAATTGGGACACTCAGCTTTTCCCAATATTCAGCAAATGCTGCTCTACTTGCCCATCTCTTAGCCTGGACACATTCTTCCTCTCAATATCCAACCATTCCACAATGCAGTCTGGTGTACCTATTCATTATTTATGGTCTTATTTTCCTGAGCTCCAGAAAATATGGTAATGTATGCTCAATGCAGTCCCTTGGTGGAGGCTTTCTGGAAGGGTGGCATCAAGTGCTGGGTGTCTCCCTCCTGGCTCTGCCCTGCCTGCCAGTCTCAGCTTTCTCTGCTTGAGTCCGTTCCTACCCTCCTTTTCCACAATTAGGAACTGCTACCAATTGCACATGGACAGATTTATGCATGGCTCGAGACCAGCCAGTCTCCCACTGATGGTCTAAAAGAAGAGTATGTTCTGTGTCAACAATCCTTTGCACAGAGTCCAAATGGCTTTTTGTACATACTTCTTTTGACCCAGGCCCATAATTTTTTTAGGTTAGAATTTTATGAGCCCGATGCAAAGTCTATCAACATTTTCTTTGTGAGACATACTCAGGGTACAGCATGTTTCTGAAGTGTGCGAATATTTGGGGATATTTCTATCATTCCATGCCAAGAGAAGACACTGGGAAAAAAGAGGGAGGGGAGATGTGGAGAGGCAGTCTAATGACCACTTACTAAGGGAGTTTTAAATACCAAGACAGATATGATGGTCCATCAAAACATTTCGAAGTAGCTTTGATTAGAACCACACATTCAATTATGCACTTCTTATTCAGGTGGTCCCCCACAATGAGGCCACCAGGGCTACTACGACCCAGAGAGTGGCTTCATCAGCCAAGAGCTATACCATTCCATGCCATAACCCTGCTATGACCCCTGGCTGAAAAGATCAAGGTGGTGATACAGTCAACAACACAACAGTGCACCAGACCACAACCTCAATTTTCCCTAAAGATTTGCCCTTCTTGTCTATATCATGGTGTGACCTTCGAATAAGCTAGCAATGCTATGGACTGTGGTCTTGAGGGGCTTCAGATTGATAAGGACTATTGCATCTCTTCACACAATTGGAGAATAAACAGTCTTGATGCTCATGCTATACTCACTTATGTAGAAATTCAAAGAAAGTTCTCGGCTCTCTAAAAATGGCAAGTTGATGAGCATAGACAGGAAGCAAACTATAAAATGCTTAAGAGATGATCATATTTTCCCTCAATATCCCATTGAGTATTTTCATCAATATCTAATTTTTAAGAAAAGCCCAAAGAAAGCACCCAGACTCAAAACTCCATGATGTTACCAGCAGACACCAGGAGTCTAAAATGAAATGATGAGAGAGGGTTTTTCTTCCAGGCCCATTTTCCTCCCTATTTTTCTCTTTTCCATCTTCCCAAGGTTATTGCAAGATTTATGCTAAGGAAATGATAACCTGCTCTGTAAATGTAAGAGACTATTCATTTTATTATCACCTTTAGCCCATTCTTATTATTCTTTTCACGTTATCGATCCCATTCTACCCTAGTTGGGGTGTTGAGACTGCTGCCCGGCCCTCTGGGCCTTTCCTGAGAAATCTGAGCTTTCCCTCTCAGCCCTCTCCTGACCCCTTGCCACTGCATCAAAAAACATCATTCCTGATCATTGGTTTTAAACTGCTGCAATCACAGAAATGTCATCAAGGTCAAGAATGTGAGAATGTGTGTATGCATGTGTGTGTGTGTGTGAGTGTTTATATATGTGCGCTTATTGCGTATGAGTATATAATTTTGTTGTTTAGTCAATTAAATCTTAAAAATATGCATTTTTGTCTGTGCTATTCCCACACACCTTGATCTCCCAATCTAAATTGATCATCCAATTCAAACTACGATCTTAACGACTAACCCTAGAATACTGTGTTAACCTAAGCTGAAAGGTATGATGACTAAAATAATGAGATCTAACACAAAGATAGCATAGATAGCAAAGATAGACCAGTACCTAGTCTAAGTGCTTTGTATATAGTAGCTCCCTTAATCCCTCAAACCTAATGAGGTAGGTGTTATCTTCAATTTAGAGATGGAGAAACTGAGACACAGGATTAATGTAATTTACCCAGAGTAACACAACTAGGTAAGTGGATGAGTCAGCTTTTAAACTGGTACTGTCTAGCTTCAGGCTCTATGTCTTAACTATTGTACTTGCCTACCCCAATATGGTATATGATAATTTCCAAGTTGGTGCTGAGACTGTGGAAGATATATTTGTGAATACTTCCAACCACACCATTTGGCAAATAGACATTATTCCCCTATGTGATACTGCCCTTGATGTGCTTCAGATTGGATAAATAAGTAGATCTTTTTGTCACTTTTGGTACATTTAACCATAAAAACCATTGTCAAGTAAAGGGAATAACCTCTTAAATGGCAGGTGAAACTGAGGCATTGCTTACCTAGCGTGGTAAAATGATTCACACGAACTTTGAGACCTTTAGTCACAGCAATAATAGTAACGGTAGTAGTAGTAGTGCTAGAAATACAAATAATGATACTAATAATAATACCTGCAGTAGTAACAAGAGTCGTAATAGCACCATGTTGATCAATTGTTATATACCAAGCATCATGGAAATGCTTTCATATGCATTATTTTCTTTAATCCTCACTAAAACCTCTAAAATAGGTCTCGTTAGCCTTTTAGCCTCGTCTTACAAGTGAAGAAGCTAAGACTTATATGATGAGATTTTAATCCAGGTTTTAACTTAGTTCAAGGCTGTACAACCCTCTATTGCCAATCAATTCTCTGATAAGTTTGCCTACCAGTAAGAGGAAGGGAGTTGAATTCCAAGTTGGCTTCCAGCTCTACAATGAAGGACTGAACACCGTTGAAGGGACATAAAATTGGGCTTCATTAGAAAAGTAAGTGGAGATGGGATGATTTAATTTTTTTTTCTTTTTTTTTTTTTTTGAGATGGAGTCTCGCTCAGTCGCCCAGGCTGGAGTGCAGTGGTGTGATCTCAGCTCACTGCAACCTCTGCCTCCCGGGTTCAAGCAATTCTCCTGTTTCAGCCTCCCAAGTAGCTGAGACTATAGGCGCGTGCCACCACGCCCAGCTACTTTTTGTATTTTTAGTAGAGACGGGGTTTCACCATGTCAGCCAGGATGGTCTTGATCTCTTAACCTCATGATCCACCCACCTCGGCCTCCTGAAGTGCTGGGCTTATAGGCATGAGGCACCACGCCCGGCCAGGATGATTTGATTTTTAAAAAAGACTAAAGATAATCTAGTTTCACGGAGAGGATATAAAGCATTTCTGCCCACAAAACCACACCTCTGTATATACAGAAACAAAGAAGTCAAGGTGACCAAAGGCTGAAATAATCAGCTTCCAAATCAGAGATCAGAGTCTAAGAGAGCTGGATATGAAGGAAACAGCATGGTGCTGGAAGTTCAAGTTTACCACACATTTGGGAATTGTACCAATATGTACTAAAATGTAGAATAGGTATCACTTGGTAGTAACAGAAGCTATTTTACATGGTGTAGGACATGGTAAGAAAGTGATTTTCTTCATTGTTTCAATATTTCAAGGATAAACTCTCCATGTGGTGTTTGTATATATTTAATACCTTTATAGCATTTGCTAATTGCACTTTTAATAAAAGGAGAGCAAGCCTAAAACTCAGAGCCTCTGCAAGAAAGAGTATCCAGCTAAAATTTGATGTTGTTGATCCATTTTTATTTTCTATAGTTCCTTTCATTGATAGCAACTGATGCTGGCTTTCAATTGACAATAATGCAGTGGTTCTTAAACTTGAATGTGCACAAAAATCAATGGAGAGTTATTAAAACACAGATTTCTGGACCTCATCTCTAGAGATTCTGGTTCACTAGGTCAGCAGAGGGACCATAAATTTGCAATTTTAACTAGTTCCTACGTGATGCTAATGCTACTGCTCAGAGGGCTATACCTGGAGTACTATCAGGGTAATTACACAAAATTTCTTCTTTAAAAAAAAAAAGTTATTTTAGGCTGGGTGCAGTGGCTCATACCTGTAATGGCAGGACTTTGGAAAGCCAAGAAGGGAGAATTACTTAAGGCCAGGAGTTTAAGACCAGTTTGGGCAACAAAGCAAGACCCTGTCTCTCCATAAAATAAAAAATCAGCTGGGCATGGTGATGCATGCGTGTAGTCCCAGCTATTCGGGAGGCTGAGGCAGAAGGATCGCTTGAGCCCAGGAGTTTCAAGTTGCAGTAAGCTATGATCATGCCACTGCACTCCAGCCTGGATGACAGAGCAAGACCTTGTCTCTTAAAAAGAAAAAAAATGTTATTTTAATAAAAGAGATTGAGTCACATTGTGTCCGGAATTGGTAGGTTCTTGGTCTTGCTAACTTCAAGAATGAAGCCGCGGACACTCGCGGTGAGTGTTACAGTTCTTAAAGATGGTGTGTCTGGAGTTTGTTCCTTCAGATGTTCAGATGTGTCTGGAGTTTCTTCCTTTTGGTGGGTTCGTGGTCTCCCTGACTTCAGGAGTGAAGCTGTAGACCTTCCCAGTGAGTGTTACAGCTCTTAAAGGCGGCGCGTCTGGAGTTGTTCGTTCTTTCCAGTGGCTTCGTGGTCTTGCTGGCCTCAGGAGTGAAGCTGCAGACCTTCACGGTGAGTGTTACAGCTCATAAGGGCCGCAGACCCAAACAGTGAACAGCAGTACTTGTCACCTCTCATTATGAGAATTAATGTTTCCTTTTTCTTTCTTATTTATCCTCTGGTCTTTTTGCTCTTCTTTGCTTGGTATATAGTCATCTGATAATCTGAAAGTTTTGTATTGTTTTTGTATATCATGATTAGCCTTATAGTTACAATCTTACATATATGCTTAATCTTTACTATTGTGAACACTGATAAAAAATGTTCCTGCAATTTGGTCTACCCCCATTTTCTCCCTGCCTCACCTGATTTTAGCTAATTATATTGTCTTTTTCTGTTTTCCTAGTGTTTTCTTTTTATTTATTTTATTTTTTTATTTTTTTCAAAGATGGAATCTTGCTCTGTCACCCAGGCTGGAGTGCAATGGTGCGATCTCGACTCACCGCAACCTCTACCTCCTGGGTTCAAGCGATTCTTCTGCCTCAGCCTCCCGAGCAGTTGAGACTACAGGCGTGTGCCGCCATGCACTAGTAATTTTTGTATTTTTAGTAGAGACAGGGTTTCACCATGTTAGCCAGGATGGTCTCAATCTCCTGACCTCGTGATCCGCCCGCCTCGGCCTCCCAAGGTGCTGAGATTACAGGTGTGAGCCACTGTGCCTGGCCATTTGTTTGTTTCTTTTTGAGACAGGTTCTCACTCTGTCACCCAGGCTGGAGTGTGGTGGCATGATCATGGCTCACTGCAGCCTCCATCTACCGGGCTTAGGCGATCCTCCTGCTTCAGTATCACAAGGAGCTGGGCCACAGGCATATGCCACCATGCTCGGCTAGTTAAAAAAAAATTATTTGTAGAGATGAGGTCTCACTATGTTGCCCCGGCTGGTCTCAAACTCCTGGGCTCAAGTGATCCTCCTGCCTTGGCCTCCCAACTGCTGGAATTACAGACGTGAGCAACCACACCTGGTCCCTAGTGTTTACTTTAAACTTTTAAATACATTTATACTTCTATTACTGGATTGTTCAGAATTAAATGATCCATTTAATTTCAGACAATGTAATTGCACTACATTCTCATGTTCTTTCAGTCCTTATTTTCAAACTTTTGTTATTAACTGGAACCAGAAGAAATTGCCATTTTTATAGGTTAAAATGATAGTATATTGCCAGTTTCATGGTTGTTATTGGATGGCTACCCAAAGAACTATTTCATTAACTTTACATTTAATTACTTTCCTGAGGTATGTCTTGATGTTTATCTCTCTGATTCATTATTTCTTGGCGTGTAGTATAACCTTCAATCTGTAGTTTTAAATCTGCTTTTACTTAAGATAGCTATGTTAAATTATATCTTTGATTTTTTTTCTTCTGTTTGATTCTTTTTTTTCAGGAATAAAAATTATTTGAATGTAGGATCTCTTTTATCTCACAGCCATATCTTCTATCCCCTCTCTAATCCTATGAAAGTCACCATATTCATTTAAGTTTATTCTCTTTTCTCAGTCCTATCTTTTCTGTGGTGTCTATTTTCCTCTTTGATATTTCCATACTGGCCTTAATTTCTGTGGCAGCTTCATTTTTTTCTTTCACTTATTTCCTGAGCCCTGGCCACTTCGTATCTAATCTTCTGATGTGTCATCTTTTCTTCCCTCTTGAATATTTGTGTCTTTTCTTTGTGCTCTTGTTTTAAATTAACATTTATTTTATTTAATTCTCTGAGATTCTGGATACGTATTTGTGACTTTCATCTACTTCATTATAATATTTTTTATGATGTGTATTTTTTGCCATTGTTTTTTCTTTTGTGTTTTACTATAGTATCTTTGTCTTGATGTTTTGCTAATTCCTTTATATTATCACTCATCTTCGAGTGATAAAACCAGATTTTGGGAGGTGTTTGGTGTTGCAGTGTTCCGGAGCAGCAGGAAGCCTTGATGGTGCACAGTGAAACTCCTTAGCTTTAGGGTTTTAAGTGTCAGCTAGTTAACTCAAACATCTCAGAGGCTGTCAGAGCTCAACATCTCAAACTTCAGGATCTTTCCTCTCTCCTACCTCAGCACCATACAATGCCAAGAAATGATGGCAAGTTTGTTTCTTTTTCTATCCTGGAGTCTCTTATTCCTTCCTGCTAAAAAGAAACCAAGGAAACTCACACTGTCACTGCACAGTGTCACCCTGTGGCTGCAAATAAAGGACTATGGCTTCTACCTTTGAGGATGCCACCTTTTTTGGGCTCTTTAACCTCCAGGTACCGTTGTCTCTTCAGCACAGTTCTGTGCTCTAGGCTGGTATTTGCTAAGTTTGAGAACTCATTCTCTTAAAATTTGGTTCTCAAATACAGAGTATACCTAGTGCCTAGGTTTTGTTCAAGTTGAAAGCTGCCTTACTGCCTTTCAGATGTCTTGTTGCTTTTAGGCAATTTCAAAGCAAAATGGTGGAAGGATGTGTTCATTTTGCCTTTGTAAAATTGGAAGACTCTGCATCATTCATTTTTGAAATTTGTAATATGAGTTTAAGACGGGATTGAGAAGGAAATTCATTCATTCTCTTAAACTACTTCAGAGAGGTAACCATTCAGGAATAGACACACTTAGTAAAGTAGGTTGAACAATTTTTAACCTAACTGTATAACCTGTTGGCTAATTCTAGGATAGCCTAGCATACTTGCATTAATGAACGGTAGGGAAATCTTAGGTATTTTTCTCTTAAAATAATCTCATTTGGGGAACGCAAATGGTTTAATTACATTCATGTTCAAGTTAAATTTAGACTTTGAAAAGATTTTAATTTCTTAAAATGGTATTATTTTGACACCTAAAAGATTTCTAGTTAGACTTTTATAAAGTTTATGAACAGATTTCAAAAATGAAGCCTCACTAGAGTCATGAGAGATATTAAGAATGTCTGTAGACTTTATAGATGAGGAAACAGGCTTGGAGAACTCAGTTATCACATCTAGTGAGTATTAGAGTGAGTTCTAGATGAGCATATTCCTAAATTCAGTTGTATGTAAGAGTTTCATGATTTTTGCTGTATCTGCATATTATTTTACATAACTTTTTCTCTATTTAACATTTTCCTGTAATATTGAGAGGTGACAAAGTGCTAGCAGCCCTCACTCGCTCTCGGCGCCTCCTTGGCCTTGGGGTCCACCCTGGCTGCCCTTGAGGACCCCTTCAGCCGCCGCTGCACTGTAGGGGCCCCTCTCTGGGCTGGCCGAGGCCAGATCTGGCTCCCTCTGCTTGCAGGGAGGTGTGGAGGGAGAGGCGCGGGCAGGAACTGGGGCTGCACGCAGCAATTGCGGCCAGCGCGAGTTCCAGGTGGGCGAGGGCTCAGCGGGCCCCGCACTCAGAGCCTCTGGCCAGTGCCACCGGCCCCAGGCAGTGAGGGGCTTAGCACCCGGCCAGCAGCTGCGGAGGGTGCGCCAGGTCCCCCAGCACTGCTGGCCTGCCCACACCCCACTCGAATTCTCACTGGGCCTCAGCCACCTCCCCGCGGGGCAGGGCTCTGAACATGCACAACATGACCAAGCCCCCCCTCCCCCAGTGGGCTCCCACGGGGCACAACCCTCCCCAACTGGCGCCATCCCCTGCTCTACGGCCCCCAGTCCCATTGACCACCCAAAGGCTGAGGAGTACAGGGGCGTGACGGCGGGACTGGCGAGCAGCTCCACCCGCCGCCCTGGCACAGGACCCACTAGGTGAAGCCAGCTGGGCTTTTGAGTCCGGTGAGGACTTGGAGAACTTTTATGTCTAGCTGGAGGATTGTATATGCACCAATCAGCACTCTGTATCTAAGTCGGGGTTTGTGGATGCACCAATCAGCACTCTGTATCTAGCTAATCTGGTGGGGACTTGGAGAACTTTTATGTCTAGCTGGAGGATTGTAAATACACCAATCAGCACTTTGTGTCTAACTCAAGGTTTGTAAATACACCAGTCAGCACTCTGTGCCTAGCTCAAGGTTTGTAAACGCACCAATTAGCACCCTGTGTCTAGCTCAAGGTTTGTGTACCTACCAATCAGTGCTCTGTGTCTAGCTAATCTACTGAGGACTTGGAGAACTTTTGTGTCTAGCTCAAGGTTCCTAAACACACCAATCAGCACCCTGTACAATGGGCCAATCTGCTGTCTGTAAAATGGGCCAATCAGCTCTCTGTAAAATGGACCAATCAGCAGAATGTGGGTGGGGTCAGATAAGGGAATAAAAGCAGGCGCTAGCAGTCGCAACCTGGTAGGGTACGGTTGCAACTGTGGTAGCTTTGTTCTTTCACTCTTCCCAATAAATCTCGCTGCTGCTCCGTGTTTTGGTCTGTGCCACCTTTGTGAGCTATAACACTCACCTTGAAGGTCTGCAGCTTCACTTCTGAAGCCAGCGAGACCACGAACCCACCGGGAGGGACGAACAACTCCAGATGGAAGAAACAAACAACTCCACACGCAGCACCTTTAAGAGCTGTAACACTTAACCCCAAAGGTCTGCAGCTTTACTCTTGAAGCCAGCAAGACCACGAACCCACCAGAAGGAGGAAACTCTGGGCACGTCTGAACATCTGAAGGAACAAACTCCGGACATCCATCTTGAAGAACTGTAACACTCACCGCGAAGGTCTGTGGCTTCATTCTTGAAGTCAGCGAGACCAAGAACCCACCAATTCCGGACACAATAACATATAACATGGTGCCAGCAGCAATAAATCCCCAAAAATCTGTCATTAGAAATTGTGAATGGAATGATGCCATATATTCAAAATTTACTCACATAACAAAGACAAAACCCAACTATTAATGCTATGCAAGGTCTACCTCTAATGTAGACTGATTTCAACGTGGCAAAAGCAAACCTTGAAAATGAAAGGGGGAGGAGGTGGGAAGAAGGAAGAAAAGAGGAAAGGAAGAGGTAATACATTCCAGTAGTTTTTAAAAATGAACTCATAGTATTAAAAAGCAAAGATCCATTAGGCATATATCTAGGCAAATATAGCATCATTAAAACGCGTGAAGGGGCCAGGCGCAGTGGTTCACTCCTGTAATCCCAGCACTTTGGGAGGCCGAGACAGGCGGATCACGAGGTCAGGAGCTCGAGACCACCCTGGCTAACACGGTGAAACACCATCTCTACTAAAAATACAAAAAATTAGCTGGGCGCGGTTGCAGGCGCCTGTAGTCCCAGCTACTAGGAAAGCTGAGGAAGGAGAATGGCGTGAACCCGGGAGGCGGAGCTTGCAGTGAGCCGAGATCGCGCCACTGCAGTAAGGTGTGGGTGAAAGAGTGAGACTCCGTCTCAAAAAAAATAAAAATAAAAATAAAACTCGTAAAGGGATTGAGATGATTGAAGCAGAAGGGGCAGCACAGTTTTTAGGTCTCACAATCTTCACATAAAAGCAAACAAAGGAAATATATGATAAGCCAAACATGCAAGAACAACAATTACAACAAACCATGAATACCAAAATATAAATAAGTGGGGACAAATGACCAATAGCCACAAAACTTGGCTAAAAGAGCATCTGAAGCTCTGAGAACAGGAGCACAGTATTCACTGGAAAGCCAGCTGGTACACCCTGGAAGAGCAGCAAAAACGAGGAGGAGTTTCAGCCCAAGCAAATAGCAGGTGAGTGCGAGGGCCAGTGTGAGGTCTCAAGGTGCTGGAGCAGCCTGGGCCACATAAGCCCTGGGAGCTGCCAGGCAAGCTCCCTTCTAGGAAAGGATCCTGCCCTGAGAAGGACTTCATGGAAATGGAATCACAAGTGAGTGGAACAGAGACCTTAGAGCCAATGCAAGAAGAGGTCCACATCAGAGTCAGGGAGGAAGCAATGCTAGGAAACCTCAGACAGCAAGTCTGTCTGAACAGGACATGCTGCAATGGAAGCGGGAGCTGGGGATATTAGAAAGCCTATTCGAATACATTTCAAATAATGGAAAAATAAACAAAACTGAAGACATTACAGACATTAGACTTGGACAAGTCAAAGGTATATGTAGCCATTTCTGGCCTAGCCACTAAGAAAAGACAAAAAGAGAGTATTTAATTTCAACCTAATAAAGGAGAAAATAGAATGATAAAAAAATAACCGAACAAAAAGGCGGCAGGACGATCTTGGTTTCTAATTCTCCAATAAAAGGAAATCACTCGAGCAAGGGACCATGGCTCATGCCTATCTATAATCCCTGCACTTTGGGAGGCCGAGACGGGAGGATCACGAGGTCAGGAGATTGAGACCATCCTGGCTAACACGGTGAAAACCCGTCTCTACTAAAAATACAAAAAAAAAAAAAAAAAAAAAGAAAAAAAAAATTAGCCGGGCATGGTGGCGGGCCCCTGTAGTCTCAGCTACTCGGGAGGCTGAGGCAGGAGAATGGCGTGAACCCGGGAGGCAGAGCTTGCAGTGAGCTGAGATCGCGCCACTGCACTCCAGCCTGGGCGGCAGAGTGAGACTCCCTCTCAAAAAAAAAAAAGAAAGAAAGAAAAACAAATGACTCTTGAAAAAATGGCTAAGTCTACACATAGGGTAAGGAAAATGAGGCTGCCACATCTTATAGTATCAGAATGTAAGAAACACACAAAGAACAGATGGGGTCATGTCAAAAGGACACAGGAACCAACCTGAAAGAGCTTCCAATGGCCAGAGCTGGAACAATTTGGACAATACAGTAAATAACGTAGTATTAGATTATTATAACTCAAAGTATTAAATGAATACATATCCATGAGTCCACTCGAAAATAAATGATTGAAAAGATGACTGATACATAGATAGATAGATAGATAATAGATAAAGTGCAAATCTTTCTTACAGAAATACACCAAATAATATGTGTAGAGACTTCTTACTGGAGAGGGTATATAAAGCGAGGAACTGGGGCTTAATTTCTACCTCCAGCACTCTGTAAGGGTAAGCTTGACTTAATGATTCACTTCCAAAGAATAGAATAGGAAAAGGGAAAAAAGTGTACCTTATTCTGTTTTTCATTTTCTTTTTTTAGAGAGAGTCTCACTCTGTTGTGCAGGCTGGAGTGCAATGGCACGGTCTCGGCTCACTGCAACCTCCGCCTCTGGGGTTCAAGCAATTCTCCTGCCACAGCCTCCTGAGTAGCTGAGATTACAGGTGCCTGCCACCATGCCCAGCTAATTATATATATATATATATATATATATATATATATATATATATATATATATATATATATATATATATATATATATATATATATATATTTTTTTTTTAATAGAGACAGGGTTTCACCATGTTAGCCAGGCTGGTCTTGAACTCCTGACCTCCAGTGATCCACCCGCTTCGGCCTCCCAAAGTGCTGGGATTACAGACGTGAGCCACTGCACCCAGCCAATACTACCTTATTCAAATAATCAAAGTTAACATCCTCAGTGATGCCATGAGAATATTATGTATGCCTTGATAAAATATGATCAGTAGGGCACTGTGGTCTTCTTTCTAAAATCTCATAACTTCAGTCTAATCATGAGAAAAACACCAGACAAACCCAGATTGGGGAACATTCTACAGAATATCTGTCCAGTACTCCTCAAGACTGTCAAGATCATGAAAAACAAGGAAAGATTGAGAAAATGTCACAGACCAGGGGAATATGACAACTATATACAGCATGACCCTTTTGGTTGGGTCCTGGAACAAAAAGAGGACATTAATGGAAAATTAGTGAAATCCAAATAAAGTCTGCTGGCCAGGCACGGTGGCTCATGTCTATAATCCCAGCATTTTGGGAGACCAAGACAGGTGGATTGCTTGAGCCCAGGCATTCCAGACCAGAATGGACAACATAGCAAGACCCCATCTCTACAAAAAATACAAAAAATTAGCCCAGCATTGTAGTGCACACCTGTAGTCCCAGCTACTCAGAAGGCTGAGGTGAGGGGACCACTTGAGCCCAGGAGGCGGAGGTTGCAGTGAGCTGAGATTGTACCACTGCACTCCAGCCTGGGCAACAAAGCCAGACCCTGTCTCAAAAAAAAATATTTTTTAAATAAAAATAAAGTCTGCTATTTAATTAATAGTAATGTGCCCATATGGGTTTCTTAGCTTTGACAAATGTACCCTGGTAATGTAAACAGTGAGGAAAGTGGATAAGGGGTATAAAGATATAAGTGAATAAGGAACTTCTCTACTATCTTTGTAACTTTTCTGTAAATGTAAAATTTTGAATTAGAAGTTCACTTTTTTAAATAATGTCAGTAAATATATATTTTTTAAAAAGAGGGCAGGAGGCCAGGCACAGTGGCTCACACCTATAATCCCAGCACTTTGGGAGGTCGAGTCAGGCAGATCACCTGAGGTCAGGAGTTCATCTCTAGACCAGCCTGGTCAACATGGCAAAACCCCATCTCTAGTAAAAATAATAAAAATTAGCTGGGTGTGGTGGCGCACGCCAGTAATCCCAGCTACTCAGGAAGCTGAGGCATGAGAATGACTTGAACCTGGGAGGCAGAGGTTGCAATGAGCCAAGGTGGTGCCACTGCACTCCAGCCTGGGACCATTTCGGGGTGTGGTGGGGGGATGAAGAGACCAAGAAAGGAATACAAGAGTCGTTCTATTAAGTTGTATCTTTTCAAGAAAACCATTTACTGTGTAAAGCTTTCAAATTAATTTGCACAAAGCTTAAGGAGAGTATTCATTTATTCTAAAATTTTTCTAACAAACATAAAAGTATAAAAGACATTATAATGAACTCTTATGTACTCATTAATCCACTGTCAGCTATTTTCATCATTTTGCCAGTCTTGTTTCATTTAATGTTAACACACACACACACACACACACACACACAACTAGTGAAGCAGATGAAAACAGCAATGACTTAGAAATCAGGAAAAAAAGTGGCACTACTAATAATTAAATTCACAATTTGGTTTCTTGAAAAAAACAAATCAAATAGATAAACCATTAACTCATCTAATTGTTTAATGGGAAAAAGCACAAATTAACAAAAGATATGAAAAGACAGTTCAAAGAGAAGAAACTAAAAATGACCTTTAAACATTTCAAAAGATGTTAAACATCATTAATAATAAGAGAAATACAAATAGACTTATAACGAGATTCTGTGGTTTAACTAGCACATTGGCAAAGATCAACACATTTGGTAACATCCCATGTTGACAAAAAGAATGAGGAAACAGCCACTCCTGCTTATTGTAAGTGGAAGTGTGAACTGGCATGTTCTTAATGAATGACAATTTGGCAGTGTCTTTTCAAATTATTCACATACTCTTGACCCAGCAATTGCACTTTCAGGAAATTATGCTTCAAATACACTTACAGATGCACACAAAGATGTACGTACATGAAATTTATGTAGAGCATTCCTCCCAAAAAAGACCATATTTGTGTATTGGAAGTAATTAAAATATTCAATAATAGACATCATTTTAAACCATTACAATACAACAAAATAACAAAATATTATGGCACTATTGAAAATGCTAAGGTAGCTCTATATGTAATATTATGAAACAATCTCCAAAATATACTGATAAGTTTAAAAGCAAGGTTCAGAAGAGTTTGTACAGAATAGAGAAATGTGTGTATAAAATAAGGAAGGAAGGAATCCAGTTTGGTTTTATGGAACTCAGAGTTGGATCCTTCTGTTTTCAGCAGCTGAGCACAAACATCACTTTGTTCTTGAGCATGAAATTTTTGCCCTTTGCTGAATCTATGCGCTCTTCTGCCTTTCTTGTTGAGCCTAGTATCCAATGTCAATATTCATCTTTTTTTCTGTAATACGACTGGATATGTTTCTCACCCTATCATTACTGACTACCTAGTTGGGTGTAGGCCTTTTCAACAATTTTTTAAGGTAATGTGTTAACATGACAATTGGCTTATCATAAAAAGTTATGAAAGCAGGAATTGTTCTGTTTTACACATGATACAAAGATTTGTTTTCAGACAAAAGCATTATTGTGGGCTTGCACTTTTACCCATCAAAGCACTTTACCACCCAGTCACCAGGCCCACCCTCAGGCCCCTAACTTAATAACTAGAAGCCTACAAGAAGGTCACCCCAGAAAATAAATATGGCACCATTTTGGCATGCTAGCTCTTTTGATGTCATACTTAGGTACTCTTGTTGGAAGAGAATCAATGACACTAGAGACTTGAAAGGGAGGAGAAGGGATTCAAGGAAGAAAATTCAGGGAGAATACTTTCAGCCAGAACAAAAAGCATTATCTAAATCCACTTAACTCACTTCCCCAGTGGTCATGACGGAGAAGTTTCTTGAGGTACTCTCAGGATATGCACTGTCAGTTTATCTAATTTGATACTGGACAATATTTTTGCTTGCATGATTATTGCATTTAACATTTTGCCATTCTTCCTTTGTTTCCAAGGGATAATTCAGTAAGACAAGAGATAGTTTAGAAAGTGGGGAGGGGATTCTTTTCAACTTCAAATTAGCCCAACTGATCTCTTACTAGGCCATCTTTCTCCGCCACAGTTTCTAGAACCACCAGGGTGAGCAAGAAAATGGGTCACTCTGGAGTTACCTGAAGTGTCAGAAGTAAGTAATGCCCTTCCCAATTTAGGGGATTACATTGTTTTCTGTGGCTTCTCTGAGGAAATAGAAACCCTCACAAGGGTCAAGATTAAGTCACCAAAAGACCCTCCTCACATTTAAACCAAGAAAACCGGAGTCTCAGCTCTTCCTTTTAACTCTTTTTTTTTTTTTTTTTTTTTTTTTGAGACTGAGTCTTGCTCTGTCGCCCAGCCTGGAGTACAGTGGCGCAGTCTCGGCTCACTGCCAGCTCCGCCTCCCGGGTTCACACCATTCTCCTGCCTCAGCCTCCCGACTAGCTGGGATTACAGGCACCAACCACCACGTCTAGCTAATTTTTTGTATTTTTAGTAGAGATGGGGTTTCACCATGTTAGCCAGGATGGTCTCAATCTCCTGATCTCGTGATCTGCCCGTCTCGGCCTCCCAAAGTGCTGGGATTACAGGCGTGAGCCACCGCGCCCGGCCCCTTTTAACTCTTAAAATCACAGGAACACTTCCTCAGTTTAGAAAATTTTAACTCAACATTTGCAGTGATTTAATCATACAAGGCCTGCCGGGCACGGTGGCTCACGCCTGCAATCCCAACACTTTGGGAGGCCGAGGCGGGTGGATCATCTGGGATCAGGAGTTCAAGAACATCCTGGCCAACATGGTGAAACCCCATCTCTACTAAAAATACAAAAATTAGCCGGGCATGCTGGCATGCACCTGTAATCCCAGCTACTCAGGAGGCTGAGGCAGGAGAATCACTTGAACCTGGGAGGCAGAGGTTGCAGTGAGCCGAGATTGCGCCACTGCACTCCAACCTGGGAGGCAGAGCAAGACTCTGTCTCAAAAAAAAAAAAAAAAAAAATCATACAAGGCCGATGTTTACCCCTTTTACTGCATACCAAGTAGAAGACAAACAACTATTTACTAAAGAAATTCACTTGTCTCCAATCATGCTAAAAATTTTGAGGCTCATTTGCATACAGTTATTATAATAATTATCAATGTTACATTTATAATCTTAAGCAAATTCAACAGAATTTTTACTTGGCAAATTTTAGTAGATATTTGCACCAAGAAATATATACTTAAGGGGCAGCATGGTGGCTCACACCTGTAATCCCAACACTCTGGGAAGCCGAGTCAGATGGATCACTTGAGGCCAGGAGTTCAAGACCAGCCTGGCAAACATGGTGAAACCCCGTCTCTACTAAAAATACAAAAATTAGCTGGGCATGGTGACATGTGCCTATAGTCCCAACTACTTGAGAGACTGAGGCAGGAGAATCGCTTGAACCCAAGAAGTGGAGGCTGCAGTGAGCCACGAGACTCTGTCTCAAAAAAAAAAAAAAAAAGAAAAATATATATACTTAAAGCTACATATTCATATATGTGCATATGCAAGACTAAAAGTTATTAATTTAGACAGTCTCTCCTCATCTCCTATTGTTCTAAACAAGCAAAGTAATCTACATATAACATTTCTGCTGATTTTATGTCATTCTCAGTCACAATTTATTAAAGCTGAAGAAAATGTTTAGAATAAAGATGGGAACCTGAGCAGTACATGAGGTACCATTGTCTACAAAATGTTTGCAGAAGTATTCATGCTTCTTGAGCAAATTTCTTAATATCTGTGAAAATGTGTAACAGATCAGAACAGGATGGGGATAATCACAAGGGAACCAGATGCCCTCCTGACAACACTCTTTAAAGTGACACTTTTTCAATAACTACAACTACAATGAAAATGTAAATGGGGGGAAGAATGACATAGAATCCATTATTCCTCACTTCACCAAATGCATGTGCCAGGGATTCTTCTAGATCTGGGTATACGTAGTGAATTGAACAGAGTCCCTGCTCACTAAGACCTTAGGTTCTAGTTGAAGAAAATAGACACTACACAAATAAAGGGAAAAAATAAAGCAAGTTAAGGGGGAAAGAGTAGAGGAAAGATTTAGATAAGGTAGTCGGAAAAGGCTTCATTAATGAAGTGGCATTTGTGCAGAAATCCGAGTGAAGTGAGAAAGCAAATCATGAAAATGTCTCAACCAATACTCCAGGCTGAGAAAACAGTGAGTACAAAGGCTTTAAGAAAGATCAGATCTTATAGGATGTGGAAGGTTACTAGAAGGGCTTTCTCTTTCATTCCAAGTGCGATGGGAAGCCATTTAAGGATTAAAGTGACAAAATGACATGATCAGATTTATGTTTTGAAAGAATCATTCTAACTACTGGTCAGCGACTAATCTGTAACATGACAAGAGTGGGAAAAGACAAGCTACTTGAGGCAATTGACATAGTCCATGCAGAGACTACAGCAACTTGGACTAGAGTGGTAGCAGTGGAGATGTTAAGAAAGGGTCACAGTCTGGATATATTTTTAAGGCTAAACACAACAGATACACTGATAGAATGGGTACAGATTATGAAGGTGAGCAAAGGACTCAAAGTTTGTGGCCTGAACAATTAGATAGATGGAGGTCCCATTTATTAAAATGGGGAATACTGAGGTCACAAAGATTTGGGGTATGGAACTGAAGTCTTCAGTTTTACAGTTTTTAAGGTGGAGTTGCCCAAGAGGCAAATTGGACATAAGAGTTGAAAAGTCAAGGAAGAGATTTGGACTAGATATAAATCTGGGAATCATTACCTCATGGGTATGGACCAGATGTGATCACATCTTTTTGTATGTTTTTAAAAAGTAAAGAAATGGGAGGGCTGACCCCTTGGTTACACTGACATTAAGGAGTCTGGAAGATAAAGGACACCTCACACAAGAGACAGAAAAAGAATGGATAAACAACAGGAAACAAATGTTGTCCCTAGAAGCCTGATGAAGAAAGTGTTTCAAAGAGGGAGTGATCAATTGTGTCAAACATTCTAAGGGCTAGAGTAAGACAAAGATTGAGAATTAGCTACAGAATTTGACAATGCGTAGTCACTGGTGACTTTAACCAGAAAGATTACCATGGAGGAGTAGGGAGAAATATCTAATTGGAATGAAAAGTAAAACATCAATGATCAGAGAGGGTAGTCAGCACAAAGCTCATTTAAAATGTGCTTGTTTACACCACAATCCAAAAATATGGCCCTTGTGTGCCCATGCAGACACACACACACACATACACACACACACATACACACACACACTTAGTCCTGCTTACATGTTCATTCTCCCTGAAATTAGAACTTAACTCAACTTCCAGGGCTATTGACTTCTTTGTAGTATATTTCACTTCAATGTACAACTTTGCATAGCGACATTTTTATTTGACAATTTGGAAAAAATCCCTAATAAAGGGTGTCAGAAGATAGAGTTCTGAGGCACCTGGAAAATATAGTTTATATGGGGGATAATGTTCCCACTAAAATAACTACTCCATTCAGTGTGGCACGAAGATGACCTCAAAGACCTTAGTGTCATTACTCTGTTGACTTTGTTAATAAGGGTAAACACATTTTTCTTTGACAGACAGAAGCCACAGAAACTTCTCACCCCAGCTGCCAAACAGAAAGGCAAGCTGTGAATGCTGGGTTAAGCCGAGACCTGTCTAAACATGGAAGCAATCTATTCATTGGTCTGGGTCTAACAATAGCCAACAAATTAGAAGAGGATACTTAAGTGGACTACTCCTGTTTTTACCAAATGGGTTGTTTAATATGTTGACCTTTATTTGGGGTGTCTGAGCTCACCAAAGAGCACAAACATCACCTCTTAACTTTATGAACAAAAGAATAAACCATACAAGTCATCACTTTACCAGGACGGATAAGTACTGTTTTAATTAATATGCTAATCTAATGAAACAGCAGACATTAGTTAAATAAGCAAACCATTAGGGTGGGAACATAAATGCCGGCGCATGGCATAGATCTATTGATGGTGTCTAGATATTAGCCACAACTCATAAATCCTAAAAAGAGAGAAGTGTGGTCTGTTTCCAAGATTCAAAGTTCTACCGTTAAATGAAATTGATTGGGTCTATATTACAAGAAATTAACTGGCTCTGTCAACATGGCTAGATCATAAAATCATAATGTTGAAGGGAGGGAGGTGATAAATGATGCAATTTGATGCCATTTATGTAAATTTTAAAAAGCACTCACAAAATACTACTACATATTAAATATAGATAGAGAGAGAGAGATAAAGATAGATAGCTAGACAGGATAGAGTTTTTTGTTTGTTTTTTTGAGACGGAGTCTTGCTCTGTCGCCCAGGCTGGAGTGCAGTGGCACGATCTCGGCTCACTGCACACTGCGCCTCCCAGGTTCACGCCATTCTCCTGCCTCAGCCTCCCAATTAGCTGGGACTGCAGGCGCCCACCACCACGCCCAGCTAATTTTTTGTATTTTTAGTAGAGGCGGGCTTTCACCGTGTTAGCCAGGATGGTCTCGAGCTCCTGACCTCGTGATCTGCCTGCCTCGGCCTCCCAAAGTGCTGGGATTACAGGCTTGAGCCACCGCGCCCGGCACCAGGACAGGGTTTTTTTTTTTAATAAAGGTATATATGACACACACCAAACTTGATGGTGTTTGCCTTTGGAGGTATTGGGGAAAAAAATGGGACAAGAAATGAGGGTTAAATGGGATACTAACAGTTCTGGGTGGTGGGAATACAGGTGTTTGTTATGTTCCCTTGTATGGTTTATTATATTTTGAATTTTAAAAAGCATCTATAAATAAATGATAATATCTTGAGAACCTACTTCATGAAGTTCTCTGGGAGGAAGGAATTGTGGAGACCTGCAGTTCACATCAAGAACCCAGGAATGGACACCTCATCTTCAGTCACATGGACTTGCCTGTGCACGGCCCTCAAGGCCCCCCTCCATGTGTGAAGTGCTGCCATGCAGTCGGCTGTCTGTATTCATCCATTTTCACAGTACTATAAAGAAATGCCTGAGACTGAGTAATTTATAAAGGAAAGAGGTTTAATTAACTCACAGTTCTGCATGGCTGGGGAGGCCTCAGGAAACTTAGTGATGGTGGAAGGCGAAAGTGAAGCAGACACCTTCCTTACAAGGCAGCTGGAGAGAGAAGTGCAAGCCAGGGAAATGCCAGAAGCTTATAAAACCATCAGATCTCGTGAGAACTCACTCACTATCACAAGAATAGCATGGGGGAAACCGCCCCCATGATCCAATTACCTACCTACCTCCCTCAACACGTGGGGATTACAGTTTGAGATGAGATTTGGGTGGGGACACAGAGCCAAACCATATCAGTGTCATTTCACAATCCATCTATCCTGGGATAGAGTGATCATGGAATTCAAGATAGAGTCACAGTTTAACTGTAAAGAGCTAATGATGGTTATAGCTTTCAGCCCAGGCTATCTTTCAGGTGCAGTTTCTCAGCCAATTGCTCAATGACTCATCAAGACCCACTTAGCCATATATCTGAGAACCAGGAAATGCACCACTCTGGCTCCTCCAGGGACAAAAATTACAAAAAAGTCAAGGAAACTTAGCAAGATGTAAACCTTTTATCAGAACTCAGAAGCAGCCACAGAGTAAAAAGCTAAGTAGCAAAGAAGTAGCAAAGCTTGTTGACAAATCAGACTCAGGAAGAACAGTAAAGTATCAATTATGTTAAAATCCAAATTATCATTTTGGCGGGTGCAATTTGGCGTCCAGATGGACCACACTAAACAATTCAATTCTACTTAATTATTTAAATATCATTTTGCAAGTCACTTACTTGGCAAGTAGAGCTGCTTCAAATCTGTTTTATGGGAGCCACACTGGGATTTTGCTATGCAGGGGAAAACTTTCTGTAGTTTCTGCATCATTTGTAGTAGATAACTCTGTTTCAATTGACTGCATGTTCTAGCAAGGAGAAAGGGAACTAATACTCAGTGATTTTTTTTTTTATATTTGGCAGGCACTGGGCTACATGCTTTCCCATATCATCTCAACTCATTCTCTCAATAGTATAAGATCAATATTAACCCATTCTAGAAATAAAAAAAACTGTGCTTCAACAGTTGAAGTAACTTGACCAAAGTCATACTTCCAGGAAGTTGCAGATCCAGATTTCAAACTGAGGTTGCTCCAATCCAAAGGCTTTGTTCTGGAGACAGCTAATTTGAAAAAAAAAAAAAAGAAGAAAGTAGTACAGATTTTAAGAGGAAACATCATGAGTAGCCATTACAGTTAATGGAAATGAAAATTCCGTGAGAAAGCTGAAGGACTATCTTTAAGAGGACCGGAAGAAACATGAATTTGTTTGCCCCCACCCACACTTCACAATGCTCTGTGGACTGTGGAAATCTCCCTGACTGAGCTTTAATAATCCAGGATCAAACTTTAACAGGCACATGAGTCCTCTGGGCATCTTGTAAAAAGGCAGATTCCAACCAGCAGGCCAGGGATGGAGGTGAGGTTCTGCAAGTCTAACAAGCTTCCCGTGGTAATGATATTGCTAGCTCGTGGACCACAGGTTTTGAGTAATAAGGAGCTGTAGAATATTTAACCATTTTCAGGTGATAAAAGCCCCCAGGGACAATCTTCTGCTGATGGAACTCATTAAACCCTGTGAATGACAGGGTTTTCAAAACTTCTTTAAGTTCTTAGGTTTAGATCTCGTGCAACACACCCTAAAGGATGATTTATCTACAAGGACTTCTCTCAACATCCCCAAAATTACAGATCTGTCATTTCACCAAATATCAACCTAAACTCTGTGGTCTCTTTTTCTTCAATACATTGTACACATTGATTTCTCAATTAGATAGTCAGCATAAGGAACAAAGTAGTTTCAGATGAACTTTTTACCATTGACCCTTGATACACTCTGCATCAATGAACAGAGGATCTCATTAAAAACAGCAACAGCTATTGAATAACTCTAAGCATTTTTAAGTAAAATCTGTCTGATCTCAATAAAATGATCCAAGACGCTTAAGGATCTTTTGAGAGACTTTTTAAGAATATCACCCTGAGGATAACACTGAAGTTTAAGTATTCCAAACTACTATTTCAGATGGCATTTTAAAAAGGACTGCATTCTAGCAAATTCCTTTTTAATTTATACCAGCACAATTTAATACAAATCTTTTTTGATTTATTTACTTATTCATTTTATCTAATTTTATTTGATACAGGTTCTCACTCTGTCTCCTAGGCTGGAGTGCAGTGGCACAATCTCCACTCACTGCAACTTCTACCTCTCAGGCTCAGCCAATTTTCCTGCCTCAGCCTCCCAAGTAGCTGGGATTATAGGCACGCACCACCATGCCTGGCTAGTTTTTGTATTTTCAGTAGAGAAAATAAAATAATAATAATAATAATAATAATTTTTGTATTTTCAGTTTTACCTATGTTAGCCAATCTGGTCTCGAACTCTTGACCTCAAGTGATCCACCCACCTCGGCCTCCCAGAGTGCTGGGATTACAGGCATGAGTCACCACACCTGGCCTATTTATTTATTTAGAGACGGAGTCTCACTCTTCACCCAGGCTGGAGAGCAAAGGAGCAATCATAGCTTGCTGCAACCTCAATATCCTGGGGTCAAGTGATACTATGGCCTCAGCCTCCTGAGCAGCTGGAACTACAGACACACTCCACCACTCCTGGCTAATTCTTTTGACTTTTAGCATAGATGAGGACTCACTGTGTTGCTCAGGCTGATCTTGAACCCTTGAACTCAAGCAGTCCTCACACCTTGGCCTCCCAAAGTGCTGGGATTACAGGTATGAGCCACCATGTCCTGCCCGCAACTTGAAACAAATCTTCAGATAAACTAGATATGGGCTCTCCTGTAATTAAAAAAAGAATGACTGTCGTTCTTATCCATTCTGAGAACATACTCCTTCTCTAATGTTCTAAAGAAGATAAACATATTTGTCCACTATAATTAGGTAGTAGAGTGTTAACTTTGATTATAATTAAGCCAAAGTCCATTTTTGGCCCACATGTCTCTGCCACAAGATAAATAATGATAAACAATTCGGCCCCTTGGGTTCACTCATCTGATTAACTGGAGGATATTTTGTGGTTAATGGAATCCTGATAAATCTATCATGAGCTCATCAAAATTTAAACTTCTGCATTATATCATTAAAGAATCTCAGTCTCAAAATCTTCCAAGAACAGTGAATATTATATTTGGCCACCAAAAAAATCCACTCCCTGTTTTGTTAACTCGTCAGCTCTCTTTAGACATCCACATCCATACGTAAGCACACCCTCCCAGCCCATGAAGTCAATGTGTTTTGGGGAAAGCCAAGCTCCGCCCCTAGCTAGTCAGCCCCAAGGTAAGCAGAGCATTCCTCTCCCTGGGCAGAATAATTGGTTCAGGGATGGACTCCTGATTCAATTGCAAGTCAATTAAATATGAGAAAAAGGTTTTTTTGTTTGTCTTTTGGGGACTTTCTTTTGTCACAATCTGGGACTGAAGCTTTTTGACCACAGAGAAGGAAGATCCAGAAGGAATCCTCTCTCCATATTTGAAACAAGTAGCAATGAAGCCATCTCTTAACCACAAGAGGGAGCCAATCCTTACGTTGAAGCTGACACCATGACAGTAGATAGAGATAGAAACTACGTTCTGGTTGTCCAACAGAAACTACTCTTCGTACACCTTTTTGATCTATAAACGGATAGTTTTCTAATTGATCTATGAAGACATTTTGAAAGCCCTTTCAAATGACTTGCTTTGGTTCAAAAGTACACACTGCTGCATTTCCCCTGGCTCCATAGTCCAATATATCTGTCAAAGAAGGAAATGAGGTTACTGTAATGATGACCCAACCAATTCCTCTTCTTGGAACTCCCGGAAATAAAGCTCACAGTTCAACAGTTTGCAGAATCTCCCTTCCTCCTTTTGAAAACTGGAATGGTAGGTAAAATGGCATTTACCCATATCTGATCTTTTAACATACTCCATGTTTGCTGAGATTACTCACCAATCTCATTTACAAGATTTTTTTTAAGATGTGGAAATATCGGCCGGGTGCGGTGGCTCACGCCTGTAATCCCAGCACTTTGGGAGGCCGAGGCGGGCGGATCACCTGAGGTCGGGAGTTTGAGACCAGCCTGACCAACATGGAGAAACCGCGTCTCTACTAAAAATACAAAATTAGCCAGGTGTGGTGGCGCATGCCTGTAATCCCAGCTACTCGGGAGGCTGAGACAGGAGAATTGCTTGAACCCGGGAGGCAGAGGTTGCGGTGAGCCGAGATCGTGCCATTGCACTCCAGCCCAGGCAACAAGAGCAGAACTCTGTCTCAAAAAAAAAAGTGGAAATATCATTTATAGAAAAATATGCATTTACAACACGGGGGTGTGCTTTACCCTCTCTTTACAATTTCTTTACCTGTTTGGGGTTCTCTCTTTCCCTTTGCCCAGTCGGAGCTCCTTGAAGCACAGTTCTAATTAAGGAAGCATTGTCATCATTTTCTTTCCTATATTAAATTAGATAGAAGTTTCTTTGTCCCAGAAAAAGTCCAGAGGTAGCTCACCCATGGTAGGTGTGGCAGTTTCATAGTCATCATAGTCAGCAATCTTTAGCATAAACCTCATGGTCCAACTGGCTAAGAGTGTCAAGGTTGTCCATATCCCAAGCAGCACGAAGGAGAAAGAGGTGCAGAAGAATGTGTTCTTCCCTTTAAAGGACTGCATTGGTTATCTTATGCTAGGTTATGCTGTGGCAACAAAGTCCAAAATAACAGAGGCTTACAACATATTTTTCTCACTCTCTTCACAAGTTGTCTGTGGGTTGGCTGAAACTCTATTCCACATTTTCTCCCATTTGGGAATTGTTATGGGCTAAATTTGTCACTCCAAAAATTCATACATTGATGTCCTAATACGTAGTAGCTCCGAATATAACTATATTTGGAGATGGGGTCTTTTAAAAGGTAATTAATTTCAAAATGATGTCATTAGAGTGGGTCCTAATCCAATATAACTGGTGACCTTATAAGAGGAAATTAGGACACAGACATGTGCAGTGTGAAGACAGGAGAAGACAGTCATCTATAAGCCAAGGAGAGACGCCTGGAACAGATCCTTCCCTCGTGGCTCTCAGAATGAACCAGCTCTGCAGACATTGTGATCTCTGACTTGTAGCCTCCAGAAATTGTGAGAAATAAATTTCTGTTGATTAAGCCACCCAGTCTGTGGTATTCTAACAGCCTTAGCAAACTAACACAGGGATCTAAACTAAAGAAGCAGGCTTAAGTCTCGTGGCAGAGGGAAGAGAACAATGGCTGATCTATGCAATTTCTCTTAAAGCTTCTGATTGTATGTGGCATTTGTCACCTGTTCTTCACATTCCATTGACCAAAGACAATTATATGACCAAACTCTACACTAATTGAGAAACAGAGTAGAATCTTCTTAGAGGGAAACACTGCAAGTCACATGGTTATGGGGATGGACATATAATTCTTTCACAGGTGGGCAGCAAATGGTAAAAACAATAATAACATTACCACAAAGACACTGTTCTGGTTATCTATTACTGTGCAGAAGCTATACCAAAACATAGTGGCTTTGATTTATTATTATTCCTCACAGTTGTGTGGATGGACTGGGTTCAACTGAACAATTGTCATTTGGGGGTCACTATAGTCAGATGGGGCTGTGTCATCTGAAGGCTCAATTGGGCTGTACATCTAAGATGCATCACTCACATGGCTAGGAGATGAAGCTGGCTGTCAGCCAGAAGCTCAGCTGGGACTCTAAACCTGAGCATCTGCACATGGCCTTTGCATGTAACTTGGGCTTCTCACAGCACAGCAGGTAGAATGCAGCCTTAGAACCTGACCAGATTCAAGGTGAGGGAGGTTAGACTGCATCTCTGGATGAATGACTTGCCAAAGGATGTTTGGCCATTTTTAACCCACCATTGGTCAGTCCAACTTCCACTATATCTCATTGGCCAGAAGCTAGACATTTGGTCCCATCTAGCATCAAGGGAGGCTGGGAAAATACTTTATGTAACGCAATCTTTTCATTTATTTGTTTGTTTATTTATTCACTTATGTAGCAGTGCCCTGCCAAAAACTGAGGTTCTGTTATTAAGGAGGAAGAAGTAAATGGACATTGGGATCAGCAATTAGGAGTCTTTGCCATTTCTTCTTTATATATATCCTTTTTATTCAGTGTTCTCTCTTAAAATAATCCCCATCCTCTCTAGAAACTCATCATTTTTTAAAATCATTTGTTTATTTAACAAAATAATAAATATGCAGTTTTTCAGTTAAATAATAGCCCCCAAAGGCTTATTATAAAAATTTTAAAATAACTATTTTAGACTTTTTTTTATAATTCTTCTTTCAACATTTATTTCAAAATTTCTAAACAGAACTCTTTATCTTTTGGAAAGACTTCCTATCCCATCCACTCATAAATTGCCCACAACTCAATTTCAGGAAAACCCATAGAACCCTTTGTATTTCTGGCAAGATCCTCCCATTCAACATCCCACTATGTATCTGCAGTCTCACATTTCACATCATATAGCAGATTATGCCCACGGTGGATGCCATGATAAGAACTGATTTTCATGTCCCCTTAAAGTGATCAGGACTACATGCATCATACATTGCATACCTGCCATCCCAGTCTCAACAAAGAGTCCACTCCCCAGAGTCATCTCTTACCACGTAGACTCTATCCCCATATGGGTTTGCACCTCCTCTAATCTGACGCAATCACCCCCCCCACATGACTCCCTAACACCTTGCCCTGTACCCTGAAGAACTCAAAATGCCCTATGCTGGTGACCTTCCCTCTGAAAGTTACCTTCACCTTCTTGTTCTAGCTGGAGTTTTCAGGTATCACTTCAAGGGCAGCCCTTTCAAGCAAGGACTGTTTTTATTCTCACATCCAACACTCAACAACTGTTGAAGATGGGCTAGGTTTCCCCTTGCTCCTTATTTCTACTGCCAAACTATTGTTTCCCCTCTACTCTAAAATTCCCCAGTTACCTGGAAGCATGTATTGTCAGAATAAATGACCAGATTAACCTGCCCTTGTTGCAATAATCTACTTTCCATTCATGTTGATGTCCTAGACAGCGTCATTCTCAACAACTATACTGACTCCAAAATTTCCATGTCAAGAGTCTCACTGAGCTCATCATCTTCTGTTTTTCTTGGGCATTCCTCCAACAATTCTGAGCCAATATGCTTCAACCACAGTGGAATCTCCCATTGACTGCCTCTTCCACTTTTCACTGTCTGTCATACTTCTACCACTGCCTCCTCACCCTGGTTAGACTCCACAATCCCCTACTGTAATGTTTCCCTTTCATATACCTTCGGTGTTTTTGTTCTTTTCTTCTTTTGTCCTCCAAACCCAGCAAGATCCCAGTACAACTATGTGTCTGCATTTAAGCAGCTGAACACGAAAGGAGAAATCCTCACAACCACACTGATGGCTCACTCATTAAATGTTTGTGCTAATTTCGGACGGGGCATCGGCACTGCCAGACAAGCCCTAGTCAACATTTTCTGACATAATTTGCTCTTCCACTCTCCAGGAGGCCTGTTTCACCATGTCTGCTTTCTCTGCAAAACTTCAATAACAACTACTCCCTATAACTCACTTTCAGCTTTTTTTTTTTTTTTTTTGGCTAAGAAAATAAAAACAAACCAAAAGGTAAACCGCAATGAGAACCCACCTCAAAATTTCATAGAAAAGACCATGAGTGTTCTGAATATCTAAAGGAAAAGTGGCCGGGTGCGGTGGCTCATGCCTGTAATCCCAGCACTTTGGGAGGCTGAGGCAGGCAGATCACCTGAGGTCAGGAGTTCTAGACTAGCCTGGCCAACATGGTTAAACCCCGTCTCTACCAAAAAATAAAAAAAGTACCCGGGTGTGATGGTGCGCATCTGTAGTCCCAGATACTGGGGAGGCTTAGGTGGGAGGATCACTTGAACCTGGGAGGCGGAGGTTGCAGTGAGCCGAGATTGTGCCACTGCACTCCAGCATGGGTGATAGAGTGAGACCCTGACTCAATAAATAAATAAATAAAGGAAAAGTAGGGAAACAGGTGGGAAAAGTATAGGCAGCATAAGCAATGGGCTTTACCTTCTTTCTATCTGTCTTCAAGGCCAGCTCTGATATCACTGTGGAGGACTGCCAGCCGGAGACCTCGCAGACATGGAAATTAACACCCATCGGAAGTCATAGCACCTGGATCTTAGTCTTGGTTCTGCCCATCTTACTGCTGCACAAATGTTACTGCCCTAACATGGAGGATTACCAACTTAATGAAAGGCTTAAAACTGCAGAGACATTATTTTCCTGATAAAATGGCATAATTGACTTCTATGCCTTATTTCTTTTAATGTATGCAAATGAATGGGAAAGTAGGAGTGGTTTAACTCTTCTGTAAATCTATTTGAACTCCTTTGGGGAAAGATGTAAATAAGCAGAGCTACATGTTCATTGTAAAGACACAGACGGGATGTTATCACCATTAGTAATAATTTAATTATATCAACTAATTGTTATTACCTTCTAATGCATTTATGTAAAGACAAATTTTGTCTTCTTGCTAGCTTTGCCAATAAAACAAAAGAATAATGCTATCCTAGCTGATAAGAATAATGACTTCACCTGTCAAAATAGATTTATATCTTGAGTCTCAGTCTCTGCAGCATGTTTTTGCCAGGAATATTCACTTGTCCTTTCTTTCTTTTTTTCTTTTTTTTTTTAAGGAAGATGACAGAGAGCAGGTTTCCACTACTCCTGAGCCTCCCTCTCCAATGATGCTCGGGGCAACAACCCTTCAAAATTAGGTACCAATCAGTGCCAATTCCTTTGATAACCATTGTAATAACATTAACACGATGAACTAATGAGATATTAATGTGGTTGTAGCAGAAATTTCCATAGGAGTTCCATTGTAATTGAGTAGGTTGATAATGTGCCTTAATCTGTGTTCGGCAAATGATGAATAGGGAGAGGCAAAATTCTGATGACTTCCAATTTGTAAGGTGCTTACTCTTTCAAAAAAGAAAAGAAATTCCTGTTTTTAAAAGCAGATACATATGTGAACATTTGAGAAATCTGAGCCCAGAGTGTCATAACCTCCTCAAGGCATCTCAAGGCATTTCATACATTTAAATTTCCAAATGGCAGTAGAATTGGGGAGTGAGTATTTAAGATCTCTATTTGACTTTTAGTCTATCAACACCTAGCAAATTATAATTACGGAAGGCAGAGCCTTGGAAATTCAGTGATGGTACAGTGAGTATTGCTTTTTTTTTGAGACAAAGTCCACTCTGTCATCCAGGCTGCTGGAGTGCAGTGGCGCCATCTCAGCTCACTGCAACCTCCGCCTCCCAGGCTCAAGCAATTCTCATGCTTCAGCCTCCCGAATAGCTGGGATTAGAGGCTTGTGCCACCATGCCTGGCAATTTTTTGTAGAGATGGGGTTTTGCCATGTTGGCCAGGCTGGTCTCGACCTCCAGGCCTCAAGTGATCCTCCCACCTTGGCCTCCCAAAATGCTGGGATTACAGGCATGAGCCACTGTACCTGGCAGTATTGCTTTTAAAGAAAAGAAATACCACACAGAGAGACATGTACACACAGACACACACAGAAGTATGCACAAATGTGCACACATACACACATGAGCATATGCATGTTCACTCACACACAGAAGAGCTCCTATTGTTTGGGAAAAATAAAAAAATAAGGTCAAGAGCCTAGAAAGAAATAAAAAGGGGCACGGTGATAGAAAAGAAAAAGCAAAAGCAAGATTGAAAAGCTGAGATATTCAGAGTCTTTCCATTGGTTTTAAGAGGATACCTGTAAATAGCCCTGGTTTGAACTCTGCTGAAAGAGACAGGAAAGAACGAGGCCTTTGTATGATTATTTATTCCAGCAAACAACAGCACACGGCAACTCAGAGCCTTGCTATTCCCTCAGCTAATATTTGGAAGACATTGTATCTCAAGGGCAAATTCTAAGTGTTCTTCCTCTCTCTAAAGTAAAGAGGAAAGGGGAAAAAATTGGAGGCTTCCATCATCCAAGGATAAAAAAGAAAATACTGATGAAATTCCACATTGGACATTGTATGAGGAAGATAAAAAATTAAGGAAAGAGTGTGATGATAAGCTTTGCTTAGCAAATACAAATGAAGGCTATGTAAACCCATGTGATTTTTTTTTTAAGGCAGACTATTGTTAAATTAACTGGCAGCATTTCAACATCTCCTTAACAGTAAATGTTGCTGCCAATTCTTTTCATATTTTTACCCCCTCTATGCAAGACCCTCTTCCTTAAACTGCTCCTAATAGTCTCAGTTCTGAACACAAAGAGGCAGTAGCCTGAGAATTCTCTAGCTTCCTCTGATCTTTCCCAATTCCATTTCCAGCTGATATTTAAATGGCCCCATTTCTCTGCTTCTCTTGGAAGAAGTGACTTTCTTAGTGTGACTCAGCACCATGTGTTTGCCTGGAGGCCAGCTTCCAGGGCGTTCACTTTTCTACCTCATTACAGCCAACCTGTAGTTACTAGAGGGAATTATTTAGAATCTGGATTATTCTCCTTCTCCACCTCTATTTTCACCCAGCATTTCTCTACCTGCCAGTGGCCTTACCAAAATTTTTTATCTGCCTGTAAATTTGACAATGGTAAGAGTTTTCAAAATAAAAGCTTTTAGGCTATGAAGCGGCAGACCATGTAGGATAAAGACCATCATCTTGGGATTCAGGAGGGAGGGCCTGTTTGCAAATTCTGGTTTCTCCACTTAGTATCTTTGTGACCTACCACTTAACCTCTCTGCATTTCAGCTTCCTCATCTATAAAAATGGAGACAACAAAATCAAAGGTTGTACAAGATGTAAATGAGACAACCTACGAGAAGTACAGAGCATGCTGCCAAGAACTTTGCACACTTGTTGAGTGAGTTTCCCTTCCCCTTTCAAGCAAATGTATTTCCATATAGCAGGCACTTTTTCCCCCATGACACTGAATAATAGTTCGGAACATAAAATGTCAAGTTTTACTCATTTTACCCCGAAGTCTAAAAAAGGCAGAGGTAAGGAACGAAGCCGTTTTCTCTGCATCTCCCACTCAGCCCTAAGTGGCTAAGAAACTGAGTGAGGAAGTGAAGAGGGAACAGTAGTCACATCTGTAGTGTTCATTGCTGACTTTTAACATTTTGAGGGCATGTTCCTGAGACAGTATCTACAGCTGTTGGAAAGGTCTCTCTACTAGTCTGCCCTCTCCCCCAGTTTCAAACCACTCCACCAAAATCTTCCTTCATTAGATTTTTGTTGGAAGATTCGGAAACCCATGTTTTCCTGGTTATCCTTCATGATCTTCTGTAATCCCTCAGTTAGCTTACTTCCTGAGACAGTGACCATATATTAACTTAGTGGTTGATTTGCCCATTTAATTCATATTTAATGAGTAATTTTCACATGGTAGCTCTGTGCTAGGCATGAGTGATTCAAAGAAAAAAGCCAAGGTTGCAGCCTCGAAGGAGCTTACTATGTAGTGGGAGAGAAAGGTGAATAAACACATCATTACTATGGACAGAGGTATTGCGGGAGCACAGGAAAGGGGAGATGAGCCCTACTGTCTTCGGGGATGGAGGTTTGGAAGAGGATGGGAAGGATACAAAGAAGAATCTAGTTTTGTCGTTTCCGGAGGAACTGGCACCTCAGAGAATTGATCATAATAAAGAAGAGTTACCATTCCCAGTAAGTTCCTCTCTTTATCACCACTCTCAACCATCTTTTGTTTTGAAAAAATATGGTGTGTTATATTGGGTCCTCCAAAAAGCAGATACCAAAACAGAATGAATGTGCAAAAAAACTTATTGGGGAAGCCACTTGTGAGAAAAAACTGGGAGGAAACAGGAGGAAGCTGGGAGAGCTGTCAGATCTTAATGGAGGTCTGACTCCTGTGAGGAGAGAGAAAAGGAGGCCGAGCCAGGTTTGCAAGAGACCTGGACTGCCATGCAGTTCTAGGGAAATTTTAGCAAGATCAATGCATAGTTATGGAGCTTCAGTTGCCTGTCACAGCAGTCCCCATCCCCCAGAATGGGCCTGCCTTAGCATCTCTGCCACACTCGGTCAATAGCAGGGAACAGCCAGGGGAAGTGTGCCTTGGCATGAACGTGGTGGTGAACTTCCGCGTGCAGTAGCTTGGGGCTTTCGGTTAATTACATTCCTTGGGCTGAGCACAGTGGCTCATGCCTGTAATCACAATACTTTGGGAGGCTGAGGCAGGAAGATTGCTTGAGCCCAGGAGTTTGAGACCAGTCTGGGCAACATAGCAAAACTCCATCTCTACAAAAAAAAAAAAAAAAAAAAGTAAAGAAAAATGCTCCCTAAAGTCAAACATCCAAGAGGTACACATACATGGTTTTCACATTTGTTCTATGCTTCTTAAAAATTATTCATTATTTGGTCTACATTTCTTAAAAATTATTCATTATTAATTCCTTTTCCCATTTAGAAATGCAATATATAATGAAATATGAGCTATCAAAACAAATATTGACTTGTTTAATTATATGCCTATAATTTGAAAACATATAGCCTATGCTTTCAAAATATTAGAAATAACTGCAAAATACCCATTTCTACTGTATTAACCTGCTAGAGCTCCCTTAACAAAATGCCACAGTCTAGGAGGCTTAAACAACAGAAATTTATTTCTCACAGTTCCAGAGACTGGAAGTCCAAGATCAAGGTGCCAATAGGGTTGGTTTCTCCTGTGGTCTCTCTCCTTGGCTTGCAGACGGCCACCTTCTACGTGGCCTTTCTCTGTGTGCACACATCCCTGGTGTTTTTCTCTCTTTTTATGGGCTGCCAGTCATGCTGGACTAGGAACCCACCCTTATGACCTCATTTAACCCTGATCACCACTTTAAAGTCCCTGTCTCCTGTTACATTGGGGCTTAGGGCTTTAAAATACAAATTTTGGGCTGGGCGCAGTGGCTCATGACTGCAATTCCAGCACTTTGGGAGGCTAAGGCAGGCGGGTCACTTGAGGTCAGGAGTTCAAGACCAGCTTGGCCAACATGGGGAAACCCCATGTCTACCAAAAATACAAAAAAAATAAAACTAGCCAATGTGGTGGCACACACCTGTAATCCCAGCTACTCAGGAAGCTGAGGCAGGAGAATCGCTTGAACCTGGGAGGCAGAGGTTGCAATGAGCCAAGATTGTGCCACTGCACTCCAGCCTGGGCAGTAGAGCAAGACTCTGTCTCAAAAATAAATAAATAAATAAATAAAAATATGAATTTTGAGAAGACATAATTCAGTCCCTAACACCTACCTTGCATGATTTCAATAATTCCCAGATTTTTCACAGTCTATGATGGGAACTCCTGCCTTGAAATGTGTGCAGGGAATAAGAAGAGATAAAGAAGACCAAATCGAGGGGCACTGCTTTGGGAAAGTCTCCAAAGAAGGAGTGGGGGAGGAAGAGGAGGAGGGAAAGGAGGGGTGGTAGGGAGAAGAAGAAAACGACACAACTTAGCTTGTATATTTTCTCTGTCACTGTTAGCAGAGATTCCATATTTATTATTTATCAGAGATAACTAAATAATGGATAATTGTATCCTTCTCTTGTATTAGTAAGCATTGGGATAACCATAGTCCACATGGCCAGAATATGCAGCATTCTGATTTCTGTCCCCGCCATTGACTAATATGGTCATTTTGAATATTACAATTTTCTTCTATTTTTAGAGGAAATCAAATATTGCATAATAAACTGTAGCAAAAACAAAACTATGTTATGCTTCTCAGCAATTATAAATAACCAGATCAACCCTAATCAAATTGAGGGAGCATTTAGAGTCTACTGAGTCCATTAGCTGTGGTGTAAGGTAAACAGAATAAAAAGAATATTCTTAACAAGAGA
This sequence comes from Homo sapiens, assembly GCF_000001405.40. Taxonomy (NCBI): domain Eukaryota; kingdom Metazoa; phylum Chordata; class Mammalia; order Primates; family Hominidae; genus Homo; species Homo sapiens. Next base: position 81,533,498 of record NC_000009.12, read on the forward strand.
CACAGGTCCTTGCTAGCTCTGACTATACCCTCCTCTGAATGGACATGGTGATGCGCAGCACCTGGGGACCCTCAGGTGGTTAGACCTGGGGTGGATTCCTAACCCAAGATTTGCCTAACCTTATATTAGTCAAGGAAAGGTCATTGTTCCCACATCCTCGCAGCAACCAGGCCCATAAGGTCCATTTGTTAGCACTACTTCCTGACAGATGCAGCAAAACCTCATAAGAACCCCTTCTCTTTTCTTGGGCTGGCTGCTGTAAGGTTTTCTTTCTGCAATCAAGGGAACTATCACTACTAATTTGGGGTTCAGCACTCTAGTTCGGCTGTGCCTTTCAATGTCATCAAATCTAGGAAAACACTCCAATGCCTGAATGTCCCTCAATCTAGTGTCTCTAGTAACAAAAAGGATTTTTTGTTGACGTTCTGTTTATTAGACATTATGTGACTTTTTTATTACTGTTATTCCATATTCAAAGTGTGTGAGGCATCAGTCAGTACTGAATCACCTTAACATGGTATCTCCATTTGCAAAGCATTTGTCTTGGCATCTGCAGATGGATTTACCTATAAATAATAAAACATACCTTGAGTTAAAGAAAAACTCCAGTTGATATTGCTTAGCAGGAAAAAGAAAACAAAGAACCAATAGATGAGTTTTCAAATCAGGGTTCTTCCCAGTCATTGTGAAGCTCAATCAAAGGATGCTGAATACAGAAGAGGAAAGAACCCAGAGCTAGAAATCAGGAGGCCTAGACACTGTGCCAGATCACTCAGCAAATAACTCTGTGTCCTCAGGCACTTGCCCATCAGCCCTTGCAGTTTCTTTACCTCTCTGAGCATAACAACAGCTACCTGAGCTATTGACAGGGTCCTTATGGGGAGTCAGCAACAATGGATGCACAGCGGTGACTCAGTAATTAGAATGCAACATGAACAATAGGTTTTTTTAAAATGTTGTATTATCTACTGGTCTAAGTACAAGTCTGCCTTGATTATTTCAAAGTAATGCTTATGCTTCCATTTTAAAATATAAGAATGTGACATTTGAAATATATGGAAATGTCCTTTTATCTAATGCCTCCACTTCGACATGCAGAATCTACTCCTGGGAACCAGCAAATGCAGTCAGCTTGGTGTTCCTGACCTCAGGCCTGACATGGACATGAGTTAGATGTGACTCGGACATGACGACTGACATCAATTTTCCATTCTCATCCACAGCCCCACTTCCTCTCTTCCTATTTCAATCTTAAGTGTCATGTAGATAGAAAGTAAATCTTACTTTATATTATGCACCCTGTGCTCAAAAAACACTAGGTATTCCACAATAAATATTGATGAACAGTTTTCAAGTCAATGAGTAAAACTGCCCTAAAAATTATTCCTTTTTATTCACTGACTATACTACTGCAACACGAATTTTCTCTTCCCCTCATTTTTATTTAGGAATCCTCATAAAACTTTAAAAATATGTTTATAATTTTAGTCCTCCAATTTGATTTAAGTTATTGAGGTCAGGAGATTTATCTTTTTTTATATTTTCTCCGTGGATTTTAATGTAGCAGCTCAGCTGCTCAATAAACAGTGGTTGCTTGGCTAAATATTCAGTGCAACAACTGACAATTCATTTTTGAAAAAGAGCGTATATCAGTTGTGTCATGAATTGACTGATCAACTCTTCAATCTTTTAATACCCAAATAAACTCTTCTTCTCATTTTTGAGGAACAGTAGTTTGAATTAAATATGTCTATATAGGACAGTAGGAAAGTCCTAATGAATGAATGAAATATGTCCATATAGGACATTAGGAAAGGTTGTTAATTCTTAACCTTTTTATTCATATTTTATACTATTTTATTACTTACCATATATCCTGAAAGTCTTCTTTATTTTAATGGGGAAAAAGATAGCAAAAGAATGTGTAAGAGACGCTTTTGGGAAAAGAAGATAAATCAAATTGGAAGTTTTCTAGTATGAAAATGTTTCTCTTAAAAAAAAAAAAAGCAATCACAAAATAAAACAAGTCAGCATTCTCAATGCTGGAAAATGACAGTGACTAAAAAAGTCTTTCCGCCTGTGTGAGCACTGTCCTCTGTCCCATCCCTAGTGCTGGGTAATGCAGAGATATAATTTATCATGGATTCACAAACAAAATGGTCAATGGTTCAGCACAAACCAAACATGAGCAGACACATTTCTAAATCCAACCGTCATGCTGCTTACACAATCTGTTGATCCATTGAACAAATATATGTTGAAAGATTAAGCGGGAGTTGACTGCCATTCAGGAAGATAAATGTAGAGTAGACTCATTTTCCGCCTGACTTAATGCTTAAGAATTTGTATTAGAAGGATGTTGGGGAGGGCAATGTCTGCGGGGGGATAGGGGGAATGGAAATTCCAGTCACCCAGATCTTTAGAATGAGATTATCTCGCTAAGGACCTCACACAGAGGCCTTTGCCAGCCATCTTTCACACCCTGGACTGTCCTTTCCCCTTACTCTTTTATTGTGGGAAAAAAAAAAAAAATTCAAGAAAATAAACTAGTGCTGCAGGAGCGCTTGCCTTACCTATTCAGGCCTTGTTGATGGAATGATAGGAGACGGATTGTCTTATACAGTTCAGTTTGAGATTTCAACGGGGAGAAAAGAGTCAGGCTGTCATAAAGGCACATTGTTATCCAGCTGTCTCAGAAAAGGTCTGTGAGCCATTAAGCTATAGAGAGAATTGAAAGCCTGAAGCTGGAAACGCGGTGTCCCTGCTGGTAGGGCCAGTGCCATCCCCAGGCAGAGAACAGGGCCAACCTTGATTCAACTCATCTTGTTGACACCTTCCTCAATTGGGGTATGAGGCCAGTCTTGTGGAGTTGCGTTTGTTATCTTCGCTGGGCTGAAAAAGACAGCCCTTCACTGCTGTTGATCTTGTTATAAGTGTTTGAGCTTCACATCAGAGCTTTGTTAGAAAGAAATGGAAGAGGGCATAGAGGAGGAAGAGGGGAAGGAAGAAGGAAAGGAAAGAAAGGAAGGGAGCAAGGAAGGAAGGAAAAAGGAAAAGAGAACAAAAGAGAAAGAACAACCATTTGTACAACATAAGAGGGATTTTCTTGATTTGTAAACCTGGGACATGGCCACAATACAATAATGCAACCATGCAGCTTCCTTGTTTAGCAAGCTGTGAACAATTTTTAGAGCCATCCAACAACTCTGGCCTGGTCAGGAATGCATTCAAACAGAAAACCACTGAGCACTGCAAAAAGAGATGGATCTTGACCTACCAGAGTACGTGCGCCAATAAATGCACTGGAAAGCAATTCACTTTGATTCAACATTTATTGAGCGTCCGTATGGGTCATGACACAGGAGCAGAAACCACACAAACTTACAAAAGACATGGTTTTTGCCCTTGCAAAGTACTTATGCCAACAAAGACCATGTGGACGTGTACAGAATGTTGTGTAGCTGTCCAGGAGAGATATGTTTCCTTTTGTATTGAAGAGTAAGTTGAATCTTCTAAGTTGGGAATAATTTTAGGCAAGTGCTAGATTTACACAGTGCTGTGAAGAAGCGAAGAGAGATGAGCATGGAAAGTTTCATATATATGGGGTAGACATAAAGGCCAAAGAAGAAACAGTATTCAAAGTAAGCTAAGAACATCTTTATTTGCCAAGCAAAGCGATGAGTTTGTAAATCAAGTAGGTGTTGGGTAAAAATGACTGATGAAAGGTCTTGAAATTATTTTTAGCCAGTCATATGAGACCTTGTTTTTCACTTTTAAATGCATCTAGTGTAAGATGAAGAGTGGCTAAGACATACATGGATGCGCATAATTCTCTAAATCAGATCTCTTTCGGTTGTTCTTTTTAACTTTTAATTTTGTTTTTTCTCTTGAAATTTCCTACCCTGACTCATCACAGTCTCCAAGTTGAAGAAGTTAATGACCAACATATTCTAGCCCTCTGTATCAATTTCTTGTTGTCTTTTTATTTCACCGGAAAATTCTGTTGAGATTTTAAATGATGCCACGCAACAGCTGGGTATGGGCCACTTCTTTACCATAACATCCCCATCTTCTCCTCAATGCCACCATTATTAGCTTTATCCTTCACGAACACTTGACTTCCAAATAAAACTAACTATCTAATAGCATAAGTCTCAGTCAAGTTTTAACTTTTGGACCTGTGGGTCTGCAGCTCATTTTATTCCATTGTATTTTAAGCAAACATCATTGACTTTCTTTTTTTCCACAGGTTTTTGGGGGAACAGGTGATGTTTGGTTACATGAATAAGTTAACCAATAATAATAAGAGTTGATTTCTGAGATTTTGGTGCACCCATCACCTAAGCAGCATACACTGTACCCAATTTATAGTCTTTTATCCCTCACCCCCCTCCCACCCTTTCCCCCTAGTCCCCAAAGTCCATTGTTTCATTCTTATGCCTTTGCATCCTCATAGCTTAGCTTCCCCTTATGAGTGAGAGCATATGATCAAACATCATTGACTTTCAATGCTTAATCTTAAGCATCTGATCTTTCCTCTTCTTGGATAGCTAGTACTTAGCAAGCCAAAACTTTATAAAAATAGGAAAGAAAAAAAAACAGTGAATTCACTGGAAATGGTTTGCAATGTAAAGAAAATATGACCATCTGGATTAAATTACTGTAGGTTATGGACTGAGCTGTCTGTTTGGCTTGGTTTGGGGTGAAGGGAAGTTACACTGTATCTAACAGTGCAGTGTCAGAGAGTACCATTCTATGAGCAGCTTTTGTCTTCAGGTAAGACTACCCCATTGGATAAGCAAATCTGTGTGAATTTTGCACATGATGAAGGTTGGAAAGCATTCCTAGATATATTCGCACAGCTTCCTAAATCTCTTTCTCCTCTGCCCTGGGGTACACAGGGAACATAAGGATTATGTTACCCTCTCACCAGCTCCAGTCGCCTCAGGTCCAGGTGAGCAGCTTTGTCTTCAAATACCTCCATAAGTGAGTATAAGCTAGCTGATAGCAGAGCCTAATCAGAGAGCCTTTTTATCCAAGAAGGGCAGGAACTGGTACACGCTCTCCTGATTGACTTGTGGCTGTCCAGGGAAGGAAACAGGGTGGATGTGGGCTCAATGGTACTTTGGCAGGAGGTAATACTAGCCTAGACACCCCTCAATGAAGGAAGACAGGAGGACTAAATTGTCATTGGAGGATTTCAAGGAGAGAAAAGTTAATGATTCTGCCACAAATTCTATTCTGAACTGAAAGAAGTAATTCTGTTTTTATCCCCTAAATCTAAGAGAAATTCTTCCAGAATAGCAAAACTAATGGTAGCCAAAGCTAATGGAGTGTTCTAAAAGTGTTTTATTCTTTCTCAGTGAAGCTCCATGTGTATGATGACACTTTCAGAAAGAGCTAAATGCTATTTTGCCAAAATTAAAAGCATAGTTAGAAAATCTACTCCAAATACAATGGTCTGCTGGGTTTGAAATATTGCTCCAGAGACGAGCCCCATGGTGCTGGAGAATACCTGAATCAGCAGAAGGTGGGAGGGAGCATGAAGACTGTATTTATTATGTCTTGAGACGACTCCATAGGTCACTGCTGAGTTCTGTTTACACTGCGCTGACCCTTCACACTCCAGAGCAGTTTGTTCAGCTGTGATCTACAACCAAGAATACATTCAGTATGTCATCTGCTAGGCCCTACTCCAGCCAACCGATCTACCAAGAATAGAGACAGTATATACACTGAGAAACGTCCATTATCCTGCAGTTCTATGAATTGTCTGTTTTCTCCCTTTGCGCTTTTGTACTAATAAAAATTTGTATGTCTTGGGACACCAATGTAAAGCATGATCCTAATAGAATGGATCTTAACAAAGTGATTATTTCCACTGTACGTTGTGGTAATTGGAAAATGAGCCTGTGGAAACAGTCCTATATCTAGGTCATTATTTCACCTATCCCAATTAGGATGTGTTCAAATACTAAAGTGCAATATAACACTTTTTGTAATGGCCTGTGCCAGCTCTTTTGCAAGGGGCTATTTGAGGTCACCAAGCTGTGATAGAAAAGAAACCACATCAGATCTCTGAGGCTGACATCTACATTCTGACTTACGGCGGGTCTGTTTTTTGAATTTGGAGCTTCCTGATCAGTTTATCCACTCATTCAAAAGCAGAAGATTCCTCTACACTCCCACAAGAAATGTGTTTGTGATTTCTTTAAGGCCAAAAACAGTCTCACACACATAATATAAACAATAATTATATGGTGTTTGTTTCCCAGACAAAACTCCAATTCCAGGGACCTGACTACCTCTGTCACTACATTCTTGAGCTACAAGATTAGCTCATGTGGGGTCTTTTTTTTTTTTTTTTTTTTTTTTTTTTTGAGACGGAGTCTCGCTCTGTCACCCAGGCTGGAGTGCAGTGGCGTGATCTCGGCTCACTGCAAACTCTGCCTCCTGGGTTCACGCCATTCTCCTGCCTCAGCCTCCAAAGTAGCTGGGACTACAGGCGCCAGCCACAACGCCCAGCAATTTTTTTGTATTTTTAGTAAAGACGGGGTTTCACCGTGCCAGCCAGGATGGTCTCGATCTCCTGACTTTGTGATCCACCCGCCTTGGGCTCCCAAAGTGCTGGGATTACAGGAGGGAGCCACCGCGCCCCTCTCATGTGGGGGGTCTCTTAAAGGGGAACTCCCACATACAGATTAACCTCCTCTAGACACCTTCTACATCTGCCCCACCCCCCTGTTCACGTAGCACCTTGTGCTTCCACTTGCCATGGCACTAACACACTGCACAGCCACCCCACACAACCAGCTATTTTAAGGCAGGATCTTACTCATCTGTGGAGCCCCAGTGCCTCCCACAGTGCCTGACACACAGTTGGCACTCAATTAACATGTGCTCTATGAATGAATGAAACAAAGTTCAGGACACCAGTCATGATATTTTAAGTCTGGTGCAAGCCCACAGTGTCATATGAGATGAGAAGGCCCGTCTCCTTCATCAACAGGTGTTCTGTCTGTTCTTCCTTCTCCAGTCACTGGGTGCTGTTCTGAAGCCGAGTGAGAGACCCGTGTTGTACAGCTGTATGCTCAGTGACTGATCTAGTGCGTCAGCTTCTCTGAATTGTAAGGACTTCAGGGGCAGGGACCACGCTATATTTATCTTGGATCCCCTATCACTGTTTATAGCAAGTGCTTGATGGATGTGTCTTAAATAAATCTGATCTTTTAATCTATAAAACATTATTAGACAGTATGTTTTATGCAATGGAATGAATGGGCCCTCTTAAAATTTATATGTTGAGAGGTGGGGCACGATGGCTCATGCCAGTAATCCCAGCACTTTGGGAGGCCGAGGCGGGTGGATCGCCTGAGGTCAGGAGTTCGAGACCAGCCTGGCCAACATGGTGAAACCCTGTCTCTACTAAAAATACAAAAATTAGCCAGGCGTGGTGGCACATGCTTGTAATCCCAGCTGCTCAGGAGGCTGAGACAGGAGAATCTCTTGAACCTGGGAGGACGTTGCAGTGACCCAAGATCGAACCACTGCATTCCAGCCTGGGTGACAGAGATGAGACTCCGTCTAAAAAAAAAAAAAAAAAATCATATGTTGAAATCCTAACCCCTAATGTAGTGGTATCAGAAGGTGGGGACACTGAGAGGTAATTAAGTCATGAGGGTTAAACCTCATGAATGGGATTAGTACACATATGAAAGGGACTCCAGAGAGCTCTTACACCCTTCTTCTACCATTTGAAGATATAAGGAGAAGATGACAGTCTACAACTGAGAAGACAGCCCTCGTCAGAACCTGTCTATGCTCATACCCTGATCTTGGACTTCCATCCTCCAGAACTGTAAGAAATAAGTTCCTGTTGTTTATAAGCCACCCAATCTGTGGTACTTTTTTATAGAAGCCCAAACTAACTAAGATACCTTATAATACAAATGACTGAGAATTCACAATATATTCTTGACTGGAGAAGTGAACAGTGATTCTTCTACTTTTTAAAACTCGGCCAGGTGCAGTGGCTCACACCTGTAATCCCAGCACTTTGGGAGGCCAAGGCAGGCAGATCACCTGAGGTCGGGAGTTTGAGACCAGCCTGGCCAACATGGTGAAACCCTGTCTCTACTAAAAATACAAAAATTAGCCGGGCATGGTGGTGGGTGCCTGTAATCCCAGCTACCCAGAAGGCTGAGGCAGGAGAATCGCTGGAACCCGGGAGGCAGAGGCTGCAGTGAGCCAAGATCGTGCCACTGCACTCTCGCCTGAGTGACAGCAAGGCTATCTCAAAAATAAACAAATAAATAAATAAAAGCCCACTGGTGACATGGCTCTGTGGCCCTAGATTTCTCCAAAAGAAAGAAAGAGTGAGATAGAGAGAGCAGGAGAGAAAAAAAGGGGGAGAAATGTGAGAGGAGGGAAGAAAATGAAGAGGAGAGGTTTTTCAAAAAGAAAGAAAGGAAAGACAAATAAATAAAAGAAACCCCATAGCTCCATGTCTAACATGAAGAATGGTGGGATAATAAAGGAAGTAATGTTGATGAATATAAAGTGATCAAGTAAGCACTATTTTTTGAAGATGAGACAAAACAGGATTTAGAATTCTATTTCCAGCAACATGGCAGACTAATCCCTCCGGGCATAACTAAAATGCTGTATAAAATATTTAAAATGTCATTGGAATGCATGGCTTGGCTGGCAGGAAAATATATGGATGGATAGGAGGCCAGAGATGAAAAGTGTGAATCTAGAAAGATAAGCAAGCAGTAGAGAAGGCATTGAAGAGCCCTCAAGTGGCCTGTAGCTCATATTTTACTGGGCTACATCCAGTACAAGTTGGGGCTCTAGCAAAGAAACAGGTCGGATTAAAGAGCTTTGGCATAAAACTGGTTCCTCCAAATATATACATTCTCAGAGTGTAGGGGAAAATTATTCCACACACTGCAGAGGGTAATGTTTGGCATTTATGCTTCTGTTGACGTTGGCTTTGGATTTGAGTGAAGTAAAAAAATAAAAAAAAATTATACTGTCCCATTAAGGATTTCTAAACACAAGCCTTATTTGTGTGAGTTTGATGTCAGAATTTTCGTTGTCTGCATGACTCCAAAAAAAAAAACACACATACTAAAAAACAATGTTTTCTTTAAGTGGTCCAGCCGTCACATCCACATGCTATGAAGTTGTACACACCAATTCTGGCCAGAACTTAGTCACATGACCATGCTTAGCTATGAAGGATGCTGGAAAAAGTAGTCTTTATTATGAGTTCCAAGGTTCTATTTATGAAGAGAAACTGAAGAATGAATATTGAGGGTGGGGAGTGAGAGTAAGCTCCGCCTTGATCTTCAAATCCTGAGACAACTCCCAAAGAGAGAATTAAGGCAATACTTTCTCCTTGGACATCTTTTTGTTTGTTTTTATGAGATTTATTGTGGAATAAATCAGTTTTGTTTTGTTTCAACTTTTCTTTTCTTTTCTTTTCTTTTTTGAGACAGAGTCTCTGTTGCCCAGGCTGGAGTGCAGTGGCCTGATCTCGGCTCACTACAAGCTCCACCTCCCAGGTTCACGCCATTCTCCTGCCTCAGCCTCCCGAGTAGCTGGGACTACAGGCGCCCGCCACCACATCCAGCTAATTTTTTTGTATTTTTAGTAGAGACAGGGTTTCACCGAGTTAGCCAGGATGGTCTCCATCTCCTGACCTCGTGATCCACCGGCCTCAGCCTCCCAAAGTGCTGGGATTACAGATGTGAGCCACGGCGCCCAGCCTCGTTTCAACTTTTCATTTAAAAAGTATAAAAATAGGCCAGGCACGGTGGCTCACGCCTGTAATCCCAGCACTTTGGGAGGCCGAGGCGAGTGGATCACGAAGTCAGGAGTTCGAGACAGCTTGGCCAACATGGTGAAACCCCATCTCTACTAAAAGTAAAAAAATTACCCTGGCGTGTTGCCGCGCACCTGTAATCCCAGCTACTCGGGAGCCTAAGGCAGGAGAATTGTTGGAACCCGGGAGGCAGAAGTTGCAGTGAGCCGAAGTTGCGCCACTGCACTCTAGCCTGGGCGACAGAGCAAGACTCTGTGAAAAAAAAAAAAAAAAAAAAGTATAAAAATATAATATTTGAAATTGAGAATCAATTTGTTAAATAATAGGAAAAAGGAAAGAAGAATTCAAGAGCAAGAAATTACATAAAGTGCAATTAAGTTAAAGTTCTATGTCTAGGAGAACTTGCAGTCCCTAGGGTAGACAAAGCTGATCAGAACTGAAGCAGCCTTACTATTTCTTCTCTATTTCCTTCATTTTGCTCCTCATAACACAAGTTTCCTCAAAAGAGTGTAATGGTAAAGCCCCCCTGCAAAGCTAGAAAAACAGAGAAGTAACTGAATGGTTTCCTTTTAATGGAATGTTGTTTTTTGTTCTTTTTTGTTTTTTTAGGTGTCTGACCAAAGCATAGGAAATTGCAAAGTTAAACTTTTTAAACTTTTTAAAAGGGATATTTTCTACAATCAGATAACATCTTTTAAAAACAGACACACAAGCTGGGCAAAGTGGCGTAGGCCTATAGTCCCAGCTACTCAGGAAGTTGGGGTGAGGAATCACTGAGCCCAGGAGCTTGAGACCACCCTGGGCAACATAGTGAGACCCCATATCTAAGAAAATCATAATTATTATTATAATAAAATTAAATTTAAAATTATTTAATTCATTCAAAAAATAAAAACACATACAGATAGCTAATGCTCTAAATTTCTTGGTGGAAGGCAATTGTAAGTTTCTCTTTATAGGATTAGCTATACAGTATAAAAAAAAAAATCAGAGCACCAAATCTGAAAGTCCACAAGAAGGGCCTATGTAATTTCTCAGAAATAAGGAAGATATTTTATTTTTGTGTAGTGCTTCAGCTAATCTACAAAAAAAAAAAAAAAAGTTAAAACTTGCTGTTGGGCAATTATCAAAATGACAATGACTGGCGGGAATGATTGTCTTGGCTAAGGCAAGAGTGGACTAAATCACTGGCTGATTTGGGGTGCAAAGAGGGAACCTCCTGTTGAAGTCTCTCAGACATTCACACGATTCTTTCACACTTGTACATACACCTGTAGACACACACCTGAATGTGAGTCACAACAACCCACTATATGAGCACAAAAGATTGCTGAATGATTCAGCCCTATTATCTGAAACTTCAGATTTCAGATCTATACTTAGTCCATGAAAATGGACAGCAATAAATCTTTATTTATTTATTTATTTATTTATTGAGACAGAGTCTTGCTCTGTCACCCAGGCTGGAGTGCGGTGGCAAGATCTCGGCTCACTGCAAGCTCCGTCTCCCGGGTTCATGCCATTCTCCTGCCTTAGCCTCCCAAGTAGCTGGGACTGCAGGCACCTGCCACCACACCCGGCTAATTTTTTGTATTTTTAGTAGAGACAGGGTTTCACCGTGTTAGCCAGGATGGTCTCGATCTCCTGATCTCGTGATCCACCCGCCTCGGCCTCCCAAAGTGCTGGGATTACAGGCATGAGCCACCGCGCCCGGCCATGGACAGCAATAAATCTATCATAATATAGTACTGCAAGCGGGAAGAAAGCAAACAAGAAAGGCTCTGCTAGAAATGGGCTGCTTTTTGAAGGGTAGATATGATCGATATATTTTTATGTACATTTTAACTGAATCGAGATTTATTTAAGTTTATTCTTTGGAGCAGATCCTGCAGCAATCCTCTGCACTCCAGTCATCTTTCTTTTTCCTCTATTTTTGAGACTCCCTGGATCTGTGATAGTAAGGCACCAAAATGTAGAATTTATCCAATGGGCTTAACTTTCTGAAGGATTGGGATTATGAAAAATATTAAATATTAAAGATATTTCACTAAGTCATGACTTGATACGGGTATATTTTTGAGGATTGTTTTCCATTCAATTTATAGATCCATATAAAAAGGCTTTAACCAAATAGGGTTTTATTGACCTCATGTAAGAAGTCCAAGAGTAGGCCATATTATTATTATTATTATTATTATTATTATTATTCTTCTTCTTCTAAGATGGAGTTTCGCTCCTGTTGCCCAGGCTGGAGTGCAATGGTGTGATCTCGGCTCACCACAATCTCCGCCTCCCGGGTTCAAGCAATTCTCCCGCCTCAGCCTCCTGAGTAGCTGGGATTACAGGTATGTGCCAACATGCCCGGCTAATTTTGTATTTTCAGTAGAGACAGGTTTCTCCATGTTGATCAGGCTGGTCTGGAACTCCCAACCTCAGGTGATCCGCCCACCTCGGCCTCCCAAAGTGCTGGGATTACAGGCATGAGCCACCGTGCTCGCCCTAAGCCATTTTATTCTATTTCTATCTTTTTTGTCTGCCTTCTTTAGCATTTTGCTATCATCCTCGGGGTCTCATGATAGTAGCTATTCCTCTGGGCATCACGTCCACATTCCAGGCAGGAAGAAGAAAAAAGTGACAAAGAGGAAAAGGGTGTGACAATATCAGGAAAGCAAAACTTCCCTAGATATCCCTATAGAATTCAACTTATGCCTCACTGGCCAGAAGTGAGAGAAAAGCTGCAGGGAAGGCTGGGAAATGGGCTGTTTTTAGTAGACACATTGTTACCACAAACAAATCAAGGTCTTGATACCAATGATGAGAAAGAATGGCATGAAATTTAATGCCAAAATTCTAGAATTTCAATCCACGGAGACAGTAATTTGGCTTCTCAGGGAAATATCATATTTACTTTTTGCTCTCCATGAGCTGACACACAGTATGCAGTCTTTCAAAAACTCTTTATTGATCTCCTATTATGTCCCGCGTGCTATTTTAGATGCTTGGAATATATCCAGATAAAAATTCTTGTCCCCTTAGATCTTCTATTCTAGCAAGCAGAGACAGTTTATAAACTATAGTTGCAATAAATAAATAAAGTCTACAATTTGTTCAGAGTTGATACATTCTATGGAAATAAGCAAAAATATAGCTGAGTAAAGAGAATTAGTAGTTGTGGGTGGAAGGGTGGAAGGAATGGGTTGTAATAAAAATAACACAGGAATTATGTATTAATCTGTTCTTTCATTCCTTCGACCCTTCTGATTTCTGGAGAGCACAGTGTGTTTTATCTTGAAAAAAACATAGTTCATTATTTTTTCAACTCCCATTCTTGGAAGCGCTGAATCCACTGCTGTTATTTACACAAGAAATGTCAACGATTGTTTCAGGCAGTTTGGTAGGCTAGACAATGCTTCACACAGGGGGAACTGTTTGCAATTTACTTAAAGGGTCTAATTCCATAAGGAAGAAGGAAAATTCAGTGGGGAAAGAAAAAGAGCAATCAACAAAGAGAAAATGCTGTCTTGACCTTGAGCCTTTTGAGTGTCAGAAGCACGGCCTTTCTGAGGAATGTGGCTTTTCAATAGGCATAATGCTATTGGATTAACTCTTCTCTGCTTTAAATCTTAAAAGTAAGAACTATATACACACACACACACACACACACACACACACACTTACAGTTTAGATTTTTTTTTTTAAATTCCAAATCTAACAACTCCCAGGGGATTGGGATTTGATTGATTTTATTTAAAGTCTGGGTGGGTTTTTGACCACTAAATATTTGCTTAATTATCCCATCAATGAAGAGTGATGCTCTCATTAGCAGGGGTTAGAAGCCCATCTGTGTTCTCTGGCGGTTTTTTGTGCAGGACTGTAAACCTGCAAATTGCATGTACAGTTGGGGAGTCAGAAAACTGTAATTGCAGCTCTGATACTCATTATCCCATGAACTTGGGTAAAGTAATTTTCCCCCCTGGGTCTTGGCCTATCTGTGCACAAATTGTAGTTAATAGTACTCCACAGCAATATACAATTTCAGTATTTTATGGTAAGCCAAAAAGCCTTGCCTTGTGTGCTTCTCACTGGCAAAAAGTGATGCCCTAACAGATCCTGAAGTTGAAGTTATTACACAGAACCAAAGAAACTGCCACACAATTGGAAAGCAAGAGGCATCTTATCACTTGGGAATTTGCAAACTCAGAGATCACAACATGCCTGTCCATGTCCCTAAGGAAAACCAAAAGTGAATTCTTCTCCAGGAAGAAACACTGCGAGCTAAATTTCATGGGTGTTTAGGGAGATGACCTAACGAAAGTCATTTGATAGTTATTCCCAGCAGGAGCAAATCTAGATTTTGTGAGGTCTGAAGTATTTACACTTTTGTAAGGGAAAGGTGAGTACTCTTTAGTAAGAGGATTACTTAATAACTATGTCTTTAGAATGAAAAAAGTCACATTCTAAATTTCTTAAATATTAATATCACAAATGTTACAAAATGCAAAAACAATATTTGTGACTGTCTGATACCCCTCTATATTATTTTTTCTATATTTTTTGGTCTGCATTCTTGACAACTGCTTCACAGAACAACCATTTTGAAAAAGTGTTTCCAGAAGTGGATTTACCATCAAACTTGAGCTTCAGGACCTCTCACTCCCATGGGTCCCTTGCAAGGCCCTATACCAATCTTGTATTTTCCTCAATTCTCATTTAAAAAGAAAATAAAAAATGGTGTTTTTATAATTGTACATGTTGTACTATCAGGTTGTATTCCTGAGAAGAAAGACCTTCCATTTACTAGGCTTCAATGGGAACCAAATTTTCTACTTAGAGCTGACAATTGGACAAATTTTCCATGTTTGCTACTGACTCTGTGTGTTTCCCTCCATCACTTACTCATTTACAATGTTGGGCTCTAAAAGACACGTTCATAGTGCAAGAAAATTCTTCCCCATATCTTCATGGCACAATGCTGGGTCAATTAACACAACAGGCAATAGGAGTATTTCTAGAAACCATTCCCATATGAGGATACCTAGCCTAATTATCATTCTAAATAAACATTCACTGCGTACTTCCAGAAAGTGACTGGGAACCACATAAACACATCCTGTTAACCTCAAACTACCTGCATTCCCAATTCAACTTCCTCTAACTTGGATTCCCAACACTCATGGCCATTCCAATGCCATCCTATATGAGAGAAGGAGTAGTAAAAGGGAAGTTGGAATGGAAAGAGACTGTGATCTTAAACAATATGTTTTCACTGTGATCTTAAACTATATGTCATACTTTTGCAAATTTTACAGAAACATATGACTTTGCAAATGGATGGCCCTAAAATTTAACCATCATTCATTCCATGATAAAACTTCCTCTGATCCTGAGTCTTGATGTCTCCACACCTGCTCCCATGATGGAGGTGATGCCTTTGAGGAAATAGACTGCTATTAAGGTATCAAATAGAGTGAACTTCAGGAGTAGCATTTTGGCATTTCTAGCTTCCATGAATATTGTGATATGGATACTGCTCCAGACTTCAGAGGACACAAATTATTCATTCAGCTGTGGTTCACTCATATATCTATCAAGTTACCCCCAAAATACTCACTAAACCCTATCATCATTAAAAGACTATGCTAAGAGTTGTGGCTGATTGAAAAATAAGTAAGCCACAGTCCCTGCCCTGAAGGAACCTAGACTAGTAAAGAAGACAAAACATACATAAATCATAGTGCAAAGTAGACTGCACTGGAAGAGCAAAGGAAGTAGATGTCCAAGTTGGAGTTCAAATAACCAAACTGTGGGCTTATTCCTTTGAATAATTTTATAGCCTCTGATTCTGTTTCCTCATCTATAAAATCCGAGTGGTAATACTCGTCTCACAAGACTACTATAAGGATTAAAGGAGATAAAGTTAAGCAAAATTGACTAAACACAAGGTTTTCTCTAAATATAACTCCCTAGAGGTAAAAAAAAAGTCTTATTCTTTTATGTACCTATTTATATTCTATTGCCTAATAAACCTCTGTTGAAAGTGGAATTATGAAAAACAGGTGAACGAGATAAAAAAATTAAAAAAAAAAAAAAAAAAAAAAAGATGCAAGGGCTTCCCAGAGCACATCTGCCCTTACCCAAAGCCTCAAAGAATATATTGGACATGGAAAAAAAAAAAAGAGGAAATGGTTGGCTCATGAAACTAAGAAATCCAAGGGCAAATTTAACTCTAGGTGGGCAGAGCCTTGGGATGCAAACAATATTCCCGGAACCAGTCTCTCTCCTTTGCTTGGCTCTGCTTTTCTTTGTGTTGGCTTTATTCCCAGGCAGCCTCTTCCCACACCATGGCAAAAGGTCACCTGCCCCTTCAGGTATAGTGAGCGCAAATCTGCAATCTATGGTAGAAAGAATCTCAGATTTGGAATATGTAAATGAGCTCACCCCTGGAGATGGTTGGAAGGGTGGTATGCAAATGGGGGAGGCATTTAGCTTAACTGTTGTCATGGGGACTGAGAATGCAAAAGGAGTGGATCCCTACAAAAAAATATCTCGGCAGCTAAGCAGAAGGAGGGAAAGAACTGCTGTGGAATTCTACAAAGCACACTTCAGGTAGAGAAGAAAACGAGCAAAAGCACAAATGTTTACTGAGCACATACTGCCCTGGTGTCTGGGAGGATCCAAAGATTTGATTCTGGCCTCAAGCAGGGGAGGTAAGGCTTGTCTGAAAAATAAACAACCATAATCCAAGGTAGGAAGTGAGTAAAGCCCTAAAAGGGTCGATAAATGCCATTCATTCAGAGAAGGCTGAGAGCTCTCTGAGCTGGAAGGATTGGAAACTTTTCAGAAAAGGCGTAGCACCTGAATTGGATTTTGAAGGAGCTTGTAGGGAAAATAGTGTTCATAAATCGCCTGAAAATTAAAATATCTCAAAACCAGCCCTAGCCTTGGGCTTTGAAGCTGTAGAATTATTTGAGGGTCTGCAGAATCAGAACATTCAGTCATTTCTCACATCGTCCTCATGGTCAAAGATTAAAGTGGAAACAGAGGCAGATAAGAAAGGTCACGGGGGTAGTTTGTGGCAAGAGCTACACTGCCTAGGCTAAAGTCCCCATTTTAAATGTTAAGTAATTGTATCTCCTTACATTTGTTCATTTATCAATGTAACTAGATCTCCTTCTTTCATTGAGGTAAAATTCACATAACATAAAATTAACTATTTTAAAATGTACAATTCAGTGGCATTTAGTACATCCACACTGTTGTTCAATCATCACCTTTATCTAGTTCCAAAACATTGTCACCTCTCCAAAAGGAAAACAGTACCACTAAGCAGTCACTCCCTGCTACTCCAACCCCAACACCCCTAGCCTCTGGCAACCACTGACCTATTTTGTATTTCTGTGGATTTACCTATTCTGGATATTTCATACATATAGAATCACATAATGTACGATTTTTTTGTGTCTGGCTTTTTTCACTTAGTATATGTTCTTGAGGTTAACCAGAATTCTTTCAATATTCCTTTTCATATTGTATAACACTGAGCTATAAAGACCAACTCTATACCTAAACTCCATACCCCAGCAGCCCCCTTGTGATGGGTCTCCTACACCCAATGTCCACTGACTCTGACAGCCAATGTTTCGAGGGGCTATTTCTTAAGAACTCCTTAGGGTTCTTCTGTACTTACAAGGAAGTAGTTTACTTGATATATAATGACTGGTAAATTAGCTGGTTGATTGTTGAGTGCTTGTAGACTCCAAAGTAGATTCTTTGACAAAACAGAACTCTTTCCCCAAGAACAGTCAGTCAAGCATAAGAAATAGGCAGGCAGCAGGGTAAGGGAGCCTGACTTAGGACCAGCCCAGCCTTCCATCCTACCACAGCTTCTTATCCGTTACCATGGAATTTAATATTTGGAAGAGTTCTTGGAGAACATTCATTTTTTAGATAATGAAACTGAGGCTCTAATAAGTTTTTTTTTAATTATCCAAGATCACACAGCTAGAGCATCAGAGCCCATATAAGAGCTCAGAAATTCTCAGGCTAGATTCAGCACTCTCTGATACAATATGGTGTCCAGTAGTTTTCTCTCTAGAAACAAGAATGAAATGTAAGAAAGCAGCAGGTTGAAAGAATACCTCTGGCCAGGTGCAGCAGTGCACGCCTCAGTCCCAGCTACGCGGGAGGCTGAGGCAGAAGGATCGCTTGAGCCCAGGAATTCGAGACTGCACTCTACCCTGGGTGACAGAGTGAGACCTTGTGTCAAAAAAAAAAAAGAAAGAAAGAAAACCTCTCTGGACTCTGGAAAAGCTGAGAGGAGTCCCGTTCAGTAATTTTTCAATCTGTACAAATAATAAAAGGGGGGACATTGCACTTCACAAGGAAAGAGAAGCCGGTATATCATAACTGAGAGCAATTTTGCTCTTAAATTATGAGCATATGAATGAATGGGCAATGCTTTCTATCATGTATAAATTTGGAGTTTCATTGGAGCTATTTTCCCCTGAGTGGGGTGCCTTCTTGTCAACATGGTCTATATCTTACTGCTTTATAGAAATGATGATCTGCATTCGACCATCTGATTTCAGATTTGTTCCCAAGGGTACTGAAAGCAAATGACCCAGTAATGGGAGGGGGGTGAGGCTGGTGCCGAGGGGACAATATTTAGGATATAGCAGCACTGAGGGCATCCCACCCATTCAGGAGCAACTAAGCTGCTCTTCTCCCTCTGCAAAAACACTGCTCGTAAATGGGAGCTCAGATCCTTCTAGGGAGAAATGCAAGCCTGTAAATACCATGTCAGGGTCTTTATTTTTTTTGTAACATAAAGTTAATGATGCTTAAAATATGCACAATATGTACCCCTGTGGAACACTGAATTATCTTGATGTCTGAACTTCTGAGGATGGCCTATAAAGAAAATAATTCAGAAGTGAGTAGAAATAGACAGAATTGTAGAATTGTAAAACGCAATTGGGGATTGCGGGGGAAGCCCCAAATGTATGTACCGCACAACAGAGGGGAAAGAAAAACAATGCTCAAATGTGCTCATCTTTGTTTTTTAATCTCGTCTTTAAAAGACTGACTTCCTGGATTTTTGCCTTAGAGATTCATGAGCATTTCCTTGACATAATTTAGTTTTTCTTTTTAACTCAGGGGAAAAGCTGCTTTCATAAACAAGCCAACTGGACTGTTTTCTCCCTGCAGAGGTACAACACTCAAACCCTCTCCAGCTGAAACAAACAAACAAACCAAAAAAAAGAGAAGAAGGAAAAAAAAACTTCTAACTAATATTTAAGCTTTCAAAAGCAGGTTGGCTGCGAGCCTCACTAGGATAATCATTTGCACCCTCCTTCAGCCACATATAATACAGTCTTTATTCAGCAAATAGCAAAGTCGTTTCCCAGAAAGTCAAAGGTCAGTTTTTGCTGTATTAATAGCTGCTCTGGGAGGGTCAGTGTTGTGCTATCCTACATTTTTTCCAGGGCCTGGAGATGCAATTTCCTACAATCTGCAGGCAATTTCCCACCAATTTTCTTGGGGAGCTAATAGGCTGTGACAGGAGATGGAGCTAGCAAGCAGCAGGCGGCTTCAGAAAAGACAAATTGCATCTCTGCCACCTAACTGGGCAATCTAGATCGACAGAGTTTATAGCTTTGTAGTGTTATTGGGCCCCATGCTAACAGCAAATCATTCACGCTGCTCGCCGAATTTCATATTCCCTTCCTTCTGAATTTGTTATTGCCACATATCACTTTGTAGCACTTTCCCTGGAAATTGCAGTAAAAAGGGGATCACATATATATTAGCGACTTCAATGTCTCTTAAATGGCTTACCAGAGATTATTAGCATTCAATAATTTCTGTCTACAGAGTTAGGGCTAAGCTGGTAATTTTTAAGTCATGGGGTGGGAATGTTGGAAGGAAGAAGGCACCATGCAACAGGTTGCAATCCTTTGGGTAGCAAATAGAGACTTTTTTTTTTTTTTTTGAGATGGAGTCTCGCTCTGTCACCCAGGCTAGAGTGCAGTGGCGTGATCTAGGCTCACTGCAAGCTCCACCTCCCGGGTTCATGCCATTCTCCTGCCTCAGCCTCCCGAATAGCTGGGACTACAGGTGCCCGCCACCACGCCTGGCTAATTTTTGTGTGTGTGTTTTTAGTAGAGACGGGGTTTCACTGTGTTAGCCAGGATCGTCTCGATATCCTGACCTCGTGATCCACCCGCCTCAGCCTCCCAAAGTGCTGTGATTACAGGCGTGAGCCACCGTGCCCGGCCGAGACTCTTTCTTATATCTCCTCTGACCATGTTCTTGTGTACAGTGAAATGCATTTCAAAAAATAACATAAACATTTGCAAAATATGCTTGCAACACTGATTTATGCTTTGCCTAGAATGTTTCTTAAAAACAGTGGAAATGTTTTCATAGAATGAAATAGAAACATCTTTATTTTGTATTTAAATCTTCTTTCATATTACATAAATAATACATGTTCAACCTAAAAGATTTAGGATAGATAAGGGAAGGGGGGAGGTCTGATTAAAGAAAAAACATAATCATTGTACCAACTCAGGCATTTTTTAAAAACTTTATTTATAAAAGACCTACTCTGTGCCAGGCCTGGCACGTCCTGAGGTTTACAAAGATGAATAAGACAGGATCCCTGCTGCTGGGGATTTCACAGTCTAGTGGAGGAGACCAGCATATAAACAGATAAATTGCAAGATGTTGTGGCCACAGTTGCCTGGATGCTTCTTTTGAAGAAAGGGGGAAAAAACTGCCTACAAAAGTAAACTGAGGTGAGAAACAGAACAACTCAGATGGAATTAAACAGTGCAAGTAAATAAACAGCAGAGATTCAGTCAGGTCAGCTTTCCTCAAGTGGTTGTATGTGAAGGGACTGATGGAAGCGTATGGAAATAGTAACCAATGCACTCTGTGATTATTTGCATCTAGGGACTGTCACTGGAAAAGCAGATCAACAGGAATGTTTTGGACAACCTGATCTATGCTCTAAATTACTCTCACATTAGGATAATTGCACACTCGTGCCCTGGCATAAGGAGGCTGGAGTGAGTCTCAAGGTTACAGGAGTCTACAAGAAGGGGTTAAGAGCAGAGTATGTGGCCGGGTGCGGTGGCTCACGCCTGTAATCCCAGCACTTTGGGAGGCCGAGGTGGGCGGATCACCTGAGGTCAGAAATTTGAGACCAGCCTGACCAACATGGAGAAAACCCATCTCTACTAAAAGTACAAAATTAGCCGGGCATGGTGGCTCATGCCTGTAATCCCAGCTACTCAGGAGGCTGAGGCAGGAGAATCTCTTGAACCAGGGAGGCGGAGGTTGCAGTGAGCCGAGATTCTGTCATTGCACTCCAGCCTGGGTGACAAGAGCAAAACTCCGCCTCAAAAAAAAAGAGCAGAGTATGTGCCAGAGAGGAATGCAGAACCCCTTGCTAATCTTGTGAACCTCATTTCTAAATAATATCTATCTTCAAAGAACTTAAAGAAGTCTGAGTTTTTTTTAAAGGAAGAAAGAAAATAAAAAACTAAAACCATCACTTCCTAAAGATTAGGAAGTACCTAATCTTCACAGGTTAATAAACACTGAGGCAGAAACACCTCTCATCTCTCTGAACTGGATTAGCCTCTGGAAAGAGTAGGTAGTCTCTGCTCTATTTGCTGATATTGCTGATACCTCTATAAAAAGTAGTATTATGGTGCTTTATTTTTGGCTCATTATCATACCAGTATGTGTAAGCAGTACACAAAAAAAGATCACCTCAAAGAGAAAAAGCAACAAGTTTTGGCATGGAAATTTTCAAACCTTGAGAGTTGCAGGGTTGATTTAAGCAGATTATCCTGGCTTGCTGGTGTGGAGGACAGGCAGGGGAGGTTTGCCCAAGCAGTAGAAAAGCAATAAGGTCTCTGCTCCAAACCATCTGTTCCACTCGCCGATTGTGGGATCTGAAGCTTCATCATCCATACTTATTCCTATCCTGAAAACTTATTTTGATGATCATGAGTCTTGAAGACAGAATGTTTTTAATCTCAAAGTGTCCAGGGCTAGGCCCCTAATAATCCTACATAAACACTGACTGACTAAGTAGAATGAAGAAGCCCTTAGCTAAAATGCTAATACTTTCTGGTATAAACCAGTCACTATCCATTTGCCCCTCACTTGAGGAGGTTCCAATTGAATAGGTCTCAGGAAAGACTCCTGGCATCTCCTGGCGGATTCTGCCACATAGCTAGGTTGAAAACCCCTGGGATAGGTATGGGGTGAGAGGAATGGAACGGACACCAAATGTATACCTCATAATGAATCTCTAAGAATGGCAATGACACACTGTAGAAAAAGCATAGGAATGAGCCCTCAATTTAAAGACCCACTTTAAATCTTACCAGCTATGGGCATTTAGCCAAGTGAACTAGTTGTGGCTTTGTTTCCTTGTCTGTTACAGTGCAGGTGGATTACAGGAGGTAGTGCTTATGTAGCACCATGGAAGCAGCGCTTATGAAGAGGGTAATGCTTACTAACCTCAGCCATTATGACCAGCACTGGCAGAGCACCTTATACAGGGTACACTTACAGAAAGCCCCTCCTTCCTCTCCTCCTTCTACTCTTCCTCTTCCTATTCTGTTCATCATCCTCCTCCTCCATCTCCCAGGTTGGCAACGGATGCTCTGCTCCCCCTGCTTAAGCCACCCCCTAATATATGAAGTGCAAAGCTTCCCCCAGGTCTCAGGTATCACATGGAATCAGCCTAAGCACTGAGGTATAGTGTTTTCTCTTTGTTCTCCCTCTTCCCTTTCTCTGGCATTGCATGCCTCTTGGGCATAACTTCCAAATGGGTGAGCCATGATAGAATATTCTTGCTCCATGAATGGATGCAGTCAGTTCCTTCTTGTCATTTCTAGATAAAATGGTTTTGAATCAGATTCTGTACTATGCCTTATATGCTACATTCACTTCTCTTTCCATAAGTAACAGAAAAGTGAACCCTATAGTTAATACCATTGGAAATAATATACAAAATGGCATCCTTTTGCCTTGAAAGAGTCAGAGGGCATCTCTGAGTGTTTTACTTGTTACTTCAAGAACAGGAATTAGGTCAGGGAGAATTTGGCTCATTAAATTTCCTTCAAAGATAAAGACAAGTTAAGGACTTGTCCAAGGTCACATAGCATTTCATATATTCCTCAATCTCAAAATTAAAAGAAAAACTTATGGACACATTTTCATGACCTTCATAAACTTAGATAACAAGAAGTGCAGACTCTATAACTTTTCTCAGGGCATGTAAGAACTAGGAATGAACAGCCGGGTGCAGTGGCTCATGCCTGGAATCCCAGCACTTTGGGAGGCCAAGGCAGGCGGACCACGAGGTCAGAAGATCAACACCACCCTGGCTAACACGGTGAAACCCCGTCTCTACTAAAAAATACAAAAAATTAGCTGGGCGTGGTGGCGGGCACCTGTAGTCCCAGCTACTCAGGAGGCTGAGGCAGGAGAATGGCGTGAACCCGGGAGGCGGAGCTTGCGGTGAGCCGAGATCACACCACTGCCTTCCAGCCTGGGCGACAGAGCAAGACTCCGTCTCAAAAAAAATAAAAATAAAAATAAAAATAAATACAATAAAATTTAAAAAAAGAACTAGGAGTGAACTTGTAGAGGTCATGATGAGACAAAAAAAAAGAACTTTCAGTTATGCTTACCCTTTAATACTAAATGCATATCAGTTACTAAATCTAAGAATATTTAGAAAGAAATGATATTGAATAAAATTAGCAAGGTTTGCAATTTTTCATGATATGAATAAATGAGATAGAATTAAAAATATTTCCTACTTAACACTGTCCAGTGGGAAAGAAAATTAGTTTATGCTTAGTATAAGGATACTTAAAATTTTACTATAATTCAGCCCTAAGGAATTTTTTAATTACCACAGTAATGAAAAATGTAAAATTACTACAAGCGTGTGTGCTGGGATCTTTCAACACCCACTCCTCAGCTTAAATCACTTGCCATTTTAATATCCAATTTCATAAATACAATATTTCCAAAATGTTTGGCCCTTCAGAACAAGGCAGGAGTGAATACATGATAACATCTAGCCATAACTTGCACTCAACAAGAAAAAAAAAAATGGCAATATCCATGGATTGTACAACTCCAACTGTGTTTAAATGCCAGCCAGTCATTTCTTCATCAGGAGCAGTGACAAAATCACAAATTCCATTGCTGCTCTGTCTTCAGAATTGGGTCCAACAAATCAGAAATAACAACCTCCACTAGTTTGTGTGGTCTGGCAAAAGATTAAGCCAAAAAAATTAAATATTTTCCCAATCAGCAAATGTTCCTATGAATGGATTGGCCAACAACCCCAAGTGCATTTCTTTGAATTATATCTTACATGCAATCCCATTTTTTCCAGTGATCCATTAGTTAACCAGAAATACTGTACATATTTTAATGGGTTAGGGGACCTTAAGGGAATTGATGCATCTCAAATGAATGCCTCAGGGGACTCTGGTTTATTACATAGAAGATAATTCTTTCCTGAAAAGGAGCAAGCTTCATTTGAAATTAAGATTTGGAGATCATAAATGGAATCAATTGAGCCAAGAAGTCTTTTGTAATGTATGGCCCATGGGAGACAAATAAGCCTTTGCAGCAGGTTATTCGAGTGGTGAGAGGAAAGGCTAGAGAGCGACACAAACCTCTTCTCCTACCTGCCTCTCATCAGAGCCTGTAAACACAACATTTTTTGAAGGAGACTTAAAGGATTTTCCTGGTCAATGTGCTGCACTAAGAAGTTCTTTCTTCAAAGGGGCAGAGAGGGAGAGAGAGACTGAGAGACAGAGAGAGAATGAATGTTGGTTGTGTTCCAGAATATCTTGACGCAGTTAACCACAAAATAAGTTATTAGCTTATTGTAAGTGCAGCCAGTTTTAAAGTAATGGAGTAATCCACTGTGGATTGCAGCAAGGAAGTGGAACAAAGGGTGTGAAATGAACAGATGGATTTGATTTTAAACAAATTAGGCCCATGACAAGGGATGTAACAAGTCATTTTTTAGTTTTCCATGCTATGGGTTAACTTTGCTTGTGACCTTTCCAGCCTGTGAGCTCATTATTCCTTTACCAGGAACTCAGACCTTTCTGGGAGAACAGCTTTCATGCTCTGCAATTGTAAACTACTGTCTCTTGCTTCTACTAAACTGATCAAACGAGGCACTACAGAGACTGCCAAGACAGAATGCATGATTACTTAATCTTCAAACTATTTGTTCTCTTAATCTCGTACTCATTCTTGGCCACGTTGATAAATACAAGAACAAATGTTCCGGAGGTGTCACACCTGTAACCCTGGGTTCTGAGAGCACTTGACAATCCCCTACTGGCATATCCATTCATGTGGCTGATACCTACTCCAGGCAGACTTGTGACATGGGCCATCTGTGTCCTTTCCACTCTTTCTTTAATCCCCCGTGTGCCTCCCTGTCCCAACTTCATGTGTTCAGTCACAGAAAACCACTGGAGATAGCCCTTCTGCAGTGAGGCACAGCCCTCCGCCAAGCCTGAACTCCCTCACAGGATCCACTGCCTCAAAACGTCTTACTGTCTTCTCACTGCCTCAGTAAAACCCTCTCTCCTTACTGCCAATGCCATCTAGAGCTTTGGACAGAATTGATAGGTGTATAGAAATTCACACTAAGGGGTGAATGATTGGCCCCTTGACCTAAATTACAAATCTCTTGACTCTTCCCTCTCCACAGAACCACTAGGGTGAACGGTCTAAAATGATGATTCCCTGTGACCCACAGAAAATGTGAAAGTTCCCAACTTTACTCCTCCTGGATCCTCACCCTATTCAACCCAGCTCTGCCCAGACATCAACCCTGCTTCTCTCTCTTCTTGTCCCAGAACCCAGACTGACATGATTACCTTTCTTCTAAATCTTCTTAATCTAGAACACACTTGCTCAGTCACAACTATTTAGCAAAATCTGAGGCCAAAATCTTAGTTCAAGCATTACCTCCTCTAGAAACTTCCCTGACTCACACCCACTCAAGCAAAGGTCGTGGCTTACTTTTGGTGTCAAAACCTTACCTAGTTCATGACAGCGACTCTCAGCAACATTCACTTGATTTCTGCAAATTCAGCCCTACCCAAATTGTTCCCTTAATTACCTCTAAAATGTGACTGACATGACACTTTTGTACGAACAAAAAAACAAGGTAATTCAGTGTGTGCGTAAATGCTATGCAATGAGAGTGTGTGGTAGAGAGACACCAACACAAAGAGGAGGCTTGCGATTTGTTCCTGTTCCCGGAATGAGGGATCCTGAAGCCATATCCTTCAGTCTTGTCCCCCAGTTAGATGCCAGGAGAAAGGCCTAAAGGGACTGAGGTGGGGGAGATGCTACAAGGATCCAGAGATTACATCAACCCTGACAGCCACTGGATGGACTGGCGAAGACTGCCTGCCGTTTACTTCTTGCAGATTTGCCCTCCAGATCCCTCTCCTCCCTACAGAGAAGGCTTTGTCAGCCTAGCTCTGAGTTTGTGGTCATGCAGAATCCAGAAAATGTGTGGCAGGAAGAGTATGAGACAGGCAACAGGAATGTGGAATGATAACTGCTTGCGGGATTGGTTCTCAGTTTCTTATTTCTGTGAAGAGAAGTAGCAGGGCAGAAAGAGCAAAACAAGAAGGTGAATGGGTCACAGGGAGTGAGGAGGGGGAGGGAAACTGAAAAGGTACAGGAGTCGGGTCTAAGAGATTCTTTAAGTTTAGCATGGGAGAGGTTTTGAGGCCCTTCAGGGGAGAAAAAAACTGAGCAACAGAGAAAGGGGTTGTTGGGAAGTGTTGCTGTGGATTTCACAAAAACATAAAAGTTGACTTCATTCAAAATGGTGGTTGGCCCTGGGGTGTGGGTATTGACTGACTGAGAAGGGGCACAAAGGAGCCCTCTGTGGTTCTGGAAATGTTCTCTATCTTGATCTGGGAGGTGTAGGCGTGCCAGATAAAATACAGGATGCCCAGTTAAATATTTGGGACACATTAATACAAAAAATTATTTGTTGTTTATCTGACATCAAATGTACCTGGCTGTCTTGCATTTTTGTTTGTTAAATCTGGCAACCTGAGGGTGGTGGTTACATGGTATAGAACAGGTAACCACCTGGGGGTGATTTTGCCCCTGCAGACATGATATAAAATCAACTGGGGGTGATTTTGCCCCTGCAGACATTTGGCAATGTCTGAAGATATTTTTGGCTGTCACAACTGGGTGGGTATGCCGCTGGTACCCAGAGGGTGGAGGCCAGGGAGGCTGCTAAACATCCTGTATTGCACAGGACAGTCCCCCACAACAAAGAATTATCCAGCCCACACAGCAATAGTGTATACCTATGTAAAAACCCAGCAAGAAGACACTTGCTCGAAGCACCCTTGCTCTTTTTACTGTATGTATATTATAATAAATAAACTTATGACAGAAATAATTCTAAACCAACAAAACTATTTACAGTATCAGAGACCTTAAAATGGGTTAAAAAAATGAATTAGATAATGGGATAATGAATCTAAATAACATCAGAAAAAAAATGGACCTCATTTTTAACATTTGTTCATTGGAATGCACTTTAATAAATTTGAGTCCTTGAGGAGACTGAGCAATATGCACTTGATGTGGTTTGGCTCCGTGTCCCCACCCACATCTCATCTTGAATTATACTCCCATAATTCCCACGTGTTGTGGGAGGGACCCGGTGGGAGGTAATTGAATCATGGGGGCAGTTTCTCCCTTACTGTTCTCATGGTAGTGAGTAGGTCTCACGAGATCTGATGGTTTTATCAGGGGTTTCCACTTTTGCGTCTTCCTCATTCTCTCTTTGCCTGCTGCCATCCATGTAAGAGAGGACTTGCCCCTCCTTGTATTCCGCCGTGACTGTAAGGCTTCCCCAGCCACGTGGAACTGTGAGTCCCACTAAACCTCTTTCTTTTGTAAATTGCCCAGTCTCAGGTATGTCTTTATCAGCAGCATGAAAATGGACTAATACACGGCTCCAGGATTTTTCGAGTTGCCTATTTTTTCAGTATTTACATAAGACCTCATGGTTCCCTGTGGTTCCCCAGCAAACTCATAGAGATACCATGAGATATTTTAAATTCTCAAGAGAAACACAGAGGTACTTAACAACTGCCAGACACTGTACAAACTGCTAGCCTCAACTAGTTCAGTTTTAACATGAGGTCACAAAATTCAATATGAAACAGAAAGTGAGGGTTGGTGGTGCTTCCATAATTTGAGAAGCCGTAGTGTTCTCAACTAGCGTACACAATCTCATTAGTAAGTGTGGTCATCTAAAAAATTTTTTTTCTTCCGATTTATGTGTATTTATTTAAATGTTTACTAAGTAATATATAGGGCGCAGGTACTATTAAGTTGTTTTACCCTAATTACTTAATAAGCAGAACTGGGCCAGGCATGGTGGCTCACGCCTATAATCCCAGCACTTTGGGAGGTCGAGAGGGGAGGATCACTTGAGGCCAGGAGTTCAATACCAGCCTGGCCAACATGGTGAAACCCTGTCTCTACTAAAAATACAAAAATTAGCTGGGCGTGGTGGTGTGCACCTGTAGTCCCAGTTACTCAGGAGGCTGAAGGAGGAGAATTGCTTGAACCCAAGAGGCAGAGGTTGCAGTGAGCTGAGATCATACCACTGCACTCCAGCCTGGGAGACAGAGCAAGACTCTGTCTCTCTGTCTCAAAAAAAAAAAAAAAAAAAAAAAAAAAGCAGAACTGTAGATATTTTCTTTAGGTTTGGAGTGCCATGAAAACATCACTGGGTACCGTGAACAGAGAAAGTTTGGGAACCTCTGCCTAAGAGAACTGAATGATTGTATAAATTTAGCAGTATTTATACAATACATAGCACACTGATTTGCAGTTTTTGAAAGTAAGCGTGTTTCCTCCCCCTTGAAAAAAGGCATTGTCTTAATCGTCTTTGTCTGTCCAAAGACAGAGAATGTTTGCTGAATGGCAGTTGAATGAAAGGGGGAACATTAGCAGCTTGTTACTCCCAGAAGAGCGTGGCTAACGTGTGATTTCAATTGACGGGATAAAATTTGAAAACCCACAAAACAGAGAAGAAAGCAAGGAAATTTTTAGACAGGGAGATGTGAGGAATGGGGCTTTCCCTGTGTCCTGACATGACAGAGCAGACACAATGGCCTCCTCTGTCCCTGGGAGTGGCTTGGCCTTCATGTGAGCACAAAAGACATAAGATAAAATTCCTTGGGCTGAACATTAGAGCAGTTGATGTCACCATATCTATCTCATAATCACCAGTGGAAAACAGCCCATTCGCCTTGAGCAAGCATAGAATTTTTCAGCTGTGTTCAAAGCATTGCCACAGCCATGTTCATTTTGTCACCTGCTTCTTACTTGGTGAAAAGCATGAACATCACGGGGCTCCTGTGCCTGGCCCTGGTTCAAATTTCCTGGCTTTCCAAAAGGCATGCAGGCCTCTCTGCTTTTGCACAAGGCAGTAACCCCTTGACCTTTTGCAGTTTTCCACAGTTGTGTCATATCCAGTCACTCACGGGCAAGCACAATTAGTGGTACTGCCAAGTGCGGGTGGAGAAATGCCAAGGCGGTGAGGAAGTGAATCAAAATGAATTGAAATTACCTGCAGAGAACTGATGAGGAGGACTCAGTCTGCCGCAAAAATCAATGAGTTACAAAACAAAACAAAAAAAGGTCTGCCTGAGAAAATCAATGAAACCCAAACGGGGTGACCATCGAGAAAAATTCTCACATACACACAAGTCATACCTGACCTCAGATGTGCCCAGCAAATCCAGCTCTTGCCCAGCTTGCTAAAGGGAGCATAACCCATCTACCCTCTGCAGCAGGATTTCTCAAGCTTCCCTGTGTATGTGAGACACCTGGGGACCTTGTTAACTTGCAGAATCTGATTTAGTAGGCATAAGGTGGGGGTCTGAGAGTCTACATTTCTAACAAGGTTCCAGGAGACATTTCTGCTGCTGGTGTGTGAACCACGCTGAGTGGCAGGCATCTAGAGGTATGTGGTTTCTCAAAGGGTAGCCCTTACACCAGCATCATCAGTACATCTGGGAGCTTGTTACAAATGCAAATTCTTAGACCTCCACTCCAGTCCAACTGAATCAGAAACTCTGGGAATAGGGTCCAGAAATCTGACTTTTAAGCTCTCCAGGTGTTCTGATGCATTCTAAAGTTTGAGAACTGCAAATATTCTAGATCTGTGTTTTCGTGTAGGTCCATGCCCATCTCTACAATAAAAATGTTTTATGCTAACCGAACCCTAAGGTCTCTTACCTTCCTCTGAAATCACCATCCCTTAAATTTCTATTTTATGTTGTTAACTTTTCAACAGTCATATTTATCTCCCAAATAGCTATTGTCTTGTCTTAGAAATGACATCAAGAGCTGCTTGAGAGCAGGGGCCATACCTTGTGTAGCTCTGTATTTCCAGCTTAGCACAGTGTTTGCCACATGGCATTTGCTCAACAAATACTTCTCGATAGGCTGATGGGTATTATGTGGATTCATGTTGAAGTCAAATATGAAGTGACATGCAGGAATTCATTTTCTAGTTCGAGCATCCTTTTCAACTGAATATAGGCATTTCTGTGAATACCTAATGCTGCATAACAAACCACCAAAAAACTTAATGGCTTAAAGTGACAATACTCATTTATTATTTCTCATGGTTTCTGTGGATCAGGAATTCAGGACACATGTGGCTGGCAGTTCTGGCTTGGCTTGGGGTCTCTGATGAGGTTGCAGCCAGATATTGGCAGGCTAAAGTCAAGCAAAGGCTTGAGTTCCTCTCCACTGATGGCTGCTTGAGTGACCTCACAAAATGGCAACTGGCTTCCCCAAAAGGAAGCAATCCAAGAGGCCAAGGCAGAAAGTCTGAGGCTGTCACTTTGTTTAGTATTCTATTGCTCACATAGGTTAGCCCCAGTGCGAGGTAGGAAAGGACTGCACGAGAGCGTGAATAGCAGGAGGCAAGGATAACTGGAGGTCAGTTTGGAGGCTGGCTGTCGTAGTGGGTATCTTCAGGTAGCCACAGACATTGCTTTTGCTCTCAAGGAGTTTGCATTCCTGAGGAAGACAACAAACAGTAAGCAAGTCCACAAATAGGGATTTAAGACAGAAATACATGTATAAAAAAAAATAAAACAAGCAGGCAACGGGGTGGGATGGGGCTGTGATTTCAGATAATGAGGCCAGGGACTCTATGTGGTCATGATATTTGAGCTGAACGATGCAAAAGAACCTCCATGTGGCAACCAGACAGAGGGAACAGCTTGTGCAAAGGCACTGGGCAGGAGGCACAAGCTTGGCATGCTTCAGAAACAGAAAGCAGGCAAGTGCAGCTGGAGAGTAGTAAAGAAACAGGAGAATGCCAGTGAGGAGAAGCCAGAATCCAGGGAGGCGGGAAGGGAGCTGGAAGGGTTTGGTGTCTCCAAAGCCAAGAAAAGAGAGCGTTTTTAGAAGGACAGAGTCATCCACTGTTCTAAATGCTGCTGAGAGGTTGAACAAGAAGAACATAAAGAATTGGCCAACGGATTTGGCAAGGAGTGCTTTGCAGACCTTGTCAAGAGCAGTTTCCATGGCGTGCTTGGGATTAAAAGCCTGATGAGTGTGTTGAATTGAAGCCGGGAAACGAAGACGTGGAGACAAGCAGTGTGGAATAATTCTGAAAAGAACTGATGTTGTGAGAAAACAAATGGGGCAGTACCTGGGGAGGGGGGAGGGGGGAGGGGAGGGGAACGTGGAGTTAAGAAAACTTAGTTTTGATTTGGTTTTTGTTTGGGGCTTTGGGTTTTAGGTTTTGGTTTTTGGTTTTAAGGTGGGAGATAGGACAGCTACATGAGCTGAAATATGCTGAAGGGAATGAGGTAGGATGCGGAAGTCTCTGGAACACAGCAGTCACTCAATACATGAGGTTCCCATCATTACCCATGTGACTAAATTGTACTTTGACCCAACTAGCTCGAGACAGCAGATGTGGCAATTTGGGAGACTTCTGTTTACTTGGGAATTGTAGTTCGTTAACTCTTCTCATTTAACCTATGAAATTACTACTTATACCTTAGTGTCTAACTTGTAAAGTTTATGGAAGTAGTAAAGCAATCTTTTGTTTCTAAAATATATAACTTTAAATTGCCATTGATTTAGACTTGTCTCCTTCCTCTCACTCTTCTGCTTATTCCTACTGAGTTTTTTTGTGGTTAAATATGATTGAGTGCAGAGACTTACCCCTGGCTGTGCTCTGCCTAGGGTGTTCCCAGTGATCTCAAGGGGTATTGAATTTTTCCTACATTTTATTGAAACTGTCAACTTTCATTTACTTTAATTAAATATATAAGTTATACAGAAGGGCTTTTTTTTTTAAACAAATATACAAAACATCCCATTGTTGCCTTGAGGCACCCTGGGGAAACCACAAGATCCCCTCAGTGATCCACAGTACTGGCAGCCTCTGTCTTCCTTGTAGTATTTTATGAATATTTTCCTTTTTTGTAAGTGCCATGAACTGCAGAACACTGGGAAATCTGATTTTAAAATACTGGATGGATGGAAGTCAAAAGTGACACAAGGCCTTCTTGCTTTCGCCTGGCTTCTCCATGGTGGGACCCCAGCACCCTTCCGTCCTCCATCACCAGCTCTGCTTGTCTGTCTTGGAGACTTCCTATCCTCTTTCCATTCACCAGCCTTGTATAGGACCATGTTACACTTACCTTTGAGGCTGCTGCCTGGAGAAAGGGAGGAAACAAATAAAATCAGTGATCCACATGTATGTGCTAGTTAATGTCAATCTCCTTGGTTGCTGTGAGTTAGTACAAGCCCTCCTCAGGAATCCCCACTCTAGGGGCAGATGATTAGGAAGTGAAGAATCCTAAACATGAGTCCATTCTCCAGATTCTGCAAATGCTCCAAATAGCAACCTCTAAATCAGCACCAGAAGGCTCCTAAATTAGCATATGGATGTTAGATTTAGGCTTTACATTGGGAAAATGTTTTCAAGGTGTATAGTTGGCTAAAATGATTATGCATGCACCACCGCCCTGCAGTCCAACACCTTCCAAGCGGTACCCCAGTTACAGAACTCCATGTGGTCCTGAATGGCCCCATTCACAGAGGACTCTGCTGCCTGATCTAGCTGGAAGACTTGCTGATTCTTCCCCGCAGGGGGCTGTTCTGAACGCCCAAAAGGACAGAGAACAGGGGCTGCACCAAGCCTAGAAAAAAGGTTGTATGATGCTTTTGAACCTGTTTTCTTACAAGTCTCTACACGTGAAAGAATTCTGTCTGAGACCAGCTTCCATTTTTAACCTGTTTCACTTATCTGCTGCTATTGACCACCCCCAAACCCAATGGCTTGAAGCGATGATTTATTATGTTTCATGATTCTGTTGGTTGGCAATCTGGGTCCTTTTTTTTTTTTTTAGATGGAGCCTCACCCTGCCGCCCAGGCTGGAATGCAGTGGCGCAATCTCAGTTCGCTGCAGCCACTGCCTCCCGGGTTCAAACGATTCTCCTGCCTCAGTCTCCCAAGTAGCTGGGATTACAGGCACCCACCACCACACCCAGCTAATCTTTGTATTTTTAGTAGAGATGGGGTTTCACCATGTTGGCCAGGCTGGTCTTGAACTCCTGACCTCGTGATTCGCCTGCCTTGGCCTCCCAAAGTGCTGGGACTGTCCTGAATCCCATGTCTGGCTGTTGGTGCCAGCTGTCGATGGGGGCACCTCTGTTAATGCTTCCCCAGGAGACAGTGCTAAGCTTTGTCACAGCATGATGATCTCAGGCTTCCAAGGGCATGAGAGTGGAAGCTAAATAGCCTCTAGAGGACTAGCTCAACATCACTTCTGACATATGCCCTTGGTCAAAGTGAGTTACAGGCCAGCCCAGATTCAACAGGGGCGGAGAAATAGACTCTGTCTCTTGTTAGGACTAGCAGCAACATCACATTGCAAAGAGGCATGGCCACAGGAAAGAATGACCCATGAAAGCCATTATTATATTGATCGATTCCCTCATCTGGTAGTGAGATGGTGGCAGAGGAGGCAAAGAATTTCTACCCACTGCTGATCATTCAACGAAAGAATCCAACAAATTAGGTTGAAGTACATCCTTTGTCAGAATAGATGTAAACCCTTTTTTACAAATCGTCTTCTTGATAATTTTGAATTTTTCTTCAGGAAAAACTTGTTAGGCCTAATGAAAACCTCATTTTTTTTTGAACCTCATAATTTGGCTGATGAAGAGTTTCAAGTATTCCAAAATGGAAAAGTGTCAGCATAGGCATTTTTGATTGCCTTATGTTTGCATGATTACTATTATCTTATTCAACCTCCAGCTCCATCGCTGGAGGGTTTCTAAACCACCTATAAAATTGGTAAGCGTTGCTTAAAATTGGACAGGCTAATACAGAAATCTGCTTTACCTGAACATGGAATCTGCAACACATCATAATTTGCTAATAGAACAACAGTGTCAATCCCTCTTCACCATCCCTGCCATCCCTCGAGATACCTTGTGAACTGAATGTGATATGTGTCCTGCTGACATATGGATCAGGTAGGGGTTATATCATCAAACCTGCTATTAAATAGTAGGAAGCCTTATTTTATTATTTATTACAGATTTTATATAACTATATATTTTATATTATTATAAATTATATTAATTATATATTTATGTATATTATACCTGTTTTTTTCTTCCTATGCCTCTGGTGGATCATGTTTCACACCTCTTTGGAGATGATAAAAGTTACCTTCATGCAATGCATAATTTATTACCTTATTTTATAATTAATCGTGTGTGTGACATCTACCATACTCAGGACTAGGACCAGGGTGAGGTGACTAAGGCATTTGTCATGTGCACAAAATTTAAGGAAACACCAGAAAACCCTGTAATCAAAATAAGTACTATTTTAATGCAATATTTTAAAAATCAAAGTTAATGCAAAAAAGATCCATGATGAACACAGTATGAAAGTTTTAAGTAAAGACAGCCTCCAACAGGGCCAAGATTAGCATTAGGCGAGTGAGGCTGTGTGCAAATGCAGAGTTGCACAGTCTTTATTCTACATGTTCATACTGTGTTCATCCATGAAACACAATCTGAGATATGAGATTTTTTAACA
This sequence comes from Homo sapiens, assembly GCF_000001405.40. Taxonomy (NCBI): domain Eukaryota; kingdom Metazoa; phylum Chordata; class Mammalia; order Primates; family Hominidae; genus Homo; species Homo sapiens. The sequence goes on from NC_000009.12 coordinate 81,568,549, forward strand.
AGAGTTTTTGGATTCACAGCAGTATTGAGTGGAACATACAGCGAGTTCCTGTGCACGCCCCGTCTCCACACATGCACAGCCTTCCCCACTATCAACATCCCACACCAGAGTGGTGCGTTTATTACAATCAGGGAACCTACATTGTCACATCATCACCATTCAAAGTCCATCATTTACATTAGGGTTCACTTATGCTGGTGTGCATTCTGTGGGTTTGGACAAATGTATAATAACACATATCCACCATTATGGTAGCACACAGAATATTTCACTGCCCTAAAAATCCTTAGTGCTTTGCCTATTCATTCCTCCCTCCCCTCTAAGCCCTGGCAACCACTGACTTATTTACTGTCTCTATAGTTTTTCCTTTTCCAGTACGTCTATAGCTGGAATCATGCAACATGTATCCTTTTCAGATTGGCTTCTTAGGCTAGTAATATATCAATTTCCTCCATGTCTTTTTGTGACTTGATAGCTTGTTTCTTGTTAGTACTGAATAATATTCCTTTGTCTGGATGTTCCAGTTTATCTACTATATTAGGCTGGGTTATCCAATAGGATATATATATACATGTGTATATATATGTGTGTATGTACGTATATATGTATATAGGTAGGTACAGAAGGTACAGGGAAATGGACTGATGATAAGGAACTGGCTCATGCAGTTATAGAAGCTGAGAAATCTGAAGGTCTGAGGTTGGCAAGCAGAAACCCAGCACAGGAGGGCTGATGGTACAGATCCAGTCCAAGTCCAGAAGCCTGAGAATGCAGAGAGCCTATGATGTTAAGTTCCAGTCTGAGACCAAGTCCAAAGGCAGAAAAGACTCATGTTTCAACTCAATGATAGACAAAGCAAATTCTCTCTTAGCCTTTTTGTTCTATTCGGGCCATCAACAGTTTGGATGAAGTCCACCCACATTAGGGAGAACAATCTACTTTGCTCAGTCTACCAAATAAAATGTTCTTCCCATCCAGAAGCACCTTCACAGACACAGCCAGAATAATGCTCAATCAAATATCTGGACACCCTATGGACCAGTCAAGTTGACACACAAAATAAAGCATCACATCTACTCACTTACTGTAGGATATCTTGGTAGTTTCCAAGTTTGGGCAATTATAGTAAAGCTGCTATAAACATCCGTGTGTAGGTTTTGGTGTGAACATAAGTTTTCAGTTCATTTGGGTAAACACCAAGGAGTGAGATTGCTGGATCCTCTGGTAAGAGTTTGTTTAGTTGTAAGAAACCAACAAACTGTCTTCCAAAGTGGCTGTACTTTGCATTCTCACCAGCAAAAAATGAGAGTTCCTATTGCTCCACATCCTCATACATATTTTGAACTAATTTTTATATTTTTAATATTGCAGTAAAATATATTGGTCACTGCATTTTTTGGCACCACTTTAAATTTTGAGCCTAAGGCCAATGCCTTCCTCACCTCACTCTAATCCTGGCTCTTGATTTAGCTCCTTCAGGGCAGAAACCATTTCTTCTAATTTTTGAAAATATCTCAAGTAAAGTACTTAGGAAAGTGCCTGACATATAGTAAGTGCTGGAAAAATGTTAATCATAGTAATTACTATTATGAAATAGTGCCTACCAGAGTTATTTGTACATACTAAATGTTCAATGATGTAACTGCTTTTTATATAATTGAAATATCCTTTTACCTTTACCTTTCACCTATTTTATTAATAAAAGCACATTGTTGCCTATTTTGTCCAGCTCAGCAAATTTGTTATTTGCGGCCTGTCCATAGCTTTATATTCACTTCTAACATTTCGAAGGTTGCATTTTTAAAAGTCAAGCCTTGTGCTTTCAGGTAGAGCAGATGAATCCCGGATGGAGAAAAGATTTTCTACTTGGGCGAGAAAAAAAGGCAGTTTCTCTTGCTTTCCTTGTTATGCAGTGCAGTGAGGATACACATTTGCTCTGAGATTCTACTGGTGATTAAAATAACATTATAATTCAATAAAAAGTGCACCAGGCAGCCTCTCTTCCAGATGATTACATGTCACTGTGGTTGTTTTCTATTTAAAGTTCAATAAAATAAAGTATAATTCAGTACTGACTTTAGGATTTGCTCCAATGTTTTCATCAATTGTAGTTTTATGTACAGTCTTCTGATTTTCCTCACAGTATAGAATCATTGAAGAGTTGGTCCAAATGACTTTAAAAATTTCAATTGCTGAGGCAGGAGGATCGCTTGAGCCCAGGAGTTCAAGACCGCAGTAAGCTATAATTGCACCACTGCACTCCAGCCTGGGCAACAGAGCAAGACCCTGTCTCAAAAAAAAAAAAAAAAAGATTTCAATTACTAGCAAATTACAGAATTGTAATTCTTAAAGTAGAAATAGCCATAAACCAGAATTCTCAATGTAAACAATAGTGACAATTGAATCTTGTGAAAACAGCCTACAGAAAGGCTGGGAGAAAAATTTCCCATTCTGGCAGGATAGTCACTGATATTTTTGTGACTGTATCAAGAAGCTATTCCCAAAGTTCTCACAATTACGCGAGGCAAGCCACTTAATAACCTGCTTTTGAACAGCTGTCAGTTGCCAAAATAAAGGATCACATTTACCACAACACAACGAAATTTCTGTTCAAATCAAATCAAAGGTTTATTTCACACATTTGTGTATCTCCCCACCAAAATAAAGAAATCACACATGCATCAAGGACTTCAGTCAATCCTAGCCCCGTTTACCAGTTGAGTAAAGATAGAAGCAGAAGGGGAAGGAAAAGGGAAAGTGATCAGTTTAATATTTTTTTAGCTTGTGATAGTATTAGCTAACTGGTGATTTATCTTAATGTTTTCCTGCTCCCAGGAGTGGAAAGAAAGATCAGCAACAAAATCCATTCAGTACTTTTTTTCCTTTTTCTTTTTTGAAATGGAGTTTTGCTCTTGTTGCCCAGGCTGGGGTGCAGTGGTGTGATCCCAGCTCACTGCAACCTCTGCCTCCCGGATTCAAGTGATTCTCCTGCCCGAGTAGCTGGAATTACAGGCATGTACCACCATGCCCAGCTAATTTTGTATTTTTAGTACAAAATGGGTTTCTCCATGTTGGTCAGGCTGGTCTCGAACTCCCGACCTCAGGTGATCCACCCGCCTCAGCCTCCCAAAGTACTGGGATTACAGGCATGAGTCACCGCACCCAGCCCATTCACTATTTTTTTTATGTGAGCCATTCAACCAAGCACCTCACTCTCAGAAACGTGTTCAGTTGTGGCTACCATGAACGCTTCCTTCAGCTGCTGATGGTAAGAGGAACATGCCTGGCAAGGACAGTACGGCCATGGTGCTGAGCTCCTCATACCTGTGTGTTGCCTTAGATTTCTCTTACCACACAGGCAGGTCTATGCTAAAAAAGTATAATTTATATATTCTGAACCACCATTAATAGGTAGCAATTGATATTTACTAAGTGCAAATCATTCATTGAGGTTTAAAACTTAAAGCAGAAAACTTCTAATAGATTTACTTTCAATGATTTAAGTCTAATGTCAGTAGAGTAGAGAGTAGAGAGCATTCTGAATTGTATTCACTTTAACAAAAGATGGCTGGAAAGGCTAAAACCCATCTAAAATTCATGTGAGTGATCTGGCATCCCTACATGGGAAAGGCCCAGGCTGGAGTGCAGTGGCAATTCACAGGAATGATCAACGCACACAGCAGCCTTGAACTCCTGGCCTCAAGGGATCCTTCTGCCTCAGCCTCCTGAGTAGCTGAGACTACAAGCGTGTGCCACTGCACTCAGCTTCTTTTCCTTCATTGAGTCCTTTCTGCTACGAATTTGTCCACGTTACTAAGAAATAATCATGCTTTGTTGAAATGCTCAATTGAATTATGGCTGTGATGAGACATTAGTATCTCACTTACCTGTGGAGGATTCTGCTCCACAGATGCTAGCAACAGCATAGAGCTTTTAACTATTTAGATGCGTATATTAGAGATTTCTAAATATTACACACTAAAAATCCATGTTGTCTAAAAGTTAAAACATCTAAAATGGATACAAGCCAGGCACAGTGGCTCACGCCTATAATCCCAACAGTTTGGGAGGCCAAGGCGGGAGGATCAGTTGAATGTAGGAGTTCAAGACCAGGCTGGGCAACATAATGAGACCCTGTCTCTAAAAAAATAGAAAATATTAGCCAGGCATGATGGTGTGTGGCTGTATTCTCAAGCTACTCGAGAGGCTGAGATGGGAGGATTTCTTGAGCCCAGGAGCTCGAGGCTGCAGTGAGCTGTGATTGCACCACTGCACTCCAGCCTGAGTGACAGAGTGAGACCCTGTCTAAAGTAAAATAAAATAATGAAATAAAATGAAATGGATATAAATTAGTAGACAGTATGACCAAGTTTTTTTTTTTTAATTTTTTAGACGGTGTTTCGCTCTTGTTGCCCAGGCTGGAGTGCAATGGCGTGATCCCGGCTCACCACAACCTCTGCCTCCCAGACTCTAGTGATTCTCCTGTCTCAGCCTCCCAAGTAGCTGGGATTACAGACATGTGCCACCACCCCCGGCTAATTTTTTGTATTTTTAGTAGAGATGGGGTCTCTCCATGTTGGTCAGGCTGGTCTTGAACTCCCAACCTGAGGTGATCCGCCTGCCTTGGCCTCCCAAAGTGCTGGGATTACAGGCATGAGCCACCATGCCCGGCTTATGACCAAGTTTTTAGGCACTAACAGAGATTTTCAGAAAAAAGACAACACTAATATTTATGTTCTGTAAACTGAAGGTACAGGAGGTCTGCATCTTCCAAATCTCTGAGTAGATGGTTACCATGCTGCTACGTGCAGGTCCAGAAATGAGAAAGACAAACATGGTAGATGACGAGTTTTGCACATTGACAAAGTGGATATCATGAAAAGCAATAATAAGCACCTGGGCCATATTCCTGAATTATAATTTGTTTGATAAAATGCTAGAAGGATAGACATCTTGGCTAGGTGTATTCTATTTTATTCACTCTTCAAATAAGAGTCTTTCCAGCCCAGTGATATGTCATGGGATTGTACAAATTGGCATTTGCAGATATCAAAAGGATGCCTGCCACCTAGAGAGACACGGGAGTTTGCTGTCAGCTGCTGGCTGTCAGCGGCCGGCTGTCAGCGGCCTTTCTGATCTTGTTTCCATGGAAATTGACATTAGATAGGTGAGGGGGAGGGGAGAGTTATGGGTTGCGTTTTTATTTCATTATTTCAAATGAGATGTTTGAATCCTTTACCTTCTTTGCACCCATCTGAAACTGGTTTCCCTGACAACGGCATCAGGGGTGCTGCCCCCCCAAGATCTGAGAGCAAGAACTCTTACTTCGCTGGTCTCAAACGACGGCATTGAAGAGGACAATCAGCCCAGGCTGCAACTCCCTCAATCAGCAGAAGGGGGTCAAGAAGAAAAGGAATTGGAAGTGACCTGAAACTTTCTAAGAAGGTTAAAAGAAACACAACAGGGTTTCCTTTATTTCAAAAACTAGTCATTCAAGTAAAACAAATACACGGGTAGTGAGGCCTGGCTCAGACCTTAAAAACTGCCATCATGCGGGTAACTACCTAATCCCGCTGGTCCACACAGCTCCTCTCTCTGTGGCTTGGACCACCTGCTCGTGCGCTGTCTTAGACATCATGCTCACTTTTCTTAGATAGAAAAAAAGAAAGGAAAATTCCAGACAAGGGCTCATTAGGTCATTTTCTTTCCCCACCAATCAATGTTCTTCATACTGAGTGCTTTGCTTTCCAAGGAACTATAGTTGTTTTTAAAGGATTTTCGCTGCAGAGGGTATGCTAAATGCAGAATGTGGTGGCACTACAATGGCTGTCTGCTTAAAAAAATAATACTATACAAGAAACCATAAGGGAAAGAAAAGAGTGGCCATTAAAGTAAACTATTAAGAATGGTTGCACTCTACATTCCAAATGTGAAGTTATGTATCAGGGCTATTACAATGGCAGAGAGCTGTGCAGTGGATTCAGTAGAATGGCCATGTAAATTGAAAAGCAAACTAATGTCTCTTAAAGCCTGGAAACCACAGAAGGAATTTGCTCCCAAGTGGAAAACTCCAGGCAATCAACCAATGAATCACTCACCCAAAGACCAAGAGCTTTGTCTTTCTCGACTGTCTTTTATGCAGAAGGATATGGGTCACTACACACAACATCAGAAGAAATCTAGAAGGGCACAGGCTTTGGCATAGGCCGTACTTGAGTGTTGATGGTTTCTATAATGAAAAGGGAAACAGTTTGTTCCTTTTCTTTAATTTTGCCATATAAAACATTCTTATGAAAGGCTATACCAAAATTGCTTGATAAATAGAAAACTCTTGATTGAGATGCTTGTGTCAGGTGGAGGTAAATTTTACTTTTATGCAAGCCAACAACAGAAATGGAAAATAGGCTTATGATATAGTCACACTCTATGATGTAGCAATCTCATTCTTGAGATTATTGCAAGGTAATAGTTCAAAAGAATAAAAAGAAAGTTCTATATATGGAGACTTTAATGCAGTATTAGTTATTAGAGTTAAAATAACCATGCAAGGCCAAGCACAGTGGCTCACGCCTGTAATCCCAGCACTTTGGGAGGCCAAGATGGGCAGATGTCTTGAGCCCACGAGTTCAAGACCAGCTTGGCCAACATGGTGAAACCCTGTTTCTATTAAAAATACAAAAAATTAGCCAGCCATGGTGGTGTGCGCCTTATAGTCCCAGCTACCCAGGGGGCTGAGATGGGAGGATCACTTGAGCCCAGGAAGGTGAGCTGAGATTGTGCCACTGCACTCCAGCCTGGGTAAGAGGAGTGAGACCATCTCAAGGAAAAAACAAAACCAAACCATGCAAAATGGCAGTAGTCTAATAAATGGCATTGTATTATTTGATGGGGTCAATAAAAAGTACAGAAGACTATGCAGAAATAAAGGGGAAAAATTTGTGATAGCAAATGGAATGGGTGTTGTGCTTACATATGTATGCATGCATGAAGAAATAAATGTAAGGGAAATATACCAAAAATAGAAATACTAGGATGGAAGAGTTTTGTTTTTGTTTTGAAACAGGATCTTACTCTGTCACCCAGGCTGGAGTACAGTGGAGCAATCTTGGCTCACTGCAACGTCCACCTCCCAGGCACAAGCGATCCTCCCACCTCAGCCTCCTGAAGAGCTGGGACTTCAGGCACCTGCCACCATGCCTGGCTAATTTTTGTAGAGATGGGGTTTCACCATGGTGCCCAGGCTGGTCTCAAACTCCTGAGCTCAAGCAATCCGCCCACCTTGGCCTCCCAAAGTGCTGGGATTACAGGCATGAGCCAGAAGACTATGCAGAAATAAAGGGGAAACAATTTGTGATAGCTAGTGAGAGCAGAACACAAAATGGAATGGGTGGTGTGTTTACATATGTCTGCATGCATGTAGAAATAAATGTAAGGGAAATGCACCAAAACAGAGATATTTTTGCCTGGCAGTTTTGTTTTTTAATGCTTTGTAGGCTTTTCCTCCAACAATATATAAAATAAGGCAGTAAACTGAATGTTTGGGCCCTTCCTGCCTCACTTTTGCAAGTGGATTTGCATGTTGGCTGTTGCTTACTGCATCAGTTCGTGGCATGTGAGCTGAGTCATTACACTGGTTACTTCTCTAACTAGACTTAGCATAAGGAAAACAGGATAAAGAGTAGCATATCCTATTCACAGCAAAGGAAATGACCACTTACATCAAGAAATTGCTGAAAACTTGACAATTAACAGGAACATATAACAGGTGGAAACTGTGCAAGCCTTAATAGAGCTCACTCATTTCGAGAGATATGAATGTAAGTATAGCCTTTAAATTGCAAGAGATAAATGCCACCTATGCTTTAAGGGGTATTGAAACACATTTTCTTTCTATGGAAAATGGTCTGAACAATCATTGTTCTAGGATAATAAGGGTATCCTCAAGACCAGTAACATACTAGGTAACCCATTTACTGACACCATCAGCATCTTTTTTTTAGAGCTGAGAGAAGCTATCCACAGATTGGACAAACATAAGTTGATCATATCAGGACTCACACAATCGACCATACCCCTACAATCCAGGCATGCTGCAAAGCATTACAAGTTTCTTCAAACATCACCTTTTCCGAAGGTAACATTTGAATTTGGTTATTTCTAGGAAAAGACGCCAGTTCAGAAGGTCCTGGATGTTGAGGCCTGACTTCCCAGTCACCACCCATGCCCTTAAACAAACTAAACAAGAGTTGCTGACTGTGCTAGTTACACTTTGTACAAGCTTTTGTTAAAGTCTACCCATTTATTTACCACTCAAGGCAGGCCCAAGTAGATACCAGCTGGGGAGGTCCAGTGGCCAGCCAAACTGGGCCCAACATGGCAACTTCTCAAGGAAATGCATGACTAGCCTCCATGTTAAATTCTCAAAGTGCAGTACCTGTTAACAACTCTGTGAGGTATACGCTTTTATTCCAATCTTGCAGCTGAAGATTCTAAGAAGGGCTGAGGAAGTCGCTCAAGGATATACAGAAAAGGTAACTACGTATCACACCTGCCATCTGTGCCTGGTCTGGAGTTGATTACAAATGCAGTGTCCTTCTTAACACACTACAGTGCCCATGGCATATTACTCTTACAACTACAGAAGATCCTTTTAAATAATACGAATATAGGAGTAGGTTATAGGTCCCCACTCTTATTAAGGTTTATCATCATTGGGGTTTCTAAATTACCCCTTTGTGGCAAGTAAATGATAACAATGAAAAATAATTATGATCCTGGAAAACTATAGATTCTTAATATTGAAAAACAGAACACACAAGTATATACAACAGAAACTGATCAAGAAAATTAGGCATTCACATTAAGTGTCTAAAAGAAGCTATCAAGAGTCTATGAAAGCTTTTCTAGGAATTGTTAACAGGACAGACATCTATTGTTCTTAAAGATGGTGTTAGCCTATGAACTGACTTCAGGATCCTTTAGAAAATAATGAATGGAAGCTAGAACAAAACTAGATGGAACACAAGATATTTATTGCCTATCATTAGCAAATACTTTCTTAGAGTAAGAATATTAATGAGGTTGACCTGAGAAAAGCAGCTATTGCCGTGCTTTGCTAGGGACAGTATACATAAGCCCAGTATTTCTGGAAAGCAATTTGGCAGTTTATAATATCAAAGATCTGAAATATCTTATCTTTTGATGTGGTAATTCAACTTCTTAGGATTAATCCTAAGGAAAGGAGCAGAAATGAGGAGAGAAAATTATATATGAACATTTTCTTTATAAGGATTATAATATCTTCATGTTTAAAATGGCCTACATACCTAACAAATGAGAAATAGGTAAATTATAATATACCCAACACTGTAAATTTCAAGTGATAAAAAAAAGTGAGAAGCAGGTTATAAAACTTCATGGACAAGAAGGTAGAACGGAATTAAAACTTTGGAGTCTGAACATCTGAGTTAAAATCTGATGCCACAATTCGCTGTGTGATCTCAAGCAAGTTAATCTCTGTGCCTCGGTTCCCTCATCTGTTAAATAAGCATGAACCCAGTAACTACCTCATTGGGCTTTTGTGAAGGTTCAGTGAGATAACACAAAGTGCTTAACTGTCCTTTGGTAAGTAGCAAACACATTGTTAATAATCTGTATTACATTTGGCATGATTGGCACAAAAAAGAGTAGTTTTGGCCGGGCGCAGTGGCTCATGCCTGTAATCCCAGTGCTCTGGGAGGCCGAGGTGGGTGGATCACTTGAGGTCAGGAGTTTGAGATCAGCTTGGCTAACACAGTGAAACCTTGTCTCTACTAAAAATACAAAAATTAGCTGGGTGTGGTGGCATGTGCCTGTAATCTCAGCATTGGAAAGGCTGAGGCACGAGAATCACTTGAACCTGGGAGGTGGAGGTTGCAGTGAGCCTAGATCGTGCCACTGCACTCCAGCCTGGGCAACAGAGTAAGACTGCCTCAAAAAAAAAAAAAAGAACAGTTTCTAGGTGAAACAATTATGGTGGGTTTTAATTTTCTTCTCTGCCATCAGCAGCTTCTTCCCCAACTTCCCTCTTTGGAATAACTCCATCTTAGTCACCAGCCCAGTGACCACCCTGCTTTAGTCAAATGGCTGGTTGACTGAATCTAATATGATAATTTGAAGGACAACACTCTGTCAAGTCAGCAGCTTACTGTTTTACACAGTTAGGTATTCCAATTTTCAAGGAATGATTTCTAACTCTGCATCACCACTCCAGTTAAACACCATGTACATTCTTGTGGCCTCCACATTAGGTCCTTGTGGTATGTTTTCCAAACCTCCACAGACTCACATTGATTTATGTCTAAGAAAGAAGCAACATTTTTAAGAACTCAATTATTGTAGGGCTCTTATAGTACTCTGCTTCAAAAGTTAGTTTTGGGCAGAGACTACTCAAAGAACAGATGTCAAGCAACTTCAAAACAGTAAGCCTTACACTTTATTGCCATCTTCCTTTTAATCTTCAGCCTCAAACTCTCAAATACTTGAGAGGGTTCCAGTCTTTAGGAAATATTAATATACTCTCACAGTTTATTAAATTGATGGCTCTGTTGTAAAGATTATTATGCCAGATCACTAGTTCTCAAAGTGTGGTCCCCAGTCCAGCAGTCTCAGGACCACCTGGGAACTCGCTTTAGAAATGCAAATTCTCGGGTCCCAACATGGCCTACCGAAACAGAAACTCTGAGACTGGGGTCTAGAAATCAGAATTTTAACTAGTGATGCTGATGCAGACAAAAGTTTGACAACTTCTCCAGAAACGTGAACCTGATTAAGAACAAAATATTTAACTGTTTATTAAGTGCTAGTTTAAAATATGAGGCAAAAAAGCTTTGGATATCTGGATAGTAAATTCCCCGGGGCAGAAAATGACCCTTATATGGCTTCATCTTGCTCAGGGAAGCCTGAAATTGTGGTGATCTGATGATGTCACTGCCACATGAAGAGAGGACATCTTTGAGAAGTAAACAATCCACGCACCCGAGCAGAGAGTTTGAAATGTCACCACTCAACTTCCTCGCCATGATGACAGAGGCAGCAGTCTCTTGAGGGAATTAAACAACATGCTGAAATTAAGAATCTGATCCCTTTCTCTGATCTGTTGGCAAATCTGGGAAAAGTCAAAACTATTAGCAGAAGTGTAATTTTAAAAATCCCCATATGGGCTGAGCATGGTGGCTCACTCCTGAAATCCCAGCACTTTGGGAGGCCAAGGCAGGCAAATTACCTTGGTCAGGAGTTCCAGACCAGCCTGGCCAACATGGTGAAACCCCCACCTCTACAAAAAATACAAAAAATAAAATAAAAATAAAAATCCCCATATCAATGTTCTCAGCTTTGGGGCAGCTGCTATTTACCAGTCATATCTTAAAAGAGCCCATCAAAATCCCATCAGCCACCACAAAAATTAGAATTTATGTCAAACCCCTACCCTATCACCTCACAAACAACAGAAACTTAATAAATGGTAATTATATTGATGCAATATTTTGTCCTTATTATATAATAGGTGCTAGAAACATCTAGCTATGAAAAAAGTATTACAAAACCAATCTCACTAGGACTTTGATTTTTCAACCCAATTCCATAGATGAGTTACATGGTAGAAACATACATGCAAGGCATGAGTAAAGACTGTGAGTGATTTAAAACATCAATATTAAATATATATGATTTGTTGGTAAAGAACAAGGAAAACAAATATTTACATAAATTAGGTTATAAATTAGTGAACGCGAACGTATTTATATACCTAATATTACATAAGAGTGCTACTTAAGGGAACTGTGCAAATTATATATTTTTTTGAGACGGAGTATCGCTCTGTCGCACGGGCTGGAGTGCAGTGGCACGATCTTGGCTCACTGCAAGCTCTGCCTCCCGGGTTCCAGGTTCACGCCATTCTCCTGCCTCAGCCTCCCGAGTAGCTGGGACTACAGGCACCCGACACCACGCCCAGCTAATTTTTGCATTTTTAGTAGAGACGGGGTTTCACCGTGTTAGCCAGGATGGTCTCGATCTCCTGACCTCGTGATCCGCCCGCCTCGGCCTCCCAAAGTGCTGGGATTACAGGCGTGAGCCACCGTGCCCGGCCACAAATTATAAATCTTTAAAATGAAATGAAGAGGGAATTTGGAGAACTAGGGGGAAAAACAAAAATCACAGCCCACTTGGCTGGGTGCGGTGGCTCACGCCTGTAATCCCAGCACTTTGGGAGGCCGAGGCGGGCGGATCACGAGGTCAGGAGATCGAGACCATCCTGGCTAACACGGTGAAACCCCATCTCTACTAAAAAAAAAATGCAAAAAATTAGCCGGGCGTGGTGGCGCGCGCCTGTAGTCCCAGCTACCTGGGAGGCTGAGGCAGGAGAATGGCGTGAACCCGGGAGGCAGAGCTTGCAGTGAGCCAAGATCGTGCCACTGCACTCCAGCCTGGGCGACAGAGCAAGACTCCAACTCAAAAAAAAAAAAAAAAAAAAAAATCACAGCCCACTGTATGAAATTTGAAAGAACACAGACAAGGCTCATGGCAGAACCTGCATTTGGTCTGTCCTGTGAGGCCATGGGGACACAGCTTCCCTGACCCTTGGTTATATGAGGATAATGATAACCACCTTCTGACATTTTTATATGCGAGACTGCCACATACCTCTTGGCACATGGTGACCAAAGAATCTGAATTTGTTGAAACTTACTTTGTAACCCATATTCAGGGCAAAAGGTATACAAATATTTGGCTTACTAGATCTCAACAATCACATGATTCCAGTCTCCTGGGGGACAGGAGTGGTGACTCCTACGGTCACAGCTTAGGAAGAAATTGCTCTCCCACTTGCACTTGCATTTGTGAGAATCACTACTCACAACCCTGTTCTCATACCTACCGCCATCCTCCAGACCCTGAAAGGTAGACACAATTTTTACTGTTCCCATTTTCCAAGTGGGAAACACTCAATTGTCTGGGCAATTTCCTAAGACTCTAACCCTTCTGTAGCTGGGCTTGCACTAGTCATCTCCAGGACTCTTGCCACCAACACAGTCAGAGCCTCTTCCAAAATCAAATAGAAGTGGCTTCATCAGATTCAAGATGATCTATGAGTTGATAAAAGTTTCAGAAAAATACCGTTACAGAAAGAATGTCACAAGTTTGGGAACTATAAAGTATGAGGGAAAATGAAGGGAGAAAATCCACTAACAGAAAACGGGAGTATCTCTTTAACCCACACACATGCATCCCCCTTCTCCACGGGCATATGGCTGCAAAGCAAGACATCGCATTTCCAGTCTCCCTTGTGGCCACCATGTGACAAACTCCCTGCCGACGGACTGGCAAATAAAAGTGATGGAACAAATTCTAGTCACCTGCTTAAAAACACATCGCTTTCCCTGGACTTCTGCTCTTTCCCCACTGCTGGCTGGAAGTGGTGGCAACTAGAGAGGCCTTACAAGTGCAGAGCTGCATTGTGGGCCTGGGTCTCCGGGTCACAGGTAGGAGGGAGACAAACTCTAATGGTCTTTAAGCTACTTCATTGTTGGTATTAGAGAAAATAGGGAAGTAAGGCGGGGAGGGAGAGAGAACAGAAAAGATAAACACTCCATTACTCCATTAACAAGCCATCTGAGTCTGTCAGATAGAAACCTACTTCGTTATACAAGGAAGGGATGACAGCATAATCAGCTTTAGTAATGGGGGTTTGCCATTCACTTAATGAGAAGTGAAAATATTTAACTCAGTATATAAACATTTTTTTTTGGCAAAAAGCAAACAAAGTAATGTTTTTGAATATATAAAGAACAAGGTCTTGGTAACAAATGAAAAATATTAAGACAAACTGCCAACAACTCGCTGGATCATAAGAGAACAAGAACATTAAAAATTCCTTAGGTGCTATTTTTAAACAGCCGGGAACACTGCCTTAAATTTATTAGCTATTATTTTATAAAATAATAGAAAATAATGGTGTATAATAGTATATAGTATATAAAAAATAAGCCATGTAGCTTTTTCAGGAGGAAACATGGATGGTAACTTATTAAAAGCCCAGGATTACAGATTTCATCTAATCACATTAGTAAAAGCATGTCCACAAAGATAAAGACCAAAGACTAATGATAGATAATAATGGCTAGAGCTGCAGGGAGGGCCTTAATGAGAAGAATGCGGAGAAGTGATGGGTATGGTTGGCTTAAGTAACTTAATATAATAGACCAAATAAGTATTAATGAAGACAAAACCAGCTGACTTTCCACCTTTTACAGGTTAATGAACTCTGCAGCTTTCTGTGTATCATAGATCATAACACAAAACCCAAGTGAAGCTTGTGAAGAGAGAGAATACAGATTTGAAACTACTGAGGCCAGCATGTAGTGGGTCATGCCTTTAATCCTAGCACTTTAGGAGACCAAGGCGGGAGGATCACTTGAGGCCAGGAGGTCGAGACCAGCCTGGGCAACAAAGTGAGAGTCTGCCTCTACAAAAAATAAAAATTAAAAAAAAAAAAAAAATTAGCCTGGCTATTCAGGAGGCTGAGGTGGGAGGATTGCTTAAGCCCAGGAGTTCAAGGCTGCAGTGAGATGTGATCATGCCATTGCACTCCAACCTGGGTAACAAACAATGTGAACTCAAATCTTTAAACAAAAAAAAAAAAAAAAAAAAAGGAGAGAGAGAGAGAGAACGAAAGAAAGAGAGAAAGGGAAAGAGAAAGGGAAAAGGAAGAGGAGATTGGGCCTTCCTAGAAAAAGGAATATTTTGCCTTCCAATGAATCACCAGAAAAAAGTAGAGCTTTAATCTTTGACCTTGAATCACAATAGTATCATAACAAAAGAACAAATCTTGATGAAGTAATTTTACTTTCCTAAAGAAAACTGTCATTAGTAAACCTTCAATTACTCACAATTCCTAGTCTTGAGCTCCCAGTAACTCAAGCTTGTGAAGGATTAGGTTCTAATGCAATGGGAGCCTACCACCAAATATATTTATAAAATAAGCAGTGCAATTCAAAACTTCCTCTACAAATGTATAATCTTTGCTTATAAAACCCACATTGATGATCCCAAAGCTTTAATAAAAAACAATAAAGAAAGAAAAGGAAAACCACTTATTGGTACTAAAGCCTTTACTGTAATAAACCAAATATATTTACAATTTATACAAATGTTTAACCTTCAACAAAAATACAAAAAAACATTTCACAAGATGCAAAACCAGGAAACAAGTTCATTGGAGACACCACTGCTCTACAAAGGACGGAAAGTGAGGTGAACTGCAAGGAACAGAAAGGTAATCTCACACTTGGGCAAGGCGTGATCCCCAGATCACCCAGAAAGAAAGAATGGGCTGTCATGTGAGTCGGCAGATTCCGTTCCTCAATCCTACAACCCATGGCCCCTCTGTCCGCTTGGCCTTGGTGCTCCATTTGGTCTATGTAGACAGGTGACTTTCTGCTGATGGACTTGTCGCCTCCTCTTTGTAGACTCAAAGTAGTTTTCTGTCAAGGTTTGGAAACAGGTGTTTGTAATTTTTTTTCTCTTTTAAAGTTACAACTTTTCTATTTCTATAAATTCGAAACATTTTGGCCCAATTCAACTATAAACGTTAAACCACATAATGTTTTCAGTAGATGACTTCATAGACTGTAGCCTTCTTGTCCCCCGAGCCAGTGACTATGTACTTATCATCCACAGAGATGTCACAGCTAAGCACTGACGAGGACTCTTTGGACTGGAAGAGAAAACAATGGACATGTGTTTAATGTGGAACAACGGTACTCAGAGGCCCTGCTCCCTCGGAGGCACCTTCACTCCTGGCTTCAGAGGCGACACTGTGGTCAAACTGTGGATCTAGGTGAGGAGTACTTACTCACCTGGAATATGCTGGCTCCATAGGGGGTCCGCCAAGCATTGAGGAGGTTATCTTTTCCAGTACTCACAAACCATTTACCTAGAATTAGCAAAGGAATATCTAGTTTTCACAAGGTTAAAATTCCTACTATACAATTAGCAACTTGGACTTAATCAAACTAAGAACATTTTTAATATATGAACTATCATGCCCTAAGGACTGGTCCATGATATGAACAGAGGTTTTAATCTGGGCTCCTCAGTGATTTATCAGTGATCTTGGGTATAATCTAAGAGGTATCAGCCTCCTTAGTCACTGGATACAGGACTAGTAGCATCATATCCAACACACGGTAACCCTCAAATATAGAAATCAATGAAGAATGTGTTCTATTTTAGTCAGTCTCCTCATGATAAAATGGGATTAAAGATTCCCATCTTTAATGGGAATTAAAGGATTAAACATCCAACTTAAGTAAAATGCCAGTCACATCATATAGCATGAAGAAAAATGCTCAATAAGTGATAGGCACTCATCCACCCATCCATCCATCCATCCATCCATCCATCCATCCATCTATGCATACTGTGAACAGATATCTGCCCATCTGCAGCACACAAGAAGGGTCACCACATGAACTTCTTCCCTCTTCATCCTCACTGTAGAGTAGAGTGTAACTAAGTGTCTGCGTATACCTAAATATCGACTTCTCTAACCCTGGATTCCTCATCATGGCCAGCTCATAATGACTTCCACTGCCCCTGCTCCATTCTTCAATAAATTCCCGCCCACCCCTCTTCAGAGTAGAAACTCATTGTCGTCTCCCAACCCCTCCAAAACAAACTTGTGTCCAAACCGTGTATTAGGCAATCACATTGCCTGCTGACTTTTCTCAAATTAGCAAAACAGACTGAAACAGACATTGCTGTGCTCTGAAGGGCATATTAAAACAATAGAATTATTGCATCCAGCTGCTCGGAGAACATTTTTTCCAGATTATGATCTCTACCATATTTTTTTAAGAAGCATTTTCCATTTGGGCCATCAACGGCCTCCAGTTTCCTTTCGGCTGAACTCACCACAGTAAGCAAATTTCAGGGACAGCACGCAGCTCTCATGCAGGTGCAGCTGGTACTTGTCAGGCTTGTTCACGTGCAGCACCTCCACATTGCTGCTCTCCATGCCCACTGCCAGCCACTCCCCGGTGGGGCAGTACCCCAGGGAGAAGATCTACAAGGAGCAAGACAGGCTCACTCATTATTCCGCCTGATACACTTAGGAAGGGAAGACGCAATGTGAAAAGTGGGGAAATAGCAAGAATGGGGGGAAGTAATCAGCCAAGTCCAGACTGTGGGGAGGTCCACAGGGCAAGTGATCTAACGCAGATGAACCAAGTGTCAAAACCTTTAGGAAACTGGAAACATTTGAACCCCTCTGTCTTTTGGGATAAAATTAAGAAATGATTCCTAATAATAATGGCATTCATCTGTACATTTTAAAGGAGGCTTTACCTTTTAGAGACACTAACTGAAATACGATCAT
The DNA here is from genome assembly GCF_000001405.40 of Homo sapiens. NCBI lineage: Eukaryota > Metazoa > Chordata > Mammalia > Primates > Hominidae > Homo > Homo sapiens. Next base: position 81,585,968 of record NC_000009.12, read on the forward strand.
ATATCACCTATCAAGGGGGATACATTCTGAGAAATGTGTCGTTAGGTGACTTTTTTTTTTTTTTTTTTGAGACGGAGTCTTGCTCTGTCGCCCAGGCTGGAGTGAAGCGGCGTTATCTCGGCTCACTGCAAGCTCCGCCTCTTGGGTTCACGCCATTCTCCTGCCTCAGCCTCCCAAGTAGCTGGGACTACAGGCGCCCACCACCACGCCCGGCTAATTTTTTGTATTTTTAGTAAAGACGGGGTTTCACCGTGCCAGCCAGGATGGTCTCGATCTCCTGACTTTGTGATCCACCCGCCTCGGCCTCCCAAAGTGCTGGGATTACAGGCGTGAGCCTCCGTGCCTGGCCTTGTTAGGTGACTTTATTGTGTGAACTTCAGAGAGTGCACTTACACACACCTAGAGAGTGGAGCCTATCGCTTGTAGGCTACAACCCTGCACAGCATGTTACTGTACTGAATACTGTAGGCAACTGTAGCATAACGGGAAGTATTTGTACATCCAGATACATCTAAACATTGAAAAGGTACAGTAAAAATATAGTATTATAATCTTAAGGGACCACTGTCACATATGCGGTCTGTCCTTGGCTAAAAGGTTATATGGTGCATGGCTGTGCTTATGGATACAATGATATGCTGCTAGAGTTTATTTTAAAATAATCCAGTGTCTGGGGGTGGGAACGAGAGTTATCATATGGCCAAATAACTTCAAGCTGAGCGATGGGCATGTGGCATTTATTGTACAATTCTCTGTGCTTTCATAAATGCTTGGACATTTGCTGTACTCATATGTATTTGAGAATTTCTCTAAGAAGTTTTAAAAAAAGGCAGAACAAAAATTGTATCCTGCTTATGTTGGGAAAGAGTGAAAACAGCAAGACTCTAAGAAACTCAACAAAATGTTAACAGGAATATGAAATTTAGAAGTATATATGCTTGTTTTCTGTTTCTGTCCTAGTTTTCTGAGTAGAATTATTTTTATTACAAAACAAGGTAAAAAATAAATGCCAAGTCATGATCGAAAGAACAATTCTACCACCAGAAAGCATTTAAAATGGCAAACACTGTTTTTTCCAAAACAAGTCTACATTCAGACATTGGACATCAAAATACTTTTCACAATCTACAAAGTTGCCATTTATACATTATTTCAAAAGTCTGCAAATCTAGTCAGCCACCAGTTCATTTTTTAAAGGATGAGGAATAAAATGGGTATCACTGAGGTATCTGTGCATTTTTTTGAGCTCTCTGGTGCGGGGTAAATAAATGAACTTTCAGAGGAGCTGTGACTTTTCTCTACTCTTAGTGACATTCTGCAGATTTCTCAAGTTCTATTTATTTAGGAATCAAAAAATCATCTCCTACTCCTGCATTAGATGGTGAGAATATGTGCCACAGATCAAACACTGCTGAAGGAAAACTATACATTCTTCAATGTACAAATCCCTTAAACAAACTCATATGTAAATATAACAGAGAACACACCTTAACCTACAGGATTCTAAAAACCACTCTAGTTTTGGGGAAGGTAGGGGGAGGGTCGTGAAGGAGGAGGTGGTGGTCATTGTTTTTAAATTAGTTATCTCAAATTCAGCCCTGATCTGTTTGTCCAGCCACTACCATCCTAGGGTAAAGGAGGGAGGGTTGTGAGGAGGAAGACACACCCCAGCCACCTCCCAGACTCCAGGGCAGGCGGAAGCCACTCAGTCACCTGGGAGGTGAAGTCGTGCTGCTGCAGCTGCCGCCCCTCGCGCAGGTCCCAGGACCTGACTGTGTTGTCCAAACCACCCGTCCAGAGCTTGGTGCCATCATTAGAAATGTCAATACAGCTGGCTCCGTCTGTGTGGCCCTGGAATTGCCTGATAAAACAAACCAGATTGAATAATGATTTCCTGCCAGAGCTCAAGGTAAACACTGTTGTGTTGTTAGTTTTGGACCGTGTGTGTGTGTGTGTGTGTGTGTGTGTGTGTGTGTGTGATCCCGCCAGTGTCTGCTGATGTGCAAGATCAAACTAACCTTCCCCTGAGGAGGAGGGGAAACAGCACCTGCGATTGTCTTTCCCTGTTTTCCACGATCCAAGTGCTAAAGAAATGGAATGCCACTGCAGGTCACTACCCAGAACTTAAATATGCTACTCTGACAAAACCGTCTGGAAGGTAAAATTCTTTCCAGGTCTGGAAAAGTGTTTAATTGTTAAATAGAAAATAAAAGACAAACACACAAAATCCCGATTGTATTCCTTATGGGAAGATAAAGGTCTGTTCTTTAATCGTGCAGGCCTGAGTCCGTGAGAGAAAGAAATGGGGACGTTACAAGCACAGGGTGTACAGAAGCATTCCTGTTTCCATGAGTGAATCAACACAGCAATGCCCTACGTGCCAACAGAGCATGAGCTCATGTATTTACTCAACCTTGCTTTCTGTGTTAGAAAGAGCCCTGCATTAGGAAATCTGGACTCCCAGAGACAAAGGGTCACGCATGCCGGCCTCCTGACCTCAGAGGCATTGGGCAGAGACACAGGTAATTGCTGAGGCAGACCCACGGGCACCTCAGCAAGACTCTGCCTCCAAGCGGAGCACAAGGTTGTTCTTTAAAGAACCTTGTGCTTCATTCAAAAATCGCCATCAGAAACGATCAGCCAACAGGGATCTGCTGAGCACAGATGCTGTGCAAGGCAACTAGCAGAGCTGCTGAGGGGAGGTCAGTGTAAGCCCCAGCAGGGACGGTGACTGGTGGACTCAGTTCTGCATGCTGAGAGGAAGGTGGTGGGGGAGGCAGCCAGAAAAGGCGAGCAAAGTCTAGACCCACCCTCAGAAGCAGGCGGGATCCAGTAAAGAACTGCGTGGGAATTTCAACACTGAGAAGAAAGTTACCATGCTGCTTCTTCCTCCAGGATCCCCACACCTTATCATTCCTGTAGAGCTCCAAACTTTTAACCTGAGCTTGGATTTTAAAGAGTGCAAGGGAAGGAAAAAGCACCACTACTGCCCTAAATTCTAAGCCAAGACGTGAACCATCACTTTTAAAATCTTCTCTCTGCAAGCCATCCCCAACTTCTGCACTTTAGGATCCAGGTTGAGTCCTCTCTCCTGCGGCCGTGCAGCTGGACCTCCAATGTTTCCGCTTGCTTCCCAGACATCCCCACAGAACACCCAGGCCTGGAGCAGTCCCTGCTTCACTTGGTGAAAGTGTTGCTTTCCTTCCCTTCAAACAGCTCTGGAAATCCAGTGACCCTCTGACTTCTTTTGACCTTTCTAACTCATGAAACGCTGTTCCTCCTTGACTGAAAACACCTTCCTCTGCTGACATACAGTACCTGGCAGCTGCTCCCCCATCCCTCTGCCCTCTCTCCGTCCATATACTATACTCCAGCATTACTCTCAGGCACATCCTATGACTGTTCAGAACGTGCTGGGTTACAGTGGATACAAAGACATTCAATAGGCTTTACATGGCCCTATTACATGCAGCAGCCACTAGCCACCTGTGAGTGGTCCAGAGAAAGATTTGTAAGACGCTACCCCATTCTATCCAACAGGTATTTACTCCCCAGGAGCCGGCACGGAGCAAGGGTTCAGAGTACAGACGAGAGCAGAATGCCTGGGCCTCAACTTGGCTCCACCACATCTGACTGTGTGACCTGAAGCCAGTAACTTACCCTCTCTGAGCCTCAGGCACTTCCTCTATAAAATGGGGCAAATAGCAGGACAGACGTTATGAGAACTAAGTGGAGGAATATTTGAAAAGTGCTTAGAATTGATATTTTGAAAGTGCTACTTATGGAGTTTTAAAAAAAGAAAAAAACAAGTAACTTTTGCTAGGATAAAAGGTGGAGAGGGCGTTCGGCCCTGGCTCCATCATTCCATTTTGCTCACCTACACTACCCAGCAAACAGAAGAGGAAAGTAACTGCCGCACTGTCACCCACACGCAGGGACCGGGCCCGGCTCAATGACACTTCATGGATTTCTACAGCGGAGGTTTGAAGAGAGTGAGCTGTCATGATGACTTCTGGAGCCCGTCCCTTCTCTGTGCAGCATGAGAGGGGACTTACCAAACAAGCCACAGACCCCAAACTGCACCATCCGCAGGGACGGCTTCCCAGCAAAGATGAAACAAGAGTAAAACATGTACTCATTTTACCTTTCATGTTTCATTCATGCTTACTTTAAAAAGACTTTTTGAGAACAGCTCTGGTGTGAGCACTGACTTCTGAAGGGAGCATTTGGCGGGGGAGCTGAGGAGAGACACATGGGTACCAGAACTGCAGCTGCTGCTAAGGTGACAGGGCTGATGCCAGAAGGCCAGGCAGAGCCCTGCGGGCTCCTGGGTGGAACCACCCCTGGGCAGGTCTATTTCATTATTGAGATACTTTAAAATCATTTTGTAGGCAAAATTCACAGAATCTCCTCTTCTCATGTCCCTTTGTTGATTTTCTGTTATCTTTTATCAGTTGGCTCTTGTCTGCACCAAGTTCTAGCCAAAGCCCAAAACATCTAGTATCAAGGGCCTTTTGTGCTGCCGTGTAATCCACATTAGGCCACCCCTTGGCAAAAGCCAGAAATATTTTTAGAACAAGTTTGGAGTCTGTATGTGGGCTGAAGAATTGGCACATTAAGGAGATAGAAAGTCTCGGGTGACACCAGGCATAGTAATAAGACTGTAAGCCCCCCAAAGGCAGCAACACAGTTGTCTTTGTTCCCTCATCACCTAGCCCCATGCCTGGCATTCAAGAGGCTCTTATTGTGTGGGCTGCAGGCAGCCAGAGAGAAGCAGAGGTGATAGGCCCAGCTGCTAAAGAAGCGAACCCCTCCTTAGACGACCATCTTTGCTCACCTCACTAGTGTCTGGTTGTGCAGATCCCACACAGCGATGTTGCCGTCGCTGCAGCATGAGAAGCAGACCTTGGAATCGGGGCTGATGGCCAGGGCGTAGCAGGCGGGGGCCGAGGACGTCAGCTCCGCCTTGATGCGCGGGGTTGGAGCCGCCAGGTCCCAAATGGACAAAGTACTGGCTTCCCCTCCCACTATGAGAGTGCAGCCATCGGGTAGCAATTTACAGGAACGGATATAATTGTCTCTGTTCTGTAGAATAAACATAATTCATTGCTATAATGAATTACCGAGCAATCATAGCACCATGTTCTCTAATGGCTGTCTTGGTTTTTTGAGTTAAGAGTGGTGTTTCATGGACACTCTAACAGAGCAAGAGTTCTCTAGTCAAGATTGGGGTCCAAGTACAACTGTCTCCTTCAAAATAGTAAACAAAACAAATTCACAGGAGCTTAGGTAACTGCTTCTGGTGTCCTGCATCACAGAGCTGAAACTATCTAGGTATGAGGTACAGGTGTACACATAGTTCCCTGAGAAGAAACCACTTTTCCAAGCTAGTTTATAAATCTACCTCATCACCCTGCATTATTTACCACTTGGAAACTGCAGGCCCATCCTCTATGTTTCGGTCTTCGTTATGCTGAGCACATTACCTCATTAGTCAGAAGGATTCTTGCTAAGAATTTACCAGAGCTGCTTTCTCAAGTTGTCATGTGGCTGCTGTTACACTTAAGCCCCTCAATGCAAAGGCCAAAGAACCTGATAAAAGCAGGCATCTTTCCATCAAAACCGACACATATGAAGGGGCTGTGGGTGGGGGGCCCTCATATGATCAACTCCTGAAAGATGCAGATATGGCTAAAGTTTGCTTACATGCTTTTAACGATGGATTATCTTTCAAAGATTAAAGAAACTTTAAGCACATGACTTCAACAAAGGATACTCCTACTGCTATAGAATATTGGGCCATATTTAAATAAGAATTTCATGAATGAAGACATTTTGAAGTTATTTGGTTTTTTTAAAAAATGCACTAATAACTACTCTAAAAAAAGTCTGTGTTTCCAAAACACCGCCACTCTGCTTTTTGGAAACACCTTCTCTGGAATCCTTACAATTTTCCAGGCAGGCAGTGGGTACGTGGCACCATCTGCAACAGCAGAGTGCAGGCAGACACCACACCAGGGCAGGGCAGGGCAGGGCAGCTCGGAGTCTGCTTAAGGCCAGTGGTATGTGCTCTGTAAATCCTGGGGTTATGGTTTAGAAATCGGAACATGGCCGGGCGCGGTGGCTCACGCCTATAATCCCAGCACTTTGGAAGGCCAAGGCGGGCGGATCACAAGGTCAGGAGATCGAGACCATTCTGGCTAACATGGTGAAACCCCGTCTCTACTAAAAATACAAAAAATTAGCCGGGCGTGGTGGTGGGCGCCCGTAGTCCCAGCTACTTGGGAGGCTGAGGCAGGAGAACGGCGTAAACCCCGGAGGCGGAGCCTGCAGTGAGCCGAGATCCGGCCACTGCACTCCAGCCTGGGCGACAGAGCAAGACTCCGTCTCAAAGAAAAAAGAAAAAAGAGATCCGAACATGTCCCAACATGTTTTATGTCCCTGAAAAATGCTAAATGGTATTCTCAGGCTCTGAGCGGACGTGGCTTAGGTACTCTGGGAAAGCATTCTCACTGCTCTCTTTCGTTGATGGCTGCCCCGGGTCTTTGCAGTGACAGCCTTTAACCCTTTCCTGAAGTTAAGGCCATAAAACCTAACCAGCTCTCTCAGGTCTCCCTTAAAAACACAGACCCTGTTCAGAATGGTTTTTATGCCATGTTATCAAATATTTACTATTCTATATTTATCTAAAGGCTGTAGGTCAATTAAAAAACGAGTGGATGGCAGGGATCAGAGTCCAGGCCCAGTTGTGCTTTTGTCCATTAAATGGGAAACTCTCTTTTGTAATACACATCCATACATGAGGAGAGCCTCTGTAAACCACTGTAAAATATTTTTTAAAAAGAAATCCATCAACTCTGGGATTTAGCCAGTACAACAGCAACAAATGAAACCTTCGCATTTAAATGGGGAGCCGAGGGGGTTAAATAACCAACACAGGAAACAGAAGGGGCTTCTATTTCCTCATAATGGGAATAAAACCCAGGCCCACACAGCTATTTCCTTATTGAATCTCCAGGGAGAAATTGCCCTTGTGCACCAGTTCCTGTTCACTCACCAGACAGTCGAGCTGGGAGACAGGGCTCTTATTGCCAGGGTGGCTGATGTCCCAGACCTTGACGCAGCCCTTCCCGCCTGTGTACACGTGTCTCGTGGGGTTGCTGATGGTCACAGCGCACACCACCTCCCCGTGGTTGAGGGTGTTGATCTGGCGAGCATGCCGGGGGATTCCGGGTCCGATGAGGGCGTCGGGGGGAAAAGGGACAGGCTGCATCTGACCGTCTGCAGTAACGTGGAAGGAGTATGCACTTTTGGAAAAACGATTGGAGAGAAGACAGAAAACACATTTACAGAGGAAGCAATCCCTATCTCGGCAATGTGCTACGACTATGAAAAAGATGAAAAAAAGGAAAGATTCTCTTGTATAGTTTCCTTTGAAATCAATACAAATTGAAGCATTTACTGCTGGTGCAAATTTAAAATAATTAATAGCAGAAATCTAGCGTGTACCAAATGACATATATATTGAACTGTATGTAAAATTTTTTAAGGGTTTTAAATTGTTCTTACCCATTCTGTAAAGCATTCCCTCAAATCTCATTATAAAACACTTAATGTACTTCCAAATGAACATAAAATACCTCCTTCCATGTATCTTGTGTAATTGTATGATTTCTTAGTATAATTTTAAATGATTGTTTTCCCTGCTAAAGATGAAGCCCTTAAGAACTAATAATAATTAAACAGAGTAGATATATTTCAACAGCAAAAACAACCTCCAAAAAAACAGCTTTCTAAAAATACCAGTTTATGGTATGGACTTCAACTTTCTCTTGCTTAAGGAAGAGAAAATAAGAGATTATCTTATATGGCTGTAAACAGAGATTTTAGGTTTCCTACTCAACAATCTTCCTTGCCTACCTTGGTCAGGAACGCCATTATATAAAACAGCAAAGTGTGCAGCTAAAAAACTACTCTTCCCCGGTCTCCTTTAGCCCAGCCTGCCTATGTTCTGACCAATGAGGTGTAAGAAGAAGCTGTTGGATGGCATTTTGAGGAAGCTCTGAACTTGAAAGAGGGGAGAGGGATGGGGGATATGGGAACTCTCTGTAACTTTCCACTCTATTTTGCCAAGAACCTATAACTGCTCTAAAAAAATAAATAGGGAGAGAGCATACTTGCCCTCTTCTCTTCTTCCTTCCCACTGCCTGAGCTAAGAGCAAGATGACTGGTGCTCCTACGGCCCCTCTGGGCCACAAGTTGATTTCAAAGACAGAAATCAATTGCTGGATAGCAAAGACTTGGAACCAACCCAAATGCCCATCAATGACAGAATGGATAAAGAAAATGTGGCACATATACACCATGGAATACTATGCAGCCATAAAAAAAAGGATGAGTTCATGTCCCTTGCAGGGACATGGATGAAACTGGAAACCATCATTCCCAGCAAACTAACACAGGAACAGAAAACCAAACCCTGCATGTTCTCACTCATAAATGGGAGTTGGACAATGAGAACAATGAGATCGCGCCACTGCACTCCAGCCTAGGCGACAAGAGCAAGACTACGTCTTAAAAAAAAAAAAAATTATGCACATTCTACTTTGAAGACCACTACTTCCACTTTCTTAACTTGAAATCACTAAGAGAGCTAGAAGTTCAAACCATAAACAATAAGTGAAGTATGCACTGCTTCCTCCTTCCCATTACCCTCGAGAAAGTCTGGGCCCTTTCTGGAGCTTGTCATTGGCAGCTTTAAATATAATGTAAACACCATGAGTACTAACACAGAGCTTAAATTTTCATTTTAATACAAACTCAAATTTTGTAAAGTAACTTAGCAAGCACAAAACTGAAAACCGATTATGCCAGGTCTCTAGCACCCTGCACTTAAAACCCACATACATTTGCTTGAAAATAAAATGCATGCTATTATCTTCCCTCCATAAAAGCAAAATATCAGACACATGAAGACTTTTAAACTTCCCCTCCACTCAATCACAGGACATAATCTCAATCTGTTATCTGCTGGCAAATTGGTTCCAGTAACTAATAGTAAATAGCTTTTTGGCCCAAATCCTTAATGTTACTCTTAATTTGAATGAATAAGCACGTATAATGGGAACCATGGAGACTGTCCTGGGGAATAAATACACATATAAAAACAATATAGCTCAAAGCCCTCACATCACCAAACCACTCAATCTCATTTTTTATCCAACAGGATTATTTGGTGTCCTTAGCAATATATCGAGTCCACATGATATTTCAACATGCACATTATAGTTAGTTGAACAGGAACCTATGCCACTTATTATGGGATACTTGGAGTCATAATCAAATAGCATTTTGTTGCCCTTGAAGACTGCCACAGAACTATGGGAGTTTAAGTCTATTCATGTCCTACAAGAATTCTAGGCTTTGAAGAATGCTCAACGAACAAAGTCCAGTAGCCAAGTTCTATGACTCAGAATCAGGCTCCATACTCTGGGTCCAAAAACAACAAAAAAATTGCCAGGTGATACTGAAGAAATGACAAGTAAATTTCCATAAAATTAAACAATTGAGGCTGGGCGCGGTGGCTCACGCCTGTAATCCCAGCACTCTGGGAGGCCAAGGCGGGCGGATCACGAGATCAGGAGATCAAGACCATCCTGGCTAACAGAGTGAAACCCCATCTCTACTAAAAATACAAAAAAATCAGCCGGGTATGGTGGCGGGCGCTTGTAGTCCCAGCTACTCGGGAGGCTGAGGCAGGAGAATGGCGTGAACCTGGGAGGCGGAGCTTGTGGTGAGCCGAGATTGTGCCACTGCACTCCAGCCTGGGCGACAGAGACTCTGTCTCAAAAAAAAAAAAAAAAAAATTAAAAAATAAAAGTAAAACAATTGAGTTGCACATGATTTAAAGGATGGTGTTTAAGATGGAGAAACTGCTTCTCAAAGATCTCGGTGCCATGAGAGAAATTACACATGTGAGGATTAGTTTTTCTCTGTGTACCACAAATCAAGCTGGGCGCCTCCAGGTAAGGCCAGGTTTCCATGAGGCACCCTTTCATCAATCTCAGATTTTTCAGAGAAAGGAGATTTTATCTTCCTCCAACTGGAAGCCTGCTTATCATAGAGTTAAATGTTCCAGATTAAATAGATGCACCGAGTAACAGACGGGAGATCTGTCTGCTGATCTTTGGAAGACACCCACTTCTCTCCCAGGTGTCCTCTTCTTTAAACTGCACAGGAGGCCTGCGATCATCATATGGAGGCAATTTAAAATTGATTCACAATGCAGCGAGCTGCTGTCAGAAGCTGTGAACACTCATCCGTCCCACGGGAAGCCCATATGGATGTTAATACATCAGTCACAGGGGGCCTCGCAGGAAGCTGGTGCTGCCTGCTGTGCTGGAGAGCCAAATCAAATGAACACGCCAGAGCAACACAAAGGGTGGATGGGCCTTTAGGAGGGATCAACTGGAAGGAAAAAACCAGGGGAGGAAATTATTCACCTACAATAATAACAGAGCTTTTTCAATAAAAGGCCACACTGAGGGCTCATCATGACCATGGTGAAGGGATCCCAGAAGGAAACTTAACTTTCTCTACTGGTTGAGGAACTAGGAAAAGTAAAACCAATCAGAAAGAGGAATGTATAAACAGATAGTGAGCATTCATGAATATCGCTCACACCTGAATTCAGAATGAAGCCAGATACAAAATAATGGACATGGAAATGACCGCATTTCTAGAATTTCGAACACAGGCAAAATTCATCTGCAGTATTGAAAGTCAAGGTGGTGGTTAACCTTGGTGACTGCAAGGGGCATGGGAGGGGTTTCTGGGCAATGATCCTGCTCTGTTCCTTGATCCAAGGGCTGGTTACACAGGTGGCTGCCTTTGGTGAAAAGTCACTGAGCTAGACATGTATGATTCATGCACTTTTCTGTATGTGTATGGTATTCCAATATTTAAAGTTTAGATTCATTTACTTATTCAAGAGGAAGTCGAGGGGAAGGCTCGTAACCAGTTAACACATTAGATTAGGTCCACAGGCAAATCAAGTGCCCAAACTTTGCTGTTAAATGAACCTCTCTCTGGTTCTCTGGCTACGTCAACTGCGGTCTTGCCAATCAGCCAGCCTGCAGTCTAGAATGTGTCTGTTTCGTGATCCATAAGATAGGAATAATAATAAAACACAGAGGTCGCAGGGGTTGCTGTAAGGATTAAAGTGGTAACAGCTGCAAAACACTTAACACAGCACTTGACACCTGCAGTGAGTCTTCAGGAAATGACAGTATTGTTATCGCACCACCACGACTTAAAAAAAAGCCAAGTGAAGATACGTTGAATTGAGGGCTTTATCTCAACCAGTGGACAAGTATGTGGGTCAGGGAATGCGGAAAGGGAGGAAGACGCAGGGTGGGGATCAGGAAAGCACAAGGGCAGTGATGAGGCAACAAAAAATACAAAATTCTTAAGTCATCAAAGGTGAGAGTGGGGGAAATGGCAGTTGGCAAAGACTAGAACAAACGCCCAAAGAGTAGAGATGGACGTTTGGATAGAATCGTGGCAAACTGCAGGGCAGACAGTCAGTCCTGGATCCCTCCTTAGGGGCCATACAGCGAAGCCCACCTGCATCTCAGAAAGCCTCAGAACTGAGACCCAGCCCCCACCTAGCTTTCTGAATCAAGCTCCTACAGATCAGGATCGCTTCTGCTTCTGAAGTCTGGTGTCAGAATCGAAAAGAATAAAGCCCACTCGACTTCACAGATGTAAAACATGAATGATATAAAAACCCATTAAGAGCAAGGGGCTTTTCATTTACTGGGCACACAGCAGAGGTGAAGGAACTAAAAGCAAAGAGTCCCCACCGGGCTCCTTCGCAGCTGTGGTGAACTGGAAAACAAGACTGTGTTCCAAGGGGGCAGGTTGTTTTTTCCTAGCAGACCAGGCTCCTGTTAATAAAACTATGCTGTGTTCTGTGGTCAAAGGAAAACAGGTGTTTACAGGGTTGTTGGTTTCCTGGAAATAGGAACTGCAGTGGCAGAATCAAGTAAACAATAATGAAGAACCACAGACCCCAGAGAGGACGGCTGTGGTCAAGCCCCGCTGCCTACGGACTTGGCACTCTGGATGTGAAATTGTTAGCTATATTAACAAGGATCAAAAATCTGATCGTGTCAAAAACCTTCATTCGCTCTTCAAGCTCTTTAGGGCTCATGAAGCCCTTTACAATTTAGTGCCAACAAGTCTTACTTCATGTGACCTTAAACTCCCAGCCACACAGGACAACAGGCCAGTCCCCTAAAATATCACATGCTGTCACATCTCCAAGTTGCGCACAAACTGTTCCCTCCCGCTAGAACAGCACCGCTTCCCTCCCAAGTACACGCCGCTTCCTCCCTCCCTCTGCCTGCCACGAACTCCCCAGCCTTGATGATTCTTTCCCAGGGTCCTAACCTTTCCTATTAACCTCTCTAATAGTACTTCTCATATGGTGAACATTTAAGTCTTTCCGATTCCAGAGTTCTTCAGGGGCAGGCAGAAGGTTTCACCAGCCAGCACTCCATCAAAGGATCAGAACACCACAAGCTGTCTACTGTTACCTAATCACTTATATATTGAGGAAAAGTTGCCCTGGTAAGGAAAATCTGCTAAAATAAGGTGGGCATTCCTCTCTAAGCCCCTGGGTTATGCCAGCCAACTTTTCCCAGGCAACGTCTAGCAATTATACCAAATGTCACTAAGAGATGGTAGCAGTTTCCTAAGGGGGAAAGGCAGTCTCTAGACAGCTGACTTAGACCACAGAAAAGATAATGAAAGCAATGACAATAATGAAGTGAAATCCATAGCTTTCCCCTAAGCCAGCTAAATCCAGTGGATGCTGGGCCCTTCCCAAGTAAGCTGTGGCAGAAGCAACCAGAGGTCACATGGAACAAGCTCCATCCTGCATCTGGGCCCTGGAAAGCAGGACCCACACAGTCAAGTGCAAGAAGTCAGAAGGCACAAGCAATTGCTTCAGTTTAATGACCAGTAACATGTGGGCACCAAGCCTAACTAACTTGAGCCTCATTTCCCCATTTTTACAATGTGCCCTGACAAAACTTAGCCTATGAACAGGACTGCTGAGGTGTGAAGTAATGAAGCCACATGGGAAAGTACTTCAAGAAAACTATGAAGCGCAATATAGTCAACCTTTGTTTGCCACATCACAGGAGGGGGCTCACTATCCCTTACTGTTTAGAGATGAGGGAAGGTGGCACAGGATAGGCTAAGTAACTCGCCCATAACCACGGCTAGTAAGCGGTAGACCAACTCCAGCTCAGCCCAGCTGCAAAAGTGGAGCTGTTAATCTTTACCTTAGCTTCCACATCAGCACTACCTGTGACGTTATCCCCTCAAGAGGGATAACGTGGGACCCACCAGGACAAAGACACCTACCCCACACATCGTGAGCAACATAAGGCATGTCGACATCGTGAGTGTGACTGTGGGGGCTGGGGGAACCGGGCTCCTTATGGAATGGATGAGAATAATGTAATTTATGATTCCAGAGGATACTCTTAGCCTGAAAACTAATAAAGGCGGTGGCTGGGAGGAATAGTGACATGGGGCTCATAAGAAAATCAGTCTTATTATTCTAAGACTTTAGAAGAAAGTATAATTTACCTGCTATGGGTAAAACCTTCCTCTGTCAATTTTTTTTAAGGGTCTGCACATCTAACCCATGACATCTACAAAATTTTTCCAGTTTGGCCATTTGCGTATTCTTCCAAATAGAAAATATGCAGAACAGGGTATAATTCCCACCTTATTTGGAAGACAGCATTTCTGTGTTAACGGAGGGCTTTATTAACAACTAACTTGAAAGTAGCAAACTTCAAAGCATTAGGTTGGGAGACTCTTTGTTTCCTTATTTAGAGGCATACACTCTATTTTCATTTATTTTTTTTAAAGGCAAATACAAAACTTCTTAAAATGGATATGTAAAAGAAGATTACAAGCAAAGAAAACAAGAAACAGATGACCTAAGTTGATAAATGAGGAAGTATTCCAGCCAAAGTCAACATTTAAGATTCTGAGTTCTAGGACCTAACTTCCTCTATCAATTACACGTTTCCAAACTTCTCAATGTGCTGGGGCAGGAACAAGGCTCCTAAACAGGACAAAGATACAAATGGAGAAATTCTTGGATGGAAAGTAAAACAAAAAGAGGCTTAATATATTGCTATTTCAAAGCTAAACTAAAAAATTCCAGCAAAGGAACTATCACTACAGACAAAAACGAGCATTATCCAAGCAAGAAATATACACACTACATTTATATCCCATAAACCAAAAGTCATTTCTGACAAGGTGAAGAGGGAGAGAGAGAAGTAAAGTGAGGAATTATTATAGCTAAACACAACTGACATCAAAAGGAAGGTCCTCCCAGCTACTCAGGAGGCTGAGGCAGGAGGATCCCCTGAGCTCAGGAGTTTGAGGTCACCCTGGAGATCCCCATCTCATTTTTCTTTTTAAAAAGGAACGGCCTCACCTCAACTTAATTTCAAAAAATTAAGCTACATATTCCTATATCAGAAGGTAGAAAAACAGAAATTAAACTAATACCCACATGGCAATAATAAGGAACAAAATGGGCATGTTATTTTTAGCATTTAATAGACCAAAAAAAAAAAAAAAAACCTACCCAAATATCACTGTGATGGTCAATTTTATATGTCAACTTGATTAAATCAACTAAGGGACACCAGAGTGGCTGATAAAACTATTTCTAGGTGTGCCTCTGAGGCTGTTTCTAGAAGAGATTAGCATTTGAATAGGTAACCTGAGTAAAGAAGGTCCCCCACCAGTGCAGGTGGGTATCACTGAAGGCCTGGACAGGACAGAAAGTTAGAGGAGGAGCAAGTGTGCCCTTCACTTGAGCTGGAACATCTACCTGCTGCTCTCGATTATCAGTGCTACTGGTTCTCAGGCCTCAGCTTGGAGTAGAACTGCGCCAGCTTTCCCGGGCCTCCAGCTTGCAGACAATAAATCATGGGATTTCTCAGTCT
Source organism: Homo sapiens (assembly GCF_000001405.40). Lineage (NCBI taxonomy): Eukaryota > Metazoa > Chordata > Mammalia > Primates > Hominidae > Homo > Homo sapiens. Next base: position 81,601,015 of record NC_000009.12, read on the forward strand.
ACACAGTCGTGTGAGCCAATCCCTCCAAATAACTCCTTCTCCATATCCATATCTATAGTTTATTGGTTCTGTTTCTCTGGAGAACCCAGAGTCATACAACCCCATCAAATAAAAAGAGGGCTGAATCAATTTTCAAGTCCACTAAATAAGCGAGCTGTGGAATCTAGACAAAAACAGAGAAACCAGAAGATCAGAAACAGAAAAAGTGGGGTGAAAGGGGGAAGCCCCCGGCCACTGAAACTTTTTCTTGGCTAAAAGCCTGGAAAGGGTCTCTAATCACTGCTGCAAGTGTTTTCCTATGAGGCAATTTTACCCCAAACGTAGTTAAGATTTTTCTTTTCCCTTTAGGCTCTAAACCAAAAAGGTACTTTAAAGATTTATTTAAACACTAAACAAGTGGGTAGAAGATTTCTAAATTACATGTCTGGCATTAAAACATAGGGTGAAAGGACCTGTAACTACCCTAGACTCTTAAGCCAAACTATTATTAGCCTGAGTTATTACTGACCTCTAGGTGCTAATATATAAGGCAGGTAGAGCACAGCCCCCAGGTATTTATAGGGAGAACAGCAGTGCTACAGTGCCAGAAAAAAAAAAAAAAAGTCTAACTAAACTTTGGAATTTCTCTTACCAATGATCTCCACAGAGCTCAGGGGAATAAATGTCCTAAAACTAAAAATGAATTCAAGTTATGCTGAACTAAACAATACCAATTAAATCCAGCCTTGAGGGTATGAAAACAAGCTCAGGGTTACCTCTTATAAACCAACACTACTTAATAATTCGAAAATGCGAACAAGGGATCTCCTTTAGAAAAGAATGAATCACAGGATCTTACACAATCCTGGACCTGTCTCCCACCTATTCAAGGCAACGAACATTTGTTTCCTGGGTATCTATGCTCAAGGGACAAGACTTCGGGAACTTCCATCCTCCTGGGGAGGAAGCAGATAGAAACACGGCTTGTACACGATTATAATCCAAGCTCTCAAAAGTGTGAGAAGTGTCATAAGATGTTTCACGGTGCAACTGGAGGGAGACCATAGATGGGAAGGCATCCATGAAGGCTTCATGAAGGAGGTAGCAACTCAAGTGGGCTTTGAAGGACAGAAAATACTTCAACAGAAAGAGACCAGTGAGAAGGGAAGCTGCTCCAGGGAGCAGGGGCTGGAGTCATCAGGGAACAGAGGCTCATCCCATTGTGTTAGCACAGGATGTAAAGCACACAGGACATGGCACCGGAAAAGCAGGCTGGGGGGATATTACCAGCGGGGCCTTGAAGGGCACGTCGGTTTATACAGGTCGAACATCCCTTATCCAAAATGCTTCAGGACCAGAAGTGTTTCTGATGTCGGATTTTTTTCAGACTTCAGAATATTTACATATACATAAATGAGTCATCTTGGGGATGGGACCCAGTCTAAACACAAAATTCATTTCTGTTTCATACAGACCTTATGCACTTAGCCTGAAGGTGATTTTAGTTTTCCCTTGGGGATACCAAATAAACTGTGTGTTGTGTGTTTTGACCGCACCTTGTCACATGAGGTCAGGTGTGGAATTTTCCATGTGTGGCTCATGTCGGTACTCAAAAAGTTTCAGATTTTGAAGCATTTTGGATTTTGAATTTTCGAATTAAGATGCTCAATCTGTATTCAACTTTTGAAGATCTCTGTGCAACACATGGACCTGATAAGTGCTTTACAATAAAGAATACACTGACAGCAATCTGATGAGGAAGGAAGACAACACTCAGCTAGGACCTTACTGACAAAACTGGGCATGAGAAAGGTGAGAATTTTAACAAAGAATAAGACTGTTAAAAAAAAAACGAGTTAAATGGGGAAGAATCTAACACTAAAGTTTGGGCTCAGATGTCAGAGGGAATGGGAATGATGCTTTAACAAAGAGAAGAAGTTTGGGGAGGCTGGAATGGGTATGAGAGAGGAGGGAAGGTGACCAGGGTGGTTGGGAAACCCATCTTGTCATCTTAACACCGGAAACAGGAGTGTGGAATGGTAGCACTACAAGTCATCTTACTCTGTTCCACTCTGATTGACAACAGCGTGAAGTCACCGGGCCTTTGCACATGCTGCTCTCTCCACCTAGAGGTTCAGCCCCTTCCCCTATTGGGTTAGTGCAGCTCTGAAAACCCTTCTGCAGGGAATCCCTGCTTGACTATTCTCAATGGGATCAGTCCCCCATGCTGTGTCATAGGCTTTCTAGGACACTGTTCCTCTGTAATAGCTCCGTGGTAGCCTCAGGGTCTACAATTCTGCCTTGGATTTTGTGATTATTTAACTCATGTTCCCCTTGAAGGATCCTGTTCAGGATATGCCACACCAAATATGCCCTTTCGGTATATTGGTTATATTGAGCTGAAAACACTTGAGAAATGAGAGATCCAGGAAAGACTTTCTGACCTCTCTCTTTCTATACAAAAACAGGCCATAAAATTTCCCACGAGAAAGGTGCCCTCCCTGTACCAGAAACAGAAGAACAGCCTTATCACCAGAGTCTGGGAATCAACACTAAAAGGGATTTCCACAAATAAACTTACCAAAATAACCTTTGTCTCCCACAAGTTTTCCCCCAATATATCTATCTCTTAGTTACTTCCCCACAATTTACTGCCTCCAGCCCAAAACTCTTTTTCTTGTCATGTCTTCACAAATTTGTCATTTCTTTGTATAAAAGTGATACAAGGTCAGGCGTGGTGGCTCATGCCTGTAATCCCAGCACTTTGGGAGGCCAAGGTGGGTGGATCACCTGAGGTTATGAATTCAAGACCAGCCTGGCCAACATGGTGAAACCCTGTCTCTACTAAAAACACAAAAATTAGCCGGACATGGCGGTGTACGCTTGTAATCCCAGCGACTCGGGAGGCTGAGGCAGGAGAATCGCTTGAACCCGGGAGGTAGAAGTTGCAGTGAGCCGAGATTGGGCCACTACACTCCAGCCTGGATGACAGAACGAGACTTTGTCTCAAAAAAACAAAACAGAACAACAAAAAAAGGTGATACAAGCTGTCTGCTCTGGTCGCTTCTTTGGGTCTTCATTTCCTTGTGAAGACTCCCATGTACACCTAAATTCTTAATAAGACTTGCATGCATTTCTCCTGTTAATCTATCTTATGTCAGTTTGATTCTCAGGCCCAGCGGCAGACTCTGAGAGGGCAAAGGAGAATTTTTCCTTCCCTGCACCCCATCCTAGGCTGTGAGCTCCCGGTGGGGTCCCCTATGCCTATGCAGGAGGTCTCAATAAAATCTGTGAAAGTGTGGATGGAAAGGAAGTGACAGGATCTGGATCTTAGTGAGCAGGTGATGTGGGAACCCTAAACCATGGCCCACAAGAGAGGGCTGAAGCGACAGACAAATTCTAGCCAGAAGAGAAGCCTCAGGGTGGTGTGGAGGTCTCCAAACACTGAAGAGCTGCCATGAGGATGATAGATTAGCAGTGTGCTGTGTGGTCTCAGCGGGTAGGAAAGAGCCAGGATTGATGAGTCAAAGTTCCAGGGAGACAGATTCAGCTCAAGGGCTAGAAGAGTTTTCACACAGTCATGGAAAATGCATTGTTCTGGGCAGCAGTGGGTCCCCCATCCTTGGACACGCACGGTCAGAGGCACACTGTCACTGCACGAGGCTATCTTAGCAGACTTGAACCATGGATGAGCATTTATACTAAAGGGACATTAAGGTCCCTCCTGCCCCAACTGAACTCTTCTGGCTGTAACACTCAGGAGGCACTCATCCACCTGCACATGGATCCCTCAAGCTCTCTCTCTGTGCACGACACAGACTGTGCCTCCCCGGTTCCATGGGAAACTCATTCCTTCCTGCATGCGCTTCAGCTTCACCCCACGAAGTCTTTCTGACCCTAATTTTGGTCACTTCTTTACATGTCTCCCTATCACCCACTGCTCTGCCTCAAGAGCACATATCACAAGTCAAACCAGGATATTTACTTTTCTTTTAATGACATCATCAAGCCCCCAAGGGCAGAGAAGGCTGAGAGCACCCTCTTTCCTGGAGCATGCCTGGCATCGCACACAAAGCCTGACAGTTCACACTCAGTCTATGAATGGCAACTGTGCCTTCCGTCTGCCTCACCCAAGCATTCTTTCCGTGGGTATTTTTCAGAGAATTATTTGTATAACTTTTAACGCCTTGTTCACTCTATCCTGGACACATGAGTTTGTCCTCATTTCTCTTAAGTGCCTCAGACCAGCCCTACTCAACGTGTGGTCAGCAAACACTGGCTACTGTTTGCAGTGAGATGAGTGCAGTCATCGAGAGTGAGCGACAGCAACCTGAGGACTTAGGGCTGTTGACTCTTGTAACAACAAAAAATGGACTTGGATTTGGTATCTTTTCCCTCCTATTCATTTGTATTGTATGTTACAAATGTACCTATCTTTGACTTACGGGGCGGGGCGGGGAACTGGTCTGTCACCATAAATAGTTTGAGCAGCACTGCCTCAGGCAATATTACTTTACTAAATAGTAAGAACAACAAGTCCTCTCATACTAATTAATAGATATGGGCAGTCATACGTAGAAAGCTGAAACTGAATCCCTTCCTTACACCTTATATAAAAATTAATTCAAGATGGATTAAAGATTTAAATATTAGACCTAAAACCATAAAAACCCTAGAAGAAAACCTAGGCAATACCATTCAGGACATAGGCATGGGCAAAGACTTCATGACTAAAACACCAAAAGCAATGGCAACAAAAGCCAAAATAGACAAATGGGATCTAATTAAACTAAAGAGTTTCTGCACGGCAAAAAAAAAAAAACTACCATTAGAGTGAACAGGCAACCTACAGAATGGGAGAAAATTTTTGCAATCTACCCATCTGACAAAGGGCTAATATCCAGAATCTACAAAGAACTTAAACAAATTTACAAGAAAAAAACAACCCCATCAAAAAGTGGGCAAAGGATATGAACAGACACTTCTCAAAAGAAGACATTTATGCAGCCAACAGACACATGAAAAAATGCTCATCATCACTGGCCATCAGAGAAATGCAAATCAAAACCACAATGAGATACCATCTCATGCCAGTTAGAATGGCGATCATTAAAAAGTCAGGAGACAACAGATGCTGGAGAGGATGTGGAGAAATAAGAACACTTTTACACTGTTGATGGGACTGTAAACTAGTTCAACCATTGTGGAAGACAGCATGGCAATTCCTCAAGGATCTAGAACTAGAAATACCATTTGACCCAGCCATCCCATTACTGGGTGTATACCCAAAGGATTATAAATCATGCTGCTATAAAGACACATGCACACATATGTTTATTGTAGCACTATTCAAAACAGCAAAGACTTGGAACCAACCCAAATGTCCATCAATGATAGACTGGATTAAGAAAATGTGGCACATACACACCATGGAATACTATGCAGCCATAAAAAAGGATGAGTTCATGTCCTTTGCAGGGACATGGATGAAGCTGGAAACCATCATTCTCAGCAAACTATCACAAGCACAAGGACAGAAAACCAAACACTGCATGTTTTCACTCATAGGTGGGAGCTGAACAATGAGAACACTTGGACACAGGTGGGGAACATCACACACTGGGGCCTGTCAGCAGGTGGGGGACTGGGGGAGGGATAGCATTAGGAGAAATACCTAATGTAAATAACGAGTTGATGGGTGCAGAAAACCAACATGGCACATGTATACCTATGTAACAAACCTGAACATTGTACACATGTACCCTAGAACTTAAAGTATAATTAAAAAAAAAACCATATATATATATATAGAGAGAGAGGCAGTAAGATTGTATATAACCCAGATCCTGGCAACAATGGCAAAGTTCATTTTTCCTTCTGATATTAAGTCTATCTTCCTCACATAATATGGCTCAAACATGAAAGAGAATCCTAAAAAATATATTTTAGGCCAGGCATGGTGGCTCATGCCTGTAGTCCCAGCACTTTGGGAGGCCATGGCAAGAGGATCACTTGAGCCCAGGAGTTTGAAACCAGCCTAGGCAACCCAGGGAGACCCAGTGTCTCTAAAAAAAAAAAAAAATGGAGAGAGAGAGAGATTTTAATTATTTTAGAGCAAGCAATGATTGCCAAAGGCCAATGGCGATTTTGACCAAGATGAGAAAAGTACCCCGACATAGTATCACAACATTGGCCACTGTGTCCACTGTCCTTGTCCTTAGGCACATTGTGATTCTAGTTTGCATGGCTCTGAACACAAAGAAATGCAAGGTGCTCACAAGCCAAGGACATGAATACTTTAATAAGCATGATATTACTTCTGTCTTACAACTGACCCTGTTAATACACACACACACACACACATATAAGGAATAGGGTCCAATTTAACTGTGCCCACCCACCAGCCTTCCACCCTAGCATCACAGCTCACAGCTCTGCTCACCCGCCTTCCCCCACTGCATCTTCTATTACACCCAAGTGGGGGCTTAGCAGCTGAACACACGCCCCGTACCTCTAACTCTTGAAGCTAGCTTTTTCCCTAAGGATCAGCTGAACTTGGCCTTATTTGCCTGTTATTCCACCAAAGGTTCATTGGTTACTGGTATTACTGCTTCTCATCACAACTTTACTGGTTTGCCCTTTATCCACTCACCAATCAGTAGAACACAACAGCTACAACACTGCTGGCAACCACAGATAGGAAATGCTCGCAAGTGCCCCAAGGACCTCCCAGGCTGGAAGCAGGGGGGCATTCCCAAATTCCCAAGAAAACACACCAGGTAGTAACTAGTTCATGGGTACTCAACTGGAAGAGAACTACCAGCTAAGTGAACATTAAGCAATACTACCCCTGACTCCCTTCATTGGGCACAGAGGTCATCATAAATTCCTAACATTGCTACTGATTCCTAGTGTAGACAAAAACCTCATTTCATAATGAATCAAATTATTGTGAAACAGATATTATAATATATGAAAAGTAGAGCAATGGGAATCGGCTTTCCTAAAAAGCAGGTGACAGGGTAAGAAATTCAATTTTATCTCATGCTGGTGGTTTATTTGAAACAAGGCTCTTATCAAAACCACACAAGGATGACCGGGCAGCTGAGTGGACTGCTCAAAATAATTCACCATGCTGGGCGTGGTGGCTCATGCCTGTAATCCAAGCACTTTGGGAGGCCAAGGCAGGAGGACTGTGTGAAGCCAGGGCCTCACAACTTTACCGGTTTGCCCCTTATCCACTCACCAATCAGTGGAATACAATAGCTACAACACTGCTGGCAACCACAGATAGGAAATGCTCACAAGTGCCCCAACGACCAGCCTGGGCAACATAGGGAGACCCTGTCACTACAAAAATAAATTTAAAAATTGGCCAGGTATGGTGACACACGCCTGTAGTCTTAGCTACTCAGGAAGCCAAGGCAGGAGGATGGCTGGAGCCTAGGAGGTCGAGGCTGCAGTGAGCTGTGATTGTGCCACTGCATTTCAGCCTGGGCAACAGAGCAAGACCCTGTTTCTAAAAATAAAAAACTCACTAATGTGACATGCAAGTGACGTACTGATAAAAGCTGAAAGCAACCACATGAAGGCAAGGGTATGACAAAAACAAACTGAAGGCCTAAGACATGTAGCACCAGTACCTTTATTGAAACAAAATCAGCTGGGCACGGTGGCTCACGCCTGTAATCGCAACACTTTGGGAGGCTGAGCAGGGCAGATCAGCTGAGGTCAGGAGTTCAAAACCAGCCTGACCAATATGATGAAACCCCATCTCTACTAAAAATACAAAAATTAGCCAGGCATAGTGGCATGCACCCATAATCCCAGCTACTCGAGAGGCTGAGACAGAAGAATTGCTTGAACCCGGGAGGCAGAGGTTGCAGTGAGCCGAGATCGCACCACTGCACTCCAGCCTCGGCAACGAGTGAAACTCCGTCTCAAAAATAATAAAAAAAAGAAAGAAAGAAAGAAAAAGAAAAAGAAAAAAAAGCAACAACATTTGCAAAGATCTGCTGCCTTAAAGAAAAAGAAAAAAAACAACATTTGCAAAGACCTGCCCCCTCCCCTCCCCTTTCCTCTCCTCTCCTTTCCTTTCCTTTCCTTTTTGAGACAGAGTCTCCTTCTGTCACCCAGGCTGGAGTGCAGTGGCATGATCTTCACTCACTGCAACCTCCGCCACCCAGGTTCAAGCGATTCTCTGGTCTCAGCCTCCCGAGTAGCTGGGATTACAGGCACATACCACCACGCCCAGCTAATTTTTGTATTTTTAGTAGAGACGGGGTTTCGCCACATTGGCCAGGCTGGTCTCGAACCCCCGACCTCAGGTGATCCACCCGCCTCAGCCTCCCAAAGTGCTAGGATTATAGGCGTGAGCCACTGCGCCTGGCCTCTGCTATTTTCTATCTTAGGAGAAGGCAGAGTTTTGCTGCTAAGCAAAACAGACCTTCACATTTCAATTCTGCTGTTTAAAAAATTTGAGAACTTTAGCAATTCTTTGAAATCACACTTCTAATTACTAACATTATGAAAATGAAGCAATTTTTAAAGTGACCCAGGAAGAATAGCCAATTGAGTTTTTTTAAATTCCAATTCTTTTGTGCACTGGACACAAAATGAACATTAACTTTTCCTGCTTCCCCACGAAGCCACTTTGCTTTTTATAATTCTAGATCTCTTGGAGCACTCATCAAAACTTTACTTGGGGGTAAACCTGGGGTGCTGGCATCCAACACAACCTACCCTTCAAATAACTCTTGTTTCCACCAAAATAAGAAAAAGGTGGCACAGAGCTGAGTAAAGAGATGACACATTTCAAAAAAGTGTCTAAGCCTGCAAGAGTTCGTGACAGCTGACTGCCCACAGCACAGCACTGTTGGGAATCTCCAGCAGCTGCCCTCTAGCCAAATGGCAGAGCAGAGCAGAGCAGCTTTCTGAGGGGTCAGGCGAAGAGGGCCAGCCACCTCCAGCTCTTTCCTCCCACCTCGTCCTCATCTCCAACAGTTTCTCTCCAGAAATAACTAAGGAGATCACCCCCAGGGAGAAGACAGAGGCATGACACCTACAAGCTGCCTATTTATAGAAAGTGTTAACACTCCTCAGGAAAAGACACCAGAAATCTCCTTGGAAACGCCCAAGCCTGTACTCCCTTTGGAATTCTAGTCTGCTAATACCAATGACTGAGTAACCACCTTTAAAACAAAACCAAGGTCTTTGAGGTACTTACGGTTTCCCCCCAGGGATTCCTGCCAGGTTTGGAGGAATGGTAGGTACTCTCATGTGAGGGGGAGGATCAAACCCCACCTGGAAACAAAAATAAGGCATTGCAGACTCAGTTTATTGCAGCAGGCACTTTGTGAACATCAATACTGTTCATTAGAAACTCACAGATCCCCAAAGCAACATAAATGGGAACAGTAACATGGCCTAGTGTTTTTCTTTTTAATTACTATGCAAGAGGTAATATAAGCACCCCTGAACGCCACAAGACCCACTTCCTTTTTGGGAGGTAGAGAGGAGATGTGATCTATTTGTGCACTGAGAACCACTTCCCCATGGTAAATACTTCCCTTAGACTTGCAAGCAAGTTCACAGAGCAGTATGTTGTATTAGGATTTCTCAACCTCAGCACTATTGACATTTGGGGCCAAACAGTTCTTTTCTTTGTTAGGGGCCGTCCTGGGCGTTGCAGGATGCTGAATATCATTCCTGGCCCCTACTGTTTATGTGCCAAGAGGAATCCATACCTGCCCCCCCTCCCACCCCCAGTTATGATAATCAAAAGTGTCTCCAGATATTATCAAATGTCCTCAAGGGACAAAATCATCCCCAGTTGCATACATGGGTCTAATTTAATGCTTAAGGATTCATACATGGATTCCCTACTTTGTGCAGCGTTAAGGACAGCATGTAGTCTCTCAGCTGACCACCTTACTTTCAACACTTTGCCCGCCACTGCACAGCCTCTCCTACAAGTGCAATATCAGGAAAAACAAATGAATCTTAATGTCACCGCAAACTAGTGGAGGTAATGCTATGTGAAGAGGGGACAAGAGAGAAAGGTAGAGGACATTTTTCAAACAGCCAAGAGAAATGACGGTGGGACTTTATACCCTTAATGCAATCAACGATCACAGAGCCAATTCTACCCTTCAAATGCAGTTTTGTTTCTTCTTGTTCAAAAATTAGATCATTTGCACAGTGGCAAGAGGCAGGGCAAACAGACGAGAGACAGCCTGCCCCCGTGGTTCAGTCTGTCCAGAATTCTACCTGTTTACAGAGACCACTGCTTATATATAAGTCATGCTATTGGGTTTAAAGTGTAACATAGGCATAGAAAGAGAAAGCGATGGCTTCTCAGACATTTTTTCCTAAGGTTTAATGAGAAAAAAAAAGTTCAAGAAAATGAATGAAAAGGCTTCTGTGAACCACTCGAATCATTTCATCGCCTTCAAATAAAAAAAATCGACTTTGGTGGGAGAAAACCAGATGTCCCCTGAACCACTGAAGGAGCTTCTAAACACTGCCTTTTTCATCCACAAAAACACTAAAACAAAAAACGTTTGGCCCTCACTTAATGAAGCAGCATGCTGATGAAAGCTGACAAGAGGAAGGTGAGTGTGTGGCTGGGAGACTGGGCGTCTTTGTCTCCGAGGTGTGTGGGGCTGGCTGCTCCTGCCCACGCAGCGCAGAGAGGCCTGGCCCCAAACCTGACAGCGCTCAATGGAGCATGCAGCGTTCCTACCCCAACCACAGCCCACCCGACAGCGGCCTACCATGGGGGAGCGCCCGTAGGCCACCACGGCGGCCGCGGCGGCTGCGGCGCTCATCTGGGGCGACATGTTGTGTAAACTGGCGTAGGCAGCGCCTGGGCTGGTCAGCTCGCCGTTCATGCCAGCGTGGGGGACCATCCCAAAAGGAGCAGGATATGGGCCGGGCACTGCCAGGGGTGTCCTCAAGCCAGCTGCTGAAAGGAAACACAAGCCGCACATCATTCAACTGACCCACTCCATCAAACCTGACCAGCAAGTCTGGCCTCATCATTTGTTAGTGTCACTCATGGGGAGAGAGAAAGAGGTAAGGCTTCTAGGGGAGGGGGAAAATCACCTCCAATTTATACACTGGATCCCTCCTTCCCCAGAGCGAATGCATCTCCAGGAAAGAAAAGACTCCAGGGGAAGCACAACCCACACATTTTCTCATTTGTGTAAATGGCAGCACCAGGAAGCCAGGGGAATTAAGAGTATTCCCTACCCAATTTACAGAGGGCAAACCAAGGCACAGGCACCAAGTGTTTACCTGACTTAATCTCAAAAGAAGATTTTCTCGATAAAATCCAAGATTTCTCTTTCAGTCCGAACTTTCCATTCCCTGGTACCAATTCCAAATGAAAATCCAATCCTGGATTTACGTAAACCAAAGCACGGGTTTAGGAGGAATATTCTGTTGCCTATTTTCCTTTGGGCCCAGGTTGTTGCTTTTTTCCTTTCCCACTGGGGAATATCAGGTTGCAAATTATGAGTTTTTTAAGGGCTGGAGTCGCAGAGAAACCCTCCTAATTTCTACTGCAGGAGAGACCACTGATTCCTGAAGCCTCCCCTAGCAGAAAACCAGCAAACTATAGTCTGCAAGGAGCACGGTTGGGCCAGCCAAACCGCTGTTTCAGCCAGTATTAGCAAAGTCAGACGCACAATGCTAGTTAGGTGGGGAGGCTTGTGTTCAAAATAATTATCAGAAACTTTACTGAAGTCCCTAGGATTTGAATTATTTAAAACTAAAAGAAGGCTGGGCAAGGTAGCTCACGCCTGTAATCCCAGCACTTTGGGAGGCCGAGATGGGCAGATCACCTGAGGTCAGGAGTTTGAGACCAGCCTGGCCAACATGGTGAAACCCCGTCTCTACTAAAAATACAAAAATTAGCCAGGCGTGGTGGCAGGCGCCTGTAATCCCAGCTCTTTAGGAGGCTCAGGCAAGAGAATCGCTTGAACCCAGGAGGCAGAGGTTGCAGTGAGCTGAGATCCCGCCATTGCATTCCAGCCTGGGGGGGACAAGAGCAAGACTTTCGTCTCAAAGCCCAGGAGGCAGAGGTTGCAGTGAGCTGAGATCACGCCATTGCATTCCAGCCTGGGGGGACAAGAGCGAGACTTCGTCTCAAGAAAAAAAGAAAAGCTGAATGTAAACAGTTGGAGACTGAACAGAGTGCAGCTGCTGAAACCCCAGGACAAACATCTGTTTCTTATCATGGCTTTTTCAGAGATAGGAAGGAGGGTGGCCCTACGTACATTTCATATTTGTAGGGCAATTGCGTCACAACATTAACAGACAACAAATCAAGCTGGGAATGGGAGAAACCAAACAAAGCACAACAAGAGGCGATGCTGTACCCGCTTGGTTAACGAGGGGGTCTATGGCTGGAGGCTTGCCGAGACCTGGACGGAGGCCTGGAGTGGCGCTGGTGCCCGGCGTTGGCATGTCGCTCCGAGGCGTTGGTGTGCTGGATTTCAGAACAGGCGTGCTGGCTTTTTCATGCTGGTGTCATTAAACAAATTAAATGAGTATTATTTTTAATCCAAGCCATATTACACAATTTATCACAACAGCAGCTGGGACACTGGGCACCTTCTAGCTACTCCCTCAGCCAATTTTCATAAATCCACACAATGTTGACAGCATTAACTTGTGAGCGAGAAATGTTGACCTTTCCTCTTCCTGCCAGAATTAAAACTCGAGCTAGAGACACAGAACATGATCACACTTCTTCCTCCGCAGATTTTATTTTAAAAGTATTTTCCATCAGCCTTGTGGACTTTGGGTCTACGCCAAGTTAGAAAGATGACCACCCAGAGAATATTTCCCAGGCACTCAGAAACACATGTCCTGGCCGCCAAGTCCAAGGAAGACCCCTTTTCTTTTCTTTTTTTTTTTTTTTTTTTGAGATGGAGTCTCACTCTGTCACCCAAGCTGGAGTGCAGTGGCGCAATCTCGGCCTACTACAAGCTCCGCCTCCCGGGTTCACGCCATTCTCCTGCCTCTGCCTCCTGAGTAGCTGGGACTACAGGTGCCCGCCACCATGCCCAGCTAATTTTTTTGTATTTTTAGTGGAGACGGGGTTTCACCATGTTAGCCAGGATGGTCTCGATCTCCTGACCTCGTGATCCACCCGCCTTGGCCTCCCAAAGTGCTGGGATTACAGGCCTGAGCCACCGCGCCAGGCCAGAAGACCCCTTTTCAAGTCTCCTTTTTAGGTAGCCCTGGGATTGAGACAAATGGTGAGAGAGAGTGGGGCCAGTATCTCAGAGACAAAAGCCCCAGGGCTAACCTTACCAATATGCCTAAAAAGAACAACACTTTGGAGTTAAGAGTCACTGCCCACTTGCCTACATAACCAAAGTGGACCCACCAGTGCAGATCAGAGACTGAACACCAGCAAGGGGCCTTTCGGAGACCAGACAGTAACAGGGTTACAGGGCACCTTCTCTGGCCTTTCAACCTTTCATGTGCTTTACAACACAGTCCAAGAACCACTACAGCGTGGCAAAGAGCACGGGCTAAAGAGAGCTCTTTCTGACCTTGGATCATGAGCCACGGCTGTGTAGCCTTGTTAAGTTATTCATCCCTCCCAACCGGTAAAATGGGATAATGCCTACCGGGACCAGGTAAGGATTAACTGAAGGGTTGTTATGAAATGTTATTGTTAAAAGATGATGCAGTCTACAAAGTTTGATTGAATGAGTGACCACATGAGTGGGTTCTGATGCACCAGTTCCTGGCTTCCCCTGGGGCCTCCTTTGTGCATCACTGATCTGACGAGCTCCATAATATCGGGGCATGCTCTATGACATGCCCCGATATTAAGGATCAGTCTACCAGGTAAATGACCAGCCTAAGAAAATGAAGACTTAAGAATCTCGGAAGTTTGAGGCCAGGTGCGGTGGCTCACACCTGTAATCCCAGCACTTTGGGAGGCCAAGGCAGGCAGATTGCCTGAGGTCAGGAGTTCAAGACCAGCATGGCCAACATGAAACCCTGTAATAAGCCAAGATTGCACCACTGCACTCCAGCCTGGGTGACAGAGTGAGACTCCATCTCAAAAAAAAAAAAAAAAAAAAAAAAAAAAAAAAAAAAAAAAGAAGAAGAAGAAGAAGGCAATGAACATGGATGCGTGTACACCCTCTCTAATGTATGGTGGTACCAGGCGTGGTGGTGAGTGCCTGTAATCCCAGCTACTGGGGAGGCTGAGGCAGGAGAATTGTTTGAACCTGGGAGGTGGAGGTTGCAGTGTGCCGAGATCACGCCACTGCACTCCAGCCTGGGCAACAGAGTGAGACTCCGTCTCAGAAAAAAAAAAAAAGAATCTCAGAAGTTTGAACCATTTGTCAACTGGGAAGTTTCAGAGAGCTGTGTGGCAAGAACATATCCCCCAAGTAAGACGGCAATGAGGCTGGGCTTGTAATCCCAACACTTTGGGAGGCTGAGGCGGGTGGATCAAAGAGGTCAGGAGTTCAAGACCAGCCTGACAAACATGGCAAAACCCCATCTCTACTAAAAATACAAAAAAAAAAAAAAAAAAATTAGCTGGGCATGGTCGCGCGCGCCTGTAATCCCAGCTACTCAGGGGGCAGAGGCAGGAGAATCGCTTGAACCCAGGAGGCAGAGGCTGCAGTGAGCTGAGACTGCACCACTGCACTCTAGCCTGGATGATGGAGTGAGACTCCGTCTCAAAAAAAAAAAAAAAAAGAAGAAGAAGAAGAAGAAGGCAATGAACACAGATGCGTGTACACCCTCTAATCATGGCCGAAAAGAGATGACTGAGGGGAAAAAGTAAACCCTGAATGGTGACAAAGAACAGAAGGATGAGTTTCACTATTAAACTCTTAAAAATACAACCCTCAAGCAGCAAAACCCCCACATTTCCAATACTTCAGAGTCCTCCAGTCCACAATGAAAAATACACTGCCAAACAGGCAAGTGTCAGTTTTCTTTACCTACCAAGCTCATTTCTTTGGATTTCAAAGAAGTGGAACTTGCCGAGGAGGCCGTGGAAGCTGGACTGCTAGAAGCATCCTTCTTTAGCAGGCGATTTTTGTCGATTCCATTTTCCCGGGGCGAGTGGGCAGGGCTTGCTCGCGGAGAAGAAGGGTCCTCAACAAGCATAATCAAAAGTTTTCGTGATTTAGCTTGTAACAGACAGACTTTTCCCTTTCCACACTCATTCTCTAAATTTAAGGACAGAGCTGAAAGTCCTTCGGGTTGGGGTTGTACAAGGTGACCAACACCATGTTATAAATGAGCAATATGGTGTCGGCAAACATACCTGCAAACATGCCATAAAAAAAAAACCCCGCAGTCATATCCCTCTTTGTGCCTCATGCTTAAGAACTTTGCCTAGAGGGCACTGGAAGGAAAGGGGAGCCAAACATCCAACTTAGGCATTCAAAATGTCTAGAGAAATATCTTTTTTTAAAGGAAATAAAACTTTATGTCAGTTAGACCATTATTGCTCCATACATGAGCAACCATTAACTTCTTAATGTAAGAAGTTGCAAGAGGTCCCCCCACCGAGGGGCTCTACTTCCTTCATTCACTGTTAGTTTTTTTTCATAACATTATTCAAATCATTCTGAAGACAAACTTTGATGAAAAGAATGGTTACCTCATTAGACACATCCACAACTAAGTTGTCATCGCTTTTGTCACCATCACTGTCCTGGAAAAAAGAAACATTAACGCCATTTACTAAAAGCTAAGAATAGGTTTGAGGCACAGTTAGATTTCTTTCTATAGTTCCTGGTAGCAGACAGACTAAAAAAACTACCTGGGACAGGCCTGCAGGCTCTCTATCAGTTTGCCAGTCCTAGTAATTATTATCATCTTCCCCCTCTTCTCATCTGACCTGGGGCTAGGCAAAGCTTCAGGCAGGAATTCTGTAGCAGTAGCAAACCAACTATCCAATCACAACTTGTTTACAGGTGATGGCAAGTTGCAAATACTTGGCAGATTGTAAGAGCTCAGTAAATGGTTGCAACAGCTGAATTTCTCGAGGGATGAAATCTTTAATTTGAGATCTGCACACCCTTATATCAGAGTTTTTCCATATGATTTCAAGGGAAACCATTTTCCCATGGGATTACTAGTTAATGCAAAAAAAAAAAAAAAAAAGAATCCTGGAAAGCTAGCTGGTGGATCGAATAAGCAAACAAAACCCAATCTTTTTCTCTTAAGTAACAAAAAAGTAAATTAAAAATAAACCTTTTTAGCAATCAGCTTGAAGTATTTTTGGAAAGATAATAGATGGCAATATTTGAAGGGCAATGGCATTCTGCAATAGGGCTCTCATTGTCCCCTCATAAAGCTATCATATTTACTAATCAGAGGAAACTCCAAGGTAGCACTGGGTTTGGAAAAGATTCGGAAAAGCTGTTCAGCCGGGCACAGTGGCTCACGCCTGTAATCCCAGCACTTTGGGAGGCCGAGGCGGGCAGGTGGATCGCTTGAGGCCAGGAGTTCAAGACCAGCCTGGCCAACGTGGTGAAACCCTGTCTCTACTAAAAATACAAAAATTAGCCGGGCGTGGTGGCGCATGCCTGCAGTCACAGCTATTCAGGCAGCTGAGGCACAAGGATCGTTTGAACCCAGCAGGTGCAGGTTGCAGTGAGCTGAGATCGTGCCACTGCACTCTGGCCTAGCCGACATAGCAAGACTCTGTCACAAAAAAATAAATAAAATAAAGCCTGTTCAATTTAATGATGTGGGCTGGGCGCGGTGGCTCAAGCCTATAATCCCAGCACTTTGGGAGGCCGAGGCAGGTGGATCACGAGGTCAGGAGCTCGAGACCAGCCTGGACAACATGGTGAAACCCCGTCTCTACTAAAAATACAAAAATTAGCTGGGTTTAGTGGCGTGCATCTGTTAATCCCAGCTACTCCGGAGGCTGAGGCAGGAGAATCGCTTGAACCTGGGAGGTGGAGGTTGCAGTGAGCCGAGATTGTGCCATTGCACTCCAGCCTGAGTGACAAAAGCAAGACTCCGTCTCAAAACAACAACAACAACAAAAAATTCAATGATGCGATCATCCCTACATCAAGTTTGAGGCAGGCTGAAAAAGTCTACCTTCTTAGCCAAAACGTCTCATGTCCTTTAGGGCAGAGTAATACATTATACAATGTAGGCATATGGAAAAAGCAGGACATCTCAATGGTTTTGAATTCTTGGAAAGGAAGAGGTCCTGAATTTATGATCTAAACAATTCTCTTACTGATGCTGTTGTCAGTGAAGAATATAGAAATAATATCTGAAAAATATTAGTACAAACAAGTGCAAATATTATCCACATTGGCCTTCTGAAGTAGGCCCACAAATCTAGTCTAGAAAGTTTACCCTCAACTCTAAATTCAGGTCTTAAATGATTTATTTCCTAATCATACCCAGAGCACTACACGTGAGAGACCCAATTTATTTTCTTCAATAGCGTGTTACAAGATATATTTTAGCCATGGTTACAGGGTCACCATGCAATTCACTAGTAACAACTTCAAATTACAACCAATGAGGAAGCCTGGGTAATCCTAAATAACAGTCTACTGAAATAAATATTTTCATGCAATAAAGAACAAAACTAATACTAACGAAAATCTGTTTTCTCTTGGTAAAGCCCACAGCAAAGCACAAATGTTTCCAGGTATTAAGGGTGGTGGTGGTGAAAAAATATAAACTAAAAGAGTTTCTCTTCTAAAAAGAAAATTATGAAAATGGCTAATTTAGTACACATAAGGAACTAGCAAAAAGTAGCAAACTATTCCTTTGTTACAATGGAACTCTGAAGTGAGTTTACCGTAATTTAAATCTTAGCTTTGTACCGGACCCTTCTGCAAATATAAACCTTCACAGGACAGTACATGTCTGTCATCAGTGATCTAAGGTCTGAGGCCTCTGTTCCAGATTCTCCAACATACTCTCCACACATGGTCCCTAACCATCTATCCAACCAGACAAACCTAGTACATGCAGGTTACAAAACTACCACGGCAAGCTTTATGGATTCTAGAGCACTCATTACTAAATAACTTACTATACACAACAGCCTCATGAAGGGCAATTCAGAATTCTACATCAGCAAATCTCTGCATGTCATAAACCTTCCAACTTGCTTATTAACACTGAAAGTACACAATGAAAGTACATGCATGGGACATCAGCTCTGGGCAACAGGCAAGGGGAGAATGATATGTGCTAAAAAGTGTTGGGCTAGGGTGGGGAGAACCAACAGCTTTGTTTCTTAGTATGTTATTAAAGCATAGTGCAAAGTGTGAACCAATTTGAGGATCTCTGGTAAAATAATCCAATACTGGAGGTGGGTTTGCACATCTTAGCATTGTGTCGAAGAGCAGAGATACTACAGCTGGCTCCAGCAAATCACTGGGATGTTATAAGAGTTAAATGAAATAATCCATGAAAAAATCACAAGGTACCTGGCACTAACTCCAGGTGGCACTCAAAAAGATGTTACCTATCATCAGCTATAGGCTTGGGCCAGCCAGCAGGAGACACTATCCTCTGTCTAGTGTTTAGACCTCCACATAGCCTGCACAGTAGATACCTCTTCCTGCAAGGGCATCAGGGACGTAGCCCCATTTCAGCAACTTTACTTTCATACTGTTCCTGAGAATGCATCCATCCTGAAACAGACACTCAGGGACACACAGGCAACTCCAAGTCATACATCGGCTGCAATGTTTATAACCCTGAGAACAGAGCCAATGGCCATCTGGCTTGGTTTGGTTTCCTTTTGAATGTGGTTTTAGCTGGATCTGTGACAAGAGCCCTCACTCCATCAACCAGTAGAGTGATCTCATCTACAGAATTTAAACAAGATGCCTCTGGGGTTTCTTCCATTTTGACCATGAACTTAGATCACTAGAATGCTCACTATGGAAGACATTGAGCTCTGCCTTGAGAAGTACCATGAGCCTATATTATCAGAACAGCATCCACAAAGCTTTTGTGACACTATAATTTTTACTCTATTTTAGCAGGAGTGGCTACTAAATTCACAGAGTCCAGGACAAAATGAAAAATGCAGAGACCTTATTCAAAAATTGAGAACGCAAAGATGGTGAGATCAGAGCATTACACCAAGGGAGGCGGGGGGCCCGGGGGACTCCTAACAAGAGCAGGGCCCTGAGCAACCGCACAGCCCACAAAGTCAGCCCTGCATTTTCATATTCCCTTTTGAGTAACAAAGGCAGGAAGTCTAAAGCTTAACACTGAGCCCGGCAGAAGCATAATTTACAGCCCCAAAGGGAAATACTATCCTACAATGTAAGAACCTCTCCTCTTTACAGTATTATGTTTAAGGACATGGAATTATCACTAAGATCTTAGAATATACTTGGATACTCAGGTGAGCAGTAAGCAAACAAATATTATTTCAAGTCCTTTAATTACTTACATAGTGGCTGGAGTCCTTATCATCCACCTTCCTTTTCTTGATGTCATTGGAAAATTCAGGTCCATTTCTGCGTTTATCTGTGCCTCTTAGACTGTCTGGGACCAGGAGGGAATTACTCTGCAAGACAAAAAAATTAATCAAAGATTTCTTCCCAAGCCTCTTTGTACACATGAAACCCAACCTCGATGTGAGAACTATTTTTGAAAGGTGATACCTACACAGCCTTTCATTCCATTTAATTCATCTCATCTAAAGACTTTGATGGCAAACATATCTACAGGTTTACACACTTAAAAGGGAGACCCTGACTTTGCAATCAAACCATCCAAAGCTAGGTGGATTCTTCAGGCCTCCTTGGAAATGTGCTTCTGTCCTATTTACTGTTTGAGAAATAGGAGCTTGCTGTGTTGTATGTGGATGTGTTTTTATTCTTTCCCACTGCGACTTCCTGGTCAGGAATACGAATGGCCTATGAGCAAATCTTGAGATTACTCTATTAGACATATTCTTTAACTGTAAGAGTCAATGTGTACCACTCTAAAAAGGCACAAAGGAAGCGGTGGGATTAACAGCATGGTTTCCTAAAAGGCAAATCACATTTTCCACAGCAACAATGAAGGAACTCTTTTGAATTCTTTTAATTTATTGTTGAAAATAAGACTTGG
The DNA here is from genome assembly GCF_000001405.40 of Homo sapiens. Taxonomy (NCBI): domain Eukaryota; kingdom Metazoa; phylum Chordata; class Mammalia; order Primates; family Hominidae; genus Homo; species Homo sapiens. The sequence goes on from NC_000009.12 coordinate 81,621,106, forward strand.
TGTTCCTCGCCAATAGCACTGAAATTTAAGATCTAAGGGGGGAATTTCAGCCAGTGAATCTTCAATAGCAAGGCCAGCTCCCACACACAAAAGCAGGAACAAGGACTAATCTTTTCCACAAATGACACAGGATACTTTCATTCGCATATGCCGAGTAGGAACTGTTGACCCAAAGAAAACAGGCATTTTAGATATTTTGGGGTCACATGACATGATCTGACATCTCTTCAATTCCCATCTCCCCTCAGGCTAAAGCATCAGAACATGTTACAATGAGTTCTTTTAAGTGTGGGATTAGCATATGCAAGGGGGCAATTTGTTCAGTGATGTGTTACTGCCCTGAACAATGTTGAATGAGCTGTGCAAAAACCTCCTTTCACAAAGCCCAGATAACCCCAATCTCTGAAAGATGTTTGAGCACTAAGAGGACAGTGTCCAGGGCCAACAGACAATTATGTTACCTTTCTCTGCCACAATTTAAAATAGAAGGGGCTGGGGGATACCTTTAAGTTAGACCACATCTAATGCAACAGTATACAACAGGAGCAAATATTTTATGGTATCTTTTTAAAAGCCCTGAGTTTCATTCCTAACCAGCCAGAGGTAATCAGCCAGGTGGCCAGCCCTCAAAGCTCCCCTGAAAACCATGGACCCCACCATGGGAGGGTTGTCTCCAGCTCAACCATATGCAGGAGGAAATCAAAACTGAGGACCGGAAGGCAATCCCAAGCCTCTTGGCCCGCCTCAGGGACTGACTCTAGAGGAGCTGGGCTCTTTTATTCATGACTGTTCAAGCTACACAAATGCCAGGAGGCTTAGATAAAAGCAGCTGGGAGGGACCAACGCAATTCAATATAGAGAAGCTCTAAGTAATGTCTTTACCACAGTGTTTGGGGATGAAAGGTGAGCCGGCTGGATCCCCGAACTAATTACCTAGATACATGTCCGCTAAAAGCTAACCCCTCCAACCCAGACCCCCAGCTGACAAGGCTGCAGGAGACCTAACTCTTGCAAAGTGCTAACACGCCCTCTGAAAAGCTGGGCCGGGGCAGCAGCTGCTTGTTCACACATGGGAAACGTGTTTAAATACACCCCTCCTAGTTTACTTCAGCCCCGAGGTCTCCTCCTCCAGACTCTGTGCAGCATCCACGGCAGGGCTGTATCTTATTCAACTTTAAATCCGCCCAAGTGCCCAGCAAAATGGGGCACAGAGGCTGGGTGTGCTGACCAGTTTTAAGTTCAAGTCTCTCTCCACAGCCTTCCAAGCCCTCCTGCTGTCATCAGCACTGCGCATCCAAGCCACAGGGCCATTCCAAGACAGCTTCTTAATGTCTTGTTTTTTTTTGTTGTTGTCGTTTAATGATGTCAAATGGTACTGTGAACGTAAAAGTAAACTACACTTCTGTTAGAAACAATACAATTTCTGTTAGAAACAATAACCTTTCCGTGGCTGGACCTTTAAGACTGTCAAGCTTTGAGGCCTCTGCGTCTATGTGTTCAAAGTTACTACTGTAATTTCCGCTTGAGCGGCTTAAATGAAGCTTATAATCTGAATAGGTTTTGAAAAGCTCTGAAAGTTCCTCTAAATGTGGTGGACAGGGCTAGTAATTAGCACCCCTGCTTATCTGAAAATGGGCCCCATTCAACAGCAGACTTCAACAAGTTACAAAACAAGATGCCTCATCATACCTTTGATGCTGTAAAACTGACTCAAAACAAGGCAGCAGAGTGTGGGCTGGAAAGGCCCAGAAACACCACACTCAGACCCAGGGATCCCTGGCCCACGCAGCTGCCGGACGCCCGGCAGGCTTTCCACCTAAAGTCTACCCCACCAAAAACAGACCGCTTCCTTTTACTCTTGCTCCCATGAACCCAGTTTTCTGTGTATAATTGCCCCTGACTTCTTCCAGCCCTGACGCTGCTTTCATTGTTGTTCTTGATATAAGCAAACAGTTCCAGCCTAATGAGCTTCGCTGGCAGCAACAGCAAACATTCTGGTTTTTAAACTACTGCCTGGGGGACCCTTACCTTCATGATTCCCTCATTTGTTCCCAGAAACCCAAAAGTGACTTTGTGGGTACTGCATTTCTTGAGGTGTTTTTCCCTCATGTTGTGATTTCTCCTCGTGCACTCCCTACTGTGTGTTGCTTATGGCTCCAGGGTAGAATACAGTCATTTTGATGGCCATTAAGAGCTACTTTATACATATTTCGAGAATTCAGAGACTAAACCTGGGTATTGACTAAATTGTCATTTTGATCCTCCAAAATTTCGAATGCTATGTTGTCTGGGTCCCATTCTAACAAATCGAGGCAACATTTATGAGGACACCATTTGCAAAAGAATGAAACAGAGGTTGCTTTGCATTAAGCTATTTGAAAATGGTCATGAGGCCGGGCACAGTGGCTCATGCCTGTAATCCCAGCACTTAGGGAGGCCGAGGCAGGCAGATCGCCTGTGAAAAGGAGTTCGAGACCAGCCTGGCCAACATGGTGAAACCCCATCTGTACTTAAAAAAAAAAAAAAAAAAAAAAAAATTAGCCGGGTGGTGGTAGACACCTGTAATCCCAGCTACTCAGGAGGCTGCAGCACAAGAATCACTTGAACCTGGGAGGCGGAGGTTGCAATGAGCAGAGATCGTGCCACTGCACTCCAGCCTGGGTGACAGAGTGAGACTCTGCCTCAAAAAAATAATAAAATGAAAAATAAAAATCAAAAAAATAAAAATGGTCATGCTTTCTAAACACAGAAAATAACTGGAATCAAACCTGAGAAGAGGCCAAAGCAACCACTGAGACATTTCGTTCCTCTTCCTCCTCCTGCTCCTTTAATCTGGAGGACTAGGATGTCCAGAGACAGAGGTGATTTGCCTGAGGCCAAGCGGCTCTGTCCACCACCTGCTGATTCCCATTACAGCCAAAGTGCCTCCCCTCTCAGAAGAGTGATTTTTAAACTCAAGTTTACATACATGGAACACTTGTACCCAAAAACTTACTTAAAATCCACCCTGGCTCTTTCAACTACTGCACTTAACATTCTAATGTGACATAATACCTGACGCATGGTTTCTCTGACCTACCTCCTAACCAACAGAATGCCTTGCTTTAATCAGGTTAGATGTCTTCCATACCAAAAATAGAAACGTGTAATTTTTAAATGAACATTTTAAACTCTACTTTAAAATGAACTAGGAATAGTCCCAAATTCCTGCCTTTCCACTCAGAACCCAAAATTAACACTGAAAAAGGCCTCAGCAGAGTGACAAAGCAGCCCAGGTACACACAGGCTTCATGGCATGCCAATCACCAGAGGTAATCATCCTACAGACCTATTTGCCACTGCAGACACCTCTTCCTAGAGTCTATACTTTGAAAGATTTTAATCTACCAAACAGGATTCATCAAGTAGAATTCATTTTTCAAATATTTATTTGCCAAATAAATATTTAATCGAGAATCAGCTTTTTGATCAACATGAGAACCAGTGTTACTATCCTGACTGATGTACTCTAATTCCAGCCAAGAAACCCAAAGTTTTATTTCACCTTGCAGCTGGTAAAATGTAAATATCTGCCAGGATTTTTTTAAAGACTTTAAATGTTGGGCAGACTTCTATTACAAGTGTCCCAAGGACTGAGGTTTCTAGACTGTATGTAAGTTTTCATTTAAAATTAAAAAAATAAACAAATAAACAAAATCACCTTATTTACATCTCCTACAGAAACTCAAAATAGGAGTAATACAGCCCACGGAGGACATTACAAACCTGGGCAAATCAGCTGAAAACACACTGTTCAAAACAAACTGAAATTCTAAAACCAAATAATTTTCTACACCTACATATGGCATACACTTGTGGGTACAGGGTCAAGTACCCTGTACATAAAGGGAGAAGCATATCTGAGAAGTCTAAAAGAAAAGATCCTCCTAGAATGCTCAGTATCAGAAACATAAAGAGGGTCCAAAAATGGGCAGAACTGGCATAACTTTTATATAGAAAGTACTTGAGATGATTAGATGAGGTGCAAGAACACAGAAACCATATACTCCATAAGAAGGGACTGGACTCTCTCTCTCACGAAAATCTGGAATTCTGTGAGAACACCAGATCTCAAGAGGGCATCTTCACTGGCAACAAGCAAATTGCTATTTATTAATATATGCTTCCTAAGGGTTACATCTAACTTGCACTAATAGGATGACAGAACAGAATGGCTATGACAGCAAAAGAGCTGGTCAGAAGAAAAGAGGAATGGCAGATCTTCTGATATTACAGCCTGTGTGCATTCTGAGACAAATTCTGAGCACAATTTCCTAACTCTGGGAACCATGTTTTATTAAACACACAGCAGGATCTTTCCCTGTGGTAGCTCAATGGCCTGAAGGTAACCAGATAATTGGCGAAGTGTTTGAATTTCCTGGATGCGAGAGGCCAATATATTCTTTTAAAATAAAACAAAACTAAACATTCCAACACAATTATGAAACCACATACCTTCATGTAAGAACTTACAATGTAAGTAGGTGGGTTGACTGAACCTCAGAGAGCACCCAGTGGCGTCAAAAGAAAATGTTAAGATTGGGACTCTGTATTACTTTATCCTGACCATTCAACACAAGTGATGTGTCTATTTCATGCTCCAAACACCTATTCAAGACCAAGGTAGCAAAGACCCAGCCACTTCAATAAGGATAACAACCAGTCTTTATAGTCTTGTTCCAAGAATTTGACTTTTCTTTAGCAATTTAACAGTAATGGTTGTTCACATCTACTAACATGTTCTGGAAAGTAACCTCAGAAACTACTAAAAAAAAAAAAAAAAAAAAAAGCAACTTTAATAAAATGCTGCCCTGTCAATGCTATCAAACACTAGTTACAGAGGCCTTCATGAATCCTAAGACCTCCAAGCAACTTCTCTGCCAACAAGTTCGAACCCTGAAACCACCAGCAGCAAAATGGAAAGGAAAACCCATTCATGCATACAGCAAAAGCAAGACAGGTTTCCCTAATGCAAAAATAAAGCACATTATTCAAATGGATTTCTTTAGCTGCCATGCTGATTCCCCTTGGGAACTTTCTCCTCCCCGCAGGAAAAGTGTTTGTGTCAGAGGTACAGATTGGAAACTCGTGACACCTCATTTATCCTCAGTTACACTAAGGCAGTAGGAACCTAATTTACTAGCACACTCCACACTGACAATTAACTTCTCGGTGAACATTAAAACAATTAGGTAACGACGCACCCCATCACATCTGTGTGCCTTCTCCATCTACACCTGGTGTCAATCAAGCCATCACCCTGCGCTGCACTTTTTGCTACGGTCCAACTGGTCATTCACGTACTCTGCCTAACACTTCAACTAATGTATTTTTAACCCATAAAACTAATGAGATCCCCACTTGTTAACAACATGGACAAAGTTGAAAATCTGTCCACTGGCAACCATATCATATCTCAGAACCCTGCCTGTGCAGCCAGTCTGAAGGGCACACATTGATGTTTCACACAGTTTAAATGCAAACTATGGGAAAGAACCAGTGCATTCCTGCAACTCGATTTTGCAACTCATCACTGTAGAATCCAGGTGGGTGACTCAGTTAGGAGGACTCATGGAAAGATAGCTGTGCAGGTGACACACAGGGCCGGTTAATGTTGAGGCAGGACAGGGTGCTAAAACCACGATGCCTTCGTCACCACCCTCTCATTTGTAGCTGGCCCTTCTACCCTCCTCCAGGCAAAACAAAACAAACTCTGGAGCAGACAATAAATACAATTATTTAAAATTAATTTTTAAATAACCTCATGACACTGCCGTTCCCCAGCTCAGGACCTAATCACAGCAAAAACAAAATCTCTATGTCAAAGCTTTTTTGAAAGCATGGTTTCTAAGAGCTGCTCAGCTGTTTCTGTGCCTCTTTGCTCTCCAGCCCCTGTTGAAATACTTGCTAATGCAAGAAATGGCCCTGAAACTAAAAAGCCATTAGGTCAGGACTTGACTAAGTCATCTGTGTATCGGACAGCACTTACATTTATACCTCCTTATCTCAAAGATGAGGACACAGAGTTTGTTGTCCACCTATGTCCCAGTGAGGAAATGATAAAAAGATTATAGGGACAAAAGAAAAAAACCTGCTCACAATTGCAGGTTTTCTAATTACAGAGCACAAACTCAAGTCAAAAAGAGGTTTTGGAGGGAAAAATTGTTCTCTCACTTTTTTTTTTTTAAGAGTAAAGATGCCCTATTTTCACTGTAATCACAGTGCAATAAAACCTGAACGTTAATCCAGTCCCACCAAGGCCCCGATATCCACCTGACTTATTGCATCCACAGTAAACAGACACCTCTACCTGGTACAGGCTCCTGACAATCTAGAAACCACTGGGGCTTTCCTTTGAAGGGTTCACCCTATTCACAGCAGTGATGCCAACTTTCTCAAAGAAGAACCATTTTTTTAAGCAGAGTTTTAAACTTGGCCAGAAGGGAAACCTGCCCAGGAGTCTGCTTAAGAAAACCTAAGTGTTTTCCATTGTGCCCAAAAATTGAAATTTTAGGTGACTCATCTCAGTTTTAGCCTTTATTTCCAGGCAATCTCTTAACATGTCAGGTCATGATTAATTCATAAATATTTAGGCAAAAACAGTACCTCCTAGGCTGTGTCTACTTTTGAGAAATTTGATTATCAGGAAAGTGATCACGTTAATAAGCAGCTGAGATCAGTTTCACGGTGCTGACATGCTGAGAACCATCAGTAACTGCCACCTTGGCACGTGGACCCTTATTTCCATAACCGCCTGTGTAATGTGTATTTTAAAAAGGGAGAGAAAACCAAGGCTGGGTGCGGTGGCTCACGCCTGTAATCTCAGCACTTTGGGAGACCAAGGTGGGAGAATCACTTGAAGCCAGGAATTCGACACCAGCCTAGGCAACATACTGAGACTCTGACTGTACAAAAATTAAAAGAAAATTGTTTTAATTTAAAAAACAAATAGGAGAGAAACCCAGAAGTAACTGCATTGAATGTAATGAATGATGCATTCACTGCCGTCTTGCTACTCTGCAAATGGCGGTGGGAGGAGGGCATTCCCTAAGCACCTTCTATGCTGTCTGCTACCCTCCCACCTGAGGCCTCCTAACCCCCTCCCTGTGAGGCAACCACTACTATCACCATTTATAGATGGGACTAGGAAGGCACAAAAGGATGAAAAAGCCTTGCCTGTGTAGCCAGAATTCCACTAAAGTCTGCCTTTGTACAAAACTCATGTTCATTCTACCACCCCTGATGCCGCCATGGTTCCCATAGGCCTCCGGGAATGAACGTGATTTTTCTTTTTTTTTCCAGAAAAAGACCAACAGTATTCTTTTCCAAAGCAAGCCTCACATCTTAACTCCTCCTTGCCTTCTATAATGTTGTCATTTTGAGACAAAGTGATGGATGGGTGGTCCTAACTAGGATTTGGTCCTGCCTCTGACAAAATTAACTAGTCAAGAACAGCTAGAGAAGAGTAACAAAAGAAAGAAACCACTTTATATAAAACAAGGTGATGTTTGTCATAATTATCTCTAGGCAAGTTCTAAATACAAACTCCTGGTGATTTTAGAAGTCAATTACAGAGTGACAACATGGTCGCTCAGATTACTAACTCTCAATCTGTTAACTAAGTATGTGACCGGATGCACCCAGCCTCCTTGATAAAACCATGGTGCTGTGCCATATGACCTGAAAGACAGATGAGTGGTGCTTAGACTGTTCTGAGTTAGGAAGCCCTTTCTGAGAATTTGATGAGTTATAGTCTCTCCCCAGAATTCTGCAAAAGAGCACGGACCCACCCAGTCCATCCATGAATGCCACTGCGTAGGTCTATACACCGTCTGCTCTGGAGTCTCCTCCAGAGTCTCCTCCCTTTTCCAAATAGTGATCACACTAGCTAGGTATTTCAGTGCCTTACATTCAACAAATGTTTAACTGTGACATAAAATGGATCACTGCAAAATGATAGCAAGTATACGCAGCACCTCAAACAGTACTCGGGCACATAGTCAGGGCTCAACAAATATTTGTCAAATGACTCAAAGTATTTAAAAGCATGCCCTATTATAAATTTTTTTAAACCATACAACTTTTTGTCAATTATCTCTTTCAAGCAGATAAAAATAGCATTCCCTTCAGCCAAAATTTAATGCAATTTATCCTTAAATTAATTAAAATATCTAAAGTTATTTTTTTATTACTACTGAATGCTACTAAGAAATAATGGCCTTTCTTAGGTCATTTCATATTTCTCTGCTCAAGAGCTGCACTTATATAAGAAAAAACAGAAATCAAAATTTTAAAACAGCCAAAATAATTTTTTAAACCAAAGCCAAACCTCTATAAAGTTGCTAGCTTTATTGTTCATCCCTTTCAGAAATAAGAAACTTTAAAGCAGTTTCCATAAAAACTTTCACTCTTAGAACAGCCATGTGTCACTAAACAACAGGGATACTTTGTAAGAAAGCCATGTCAGGCAATTTCATCATTGTGCAAATATCGAATAGTGTGTTTACACAAACCTGGGTGGTATAGCCTACTACACACCTAGGCTACTGCTCCTAGGCTACAAACCTGTACATGTTACTGTCCTGAATATTACAGGCAGCTACAACACAATGTAAGTATTTGTGTATCTAAACACACCTAAACATAGAAAAGGTACAGTAAAAATACGGTGTTATACACTTAGGGGACCACCATCATATATGCAATCCACTGTTGATGGAAGTGTTGTTATGCAGTGCACTGATTACACTTCTATTTCCTAGGCTTCACATTAAAACAGATTGCTTATTTAAGGCTCATTTGTTTTCCTACCATAAAATCTTTAACTAGCAAATTAATTTCTGCCACTAAAAATAAACAAACTACCTACCAACCAGTTTTAGGCTCACAGATAAAAATCCATACACACCCACATTCCCTGCGGATCCCATCAGTCTCTGATTTCTGCACTTGGTATAAATAATATGTTCAATATAGAAAGACAAACAAGAAGAAAAAAAAAAACAGTAAGGAGTTCGTCTTATTTATGGCCAAAGGTTCTCAGACTTTGGTCCGAGGATCCCTTAAGGGTCCCGGAGACCCTCGCAAATCTATGAGGGCAGATTCTCTTCCTAAACGTCAACTAAATACCACAAAAGAGCGAATGCAGAGGATGAGAATCCAGCTATCCTCTTTAAAACTCAATAAACTACAAGGCATTCAAGACATTTGTAGACATACATAACAATGCCACTCTTCCCACTATAATTTTTTTTGCTTTGGAAAAGTTATTTTTCATTAATAATGTTATTTGTATTAACACAATTTAAATTAAGTAGCTCTTCATCTGTTTAAGTGATTTAATTTTCTTTCTTACCCAGTAAGTATCAAAAATCAAAATATTAACCTAGTAAATATCAAAATATAACCCAGATAAACAAAAAGTTCTTCAGGGCCCTCAATAATTTGATTTCAAGGGTATCAAGATCATGAGGCCATAAGGCTTTGAAAATCACTGGCCTGTAGCAACCACCCTTAACCTTTCACTGGATTAAAAAACAGCAGCAAACAGCAATTGGCTGACTTAATCTGCCAAGTAAAATTAGACTTTCTAATTCAAACCACTTTATTAAATAGATAAGTACTATAATATTTTAGGCACTAATAGTACACATCATCTCATTATCCACTGCTTTTCATACTCATTTTTATACAAAGTTTGAAGAGCTACTTAATTTTATGTAACTGTAGCAAAATCCCACTAATGTGGACAGTGAACAGTTTAATTCCTCTCTATGGACTGAATTAAATGCTTAGGTTACAATTAGTGTAGTTTTCCCATTTTAATCATCATTGCCCAACAGTTTTCTGCAGTAATTAGGCAGGAAACACAGCATATATACTTGTTCTGAAAATATTCATTGAAATGATTAGAACTTGTCAAAAATTTGATATAAAAAAGATACATGTCCAAAACACATAAATCCACATTTGAACTAGAAAGTTCGTTGACTGCTAACCCTAACTTATAGACTTACAAATAACCCACAGTTGCCTGTAACTCAAGAACTGCTTCATACTTCTTGAAGGGGACAACCAATAACCCTCCCTCCACCCACTCCAATGAACCCATGAATTAAGTACTTGCATATATTTTTCTGTCAAAAATACCAACAGGAGGTTATCCGACACATTCGGAAATTCAGAAAGACACAGAGGTATAAAATACATCTCTACTAGCTTAAGCATACAAACCTCTGCCTATTCACACCCCTGGCATTTCAGAGAGGCACATACCACGTGGTATCACTTCCACAATTCTGATACCAGTAAGTTATAGGACTTTTGCTGAAACTTTCTCCAGTCTTGCTTCTTTTAGTAATTGTGTCACTCACTCCTCCTCGATTCTCTGGGAAAGGGCTTTGTTGCATGCTTACATACCTCGAATTGCAGATGCGTGTCCCATAATGCCTTACATATATGGTATGCACTCAATGAACATAGCCATTTAAGGTGAAACAGGAGTACTGAAGAAAACATGTTAAATTGAAGTCCCAAAGCTAGAATAAGTTCAATAGATTTAAAACGCATAACAGCCTAAAGGGCATGGGCTTTCCCCAAATTTCTTCTGTGATTTCATCCAGGGTTAGGTTTTTAAATTTGACACTCTACTGAACAGACATAAAAGATGACTATCTCACCGGGCATGGTGGCTCAGGCCTGCAATCCCAGCACGTTGGGAGGCTGAGGCAGGCGGATCACCTGAGGTTGGGAGTTCCAGACCAGCCTGACCAACATGGAGAAACCCCGTCTGTACTAAAAATACAAAATTAGCCAGGTGTGGTGGCACAGGCCTGTAATCCCAGCTGAGGCAGAAAAATCGCTTGAACCCAGGAGGCGGAGGTTGCAGTGAGCCGAGATAGTGCTACTGCACCCCAGCCTGGGTGACAGAGCGAAGACTCCATCTCAAAAAAAAAAAGACTATCTATAGGAACCCTGGAATGGCAAAACAATAAGGCTTCCTCCATAAACTAAAGCCAGTTTACTTATCTGTACTCTGTGTGTAGAATATTTTATTTCCCAGCTATAATTTTTTGTCCCCCCAATCCCCTCTCAACATTTTCCAGAGAAATTTATAGGACAAGAATTTTAAAACTAGCTACCCTTTCCTTCAACCATTCCTCACTCCTCCACGCACATCCAGATACATGAAATATACCAAGATCTGTCTCAAAGACAATTTTAAAAGTAGCTACTATTCTACACAGAAGAGGGGGGAAAAAACCCTGAACTTTTATCTTCCCCCCAAAACTTATACCAAAAAAGTTATCAGATTTAAATGTTCAGTATCCCTTTTTTTTTTTTTTTTTTTTTACCATATTAAACACAGTCAAAATACTGCTATGTTCAGAAAGAAGGAGGCAAAACCTGTAGGTTATCCCAGCTGAAAAGGGGCTGAATTCTCTCTATTTGCTACACAACATTTGAGACACACTTTAAGTACAGGTCTCTCCAGAGCTAACTGGCAGATGCATGTACAGATCAAATGTACACATGAAAAATGAGTGTGACTTAGGCTGGTGAAAACATGAACTCTACGCACACAGCCCTGTCCACTGAATTTCCTTCTTTTTAAGAGCTTACTGGTATGCTCAGTTCTTATGTCTAAAATAGATATAAGATCAAGTTCACATTCCAAGGACAATTATGCAAAGAAAACAAGATATGGAAACCTAGCAACCAAGATGCATTCACAGAGGATGACTGGTTTAAGTAGAAATGGTACATTACTAACCAACTTCACAAAGGGATTGTGATCTCTTGCCTCTAAAACTGATTTAAGATATAAAAATGAATATTCTTTTAAACTACAGTCAACCAGACTTAGAATGCAACCATTAACACTTTTAAAGTGAGGCAGGGGAATATACAGATCAAAGTGTATTTCCAAGTAAGTAATCACAGCAAATAGTTTTGCCTCCAAATTATGCCTCTCTTGTCTGATGCAAGTTTTGTAAAAAGACAAGAGCAGAGCGAACAGTCATATAAGAAAAAGAAATTTTAAAGGAAAAAAAGTAAAAGAAAAAAGCCAGGTCACTGAGAGAGACAGGGAGAGTGTGCATGTCTGTCTGTGCCTGTGTGGAGAAGTGTTGTCAGAAGGGGACCGTGTGTGTGTGTGTGTGTGTGTGTGTGTGTGTGTGTGCAGCAGGCGTTTGAGTACTTACTGTGCCCGGCTCTCTGTCTGCTCCCGAGGTTACCAAGAAACGCACAGACATGCCCGTTCAGACACAGAGGCAAGAACAGAAATAAAAAAAAGGGGGGAATAATTAGAACACAAGCCCCAAACAGTTTTAAAAATGGCTTTTATTTATATAAGTCATTGCACATTCCTAATACAGTGATTTCCTGAAAATTACAGTATTTTGTAAACATAAGATTTACAGTTTAACCATACACAAAGCCTATTTTTTTATTTCTTGACAGAATAAATTACTTTTCTTCAAAAAATTAGTCAAGTGCAATTTTGCCCAATATTTAATGCATACTAGAATTAAAGCCTATGAAACTAAGTAGTAACAGATGCAATTATCAAACCTTTCATTTGAACACATTCACTTTCAAATTTAACTTCTTATTTCGCCCCATTTAACAACATTACTTTCTTTGAAAATTACCCAATTAAGCAGTTAACAGTTTTCCATAATATGGTACAGGCCACTGGCATTAACTAGGCAGTTGCCAAGATGTCAAGATGCCTGCAATCTAACGAGATCGAGAAATCTACAGATGCCCACAGCAAACCCTGCAAACTTCCAGGGTGACCTGTGTTTCAGTGGAAAGCTTTGCGACAGTTCCTCTTATCTCATTGTTTGCTCTCTGTATAGGTTGGGGCTCTCTTTAGCGATGCACACAACTTTGCAGCACTGTAAGAGTATGAGGACAAAGTCCTAATCTGGCTTGCCCGGCCTCTCACCTCTGTGGTGCTCTGCATCGTGGTGCTTCTTGTCATCTTTTATTGCCAAGTGAGACTGCCCACTCAGAGCACTAGACAGCGCAAGAAGGCCGGCACTGCCCCCGAGGGGCGGGATTCCAGGAGGCTGAAGTCCCGAAGGGTGAGGCGTAAGGGGAACTGGGGGTCCGTGGCCATGAGAAAGATGCTGAGCTTGCAACTGCTGCTGCTGTTGGTGGTGGTGGTGAGAGAGAAAAAGGAGGAGGAGGAGGAGGTAGTGGTGACAGTGATGGCGATGGAGGCGGCATCCAGGGGAAAACAGACATGACAGGAGGGGAAGGCGGAAACAGAACAGGAGGTTCAACAAACACACAAAAGGAGCCAAGAAAGAGAGGGAGGAAAGGGGAAAAAATGCGATTAGTGCTTTCAGTTCATCAAAAGCTTTCACCTGCTCAATTACCTCTCCCACCTTCCCAAAATATAATCCTCACATCTACACTGTCACTTTCTGGTATCACTCACTCCGAGAGGGGAGCTGTTTATTATTAAGCAAGGCTGGCTACATCAGTAAGTAAACATGAGCTAGTTCTGTCTTTATGCGCCTCCAGGGATGAGATCCAGCATGTCACTCAATCTAAGATGCCACAGATTTTCAGACTCACGCTGTTTTCAGAGGGATTAAAATGGGGGTGGGGATGCATCCCACAATATAGTAGCCATACTCTCAACCTGTCACCAGGTAACTCCATTTCACCCTACACCCTTGCATTGACTTACCACAGTAGTATGATGAGACAAAACCAAAATACTATCACTAAGGAATAGAATTTGGAAAGGAAGACCCAGTAATCTGGGTGGGTGTCTCATGCACCACCCAGGCACTTATGCCCCCTTATTCCATCAATCCCTCTCAGTACTGTGAGGAAGTATTGCAATTCCCATTTCCCAGAAGGAATGAAGGCTCAAAGGCACTGACTAAATTGCTGAAACTCTATCCCTAGGCAAGAGGGGACTGCAGTCAGTACAGGAGCAACTCTTAAGGCTGCTGTTTACCATGCTGCCACAGACAGGGGAGAGGATCTCAGGGAGCCAGGCTTGTGGCCGCTGGAAGAAACATTAGAAACGAAACTTTGTTTATCCTTTCCTTCCTACCAAGCTCCACAACTCAAACCCACTCTTTCATTGTGACTGATGAAAATACTGAGACCTAGAATGGGTAGGACCGTGGATGAGGAAAGCACTTATGTGTGGGACTCCAGCCAGCGAGCCAAGCCCCCGTTCCCAAATGCCTTTTCCATGACTGCACTTTGCCCCCATTGCTTAACCCATTCCAGAAGTTCTAAGTCTGTTCTCATTACACAGTATCATTGCTCTTATACATTATATTTAAAAGCACATTGTATGAAATGAAAAAGTATCCAAGAAATGGCCCCTGTACCATGAATCTGGCCACATTTCAGCTGTCCAATATAAAACTTATTTTTGATGAGACAGTAAAAATGATTAAGGCTCAATTTCTAAGGTGCAATGTTAGAAAATTCTCCAGATTCTGATTTGTGCTCACTTCCTTGGGACTCAATTACTCATTTTATTTATTATCCCTTTGCGTGCACTGAACATATTAAATCTTCATGCCAGATCTTCAGTCATTTCTACCCAGCCCACTGATTTTTAATGGAATCCCAAACACAGTTCCCAGCCTCAAAAGTTAGAGAAAACACCATCTTAAGGCAGAAATCAGTGTCTGTGGAAATTTTACAATGAATTTTCAAGCACTCCAACTTTTCTAAAAATGTTTAGGGTCAGGCACAGTGGCTCACTATAATCCTATAATCCCAACACTTTGGAGGCCAAGGCAGGAAGATCACTGCAGCCCAAGAGTTTGAGACCAGCCTGGGCAACATAGGGAGATTCCATCTCTATTTAAAAATAAATAAATAAAAATGTCTAAGAGCCAGCCAACCATCTTTATAAACTTTCATTCTTTTCAAAGAGAGCATGGTTCTAATTAGAAGCAAAATGGAAAAGGGGATGAGGTCAGAACAGGCAGCATTCATAGCATTCTTGGAAAGTATAAACTACTCATTCACCATTTGAGATCATAATAACAATTTCTTTATGCATAAAATCACCTTCCTGTCATCCCAAAGACACTAATTCTTGCTCTGTCACCTTTTAAGAGCTTGGCAATAGTGAGACATAAAACTGAAGAAGCTTGCAGTGGCATCACGGTCCACTAGGCATGCTCATTAGCACTTAATTAGGAACTAGACACCTGCCATAAGAAATGTGCTTGGAGAAGGATGAGGAACAGGACTGCCCTACCAGCAATTACTATCATTACTTGGAGAGTAAGAGCTGTGTCAGGCTTCTGGGTGGGGGGTGGGGGGAATGCAATGATGCATACACAAGCAAGTGCAGCGGGTAATTAAGCACGGCACTAATTAAAAGAAGATGAGAGAGGCTAAGCAGAGGGGAAGGAATCTAACTACAGGGTGGAGGATGCCACCCTCTCACCCCTCTCCCTGCTTCCCCCACTCCCCTAAAAATCTAGAATGGAGTCACCAGAAGATGACTTCAGAGGTGGGATTCTTATGTCAGACCAAACATACTCCGGTAATATTTAGATACTAACAAAGTAAAGATTTCCGGCCAGGCACAGTGGCTCACCCCCATAATCCCAACACTTTGGGGGCCCAAGGCAAGTGGATCACGAGGTCAGGAGTTCAAGACCAGCCTGGCCAAGATGGTGAAACCCCGTCTCTACTAAAAATACAACAATAAGCCAGGTGTGGTGGCGGATGCCTGTAATCCCAACTACTGGGGAGGCTGAGGCAGGAGAATCATTTGAACCCGAGTGGCAGAGGTTGCAGTCAGCTGAGATCACGCCACTGTACTCCAGCCTGGACGACAGAGGGAGACTCCGTCTCAAAAAAAAAAAAAAGAAAAAAGAAAAAAAAAGATTTCCCCTCCCATAAATCCAAGCTAGCTTTCAGAAAGATGAACTGGGGAAGGTGGGTCATGCCTGTAATCCCAGCACTTTGGGAGGCTGAGGCGGGTGTAACACTTGAGGTCAGGAGTTTGAGACCAGCCTGACCAACATAGTGAAACCCTGTCTCTACTAAAAATATACAAATTAGCCGGGCGTGGTGGTGCATGCCTGTAATCCCAGCTACTTGAAAGGCTGAGGTGGGAGAATCGCTTGAACTTGGAAAGCAGAGGCTGTAGTGAGCTGAGATCGTGCCACTGCACTCCAGCCTGGGTGACAAGAGTGAGACTCAGTCTCCAAAAGAAAAAAGATGAACTGGGTAGTAGATTCTGATATCTTACTGTGAAGAGGTGATGGCTTACATAATGGGGCTTTGCCACAGCTGTGAAGTAAACTTTTGTGGTTAAACCCAACAGTTTGACTAATATCTATCAACAGCAACATTCAACAGCCTAACTGGCCATGGGTAACTTCCACCTCTACCCTAATCTGACCTTCTAGGTCCCCTGAACAAACAGCTCACTGTCTGTTATTAGAGGTAACTGGGTTCTTCCATCCATTGCTTGGCTACAATGAAAGTTTCTTTTTTTTTTTTTTTTTTAAGCAAAATCCTATCAAATTGAAAGGAGTACTAAGTAACAATCAAATGGATCACAACTGCTGAAGATGTCGTGATTCTAGGAAATGTGGCCATTCCACCTCATATTCGACTTCTTGTTTCTGCAGGGCAGTGCTCCTAGATAATATCTAAGTGTCCATCGTCTGGCACAAGCTTGGAACACATCTGAGTCAGGGAGGGTAGGTATCATGATACCTACCCATTTCACAGACGATACTGGCTCAAAGCCAAGAGGCTTGCTACAGGGCTCAGAGCCAGAATGAGGGCTACAAACCTTTTGTTTCCTAGGACAAGATTTCTCCTGTAACCCCAGCAGCTCAATCATGTTCTCCAGAATAAGAAAGGAAAAGGGCAAAGCCATTCTCTACTGAGACTTCGCATTTCCCCCACTGCTCAGCTAACCAGATGCTCTTGAGAACACCTGATACTACATACACAGAGACAAATCCACCCTCACCAACAGGCCTAATGGCAGTGACGGGGGAGTTTACGCTTAGACTGCATGAGTACCATCTCCTGTCCCCCCTTCTCAATGCCTGTCCTACATCTGCAAAAGGACACTATCCCTTGCCCCCAGCTCTCTTCCAAAGAAGCACGTCAAGAAGAATCAAGCCTAACAGTGCTGGCTCTGGCTTTTCTCAGAAGTAGATGCTTAACATTATAAACACAAAGTGTCATTTCTAAGATAACATATTTATTTAAATGAGTAGAGGGTCCAAATCTAGAAGAGTAAAACAGCTATCTCCAAAAGGACAGCGCTCCTCTGTCCCATCTGTCTTTGGAAGCCCATTTTTTCTCAACAAGGCTTACCTGAGACAATCTTGTACTTATCACCTTCAACAAAGGAAAAAGTATGGATGCTACTTGAATATATTTTAGGAAAAAGTGATACTGATACTACTATATAGCCAAAACCCAATAGCTCTGCCAATCAGGAGAATTTATGCACACTTTTCTTTTTTTGAGACAGAGTCTTCACTGTTGCCCAGGCTGGAATACAGTGGCGCAATCTTGGCTCACTACAATCTCCTCCTTCTGGGTTCAAGCGATTCTCCTGCCTCAGCCACCCAAATACCTGGGATTCCAGGTGCACACCACCACGCCCAGCTAATTTTTGTATTTTTAGTAGAGATGAGGTTTTACCACATTGGCCAGGCTGGTCTGCAACTCCTGACCTCAAGTGATCCTCCCACTCCGGCCTCCCAAAGTGCTGAGATTACAAGCGTGCGCCACCACACCAGCCGATACATGCATTTTTTTTGAAGCAAAGTCTCACTCTGTTACCCAGGCTGGAGTGCAGCAGTGCAATCATGGCTCACTGCAGCTCAAATGCCTGGGCTCAAGCAATCCTCTCACCTCAGGCTCCTAAGTACATACTTAGCTGGGACTACAGGTGTGCACCACTACACTTGGCTAATTTTTTTTTATAGAGATGGGGTCTCACCATGTTGCCCAGGCTGGTCTGGAACTCCTGTTTTCAAGCAATCCTCCTGCCTCAGCCTCCCAAAGTGCTGGGATTACAGGTGTGGGCCACTGTGCCTGGCCACAGCTTGGCTAATTTTTTTTACACAGATGGGGTCTCACCATGTTGCCCAGGCTGGTCTAGAACTCCTGGCTTCAAGCAATCCTCCTGCCTCGGCCTTCCAAAGTGCTAGATTACAAGCGTAAGCTACCATAGCTGGCCTGCATCTGTACTCTCTAACCAAAACCTGCCCGTCATTTGGAAAACTGCAAGATGTTTTTTTCAACATGACAGGAAGGATGAGGAAATTTATTCTTCTATCTAGGCATTAGTTTACAGTAATTAGGAAATTTGCTTAAAAGTCAAAATGCTTGTAGATTTATACAACATAGAACACACATGCAAAAGTTTGTAAAGTGATTAGTAAAAGTTGTTTTTTTTTTTTGTTTTTTTTTTTTTTGAGACAGTCTCGCTCTGTCGCCCAGGCTGGAGTGCAGTGGTGCAATCTCGGCTCACTGCAACCTCCACCTCCCGGGTTCAAGCTATTCTTTGTGCCTCAGCCTCCACAGTAGCTGGGATTACAGGTGAGCACCACCACACCCAGCTAATTTTTGTATTTTTAGTAGAGATGGGGTTTTGCCATGTTGGCCAGGCTAGTCTCGAACTCCTGGCTTCGAATGATCAGCCCACCTCGGCCTCCCAAAGTGCTGGGATTACAACAGGCATGAACCACCGCGCCCAGCTGAGAAAAAGCATTTTTGATAAGCAATGACAGTTTCTAGCAATATAGCTGGTTTCTCAGGCTATGATTCTAGACCACTGGTTCTCAAGCAGAACCAATTTTGACACCCCTCCCCTCCCTGCTTCAGGGACATATGGCCATGTGTGGAGGTCACTGCGGGGGAGGGAAAAGAATGCTACTGGTGCATCTAATGGGTGAAGGCCAAGGATGCTGTGAACATCCTACAATGCACAGGACAGCCCTCACCACAGAGAATTATCCTGCCCAAAATGTCAACAGTGCTAAGGTTCACTAACTTGAATTTAGACCTAAGCTGATATTCTGTGCCATTAATTAGAATTCATGTTCTTGTATGCTAAAAGACTTGCCAAATTCTTGTTTAAAAAATAAAAATACTATTCAACATTCAATCACATTCACTGTCCTTTCATCGCCATCTGAGTACCCTGTCACAACACAAAAAAATGAACATCTGCTTTCTTAAGCTGATTCCACTAACAATTTCAAAAATTAAAAAAAAAAAAAAATCCTTGTATTTTACAAAGCAATTTGAGAAAGGACTACACTGGGAAATTTTACATACTGGTGTTCTGGGGCCCTAAAGGGAATGACAAACATTCAGATTTGGGGATAAAGAGATCAGTGCACTTGCTCTAACCAAAATCATTTGAATAGGCTGAGAGTGAGACAAATAAAACAAATGCCAAACCCTGAGTTAATGATACTGAAAACCCACAAGGAATAAAGCGATCTCATCCATGTCAAACAACAGCCACGCATTGAGAATTTTAATTCACATTTTACTTAGTGCAGCTTGGGTCAATTATATTACTATAATGAAACTGACTTTGCTGTTTACATTCAGAGTGTTACTGTAATGGTATAGTTTCTACACACAGTCACAGCACATGGCTTATCACCATGTTGTTGTAGCCTCTAACAACTGGGAAGGACACCCAGTATGAAAACACAGGCCAATGCCCACCTTCTCCTGACCGGAAACTAAGCTCCTTACCACCAACCATGGAATCAACTTTAATTTCTGAAACTTCACCCGCTTTGTAACCCCAAGAAAAACTATGTCATAAAAATCACAGACTTAACCCAACCCAAACTAAAACCATGCCCCTAAGTGGCACCTCTGATGCTAAGAGTGACAGTAAGTGGCATTTATAGCACCCGGTATTTAAACACTTTCTTTTAAGGGGACAAAAACGTGAAAAAGAGCATTTGTTGACAGTTCTCTCCAAATCACTCTTCCTTGATTTCTGCTATTTCCCTGTTCTTTAAAACACTCAATTCCTATCTTGGGAGACAGCAAAATAAATAAATAAATAAATAAAAATAAAGAAGAAAACTGGTATGCTACGTAAACACGTGCAAAAGAGCTGTCTGGCAGCAGAAAACATCAAGGACACTACTGCAGGAGTTATCGCAAAACCTCCCATTATGTGAATGGCCTCTCACGTAAAGAGGGGCAAGGGTGATCAACAGGAAGAAACTGCTTATGGGGCCAAGAATTCTCCAGCCACTTGAAGACAATAACAAAAACTAAAATAACAATCCACTAAAGGCCCCATCTCAATGCAGGAGCACACAGAAAATGATGCATGGGCAACCTAAGGAATGGGAGAAAATATTTGCAAACCATACCTCAAATAAGAGTTAACATCCAAAAAACTCAATAGTACAAAAATTAAAAAATAAGTATCCTAATTTAAAAATGGGCAAAGGACCTCCTGAACAGACATTTCTCAAAGAAGACACACAAATGGCCAACAGATATACAAAAAAATGCTCAATATCATTAATCATGAAGGAAACGCAAATCAGAGCCACAATGAAATATCACCTCAGGCTGGGCGCAGTGGCTCACGCCTGTAATCCCAGCACTTTGGGAGGCCGAGGTGGACGGATCACCTGAGTTTGGGAGTTTGAGACCAGCCCAACCAACATGGAGAAACCCAGTGTCTACTAAAAATACAAAATTAGCCAGGTGTGGTGGCGCATGCCTGCAATCCCAGCTACTCAGGAGGTTGAGGCAGGAGAATTGCTTGAACCTGGGAGGCAGAGGTTGCAGTAAGCGGAGATCGCGCCATTGCACTCCAGCCTGGGCAACAAGAGCAAAACTCCATCTCCAAAAAAAAAGAAAGAAAGAAAGAAATGTCACCTCAAACCTGCTGAAATGGTGGGTAACAAAAAGACAAAGATAGTGTTAGTGATGGTGTGGAGAAAAGGAAACCTTTGTACACTGTTCTTAGGAATGTAAATTGGTACAGCCCTGATGCAAAACAACAGTATAGAGGTTTCTCAAAAAGTTAAAAATAGAACTACTTTCTCAAAAAGGTTAATTATCCCTTTTCTGAAGTGCTTGGGACCAGCAATGTTTGGATTCTGGATTTTTTTCAGATTTTTAAATATTTGCAATATTCTTACTGGCTGAGAATTAGGGCTGCTCAATCTGTACATGATCCAGCAATCCCACTTCTGGGTATATATCTAAAGAAAATGAAATTGGGGTCCGAGGTCCGGGCACAGTGGCTCATGCCTGTAATCCCAGCCTTTGGGAGGCCGAGGAAGGTGGATCACCTGAGGTCAGGAGTTCGAGACCAGCCTGGCCAACATGGTGAAACCCCGTCTCTACTTAAAAAAAAAAAAAATTAGCCAGGCATGGTGGTGGGTGCCTATAATCCCAGCTACTCCAGAGGCTGAGGCAGGAGAACTGCTTGAACCCAAGAGATAGAGGTTGCAGTGAGCCAACACGGTGCCACTGCACTCCAGCCTGGGTGACAGAGTGAGACTCCGTCTCAAAAAATGAAAGAAAAGAAAGAAAGGAAAGAAAGAAAGAAAGAGAGAGAAAATGAAATCAGTATATCAAAGATACATCTGCAATCCATGACCACTGCAGTGCTATTCACGAGAGCCAAGATACCGAACAACCCAAATGTCTGTTGATGGATGAACAGATAAAGAAAATGTGGTACCTATAAACACAATGGAATACCATTCAGCCTTGAAAAAGAAGAAAATCCTACCACTTACGACAACATGGGCAGATGTGCAGAACAGTAGGCTAAGCGAAATAAGCAGATTCAGAAAGACAAATAATGCATAATCTCCTTTCTATGTGGAATCTAAGAGTACAACTCACAGAAGCAGAGAGTAGAATGGCGGCTGCCTTGCGGGGTAGGGGAAAATGAGGAGCAATTGGTCAAAGGGTACAAGGTTTCAGTTACCCAAGATAAAGAAGATCTGGATTTCCAAGGTACAACACGGTGACTATAGTTAATAATAACGGTATTGTATACTTGAAATTTGCTAAAATGGTACTTTGTGGTGTGTTTGTTTTTTGTTTTTTGGTTTTTTTTTTTGACAGAGTTTCGCTCTCGTTGCCCAGGCTGGAGTACAATGGTGCGATCTCGGCTCACGGCAACCTCCACCTCCTGGGTTCAAGCGATTCTCCTGCCTCAGCCTCCTGAGTAGCTGGGGTTACAGGCATGTGCCACCACGCCAGGCTAATTTTGCATTTTTAGTAGAGATGGGGTTTCTCCATGTTAGTCAGGCTGGTCTGGAACTCCCAACCTCAGGTGATCCGCCCACCTCAGCCTCCCAAAGTGCTGGGATTACAGGCATGAGCCACCGCACCCAGCCCTTTGTTTTGTTTTCTTAGAGACAGGGTCTCATTTGGTCACCCAGGTGGGATACAGTGGCATGATTTTATCTCATTGCAGCCTTGAAGTCCCAGACTCAAGCAATCCTCCCACCTCAACCTCCTGAGTAGCTGGGACTACAGGCACGCACCACCACACTCAGCTAATTTTTTTGATTTTCAGTGGAAAAAAAGTCTTGCTATGTTGCCCAGGCTGGTGTCCAACACCTGAGCTCAAGCAATCCTCCTGCCTTGGCCTCCCAAACTGCTGGGATTACATGTGTGAGCCACCATGCCTGGCCTGTCTTTATTCTTTCTCCATTTCAGCTAATCCACATAGGCCAACTCCTCCTGCATGACCACTGCCTTGCTCATCCCATTTCCCTGGAAGGCCATTAAGGCTATGACAAGCCATGTGAAGGTGGATCCACTACAAAAACTATACAGGTTTTGATTGAAAAGATGTTCAACATCATCAGCCATCAGGAAAATGCAAATCAAAAACGGGAGATGCGGCCTCACACCCATTAGGATGCGGAGAATAAAAAAGATGGACAGGAAATGCCAGAGATCATGTAGAGAAATTGGAATTCTCGTACGCTATTGTGGGAATGTAAAATGATGCAGCCGCTTTGGAAAACAGTCTGGCTGTTGCTCAAAAAGTTACCATAGACCCAGTGATTCTACTCCCAGAGACAAATCCAAGAGAAAACATGCCCACACAAAAACCTGTACACAAATGTTCATAGCAGCATTATTCAAAATAGCCAATCAGTGGAAATAACCTAAATATCCATCAACTTATGAATGAATAAGCAACTGCAGTATATTGATGAAATGTTAATTGTCAATAAAAAGGACTAAAATACTGGTGATACGACAACATGGATAAACCTTGAAAACATGCTAAGTAAAAGAAGCCAGGCATACAAGGCTACATATTATATGATTCCATTCATATGAGATGTCCAGAATAGGCAAATTCATAGAGATGGATAAGCACATTGGTAGCAGCCAGAGGTTAGGGGAGGAGACATGAAGAATAAATGGTAATGAATACGGAGTTTCTTTACAGGGTGACAAAAATGTTCTAGAAAAATTTTATAGTCGTGATGGTTGTACAGCAATGTGAATACGCTAAAAACCACAGAAGTGTATGCTTTAAAAAAGACGAATTTGGCCAGGTGCAGTGACTCATGCCTGTAATCCCAGCACTTTGGGAGGCAGAGACAGGTGAATCACCTGAGGTCAGGAGTTTGAGAACAGCCTGGCCAATATGGTGAAACCCCATCTCTATTAAAAATGCAAAAATTAGCCAGGCATGGTGGTGTGTGCCTGTAATCCCAATTACTCGGGAGGCTGAGGCAGGAGAATCGTTTGAACCCGGGAAGCGGAGGTTGCAGTGAGCCGATATCGCACCACTGCACACTGCACTCCAGCCTGGGTGATAGAGTGAGACACTGTCTCAAAAAAAAAAAAAAAAAAAAAAAGGTGAATTTCATGGTGTATATATCATATCTCAATTTTAAAAATAACACACAATAGGCTGGGTGCAGTGCCTCACGTCAGTAATCCCAGCACTTTGGGAGGCCAAGGCAGGTGGATCACCTGAGGTCAGGAGTTCCAGACCAGCCTGACCAACATGGAGAAACCCTGTCTCTACTAAAAATACAAAATTAGCCAGGCATGGTGGCGCATGTCTGTAATCCCAGCTACTTGGGAGGGGAGGCTGAGGCAGAAGAATCGCTTAACCCGGGAGGCAGAGGTTGCAGTGAGCGCCAAGATCGCGCCATTGCACTCCAGCCTGGGCAACAAGAGAGAAACTCCGTCTCCAAAAAAAAAAAAATAATAGTAATAATAATTCAATTGTAATTTTAAAATAACTAAAAGCGTGTCATTAGATTGTAACACAAAAGATAAATGCTTGCTGGGTCTGGTGGCTCACACTTATAATCCCAGCACTTTGAGAGGCCGAGATGGGTGGATCCCCTGAGGTCAGGAGCTCCAGATCAGCCTGGCCAACATGGAGAAACCTCGTCTCTACTAAAAATACAAAATTAGCCAGGCGTGGTGGCACATGCCTATAATCCAAGCTCCTTGGGAGGCTGAGGCAGGAGAACCGCTTGAACCCGGGAGGCAGAGGCTGTGGTGAGCTGAGATCAAGCCACTGCACTCCAGCCTGGGCAACAAGAGTGAAACTCTGTCTCCAAAAAAATAAAATAAAATAAAATAAAATAAAAATAAATGCTTGAGGGGATAGATACCCCATTCTTTATGATGTGTTTATTAAACACTGCATGCCTGCATCAAAACATCTCCTGTACCTCATAAATATATACACCTAGTACACACAAAAATAAAAAATTTAAAAACACACAGGTGTAACTCCTATAATGGGGTACTCTATTTTCTATTCTGAAGCTTTTTTCTCCTTCTGGAAAAATGAAGAATATATAATGCTTTATTCCAGGGAATCAAGTAAAAATCACAGGAAACTATGTGGGTGGGTTGATAGGTGCAGCAATCACAGCACACGTTTACCTATGAAACAAACCTGCACATCCTATACATGTATCCCGGAACTTAAATTAAAATTTTTTTAAAAAAGGAAAGAAATATGTGGGGAAATTAAAAAGTAAATGCTTCAACACTTTTCTAATAACTACAAAGCATGATGACAATAATCCGGACACTGAGGAAAAGTTCTGCATTTGTCAGGCGCCTAGTTGTGCTCTCAGTAAAAACAAACAAACAAATTTAACCAAAGGAGAAACGGACTGCGAAGACTTCTTTGCAATATTGCTCTTTCCCTTCGGAAATTTAATAAAAGGGCTAGAGTGTTGGAATTTAAGTAGAGAGTACGTCACTAAATACAAGTTAGTAGAGCTAGAAGATCCATGTTTGTTGTAGCTATTTAGTCTTCTCTCGGTAGCAGGATATGCATTATTCTCCTAGGGAGAATTTGTTTTATAAAGAAACTTACAGCTGGGTTACTGATGGCTTTCCAGGGATTAACCACATACTCATAAGAATAAGAGGCCAACCTCATCCTCTTAAACTTCACACACTACAATCCCATAGATAGCTGACAGCTATAGCCAAAGGAGAAAAATAATCCAACATTTTACTAATCCTTAAACCAATCATCTCATGCAAGAGTGGAGAGCCCTTTAGGTCTACAACTCAATCTCTTAGGGATAGACAGGCTCCTTCTACAAATGTTTTAGGAGTTTGAATTCACAGCCATCCCCTACACAAAAACATCTAGTCAGACATCACAAAATACCCTAGACTTATTTTTAATTTTATACTAAGTTGTTTTAAAATATACAAAATCAGATATTTGCCTATGGAGAAGGAATATAGAAATCTGACCAATAAACAGATTCCCATATAAGCCCCATATGCCTTGACCAAGGTTATGTTCATGAAAAATAAGTCAGACTACATCCAAATAAGTGAGAAAGAAAAATGAGGTTGCCTAAACCCGAATTTCATGGTTTTTTTTTTCTCTTGTGCATAGGTTATATGTAAACAAACTCAAATTTCTTGATCTCCTGAAGTTCACAGGCATTACTATGGGTAACTGCTCAAATTTTCTTGCACCCAACTGTCAGCTCTGAGGCCACAAATAGAAACCTGGCATTTTGTGGACGGGAGGACAGTCCCCACTGGTCATCTGACGATGTCTTCTAACTCTCTCTTCCCTCCCAATTTTAACAGAATGATTCCTATAACCTCTTGTGCCAACAATGACACTATCTGCCTTATTCTTTGTGTTAGGTAAGGAAGCCAATGATGTCTTCACGTTTTTGCTCTCAATTCTGTCTCCATCTGTTCCCCAAACTTAAGTTTGCACATCAAAAGCTAAATGGCCATCCTTTTTCACTACTGTTTCCTTATTAAAAGTCATTCATGCACAACAACTTAATGGCAGGAGCAAAGCCTCTGGCTGGGTCTAATCTCAAACACCCACATCCCTGTAACCACTAAAGACAAAGGAGGAGGTGCACTGCTGCTTGGCACAACCACCACCAACCAGGACTTGACCAACTGGACCCACAGATCTGCTACAAGCACTTAGGGAAACCAGGCAGACAAAACTGCAGTTCAAGGAGTCAGGACCACATGTTCAGGGAAGGGTGGGAAGGTAGACGGTATTACCATCTACAGATAGGGGACACTGATAGAGGTTAACTGACTATATGAGGTCATAAAGCTAATAGATGGCAGCTAAGTATCCTCCCCAAGTCCATCTGATCCCAAGGCCCATGCTTTGTCCAAGGCAACACAATGTAAATATTCCTATGTGGATTACCAAAAACACCATGAAATGGACCAACAGGTGGTTAGAAATAAAATATACAACTGTGCCATTGTTTACTATTAATATTTTTAAAAATGCAATTAGCTGATTCTCTTTTAACTTTTCAGTTAAAAAAACAAGCATCTTTATGGGCAGGCACGGTGGCTTACACCTGTAATCCCAACACTTTGGGAGGCTGAGGCGGGTGGATCACCTAAGTTTGGGAGTTCAAGACCAGCCTGGCCAACATGGTGAAACCCTGTCTCTACTAAAAATACAAAAATTAGCTGGGTATGGCGGTGCATGCCTGTAATCCCAGCTACTCGGGCGGCTGAGGCAGGAGAATCACTGGAACCCTGGGAGGCAGAGGTTGCAGTGAGCCGAGATCACACCACTGCACTCCAGCCTGGGTTACAGAGTAACACTGTCTCCAAAAAAAAAAAAAACCCAAGCATCTTTAGCTCTTCTTTCACATGCCAAAAGAAAGAAAGAAAAAAAAAAGCAAATATCTTTCTTTAGGAGAAGGGGAAAAACTGTAAGAATAATGGAATTCACTGGGGTCCTGGAAACCACCCCCTTATTGTGGAATGTGGGTTACCAGGTATACACAGGTATCAAAAATCAAGCTGTGCATTTCACTATATTACAATTATACATCAACTGAAAAAAACAAATATATGTGTGTACAGATATGTATCTCTCTATATTATCCCTCGATTATCTGTGATGTAAAGAGAACAATAATTATTTAAAATCCCAATCCCAACTGAAATCAATTATTCAATATCTATCAGAGCAGGTAGAAGAGAGCTTTTAGTTCCAAACTCCCCAAATAATAAAGTGGAGAAGTGGTCTTGAAGAGTCTTTCAATCAATTATCCCTGCATTCAGGCAGCCATTAGCCATTCCACAAATAAGATGTTACAACATTTAATAACCAATTTTGTTTTGATCATTCTTAATAGAAATTTTAAAAAACAAACAAAAATGTTGCTTATGGTGTAAAAACGATCCTGATCTAAAAACTCAAGGTCTCAAATGAGTAAGTTCCCCTCCCACAATGCGACTTGTTTTCTAAGGCCTAAGTGAGCTGTGTGTCAAACCAAATAAACCTTGTACATATTTTGTACACCTTTGCACTATAAATTATCCTTTTCATTGTGACAAGACTACAATACATTTAATAGGAAAAGAATTGGTAAGAAGCAACAGTCAAAAAGTAGGGCTGTAGTTATTATTCTGCCAGTCATCAAATTTGCTGTCAAAGCTGTTTAAAAAAAGGTCTACAAAAATATTTCAATAGTCTCTCCAGTATCAAATACCTAAGAAGCTTATTTTTCTTAAATACCGGTACTCTATGTAAGTTGAAGGCAGGTGCTATGGTGAGAAAGAATTAAAATTCAGTATTTTTTGTCAGACAGGAGAACTACAATTTCTATGCTGGTGAGAAATGGGGACTGTTAATTCACTCAACAAGCACAGAAAAAATACAACCTCTCTCTGTCTCCTCGAAGAGCACCCACAGGCCCAAGACACACCTTGAACTAACCTAGAAGCTGGATGTCCTTGAGATGATTTACTTTTTCCAGGTTTGATAAAGAGAAATATCTTTAGCCCTGTCAAGCAAGCAGTAAAGCTCCTTGATTGTACCTTAAAGGGAATGAGAATGTTTCGGCTCATTTGCATTTTAAAGGGTACTCTTTCATGATCTTTCACACTTGTAATAGATGTCTAAACCGTTAAATTACTATTTCTTTTCTTAGCCTGAAAGTGGATGCAGACTAAGAGCGTGGCCTCTCCCATTGTTCTTTACCCTAAGTCGGCCCCTGAACAATACTGACAGCTGCTATCAAACCAGGCTGCATTTACTCTGCGCGCAGCTGCTGCTTGTAGGAACAGACAGTTTCCCGGTACCTCCTCCCCTCTGGGGAGACAGGTTGACACACTGCATGTTCAATGAAGGGGTGCAAAGGTCCACTGAATTGTCAACCCAATTTTATGCTACTTCAATTTTCCAGAACGCACACAATTCCTTTCAGGCAAAAATCAAGCATATGCCACAGCATGAAACTTAAGGTGTGGGATAATTATTGATCACCACAAACTTGAAAAGAGCCTTCGGACATAAATTCATATACTAATCCAAAAATTACAATGATAAAAACCGCACATGCCAGTATGCCCAAGACACACAATGGGCCTAAGTCTCGCTTGCATTGCGCCTGATTCACCACTTTGGTTTACTGTTGCCAAGGCATCCAGAGCTAACCTGCCTTTATAATAACCTCCACAACATTTTTCCTGGACTAAAGCCATTCGTAAAATTAGAAATTCATTTGCCCTTCTAAAAAGATCTGCTATTTTTATTCTCTGATTCAGCTCAAAATGGGTATTACCTATGAACATCTGGTTAATGCGATTTCCTCCTTCCTAAAGTGTAGGTGCAAAGGAGATTCACAAGAGCTGGGCGGTGCCTTTGAGAATTTAAACGTCAGAGTTTTGCCATCATGAAATTATATGTCGTAATGTAGAGTCTATCAGAAAACAAACATGTTCCACAAAGTTTAACCGGGTACTTGAGAACTGCTTTGCATATGTTTTCTTTTAATCAAAACAGGCTTTTCCATCCTCATTCATTTGGGTGAAAAAATTCTGTGCTTGAGCTACAAGTACAATTCACTATTAGTCTTTGCTAATCAAACACAGTACATGCAAAAGTACCAGTGAATATTTGATTTGATCTCTGAAATAAAGCAATTCATTACACAAGAAAAGGGTACAGAAGGCAGCAGACAAATGCAGATGTAATTGTGTTTTTTGTTGAATGTGATTAGAGAGCCCACTAAGTAACAGTCAAAAATGTGATACTGAAGGAGGGGGAAGGCAGTGCCTGGATCTGGGGGGAAGAGGAGGGAGAATTGTTTATGCAGAGCTAAGCTGTCAAGTGTAATAAAGCAGCTTGAATAAAATTTAAGCTGAAAATCCACTGAAGCTCCCCATTTCAGGGAGGAAAAAGCTATTAAAAGGAAATGAAGGTCACCCTCCTAGTTTATTTCACCTAATTGACTGCCAATAGCTTACCACAGACAACTCAACTGCAGATCTGCAATTGAGAAACTGATGAAAGGAGAGTTTTCAAGCTGAGGCTCATTCTTTAATCCTCCTTGGCTCTTATGTTTTTTCTCCATCTCCAGTTGGGATGTAATTTTAAGCCCTGATGGATTAACTGGTTCCATTGTCTGTGGCCGTCATTGGACTATGGCACTCTTAATCCGTACAGCAGCATGTCTAATTATCATTACAAAGTGTCTGAGGGAACTATAAAGACCAGCAGGGCATCATCTCACAAGCAATTAACATAAATTGATAAATGAGTGATTTGAATCTGCTCAAGGCACTCACATATGAATAAAATCAGAAAGGACGGTCCCTTGTTTCAGCTCCTTCTTTGGCTTAGTGTGGAAGGGGACGAACACATGAGAACCATCCCAGGTCCTGCAGTGGGGGGCGGAGGATGAACTCATGCAGGGGATGGAATGCACGGTTCACCAGATTCATTAATGCAGAGCAAATGACTTGTGATTGACAACCAGTGGCTAGCACGGAGCACTAACTGAACTCAAGAGAGGAGAGCAGAACCCCGGTGAAAAGCCAGGGAGCACTAGGGCAGACAATTAACAATTCTTCCATGGCAAGAGAGCGCTCTTTTCATTGGTGTGTGACTTAAAAATTCATGAAAGAGGCACAAGAAAGAACAAGAGCCAACAGTTCTATAGGTTCGAATACCCCAGAAAGCAAAAGGCAAAAAGCAAGGATAACTAAATGAAATGATAATTCAGAGACCCATTTTGACCTCACTGTGATCTAACATTGTAAGACAGAAGTGAGGAAAGTATTTAAAATTCTAACCTAAAGCTTTTACTAGACTAATGAAGCAAGGGTGGTTTAGGTGTCACAGGATGAACTACATTTATTTTCCCACTTAAAAGTAGATTTAGGGACGGGCAAGGGGGTGCCTGCCTTTGGACCCAGCTACTCAGGAGGCTAAGGCAGGAGGATCACTTGAGTTCCAGGCCAGAGTAGGCAAAATACCAAGACCCCGGTCTGTTTAAAAAGAATTTTTTTAATTAATAGATTTTTTGTCCCCTCCTAAAATGCTTCTCCTGTCATCTTCCTTATGCTAAGCCCTCTTCCTCCATATACCTTAGCACATCCCAAGTCTCTTCCTCTCCTCCTCCCACCCTTATCAAATAGGTCAACGTTAAGATACACACACACACACACACACACACACACACACGTAAAGCCATCAAATTAATAAGAAATGAAAGCTGGTTATACACACTGTAGGAGGTAGACCTGGTAGGCCACGTACCCCGATGATGGCATTCAATTCTGCCATGGTCACCTGTTTGGCACGTTCAACAGCCTGGGCCACCTGTTGTTGATGCTTTGAAAACAAGGAGAAGAAAGGGCATTAGCAACAGCCAAAAACTTCACTGTATATTCTAACAACAAAAAGTCAAATGCTGTGTGCAATGCAGGCTGAAGTAGAAGGGTTTAAATGCAGAATTTCTCAACCACACTTTATTTTCACAGAACATAGATAGGGAAAGAAAAACTGAGAATGGCGCTGCCCTTTATTTCTAAACAACACCAGTCACTACTTCTGGCTGTAAATTTCGGCTTGGAATGGTAGAAAACAAAAAAGGACATAAAGAATGATAACATAGGACCTTAAAAAATAAATAGAACAGAATTTGGAAGATCACCCTTGTTCACAAAAGGGGTTCATAAGTTTACAGCAATTTTAAAATATGCATTTTACAGCCAGATGCAATGGCTCATGCCTGTAATCCCAGCACTTTGGGAGGCCAAGACAGGGTGAGCCCAGGAGTTCAAGACCAGCATGGGCAACATGGCAGAACCCTGTCTCTATTTTTAAAATAAATAAATAAAATACCCATTTTAATACCTAAAACTTTAATATTAAATCCGTTGATTGGTTGATCACTTGTCTGATCAACCAATCTTGACCCACCAGTCATTTTCGGAAACTCCTGGAATTCCTCTCATTCTTTTATAGCCTTTTGATTCTTTACCCTCCACAAGGCAAAGGAAGGACTCCAGCCTCAATTCAGAGATGGAAACTCACCCCACACCTCCCAACTCCCAACTCCACCCACAAATAAAAACAAAGCCATAAATTTACTTTGGGAGGCATGAGAATGTAACATAGAGCCGTGGATCACTAAAGTCTAACAACTACTGATATACTCAAAAGGCAGACAAATCTATTGTCATATCAGACAGACAAAGGTTATGGTGGAAGAGGCTGTTACAACAATAATGAGATGGTGACCATCCGGCATGGAGCAACAGGTGCCAACCAGGATACCCAGTATTCCAACTCCTAGTCCAATAAACTTTCCACCCTGCGTGAAGATGCATTCATCCCGTGCACACTTAGAACACGTTACAGCATTTACTAGCTTATATCCAGAAGGAAGGTAAACTTTTCAAGGCAAAGCTAAAATACAATAGTCTTGAGTCAGTTTCATAGATTACTCATATAAAGAGATTCCTCCCTCAAAGAATGTTAAGATTAAACCTCTATGACTTTGTAACTAAACAAAATAGCTTATACATACATATGACTCATTAAGTTAATGTATTTTGGACTATTATCATCCACCCCTTCAAGGACAGCATTAAGACAACTGCCTTGATACATAAGTACAAAAGAACTATCTGCCTCCATAGTAAAGTCTACCTTGATGGAACCATTTTTAAAAGTCAGTATGAGAACAGCTTTCTATTTAAAAGATATAAAAGACACCTGAATTTTCAGTAGCTCTCAAGCTTATGCTACTTAAAGCAAAAGCTGTACATTGGATAGTCATTTTGCAGTTTTCCACAGGAAAAAAAATTAATTTGGGGGTTGAGCTATTGTCACCATTTCTACAGTGTGCCCTCAGATGTGTTGGATAGACTAGCAGGGGGTTTACACACTTCAGCTGTAACAGATGTTCTTCACACTTGTTCCTTGTGATAAAATTAACATCTTAAAACTAGCTAATTTGCAAACAGAGAAGCAACATAATTGCACTTTAACAGCTGAACAATTTTACTTACTTCCTGAGACAGAAATGGGATGACTTGTGCACAAATCGTATTCAATCTCTTGGCGATTTCAGTCTATAAAGACAAAGCCACACAAATGTTTAGAATACTTCACAATCAGTTCAGAAAGGTAAAACTTCATACCCCTAACACTTCAGTCCTCCTCTCCCTTGCTCTGGAAATGTGTATAAAATGGTTTCCCCAGGTTATGTTACTAATACTTATCTTGAAATAAACAGTAGATATTAATCCCACTTGCAAAGTAAGCCACAACTGCACACTTCATTGTAATAAGAGATGAGTAGTTTGATTGAGTTGGAAAATCTAGGCGGTTTAAGGCTATATGATCATTTAATATGGTGACTATATATATATACACATATATATATGTATTTTTGAGACAGAGTCTTGCTCTGTCGCCCAGGCTGGAGTGCAGTGGCACGATCTCGGCTCACCACAAGCTCTGCCTCCCGGGTTCACACCCTTCTCCTGCCTCAGCCTCCCAAGTAGCTGGGACTACAGGCGCCCGCCACCACTCCCGGCTAATTTTTTTCTATTTTTAGTAGAGGTGGGGTTTCACCGTGTTAGCCAGGATGGTCTCGATCTCCTGACCTCGTGATCCGCCCGCCTCGGCCTCCCAAAGTGCTGGGATTACAGGCGTGAGCCACTGCACCCAGCCAAGTGTACTTTTTCAATGATGGCACACCATGACACATTTATGTCATTATTGCAAGTTCATTCAAGCGGGTGTCAGAAGCCACTGCAGCTGCAGCACTGTCAAAGCAGTCCACCTTTCAAAGATGAGGCCTAAGGTGATAGAGTAGAAGAAAGGCCTGCTGACCTCTTTGCCACTTGTCCCAGCTCTTGTACAACTGAAAAAGGATTTTATTGTTCATAGCTTCCCTAAGTCTCAAACTTTCAAACAAACCAAGAAAACATGACTAAAAACATTCCAGTCTAGAGGGTGATGGTCAAGTCATGATATCCTGAGTATTCGGAAAGTTTCGCCACAGTTCAGTAACAAACTCAAAGACCTCACCGACAGGGCCCAGGGGTCAGCTGAACATAATAAAAGGTGTCCTTAGTGTCTATAGCACGGGCTGTTTTAAAGAAGGCAGGAAAGGCCGGGTGCGGTGGCTCGCGCCTGTAATCCCAGCACTTTCTGAGGCCAAGGCATGTGGATTATGAGGTCAGGAGTTCAAGACCAGCCTAGCCAAGATGGTGAAACCCCGTCTCTACTCAAAATACAAAAATTAGCCGGGCGTGATGGTGGGCGCCTGTAATACCAGCTACTCGGGAGGCTGCGGCAGAGAACTGCTTGAACGAGGGAGGTGCAGGCTGCAGTGAGCCGAGATCACGCCACTGCACTCCAGCCTGTGCGACAGTGAGACTCCACCTCAAAAAATAAAAAAAATAAAGAAGGCTGGAAAAACCTTTGCTCCGCTCCACATCCACAGCAGTCCCTCTGCTACAAGGGACAAAAACTGGCAAGAGAGGGAACAGAGGGTACTCTACTTCTAGCCCAGGGAAGGGTCCACCTGCAGCACCTCCAACACCCTACAGCAATGCAAAGCAGCTCTGCTTTCCTCTACCTAGGAAGAACCAGTTCTGCTTTTTTAAAAAAGAAAAAAAAAGTCATCTGTAAAGAGGCCCATCCTTGACCTTACTTATTTCATCATTTTGTCAATGCTTACTAAATGCCACCTATATTACTGAATTAAGCAATGAAAAGGATCACAAGAAAAAAACTTAAAAGCACGCAGTCCATGACCTTGAGAAATAGAGAATGGAAAAAGACAAAGTAGAAATCCCAGGAACAAAGTCGAGCCTGCGGTGAGCTGAGATCGCGCCACTATACTCCAGCCAAGGCGACAGAGCAAGACCCTGTCTCAAAAAAAAAAAAAAAAAGAAAAGAAAAGAACAAAACCCCAGGAACTTTACAATCAAGCATATAAAAAACAGCAGCCTTGTATCTTCTAAGATGATCTGAATTAACTAAGCAAAGTCTTTGGTTTTATAAGATTGGATTTAGTCTGACCCAACCCAATTCTCCCTGACCACCAATGAGACAAGGTTACAGACAGACCATGCCTTGGACAAAATGTACTAGAAGGGGAAATGACTGGTAGAGAGAGGAAGCCCGTGCATGACCTTGCTTTAGCCAGCGAGGCAGATATATGCAAAAAGGGTGCAGCTGTACCAGGTACAAAAACAGAACTGGGTCAGCCCCACCCAGTTCATTTGATCACAGCCACCCACTCAAGCTACCTCAAGGTCATGGCTCTCCTCGAAAGCATGGGCAAGGCTTTCCTTTGCAACAGGGTTCTGCACTGTCTATTTGAGTGCATGTAAAGGAGTAGAGATGCCTTTGGTAGGTATCCTACTTAGGTCCTTGCTCCCAACTCCCTACCTACCACACATTCCTGCAACACTCTGTACATTCCTCTTCTCGGAAATTCACATTGAAGGTTTCCAGTTTTAAAAATGATATATGCTCACTTTGAACTCATACACATGCACACAGATACATATACAGAAATATAAAAGAAAGTTAAAATAACCCTGAGCCCATCATCCAAGGATAAGCATGGGTAACATATTGGTGATTTTAGGATACCATCATTCCAGGTTCTCACTTATGTGCACAGAAGCCCAGAGTGAGAGACACATTTTAATACCAAGGGGTTTCCGTTACATACCCTGCCTTTCTATAATTTGTTAATCAAACATGTGTCAGGGACACCATCCCAGTCAATACAGATTAACAAGTACCTTGAAACATTCCACCATACAAGCATATAGATGTCTAAGTACTATTGACACCAGTGAATATTTATGTTTCATTTAATTTTGCACAATTAACAACTCTGTCAAATACGCCTCCACACAGATCTCTAAAAGGAATCCCTAGATGTGAAACTGCTGGGTCAAAGTGTATGCATATTTTAAGTTGCAATGCATGCTGCCAAACTGCCCAGCAGAAAAGCTGTACCAATTATTGCGAGTTTAGGAGGGTTCCTGCTCTCCCACCCAGTGTCAATATTGAGTTTTGTTGACCTTCCTTTAATCTTCATCCATCTAATGGATTAAAAAATGACCTCATTTTTATTTGCATTACTTGAATTCTTCCTCTAGTTAAACATCTTTTCATGTATTTATTGCTCCACTCTATGTTTCCTTTCTCCATTCTTCCATTGTTGCTTAATCATTTTTGTCCTTTGGTGGTGCTTCCTTGAATGGGACAAATATTAACCCTTTATCAGAGTTTGCTCAGCTTGCCACTTGTCTTTCAACCTTGCTTAATATGATTTTTTTGCTGTATAGAACTTTAAGTCTTTATGTGGTCAAATGAAAGCATTTTCTTCCTATGCTCCTGGCCTTTAGGTAAAGATTAGAACACATCAATATCATAAAAGCCATTCTTACTTTTCTTCTAGTGTGCTATGGCTGCACTTTTTATGCTTAACTATTTAACTGGAATTTATTTTGGTTTAAGAAAAGATGCCCTCATCTTTAACTATGATAGCAACTATGTGTTACTACCTAGAATGGCATCAAAGTAGACTTGAACATGGTCGGAGGACAGTTAAGATCCAGTCTGAATGAAATGAACTTGTAAACCTTTAATAATATTAAAGTTATCAAAAATAAAATAAAGAAAAGAAAGACATATGAAAGCAAAGGCAATGAATACAGTGGTCTCTCGGTATCTGTGAGGGATTGGTTCAGAATCCCCCATGGAAACCAAAATCTAAGGATGCTCAAGTCCTTTATATAAAATGGTGTATTTGCATATAACCTATGCACATCTACCCATACACTTTAAATCATCTCCAGATTACTTAAAATACC
Organism: Homo sapiens; assembly: GCF_000001405.40. Classification (NCBI taxonomy): domain Eukaryota; kingdom Metazoa; phylum Chordata; class Mammalia; order Primates; family Hominidae; genus Homo; species Homo sapiens. Next base: position 81,657,814 of record NC_000009.12, read on the forward strand.
TAATACAATGTAAATCCTAGGTAAATGGTTGTTGTATTATTTAGGAAATAATGACAAGAAAAAAGTCTGTACATGTTCACTACAGACATAATTTTTTTTTTTTTTTTTTTTTTTAAGACAGAGTCTCGCTCTGTCACCTAGGCTGGAGTGCAGTGGCACAGTCTTGGCTCACTGCAACCTCCACCTCCCGGGTTCTAAGGAACTCTCCTGCCTCAGCCTCCCAAGTAGCTGGGATTACAGGCACGTGCCACCATGCCCGGCTAATTTTTTGTATTTTTAGTAAAGACGGGGTTTCACCATGTAGAACAGGCTGATTTTAAACTCCTGACCTCAAGTGATCCACCTGCCTCAGCCTCCCAAAGTGCTAGGATTTATAATCCTAGCATGAGCCACTGTGCCTGGCCGATGCAATGTTTTTTAAAAAAAAGTATTTTCAAACCATGGTTAGCTGAATTCACAGATGCAGAACCCACAGATACAAAGGGCCGACTGTACTATGTAAGTTGGGTTAGACTGGATAAGCCTGAAACAGGAGGAGAAAAGTTAGAAATCAAAGCTCAAACTGATGAAAAACATCGAAAGCCATACCATATGTCCTGGAAATTCTACATAAATGGTCTGGAGAAGAAGCAAATAGGAGCAATAGAGGAGAGTCTTACCCAAGACTTCCCCTCCGTCTGCCAGGTCTCTAAACCCTAATCTTAAACTATACTGACAAGCCAGCTTGACTTTTGAGCCAGAAAATCTAAATCCAAGTCTTGGACTGTTCTATTAACAAGCTGGTTTACCCCAGAAAAGGCGCTGACGTCCTCTGAAATACCCTGGCTCCTTCACCTGCACAACCTACCTCCTGGCAGGTGAGGGTACACAGCTTACCCAACAATGCTCTGTGAGTCCTAAAACATCACTAGCTCTCCAAGAGGACTTCATGAACATCTTCCCTTCAAATAGTCTGGATTGCAGCAGCATACAAACTGGCAATAATTCTTAGTATTATCTCTTGCTTCAACAAAAGGGTATTCTGGTAAGATTCTTAATTTAGCACAAATTAACAAGTCTCGTAGTGACTTTATTTTATTTATGTATTTATTTATCTATTTATTTATTTTTTTTTTAGATGGAGTCTTGCTCTGTCACCAGGCTGGAGTACAGTGGAGCCATCTTAGCTCACTGCAACCTCCGACTCCCTGGTTAAAGCAATTCTCCTTCCTCAGCCTCGCGAGTAGCTGGGATGACAGGCACGCGCCACCACACCTGGCTAATTTTTCTATTTTTAGTAGAGATGGGGTTTCACCATGTTGGCCAGGATGGTCTCGATCTCCTGATCCTCGTGATCCGCCCACCTCAGCCTCCCAAAGTGGTGGGATTACAGGCGTGAGCCACCGCGCCTGGCCTCTCGTAGTGACTCCTGCCCATGCTTCTATTCTTGATTGGAGTGTGCTGGCAGGTTAACCTGGGTATTTGACCCTGCTGCCTTCCACCTCTTGCAAAGGCTAGACAACTCCAGTGAAAAACTGAGGGCTAACTGTATTTCCCACCTAGAAATAATTTTCCTACCCAATGATGAATACCTATTTGGTACCCACTAAGTCATAATGCTTATAAACTTTCCCTGTGCCTAGATTTTTTAATACTGTGTAAGGCAACAACAATAAATCTGCATTCAAGAGCTATCCACAAACCAAATCTGCATGAAACCCTCCACTCAGAAATGTAAGCAGCAGGATGAAGGCTCCAGCAACAAGACTTTCTTCATGGATGGCCACCACCTACTGAGGCAGGAGGAAGCAGGAGTCCAAATTACCTGTCTACAACAGTCTTTCATTCTCCTTACCTATGCCAACTCTCCTCACTGATTTGCATATGGTAATACAGTTAGCCCTCATCATCCAAAAATTAGGGTTTGCATCTTGGCAAACTACTGCTAGGGGTTCTATGTTAAATCACTTAAACCACTGGGTCCCAACCAGGTCTCGTACTTAACAGGATTACCACCAATCTACTTGAGAGTTTCATCAAAATCGAGTGAGCTGATGAGCTGGTATGTAAGGTATACTATTCCAAAGTGCTGTACAAATATGAGAGATCTTCCCAATCCCTCAAGGCCTGCCTCAAATTCACTGAGAAGCTGCCTTTCCCCCATAACGCCAATAAACGCACTCTTCTCTAGGCCCTTCAAGATCCTCCACAGCACTTACTGTCATTTGGTAAACTAAACCTATGTGCTTAAAAATCACCATGTCATACAAAGAAAGCTTCCATACAGTTTCTTAACAGCTTTCTACCTAAAAGCCTTCTCAACACAACAAGATGGGAAGCATTACGAGAACACGACTCCTACTAAATACTGTGACACATTTCTTTGCCGTACCTCCCCTACTAAAACTGATGCCAGGGTACATATTTAATATACTTTCAAAGTCATGCCTCAATGAACCAAAACTTAATCTCCATGCACCCCTAAATTCAATGGCCAAGGTGCAACCAGATAAACCATTACTAAACAGTGCTAGACAAAGGCTGTTCACAAAAAAAAAAAAACAAAATCATACGTTGGTAAGTATAAAATTCATGTACATGTATGGTTTTATTTTTTTATTTTATTATTATTATTTTTTGAGACAGAGTCTCGTTCTGTCGCCCAAGCTGGAGAGCAGTGGCGCGATCTCGGCTCACTGCAAGCTATGCCTCCTGGGTTCATGCCATTCTCCTGCCTCAGCCTCCTGAGTAGCTGGGACTACAGGTGCCTGCTACCACACCCGGCTAATTTTTTTTTGTATTTTTAGTAGAGACGGGGTTTCACTGTGTTAGCCAGGATGGTCTCCAACTCCTGACCTCGTGATTCGCCGGTCTCAGCCTCCCAAAGTGCTGGGATTACAGGCATGAGCCACCATGCCCAGCTACATGTATGTTTTAACTGAGCAGAAATACGGCCAAGGACCTCAGAGATCAGCAATCAATCAAACTCTAGTGTATTCTGCGACTTTTAAATTCAAGATATGGCCGGGCGTGGTGGCTCACGCCTGTAATCCCAGCACTTTGGGAGGCCGAGGCGGGAGGATCACGAGGTCAGGAGGTCAAGACCATTCTGGCTAACACGGTGAAACCCCATCCCTACTAAACACACACACACACACACACACACACACACACACACACACACACATTTAGCCTGGCGTGGTGGCACGTGCCTGTAGTTCCAGCTACTCAGAAGCCTGAGGCAGAATTGCTTGAACCTGGGAGGCAGAGGTTGCAGTGAGCTGAGATGGCGCCACTGCACTCCAGCCTGGCAGAGTGAGACTCGGTCTCAAAAATAAAAATAAATAAAAATAAATAAAAATAAAAAATACATATATATTTATATATATGTATTTTTATATATATATGTATTTTTATATATATATATATCTTTTTTTCAAGATATGGTCTTCTGAGTAGCTGAACTTAAGAGTTTAGGGTTCTATAATTCCTAAAACCACCTTTCCTACTTCTCATACTTTGTCTAACTGCAATACGGAAGAGCCCACTCCTCAGCGCCCGCACACTTCCCCACTACACATACAGTAGTGCATAATGAGTGCTGTTTGAAGCTCAAAACAGGGTGAGGACTGCTTAAGAGTAATTGCCCATGGGCCTCAAAGCAATCCAATGGCACCTTGCCCAAAGTCAGCTTAGGGAGGGGAAACTCCACCAGCATTAAATTGCAAATTGATGGATCATAAAAAAATGGTGCTTATGCTGAGGGCTGGCAAACTGATCTTCTGGTTTCTTTGAACCAAGCGGGAAGCCAAGATAAAAACACAGTGGAGTGTTGGTAAGAAGTGTCTGGCAACAGATACATGGGCAAGAACATGAAAACAAAGCACACAAAGGAAATAAACAGATAACCTCTAAATCCCTTCTGACTAGAAGTTTCTGAGTCTGTGAAATGACAACCTTAAATCCCCCCCCCAAAAAAAATGTACACAGAAACCTCACCGGCAACCAAACAAAAATGTAAATTTTGTTGTAAGTAAGGTAGGTCATTCAGGAAGTTAAGGCAATTTTTAAAAAATTAACAAAATCCAATGATGAAGCATCCTCAGGGAAAGTGGAACAATCATACGTTACTGATGACATTAAATTGGTAGCGCTGTCTTGGAAGGCAACTGGGCAATGTGTTTCAAGAGCATGAAATTATTCAAACCCGTTGGTAAGGCTTCCCACAGCTAAGAATTTATCCTAAGGAAATAGTTCAAATGAAAAGCATTCCATGCATGAAGCTGTTCACTGCAGCACTAGTTTCAAAGCGAAAAGAGAAAAAAACAGGTAAAGATGTAACAGCAATTCAACACATCACAACCATCTACCGAGTTTTTGAGAAAGTTAACATTTGCCCTCCTAATAAATCAGTTGTCTAAAACTAAGAGAACAGTTAAATACGCTACACACCAACCCACAGGCATGGCAAGTAGCCATTAAAGTCATACTTTGATAATGATGCTAAAATGACCAAGACATTCACTAGATGATGCAGGAGACACGGTGTTAGTATTAGTGTGCCTGTTTTGTGTGTGTGTGTGTGTGTGTGTGTGTGTGTGTGTGTGTGTGTGTTTAAAGGGCCAGGAGCTGTGGCTCACGCCTGTAATCCCAACACTTTGCGGGGGCCGAGGTGGGTGGATCACCTGAGGTCAGGAGTTCGAGACCATCCTGGCCAACATGGTGAACCCTGTCTCTACTAAAAATACAAAAAAAATTAGCAGGGCATGGTGATGCATGCCTGTAATCCCAGCTACTTGAGGAGCTGAGGTGGTAGAATAGCTTGAACCCATGAGGCAGAGGTTGCAGTGAGCCAAGATCGCACCATTGCACTCCAGCCTGGGCAACAAAAGTGAAACTCCGTATCAAAAAAAAAAAATTAGCAAAGTGGCCAAGCACCGTAAATTGATATCCAAAATTAAGAGTAATTATGCTGAGGTGGTAGGGCTTTTAGTGACCTTTTTTTCTTCCCTCCAGTGACTTGGAATCATTGCCCTTGATTTACTGTTTAAATGTTTTTGTTGTTGTTGTTTTGAGACAGGGTCTCACCCTGTTGCCCAGGCTGGAGTGCAGTGGCATGATCTCAGCTCACTGCAACCTCTGCTTCCTGGGCTTAAGCGATTCTCATGCCTCAGCCTCCCGAGTGGCTGGGACTACAGGTGTGCACCACCACGTGCAGCTAATTTTTGCATTTTTAGTAGATGGGGTTTCACCATATTGGCAAGGCTGGTCTCGAACTCCTTACCTCAAATTATCCACACGCCTCGGCCCCCCAAAGTGCTGGGATTACAGGCACAAGCCATTGCACCTGACCAATTTACTGTTTAAATTTAATATTTCATCAGGAAGGGAGATAAGCGCCGTCAGGCTCACCACGTTTGCGATCAACAGTGGTGCTGAGACACAACAATGCTGGCAAACCTGGAACTATTTGGGTACCCAGCCCTCTTACGATCCTCAAATCACAGGTAGAAAAACAGAGGTCTAAAGGAAATGATTTGTCCAAGATCATAGAGCAAGAAGCCACATATTCCCTGTCTAGTTCTTTCTCCAGAAAGCAGAAGTTGAGAATTGGGAGATAAAACAAGAAAGAGCTGATGAACTCGGCCCTGCCTGCAAAGCAACGCAGCTGCTGAAAGGCCATACAGCCCAAACAGGGCTGCAGCAGCACAAGGACAAGTCCGCATGATCCCTCAGCCAACAAAGGGACTACAGAAAGTGCCTCTCATCTGTCAATGACAGGGTCACCGTGCCCTTGCTACCCTAGCAGAGGTATCCGCACAGAATAGACTTTTTTTTTTTTTTTTTTGAGATGGAGTCTCGCTCTGTCACCCAGGCTGGAGTGCAGTGGCGCAATCTCGGCTCACTGCAAGCTCTGCCTCCCGGGTTCACGCCATTCTCACGCCTGCCTCAGCCTCCCGAGTAGCTGGGACTACAGGCACCTGCCACCACGCCCGGCTAATTTTTGTATTTTTAGTAGAGACGGGGTTTCACCATGTCGGCAGGATGGTCTCGATCTTCTGACCTCGTGATCCGCCCACCTCAGCCTCCCAAAGTGCTGGGATTACAGGTGTGAGCCACCACACCTGGCCAGAATAGACATTTTATAAGGGACCTCAATTATAAATTGCAAACCTTAAGTAAATGAGTTGCAGCCAAACTCCACTTTAATATTCTCCTTCACAGGCAGAAAGAATGATGCATCAACCCTAACATCAGACCATCTGGCCCACCAGTAGAACAAAATCCACAAACACATCTCTAGTTCCTGAAGATGACGTCTTATTTTTATACCTAAAGAAAGTTAGGAGCCAGGCATGGTGGCTCATGCCTATAATCCCACCATTTTGGGCGGGATGGATCACTTGAGGCCAGGAGTTCGAGACCAGCCTGGGCAACACAGCAAGACACTGCCTCTACCAAAAAAAAAAAAAACTTAATTAGGGATACATGAATAAAAACTGTGTACCAAAAATGATACACACAAAACACTGCAAATAATCTTCCAATACTCTCTTTCCCTTCATAGGAAAGGAAGAGTTCTTTGCCAAGAGGCCTCCTTCAGGATATCTGCTACTCAGAGTCTTAAGATTTCTCCCATCACAGTGCCTTGCTCACCAATAGCTCATGAAAAGGTAAATTCATCTTTAAATCTAATGTGTCTGAGTAGCTTTTGTTTAAAATATAATTATGCCGATAAAATAACTAATCACATTTTGGGGAAATCCAAATTTAAAAAATGTGGGGAGGTCGGGCACAGTGGCTCACGCCTACAATCCCAGCACTTTTGCGGGGCTGAGGCAGGAGGATACCTTGAGCCCAGGAGTTTGAAACCAGCCTGGGCAACATAGGGAAACTCAATCTCTCTTTTAATTAAGAAAAAAAAAAATAAGTGAGGTACCTTTAAGTTGACCTTATAATGGTTAGTGAGGTTATCAGTGGTTCTCAAACTCCAGCGTACACGAGGATGGTCTTGTGCTTGTTAATACACAGATGACTAGGCCCACCTGCGGAGTTCCTGTTGGAGTCTAGGCCTGAGAATATTCGTTTCTAACAAGTTCCCAGGTGACCCTGAGGCTCTTGGACTGGGGAACATGCTTTGAGAAGCACTGCCATCTATTTCAGCAGCATCTACTGCTTAGCACCTGCCAGGTGCTCTGACACCCTCTCTCTAATCTTCATGTGGACACCAGGTCCCCTGGGAGAACAGACTAAAATAACTTGCCTAAGATCAGAACAAGACAGTGGAGAGGAGAGGTCAGGCCTGTCTCTCTCCAGAGCCCTGCAGCAACATGAGAGCTGCCCTCTCACACATTTTTACAAAACACTGAGGCAAGAACACAAACCGGGGGTGTAGGAACACATTTGCCTTCTGTGGAAAACCTCGCACAATATTCATTTAAGTTATTCCACCCATGGCAATGTAATCTCGCCCCTTCTTCAAGCCTGTGATTAAAACAAAACAAAGAGTACCAGATGACAGAAACCCTTTAGTGGCTCAACTAATCAGAACACAAGTCACCAATTACTGGCAGATAATAACTTTTATGTTCCATCTCCTCACTTGGCAGCTCCTGCAGCATTCTAAATCTGAGCTCTCTCCAACTGGGCCCAGATACTATCCTTTCACTCCTCATCTTTCACACTCGCAGTTCTCTGAAAACAAGGAGGGGTTAAAAGAAAGGAAGGAAAAAAAAAACCGTGCTGAAGGCTGCTTGGGCACAGATAGCAACACTAATTGCTCCCATTCTCTAGCTCCTCGTGAGGCAGATTGCAGGGGCCTGCATCTCCGGAGAAAGCTCTCCTATCTTCGCAGCAGCTCTCAGCAGAGCAACTCAAGTGCCCTTAATTGTTTATGTTCTTAATGCAGAGGCTCTTGAATGCATTCATTTTTAATAGCGGGCTTGAGTGTGGGGCCCATCAAAGAATGACAAAGCAACTCTATTCATTGGTTCTCCTTCCTGCAATGATGGTCTTTTGATTTATTTGCAAATGACAAGCTTGCCAGGCCCCACTTGAGGGCTGCCCTCATTTTTTTTTTTTTAAAGAATTCAGTTGCATTTTCCAAGATGAAGTTGAGTCTGCAATGCTGTTTGTGTAAATTTTTCCCCCTTCAGTTCCGTCTAATTAATGACTTAAATGTTTTGACCCAACTGTTGCCAAGCAGAGCATTTGGGCTTTAATTTGTCATTTTGGTAAAGATGCATCTTTGACAAAAGCATCACAGCTGTTTTAGTTCCTAAATAGCACATTTCCATTATTCAGAAACCCTTGTTATGGAGTTCAGAAAGAGCCTGTTCACAGGAAATGGTATTGACTTGTCCCAGGATGGAAAAAGGACAGCTTTTGGTGGGCTTAAAGGAAAATGCACTCTGTGGTGGAGAAAGAAATCTTTCTCCAAACTCCGCAGAGTGAATCACAGATCATCACCGTGAAGTCATCACCTACTCTCCTGTGGAAAGCAAGCAAGCCTCTCCCTGGGCCACACCCCAAGCAAGCCTATACCTTTAAACCTCTTCACATATCTTAGTCATTAGAGAGCTCATAAGAAATTAGGTAATACCACACAATGGCAGGATTAGTGGGAGGAAAAGTAGACTACATCATCATCATCACTGGTTGAAGGTTAAAATTACAATTATGAAACTAAAATATGCCTGTGTAGCCAGGCGCGGTGGCTCACACCTGTAATCCCAGCATTCTGGGAGGCCGAGGCAGGCGGATTATGAGGTCAGGAGTTCAAGACCAGCCTGACTAACATGACGAAACGCAGTCTCTACTAAAAATACAAAAATTAGCCAGGCGTGGTGGTGCACGCCTGTAATCCCAGCTACTCAGGGGGCTGAGGCAGGAGAATCGCTTGAACCCGGGAAGCGGAGGTTGCAATGAGCCAAGATCATGCCACTGCACTCCAGCCTGGGTGACAGAGCAAGACTCGTCTCACAAAATAAATAAATAAATAAATAAATAAATAAATAAAATAAAATATGCCTGTGTAAATAAAGACAAAGGCCTGAAGCACTGGCTCACATCTATCAGCACTTTTGAGAGCAAGGTAAGAGGATCACCGCAGAGCAGGAGTTCAAGACCAGCCTGGGCAACATAGTGAGACCTCATTTCTACAGAAAAAATTTAAAAATTAGCCGGGTGTGGTGGTGTGGCCTATAGTCCCAGCTACTGGGGATGCTTAGGCAAAGGATCACTTGTTCGGAGTAATCCTTGGTTTGGAGTTTGGAGTTTTGATTAAGCCACTGCACTCCAGCCTGGGCAACAGAGTGAGATAAAAATATGTAAAAATCAGCCGGGCACGGTGGCTCACACCTACAATTCCAGCATTTCGGGAGGCCGAGGCAGGTGGATCACTTTAGGTCAGGAGTTTGAGACCAGCCTGGCCAACATGGCTAGAAATACAAAAATTAGCTGGGTGTAGTGGTGCACACCTGTAATCCAGCTACTCAGAAGGCTGAGGTACAAGAATCGCTTAAACCCGGGTGGCAGAAGTTGCAGTGAGCCGAGAGATCACTCCAGCCTGGGAGACAGAGACAGACTGTCTCAAAAAAAAAAAAAAAAAAAAGAAGCAAAAATCAAGTTACCTCTGAATGTTTCCCTAACACATTTAAATCTTCAGCCAATCTAGATGGTAGAAAAGGAACTTTCTGCACATGGGCCATGCTACAGCTGAATGACCCACATACATGAGTAACAGCTGCCACTCTCCTTCCTGAGCAACTTCTTAGGGAAAACAGCTCTCTACAAGGAGATCTAGGCCCCCAGTGCCACATAATGGCTCCAATTTTGATATATGTATCAAAGCCATTCCTGGCCCCTCAAACTCAGTGCTGAAACTTCAGCGGGGAAGTCCCAGCCCTTGAGCTGTATTCCTGCTCCCCCCCAAGCTGAGTGGCTGGGGAGAGGTGGTCCTTTGGGAAGGAAGATAAGGTTGCTGCCTTCCCGGATGGAACCTGGAATTATGTTTTTAATCAATATCACATGCCAAAAAACCTGCAATGTTCCGCAACTCACTCTCAAAGTAGCCAGAAGGATACTCAGACCCGGGCGTGATGGCTCACACCTGTAACCCCAGCATTTTGGGAGGCTGAGGAGGGTGGATTGCCTGAGGCCAAGAGTTCGAGATCAGCCTGGCCAACATGGTGAAACCCTGTCTCTATTAAAATTACAAAAATTAGCCGGGCGTGGTGGCACATGCCTATAATCCCAGCTACATCAGGAGGCTGAGGCATAAGAATTGCTTGAACCCAGGAGACGGAGGTCGCGATGAGCCGAGATCGCGCCACTGCACTCCAGCAGCCTGGGCGACAGAACAAGACTGCATCTCGAAAAAAAAAAAAAGAAGGATATGTAAAGGAAGTTGGAAGTTGTGGTGGGCAAGGGTAGGGATTAAAATTTGGAGCCACTGAGGCAGAAAAAGAACCTGTGAACAGTTAACAGTCAAGAAGTTTTATTTTCTCAAAAGCATTTTAGTCACGATTAAAATGAAATCTGGGATGCTAGCTAAATTTTTCAAAGCATAACCTTTGGAAAAGATTATTTTAAGTATTTAGAAGAGAGTAAGCAAAAGGATCCTAGATGACAGGTGCCATGGTGTATGGATTCACAGAATATTGACTCACCCATGCATGTGGAGGCAAACAGGAATAACATTTTAAATACAAATTACTTCTTTACCAAAAAAAACCCCAATCACTGCATCATTATACAATCCACAGAGGAATCTAAGTAAGAGAAAAATAATCACCATTCCTCCAAGATAACAATCAACCTACTTTCAGGATGGGAAAAAAAGTGTCGTATGGGACAGAATCTATTCAGAGTTACAGGGACTGACCAAAAATACACATAATTAAAAGTATGCCAAAAAAAAGGCCTTCATCCCTTTATGCTCAGTCATGTCAATTTATAATTTTAAAATTATAAAGCCTTACAGTATTGTCTAAGATATACTAGGGAAGCATTAAATAAGGAGAGAGGAACTGAAGATAATGGAAACAAGAACAATTTATAAACCAGGGGCCACCAGAAGTTACCACTCCTGTAATTCACAAGTTATTTTACAAGTGGACAAATCAATTTATATGCTCCTGTGTGTTTTTAGAAAACATCCTAGATAGTCTTCCATTAATTATGTGGGTTCCAGGACATGTCAATTCTCGTTTCCCACAGCACCAGAAACCAAATTTAACCCACGTATTCTGTTACACTGGTCTGCATTTGTGTGGTTCCCACAGGGCTGGGTTGGCTCAATAATGCTGCACTCCTTCTGGAAGAACAGAAAAGACTTCCTGCCATTTGGACTGTGAAACACAGTAATCCACCAGGGAATAAAGGTCAATGTTGCACTTTTGGTCATTACTGAATCATTTGAGATGATCTGTGGTGAGGATGAGAGGAAAATCGAAGGCTGTGAGAACGCTGCAAATGGCTTGACCTCAGACCAATTTTCATCTCCATCTGTCTAATAGACATGTGGATAAAAAGCCCTCCCTCCTTCTGGGCCACTCGGCTGTTTTCAAATCCGTGGCACAAGCCAGGAACCAGTTAAACAATATATTAATGAGGGGAAATAACCTTCTAAGCCACAGACTAATGCTTATTCAGGTTTTAGATCATCAGCTGAAGTCTGGAACGCAATTTTCCAGTCTGCAAGCAGTACTGTAAAGTAGAAATTTTAACTAATACAGAGAATCATCTGCAGTGTAGGGGCATGTGCCAAAATCTCCTCACTTGTACATGCAAATATATGCATGCTTACACCTCCACCCTCCCCCCCCACACCAAAAGACATGCACACAAAGAGGAAGGGCAGTTCCAAAAACTGCGCATTGCTGCTAAATAAATCTTTTTTTCCCCAAGTGTCCAATTAAAGCTGCTTAATCATTATTTAGGCATTTCAATCCTTAGATACAAAATATTCTTGGGAACCCAGAGTCTAATCATCATTTAAGCCATAGAATAAATAAATGTTAATAACCCTGACTTTATACCAACGGTCCCCCTTTGCTGGTTTGGCCGAGCGACTTTTTAAAGATAATGTTGTACCACATATAAGTTTAGGCCCCCACAGTATATCAATGTCAAACAACATCGTGTCAAGCTAAGATTCAATTCAGGTAAGTGCCACTGCCAAATTTTCTTGTTCCCAGACGGGCTTTAAGATTATTTTATTGCTTAAAATTTAATTTGTTCCAACTCGTGTCTCCATGACAACGTTGGCCAACCCTGCAAATCATTTGGGTAATTGGATATCTTATCTTTCTATTGCTCTCAAATCGAATGATTCTGCTAGAATTGTAACAGCCAATCAAATTTACAGTCCTCCTGAGTAATAGACTTGGAAAAGTAGCCACATTCATCTCCTCTTTACAGCCATATTAACCAGTATGCGACAAACAGTAGAATCTGGTCTTCAAACTCTACTCCAAATTATAAATGGTGTCAATACCAATATTCTCACAATGCAAAGTCTACACAAAAGTCCCTTCCCTTTTTTTTTTGAGACAGAGTCTGGGTCTGTCGCCCAGGCTGGAGTGCAGTGGGGCAATCTTGGCTCACTGCAACCTCCGCCTCCCGGGCTCAAGTGATTCTTCTGCCTCAGCCTCCCTAGTAGCTGGGACTACAGGCGTGCGCCACTGTGCCCAGCTTATTTTTGTATTTTTAGTAGAGACGGGGTTTCACCATATTGGCCAGACTGGTCTCGAACTCCTGACCCTCCTGACACCTTGTGATCTGCCCACCTCAGCCTCCCAAAGTGCTGGGATTGCAGGCATGGCCACCTTTTATATTGCTTTGAGAAGCAACAATTGTTACTTATTCCTTATTAACTTTGAGCAATTTCAGCACTTTGAGAGTTCCAGAAGCTAATCAGAAAAAAAAAAATTAAAAAAAAAAAATCACAGCTTTTTTTGGGTATTTGATCTTGGATAAAATAATAACCCAAACAATGGCTGCATAAGATCAGTGATACACTGACATTGATCTGTCTGGGACCCTTTCGGTAGGTAAGCCATACTTAATAAATTAGTCAAGAAATAAGGATGGGCTGGGTGCCGTGGCTCATGCTGTTAATCCCAGCACTTTGGGAGGCCGAGGCAGATGGATCACCTGAGGTCAGGAGTTCGAGACCAGCCTGACCAACATGGCAAAACCCCATCTCTACTAAAAATCCAAAATTAGCTAGGCATGGTGGTGAGCACCTGTAATCCCAGCTACTTGGGAGGCTGAGACAGGAGAATAGCTTGAACCTGGGAGGCAATGACTGCGGTGAACTGAGATCACGCCACTGCACTGCAGCCTGGGCAACAGAGTGAGACTCTGTCTCAAAACAAAAAAGAAACAAGGATGAATACAGATTTAACAACCAGTTCAAAACTAATGTATTCTTAGGCTGGGTATGGTAGCAAATGCCTGTAATCCCAGCACTTTGGAAGGCTGAAGCGGGCGGATTGCTTGAGCCCTGGAGTTCAAGACCAGCCTGGGCAACATGGCGAAACCCTGTCTCTATTTAAGAAAAATGAAGGCCGGGCATGGTGGCTCATACCTGTAATCCTAGCACTTTGGGAGGCCAAGGTGGGCGGATCACAAGGTCAGGAGTTCAAGACCAGCCTGACCAACATGGTGAAACCCCACCTCTACTAAAAATACAAAAATTAGCAGGGCGTGGTGGCATGTGCCTGTAATCCCAGCTACTCGAGAGGCCAAGGCAGGAGAATCGCTTGAACCCGGGAGGCGAAGCTTGCAGTGAGCCAAGATTGCGCCACTACACTCCAACCTGGGCGACAGAGTGAGACTCCGTCTCAAAAAAAAAAAAGAAAAAAAATCTATATACTCAGAAAAATCCAGTCAGTATTTGAAACCTCCTTATACTTCCTCCTTATACTTCCATTTAATTCATAAATATCATAGCATCTAGGGTAGTCGATTATAAAATACAGATTTCTTATAAGATTCAAATGTCAGCAGTTCCCCTCCTAAGTTAGTGGTATGATTTTGGCCTTTGGTCAGCTAAAAAGTACAGAAGTTGGATACATTTCAATGGTCCAATTCCAATCTCCTCAGTAGCTGTGCAGAGACATTGGCTCTGAGGGAGCTCATGGCCCAAGCACTGTAAATGAGCCAGCCCACTTACAAATGGAAAAAGTTCTGGGACCCAGGCCAACTGGCAGGCTAGGGGGTTGTCAAGAACCTAGTGCTTCCCCTACAGATCCTCAGGGTGTCAGGGCCACTTCTCAAGCTAAGCAGAAAGAGCCATGAACGCGGAGCTTCTCAGCACACCCAGATCAGAAGGCGGCCAACTTTGGAGCTTGTTTGAGAGCAGGTACTGGCACAACTTGTCTGAACTGTGCCCTGCTTTATCTCAAATACTTACAAAGACACACAAGAAGTTTCTACTGCATTGTGCTTGGGATTAAGAGTAAACAGCCTAAACTTCCAGTTTGACCAATCCCAATGGCTCTGCCTTTCTCCCCTGCAATAAATTATTATTATTATTATTATTATTATTTGAGATGGAGTTTCACTCTTTTTGCCCAGGCTGGAGTGTGATGGTGCGATCTTGGCTCACTGCAACCTCCGCCTCCCAGGTTCAAGTGATTGTCCCGCCTCAGCCTCCCAACAATTTTTTTTTTTTTTGCTTCCCCAAATATTAGTACATCAGCAGCAGCTGTGAACCTTGACTGTCAACAAAAATCTCAAGCCCATGGAGTAGACGAAGAAAGACAGCACCACAACTACTCTACTCACAACTTTTGCACAGTACTTTACAGAGCAAAAAGAAAACTACATGCACACACTCCCCACAGGTGTACATATCCCTCATCAAAATGAAATTTTTTCTTTCTGTAACCAAGCAACAACTTGACCCTCTAATTCCATACCCTGCTTGTTTTCAAAATGACAAATTTTCCATGTTACATTCGAAAGAAAAACTCTGAAATATACCTCCTAGTCCTTATTCTGCCAAAACTTACTTTGATAGAATGAACCAAATCCTTTGTTGTTCTTCCATCCCTTTAAATGAAAAAACTCAACACAACTTTATTCTTACTGATAGTTACATTACTTAAAGCTATTGCCTTCCAAGGACACATTCTGCTGTTTGGCCAAAGTAAGACATTTTACTTAGACAATAAAGACTGCCAACAAGGCCGGACGCGGTGGCTCACGCCTGTAATCCCAGCACTTTGGGAGGCTGAGGGAGGCAGATTACTTGAGGTCAGGAGTTTGTGACCAGCCTGGCCAACATGGTGAAATCCCGACTCTACTAAAAATACAAAAATCAGCTGGGCATGGTGGTGCACGCCTGTAATCCCAGCTACTCGGGAGGCTGAGGCAACAGAATCGCTTGAACCTGGGAGGTGGAGGTTGCAGTGAACCAAGATTGCGCCATTGCACTCCAGCCTGGGGGACAAGAGCGAGACTTCATTTAAAAAAAAAAAAAAAAAAAAAACAGACTGCCAACAAGTCCTTTTTTTTTTTTCTCCTTTTAAGCCTAAAGATAAATGCTTATGATCTTAGAAGGAAAGAAATAAAACACGGTAATGGGAAAATCAGTTCAGAGGTAGGAAGGAAGCTGGGTTTGCAAAAACAAAACGGAAGTATCAGTGAAGCATGGCCTAGAAGTCCAAGAGCAGGGGTAGAGTTTTAAAGGGACTGCTATTTAGATCACAGCTATCCCTCAGAGCGCCCCCATGCCAGGAAACTACGCAACTGCTCCTGCATTTGGTAACTCACTTAATCTTGGTAATTACCCTATGGGGTAGGTGCTACTGTCATCCCCTAATCCCACTCACCTGTTTTCTCTTTTTCAAGGTGGAATAATTAGTATCCACACAAAGGGAGGCTGGGAAGGTTGACACGGGGAGGGGGCGGCTTCTGGCGGACCAATTCCTAGGGCACATGGGAGCTCCACGGATGGGGGCTATGACAACTCTAATGTTGTCATTGGAAAAGCTTACTGTAATAATAAACCCAAAAAGCCGACTTCTGAAAGCCAAAGAGCTGAGAAAGACAACTATGTGAGAATGGAGTGTGTACCTGTATCTGCAGGCTGCATGGGGCCTGGATGCCCTTTCTCCATCTGGTGGTCCATCCTTTATTCTCTCCATACCAGACCAAGACGCAGATCAATGTTAAGACCCTCTTTCCTAAACCGAAAGCAACCTTTTTATTTTCACTCACTAATCCATAGAGGCCTTTCAAATGGCACAAATAACGGTGGCTGCATTTTGTTCTCTAAATCAATTTTCTCCCCAGCCATCAACTAGATGTTCCCACACAGAGAAAGAACAGCCCTTCCCTTCTAATTCAAAAATCCATACTGCCATTGCCCTTGCAAACTGCTAAACAAGCAGTATCAGCAAGTCACTTGTGTTCTGTAATACATTTACTGCAAATCCCAATGGCTTGCCTTCTAATGCAGTTTTCTATTGTGTCTGTGCGTGTCAATACACTGGCTGGCCACTGTACTTATAAGAAGCTCTGACCAGCTGTTTGCTCAAGGCATCAAGAGGGCACCAAGAGGAAACAAAGACTATGCTCCTGAGGAGCAACCGGAAGGCCACAGCATTGAAGGGCCTGGTTCCACACACTGGGGTCCTCAATGAGGTTTTGTTTCTGGTCCTTACCCCCTTACCACCCAAGGTCCCTGAGGCCAACTGAAAATCTCCATCACGACAATTCCATACACACAAAGTTCAAAATCAGAGTCCTTTTGCAAAATTATTTCTATTTTCTTACCTATCGTTGCTAACAATATTTCCCCCAGCAAATATACTGGTTACATCTTAAAGGTAAAGTATAAGTCAAGTTTCATTGAGGGGTCAGAACAAAGAGAGGAGGACTTTGTAAGGGGAGTCCAGCTTTTCTGCGTTAAATAAAATCTCAAGTGACAGTTGAGAAAGAAATCACCTAAAAACCGTGTAATGGTGGATCACCTAATACAACCACGCCAAAAGTACAAAGGGCAAGTCTAGGAGGAAAACCCTATAAAAACAGGTGAAGACAGAATTCTTAAAATGTACATGGACGCCAGGTGTGGTGGCTCACACCTGTAATCCCAGCCCTTTGGGAGGCTGAGGTGGGAGGATCACTTGAGTCCAGGAATTCGAGACCATCCTGGACAACATAGTGAGACCTCATCTCTACTGAAAAAAATCAAAAAATAAATTTTAAAAAAAGTACATGGAAATCCCTGCTTCATGTTATCAGTCTAAGCCAAGGTCGGTAGCTAAAGAAAGGCCTGATCCTCTATCAAGTCCTTCCAAATTCCCCATATTATTAATTTATTTCTTGATTTTGGGGGAAGGAGGAGCCTATGGAAGATATATGACAGATAGATATTACAAAATGTTAATTTATAGACTCCAGGTATCATACAGGTGGGTATAATATGGGTATTGCTGTGTATTTCTCTTTTATTCTGTAATTTGAAATTTTTCATAATAAAATGTTTGGGAGAATGGAAGACACTATGTAAAGACTAAGTAAATAATCAGTGGTTATACTCATTATTACTAAGAAATCTGGTGACAAGTCAAGTTTAATGCCTTGAGAGAAGCTTGTCATGCAATTCATCTACACTCTATTGGCAGCTGCAGTTCCAGGGACAGTAATGCCTGCACATGCTCAATTCACACCAAACCTAGGCCCCAGCAACATGCTAGTTTTGTTTATCTCTCTTTTTTAGTCCAAACCCAAACATATTACTACAATAAAACTCCTCACTAAGAACTCTCAGTGGTTACTGACTACAGATCACTCTTCCAAAAGAAAAACTGAGCAAAACTGGTTAGATAAGGTTATTAGAACTGAAAAGATTTCATTTTTAATTTTAGCATAAGGACTCACACTAGTTTTTTTTTGTTTTTTTTTTTGAGACGGAGTCTCGCTCTGTCGCCAGGCTGGAGTGCAGTGGCATGATCTCAGCTCACCACAACCTCCAACCCCCTGGTTCAAGTGATTTTCCTGCCTCAGCCTCCCGAGTAGCTGGGATGACAGGTGCCTGCCACCACGCCCAGCTAATTTTCGTATTTTCAGCAGAGACGGGGTTTCACCATGTTGGCCAGGATGGTCTCGATCTCCTGACCTCGTGATCCGCCCGCCTCAGCCTCCCAAAGTGCTGGGATTACGGGCGTGAGCCACCACACCAGGCCGACCCACACTAGTTTTCTTGATTCGAGTTTTTAATCTGAATTCCATGGACTTGTTGAAGGATCTTGAGATGCACACAAACAGCCAAAATCGTTGGGCAAAGCTATCCTGGGTATTTGTGTGTAAAAACATGTACAAACTTTTCTTGCAAAGTAGCTTTCACCTGATTTTCAAACGTTCAGGGTCCAAAATGGATACAACTACCACTACACATAAGGAGTACCCAAAACACAATATAATCAATGCCTACTCTGGATAACTCATCGGGAAGGGTAGATGGAAGTCCCTAACTCAGCTTCAAGCAGACTGCAACCTAGTCGGAGCAAGGAAAGAAGCACATGAAAAACCATTATTACAGGACACTGAGCAAAACAAGTGCTGTGACAGCCTGCCACTGGGTAGTCCCAGGCCGCCTTGAAGTAAACAGGTGGTGGTGTTTGAACTGGGACTTGAAGGAGACTGAGGAAGGCCATCTGAAGGTTGATACAAAAGCCTGGACTTTTTATAAAGAAAACAGGAAAACTCAAAACATACTTTCAGCAAGAAGAGGCCTATTTGGCAGGATAAAAGGAAATGCAGGAAGAGAAAGAAGCAGTGGCCAAGACAGGAAGGGAAAGTACTCAGGGGTAGACACAGCAGGCTATGAGGGACAAAGAGGTCATCACAGGGGGAAGTCAAAATTTAAAAGAACACACATGCAGGATAGGATGGATGTAATCCCAAGACCCTGAAGACAATTTACATCTGCTATCTTAAAGATGCTCCCTTTCCAGGGCTGGAGTTCCCAGGGTGCGGCCAGGTTTGACATATGGGCTAGCAGTCTCTGAGCAGTGGGGACACTGGGCAAGTCAATGGAATGTGTGCTGACATTTCATTTTACCACTGTTTAAAATGTTCATTTATTTTAAATGTATACAACAGTGTAATACAACAATGTATGTATGTAACTTACAAATTTGGCCGGGCATGGTGGCTCACGCCTATAATCCCAACACTTTGGGAGGCCAAAATGGACGGATCACTTGAGGCCAGGAGTTCAAGACCAGCCTGGACAACATGGAGAAACCCCGTCTCTACCAAAATGTAACAATTAGCTGGGTCCGTGGTGGCACGTGCCTGTAGTCCCAGCTACTCGTGGGACTGAGGCAGGAGAATAGCTTGAACCCCAGAGGCAGAGGTTGCAGTGAGCTGAGATTGTGCCACTGCACTCCAGCCTGGGAGACAGAACGAGACTCGTCTTCCCCCCCCCAAAAAAAAGACCTTACAAATTTAAAAGTAAACAACTCAGGCCGGGCGCAGTGGCTCACACCTGTAATCCCAGCACTTTGGGAGGCTGAGGTGGGCAGATCATGAGGTCAGGAGATCGAGACCATCCTGGCTAACATGATGAAATCCTGTCTCTACTAAAAATACGAAAAATTAGCCGGGCATCGTGGCAGACGCCTGTAATTCCAGCTACTCAGCAGGCTGAGGCAGGAAAATGGTGTGAACCCGGGAGGCGGAGCTTGCAGTGAGCTGAGATCATGCCACTGCACCCCAGCCTGGGTAACAGAGCGAGACTCCATCTCAAAAAAAAAAAAAAAAAAAAGTAAACAACTCAGGTAAACGCACTCAAGCTTTTCACCAAGAGGTTGTACGTATACCTAGACTAGTATCATAGACTAGTAACCTACTTAGATCAGTCATGGTGCTAATACCAAACCCAGTCTCATGGTACATGTATTTCAGTAGTTTGACAAACTGCAAGATTTGGACGCGCAAGTTCAAACACACCTACATTCTCAAAGACTGATTCCACTTCATCTAATGGATAATGAATATCCATTAGTACACTGGGAATAGATTTCAGGGATGATCAGCAAGCTACATATACAACTCTATCCCTTCCAGCGTACAGTGGTGTATATCTAGCATACTTAATTTTTTCTCTATTTGGAAGATGAAAAAGTTAATTCAACGGATAGAATTTTCAGAATTTGTTTTTTCCTCCCAGCTTTTTCCTTCTACCCAAAGTGACTTGTATCCTACTCTTTTTCTGCTAACATATTTTGTGGTCAAAGAATGACTAAGCAGCAAATACTACTATAAGAAAAACTAAAATAAATAGCTGTTTTTTATACCTACTATGAGACCTTACAGGGGAGGGGATAAACAATTGTGCCCACCATTATGATTTTTATATTGCTTCAAAGAAGGTAAATAGAATACAATTTATTGTTTGTGTGTTCTGAGACAAGGTCTTGCTTGTGTCATACAGTCTAGAGTACAGAGGTGTGATCACAGCTCACTATAACCTCCCCACTCCTGGGATCAAAAGATCCTCCTGCCTCACTCAGCACTAGTACTAGCTAGTACTACAGGTCTGTACCACCAGGCCCAATTAATTTTTTTTAAATCTTTTATTGTAGAGATAGGGTCTCGCTATGTTGGCCAGGCTGGTCTCTAACTCCTGGGCTCAAGTGATCCTCTGGAGCTGGGATTATAGGCATGAGCCACATGCCTGGCTTGCAACTTAGTAATTATTAAAAATTTAGGGGCTGGGAGCAGTGGCTCACGCCTGTTAATTCCAGCACTTTGGGAGGCTGAGGCACGTGGCTCACTTGAAACCACAAGTTCAATACCAGCCTGGCCAACATGGCAAAACTCCGTCTATACTAAAAACACAAAAAATAGCTGAGTGTGGTGGCACGTGCCTGTAATCCCGGATACTTGGAAGGCTGAGGCAGGGGAACTGCTTGAACCTACATACCTGTAATCCCGGCTACTCAGGGAGGTAGAGGTTGCAGTGAGCCGAGATCGAGCCACTGCACTCCAGCCTGGATGACAGAGCAAGACTCCATCTCAAAGAAAAAAAAAATTAGGGGCTGGGACCAGTGTCTCACACCTGTAATGCCAACACTTTGGGAGGCTGAGGAAGGTGGATCACCTGAGGCTAGGAGTTTGAGACCAGCCTGGACAACATGCAGAAACCCCATCTCTACCAAAAAATAATTTAAAAAAAATTAACCAGGCGTGGTGATGCACGCCTGTAATCCCAGCTATTCCAGAGGCTGAGGCAGGAGAATCACCTGAACCCAGGAGGCGGAGGCTGCAGTGAACCAAGATTGCGCTACTATACTCCAGTCTGGGTAACAGATTAAGACTCTATCGCCATTAAAAAAATTAAATGTTAAATAATGAAACATGTAATTTTGCTAAATCACAGGTTATTTGATAAAATCATATATCAACACTTCCTGGATTTTCATTAAAAAATATTACGGTGACTGGGTAGTCTACAAACAATAATTTTAAAAATTTTTCTTCACTTTTTTTTCTTTTTTTTTCCCCTGTGGACCCTGCTCAGGAAGAAACACAAGCAGCAA
The DNA here is from genome assembly GCF_000001405.40 of Homo sapiens. Taxonomy (NCBI): domain Eukaryota; kingdom Metazoa; phylum Chordata; class Mammalia; order Primates; family Hominidae; genus Homo; species Homo sapiens. Next base: position 81,679,362 of record NC_000009.12, read on the forward strand.
ATCTGAAATCATTCCTTTGCAAACAATTTTAGAAACCATACTTTTGTTAAATCAGGTGAATGGCAATACATGAATATCTTAATTTATGTTAAAATTTCAGTGCAAATTTATTTCACTTTTCAGATCAAACCACACCTCACGGGGAAAAAAAATCAGAAAACCTCTCTCCTCCTGCCCACACCTGCGCATCCTAGTTCCACTTAAAACATCACACCGTATTCACAGAACAATCCTCTGGTGAGGAGTATTTTGAAGGTACAGATGCCTATTCTTGTCAAATAAGCCCACCGACAGAAACAGCTGTCTAAAATTTACTTAAAAACCACTATACTAAATACCCTGTAGTAAAGGTACTAGTTGTGAGAATTTCCATTTTTAAAAATCAGAGGCAACAATAAGCAATGGGGAGGGGAGAGGGTAGGAAACGAAATCAATCAAAGCTTTGAGGAAAGCCAGTAAGTTTCTCAGTTTCCTCCCCTTTAATCCACTTCTGGAGACCACAAAAGGTTTAATAATAAAACAGCAAAGACTCAGATCCATGGAAACTTAAAATGGTTCCATGAGCCAGTAACTGAATATATTTTTAGTTTAACTACCACTCAAGATGATTTATTTAAATATTTACTAAAGAAACAGATTTTCTTTCTGTTTCTTAATAAACACTATTTGGGAGAACATCTTAAGTCCTCTGGCGAAGGACGCTCCTCAATTTGCACGCACGAGGTGCTGGGTTCTGCGGGTGTATGCTGGGATGGCTCCCACCATGCGAGGGAACAAACAGACTTTTGTCTAGTCTAACCCTCATTATACAGAGAGGGGAACTGAAGCCAGGGAACGTGTTCATGACTTGCCCAGTCCCGAATGGAAATCCCCAATTAAATGACTTCAATGAACTACAACGGAACCAAGTCAGAGCCTATAGTTCATGGCCACTCCCCACAGGACAGGTAACCAAAGGCAGAAAGAGGGGGAGGCAAGGGAGGTGCTGTGGCCCTGCAATGGCCTGACTCTACCTCCTGTCCTCACCCTATTCCCAACTCCCCCTGTTGGATCCTGCCCTAATACAAAATTTGGACATGTTGTTCCTTGAAGATTTTGGGGGCATTCCGTTTGAATTTTCAAAATATTGATCATGATAACTATGTTTTGTGATTTTCTTAAAATCCATGCCCAGGGACTCCCTTGCCTTACTCCAGTGCAAGTCCAGGACAAAAACCAGCCACTGGCCCACTGCTGAAGGGTGGGGAAGGTGACTGAGAGGTGAGAGATCAGTCCTGCTTGCTGATAAGAAACAAAGGCTAATCTTGCACCTCGGAATCTAGGCTCTAAATGCAGAGAGCTTTCTCTCTTTTAACTTATGCTTGCAAAGAACAGGCCTGGCTAATGAAGTTGAGGACCACTCCAATCTTGATGACAGCTACCCTCTTTGTATGACAAGATTATTAACACCTGCTGGAGCTTAACTCTAAGTGCCTATACTCTAGCTAGTCATTTCCCTGTGTGAGATGTTGACTTAGGGGGAAAAAAAATCTCAAAGTGAGAAACTGTAGACAAAAACACACAGGGTTAAAAAAAAAAAACAAAAAAAACACTAAGGTAAAATTTGCAAAAGAGTAAAAGAATCACATCTAAGGAAATATCCCACAGGTGAGTCCCTAACAGTCCCATCTAAATACTTTTTTAAAAACCCACTAAAGAACAACGCATTTTTCTAAGAGAAATTTTAAAGCACACATCAAAACTGTAAAAGCAGTTTCACTCCAAAATTTACATGGCCTGAGATGTTGCTTGCTGAAATATCACATGGAGCTCTTTCCCTTTCCCAACCAGGATTGCAGAATATATCATCCTTCCTTTCAGATTTTCAGAGCTAGTCTTTTCATTTATTTTTAAATGCTTCACCATCGGCCGGGCACAGTGGTTTATGCCTGTAATCCCAGCACTTTGCGAAGCCGAGGCGGGGGGAATCACTTGAGGTCAGGAGTTCGAGACCAGCCTAGCCAATATAGTGAAACCCCATCTCTACTAAAAATAAAAAATTAGCCAGGCATGGTGGTGGACTCCTGTAATCCCAACTACTGAGGAGGCTGAGGCAGGAGAATCGCTTGAACCTGGGAGGCGGAGGTTGCAGTGAGCCGAGACTGTGCCACCACACTCCAGCCTGGGTGACGGAACGAGATTCCGTCGCGCAAAAAAAAAAAAGAAAAAAAATTCTTCACCATCCTGGAGAGCCCAGTGCTCTCACTCTGCCCATTCTTCAGCAGAACACAGGCACAAAGTGACTGATCAAACTCCCTCCCCATCACTGGGTCTCCACCAGGATTCCTGACTTGTTTCTTCTTAAACATACTTTAACCTGAGGACAGTACTGCTCAGTAGTTTTATCTACCCATGGCCTGTGACCCTCCTCTCCCCAGAAAGACCAGTCAGCGGCACTGCTGATTCTCCTAACTTTTAGAACATACATTCAGTCCTGACATGTCTTACAAATCATGAAGTTCATCAGCACAAAGAGTCAGAACTGAAGAGGCAGGCACTAGGGAGACATGGTCCACCTCATCTTCCTGATGGCAGCATGAGGGGATAGGAAGAAGCACAGACAGGCCGGGTGTGGTAGCTCATGCCTGTAATCCTAGCACTTTGGGAGGCCAAGGTGGGTGGATCACTTGAGGTCAGGAGTTCGAAACCAGCCTGCGAACATGGGTGAAACCCTCTCTCTACTACAAAAAAAAGAAAAAAAAAGTTAGCCGGGCATGGTGGCGGACACCTGTAATCCCAGCTACTCCGGAGGCTGAGGCAGGAGAATTGCTTGAACCCAGGAGGCAAAGGCTGCAGTAAGCAGAGATCGACCACTGCACTCCAGCCTGGGGAACAAAGCGAGATTCCATCTCAAAAAAAAAAAAAAAGCAGCAGCAGCAGCACAGACAACCCTGGAGGAGGCAACCCAACTCAAGCTTCAATAGATGCGTGGCCTTGAGCAAGTCCCAGACTCTGAACACGTGCACACAGCTGTAGGCAGAGCAAAACACCTACCCAATCTACTCTGGAGGATGCCTATGGAGGTCACAGAAGACAAATCACATTGAAAACTGTTCATTACTGTGCAAATTAAAGCCACCAATGACAATTTATAGCATGGCTTCATCAGCATGCTGAAAAGATAACATGAGTGGGCTAAAATAAGGTTTATGTGTGCATTTACAGTACATCTTGTTCCCAAAAATATCAAATGAGGTAATATCAAACCATATGACAGACAAAAACATTTAAAGATCACGCCACCACACACACTAGGCACAGCTAGGCAAACCACCAGGCTCACATCAACTTGCTGTTTTTTAATGCACCCTAACACTCTGATGGTATCAGAACTGCCTCAATTTTCCATGAGACATTGTCTACCTCTACTGTATAGAGATATCTAGAGTTTACCATCCACACAGATAAAGATGGGCAGACAGGGATCTATAAAGGGCTCCAAGAAAAAAATATTCTTAGTGCTACCATGAAAGACTTAAGTATCTATTACCATTCCTGTTTCATTGCCTTTTCGGTAACCCGCCACAAACGGGAGCAGAGAAAGTAAAGGCAAGGCTTATCAGGAAGTGTTGACACAACCTAAACACGGGCTGTGGGCACCACACCAGGAAAGGAAACCACAATTATACCATTCTTGATTTGGATGCACTTTCACTTTAAAACTTCCAGACAGGAAAGTCAGCAGTGAGATTTGACACTGAAATCTCTAGAACTCACTCCGACAAACCCGTTGAAAGGTGGGAAGGGAGAGCGGTCGTCACACTGGAGACAAATCTTAACAGCATTAAAGCTCTCTGTACGGAAAGTTTCCCCATCACTGCATTTTTTTTTTTTTTTTAGTAACAAAGATGTTGTCAAAAATGACAATTTTTTGTGTCCCCTGATGATGCCTTGCTAGCATTTGGTTATAAGCCATAAAGCAGGAATAATTTCAGCCTGTCAGGAGTCTCGCTAATGCCCAGTTTCCCCCTAGAGAGAATTCCTGTCAAATCTAATGAGAGCTCCAAAGGCCCTCTCTACAATATAATGAGCACTTAGGCCATGCTGGTGATCAGGCGGCAAAAAGCATCAATTTGAGCTTGGCTACACCCTGGGGGCCAGACGTCACCAGTTTTAATAAGAATTATGATTACTAGCTGCACCAAATGCCTCCTCAGAACTTATTATTAATGTGTGACATTCAGAAGGATGTTTTTCAAATGTAAGTCCACTTTAAACTGAATTATAGCACTACTTTGCACAGCACTCTAGTTAAGGGTCTGTCAGCATTTCCAATATCAACTAAATTTCAGGAGGCTCAGTACCCTACTATGAAGAACATGGTGTCTCTCAGCTTTTCACGTTTTTCAAATTGCTAAGCCAATTATACACAGCATATTATTAATGCATACAGGCTCACGGACAGACAGTATATAGCCACAAATGCCTCACTCTGTATAGAAACTCATTAGAAAACTATTCTCACACCATGGTGCTTCTGACCCACTTCACCCCTTCTCCCTACATGATAAAGAAGAGGTCATCCCGCCACATAACCTACAGGAACCCAGAAGAATTACACACCTCTTTTAGCTCCTCCAATAAACCCAGCACCAGCATATAGCATCACACTGAGGTGGTGTTCCCTTGTAAAAGAGTCAATGAGGTTATTAAATCCTTTGAGTTTATGGGTTTAAGAAAAAGCTCAGTCTCCTCTTACTCTTCCATAATATCTGTTATCCAAAAAAAAGTGCCCTTCAGAGTAAATTAAAAAAAAAAAAAAAGATTAAACCGCCTAGGCCAAGTTTATTTGCATAATTCACTTAAATGACGATAGATGTTAGCCACAGATCTTCTAGCCCATTTACTATCAAGAAGTTACAAGTGCCTGAATAAGGCACTAGCCACTGAGAAACACACAAAAACAAAGGCACAAACCCAACATAAAGTAGGCTACCAACTTTGTAAATCATAGTAAAATCTGCATTTTTAAAGGCCCAATTACATTATTAATAAAAGGCCCTGAAAATCACAATCTCTTTCCAAACACAAATCTGAGAACAGATCTAATGTACACGATAACTTAACATTATGAAATCTATGATGAATTAAAAATCAAAGAGTGCGGAGTTACAAAAGCAGAATTCAACTCTGAAACACACTTGCTTAATGAAAGTCTTTGAATATAAGGAAGATCTGAAGGCTGAACTAATCAATTTCTCCACTGTGCCCCAGCCGGTCAGCCATGCTCTTTAATTTAATGAAACAAGGGTTTGAGATGAAATAGCACATATACATCAAGTAAGAATTGTATTGTTGCACTTTGAAATGTGTCCAACTGTGCAACTTCATCTGATGATAATTTTTTAAGAGGCAATCGATTTCTAAAAGACTTATTGTACCAGCGTCTTGATGAAAAAGTGAATGTCAGCGTATCTCCAGAATACTTACACCCTGCCATTAATGCTTTCTTTGGCAGACAATGACTACTCAATCGAGGGTCCTTTGGGCTGAGCAATCATTTAGCTTTTCTTCTCTTATGAGGTCCTTAGTGCCTTGTTCCAGCTCAATACTCTTTTTATACACCATTATAGTAGCCATAAGTGTGAATTTTATGGGAACTTGCAAACTCATAGTCATTGCTAGAGCTTTCCAGTCACTAATCTTTTCATGCTTTAAAAACCACTAGGACTGAAGCAACTCCCAACATATGCTCTGGCCATAAAAAGATGCTTTTTTCACATCCACACCTGCAACAACTGAGAAATTTTTCAAAAATTTGTTTGCTAATAAGCCACTAATCCTGACTATTGCTTCATGCAGCCCCAAAGCATAAAGAATACTCCACAGATAGTCATATACCTTGATTACCACGATTAAAAAAAACTCCTGAATACCCTTCTTTCCCCCCAACAGGTCCACACTTCCTTGCAAAACAGCACAAAAACATTAACTATTCTAAACTTCAGCAACTGTAGAAGATACCCAGCCCTTTCAAGAGGATAAATCTATACAGGTGAAAAAGTAAACTCAAGTCTTAATTCCTATCTGTCAATAAAGAGGCTAGTTTATATTTCCAAAACACCTCTCCCTCTCCTAGTCATTTAAACACTTGTAATTATCAAGAAGCAACCCTTGATGCAGAATACTACCATCAATCCACAGGACAGGAAACCAAGGCAGAAAAATAGCATACAAACCCCCACCCCTAGAGCCCACTACTGAGAACAAAGCCAGTATTATTAAATCATATGAACTGATGTCTCATTTCAGCTTGAAGTTCAACTAAAGCTTACCTGTTTGTGCATTTCAATGTTTAATCCATATGACATTTCATAATACTGTAAAGAGAAAAAAGAATCAAGCATTTCATTAACTCATGTTTTTTACACTCTGCTAACACGTTTGCTAATATCATATGAAAAAGGAAAAAGTCCAATCTTTGATACCTACCATCACATAGTGCCTCTGCATTTCTGTCTTTTCACTTGCCAGTTTCTCACATTCCAATTTAAGGCTAGGAAAACAAAACAGGCAACTTAATGTAAACATTATGTCACTTGTTTTAACATCTGCCTCACATATTTGCACTTCAAGTAAAAACACAGACCAATTTGGAAAAGCCATAAACTATCTAGGTAAACACCCAAAAGCTTTGTCCTTGCATTTAATAGGGAAAAGGAATAATGTGAACAATACAAGGTGTCCATTCAGCTACCATTCTTCTTGGTGCCTATCTGGTTAGATGACAAGAATGAAAAAAATCTGTCAGAACCTCTAACTGATTCCTCCTCATGGTCATCTGCTCCCTACCTTCCTGCATCAGTTTGTTTCTCTGTACTCCACCAAAATCCGGCCCTTGCACAATCTTCACTCTTAGGCATAGGCTGTGCCATCTTTGCCAACTCAAACGGTCTCTAGGTTTGAAAATCCTATCTGTTAAGTTACTCCTACAATTGCTGGTCCCTTTCAAAACCTTTGGTTTTTAAATCCCTGCCAAAATATGTCAAGTAGCTACTGCAATAAAGTGGGTTGAAGTTCTCCCTGCTGGGTAAACACGGTGTGTGCAAGTATGCCTCAAGCTGCAGAGATATTATCTACAAGTAGACAAAAGGTCAATAATGAGAAAGCCCCTGACAAAGTAAGAAAATTCACACCCAAGCCACTTCGCCTCATCTGTGTGCTTTTTCTCAAGCATGACAAAAGCAAAAAATGTCAATACAGTTATTTCTGAGTTAGAATCAGGTAAAACTTCATAGGAACAAGGGAAAGAAACTAACCTTTCTGGGAAGTTCACTATTGGCAAAGTATTTTACAAAAATTTATAAGTCCTTTGAAGGTAAGTCTCATTACTTGAAGAAACTAAGGCTGAGATGGATATAAATGTGACTCCACTCTCTCATCCTACCCAAACCAATCCGAAATGACGCCAAAGCAGGTGAGCTTTCTTCTTTATACTATTATACCCACCTCCCTCACCATCACCAATGATGGGCAATGTTATAAGCATCTAGCCTTCCTTAATGGACTTTGCCTCAGAAAACCCAATTTTCTAGTATGGCAAACAGCGATTTCAACATGGCTTTGCTTCCCTGAACCCACACTCCAGGACTGAGACATCGATTGAACCAATGTTTCAGCTCAGTCTGCTGAAAAATAAATACATGAAGTGCAAATATTGACGATTCTCATGCAACTCCTAAAGACATGAAAAAGGACTCCCTGGAACAGTGCAAACCGGCAAAAGGGAAACAATGGGAGGAGGAGGAGACAAGAGAAGAGGCGGCCCGGGAAGAACCAGGAAAGGGGGTAACTTGAATGACAGGTCTTAACTGAGACTCCACACGCCACCGCCTGGACGCAAGAACTAAGTACAGGCGCCGCCGCCACCCGGCTGGGTGCAAGGGGCACCGGGACGCCCGCGACCACTCGCATGGCGCGGCCGGACACGCACCTGTGATACTGCGCCTGCAGGAACTGGAATTCCTCTTTAATCCGGTCCAGGGACTCCGGGATAGTGAACTTGAAGGGCTGGCCTGCAGCCTGGTGCGGCGTCTGGGGGCGACCAGCGAGGGGGACCGAGGGACGGGAATGCGGGCGGATGAATAAAGCAGTAAGTCAGAGAAGGCAAGAACGGGTGGGACATAAACATAAAGTTAGAAGTGGCTGAAAACGAGGCCCCAAACTCGAGTTTGCCCTTCACTATGGGGAGGGGGAAAGCGGACCCTCCCCGGGCCCCGGCTTCTAAAGAGGCTCGGAAGCTCTTCCCAGTCTCCAGGGCGGATTGCGCTAAGTGCGCCCGGGTCACCAGGCCAAAGGGAAGGGGGCTCCCCGGCGGCCAGGGAAGACCAGGCCAGATTGTCGGTGTCGCCGCCCCTTCCCCCACGGCGGCGATAATGACCCCGGGGACCAGAGGAGAAAAACAACTCCTTTACGCTCCCCATTCCCAGAGTCGCCGGGGCCACCTCCAGACGCACCGGAACCGGGGCCGCATTGACATGTAAATAGGCGAGAGGAGAAACAAAGGGGGGGGCGCCCTGCCCCCACTCGGGGAAGGTAGAGGGGATATGGCTGCAGGAGAGAAACCCCAGCCTTCCCCAGCGCCCCTGTCCGCTCGGTATAGACGTCAAGTAGGAAGGAGCCCAAAGGGAGGGAGAAAATTAAGAGTTTCGGCCCACTCCCCACCCCAGGAAGAGAGGGCCCCAGACCTCCCCAGCCTTACACCGCTGAGGGCGAGAAGGTCCGCCGGGCCTCAGAAGCCACCAGTCTCCCTACCGCCCGGGAGAAGCGCCTCCCCAACGATCCTGGCCCCCCACCACCACCCAGCCGCGCCTCACCGGGTGCCGGCTCTGCGGGAACATCGCTCTGGCGGCGGCCGGGGCTCTGTTCCCCGGCAACTCAATTCTCCGGTCAATTTCCAACTTTAATCCCGCCGAGGAAAATTAAGCCGGAAAGCCAAGCAGAAGCGGGGAGCGCGCTGGCCACGCACGCGCGCTCCGCCGGGCGCACCGGCCACTCGGCGCCCGCAGCTGCTCCGGCTCCCGCTCCCGTCGGTGCGGGCTCCGGCCCTCAGGGCCACATTAGTGGGCGCCCCAGGCCCAGCTGCTTCAAGAACCTGCGCGGAGACGTCGGGCGCTCGGGGACTGTGCGCGGGGGCAGCGCTCCAACCCCCGGCCTCAGCTGCCCGGGCGGGGAGGCGGGGGCGCGGTGACTCCGACCGCACTCCCCTCGGCGATCCGCGTGCGCGGCGCCAGTCCTGGGCAAACAAATCCAGACGGACTGCTTTTCTTTGCTCTTCTCCTGGTCCGCCTCCTCTTCGGGCTTTCCCCGAGGCGGCGGCGGGCGAGGTGCAGGTGGCGCGGCGGCCCCCGCTAACCCCACACAAACCCGACGCTTTCGGGGCGACTCCCGCAAGATTCGGCTGCGCCTTCGGCCGGGTGCTCGCAGGCTCCCGGGACGCAAAGGGGAGCGAGGTTGAAGACGCAGCGGAGGCTCCTGGCCGGGGAGCGACGGATGACGAGGCGGGGAAAGTGCGGAGGGCGCGCCGGGAGGCGGCTCGGCACGCCCCGTGCGACCAGCACTCGGTGTTCTCCGCGGTTGCACAAACCCTCCGGGCCCGACGGGGCTACTCCACCGAGAGCAGTCCCGCAAGTGCCCAATGCTCCTCGAGCCCGGGGAGCATCAGGGCGCCGCGCCTCGGGCGCACTCGCCCTGCACGGCCGGACCGGCCGCTCCGGACCCTTCTTCCGAGCTCCTTCTTCCTCGGTCTTCTTTCTTTCCTTCCTTCACCTTCGTGTGCTTCTCCGCAAAGGGCGCTCCAGCCCACTGCAAAGTTCTCTCACCACCCGAGGGACGACATCCACGAGATGGTGGGGAAAACAGCAGGAGTGCGCTCCGCCAATCGGCCACCCTCCCCGGCGGGCAAACTCTGCGGGCGAGTCCAGAGTAGTCACAGCGGTGGGGCCAGCGGGGGTTTTGGTCGCCGCGGGACGACGGAGGTCCGGGCTGGTGGCGCGGGTCCCGCCCGGCCGTGCGAGGGTGGGGTGGCGCAGTCGGCTGCCTCCGGGACGCGGGGCACAGAGTACCCGCCGCTGTTTCTGCTGCTGCTGCTTCTGCAGCCGCCGCTCCCACCGCCGCCGCCGCCCGCGCCTCTCGCGCCGCTTACATTAACACGCGGTTTCACACTCCGGAGCTAACCAGCGCCGGCCCCGCCCAGCCCCGTTCGGGCGGGGGGCGCGAGCGCGGAGCCGGCGGGGGACGTGAGCCCGGGAGGTTGGGGGGTGGGGGGGGGGCAGAAGGCCCGCATCAGCCAATCGCGTGCGCTGCAACCAACGTGGGGCGCTGACGCGCTCCTCCCCGGAGCGTATGGCAGCGCAGCGCCGGACGGGGCGTTCTCCCTCCCCCCCTCCTCTCGCTTCCATCTCCGCCGTCTCCTCGGTCTCCCTTCCCATCCCGGCCCCTCCTCCGCCAGCCGCGTCCTCCCGGGCTTGGTGAGGAACTGTTCCTGGAGGAGCCGCGGGACGCCAAAACCAGCCAATGGGAAGCGGCGATTCGCGGAGATTGGCACTGATGATGGGAAGGTCGGTGGGAAGGAGAGCGGCGGGGCTGGGCTGTCAATCAAAGTAACGTGGGGCTGGCTAGAGAGCGCGCGGGCGCGCGCTAGCGGGAGGGACTGGCGAGCGTGCAGCCGGGGAAGCTGAGGGCTCGAGTTAGCAAAAATCCTGCCACTTGCTCACTTTTCCCTTTAATGAAAATCCTCAGATCTAAGTGAAAGTAACTCAAAGACTAGCTGCGGAGTTTCTTATTGGAGGCGGAGGGGGGCTTTTGGTAATTCGAGCAAATGTGTTTTTCAGTGCTGGACCCCTTGTTTGATGCTACTCTAAAAGTGAGGCCACATTCAAAAATTTATCTGAGGTTTGTTTTTCCTTGAGCTGCCTTTTTACGGATGTACGAGAGGGAGTGGACTGTGCACTTAGTTGGAAATGCGTAAATGAGCAACGCCACGGTTGGCGTAGGTACACCAGCAAAGACGACTGTGATGTCCTCCCACCCCACCCACCCCCTTTGCACCCAAAGTGGTAGGATTTGATTTTTATTGCAGGATTTCAAGCCACTTTTCAAAAAGATCGTCCTGTCCCGTTTGGCGGGAAGGATTCCCAGGGTGCTGCCAGAACAAGGCACGCGTGTCCGCAGATGAGACGTTTTGCCCGGGGCGCGAAATCCCAGGTCTTCGTCTTAAAAGTCCTGACTTCGCTGTGTTGGGAGAGGTGGGGAGCGGCTGAGGTTTTTAGGAACTTCTCAGCTACAAGACTACGAGTCTGTTTCCAATTCCTGGGAACAAAGAGAGACAATGTAATAAACCAGCACTGAGACCTGAAAAACCTGTCCCGCACACCCCACCCCCACAGTCTGGGTGGTACTCCTGAGCTGAGCTGTGTGAAGAGCTAAATGGGAAGAGTTAGGTAAATGACGTGGCTAAGGTTCTTATGAAGTGGAACTTGAGTTAAAAGGGATTTTGAGATTGTAATAATCAAGACATGCTGTATAATTAATGCTGAGAGTCTTTGGTTTTTGTGTATGTCTCTAAATACACAGCAGAAAACCGTCAGTATTGCCGCATTTATGCTTTTGTTTGAGGAACATTTCCACATGAGCAGTGAATGAATAATGCTGGTTTAGCCAAACGGTGGTAACTTCTTCCATAAGGGCACATCTTGGACAAGTATTTATCTTATGTTGGAAACTAGTTAAGTTTTTGGTATTAATAACCCCCACGTTATTATTTTATTATTTTACCTTCAAGAGACTTACGGGAAGGAGCTTATTTAAACAGACATACATTTTATTTAAAGATGTGCTTTTACAGAGTTCTTTTTCTTGAAATAGTTTTAGAAGTCATTTTAGATAATACATTTCACTGTTGGAGTTGTTTTTAAATATGTATGATATTGATTTGTCTATAATTGCATCACTCCCAAATATCAATTATAAATGAAAAAATAAAAAAGCGATTTTAACCAGTCTGTACGAAGCCATAGTAAATTCTTAAACAAGTTGGGCATTGTAGCTTTGTGGTGTTCTCATTAAGTACAGTTGGGAAGGCGGCTGTATTATTCATTTTGCTAACATGGAGAACAAAAAAGAAGAAAGCACTGCCTCACTTTCCTTGGTTAAATTTGGTGACGATGACAGTTTTGCTCGACATACAGGACTTTTTGGAATCATAGGATCCCAGGGCCTTTAGCAACCTGTTTTCCTTGAAATTATCTAGTGATTGAGCCACATATACCAGTCTGCGGCCAGTTCATCCCATAATCAGCTCCAGGACCGGACAGAAAGTGCTTGGATGCCACAAGTATGCTTGTATACATGCTGTGACAACTGGAGCAACTGATATTCCTCCCCGGCTTACCCAGGCTTTATGTGGTGCCTGTATCTTGAATAACTGGCACACTCCCATTAAGTTTAAACAGAGCCATTAAAATATGCTTTGAGATGGGGCAAAAGTGTTGCTACTTCTCTTCTTTCCCCACCCCGCTGCCCTCAAAATCAGTACTAAGGCATCTTTAAATGTTCTCTAACATAACTACTCACAGACAATGTGTCTGCTCACCATATTTCCCAGTTTGCCATGAGTAAACACTAGAAATTCTCTTTTAACTAGTCTTTCCTTGCCAATAGAGTTTGAAACACCAGGCCTTCTGATTTCCTTATAATGAAGTATCTGTAGTATCTACAGAGCATTATGAATTTAAAATTGGAAGGCCTTTAATTGTGTGCATAAAAATGGTTGGTTTTGGTTTTTGAAGCCTTTTTTTCCCATTTAGAGCATCGTCTGTCAGAGTGGGAGAAGGCTCTGCCCTTTTCAAGGTCATATTTTCTCCACGATTGTCATGCTGTAATAATTATACTACAAAACTCTCATCAAACTGCATTACAAATGACGGCGTTTAAACAGTCAAGTAGCTTTAATCTTATGTTTTAAATAAATAATATATGTGCAGATTGCCTACAGCCTGTTTAAAAGAAAATAGTCCTCCTCATGAAATCTATAATTTTGGTCTTCCATTTAAAGCCTGTTAACCATAATCTTCTTTACCTTTAACATTCATATGTCAATGATGTTTTTATGTGAAATGTATGATGCTCCCACTGGAAATTTTCTCTGAAAAACACAGTACCCTTTTTATGCTCTGCAGAGAAACAGAAAGATTGTCAGCTTGTTCATTTTCTTTTGATGCATATGTGGGTATATTCCCATTCATTTGTTGCTGATTATCAAATTTTCAACTCAGCAATAGCCTAAGTAATTACAAAAGCTAGATGTTATCTAGTACAGATACTAAACAAAATAGGAAAAGTTATAGATGCTGATCGTAGCAACTAGACATCTTTTAAATCTATTACTTTTTTATTTGAAATAATAATTGTAATTTTTTAATTTTTTTTGGAGACGGAGTCTCACTCTGTCTCCCAGGCTGAAGTGCAGTGGTGCCATCTCAGCTCACTGCAACCTCTGCCTCTTGGGTTCGAGATTCTCCTGCCTCAGCCTCCCCAGTAGCTGGGACTACAGGCGTGTGCCACCACACCCGGCTAATTTTTATATTTTTAGTATAGACGGGGTTTCGCCTTGTTGGCCAGGCTGGTCTCAAACTCCTGACCTCGTGATCCGCCCTCCTCAGCCTCCCAAAGTGCTGGGATTACAGGCATGCACCACCACACCTGGCCAATAATTATAGTTTTTAACAGACCACTTTTGTTGTGTTCTCTTCCTTTTAGCTGAGAATTATTGCTCATACATTTCCTCATTTGACTTTTTTTTTTTTTTTGAGTCAGCATCTCGCTCTGTCACCCAAGCTGGAGTGCAGTGGTGCGATCTCAGCTCGTTGCAACCTCCGCCTCCGAGGTTCAAGCGATTCATGTGCCTCAGTCTCCTGAGCAGCTGGGATAACAGGCGTGTACCACCACGCCCGGCTAATTTTTGTATTTTTAGCGGAGACAGGGTTTCACCATGTTGGCCAGGCTGGTCTCGAACTTCTAACATCAGGTGATCCGACCGCCTTGGCCTCCCAAAGTGCCGGGATTACAAGCGTGAGCCACCCCGCCCCACCTTTTTTTTTTTTTAATTGATAGTTTTCTTAAACCTAAGAATGTAGGGTCCAGAAGAATTTTTCCCAGCATTTCTTGGTAATCTTTTTCTCCCCCACTCCTTTACCAAAGAAAAGGGCAAGATGGACGTGGAGGTGAAAGGAAGAACGCAGAGAAGGGAAAAAAAATCAGTAGCAGATCCATGCAGCAGTAAAACCTCAAATAAAATCACTTCCAAAGAATCTCTTGCGGTTTCACACAATATGGTAAAATTAGAGATTGCAGGAAACCAACTAAATTAAACTGGGAGCATTTGAAGAGAAATGAGCAGACTTTATGAAAATGACACATTGACTGACCAGTATGCTTTTTTATCAACAATTTCTTTGTTAAGACGAAGATCAAAGGAACCTGCATATGTTTTCATTTTGTTCTAACTAGAAAATTACATCCAGATGTTTAATAGGCATTTGGTTGGTTTTTCAGCATTGATTAGATATGTTGGTTCTGTTTGCTTACAAGTGCAGCCGGATCATTAGCTAATGCAAAGAAATGTTTGCTGTGAGTTGCTAATTAGGGCTTTTGGAAGCCCTCCATGCTCAAGAACAATTTGTACTGTGGCCAGAAGAACTTGAGGGACTTGGGGAAGTTGTTTTCCCTTCTCTGTCAGAGTGGGGAGAAGCAGAAAGCCCTATTCCCTAATCTCCCTTTGCCTAGGGGGATTGCGATGAGATCCCCAAGGATTGGAGTGCAAATAAAGTAGGAAGAGACCACACAGGCACTCCCAAACATGGAGAGATAAATGTTCTCTTTCTGGAACCAGCACTGTGCGGTCTTTTGAGGTGGGGGGAGCGAACATCTAAAACACTGGATATTAACATGTGGAAGATGCTTGGTGCTAATGTTATCAAATACACAGCATTTTTAAGTATACTTTAGAGACAGATGGGAAAGCCCTTTATGATAAACGAGTGTACTTGAATTCGTTACTGTAGTACTTATAATTAAAAATGTCTCCTTTGCAATTTCAGTACTTTTACAGGATACGAGAGACCAAGCTTGGGAACTAGAAGGCTGGGGAGAGTGAAAGGAGTGAGGGAGAGGAATTTTGGAAGCTAGGGTGAGCCTGGGAGGAAATGCAGTGTTTACTTTCACAGCCCACCCATTCGTTTACCTTGTTAAAGCCCCAGAACTTGTACCAGATTAGCTATTCACTCAGTATTCAAATAAACTGTTTGGGAATTTGAGGAACCAGGCGGATAAACTTCTTAGCCCACCAATCACGTTTGTAAAAAAGCTTGACTGTGTCTGAGGCTTGCAGAAGAACACCACCTCAGCTGCGGCCGAACTTTTGTTTACTTAAGTCTATATTTCAAGAAAGATATCAGTCTAAAATAGCATGTGTTTATAAGCAATCATAGCAGTGCAGATATAAATCCCATTGTACGACGTTCTTCTGCCTGTTAATGCCCCTTACTAAGTCTGTTTACATCTTTTTTTCCCCTCCCCCCAAGACAGAGTCTTGCTCTGTCACCCAGGCTGGAGTGCAGTGGCACGATCTCAGCTCACTGCAACCTCCGCCTCCCAGGTTCAAGCAATTCTCCTACCTCAGCCTCCCGAGTAGCTGGGATTACAGGCGCCCACCACCACATCCAGCTAATTTTTGTATTTTTAGTAGAGACAGGGTTTCACCGTGTTGGCCAGGCTGTTCTCGAACTCCTGACCTCGTGATCTGCCTGCCTCGGCCTCCCAAAGTGCTAGGATTACAGGTGTGAGCCACCACGCCCGACCAAGTCTGTTTACAACTAATGCATATGTACGGCACACTCCTATGTATTAATGTTACCTGATTAATTTGGGATTTTCACACCAATAGGATATATTCATGATTAGTTTCTTTGAAGTAGTTCAAGCAGAGGGCCTTTCTGCCAGAGCTTTCCCTGTCTACCAGCGAGATGCCCCGGAAAAGCAAGAACAGTATTTTGGGGCTCGATGAAACACTGCCTGGAGTTCAGACCATAATAAAAGATCTCAGTGAAGTTTGTCCTGCCCCTCTTTGAGACGGAGTCTCGCTCTGTCGCCCAGGCTGGAGTGCAGTGGCGCGATCTCAGCTCACTGCAACCTCCGCCTCCCGCGTTCACGCCATTCTCCTGCCTCAGCCTCCGGGGTAGCTGGAATTACAGGCGCCCGCCACCACACCCGGCTAATTTTTTGAATTTTTAGTCAAGGCGGGGTTTCACCGTGTTAGCCAGGATGGTCTCAATCTCCTGACCTTGTGATCCACCCGCCTCGGCCTCCCAAAGTGCTGGGATTACAGGCGTGAGCCACCGCGCCCGGCCTTCTTTTTATTTTTTTAACCCGTTCTAAAGTCTGAGGAAAGTTGGGATTATACACTTTTTAAAAAAATTCATTCAGTTTAGCATTTAGCTCGACTGAAGCTGAAGAGCATTTGGTAGAAAAAAGAAAAAAGTAAAGGAAGCACCTTTGATGCTCCTTCCTACATATTCACATAACAAGAGCAGACCTGGGCCCCTTAATGTTCTCTGCTTGAGCCACCTTTGCTGCAGGCCAAGGACTTGCTAGGAAATCAACTTTAAACTGAGACATCTTTCCTTTTCCTTTAAAAGCTTTCACTTTGGCAGCATCATTTAAATAACTTTTCTTCCTGAAGCCAGCCATATCATTGAAGGGTTAAAGCTTGAGTTCAACTAATTGATGATCTTCAGATGTTCTTCAGAGCTGAAGGCAGGCGAACTCTCGGGATGGGAAGGGGACTAGAGTGCAAGTGTATGTTCCAGGTACCTTCACGTTTCCAGAATACAAACTTTAAGTCTAGTTGAGCAAGTTAAATGGAATAAATACAGAATGTTGGGACATTCTACAGGACAGCTAGCCTGAGCTATTTAAAAAGTTAATGTCGAGAGAGACAGGAGAGAAGTGGGGAAGGACTATTCCTTAAAAACAAAGATATATAATGAAAAAGCAATGTGTAAATCTTTATTGGCCCCTGGATTTAAAAAAAAAACATGCAAGATGTCTTGGGCAACTTTAATTTGGACTGGATATTTATAGATAGTATAGAATTATGCTTCTCCTTTTTTTGATGTTAGAATATTGTGGTTATTTTGGAAGATGTTATTCTGAGAAGATAGATGGTGAAGCATACAACTTCAAATAACACCTGCAACTGCAAATAAAAAGTGTATGTAGAGAGAGAAAAAGAAAGCAAATTTGGCAATGTGTTAACCATTACAGAATTTCAGGATAATGTCTATAGCTATTCATTTTACTATTCTTTCAATATTTCTATGTTTGAAAATTTTTCATGATGAAAAGTCTGGGAAAACAATTCTAGGTTCATTGTCTACATCTCTTTTTTTTGTGCATTATAATGGAATTCACTTCATAGTTAAAAGATTTACTTGTAATGTTTCTAGTAAAAAAAGAAAAAAGAAAAAGTATGAGGCCAGCCGCAGTGGCTCACGCCTGTAATCCCAGCACTTGGGAGGCCGAGGCTGGTGGATCACGAAGTCAGGAGTTCGAGACCAGCCTGGCCAACATGGTGAAACCCCATCACTACTAAAAGTACAAAAAATTAGCCGGGTGTGGTGGCGGGTGCCTATAATCCCAGCTACTCGGGAGGCTGAGGCAGGAGAATTGCTTGAACCCAGGAGGCAGAAGTTGCAGTGAGCTGAGATCTTGCTACTGCACTCCAGCCTGGGTGACAGAGCCAGAGCAAGACTCCGTCTCGGAAAAAAAAAAAAAAAAAAAAAAAAAAAATATATATATATATATATATATATACACACACACACACACACATATATATACACACACATATATATACACACACACACATATATACACATATATGTATATATGTGTATATATATGTATATGTATATACATATATATATGAAAAAATGATTTTTTCCCCTGATCATGGGAAAGCTGTCATACTAATAACCGAAGTATTACCCAGTGTTTTTGCTCTGGATCTTTTAGTAGTTTTATTTTATTATTTATGATATTTTATTTTTGTTTGGTTTTCTTCAGGAGTCCCAAATGTCCATTAGTTACCAATTAATATAAAATGTAAATCTTTAAATACATTAGGGTATTACATTAATAATCCTCTAAAGCATTGTTTTATGATCCATAAATCTCAGAATCACCAGAAAATCTATTATAAAATAAAGAAGAAAACTGTTTTATGTTAAGAATAAGGCAACAGCAAATAAACGTTAATTCCTTTATTCCTTTCTTTTTTTCTTTATTTCTTTCTCTTTTTTTTTTTTGAGACTGAGTTTCACTCTTGTTGCCCAGGCTGGAGTGCAATGGCGCGATCTCGGCTGCAACCTCTGCCTCCTGGGTTCCAGCGATTCTCCTGCCTCAGCCTCCCAAGTAGCTGGGATTACAGGCATGCGCCACCACACCCAGCTAATTTTCTATTTTTAGTAGAGATGGGGTTTCACCATGTTGGTCAGGCTGGTCTTGAACTCCCGACCTCAGATGATCCACCCATCTTGGCTTCCCAAAGTGCTGGGATTACAGAGGTGAGCCACCACGCCCGGCCTTTTTTTTTTTTTTGAGACGGAGTTTTGCTCTTGTTGCCCAGACTGCAGTGCAATGGCACCATCACTGCAACCTCCTCCTCCTGGGTTCAAGTGATTCTCCTGCCTCAGCCTCCTGAGTAGCTGGGATTACAGGTGCGGGCCACCACACCCCGCTAATTTTGTATTTTTAGTAGAGACGGGTTTTCTCCATGTTGATCAGGCTGGTCTTGAACTCCCAACCTCAGGTGATCTGCCCGCCTCGGCCTCCCAAAGTGCTGGGATTACAGGCATGAGCCACTGCACCCAGCCCCTATATTTCTATTATGAATAGTTGTTTTGCTAGCCTTTTCATCATTTGACCTAGCAGTGAAACTTAGAAATTGTTAGTTTGATTTTTAAATTTCCTTAATATTTTGAAATGTAATGCTGATACAGATTATTGCGTGTACCAAGCTTTAAATATTACTCATGAAAAGAAATGAAAATGGGTGGGCACGGTGGCTCACGCCTGTAATCCTAGCACTTTGGGAGGCCGAGGCAGGCGGATCACGAGGTCAGGAGATTGAGACCATCCTGGCTAACACGGTGAAACCCCGTCTCTACTAAAAATACAAAAAATTAGCCGGGTGTGGTGGTGGGCGCCTGCAGTCCCAGCTACTTGGGAGGCTGAGGCAGGAGAATGGCATGAACCCGGGAGGCGGAGCTTGCAGTGAGCAGAGATGGCGCCACTGCACTCCAGCCTGGGCAACAGAGCGAGACTCCGTCTCAAAAAAAAAAAAGAAATGAAAATAGCACTAAATCTTGGACACTGAAGTTGTGCTCATGCAGAATCATAAGGGCATGTATTCATGATGTGCTAATAAATAAGCAGTTTTCCAGAAAAGTTGTGAAAAACGACAAGGCATAATCTGAGAGATGACAGTTGGGATATCCCGTCTATCAATTCTTTTTTCCTTTAATCATAGCTATTTAGTATGTTGTGTTTTTCCTATCACTGTTATGTTTATTGAAGGGAAAACTTTCTGTGACATTAGTAAACAAGATTCTAGTTAACGAGTGAACAGATTAAATCCTCTATTTGTGATGTAAAATTTGAGTGTTTAGGGAGGCAAATATGAAAATACTGGGAAACCAGGACTTTTCACACATGGTGATAATCCATCCATCCAATACTTTGAGCCACCATCCACATAACTAATTATTATGTAAAACGAAACCATGAAAAGAATTGATGCTTCTCCATGGCAGTAGATGCCCCAGGGGAACAGAGTTCCCATTCCTGGTTTCCCCCGTTTGCAGCCTCCACACTTCAGAAGAACTAGCAAGTTGCAATTGGCACTTGAAAAAGTGTTACAAAACACTGACAAGTATTAGAGAAACGTTGATTAATGTAAACAGCCTGCCTCAAGGAATGATACCTTTCTTAAGCAGTTTTCAATTCGCATTTCTATGTGCAGGTAAATGCAGTGTTTGAAGAGATGTGATTTTTGCCTTTGCTGGAGAGAAGAGAGGATTATCATATTTACATCTTAACTTTCTGAAAATTTGAAAAAAGAATTGACAGATTAAAAGTCAATAGGCCCAAAAAAGAAGGAAATTCTGACACATGCTACAACATGGATGAACCTTGAGGACGTTATGCTAAGTTAAATAAGCCCGTCACAAAAAGAAAATGCCAAATGCTTCCACTTATATGAGGGGCCTACAGTAATACATTCTTGGAGGCAACAGTAGAATGGTGGTTGCCCAAGGCTGGGAGTAGGGTGTAACGGAGAGTTCTTGTTTAATGGGTATGGAGCTTCAGCTTTGCAGGGTGAAACAGTTCTGTGGATGGATGGCAGTGATGGTTGCACAACAAGGTAAATGCACTCAGTGGCACCGAACTGTATGCTTGAAAATGGGTAAGATGGCCGGGCACTGTGGCTCACACCTGTAATCCAGCACTTTGGGAGACTGAGGCACGATCACTTGAGACCAGGAGGTCGAGACCAGCCTGGCCAACATGGCGAAAACCCGTCGCTACAAAAAAAAAAAAAAAACACACACACACACACAAAAATTAGCCGTGCATGGTCCCAGCTACTCGGGAAGGCTGAGGTGGGAGAATCGCTCACGCCAGGGAGGCAGAGGTTGCAGTGAGCCCAGATCACACCGCTGCATTCCAGCCTGGATGACAAAATGAGATGTCTTAAAAAAAAAAAAATTAGTAAGATGGTAAATTAGGCTGGGTGCGGTGGCTCACGCCTGTAGTCCCAGCACTTTGGGAGGCCAAGGTGGGCGGATCACGAGGTCAGGAGTTGGATACCAGCCTGGCCAACATAGTGAAACCCTGTCTCTACTAAAAGTACAAAAATTAGCCTGGCATGGTGGCGCATGCCTGTAGTCTCAGATATGTGGGAGGCTGAAGCAGGAGAATTGCTTGAACCCAGGGGGCAGAGGTTGCAGTGAGCCGATATCACGCCATTGCTCTCCAGCCTGGGCAACAAAAGCAAAACTCCGTCTCAAAAAAAAAAAGGTGAGATGGTAAATTTTATGTTATCTATATTTTACCACAATCTAAAAAAAAAAAAAAAATAGGATTCCTTTTTTCATGTACCAGTTTTATTTTGGATTCTCATCCAATTCACTTTCTTTTTTATTTTATTTATTTATTTATTTATTTATTTATTTTTGAGACATAGTCTCACTCTGTCACCCAGACTGCAGTGGCACGATCTCGGCTCACTGCAACCTCTGTCTCCTGGGTTTAAGCAATTCTCCTGTCTCAGCCTCCTGAGTAGCTGGGATTACAGGCTCATGCTACCATGCCTGGCTTATTTTTTGTAGTTTTAGTAGAGAGGGGGTTTCACCATGTTGGCCAGGCTGGTCCTGACCTCATGATCCACCCGCCTTGGCCTCCCAAAGTGCTGGGATTGCAGGTGTGAGCCACTGCGCCCGGCGCCTATTCATTTTCTAAAGTTATGCATGGCATGACTTTTTTTTTTTTTTTTTTGAGACGGAGTTTTGCTCTTGTTGCCCAGGCTGGAGTGCAACGGCGTGATCTCAGCTTGCCGCAACCTCTGCCTTCCGAGTTCAAGCGATTCTCCTGCCTCAGCCTCCCGAGTAGCTGGGATTACCGGCATGCACCACCATGGCGGCTAATTTTGTGTTTTTAGTAGAGACAGGGTTTCTCCATGTTGGTCAGGCTAGTCTTGAACTCCTGACCTCAGGTGATCTGCACGCCTTGGCCTCCCAAAGTGCTGGGATTACAGGCATGAACCACCGTGCTGGGCCTGCATGACATTTTTAAAGATTTATTTTATTTTGTTTTATTTTATTTTATTTTGTTTTGTTTTGTTTTGTTTTTGTAGACATAGGGTTTCTCTAAGTTGCCCAGGCTGATCTGAAATTCCTGGCTTCAAGTGGTCCTCCTGCCTCAGCTTCCCAAAGTGCTAGGTTTACAGGCATGAGCCATCATGCCCAGCCCCTGGCCTATAATTTTTTATTGAGTACTTACTATGTGCCAGATGCTGTTCTAAGTAGTTTACATGTTAATATGATGTAATTTACTGTACCCATCATTTCTTTTTTTTTTTAATTATACTTTAAGTTTTAGGGTACATGTGCACAACGTGCAGGTTTGTTACATATGTATACATGTGCCATGTTGGTGTGCTGTACCCATTAACTCGTCATTTAACATTAGGTATATCTCCTAATGCTATCCCTCCCCCCTTCCCCCCACCCTACAACAGGCCCCAGTGTGTGATGTTCCCCTTCCTGTGTCCATGTGTTCTCATTGTTCAATTCCCACATCATTTCTATTAGGTAGGCACTGTTATCATCCCTATTTCACTGAAAAGGCATGTGGGGCCCAGTACTTTTCCTAGAGTCACAAGCAGGAGAGCTGGGTGTCCCATCCTGGTGCTCTAGAGAGTTCACTGGCAGCCAGTAGCCACAGCTGACTTCTTAGCTAGTCTTCCAGTGCCATTTCTTCCTCTGTTCTCACATTCCCCATGGATCTACTGATAGAAAAATGTGTATATGTATTTTGCCCACAAGCTTGGTAGGATTTCTCTTGGTACTTTTGAGGTGAAGTTGATACTTTAAGAATTCATATTCCTGCAAATAGTTCTATTCTAGCTGCCTCAGGTCTCTAGAACTGTATCTGCCAGTGGAAAAACATGGCCACCTTCAGTTGTGTGCTTTCTGGCAACACCCAATTCATCCCCTAAATTGCAGTTCCACAAAGAAAGGAAGGATGATTTACAACTTGGTAAATGCTATAATTAAGGGGGGAAAAGCAGAAGATTATCTGTCTGTCTATCTATCTATCTATCTATCTATCTATCTATCTATCTAAAGTTCTGTGATTAACAATGGTTTGGGATGATCTTGGTAATAGTAGACGTGTAGTCTGAGTACTGATGTCACATTTGGAAACATTTGGTCTGCTGAATGTCAATGGATGTGTTTCTAGCCTGCAATGCCCTATTGAAATCAATAGTTTTAAAGATCTTTAACCATGAACTGTAGTAAGAAGTAAATTTTAGGCTGGGCACGGTGGCTCACTCATGTAATCCCAATACTTTGGGAGGCCGAGGCGGGCGGATCACCTGAGGTCAGGAGTTCAAGACCAGCCTGGCCAACATGGTGAAACCCTGTCTCTACAAAAAATACAAAAACTAGCCAGGCATGATGGCAGGTGCCTGTAATCTCAGCTACTCCAGAAGCTGAGGAAGGAAAATTGCTTGAACTGGGGAGGCGGGGGTTGCAGTGAGCTGAGATCACACCATTGCACTCCAGCCTGGGTGACAGAGCCAGACTTAGTCTCAAAAAAAAAAAAAGAAGTATATTTTAAACATCTCAAACAAGCGTTGTGCACATATACACACACATACAGGTTGCAACACACAGCTTTAAAACATTGCTTTAAATTATGCTATAGGATTTTTCAATTTGATTATTAACCCTCTAGCTTGGAAAGTTATTGTCCTCAAAACCATGTTCTCATGAAAAATGGCAACATAGTCTGCTCAATAATGTCAGAACAGATTTTTCTTTCCTTTATCCCTTTTGCAATGAGAAGTCGTAATCCCTGCCTTTGGTGAAGTTAACCTTAAATTTCAAATCAGTAGGATTCAAAGCTCTTCAGAGAATTTCTGAATAACTCTGTAGTCGCTCCCTTCCCTGCTGGCTCTTTTCTGCCTTGAGGCCCCCACCTGAACCCCCAATCTCAGCACCCCTATCCTGTCTGCCACATCTCATGGCATCTCTCAGCTGCCTCCCTGCCCATCTACTCACCCCAAGCCTAGAGTGGTCCAAAAACAGAGAACCAAGCTTGGAGACAGAGGGTCCTGAAAGGGAATTCCTCGCCCCCCACCCCCCACCTTACTAGATTGACCTTGGGCAAACCACTGCCACTCTCCGGGCCTCAGTTTCCTCACTTATAAAATGAGGATAATAACAGTCTCTCAAGGTGGTTTCTTGGACTGAAAGAGGAGAACTGAGATAGGGTAGTAAAGTAATTAACACAGTGTTTTAACTTTGTGAACATTGTTCCCTTTCCCTTTTTTGCCTGAGGCATGTTGAAGGCCCTGTCTGAGGTCAGCAGGTGCTGGGAAAATAACACCCTGACTAGAGATGCATCCTGGACAATCACAGGGCAGCATGGACTCCAAAAGTAATGTTCTGTGAAACTCTAGTCCAATTATGGCCCAAAACTCCAGGGTCCAAGAAAGACATCATCATGGTATTTCTAGGGGGCAGGATAAATGGATCTCAGGGAAAGGCAGCAGCCAATGACCTTGAATGCCCTCCCACCCCCTACCCATTCATAGACTGTTTCATACTCATGAAAAAACAGCACTAGAGGCCGGGCGCGGTAGCTCACGCCTATAATCCCAGTACTTTGGGAGGCCGAGGTGGGTGGATCACTTGAGGTCAGGAGTTGGAGACCAGCCTGGCCAACAGGCAAAACCCTGTCTCTACTAAAAATACAAAAATTAGCTGAGTGTGGTGGCACATGCCTATAGTCCCAGCTACTTAGGAGGCTGAGGCTGGAGAATTGCTTGAACCCAGGAGGCGGAGGTTGCAGTGAGCCGAGATCGTGCCACTGTACTCCAGCCGGGGTGACAGAGCCAAGACCTTGTCTCAAAAAAAAAGGAAAAAAGAAAGAGAAAGAAAAAGCAGCACGAACATATCTTTTTGGAACTGGAAATGCAAACTTTCAAACTTTGGGTGAGAGGGCTGTGAAAACAAATAATGAACAATATACATCAGCTATTTTTGGTGGCTACTGCCCTGAGTTGCCCATTTAAATAATAGAACAAATGGTGCTAATCAGTGAGAGGTTAATGGAATCAGGTCTCACATATGCTCTCCTTGAATGTCATGCCATCCAATGAGTATTGGCCATCCAAAGAATGTCACCCAATGAATATGAAGTTGTATGTTAGAAAGACCTTGAGAAACACGTATAGAAATTAGGAAGTCAATGAGATATCTGCTGGATTCTTTTCAGGAATATGATCTGAGGCCGGGCACGTTGGCTCACGCCTGTAATCCCAGCACTTTGGGAGGCCAAGGTGGGCGGATCACGAGGTCAGGAGATGGAGACCATCTTGGTTAACACGGTGAAACCCCGTCTCTACTAAAAATACAAAAAATTAGCCGAGCGTGGTGGCAGGCGCCTGTGGTCCCAGCTACTCGGGAGGCTGAGGCAGGAGAATGGCATGAACCCGGGAGGCGGAGTTTGCAGTGAGCCGAGAGATCACACCACTGCACTCCAGCCTAGGTGATGGAACGAGACCCTGTCTCAAAAAAAAAAAAAGGAATATGATCTGGTCTAGTATTAGTTTTTAACTAGGAACTTCCATTTTTCCTCCTGGAGACTTTCCTTTCACATCAATTTTATTAGTGATGGCTGAGGTCTCTCAAATCTGTGAATAAGGTTTAGGGAGAATTGATGAGCCCTGGTTAAATAAGAATTCTAATGGCTATGGGTTGCCGCTATGTGGTAGAAGTCAAACTCAATTATCTTTTTTTTTTTTTTTTTTTGAGGCAAAGTCTCTCTCTGTCACCTAGGCTGGGGTACAGCAGTGGGATCTCAGCTCACTCAGACCTCCGCCTCCTGGTTCAAGCAATTCTCTGGCCTCAGCCTCTCAAGTAGCTGGGATTACAGGCATGCACCACCATGCCAGACTAATTTTTGTATTTTTAGTAGAGATGCGGTTTCGCTATGTTGGCCAGGCTGGTCTTGAACTCCTGGCCTCAAGTGATCCACCTGCCTCAGCCTCCCAAAGTGCTAGGATTATACGTGTGAGCCACCACGCCTGGCCTAACCCAATTATCTTTTAACTCAACAATTCTCTGTCTACCAGGAGACTCCTAGAACCTCTTCTTTGTGTCTTTTTTCATTTGAAATCTTTCCTTTGAAATCAGGCCTACTTTAGAAAGACGAAAAAAAAAATCAAAATACAAAACCTTCATTTGTGAAAAATGAAAGAAAAGGAGAAGGGATTTTTCTCTAGATTTAGCTTTTCTCAGTAAGGAAATATTAGACCATCAGGTAATCAATCTTGGCTACACAGTTCAAGCAAAAAACAAAACAAACAAAAACCATAGATTGCTTAGCACTGCTGTATCCCTAGACGAATTCTACCAGCTTTTACATTGCTATTACTCCCTTCCCCATTGCAGCCATTTAAGAAAATTTCTATTTGGGAAGATAGAACAAAGCCTATCTTTATGCTGTAAGCAGTGCCTAGCTCTCAGATTTGGAGGAGGGGAGAAGAGAAAGGAATAATGAACAAGGAGGAGGAGAAGGTGGTATTTAGTTTCTGCTTAAATTTCACTTAGTAAGAATTTCTTCAGTGTCAAATGGGGAGGCATCCTTAGGATTTGCAGTTTGTTATATGTCATCCAATGTTTTCAGATACATTCTTTGGAATATATTCCTCTTTTTTCGATAGGTATATTCACATAATAATACATTAGCAGGCATTAGGAACAGCATGGACTGGAAGGTCCACGATTGTACCAGGCTAGAGCTAGGAAACTTTTTTTATTTATTTTATTTATTACTTATTTATTATTTTTATTTTATTTATTTATTTATTTATTTTTGAGATGGAATCTCGTTCTGTCACCAGGCTGGAGTGGAGTGGCGCAATCTCGGCTCACTGCAACCTCCACCTCCCAGGTTTAAGCAATTCTCCTGCCTGAGCCTCCCGAGTAGCTGGGATTACAGGCACGTACCACCACACCTGGCTAATTTTTGTATTTTTAGTAGAGATGTCATTTCACCATGTTGGCCAGGATGGTCTTTATCTCTTGACCTTGTGATCTGCCTGCCTCGACCTCCCAAAGTGCTGGGATTACAGGCATGAACCACCATGCCCAGCCTACTTTTTAAATATATATACAGGGTCTTGCTCTGTCACCCAGACTGGAGTGCAGTGGCACAATCATAGCTCACTGCAGCCTCGACCTCCTGGGCTCAAGAGATCCTCACACCTCAGCCTCCCAAGTAGCTGGGACCACAGGTGTGTACCACCATGCCTGGCTAATTTTTTTTTTTTTTTTTTTGTCAGAGTCTCACTCTGTAGCCCAGGCTGGAGTGCAGTGGTACCATCTTGGCTCACTGCAACCTCCGCCTCCAGGGTTCAAGCAATTCCCCTGCCTCAGCCTCCTAAGTAGCTGGGACTACAGGCATGTGCCACCATGCCTGGATAATTTTTGTATTTTTAGTAGAGACAGGGTTTCACTATGTTGGCCAGGCTGGTCTTGAACTCCTGACCTCGTGATCCTCCCACTTCAGCCTCCCAAAGTGCTGGGATTACAGGCATGAGCCACCACGCCCGGCTTAATTTTTGTATTTTTTGTAGAGACGGGGTTTCATCATGTTGTCCAGGCTGGTCCCAAACTCCTGAGCTCAAGCAATCCACCCACCTTGGCCTCTCAAAATGCTGGGATTACAGGTGTAGAGCCACTGTACCAGGCCTAATTTTTCAACTTTTTGGAGAGATGAAGTCTCACTATATTGCTCATGTTGGTCTTGAACTTCTGGGCTCAAGTGATCCTCATACCTCAGCTTCTTAAAGTGGTGGGATTACAGGTATGAGCCACTGCACCCAGCCCTAGGAAGCTCTTTCATAAGGAGGGAATATTCTATTCCCCATCATCCTTTTGGATTGAAGATAGCAGCCAAGATGGTATTAGGAAAAGGTGGGAAGGTAGTGATGGTGGTGGTGGTGGCAGGTGGAAGGGATTAATGTTGAGAATTGTTATTTCCATTGCAAAAAGAGCCTGATGTGTTTTATGAATACTATCATTCTCAGTTCTTGAAAAATACTCTGATAGGACACTGCCTAGTTCTACAATCTCAACAGATAATTAGTAAGTACCCCAAGTTGGAATTAGTTTCACTGAGTTTAGCTCAGAGGTCTGTATAGAAAAAAAAAAAAACAGTTCTTTCACAGGTACAAGGAATGGTAGGGAAGCAGCCTCTTCTTAAGTTGGCTTTGGGACCCAGAAAAGTGCAAATAGTTTGCAGTTTGCTAGTGGCTAGATGGCGTCCAGCAAGCCTTTAAAATAAATAGAATAAATAGGCCATACCGTCCTGAATGCGCCCCATCTTGTCATAAAATAAATAGAATTTCTTTAGTGAAGCATTTTCTCCCCAAAAGCTATGACAATTCTTTTAGGGGCTAATGGCCTTCTCATCGAAGTCCAGCTGTACACCTCTCATGGTCCTCGTAGAATTCAAACTCCTGGGCTGTTGGTCCTTAGTAGGTGGACATTGTCTAATCCCTTACTCATCAAGATTTAGCTGCCCCATATCCACTTTCAAGGATGGGCGTGTATGCGTTAATGAAAGTTAAAGTTTTCAAGCATAATCTGTTCCAGGTAACAAGTTATCAGCCAATATGTTTATTTAGATCTACCAAAAAATACAGTTCTCTTCTAGGTATTGAGGACATAAGGAACTATTACATAAATGTTAATTCTTCTCTCAAAACATACAGGATAGCCAGGAATCCAAAACTCATACTTTAAATTATAAGTAATAGTAGAAGACTATCACAGAATATATGCTACGGATCAAATAAGGGTTAGCTTCAGAGAGCGCTGGATGAACTAGTGAGGCCATGTGACTTGAAATGGTGTCATGAGTGTCACTGAGTCTTGATGCTGTGCTCCTGGAAGAACACAACCAAATGAAGACAATTTTACTCGTGGAAAATGGCTCTCCTATCTACGCAGGCTAAAAAAAAAACCACAGATATATCTTCATGAAAAATAATCTGGCCGTTGTGCTAGGCCTAAGCAACTGTTTCTGAACTTTTCCAATAATACTCGTTTTCTACGTGTTAATTATTTCCAAATACTTATTAGCACTAAAGGTATAAAAACTTATGGCATGAAAATTTAAATTTAAAAATTTCTATTTGTTAACCTAATTTGGGCCAGGTGAGGTGGCTCACACTTGTAATCCCAACACTTTGGGAGGCCAAGGCTGGAGGATCACTTGAGGCCAGAAGTTCAAGACCAGCCTGGGCAATAATAGAGTGAGACACTCATCTCTACAAAAAGAAAAAAAAAATAGCTGAGTTTGGTGGCACACGCCTATATTTCTAGCTAGTTGGGAGGCTAACACAGGAAGATGGCTTGAGCCCGGGAGTTGAAGTTTACAGACAAAGTGAGACCCTGTCTCTAAAATTAGATTATAAATAAATAAATAGAATAAAAAGAGAAGGTCAATCAGAAGATATTAGGATCTCTATTACCCAGGAGCAGCAGAAAAGCCTGGGAAGGAAGCACTCTCTCTCTTGAGCTCACAGACAGTAGAAGCAACATAGTATTAGCACGTTTTAGATAAGTACAAGATTTGTCAAGTTGAACAATATATGCTCTGGTTCTTACCTAACATCTTTTTCTTCACTTCTAGTTCTTAAAGATGTTGAAACAGGCCCGGTATGGTAGCTCACGCCTGTAAACCCAGCACTTTGGGAGGCCGAGGTGGGTAGATCACAAGGTCAGGAGGTCAAGACCAGCCTGGCCAAGATGGTGAAACCCCGTCTCTACTAAAACAAAAATTAGCCAGGCGTGGTAGCGGGCACCTGTAATCCCAGCTACTCGGGAGGCTGAGGCAGAGAATTGCTTGAACCTGGGAGGTAGAGGTTGCAGTGAGCCGAGATTGCAACATGCACTCCAGCCTGGGCGACAGAGCCAGATTCCTTCTCAAAAAAAAAAAAAAAAAAAAAAAAGATATTGAAACAGCTTGAAGCAAGACCTGTTCTTTCTAGGGTTCTCAGTCTCTTTTGGAGTTAGTTTCGGTGGGCTTTACCAACGGAAGGGAGAGGTAAACATGGCTGGAGGGTATGCCTGGCAGTAGATTTGGGAGAGGGAATTTCTTCTCCTGCACATCTAAAATGGCTCTAGCGCCCTCTCCCCCTCCCCCTCCCCCTCCCCCTCCCCCTCCCCCTCCCCCTCCCCCTCCCCCTCCCCCTCCCCCTCCCTCTCCCTCTCCGTCTCCCTCTCGCTCTCCGTCTCCCTCTCGCTCTCCCTCTCCCCACGGTCTCCCTCTCATGCGGAGCCGAAGCTGGACTGTACTGCTGCCATCTCGGCTCACTGCATCCTCCCTGCCTGATTCTCCTGCCTCAGTCTGCCGAGTGCCTGCGATTGCAGGCACGCGCCGCCACGCCTGACTGGTTTTGGTGGAGACAGGGTTTCGCTGTGTTGGCCGGGCCGGTCTCCAGCCCCTAACCGCGAGTGATCCGCCAACCTCGGCCTCCCGAGGTGCCGGGATTGCAGACGGAGTCTCGTTCACTCAGTGCTCAATGGTGCCCAGGCTGGAGTGCAGTGGCGTGATCTCGGCTCACTACAACCTACACCTCCCAGCCGCCTGCCTTGGCCTCCCAAAGTGCCGAGATTGCAGCCTCTGCCCGGCCGCCACCCCGTCTGGGAAGTGAGGAGTGTCTCTGCCTGGCTGCCCATCGTCTGGGATGTGAGGAGCCCCTCTGCCTGGCTGCCCAGTCTGGAAAGTGAGGAGCGTCTCCGCCCGGCCGCCATCCCATCTAGGAAGTGAGGAGCACCTCTTCCCAGCCGCCATCACATCTAGGAAGTGAGGAGCGTCTCTGCCCGGCCGCCCATCGTCTGAGATGTGGGGAGCGCCTCTGCCCCGCCGCCCCATCTGGGATGTGAGGAGCGCCTCTGCCCGGCCGAGACCCCGTCTGGGAGGTGAGGAGCGTCTCTGCCCGGCCGCCCCGTCTGAGAAGTGAGGAGACCCTCTGCCTGGCAACCACCCCGTCTGAGAAGTGAGGAGCCCCTCCGCCCGGCAGCCACCCCATCTGGGAAGTGAGGAGCATCTCTGCCCAGCAGCCACCCCGTCCGGGAGGGAGGTGGGGGGGGGGGTCAGCCCCCCACCCGGCCAGCCGCCCCATCCGGGAGGGAGGTGGGGGGTCAGCCCCCCCCGCCCGGCCAGCTGTGCCATCCGGGAGGGAGGTGGGGGGGTCAGCCCCCCTCCCGGCCAGCCGCCCCGTCCGGGAGGTGAGGGGCGCCTCTGCCCGGCCGCCCCTACTGGGAAGTGAGGAGCCCCTCAGCCCGGCCAGCCACCCCGTCCGGGAGGGAGATGGGGGGGTCAGCCCCCCCACCCGGCCAGCCGCCCCGTCCGGGAGGGAGGTGGGGGGGTCAGCCCCCCGCCTGGCCAGCCGCCCCGTCCGGGAGGGAGGTGGGGGGGTCAGCCCCCCGCCCGGCCAGCCGCCCCGTCTGGGAGGTGAGGGGCGCCTCTGCCCGGCCGCCCCTACTGGGAAGTGAGGAGCCCCTCTGCCCGGCCAGCCGCCCCGTCCGGGAGGGAGGTGGGGGGGTCAGCCCCCCGCCCGGCCAGCCGCCCTGTCCGGGAGGGAGGTGGGGGGGTCAGCCCTCCGCCCGGCCAGCCGCCCCGTCTGGGAGGTGAGGGGCGCCTCTGCCCGGCCGCCCCTACTGGGAAGTGAGGAGCCCCTCTGCCCGGCCAGCCGCCCCGTCCGGGAGGGAGGTGGGGGGGGTCGGCCCCCCGCCCGACCAGCCGCCCCATCCGGGAGGGAGGTGGGGGGGTCAGCCCCCCGCCCGGCCAGCCGCCCTGTCCGGGAGGGAGGTGGGGGTGTCAGCCCCACGCCCGGCCAGCCGCCCCGTCCGGGAGGGAGGTGGGGGGGGTCAGCCCCCCTGCCCGGCCAGCCGCCCCGTCCGGGAGGTGAGGGGCGCCTCTGCCCGGCCGCCCCTACTGGGAAGTGAGGAGCCCCTCTGCCCGGCCAGCCGCCCCGTCCGGGAGGGAGGTGGGGGGGGGGTCAGCCCCCCCCGCCCGGCCAGCCGCCCCGTCCGGGAGGTGAGGGGCGCCTCTGCCCAGCCACCACCCCGTCTGGGAGGTGTGCCCAACAGCTCATTGAGAACGGGCCAGGATGACAATGGCGGCCTTGTGGAATAGAAAGGCGGGAAAGGCGGGGAAAAGATTGAGAAATCGGATGGTTGCCGTGTCTGTGTAGAAAGAAGTAGACATGGGAGACTTTTCATTTTGTTCTGCACTAAGAAAAATTCCTCTGTCTTGGGATCCTGTTGATCTGTGACCTTACCCCCAACCCTGTGCTCTCTGAAACATGTGCTGTGTCCACTCAGGGTTAAATGGATTAAGGGCGGTGCAAGATGTGCTTTGTTAAACAGATGCTTGAAGGCAGCATGCTCGTTAAGAGTCATCACCAATCCCTAATCTCAAGTAATCAGGGACACAAACACTGCGGAAGGCCGCAGGGTCCTCTGCCTAGGAAAACCAGAGACCTTTGTTCACTTGTTTATCTGCTGACCTTCCCTCCACTATTGTCCCATGACCCTGCCAAATCCCCCTCTGTGAGAAACACCCAAGAATTATCAATAAAAAAATAAATTAAAAATAAATAAATAAATAAATAAATAAATAAATAAAATAAAAAAAAAAAAGCTAAAAAAAAAAAAAAAAAAAAAAAAAAAAAAAAAAAAAATAAAATGGCTCTAGCAGAGCCCTCTTTGCCCTCATACTTCCGTCCCCTTTGTACCTTCCACTTGACTACCCCCTCACCACCCTGCATTCCCCTCAGTATACTAATCTGGGCCACATTTATCAGCGTGTGTCATTACTGTTCATTAAAGTTGAGAAACCACATTCCATTTTACTCTTTCTTACCTCCTGCCACCCCAAAGGATCAAGCTAGTCTTCCTTGTACATTCTGATGCTGCTTAGACTCAGGAAAGAAACAGAAGTGGAATGCCCTGCTCAGGAGTTCCGGCCTTGGCCATATCTTCTCCTAAAAATTAACCAGAGTTGGCCGGGTGCAGTGGCTCATGCCTGTAATCCCAGCAGTTTGGGAGGCTGAGGTGGGCAGATCACGAGGTCAGAAGTTCGAGACCAGCCTGGCCAACATGGTGAAATGCTATCTCTACTAAAAATACAAAAATTAGCCAGGCGTGGTGGTGGGCGCCTATAATCTTAGTTACTCAGGAGGCTGAGGCAGGAGAATCGCTTGAAACCAGAAGGCAGAGGTTGCGGTGAGCCTAGATCAGGCCACTGCACTCCAGCCTGGGTGACAATGTGAGACTCTATCTCAACACACACACACACACACACACACACAAAATTAACCACAGCTGCACTAATTTGGGGAGGAGGTAGAAGTCAAGCTGTTTATACACTTACCAAGCTAGTTCTTTCTTCCCCCTCTGGCTCTAGTTCAGAATGTGTCTCTTCAGCAAAGATCCCTAGAGGACCAGAGAGGGGAATGACAGGAGCTGTGCATCAGAACTCTTCTCTGAAGCTCTCATATTTGAGGACACTGTCAGCCAATGCTACTGCTTTAATATTAGCGACTGACACTAATAGGCGAAGGAGAGGCAAAGGAATACAGTCCCAACAGAGCCCAACAGTAGACTGGCTGTACCTTTGTAAATATTGAACTAAGAGCCATAAAATATTTTACCTTTCCTAATTCAATAATCCCACTGTTGGAACTGCATCCTGAGAAAACAATTCAAATTAAGACAAGAGAATTCTAATGATACCTACTGCCAATATCTTAGTATCTGAATGCCATTACCCATGAGAAGGTACCAGAGCTCCTTGGAGACATGGCTGATTCAGATCTGGGGCAAGGAAACCTCGTGGTGTGTGTCAGAAAGGAAAATGATACTTAGAGGAGGAACGGTTTTGGGTAGAGAGGTGTTGAATTCTGTTTTGGATTGAGCTGTAGGTACCCGGGAGATGTACAGCTGGAGATGATCAGTGGTACTATACAGATTTGGGTGTTGATTTATACCTGTGTATCAAATCAGATAATCAGTGTTGAAAATTTTCTTGTGCCACCTTGCAGAAGAATTCTCTCTGATGCTTGGCGAAAATGCAGATTTCTAGGTCCCACCTCAGAGGATGAGGCAACTGCATTTTAAAGATGTTCTGATGCTCTCCAAGTGACTTTTTTTTTTTTTTTCTTCAGACGGAGTCTTGCTCTGTTGCCCAGGCTGGAGTGCAGTGGCGTGATCTTGGCTCACTGCAACCTCTGCCTACCGGGTTCAAGCCATTCTCCTGTCTTAGCCTCCCAAGTAGCTGGGATTACAGGCACCTGCCACCGCGCCCAGCTAATTTTTGTATTTTTAGTAGAGACAGGGTTTCACCATATTGGTCAGGCTGGTCTCAAACTCCTGACCTCAGGTGATCCACCCGCCTTGGCCTCCCAAAGTGCTGGGATTACAGGTGTGAGCCACCATGCCCAGCCTCCAAGTGACTTTTTTTTTTGGAGACGGAGTCTTGCTCAGTTGCCCAGGCTGGAGTGCAGTGGCGCGATCTCGGCTCACTGCAAGCTCCGCCTCCCGGGTTCACGCCATTCTCCTGCCTCAGCCTCCCTAGTAGCTGGGACTACAGGTGCCCGCCACTACGCCAGGCTAATTTTTTTGTATTTTTAGTAGAGATGGGGTTTCACCGTGTTAGCCAGGATGGTCTCGATCTCCTGACCTCATGATCCGCCCATCTCAGCCTCCCAAAGTGCTGGGATTACAGGCGTGAGCCACCGCGCCTGGCCTCCAAGTGACTTTTTAAAGCACACATTAGCTTAAGAAATACTTACTTTTTTTTTTTTTTAATCTTTTTTTGAGACAGGGTCTCACCCTGTCACCCAGGTGCAGTGCAGTGGCAGGATCATGGCTCACAGCAGCCTCAACTTCCTGGGCTCACACGATCCTCCCACCTCAGCCTCTGAACAGCTGGGATTACAGGTGTGCACCACCACACCTGGCTAATTTTTGTATTTTTTGTAGAAATGGGGTTTTAACACGTTACCCAGGCTGGTCTCAAACTCCTGGGCTCAAGCAATTTTCCTGCCTCAACCTCCCAAAGTGCTGAGATTGCAGACACGAGCCACCGCATCCAGCCCAAAAGACACCCACCATGGTGTCACATGCCTGTAGTCCCAGCTACTTAGGAGGCTAAGGTGGGAGGATCATGTGAGCCCAGGAGGTCGAGGCTGCAGTGAGCCATGATCCTGCCACTGCACTATAGCCTGGGTGACAGGGCAAGATGCTGTCTCAAAAAAATAAATAAAAATAAATACTTATTTAAGGGATTGTGAAATGCAAGAGCCACTATGGGAAGCTGAGAAGAGTTGGAGAAGCAAGAGCAGAAGAGGGAACCAGGACATTCTGTGCTTCCCAGGAAGGAACAGCACTTCCCTGCAGAGCCCTGTGGAGTGCCACTGAGAGGACAGGAGAAGTAACAAAGGCATAAATGTAACAAGGAATGCCAGCAGTCACGCGTGATGGGCCCTCCTGTAGTACCAGCTACTCTTGAGGCTAAGGCTGTAGAATCACTTGAGGCCAGGAGTTTGAAGCCATAGTGTACCATGATGGCCATGATCATGCCTGTGAATAGTCACCTAGTCACTGCACTCCAGCCTGGGCAACATAGCGAGAGAGAACCCCATCTCTTAACACAAAACAAAACAAAACAAAACCAAAAAAGAAAAAAAAAATTTTGGAGAAACCATAAAATAACAGAAGAATATATAAGTACATGGCCGGGTGTGGTTGCTCACGCCTGTAATCCCAGCACTTTGGGAGGCCGAGGCGGGCGGATCACCTGAGGTCAGGAGTTCGAGACTAGCCTCAACATGGAGAAATCCCGTCTCTACTAAAAATACAAAAAATTAGCCGGGTGTGGTGGTACATGCCTGTAATCCCAGCTACTCGGGAGGCGGAGGCAGGAGAATTGCTTGAACCTGGGAGGCGGAGGCTGCAGTGAGCCAAGATCATGCCATTGCACTCCAGCCTGGGCAACAAGAGTGAAACTCCGTCTCAAAAAAAAAAAAAAGAATACATAAGTACATTTTTCACCTGTTCACAAGAGAGAGAACTTTGTTTCTATTTATTTTTTATTTACTATTTAGAGACAGAGTCTCACTCTGTTGCCCAGGCTGAAGGGTGGTGGCATGATCATAGCCCACAGCAACCTTGAATGCCTGGATTCAAGCTATCCTCCCACCTCAGCCTTCTGAGTAGCTAGGACTACAGGCATGCACCACCACGCCTGGTTAATTTTTCTATTTTTCATAGACACAGGGTTTTGCTGTGTTGCTCAGGCTGGTCTCAAACTCCTGGGCTCAAGTGATCCTCCTGTCTCAGCCTCCCAGAGTGTTGGTTTTACAGGTGTAAGCCACCACGCCTGGCCCTACTTATTTATTTTTAATGTTTAAAGTTTTTAATTTTTAAAATTTGAGATGGGGTCTCGCTACGTTGCCCAGGCTGGTCTTGAATTCTGGGCCTCAAGCCGTCCTCTCACCTTAGCCTCCCAAAGTGCTGGATTACGGGCTTTAGCCACCATACCTTGCCAGTAGAGAATTTTGTAAGCTTAAAAGCAAAGGAAGAAAACAAAGCATTTCCAGATCTGACTACATGAATGTTAAATACTTCAGCATGTCAAAAACACCATGAAAAAAATTAACATGAAAAATTAGAGGGAAATCCTACAGCATATATGAGCATGTAAAGTAGTATCATTAATATATGAAGTTTTTATAATCCGTGCAGAAAACTACTGCTATTTCAGTAAAAAATATGTGCAAACACATGAATACGCAATTCCCAAAGAAAAAAGAAAAAACAATTTTCTCTCTCTATATATAGAACATGAATATGACATACTTATTAAAACAAAAAATGGAATGTCATTTTTAGCTCCTCAAATTGGCAAATACTTGTATGAGAACGTATGGCTCAGGGAATCAAGGAAATAAGCAAAGTCATTCTCTGTTAGTAGAAATGAATTTGGTATCACTTTTCTTTTGTTGTTGTTGAGACAGGGTCTCACTCCCAGGCTGAAGTGCACTCCCAGGTTAGGATCTTGGCTCACTGCAGCTTGTACCTCCCTGGGCCCAGGTGATTCTCCTAACTCAGCCTCCCTAGCTAAGACCACAGGTGTGCACCACCACACCTGGCTAATTTTTTGTATTTTTAGTAGAGATGGGGTTTCCCCATGTTGCCCAGCTGGTCTTGAACTCCCTGGGTTCCAGTGATTCGCCAGCCTTGGCCTCCCAAAGTGCTGCGATTACAGGCGTGAGTCACCGTTCCTGGCCTAGTATCACTATTCTGAAAGGCATGTGTAAGTAATGTCAAAAATTTTAAAATATTCCTACCCTTTGAAAGCAATTCTACTTCTGGGAGCTTATTTTTTACACTTATGTAAAAAAAAATTTGTTCCAAGCCAGTTGTGGTGGCACGCACCTCTAATCCCAGCTACTCGGGAGGCTGAGGCACAAGAATCGCTTGAACCTGGGAGGCAGTGGTTGCAATGAGCCGAGCTGGTGCCACTGTGCTCCAGCCTGGGTGACAGAGCAAGACTCTGTCTCAAAATAGACATATATATAAAGGCTCGCTGGCCTTTGGCAACCTTGCACTTATTACCATTGCCAAGAAGTGTGTGAAAGTGTGAGCCAGTGAGAGTTTCCCCGCTCTACGTTTTGACAGAGTTTTATATCTTCTCATTTGTAGATGTGCACTTTAATACAGACAGCTACATGATGAGCATGTAATACTGACTCAAGGCTCAGCAGCTCTGTTAGTTGAAATAGTACACATCTGTACCCTCTACTTCAGTTGTTCAAATGTCCCTATAAAAATAGTTATGAAAAAGTGGCTGTTCTCACAGGTACACAGGCAATCTTAAACATCAATGAGTTGGCTGTTTTCCCCTTTAGCCTAAGAATGGCCAGTCACACTTTGGAAGTTAGGCCAGCAAATCTGGGAATGCAAATAGAGTCAGAAACCTGGAGTGCTTTTATTCCCTTCACAGACTCATCTAGCAAAATAGATTGCTTTGCAATTGTGAAGAGGAAAAAAAAGAATAAGGAAGAAAAGAAGAATGTGTTGGCTTTGTGAGCCCTGGTTTGAGTATAGGATGATTTCTTTTTTTTTTTTTTTTATATGAAAAGTGGGATCTTAATGGACGCTCACAGTCGGCTCAGGCAGCCTCTGAAAGCTCCCCTTGTCAAACAGCACCCGAGATAGAAGGACCCATTGTTTTCTAAAACTAGTTACCACTCTTCCCTTTATCCTTTCTTTTGTACCTTTTAGCGTTTGCTTAATCAGAATATTTTAATCCCTAATGTGGTGACTCGGTGTAATTTATCTCATTAAGCCTCTCCTATTTTCTCCTGTTTACATGACTAATATTATTGTGTTTTATAGAGCTTATACCAACAAATCACTCCTTTGTCCCATTGTTTCAGCTCCAGGCCAAAAACCAACAATGAAGTTTTATCTTTCCAATCTTAGACCTCACCTACTTGTCATTCAGATTGTATAGATTGCATGAAGAGCATGTTCCTTTGAAAACAAAGCAAGGATTCATTTTTATGACCTAAAAACAAACAATTACCTTTCTCAAAGGTCCTGGTCATCTCTTTTTATGAGTATAGACTGGCAAAGACTCACCTTAGAAGAGGAAAAAAGTATATACTTCCTTGTGGGCTGAAAGCCCAAAGTCCCCTAGCAATAATGCCCTGCTCCCTAACTTATATTTCTTTCCTAGAGCATAGAATATCCAGAAGCAGAGAATCTGAGCAGTGGAGGGCATGTGGCAAGGTTATCTCATCCAAACCCCTGCCCTTCAGCAAGACCACACCCAAGCCAGACAGAGGAGAATCTATCTTGTTTTTCAACGCTTACAAAGCAGAGCCTTCTTTGAAAGTCCCATATTTGAAATACCATGTCAGAAAATTTCTTTTCTAAAAACCCAGCCTAGTAAAAGCTTTTCTTGTCATTTTCTCGGTTACTCTTTTTCTTTTCTAGGCTGAAAATAACCAGTTACCATCCTCAGGGAATCAACAATTTAATGAGCAATAACTTCTGGTGAGGCTGTGGTTCTCAAATGTTAGCCTGCATCAGCGTCACCTGGAGGGCTTATGAAAGCACAGATCGCTGCACGCCCCCAGTTTCCGATCTCAGAGGTCCAAGGAGGGCTCTAGAATTTGCATTTCTAGAGAGTTCCCAGGTGATGCCGATGCTGTTGGACTGGGGACCCCACTTCAAGAACTGCTGCTATCAGTGCTAGGAAATCTGAAGGATAGAAATATGCAGATGCCTAAGAGGTGGGAATAAGTGGAGTTAACAAGTAAATGGGTTAACCTCCATATGGAAAGTGCCAAACGCCCATCACATAAGCCCTTTTCTAGCTCAAGGTGCAGTGTGGGAGGCCGACGTGAACAATAGTTTAGGATGTTAGCCATTCACACCAAGAACTGTGTGGGCATTGAAGGGGAGCACAGCTTCCTGCAGACCTGAAAGCATCAGGAACCATTCCTGGGTGGATTTGTTTGTTTGTTTTGTTTTGCTTTTGTTTTTGTTTTTTTGAGATGGAGTTTTGCTCTTGTCGCCAAGGCTGGAGTGCAGTGGCACAATCTCGGCTCACTGCAACCACCTCCCCAGTTCAAGCAATTCTCCTGCCTCGGCCTCCCAAATAGCTGGAATTACAGACACCTGCCACCTACCTCTGTCTCCCAAAGTGCTGAGATTACAGGTGTGAGCCACTGAGCCCGGTCTCCTGGGTAGATCCTTTTTTTTTTCTTTTTTTTCTTTTGGAGATTCCTCTTTGAAGGTTTTTTGTTTTGTTTTGTTTTATTATACTTTAAGTTCTGGGATACATGTGCAAAACGTACAGGTTTGTTACCTAGGTATACACGTGCCATGGTGGTTTGCTGCACCCATCAACCCATCATCTACATTAGGTATTTCTCCTAATGCTATCCCTCCCCTAGCCCCCCACCCCCCAACAGGCCCCAATGTGTGATGTCCCCCTCCCTGTGTCCATGTATTCTCATTGTTCAGCTCCCACTTATGAGTGAGAACATGCGGTGTTTGGTTTTCTGTTCCTGTGTTGGTTTGCTGAGAATGATGGTTTCCAGCTTCATCCATGTCCCTGCAAAGGACATGAACTCATCCTTTTTTATGGCTACATAGTATTCCATTGTGTATATGTGCCACATTTTTGTGGATTTTTCAAGAAGAGAAGGTTTCCAGACAAAGGGGCAAGGCGAGGCATGTGCTCTTCCAGCAGCAGAACAGCGTGGAACTGAGGAGGGGATGTGGAGTGTTCACAGAGCAGCAAGCCGTGCAAGTGTCCCCAAGGGGAGCGTGCAAGTGAGGCAGTGAGGACAGGGTGCAGAGGTGGGCAGGGCGAGATCCAGGGAGCATGGCAGCGCAGGGGGAGGAGTCTGGGCAATATTCTGAAGGCTTCTTTGACATCGAGGACAGAGGAAGCTTTGCTAAGACTCCATATAAGGGGTCATCAGAGAAAAAAGAAGCAGGAACACAGCTCTCCCCAGACCTCTAGGTCCTCCGTGGTAGGACTTATCTGCCCAGTTCACTCTGGTTTCCCGCTGGTGTCAGGGCCCTGCTAGCCTCCTAGCCTAGGTGCAGGACTCGGCTTTCCCTTTCCTTTTAATTTCGTTGAATGATTTGGGAATTTCATAGAGGGAAATTTGTAAAGACACTGGGCAAACATAGAACCAAAATGAACACAAAGAGAATACATGGGTCTAGAGATAAGGCTTCTAGCTCCACCTTTTGCAGGCTACATGGCCTTGAGCATGTTACTTAACTCCATGTGCAGCTGTCTCTGTATTTAAATAGGGAGCTTATCCCCTAACAAGACCCACAAGACCTTATAGGGCCCGGCACTCCCTGCTGTTTTCAGCCTGAGCTCACACTCACTGACTCTGCCCCAGCTACATAAACCTCTTTTATTTATTTATTTGTTTATTTGAGACGGAGTCTCACTCTGTCACCCAGCCTGGAGTAAGGTGGCAAGATCTCGGCTCACTGCAACCTCTGCCTCCTCGGTTCAAGCACTTCTCTCGCTCAGCCTCCAGCGTAGCTGGAA
Organism: Homo sapiens; assembly: GCF_000001405.40. Lineage (NCBI taxonomy): Eukaryota > Metazoa > Chordata > Mammalia > Primates > Hominidae > Homo > Homo sapiens. The sequence continues at coordinate 81,720,426 of NC_000009.12, forward strand.
TTACAGGCACTTGCCACCACGCTCAGCTAATTTTTGTATTTTTAGTAGAGACGGGGTTTTACCATCTTTGCCAGGCTGGTCTTGAACTCCTGACCTTGTGATCCACCCGCCTCGGCCTCCCAAAATGTTGGGATTACAGGCGTGAGCCACCGCGCCCGGCCTATAGACCTCTTTTAACTTGGGTTTACTGTGCTCCTTTCTGCCCCAGGCCTTTGCACACGCTGTTTCCTTTGTCTGCAATAGTCTTGCCCTCACCTCACTAATTAACTACTACATTAGATCTAAGACCTACTCCTTCAGGGAAACCTCTGCTCTCCCTGAATAGGTTAAATCTCTCTGATTATAGTGTTTTTTAGTATCAGGAACTTCTACCTGATGTCACTTAATGATTGCTTTTTGTGTAATTATTTGCTTAATGTTTGTCTCCTACTAGAACAGGGGTCAGCAAACCATAGCCAGCTTTGGCCTGAAGCCTGTTTTTATAAAAAAGTTTTATTGGCATGCAGCCACACCTACTTTTTTACATATTGTGTGGTTGCTTTTTCACTACAGTGGCAGAGTTGAGTAGTTGCGGCAGAGGCCTTATGGCCCACAAAACCTAAAATACTTACAATCTGGTCCTTTATGGAAAAAAAAATTGCCAATCCCTGTATAATCTCCATGAAAGCAAGCACAAGGTCTATTTTTGCTTACTTACTTATCCTCAGCATCTAGCATAGTGTCTGCCACATAAAAGATGCATAATATTTATTTTAAAAAAGTGAATGCAAGAAGATTTTTTAAATGACTATTTTGCCAGAGTGTTGAAAGAGTTAAATAAGAGACAGTGTTATTTTTTAAAAACCAACAACGTATGCCTAGAACACAGTAGGTGTTTAATAAAAAATAAATGTTATCAGTTTGTTGTTGTTGTTGTTGTTATTCTCAGGCTTTCCTTAGTGCTTTTTTTGTTTTTGTTTTTGTTTTTTGCTTTTTTTGAGATGGAGTCTCGGACTCTCGCCAAGGCTGGAGTGCAGTGGCACGATCTTGGTTCACTGCAACCTGCACCTCCCGGGTTCAAGCAATTCTCTGCCTCAGCCTCCTGAGTAGCTGGGATTACAGGTGCCCACCACCACGCCTGGCTAATTTTTTGTATTTTTAGTAGAGACGGGGGTTTCACCATCTTGGCCAGGCTGGTCTTGAACTCCTGACCTCGTGATCCACCCACCTCGGCCTCCCGAAGTGCTGGGATTACAGGCGTGAGCCACCGCGCCCGGCCTTTTTTTTTTTTTTTTTTTTTTTTTGAGACAGAGTCTTGCTCTGTCACCCAGGCTGGAGTGCAGTGGCGCGATCTCAGCTCACTGCACCTCTGCCTCCTGGGTTCAAGCGATTCTTCTGTCTCAGCCTCCCTCCTGAGTAGCTGGGATTACAGGCATGTGCCACCATGCCTGGCTAATTTTTGTATTTCTAGTAGAGATGGGGTTTTGCCATGTTGGCCAGGCTGGTCTCAAACTCCTGACCTCAGGTGATCCACCCGCCTCGGCCTCCCAAAGTGCTGGGATTACAGGCGTGAGCCACCACGACCAGCTGTCAGTGCTTTTTAGTCCTCTCTGTGGTACTAGACCTAAACTGTCCTCTGACCCTGGTGCACTCCTGTCTTCCATATCTTGTCCTCTGGCCTTGGTCTCCTGGAGGAGAAAGGCATTTCCATTTCTGTCTTCGGGACTGCTTCCTTGGACCCAGATTGTTAGCAATGTCTTCTCCACCTTTCCTAGAGATTTCCTTTTATGATGTTCAGTCTATTTGAAGCATATTATTTGCAAACCTTGTCATAGTGTTTGGGTGATGCCCCTTTAACCTGTCCTGGGGGCTTTGCTTCACCAGGGTCATCTAAATGATGGCAGTTCCATCTTTCTTTATGGCCACCTCCTGCAGGGACAGCAGAATAACTGCTTGTGGTTGGTCAGGAGATGCTGGAAGACTGGAGGAGAGCTCCTGATGGGGCAGTGATGAGCAGAGGCTTGTGGACTGGAACCGTGTGGTTTCATAGGTGAGAGGAGCGGGCAAAGGAGAGCAGGCTCAAAGCCCGGCCTAGAAGCTGTTTAGTCTGGAGTTGGCCCAGCTGGATGTAGAATCCAAAAGAAGGGAAGGTTTGGTAAAACTAGAGTCAGCAAACTGTCACCTGCAGGCCAAATCCAGCCTGCTTCCAGCTTTTATGTAACTTTTACACTAAGCATGGTTTTTACCTTTTTACATGATTGGAGAAAAAAACAAAAGAAGAATAGTATTTTGTGACACATAAAAATTTTAGGAAATTCAAATGTCAGTGTCCATCAATAAAGCTTTATTGGAACACAGTCCTGCCCATTCACTTATGACTATGGCTGCTTTCATGTTACAACAGCACAGTTGAGTAGTTGGCTACAGAGACCATATGGCCCCTAAGCCTGAAATATTTACTGTCTGGCCCTTTACAGAAAAAATTTACCAACCCCCAAGTTACACTATTAGTCTGAGCTGTGACAGTGGCTTTGACCCAAGCCCATCAGAACACATTCCCTGTTCAGTGTTGCCTGACCTCTGCAAACCCCACCAGGTCCCATCCTAGGAGCGGTAGGGAGAGAACAGGTTAATTAGATGGGTTAATTTGAGGAACTATTCTTTCAAGAGGTGAGAAGGGATGAGATGAGAGAACGCGATGGAGTTAAGACCATGGGCTCTGATTCAAATGTTGATTTCACCACTTATAGCAGTGGGACGGACCTTGAGCAAGTGTCTTAACCTCTCTGAGCAGCAGTTTCCATATAATAAAATGTGAATAATTATATGGTCAAATATATAGTGTCATTGTGAGGAGCAAATGAGCTAATGCATCAACAATGTCTGGCATATGGTAGACACTTAATAAATATTCACTGCTATTAATTACTGTGATTAGATGGAGTACAACAGAGGAAGAGTTGGCCTGGGAGAGGAAAAAGCTATCTTTCTTCGAGCAGCATGTGGAATAGAGTAAAAACAACAGGCATTCGAGATAAACAGACCTGGGATCAATTCCCTTTGTTAGTGATGCTATGTGACTTTAGTAAAGTTGATTAACTTCTGAGCCTTGGTTTTCCCCCCTCTATGGAACTCAGATGTCAAGGGGTGGGGGTGGGGGGCCTTCCTGCTCTTGAATTTAGGAAATGTACTTCCTTTATAGTACTGCCTGTCACCATCTCAGGTGAAACACACGTGGCTTCTGTTTCACCCTATGCCAGAAAGCCCATTCAAAAATTCTCTTTCAGCATTTCATGAGCTTAGTAAATTTACTTGAGATTTTAAGACTTATGCTTTTGAGGGTAGGGGCATATTGTGCCACACGAAGCCTTTCTCTAAAGCTCCTGCTCTTTTCTTGCCTCTTCCCCTCTCCTCTTCTTTCTGAATGAGGAGCCCACCATCCCCTCACCCTGCCCATTCCACACATATTTCCTCATCTCTCTCCCCTCCCGCCACATTGTCCAAAGAGGCTGATCAAGGCATTTTCCCATGAAGATGATTCTCTCCCCAAGATAAATTTTTTTTTTTTTTTTAAACAGAGTCTTGCTCTGTCACCCAGGCTGGAGTGCAGACTGCAATTTCCGCCTCCTGGGCTCAAGCTATTCTCATGCCTCAGCCTCCTGAGAAGCTGGGATTACAGGCGTACACCACCACACCTGGCTGATTTTTTGTATTTTTAGTAGAGACGGGTTTTGCCATGTTGGCCAGCCTGGTCTCAAACTCTTGACCTCAAGTCATCCGCCCGCCTCGGCCTCCCAAAGTGCTGGGATTACAGCCCTGAGCCACCACGCCTCGCCCCCAAGAGAAATTCTCATACCAGCTGCTAAAAGAATATGATTTCCTCCATCCTCTAACAAGCAAAACAGGGATAATTATGCCTACCTCACAGGGTGTTTGTGGGAATTAAATGAGGTAATGTTTCTGCAAACTGCTGGCACATAGCAGGCAGTCAATAAATGTTAGCTCCCTCCTCCTTTGATTCTTCCTTTGTGAAGTGAAGGAACAAAGAGAGATATTGAGAGATATTTTGAGGTGGGGAGGAGAGTACATAAAGCAGCCAAGAAGGTCATCTCCTTGACCATCACCCTCCAGTAAAGTGGAAGAGATTATTTGCCAAGAGCAACTGGAAGAGGTGGAGGGGCTCAGGGCGGAAGCTAGACAAGCCTGGTTTATCTTGGAGTCCACCCAAAAGGGTTTAGTTACTAGAACAGCAGTTCCTCTACATGAATCCTTCAGGTTCTTGAAAAATGTTATTAAATCACTTCTGCATCATAAATAATCCTAATTTTATTACTCTGCCCTCTCAGGCCAACGTGTGAGTCCTGCAAGGTCCCTCTCCTGCTAAGCTGCAGGCCCAGGCACACAGCTGCACAGGGCAGGATCCCAGGCTTGGCTGAATAGGATCCAGTGGCCTGTATCGTCTGCTGGCTTTCTCTGATGTTTTCCAAGCTGTTTCATTTTTTTATTTTTCTTTAAAAAAACTTTCTTAAAAAAATATGGGCCAGGCGCGGTGGCTCATGCCCTAATCCCAGCACTTTGGGAGGCCGAGGTGGGTGGATCACGAGGTCAGGAGATAGAGACCATCCTGGCCAACACGGTGAAACCCCGTCTCTACTAAAAATACAAAAAATTAGCTGGGCATGGTGGCGGGCACCTGTAGTCCCAGCTACTCGGGAGGCTGAGTCAGGAGAATGGCGTGAACCCGGGAGACGGAGCTTGCAGTGAGCCGAGGTTGCGCCACTGCACTCCAGCCTGGGTGACAGAGCCAGACTCTGTCTCAAAAAAAAAAAAAAAAAAAAAAAAAAATGGAACGCTTCACAGATTTGCATGTCATCCTTACGCAGGGGGCATGCTAATCTCCTCTGTATTGTTCCAGTTTTAGTGTACGTGCTGCCAAAGTGAGCACTCCAAGCCCTTTCGAAGTTGAGTTCTTCTTAGTAATCTTCCTTGAGGTGTAGGACTCCAAATGGGAGGTTTATTAGCAAGGTCCTGGGTGCAGAGTCATGGGAATTTGGGAATTCTGTTACTTGTCTATTTAGATATGTCTCTTGTCCTGTTTGTTTGTGTTAGTTAGCTTTTCTTTTTCTTTTTTTTTTTAAACCATAGATTTTTTTTTTCCTAGACAGAGTCTCGCCCTGTCGCCCAGCTGGAGTGCAATGGCGCAATCTCGGCTCACTGCAACCTCTGCCTCCCGGGTTCAAACGATTCTCCTGCCTCAGCCTCCTGAGTAGCTGGGATTACAGGTGCCCGCCACTATGCCTGGCTAATTTTTTTTTTTTTTTTTTTTTTGTATTTTTAGTAGAGACGGGGTTTCACCATGTTGGCCAGGCTGGTCTCCAACTCCTGACCTCGTGATCCGCCTACCTCAGCCTCCCAAAGTGCTGGGATTACAGGCGTGAGCCACCTCGCCTGGCTAAACCACGGAATTTTTTTTAAAACTTCTTCCAAAAGAGTGGATGGATGGCTTTCGTCCATTCTTCTGTGGGCCAAGCATGTTTCTCCCCCATGTAAAAACAAATGGTTGTGATTATTCAATATCAAATTGTATCCTACACCTTAAGAAGTCCCTGCTATTTTCCCCAGCTGTCCTCATCCATATCTATGTATCTTTTCTTTTCTTTTCTTTTTTTGAGATGGAATTTCGCTCTTGTTACCTAGGCTGGAGTGCAATGGTGCAATCTCGGCTCACCGCAACCTCCACCTCTTGGGTTCAAGTGATTCTTCTGCCTCAGCCTCCCAAGTAGCTGGGATTACAGGCTCATGCCACCACACCCAGCTAATTTTGTATTTTTGGTAGAGACAGCATTTTTCCATGTTGATCAGGCTGGTCTTGAACTCCTGACCTCACGTGATCTGCCTGCCTCAGCCTCCCAAAGTGCTGGGAGTATAGGCGTGAGCCACTGCACCCACACCCGGCCCTGTATCTTTTCATTTATCTTTTTTTTTTTTTTTTTTAATTTTAGAGACGGGGTCTTGGCTGTATTGCCCAGGCTGGAGTGCAGTGGCTGTACACAGACTCAATCATATCACTCTACAGCCTCAAACTCCTGGGCTCAAGCAATACTCCTGCCTTAGCCTCCTAAGGACTACAGTTACATGCCACTGCGCTGGGCTGTCTACAATTTTTTAACCCACAGATTTCACGTAGCTTTTCTTCCCAGAGCAAAGTAAGTTGAAAAGTAGCAACACCAGCCGGGCATGGTGGCTCACGCCTGTAATCCCAGCACTTTGGGAGGCTGAGGGGGGTGGATCACAAGGTCAGGAGTTTGAGACCAGCCTGGCCAACATGGAGAAACCCCGTCTCTACTAAAGATACAAAAAATTAGCCGGGTGTGGTGGTGCGCACCTGTAATCCCAGCTACTCAGGAGTCCAAGGCAGGAGAATCACTTGAACCCAGGAGGAGGAGGTTGCAGTGAGCCGAAATCACGCTATTACACTCCAGCCTGGGCGACAGAGCAAGACTCTGCCTCAAAAAAAATTTTTTAAAAAGTTAATTAATTTTAAAAAAGTAGCAACACCTGTCTCTTTTATGTGGCATTCTGGGCTTTAAAAAAAAACAAAAAACTAGAGTTTAGGAAACATGGGTTCAATTCCTAGTTCCTCTCAGTCCACTGTATGTCTTCTGAAGGATTCTTTCTTTCTTTAAATGTTTTGGTTTTATGACTTAATGTTTTTCCCAAATATAAAAATTGTGTGTGTTCCTGTGTAAAACATGGAAGGCACTAAAAAATATAAAGAAAATGTAAACAAAAACCATGCTTAAGTTCCACCCTCAGAAACTCCACTGTGAACATCTTGCTAGATTTCACTAGGGTTTTGTTTTCTCTGCAAATGTGCTTACATAGTTACCAAATGTGATCCAATTGTAAACAGTTTTGAAGCCTGCTTTTCTACTTAGGTTTATTTCATGAGCATTTCCTAGTCATTAAAAATTCTTCAAAAGCCTATTTCTGCACCATAACACATTTCATCATTCTCAGATTGTTCCACACTTAGGCCGGGTCCAGTTTTTCACTCCATAAATAATACTGCAGTGATCCACTTTGTACCTTGGATTTGCATATCTGAAAATTCCCTTAGAAGGTATTTCTAGAGGTAAGATTTCTAGTAAAATAGCATCCTGGACCTCACTTTAGTCATCACTGTTAAGTCAGCCCAAAGTGTTTCATCTTGAGTCTGATAAAGTGTTTGTTTAGTCACTAAAATAGGAAAAGGACTTGGTAATTTTTGCCTATATTGTGGTTTCATGGGATGCAACTGGAGAACAAAATAATACAATGATGTTCACTGTAATTATGATTTGGAGCTATTTAAAGGAGGTAATAATAGCAGCTAACATTTATTGGGTGGTTTATATGTGCTAAGCTCTGTTTTAACTGTTTTTCACATACTACTTTAATTTCATCACAACTCTAGAAGGCAGGTGCTACTGTTATCCCCATTTTACAGATGGGGAAGCTGAGGCACAGAGAGGCTAAATTACTTATGCAAGGTAAATGGCTGAGCCAGGACTCAAAGCCAAGCACTTTGGGTGCCAGCCCATGCTATTAACCATGCTGGATTCTGCCCAGAAACAATCATGTGGGGAAGGGTCCTTACCTCCCACATGACACTGTACATGGTACAGGGCTGCCTAACCTCCCTGCTCACTGCGGAGTTCCTGCTTCCTCTACCCTTGCTCTTCTTGCTTCCTCTTTTTTTTTTTTTTTTTTTTTTTTTTGAGATGGAGTCTCGCTCTGTCGCCCAGGCTGGAGTGCCGTGGCGCAATCTCGGCTCACTGCAAGCTCCGCCTCCCGGGTTCACGCCATTCTCCTGCCTCAGCCTCCCGAGTAGCTGGGACTACAGGCACCCACCACCACGCCCGGCTAATTTTTTGTATTTTTAGTAGAGACGGGGGGGCGGGGTTTCACCGTGTTAGCCAGGATGGTCTCAATCTCCTGACCTCGTGATCCACCCGCCTCAGCCTCCCAAAGTGCTGGGATTACAGGTGTGAGCCACTGCGCCCGGCCTTTTTTTTTTTTCAGACAGTTTCGCTTTTGTTGCCCAGGCTGGAGTGCAATGGTGCGATCTCAGCTCACCGCAACCTCCACCTCTTGGGTTCAAGCAATTCTCCTGCCTCAGCCTCCCGAGTAGCTGGGATTACAGGCATGTGCCACCACGCCTGGCTAATTTTGTATTTTATTTTATTTTTTTAGTAGAGACAGGGTTTCTCCATCTTGGTCAGGCTGGTCTTGGAACTCCCGACCTCAGGTGATCTGCCAGTCTCGGCCTCCCAAAGTGCCGGGATTACAGGCGTGAGCCACCTGCACCCAGTCTCTTCTTCCTCTTTTACCAGCTGTGTCCTGCCGGGTATGGACAGGACAGAAGCCCAGCTGCAGAGCACCCAGTTCTCTATCTGGAAGGGAAGAGGAATGCCTATCAGGCTGTTCTCCGTTAGCTGCTTATTCAGGAAGGAAGGATGGAGGGAGAAAATGAATGCAAAAACACTGCTTTAGGACTTTGGTGGTGTGTTTTGTTTTCAGTTTTGTTTTCCACAATTGCAAGAACATTAGCCTTGCCTATTTAGCAGTAATATTTCCTTTACATTTTTCACAAGTTCCTTTTGAAGAGGTTCTCAGCTCATCCATTGGTGCAGTGCTAGATGTGAACAGTAAAAATAGGAGTTATTAAAGACAACGGTGACAGTGAATTCTGTCACGAAGGAGGTGACTATCGTTTTCAATACTGTCCGTAGCAGTTTATCTTGGTTACAAATGACCTCCAAACAGCTGTTCAGCTTGGACAGCTCCACAGGTGCCCCATTGTATATAGAGAGAGCTTGGGGCTTAAGTTCTAATTAACAGCCATTTTCTCTTGTCCCACCTCCTAATGTTGACTTAAAACAATACCAGTGTCACACAAGACTACACAGGTTGTTTCTGTTTACGTCAAGTAGACTGGCACCCCAGTGAAACACAACACAATATCCACAACAAAAAATAAACACAGCCTTCAACCTGCTTCCTCTTTTTTACCTTGCCAGGCTCCTCTGATGAGAACCCCACCAGAGAGATTTGCCTGTGTTCACACACTGGCACAAGAGTGAACTCTGTAGAATTTCTAATAGCACCAGAAGTGAACTTGGGTAGAAATGAGCCACAGAACCTTTGGGAAATGCTACCAGCATAGAATCTTCCCAGGGGGTTAGGTCTCTGCAGTAGGGGACTCTGTACAGCCAGAAATATGCTTTAAGCATCTACTCTGCCCAGATTTGAGCATGTTGCCTGGCCCCTAGAGATGCCCAATCAATATAAACTGAATTGAAGTGAGTTCTGTTGAGTTAGAGTGGATGGGATAGTAAAAGGTAGAAAAAGGTGTGATGCTCTCTTCTTTGATTTTCAGGTAGTCTAATAACAACAACAATAATAATTAATATCTATGAAGTGTTTGCTATAGGACAGGCCTGTTTTCAAGCACTTTACATGCATTTTTTTTTAAATTCATACAACATTCCCATGAAGTAGGTATTTTTAATGTTTCCATTTTAGATGAGAAAGCTGAAGTTAAATCACTGTCCCAAGGTCATAAAACTAGCATGCAGGCTAGGCTTGGTGGCTCATATCTGTAATTCCAGCACTTTGGGAGGCCAAGGCAGGAGGATTGCTTGAACCTAGGGGTTCAAGACCAGCTTGGGCAATATAGTGAAATCTTGTCTCTACAAAAATAAAAATTAAAAAATTAGCCAGGTGCAGTGGTGCATACCTGTAGTTCTAGCTACTAGGGAGGCTAAGTTGGGAGAAGGTGGGAGAATCACCTGAGCCTGGGAGGTCAAGGCTGCAGTGATCACGCCACTCTGGACTCTAGCCTGAGCAACAGAATGAGACCCTGTCTCCCCTGGCACGGTGGCTCACACCTGTAATCCCAACACTTTGGGAGGCTGAGGCAGGTGGATTGCTTGAGGTCAGGAGTTCAAGACCAGCCTGACCAACATGGTGAAACCCCGTTTCTACTAAAAATACAAAAATTAGCTGGGCATAGTGGCAGGTGCCTGTAATCCCAGCTACTCAGGAGGCTGAGGCAGAAGAATTGCTTGAACCCAGTGAGAGGCGAAGCCAGCTGGACTTCCTGGGTCAAGTGGAGACTTGGAGAACTTTTCTGTCTAGCAAGAGGATTGTAAAATGCACCAATCAGCACTCTGTAGCTAGGACTGTAAAACACACCAATCAGCGCTCTGTAGCTAGCAAGGGGATTGTAAAATGCACCAATCAGCACTCTGTAAAAATGCATCAATCAGCACTCTGTAGCTAGCAAGAGGATTGTAAAATGCACCAATCACCACTCTGTAAAACACACCAATCAGCAGGATCCTAAAAGTAGCCAGTCGCAGGGAGGATTGAAAAAAGGGCATTTTGATAGGACAGAAACTGAACATGGAAGGGGACAAATAAGGGAAGATAAGCTGGCCACCCCAGCCAGCAGCAGCAACCCACTCTGGTCCCCTTCCACGCTGTGGAAGCTTTGTCCTTTTGCTCTTCACAATAAACCTTGCTACCGCTCACTCTTTGGGTCCATGCCATCTTTAAGAGCTGTAACACTCACCTTTAAGAGCTGTAATACTCACCTTTAAGAGCTGTAATACTCACCGTGAAGGTCCGTGGCTCCGTTCTTGAATTCGGTGAGAGCACAAACCCACCAGCAAGAACCAACTCCAGACACACCAGGAGGCAGAGGTTGCAGTGAGCTGAAATTGCGCCATTGCACTCCAGCCTGGGCTACACAGCGAGACTCTGTCTCAAAAAAAAAAAAAAAAAAAAAAGTTTGAGACCCTATCTCAAAAACAAAACAAAGGGTGGGCGTGGTGGCTCACGCCTGTAATCCCAGCACTTTGGGAGGCCAAGGTGGGCAGATGACCTGAGATTGGGAGTTCGATACCAGCCTGACCAACATGGAGAAACCCTGTCTCTACTAAAAATACAAAATTAGCTGGGTGTGGTCACACATGCCTGTAATCCCAGGTACTGGGGAGGCTGAGGCAGGAGAATCATTTGAACCCGGGAGGCAGAGGTTGCAGTGAGCCGAGATTGTGCTATTGCACTCCAGCCTCAGCAACAAGAGCAAAACTCCGTCTCAAAAAAAAAAAAAAAAAACCAACAACAACAACAAAAACCTAGCATGCAGTAGAATTGGAGCCCCAACAGTCTGACTCTGGAGCCATTCACTATTCCACTGTCTCTCAAATGGAGCATTTTAGGGACCTGAGTTTTCTATGAGAGGTAGTATATGTATACAGCATCCTGAAGAAATTACGGAGTTTGCACCTTAACAAACATGTATGTATTTATAGAAGATGTTATTTGTACTGTTAAATCATATGTATATATATGTACACCATATATTTTATCTATATTTCTACAAACTAATCAGCAACATGTGATAGTGACGCTAGTTTGAGCAATCTTTTATAATTAGTGAAGTATATTTAAACATTTATTGAAGGATAATATACCTACAGAAAAATGTACATATCATATGTGTATAGCTTCATGAGTTTTCACAAACTGGAATACACTCATGCATCCACCTCCCAGAACAAGAAACAAAACATTCCCAGTACTCCAGAGACCCGGTCCAGTCTCTCCCTCCCCTAGGTGCAGCCTCTATCCTGACTTCTGACACCATAGATTACTTAGCAATGGGAAATTTTAAAATCTTTTTCTTATTTTCAGAGACTTGCTATGTTTCCCAGGCTGATCTTGAACTCTTGGCCTCGAGCCAGCCTTCTGCCTTGGCCTCCCAAAATGCTCAGATTACAGGCATGAGCCACCGTACGTGGCCAGAAAATTTTTAATGTGGGAAAATTGTCGAAGTTCATCAAGAAGCCTCAGTTTTGGCTGGGTGTGGTGGCTCACGCCTGTAATCCCAGCACTTCGGGAGGCTGAGGGGGGCAGATCACCTGATATCAGGAGTTTGAGACCAGACTGGCCAACATGGTGAAACACCAACTCTACTAAAAATACAAAAATTAGCTGGGCATGGTGGCGTGCGTCTGTAATCCCAGCTACTCGGGAGGCTGAGGCAGGAGAATTGCTTGAACCCGGGATGCAGAGGTTGCAGTGAGCCGAGATTGCGCCACTGCACTCCAGCCTGGGCGACAGAGTAAGACTCTGTCTCAAAAAAAAAAAGAAAAAAGAAAGTAAGGTGCCAACTTCACATTATAAGATAAACCTAAAACAATAAATATAAGAGAAATCAATCATTGAGTTCCGTTTCTTGAGGTTACATCATTCGAATCCACCACCTTCTTGTGGAGATCCAGAAGTGCCCTTTCAAATACCTGTGAGAATGGGCTGGGAATGAGGAAGGGGCTGGCATACACTTATCTAAGCATATTTGTAAATAAAGCAAAAAGCAATTTACAGGGGAGTCTGTGGTAGGGTTTTGTTGTTGTTGTTGTTGTTTTTGAGACGGAGTTTCACTCTTGTTGCCCAGGCTGGAGTGCAATGACACAATCTCAACTCACAACCTCTGCCTCCCGGGTTCAAGCGATTCTTCTGTCTCAGCCTCCCGAGTAGCTGGGATTACAGGCCTGCACCACCATGCCCGGCTAATTTTGTGTTTTTAGTAGAGTTGAAGTTTCTCCATTTTGGTCAAGCTGGTCTCAAACTCCAGACCTCAGGTGATCCGCCCGCCTCGGCCTCCCAAAGTTCTGGGATTACAGGTGTGAGCCACCATGCCTGGCTGTGGTAGATTTTTACACATGGATAAGACTATCCAAAATGCCTTCTAATATTCAGGCATCGGATGTATTGCTATGTTTGGGAGCCTCTGAGCCCCTTTCTAAGAATTTTCACAGGGAGCTGGGCAGCGGGAGTGGCAGTCATGTTGGTGCAATGTGGCCTTGCCCCAGTGTCATCTGATTGGACCGGAAAGAGACATCTGACTCAGGCTGGCCAATTAGATCATCTATCCCAAGAATTTTTCACTGGAGAGAAAGGATGCAAGTTAGTATAGGCTGGTCTCTTAAACTAAGGGCATCTCAACTGAAGAGCTTTGGCATTGCATCACAGTCAAGAAGAAACACACAACACCAGACTGCAGAGAGAAGGAAGGAAGTTGACGTGCCGAGAGGCAGAGAGGAGGGCCACAAAGTAAGAGACCAGAGAAGACCATGGAGGCACAGAGAGGAGGGCACTGGAGCAAAGTAGCTGACTTGACTTCTGCTGGTCTTCTGGTTTAGGTTCTGGTCAACCCATCATGAGACCCAGCTGTTCCTCTTATTTTTGGGCTCCTCAGATGATTGTAGACCTTCATACTATAACTTTCTTCAACATGTTGCTGATGCTAGCTTGAAGGGCATCTGTTACTTGCTGTTTCAGAAACAATGGCTGCAAAATTCAGTGGCTTAAAACAAGAGCAACACTTACGTTTCTTACAGATCTGTAATTTGAGCAAAGCTTAGCATGGACAGCTCGTTTCCACTCCAACTTGGTTTCAGCTGACAGCTTGAAGGCTGGGGGCTGACACTGTATAACACTCACACATGCCTGATTCCTGGGTTGCAAAGACCCAAGCAGTTGGGGCTGGAAGAGTTGGGGCTGCATAGGAACCGCTCTGTTTCTCTGTGGTCTCTTATCATGGTAGCTTCAGGATAGATGAACTTTCCCATGGAGGCTAAGGGCTCCAAATGCACAGGTCCCAAGGAGAGAGGGACAGGTGGAAGCCACATCGCCTTTTAGTACCCAGCCTCCGAAGCCATGGAATATCATTTGATCTCATTCTATTTGTGGAAGCAGTTACAAAGATCCACCTTGGTTGGGGGACCCCATCTCTCAGTGAAGGAATGTCAGCATCACATTTTTTTTTTTTGAGACGGAGTTTTGCTCTTGTTGTCCAGGCTGGAGTGCAGTGGTGCATTCTCAGTTCACTGCAACCTCTGCCTCCCGGGTTCAAGTGATTCTCCTGTCTCAGGCCTCCCAAGCAGCTGGGATTACAGGTTCCTGCCACCATGCCCTGCTAATTTTTTGTATTTTTAGTAGAGATGAGGTTTCAACGTGTTAGCCAGGATGGTCTCGATCTCCTGACCTTGTGATCCGCCTGCCTGGGCCTCCCAAAATGCAGGGATTACAGGCGTAAGCCACTGCGCCCGGCCAGCATTACATTTTAAAATGAGCGTGTGGCCAGAAGGTATATTAGGTGTCCATCTTTGGAAAATACAATCAGTGATACTTGTAAACAAACGAATGTTGATTAACATGTGGATTAATTAGCTGAGTACGGTGGCATATGCCTGAAGTTCCAGCTACGGTGCAGCCTGAAGTTCCAGGCTAAGGTGAAAGGATCACTTGAGCCCAGAAGATCGAGGCTGCAGTGAGCTATGATCTCACCACTGCACCCCCGCCTGGGTGACAGAGTGAGACCCTGTCTCAAAAGAGAAAAAGGAAAAAGAAAAAAAAATGTGGATTAATCCCAAAAAATAAAAAAGGCATTAGAATTCCTAGAAAATTATCAGTGTTGTGATGGGAAATGGGTTGGTGGGTGTAGTGATAATTCTTTCTTTACCCTCCTGCTCTGAATTGATGAACATCAAACTCATCCGTAGGTAGTCTCACTGAATTCTATCCAAGAAGCAGCATTTTAAAGATGACTGGTCTTTCGTTCTGTAATTGTCCTGTGTTTTATTTTACTACATAATTTGGCATGAATCAAGTTCAAATCCCTTGTTATTTGTAATGAAAGGTTTCTAGTCATCTTGTTTTCAAATGTTACTTGTAAGCATGTATTAGTTCGTTCTTGAATTGCTATAATGAAATACTGGAGGCTGGGCGCGGTGGCTCACGCCTGTAATCCCAGCACTTTGGGAGGCCGAGGTGGGTGGATCACGAGGTCAGGAGATGGAGACCCTCCTTTCTAACACGGTGAAACCCAGTCTCTGCTAAAAAATACAAAAAATTAGCCAAACGTGGTGGCAGGCACCTGTAGTCCCAGCTACTCGGGTGGCTGAGGCAGGAGAATCGTTTGCACCTGGGAGGCGGAGGTTGCAGTGAGCCCAGATTGCGCCACTGCACTCCAGCCTGGGCAAAAGAGCGAGACTCTGTCTCAAATAAGTAAGAAAGAAAGAAAGAGAGAAAGAGAGAGAGAGAGGAAGGAAGAAAGGAAAGAAAGAAAAAGACTAGAGACTGGGTAATTTATAAAGAAAATAGGTTTCATTGGCTCATGATTTCACAGGCTGTATAGGAGGCAAGGTTGTTTCTGCTTCTGGGGAGCCCTCAGAAAACTTACAATCATGGCAGAAGGTGCGGAGGGAAAGCAGACACACCTTACGTGGCTGGAGCAGAAGCAAGGGCTGGGGGTGGGGGAGGTGCTACACACTTTTTTTTTTTTTTTTTTTTGAGACAGAGTCTCGCTCTGTCGCCCGGGCTGGAGTGCAGTGGCGCGACCTCAGCTTGCTGCAAACTCTGCCTCTCCGGTTCTCGCCATTCTCCTGCCTCAGCCTCCTGAGTAGCTGGGACTACGGGCACCCGCCACCTCGCCTGGCTAATTTTTTGTATTTTTACTAGAGACCGGGTTTCACCGCGTTAGCCAGGATTGTCTCGATCTCCTGATCTTGTGATACACCCGCCTCGGCCTCCCAAAGTGCTGGGATTACAGGCATGAGCCACCGCGCCCGGCCAGGTGCTACACGCTTTTAAATAACTAGATCTCATGATAGCTCACTATCACAAGAACAGCCCCGAGGGGATAGTGCTAAAGCATTCGTGAGAAACTGCTCCCAAAATCCAGTCACCTCCTACCAGGTCCCACCTCCAACATTGGGGGTTACAGTTTGACATGAAATTTGGGAAGGGACACAGATTCAAACCTTATCAAAGCATACCCTTTCTTGTTTGTATGAGAAACAAGAAATGAGGTTTCCCTCCAACTGGACCCTTCTCAATCTCCTCGTAAATAATCCAGATTTTCAGGGTTCAAAATACTTCAGAGCTATAAAGTAGAGACTGCTGAAAGATGTATTCATTCCTCCAGGCCTCCTAGGTGCTATTTAAAATGTTATTGCTTCATATCCCGTAATAGAAGCTGAAACCTTATTGATGGCCTTTCTCCTGATTGTTTGTATGTGGAGGGTGAAGGTTTGGGAATAAAGAGTTGGTGAACTAGAACAGAACACTGAATTAACTCTTTCAGCAAGGCTTAAAATAAAGGAGTTTAGTCTTATAAACTCTAAAGCCTAAAAGATACTGAAGCTTCCAGAATGAATCAGTAGCTATGACAGTGTCATTAGATGCAATAATTACTGGAGGGGTGAAAACCTTGTTGATGCTGACTGAAAATAGGTACATTTAATACTTCTTTTATAGCAACATTTCCAATACTGTACTAATGTGAATATTAACATAGTGTCTGTGTATTAAAATATGCACATTCTGGTTATATAGAAGAAACTTCAAACAGCCATCTTTTTATTATTAATAAAAGGTTAATCAGGTTTATGTTAACATCTTCACTTCATAGATTGGTCTGTTTGCAATAGGGAAAGAAATGAGACCATCAATGGCTAGCTTAAAAAATTCTACCTATAATAATAAACAAATATGCATGAATATAGAGGCAGCCTGAATAGTAGGTATATTTTGGATCTGGTGTAACTAGATACATGGGAAGAAAGCCCTGATTTGTAGCATTTGCCAAGCTATATGGTGCAAATATTTCTACCATGTTTGACTTCTGGCTACCACATGGCATCACAGAATGCGAAGTTGGGAGGAGATACACCCAGTTGGTTCTGTGAGATGTATGAGCGAGTCCTACATCATTGTTTATAATTCTTGGAAAGCCAGTTGGGTGGTAGGTACTTGGATAAGCCTTCTTATAATACTATAGGAAACAAGGGCAAATTTTATTGGCAAGGTCTGTGGCAGAGTCATGTAATGTGCATTGAATCTCCATTTACTCCCTGATAATTCTCATCGGCCAATGGACTGGGAGCAGAGATGGAAACATTTAAAAGTTGTGGAACCCCTCAGCCCTCTCTTCCCTTACTACTGCCATCAGAGAGGTCGCATTCCCAATGGTGCAGATACAAGATGGTGTAACCCATATCAACCTGTTTCCATGAATGTCTGTGTGGAGCCCAATGCCCATTCACCCACACTGGGTATGTACGATGCTTCAGTTTGCTACTACTGCCTAACAAGCTATCCCATACAAAATGGTTTAAAACAACAATTTGTTGTTACTTCTCCAATTTTATGAGTTGGCTGGGCTCACCTGGGGAGTTCTTACAGTCTCGCTTAGAGTCTGTCCTGTGGTTGTGTTCAGATGGTGCCTGGGTCTGGGGTGCTTAGGAAGCTTGACTGTGATTGAACTAAAGATGCTTCTTTGCTTATGTCTGGCACTTTGGTGCTCCTCTGCATAGAGGTTCATTCTTCAGATATTTTATATTGTGAATGGCTCCAAATGCAGTATCAGGAAGTGCCCGGATTTCTAAGGCACTGGGGAGAGCCACAGTGTCACTTCTGCCACACTTATTTCTGTACACTTCCTTGTTTAAAATGAGTCATGAGATCGTGCAGAGTCAGAGTGGGAGGTAACTTTCCAAGGGTGCGATTGCCAGGAGGGAAGAGTCATTGGGAGCCCTTTTTGGAGACTAGCTACCACATACCATGAGTAAGAAACAAACCTTTGTCATGTTAAGCCACTTAGATTTCAGGGTTAATTTGTTCCCTTGGCAAAAACCTAGCCTAATCTGATTAACCCAGAAATTGGTACTGTATTAGTGATGATAAGCTAGAAAAAACAAACGCCCAAATATCTGTGGCTTAACACATAGTCCCCTGGGGATCTGATGACACTCCAGGACTGCGGCCTTCTAATGGTGACTCAGGGGTCCACGCTGCTTGCCTTTTGTTGGTTCACCATCCAGAACATGTGACTTCTAGCTAACTGGTGCAGAGGAAAGAGATCCTGGGGACTCATAGGTCTTCAGTACCTATTAACCAGAACTAGTCATGTGCCCCCTCACTCCAGCTACAAACAGGCTGAGAAATTGTGGGGAGCATGTGGGCATTTGGTGATTAGTAGATGTCTTGGTCATAATGTGATGTGGGATTCTTGGCCTCTTTTTTTCCTCCCTTCCCCTTATCTTATCCTCTGTAAGAAATTTAAAAGAAAGAAAGAGATAGAGAGAAGGAAGGAGGGAAAATAGGAGGGAGGGAAGAAGAAAGGAAGGAATGAATGAGGCAGGAAGGGAGAAAAAATGGAAGGAAGAATACCGGCAGGAATTTGCTCTATAGGATGTAAAATGCAACCACTAAAACTACTAAAAAAAAATACTATCAACAGATACTGCTAAATAAAAACTATTAACAAAGAACTGTAATAGCAGAGGCTTTCACTGTGTTTTTAACCTGTTTCATTTTCCTTTTTAATCAGCAATGATAAGGAAACTAAACTGGATTAAGTGCTATCATCTTGGAGGTGCAAAGGCAAACAAGGAGAAAGAAGTGATTGAAGAGCACTTCAGAAAGCTTGGTACATTCAAATCAGCAGGGCTTGATTACTCGCATCCCAGGACACTTAAGGAATTGGCAAATATAATTGCAAGACCACCAGCCTTTATTTTAGAAAATGAAGGTTGGACAGAAGAAGGTCCTGACAAGTAAAATCAGCAGATGGAGTACCTGTTTTTTAAAAGAGGGAAAAGGACAGCTGTAGTAATTATAGACTATTCAGTTTATCTTGGATACCTGGGAAGATACAAGAGCAAATCATCAAACAATCAATTTGCAACCACCTAGAAGAGTACAAGCTACTGGGTCGTAATCAACGTGATTTTGTGAAGTGCAAATTATGCCACACCAATTTAATTTTATCTATGATAGAGTGATGAGCCTGGCAGAAGAGGGGAAAGCAATATCTACAACTGGACTTCAATAAGGTTTTTAATTTTCATTTTTTTATTTAAAATATTCCATTTCCTGGCTTTTTCAGCATCAATCTTCTGAGAGGATGCTACTTGAACAGCAGTTGGGTAGGCATGATTCTGGGTAAAACCCTCAAAATGGTAAAAACAAGGATTCTACTCCAGGTTGACATAGGTATTAGTAGTAGTTGTTATTATTATTATTATTATTATTATTATTATTATTTTATTTTTTATTTATTTATTTTTTTTGAGACGGAGTCTCGCTCTGTCGCCCAGGCTGGAGTGCAGTGGCGTGATCTCCGCTCACTGCAGTCTCCGCCTCCTGGGTTCATGCCATTCTCCTGCCTCAGCCTCCCGAGTAGCTGGGACTACAGGCACCCGCCACTACGCCCAGCTAATTTTTTGTATTTTTAGTAGAGACGGGGTTTCACCATGTTAGCCAGGATGGTCTTGATCTCCTGACCTCGTGATCTGCCCGCCTCGGCCTCCCAAAGTGCTGGGATTACAGGCGTGAGCCACCGTGCCTGGCCATTGTTATTATTATTTTAATCAATTGATGTAGACAAAGATGACAGTAGTGAGGTGAAGATGGCATTCTCCATCACTGATGAGAAATATGACAGAAAATAGAAGATGTAAAAACTCATTTAAGGGGTCCAACAGCTAAGTAATATGAGATCCAGAAGTGGAGAACAGACAAAACGGTATAAGGGACATTACTCGAGAAATTATATAAGAAAATTTCCGAGAAAAGGACACATTTTTACATTAAAATAACCCTCTAAGTGCCAACTGTGATAAATGGGGAAGATAACCCACTTGGACATAATTTTGTAAAATTTTAGAACTCTAAGAATAAACAAAATTTTTGAAAGCTTTGAGAAGGAAAAATTAGGCCACCTATAGAGGAATGTAAATTGAACAGCCAAATTCTCATTAACATCTCTGGCTGCTGGAAAATAATAGAGTAGTCCTTTCAGTTCTGGGAGAAATTAAATTTGAAACTAATTTACATATCCAGCCTACCTATCAATCAACTGTGAGGGTAGAATGTTGGTGTTTCATACAAACCAGGACTTGTAAAATTTACTTGGAAAGACTCCTTTTTTAAGTTATTTGAGCATGTATTCCAGCAGGATGAAGAAGTTACCCAAGAAAGATTAAGGCAAGGGATCTTTCTAACACGAGAAAGGAAAGTAGTGTGTGATAAAAAAAAAAAAAAAATCATCCATTTTGAAGTAGGAGGACAAAGAGTGCCAAAGAGAAGGACTCTGGGACAAAAGAATTGCATGTAGTCCATAGTGTTACTAGGAGAACAACAACAACAAAAGTTTTAGTATATGATAAACTATATATTTAGTCAATAAAAAGATAGGCAATTAATAATTCCAGAAAAACAAAAAGCCAGTTGAGTATGTTATGGCCCAATTTAGAAGAATAACATATAATTTTCAGTAATTTAGGGAGTGTAAGAAAAAGACTAGTACATGGTGCTAAGACATTTTTCATTGAATATATGAAGGGTATGATAAACATATGAAGATATGACACTGCCCTCATAGAAAGGAAAATTGCATTCCTAATATGCTACCTAGTTCAGCAGTGCACAATATTGATGTAGTCTTACTAATGTAATTACTTTTTGTTGTTGTTGTTTTAACTACAGTCACCATCCTGTATATTAGATCTCTAGAATGTATTCATCTTCTAAGTTAAAGTTCATCCTTTACAGTCAACTTAAGGACAAAGAAAGGAAGATCTTGATTATTTTGCAAAAAAAGGCAAGCATTATTCTTCATAATATAAAAGTATAGCTGACAAAAGGTGGGAAGTGGAAAGAAGGAAATATGAAGAGAAGGATAGTATCATAGATACCTGCAACTTCTATAATCTGAAGTCAGGATACTGACTCAAGTTTTTGGAATGAAAAATTGATGTGTAGCATACTATTTTAAGTTAAAGGGTAACCACAACAAAACTTAAAAATAATGACATAACTACCTAACACTGAAGGAATTGGGAGGAAGAAGAAAACATAAATGAGCTAAATTCTTATCTTTTATACCTGGAGGCCATTAGATAACCAAGAAATTGGAAAGAAGAGTGATTTTTTCCAAACACTTCATATATTCAAAGCATGCATAATTCATGAGTAGTTTTTTTATAGGCAGATCTGTATGGTCATGGGGGTATAATCTCAGAGCACAGGTGCAGACAATCTCTGTAGCATAAGGACACATTGTGTTACGAATGATCTTGCAGCCATAGCATTTTTTCCATTTCATTATCCATGCCCAGTTATAAGATTGTATTTGCAAACTTAAAGTTGTATTTGCTTTAATACTCTCTTAAATTTTCCCGGAATTATCTTTGATATTTCACAGAGTACTGTCTCCAAAATTTAATAGCTTGGTACACGGCCATGTGGCCTTTATCTAGTGTTTTATTGTCTCTGACTTCTGTTCCAAAAGAATATATTTTCAAGATTGGGTTATTGTTCTCACTGAATTAAATGCTCACTGGAACTTGCTCCTTAGATGACCTTGTTATAGAATAAAAACTATTTATACATTGTAACTCTAAAAATTAAAATAATAGGCCGGGGGTGGTAGCTCACACCTGTAATCCCGGTACTTTGAGAACTTGAGGTGGGAAGATCACTAGAGCCCAGGAGCTTGAGACCAGCCTGGGCAACAAAGTAAGACCTCACCTCTACAAAATATTATTATTTTTTTTATTTAAAGAACTTTTTTTTTTTTGAGACAAAGTTTTGCTCTTGTTGCCCAGGCTGAAGCACAATGGCACGATCTCAGCTCACTGCAACCTCTGCCTCCTGGGTTCAAGTGATTCTCCTGCCTCAGCCTCCCGAGTAGCTGGGATTACAGGCATCCGCCACCACATCTGGCTAATTTTTGTATATTTAGTAGAGACGGGGTTTCACCATGTTGAGCAGCCTGGTCTTGAACTTCTGACCTCAGGTGATCCACCCACCTCGGCCTCCGAAAGTGCTGGGATTACAGGCGTGAACCACTGCGCCTGGCCCCTTAAATACATTTTTAAATAATTGAGATGAGCTATGATCATGCAGGGTGAGACACTGTCTTAAAAAATTAATTAATTAATTTAAAATTACAATTGAAATTAAAATAACAACATCAGCCAGGTGCAGTGGCTCACGCCTGTAATTGCAGCACTTTGCGAGGCCAAGGCAGGTGGATTACTTGTGGCCAGGAGTTCAAGACCAGCCTGACCAACATGGTGAAACCCCATCTCTACTAAAAATACAAAAATTAACCGAGTGTGATGGCAGGCATCTGTAATCTTTGCTACTCAGGAGGCTGAGACATGAGAATCGCTTGAACCTGGGAGCTGGAGGTTGCAGTGAGCCAAGATCGTGCCATTGCACTCCTGCCTGGGTGATAGAGTGAGTGAGACTACATCTCAAATAATAATAATAACAATAATAAGTTAACAACATAAAAGTCCATTGAACCACTTCTAGATTTAAATTTACATAACTTTTCAATAATAGCATGGTCTACAACCCACTGTTAAATGATGGCAGGTGCAAGTAAAACCTCATTGTAACTCAGTAAGTAGGGTCTACAATATTCAATTCCATAACATGTGATGCCAATTTAGTACAAAGTTAATAAAATGACTAAGATGATCCTGCTGCAAAAGGACAGGAGCCAATCACCAAACTCGTCATATCCAAATTCATGTTATCAAAGAGGACATAATTACAAGTTCCATTGTACTTCTGATTACCAGCTAAAGTGGCATGCCACATAGCCACAAAGATTAAGACAGTTGCCATTCTTACTGCCTCTTAGCTTTGAAATTGTGCAGCTTTTAAAAAATAACTTTTTATTTTTATTTATTTACTTATTTATTTAATTTTTTTTTTTTTGAGACGGAGTCTCCCTGGGTAGCCCAGGCTGGAATGCAGTGATGCCATCTTGGCTCACTGCAACCTCCGCCTCCTGGGTTCAAGCGATTCTCCTGCCTCGGCCTCCTGAGTAGCTGCAATTACAGGCGCATGCCACCACGCCTGGCTAATTTTTATATTTTTAGTAGAAATGGGGTTTCACCATGTTGGTCAGGCTAGTCTCGAGCTCCTGACATCGTGATCCACACGCCTCGGCCTCCCAAAGTGCTGGGATTACAGGCGTGAGCCACCAAGTCCAGCTTATTTATTTATTTTTTGAGACAGAGTCTCGCTCCTGTCGCCCAGGCTGGAGTGCAGTGGCACAATCTTGGCTCACTGCAACCTCCACCTCCCAGATTCAAGCAATTCTCCTGCCTCAGCCTCCAAAGTAGCTGGAATTACAGGTGCCCACCACCATGCCTGGGTAATTTTTGTATTTTTAGTAGAAACAAGGTTTCACCATGTTGTCCAGGCTGGTCTTGAACTCCTGACCTCAGGTGATCCACTGGCCTCAGCCTCCCAAAGTGTTGGGATTACAGGCGTGAACCACCGCACCCGGCCTAAAAAATTACTCTTGACAGGAGTTAAATGATTTCAAATTTTGCACAAAACTGGGACTTTCTTATTTTTAAAACATTTATTTTTATTTATTTATTTATTTATTATTTATTTATTTTTTGAGACGGAGTCTTGCTCTGTCACCCAGGCTGGAGTGCAGTGGCGTGATCTCAGCTCATTGCAAACTCTGTCTCCTGGGTTCAAGCAATTCTTCTGCCACAGCCTCCCAAGTAACTGGGACTACAGGTGTGTGTCACCACATCTGGCTAATTTTTGTATTTTTAGTAAAAATGGCGTTTCACCATGTTAGCCAGGTTGGTCTTGAAATCCTGACCTCAGGTGATCTGCCCACCTCGACCTCCCAAAGTGCTGGGATTACAGGCGTGAGCCGCTGCGCCCGGCCTATTTTTTTTATTTTTTATTTTTTTATTTTTATTTTTTAGACAGAGTCTCGCTCTGTCGCCAGGCTGGAGTGCAGTGGCGTGATCTCAGCTCACTGCAACCTCCACCTCCCAGGTTCAAGCAATTCTCCTGCCTCAGCCTCCCAAGTAGCTGGGACTACAGGCACACACCACTACGCCTGGCTAGTTTTTGTATTTTTAGTAAAGATGGGGTTTCACCATGTTGGCCAGGATGGTCTCGATCTCTTAACCTCATGATCTGCCTGCCTCGGCCTCCCAAAGTGTTGGGATTACAGGCATGTGCCACGGCACCTGGCCTATTTTTTTAATTTTTAAAAAATTTTTTTCAGAGGTGGGGTCTCACCATGTTGCCCAGGCTGGTCTTAAAAACCTGGGCTCAAGTGATCCTCCCACCTCAGCCTCCCAAAATATTAGGATTACAGGAGTAAGTCACTGTGCCTGCCAAAGCTGGGACTTTCTTACTAGGCCAGTTATACTATTTCAAATATTCATTATTCTTTGTTTGCTTGTTTTTGAGACAGGGTCTTGCTCTGTTGCCCAGGCTAAGTGCGAGTGGTACGATCAGGGCTCACTGCAGCCTTGACTTCCCAGGCTCAAGTGATCCTCCCACCTCAGCCTTCCAAGTAGCTGGGACTACAAGCACACACCACCACACCTAGCTAATTTTTTTTTTGTAGAGACAGTGTCCCTCTATGTTGCCCAGGCTGGTCTCGAACTCCTGCACTCAAGCTATCCTCCCGCCTCAGCCTCCCAAAATGTTGGGATTACAGGCGTGAGTCACACCACTCTTAGCCTTGTTATTCCAACTTATGTAAAATATGAGCATATCATAAAAGAGCAGTATTTATTTTAAAAGTTTTGGGTGAGAGAGCCTCTTTACAACTAGAAAACTAAAAGCAGAAATGTTTAAGAGAGGCCTGGCACAGTGGCTCATGCCTGTAATCCCAGCACTTTGGGGGGTCAAGGAGGGCAGATCACCTGAGGTCGGGAGTTCAAGACTAGCCTGACCAACATGGTGAAACCCCATCTCTACTGAAAATACAAAAATTAGCCAGGTGTGGTGGTGGGCACCAGTAGTCCCAGCTACTCGGGAGGCTTAGGCAGGAGCATCACTTGAACCCAGGAGGCAGAGGTTGCAGTGAGCCAAGATAGCACCACTGCACTCCAGCCTGGGCAACAGAGCAAGACTCCATCCAAAAAAAAAAAAAAAAAGAAATGTTTAACAGAAAGTCTCACACAAACCCACAGCTAACATCATACTGTATGGAGAAAAGTTGAAAAGTTTTCCTCTAAGATCTGGATCAAGACAAGGATGTCCACTTTCATCACTTTTATTCAACATAGTCCTAGAACTGCTAGCCAAAGTAATTAGGCAAGAGAAAGAAATAAAAGACTTCCAAATTGGAAAGGAGGAAGTCAAATTGTCCCTGTTTGCAGGTGACATGATATTATGTATAGAAAACCCTAATGACTCCACCAAAAAAACTGTTAGAACTGATAAACCAATTTAGTAAAGTTGCAGGATGCAAAATCAACATACAAAAATCAGTAGTGTTTTTTTATGCCAATAATGAACTATCCAAAAAAGAAATCAAGAAAATAATCCCATTTATAATAACTAATATATATAAATATATAAAATCTAGGAATACATTTAACCAAGGAGGTACAATATCTCTACAATGGAAACTATAAAGCATTGATGAAAGAAATTGAAGAGGATACAAATAAATGGAAAGATATTCTGTGTTCATGGACTGAAAGAATTAATATTGTTAAAATGTACATACTACTCAAAGTGATCTACAGATTCAGTGCAATCCCTGTCGAACTTTAAATGACATTCTTCACAAAAATAGAAAAAAATCAATTCTACAATTTGTATGGAATCACAAAAGTTCCCAAATAATCACAGCATTCTTGAACAAAAAGAACAAACTGGAGACATCACACTATCTGACTTCAAAATATACTATACAAAGCTATGATAACCAAAATAGCATGGTATTGGCATAAAAATAGACACATAAATCAATGCCACTAAATAGGAAACACAGAAATAAATCCACACACAGCCAGCTGATTTTCTGTGATGGTAGCAAGAACATACATTGGAAAAAGGACAGTGTCTTCAATAAATGATGTGGGGAAAACTGAATGTCCATATGCAGAAGAATGAAACTAGACACCAAACTCTCACCATATACAAAAATCAACTCAAAATGGATTAAAGACTTAAATGTAAGATCTGAAACTATAAAACTACTGGAAAAAAAAACATAAGGGAAATACTTCATGACATCGATCTGGGGAAAGATTTTTTTGGATGAGAACTCAAAAGCACAGCCGGACGCAGTGGCTCATGCCTGTAATCCCAGCACTCTGGGAGGCCAAGATGGGTGGATCACCTGAGGTCAGGAGTTCAAGACCAGCCTGGCCAACGTGACGAAACCCCATCTCTACTAAAAATACAAAAAAATTAGCCAGGCGTGGTGGTAAGTGACTGTAATCCCAGCTACTTGGGAGGCTGAGGCACAAGAATCGCTTGGATCCGGGAGGCTGAAGTTGCAGTGAGCTGAGATTGCACCATTGCACTCCAGCCTGGGTGACAGAGTGAGACTCCCTCTCAAAAACAAAAAAAAAAAAAAGCACAAGCAAAAATGGACAAGTGGAATTACATCAAACCAAAAAGCTTCTGCACAGCAAAGGAAACAATCAACAGAGTGAAAAGACAACCTATAGAATGGGAGAAAATATTTACAAACTGTGCATCTGACAAGGAATTAATATGCAAAATATATAAGGAATTCAACTCAATAGCAAAAAATAAATAATCCAGTTTAAAAATGGGCAAAAGACCTTAATAGGCGCTTTTCAAAAGAAGACACACAAATGGCCAATAGGAAAAATGTAGGCCAGGCGTGGTGGCTCATGCCTGTAATCCCAGCACTTTGGGAGGCCGAGACAGGTGGATCATGAGGTCAAGAGATTGAGACCATCCTGGCCAACATGGTGAAACCCCGTCTCTACTAAAAATACAAAAAATTAGCTGGGCGTGGTGGCGGGTGCCTGTAGTCCCAGCTACTCAGGAGGCCGAGGCAGGAGAATGATGTGAACCCGGGAGGCGGAGCTTGCAGTGAGCTGAGATGGCACCACTGCACTCCAGCCTGGGTGGCAGAGCGAGACTCCATCTCAAAAAAAAAAAAAAAAAAATTAACTGGGCATGGTCGTGGGCGCCTGTAGTCACTGCTACTTGGGAGGCTGAGGCAGGAAAATTGCTTGAACCCGGGAGGCAGAGGTTGCAGTGAGCCAAGATCGTGTCACTGCATTCCAGCCCGTTGACAGAGCAAGACTCCGTCTCAAAAAAAAAAAAAAGAAAAGAAAAAAAGACTTCAAGGAAAATATTTGTTCTTGAGGAGCTAAAAAGATAACAAGATAAACATATGCAACTCTGCTTCTCTCTTTCTTTCTGTTTCTCTCTCTTTCTGTTTCTCTCTCTCTTGCATACCCTTCTATGTAAGGGAACAATAATTCTTTTCAACATCCTTTAATGTAAGCCACCTCTTGAACACACAATAGCTAAGAAAATCTGTTAAGTTTTAAAATTCATGACAATGACTGGTTTCTTAATTATGTAGGGAGAAACATTTTGAGACTGTCTCTGTATCTTGTTTTGGTGGTGATCATTTTTTTTCATTCCCATGACTGCAGGAATATTGATCTCAGCGTTACTTTGACCATTAATGAATTATGATGGCAATAAGCAAAGATTCGCACCTCTAGCCTCCGGGGAGCTTAATCTTCTGCTACAACATTTGCATTTGTAAGTCAGCACCTGTGTAATCTATATTCTATTTGTTATTCTCCTTTAATTACATATTGGTAGTGGTCCATTTGCAGGCTGGGAGCAACCAACTGGAGCATCAAAAAGATTATTAAAATATTGACTTCAAATTAAAAGGCCAAAAAGGGAACAAGACAGGGTTTGTTTCTACCCAGTCCGTTATGATGGTTCAGGAACAATTATTTCCTTTCATCTCATGAAAAGTTTCAAGAATTGTGCAAGGAACTCCCATATGCCCTTTACATTCATTCATTATTTATATCTTGCCCCACTTGCTGTCTTGCTTTGTGTTATCTATGTAAGCCATAGTTCAAATGTAAATTCAGATTTTCTCAATTGTTCCAATGATGTCCCAATAATTGATTATAAACTAATTTTTTCCCCAGGTTAGGATCCAGTCTAGGATCATGCCTTGTACTGAGTTCCTATGTCTCCTTTGTTTCCTCTAATATGGAGAAATTTCTCTGCCTTTCTTAGTTTTCTTAATTTGACTTTTTTTTTTTTTTTTTTTTGAGATGGAGTCTTGCTCTGTTGCCCAGGCTGGAGTGCAGTGGTGCAGTCGTGGCTCACTGCAGCCTCCGTCTCCAGAGTTCAAGCAATTCTCCTGCATCAGCTTCACGAATAGCTGGGATTACAGGCATGCACCACCATGCCTGGCTAATTTTTTGTATTTTTAGTCGAGATGGGGTTTCACCATGATGGTCAGGCTGGCGAACTCCTGACCTCAGGTGATCCATCTGCCTCGCCCTCCCAAAGTGCTGGGATTACAGGCGTGAGCCGAGATCGCGCCATTGCACTCCAGCCTGGGCAACAAGAGCGAAACTCCGTCTCAAAAAAAAAAAAAAAAAAAAGTTGACCTTGATATTTTTTGCCTGGTCATGTGTAGCTCTTTTTGGAATAAGAAAAGTATTGTTATTTTATACAAAAATGGAGTGTCTTTGGTTTAGTAAATTGGTAATGTGGCATAAAAATATCTTAGAGGGGGATGAGTTATTCATCATTCGGTTCTAGATATTTTCTAATTTCTTTTGTGATTTAGTCTTTGTACCACAAGATATTTAAAACTAGGTCACTTAATTTGTGAATTTTCTTTCTTTCTTTTTTTTTTTTTCAAGACGGAGTTTTGCTCTTGTTGCGCAGGCTGGAGTGCAATGGTGCGATCTCCACTCACTGCAACCTCCGCCTCCCGGCTTCAAGCAGTTCTCCTGTCCCAGCCTCCCGAATAGCTGGAATTAGAGGCTCATGCCACCACGCCCGGCTAATTTTTGTATTTTTAGTAGAGACGGGGTTTCATCATGTTGGTCAGGATGGTCTCAAACTCCTGACCTCAGGTGATCCGCCCACCTCGGCCTCCCAAAGTGCTGGGATTACAGGCATTAGCCACTGCGCCGGGTCAATTTATGAATTTTCTAGTTACCTTTTTCCTAACGGTTTCTTTCTTTCTTTCTTTCTTTCTTTCTTTCTTTCTTTCTTTCTTTCTTTCTTTCTTTCCTTCCTTCCTTCCTTCCTTCCTTTCCTTTCCTTTCCTTTCCTTTCCTTCCTTTCTTTTCTTTTCTTTTCTTTCTCTCTCTCTTTCTTTCGACAGGGTGTCTCTCTACTGCTCAGGCTGGAGTGCAGTGGTGCGATCATAGCTCACTGCAGCCTCGACTTCCTGGGCTCAGGTGACCCTCTCGCCTGAAACCATATTCCCCCTCAAGTAGCTGAGACTACAGGTACGTACCACCACACCCAACTAATTGTTATTTTTTGTGGAGACGGGATCTTGCTTTGTTGCCCAGGCTGGTCTTGAATTCCTGGCCTCATGCGACCCTCCCTCTGCCTCCCAATGCACTGGGAGCCACCGTGCCCAGCCCTGTATTTCTTTTACAAGTGATGTTTTAGCATAATTCTGTGAAGCCCAGGGAACAGATTCTGTATGATTTCAGTAATGTGATAGTTCAGACTTGCTTTGTTGTCCAGCATACATCAATTTCATAAATGTTCCAAATACACTTGAAAAGGAAATGTTTTCTGTGGTTGTTGGTGGGAGTGTTCCTCTTGTCAATTGTGTCAAGTTTATTAACCTTGTTCAAGCCTTCTGTATTGTTAATGATTTTCTTATTTTTTGCTTGTTTTGAGTGTTTGCTTATTCTATCATTTATTGAGAGAGGGGTGTTAAAATCTCTCACTGAAAGTATGACTTCATTTCTTTCTTCAGTTTTTGCTATAAATATTTTGAGGCTAGGTTATTAGGATGAATTCAAATTTAGAATTCTTATATCTTCTGGTAAACTTAACCTTTTTCTCATAATAAAGTTTTCCTATTTATCTCTAGCGATACTTTCTGCTGTAACCACTAATTTAATATTAATATAGCTATACCTTCTTTCTTCTGGTTAATGCTTGCATCCGGTTTTTTTGTTTGCTTGTTTTCGTTTTGTTTTGTTTTTTGAGATGGAGTCTCGCTCTGTCACCCAAGCTGGAGCGCAGTGGCCCCATCTTGGCTCACCGCAACCTCTGCCTCCTGGGATTCCAACGATTCTCTTGCTTCAACCTCTCGAGTAGCTAGAGTAGCTGGGATTACAGGCACTTGCCACCACGCCCAGCTAATTTTTGTATTTTTGGTAGAGATGGGGGTTCACCATGTTGGCCAGGCAGGTCTTGAACTCCTAACCTCAGGTGATCCTCCCGCCTTGGCCTCCTAAAGTGCTGGGATTATAGGCATGAGGCACCGCACCAGGCCCATCCTTTTTTTATCCTTTTCCTTTTCCTATCCAATTATTTTTGATCATTTTGAACATTTCATATGGCTTTCCTTAATTTTTTTTTTTTTTTTTTTTTTTTTTTGAGACGGAGTCTCACTCTGTCACCCAGGCTGGAGTGCAGTGGTGCAATCTCGGCTCACTGCAAGCTCCGCCTCCCGAGTTCACTCCATTCTCCTGCCTCAGCCTCCCGAGTAGCTGGGACTACAGGGAGCCGCCACCATGCCCGGCTAATTATTTTTTGTATTTTTAGTAGAGATGGGGTTTCACCATGTTAGCCAGGATGGTCTTGATCTCCTGACCTCGTGATCCGTCCACCTCCGCCTCCCACAGTGCTGGGATTACAGGTGTGAGCCACCGCCCCCAGCCTCCTTAATTTTTTAATATTTCCTTTACATATATTTTCTCTGATTTTTAAAAATTAAATTATAGACATTGTGAATATTCAAACAAACATATCTCCAAAAATAATTCCTTAATATCATCTAACACCGAGCCCACACTCAGCTAACTCCAGTTGTTTATAACGTGACTTTTAGAACTGTGTGTGTTGGCCAGTCGCGATGGCTTGCGCCTGTAATCCCAGCACTTTGGGAGGCCGAGGAGGGCAGATCACGAGGTCAGGAGTTCGAGATCAGCCTGGCCAATATGGTGACACTCCATCTCTACTAAAAATACAAAAATTAGCCGGGCATGGTGGTGCACGCCTGTAGTCCCAACTATTCCGGAGGCTGAGGCGGAGAATTGCTTGAACTTGGAAAGTGGAGGTTACAGTGAGCCAAGATCATGCCACTACACTCCAGCCTGGGCAACAGAGTGAGACTCCATCTCAAAAAAAAAGAAAGAAAGAAAAAAGAACTGTGTGTGTCATTGCATTTAACTGTATGGCTCTTAGTCTTTTAAAATCTAAAATAAGCTAACTTAATTGATAAATTGTTATGTCAGGAGTGACCATAGGAAATGAAACAGATATTTTAAAAATCACTCTTAAAAATACATAAGGAATATATTCAGTACATCCCCTTTATAAGAAAAATCAGAAAGGTAGAGAATGTAGAAATAAGAAAATAAATATTTTTATGGCTTTTACCAATTGTGAGCATGACTACCTTCCTGATACATTTATCTCTGTCTAGCTCCTTATCTGTCAATACTTTTACAAGGTGAGACCATTCTGTATGTAATTCTACCTTTACTGTAGGCAGTTTTATATCTTGCTTTGTATCTTTAAAATTAATATGATTATAATTTTTTTTTTAAGAGACAGGGTCTCACTTTGTTGCCCAAGCTAGGCTGGAGTGCTGTGGCATGATCATAGTTCACAACAGCCTTGAACTCCTGGATTTAAGTGATTCTCCTGCTTCAGCCTTCCAACTAGTTGGAACTACAGGTGCATACCACTGCACCCAGCTCATTAAAAAAAAATGTTTTTATAGAATGGGATCACTTGCATTGTTGCCCAGGCTGGTCTCAAACTCCTGGCCTCAAGCTATCCTCTCACCTCAGCCTCCCAAAGCACAGGGATTACAGGCGTGAGCCACCACAACTTGCCAGTAATTGTATTTTTAATGGCTGCATATTGTACCATTAAGTGACTACGCTAATTTTGTAAACAAACATCTTCTGTTGAATATTTAGTTTTTTCCAATTGTAATTGTTAATAAAAATAAACATATTTTTAAAGAAATTTTAGTCTGCTTCACATTATAGCCTAATCCTAGACTCTTAAAAGTGATATTTCTTTTTTCTTTTTCTTTTTTTTTTTTTTCTTGAGACAAAGTTTCACTCTTGTCGCCCAGGCTGGAGTGCAATGGCACAATCTTGGCTCACTGCAGCCTCTGCCTCCCGGGTTCAAGCGATTCTACTGCTTCAGCCTCCTGAGTAGCTGGGATTACCGGTGCCCGCCACCATGCCCAGCCAATTTTTGTATTTTTAGTAGAGACGGGGTTTCACCATGTTGGCCAGGCTGGTCTCCGACTCCTGACCTCAGGTGATCCACCAGCCTTGGTCTCCCAAAGTGCTGGGATTACAGACATGATCCGTTGCACCCAGCAATGAAATTTCTTAATGCAAAGGTTTAACCTCTTTTAAAGCTTTCTAGAAAAGTGTTCCAAACTTTTAAAATTCCAGTGAGCTAAAGTTTACTACATTGAGATTAATGTCCTCGTCATAGCAGACACAGCCTGTGAGGCTTCACAGATACTTGTTTTGGACACCTGTTGTGGAAGCTGAAGATGCCAGATACTTTCCCAGGATCTCTTGAAGTGGGGGCACTGCCCTGCGACCTGGGATAGACCAATCCAATTGGCTCCCTCCAGACTGCGGCAGAGGCTGTTTAAACCAAGAAGTACAGTTGAGAATCCCTTTGGGGGATGCCTGTAGTGGCAGGAGCTGAGGGGTGCTGCATCTGATGTACAGAGCTGAGGTGGTGGCCATGAGGTCCAGCACTCAGTGCTGGTGGCAGCAGTGTCCTCACCAGTAAGGACTTAGGTATGATTTTGGCTCTGGCTGTGGCTGATTCTAGTTTTTCTTCTTCTTGCCCATTTACTGAGCCTGGTTGTCTAGCCTTTCCTGATCTTCTAAGTCCCAGTATCCTTCAATAAATTACTTTTCTATTAAAACTAGTCAGTTTGATTCTATTGCTTGCAAAGAAGAATTTGATGAATCTTCTATACAGGGATTCTTCTTCTGTGTAGCAAGGCCCATTTCAAATAGTAGGAGAATTGGCATGCTGAGGGGGTGCCAGGGTGATAGAGAGAGCTCAACGTGGTCACGTGTCAGGGCTGGGAGTTGGAAGAGCCCAGGTCAGTGAACTGGGACAATATTGGAATCTGAAGGTAAAAATAGCTTCTTAAGAAGTTAACATCAGCCAGGCACAGTGGCTCATGCCTGTAATCCCAGAACTTTGGGAGGCTGAGGCCAGTGGATCACAAGTTCAGGAGATCGAGATCATTCTGGCTAACATGATGAAACACCGTCTCTACTAAAAATACAAAAAATTAGCCGGGTGTGATGGCACACGCCTGTGGTCTCAGCTACTTGGGAGGCTGAGGCAGTAGAATCACTTGAACCCAGGAGGCAGAGGTTGCAGTGAGCCAAGATTGCACCATTGCACTCCAGCCTGGGTGACAGAGCAAGACTCCATCTCAAAAAAAAAAAAAAAAAAAAAAGAAAAAGAAGTTAACATCTATGGCCGGCCACACCTCCACAACTTTGGGAGGCTGAGGCAGGTGGATTACTTGAGGCCAGGAGTTTGAGACCAGCCTGGCCAACGTGGTAAAACCCTGTCTCTACTAAGAATACAAAATTATCTGGGTGTGGTAGTGCATGCCTGTAGAACCAGCTACTTGGGAGGCTGAGGCAGGAGAATCGCTTGAACCCAGGAGGTAGAGGATGCAGTCAGCTGAGGTTGTACCACTGCACTCCAACCTGGAAAACAGAATGAGACTCTGTCTCAAAAACAAAACAAACAAACAAAAAAGTATGATTTTTGGGCATGCAGTCTGTATGGTAATAGAATGATTCAGGGGCTGATTCAGGAGTCCAGCTCTTGTAAATGTGTTACTAGAAACCAGGTCTGGGAAGGTGACTAAACATTAAGCCTCTGAATGGACAAGAAGCCAGGCAGCCTAGGTTGAGATGGGTGTTGGGTCTGAGACTATACATGGGCAGGGGACAGTGGTAGACAGAGCTGTGCAGACTTGGAGTGGAAGCCAACAACCACCAGGGAAGGCCATGGCAACCACTTAGGAATTTCTTTTTGGCCATTTCTTCAGAACCAGTTTCCAAGTAATATGACAAAAGCAGCCTCATAATGTTAAGAGGTAAATTTTGTTTCTGACCAAAAACAGTATTACTCAGTTTGATATCTTTCCCGTAGGGATGGGCTTTGATAAATTTAGGCCATTTCAAAAATCCAGAAAACCAAGTCTGTAACCACTAGGGACATTCAGAAGAACATCGCCAGCTCTAAAGGCGATCTTTAGAATAGCTATTTATTTAGGCTTTGTGTGTTTCCAAAGTTAACCAGTGTTTCACATCAGCTATCTTCTCTAACCCTCTCAACAACCCTGAAAGGTAGGTATTAGTACCCCCATTTCATGGATGAAAGAACAGGCTGAGAAATTAATTATCAGATTAGATTGTAAATGAGTGGTAAAGCAAGAATTCAAACCCAGATCTGGTTCGCTTTTTCTGTAGGCAGTGTTTAAGGAGGATCCAGGAATACTTTAAGTGACGCCAGCGTTAGTGTTGCCTCCTCAGAAGACTGCTTTCAGGGGAACAGTATACATCTGCCCTGTAAATTCTGGATGGTAAATATGACAAAAACTCTCTCCTTGACCCAGCTCTAGTGAGACTGCTCTAAGCCCTCTTCTCAACATGGCTCAACCTTGGGCTTCAGTGTACATTTTGTTGGGCCTGCATTGCTCAGTTTTAGCAAGAGTCCAGTTAAGTGAAAGAGAATCTCACAGCTTTGATATCAGATTCTTCCATATCTAAACAAATTCCTCATCCCCTACCTTCAATATCTGATCACTCTGCCCTGTTTGCACCAAGAATCTACCCTCACCCTTGATGTCTCCTCTTAATAATTTTCCATCCACCAATCTCTCCCCACTCTTCAAACCTGCTCCTTGGCTATAAGTCCCTACCCCTTCTTGTCTTATTTGCAATAGAGCTCAGTTCTACACTGGGGTCTCTTTTTCCTGATTGCAATAGTTCCTGAATAAAATCTGTTTTTACCACTTTATCCACTGTCTAGCTCTGGTTTTCTTTACCAGAAGTCACAGTTAACACATGCGAAAACCCATTTGCAAAACAAATCCACAGGACTCGGTCCATGTGCTGTGAAGTCTTTGATTAAGGGCTTAAAAACAATGAAAAGTAATAAACGGATCTGAATACAATTCAGGCAATAAAACACTTTCATTGGTTTTCATACTCAGCAAAAGTATTTTTACTGATTAAAAGATAAATAATCCTCACTCTACTAACTCAATGACACATTGAAACATTAGCCTAACTTGTGCAACTTTCAGTGAAGCTACTCTCTTTGCGTAGGCATAGCCCTTTCTGCCAAGGTACAGGAGAGCAAACCCACGCATGAATTCCGTTCATCTCAGGGCATTTCTTTCTGTAGTTCTTAATGTGTCTTTGTGAAGGGACGCACACTCACAACAGCTGAAAATCTAACCCTCTAGATTTCATTTAGCTAACATCAGGCCAGTCTTCGGACTGAAGCTAATGCCCACATATAGGAGGAAGGGAGAGGAATCACTAATTGCAACCCTTTTAGACTTCCTCCATGATGAAGCAGAGGGGAGGACTATTGTTTGGGAGATGTGTGTGGGAGGTGAAGATTTCAGATTTTCTTTAAAATAATAATTGACTGCACAGGCAGCAGCAGAGCTGGCCTGTCCATTGTGGGATTGTCTCTGTGTTGGTATGAGGTCTGGCCAAGTTGGGGGCCTCAGCAGGGGATTGCTCAGTTGATCAAGTCTTAATTTGTCTTTTCCACCTTGGGTGGTGCTGTCTGTCCTTTTCATCTCCCAATCACCGACATGGTGGGAGATGTTGAGGGCAGTGCTGTGTTATCTTAAGGTTTCCTTCAAGAAAGCAAAACCAAACAAACAAGCAAACACTTTTTGCTTCCCAACTGTGCCCTCCTAGGGGAGATTCAAAGGCTCTTCTGAACCAGACAGGTGCTGATGTCTCTGCTGCCATTTGGATGTGGGTTTGGTGAAGGTGGCAGGAGTGAAGGGAAAGCAGAGGGAAGAGTTAGGCAGAGGGATCTTGATTGCCATTTCTTCCTGCTGCAGTCGCTTCAGACGGTTCAGCTTCCAGCCAGACAGTTCCTAATGGACCTGCACAGCATGCAAAAAAACCCTCCTTTGTAAAAATAACTTCTTTGATTTCTCCCAGCCTTGGGCCCTGTTTAGTTAGGGGCAATGACCGGGAGGCAAGTCATTTCGGGCCTTGCTGGTAGAGTGAGGGGGAGATCGCCCATGGCTTCCCCAGCTGTACTGCCTGTGGAGCAAAGGGTTCAGAAGCAGAGCATTTTTAAAAATATAATAATAAAAAAAAATGAAAGAAAGAAGCCCTCTTTGAAAATCCTTACTGTTTCCCACTATCTCCTACAGCGATTGCCCTTTCATTAGTGTGGAAATCCAACAATGTGGAAATCGAGTGTTTTTTTTTTTTTTTTGCTTTGATATCAGCCTAACCCTTGAGGCTAAACTTGTGGTAAGCCACCTATCCATGTTAGCTAAAATAAAGTTGTAGCTGGAATCACCACCTAGTCCTTTAGCAGTTGTACATTTTCATGTTTATCCTTTGAGGAGTGAGACAATAACTACATATTGTTTTATTATTCAGGATCCCCTGGGTTGCTGGCAACTGAAACCCAAATTGAATTTGTTTAAGAATAAAGGAGGAATTTATTGGGAAAATATTGGGATATTTTAAGTAACTGAAGGCGGGGTTAAGAGGTCAATCTATGAGAAAGACAAGGAACTAGCCAGAAATTTAACAATAAAATGAAATAAAACTGGAACCAGGACTCCAAGTGCTCCCTGGATTCCTTCTCTCTCTGTCTGCAGCTCTATCCCTCCTGGTATCCAGGGCTTTCTCTCTCATTGTAGATCTGAGTCTTACATACTGTGGGTTAAAACACCAACGAGAACCTGATTTTGTTTCTTAATTCTAGATAGAAAAGTCTTGGGGAAGGCTCTGACTGTGCTGGCTTCAGGCAGGGGCCCCAGCCAGGTCCAGGCAACTCTAGTTAGTGGAGGTGGGGTCATGTAAGAACATGGCCACACTCCCCGCATCCCCTGAACCACATGTTTAGAGGGCGGAAAGGAGCAATTCCAAACAGGGAGCTGCTTTCTTGGAAGGAAGGATGGGTTCTAATCAAAGCAAGCAGCAGTCATTTACTAAACATACATAACATACTTGCATATGGACTTGAGAAATGTTTCTTAGGGATTTTTGCCATCTTGGTAATAATCAGAGTCTTGGTAAAAGTCAGAAATCAAAAACCTAATCAGATGCATCTATATGGCAAAAACTATAAGATTCTTTCATTTGTTTGTTTTTAACTCGAAACTCCAAAGATGACAGAAGATATTGAGAATGGCTGGACCCACACTCTAAAGCAAACTAAATACACAGCAGTTACACTCATATTTATATGTACCATAGCGCACGGGACTTCAATGAGTTCTTATATTCACCTCAGTTTCTCCTCCCTAAGGAAGCAGTGACCACTGCGGATTGACGCAGCTAAGGGGGTTTTCTAGGCTTACTTGGATTGGATTCTCTTTGGCATGCTCACTGTTGTTTTTTTCTTGCTTGATTTGGTCTGAGCTGAGATGTCCACCCTTTACTGGAGGACTGTCATGTTGGAGACTTGCCTCTGCTAGCTCACTGGACGGGCTGTGCTCACTGTGGCCTCCTTACCTGGATGAGTCAGTCAGCACGCTCTCAAAGGGTCCTATCTCTTTCTGCATGGGTGGCTATCTCTGCAAGGGCTGTGATGGTGGGTAAAATGTCCAAAGACCCATAGGCAGCATGAAATGCACCAAATGTCCATTTACTCAACTCAGTGGTATCTGACATAAGACCACAGAACACACCTTCTCTCCACCACCCATCTTGCTTGACCCTACTTGCGGGTAGTATGTTGCCAGCAACCTGGATATTATTGTTAATTAATTCATGCCTAACATGCAGTGGCTTATACTGGGTATTATTGAATGTCTAAGAATAGGCACAGAGCCTGAAATTGAGAAGTGAAAACTGCAAAATGGCTGGGTGGAAAAAATGATGGGACATGGAGCAGGCCTTTTGGTATTTTCCCTGTAGTTATCTTTTACAGGTTAAATAAGATTAATATTCATGGTGAACCAAGAGCAATTAGCTACTTTGCATGTGTTACTGCTTCTTAGCCTATTCTAAACTCTGTTTTATGTATTTATTTTAAAGGACTTTGCCTTGATTAGGGCCATTCGTATAAGACCTTGTACTTTGCATATTTGCAATCATGTTTGCATGTTTGCATTTCTAAAGTTTTGAATTTCAAATCAGGCAACGAGTTTCAGCAAATATACTTCATGTACACATGACCGTAATCAGGGCGTGAGACTATACTACAATAAAATCCCAAAATGGCTTCTAGGAATAAAAGATTTTATGTTTTCTATTTATAATAAAAATTTGGGGTGAGGGTTGGCTTTATTTTAAAAACAGAATAATTCTGTATGTAATTTAAATGCAAAATTGCGAACTAGTATTTTTCTAATTGTATTCAAAATCTGAACCCCCTAATGGGGGCAAGGGAAGGTTGGAATATTCTTATCCATAATGATGACTGAACAATAGGCCTTTCCCCTTTTCTTTCCTCTGCTTCCCTGGGACAGCAGCGCCCACTGTCACGCACGTATCACTTACTCTCATACTGTTTTCCAGGATACTTGGCCAAGGCATCTTCTAACATGTTATAAGATGATTTCAGAAATAATTTTTATCAGATCATAGTTAATCTTTCTAACAGATCTATGAGGTAAACATCCCAGGCCCACTCGCTACAAATGTCAGGGCTGCGATTTTTAGCCAGATTTTTTTGACTTTTAATCAAGGACCTTTTTCACTTCATTTATATTTCTCAAATTAAAGTCTGAAGATCCTTGAAAGTCTTCAGTCGTATTCTGAAGGGGCCTTGAGTTCTCTGTGAGAATTCAATTTTGTATTTTCATTTTGATGCTAATAATCAGTGAAGATCAACATATTTTGGTTCATTTGGATGATCAACTTAACGGAGAGCTTCCACATACTTTCAGGGCCTGCATTTTTATCTGTGTTTAAGATTTTCTTGGTGACAGGGAGTGACAGTTTCTTTGTCATTGAAAAATCATTGTAAATAATTTTTAAAAAAACAAAACACACAGACATGTGAATGTTGTGTTCTCACCAAGTGAAGGTCCGATGACCTCATCACAGGATGTACAAAGGAAGGTTCTGCATAACGTAAATAGAGACAAGCAGTGGAAGCATTGAGTCACTGCAAAGCATGAGGCCAGCAGGCTGAACTCAGGAGAGCCTGGGCAGGGAGCACCACTTTCATGCCGTTGAGGGGAGTGACCATTCTGTATTTGTTCCATTAAATTAAAAGTATTCATTTGAATCGTATGACTTTCCTACATTTGTTCACCTATAAGTTTGTTTTGGTTTTATTGTGGCATGAAGTCTATATGAAAACATTCTTTGTATCTAGTTTTAAGTTTACATATATTAAAAATAACATTTTAATAAAAATCACTTAGGGATGACATCAGAGGTCCATGAGAATGTCTTTCCCTTAAAGACGGTCACACATTATTCCATCAGCACTCCATCATAGGCTAAGTTTCCAAAGAAGTTTTAGGAAAGAGGAAAGTATATTTGAGGGTTTTTGTTTTGTTTTGTTTTGTTCTTTTTTCTTTTTTTTTTTTTTTTTGACAGAGTTTCGCTCTTGTTGCCCAGGCTGGAGTGCAATGGCGCGATCTTGGCTCACTGTAGCCTCCGCCTACCAGGTTCAAGCGATTCTCCTGCCCCAGCCTCCAAGTAGCTGAGATTACAGGCGCCTGCCATCATGCCTAATTTTTTGTAGTTTTAGTAGGGATGGGGTTTCACCACGTTGGCCAGGCTGGTCGTGAATCCCTGACCTCAGGTGATCCACCCGCCTTGGCCTCCCAAAGTGCTGGGAGTGCAGGCATGAGCCACTGCACCGGCCCATGTTTGAGTTTTATGCAATTTATGTTGGTGACTTGTTAACAGCACCAGAGGCCCTACCTTCAAAATATATCGAGTCCAGTTGCTTTTACTCCCTCTATTCTTAGTGCCTGGTCTAGTCACCATTTCTCAGCTGCCTAGATGACAGCCACAGCTCCCAGCTCCTGCCAACCCCTCTGTCCA
Source organism: Homo sapiens (assembly GCF_000001405.40). NCBI lineage: Eukaryota > Metazoa > Chordata > Mammalia > Primates > Hominidae > Homo > Homo sapiens. Next base: position 81,760,793 of record NC_000009.12, read on the forward strand.
TTCTCAACCTACAACCAGAGGGAGGCTGCTCAAGCCTGAGCCTGATCCTGTGACTCCTCTTCTTCCCACCTGCTAAATGGCTCCCCTCCCTCTCAGAGTGACTGCCAAAGGCCCCCTTACCAGCAGGCCCTGCACTAGCCCCTGTGCCGCTCCAGCGTCTCCACGGCTCCCACTGTGCTCCCACCACTGCAGCCCCACTGACCCCTCCTTGCTCCTGGAACACACCAGGCCTACTCCTGCCTCGGGACCTTTGCACTTCCTTTCCCACTGCTTGGGAAGCTTTTCCCCAGATGCCCAGTGGCTGCCTGCCTCCCTTGGCTCAAGTCTTCTCTCAAATCTCATGTTGGCAGTGATGCCTTCCTGACCACTCTGTATAAAACTGTAAACCCTAGGCTGGGCACGATGGCTCACGCCTGTAATCCCGGCACTTTGGGAGGCTGAAGTGGGCGGATCACCTGAGGTCGGGAGTTTGAGACCAGCCTGACCAACATGGAGAAACCCTGTCTCTACTAAAAATACAAAATTAGCTGGGCGTGGTGGCGCATGTCTGTAACCCCAGCTATGTGGGAGGCTGAGGCAAAAGAATCGCTTGAACTCAGGAGGCGGAGTTTGCGGTAAGCCGAGATCGTGCCATTGCATTCCAGCCTGGGCAACAAGAGCGAAACTCTGTCTCAAACAAACAAACAAACAAAAATTTTGAACCCCACCCCTCCAGTGCTTCCCCCCTCTTTCTCTGCTTCATTTTTCCCACATGACTTATCCTCAAACACACTATTTAATGTATTTATGTATTTGATGCAGTAAAGGCAGAAGTTTACCCATTGCCTAATGACCCAGGGGACTTTTTGTTTATATTTTCTTCTAATCTTATACTGTGTCCTTGTTACAAAATACAAAAGGTACAGAAGTGAATAGTAAGTTTTTCTTCATCCCAGTTTCTATGCTGTACTTTCTATGTATTTATCTTTTTGTTTTGTATTAATTCTGACATCAGCTTTGTTATAAATTAACATATAATCTTAGTAATATTAGTTCAAATTATTGTATTGCCATTACTTTACCTTTTCAGCATATGACAATTATTTGCTATTGTAAATAACACTGTGATAAACATCTTTGTGCTTGAAACTTTTCCATGTTTGGGTTATTTCTTTAAGATATATTCAAAGAAGTGGTATTCCTAGGCCAGTCCCTTGAATGGGCATTTTTGAGATTCCTTATTCATATTGCTAAATTAATTTTGTAAAAAGCCTATAAAAGGCCGGGCGCAGTGGCTCACACCTGTAATCCCAGCACTCTGGGAGGCTGAGGCAGGCGGATCACGAGGTCAGGAGATGGAGACCATCCTGGCTAACTCGGTGAAACCCCGTCTCTACTAAAAATACAAAAACATTAGCTGGGTGTGGTGGCGGGCACCTGTAGTCCCAGCTACTCGGGAGGCTGAGGCAGGAGAATGGCGTGAACCCAGGAGGCAGAGTGTGCAGTGAGCCGAGATCGCGCCACTGCACTCCAGCCTGGGCGACAGAGTGAAACTCCGTCTCAACAGCAACAATGGCCAGGCGCGGTGGCTCATGCCTCTAATCCCAGTATTTTGGGAGGCCAAGGGGGGCGGATCACCTGAGGTCAGGAGTTTAAGACCAGCCTGGCCAACACAGTGAAACCCTGTCTCTACTAAAAATACAAAAATTAGTTGGGTGTGGTGGCACACGCCTGTAATCCCAGTTACTCGGGAGGCTGAGGCAGGAGAATTGCTTGAACCCAGGAGGCGGAGGTTGCAGTGAGCCGAGGTCGTGCCATTGCACTCCAGCCTGGGTAACAAGAGTGAAACTCTGTCTCGAAACAACAACAACAACAACAGTCTATAAAAATGTGCCATTCAAGGTCAGGCATTGTGGTTCAAGGCCTGTAATCCCAGCACTTTGGGAGGCCGAGGCAGGCGGACTGCTTGAGCCCAGGAGTTCAAGACCAGCGTGCCCAACATAGTGAAATGCTGTCTCTACTAAAAATACAAAAATTAGCCGAGTGTGGTGGTAAGCGCCTGTGGTTCCAGCTACTGGGGAGGCTGAGGCATGAGAATCGCTTGAACCCAGGAGGCAGAGGTTGCAATGAGCCAAGATTGGGCTACCTCACTCCAGCCTGGGCAACAGAGCAAGACCCTGTCACACACGCACACACACACACACACACACACACATGCCATTCAAACAGCAAAATCTGAAAGATTTTGACCAATTTATTTAGTTTTTTGAAACGGAGTTTCACTCTTTTGCCCAGCCTGGAGTGAAGTGGCACGATCTCGGCTCACTGCAACCTCTGGCACCTGGGTTCAAGCTACTCTCCTGCCTCAACCTCCTGAATAGCTGGGACTATAGGCACCCACCACCACACCTGGCTAATTTTTGTGTTCTTAATAGAGACGGGTTTTGCCACGTTGGCCAGGCTGGTCTCAAACTCCTGACCTCAGGTGATCCACCTGCCTCAGCTTCCCAAAGTGCTGGGATTACAGGCGTGAGCCACTGCGCCTGGCCTGATTTTTACCAATTTTTAAAATGTACCTTTAACAGACATTTTTTTTTTCAGGCCCGCATTCTTGTGATGATAAAAGGGGCCAGAACCAATTGAGGGTTCTTTTAGAGCCTCTTCTCCAGCTACTCGGGTGGCCAAAGGTGGGGAAGAGGGGGCAGGAAGGGTCAGGGCATATGGGCCCTGAGAATCTTTTGGTTTCTGGCTCCACTTCTCTTTTGTAGGGTCTGCTGAGGCTTTGCTAGGCCCAGAGAGATACAAGCAAGGGGTTGGGGCTGTGGAGACTGGAATGGAATATAAATAAAAATCAATAATCATATGCCTAAAAGTGTTCCCTTCATGACCTTTCAGCCTTGGTCAAAGCATTTTGGGGTTTTTTTGTTTGTTTTTTATTTTTTATATTTTGTAGAGATGGGGTCTCCCTGTGTTGCCCAGGCTGGTCTCAAACTCCTGGGCTCAAATGACCCTCCCACCTTGGCCTCCCAAAGTGCTGGGATTATAGGTGTGAGCCACCGTGCCTGACTGGTCAAGGCATTTTGTATTGAAAATTTCCGTCTCAGACATAGACAGAATAATACCTAACACTTACACCATGTAAAAGGATGGACTTGGGCATTTAATGCTACTTACATGGCCAGTGATACGTAAGTCTAAAGATTTGACTACTCCAGCCGGGTGCAGTGGCTCATGCCTGTAATCCCAGCACTTTGGGAGGCTGAGGCGGGCGGATCACCCAAGGTCAGGAGTTCAAGACCAGCCTGGCCAACATGGTGAAACCCCGTCTCTACTAAAAATACAAAAAAATTAGCCAGCCATAGTGGTGGGTACCTGTAATCCCAGCTACTTGGGAGGCTGAGGCAGGAGAATCACTTGAACCCGGGAACTGGAGGTTGCAGTGAGCCAAGACCGTGCCATAGCACTCAAACCTGGGCAACAAGAACGAATCTCCGTCTCAAAAAAAGAGAAAAAAATTGTCTACTCCATTTAGTGATTAGTAATATTTCAGTGGAAAAGACCTCAACTAAGGATAATTGTTTGGATAAAAACATTTCAATTCCCATAGCAAGAAAAAAAAATTTCAATTCCCAATTCTATTGCTTCCCCATTTAAATGAAAGTACAGAAATCCATTAATTCTGTAGCACACGCCCGAGAGCAGATAATAGTCTAAAGCGTGCCTCCTAAGGAAGGGTTGTTGGTTCTTTCATTCTTCGCATTATTGAGAAAACTAAAAAATGTTAGTCTGTAAGATGATTCTGTTTTTTCCATTAGAAGAGAACAGAAGTAAATATAAGAAACAAGTAATATTTGTAGTCTCCAGAAAGGGGATGGCTTAGAAATTGGGATGAAGAAAGACTTACTCTTCACATCTGTACCTTTTGAATTTTGTAACAATGCATCTGTCAATAAAACAACAACGAAAGATGCACCTTATGTCTCCTGACACTGCCAAGAGGTCCTATCTCTATTGTCTTTGCTCTTCAACCAGGTGATCCCTTCAACCAGGTGAACAGTACAAATCCCATTAATAGGGCTCTACAAAAAAATACAAAAATTAGCCGGGCATGGTGGCACATGCCTGTAATCCCAGCTACTTGGGAGGCTGAGCTGGGAAGACTGCTTGAGCCCAGGAGGCAGAGGTTGCAGTGAGCTGAGATGGCACCACTGAACTCCAGCCTAGGCAACAGAGTGAGTCCCTGTCTCAAAAACAAGCAAACAAACAAACAAAAAACTAGTTTCACCTGTTTCTTTCTATTTGCATAATGTGACTACTAGAAAGCTTAAAATTATATATGCGGCTCACAGTATATTTCTCTTGGACAACACTGTCTGGAGTTTACGGTGAGTCCAATGTGTCCAGGGACCTAAAGCTACTAGAGTGTGGTTAGCACGTGAAGGGCAAGGGGGTTGTGGCAAGGACAGGCCTGGATATAGGCAGTGATCACAGCAGGCATGATTGCCCTTGGAGGTCATTTCAAGGGTTCAGACCTTCCTAAGGGCCATAGGAAGCTACTGGGGAGATTTCCTCAGGGCAGTGATAAGAACAGATCTGCATTTTAAAAAACACTTGGCTTCTGTAGGAAATTTGCAGGAGGGGCTGCTGCAATCACCCATAGCTGTTCTGTGCACTTAGACGAAAATCCAAATTCCTCATCTCAGCCTACAAGGCCCTTTGCATTGGACTCCAGCATCCTGCTGCCACCTCATCAAATGCCATGACCTCCTATTGTCTCTCTGAAACAGGACAGAATCTTCTCCATCTCAGGACCTTCTCACTTGTAAATTCCCTTTGCCTGGAATGCTTTTCCTTGGCTCATCTCAGAACTGGCTCTTTTAGTAACCAGAGGTATTTTTTTTTCAGCTTCTGTGTCACCTCCTCAGATAAGCCTTCTCTCACCCCCCTTCCTAAAATATCCACCTCCAGTTAATTATTTCCTTCATTGCAATTATCACTGTCTGAAATTATCTTAGGATTTATTTGTTTGCTTGTCTGTTGTCTATGTTTGTACATCAGGATATAAACTTCTGGAGAGCAAAGGCCTTGCTAGTCTAATTTGCTCTTTTGCGTGACGATGGGCGCTTTGAGGATAGAAAGGGTACAGGGAAACCTGTAGACCATGCAGGAGAAGGCCCAGGATAGAACTCTAAGGAGGGTAAGTGTGCAGGAGGTGAATGACAGAAGGAGAGCAGGCTCTGGAGACTGAAGGAGCATCCAGGCAGAAAGAGCTGCATCCTGCCACAGAGGGCCATGGAAGAAAGGGTTTCGGGAAGGAGCTCTTGGTCAATAGCAGAAAGTGATGCCTAGAGGATAAGTATAGTGTCCACTGTCTATAGTGAGTAGGGGGCATTGGTAGCCTTGGGGGAAGTTCTGTGGAGTGATGGGGTGGAAGGCAGACGGCAGTGAGCAGAAGCACAAGGAGGCGGTGGTGAAGTAGAGGGGGTGGATGTACACACCTCCACTCCTCCAGGACATGTGACAGTGGGAGATCTGGGGATGGGGCTGGAGTTGGATATAGGGCCTTTGGAGGAATTTTTTTTTTTTTTTTAATCAAATGGGAGACAGTTGAGCTGATGGGCTGAAGCTGGAAAAGTTAAAGGAAAAGGAGAGATAGGAGCTGATGGATGTCATGGAGTCTGTGAGAGGCAGGAGGGGAGGAATCAGAAGACTATAAGAGGATGGGCTTTAAATAGGAGAAGTAGGACACTGCTTCCATTATAACAGGAGAAAAGGCAGGATTTTTGTTTGTTTGTTTTGAGACTGAGTCTCACTCTGTCACCCAGGATGGAGTGCAGTGGCACAATCACAGCTCACTGCAACCCCCGCTTCCTGGGTTCAAGCGATTCTCCTGCCTCAGCCTCCTGAGTAGCTGGGATTACAGGCGTGTGCCACCACGCCTGGCTAATTTTTGTATTTTTAGCAGAGACAGGGTTTCACCGTGTTGGCCAGGCTGGTCTTGAACTCCTGACCTCAAGTGATCCACCCACCTAGGCCTCCCAAAGTACTGGGATTACAGGCGTGAGCCACTGTGCCCGGCCAGGATATTTACTCAACACTTATGACTGGCAGACAAGGAACATGGTCCCATCTCCAGAAGGCTGCAGTCTGGTTGGAGTGGCAAGACATGGCAACAAAGGAGAATAACTCAGTGTGTGATAAGCCTACAGGAAATGAGTGCTGTAGTATTTCAGAAGAGAGCAAGATTAACTCCTGATGCTGTGATCAAGGAAGTTTTCATGAGAAGTGGCATTTGATTTGGGACTTGAAAGCAGAGGAGCATTTTACTAGCTGGAAAAATAAGTGGTCAAAGAAAATAAAGGAGAAGGAGAGTGCATTTCATGTAAATGGACTGGCATGAACAAAGGAATAAAGTAATGTATTTTAATTGGTTTATCCTTTTGGCAAAGAAACAGGGACAATTTTTTTTTTTTGGTCTATACTCTGATAAAACACGGCAATTTGGAGGAAGAAAGAGACTTTAGAGATTATCTCATCATATGTCCTTTTTTTTCTAGGTATGAAAACTGAGGTGCAGAAAGAAATAACTATTGAAAGTCACAAAACTGTTAAGTGACAGAGTTGGGCTCTGGCTCACAAGTGTAGCTTCCACAATACCATTATTGTACAGGTTGTAAGGATAGAATATATTTAGTAAAACCACACCAAATTTTGTTGATTTACATCAGAAGTGCAAGGGAGTAAAGACTAGATGAATTTTTAGATGTTTTTTTAAAAAAGAAATATAGTTGTAATCCCAGCACTTTGGGAGACTGAGGCAGGAGGATTATTTGAGCCCAGGAGTTCAAGACTAGCCTGGGCAAAAAGTGAGACTTCCTCTTTACAAACAAGCAAAAAATTAGCCAGGTGTGATGGTGCATCTGTAGTCCCAGCTACTTGGAAGGCTGAGGTGGGAGGATCACTTAAGCCCATGTGGTTGAAGCTGCAGTGAGCCATATTCACGCCACTTCAGTCTGAATAACCAAGTGAGATCTTGTGTCAAAAAAGAAATACAGTTATGTTGTCATAGTGATTACAATTCCAACAAAGTTTTGCTACACAGGCATGTCATTGTAACCTACATAAATGGAGAGACAAGAATGATTTGTTATTGAGAGATTAACTGATGACTTCCTGCTATTCACCAGACTTATCCTGGTCTCCAATGTCATGGCCAAATTAAGCCCCAATTGGCCAAAAGTGAAATTGAAAAAAAAATCTATGTTAACTCAAAGTATGAATTCACAAAAGAGCAGGAGAAAGATGATGAGAAGGTATTAGTTTCCTATGGCTGCTATAACAAGTTAGCACTTTTGGGGCTTCAAACAACACAGATTTATTATTTTACAGTTCTGAAGACCAGAAGTCCAACACAGGTCTCAGTGGGCTGAATCAACTTTTGGCACAGCTACATTCCTTTCTGGAGGTTGTAGAGGAGAATTTGTTTTCTGCCTTTTCTGACTTCCAAAGACTGCCCACTTTCCTTGGCTTGTGGCCCTCCTCCTCTTCTGCTAAAGCCAGCGACATTGCACCTCCCTCAGGGAACTTTATCACCCCCCTGACCACAGCTGAAAAAGGTTCTCTGCTTTTAAGACTCATGTGATTAGACTGGGCACAGTGGCTCACGCCTGTAATCCCAGCACTTTGGGGGACTGAGGCAGGCAGATCACTTGAGGCCAGGAGCTCAAGACCAGTCTGGCGAACATAGCAAAACCCCGTCTCTACTTTAAAAACTACAAAAATTAACCAGGCAGGCCCCTATAATCCCAGCTACTAGGGAGGCTGAGGCATGAGATTCGCTTAAGCCCGGGAGGTGGAGGTTGCAGTGAGCTGAGATCGAGCCACTGCACTCCAGCCTGGGCGACAGAACAAGACTCTCATCTCAAAAAAAAAAAAAAAAAAAAAAAGACTCATGTAATTAGATTGGGAAATTGGATAATTCAGGCTTCTCTCCTTATGTCAAAGTTCTTAACCTTAAAATCACATCCATAAGGTCCCTTTGCCACAGAAAGAACAATTTCACAGGCTCTGGCATTAAGATATGGACATATTTGGGGATCCATTATTATTTTGCCTAATACAAAGAAGAAGGAGGAGGAAAAGACATACTGTGAATTATTAGAGAGATGACTTATAAATAATTAGAAAAGAAAATGAGCATCAAGAGCCAGTATAAATTCATTAAATCATAGCAGATATTTTCTTATGTAGCAGAGTTACTAGGCAAATAGATATGGGGAATGCCAGAGACAAATTGATCCTCCGGTTTTTCTCTTAGGATGTGCTTGTGGAAATATAATAGCATTTGTGTAGGGTGTCAATGCAGCACGTCTATTCACAACTCATTAAACGACTGCTGAAAACTGCGAACAGGCATAAACCTGATGAAGGTCTCCTGGTGTGTCATGGGGGTGTCTGTCCTTGGTCCATCTATCTGTAGCATGACCAGCAACCAGGATGAAGACTTGAAGGTCAGGTGTATCTGATCTGCAGGTGACACAACAGTATATAAATCTAAAGAAAATCTCAATACGCTGGGAAGATAAGATGAACACACATTAATGTTACAATAGTAAACATGAAGTCTGAAATGTCAGGGAGAAAATCAGTTGAATAAAGGAAGGATGGGACTGAATTTGGTGTCAGTTTCTGTGGAAAATTAAAAACAAGGCTGGGTACAGTGGCTCACACCAGTAATCCCAGCACTTTAGGAGGCCGAGGTGGACAGATCATCTGAGATCAGCAGTTCGAGACCAGCCTGGCCAACATAGTGAAACACTGTCTCTACTGAAAAATACAAAAAAATTACTCGGGCATAGTGGCGGGCACCTGTAGTCTCAGCTACTCGGGAGGCTGAGGCAGGAGAATCGCTTGAACTCAGGAGGCAGAGGTTCCAGTGAGCCAAGATAGCACCATTGCACTCCAGCCTGGGTGACAAAAAGAGACTCTGTTTAAAAAAAAAAAAAAAAAAGCAATTGCTGTGTCTGTGAAAGTAAAAATTATATTAAGGGCATCAATTAGCAATTTTTTTTTTGAGACAAAGTCTTTCTCTGTCCCCCAGGCTGGAGTGCAGTGGCGCGAACTCTGCTCACTGCAACCTTTGCCTCCCAGGTTCAAGAGATTCTTGTGCTTCAGCCTCCCTAGTAGCTGCGACTACAGGCATGTGCCCCTACGCCTGGCTAATTTTTGTAGTTTTAGTAGAGATGGGGTTTCACCATATTGGCCAGGCTGGTCTCGAACTCCTGACCTCAAATGATACGCCCACCTCAGCCTCCCAAAGTGCTGGGTGTGAGCCACTGTGCCCAGCCCAATAGCAATTTTTTGAGCATCTACTATGTACCAGGTACTGTGCTAAGGGGCTTTACATGTCATATATTTTCACCCTCACCAAAAAATCTATAAGGAAATAATGATTATCTCTGTTTCACAGATGAAGGTAGGATTCAGAGACGTGAAGCAACTTGTCCAAGATTACAAAATCATCTATTTATATGAACTTGGGTCTGACTCCAAAGACAAGTGTTTTCAAAAGGCCAAGGAATTGTAGTTGCATTAGAAAAAGTCAGTATCCAGCCGGGTGCAGTGGCTCACGCCTGTAATCCCAGCACTTTGGGAGGCCGAGGCGGGCAGATCACCTGAGGTCAGGAGTTAGAGACCAGCCTGACCAACATGGAGAAACCCCATCTCCACTAAAAACACAAGATTAGCCAGGTGTGGTGGTGTGTGCCTGTAATCCCAGCTACTCGGGAGGCTGAGGCAGGAGAATCACTTGAACCCGGGAGGTGGAGGTTGCAGTGAGCTGAGATCACGCCATTGCACTCCAGCCTGGGCAACAAGTGTGAAACTCCATCTAAGAAAAAAAAAAAAGTGAGTACCCAGGTCATTCTAGAAAACATCTGTGATAGATTTTCTATTTTGATCTCCTCACTTTAAGAGGGGCTTTGACAAACTTGAATGTGTTTAGAGGAGTGTGACCAGGGTTCTGAATGTTTTAGATGCTAAATCATATGAGGAGTAATTGAGTGAACTTGGTATGTTTTGCCAAAATATCTTGAGGTCAGGGTGGATAGCACAAAAACTTAATACTCCCTAAAAATATTTGAAGACAGTACAAAATTTTCTCTTCTCGAAGTAGTGCAGAGGCAATTTCGATTCAAGAGAACTTGATCATAATGATTTATGTCATGAAGTCACCATTCAAGGACAGGCTTAGTGTGAGTTTCTTGGAAGTAGCGACCAAAGTGCTTTCATCTTTGGAGTTAAATAAGTGGTGCTTGGCAAGAACAGGTGCTCAATTTGTGTCTGTTGAATGCATGAACAAGTGACTTTATCAGGGACATCATAGAAGATATTAGCAAATTAAGAAGCAAGTTAGAAGAGGTGAACTTTAGAGTTATTTCGAAGTTCGGGATTTTTCTTTGATTTTAGATTGTTGACTTGAGATAAGTAGGGGAAACAAGCTCCGGGTCTGCTGCCTTTTTTTTGCCTCATTGGTAAGTCAAAGCAAAATTCTAACAACTCTGATTGACACTAAGTTCTAATGACCTGAATATCAACATCAAAAGTATTTCATATTTGTAATACGAATAGGTTTCTTTCTAAACACGTTGACATTTTAATTGTTCCTTAAAAAAAAATTTTTTTTAGAGACAGGGTCTCACTTTGTCACCCAGGCTAAAGTGCACTGGTACCATCATAGCTCACTGCAGCCTCAAACTCCTGACCGCAACCGATCCTCCCGAATCACCGAGATTACAGGCACAAGCCACTGTGCCCGGCTGACATTTTAATTGTTCTTGAGTTGCCTCCACTATTTTTTTTTCTGTGTTCTTGCAGGGTTGATTGGCTAAATCATAGAAAAGCAAATTAAATTTGCAATCTAGCCAATTTCTGTAAACAAGCTGGCAGTATAAGGGTCCTGAGGGGGTTGTAGCTACGACAACAGCTGCCTAGAATGAAGTGGAATCTGTTTAGAGGGCTCATGTAAGAAGTGAGTCATACATTGTGGCGCAGTAAAGATGACCAGGAGGATACAGACAGGGAAGGGGATATCACAGAACTGGCCCAGAGTCAGCGTGACCTATTTTATAATCTGAAGAACTCCAATAAAGGCTACTATCCAGCTTGAATGTATTCAAAATAATGTTGAGGCCATATACATGTATATCAAAATCCTATCTTAATACAACCGAATATGTTAATATTACTTATTTGTGGTTCCAATGGAGCAGACAGCTGAATTTCTCTTAATATTTTTGCGTATCTTTTGTGCTATTTTGATGCTCAGCTATTGGACCCCTTAGTTGGATCCCATTAAGTTAGCAAGACTGCTATACTTTTAGATCCATCCCCCACATGCCAGTATTTTATACTCAGTTATTTTGAACCCCTGCCATTTAACTCTTTCAAAGTTTATTATAATATGAGACCATGTCACCATAGGCACATAGAAGTGACTTATATGTAGAGTTATTTAGCCCTTTGGAATGTGCCTCGTTGGAATTTAATCCTTTAGAATTTCCAAGTTATTTGCCATTACATTCATTCTAGCTAGCAACCACTTCCTCCTTTGTCCTGGTGCTTGAAATTTCCACTTTTAGGGTTATTGTTTAGTTTTCAGATAACTCTGTTTACTTGGGAAGAGTAATCTACTAAAGCACCTTGATAGAGTTAGTTTATCAGATTAGTTTGCCTCTCTTTCCTAGCATCCTTTGTGTATCACTCAGGGTCTCTTTAGGAAACTGATGGCATTTTCAAGCTGAATAATTGGGGATTATTTATTTATTTATTTATGTATTATTTTTTGAGGCAGAGTTTCACTCTTGTTGCCCAGGCTGGAGTGCAATGGCGGGATATCGGCTCACCGCAACCTCCACCTTCCAGGTTCGAGTGATTCTTCTGCCTCAGCCTGTGGAGTAGCTGGGATTACAGGCATGTGCCACCATGCCTGGCTAATTTTGTATTTTTAGTAGAGATGGGGTTTCTCCATGTTGGTCAGGCTGGTCTTGAACCCCTGACCTCAGGTTATCCGCCCGCCTCGGCCTCCCAAAGAGCTGGGATTACAGGTGTGAGCCACCACGCCTGGCCGTAATTGGGGAGATTTTAATAAAAGAGTTATTTAAAAAGTGTGTATGGCTTAGGAAAAGCAAGAAGGACTAGGACAGTACCCCTGGCTAGTATCAGCGAGGCTTCCTTACCACACCTGGCCCTGATAGGTAGGGAGGGCCATTGCTGGAACCTGAAGAGGTAGTTGGTAGAGGGATGAAGCAGGGAGTGAGCTGGAGAATAAATAACTGGATGTCATTCTCTTCTCTCCTTCTGTCTACTGGTAGGCTTTCTCACGAACTAAACCAAAGCAAAACCAGAGGGCAAGGAAGCCCATTGGCATAGTCCATATTGGTCAATCTCCTGGGGTGGGATAGACAGTGGATCTGGAGGGGCAAAAGGAAGAAATCTAGTGCAACCTGTAACAAAGTTGATGTTCCCAGGGCACTGTGCTTGACCTCTTTCTTACACCAACTATTCCCCCATGCCATTTCTTTCTTTCTTTTTTTTTTTTTTTTTTTTTTGAGATGGAATTTTGCTCTTGTTGCCTAGGCTGAAGTGCAATGGTGCTATCTCGGCTCACCCCATCCTCCTCCTCCCGGGTGCAAGTGATTCTCCTGCCTCAGCCTCCTGAGTAGCTGGGATTACAGGCATGCGCCACCACGCCCAGCTAATTTTGTATTTTCAGTAGAGACGGTTTCTCCATGTTGGTCAGGCTGGTCTGGAACTCCTGACCTCAGGTGATCTGCCCGCCTCAGCCTCCCAAAGTGCTGGGGTTACAGGTGTGAGCCACCGCGCTCGCCCCCCATGCCATTTCCTTTTTTTTTTTTTTTTTTGAGACTGAGTCTCGCTCTGTTGCCCAGGCTGGAGTGCAGTGGCGCGATCTCGGCTCACTGCTGCAAGCTCCACCTCCCGGGTTCACACCATTCTCCTGCCTCAGCCTCCCGAGTAGCTGGGACTACAAGCTAATCATGCCATTTCATTTATGGTTTTTACTACTCCCCTCACTCCACATGCCAAAGTCCAAATAAGTCCACCTGGTCTTTCCATACGCACTTAATCCTCAACGTGCCCTGAGCAAACTCATTAAAACTCATCATCTCTATGCCCTTTATCCAACCTGCTTCTCCTCTTGTATTCTGTATCCTAGTTAAGATATCACTATCCTGGTGCCCAAGTCAGAAATCCAAAAATTATTTCATACCGTAATCTTTCTCTTAGCCCCAATATCCAATAATCAATTCTGCTGATTTTACCTCTAAACTATTTCTCCATATAGCTACTTTTTTTCCACTCCTGCTTTTCTGGTTTAGGTCATCACTGCCTCTTATAACATGTCTCTTGGCCTCTAGTGAGTTCACTCTTGAAACAATTAGTCACATTGCTATAGAGGGTGCATTTAGAAATAAAACATATTTCATTCATTCATTTATTTGGAAGTGATATTGTGCTAAGCACTGGACATTTGGGAATGAATAGATATGTTTTCTGCATTCAGTTGTATCTTGTGGTAGAGAGACAGAAGTACAGATTGATAGGTGCAATGACAGAATTATAAACAAGGCACTTAGCTTATAATGGGGTAAAGGTGGTAGAGAAAGCAACACCTACATTTAGCCCTGAACAACTAACAGGGGTTAACCAGGTAAAAAGAAGGAGAGGAGAGACAGCCAGGGAAAGAAGTTGCAGACTATGTGTGCAAGCTGGTACAAGTTCTGGAGTGAGAGAGGGCATAAAGAACTAGAGGAATTTAAAGTAATATATTGTGTGTGAAGCAGAAAGTGTGAAATCAGTATCAGATGATGAATTTTGTTGAGGACTTTGGACTTTATCTCAAAGATTATGGAGACCCCTGGAGGACTTTAGGTTGAAGTTTGACATGATCATATTTGTGCTTTGGAGGGATTATTCTTGCAGTTATTTGGTGAATAGACTTGAAAGGGGATAAGACTAGAGGCAAATTAAATGTGAGACATGTCTTTCACCTTCTGCCATGATTGTGAGGCCTCCCCAGCCACATGGAACTGTAAGTCCATTAAACCTCTTTCTTTTGTAAAAAAAAAAAAAAAAAAAAAGACTAGAGGCAAATTAGCCAACTGTAAGGAGCTCTGACTGAACTAAGGAAGTGGCACTGGATATGGAGTAATCAGAACTATATTAAAGTGAGATTACTTATAGGACACATTAAAAGAGACTGAATTGGGAGGGTAAAGGAGTGAAAGGAACCAAGACTGATGCTTAGGACCCTAGCTTGAGCAATTGGGTGGACAGTGCTAGCATTCACTAAGGTAGGAAATTTGGAAAGATAAGGCGTTAGCAGAGTCAGGTGATTAAATTGATTTTGGACATGCTGAATTTGTGATTCCTATGGGCCATTTTCATGGAGATGAGTTGGATGGTCATGTCTAGATTTTCGATTATGATAGAAGATGAAACTTTTCAAGGAATGCCTATTGAATGAAAATAGGCTCCAGGAAGGACCAACATATAAAGCTTATTGGAAGAAAGAAAGAATAAATGTTTAGTAAACTAGGAGAAAAAGTTTTCAGTTTACTTTATCAAGCTCCGCCTCCCAGGTTCATGTCATTCTCCTGCCTCAGCCTCCTGAGTAGCTGGGACTACAGGCGCCTGCCACCACACCCAGCTAATTTTTTGTATTTTTAGTAGAGATGGGGTTTCACCGTGTTAGCCAGGATGGTCTCGATCTCCTGACCTCGTGATCCGCCCACCTCGGCTTCCCAAGGTGCTGGGATTACAGGTGTGAGCCATCGCGCCCTGCCAAGGTCCAAGTTCTCACGTTAAAATTTTTCTCTTCAACTTCATCTCAGGCCCATTCCCAACTTAACATTTTAAGCTCTGTTAGTACCAAACTGCTGCTGATCCTCCATGTATATTGGGTCTCTGTTTCTTGGATGTCCATTTACTGCTTGCTTTCAGTGTTTGCTTTGCCTGAAATACCTGTTCTTTCTCCCCATCCTCCTCCTCCCCTCCTCCTTCCCTACTTCTTTCCTCCTCCTCCTCCTTCTTCTTCTTCCTCTCCTTTCTACTTACGCTTTCTTCTTTCTTCTTCTTTTTTTTGTAGAGACAAGGTCTCACTATGTTGCCTAGGCTGGTCTTCAACTCCTGGCCTGAAGTTATCCTCTCATCTTGGACTGCCAAAGTGCTGGGATTTGGCACCACTGAGCCAAATCCCAGGCGTGAGCCACTGAGCCTGGGCTGTTCTTCCTTCTTTATAGGCTTAAAAACCTTCAAAAATTATCTCAAGATTATCCACTCCAGGAAGAACTTGAGCCTCATTGATTGAATTGGTGTACTTCTCCTCCCTTCCTATAGCATTTTCTTTATGTGTCTATCCTAGCACTTCTCACACAGTGTTGAATTCATCTGTCCACCTGGCTCATCATACAAATTGTTCCATGAGTTCAAGGATCATGCTGCATGCTGGATTCCCCCGGAAGCTGATTCTGAGATGGAGTTTAGTGTACTAAATATTTATGTGGGCCTTTGGATCATCACCTGTGAAAAGGAAGAGAAGGAAGCAGGAGTGGACCTAGGGTGAAGTGAAGCTCTGATGCAAACCTGACAACTGCCTCACCTGACACCATGAAGAGCTCTGGAGCTAGAATGGCCTTTTGTTGTTCTGAATTGGTGTGAGGTAGCTAGGTCTTTACACCCCTGCCACCACCCATTATTGGGTATGGGCCAACCAGGAAGGGGCATGACCATGAGTGATGCAGCTCTGCAGCTGAAGCAATAACTGAAGAGGCTGACAGCTGAGGGCCATCTGCTGACAGTACTCCCTGCAGCTGGGCAGCACATCCTTTCTCAAAAGGGGATCAAGGCAGTTGCATCTCCGTGTCCACCATGGACTATATATTTTTTCTTTGCATTCCTAGGGCCTCCCATAGTATATGGCACATAGTAGGCAAAACTGGAGGTCTGTAGGGCAAATTCAGCTAGTAGATGAGTATTGTTTTTTCACCCACAAAGAGATTTTTAAAAATTAGTTGTCAACATTTAAAAATAAAAAGATTTCACATTGAAATTATCATATTTTCTAGCTTTTCTTGAAAAATCAAAACATCTGGCAACACTAGATCTTTTTCTGAGATGGAGACTGTGGGCTGGAGCTGAGCCAAGGTTGTCCTCAGACAGGCTTGTGAGCTCAAGGTCTCCAGACACACACCTTCCCCAGTCCTTGAGACGTGGAGCCCTGCCTGCTGCATGCATTTACGTTACCTGTTACCTGTAGTCCTTTGAGTTTGCCACCCCTATTAGTTATTAAAGAAATGTTTATTGAACTGAGCAAACATTAACATCACTGCATTATACTTCTCAAGGGATATTCATGTACATTCATTTATTTAATCCTTAAAACAACCCTGAAAACTAGATGGTATGATCACCCCCATTTTACAGATGAGGACACTGAATCCCAGAGTGGCTCAGTGATTGCCCAAGGTCTCTAGCTGGGAAAGTGGTGGGATTATGACTTGAAATAAAATAAAATGTTTTTATTTTTAATCCTGTAATCCTCCCACTGTGACACCTGAGGGCCCTGGGATGTTACCGCTGGAGGACAATCGGGTAGACCTAGGTTTTAACTAATCTTCGCTAGGTGGGAAGAAAAAATCTTCTTAGCAAACTAAAAATACACAGCAAGAAAGAAATTGGAATATTTCTAAGTTGGCAGCAACGACTGGAAAGGAGACTATTCTTTAAGGACCTTCTTTTTTTCCAGATGGTTTCAAAGGAATAAAAAACAATTAGAGCTGCAAGGGAGAGTGGGAGACAAGACAAGGTTGGTGATCAAAGGGGAGAGCTGTGTAGGAAAATAGCAACATGGCAGCATTTCACACATAGCCACACACACTGAAAATGTGTCAACAGCGCCAGGTCATTGGTAACTGCCAAGAATAAGACTGAAATAGATTGTTAAATAAGACACAGTATTGCCGAGGCTGAGTTGTTTGCCTTCCTCAAAAGGACAAAATTCTGAGAGATGTAATGAAAGAAAATTTAACCAATTTACTAGAAATATGATGACTCCAGTGCCAGATAAGGATTATAATTTTTTTCATTACACTAAACTTGAATAGTTAAAAGGCTTTGAAAATAACACTTTTCTTCTCTACAGAGGCTTCCTTCCTTCCTTTCTTTCTTTCCTTCTTTCTTTCTCTTTCTTCCTTCCTTCTTTCTTTCTTTCTTTTTTTTGAGATGGAGTCTCGCTGTGTCCCCAGGCTGGAGTCCAGTGGCACAATCTCAGCTCACTGCAAGCTCCGCCTCCCAGGTTCACGCCATTCTCCTGCCTCGGCCTCCTGAGTTTGTTTGTTTGTTTGTTTGTTTGTTTGTTTCTCTCTTTCTCTTTCTTTTTTTTTTTTTTTTGACAGGGTCTCGTTCTGTTGTCCAGGCTGGGATGCAGCAGCACAGTCACAGCTCACTGCAGCCTCTACCTCCTGGGCTCAAGCAATCCTTCTGACTCAGCCTCCCAAGTAGCTGGGACTACAGGTGCATGTCACCATGCCTGGCTAATTATTTTATTATTTTATTTTGTAGAGATGGGGTCTCACTCTGTTACCCAGGCTGGTCTCCAGCTCCTGTGCTCAAGCAATCCTCCTGCCTTGGCCTTTCAAAGTGCTTGGATTGCAGGTGCGCTCAGTCCACATAATTTTAAATAAAGGATTTTGTTTTTTAAAAAGAAATTTCCTTTTTATTAGAAATAAAGTTCTTGGCTTCATTCTTTAAAAACAAATTTTATTGATATATAATTGTACACATTTATGGGATACTTGTGATATTTTGATATATGCATTCAATGTGTAATGATCAAATTGGGATCTCTCTCACCTCAAATAGGTATCATTTCTTTGTGTTGGGAACATTCCAAATGTTCTAGCTATTTTGAAATATATACATTATTGATAACTATAGTCACCCTGCTGTGCTATTGAATACTAGAATGTATTCTCTCTATATAACTATTTCTGTACACATTAACCAATTTCTCTTCTTCCCATCCTTACACCTCTAAAAAGCATTTTTTTTTTTTAGACAGGGTCTCACTATGTTGCCCAGGCTGGAGTGCAGTGGCACGATCTTGGCTCACTGCAGCCTCTACCTCCTGGGCTCAACCAATCCTTCCACCTCAGCCTCTTGAGTAGCTTGGGACTTCAGGAGTGCACCATACCTGGCTAATTTTTTGTAGAGATGAAGTTTCACCATGTTGCCCAGGCTGGTCTCAAACTTCTGGGCTCAAGTGATCCGCTCTCCTTGGCCTCCCAAAGTGCTGGAATTACAGCTGTGTAATCCACTGTGCCTGGACTAAAAAACAGTTAAAGTTTAATTTGTATGATTACAAAATACTTATTTCAGACAGGAGAGATTTCAAGTATATGGATATAAAGATGAAGAATATAAAATTGTATGATCATAATTTCCATCACATTGTGTAAATCATATAATGAAGTCTCAGAGGTGACTTTACTACTTTGTAATTTGAATTCACATGTAGATTTTTAAAAAGTAGAGCTTGGAAACAGTTCTTGAAAACATGATTGATATGAGTTTTTGGTGGAGGAAAGCATAGCTATTAAGTGGAAAATTACTAATAGCAATTTCCTTAGGTTTCATTAGTTGATGTAAATATAATATAGTTAGATATCTTTTACCACAGTGTAACTCTATCTATCTATCCACCTGCCTACCTGCCAATCTATCTGCCTGCCTATATTTTAGGGATACATACTCTTATGGACTGATTTGTGTTCCCTACCAAATTCATACATTGAGGCCCAAACCCTCAAAGTAACTGTATTGGAGATAAGGCCTATATGGAGGTGATTAAGGCTAAATGAGGTCAAAGGTGAATCCCTAATCTCATAGGACTGGGGTCCTTATAAAAACAGGACGAGCTAGCAGAGTGCTCTCTTTCTGTCTTCCTAAATGCACACAGAGGAAAGGCCATGTGAGAACATAGCAGGAAGGCAGCTGTCTAAAAGCCAGGAAGAGAGGCCTTACCCCAAACCACCCTCCTGGCTTCTTGATCTTCGGCTTCTAGCCTCCAGAGCTGTTGTTTCAGCTACCCACTCTGTGGTATTTTGTGATGGCGACCTGAGCAGACATATATAGCAGAAGTGGGAAGACAGGCTTTGAGGTGATAAACACCACGTTAAGATAGGGCCAAGAGTGGGACTGAAACAGAAGACAGGTGAGCATGGGGGCCCAAAACATTGCAGAGTTTTGAAGCTAAACATGATCCAGTTTCTACTAAAATTCTTTTCTTGGGGGGGATTGGTGGGGGGACAAGATCTCGTTCTGTTGTCCAGGCTGGGGTGCAGTGGTGCAATCTCGGCTCACTGCAACTTCCACCTCCCAGGTTCAAGCAATTCTCCTGCCTTAGCCTCCAGAGTAGCTGGGATTACAGGCGTGTGCCACCACACCTGGCTAATTTTTGTATTTTTGTAGAGATGGGGTTTCGCCATGTTGGCCAGGCTGGTCTCAAACTCCTAACCTCAAGCAATCCACCCGCCTCGTCCTCCCAAAGTGCTGGGGTTACAGGCGTGAGCCACTGCATCTGGCCTTAAAATTCTTCTTTAATCAAAACAACCAAAGTACACTTTGGCTCCTGTATGAGAAATAGTATGAGGCCGGGGCTGGTGGCTCACACCTGTAATCCCATCACTTTGGGAGGCCAAGGCAGGTGGATCATGAGGTCAGGAGTTCGAGATCAGCCTGGCCAATATGGTGAAACCCCATCGCTCCTAAAAATACAAAAATTAGCCGGGCGTAATGGCAGGCACATGTAGTCCCAGTTACTGGGGAGGCTGAGGCAGAAGAATCGCTTGAACCCAGGAGGCAGAGGTTGCAGTGAGCCGAGATCATGTCACTGCACTCCAGCCTGGGCAACAGAGCAAGACTCCATCTCAAAAAAAAAAAAAAAGAAAGAAATAGTATGAACAGCGACCCAGCACAAGGAGAGACCAGTTAGGAGACTGTTACCTTAGTGCAGGTGAGATATTATGGTAGCCTGGATTAGGGTGCCAAGAATTCAGAGGTGAAAAGTAAACACATTCAAGGCAAAAAAGTAGAATATCCAATACAATTTTGAAAATGAGCAAAGTTGAGGGACTCATACTACCTGATTTCAAGCCTTGGAATAAAGCTACAGTCATCAGGACAATGAATATGGGTGAGCAGATAGACACACAGTTCAATAAAATGGAGTAGAGACTTCTTATAGATTCACAAAAATATGGTCAGTTGATTTTTGAAAAAGGTACAAAGCCAATTCAATAGATAATGAATAGTGTCTTCAAAAACTGGTGTTTGAACAACTGGACATCCATGTACAAAAAAAAAAGAAAGAAAAAAATGAACCTTGACTTATACTTCACAGTTTATACAAAATTACCTCAAAATGGATAATAGACTTCAATGTAAAACATAAAGATTTTGAAGAAAATCTAGGAAAAAAATCTTAATGGGCTTGAGTTGGCAAAGATTTCCTACATATGATACCATAAGCAAGATTTATATGAGAAAATCTACCATAATTAAATGTTTGGCTTTGTCCAAGTTGCTGTTAAGAGGATAAAAAGACAAGTCATAGGGTGGGAAAAAATACCTACACATCGTATATTTGACAAAGGGTTTGAACTTAAAACACATAAAGAACTCTCAAAACTCAACTATAAGCAAGAAAAAGCCGATTGGGTACAGTGGCTCACACCTGTAATCCCAGCACTTTGGGAGGCCGAGGTGGGTGGATCACCTGAGGTCAGGAGTTCAAGACCAGCCTGGTCAACATGGTGAAACCCCATATCTACTAAAAATACAAAAATTAGCCAGGATGGTGACGCATGCCTGTAGTCCCAGCTACTTGGGAGGCTGAGGTACAAGAGTTGCTTGAACCTGGGAGGTGGAGGTTGCAGTGAGCAGAGATCACTCCACTGTACTCCAGCCTGGGTGACAGAGCAAGACTCTGTCAAAAAAAAAAAAAGTGAAGAAAAGAGAAGACAAGAAAAGAGAAGAAAAGAAAAGAGAAGAGAAGAAAGAAGAAAAGAAAGAAAGAAGAAAGAAAGAAAGAAAGAAAGAAAAGCAAATTTCGACAGTTACTTTACGAAAGAAAACGTATAGATGCTATATTAGTTCATTTTCACACTGCTGTAAAGGTGCTACCTGAGACTGGGTAATTTGTAAAGAAAAGAGGCTTAATTGACTTACTGTTCCACATGGCTGGGGAGGCCTCAGGAAATTTACAATCATGGTGGAAGGTGAAGGGGAAGCAAGGCCTGTCTTACACGGTGGCAGGAGAGAGGGCAAACAAAAAAGAACTACCAAACATTTTTAAAGCCATCAGCTCTCGTGAGAACTCCCTCACTATCATGAGAACAGTGCGGAGGAAACCACCGCCATGATCCAATCACCTCCCATCAGCTCTCTCTCCTGACATGTGGGATTACAATTCGAGATGAGATTTGGGTGGGGACACAGAGCCAAACCATATCAGATGGCAAGTAAGTGCATCAAAAAATTCCCAGTATCATTAGGCAGTAGCTGTTAGGAAAAGGCACATTACAATCACAGTGAGATATCCTATACATGTATTAGAATAACTAAAATAAAAAACAGACAAGTGACAATACCGAGTCTTGATGAAGTTGCGTAACAACTGGAATTCTCACATTGCTATGGGAATGCAAAATGGCACAGCCATTCTGAAAAAGTTTGACAGTTTCTTATAAAATTAAACATATATTTACCATATCATTCAGTCATGCCACTCCTGGCTGTTTATCCTGGAGAATTATAAGCTTATGTTCACACGAAAAGTTGTACAAGAATGTTTATAGCAGCTTTATTTGTATTTGCCCCAAAGTGAAGTGAAACAACCCAAATGTTCTTCTTTTTTTTTTTTTTTTAAGACGGAGTTTCACTCTTATTGCCCAAGCTGGAGTGTAATGGCGCAATCTCCCCTCACTGCAACTTTCACCTCCCCGGTTCAAGCCATTCTCCTGCCTCAGCTTCCCGAGTAGCTGGGATTACAGGCATGCGCCACCACGCCTAGCTAATTTTCTATTTTTAGTAAAGACTGGGTTTCTCCATGTTGGTCAGGCTTGTCTCAAGCTCCTGACCTCAGGTGATCCACTAGCCTCAGCCTCCCAAAATCCTTCTGGGATTATAGGCATGAGTCACCACACCCGGCCCAAATGTTCTTTAATGAGGAAATGGATAACCAAACTTTGGTACCCTCATGCAGTAGAATATTACTCAGCAATAGAAAGAACAAACTTTGATACATGCAACAACATTAATGAATTTCAAAGCCATTATTTTGAGTGAAAAAAGCCAAATTCCGAAGTTTGCATACCGTGTGATTCAATTTATATATCATCCTGTACAAGCTGAAGATACAGAGATAGAGAATAGACCAGTAGTTTTCCATGGTCGGTTGTATGTGTGTGTGTGTGGACGTGGAGGGGTGTTTGACTAAAAACAGTCTGAGGAAGTTTGGGGAAGTAACGGAACTTTTTTGTATCTTGATTATGGTTTTGGTTATATGTCTTGTCAACCTGAAATAATCAAAAGGATCAGAATCCAGTTTTTAAAAGTTTATTCAAGAGAAAAGCTGGGAATGGTCATCCAGCAGATATGGATGTCAGAGAAGTGGGGATCAGTGCTCCAGAATCAAAACTTCACATCAGCCAGGCACAGTGGCTCACGCCTGTAATCCTAGCACTTTGGGAGGCTGAGGCCGGCAGATCACGAGGTCAGGAGTTCGAGACCAGCCTGACCAACCTGGTGAAACCCCATCTCTACTAAAAATACAAAAATTAGCCGGGCATGGTGGCAGGTAGCTGTAATCCCAGCTACTCTGGAGGCTGAGGCAGGAGAATCGCTTGAACCTGGGAGGCGGAGGTTGCAGTGAGCTGGGATCTCACCACTGCACTCCATCCTGGGTGACAGAGCAAGACTCCATCTCAAAAAAAAATTATATAAATAAATAAATAAATAAAACTTAACGTCTTTCATATATAGGCCCAAAACAAAGAAATTTAGTAGGATTACAATTTTTTTATATAAGCCTGGTTTATCAGTGACAACAATTTAATTAGTTACAGTTTTTTTTAATATGCTTATTTTTTTCTTTCCTATTGAAAAGTACGTATTTAACATTCAATCCTAGACAATGTGACAGTCATGAAGTCTTTATGTGAGAAAGGCAAGAAGAAAGTTAATCTATAATGAAGATCAACAGTGAAGAGAAATGAGGTCTGCCCTGGTGCACTTAAGTCATTCACAACATTTTACAAAACAATGTAAGTAAGGAAAAAGGCTCATCTATAATTAGAGAAACAAAGGTTACAGCTGCCTAAGTTATAGCTGTCTGTTTACATGACTCAGTTCCCATAATCACATTCTCTTAAGGTTCAAAATATTACCAGCTTAGATTTTTGAATTACTTATTTTCATAGTCTCTATGCCTTTGTCAAAACTCTTGGAATTATATATCAACAAAGTAAATTTTATTGTATATAAATTAAAAATATAATTTTAAATAGTAAAAAGATGGCTTTAGGTTGAAAATCACACAAATGCAGTAAGCTGGGAGGAGAGGATCTAACCCCTCTGCCCCTTGCCCTAGTGAAAACTACAATTCTTTTAGAAAAGAATACAGATACCTAATCAAGTGCATGCTGTTGGCAAGACTATGTAGTAGGGGACATAAAAGGGTCTGGGCTGGAGAAAGCAAAGAATAATTAGAGAGGACAGTTAAGTAAGATTCAAATGTGTGAAAGGGATACAAGTGGCCTGCTTGAATTCTTGAGTTCTTCCTGAATTGCTCAAATTGGGTTTACTTGTGTTGGTGATACCTAGCTAGTTCTCTTGGTCAAGAATAGACTAAGTGGAGGCCGAGCACGGTGGCTCATGCCTGTAATCCCAGCACTTTGGAAGGCCCAGACGGGCAGATCACGAGGTCAGGAGATTGAGACCATCATGGCTAACATGGTGAAAACCTGTCTCTACTAAAAATACAAAAAAATTAGCCAGGTGTGGTGGCGGGCGCCTGTAGTCCCAGCCACTCTGGAGGCTGAGGCAGGAGAATGGCGTGAACCCAGGAAGCGGAGCTTGCAGTGAACCGTGATAGCGCCACTGCACTCCAGCCTGGGCGACAGTGCGAGACTCCATCTCAAAAAAAAAAAAAAAAAAAACAATAGACTAAGTGGAATAAAAGTTTCTCTGAAGTCCTAATATTGCATAACCACTCCCTTGTCCCCTCTTCCTTGTTCATGAGTAAGGGAGGATGGGTCCATCAGGCAAGAGTCTCTGGTATTTTTTTTTATTTTTTTTTGAGACAGAGTTTCGCTCTTGTGGTCCAGGCTGGAGTGCAATGGCACAATCTCAGCTCACTGCAATCTCCACCTCCCGGGGTTGAAGCGATTCTCCTGCCTCAGCCTCCCAAGTAGCTGGGACTACAGGAATGAGCCACCACGCCCAGCTAATTTTGTATTTTTAGTAGAGATGAGGTTTCTCCATGTTGGTCAGCCTGGTCTTGAACTACCGACCTCAGGTCATCCGCTGGCCTCAGCCTCCCAAAGAGCTGGGGTTACAGGCATGAGCCACCGTGCCCAGTGAGTCTCTGGTATTTTTTGTTTGTTTGTTTGTTTTTGTTTTTGTTTTTGAGACAGAGTCTTGCTCTGTCGCCCAGGCTGGAGTGCAGTGGCGCGATCTCTGCTCGCTGCAAGCTCTGCCTCCTGGGTGCACGCCATTCTCGGGCCTCAGCCTCCCAAGTAGCTGGGACTACAGGTGCCCGCCACCATGCCCAGATAATTTTTTTTTTTTTTGTATTTTTGGTAGAGACGGGGTTTCACCATGTTAGCCAGGATGGTCTCAATCTCCTGACCTCGTGATCCACCTGCCTTGGCCTCCCAAAGTGCTGGGATTACAGTCGTGAGCCACCGCGCCCAGCCCAAGTCTCTGGTATTTTTATACCAAGATTTCTTTTAGACTTTTAGCCACTTTTAATACTGTGCACTCCACTGGGACATTTGCAAATTAATACACTTATTCTTTAGGGACACATTAAACTATAGCAAACAAACAAACAAGAAAACCCAAACCCAGTTATCCACTTTTTCAGTTAAGATTAGTTAGAACCAAAAGTATATGATAAATTTTAAAAACACACCCCAAATTATGAATACAAGTATTAGAAGATAAATAAAATAAAAATCAAGCAACCTTACTAGACTCTCATATAGGCCCTCCTTCATAAATACACAACTTACGGCTTTTGATCACAAATCCTTTAAGGAAGGAATACTGGTTTTCCAAAATCCAATGGAGGGAGAAATGAAGCTAAAAATGAGTGTTCTCAAAAAATAACAAATAATAAGCCCGGGCATGGTGGCTCACACCTGTAATCCCAGCACTTTGGGAGGCTGAAGCGGGCGGATCACAAGATCAGGAGGTCAAGACCAGCCTGGCCAACATGGTGAAACCCCGTCTCTACTAAAAAATACAAAAAAAGTAGCCCAGCATGGCGGCGAGCGCCTGTAGTCCCAGCTACTCGGGAGGCTGAGGCAGGAGAATAGTGTGAACCAGGGAGGCGGAGCTTGCAGTGAGCCGAGATCACCCCACTTCACTCCAGCCTTGGCAACAGAGTGATTCTCCGTCTCAAAAAAAACAAGAAAAAATAAAATCATCAAGTGAAATTCATTTATTTATAAAGAATATTTATTGATTTCCCACCTAACATTATTAGTTAAGTTTCCAGTTTTTCTTCCTGACAGGAAAAGCAGCTATTCTGGGTTGTTGATTCAATTCCTTTGCAGTGTAATGCTTACTAATTGGCAAAGTTGGGGGTAAGATGGATATTCTTTTGTGAAAGTTAAGGAACCTGATGATGACATACACATTTTATCTTTTTTTAAAAAAGAAGATCTCACTCTATTGCCCAGGCTAGAGTGCAGTACTGTGATACACTCCAGCCTGGGCAATAGAGCTCTGAGGTTATAGTTTGCTGTAACCTCAAACTCCTGCACTCAAGCAATCCTATTGCCTCAGCCTCCTGAGTAGCTGGGACTACAGGCATGTGTTATCAGGACTAACTAATTGTTTAAAAATGTTTTATAAAGACCGAGTCTTGCTTTGTTGCCCAGGCTGGTCTTGAACTCTTGGCTTCTAATGATCCTTCTACCTCAGGGTCTCAAAGCACTGGGATTACAGACATGAGCTACTGCACCTGGCCGTGTTTTTAACTAGAGGGTGGAATGTATAAACACCCTTGAGTATGACCCAGTTTTTTCTAATGCAGTACTTTCATGTTTGTTTTTATATACAGGTGCATTTATAGGTGGTCCAACCTTCCCCATTCACCTCATGGAGTAAGGGTGGCTGATATCTACTGTGTGCTCCACCCCTCTGCTTTCATGTCTTTGCTCCCCACTGCCAGAATCCTTTTAAATGTAGTGCTGCAGGCAGCCAACAGCAACAACTCAGTGTATTAGTTTTCCAGGGCTGCCATAACAAAATACCATAGACTGGGAGGCTTAAACAACAGAGATTTATTTTTCCCAGCTCTGGAGGCTGGAAGTCCAAGAGCAAGATGTTGGCAGTTTGGATTTCTCCTAAGGCCTCTCCTTGGCTTTTTGATGGCCGCCTTCTGGCTCTGTCTTCACACGGCCATTTCTCTGGGCTCACATATCCCTGGTGTCTCTCTTCCTCGTCTTAGAAGGCACACCAGTTAGATTGGATTAGGGCCCACCCTAATTGCCTCTTTTACTTAAATCATCTTTTTAAAAGACCTTTTTTTCAAATACAGTCACATTCTCAGGTACGAGGGGTTAGGGCTTTATCATACAAGTTTTGGAGTGACACAATTCAGTCCATAGCACTCAGATATAATCTATTTGCTATCTCTGCCATAAGCGAAGATAACCTACTTAAAAAGAAATAGCCTGAAAATGTTTGCCGACCTCCTGACTAAAGTTCATTGCTTTGAGCATGAGAGTTCATTGCATAATCTCATCTTCAGGCGGGCTCCTGAGCTTTTAGGGCAGTGCAGGGGGGAGGTATCCAGTGTGAGCAATACTCCCCTAAAGGATACAGCAAGGAAATAGGTTCTCATTGGAATTTGTGTCCAGGCATTGCTGCCACCAGAGACAACCAAGGCCAACAGCCAAGTGTGGACTGCCCCTAAACACTGAGTCAGCATCACTGCACTTGGGAGGGTTCCTCTACCTCCTTAGGCTGGAGGAAAGCCAGGACTGTAAAACCAAAGAATTTGAGCCACAATGATTCTGTTACTGGAAAATATTGCAGTTACATTTGCACACACATGCACATAGATTAGAAAGGTATTTCACAACAATCTTCATCTGACATTGTCACTGGAGAGCAACAGTAATTCCTTATCACTTAAGACCAATACCCACAGGTTGAAAGCTAGGAACACTCCCAATATTCTGTATGTAAGAGCCAAGGAAATTTCACAGAGAAAAGTGAGGAAGGGACATGTAAGGGTTACAGATGGGCATTCAGCAAACAAACTTTTACATATGTTTCTCAGGATTGGAGCAGTCTCTGGGATTGCGCAACAGATACTGGCTGAAAACAGTATTCCTGAACCAGAGCAGTGACTATGCTCTGGCTAACTTATTCTTACTTTTTTCCAGGTAATACATAATATTCTTTTTTTCCTTTTTGGGAGGTGGGGGTATGACAGGGTCTCAATATGTTGCCCAGGCTGGTTTCAAACTCCTGGGCTCAAGTGACCCTTCCACCTTAGCCTCCCAAATAGCTGGGATTAGAAACACATACCACCGTGCCCAGCTTATTCTTTGAGATGTACATTTTAGCATATCTGCAGTTGGACTTCAGTCTCGCAATAAACATAAAATGTAATGTGTTCTTTCTCTTCCTTCTATTCATCCTCTTTTCCCTTCTTATTTTTGTCCTCCTGGAAAACCCTTATTAAAGAGCAGGTGCATTTTACAGTTGGCATCTTGAAATTGAGGTAATACACTTCCAATTTGTTTGAAGTCTAGGTTGAATAAAGTCTTTAATAGTGTCTCAGTTTAGTTTTCCCCATTTGGTTGCAGAGTCGACATTAATAATTTGCCCTCCAAAACTGGAAGGCACCTCCATGGGTCTGTGCACTGACATCCTCTTGTATCTCAGATCTTAGTGGGACTCCTACCAGAGCTGTGTCCTGATAAAGCCCTGGGAGGGCTAAGCCTGACAAAGGCCATGTGATGCACGGGCAAGTGCCACCTTCCAGAAATGAACACAATGTCTTTGATGGCAAAGCGATGTCATCTCTCTTTGCTCCAAGTCTATGCAAATTTAGTCTTCATTTCAGAGAAAACCTCTGTTTTGCAAAGGCACTGGTGTGTGTGTGTGCGTGTGTGTGTGTAATCTCCAACACAAAAAGTAAAAGCCACCATCTTATGGTAAGTTAGAATAAAAGAACCATTAGCTCTTAAATCACTGGAATACATTAAAGAGTAATTACATCAAGAATAGTCTAGAAGTTAGTCTTCTGGAACAATCTGCTTCATAGATTAGCATGAGAGCTCATTTGCATATATGCTATAGACACATTTAAAAGAGAGAGTGTGTATATGTGTATATATAGCATATATGGCATATATAGCATTTTCAAGAGAGTAAACATCATGCTAATTCCTGTGGCAAAAGACAATTTCAGTGTTTTTGCAACATTTGACAATCGCTTCATCTTTGTAATACCATCTAAATTAGCATTTTAAAAAATCCCATATATTACTTAACAGAAAAGACCTAAGTGGTATCAAAAGAGACTGGAGGCAAATTAAGTTTCCTTTTGTCCAACTTTGTGTCACTTCCTGCCTCCATAAATAGGGAAAGCAAAATATCTGTGCTTCTTATTCATGTACATCTGCCAAACCAATTAACACCTCCTGAATGTTATCTTAATTGCATTTATTAACATAACATTAACATAGCAGGGAGATAACATTCAGGAGGTATTAATTGGTTTGGCAGGCACTCTTGAATGGGGAACATTGAGAAAGGCCCTTCTCAGTATCTTACTTTTCATTTTTTTAAATTTTTGTGGTGAAGAGGAAATGAGATTATGTTGAAAGAGAGAAAATATATCTTAACCAAAATGGTAGCGACATTCCTTGATTCTGACTCTTTGTCAGCTTACCCAGTTGCTCTCTCTGCAACAGTGTCTCTGTGCAGTCTGGCTAAGATGGCTTAAGGTATGCTTCTTGGGGATGCACCAAACTACAGTGGTGAATTTTTACAGCATCTCAACTGCCTTACAAATCATCCAAATACGTTCCACTGATGAGAATTTAATAGGGCTCCTACCCTTATAGAATCACAGAACTATAGAATGTTATAACTAGATTCATCCATTCATTAACTCATTCATTAGGCATTATTGAGCTCCTAGTTTAGTCCAGGGACTGTAAACTGCTGGTGGAAAGAGATAAACAGGATTCAACACCTGGCTCAAGAAGTCCAGCTGGCACAGGAATTGGAAATGAGGACAATAATTGCATGTGTTTGGCATCGGTAGCTGCCTGCTACATATTGATTGAGTGGATGAATTAATGAAATGTGATTATTTTGTTTCTATCTGATGGTGGTATAGAGGGTGGTGAGTGTGGGTTGTAGGGATATGTGTATAAGAAGACAAAAACTGAAGACAAAGAGATGATTGTGAAAACATTTGAAATCATCAGGGGCTGAACTAAGTTAGAAACCCTAGGCATGAAGAAGAGGGGATAGATAAAGAAGTCCACATGGTAAAAATAACTACTAACATTTGTTGAGGATTTTCTTAGCATTTTATATGAATTTAATTTTCTCAACCACCATATAAGGCGGACCTGTTATTACACCCATTTTAAAGATGAGGCAATTGAGCCGGGCGCGGTGGCTCATGCCTGTAATTCCAGCGCTTTGGGAGGCCTAGGCGGGCGGATCACCTGAAGTCAGGAGTTCGAGACCAACCTGACCAACATGGTGAAACCCCGTCCTTTCTGAAAATACAAAAAATTAGCCTGGCGCGGTGGCGGGCACCTGTGATCCCAGCTACTCGGGAGACTGAGACATGAGAATAGCTTGAGCCCGGGAGGCGGAGGTTGCAGTGAGCCGAGATTACACCACTGCACTCCAGCCTGGGCAACAGAACAAGACTCCATCTCCAAAAAAACAAAAAACAAAAACAAAGATGAGGTAATTGAATGTGGTAGTCTGAATACTGCCGCCCCCATCCCCCGGGCTGCCATACCCTAATACCAGAACCTGTGAATATATTGCATTATATAGCAGAAGGGACTTGGCAGATGTGATTGAGTTAAGAATTCTGAGATGGGGAGATTATCCCGGATTATCCCTGTGTGCGTGATGTAATCATAGGGCCTCTATATAAGGGGGCAGGAGGATCGGTGTGAGAGCGAGACGATATAAGGACAAAAGCAGAGGTCAGAGAGGAGAGAAGATGCCACACAGCTGGCTTTGAAGATGAAGGGGCCATGATCCCAGGGATGTGGGTGGCTTCTAGAGGGGCTTTCCCTGGGCACTTTGTGTAATGAGACTCCTCCCAGTTACTCACCCTGTTCACTTTCTCTCCTTCCTTCCCTCCCTCCCTCCCTTCCTCTTTCTTTCTTTCTTTCTTTCTTTCTTTCTTTTCTTCTTTCTTTCCTTCCTTCCTTCTTTCCTTCCTTCCTTCTTTCCTTCCTTCCCTTTCTTTCCCTTTCTTTCTTTTTCCTTCCTTTCTTTCTTTCTTTCTTTCTTTCTTTCCTTCTCTTTCTTTTTTTCTTTTTTTTTCTTTCTTCTTTCTTTTTTTTTTTTTCAGAGTTTCCCTCAGTTGCCCAGGCTGGAGTGCAGCAATGCAATTTTAGCTCACTGCAACCTCCGCCGCCCAGGCTCAACGGTTCTCGTGCCTCAGCCTCCCATGTTGCTGGGATTACAGGCCCATGTCACCACACTCAGCTAATTTTTGTGTATTTTTAGTAGAGACAAGGTTTCACCATGTTGGCCAGGCTGGTCTTGAACTCCTGACTTCAGGTGATCCTCCCGCCTTGGCCTCCCAAAGTTCTGGGAGTACAGGCATGAACCACCACACCCAGCCTCACTTTCTTTAGAGTGCTTATCTCTATGGGAAACTACTTTAATTGTATGATTATTATTATTATTATTATTTAAAGTTTCCCCCATTAGATTATTTCGATGAAGGCTATTTCTGTATTGTCTGCCATTGACCCAGTGCCTAACACTGTGCCTAACATAAAAAATGTGCTCAATAAATGTTTGCTAAAAGAATATAGGAAGGGAAGAAGTTCTCAAACTTGCTCAGGGTGGCATATTTCCTGGCTGGCAGGGTGTCCTCTGAGGATCTTGAGATATTGAAATACAGACTTATGCTGGGTGCAGTGGCTCATGCCTCTAATCCTATCACTTTGGGAGGCTGAGGCAGGCAGATTGCCTGAGCTCATGAGTTCAAAACCAGCCTGGACAACACGGTGAAACCCCATCTCTACTAAAAATACAAAAAAATTAGCCAGACGTGGCAGCGTGTGCCTGTAGTCCCAGCTACTCAGGAGGCTGAGGCAGGAGAATTGCTTGAACCTAGGAGATGGAGGTTGCAGTGAGCCGAGATCGCACCACTGCACTCTAGCCTTTGCGATGGAGCGAAACTCCATCTCCAAAAAGAAAGAAAGAAAGAAATACAGACCTATAATCACTCTGTGGCATGGAGGTGCACTGCTTCAATTCCCCTTCATTGAAGAGTGTATTGGCTCAGCTGCTGGAAATGTGGTCCGCAGACAATCTTTAGTTATTAGGGATAATCTCAACTGCAGAAAACTGCCTTGCCCAAGTACACCCTTCTCGGGATGGCCCACACACAGTGGGTGATTGAGATGGGTATAGAGGCTTGGCCATTTCAGTCCAGCATGGGACAACCCTGACAGGCTGTTTTTAGCTCCAGAGCTCCTTGTGGGGTTGTCCAAGGCTGTCATTGGCCCACATTGCCTTTGACCTCTGCCTCACCCAGTACTGCTTCCACTGCCTTTCCACAGATGTTGATCCCAAGGACTCTCCTTAATAAATATCCTGCACATTAAACTCTGTCTTGGAGTCGACTTCCTACAGACCCGAATCTTGAACAATCACTAAGCATAGAATTTTATCTTGAGCTAGATAATTATAAACAAGCAGAAACAGAATATAAAACTTAAGAAAAATGCATGGAAGAGTTTAAGGAAATGCTATCCATTAATTATTATAATTTCACTGATTTAGAAAAAGAGAGCTATTATTAAAAACTTCGCTGGGCATGGTGGCTCACGCCTGTAATCCCAGCATTTTGGGAAGCCGAGGTAGGTGGATCACCTGAGGTCGGGTGTTCGAGACCAGCCTGACCAACGTGGAGAAAACCTGTCTCTACTAAAAATACAAAATTAGCCAGGCGTGGTGGCGCATGCCTGTAATCCCAGCTACTCGGGAAGCTGAGGCAGCAGAATCGTTTGAACCTGGGAGGCAGAGGTTGTGGTGAGCTGAGATTGTGACATTGCACTCCTGCCTGGACAACAAGAGTGAAACTCCGTTAAAAGAAAAGAAAGAAAGAAAGAAAGAAAAAAAAGGACTCGTCAGTGGAAGCCTTTAACACACTGATGTCCCCCCAGCGACATGGCTTGACAGCTGGCAATTTTGATTTTCAGGAGCCTGTTCACAGCCAGAATTTAACATGTCATCTTTCTTCTAATCTGATCCCCTTGCTGGGCTTTCTGTGCCCACGAATGACACCAACATCATTTCAGCTGATCAGGCCCAACCCTGAGAGTTGTCCTTCAGACCTCCCTCTCCTGTGTTCCCTAATTCACCAAGTCACAACACACTGTCTCCTAAGTATCTCTTGGAGTTGTCTCTCTGATCCATGACCATCATCATTCTTGATTCAAGCCACCTATTCCTCCTCTCTTGGCTTAATGAACAACTCTCTTGTTGTTTTGTCTCTTTCCAATTTGTTTTTTTCCGTGCTGGGATGGTCATTGCCCAGCTTAAAACTCTTTGAGTAGCTTCTCATCACACTAAGCATGAAGTATAACCCCTTAACAAGACATCCAAAGCCTTCTCTAATCGGGTTTTTCCCTATTTCTAGATACACCTCTGATATGTCCTTGTTAACCTTGCCCCCTCTCCACTGCCTCCTTTGTTTTGGTTCCGATAAAATTCTCCAAAATATCCATGCTTGTGCAGAGGCCCATTATGGCCTGGATTCTCCCTGGGGCTCCAGTCTTTAATTTTGCCATCATCCCTTCTTCCTAGTCTTAGCCATACTGAATAACATGTAGTTCCTCAATATGCCTTGTCTTTGTTTGCCTTTGGGCCTTTGCACATGTTGTTACCTCTGTCTGTACTATTTCCCCCTTCTCTGCCCACCCACCTCCCCAGCCTTCTTCACCATGTCGATTTCTAACTACTGCCACCCTTCTTTGATTCCATGAGGATAGATTTGGTGCCCCTGCTCCTATGTGCTCTTATAGCACTCTGTGCTTGGTCCTTTTGATAACAGTTGTACTATGTGTAATTGCTGCTAAACCTGGCTATCTCAGATACTAGATGAAACTCCTTATTTATTTGTTTGTTTGTTTGTTTGTTTGTTTTTGAGACAGTGTCTTGCTCTGTTGCCCAGGCTGGAGTGCAATGATGCGATCTAGGCTCATTGCAACCTCTGCCTCCCGGGTTCAAGCAATTCTCCTGCCTCGGCTTCCCGAGTAGCTGGGATTAGAGGTGCCTGCCACCATGCCTGGCTAATTTTTATACTTTTAGTAGAGACAGGATTTCACCATGCTGGCCAGGCTGGTCTCGATCTCCCAACCTCAGGTGACACGCCCTCCTTGGCCTCCCAAAGTGCTGGGATTACAGGCATGAGCCACCGCACCCGGCAAAACTCCTTGTTCATAGCGGTGCCCCAGCATTAATACAGTGCCTATCACAGAGAAGGTACTTGGGAAACATCTGTTGATGAATGAATAAATGAATGTGTAACAAGTCTCATGAAAATCCTAATACATAGGCAGAGTAGACATTTTGTGGCCACGTTTTAGAAATATGGGAATTGAGGTTGACTTAGCCAAGCATATATTTCATTTGGGTCTTCTGTTTGCAAATCTAGTGCTACTTACGATAAACGTCTCCATTTTTCGTTCATTCCACATTATAGTATTCCACAAATACTTGAAAGCTTGCTCTGTGTCGGGCTCTATTATAGGTGCTCCATGGTCTGTCTTATAGTGCTTACATTCTTGAAGGAAAGATTGACAATAAACAAGTAACAAAATAATTTTGGGTAGAGGCATACTTCTATAAAAGAAGTATGATAAGGTGATGTGACAGAGTGGACGAATATGGGTGAAGGTGGTTCTTCAGAAATGGCATCAGGGAAGGTCTATTGGAGGAAGTAGCAGTTGAGCTGAGATCTGAATGAAGAGAAGGAACCACCCATGAGACAAGCCAAGAAAGAACCTTCCTAGCAAAGGGAAGAGCATGTGCAAAGCCCGGAAATAGGAGAGAACTCAGTGTGCTCAAGCATCAGAAAGAAGGCCAGAATGTTGAGATCACAGTAAGCTAATAGATCTGTTCCCCATTATTTGGAGAAAGTGAAGGAAAATGTGGCCAGAGATAGCACTGGTCTAGATCATCTTCCTGGCTGGTAGATCCTAGCCAGGAATTTTTTTTTTTTTTCCTCCAAAAATGAAATGAGAAGCCAATGAAGGATTTAAAGCAGGGACTGACAGTTACTTAATCCAGAATATGATAGAGTCATAGTCCTAATGATATAGGAGAACTTGATGATTAGAGTTTCAGGAAATAAAATTCCATGTAATTGGGAAAATGGAGTCTAGTGTGAAAAAAGCTCTGGAAGCAGTGTGGACCTGGTGACCATTTTCCCTTGAGAATTATAGGTACTTTTAAAAGCCACAATTATGGTTTTGACCAATACCTTCAAGCAAATAAATTCCAAGTCTGAATTTCCAGCCTATTTCCAATTTTCTGCTGGACAGGTCTTCCACAATGTCCTGAAATTCATATCTAAAGGCAAATCTATTCCCTTGCCCACCTACTCTAAGGTTCAGTGGTATGCTCCACCTTTATTAGTGATTTACTCAAGTTATAGGCATCCTAAATGACAATCCAATTACAGAAGCCCAGATGATCACCAAGTCCTGCTTCTTCTACCACCTAAATATGTCTCGGATTTGTCTTCATTGTCTCTGTCTCTCTTCAGGTTATCATCAGCTATCACCAGGACTTTTGTAGCAATCTCCTACCTTATCACCAGCTTTCTTTCTTTTTTTTTTTTTTTGAGACGGAGTCTCGCTCTCTCACCCAGGCTGGAGTGCAATGGCACAATCTTGGCTCACTGCAAGCTCCGCCTCCCGGGTTCATGCCATTCTCCTGCCTCAGCCTCCCTAGTAGCTGGGTCTACAGGCACCCGCCATCTTGCCCGGCTAATTTTTTCTATATTTATTAAAGACGGGGTTTCAGCGTGTTAGCCAGGATGGTCTCGATCTCCTGACCTCGTGATCCACCCGTCTCGGCCTCCCAAAGTGCTGGGATTACAAGTGTGAGCCACAACGCCCAGCCAACACCAGCTTTCTTTACTCCAACCCCTCTACTACCAGAACAAATCTTATTTTTTATAAAAAATGCTAGCCTTTTAATGTTTTATCTCCACTACAAAAGTAATAACTTCATTATTGTTAAATAGCTAAAATTCTGTCACCCAATGAAAAGCCAATGTGCATTCTCCTAGAACTTTCTTCTGTGATTATACAGATATACACAACCTTGTTATATTTTTATTTTATCAAAAATTGGATTGTAATATAATTGTTTGATAATCTGCATTTTTATTTAATAGAGTGTGGGTGTTTTTCTAAATGAGTAAACATGCGACATCAATTTTGGTGGCTTGAAATTATTTCATTATGTGAGTGTACTATAAGTTATTTAAATGATTTTCTTTTGATAGATGATATGGTTTTGCTGTGTCCCCACCCAAATATCATCTTGAATTATAGCTCCCATAATTCTCATGTATTGTGGGAGGGACCCGGTGGGAGATAATTGAATCATGGGGGTGGTTCCCCCTACTGTTCTTGTGGTAGTGAATAATTCTCATGAGATCTGATGATTTTATAAGGGGATTCTCCTTTCTCTTGGCTCTCATTCTCTCTCTTGCCTGTTACCATGTAAGATGTATCTTTCACTTTCTGCCATGATCGTGAGGCCTCCCCAGCCACGTGGAACTGTGAATCCATTAAACCTCTTTTTCTTTATAAATTATCCAGTCTTGGGTATGTCTTTAACAGCAGCGTGAAAATGGACTAATACAATAGCCATTCAGATTATTTTGCTTTTATGAATGATGTGTTAAATGTCTTTCTAGATTTACCTATATATAGATCTCCATCTTTCTGTTTCTTAGGAAAAATTTACTTAAAATGGATTTTTTTGGCATATAAATGAAATTTAATAAGAAAATATTTCATATCTGTTTACTAATCTCTCAATGTAAAATGGAATTCTTGATCACATACAATTTCTTTTAATATTTTTGTAGTTTTGTGATTTATAATTAAGTTTTAAATTTTTTTTATTTAGAAATCCTTAGCATGAGGTATGAATTCATGGTCTGAACTTCGTTTTTCCTAACATGTTTAACCAGCTTTCTCAATATTATTTGTAGTTAAATGCAATCTTTTTCCAATGATTTGAAGTGCTGACTCTGTCATACACTAAATTCTTATATATACTTTGGGTTTCTTTCTGGGCTTTCTATTCTAGTCTATCAGCCTGGCTGCAAATTTAAACAAAAATGCCTTGTTGTTTTAAATGTAATAGCTTTAGTTGGTAGGCCAAGTCCTCCTATTTTGCTCCTCCCCTTTAACTTATTTATTTATTCATTTATTTATCTTCTGGCAGAGGCTTTCCAATGTTTCTTTTCCCACATTTTATTTTCAAATATAATTTAATACCATTTTATTAAATTTTTTTTAAAGAAAACAAACGTGCTGAGAGTTTTATGTTGATTGTAATAAATTTATACATTATTTTGGATGAGTTTGGCATCTTCAGAACTATCTTTTTTTTTTTTTTTTTTTTTTTGAGATGGAGTTTCGCTCTTGTTGCCCAGGCTGGAGTGCAATGGCACGATCTCAGCTCACTGAAACCTCCTCCCCTGGGTTCAACTGATTCTCCTGCCTCAGCCTCCCGAGTAACTGGGATTATAGGCACCCACCACCACGCCTGGCTAATTTTTTGTATTTTTTAGTAGAGACGGGGTTTCACCATGTTGGCCAGGCTGGTTTCAAACTCCTGACCTCAGGTGATCCACCCACCTCGGCCTCCCAAAGTGCTGGGATTACAGTTGTGAGCCACTGCACCCAGCCCAGAACTATCTTTCTAAAATAAACCAGGTTCATTTATATTCTGCTTTAAAACCTGTTTAGCTCCTACTAAAGGAAAACTGTCTCTTGGCATGGCATTGAACACCTTATGTATTTTGACCTCTGCATACCTTTTTTTGTCCTTCAAAGGCTTAGAAAATAAGGTGAATTCCTTAGATTATAATACTTCAAATAATATGGAGTCATTATTAGAATTTCAAATTTGGGGAAGGGGGTTGAGTGGTAGAGAATGCAGTGGCAGATTGAAGATGTGATTTGGAAATCTGTACTTACCTCATTTGCAGCTGGAGCTGGAGCCAAGGTCCCCTAGGCTTGATTGCATTTTGGCCTGTAAATACACCCAGTGGAAGAACATCAGTGCTAACCTACAAGCATTCCAAGAATATGTGCATGATCAAGGCTATCTTTCTTTTAAGTCTTGGGAAAACTGTGACTTTCTAAAAGTCTGGCTCCTGCCTCTTGACGTTGAAGAAGAAAATTCCACTGAATGCAAAATAAACAATTTGGCTGCTTTGTGTTTAGTTTATAGCATAATCTCCAAACCCTGGCCCCAGTAAGTTTCTGTTGGCTCTTTTATTCCTCCTCACCCTTCCTTGTTCTCCGTGTGTTTCCCTCTTCTCCGCCATGGACAAATCTGGTGGTGGAGATCTGGGTCAGTGATAGTGAATGCTTAAGAAGGAAATGAGAGGGAACAGGGAGAAACGTCAAGAAAACAAAACTTGGCAATGTTAACACGTGCTGAGAAAATTTTTTTAATTAAAAATTTATCTAAAATTTTTTAAAAGTATTTTAAATTAGTTCATTCTTCAACTGTTCTTTGGGACATTGATAACATGTACGAATTCAAACACAAACACTATTGTAGGATGCAGACTATGATTTTTTTCAGACATCCAGCTAGGATCCCAATACTCACAGGGTACTGTTTATATATACCATGTTAGCTGAAAAAAATCTCATAAACATTCAGTCACAGTATTTAAGAATTGGATTTTGTGGTTATCTCGCTAACATTTGAGATGTAAAAATGACTCCCTCATTGACTCTAACATTGGGAGAAGAGTAATTGGCATGTGTCTTCAAACTCCAGAGTTTTCATTTTGGTCAATGGCTTCAGGTTTCCTTCCAAACAGTCTCATTGGAGAGATGCTAAAACGTGTGCAGTAGATTAGCTTGTGGGGTTTTTTTTTTAACCATTATTTCTTGACCTCTTCTTTACTAAAGTTGATATTGAGCAGTAAAGTATTGAAAAAATGAACAGAACAAAAATAGGAATTGAAGATAGGTACAATTTATAGATGGGATTATCACCATTGAATGATTTTTTTTTTTTTTTTGAGTTGGAGTTTTGCTCTTGTTGCCCAGGCTGGAGTGCGATGGCATGAACTTGGCTCACTGCAACCTCTGCCTCCCGGGTTCAAGCAATTCTCCTGCCTCAGCCTCTGGATTACAGGTGTGTGCCACCATGGCCAGCTAATTTTTGTATTTTTAGTAGAGATGGGGTTTCGCTGTGTTAGCCAGGCTGGCCTAGAACTCCTGGCCTCATGTGATCTGTCCGCCTCGGCCTCCCAAAGTGCTGGGATTACAGGCGTGAGCCACCGTGCTCGACCACCATTGAATGATTAAAAAGCTTGGCATCGTAGTCCATATAAGTTGAAATTGAATTGCCATAAGGCAAAATTATGCCAAAAAGTTTCTAGACCTTTATTTCCAATGTATGTTGTTTTCAGGATGTCCTGTGTGTGTTTGTGCAAAGACAATATCCCTACTTTATGATTATTTTTAAAATGAAGCTGCAAAACTGTTACTATTAACTGCTAGAGGAATTAACAAATTTTTGAGAATCATTTTTCAAAAGTGCAGAATAGCTATTTCAAACTAGTAAAAACATGGTCATAAAGTAACAATAATTAAACGTAAAAACAAGAAGGGACTTTGGGAGGCCGAGGCGGGCGGATCACGAGGTCAGGAGATCGAGACTATCCCGGCTAAAACGGTGAAACCCCGTCTCTACTAAA
The DNA here is from genome assembly GCF_000001405.40 of Homo sapiens. NCBI lineage: Eukaryota > Metazoa > Chordata > Mammalia > Primates > Hominidae > Homo > Homo sapiens. The sequence goes on from NC_000009.12 coordinate 81,800,352, forward strand.
AATACAAAAAATTAGCCGGGCGTAGTGGCGGGCGCCTGTAGTCCCAGCTACTTGGGAGGCTGAGGCAGGAGAATGGCGTGAACCCGGGAGGCGGAGCTTGCAGTGAGCCGAGATCCCGCCACTGCACTCCAGCCTGGGCGACAGAGCGAGACTCCGTCTCAAAAAAAAAAAAAAAAAAAAAAAAAACAAGAAGGGAAATACAGAAGACATGTATGTACAGTTTTTGTCCTAAGAAATGTTACAGGCCAGGCTCAGTGGCTCACGCCTGTAATCCCAGCACTTTGGAAGGCCGAGGTGGGTGGATCACCTAAGGTCAGGAGGTTGAGACCAGCCTGTCCAACATGGTGAATCCCTGTCTCTACTAAAAAATACAAAAATTAGCCATGCGTGGTGGTGGGTGCCTATAATCCCAGCTGCTCTGGAGGGTGAGGTGGGAGAATTGCTTGACCCAGGAGGCAGAGGTTGCAGTGAGCCGAGATCACACCACCGCACTCCAGCCTGGGTGACAGAGCGAGATGCTTTTGAAAGAGAAAGAAAGAAAGAAAGAAGGAGAGAGGAAAGAAAGGAAAGAAAGAAAGAAAGAAAGAAAGAAAGAAAGAAAGAAAGAAAGAAAGAAAGAAAGAAAGAAAGAAAGGAGGGAGGGAGGGAGGGAGGGAGGGAGGGAGGGAGGGAAGGAAGGAAGGAAGGGAAAGAGAAAGAGAAAGAAAAAGAGAGAAAGAAAGAGAAAGAAAAAGAGAGAAAGAGAGAAAGAGAAAGAAAAAGACAGAGAAAGAAGAAAGAAAGAAAGAAAGAAAGAAAGAAAGAAAGAGAAAGAAAGAAGAAAGAAAGATTACAAATACACCATCAGCCTGGTTTCTCCTTTTGAGTGCAGAAGCTTAGTCATCTAAGCAGGAATTTTTTTAAAAAATCAACCAAGCTACTCGCCTCTCCCAAGATCTGATCATGAATTATAGAACTTGGGATTCAAGGACACTAATTGCCCATGCAACCCTGCAGGGAGTTGAACTAAGCTCGGTTGGAGGTCACAGCAGGGCAGCAGAGGACAGAGGTAATGAGATGTCTGGGCAGTAGGGCATTGGCTCATTGGCTGCTCATCTGAGGAATCCTGGTGTATGGATGAGGACCAGACTCTGAAAAATAATGAGGCAGATATGACTCATTGGTTCAACTTGAAGCAGAAGAATAGTGAAAGACAAGGAAGGGGACCAAAAAATAACTCAAGATGGTAGGAGACATCGAGATGAAAAGCAGACTTTACAGGGGGCATTGTCTAACCAGGGCTAAGAGTTAGAAATGTGCCTTGATCTGCTATTTGTCCACTTACTTGAAGGGAATTTCTGAGGCCTCATATAGTAGCACCAGTGCATGCACACACACATTAATGAATTACATCCTTTGCATAGGGAAGAAGCAAAGTTATCAAACATTCTAGAACTTACATTCAAATATAGACAGACTTCTGGAGTTTTTTTCTATTAATAAAAGAACACTTCAAATATACAAGGAAGTAGAGAGGAAAAATATACTGAAGCTCATGTTACCACTGCCCAGCTTCAACAACTGTCAACATTTACCTTTTCTTCCTTAATTGTAGCTGTGCTTGGGAAGATTTTTTTTCTTTTTTTGAGAATATGGTCTCGCTATATTGCCCAAGCAGGTCTCAAACTCCTGGGCTCAAGCTATCCTCTCGCCTCTGCCTCCCCCAGAGCTGGGATTACAGGTGTGAACCACTGCGCCCAGCGATTTTTTCTTTTTTTGATGAAGAGAGTTGGCATAAGGAGAAGAGACCTGGAAGGTAAAGCTAGTTTGAAGAGGGGGAAGCAGAAACCTATGTTGTCAGCACGGCTTCCTGAATCCCTCCAGTGTGACATTATTACAGCATTACCTGCATTACTTGGTAAATGAAAGGCATTAACTCTGTGAATAATCAGGTAATCAAAAACTAGTTACTGCTTTGACTTTTTATTATAGGTTCTTCAGCCACTTACATTTAAAATTTTTAAATATATTATTATTTTAAACACACATCATTATTTTAATTATATCCAATTAAATATACCTGCATCTCCTCAGCGTGCATCATTATGTACTTTACTAAAAAGCACTTTGAATCAAATTGCATACCAACGTTCTTTATTATAATTTATGTGCACATGTCTGCAGCAGATTTATACATTTTAGAGATTATCAAGAATTTTATTTAGACTTTTAATAAATGTGAAAGTTAACTTGAATCTCAATGTACTTTGGTATTTAGAATTCTATAATATTATTCTATTGTCCTGTAAGACACCATTTTGTTTTTCTTTCTGAGAAGAGTATGGTGCAGATACATGACTAGCAGAAGTTATTATGGTTACCAAAACCATTTGTGTCCAGATCCTTAAGTTATTCATCTCTTTTGTGTCCACTGAAACTCACAGTCTTTTTAGATTCTGCCAAATAGTGGCCCAAAAGATTTCCCGAGACTCAGTCCCAATCACATGAAAATAATATTACTAGGTTAAGGAATCTAAAAGATATAGCCCTTAGTGATTGCTTCTCATTCTAGTTGAAGGATTTTAGCTCCTCTTACCCATGGATCTGTAACTTTTTATATCTGCTCTTGTGTCACTCAGAGGGCCTAAGAAATTTGCTCTACTGATGTTTGACACATGATAGAGTGGCACAAAGATCTTTAAAATAAAATTTTGACATATAGTATTTGTATTTTAGCCAGCTCTCTGCCATCAGCTGCCACCCCATCCCACTGGCTGTTTGCAACAAATGGATCCACTAAATAAACTCCCAAAGGAAAGACCTAATCTCTCGCAGTGCTGGAGGCAACCAGTTGGTTCAGTTTGAAGCGAATGTCTTGATTGGTTCCCATATCCTAGATCCTAAATCCTTGGATTGAATCTATGACTTGAATACTTGCCTCTTCCACAACCCATATCCTCTGTTTTTGGCATATTTCCTTACTTCCTCCAGTATTTAAACAAAAGCATTTCTGTATAGCTTCTGGATTAACTCATCTCTCAGACCCTGGCATCTCTTGTTTTCTCCAGGGTGGATTGGCTGTTATCAGAGAAGCTCTGTGCAGTCCCCCACTCTGCCTTTAAATGGAGTTTGGGAGTTCAGAATTGGGTTACTTTATGACCTGGGGTAAATCAGTTAGATCCTCTTAGTCTCAGTTTCACCATTTATACATGTCTTAGGTGGTTCAGGATGCTGTAACAAAATACTATAAACTGGGTGGCAGAAATTTACCTCTCATAGTTCTGGAGGCTGGGAAGTCCTAGATCAAAGCATTGATAGATTTGTTGTCTGTTGATGTCTGTTTTCTGGCTCATAGATAGTGCCTTCTCACTGTTACCACATGGCAGAAGGGGCCAGGGGGCTCTCTGGGGGGTCCCTTTTATAATGTCACTAATCCCACCATCCATCCTCATGACCCTAATCACCTCCCAAAGGCCTCACCCTCAAATACCATCACATTGGGGATCTGATTTCAACATATGAATTTTGGGGGGACCTACACATTTAGTCTACAGTATTAAAATTGGGAGATTTGGGACTAGGTCATCTCTGATAGTCCTTTCATTGTTAACATTCTATTTTGTTTACGATTTTTGCCTAATTCTTAAATATTACACAATTAATGTATGATTATATTCTCATTGTAAAAGGTTTTTGTTTTTGTTTTTGTTTTTTTTTAAGTCAGAGTCTCACTCTGTCACCCAGGCTGGAGTGCAATGGTGCAATCTCCGCTCACTGCAACCTCAGCCTCCTGGGTTCAAGCAATTCTGCCTCAGCCTCCTGAGTAGCTGGGATTACAGGCGCCCGCTACCACACTCGGCTAATTTTTGTATTTTTAGTAGAGACGGGGTTTCACCATATTGACCAGGCTGGTTTTGAACTCCTGACCTTGTGATCCACCCACCTCAGACTCCCAAAGTGTTGGGATTACAGGCGTGAGCCACTGCGCCTGGCTGTAAAATTTTAAATAGCACGCAAGTATACAAGTGTACAGAAAATGGCTGTAGAGTCCCTTCAGCTTCGCTGTCTTTCCCACCCCTCCTTCCACAGCCAAAGATAACTACTTACATGAACATTCCTTGATTAATTTGTATAATAAAATTTTGTCATGCAAACTTGCTTCTCTGTAACCTTTCAGCTGCTATGATTTGTGCGTTCTATTTTGGATGCTGTTAGTCATTTAAGAGGCCGGGCTTGTGAGGAATGGTGTGGATGATCTCAAAAGCACAAGCTTTCAGTAGAAGATCTGAAACATGAACAAAGAATTATTCTCCTTGGTTTGAATAAGAGTCTGTGAAGTTAGTTCTTTACCTTTTGAATGACAAGAAAATTGGAGAGGAAGGAGGTGGTGGTGAGAAGAGTGAGGGAGAAAAAGAGTGTTCTCCATCATTTTATATATTTCAGTGTGGAAAACTAGTCTTTCAGAGATTTTCTTCACTATAGCTCATGAAACTTATGTGGTTAAGAATTTTTTTGGGATTGTGTTTTGTGACTTCAGTGAGTAATTTGTCCATTGACTAGAGTAATTGAGGACATAGATTTTGGTTAAATTCTATGTAGATAGATACAATATTTCTTTAGAAAAATGTTCTCTGTTAAGATGATAAAATATGACAATTTCTACTGCCAAATTATTGTATAAACAGCAGGGTACTTAAGAGCAAAATTTAAAGAAATACAAATGCATTGTTATGATCTGGTTCCTTTGTTACTAGCACTACCTATTATCAATAGCTAATTATTTGAACAACACTACTATTGTAGAGAACCATTTTTTTTTTTTTTGAGATGGAGTTGCCCAGGCTGGAGTGCAATGGCATGATCTCGGCTCACTGCAACCTCCACCTCCCAGATTCAAACAATTCTCCTGCCTCAGCCTCCCAAGTAGCTGGGACAACAGGCACCCGCCACCACGCCAGGCTAATTTTTGTATTTTTAGAAGAGACGGGGTCTCACCATGTTGGCCAGGCTGATCTCGAACTCCTGACCTCAGGTGATCTGCCCAACTCAGCCTCCCAAAGTGCTGGGATTACAGGCATGAGCCACTGCACCAAATTAGACCTCTTCTAGAGTGAACATAGTTCCCAGGCTTTAAGAACATGATTAACAGGCACATGAAGCTCCTGTAGTTGCCTTCCTACTGTTAATCTCTTCACTTTTAACAGGTGGTACTTATAACTCATTTTACATTTATAAGATTGAATTCCATTTTCAGTTTCAGTTTCTTTCTTTCTTTGCCCCAGGTAAAATTAGAAGAATGGGGAAAAGGCTGGCAGCAGTGGCTCATGCCTGTAATCCCAGCACTTTGGGAGGTTGAGGTGGGCGTATCACGAGGTCAGGAGTATGAGACCATCCTGGCCAACATAGTAAAACCCTGTCTCTACTAAAAATACAAAAATTAGCCGGAAGTGGTGGCAGGCACCTGTAATCTGAGCTACTTCGGAGGCTGAGGCAGGAGAATTGCTTGAACCCGGGAGGTGGAGGTTGCTGTGAGCCGAGATCGCACCACTGCACTCCAGCCTGGGTGACAGACCAAGACTCTGTCTCAGAAAAAAAAAAAAAAAAAGAAGAAGAAGAAGGGGGAAAAAAGGCAATTCTCATATGCATTAAACGCCAGCCTCAATAATATTAGGTTGGTGCAAAACTACTCGTGGTTTTTGCCACTACTTTCAATGGCAAAAACCACGATTACTTTTGCACCAACCTCAATATGTTTTGCAAGCAGAAAAATTGCGCACATTTTCTTTTCACTGTTTTTGAAACTAGTGACTAGGTGCAAAAAGCTAGAATACTAACAATTATACATTCCTTAGAGCAACTAATTTTGTACTTCAAATTCTATACCCAACCAAACTTGTGTTCCAGTGGGAGGACAAAATATACTTTGGGATATGACCACAGACATTCTTCAAAAGTAATCTTCAAAACACTTTGCTGGAAAACAAGAAAAATAAATTTTATAAGTTTTATACACTTATAAAATTTGTATTTGTACACATGTATGTATGAATACATGTTTTTTGTTTGTTTAGTTTTTTTTTTTTTTTTTCGAGACTGACTCTTGCTCTGTCATTCAGGCTGGAGTGCAGAGACCCGATCTCGGCTCACTGCAAACTCTGCCTCCCGGGTTCAAGCGATTCTCGTGTGTCAGCCTCCCAAGTAAGCTGGGATTATAGGCGTGTGCCACAATGTCCGCCTAATTTTTGTATTTTAGTAGAGACGGGGTTTTACCATGTTGGCCAGGCTGGTCTCGAGCTCCTGAACTCAGGTGATCTGCCTGCTTCGGCCTCCCAAAGTGCTAAGATTATAGGCATGAACCACCGCGCCCAGACACAGGTATTTTATGAATAGAACAATGGGAAAGATGTGGGTCGAAAAACATTAAAAATGTAGCTGAGTCTAAAGAACTATTGATGCATAATATAGAAACAATTGTTAATATGGAACTAGAATTTCAACCTGTAAGTAGAAGATGTGGGAGTACAGAGATTAGAGAATAGGAAACAGAAGTGGGGTCAAAATTAAAATCTTTAAAATTCATGCCTTAATCAAGATGACAATGGAGGCCCTGATTATTTCTAGACATTGATAAGATGTAGATATTTAAATGTGAGTATTAAAATGTAAAGGCAATTCTTAAGAAGAATAGAAAAGGAAACAGTTTTTAAAAAAACATTTAGAAAAGAAGAAAATACAGAACAACTAGATTAATCAAACAAAAGACAGAGAATAAAAAGAGATAGAATGCAAAATGATGACAAATAAAAACATATAAGTAAATGGTGAAAGGCTGGCCGCAGTGGCTCACACCTGTAATCCCAGCACTTTGGGAGGCCAAGGTGGGCGAATCACCTGAGGTCAGGAGTTCAAGACAAGCCTGACCAACATGGAGAAACCCCATCTCTACTAAAAATACAACATTAGCCAGGGGTGGTGGCACTCCCCTGTAATCCTAGCTACTCAGGAGGCTGAGGCAGGAGAATCGCTTGAACTTGGGAGGCAGAGGTTGCGGTGAGCCGAGATCGTGCCATTGCACTCCAGCCTGGGCAACAAGAGCGAAACTCTGTCTCAAAAATAAATAAATAAATGGTAAGAAATAAGTAGAACATATAAGTACTTGCATTAAATGTCAATGGTTTATATTCTTCCTTTAAAAATCAGACTTTCAGACGGGATAAAGAAAAAAAATCCAAATTTATACCATGAAAATATGTGACACTCCAAAGCAAAATAATACAAAAGGTTTGACAAGAACAGCAATAGTCATGAAATTGTATGCAGGACAAAGTTATGAAATACAAACCCCCCCAAAAAACAAAAAAAAACCCACAAAAATTATGCAAATGCAAAGAGAAGTTTGTAAACTCACAGTTATAGAGGGAAAACTTTTTTTTTTAGGACAGAGTTTCACTCTTCTTGCCCAGGCCTGAGTGCAATGGTGCGATCTTGGCTCACTGCAACCTCCGCCTACTGGGTTCAAGCAATTCTCCTGCCTCAGCCTCCTGAGTAGCTGGGATTACAGGCATATGCCACCACGTCCGGCTAATTTTCTATTTTTAGTAGAGATGGGGTTTCTCCATGTTGGTCAGGCTGGTCTTGAACTCCTGACCTCAGGTGATCCACCCACCTTGGCCTCCCAAAGTGCTGGAATTATGGGCGTGAGCCACCGCGCCTGGCCTATAGTGGGAAAACTTAATACAACTTTCTCAAAAACTAATAAATCTAGGAGTCGGAATTTTTTTGTTTTTTTTTTGAGGCAAAGTCTTGCCCTGTCCCCCAGGCTGGAGTGCAGTGGCGCAATCTTGGCTCACTGCACGTTCTCTCTTCCGGGTTCACGCCATTCTCCTGCCTCAGCTTCCCGAGTAGCTGGGACTACAGGCGCCCGCCACCACGCCTGGCTAATTTTTTGTATTTTTGGTAGAGACGGGGTTTCACCATGTTAGTTAGTCAGGATGGTCTCGATCTTCTGACCTCGTGATCCGCCCACCTTGGCCTCCCAAAGTGCTGGGATTACAGGCATGAGCCACCGCGCCCGGCCAGGAGTCAGAATTTTAAAACACATTTAATAGTCCTGATATAAAACATGAAATATATATTTTATGTATTTATGACCTTCAAATTCACATTATTATTATTTTTTTTGAGACGGAGTCTTGCTCTGTAGTCGTGGCTGGAGCGCAGTAGCGCGATCTTGGCTCACTGCAAGCCCCGCCTCCGGGGTTCACGCCATACTTCTGCCTCAGCCTCCCGAGTAGCTGGGACTACAGGCGCCCTCCACCACTCCCGGCTAATTATTTTTGTACTTTTAGTAGAGACGGGGCTTCAACGTGTTATCCAGGATGGTCTCCATCTCCTGACCTCGTGATCCATCTGCCTCGGCCTCCCAAAGTACTGGGATTACAGGCTTGAGCCACCGCGCCTGGCCCATTATTTTCAATCTATGGCACATTTACAAAATTTGATCATGTGTTAGTTCACTAGGAAAATCTCCATAAAACCCAAATAGCAGAAATCATAGTCCATATCTCTGAACAAAATACAGTAAAATTAAATAGTAACAACAAAAGAAGAATTCTCCAGGCCTAATTAATCAATTTTGAAAAAAGTACATACTATTTATTGGGCCGGGTAGTTGTTCATGCCTGTAATCCCAGCACTTTGGGAGGCCAAGGGAGGCGGATCACCTGAGGTCAGGAGTTCAAGACCAGCCTGGCCAACATGGCGAAACCCCATCTCTACTAAAAATACAAAAAATTAGCCGGGCGTGCTGGCATGCTCCTATTGTCCCGGCTACTTGGGAGGCTGTGGCAGGAGAATCGCTTGAACCTGGGAGGTGGAGGTTGCAGTGAGCCAAGATCGTGCCACTGCACTCCAGCCTGGGTGTCAGAGCAAGACTCTGCCTCAAAAACAAAAACCAAAAACCAAAAAAAAAAAAAAAAAAAACACCATACTATTCTAAAGAATTTTTAGGTTAAAGAGGAAAGAAACTGGCCAGGCGCAGTGGCTCACGCCTGTAATCCCAGCACTTTGGGAAGCCAAGGCGGGCGGATCACGAGGTCAGGAGATCGAGACCATCCTGGCCAACATGGTGAAACCCGGTCTCTACTAAAAATACAAAAATTAGCCAGGTATGGTGGCAGGCACCTGTAATCCCAGCTACTCGGGAAGCTGAGGCAGGAGAATAGCTTGAACCAGGGAGCCGGAGATTGCAGTAGCTGAGATCGCGCCACAGCACTCCAGCAAGGCAACAGAGCGAGACTCTGTCTCCAAAAAAAAAAAAAAAAAACAACAACAAAATAAAACCAAAATAAAACCATTCACCATTAATATATAAATAAAAATTGGAAGCTCTACCAATCAAGACTTACTATGGCTAAAGCAGCACTTCAAGTAAATTTTACAACCTCAGTTCATTTATTAGAATCTAACAAAGGTTTAAAAAAAACACTAATAAGAGAAGAAGCAGTAAAATAAGCCCAAAGAAAGCACAAGAAGGGAGATAATAAACTGAATTAAGGATAGAGAAACAGAAAAAACAAAACAATGAACTTTATCTATGAAACCCAAAGCTACTTTTCCAAAGTGGTGTATGAAGTAGGCAAAACTTTTGGTGAGACTGATCAAGAGGAAGTTGGGCTGGTGGGTCATGCATATAATCCCAGCACCTGGGAGGCCAAACCGGGTGGATGGTGTGAGCCCAGGAGTTCAAGAGCAGTCTGGGCAACATGGTGAAACCCTGTCTGTACAAAAAAAAAAAAAGATTTAGCCAGGCATGGTGGCATGTACCTGTGGTCCCAGCTACTCTGGAGGCTAAGGTGGGAAGATCACTTGAACCCAGGAAGCTGAGGCTGCAGTGAACTATGTTTGTGCCACTGCACTCCGGTCTGGATGACAGAGTGAGACCCTGTCTCAAAAACCAAACCAAAACAAAAAACCAAAAATATGCAAATACACTTTGGAAATAAAGGAGAGGAGTTAACTACAGATTCGGAGGAAGTTAAAAAAAATTATTCAAGTACAGGGTCTTTTACCTTAAAATAACAAATTCAAAATTTATTTGAAAAGGGTAATTTTTCTAGGAATACATAGATTACAAATATTATTTCAAGAGGTAGTAGAAAATCTAAAGAGAAAAATAAGCATAGAAGAAATTTACACAGTAATAGTAATAATAATAAAAACTACTCTCAAAAGATACAAGGCCTGGACAGTTACATGGGCTTTAAAAACATTCAAACTTTGAAGAACTAGTTAATCCCTGCTGTAAATAAATAGATGGAGCTGGGTGCGGTAGCTCTCACCTGTAATCCCAGCACTTTGGGAGGCCAAGGTGGGCGGATCACCTGAGGTCAGGAGTTAGAGACCAGCCATGGCTAACACGGTGAAATCCCGTTTCTACTAAAGATACAAAAAAATTAGCCGGGCATGGTGGTGCATGCCTGTAATCCCAGCTACTTGGGAGGCTGCGGCAGGAGAATCACTTGAACCCAGGAGGCAGAGGTTGCAGTGAGCCGAGATTGTGCCATTGCACTCCAGCTTGGGCAACAAGAGCAAAATCTCTGTCTCAAAAAAAAAAAAAAAAATAGATGGAAATCACCCCAACTCAACTATCATTCTATCAATTATCATTCAGTCCAACTTTTTCTTGATCAGTCTCACCAAAGGTTTTGCCTACTTCATACACCACTTCAGAAAAGTAGCTTTGGGTTTCATAGATAAAGTTCATTGTTTTGTTTTGTTTTTTCTGTTTCTGGTATCACTTTGTTGATACCAGAAGTGACAATGACTTCACACACACACAAAATGACCACTATAAGCCAATCTACCTTATAAGTATAAATACAGAACTGCAAGGAAAATATTATCAAATTGAATTCATTATTGCCAACTAGTATTAAATCCAGGAATGTAATGATGATTGGACACTAGGAAATCTGTTCATATATTTTACTATATTAAAAAGTTAGAGGGCAGGGCACGGTGGCTTACGCCTATAATCCCAACACTTTGGGAGGCCGAGGCAGGTGGATCACGAGGTCAGGAGTTGCAGACCAGCTTGGCCAACATGGTGAAACACCATCTCTACTAAAAATACAAAAATTAGCCAGGCGTGGTGGCGGCGCCTACAATCCCAGCTACTCAGGAGGCTGAGGCAGGAGAATCACTTGAACCCGGGAGGCAGAGGTTGCAGTGAACCAAGATCGTGTCACTGCACTCCAGCCTGGGCGACAGAGAGAGACTCCATCTCAAAAAAAAAAAAAAGTTAGAGAAAAATCATTTGTTCATCCTGATAGTGCTAAAAGCAGTTGATATATATCAACACCCATTTGTGATTTAAAGTAATCATAATAAAATAACTTCTAACATAGAGAATAAAACTTTATTAACTTGGTAAAATTGAAAGAGTTATTGATCTGAAGAGAAACAAAAGTTTTTTGTTTTTTTTTGTTTTTTTTTTTCTGAGACAGGATCTCACGCTGTCACCCAGGCTGGAGTGCAATGATGCAATCTCAGCTCACTGCAATCTCTGCCTCCTGGATTCAAGCGATCCTCTTGCCTCAGATTCCCAAGTAGCTGGGATTACAGGTGTGCACTACCACACCTGGCTAATTTTTGTATTTCTAGTAGAGATAGGGTTTTGTTATGTTGGCCAGGCTGGTCTCGAACTCTGGACCTCAAGTCATCTGCCCACCTCAGCCTCCCAAAATGCTGGGATTACAGGCTCCCACTACCACGCCCAACTAATTTTTTTGTATTTTTTTTAGTAGAGATGGTGTTTCACCATGTTGGCCAGGCTGGTCTCAAACTCCTGACCTTGTGATCTGCCTGCCTTGGCCTCCCAAAGTGCTGGGATTACAGGCGTGAGCCACTGCGCCCAGCCTATAAACAGTCTTAATAGCAGTACCTATTAAAATTAAAGCTGGATATTTCTTTCAACTCAGGATTACTTTCAACAAAGTAATACACACACGAATATTTATGGCATTGTTGCCCATGATAGCCCCAAATTGGAAATAACCTCCGTGTCCTGAGGTTAGAAGAATTCATAATAATTTATGGAGCATCTATACACATAATATTAGAGGAAAAAATAAAGTGGCAAAACCTGTGTAAAGGTTTTGTTGTTGTTGTTGTTGTTTTTAGACAGAGTTTCACTCTTGTTGTCTAGGCTGGAGTGTGATGGCACAGTCTTGGCTCACTGCAACCTCCGCTTCCTGAGTTCAAGCGATTCTCTTGCCTCAGCCTCCCAACTAGCTGGGGTTACAGGTGCCTGCCACTATGCCCAGCTAATTTTTGTATTTTTGGTGGAGACAGGTTTCACTATGTTGTTCAGGCTGGTCTCGAACTCCTGACATCAGGTGATCCACCTGCCTCAGCCTCCCAAAGTGCTGGGATTACAGAAGTGAGCCACCGTGCCTGGTCTAAAGTTTGACCTGATCTATGTTATATGTTAACCAAAACTAAACTACATATTACATGCCACACTGTAAATCGATTATCCTGTGGAGTAGGGAAAAAAGGATTGTTGCGGAGGGAAGATGTACTTTCATCGCTGATGTTAATATAAACTTGTGAATAATTTGAAATGCATTCTTTGTTGTATTTTGAAAAGCCTCTATCTCCTTTCATATTTCTAATTATAAAGGGGAAAAGTCATGAATCCACCAGTTTATATTGGATATATTTTGTAGATGATGTTCCATTACAAAAGAGAAACACTGTATTTTTATTATGTGTTATGCTATTTTTTTCACTCAATAATATTTATTGGGTGCTCAATTTGTGCATTAAACACTATCCTCAGGCTCAGTGGCTGAGAGTGGGCATGTTCTCATTCCAGCATTACTTTGGTTGATTTGCCTGAAAGATCACATGCCCCGTGACAAAGCCTAGGAAGAGGCATAGAGCATCTTCCTCCGGTACTTTTGTGCATCTCCCTAGTGTACTGAACAGAGATTCCTTGGTGATGGTGGCTAGGCCAGTGCTATTTTGTGTGTGGCAGAGGAAAAAGTCACTGGGACCAAGAGCTTCTGTGAATTTCACATGTAAGGGATCACATTTGGAATCTTTGCCCTTCTGTTTACAAGATCTATTTTTCACAGAAGAAAGTCAAATTATTTGAAATAACTTTCTCTGCAACTAGCCATGTTGGTGGCTATTCGTGGTTTGTATTCTTCCCTGGGATAGAAACAAATTTAAACTGACCAGTGTACAAACCTATTTCTCTCTCTCTTTTAAAAGACAGGTATTTTACATGCCCATTTGATATTTTCAGTTACATCCTTTTCTGCCCATAGTCTCTTTTTTTTTTTTTTTTTTTTTTTTTTTTTTGAGACAGATTGTCCCTCTGTCACACAGGCTGGAGTGCAGTGGCACCATCTTGGCTTGCTGCAGCCTCTGCCTCCCAGGTTCAAACAATTCTCCTGCTTCAGCCTCCCGAGTAGTTGGGATTACAGGCGTGTACCACCATGCCCAGCTAATTTTTGTATTTTTAGTAGAGATGGGTTTCACCATGTTGGCCAGGCTGCTCTAGAGCTCCTGGTCTCATGTGATCCGTCTGCCTTGGCCTCCCAAAGTGTTGGGATTACAGGCATGAGCCCATGCGCCTGGCTGCTGCCCAGTCTTAAACCAAATACTAATTTAACTACAGATCCTGACAATTTGAATACATGCAACTTCTGAAAAAACACCTCTCTGCTATTCTTTCCCTCTGCATCCTTGAGTTTGAGCAGAGAAGTGACACAGAAAATGGGATGCACTAGGAGTCAGAAGACTGAGGTTTGACGCCTGCCTTCTGGAACCTTTTGCAAGTCTCTTCTAGGCTTCACTTTGTGTCAGCTGTCAAATGGAGAGGATGGGGAAAATTGGGGAGGTGGGTGTAGGTGATAAAGAAGAAAGAGTTTTCGAAAGGCATAAAACATCAGATCAGCATGAGACTTCATACAAGCCCCTTTCTCCTCTTCTTGTGCACATACAGTCACACACACACACACACACACACACAGCCACAGCTGCATGCATGCTCTTTGGGTTTCTTTTTATCTTTCACCTATGTTCCCTTTAAAAGTAGGCATTTGAATCCCTCCAAGCACAGCCAGCTCTGTCATTTGTCACATGCACCCATTGATCTCCCTGGTACCTGAGGCCTTGAATTGACTTAGTTCTCCCTTTTAGGCAGTACCTGTTTTCTCCCAGAAGAGCATTTAGCTTAGTGTTAAAAGCACAGTGTGTTCCCTCTTTGTTAACTTAACCTCTGTGTTGTTTTTTTAAAATCAGATTTGAAAGAACAGGGACCCTAGAAAGTCTGTGATATGTAAATATTTAGCCAGGCAGATAGGGATAGTAAGCATTTTCTCTCTTAACACAAAACATGATTTTATTTGCTAAAGCTGTAATCTTGTTTGATAATCCATCAGTTTATTATCAGCTATGTGGTGAGACATAATGCTACAGGGAGATAATCAAGAACCTTGCCTGACACTACAGGGTTGATTACAGTGCCTGGAGAAGAGAGAGGCTTCTGGAGAGGATTATGTTAAACATAGCCTTTCTATTTGCAGTTGATTTCCTCCGAGTGCTTTAACCATTCTGCTCCCAGCCTAAGTAAGTAGGTCATCTGAAAACCTTCAAGGAAGAGGAGTCTTTGCAGGTGTGAAACAATGAGACATGTCTCTTTACCAAGCCCCATTAAGTCATTGTTTCATGCTCAATGCATTTCTGAATCGAAGAACAAAGAGATATAGTGGTGTTTCATTGAAAACACCAAAAGCAAAGAATAACAGGAAACCAAAGAACCAAAAGAACAAAGTGGTGCTTTATTAAACAAACCAAAACCAAAGAACAACAGGAAAGTCCAGGCTGAAAACAGAACAGGAAATCCTACCCACAGGTAACACTGGGACTCCAGCTCTAACTATTAGGTCCAATAAGCTGCATTAGTAAAATGAAATTTGAATATGACATTGATTGATAGCATTCTCTAAATGCTGTAATCAGTCTGTGGTTTCTAAACCAACGGCAACACACATGTAGGGCATCCTCAAAGCTTCTCCTGGTCAGGGCAGTTGGAATGCACAATCCCAGAGGCAGAATTCACATGTATTGTAACAGGAGTGGTGCCATTGGATTACTGAAAAAAGGTGGCACTACTTCCATTCCTTAGTGGGAGGCAAAAGAGCATTTTTTTGTAACTTTTTGTTTTTTTTGAGACAGAGTCTTGCTCTGTCACCAGGCTGGAGTGCAGTGGCACGATCTCGGCTCACTGCAACCTCTGCCTCCCAGGTTCAAGCGATTCTCCTGCCTCAGCCTCCTGAGTAGCTGGGACTACAGGCACGCACCACCACGCCCAGCTAATATTTGTATTTTTACTAGAGACAGGGTTTCACCATGTTGGCCAGGATGATCTCGATCTCTTGACCTTGTGATCCGCCCACCTCGGCCTCCCAGGGTGCTGGGATTACAGGCTTGAGCCACTGCGCTGGGCCTTTTTTGCAACTCTTATCCTTGTCTACCCCATTCTTCACTTTTTTGAAATTTATCTCCTCAGGATTACCCACTATGCAAAATGTGCCCACCACCCACTGCTAATTCAGCCTTCAAGTCACAGGCCTGTGATTACTTGACTGATTTCTGGCCACTGAAAATAGAGGCTGCAGTACTCTGCAATTAAAATGCCTTCAGGTACATTATCTCACTTGAGCCTCTCTTAAGATAAGCAGATGAAGAGACTGAGTTTCAAAGAATTTAAGTATCTTGAGTTTATACAGTTGGTGATTTCTTCCCTTCTTTTGTTCCCTTCTTGTCTTCTTGCTTTTCTTCTTTCCTTTCCCCTCCAAACACATATTATTAAGAATGTAGACTCTGGCCAGGCGCAGTGGCTCACGCCTATAATCCCAGCACTTTGGGAGGCCAAGGCAGGCGGATCACGAGGTCAGGAGATCAAGACCATCCTGGCCAACATGGTGAAACCCCATCTCTACTAAAAATACAAAAATTAGCCAGGTGTGGCAGCGCGCGACTGTAGTCCCAGCTACTCAGGAGGCTGAGGCAGGAGAATCGCTTGAACCTGGGAGGAGGAGGCTGCAGTGAGCCGAGATCGCACCATTGCACTCCAACCTGGGCAACAGAGCAAGATTTCATCTCAAAAAAAAAAAAAAAAAAAAGAATGTAGACTCTTGAAGCCAAAGGCCTGGTTTTAAATCCCTGGTTCTACATGACCTTGGGCAAGTTTCTTATCTTAGTATGTCCGCCCTCAGCAGTAAAATGAGGATAACAATATTATCTACTTCATACGGTGATTGAGAAGATAATAATAATACAAATATACTAATTCTCACAGTTAGAACAGCGTCTGGCACATAACAAAGATGGAGTAAGTCTTATTATTATTATTGTTGTTGTTGTTTCCTTCCATTCTTCCCTCATCAAATATTAATCATCTTCTCTCTGATGAGCATTAGGCTAAGCCTCAGGACTGAGTCAGAGATGTCCCTGTTCCCTGGAACTCACAGTCTGTGAAGGCATAGGCCATCAGCTAAGTGCAGGAGATGTCATGGTGTCATGTAATCACACGTGATATGTTTGATGCCCATGGTTAGCTGCGAAGGCCTCATGGAGGAGACCAGGCATTGGAGTTGAATATTGGAGATCAAGAAGTGTTTGCCAGGCCAATAGTCCAGGGATGTGCACGTGGGCAGAGTAATCAGTATGCATGAAATGAGGGGAATGAGAAGTTGTATTATTTTTCTTTGGTTGCCTGTAACAAAAGACCACAGATGGGATTGCTTAGAAAACAGAAACGTAAGGCCGGGAGTGGTGGCTCACGCCTGTAATTCCAGCACTTTGGGAGGCCGAGGTGGGTGGATGACTTGAGGTCAGGAGTTCGAGACCAGCCTGACCAACATAGTGAAACTCCCTCTCTACTAAAAATACAAAAAATTTAGTCAGAGTGGTGGCGCACGCCTGTATTCCCAGCTACTCGGGAGGCCGAGGCAAGAGAATTGCTTGAATCCAGGAGGTGGAGGTTGCAGTGAGCCGAGATTGTGCCACTGCACTTCAGCCTGGGCAACAGAGACTCTGTCTCAAAAAAAAAAAAATTAAAAAAGAAAAAAAAGAGGCTGGGTGCAGCGGCTCACGCCTGTAACCCTAGCACTCTGGGAGGCCGAGGTGGGTGGATTGCCTGAGCTCAGGAGTTCGAGACCAGCCTGGGCAACACGGTAAAACCCAGTCTCTACTGAAATACAAAAAAAGAAATTGGCTTGGCATGGTGGCACGCGTCTGTAATCCCAGCTACTCAGGAGGCTGAGGCAGGAGAATTGCTTGAAACTGGGAGGCGGGGGGGTCACAGTGAGCCAAGATCGTGCCACTGCACTCCAGCCTGGTGCCAGAGCAAGATTCGATCTCTCCAAAAAAAAAAAAAAAGAAAAGAAAATAGAAATGTATTTCCTCACAGTTCTGGAAGCTAGAAGTCAGAGAGCAAGGTGTTGGCAGGATTGGTTCTCTGAGGCCTCAGGGCCTGGGCTTCTAGATGGCCACCTTCTCGCTGTGTCCCCACGTGGTCTTCCCTCACATCCCTGGTGTCCTAATCTCTTCTTATAAGGACAGCAGTCGGTTTGAATTAGGCCCACCTATGTGATCTCATTTTGCCTCAGTGGCCTCTTTAAAGGGACTTTCTCCAAATACATTCTGAGGTACTGGGGGTTGAGGATTTCAGCATATGTTTTTGTGGGATACACTTCAGCCCATAACAGAACCATCTGTGAAGGAGGGCTAGGGTCAGGTCGTGTGGATGTGTGTTCTGGGATGAAGCCAGAACACCAGGCATTCTGCATCTTGAAAGGCCTGGCCTCTCATCAGGATGAGAAGGATATTGGGGAATGGACACCACCACCTTATATAGGCTCTGCTGGCCGCCCAGGCTGCAGTGTGAGGGGCAGACTACAAGAAGCCACCCTGTACTCTGTCTGATGAGATATGGATTTGAATTCGAGTTCTCTTCCACCACACCCCAGGGTCTGCATAGCAGTTTAGGGGAGGCAAGGATTCCCCAGTAGCAAGAGTGTCCATGAGAACAAGGACGTGTGTGGTTGTAGGGGGCAGGTGGATGGGGCAATGGAGGCAGCGACAGCTGATCGTTTGCCTGTGAAGTCCCTGTCGCTGTGTGAAGTCAGTGAACGGCTTTCCAGTCGGAAGGTACTGCAGCTCATGCAAGTGAAGAAGCACCAGAGAACGGATGAAGCCAGCTCTGGTGTTTTCTTTTCGCCCAGAAGCCCCTTCAAGTGTTCGTAACAGAATCACATCTCTTACTACTGTGTTGTGTAAATGAGAGAACAGCCTCCCTTTCTTTCTCCTGCCAGGTAGAAGCACACAGCAGCTCATGGCTGTTGACAGTCAGAGAATGAGATAATTACCCTTCTCCATTTTTAGATTCCTGCTCAAACTCAGGCATTTTGGTGCAAAAAGAGACAACGCGTTGGGAGGAGCAGCGTTGTTTTGTGTAGTTCCCATTTGGTTCAGAGGCCTGAGACAGAGGCATCCTGCTCTGGTTTGACTCGTTTCTGATAAGGCTCCTTGAGCAGGTCACTTCTTCTACCACTTGGGCTTCTCTTTTACAAAATGGGGATAATCATGTATAAATGACCAGGATAGTGGTGAGGATTCACCAAGAGCCCTTTGCAGTCATTGAAGCGCTATGCAAATGTTAGTTCTGGGGATTAAAAATAAAAAGGATTCACCTTACTAGAAAGACACAAGGTGTTTGCATTTTGCAATTTTGGTGACTTGCTGCCTTACTAGAAAAAAAAATGAGCATTTTCGATTCTCAGCCCGGCTCTGTTGTTGCATGTGAGCCATTTGCAAACCCTGCTTGTCGGGTACAGCTTTGCAAAGTGGGAAGTGGTCTCTCTCGCCTTCAACTCTTCTTCTCTGAGAAGCTGTAAGGATTAATTGGATGGTGTCCATGCTGTCTGCCAGGAAGATAGAAAGTGTGAAGTATCATCTGGATGGGTTTGGTAAGCACGAGATTCTCTTTCCTCTGCTTATGACAAACAGAGTGACAGCCCAGTGCTGTGTTTAAACAAGTTAATATGTATGTTCCTTGACATAAGGAAGCGCTCTAATCACGAAATACAGCTTGCATGTCATTTGGTTTTGAGATTTTATTGAGTACTACTAATCTTGACATATTTTGGTTGGCACCACATTCTTGGTATAGTGGGTTAGTGGTTGAATAGTTTGCAGACTTTGTGAAACAAAATCCTCATTTAATGGTTTAGTTTGGCTACATTTTGAAAATATACAAAAACATAATGCACTTTTATTTTATAGGGAATTTTTTTTCAACTTGTGGCTTTGTTTTTTTCTTTTTCTTTCTTTCTTTCTTTTCCTCACTGCCCTTTCTTTCCTCTCTGTCCCTGTCTCTTTGTCTCTGTCTCTCTTTTTAATGTTCCAGTTGCAGCAGCCTAGGAGGAAAGCAGCAGAGAAAGACAACCTGTGACCCTACTGAGCTGCAGGCAGAAGAATCTTCTTTGTACTGCTCGAGGTCAAGAATGTGTTTACCCCCTGGCCTAATGCTCTGAACTTTTGCATCTGAGTGCAGGACTTCAGGACCTCTGAAGGCCACCACGCAGTGGAATGAAGCTCCCTAGCAGAAGCAACTGGATTAAACGTGCAACAAGACCAGTCCACACCAGCCCCCCAAGTCACTGAACTCAATGACATCATGCCCAGGCAGAGAAAGTCAACAGGCCTCTGGCCCGGGTCCCCTCCACTCCTCTCATTTCTTCTGCCTCTCGCTGTTCTTAACCCAGGGACAGTATTTAGAAAGCAGAGCGGGTTCAGGCAGCCCTCTCAATTACTTTGGCTGGAACCTTCCTGAGTACATTTTGCTATCTCTTTGTGATGTAAACAGGGGCATTCACAGTTGGCAGGGGATGCTCTTTCTGTTTTAATTACACATGGCATAATTATAGTCCCAGGGTCTGGAAACAGCACAAAGTTCTTTGGAGAACTTCATAGGGATTTTTCTGTTATGACATAGTTTATCAGGAGAAAAAAAAGTAAGGCAAAAGACATTTCCAAAGAGGAACGAACAACACTATTTATACTAGCATTCCATTCCCTAATGAGCAGATCACAAAATTGGAGTAGACATTTTTTCTGGAGGCGGGGGTGGAGTTTCAAAATTTTGGACTCATGGACAGTGGTGGCAAAATCTAGATAAATACTAATGAATGGATGTGGGTGGAGAAGGATATATACGTAAATTTTTTTTACTTAAGAAAGCAATTAGAAGGCATCCAGCTGTATCTGAGGGAATTTGCACGTACCCTGGACCCTGAGGATATGGAAAAAGATTCTACCATAGTCATAGTAATCTGGCCTAAACCTGAGTCGTAAAATTCTCTCTGCCCCCAGATGTGCAGTATGAGGGCACTTCATTACTCTGCTGATGTAGTGAGAAATCGCAGAACTGCCATGGTAATGGAGAGTGCAGTGACAGAGATGGGGAGAGACGGCTGTTTCTCTGTTATGAAACATGTTTTCATAGGTAATTCTGATGTACAGTAGGTATTAAATAGAGCAACGAAAAGATGTTTTATTTTAGATTACTGCTAGAGTGATATTTCCCCCATGGCACTAATAATCTGGCTGCTTTCTAAAGCCTATTTCCTCTCCCAGTTTCTCATAGACTCCCAGCACTGTTTTGGCAGAAGGGTAAGCCATTGCATTGAAATTTCTGCCTTGGAAAAGTAGAAGATCAACTTTATATATTATGCATTTTATATTTAGACTAGAGGGACATGGTGCATTTTTTTCTGGTGGGGAGGAAGATATTAAATAAGTTCTGCTTTTGCAATGTAGAGATAGGAATATATATAGGGGGTAAAAATATTTCAAGAACGGCTTTTTGTAATTGAGTGATTTTTTTTTTTCTAAGACAGAGTCTTGCTCTGTTGCCCTGGCTGGAGTATAGTGGCACAATCTTGGCTCACTGCAACCTCCGCCTCCCAGGTTTGAGCGATCCTCCTGCCTCGGCCCCCCTAGTAGCTGGGATTACAGGCACGCACCACCATGCCCAGCTAATGTTTGTGTTTTTAGTAGAGACAGGGTTTTGCCATGTTGGCCAGGCTGGTCTCAAACTCCTGACCTCAGGTGATCCACCTGACTTACCCTCCCAAAGTGTTGGGATTATAGGCGTGAGCCACTGTGCCCAACCTCGAGTGATCATTTAAGACACCCCTGTATGCATGCATGCTGGTTTGAAATCCAGGGGACACACCACTTCAGCCTAGCCTCTCTGCTGTCTGTATCACGGAGGACTCACAGACCTAGTTTAATTGTATGCTTCTTACATATTTCAAGGCTGACACAGGAACAGCAATAAGAGGCCTGTGGTTGAAACCACATCGTTTTCATCACAGTGGAAAAAAAATAAGGTCATTGCAGGTTTGGAGCATGGTTAGGTTTGAGCCTGCCCACATTATTTTATTCATGTTAAAATATAAAGAGATGGCCGGGCGCGGTGGCACACGCCTGTAATCCCAGCACTTTGGGAGGCCGAGGCGGGCGGATCACGAGGTCAGGAGATCGAGACCATCCCGGCTAAAAAAACGGTGAAACCCCGTCTCTACTAAAAATACAAAAATTAGCCGGGCGTAGTGGCGGGCGCCTGTAGTCCCAGCTACTTGGGAGGCTGAGGCAGGAGAATGGCGTGAACCCGGGAGGCGGAGCTTGCAATGAGCCGAGATCGCGCCACTGCACTCCAGCCTGGGCGACAGAGGGAGACTCCGTCTCAAAAAAAAAAAAAAAAAAAAAAAAAAAAAAAAATATATATATATATATAAAGAGATGAGAAACATATTGAACGAGAGGACAGAAGTTAATTTATTTCTGGGCCTTCCCCTCTCTGCAATATCCTCCCACCCACTTTTAGCTGGAGGGTGAGCCCTCTCTGCCAGCCCTTCTCCCCCTCCACCTTTGGGGTTTTGTTTTTCTTTTTTTTTTTCAATTTGTTAAGATGCTGAAATCTGCTTTGTGTGATTTATGAAGGAACTTGAAGCGATTAGTTTCACAGTGCATGAAAATTCCTCAGGTTCAGGGGGGGATGGCCAATCTGTTACACTGTTTGCCGTGGACTGGGTGGGAACTTGAGCAGCTCGGAGCCATAAGGAGATTGTGTTGAGTTATTAAACACTTGTGGTAAAGCTGCTTATTGTTAATTCCCCGATGTCCTGCTGAAGCGATAGGATAAAATCAGATCGGATTAGATCAAAGAGCCTGGGAGCCAGCCTTTGGAGCAGATTCATTTAATCAATAAAGAGACCTCCTGAGAGACAGGGAGAGAATGGGCAGTGCTGGTGGCTCAGGGATTAAGACCGGGTTGGGGGAGTTATGGGAAAGAAACAACAGTTTATACATAGATATTTCTCCCCTTTTTTAGAGGTGTAATTCTCTTCTCAAATATTTTAGCCACACTCAGCAAAGTGTATAAACATTTCTTTAAGATTCCATGACTCCAACCCTCCATTGCTCCAAAAATGCCCTATAAGTCAGGAAGTTAGAGAGAAAAAAACCACCAAAAAAACAACTTCTGTTCCATAAAAGGTATTTCAACAAAAGCAATTTAGGCTTAAGTGATTCCCCAAGAAACATTAATCCTTTATGAGTCAATCTGCAAAATTTCCTATTGTTCTTTTGTGAGGAGAAATAATAGAGAAACACCAAAAGGCCAAAGTCTAGCTCCACCCCGCTCTTTGTATTCTCCTCACTGCCCACCTCCCAGCCCCCACCAGTAATTATAAGGCATTGTGTATTAAGAGGTATGATGTGGCTTCCTTCATCCATGATTAACACTTACACCAATGCATATTCATTCATCTCTTAGCCCTACCAAACCCTGCTAAAATGAGGACTTGCCAATAAGGAAGTCACACCCATTAGAAAGTTAACCACAGAAAATGAGAGAAAAAATGAAGGATAGAGCAAATTAAGGATGCGAGTCCCTCAATGGTTATTGGCCTTAATGGTGTTATAAAAATGATGTCGGCTTTTACCAGGAATAATTTATATTCTGAATTAAATAAGGATATGTATCTATAAATCCATTCTATAAAACTTAATTTTCCATCTAGATAGGCTGATTACTTTGGGCTCGGCATACCTTTACCGGTTGTTAATTACTGCGGGATGGTTTAACACTATTTTCCAAATCAGCATGCATGCATAAAATGACTGCAATCCAATTTGACACATTATTAGTGATGATTATTGTCATAGATAAATTAGATTGAACAGAAAATAACCTTCATCCTTAGCATGTTTTAGCTCTCAGAATTAATGTGATTTGGTGAACACATATAAATAAAAATCTGACGAGTCCCTGCTGACTACAGGGCCTGTTGGTGCTGAAGTGTATCAATTTCATGCAGATGATGAATTCCTTAAGCATTCAGTGATAATCATGCTTGATTTGACAAGACTTTCTCATGCTATTTTAGGGCCTTAATTTTCTGTGAAGTTCTGTCAAGTGCTCATCAAGCACCCACTTATCTCCGTATCTTAACCTGGCAGCCAATCACAAGGTTGCCTAACAGTACAGCTACGGAGTGCCAGCCCATTAATATTCGGGTCACGTGACTGTCCAAGGAGAGAAACCAATCAATGGCTGATTAACATTCAGGTCACATGACTCCCGAGGAGAGTAAATGAGTTACACAGTAAGACATCAAACAAATTTTCATCTTGAAAGAGTGATTGCTTTTTCTGCTGCTGTGATGTTTGTCAAATTCGCTCTAGCCTTGTCCAATTAAGCTCCATGAGCTGAATTAATAATGAAGAGATGTAAGCACCGAGCCAGCATGAGCGCTGCGATCTGTGCCACGTAATAAGAACTGCTTAAAAAAAAAAAAAAAAAAATCCTACAATGATTGAAAAATCACATCTGGATAACTGGAATAATTGCTTTTGCAATCTTGATGCTGTTTTGTAATCTCCAGTGCAAAGTGTGAACTGGAGTATGCTGGGACATGGCACTGAGCTGGCATTGTACTTCAAAGATGAATGTGTTCTTGAGTTTAGAATGATTTTAAAGGCATTACACAAATACATGTTAATTGGATTATTGTTTGTGACCATAGTAATGAATTTCATTTGCACACTCAATTATGCTCTGGGGCTTTCTGGAGGTATGATCTTTCAAGGTTTTTTAAACTGGCTCATGCCTGTAATCCCAGCACTTTGGGAGGCCGAGGCAGGAAGATCATGAGGTCAGGAGATCGAGACCATCCTGACTAACACAGTGAAACCCTGTCTCTACTAAAATACAAAAAAAATTAGCCGGGCATGGTGGTGGGCGCCTGTAGTCCCAGCTACTGGGGAGGCTGAGGCAGGAGAATGGCGTGAACCCGGGAGGTGGAGCTTGCAGTGAGCCAAAATCGTGCCACTGCCCTCCAGCCTGGGTGGCAGACTGAGACTCCATCTCAAAAAAAAAAAAATTTTTTTTTAAACTGTCAGAAGAGGGGAAGGAAATTATTCTCTATTCTTGTATCTTGGGTGAAGAAAAGACTGAACTAAGTCCTCAGAGAGAATTAGAGTGTTGGTGTGGGTGTGTGGGTGTGTGCTTCTCATTTTATTAACATGCAGAGGTTGATAAATTAAATTCACTGAATTATTTCAAAATGCACATGTGAACCCAGTGAAAATTTTCAGAAAAAGGCAGATGCTCTCTTGCTGTTGATAGCCAGTGACAGCTTTCTTGTAGTTTCAGGGAAAGTTCTATTCAATCACAAAGTCAATTGCATTTCAGCACAGATACACTACTAAATTCAGGTGACATGTTTAGAATAGAGACCCTATGACTAATAAAGCTTTCATTCTTTCCCTGAAGGGAGTGAGACTTGACTAATGGTTTTGGAATTATCAAAGAGTGTCAAATCCCACTTATTAAGTTCCAGCATGAAATTAGCTAAATTCCCAAAGGCCTTTCTAAAACAATATAGTCAAATAAAAGGTGTTGGGCGTGCTGGAAAGAGTGTTAAAACCAGTTACTTGGAAGTGATGAGAAATAAATCTAACCATAGGCAGGAGGCAATGTTTATGTATACAGTTAATAACCTTCTTAATGGGACTTCTTGGCTTGGTGATTCCCGGACGGGGAGGAAAGTGAGATGTGGAGCACAGGGTAGGCGAAGGGCCGTAAGTCAATTCCCAGCACTGTTAGTCAAGGATGGAAATTGCAAAGAGAGAAGCAATGAATTTAAAAGCCCCAGCAAGCTGAGAGAGTGGAAGGAGAAGATGAACTGTACATTTCGAGGAGGAGGGAATGAAGGTGGAAGGGGAATGGTTGCGAGTCCACATTGGATCATAATAAAGTAATTAAAGTTGATTTAGTCCAGAGAACAAGGGGCTCCATCATTTTTTCAGCATTGTCTCCTTAGGGTGAGTGAGGCCTGAAGGAGAGCATATTATAGAAGTGGTTTTATTCAAAAAAGCTAAAGTTGAGACCCCAACCACTAAGACTCAAATGGAATTTCAGATTCTTGTGAAAACGCAGTCCTGAGTTGGTATGAGAAGACCTGAGGTACCCAAGGTAATGTAAGTTGAATGGACATTCTTTTCCTCAATATTTTACCTCTGACTCACTTTGCAGTGAAGTGGCAGCCTGGAGCTCTACTTACATGCAGCTCACACACCATGGAGCCCCTTCCTACAAGCACCCCCACTTCCTGGCACTTGAGAGGCACAGAATGGAAGGTGGCTCCACGTTGTCCTCATCAGTTGGTTTTAGAAGGCCCTGAATAAAAGAGTATTCCACTTTCTGCATAACTTTACATAATTAATAGTTTTCCATGCAAACTACTGTTTGCAGTAATTGTTGTTTCAACAGCTGTTTTCATTAAATTGTAAAGCCCGCTGTGTCTAATCCTTTGAGCCCCACTATTGATAACAAGAACAGCTCTGAAGCTTGCTCTGGAGGAGGGTTCCCTGCCAAGCTGGAAAACTGTCATGAAGTTACTTGAAAAATAAGGCCTACAGTGGGACTGGTTGTGTAGCTAATCCATTAGGCTTTTCAAAAGAGCCATGCTCTGTCCCCTTATGGCTAAATTGACCCAACAACCAATCAATGCCTTTATTTGCTGAGTGGCTGCCCCCGAAGGGTCTTACAGCTGGGTCCAAGTCGTAATCAAAGCCTCCATCAGTACTGGGGCCCTGATGACATAAATGGCCCAACTTTCAACGCAGCTGGCCCAAGTCCAGTCACACCATTTTGAAGATACAAAGAGGCTGTGTTGCGCGGTGGAATTCATTTTCTTGTTTACTTCCTCCAGAAACAAGAGCATCATCAGCACGCTCAGTGCATCGGATCAGACCGCGGAGTTGTTGACAGAAGCTTGGCGAGGCCTGCCAGCTTTCCGCATGAAACGCTGGCTTTCTTCTCATACACCCCCTACCGTTTGTGTCTCTGCCAATTGTAGCACATCAGAGCGGCCATTGAGATAATGACCGTGAAGTCTCATGATACACTTTGATGAAGTGTAACATTTTTTAAAGGATTTTTGTCTGTGCCAAAATGATCGAGGCAGCTGACTAAAAATCGCCCCATCAAAATCAGGGCTGATGAACAGCAGGCGGAGGCAGGAGTCTCCCCAGAGAAGATGGGGGGATTTCGCAGCCAAAGTGTCTTTCTTTCCAGGTCTGTGTGCACCACAGATTCCTTTTTTAAAAAGTTGTCTTTGTTTCAGATGAATATATGTCAGTTGCTGATGCTTCAGCCTCCAACATTTTTTAATTCTTTTTTTTTTTTCTATCAAACCCCAGAAGATGCAGGGACTGATTCCTTTCTGACAGGTCCTTACTAATGACTTAGAACATAATGTTATTGTTAATAACTCCATCTTGCTTGGGAAAAGCATTCCAGAGCTCATCAGTGCAATAGCAGAGGTTTTCAGTCAGAAGCTGACTCTAGATTCGTGTTCATGTAACTTTGCCTTTCTCTAGTTTAGCAGGAATTGAGAGTAGGATACACAAAGTGGTTCTCAGCCAGGGAAAAACAAAATTAAGCTGGTAAAACATAGACAAAGATTCTGAGCTTCTTTGGGAGAAAAATCATATGTTTCATTTACTGCCTGGGTCCATCACGACTACCATTTATTGAACACCTGCTGAGTGAGGTGGGTGATAGGTGATAGTACCAGGTGATTTGGATTTTCACATAGTGTCCCTGACCTGCAGGACAACTCCATTTCCCAAGTGGAGAAACCAAGGCCCAAACGAGGAGCCTCAGTTGGGGCAATGTTAAGTGACTTGGCCAAGCCCAAACCAAAGAGCTGGGAAGTGGGAAGGCAGGTCTGACCCATGCACTTCCTTACAAGATGTGATCCCTTTCTATCTGTGGTTTGCTGTTTCCATTGTGCACCTGATATGGCTTATTAAATGGTGCCCAGTGGGAGAAAACAATTTGTGGTTGAACTGGTAAAGGCAATGAATCAAATGAATTTACAGTCTGCCACTCTGACCTCTTAGCTTTCTCGAAGGAAGACATTAGCTATGTGGCATCCTTTCATACGACTTAACAAACGTAGGCTCAGAAACCAGGTTTAAGTATGAAAGAAGCAGCAGTGAGGTTTTGGCTACCCTCTCTCCATCTGTAGTTTACCTTCTTACTCAAGGTTAAACCTTGGGACAGGTCTTACCCTTCTGAGGAAGTGAGAGCTGTGAACTCTAGGACTTCGCTGAATGTCATAACTAAAGAGACACCTGTATTTAAGTAAGTTTATGCAGAAACCACAAGTGGAAACCACAAGGGGGTTATGGGTCAGCTGCCTTTAGAATCTTTGCTTCTATATAAGAATATGCATGCACATATATATTCTTGGGTGCAGGACTATGTATTAGAGTGGGGCAGAGGTGGTAAATTAGGGGAAGAGTGAAGGTAAAGGAAGCCAGGGGTAGCTGGCTTAATCATGATAAAAACACTTATATTTGCATGTGCAGATGAGATTCCTTTGGGCTTCTTTTAAATGCCTTCATACTGTTCCCTAAGTACAGTCAAATAAAAGGTGACAAAAACTCAGACGACAGAACAAAAGAACCAAGCTAATTTTGTGCACACATTGCAAGCAGTAAACTGCAGAGCTTCACTACCCTCTTTCCAAAGAAAGTATATTTCAGGAGTCAAGATGGGTTCATCCCAGTTTGCATTTAGATTTTATTTTGCTAATTATTTGGATTTTAAAAAGGAACAGTGTCCCAAATCCAAGTTTTGCAGACAAGTTTAGGCAGTCAAATTTATACACCTGAGGCATTGTGAAAGAAAAAGGACAACAGCCTCTCTGGAGTTGGCAGAAATGTGACTAAGGCTTCTCATCCCATAGAAGGCAGGAAGGAGCTACATAGATCCATTTGCACAGGGAAACTTGTCTAATGGACTCAGAGATTTTCTGAGAGTTCTTTCAGCCTCCCTTCTATGCCAAAGTATGGGCATATGCATTTTATAACGGGAGAGTAGTCTATTGGGAGAATCCATCACAAACTCTTTATCTCATTTCAAACAGAAAGCACTAAGACTCCAAAGGCAAAGAGGCTCCTTCTTTCCTCCAGGAGCCCCTGAGTGAGGGAACCACACAAACCCATTTAACTTTAGAGAAAACTGTTACGATTTGTTTCAGCCTGTCTTCTTACCCTCACTTTGCTCATTTGTAGAATGATGGGTTTATATTCTCTGAATACCCCCCAGCACCAAAAGTTTCTAGTTTTTAAAGATTCTTTAAGTATAGACTAATGCCTTTCATTTCCACTGTTTCTAAGAGGATCAGGAAACTAACTGAATCAGTCCAAATTGACAAATAAAAAGATCTATTTGCTACTTTCCAAATATGCTGTACTTCTGAGCCTTTGCTCAAGTCTGTGTTTCTCAGAGTGAGGTCCCTGGACCCAGGCCATCAGCATCACCTGAAATGCAAATTCTCATGCTCCATCCCAGACTTACTGAATTCCTCTCCCTCTCTCTCAGCCCAGCCACCACGTAAACAAGCCCAGCTGTCCTGCTAGAGAGGTTCTGGGGTGAGGCTGCGAGGAGAAGAGCCTTGATTTGAAGCCTTAAGAGTGACCCTGAGCTAGAACCACCCAGTTAAGCTGTGTCTCCATTCCTGAGCCACAGAAACTATGAGATGATAAATGTTTATTGCTCTAAGTTGCTAAATTCGGAGGTAATTTGTTATGCGCCAATAGATAACTAAATACACAGGGCTTGCATGTTTTTGTATTCTCTAAAGCTCATAATGGGATGCTTTGCTCATAATAGGAGTTTATTATATGATTGCTGGAATTGAAGGAATTTTGCCTTGAGAAATTTTCAAGAGTAATTTCTCAGTTTAAAAGGGTTGTGTTCACTATAGGTTCCAGGAAAAGATGCCTGAATAAGTTACAGGAAAACAACAAAAAGGGTGGGGGTTGGAGGAACACAGAATGAAAGGAAGAAGGGAAAACGTAGTAAGTTTGAGGGAAACTGTATATTAGGCTTCTCCAGTCTTTGAGTTTTCCTGCAGTTTCTCCAACTTATGAAATAAGGGAGTTTTTTTTCTTTTTTTTTTAAGAGACAGAGTCTTGGTTTATCACCCAGGCTGGAGTGCAGTGGTGTGATCATAACTTACTGCAGCCTGGAACTTTTGGGCTCAAGCAATCTTCCCGCCTCAGCCTTCTGCCTCAGTCTCCTGAATAGCTGAAACTATAGGCGTGTGCCACCAAGCCCATAATTTTTGTAGAGACAGGGGTCTTGCTTTGTTGCCCAGGCTGGTCTCAAAATCCTGGCCTCAAGCAGTCTTCACTCCTTGGCCTCCCAAAATGTTGGGATTACAGGTGTGAGCCACCACACCTGGCAAGAGACTTTTTATGTTACCATTTTAAGAGGAAGGAGGCCCAACTACCCAAATAAATATCTTCAGTGCAATAGAGGAAGTCCAGAAATTCCAAATTGCCGGCCAGAGTCCACCATTTGAAGATAAAGTGCGACACTCAAGAGGCTGAGCCTGGATTTAGCTGAGACAAGTGTCGGAATGACCATCCCTCACTTCTAGTCTTTCCTGCCACTACATTCATAGCTTTCTTTTAAATTTTGACCAATAAAAATTGTGTATATTTGGCCAGGCGTGGTGGCTCACTCCTGTAATCCCAGCACTATGGGAGGCTGAGGTGCGCAAATCGCTTGAGGTCAGGAATTCGAAACCAGCCTGGCCCACATGGTGAAACCCCGTCTCTACTAAAAACACAAAACAGTTAGCCGGGCATAGTGGTGCATGCTTATAATCCCAGCTACCTGGGAGGCTGAGTCAGGAGAACTGCTTGAACTCAGGAGGTGGAGGGTGCAGTGAGCTGAGATTGCGCCACTGCACTCCAGCCTGGGCGAGAGAGTGAGACTCTGTCTCAACAAAAAACAAAAATTGTGTATATTTATACAATTTGTGTAATGGTGTACAACATCATGTTTTGAAATATGTATGCACTGTGGAGTCATGTTTCTCTTTCTCTCAACATCCTAACAGTCATATTTTCTGCTCGTCAGCTCCAGACATTAACGTGAATAATGTGGAAGGTAAAACAACACATCCTCTGGATTTGTGAGTAGCTGGAAGTTGGCCTTCCTTATTTTATGCCTATGCCTCTCTTGCCTAGCTAGCTCAGTGTCACCTCAAGTTTCTTTCTTTTTTTTTTTTCTTTTTAATTTTGAGACGGAGTCTCGCTCTGTCGCCCAGGCTGGAGTGCAGTGACGTGATCTCGGCTCACTGCAACAGGTGATCTCGGCTCACTGCAACCTCTGTCTCCCAGGTTCAAGTGATTCTCCTGCCTCAGCCTCCAGAGTAGCTGGGATTACAGGCACCTGCCATCATGCTTGGCTACTTTTTTGTATTTTTGTAGAAGTAGCGTTTCACCATGTTGGCCAGGCTGGTCTTGAACTTCTGACCTCAGGTGATCCACTCACCTCGGCCTCCCAAAGTGCAGGGATTACAGGTGTGAGCCACCGTGCGCAGCCTCACCTCCAGTTTCTTTCCCTTTCTTGTCTAAAGGAGGGCTGAGCGTGCCTGGAAGGAAAGAGGGGTGTTGAAAACAGGTGAGCAGCCCTTCTCCTGGTACAGCCAGCAAGCTTGTCCACACAGTGTTTGGTGTGGTACTTATTCTACCCTTCAGGACAATGCTTTCTTGGTACTTCTGAATGCTGCTGCTGGCTCCTGCAACCACACACACACACACGCACACCTGTAACGCACTCCTCTGAAAAACTCTAATCTCAGACAGAATGCAGCCAGCTGAAACCAGCAGTGGAACATCCTTCTCTAGATACCTCAGGACATAATGGAGACTGACTTTCTGGGAGATTGCTTGGCTGGGTGGAGAATGAAGACTTTAATTTCAAGCCATCTTGTTTGCAGTTTCCTTGAGAAAAAAATCTTGGTTTGGATGACACCCAGTATAATATGATTTATTTGGTGTAAGTGCAAGAATTTTTCTCTTTAATTTTCTCATTTCCTGAACATAGGGCCTTTTTTTGAGATTTTTTTTTCTTTCCACTGTTGTTGACATATTTGGTTTCATTTTTAAGAGCAAAAAAAATTATTTAGGAGAAAGGCTTAATTAAGTTTTCTAGGGATATTAATTTGGCGATTACTTGCGTTACTTAACTAAAGAAAAGCCAAATAAAACTATATAGCTATGATTTCAAGGCATAGCACTTCAGAATAAGTGTCAGACAAAATTGTTTCTTGTTATGATCTGGGGAGTGGCCTATGAAAGCTGTTTTGAGTTTGGAGGAATTTTGAAGTTGTTGCTTTATGGAAATTATGATGTTTCTGGAGAGATCCTCCAGGTTCCACATTCTGTAATTCTGTAATTTCTTTTCTTTTCTTTCTTTTTTTTTTTTTTTTTGAGATGGAGTTTCGCTCTTGTCACCCAGGCTGGAGTGCAGTGGTGCAATCTCGGCTCACTGCAACCTCCACCTCCTGGGTTCAAGCAATTCTCATGCCTCAGCCTCCCAAATAGCTGAGATTACAGGCATGTGCTACCACGCCCGGCTAATTTTTTGTATTTTTACTAGAGATGGTGTTTCACCATATTGGTCAGGCTGGTCTCGAACTCCTGACCTCACGTGATCCACCGGCCTCGGCCTCCCAAAGTGCTGGGATTACAGGCATGAGCCACCATGCCTGGCCCCATCCCAGACTTCTTCCAGCTGAGGAAGATGCTGAGCCCAGGCACAGGCCAAAAAATGGTGGAGTTCAGTGACAGCATTGAAGGAGCATTCCGGCCTCCTCCCTCTGTTTATCCTTTTGTCAACGTGGATGATGTTTGCCAGGGTAGAAAAGCCACACATTCTTGGTATAATTGATGGGGCACTGTCAAGCAATGGTATAAGTGGTTTATTTTGAAGGAGGTTATTACTGGCCACAAAACTTCAAGTCAGCTGTTTGCTGGGAACCCTCATGAAGGAAGCCCCTGTTTTGGTGTCCACCCTCAAAAGCATCTCACAGAGGGCTTACTGTACTTTTGCACCCAGCCACATTTAATCCATTTATAAGACCCCTTTGTCTGAGATGCCTTACCAGAGGAAATTAATGAAGGATATTGCAGACAGCTTTTAAGAATGTCTTTTCTATAGCACTGTGTAGTTCTGAGAGCAAAGTGGGTTTTTTTCCCCCACATTGTTATGACTTGACATCTCCGATGTGGAATGTTTCCAGCCAGTTATGATAGGAAAGGGCTGGACTTTTTACTCTTGTGGAAACCACGGCAGAAGAAAGCCATTATATTATCTATTCACTTGCTCTCCTGTAAATATAAATGCATTTAAGAAATGGGTCCTCGTTAGGGGAGGTGAGGTGGCAGCACTTAAAAGTCAGGCAATGAAAAATGGAAAGTTTGCCCCGGCGCGGTGGCTCACGCCTGTAATCTCAGCACTTTGGGTGGTCGAGGCGGGTGGATCACCTGAGGTCAGGAGTTTGAGACTAGCCTGACAAACATGGAGAAACCCCGTCTCTACTAAAAATACAAAATTAGCTGGGTGTAGTGGCACATGCCTGTAATTCCAGCTACTCGGGAGACTGAGGCGGAAGAACCACTTGAACCCAGGAGGTGGAGGTTGCGGTGAGCCAAGATAGCGCCATTGTACTCCAGCCTGGGCAACAAGAGTGAAACCCAGTCTCAAAAAAAAAAAAAAAGAAAAGAAAAAGAAAAGAAAAAAAATGGAAAGTTCAAGATCACAATGGTTACCATGTGGACAGCAGAAGATAAACATGTGACTCACAAGGAGGAAGATATATTTAATAAACCTATCCCCGAATGAAAGGTCCTTGGTCTTTTGGTTTTTGTTGTGTTCATTTCACAGCAGATCAGTGAGCGTGTCCTTACTGCCTGGCCCCAGTTCAAGTCCTGGTGTTAGTGCTTCGGCTTTGAAGTCAGATGACCTGGGGTCAAGCCTGTGCCTTGCCACTGGGTGGCTGTGTGGCCTTGGGCAAGCTATTTGCTAAACTTTCTGTTTCTGCATCTATACAAAGTGAATAAGACTGAAACCTTCCCTTCATAAGGCTGTTGAAGGCCAGGCGTGGTCACTCACGCCTATAATCCCAGCACTTTAGGGGACCGAGGTGGGAGGATCGCTTGAGGCCAGGAGTTTGAATTCAGCCTGGCAAACATAGCAAGACCCCATTTCTACAAAGAAATTAAAAATTAGCTGAGTGTGGTGGCATGTGCCTGTAGTCCCAGCTACTCGGGAGGCTGAAGTGGGAGGATCTCTTATGCCCAGTAGTTTGGGGCAATAGTGAACCATGATCCACTGCACTCCAGCCTGCATGACACAGTGAGATCCTGTCTCCAAAGCAAGGAAAAAAGGCTCTTCTAGAGGACTAAATGAGGTAAAGGAAACGTGTAACTGGGGTATAATGGGCATGCAGCCCTGGGAAGCTCTTGCCATCAGAGCACCAAGCACACACCCCTTAAAACAGAAATATTTGGGCCAGGCGTGGTGGCTCATGCCTATAATTCCAGCACTTTGGGAGGCTGAGGCAGGTGGATCACTTGAGGTCAGGAGTTCGAGACCAGTCTGACCAAAGTGGAGAACTGTCTCTACTAAAAATACAAAATTAGCCGGGCGTGGTGGCCCATGCCTGTAATCCCAGCTACTCAGGAGGCTGAGGCTGGGAATTGCTTGAACCCGGGAGGCGGAGGTTGCGGCGAGCCAAGATTGCGCCATTGCACTCCAGCCTGGGCAACAAGAGCAAAACTCCGTCTCAAAAAAAAAAAAAAAAAAAAAAAAGAGAGAGAGAAATACTCAAATGCTAAAATGAGAAGGGCAGGATGTTTTTTTGTTTTTTTTTTTGCTTGTTTGTTTCTTTGCCAAAGTCACCTGCATTTTATCATTTACATTTATAGCTAAATTATTTAGAAAATAAAGAGAATACATTTGGAAGAAGAGAAGCAGTATCTCATTAAAGCATAGGTGGCCAGCATAGCAAATGGAGATCATAGAGGCAACGCTTGTTGCTCACCAAGCAGAGAGACGTAAGATCTGGATATCAGACACAATCTGCACTCTGAGAGCTGATGTCTGTGGTCAGCTAGAGACAGCTCAGGGTCCCCCCTCAATCCGTAGGTGCAAGAGTGCTTTCCCCACCATCACTGATTTTCTTTCCCTTGTTCTGATGTTGTGATCATTAGTCAACTTCTGATTAATTTAACTCATCTTTCCCAATACTTTTGCCTGAAACCTCCTTCAGCCACTGTCCTTTCTCCCTAATCAACTCCTATTTATCCTTCAAGATGTCCTCTTTGCTAGGTGCGGTGGCTCACACCTGTAATCCCGGCACTTTGGGAAGCTGAAGCAAGGGGATCACTTGAGTCCAGGAGTTCGAGACTAGCCTGGGCAACATGGCAAGACCTTGTCTCTACAAAAAATTTTAAAAAAATTTTGCTAGGTGTGGTAGTATGTACCTGTGGTCCCAGCTACTCAGGAGGCTGAGGCAAGAGGATCATTTGAGCCCAGGAGGTCAAGGCTTGCAGTGAGCCATGATTGCACCACTGCACGCTAGCCTGGGTGACAGAGTAAGACTCTGTCTCAAAAAGAAAAAAAAACAAAAAAGATGTCCTTTTTTAAAAAGATTCATTTGTCTGCTATTTTCTTAACTCTTTTTTTTTTTTTGAGATGGAGCCTCGCTCTGTTGCCCAGGCTGGAGTGCAGTGGCGCGATCTTGACTCACTGCAACCTCTGCCTCCTGGGTTCAAGTGATTCTCCTGCCTCAGCCTCCTTAGTAGCTGGGATTACAGGTGCACGCCACCATGCCTGGTTAATTTTTGTATTTTTAGGAAAGACAGGGTTTCACCATGTTGGTCAGGTTGGTCTCGAACTCCTGACCTGGTGATTTGCCTGCCTTGGCCTCCCAAAGTGCTGAGATTACAGGCATGAGCCACTGTGCCTGGCCTCCTTTCTTAACTCTTTTATACTAAATCATAATTTTAGAAAATTACCTGGCTTTTTCATGAAACTGTGAGCTTGACAAGAGTGATGGTGTTATAGTCTCACTATGAAGAGTTCCCTCTTCCCCAAGTGTCACATCTAGTCTGAAGGAAGCACTGAATACATCCTTGAGGACTGGATATTGAATAAATACATGGAGTGAGTGAAGAGCAATTTGTGGGTGAATCAATGTTAGACGGTGTGTTGTAGCAGAGTATTATGGGCCGAATTGTTTCCCTCAAAATTCATGTATTACAGTCCTAACCCCCAAGTACCTCTGAATGTGAGTGTTTTTGGAGACAGGGTCTTCAAAGAGGTGATTAAGTTAAAATGAGGTCATTGTTAGGGTGGGCCTTCATCTAATCTCACTGCTGTCCTTATAAGAAGAGATACCATATGTTTGCCCATTCTTGCATTGCTATAAAGGAATACTTGAGACTGGATAGTTTATTTATTTATTTATTTATTTATTTATTTATTTATTTATTGTTATTATTTTGAGATGGAGTTTCACTCTGTCACCCAGGCTGGAGTGCAGTGGTGTGATCTCAGCTCACTGCAACTTCTACCTCCCGGATTCAAGTGATTCTTCTGCCTCAGCCACCCAAGAGGCTGGGATTACAAGCATGCACCACCACACCCGGTTAATTTTTTTTTTTTGTATTTAGTAGAGACAGGGTTTCACCATGTTGGTCAGGCTGGTATTGAACTCCCGACCTCAGGTGATCCATCCGCCTCGGCCTCCCAAAGTGCTGGCATTACAGATGTGAGACACCGCACCCGGCAAGACTGGATAATTTATAAAGAAAAGAGATTTAATTGACTTATGGTTCTGCAGGTTGTACAAGAAACATGGCTTCTGGTAAGACCTCAAGAGGCTTTTACTCATGGCAGAAGGCAACGTGGGAGCTTACACATCACATGGCAGAAACGGGGAAGACAGAGAGTGTCATGGGGGAAAGGTGCCACATACACTTTTTAAGGAGCAGATCTTGCAAGAACTCACTATCGTGAAGACAGCACCAAGCCATGAAGGACCCACCCCTATGATCCAAACACCTCTAACTAGGCACCCCCTCCAGCACTGGAGATTACAATTCAACATGAGGTTTGGGTGGGGAGAAATATCCAAAATGTATTGCACTATAGGATTCAAGCACACAAAGAGGCACCAGGGAATCACAGGCCCAGGGAACAAGCCGCGTGAGGACACAGGTAGATGGTGGCCATCTTCAAGCCAAGGAGAGAGGCCTCAGGAGAAATCAAACCTGCCCACACCTTGATCTCGGACTACTAGCCCCCATCACTGTGAGAAAATCAATTTCGGTTGTTTAAGCCACCGTGTTTGTGGTATTTTGTTATGGTAGCCCTAGCAAACTAATACAGAGTAATGTGAATGAGCTATTTCTGAGGAAAATGTCAATGTATTTTAAAACCAATGTGGGCCGGGAGTGGTGGCTCACGCTTGTAATCCCAGCAGTTTGGGTGGCTCAGGCGGGTGCATCACTTGAGGTCAGGAGTTCAAGACCAGCCTGGCTAACATGGTAAAACACTGTTGCTGCTAAAAACACAAAAAATTAGTCCGGTGTGGTGGTGCACACCTGTAATCCCATTTATTTGGGAGGCTGGTGCAGGAGAATGGCTTTAACCTGGGAGATGGAGGTTGCAGTGAGCAGGTATTACACAACTGAACTCCAGCCTGGGCAACAGAGCGAGATGCTGTCTCAAAGAAAAAAGAAAGAAAAAAAAAGAATGTGAAAGGAGGACTTAAGAGGAAGCTACTTAATATTAACTAAACAGCAATAATAAGTCACCTCTAGTGAGTGGCTGCTATCTGCTGACACTCTTCAAAGTGGCTGACATACATTATTTAGTTTTACAATAATCCCGTCAGGTAGTTATTATCATCTCTATGTTATAAATGAGGAGGAAAGTGAGGTTTGGGTGGGTTGAGTAAAATCTCATAGATCACACAGGCGCTGAGTAGTGGACTGGGGCCTGAACGCAGGTCTGATTTCAAAGCTCATGTGCATATTCCGCCATATTGCCAAGTTACATCCATCACAGGGAGAGGTCCAGAACAGCATCAGAATTTGACTAGCCTCTGAGGCATGTTTTCTCAAAAGCATTAAGCTTCAAAGGAACATGTCTTCAGAAATACATGGAAATATAGCTGAGAAGATTCTGAGTTTGCTGAGAGATGAAATTACATATTTGGGAACTTGCAAAGAATTTTTTATGGAGACAAAATTGATTTTGCAGTAGGCAGTAACTGAGTAAAGCAAACAGGTACAAATGTGAGACTTGCAAAAAAAAATTGTAAAAGATTCAGCCTGAAACATTCCCAATTAATTTGTATGTGATGAGCTCAAACTCTGTATGAATCTTCAGCAAATAAACCAGTGTCCATTTGCAGAGATGCTAAGTTGCCAGCATTCTCCTATAAGTGAATTGCAGAAAATGGGCTTGATTCTAGATCATTTCATTTAAGGCTTAGTTCTTTTATCCCACAAGGTTAAACTTAGTAAACAAATAAAAAGGTTTAAAAAATATTTTTCACACTAAGAATTTCCTCACCAAAGGCATTTTAAAAGGCTTTTTAAAAATCTGTGTTTATTAATGGAAATATGCTGCTTAGTTACACCACTGATTACTGTCTTTTACTGATTCCAAAGTCTAGGAGGAGTCTATTAACTGGAAACTCAATAGAATTCAGAAAATAAACCACAACAAAATCCTGGAAAAATAAAATACTTTGCTACCAAAGCTTTTGACCCCTTATCATTCCTTTAGTGTTCTCTAACTTTCTTGAAACTGGGTTTGTGTGGACTATTGCTTTCATATTATCTACAGTTTTTAGCACCAGTTAAACTAAATTGAATTCTCATCTTCTAGGAATTAGCCCAAGTATTGATCAGTTTCCTTTGAAGTCAGTTCTAGCTCTGCTTTTGGAAGAGCAGAGGAGAATCAAGATTATTTTCCAGGTTTTCTTGACCATGGTTGCTCTTGGCATATCTTAATGTGTAGCATCTGCCCTTTTGGTTCTAAATTCACTCCATAAGCCAAAAGTCTGACTAGCTTAAAATCTATATATGATATAGCAACATGTGATTTCAACCTGTAAAGACAAAAGAGTACCCTTTGTCCTCTACTGTCCTAATTTCTTTGGGGGTAAAGATGAATTAATTGCAAGAAGGAGAGGTGTGTTGCCTGTAATTATGTGGTATGTGTAAGAAAAGGCCAGCTCAAGTGAAAGAATACAGCTTCTTTTATAAAACAAGATCTGACTTGGGTGTATAAAAGCAACACTGGGAATCAGACCAGAAAAAGAAATCAACCCAGATGTCACTAAGTTTCATTATGAAAGTAACAATAGCATGAAATCACTTTTTTAAAAATTCAGAAACAACCTACACTTATTCTCAGTTAGAACTCATTATTGGTCCCTGGTTGAACTTTAGAAAGATTTAAGCTGAAAGAAACTAAATGTTCAGAATGCACCAGCAAAATTCTCCTTAATTTAATGATTGGAAGAGAATAGAATCAGTAGAAGGTGAGATGTAGTATTAAATCTCTCTCTCTCTTTTTTTTGGGGGGGGGGGGGGTGGATGGAGTCTCTCTCTGTCACCCAGGCTGGAGTGCAGTGGCATGATCTCAGCTCTTTGCAACCTCCGCCCTCCAGGTTCAAGCGATTTTCCTGCCTCAGCCTCCCGAGTAGCTGGGATTATGGGTGCCCACCACCATGCCCGCCTAATTTTTGTATTTTTAGTAGAGATGGGGTTTCACCATGTTGGCCAGGTTAGTCTTGAACTCCTGACCTCAGGTGGCCTCAGACTCCCAAAGTGCTGGGATTACAGGCATGAGCCACCGCGCCCAGCTAAGCATCAAATCTTTAAAAAAAAAAAAAAAATCTGCTAAAAGACCACACATTATCACATCGCATGGGACTAGGTATAACACTGACTTCTTTCAACAGTATTGGGTAAATATTTGACCTCCAATGTCATTATGGTTAATGTATATTCTAGACCTCAGAGGACATTAGGACGGAAGACAACCTTTCTGACTGGCTCTCTAAAAGTCTTTGTTTGCTTGGGAACGACTGGTAATATACTCTATCCTTAACTTGGTGCAGTTCAACTCCTAGCTGTTCAATAGATAAAACAATAATGATCTCATCCTTTTTATCATGAAACTAAATGTGATTTGTAAATCAGTACATAATAATAATAATTTTGGGTTAATTATTAACTCTCAGAAAATATTCTCATTAATAGCTTCCAGGGCTAATATCATTCGTTTATTTAATTATGGAAAGATTGAGATATAGGTGCTGCACATCCTTGAATGTCTCATAAAATCAAAGTTGATTACAATGACACTAATATTTCCATAACTCATGTCTTTCTTGCAATTCCCTATAAGGATAAAACAAATTGCCCTATGTTAAATTACTCATTTTGATAACTATGTGAGAAGATGAGGCACAGATGGTATTTCTGAGAATGGCATCAAAGCATTTAAAATGCTGATTGGCAACATATCGCATATTTATATATGAGTGGAAAGTCATCTTTTGACTATATTAATGCTGCAAAAATAAACACACTTTGGTCTCTGATGCAGAGTTTTAAGTTCTCATGGCAATATCTGTTCACTTTGCTTACCAGGTACAATAGTAGAGTCGACATTTTTATCAGTCAGCTGCATTTATTCAACACCCACCGTGTGTTCAGCATCAGGTGCTTTGGAGCCTTGGCGAGAAAGACATTCAAGGACTTTATAGTTTAATGGGGGAGAAGGAAAAACACAAATGTGTACATGTAAACAAGCAGGGTTGGAGATGTCTAAACATACACACCATCCTGAGCATCTGTGCAAAGATACGGGTGGAAAAGACAAAGGGGGTGTGTGTAAAATGAGTGCAGCAGCTGAGGTGAGGTGAGTCTTGTTTTGTCTAGGCTGTGTTGGAGTGGCAACAGAATTTGTTTTCCATTTCTTAAAAAATTGAGGAATCATATACATTCACGAACAGAATTTTTCTTTTCCTTTTTTTTTTTTTTTTTTGAGACGAGTCTCGCTCTGTCGCCCAGGCTGGAGTGCAGTGGCGCGATCTCGGCTCACTGCAAGCTCCGCCTCCCGGGTTCTCGCCATTTTCCTGCTTCAGCCTCTCGAGTAGCTGGGACTACAGGCGCCCACCACCATGCCCGGCTAATTTTTTTTATAATTTTAGTAGAGACGGAGTTTCACTGTGTTAGCCAGGATGGTCTCGATCTCCTGACCTCGTGATCCGCCCGCCTGGGCCTCCCAAAGTTCTGGACTGCGCCCGGCCGCGAACAGAATTTTTCATTCCATTTTTGGTGCAGCTGGGGGAGCTCTATGGGATTTGAAGTGAGGGAAGTATATTTCTAGTGGAGAGAAGTGCCCATGCGGTGGTTCCCAAAATGTGGTCCAGACCAGTGGCATCAGCATCATCTGGGCGCTTGATGGAAATGCAGATCATCAGGCCCCATCTCAGATCTACTAAGTCTGAAACTCCGGGAGTGGGGCCTGGCGATCTGTGTTTTGGCAAGCCTGCCAGGGGATTCTGATGCTTAAGTGTGAGAAGCACTGCTCTATGAGATGGCTGTGAGTCTACAGCAGGGGCAGTGTTCCTTTGAAATGACAGGTCCAGAGGCCACCTGATACCCATAGGAGGCATTCTACAAGACAAAAGCAGTTGGTGAGGCGGGGGCAGTTGTGAAGACCTCAAAGCTCACCACCAGAAACTTCAAGAGGCTACACTGAGCCCTCTGAAATGTTTATGTTAGAACCACTATACTGACTTAACGTCTTCAGAGAATACTAACTTTCGCATTTCCTGACTTTTATGAGCATGTTGAGTGTTGTAATTCCACGAGGCCTTTAAATGTGATTTCCTTTGCTTTTAAGGAAAAGATGGGTTGGTGGGGAGGGGGTTTAGAGGGGTTGGGTAGCTAGTAGTGAGAGGGTAAAAATAGGAAAAAAGATTTTCAAGAAAAATTCTTTCAAGACATTGCTGCAAAGCCTATATGCCTGGACTGAAACACAATAGAATAATAATGGTAATACAAGCTAATATTTATATAGCTCTTATTATGTGCCAGGTATGTTCCAAAGTATTTAAGAACGTGGTCATTAGTGTTCTTGAAAGCCATCTGTGCATCATCTCCTCACATAGTTATCAAAATGAGTAATTTAACATAGGGGAATTTGTTTGATCTTTATAGGGAATTGCAAGAAAGACATGAGTTATAGAAACACTAATATTAATTCATTAATCCCCACAACCACTTCTGAGGTAGAACCTATTATTCTCATGTTAAAAAATAAGGAAACTGTAGCACAGAGAGGTTAAGAAACTTGCTCAAGGTCACACAGCTAGAGCTGGTACTAGAGCTCTGGCTTGCAGGCTGTGGTTTTTATTTTATTTTATTTTATTTTTTTTACCTGAGATGTAGTCTTGCTCTGTTGCCCAGAGTTGGAGTGAAATGGCATGATCTTGGCTCATAGCAACCTCTGCCTCCCGGGTTCAAGCAATTCTCCTGCCGCAGCCTCCCGAGTAGCTGACATTACAGGCGTGTGCCACCATGCCCGGCTAATTTTTGTATTTTTAGTAGAGATGGGGTTTCACCATGTTAGCCAGGCTGGTCTCGAACTCCTGACCTTGTGATACG
The DNA here is from genome assembly GCF_000001405.40 of Homo sapiens. Classification (NCBI taxonomy): domain Eukaryota; kingdom Metazoa; phylum Chordata; class Mammalia; order Primates; family Hominidae; genus Homo; species Homo sapiens. Next base: position 81,842,562 of record NC_000009.12, read on the forward strand.
CCCACCTTGGCCTCTCAAAGTGCTGGGATTACAGGCATGTGCCACCATGCCTGGCTAATTTTTGTATTTTTAGTAGTGGCGGGGTTTCACCATGTTGGCTAGGCTGCTCTCCAACTCCTGACCTCATGATCTGCCTGCCTCGGCCTCTCAAAGTGCTGGGATTACAGGCGTGAGCCACCGCGCCCAGTCACAGGTTGTGTTTTTAACCATGACGCTATGTTATTCTGCAAGAACTAAGACATTGGAAGACAACTATTTCTATTTTGAAAGAGTGACTCATTGTTCTAAATTGTTTGGCATTTGAGTATTAAGCTTCAGGGCCTGATGACTTTCTTATTTAATTTTCTGGTTGGCCAGCCGAGTATTTCCTGCGTCTACCCAGTTCTCACAGAAAGTAGCTGAGGCTGACTTCTGGGCAGGGTAAATCAGTTACAAAATAAAGGTTAGGCTGAGTGCCCATAGCAAAGCTAGAAAAGGCTCTGGAGTGATTTCCCCTCAACCCAGAGCAGTTTAGCTTGGACTCAGCAGCCTCTGCAGGATTTGGGGGCTCCTGCAAGACTTGAGTCCCCTTCAGAGTGCAAGGAGAGCAAGATTCACAGGGTGGAGGGAGTTAGGGGGGAGAAAAAAAGAAGACACAGTTTGTTGACACCATCTTGTCTTTTTTTTTTTTTTTTTTTTTTTTTTTGAGACGGAGTCTCGCTCTGTCGCCCAGGCTGGAGTGCAGTGGCGGGATCTCGGCTCACTGCAAGCTCCGCCTCCCGGGTTCACGCCATTCTCCTGCCTCAGCCTCCCAAGTAGCTGGGACTACAGGCGCCCGCCACTACGCCCGGCTAATTTTTTTGTATTTTTTAGTAGAGACGGGGTTTCACCGTTTTAGCCGGGATGGTCTCGATCTCTTGACCTCGTGATCCGCCCGCCTCGGCCTCCCAAAGTGCTGGGATTACAGGCGTGAGCCACCGCGCCCGGCCACCATCTTGTCTTCTATGAGTAATTCTCAGGACAAAGACTTGTCACCATTTACGGGTGAAGAGCATGGACTTTGGTGTCAGAAAAAAGCTTGAGTTTGAGTCCCAATTCTTTCACTTATTAGATGTGGGAACTTACTGCTTTTCCTCATTTTCCTCTCTTATAAAATGCAGATGACATTAGTACTTGCCTTGGTGGTACTGAGAGGATTAAATAAACAATACACTTAAAGTTCTTAAAGCAATATGTGGCACACAAAGCAAGCTCTAAATAAGTGTTAGTTCTTCTTGTATTGACCTCCTGCAGCACACGTGGCACCATTCTATAAGCTGTCAGAACACTAATGACCACCTACCACTATTTCTCACAACTCTTATGACTTAGGTATCTCCTGTTTTGCAGGTGAAGAAACTGAGCCTCAGAGGTGTTCACTGGCCCAAGGTGACTCGAGCAGAGAAGGGCTCAGCCAGGCTTTAGCAGAGGTGGGCCTGAGTCTGCGGCTCGGCAGCACTGCTGTCCCCTCTCCCGCAGGCAGACATGCACCCCCACTGGATTGAAATAATTGTCTACGGGGTCCTGGGGAAACCGCTACTGAGTTCGTGTTTTGTTCACCAGTTTTAAAGCTGGATCTGAAGCAGCTTTTAATCACTTCGCTCATAAACATTCACTGCTCTGTGGGAGTCCTCCCCATAGGTTGTCTTACGGATGCATCAGCATAAGAAATGTTTGATGGGGCCTGCAATTTGCTTGTCATTTTCTGCCCACATGAGTGATTGATAAGTGCTTTGAGTCATATCTGAGACTTCCTTTTAGGGAATGCATGTAGATCAGCAGTCACATTCCCTGACACCTCTCACACCTTCAGCTGCACTGTCACCAACACACTGACATCAGAAGCTGGGGCCTCTGCTCATTGTGTACATAGGAAGGGACAGCTGGTCCAGGTCAGCAGAGAGGGAACATATGTCAGGGTCCACTATGAACTCTGACCTCTCTGCCCTCTGGCCCAGAGGACAGTCTCATGGCTAGGTTGCTGTCATTGTCATTCCCAGGTACACCATTCAACCTCATGTGGCTGCTAATTTAATTTACTGTTTTCTGTTTAGTCACACAACAGGTTTGAACTTCTTTAGCAAATTGATTTCCCTACCTGGTGTCTTATAGTAGACATTCCAGATGAGACAGGGCCCCAAAATAGTTGCCCTCGATGTGTTGTGAGAGACTGAAAGCCAAAGGGCATATTAATGGGTCATTAGTTCATATCTGTGCATGTTTATTTGCACCGCAAATTTTTTTTTGAGACAGAGTTTCACTCTCTCGCCCAGGCTGGAGTGCAGTGGCACCATCTTGGCTCACTGCAGTCTCTGCCTCCTGGGTTCAAGTGTTTCTCTTGCTTCAGCCTCCCGAGTAGCTGGGACTACAGGTGCCTGCTACCATGCTTGGCTACCTTTTTTTTTTGTTATTATTAGTATAGATGGGGTTTTGCCTTGTTGGCCAGGCTGGTCTCAAACTCCTGACCTCAGGTGATCCACCCACCTCAGCCTCCCAAAGTGCTGGGATTGCAGGTGTAAGCCACCGTGCCCAGCCTACAGTAGATCTTTTGACTTTGTAATATTTACTTTAAAGTACACTGTAGGCCGGGCACGGTGGTTTACACCTGTAATCCCAGCACTTTGGGAGGCCGAGGAGGGTAGATCACGAGGTCAGGAGTTAAAGACCAGCCTGGCCAATATGGTGAAACCCCGTCTCTACTAAAAAATAAAAAAGCACACTGTATACCAAAAAACAAAGAAGCAACAAGCAAAATTCACAGTATCAATGACTACATAAACCTAGAAACAGAGACTGTAATTGACTTCTAGGTATTAAGTTGAAACACATAAAACTGAGAATCTTTAATATTTTTGACCTATAAGAACAGACTATCTCTTGGGCAACAGTGGAGTTAAAATTAGGTGAGAAAAGAATATATTCACTGCAACCTCCACCTCCGGAGTTCAAGCAATTCTCCTGCCTCAGCCTCCTGAGTAGCTGGGATTACAGGCATTCGCCGCCACCACACCTGGCTAATTTTGTATTTTTAGTAGAGACGGGGTTTCTCCATGTTGGTCAGGCTTGTCTCGACCTCCCTATCTCTGGTGATCCACCCACCTCGGCCTCCCAAAGTGCTGGGATTACCGGCGTGAGCCACCGTGAGATGTTTCAAACTAGATAGATAATCTTTTTTGAGGATCTATGGAGAAGACCCTCAATTTGAGGCAGGTATCTTATCTATTTCTCTAAGGCCTGTTTAAGCTTAGCGTTAAACAGAAACATTCCTGAGTTTCTGCTTCCCAGGGGATTTTAGTGCACATACACAGGATGTTTCATGCCCTTCATGTTTCTACCCAGTAGAAAAAAATAAAATCTATTTGTAGCTTGGACCAGAAACAGGAGGTGATTCTTTTTACTATCAGCCTCGAAAATATCTTTCTTCTTGTGGTGTGGCAAGGGGACTTTAGCATACACCATCACCCTCCTCAGAGGATGCCAAGGAGCTACATGGGGTTGTGGATGGAGGGAGAACATTTTCTGAGCAGTTACTAAGCAAGTCAGGTAAGAGCATTTTACAGAAAGCATTGGAGAGAAGCAAAGTCTCTGTGGCATTGTCATGACAATGTCTATATTTTCAAGCAAAATCCATCAACAAGGACTAAAGTCAATTCTTCCAATGGTAAAATGATCCCCATTCAAGGAAGGGACATGATGCCAATTGGTAACATTTTCAAAATACCAATAATACTCCTCCAGGTGTTCTAAATGCATTAATTGTGTTAATCCTGAAAATGCTCCGAGTTTAGTACCTCTTATAATAGATGATAAAACTGAGGCACAGCTGAGATTTAAAGGTTGTAGGTCCACACAGAAATGCATTAGGAAAAGCTGGGTATCACGGGGAGAAGAGAAACCTACCAAGGAAATACAAGGTTTTTTTTTTTTTTTTTGAGACAGTCTTACTCTTGTCACTCAGGTTGTAGTGCAGTGGCACAATCTCGGCTCACACTACAACCTCTGCCTCCTGGGTTCAAGTGATTCTCCTGCCTCAGCCTCCCGAATAGCTGAGACAACAGGCGTGCACCACCATGTCCAGCTAATTTTTGTATTTTTAGTAGTAGTGGGGTTTTACCATGTTGGCCATGCTAGTCTTGAACTCCTGGCCTCAAATGATCTGCCTGCCTCGCCTCCCAAAGTGCTGGAATTACAGGCATGAGCCACCACACCTGTTAGGATTCTTTTAATTGGAAATAGTGCATAATCCCACTATGATTTACTCAATAGAAAAATAATGCTATATATTATTTAATTAAATATATTATACACACACACAAGTAGTTCATTCTCAGCTATTCTGTTTGTTGCCTTCATAAATCCTAAGATAATGAGTCTTTCAAAGTATTGTTAGAGATAGAAAACTGGTCTGATTGGGCTGCACCTGATATTGCAGTTTACATGCACGTAGTTTGGTGTTTTACTGACCTAAGACCCCAGCTCCTGTATTCATCAGCTGTGTGACCCAAGTAAATTGCCTAGTAATTTTAACAATACCTACTTCACAGAGCTGCTGGGAGATTTAAATGAGATCGTATGTCTAAAGCAGTTAGTACAGTACCTAACACATGGTAAACGCTTAACAGTGACAAAAGCAGTGATTTCTGGAGTCTCTCAACAAGGTAAACCGCGTCCTTTCACAATGGTCCCTTTGCCAGGTTTAACAGGTGTGACACTCTATAAACTTGCTCCCGAAGGCACTGCAGTAGACCCAACAAATAGAAAGGTATTTAATGAACTTGTTCATTATCTTGCCAATTTTATGGGCCTGTCCAACAGGATCTGTCCCAATCATAGAAATGCAGTGATAAAGGCAGTGCCACTAAGCTCAATTTTTTTTTTTTTTTGCTGGGGCAGCTCTTCCCATAAGATGCCTCCAACAGACTTCCCTTTGCCCCATTTGCTTTTTCCACTTTTGTGCATGAAACCAGAGCTATGTGTAATTTCCAGCGTTCTCATATGTTGATCTTTTTCATCTACTAAAAAATAGTGAGCTTGAAAAGTTCAATTAAAATGAAACATAAATATTTTCTTTCTTACTGTGTCATTAAAAACTCTCTCCCACTCCCCAACGTTACTTGGCACCCACCCAAAGAAAACGTTTTCCCCGTTAGGCCCCCAGTGTTTAAAGCATGGAGGAAACAGGTCTGGTTAGTCTGTCTGGACAGGATCCTCACATGGGGAGAAGAGCGGAGATTTCAAAGGACTAGAAAACAGAGTACAAAGTAGAAAAGTAAGCAGAGGGAAAAAGGATGGTGACTGAAAGCTAAAAGAGAGAGAGAAAATGATTTCATAGAACCAGCCTAGAATGGACAATTTCTGGAAAATTGTATCTTATCTTGGGTTTCTGTATCTAAGTGTAAAGCTCACTGTTTGGTGATGACCCCTTCCAGAAGAGAGTCTAATATAACACTACCCCTGGTTATTTCTGGTCAATTCCAACATTATTCAGTACAGCTGGTATTTCAGATTTATGTTATCAGGGGGATAGATCATCTTCAACAACAGCAGTGGCACAAATATTTATTAAGCATTTACTATGTGCTATGAAGTTAACAAGGATTAGTTTCTTTACTCCTTAAAGAAATCCTATGAGCTAAGTACAATTATAATCCCAATTTCAAAGATAGGAAACCTGAGTTTAGGGAGGTTACAACTAGTAGTTGACTGAGGCTGGATTCAAACTCTAGCAGTTGGACTCCAGAGCTTGTGCCCTCTATCATATTCCACAGGACACACCAAGTTTCTGGACACCTTTTCGAAATTCTTCTTACTATAACTCCTCTCGCTCCCTCTCCTCTTCTTCCTCTCTGTCATCCTCCTCCTTTTTCTCTTCTGCCTTCCTCTCTTTACATGGATCCTGCCCAGAGATTCAGGTTCTATTTTGTAAGTGGTACATCATCCAATTTTTATTTCCTATCACAGAGCTAATGTATTCCAACCAGTCCTTTTTCCAATAGTTGCTAATCCAGCGAAATCAGTATCAGTCACCAAAGGAAATTCAAATAGAGGGAACTGCTCCATCTAGAGTTTCATTTTGCAACTAAGTTATTTGTTGTTTCCATTTAGTGCTCTTCCTCTCTTCTTCCCTTTCCAAGATGAATTTGCCTTGTCTAAACATTAGGCTTTCTAGTCCAGGTTAAGCCAAAAATAAATCAGTCTATGGTGGCATGTTCAGTGAGTGGTTTCCTGTAGATATCTGAGGGCAGCACATTCCTTTTCACCTTCTCTTTTCTAAACAAATACATCTCGATTTCAATCTTTTTTCCTAGGGAAATACTGTTTCCTTTTTCTTCCCATACTCTGAGCTCTTTTTTTCTCTTTGTTTTATGCATTTAGCTGCTTCAATTTCTGTCCTGCTGATTTTAAAACAATATAGTCAAAACTGAGGTGAGAACAGGTTATTACTTTATGTGAGTTTGTTTTAATCAGACCACTCTTACTTTGAAGTGGAAATATCTTACCTCAAAAGGTGACACAGAGGCAGCTGAAGTCCAGGGGTCAGAGATTCTCCGATCTTCATCTATTGGGGTGATTGACACAGTTTTTCACTTTCACAGTCCAATCCCAAATAAGATAAATCCTTAACCCTTAAAAGCAGCAGTCTCTGAAACCCTTTAAAGTGGTTAGGCAAGAAGGGTCCCAGGGCAGATTGTATTCTTGTGTTATGTATGGTCATAATATCTCTTCCATTATAAAGTATAATATATTGCATTTGCTAGCTGTGTGATTTTGAGGAACCTCTATGTGGCTCAGTTTCCTCATCTACGAAGTGGGGAGAATAAAAATAACTACCTTATAGGGTTGTCATAAGAAAGAAATTGGTATATGTATGTATGGTATATATATATTAGAATAGTACCTAACATTGGAAGTTAAATATGTGTTACCTACTATTATCATTCACTTAAAATTCTAGCCCTCATTCTTATTTTAGCAGTATCAGTTTGCCCCTCTTATTTATTCATTCGTCATTCCTTCTGTCCATCCTTCCTTCCAAATGTATTTATTCAGTATCTAATATGTGCCAGGCACTGTGCTGGGCTCTGGGATGCGGTGGTAAGCAAAAATAGAATCCTTGCCTTCATGGAGCTCACAGTCTAGTGGGGAGACCAGGCAGAAGTCAGATGATCATGTGAGATCATGTAAGTGCCCTGTGAAGCATTCCATGAAGAATTCATGAGCTGGCTGATGGTGCAAAGGAGTTTACAACATAGGAATTTGGCTTAAGCAGGAAGCAGAGGTTCTTCCTCAAGTGCTCCTGAGGAACTGATATAAGTTAAGAGCTTAGAGGTGAGGAGAAGATGAGTTGGTAAAGCGAAGAGGGAAGAGTGCTCCAGGTAGGGGAATCTGGGCTGTAAGATGCAACAGGAAGAGGGAAAGGGCGGCCACACAGATAACGCAGAGCTCTCTGGGCAATTCAACTAGTTAAAGTTGTCAGAGCAGCTGGGTGCGGTGACTCATGCCTGTAATTCCGGCACTTGTGGAGGTCGAGGAAGAAGAATCACCTGAGGTCAGGAGTTGGAGACCAGCCTGACCAACATGGTGAAAACCTGTCTCTACTAAATACAAACAAAATTAGCTGGGTGTGGTGGCACATGCCTGTAGTCCCAGCTACTCGGGAGGCTGAAGCAGGTGAATCTCTTGAATCCGGTAGGCAGAGGTTGCAGTGAGCCGAGATTGTGCCATTGCACTCCAGCCTGGGCAACAGAGTGAAACTCTGTCTCAAAATAAATAAATAAATAAAAAATAAAAATAAACTTCAGAGCAATGGGGAGCCTGCAAACAATTTTAAGCTAGGTTCTATTTTTATTTTTATTTTTTGAGATAGAGTTTTGCTCTGTCGCCCAGGCTACAGTGCAGTTGGCTCACTGCAACCTCCGCTTCCTGGGTTCAAGCGATTCTCCTGCCTCAGCCTCCCAAGTAGCGAGATTACAGGCGTGCGCCACTGATCCCGGCTAATTTTTGTATTTTTAGTAGAGATGAGGTTTCACCATGTTGTCCAGGCTGGTCTTGAACTCCTGACTTCAGGTGATCAGCCGGCCCTGGCCTCCCAAAGCACTGGGATTACAGGCGTGAGCCACTGCACCTGGCCTTAAGCTAGGTTTTGTGTGTGTTTGTGTGTGTGTGTTAGGGGTGGCAGTGGTATTCAGATTTTAGTAGTTGTATGTGAGTTTCCGAAAGATTGTTGTGGCTGCAGTGTGAAGAATGGTTCAGAAGAGCTAATCAGGTTGCTGAGAGACTGGTAAGAAGGCTGTTGCAGTAATCTACAGGAGAGATGTTGACGGCATGGCCGTGCTGGCAGTGGCCAAGGTACAGTGGTGAGGATAGAGGCGAATGGCATTTAGCAAATACAATTCATACTGTTTGGAGATGGAAGAAGTTGGGAATGGGGCAGAGAGGGCTGGGTGCCATGGTGACTTCGTTTATTCTAGTGAGGTTGAATGTCTTTCCTTTTGTTCCTCTTGAGTGCCTTTACCTCCTAGGCCCATAAGCTGACGTGTGGAATCTTGTACAGAGCTGAAATAATCAGTGTCACCCAAAACATTTGAACAACACTGCTTGGGCATGCTAATTAGCCAAAATAAAATAAGGAAGTTGACCTTCAACCCTTGTCTTTGTTTTTTTTTTTTCCAGCTGCAGAAGTCATTTTCAGTTGTTCTCTGACTCCCGTAAACAACAATTCCTGTCGCCTTATCCTTTTGATGCCTGGTTCCACTTCTATATTTTCACTTGGACATGATTCTCACTGACAGTAGAAAGTTCAGCACAAAGACCTACAGCTGTGAAAATACTTGCTCCTCTTCAGAACTATTAGTACTCCTGGGAATCATGTCACAGTGCCAACCACTTGCTGGTCCTGAAGTGACCCTGTTATTTTGGGAGGTAGTAAAGGAAATGATATTTTTAAAACCTCAAGTGGCACTCTCTTTGGACACTGAATGGTGTGTAAGTGATAAAACGCTCACTATGCTGAAGGAGCAGGGGAGCACACAGGTGCTGGAGGCTCTCTAGTGTCTCTATTCGTGGCTGCAAAATACCGCTGAGCTCACCGAAATAACCCAGGACCAAAGTGTTCTCTTCTGTTGAATAATTAGACAACGTAAGTGGTCACTTTAGAGAAGCTAGCTCTCTTCTTCTGTATGTGTTTTAGGATTTTTATTACAAACTAAACACAATCCTTGGGCAGATTTAGGAGCATAGGAAGAAGACTGCTAGATTTTGACTGTGAACAGAACCTGTGTTTTATTATTCTTTGTATCCCAAGCATATCCACAGTGCTTCTCATTTAGTAGATGCCCCCAAAATATTGGTTGGATAAAAGATTCGTTGATGTTTTCTTTCCTTTTCTTTTTCTTTTTCTTTTCTTTTTTTTTTTTTTTTGAGATGGAGTCTTGCTCTGTCATCCAGGCTGGAGTGCAATGGCCCGATCTTGGCTCACAGCAACTGCGGCTTCCAGGATTCAAGCAATTCTCCTGCCTCAGCCTCCTAAGTAGCTGTGATTACAGGCGCATGCCACCATGCCCAGCTAATTTTTGTATTCTTAGTAGAGATGGGTTTCACTGTGTTGGCCAAGCTGGTCTTGAACTCCTGACCTTAGGTGATCCACCCGCCTCGGCCTCCCAAAGTGCTGGGATTACAGGCATGAGCCACCGTGCCCAGCCGCTCGTTAATGTTTTCATGGAGTATTATTTCTATGGTGTGGTGTGGTGTGGTGAGTTGAGTGCTTTTTTTTTTTTGAGATGGAGTTCTGCTCTTGTTGCCCAGGCTGGAGTGCAGTGGCACGATCATGGCTCACTGCAACCTCCATCTCCTGGGTTCAGGCGATCCTCCTGCCTCAGCCTGCTGAGTAGCTGGGACTACAGGCGCCACCACACCCAGCTAATTTTTTGTATTTTTAGTAGGGACGGTGTTTCACCATGTTGGCCAGGTTGGTCTTGAACTCCTGACCTCAGGTGATTCACCAATCTTGGCCTCCCAAACTGCTGGGATTACAGGTGTGAGCTACTGCACTTGGTCAGAGTTGAACATTTTTTGTTCTACTTGGTAGAGACAATCACTTCCTGTGCTCTTTATTTATTTTGACCTTTAGCTACAACGATGTTCTAAAATGAAATAATAAAGAAATCATTTTTGAGTACCATTTTGCATGTACAGATACATACATTTGCTGACCAGGTGCGCATAGAGATGCTCTGCCTGGAAGATACTTCTGCAACTTAATTGCACTGAAGTGAGGTTATTGATGTGGGAGGAAGGGAAAGTAAGACAAAACTCACAACTTAATTTCTACACAGGATTGCTATTTAAAAAATGAATTTTAAGTGCTTCTTGCATACCCAGCATAGGCACTGGGGGATTTACTGGTGATTTGTGATTTGTAATTACCCAGAATATGGTCCAATGGTCCCTTGTCCTTTGAAGCAATTGGCCCGTTCTCTTGACTGCTGCTCTGTACTTTCCCACTCTCAGCTCTCTCATAAGGGCCCCATTCCTTCTGGTCTGTTCTATTGGAACAGTCTCTTTCCACTTCATTCTTAATTTCTCCTTGTTGCTGGATTACTGTATGTTAGTGCTTCTCAAATTGTGGTCCCCAGACCAGCACATTAGCATCACCTGGAAACGTATTACAAGTGCAAATTCCTGGCTGGGCACGGTAGCTCATGCCTGTAATCCCAGCACTTTGGGAGGCCAAGGTGGGCGGCTCACTTGAGGTTAGGAGTTCAAGACCAGCCTGGTCAACATGGTGAAACCCCAACTCTACTAAAAATACAAAAAAATTAGCCAGGCATGGTGGCATGCACCTGTAATCCCAGTTACTTGTGAGGCTGAGGCAGGAGAATCACTTGAACCTGGGAGGCAGAGGTTGTAGTGAGCCGAGATCGTGCCACTGCACTCAAGCTTAGGTGACAAAGTGAGACTCCCTTTCAATAAAATAAAATAAAATAAAATAAAAAGAAATGCAATTTCCTGAGCCCTGCCCTAGACCTACTAGAGAAGACACTGGAGGCCTTAGTGGTTTTGTTTTAATAAGTAAGTGATTTTGATGCACTTTCAAATTTGAGAACTGCTAGCATATATAAAGCTCATTCTAAGTATATCACCTCTTTGTTCAACACATTTTGTCTTTTCTTTTTTTTTACAAAACCTGTCTAAGTGTGTGTTTTTATATCCCTCTATTCAATGCTTTCTACCATAGAACACCAGCTTGTTTCCCTAAACATATAAGTGTATCCCACACTGCACAATTCAGATAGAATACTTGTTTTTCCCTGTCTTATTTCTTCTTGTAGAAACCATACTCATTCTTTAGAGCTCATTAAAAACTTAACATTTATCTAAGTAATTCATACATGTGGTTTTAAAATCAACTGGTATTAAAGGGTCTACGAAGAAACACAGCAGGCCCTACCCGACCTCTCAACCACTCTTTTCTGTTCCCCAGGGAAAGTAACTTTAATCTTTGTTATTTTCACTTTTTCTTATGATGACCTTTATTTATATAACTAATCTGCAAACACCTCAATTAAAAATAATTAAACATTTCATCTACTAACTTTTATGTTTATTGACTAATTTTTGCTATGGTAGTGTATCAGTCACAGTTTTCTAAAGGGACAGAGCTCTATACAATTTGAATAAATAAAATTTTAGGTAGATAAAATTTGATAGATACCTCATTTCTCCTCTTGACTCTTCCCAATATATCTTCAGTTAAATCTTGATCCTGTGCCAAGTTTATCCTTTTCAGGGAGTGTTTTCAGATACTCCTCTCTTCCCTGCCATGATAGTGCTTTGCTTCTCTCTTTTAATGCACGCCAGCTCTGCCTTGTATTACAGCAATGTTTGAAAGTGTGCGTTTCCTACCCCAGCTAGGTTATAAGAGCTAAGGAAATCTAACTTGTGTTTTATTTTCTTTGTATCTTCCCAGGGCTAACCACAGGACCTGGGACATTGTACAGTCACATGTTGCATGATGATGGGGGTATGTTCTGAGAAGTGCATCCTTAGGCAGTTTCATTATTGTGCAAACGTCATAGAGCATATTTGCCCAAACCTAGGTGTAGAGCATACTACACACCTAGGATATATGGGACAGTCTATTGCTTCTAAGCTACAAACCTGTACAGCACATTACTGCACTGAATACTGTAGGCAAGTGTAGCAAGATGGTAAGTATTTGTATATCTAAACATATCCAAACATTAAAAAGGTGCAGTAAAAATATAGTATGAAAGACAGAAATGATACACTTGTATAGGGCACTTACCTTGAATGGAGCTTATAGGGCTGGAAGTGGCTTTGGGTGAGTGAGTGGGTGAGTGGTAAGGGAATGTGAGGGCCTAGGATATTCACTCATGTACACTACTGTGGACTTCTTAAACACTGTACACTTAGGCTATAGTAAACTTATTAAAATATTTTTTCTTCAATAATAAATAAACCTTAGCTTACTATAACTTTTCTAACTTTGTGAACTTTTAAATTTTAAAAAACCTTTTTGACTCTTGTAATAACTCTTAGCTTAAAACAAACACATTGTACAGCTAGACAAAAAATATTTCCTTTATGTTCTTATTCTATAAGCTTTCTCTATTTTACAAAATTTATTTTTTTAACTTTTTAAATTTTTTCTTAAAAACTAAGACACAAACTCAAACATTATCCTAGGCCTACACAGGGTCAGGATCATCAATATCACTGTCTTCCACCTCCACATCTTGCCCCAGTTGGAAGGTCTTCAGGGGCAATAACACCCATGAAGCTGTCATTTCCTATGATAACAATGTCTTCTTCTGGGATACCTCCTGAAGGATCTGCCTGAGGCTGTTTTACAGTTAGCTCTTTCTCTCTCTTTTTTTTTTTTGAAACTGCATCACTGGCAACTTTTTTTAATGAGTAGAAAAGTACAGTTTAAAAATAATAATAAAAGTATAGTAGAGTAAATAGATAAACCAGTAACACAGTCATTTATTATTATTATCAGGCATCATATACTGTACCTAATTGTTTGTGCTAGACTTTTATACCACTGGCAGCACAGTAGGTTTGTTTATATAAGCATCGTGAGTAATGAGTTGTGCTATGATGATGTTACAATAGCTGTGACATTAGTAGGTGATAGGAATTTTTCATCTCCATTATAACCTCATGAGACCACCAATGTATATGTGGTCTGTTATTGCCTGAAACGTTGTTATGCAGTGTATGAGTGTACACACTAAGTAAATGTGGCAGATTTCACAATACAGTAAAATACATTTGTCCAACTTTGAACCTTTGTGCTGTTACATCAGTACTAAGAATATGGCTTTTCTTTCCAATGTGTTTTTCCAACATTATTGCAAGGAATAGTAAACCTGGAGTCAGGAGACTTAAGTCACGCCAGTCTTCTTGGTGACTTCTTCTACGACCTTCCGTGAGGTGCCTGATGGCTTTGTCCATTTTTTCTTTTTTCTTTTGAGACGGACTCTCACTCTGTCGCCCAGGCTGGAGTGCAGTGGTGTAATCTCGGCTCACTGCAAGCTCTGCCTCCTGGGTTCAGGCCATTCTCCTGCCTCAGCCTCCCCAGTAGCTGGGACTACAGGCGCCCACCACCATGCCTTGCTAATTTTTTGTGTTTTTAGTACAGACGGAGTTTTACCATGTTAGCCAGGATGGTCTCGATCTCCTGACCTCGTGATCTGCCTGCCTCAGCCTCCCAAAGTGCTGGGATTACAGGCAGGAGCCACCGTGCCCTGCCCATTTTTTCTTTTTTTCCTTTTTATTTTGAGACAGAGTTTCGCTCTTATTGCCCAGGCTGGAGTGCAATGGTGTGATCTCTGCTCACTGCAACTTCCGCTACCCAAGTTCAAGCGATTCTTCTGCCTCAGCCTCCCAAGTAGCTGAGTTTACAGGCTCCTGCCACCATGCCCAGCTAATTTTTGTATTTTTAGTAGAGACGGGGTTTTGCCATGTTGGATAGGCTGGCCTTGAACTCCTGACCTCGGGGGATCCACCTGCCTCGACCTCCCAAAGTGCTGGGATTACAGGCATGAGCCACTGTGCTTGACCCATTTTTTTCATCAGTAAAATGATGGGTTGGTTTGGGCACGATGGCTCACACCTGTAATCCCAGCGCTTTGGGAGGCCGAAGCGGGTAGATCCCCTGAGGTCAGTAGTTTGAGACCAGCCTGGCCAACATGGTGAAACCCTGTCTCTACTAAAAATACAAAAAAATTAGCTGGATGTGGTGGTGCACACCTGTAATCCCAGCTACTCGGGAGGCTGAGGCAGGAGGATCGCTTGAACTCGAGAGGCAGAGGTTGCAGTGAGCCGAGATCGCATCATTGCACTCCAGCCTGGGTGAAAGAGCAAGACTCCGTCTCAAAAAAACAAAAAAGAAAAAAAAAGAAAAAAAAAAGGTGGGTTGTAGTGAGGAGCAATTACAACAAAGCATGTTATAAAGCTTATGTTGATTCCTTATATTTAAAACCAAAAGGCAACCCAATTTTTGTTGTTGCACATAAGGGTACAAAAAACATTAACAATAACCTTTAAATAGAAAAGTTCATTTTTAGATTATCCAGCAGTTCTTTCTTCCAAGATCAGCTTAAGAGTTGTTGGGTGAAATTGTATTCTCATTGTCTGAAATTTGAAGCAAGAAAATTCAAACATTTAGTATCATTTACCTATTCTTACTTGTTGATGAGAAATCAGCTTTACTGCCAACCTTTCAGGCTCTGAAGGGATTTTAAACTTTATCTTGATTTGATTTAAAAAAAAAAAAATTAACCAAAGGCACGTTTTCTAAGCCCTTGTCCGGCCCTACCCATTAGAAAGTGTGAGCTACTGTTCTATCGAAACTAATTAAACCTTAAATGTATAACCAACTCTCAATTACCAAGGTTAATGGGACTACATGCATACATAATTACATCTTACATTTATACAGTGCTTTTAACTTCTTCAAAGCACTTTTCACTGAATTGCATATATAAAACAGATGATTTTTTTTTGGAAATTCACAAATAAGGCAAAAAAATCTTGGAATCAATAATTTCAACTTTGTACCTTTTATAAGCTATTAGAGCTAGTGAAATTGTCTAATAGGACTTTTATTGCCTTACTCTCTTCTTCACCCCTCTCAACTGAAGGCAAGAAATGACGGAAAGATCTGGAACAAGAAGGAAAGGAAAGCCAAGGACCTGAGCTATCCATGATATTAGCTCCAGGGTAATTAAGAGTAATTGACTGTAGGTGTGACTCTATCCAGAAAGGCCAGAAAGAGACAAAAAGGCATAGGAAATGCTGTGTAAATAACAGTATTTACAGGGCTCTTATTGTCATTCATTCAACAAGCATTATTGAGCACCTACTGTATGCCAGACATTGCTCTAAACAAAGACGACAGGTGAAGAAGTGAACAACTCAGGCAAGGATGCTACCATCACTGAGATGATCTTCTTTTTTTCCTTTTTTTTTTTTTTTGAGATGGAGTCTTGCTCTGTTGCAGGGCTGGAGTGCAGTGGTGTGATCTTGGCTCACTGCAACCTCCGCCTCCTGGGTTCAAGTGATTCTCCTGCCTCAGCCTCCCAAGTAGCTGGGATTACAGGCACATGCCACCATGCCCAGCTAATTTTTGTATTTTTAGTAGAGGTGGGGTTTCACCATGTTGGCCAGGATGGTCTCAATCTCCTGACCTCGTGATCTGCCTGCCTTGGCCTCCCAAAGTGCTGGGATTACAGGCGTAAGCCACTGTGCCTGGCCCGAGATGATCTCTTAAATGGTGAAAACAGATAATAAACAAGAACATTAATATGCAAACAAGATAATTCCAGGTGACACTAAGAACTGTGACATCCATAAGGCACAGCGATAGTGCCTGGGGGAGGGGATGCTATTTTAGATAGGGAACCAGGGAAGCCCTCTCCAAGGAGATGATATTTGAGCTACAACCTACGAGGGGAAAAAGAGCCAGCCTGAGAAGATTTGCTAACCGAACGATGGAATGACTGAACTAGCCACATATGCTGCAGAGAGGCCAAAGCTGACCCCAGGTCTGTATTCATTTTGTGTCCTTCTGTCAATATTCCTAAAACTGCTCCAGGACCCCTGATTTATTGCCTCTACAATGGGCGTTGCTAATACAGATCACCTTGACAGGGGTGCTCTGAGGAATAATAGGTAAACAATTGTGAGGAGCTATATAAATGCTAAATAATGATCACAGTAATAACCTTTTATTCAAGTCAGTACTGTGATAGGCAGCTCACACTCGGATGCTTTGGCAAATGTGGAAATCAATACGGCTGCTCCCTGAGCACACCAGCACCATCCTTTAAAATAGAAAAAATAAATGAGCCGATGATCATGATATTCAAAGTGGTTAGTGATCAAATAACTGTCTTGAGAGAAAGCTGGTGTGTGAAGTGTAAAATGGGAGTAGCAACATAATGGCACATTGCAGCACAGACCAGCTAGAGGATAACTGGGAAATGCAACTGGATGCTTGCTGGGGCACACTCTGCCCACTCCAGGATGAGTATTGTACCCTCATCAGGACAGGCGCTGCCACCACCAAAAGCACTGGCAGACAGAAAGTGGGATGAGAAAGAGCCGGATCAGCAACATCTTTGCCAGCAGCCCCATCTGGCCCTCTTGGCCTTAGTAAACCTCCCTGGGGGAGAACTAAGAAGCTGGTACCAAGGGCCCTCCCTTGGAAGGGCACCAAGGAAGTGGGGAGGGAGGGGAGGGGGGAATGAGCATTGCATTTTCTCCTTTCTAGAATGAAATATCTGAAATATCCCAATGCCTGGAGAGGCTTCTGCAGTCTTCATAGTGGAGCTTCCCTATACAATTGCAGATAGGAATCCATCCTTCTAGTTGTTCCTCCTTTCCCTGAAACCCCCCTTCCTTCCTTTTCTCTAAATCTCTCCTCCCCCCAACATTATATTAACACTATAAAATTATAATTTTTGTGTGTCATACTATCTCTTTGATATAAATATCGATGTGCCTGAACATTCTTTCCTGACTCCCACCCCACATCAGCAATTATGCGGCCATATAGGGGCACATACACGTGTGCTCACACGTACATGCACACACACACAGCCCTCCTTTGTTAAACCCTGGCTCAGTTATTACAGAATGCTTGTGGAGTGTAGGCCACATAGCAGAAAAATTTAAATTATAGTTGCTTCTTGTTGAAAAGCAGAAAGAAAGATAACAATTAAAAAAGCAGATATTGGCCGGGCGCGATGGCTCACGCCTGTAATCCCAGCACTTTGGGAGGCCGAGGCGGGCGGATCACAAGGTCAGGATTTCAAGACAAGCCTGGCCAATATGGTGAAACCCCGTCTCTACTAAAAATACAAAAATTAGCCAGGCATGGTGGTGGGTGCCTGTAGTCCCAGCTACTCAGGAGGCTGAGGCAGGAGAATCGCTTGAACCCGGGAGGCAGAGGTTGCAGTGAGCCGAGATGGCGCCACTGCACTCCAGCCTGGGCGACAGAGCGAGACTCTGTCTCAAACAAACAAACAAAAAAGCAGATATTTATTTTAAGGCTGATATCTGACACTTAATACTTTGCTGCATATTGACTAATGCTCCATAGTGACTGAGCAAGTCACTTTTCCATGGTGGGACAGGTAGACTCCATATGCTCTCTGAGGTGCTATGAGATCCCAGTGCATATTTAACCTTTTGAGGATTGGCTAGAAATGAGGGGGTTAAAAAAGAATATGGCAAGATAGTCTTAGTCTATAGGAAGTTATGGTTTAAATTTGAGTGAGGCAGGATCAAGATCCTAGAAAAAGTCTAATTGATTTTAACCAAATGGGATAATATTCAAATGTTAACTATACTGTGATACTGTATTTAGAGTACTTGGGGCCAGTATGCTATATGCAGTGGTCCCCTACATTTTTGGCACCCGGGACCAGTTTTGTGGAAGACAATTTTTCCATGGATCGAGGGGTGGGGAGGATGGTTTTGGGATGAAGCTGTTTCACCTCAGATCATCAGGCGTTCGTTAGGTTCTCATAAGGAGCTGCAACCTAGATCTCTCGCATGAGCAGTTCACAGTAGGGTTTGCGCTCTTATGAGAATCTAGTCTCAAATTCTACAATTAGCAGTGCCCATTGTAGAGGTAATAAATCAGGGGTCCTGGGGCGGTTTTAGACATATTGACAGAAGGACACAAAATAAATAACCACTGACCTGGGGCCAGCTTTGGCCTCCCTGCAGAGGCCACCACTGATGTGCCAGGAGACGGAGCTCATGCTGTAATGCTTGTCAGCTGACTGCTCACCTCCTGCTGTGCGGCCCAGTTCCTAACAGGCCATGGACTGGTACAGGTCCCCCACCGGGGTGTTGGGGACCCAGGCAGGACATAGTAAGTGCTCAGTAAAATTTCGGTTGTTAAGTAAGGTGTGGTATTGATTTCCATCTCCCAGTACCTCAGGCTGCTTATAACTGAACTCATATGTTCAAGTATAACCTTTGTTCAAAGGCTTTATTCCAAAAATAGTCAATGGAGGAATCTGGGGAAAATTGTTCTCAGGAGATGTGGTTATCTTTATGGCCAAATCAGTCTAGATTAGGTTGTTTCATTAGCAGGCATGTCTACATGGCTTCCAGATTTTGTTTGTTTGTTTATTTGTTAGGTTTTTGAGACAAAGTCTCTCTCTGTCACCTATGCTGGAGTGCAGTGGTGCAATCTCAGCTTACTGCAACCTCCACCTCCCAGGTTCAAGTGATTCTCCTGCCTCAGCCTCCTGAGTAGAAGGGATTGCAGGTGCCTGCCACCACATTCGGCTACTTTTTGTATTTTTAGTAGAGATGGGGTTTTGCCATGTTGGCCAGGCTGGTCTCGAACTCCTGACCTCAGGTGATCTGCCCACCTCGGCCACCCAAAGTGCTGGGATTACAGGTATAAGCCACCACTCCCGGCCTTGTTTGGTATTTTTAATGCCTTGAACTGTCAATAAAGTGGGAGGGCAAGTTATAAGGAAGGAAGATACCTGCTCAGATCTCATGCTTTTAAATTAAGATAACCCATACCCAACAAAATCCAGGATTGAACTTCAAGGAATTCAAGTTATT
Organism: Homo sapiens; assembly: GCF_000001405.40. Lineage (NCBI taxonomy): Eukaryota > Metazoa > Chordata > Mammalia > Primates > Hominidae > Homo > Homo sapiens. The sequence continues at coordinate 81,861,705 of NC_000009.12, forward strand.
GTCTTGGACCCTTTATTTCTTCTTGATCTTGCCTTTTTTTATTTTTCTTTTCCCCCTCAAAAAGAAAACGTCACCTGGCACTTGACTTTCTTGACTCACCTTCTCTCCTCAGCCTCAGTATCTGTTGCTCACTCCTTTGGATTTGATGACTAATTTTGACTTTCCTGCTTCTCATTTTTGGCACTCCCTCAAAAATGGGTTATATCTATCTGGTAACTCTTTCTACTTCTGGCTGTGCAGAAGTTTTAACCCTACTCAGTCAAGTTTTGATCCCAGGACTCTTGCCTGGCTTTGACCTATCTCTGTGGCATCCATACTGTGCTTGACTCTGCCACAGATGGGGGTGGGGGTTGGCAAGAGGAAAGACCCAGCAAGGAAAGAGGAAGAATATCTGGCTCAACTTAAGCTGCTTTGCTCATGGGGTTTGTTTTGTTTTGTTCCCTTCCATCCTGACTCTTTCTCTTTTTTTTTTTTTTTTATTTTATTTATTTTTTTTTTTTTTGAGACGGAGTCTCGCTCTGTCGCCCAGGCTGGAGTGCAGTGGCGGGATCTCGGCTCACTGCAAGCTCCGCCTCCCGGGTTCACGCCATTCTCCTGCCTCAGCCTCCCGAGTAGCTGGGACTACAGGCGCCCGCCACTACGCCCAGCTAATTTTTTGTATTTTTAGTAGAGACGGGGTTTCACCGTTTTAGCCGGGATGGTCTCGATCTCCTGACCTCGTGATCCGCCCGCCTCGGCCTCCCAAAGTGCTGGGATTACAGGCGTGAGCCACCGCGCCCGGCCCCCTCTTTCTCTTTTTATTTGTATTAAACCTCAGCCTTGTAACTGGTCTAGACTCCCCTAGCATCCCTTTGTAAGACTTAAGTGGGAGTGAGAGTCAATGATATCCATTAGCTAAAATAAGTTGGATGGCTGGGAGAAACTGCTGACTCTGTAGTGTCTTTTTTTTTTTTTTTTGAGATGGAGTCTCGCTCTGTCACCAAGGCTGGAGTGCAGTGGTGTAATCTCGGCCCACGGCAACCTCCACCTCCCGGGTTCAAGCGATTCTCCTGCCTCAGCTTCCCAAGTAGCTGTGATTACAGGTGCCCACTACCACAGCCGGCTAATTTTTGTATTTTTAGTACAGATGGGGTTTCACCATGTTGGCCAAGCTGACCTTGAACTCCTGACCTTGTGATTCACCACCCTTCTGCCTCCCAAAGTGCTGGGATTACAGGCGTGAGCCACCACGCCTGGCTTCTGTAGTGTCTTTATAGCACTATCAGGTGCCATTTAACCATGCTAGTTGGCCAACTCCTCTGACTTGCCAAGGTTTGTAGAAAAGTCAGTAATACTTGTCAAATGAATGAGTGAATGGGTATCAATTCCTAAATGCATACTAGTTTGGAAGTATTGTATTGTATCAGGCACTTTACATAATACAAAATGTAAGGCTTAGTTCTTGGCTTAAGTAGTGCATCTTGGCTGGGCACGGTGGCTCAAGTCTGTAATCCCAGCACTTTGGGAGGCCAACGCGGGAGGACTGGGTTCAAAACTTGGTAAAACTGAGGTCAAGGGTTCGAGACAGAGCCTGGCCAACATAGTGAAACACCATCTTTACTAGAAATACAAAAATTAGCCAGGCATGGTGGCATGCACCTGTAATCCCAGTTGCTTGGGAGGCTGAGGCAGGAGAATTGCTTGAACCCAGGAGGCGGAGGTTGCAGTGAGCCGACACGGTGCCACTGCACTCCAGTCAGCGACAGTGAGACTATGTCTCAAAAAAAAAAATGCATCTTCTCATATCCATCACTCACAAAAAGACTGTTTTAAAGTATCACAGAAAGCCAGACAAGGTTCACTATTTATTTTGGAAAACAAGAAGTCATCTCTTAAAATGAAATGTTAGTAAAATATTGGTTACGGCAGTAACAGACATGAGCTAATACATCGTGGAAGTCGAATGCTTCATTGCTATCAGTGGGTTTTCTACCTAATGTCTTTATAAACAGCAAAATGCATAAAACAAGACAAATAACATAAAGTGAGCACTGAGGGAATCAACCCCCATCTCAAGGAACACAACTTTGACATGATCCCAGAAGCCTTGAGTCTCCTGTCTGTTACAATAAGCTTTTACTTATTTTTCTTTTTAAAATTGTACTACTTTTTTTTTTTTTTTTTTTTTTTGAGACGGAGTCTCGCTCTGTCGCCCAGGTCGGACTGCGGACTGCAGTGGCGCAATCTCGGCTCACTGCAAGCTCCGCTTCCCGGGTTCACGCCATTCTCCTGCCTCAGCCTCCCGAGTAGCTGGGACTACAGGCGCCCGCCACCGCGCCCGGCTAATTTTTTGTATTTTTAGTAGAGACGGGGTTTCACCTTGTTAGCCAGGATGGTCTCGATCTCCTGACCTCATGATCCACCCGCCTCGGCCTCCCAAAGTGCTGGGATTACAGGCGTGAGCCACCGCGCCCGGCCTTTTTTTTTTTTTTTTTGAGACAGAGTCTTGCACTGTTGCCTGGGTTAGAGTGCAGTGGTGCAATCTCAGCTAACTGCAACCTCTGCCTCCCAGGTTCAAGCGATTCTCCTGCCTCAGCCTCCCTAGTAGCTGGGATTACAGGCATCTGCCATCACGCCCAGCTAATTTTTTGTATTATTAGTATATAAAATACTAATAATGTATATGTTGGCCAGGCTGGTCTCAAACTCCTGACCTTGTGATTCGCCTGCCTTGGCCTCCGAAAGTACTGGGATTACAGGTGTGAACCACTGCGCCCGGCCCAAAATTGTACTACCTTTATAAACTACCCTAAATAAAGTTTAATTTTACCCAGTTTTGAACCCAAAATAGATTTTTTTTTTGAGGTGGAGTTTTGCTCTTGTTGCCCAGGCTGGAGTGCAATGGCGCGATCTTGGCTCACCGCAACCTCAAGCAATTCTGCTGCCTCAGCCTCCCGAGTAGCTGGGATTACAAGCATGCTCCACGACACCTGACTAATTTTCTATTTTTAGTAGTGCCGGGATTTCTCCATGTTGCTCAGGCTGGTCTCGAACTCCTGACCTCAGGCGATCTGCCCGCCTCAGCCTCCCAAAATGCTGGGATTACAGGGGTGAGCCATCCTCCCAACCCCCAAAATAGATTTTTAAAAACAACAACTGTGTGTACGTTCAATATTGGACTTAAAAAGGAAACCATTTTTTTTTCTTTTAAGTAAGATATTTTGAAGTGTACTGATATCTATTGGAGATCAAGACATTTATGCGTTAGTCTACTTTTATGTTTGCTGACTGCCAGTCGACCTACTCCTTAATACTTCAAAGATATCCTTTCCCAAAGCTGCCTTTGGTCTTATACTAATGCTTTCCCTGATTCAATGAAACTTTGAAGGATATTGAGCTCACCATGATGAAATAGGTGTTGACATTCCTTGAACATCACTGTAATTATTCCTAATTTGTACTTTGCTTCAAAAAGTCTCTTCCCCTGCCCCCTAAAGTACTTTCAAAATGGTATCTACAGCTTTAATTATACCTGACAATAAACTGCTTTTACCACAAAATCTGTTTGATCATGTACCACACTAGATTATGTAATCAGATATCATCTCCAGATATTCTATTTTTTAGAAAATCTCAATTTATATTGTGCTTTTAAAGAGCTATAACACTAGCGACAGTGTTTTTAACTGTTGCTGTAAATTTTTTGTAATTATTGCAAATCAAACTTGTGACAAATGATTGAATGCTAGCTGAATTACCTACCAAACTGAGGTGAGATAGTCCTTTGAACTACTACTGTATGTTGTACAAGTCTATTGAGTAAAAAGTGCAATGGAAATTGGGTGATTTGATCTCCACAGAGAATCATATCAGATGGTATAGTGACTTTGGGTCCAGAATAATCCTGCTAATCACATCAGCTTCCCAATGACTCAGCTATATCAATTCCTTTGTGTGTGTGTGTGTGTGTGTGTGTGTGTATCCCTCCGGTTTCTTGCCTTTTTAAAACACTTTTTTTAAATGTTCATAGGTTGTTGGGAAACAGGTGGTATTTGTTTACATGAGTAAGTTCTTTAGTGGTGATTTGTGAGATTTTTGGTGCACCCATCACCTGCGCAGTATATACTGCACCCGATTTGTAGTCTTTTATCTCTCACCCTCTTTCCACCCTTTACCCCTGAGTCCCCAAAATCTGTTATGTCGTTCTTATGCCTTTACACCCTCATAGCTTAGCTCCCACTTATGAGTGAGAACATACTTTGTTTGGTTTTCCATTCCTGAGTTAGTTCACTTAGAATAGTAGTCTCCAATCCCATCCAGGTTACTGTGAATGCCATTAATACATTCCTTTCTATGGCTGAACTGTGTTCCATCGTGTATATATACCACAGTTTCTTTATCCACTCGATTGATGAGCATTTGGGTTGGTTCCACATTTTTGCAACTGCAAATTGTTCAGCTAATATCAATTCCTATGAAGAAGAGGTCTTCTTGTGGGTCCTTGTGAGACAGGCTTTGGGAAGGCAGAGAGGAGGAATGAAAACACCTAGTGAGGTTCATTGGTACAAAGGACAGGAGACAAAAATGAGGTCTCTTTTTTTCTTTTTCTCTTTCTTAGAGATGGAGTCTCGCTCTGTCGCCCAGGCTGGAGAGCAGTGGTGCGATCTCAGCTCACTGCAACCTCCGTCTCCCGGGTTCAAGCGATTCTCCTCCCTAAGCCTCCTGAGTAGCTGGAACTGCAGGCACCTGCCACCACACCCGGCTAATTTTTGTATTTTTAGTAGAAACAGGGTTTCACCATGTTGGTCAGGCTGGTCTTGGACTCCTGACCTCGTGATCCGCCCGCCTCGGTCTCCTAAAGTGTTGGTATTACAGGCGTGAGCCACCGCGCTCGGCCGAGGTCTGTATTCTTAAGAAGTTATCAGGACCCTGGCCGGGTGCAGTGGCTCACGCCTGTAATCCCAGCACTTTGGGAGGCCAAGGCGGGCAGATCATGAGGTCAGGAAATCGAGACCATCCTGGTTAACAAGGTAAAACCCCGTCTCTACTAAAAATACAAAAAATTAGCCAGGTGTGGTGGCGGGCGCCTGTAATCTCAGCTACTTGGGAGGCTGAGGCAGGAGAACGGCGTGAACCTGGGAGGCGGAGCTTGCAGTGAGCCGAGATTGCGCCACTGCACTCCAGCCTGGGGGACAGACCGAGACTCTGTCTCAAAAAAAAAAAAAAAAAAAAAAAAAAAAAGCTTATATTGGACTTTATCCTTCAGAAGTCATTTAGTGGTTGGTTGATTAATTAACTAATTATTAATTGGGGAAACCATGAGGAAAACTGTTTCTGATGGCTAGTCTAAGGGGATAAAGACTCTGGCAGGGAGACTAGGTATAATGATGCAGCAATAATCCAGCTTTTGGGATATAAGGTTGGACTAGACTGGCAATGGTGGCAATGAACTGGGGAGAAAGGGATAGATGCAGCACACATTTTAAAGGGAGAATTTGGCTTCTTTCTTTTTGCTTTTTCAGTCACTCAGGCTTGAGGCTGTTCAATATTCCGGATTTATTTCTCTTTCCCTTTATGCTTTTCTTCTTCCCTCAATAGCCTTTTTCTTTCCCATTTTTTTTCTCTCTCCTTTTCTTTGCTTGCATTTAAGACACTCTCTTACTACTTTCCTATATGGGATGATGACTAAATCAGTCAGGCAGATATCAAATGGGAGATGTGGGTAGAAATTCACTAACCATAAGATTTACTAACTAATTAGAGTATGTTGTGCTGGTTTTTTGTTTGTTAGTTTTTTTTTTTTTTTTTTTTTGAGACAGAGTCTCGCTATGTCACCCAGGCTGGGGTGCAGTGGTGCGATCTCAGCTCACTTCAACCTCTGCCTCCCGGGTTCACTCCATTCTCCGGCCTCAGCCTCTCCAGTAGCTGGGACTACAGGTGCCCGCCACCACGCCTGGCTAATTTTTGTGTGTGTGTGTATTTTTAGTAGAGACGGGGTTTCACCGTGTTAGCCAGGATAGTCTCGATCTCCTGACCTCGTGATCTGCCCACCTCGGCCTCCCAAAGTGCTGGGATTACAGGTGTGATGTTAGTTAGTTTTAAAAACTCTGTTGTCTTCAGTTAGAAAGAAGGAAAGAAAAGAGAGAAAAGGCATGAGGAGGCAAAAGTAGAACAGAAAATATAGAGACCTTCACTCATTCATTAGTTCAAGAAATGCCGTGTTTCCAGAGAAAAAGATAGAACCAAATGTACAAAGAAAATACAACAAAATAACAAATTTTATTGTAATTGTATGAGTTATTTTCCCTTCTAACACACTGGAATAGAGTAGAGATGCTAGGAATGGCAGACAGAAGATGAAGGTGTGATTGGTAGCCTCCTTCCTTCGCTCTATGCACATCTTGTTTTTGTTTCAAAAGGTAGAGTCTAAATCTCAACCCTTTGAAACTGGGCTGGCCTTGGTGTTGGTTCAACCAGTGCATTGCTGTGGAAGTGACTTTCTGGGACTTCTGAGGCTATGTTTCAAGAAGCCTGGGTCTTTGGAACGTTTACTCCTGGGATTCTTTCTTTTGGAACCCAGCCACCATACTGTGGGAAGTCCAAGTCACATGGAGAGACCACATGTAGGCACTCCAGCTGGCAGCCCCAAGTAAGACAAGAGCCCACATCTCTGCTAGCTGTGTGAATGAGCTGTTTTGATGTCCAGCCCAGTTGAGCTTTCAGATGACTGCAGCTCCAGCTGACATCTGACTGTACTCCCAGGGAGACCCCAAGCAAGAACTGCCTAGCCAATTCCCGTCAATCCACAGATTGTCAAGAATCCAAGAGTCAAGAATAAATTATCTTCAGCCGGGCATGGTCGCCCATGCCTGTAATCCCAGCACTTTGGGAGGCCGAAGTGGTCGGATCACGAGGTCAGGAGATCAAGACCATCCTGGCTAACATAATGAAACCCCATCTCTACTAAAAATACAAAAAAAATTAGCCAGGCATGGTGGTGGGCGCCTGTAGTCCCAGCTACTCAGGAGGCTGAGGCAGGAGAATCGCTTGAACCCGGGAGGCGGAGCTTGCAGTGATCCCATATCGTGCCACTGCACTCCAGCCTGGGCAACAGAGCAAGACTCTGTCTCAAAAAAAAAAAAAAAGAAACAAAGAAAAATAAGGAATAAATTACCTTCTTAAGCTGCCAGGCTTACTATGATTTGTTATACAGTAATAGATAACTAAAACATTTTGGCTTATTTTACCCTTATACAAAACATAAAGAATACATATGCTTAATCAAATGTTTGAAAGATTCATAATGCAACCCAAAATGCATGTATATTTTTTATTTTTTTTTTAATTTTAAAGATCACTTTATTACTCATTAGCCTTTGATACTAGAATCTGAATTGACCTATTCTTAAACAGAATTCCTTGGAAGAATTTAAGCAAAATTTTTTCCAACTTTAATTTTAGTTTTGGCGGCACATGTGCAGGTTTGTTACATGGGCAAATTGCATGTTATGGGGTTTGGTGTACAGATAATTTTGTCATTAAGGTAATCAACTTAGTACCCGATAGGTAGATAGGTAGTCTTTCTTTCTTCCTTCCTGCCTCCCTCCCTCCCTCCCTCCCTCCCTCCCTTCCTTCCTTCTTTTCTTTTTTTTGACGGAGTTTCACTCTTGTTGCCCAGGCTGGAGTGCAATGGTGCGATCTCGGCTCACAGCAACCTCCGCCTCCCAGGTTCAAGTGATTCTCCTGCCTCAGCCTCCCACCTGATAGATAGTTTTTCAATCCACACCCTCCTTCCACCCCCCACCCTCAAGTAGGCACCAGTGTCTATTGTTCCGTTCTTTGTGCCTATGTGCACTCAGTGTTTAGCTGCCACTTGTAAGTGACAACATGCAGTATTTGGTTTTCTTTTCCTGTGTTAACTTGCTTAGGATAATGGTCTCCAGCTCCATCCATGTTGCTGCAGAGGTCATGATTTTGTTTTTTGTTTTTATGGCTGCACAGTACTCCACGGTATATATGTACCACATTTTCTTTATCTAGTCCACCATTGGTGGGCATCTTGGTTGATTCCATGTCTTTGCTATTATAAATAGTTAAGCAAATATTTTAATCACTATAATTTTTTTTTTTTGAGACAGAGTCTTGCTCTGTCACCCAGGCTGGAGTACAGTGGCGTGATCTCGGCTCACTGCAACCTCTGCCTTCCAGATTCAAGCGATTCTCCTGCCTCAGCCTCCTGAGTAGCTGAGATTACAGGCACCCACCACCATGCCCGGCTAATTTTTGTATTTTTAGTAGAGATGGGGTTTCACCATGTTAGCCAGGCTGGACTTGAACTCCTGACCTCAGGCAATCCGCCCGCCTCGGCCTCCCAAAGTGCTGGGATTATAGACATGAGCCATGGAGCCCGGCCTAATCACTATAATATTTTCAGTACTAATCAGGATAAAGTGATGTAGATGTGACAAGAATAATTGATGTGTAATCAGAGGATGGGTTTAAATATTAATTTTGTCATTTATCACTGTGCGACCTGGAGCAAATTATTTAACATCTCTGATTCCTGGTTTCCAGTGCTATCGTGTATCTTAATGTGCTGCATAACGATGTTCTGGTCAACAGCAGATTGCATTTACAGCGGTGGTACCGTAAGATTGCAATGGAGCTCTACACAGGCGTACCATTTTTATATTCTATACTGTATTTTTACTGTGCTTTTTTATGTTTAGATACACAAATGCTTATCATTGTGTTATGATTACCTAAAGTATACACTGCAGTAACATGCTACACAGGCTTGTAGACTAGAAACAATATAGCCTAGATGTGTAGTACACTATACTGTCGACGCTTGTGTACATGCACTCTGTGTTGTTCACACAATGACGAAATCACCTAATGATGCATTTCTCGGAATATATCCCTGTTGTTAAGTGACACATGACTGTATTTGAAAGTATTTAGTAGGCCGGGCACAGTGGCTCACGCCTGTATTCCCAGCACTTCGGGAGGCTGAGGTGAGCGGATCATGAGGTCAGGAGATCGAGACCATCCTGGCTAACAAGGTGAAACCCTGTCTCTACTAAAAATACAAAAACTTAGCCGGGCATGGTGGCGGGTGCCTGTATTTCCAGCTACTTGGGAGGCTGAGGCAGGAGAATCGCTTGAACATCGGAGGTGGAGGTTGCAGTGAGCCGAGATGGCACCACTGCACTCCAGCCTGGGTGACAGAGTGAGACTCCATCTCAAAAAAAAAAAAAAAAAAAGTATTTAGTAATGCCTGACAAAACAGACATTCAATAAAGGTTTTTTTCTTTGCTATGAAATCCTGCACTCATAAGTACAACCATTTTGAAGCTTAACATGGTTTTGTATGACTTCCTAAAGCATAATATTTTATTATTTATCAAATATCTCTCTTGATAAGCTCTTAATAAGTATTTCATGAGCTTCCATAGTGTTGCTTTTAGTCATGGATCTACCTTAGTTTTCCTGTGGGGATGAATTGTTTAATAGATTTTTGAGGAGTCATTTTGTTGCTAGAATCTTACAAAGGCACTTTTGTGGCAACCTTCTTTGATTTTCAAGGACATGACCCTGTTTCACATCTTGAATGTGGTTCCCTACTCCAGTGCAAATGTTAATAAGTTAAGTGAATATCAAATAAGAATTTTAATTCAGTTCATCATATGTTTATGTATTTAAATTTAAGAGTCAAATTGATATAATTGGTAACATTACAGATTTGCTTTGATTTGAGATGCCAAGTGATGAAAAAATTTTTAATTTAGAAGTGAATTACCTTGCTTATTTGAATTTATCATTTTTGCATAATTAGGACAAACTAATTTAATTTGCAGTTATCCTTTTAAATGACTTAAATGATGTCTGCTGAGATACTCAAGGCCACATGATTTGTGGAATCATCTTGAATATTTCCCTGTTTTACAGGGTTGGAAAGTATTCAAATGCAATTCGTGAAGCTTGGAGATAGAGTCAGAAGCTTATGCCTTTCTCTATTAATATATATATTTTTCTGTTCTGTTTTGTTGCCCTTGCTTCATTGTAGGCTGTTTTATGTTTTTCCAGAGGGATAAACTTTGCATTTAGTGATGGAGTGCCCTTCTTTTTCAATTCTGTTCTTTTCTGTGTCATTTTCACTTCATGTTTAGCTCACATCTCAGTTCTGCGACAGGAAAGCTGGGTATTCATTTGATGAGTCATGGTGAGACTCTCCAAGACAATGCTCTTGATGGGGCCTGAGGATTCTTCAGCAAATGTGGCTTTTTGATGATGCATTTTAATGAGCTTTAAAAAATTTGGATACCCAACTCCTGGATAGAGTAGCTGGAATCTATAATCTTAGAATAGTGTTTTTCAAACTTCAGGTCCTGGATCATAAAATAATTCTGGGAATTGTGAAAAGCACTTAAGAAACAACAAAACTAACTGAAGTAGATAATATTAGATGTATTACATGTAACAAAGGAAAGGAAAGTTTCACAAAACTTTTGTATTAGTTTTGTGTGTTTGTGTATATTAGTTTATGATAAAAATTATTTTACTTATTTTTTTGTGAGTTGCTGTCCAAAGAGTTTGAAAGCCAGAGTCTTGGATTTAAAGCTGTCTGAGGCAATTTGATAATACAGCAGTTTAAAATGACAATATACTTGAAATATAAAAGTGTAGATTGCTTTTAGTCACATATTTTAAAAAGATTAGCACGTTGCCTTTGCCTGGGAAGCCTTTCCCTGGCACGACTGGGCATTTTCCAAAGGGCAGGGACACAGTCATCCCCATGTAACTGGGTCCTGTAGGAGCCCAAGTGCTATCTCCCTGGGAGGGTCTGATGAAACAGGTTATTCATGTAGTCTTGATACTGCTGCTGCCCTGCTGATGTTGTCTGTTGGCAATATGATGTCTTATCCTACCAGATGAGAAGGACCCAGTTTTCCCCAGGTCTCATTCTGCTGGGAAGACGGCACACACTTCTCCGTCATTAATGGGACCTGCACTTTGCTTGGAAGGCTGGCAAATTCTAATCCTGAACTCCTTTCTTTTCTTTTCTTTTTTTTTTTTTTTTTTGAGGCAGAGTCTTGCTCTGTCGCCCAGGCTGGGGTGCAATGGTGGCACCATCTTGGCTCACTGCAAGCTCCGCCTCCTGGGTTCACACGATTCTCCTGCCTCAGCCTCCCGAGTAGCTGGGACTGCAGGCACCGACCATCACACCCAGCCAATTTTTTGTATTTTTAGTAGAGACGGGGTTTCACTGTGTTAGCCAGGATGGTCTTGATCTCCTGACTTCGTGATCCACCTGCCTCAGCCTCCCAAAGTGTTGGGATTACAGGCGTCAGCCACCGAGCCCGTCCTGAACTCCTTTCTTTACTAGAGAACCTCCCCTTTCTTTCCCACTGGATCTTAGGAAGATAGGAGGCAGCATGGGAGGTTATTTCTCTTTTATTCATATCATGTGAGTCTGGGCTTTTGTGTAAAGGCCTACTCATTTGAGGAAAGTTCCATTCCTGGAATTAGAAAATTAATCCTTAATCAGAGTAATGCAGTGTCGCAATTTCAATCTGCTAATGACCTTTGGAGAGACACGGCACATCTCTCCAGTTGATGGATTTCCCTTTTAGAGGATAAATGACATCCTCCCCATGCTTCTCTCAGCTGGACCAACACACTTCAGAAACAAAGAATCCTTCGGGCAGGAAGTGACCCCTTACATTTCTGACACTGGCCATTTAGGTTTCCCCAGCTTCTCCCAATTTTGCAATTTACTTTCTCTCCCATTAAAGTGGCCTTATTGTGTCACTTAACTTTTCCCACTGCTTATTGTTATTTATTTTTTTCATAGAGCAGCCCTGACTTATATTTTATTCTTCTTTTATAATGCTTTTATTTTCACCTTATTACTGCTGAAAATCAACTAAACTTCATTATTACTCCTCCCCGCCCCTGCTCCCTAATCTCTATCAACCTTTATCTGTTATCCAGGTTTATTTTTTTGTTTTTATTTTTATTTTTTTTCAGAGTCTTGCTCTTGTTGCCCAGGCTGGAGTGCAATGGTGTGATCTTGGCTCACTGCAACCTCCGCCTCCTGGGTTCAAGCGATTCTCCTGCCTCAACCTCCTGAGTAGGTGGGATTACAGGCACCTGGCACCATGCCCAGCTAATTTTTGTATTTTTAGTAGAGCTAGGGTTTCACCATATTGGCCAGGCTGATGTCGAACTGCTGACCTCAGGTGATCTGCCCACTTTGGCCTCCCAAAGTTCTAGGATTACAGGTGTGAGCCACCATGCCCGGCCTATCCAGGTTTTTAAAATATGCACTCTAGACAGTAGTCAAAAAAGATTGACTGAATCTTTACATAAGATATATTTTTTTTTCTGCATGGGACATTTTCAAGAATAGCTATAATCCCTTTTCTTAAGAACTTTAGATGGATTAAGGAAATAAAATAAGTAAATTTGTTAACAGCATTAGAATTTCATTCTGAAATCTTTTCTACAGGTCGAAATGTGGCAGAAAGCAGATGTCTATTTAAGGGGAAAGACCTTGTTACAAGTTGTCTTGCAGACTCTTAGATTGTCCTTAAAAGCAGTGTTATGACTGAGGATGCGAGGCACAGTTTTGGTTACCACCGTGTTTAATTTCAATAGGGAAAGTAAAATCATGTCTCAAAGCACCGGAATTGACTTTCCCTGAGCCTCTCCTTGGTTATACATTCTTATAATTACAGGATACAGAAGACAGAAACTTGGCATTCATTTTATCTGTCGTACTCTACATACTAGGAAATTGAGGCTCAGGGACAGGAAGTCATTAAGATAATTCATTATTTTGTTACTTGACTAGAGTGTTTTCAGAAAGGATGCAGAAAAGTAGAAATATTTGAAAGGCATTTAGGAATCGTGACAGTCAATACTGACTGGGCGTGGTGGTGTGCGCCTGTAGTCCCAGCTACTTGGGAGGCTGAGGTGGGAGGATCACCTGAGCCTGGGAAATTGAGGCTGCAGCGAGCCAATTGAGGCCAATTGCGCCACTACACTCCAGCCTGGGTGATGGGACTGAGACCATGTCTCAAAACAACAACAACAAAAAGTCAATGCTGATGGACTGGTTTGGTGGTGGGATTGGGTGCTGAGGGAGGGGGAAGATTCAAGGATGCTGCTTGGAACTGTAGCTTTAGTATCCGTACAAATGGGAAGAGTTAATTTTGAAGGAGGACACAGGAGGAAAGGTATATCTGCAGAGAAAGATTGTGAGTTTAGTTTGGGAGTGTTGCATCTTGGGTGGCTTTATGAATCCAAGACAACATATTACAATGGAACATAAACAGAAGGAAAACAACGAGAGTACTGAGTCATAAAAGTTAGTGAAGAGAGTTTTTCCAAGAGGGAGTTTTTCTCATCCATAGCCTCTGTGAGGCCAATTAAGACACAGATGGAAACATGTTACGTTTAGCTATAAGGAAGTTGTTGTTGATCTTGGCAAGTGGTGTTTCAATGGAGCATGGGGTTAGAAGCCAAAGTAGCGAGCTGAGAAATGAGTGGGAGGAGAGGAAGTAGAAAAAGGGAATGTAAACAACTATCAAGAAGTTTGGGACGGTTAAGGAAAGGGGGAAAGTAGGGTTATACCTACCAGAGAAGATGTAGAAAAATGGTTTTATTTGATACAAGAGCAAGTTGGGCATGTTTAAGTGCTGATGGGAAAGGGCCAATTTTTCTATGGAAGTAATTTTTCTCTTTTCTGGTTCCTGCCTTCTGTCTAAATGTCTGTGTAGTTCCTGGAAATTGTGGAGCAGATCTTTTAGGAGCATCAGAATTATCTCTTATGGATCCATTATCAACTAACTTTTGACTACCAGCTCTTGTTATCAATCCATATGCCTACATTCCCCATGGACTCTGTCCTGAATGCTCACATTCATGTTAGAAAAAAAGCATCTCTCAAATTTGTTAGCAGGAGTAAAGCAAGCAAAAGCAATTTATCCACTTTTCAAATTGGCCTGGATGTGAGTTCAAACTGGGAGATTCTCATTTAAGATCAGTTTTAGAAGAAGATTTGAATAACATTATTTACCATTAATATTAATCATGCATCTAACAACTGGCTCTATATTTACCTAGTGAGGTAAATATATGTGTGTGTGTGTGTGTGTGTGTGTGTGTGTGTATTTTTTTTTTTGAGACGGAGTCTTGCTCTGTGGCCCAGGCTGGAGTGCAGTTGCACCATCTCGTCTCACTGCAAGCTCTGCCTCTAGGGTTCACGCCATTCTCCTGCTTCGGCCTCCTGAGTAGCTGGGACTACAGGTGCCCCCCACCACGCCTGGCTAATTTTTTTGTATTTTTAGTAGAGACGGGGTTTCACTGTGTTAGCCAGGATGGTCTCGATCTCCTGTCCTCATGATCTGCCCGCCTTGGCCTCCCAAAGTGCTGGGATTACAGGTGTGAGCACAGTGCCTGGCCTATACATACATACATATATATATATATGAGTGTGTGTGTGTGTGTATATATATATGTGTGTGTGTGTATATATATATATATATATATATTTTTTTTTTTTTTTGAGACAATCTCACTCTGTCACCCAGGTTGGAGTGCAGTGGTGCAATCTTGGCTCACTGCAACCTCCGTCTCCTAAATTCAAGCAATGCTCGTGACTCAGACTCCCAAGTAGCTGAGATTACAGGTGCGTGCCACCACAGCCGGCTAATTTTTGTATTTTTAGTATAGATGGGATTTCGCCAGGTTGGCTAGGCTGGTCTCAAACTCCTGATCTCATGTGATCCACCTGCCTCGGCCTCCCAAAGTGCTAGGGTTACAGGCATGAGCCACTGCGTCCTGCCATGTAAATATATTTATTTATTCATTACCTACTATATAGCAGATACCTAGCATGAAATACCTAAGGATGATCTGAAAATCTTGATTTTTAAGTTATTTTATATTTTGAATGTAAATTTCTGCAGTTTATGGTGATTTTCTACATTTTTGGTACAATATTCTCCGCTATGTCAAAAACAGTGTTCTTTAAGTTATAGCTGAAACTTTTTTTTTTGGACACCTGGCATCCAAATTTGCTCTCTATTTTTAAAATAGGCCCTGCTAGGCCGGGCACAGTGGCTCACGCCTGTAATCCCAGCACTTTGAGAGGACGAGGCGGGGGAATCACCTGCGGTAGGGAGTTCGAGATCAGCCTGAACAACATGGAGAAACCCCATGTCTACTAAAAATACAAAAAATTAGCCGGGCGTGGTGGTGCATGCTTGTAATCCCAGCTACTCGGGAGGCTGAGGCAGGAGAATTGCTTGAACCTGGGAGGCGGAGGTTGTGGTGAGCCGAGATTGTGTCACCGCACTCCAGCCTGAGCAATAAGAGCAAAGCTCCGTCTCAAAAAACAAACAAATAAAAAAAAAATAGGCCCTGGAATGTAATTTTTCTTAGAAACAAGGGCCCTACTTCCTTCTGTGTAAATTGACCTGGATTAGCCGATGGGTTCTCTCACCAAGGGTGTGACACCCTGAGGGAGTGACGCACAGTTCCGGGGATGGCTGACAACCACCCTGGTTGTCGCATGGCATCAACCTAACCAGACTGCTCCTGGGCTGGCCTCGGCTGTGTCCTCAACTGCCCAGCCTCGCTTGGTTCCTGCCACTGTATGGAGCCTGCTTCCTGTTGGTTCACTGCGCTCTCTAAGACCCTTCCAATAACTTTCTCTTCTGCTTAGATTACCCGGAGGAAGTTTTTGTTGTTTGGCATCGAGAATTCTGACAGATTCAGAGGGTCACTGTGGAATAATAAAACAACCAACAAAAACATTTGTTTTTCACTAACATTTGTGGACTGCAGGTATGCTGAATGCTTGAAATAAATGATGTTACTAAATCTTCAGAACAGCAAGGTGAGGCAGGCACATGGTTCTGTTCCTTCAAGAAGCACCTCTGTTCCTTCAAGAAGCACCACTTCTTATGTGAAGGCTTTCCTGACCTCTTCTTCCTCTTGCGAGTATACCTGATTCTTCTGTGTTTATTCTTTGTCCTATAAAGAGGAGAGAATGTATATACATATACACACTATATATGTATAAAGACATATATAATATACATTATATTGTCATATATAACATATTATATAAAGATAAATATAAAATGTAATATAAGTAATATATAATATGTAATACATATTAAGTATACTATTATAGATATGTTTTGTTTGTTTGTTTTTTGTTTGTTTTTTGAGATGGAGTCTCACTCTGTCATCCAAGCTGGAGTGCAGTGGCACGATCTCAGCTTACTGCAACCTCCACCTCCCAGGTTCAAGCGATTCTCCTGCCTCAGCCTCCTGAGCAGTTGGGATTACAAGTATGCACCACCACGTCTGGCTAATTTTTGTATTTTTATTAGAGACGGGGTCTCACCATGTTGGCCAGGCTAGTTTAAAACTCCTGGCCTCAAGCGATCTGCCCGCCTCAACCTCCCAAAGTGCTGGGATTACAGGCGTGAGCCACCGTGCCCGGCCTTGTAGATATAGGCTTTATTTCCTTACCACTTATTAAGCTCTTCGCATGTGTCAGATACTGTGCTTAGTACTTTGCTCACACTGTCTTATGCCATTCCCACTGGAAGTCTATGAATTAGATTTATTATCTATTTTACAGAAGAAGAAATGAGAACAGGAAAGATTAAATAACTTCTTTCAAGATGTGTCTATGAGTTGCAGCGTTGAGATTTGAACATGCTTTGCTTTGTTTTGGTTTGGTTTGGTTTTCATTCCAGTGCCTCTGTTCTTAACACTCTACACACTGCCTGCATCTGTCATTGTACTTCCATGGGTAATGCTTCCCTCTTGCACTGGACTGAGGCAGAGTCTGCATTTTACTTGTCTTTTTCACTCTCTCTCAGTTGCCTAGGAGGGAAGGCAAATCTGTTACTTACAGCCCCTTCACTCATTCCTCTGTCCACGGCAGACATCACTAGTCAATGATTACTTCACTTTGTCCCAGTAATCCATCTTGAGAATTCATCTCCCACTGTTCTACAAGAAGTTACTCCCGATTGGTTACAGATCAATCCAGTTCCTGGCCTAGAACAATGCCTCTCACACAAATGTGCTTAGTAAACTGGTAGTGTGTTGCAATTTTCCTCATTTTACAGATGAAGAAATAATGATTAGAGAATTAAATAGTGAACCATTTACCTGAAGATATTAGGGCCCACCTCATTGGGTTTTGTGAGGATTAATTGAATTTGAGCACAAAAAACCCTTCAACTGGTGTCTTGGTACAAGTGAGTTAGCTATTATTACTACTTCTCAAAACACACAGGTTGTCTCCAGAAGAGGTAAATCCATTGAGACAGCAAGGTTGTCGCTGGGTGCCAGAGGCTTGGTGGGGAGTGGGAGGGAGAATGGGAGTAATAGCTTACTAGGTGTGGGGTTTTTTTGTTTGGCGATAAAAGCATTTTGGAACCAGATGGATGGTTGTGCAGCATTGTGACTATGCCAGTTGCAGTATAAAATGAATTCTGTGCTTCAAAATGGTTAATTTTGTGTTATGTGAATTCCACTGCAATTTAAAAAAGTAACACAAGTTGTTACTTTTTCACCCTGGGAGTGAGTGCTGCCTTAAATTTTGCACCCTAGGTTTCTCAATCAACTTACCCTAGTCCCAGTCCTGGTAATGTAGCCAGAGGTCAGACCTAAGCCTTTGGTTCTCTAAATAAAGTGCACTTTTTACCTTAATATGTTGCTTCAGAAGTCGTGGAAAGTCCTTCCTCACTGGCGGATAGTAGTGTTAAGCGTGTGTTGAGAATTGCAGTTGGAGGCTGGAAAACAAGTGAATTGTTCAAGCCCTTCATAGTTTACAAAGCCATTTAAGAGAACAATGGGTTGCAAACAATAGGAGCTTACTGTACATTTAGTGACCTATCCAATATGTGTAATAAACGTGACTCAAGAGGAAGAGTTGGCCAGAAGGGAACTCTTAAACATTCACAGACAGAAACTTCCTGCACTTTGGGTCTCTCTTTACTGACTGCAAAGGAAACTCAGGACTTCAGAACTGGGTCTATAAAAAGCTGGGCGACACCGTTTCACCTCCCTGGTCTGCAAGCAGCTCCACCAAGCTTGCTGTGGCATTTATGGGACTGATAACTGCCTCAGAGAAGGCTAAAAAGATCTTAAGGTGCAGTGGGAAGCAACTGGCAGAGTTCTCGTGAAAACAAATAAAACCTCAGATCTTCCACTGTTAATCTCTTTGCAGTTTGCTTTATTTATAACTGTGTAAATGTGTTGTAGCAACAACCCTGTTCGTAAACACAGCCACCTCATTGCTTATTAATAAACAGGAAGATATTAATAAACAGCCACCTCTCATTTCAAGGCAACTTGACATATAGAATTTAGCTAAGAAATAAGGATTGCAGAAGGAGGTTTTGATTTATTACATGCAGTTCCCTGTGTTTGTTTTAAAGGAATTTGGAGGTGGCCTTGACCCAATTTCGGGGTCCTTGCCAGGGTCAAAGTGGGAAGCCCAGAAGTCAGCCAGCGCCTTGTCGTCCAGGCTCTAAGGAAGCAGTGAGCAGAGGAGCGGGCACAGGGTGACTTCCAGTGCTTAGGAAACGTTTAAGAAAGCTTGAAAACCTTTTCAGACTTATTTTCTTTCTTTTAGCATACATTATGAACCTTCTCCCTCTGCCACTGGGGACATAAAAATAAATGGCACAGTTTCTGCCCCCAAAAGCCCACAGTCTCATGGGAAAGATGGTCCCATAAACAGCAACTGTAATGCGGGTGATAAGGACCATTCTAAAGTTTGTGGACTAAATACTAGGTGAGCAGAGATGAGATGTTTGATTATGTTGGTCACACTGGGGATAGGGGGGTGTAGTATGGGGTGAAACTCATGAGAGTTTGAGAAAAGAGAGGACTTTAAAACTGGGAGGGTGAGGGAAGATGTGCTTATGAGTGGGTGTGAGTGTTGGGGAGAGGGAAGAAAGCTGTCTAGAAAACACAGAACTCTTGAGTTTCACTGAGGTTAGAAAGAGATACTTTCATGGTTGGAATGTGGGAACCAGTTGGAGGGGCAGGTTGGGGAAAGAGTTTAATTGACCATATCTCATGTCCCTATTGCATCAGTGAGAAAAAACAAACGTGTAGAACATTTAGGTGACCTACTTTGCCTTCACAAAAATGAGAATGCAAAGAGTCATGGAAAAATGACGCGGAGGAGATGATCTTCTGAGATGCTATGAAGGACAAAGCTTCCTGTTTTCCTTGGAGTACAGATGATTTTATAATAGCATGATTTTAGATGTCAGGAGTCAGAAAACATACTACTGAAGGCCTGTCACAGCAAAAACGTTGTGGAGGGCAGGACTTGAATGTTAGATGTGGAGGTGCTGGTGTGGGGTGAAACGGGTCCCCGGCTTCTGGCCTCCATTTGTGGTCTTACATAGGATCGTGATTTCTTCACTTTCCATTTTCAGCAATTTTATTCTGAGATTTTGTTTTGGTGATTATTATTATTATTTTATTTATTTATTTTTATTTTTGAGACATCGTTTCGCTCTCGTTGCCCAGGCTGGAGTGCAATGGCGCGATCTCAACTCACTGCAACCTCTGCCTCCCGGGTTCAAGTGATTCTCCTGCCTCAGGCTCCCGAGTAGCTGGGATTACAGGCATGGGCCACCACGCCTGGCTAATTTTGTATTTTTATTTTATTATTATTATTATTATTTTGGATACAGAGTCTCCCTCTGTCACCCAGGCTGGAGTGCAGTGGCATGATCTTGGCTCACTGCAAGCTCCGCTTCCCGGGTTCAGGCCATTCTCCTGCCTCAGCCTCCTCAGTAGCTGAGACTACAGGCACCCGCCACCACTCCCGGCTAATTTTCGTTTTTGTATTTTTAGTAGAGACAGGATTTCACCATGTTAGCCAGAATGGTCTCGATCTCCTGACCTCGTGATTCGCCCGCCTCGGCCTCCCAAAGTGCTGGGATTACAGGCGTGAGCCACCGCGCCCAGCCTAATTTTGTATTTTTAGTACAGACAGGGTTTCTCCATGTTGGCCAGGCTGGTCTCGAACTCCTGACCTCAGGTGATCCGCCCACCTCGGCCTCCTAAAGTGCTGGGATTGCAGGTGTGAGCCACCGCGCCCAGCCTTGGTGATTATTTTCTATCATATATTTATCCATATTCACTTTAGATTTTAGGCTAATAATATTTTTGTTCAAATACATTTTCTACACTTTGCAGGCTGATTTCATTGACCTGAGCTTAACTTTTCTTTCCTTGGGAAATATAGTTTCATTCTTACCAAGGAATTCAGGGGAAAAATTCTACTTTAGTCTACAAATTCCTACCAGGTTCAAGTAATTTGAGTATTTCATGTATCAATTAAAATTCCATTTGCCAGAATTGAGAAATTGAAATATATTATTTATTACTATTTTTTTTTAGAGACAGGGTTTTACTCTGTCACCCAAGCTGGGGTGCAGTGGCAGGATCATAGCTCACTGCAGCCTCCAACTTCCAGGCTCAAATGATCCTCCCACCTCAGCCTCCCAAGTAGCTGGGACCACAGGCTCACACCACCACCCTGGCTAATTTTTTTTTTTTTTTTTTTTTTTTGTAGAGATGGGGTCTCCCTATATTGTTCAGTTTGGTCTTGAACTCCTGGCCTCAAGTGAGCCTCCCACCTATGCCTCCCGAAGTGCTGAGATCACAGGTAGCAGCCGTCATGCCCAAACAGAAATTGAAATATATGTGCTAAATATTCACCATTTGCCAATTGAAATGAGCTGTTTATCTCTCTCTCAATTCTGTTCTGTGCCCAGCACTGCCTGTACTTTCCTTGCTTGCTGGTGTCCAAGGCTATCTGAGGCAACCACTCCCTCTACTCCCCAACCCACCCATCCCCACCCCACTGATCCCCCAGGCAAATCAACCAAAGATGGTGGAAGCCCCTAGCCTAAGCATTACTAGGGCTCCTGCTGTCTTTGGTTGGTTTGCTAATTCCTTAAGAGCCCCACCCACATCTTTGTAAACAGTATATTCATTGAATTCTCCTTAATTGCTCTCTTTGAAAGCATGGTTTCTTGCAGACCCAACTGATGCATTATTTAGGTGTGCTCACAAAGTATATTGAAGATACATATATGATGCTTTGCATTTATGTGCTAAGCTTATTAAATAAACTGAATTTAGTAGGGTACAATTAGGAAACTGCATTTTTCTTTACATAAAAAATGTATTGCTTGATGACTTGAGATATAGATTTTTTTGTTTTGTTTTGTTTTGTTAGGTTTTGTTTTTGAGACAGAGTCTCGCTCTGCTGCCCAGGCTGGAGTGCAGTGGCGCAATCTCGGCTCACTGCAAGCTCCTCCTCTCGGGTTCATGCCATTCTCCTGCTTCGGCCTCCTGAGTAGCTGGGCCTACAGGCGCCCGCCACCACGCCCGGCTAATTTTTTGTATTTTTAGCAGAGACGGGGTTTCACTGTGTTAGCCAGGATGGTCTCCATCTCCTGACCTAGTGATCTGCCCACCTTGGCCTCCCAAAGTGCTGGAATTACAGGTGTGAGCCACTGTGCCTGGCCATGATACAGAAATTTAAAATAGTAATGTAAAACTTTAAAAAGTGTTTCCACAACGAATGTAAAATAATGTTCTTTTGGATTTTTCTTCCTCACCTCTGGAAAACAGCTTCAACAAGGTTTTGTGTTTTTTGTTTCCTTTTGTTTTGTTTTGTTTTTTGAGACGGAGTCTCACTCTGTTATCCAGGCTGGAGTGCAGTGGTGCCATCTTGGCACATTGCAACCTCCACCTCCTGGGTTCAAATGATTCGTGTGCCTCAGCCTCCCAAATAGCTGGGACTATAGGCACATGCCACCATACCCGGCTAATTTTTTTGTATTTTTAGTAGAGAGGGGGTTTCACCACGTTGGCCAGGCTGGTCTTGAACTCCTGACCTCAGGTGATCTGCCCGCCTTGGCCTCTCAAAGTGCCGGGATTACAGGCGTGAGCTACCGCGCCCAGCCTAGCAAGGTTATTTTTGGATATCAGTAGAGAGTGATGTTTTCAGGTACTTGGAAGCCCAGTTCAATCTAAATAAATCTTTCATCCTTCATACAACTTAAGGTTCCTACAACCTCCCACCCTCTGCCCAACACAATCCTGATGCAAAGCTTGGGTTCAGCAGTGGGAAGGATAGGCAATATCTGTTCTTTTACTTTCCCTTCCTCTCCTGACTCCCCTATACTCCAAGATTGTGGCTCTTGATAAATATCTAGTTTAAGAATAAGATACCAGCTTCTGACAAGCACCAGCACTCTATGAGTGATCCACTTAAAAGCCTTCCTCACTTGGCTCAGGCTGAGACCATCCATTTATTATCTCTACATAAAAATTCAGCTTTGAAAACTTCCTTCCTAATGAATCTCTAGTTTTCTTTTTTACAGGCTGCTGGAGAGAACTGCAGTGGATAAGTTTGGCCCCCTCTTAGTAATTCCTGAGAGGGTTTGTCCATGCCTCTGTGGGAGGACTCTGTCACCTGTGTCAACAGCTTTGAGACTGTAGCTAAAATTGTGAGAGATCAGAAAATGTCTAATCGTACATCCTGTTATGTTTGCATATATTAAAATGCATATTGAAAGAAGCAAACAGGACTATATAAATGGAAGGAAGAAAGTGAGAAAAAGAAAAGATTATCAACAAAATTGAGCGAAAGAAAAACAAGAGGAAGTGGAGAGAAAAAAAGAACAAGAAAAACTCCTAACTTAGATGTCTTGAAATGCCTCCTAACATTTTGCTTTGCATTAGTTGACTCTTAGTTTATGGTTGCCTTTGGATATTAAAGCCTAATATTTTATTTGGAAAGAGTCCAATATAGTGAAATAAGTAATTTTTTTTTCTTTTTTTTTTTTTTTTGAGACAGAGTCTTGCTCTGTCGCTCAGACTGGAGTGCAGTGGCGTGATCTCGGCTCACTGCAACCTCCACCTCCCAGGTTCAAGTGATTCTCCTGCCTCAGCTTCCCAAGTAGGTGGGACTACAGGCACCCACCACCATGCTCGGCTAATTTTTGTATTTTTAGTAGAGATGGGGTTTCACCATATTGGCCAGGCTTGTCTCAAACTCCTGACCTTGTGATCCACCCACCTCGGCCTCCCAAAGTGCTGTGATGACAGGCGTGGGCCACTGTGCCCAGCCTAAGTGATAATTTTAAAATGAAGAAAAGGCATTTAGGAGCCCTGCATTAAATTGCTAAAATTATTCTTACTATTATTATTATTTTTGGAGATGGAGTCTTGCTCTGTCATCCAGGCTGGAGCGTAGTGGCACCATCTAGGCTCACTGCAAGCTCCGCCTCCCGGGTTCACGCCATTCTCCTGCCTCAGCCTGCCGAGTAGCTGGGACTACAGGCGCCCGCCACCATGCCCGACTAAGTTTTTGTATTTTTAGTAGAGATAGGGTTTCACCGTGTTAGCCAGGATGGTCTCAATCTCCTGACCTCGTGATCCGCCCGCCTCGGCCTCCCAAAGTGCTGGGATTACAGGCGTGAGCCACTGCGCCCGGCCAAAATTATTTTTTAATTGTAGCAGACATTGAAATTATTCTTCTACTACCCATTTCAGTTCCCTTGAGTGACAACCATGATGTTTAGGAGGAGTGGACCTCATATTCAGATCCAGAAGAGGGACCTGATTTTCTAGATCACTGAGAATAATTCCATTTCCTTGTCATAGGGATTGATACGAATTTAAGTCAATTAGAGGATGGCACTTCCCTAGCTACAGAAATAGGATCAGAATCTATGGCCATATCACCCTGCGCATGCTTGATCTCAGAAGTTAAACAGGGTTGGGCCTGGGAAGTGCTTGGATGGGAGAAATAGGATCAGGGTAGTCCAATCAGAGTGAAGCTTGGGACTTCTGTATGGAGGTCCTAAAAACTGGCCTTGGCCTTAGCTCTGTGTTGGATGTGAATGAGAAACCATCACGAATGCTGTTAGCAGTCATTTTATGAGGCCAGCCTGAGAACAAAGCCAACATTTAGAGGCAGAAAAAACTGAGAGGATTGCAGGAAAAATTGAGCCAGAGCCTGGACCAAACCATCCCTGGATCAAGCCATGAAAAGTCCTGTGGACTTTTCAGTTACAGGAGCCAGTAAATTCCCTTAATTGTTTAAGCCAGTTGAATAGCTTTTCTGTTACTTGACACAGAAATAATCTCAATCGATAGTTCCTTTGTTGTGCTTGAGTAATTTAGGCTTAATTGAAACAAACAGGCCTCATTAAAAAAGGGTACATTTATAGCTTCAGAATATAAAATACATTTATTGTTTTTGTTATATGCATATTGTAAAGGATCAAAACTAAAGTCCCAAAAGCCAAACCTCACTGTCTCATTCACAAAGAATATGGGCTATGAAATTTTAAGAAAAGCAAACCATTATAATTAAAGTTGTTTGAAGATAAAGAAAAAATTATGGATGAGCCAAAGCTGAAGCAGTTTGAAAGAGCAACAGATATTTTGACAAACTTCTGCCGAGCTAGGCAGAATAGAAATGAAGAAAAATGGATACCAGTTTAAGATTTGTGGTTTGCTCATTACTTTCATGTATATTATCACACTGAATTCTTATAATAAGCCTTTGAGATTGCAATTATCCCCTCCCCCACCCCACCACCATTTGTGGAAAGAGGCTCAGAGAGGAAAAGTAATTTTTTCAAGATCATATAGTTATTTAGTATCAGAGGCAGGATTTGAGCACAGATTATGCTCTTTCTACAAACTTGCTGTTTCCTTATGATATATAGCTGGAAACTCTAGGGGTCCTTAATGCCAGCCAGGGTTGGAACAACTTAGCTGAAACTGTCATCCCCTGGTTTCGGATGCATGTAGCAGTTGCTCCATGTGCTGGAGGTGCCTTATATTTCAGATCCTAAGCTTTAGCTATTTTGGATATTATTTAATTTACAAACAAGACTGGCCTGTTGCCTTGGGAATTGCAATGCAAGGAAAGATTTGGACTCAGTAGTGTTTGCCTGCACATAACCTAACCAAACATAGGCTGCCTTATTCTGATGCATTGCCTTCTTCTTGTTTTTCTAAAAAGATTCACTAACCCTCTGCCAATATGATAAGTGTTGGGGGAAATGAGTTTCTGAATTGTCATTCTAGGAATTGCCTTTTGCAGCTGAAACTTCACCACTTAGTTAAGCCCTCCCCTGCCATCTGCTCGGCTCCAAAACTGCTGCAAAGGTTGAGAGGAACTGCTAAAATTACAAAAAACCATATCTATGATAGAAATTCCATGGCATGAAATCTTCTCATTTTTACATCTTATTGAACACTGGCTTCAGAGGACCATACTCTTAAGATCACCAAGGATACTGTCTTCAAAGGCAGTCCTTTCATCAACAGACGATTGTTCACAAAAATTCATCTGAACCAACCTCATAGTCCATGCTTGCTCATCTCATCCCCAGCTCTGGGGCCAATCAAGCCTGAGAGAATTCAAGGAGACCTCAGTCAGTTTTGACAGCTTACTGTTATCTTAGTCTGTTGGTACATATGAAAGTAACTTACACAGTGCTGGGCACACAGTAGGCATTGTTCCTCAGGTCTAATCGGTAGATCTGCCCACGTTTATGAGCAAATTCATTGTCTTGTGCCCTTGTTCAAGAATCCACATCATTATCTTTTCTCTATGTCTCCAGTCTATAATTTGTCAGGAACTGAAGTTTCTTTTTTTTTCTTTTTGAGATGGAGCCTCACTCTGTCACCCAGGCTGGAGTGCAGTAGTGGGATCTTGGCTCACTGCAACCTCCGCCTCCCGGGTTCAAGTGATTCTCCTGCCTCAGCCTCCCAAGTAGCTGGGATTACAGGAACGTGTCACCACACCTGGCTAATTTTTGTATTTTCAGTAGAGACAGTTTTACCATGTTGGCTAGGCTGGTCTTGAATTCTCGACCTCAGGTAATCCACCCACCTCAGCCTCCCAAAGTGCTGGGATTACAGGCGTGAGCCACTGCGCCCGGCCAAGAACTGAAGTTTCTTTTATGATCAGTTCAGTCCATCTAAAGTCCTGGCGAGGTCTTTCATACTTGCTTCCATGTCTCTCTAACGTTTACTCATTCAATATAAGTGTTTATTAGATAATTTTTGCCAGTGTCAATGCTTGCCATGGAGATCCAAAGCGTCGTAGGTCATGTTGCCTAGAAACAGAGATTGAGATAGGAATTCTTAGGCAAGTAATTTAGTGAGGGAATGCTGCAAAGGTAGGAGGGATACAGTATAAGGTAGGGGAAGAAGCAAGGCAATGATGTGATTTGATGGGGCACTATGGAGAGTGAATTATACCCATACAGGTTATTCTCCCCATCAGCAAAGGTGCTGGGCTGTGATATCCCTGCCACCACCAGTGATTGGCTATGGACCACCCTGAGAGCAGGGATGAGTGAAAGTCCATGCAGACTCTCCAGCTTCTCCAGGCCAAGTGTATGAGCATGTGTACTGGTGAACACAGCTGTGTGATGACTTTTGTGTGCTCTGGGCACTTTTGCCTTCTAAGGGCTCCTTCCTTCATTAAACAATATATTAAAAATTAGGGTGGTGGGGCCAGGCACGGTGGCTCATACCAGTAATCCCAGCACTTTGGGAGGCCGAGGTGGGTGGAGCATGAGGTCAGGAGATGGAGATCATCCTGGCTAACATGATGAAACCCTGTCTCTACTAAAAAAGTACAAAAAACTTAGCCAGGCGTGGTGGCGAACACCTGTAGTCCCAGCTACTCGGGAAGCTGAGGCAAGAGAATGGCGTGAACGTGGAAGGAGGAGCTTGCAGTGACCCCAGACAGCATCACTGCACTCCAGCCTGGGCTACAGAGCGAGACTCCGTCACACACACACAAAAAAAATTAGGGTGGTGGGCTGGGCATGGTGGCTCACACCTGTAATTCCAGCGCTTTGGAGGCCGAGGTGAGCACATCACCTGAGGTCAGGAGTTCGAGATCAGCCTGGCCAACATGGTGAATCCCCATCTGTACTAAAAATACAAAATTAGCCAGGAGTGGTGGTGCGAGCCTGTAATCCCAGCTACTTGGGAGGCTGAGACAGGAGAATTGCTTAACCCAGGAGGCAGAGGTTGCAGTGAACCGAGATAGCACTACTGCACTCCAGCCTGGGCAATAAGAGTGAAACTCCATCTCAAAAAAAAAAAAAAAAAATTCGGGTGGTGATGACCCCAACATTCCATCTGAATGCCTGTGCTGAAACCCAGAGGCTGTTTCTGAACCACTGCATAAAAAAGCATTAAAATTAAATTTTATGACTGCATTGATATACATATGAATATAATCCAGGTTGGAATATATTTGTTTATTTATTTTTAGATTTTGAAAGAGATTAAAACATTTTCATGGGTTTCTAAAAGTATCATGGGAACTTGGCATTGTGCCTACTGTGTGTAATGGATAAACTGACCCTGTTAGTGAAGTTGGAATCCTGTGGAGAGCCAGCCCTGTGTGGTTCAGGGATGCTGGGGTGCCAAGTGTGTAGCTGGTTCTGTGTCTGGTCTTTGCTTCCATTTCCTACCTGCCTGGATTCCAACTAAACCTATTACCTTCTTTTTCTAAAGTCCCTGCTCTACTGAGACTGTACTGGGTTGAACAACAGTGTCCCCCCAAAATTTATGTCCTCCTGGAACCTCAGGATGTGTCTTATTTAGAAATATAATCCTTGTAGATATAATTAGTTAAATTTAGGTGAATGTCCTGAATTAGGGCCCTAAATTAAATGACTGGTGTCCTTGGAAGTGGGGAGAACACAGAGGGAGGGCAACGTCACAGCCATTGACTATGGAGGCAGAGATTGGGGTGATACAGCCAGAAGCCAAGGAAAGCCAAGTTTCCCAGCAATTACCAGAAGCTAGAAGAGAGGCATGGAACAGTTTCTTCTTTAGAGCCTTCAGAGGGAGCATGCGCCTGCTGACACCTTGATGCTGAATTTCTAGCCTCCAGAATGATGAGAGAATACTTTTTTTTTTTTTTTTTTGAGACGGAGTCTCGCTCTGTCGCCCAGGCTGGAGTGCAGTGGTGTGATGTCGGCTCACTGCAACCTCCGCCTCCCAGGTTCACGCCATTCTCCTGCCTCAGCCTCCTGAGTAGCTAGGACTACAGGCGCCCGCCATCACGCCCGGGTAATTTTTTGTATTTTTAGTAGAGACGGGGTTTTACCGTGTTAGCCAGGATGGTCTCAATCTCCTGACCTCATGATCCGCCTGCCTCGGTCTCCCAAAGTGCTGGGATTACAGGCGTGAGCCACTGTGCCCGGCCTAAATTTTGTTGTTTTAAGCCACCTAGCTTGTGAAACTTTGATGTGGCAGCCCTAAAAACTAATACAAAGTATCCCTGCAAAATGTCTTGTTTGAATCTTAGGCCTCTGTGGCTTTGATTATCTCGGCACAGTTGGGCCCAGATTCCTAAACTCTTTGCCCGTTACTTTCTAGAGCTTGCTGTCCACTTCCCAGCACAGATATATAATCCTGCAGTACTGAAGAGCAAGCAGAGAATTGCACAGGTCAGAGAAGTTGCCAAGGTAGCCTTCACCCTACCAGAGTAGCTCCCTTCCTTCATTGCATCACACTTCCTATCAGCAGTGCTGGATGCCAGAAGAAAATGTAACAATGTCTTCAAAGTTCCAAAGAAAATTATTTGCTTTTGAAGACAGGAAGAGGAGAGGAAGCGAGGTGCACTTGTTTAATATCTTTCTATTATCCCCAGTTCAGAAGGAATAGCCATAAATACCTTGTCCATAAAACAAATGTTTTCTAGTTTTTTAGCTATGTTAACAACAACAAAAAAATTGGTTGAGAAATACATGTAGGCGGGGCATGGTGGCTCATGCCTGTAATCCTAGCACTTTGGGAGGCTAAGGCGGGGTGATCATGAGGTCAAGAGTTCAAGACCAGCCTGGCCAACATGGTGAGACCCAGTTTCTACTAAAAATACAAAAATTAGCTGGGCATGGTGGTGTGTGCCTGCAGTCCCAGCTACCCAGGAGGCTGAGGCAGGAGAATTGCTTGAACCCGGGAGGCAGAGGTTTCAGTGAGCCGAGATCGTACCACTGCACTCCAGCCTGGGTGACAAAGCGAGACTCTGTATCAAAAAAAAAAAAGAAAGAAGTACATGCAGATATGAAGATGATATGCTGCAAAATCTCATAGACTATGTGTTACTTGAGAAGAAGGACCATATCTTTTTACTCAATGCTCAGCATCTAGTAGAGTACCTGGAATATCATAATTTTCCAGTAAATGTTTGCTGAGTGAATTTATCTGCTATTGCATTAATCACCAAGCTTATTTAGCTCAGGTGGGTCACTGGGCAGATGTCCGGAGTTGCAGCACATGCACAAACCCTGAAGTTGCATCATTTGAATAGGATCTTGCTTTCTTTGGTGAGATGTGTGAATGAATACTTATGTTCTCCAGGTGGTACCCCCTGGTTTGATCTTGAAAACTCTTGAACAAGTCTTCAAGATCAAATACTCTCCACTTATCTGTTGATACACTTGTCCTTTAGATATAGAAATAATTCAGGAATACCAATACAAAGTCAAAATTTGACAAGGGAAAATTTTTGTAAGTGATTTAACATACTTTATTTCTAGTAAGTTTTTGTATATGAAAAGTAATTTTAACATTTACTGAGTACTTATTATAAACCAGGACTATGCTAAGCACAGTCTATGTAGCATGTCACTTAATCATCATAACTTGCCTATGAGTTTGTAAATTATCATTGCTTTATTGGTGAAAAAACTGAAATACAGATGGATTAATAAATATGCCTATATGTGGCAAAGGTGGGATTCAGATGGTTGTTTTCCTAAATGAAAAACACTGTGCCAGTTGGGTGTGGTGGCTCATGCCTGTAATCCCAGCACTTTGGGAGACCGAGGCAGGTGGATCACTTGAGGCCAAGAGTTCGAGACCAGCCTGGGCAACATGATGAAGCCCTGTCTCTACTAAAAATACAAAAATGAGCTGGATGTGGTGGTGCGTGCCTGTAATCCCAGCTACTCAGGAGGCTGAGGCAGGAGAATCGCTTGAACCAAGGAGGAAGAGGTTACAGTGAGGCGAGATCGAGCCACTGCACTCCAGTCTGGGAAACAGAGTGAGACGCTGTCTCAAAAAACAAAACAAAACAAAACAAACACTGTGCTGATGAAGCTGAAGCTTTAGTGTACTGAAAATCATCTAAGGGAGTTTAGGCCAGGCGCGGTGGCTCATGCCTGTAATCTCAGCACTTTGGGAGGCCAAGGCGGGTGGATCATGAGGTCAGGAGATCGAGACCATCCTGGCTAACACGGTGAAATCCCATCTCTACTAAAAATACAAAAAATTAGCCGGGCATGGTGGCAGACGCCTGTAGTCCCAGCTACTCAGGAGGCTGAGGCAGAAGAAAGGCGTGAACCCGGGAGCCAAGATCGTGCCACTGCACTCCAGCGTGGGTGACAGAACGAGACTCTGTCTCAAAAAAAAAAAAAAAGGAAATCATCTAAGGGAGTTTAACAAAAATGCAGATTGTTAGGTTTCACTTCTAGAGAATCAATGAGTCTAAGGCTCAAGAATGTACATCTTTAACTATAACCCCGGTAAGTTGGATCAAGTGGTCCATGAACCACACTTTGAAAAGCACTGCTCTGTACTATGAGATGCCAAATACACAGTGTGAATTATTTTGTATCCAACAATATTTTATTCAACACAAGTTTCCACCTTGTGTATATCTAGCTGTCCCAGCACCATTTATTGTAATGACCATTCTTTCTCCATTGCTGGTAGTTTCATTTTTTGTCGTAAATCAAGTGTCCATATGTACTCAAGTTCTAGGCATGACTCTCCTATTTTATTCTCTCTATATAATCCCTATCATCATCCATTGTAAACACACTTTGAGAAATTCTTCTGTGGATCAAAGGGCAAGAAACCTTGGAACACCCCATGAATCATTTTATGAGTGGGCATAATATCAGTAAAATTTAGAGATGGTCATTTAGAAAGCAGTGCCCAGCATTTCCTGGAATCCTCATTTAAATATATCCATATGATCTACCAAATACAATTTCTGATGTTTTCAGAAATCTGTATATAGTTCAGTAACACCCAGGAACTACTCTTTTTCCCCTCTCTATTTTCATTGCTTTCCTTCCCCAAAACCTCCTTTGCCAAATCAGTAGTACAACATTTTGGAAAACAAGTCCTCTTTTATTAAGAGCACCTTATCTGACATTCAAATGTCATCAGGAAAGAAAGACAAAATATAGACTTAGTTATTTATCTCTCAGCTGTTCTACCTTTGAACAAAGTTTTCTCCTCCCAGCAATTTGCTACTGCCTCAAATAGGGTGCCTGTTGTAAATGTAGCTTGATTGAGTTAGATTTAAAAATGAGAAAAAAGGCCAGGCACGGTGGCTCATGCTTGCAATCCCAGCACTTTGGGAGGCTGAGGCAGGCGGATCACGAAGTCAAGAGATCGAGACCATCCTGACCAACATGGTGAAACGTCATCACTACTAAAAATTTAAAAATTAGCTGGGCATGGTGGTGCATGCCTGTAGTCCCAGCTACTCAGGAGGCTGAGGTGGGAGAATTGCTTGAACCCAGGAGGCAGAGGTTGCAGTGGGCCAAGATTGTGCCACTGCACTCCAGCCTGGCAACAGAACGAGACTCCATCTCAAAAAAAAAAAAAAAAAAAGAGAGAGAGAGAAAAAACCCCTCAATATATTATACATACTTGCCTGCTGGAAAAAGAGACTTCTGTTTAAATGTAGTTTAATACCAGCAAAGTAATTTTGGTCAAGCAAGCTCTTAAAAACAACTTTTAGGCCAGGCACGGTTGCTCACGCCTGTAATCCCAGTACTTTGGGAGGCCGAGGCTGGCGGATCATGAGGTCAGGAGTTCAAGACCAGCCTGGCCAAGATGGTGAAACCCTGTCTCCACTAAAAATACAAAGCTTAGCCGGGCGTGGTGGTGAGCGCTTGTAATCTCAGCTACTTGGGAGGCCGAGACAGAGAAATGCTTGAACCCAGGAGGCAGTGGTTGAGCCGAGATCTTGCTACTGCACTTCAGCCTGGGCGACAGAGTGACACTCCATCTCAAAAAAAACAAAACAACAACAACAAAAACAAAACAAAAAACCCTTATTTTTATAGTATTATATAAAACAAGTTAAAAAGATTGCATTTGTGATGAATCACAGGTTAGGAAACTGAGGAACACAGCTGTGAAATTACTTAGCTAAAACCATGAAGGAAATTGTATAAACAACACGAGATTTTACTGCATTGCTTTTCAGTGAGTTCTGAGGTTGGAGGCAGTCACCCAGCTGGATTCCCAGGGAGGGCAGCAGCTTTCCATTAGAAATGGTTCAGGCTTGCAATACCCAGTTTCCATTTATATCTGTAGTTGTGGATAGTCAAGTGGTGACCCAGCTGGTCACAGGAAAAGTGTGTGGGCTAAATGAAGGGTTGCTATTCGCATGATTACGGTATCACCACCTCCAATTCTGAACAGCACAGAATTTTTCAACAGCACAGAAAGGGACTTTTTGTTTTTTTCTTCAGTATATGGGGTGTGATGGCCTCAGAATGAGCCATGTTATGTGGTATATACCATTTCTCCATTCTCTGTCAGTAAGAAGCCCAACAACTAAGTGTGGAAAGAATTTCAATTATTCTGTAGCCAACTGCCCAGCATGTGGGACCTCAACTGATGAACTGATGATCAACTGGGGAGAAGCAAACAGGTTTGGAGACCTAAGAAGTCACCCATAGCTACCATGCTAAGATGTGCATGGGCCCTCCACTTTCTGCTCTGAGAGCATAGTTCTCTACTTTTTTTTTTTTTTTTTTTTGAGACAGGGTCTCACTCTGTCACACAGTCTGGAGTAGGGTGGCATGATCTTGACTCACTGCAACCTCCACTTCCTGGGCTTAAACAATCCTCCCACCCCAGCCTCCCAAGTAGCTGGGATTATAGGCATGTGCCACCATGCCCGGCTAATTTTTGTATTTTTAGTAGAGATGGGGTTTCACCATGTTGTCCAGGCTGGTCTCAAACTCCTGGCCTCAACTGATCCACCTGCCTTGCCTCCCAAAGTGCTGGGATTACAGGTGTCAGCCACTGCGCCCAACTTCTCTACCTTTTGAGCATAATTGGCTGAAAATTTCCTCCAGTAGTGTGCATAATTATCCCAATGACCAGTACTTTCTCTGTGCTAGTCTAGTCATATTTTATTGTCATATTGGAAATAAAGGTCATTATGTTAATGGTTGAAGTGGATGTTTTGGGTAGCCATCATCCCTGATGGGGGAGTGGGCAGTGCTGGGGAACAGGATGGTGAGTCATATCTGTAAGAGAAAAGGGAATTCCCTTTGAACATATTTCTCAAGCTTCTCTGATAATACGGGTTACCTGCAGTGTTGGTTAGACATACAGATTTCCAGGCTTTTCCTTTGGGGATGCTCATTAAGATTGAGATATGTCCCTGGAATATGTATTTTTAATAACCATGTGATTTTTGTCATTAGAGAAGTGTGGGAAGCACTACCCTATGTAGTATGATTTTGAAAAAGTGGTCAGAGACTGGGAGTCCCTGATTCCCAAATATCCACCATCATTGCCTTAGAATATTTCTCTCTTTCTTACCACTTTCTCAAACCTCTATTGTCTACCTCCCACTAATTACCACTCAGTCCCACCTGGTTGTCTTATTCTTACCTCAAATTTATCGTGTCCTCATCATTTCACCTCTGTCAACAATTTCCATTCCATTTCAAGTCATACCCATTCTACACACTGAGTCATAGTGGCACCAAGTGATTTGCTATTCCACCCTATATCATGCTCTTCAAACCTTTTTACGTTTCCACGTTGCATTTTCTGCATACACTGCCTTCTCTCACTATTCAGCCCATTGCACTTCTGTTTCTTCTTCAAGAGTTCATACATCATTTCCCTAGGGAAAGCTGGCTAACCATATGCAGAAAGATGAAACTGGACCCCTACCTATCACCATAGACAAAAATTAACTCAAGATGGATTAAAGATAAATGTAAGACCTCAAACTATAAAGTTTCTAGAATAAGATCTAAGAAATCCCCTCTGGACATCAGCCTTGGCAAAGAATTTATGACCAAGTCCTCAAAAGCAATTGCAGCAAAAATAAAAATTGACAATTGAGACCAAATTAAACTAAAGAGCTTCTGCCAGAAAAAAAGAAAAAGAAAAAGAAAAAAAAAACTATCAAAAGAGTAAATAGACAACTGACAGAATGGCAGAAAATTCTCAAACTATGCATCTAATAAAGGATTAATATCCAGAATCTATAAGGAACTTAAATCAACACACAAAAAAGCATAACACCATTAAAAAGTAGGCAAAGGACATGGACAGACACTTCTCAAAAGAAGACATACAAATGGCCAACAAAAGTACAAAAAAATGCTCAGCATCACTAATCATCAGAGAGATTCAAATCAAAACCACAATGAGATACCATCTCACATCAGGCAGAATGACTATTACTAAAAAGTAAAAACATAACAGATGCTGTCAAGGCTGTGGGGAAAAGGGAATGCTTATCCACTGTTGGTGGGAATATAAATTATAGGTTAGTGCAAAAGTAACTGCAGTTATTGCCATTAAAAGCAATGGCAAAAACCTCAGTTACTTTTGCACCAACCTAATAGTTAAGCCACTGTGGAATTAATTTGGAGATTTGTCAAAGACCTAAAAGTAGAGCTATCATTTGACCCAGCAATCTAATCACTGGGTATATACCCAGAGGAAAATAAATCATTCTACTAAAAAGACACATGCACTCATATATTCATTGCAGCACTATTCATAATAACAAAAACCTGGAATCAACGTAGGTGTCCATCAGTGGTGGACTGGATAAACAAATCACGGCCGTAATCCCAGCACTTCGGGAAGTCAAGGCGGGTGGATCATGAGGTCAGGAGCTCGAGACCAGCCTGGCCAACATAGTGAAACCCTGTCTCTACTAAAAATACAAAAATTAGCTGGGCGTGGTGGTGCACACCTGTAGTCCCAGCTACTTGGGAGGCTGAGGCAGGAGAATCACTTGAACCTGGGAGGCAGAGGTTGTGGTGAGAGATGATGCTACTGCACTCTAGCCTGGGTGACACAGCGAGACTCTGTCTCAAAAAAAAAAAAAAAAAAAAAAAGAAAATGTGGGACATATACACCATGGAATACTATGCAGCCATAAAAAGAAGAAAATCAAGTTCTTTGCAGCAACGTGGATGCAGCTGGAGGCCATTATCCTAAGTGAATTAACACAGAAACAGAAATCCAAATGCTGCAGGTTCTTACCTGTAAGAGGGAGCTGAACACTGGGTACTCATGGACATCAAGATGGGAGCAATAGACACTGGGGACTCCACAAGGAGGGTGGAAGGGATGGGGAAAGGGCTGAAAAACTTCCTGTTGGTTACTATGTTCACTCTCTGGGTGACGGGATCATTTATACCCCACACCTCAGCATCAAGTAATATACCCATGTAACAAAGCAGCACATGTACCCACTGAATCGAAAATAAAAAATGGAAAACAAAAAATAAATAAAACTAAAATAAAGTAAAAGGAAATCTTCTGTAGCTCCTCCAGGAGGAGTTAATTCTTGCCTCTATCTTCTGACACTTTGGATTTCTGTTGTCTAGAATGCAGGGTGCATTGTAATTATTTGTTTTCTTGTCTGTCTCTCTCAGTAGGCAGCATGCGTAGGGACAATGCCTTTATCTTTATATTCCAGTGCCTAGCAGAGTATACAGTGGGAATTTTAGAGATATTTGCTGAGCAAACTTTAGACTTTTAATAACTTTATTAAATGTTACTATCCAATAAAAAGATATGGGTTAATTTTAAAAAGTCATTTGAGAAAGACACATGTACACACATGTTTATAGTAGCACAATTTGCAATTGCAATGATATGAAACCAACCTAAGGGCCTATCAAGAAATGAATGGGTAAAAAAAATGTAGTATATATACACACCATAGAATACTACTTAGCCCTGAAAAAGAATGAAATAATATTTTTTGCAGCATCTTAGATAGAGCTGGAGGCCTTTATTCTAAGTAAAGTAATTCAGGAATGGAAAACTCAATATCATATATTCTCACTTATAAGTGGGAGCTAAGCTATGAGGATGCAAAGGTATCAGAATGATATAATGGACTTTGGGGACTCAGCGGGGAAGGGTTGGAAAAGGGTGAGGGATAAGACTATATATTGGGTACTGTGTACACTACTTTGGGAATGGGTGCACCAAAATCTTAGAAATCACCACTAAAGAACTTATCCATGTAACTAAAAACCACCTGTACCCCTATTGAAATAAAAGCTATTGAAATAAAAATGGGCCAGGTGCGGTGGCTTATGCCTGTAGTCTCAGCACTTTGGGAGGCCGAGGCAGGTGGATCACGAGGTCAGGAGATCGAGACCATCCTGGCTAACACGGTGAAACCCCGTCTCTACTAAAAAATACAGAAAATTAGCCGGGTGTGGTGGCGGGTGCCTGTAGTCCCAGCTACTTGGGAGGCTGAGGCAGGAGAATGACATGAACCTGGGAGGCGGAGCTTGCAGTGAGCCAAGATCCCACCACTGCACTCCAACCTGGGCGACAGAGCGAGACTCCATCTCAAAAAAAAAAAAAAAAAAAAAGAAAGAAACATGAAAACGTTATGTATGGATTAATTTATTTACATAACTATTCATTCATGGGTCCATTTATTTATATGCTAAGCATAAAAGTGGAGAGATGCATATCTTTTACTTAAAAATTTTTTTCTTTTTCTTTTCTTGGGTTATCTTCAGACTGAAGAGAAACAAATATAAAATAATTATATAATGAATGAAAGATTTGCTGTAGTGAAAAGTGCCAAGAAAGATACCCAGTGGGTACAGTGGAAGTATATGGAGTGTGGGGTGAGTGCTGCTGATGAAAAGAAATGGTCTAGGGAAAAGGGGAGTGCAGAGCCTTCCAGGCCCAGGAAAGAGTCTGCTCAAAGGCCCTGAGATAGAAGGGAGCATACTCAGACAGGGAACCGAAAGACAGGGTATCTGGAGCAGAGAGAGCAAGTGGATCTATGTCCAGAAGAAAGGCTGTTTCCCAGAGCACACAGATTCTCACAGGCCCTTTTAGGAAGCTTTGTCTTTATCCTAAATGCAGAGGGAAACCAGTGAAAAGTGGAGTGGTTTTGGTATGTGTATTATTACATTTTTGTGGGAATTACATTGGCCAAATGATAATTTGCTCTATTGTTTATTTTTGTGTTGACTACGCCAGTTTCTTTAGGACAGGAACCATAGCTTACATTTCTTAGAGTTCCCAGCATTTCATACTATACAGTAAGTAGAGTTGGGGAACAAAGAAATGTGTGCTGCCTGTTCTATTTCAGATTCTTGAGGGTGAGGTTTTATGTAAACACACTTACAAAGAAACTAAGTTGGCTGGGCACTATGGATCATGCCTGTAATCTCAGCAGTTTGGGAGGCTGAAGCAGGTGGATTGCTTGAGCTGTGGAGTTCAAAACCAGCCTGGGCAACATAGCGAAACCTGTCTCTACAAAAAAAAAAAAAAAAAAAAAATCAACAACAAAAATTAGCTGGGTGTAGTGGCACGTGCCTGTAGTTACAGCTACTTGTGAGGCTGAGGCAGGAAGACCACTTGAGCCAGGGAGTTTGAGGCTGCAGTGAGCTATGATTTCACCACTGTACTCCAGCCTGGGTGACAGAGCAAGACCCTGTCTCAAAAAAAAAGAAAAAAAAAAGAACTTAGTTAACCAAGTCCATTGGATAGCTTGCTATGATATGCAATTTGTGTGAAAATGGTGAGAAATGAATATGGTGGATGGACAGCTGGTTATCCATTACTAACTTGATTGAAAAAAACTGTTTCTTAAGTGTTTGGGAAACTAATAGCCAGGGTTAGTTGCGGAAGAGCCTACTTCCTTTGTTCCATTAAGTTATTTTATTGCTCATGATGTTTCAAGTTTTGCCATTACAAAATCATTATTCAGGCCTTGAAAGACTCTTTGGTCTTTAAAAAATCCTCTTTGAAAATATAAGTACCTAATGTCGGGTAAAAGATGTACTAAATTTGTCAGCTGACATCTTTGGGATATTTTGATGGGCTCCAAATATTAAAGATACACACACACACACACACACACACACACACACACACACACTTGGGTTAGAGCAGACACATCTGTGATGTGGAAGTGAAGTTAGTTTGGTGGCCAGAAATGAGTATCATTTTGTGAATATTGGCAATGATTCTGCCATTGACTATCACTGAATCTGTCTGGAATTAGGTTTCACAGTAAAACAGAGTGCTTGTCTCTCTAATCTCCAGGACACTATGAAATTTAATCATATGATGAGGAAAAGTGTGATGAACTTTGGGACGTGAGCTGCTTTGTTATATAAGCTGAGCTGGTGGCACTGTCTACACAAAGCCTTTGTATTTCCTTCCTTCCTTCCTTTCTTCCTTACTCCCTCCCTCCTTCCCTGCTTCCCTCCCTCCCTCCCTCCCTTTCTCCCTTCCTCCGTTCTTCCTCTCCTCTCCTCTCCTCTCTTCTCCTCTCCTCTCCTCCCCTCCCCTCCCCTCTGCTCCCCTCTCCTCTCCTCTCCTCTCCTTTCCTTTTTCTTCCTTCTTTTCACAGTTAATCACAAGCCTTTAATGAGACAGGGCCACAGACCTGATCACTTAACATCTGATATAAGGAAGGGGGAGGTTAAATACATGTGCAGGGTGTCACCGAGCCACAGGCCAGGAGTGTGTTGGATGGGTCTACATGATCCATATGGACTACTAATCACGGGAGTTCCGTGTGGGGGCAGGACCAGGTGGGGTGGGGTATCCCAGTGCCTGCTGCATAGCTCTCTGGGGATCTGGCCTCCTCTCAGCTCAGCAGCCTGCAGGGTTTGCCTGCACCATGACACTCACTGGTTTTATGGCAGGAGGCAGAAGCCACCTTGGACTCTCAAAGTGCTGGGATTACAGGTGTGAGCCATCGTGCCTGGCTGAATGATTTTTTAATAACGACAATTTTAGATTGATTCTCAAAAATACCTGCGTCAATAGGGCAGACTCTGATCTTGGTGCCCTCCAAAGAGTTGCCTGTGTTCTCATTCCAGCAATCCAGGGATGGGAAGAGACCAATGTAACTTTTGCTTTACAAAGAGAATTTTCATACCTAATCTCCCAAAAGTATTTCTAAGGATGCCTCAGTGTCAGGTGCTGGGCAGCATGGCCAAGAAATAGCTAAGCCAGGATGCTGGGGATATTTGCATTCTCCACTCACTCTTCCAGCAGGCAAATTCTGTTTTGCAATTTGTTATTACATGAAAAAAAGGAAGTGTTTGGGAAGCAATGTAGCCTGTATTCTGTACTTTTTCTACCTTTGTTTGAATGCCCTTGGTTGACTTTGCCTACGAATGTAAATTTGAGAAATGACTGGAATGCAATTTTTTAAATTGATGTATTTAATACCTTGTTTGAGTAAGGATTGGAAAGGGCTCAGAAAAAATAATCTTGGGTAGTTTCCTTAATATCCAAGCCAAAGGTGGCAAATATGTAGCAAGTTTATTATCAGTCTGACCCCTTTCCTCCCTTCTCCTACCAGATGTCACTAACAGAGCACTGCATTTTTTTTTTTCAGACAGACCCTCCGAATCCTTAAAATGTGCCCAGATAGCCACCATTATTAGAATTGGCACATGAGGTGCACTTACCTTCCAAAGCTGATCTTTGGAAATACTCCCAAAGTATTTCTAGATGTGAGAATCTTGAGTGATGTGAGTCACGTTTTAGTTGGATTTTCATACGTTTTCAGATAGATTTTAGTTAGATTTTCACAAAAAGCATTACTATCTTAATTGTTTGTGAAGTTCACTTAGGCAAAAATTATGTATTTCAAGGCAACACAAGATAAAACTTGGTGCTTTTTGAGCCCTCCTCTTGGTGCTGGTAGGTTATTTAGGGCCTTGGAAAGGAAGAAATCTCATATTCTGTGTCTAAATTATGTTAAAACTGTGCAGACATCCAGTTTCCAAGGTCCCTGAGAGAAAACACACATACAGACACACACATACACACGTGCATGCAACAATGAATTAAGGAGAAAAGAATTAAACCTATGTTGGCCTCAGTTTCCAATTTGTAAAATGAGAAAGCAGACGGGGTTTCTCAGTCAGACTGGAAAGTTCTCCAAGGTCACTTCCAAGAGTGTAGCAGACATCTCACCTCCTGTTGCCCGTATTAGCCCTTCATGGACAGTGAGATTAAAAACACAGGTTGCTCTCCAGTGAAACTTTAATTGCAGAGCTTTAATTAGAAAAAGAAACAAAATACTCTTAGATTATGTTTTTTAAATTTTATTTTTAATTGTGTTTTTATTGTTTCCATTTTATTTCAAAAAGAGAAATGAAAACCTCAAGTTTCCATCCCCATACGACTTCTTTAGCAAGTTAACTAAAACGATTTTCTAAAATGTACTTTTAATGAAAAACTCCAATCTCTGAAATTTGTCTTGAACATTTTTTTTTTCTTCAGACCTCTTACAGGACTCTGGAGTTTCCATATCTCAGTGCCAAGAGCATAGCAAAGGAATTTGACTCAATTTAGTAATTACCTCATGTTAGTCTAGCTCAAAATTGTTTTGCTCTTAATGGCTTAGGAGAGCCATTTGGATACTTTGATTCTAGCAATAAAGTTCCAATGGGAAGGTGGGTGAATGGGCATGTAATGTTTAGCTTATTATAATGGCCATAGCCAAAGCTTTTCCAGAGTAAATTTTTACTAGACTCGGACTAAGGATGGGTCACTGTGGAGGAAAGCATGAGAAAATAGGAGGGAGAAAATAAGTCTGGGAGAGTCCTTTCCCTCTCCAAATTAAGCCCCAGGATTATAGTGGACATTTGTTTTAGTCCTTTCTCATAGCCAGAGGGAAAGGTTTCCCCAGCATTCTCCCCATGTGCTTCCCGGATCCTGACACACCCTTACTGTATTAGTCAGTGTTCTCCAGAAAAACAGAACCAGTAAGATACATATAAGCTATGGCCTGAGAACCAAAGGGGCCCATGGTGTAAGTCTCAGTCTGAGGGCGGGAGAAGATTGATGTCCCAGCTCAGGCAGGAAGGTAGAAAAAAGGGGCAAATTCTTCTTTCCCTTATGTTAACTCATAAAATTAACCACACACCAACGCTTCAGAGTGGAGCATGTACATTAAGCCACAGATTCTAAAACTATCTGTGGTGAAGGACTCCCCACCCCTGCATCCACTGTGGATTGATACTTGTGTAAAATACAAAAAAAATGAATCAACGAAAAAAAATGACACACAAGGCCGGGCGTGGTGGCTCAGGCCTGTAATCCCAGCACTTTGGGAGGCCGAGGAGGGCAGATCACGAGGTGGGGAGATCGAGACCATCCTGGCTAACATGGTGAAACCCCATCTCTACTAAAAATACAAAAATTAACCGGGCGTGCTGGCAGTA
This sequence comes from Homo sapiens, assembly GCF_000001405.40. Taxonomy (NCBI): domain Eukaryota; kingdom Metazoa; phylum Chordata; class Mammalia; order Primates; family Hominidae; genus Homo; species Homo sapiens. The sequence continues at coordinate 81,903,287 of NC_000009.12, forward strand.
GCCTGAGTCCCAGCTACTCAGGAGGCTGAGGCAGGACAATGGCGCGAACACGGGAGGCAGAGTTTGCAGTGAGTTTGAGAGTGTTGGCAAGAGGGCAAAGTGAGGCACCCAGAGACTTGATGAAAAGTGCATTTAGACCCCAAAGCTCTCATTTCATAAAGATTCTAATATGGTTGGTTGTACTACAAAAATCTCAGAGAGCAACAAGCTTGGACAAAATGTAACTTTATTGCCATGTATACTGAGTATCCTCAAATGGTAGCATATTACTGTAGTAGCGTTTTTGGAAAAGACTCCTCCTTGGAGACAATATAACCAAGTGCAGTGTGAAATCCAAGAACAGACTTCTGGGTGGTGATGTAGGTAAATTGGGAAGATGTCATGGGGTAGTGGTGAGACAGTCCCACTCTACCAGAAGCCACCTCTGCCACCTCCCAAAGGCTGCCTAAAATGCTCTTGTAAGAGCTTATTACAAGGCATGGAGGTAGATACATGTAGAATGTGTGAAATGTTTTCCTGGGAGGAATGATATTTTAAACTTTTATACATTAATGGGAGTCATATGTAACATAGTTCTTGAAAGCAAGTTTTAAGAAGAGGATAGGAAAAAAAAAACCCTATAAAGAAAATGATGCTAAGTGTGGAAAGAAAAAGTTACCTAAGAGGTGATAGAGTACCAAAATAGTTTTTCATTACTTCTCAAATTTGTCAGCATTTAATGGGCAAAGTGAATATTCTTAGCTATACAACTGCTTTAATTTTAGGATTAGGGGATACTTTTAATTTTACAAAATTACATATTACTATTGTTTAAAGTGGAAGCATCGAGAATGTAGAGAATTTATTCATTAGAGCTCTAATACTTATTTGCTGTCTGATCTAGAGAAGTCACTTACCCTCTCTGAGCTTTGGTTGCATTCATTGATAAAATAGGCACAATATTCAGAGAAAATCTAAGTGCCTGTTGTAATAAAAGCAAATTAAAAGGGAAAAAAACAAAAAAAAACCAGGCATAATACCTGACCTGCTAACCTCATAGGTTGTGAAAATGCACTGAGATGGCTGGAAGTAGACCTCTTTATAAGGTAGACAAATCTATTATTTCTAGTTGGTGCTAGTGCAGAAAGGATAAGTGGTGTGAAGCACTGCCACTCAATGTCAATGGAATTTACTGTTGGTGGTACAAAAAAAGAAAATAAATATATCTCTAGTCTCTTGTTCCTTTAAATTTTGAAGGAGCTTCTACCAGGTTCAGAAAGGGAATCTTATTAGCATTTGGGGAAAAGCCTTTTTACTGAAACTTCTTGAAGCTTTCAACTGTGGGCACACGTATGTTTGTAAAGATATCTAGCTAATGAATGACATTTTAAAAGAGAGAAGCTGTTCTTTGACCATCTTCTCAAAGAATTATTAATTGGTATCAGAAAATTGGAGAGGGTGGACATGCAGGGATTTCTTGCTAAAGAGCATGATGTGTCTGAGGAGTTATGACCCACAGTATCTGATCTGTTCCAGAGATCGTTTGGCGATTGTAAATGCTGGAGGCGGGGGAACTCTCCTCTACGTTTGTATAGATCTTGAGCTGTGTAGAACTAATTGCTCCAACTGCACCAGGAGGTCAAGGGCAGAGCCGGTGGCTTACAGATGCTTGTGTCTCCTAGTTTCCAGCAGTAAATATTTATTAGATGAAAGCTTGACTGAGACTGCATATCAAAGAGAGGAGGAAGGGGCATCTCTTGGCAGATTTTATCCTCAAGGCAGGTTACCTTCTCCTGTATAATTGAAAGGAGACCTGGCCTGGCTTGAAGGCTGTCTTACCCCTTCAAAAGGGATCAAATAGCAGTGGTGGCCCATGGGTGTCAGATAAAGGGCTTCATAGTTTAAGAAAGACATGAGAAATTAAGAGACAGTTCAGAGGACAGCTGTCATGATAGAGTTTAGAAAAGAATGTGTAGGAAGACGGGTTAGGGATGGGGGATATTGGGATCATTCAAACCTGACAAGAGGAGCCTGAATAAAGTATGACAGGCAGTTGGTATTTGGATATTTGCACGGGTAATTATATAGAATATAGAGCAGTTGTTCTCAAGTTTTTTTGGATACCAAGGCACTCAGGAAAAGATCACATGTACATGGCCCACAGTGTAGTCAGGTGAGGTTGCTTAAGACTACGTTCTGCTCTAAGTCTTTGACACACCTAAGTCTCACTCTGCCACCAAACACTGATGGGATCAATAGTATCATCCAAAAGACTACCAAGATGGTTAAATAGTAGAAAGGAGAGCCTCATTGCTCTTATCAATTTGCAATCCAGGAGGGGAAAGCATCCACTGTGGAATGAAGGTGCTGTCTGTTGGAATAGGGGAAGGACAGGTTGGGTTTTATATTCATATTCACACATATTCAACAAGTTTGGGGGAAAAGCTATATATATTTATGCGGGAGCCGAGCACACCATAATGAGTAAACATATGTAACATACATCCCATGTTGACTTTGGAGTGGGGGTTTAGCACTAAAATGAGGTAGAATTTGGCCCTTTACATCATAAGGTGAACTACAGGATGCAAATGTGGTTCGTGTGCAGCCTCTATAAGCTGGTAGAAACTGGCAGTCTAATATTAGTAGCTTATCAGAAAAAGACGTTTGTAAGGCCGGTCCTCTGTCCAATCAGAGCTGATAGCTCGTTTGGTTAGAGGCAGTCTATTTATACAAAGTTAGAAATTTGCCATGCCATCCAGGCCCTGAACCCTTGACCCATCGGTAACTTTGTTTCCTTAACCTAAGGATCTGTCTTGGTTGATAAAGGGGCATCTATTTTGGTCTCTTAGATCACAATAGCTTAGGGCACTGTAACCTATCCCTGCTTTAAGGGAGTTGCATACTTGTTACCAAATTGATGTGGAGGGCTGGGCCTGGTTGTGTTTGAGGTAGAGTTAGAAAATGTGGGGTAAAAATGACAAGAGATTGAAATAAAAGGAGGAACTAATTGATTCTGGATTTGAAAATACTGATAGATTTGTCACAGGATGGGTGTGTGGGTGTGTTTGTAAAGAAAAGAACTTTTATCTGAGGACTGTGAGTCCTCTTAAGTTATCAGGCCTAGAGAGACATTAAAATGAGGCAGGAATCATGGCCCTACTTCCTCCTTGAGCTATGTATTCATCTCTTGAAACTGCCTGGTATTGCCACATGTAGCTAGACATTAATCAAATAATGCCACACCTGACAATATAACCCACCCCCTATAGCTTAACAACGTATAGCCAATCACTAACCAATGTCATTTCTGTAAACCAATGAGAATTCGTGATAACAACTTTGTATCAGCCCACTCCTTGTCCCCTTTTATGACTTTAAAAACCCACTTGTAACTGCTGCTAATTGGAGTGTATATTTAGGTCGACTTGCATCTGTGTTCCCAGGTTGTAATCCTCAAGCTTGACCCAAATGAACACTCTACTTTGATAAAAGAAAAACTTCAGCCAAATTAAATTTAAAGGAATTTAATTGAGCAATGAATGATTCATGAATTGGGCAGCCTCCAGAATCATAGCAGATTCACAGAGACTCCAGGGGTGCCTCGTGGTTAAAACAAATTTATAGACAAAAAAGGTAAAATGACATACAGGAATTGGAAGTGAGGTACAGAAACAGTGAGATTGGTTATAGCTTGGCATTTGCCTTATTTGAATGCAGTTTGAACATTCAGCAGGCTATGAGTGGTTGAAGTATGTCCGCTGGGATTGGCCAACACTCAGCTGTTGTTACATGTGCATACTATTGAGTTAGGTTTTAAATTTTTCTGACTATTAAGCTAGGTTACAGTTCATCTATGAGGACTCAAATACAGAGGTGCAGAGTCCTTCTCAGGCCATATTTAGTTTGCTTTAAAAATTCCCCCCTTTTGGTCATTTTCTCAATTTTGAGAGATTGTCCATAACATTAGTCATTGATGTTACTATCACGATTGTAAATGCACTTATATGGTTTTGAAACCCACTGGGAAAGAGTAGAACAGTAGGTTTTGCAAGGAGAGAATAAAGACAGAGTAGAGGGAACCTCCTTACACTGGAGCATCCTGTTTATAGGAGAAAAGCAAAACCTTGTCTGTTATAGGATCAATTTTCTTTTAAGCCTTAGTTTGATTATGTCACATTTAGCATGAGTGACTTCATTTTAGTTTGGTTTGGTTTGGTGGGGCCAAGTGCATGAGGTCAGTCCAAAATAATGGCCTCCCATAATTTTATTTAAAAAAAAATTCCCCCCTTTTGGCCAGGTTCTCACTTAAGTGAGAATGTGACCAAAACTTAGGGCCTTAGTGCCACTCTCAGTTACCATCATTTTGGTTTCTGGTCTCAGCATGTTATTCATAGGTTACTGTGTCCTCGTAGTCACACATTTCTTTCAGCTTTTGCCATTCCAGTTGAAGAGAGAACATTTGGTGTTCTAGAGATGGCTGTGTGCAAACATTTAAAACTTTTGAGGGAATACACCCCACCAGGGAGACTGTTATGACTACTGGGAGGATAATACCAAGAGTTTGGAGTGTGACCCTTACCCAGGGCCCCCATAAACCAAAGGACATAAAATTAAATAGATTAAAGAATGAGCTAGGTGAAGAGTCTACTCATGTGACTAAGTGGATTTTTCATTAATCCCTTGAAACTGAATTTTTATAATCTACATTTTATGTGTTTCTCCATAGGCCACAAGTGTCAGCAGCTGCAAAGGCACTTTTCTGTTTAGCCAATTCTATTATTTAGCATAACTTTCAGGAGAGAATTTAGTCTGTTGTGTAATGATAGCCTTTAAAGTAGAATTTGCTGTAAAGCCTATTACGAGGGAGACATTTCTAATTATTGCTTCTTTTATTCTAAGTCATGGAAAAAGGAACTAACAAATGATGTCCTTCTAGAAGAGTGAAGGCCTCATGGCAATGTTCTCTTTAATCCATGATGTGTGTTAAGAGGAGTTTTGACTGATTATAAAGCAATGTATGAACCACTAAACTTTCTCACCTACATTGGGCCTTCATCTTCTATCAATTAAAGTATAAGTTTATTCATATATAAGGCTGGCTGCAAAATCATTCACAAATAAAAGTTTACCCTGTAAGTTTACATAATAGACCTCCTTTTCATTTCTATTGTTCATAGAGGCATAAACACAGAAAAAATATTCAAAGATAAGAGTCTTGTGATAGTAGAAGTCTTGATCCGTGATCTTGGGAAAAGCTGTTCACATCAGGGATGCCATCTTCTTCTGGGGAGAAACTTTCCTGGTTAGTTTTACCTTAAGGGTACCAATGGAGGTACAGTTCCAGGAGTGTGGAGGAACTCTTCTCAGTTGTGAGATTATGACCCCAAAGTTCAAGGCTCCAGTTTTGCTGTAGTGTGGATGGCAAGGACAGTCTTTCTCTGATATTCTCAGAAGATCCAATCAGGTTCTAGATTGTGAAGGGATTGTCCTCAGTGAACCATAAAGAGCTTTCTTTACCTAGTGAAAATACACTGTAGCATAATAATCTACTGTTATAACATCAGCCTTCTTGCATGGGAAAGCTTTTATACAACAAGAAAATATGCATTGAAAATGACAATTGCATGAAACCCCTTTATAAATGTTTATATGGCCCATCAGGTACCTGAAGCTTTGATTGTCTTCCCAGGAATATGGAACCAAACATTGGTTTTAAGCTATTTCTGCAATTGATAAATCATCACATCAATATCTTCAATTTGGATTATTTTATCTCTTCCATGATGAGTCATGGAATGCAGAGCCTTTAATAACAAAAGCTTTAAGGACTCAGGAAGGATAAGGCAGCTGTACTGTTTCTTCATGAGTCCATGCTTAACAATGGTCTTATGTCCTCTTGAATACCAGTTGTTTCTCCAATTTGGGTGCATAGCACTGACAACTAATGGGTTATCATAGATAATTTGACTTAGACCATGGAGTTCATTCAAATTGTATGTTTAAACAATTTTAGTATTGGCTGATTTAGCATGATAATCCAGAGCTTGGTTTTGAAAGGTTTATTAAATACCACAGGTTTAAAATGTTGGATATTACAAAATAGAATCTTAGGTTACCATAAGTCATTCATTTAGCCAAAAAGATGACTGAAAACTTTTTTTTAAAGGAAAAACATCATTCTGATAGAGAAGAGACTCAGCTTCCCAAACAAGACCCAATGAAGATAGCATGAGGCCAACTGACTCTCTCTTCTTTCCTTCCCTTCCCCGCTTTGTCCTTTGTAGTTTACTTAAAAGGTAAACAAAAAACTTTCATCTTTTAATACTACATAAAAATCCTTTTTAAAAGAGAAAATCCAAATTTTATGTTTTTATTAGTGTATTTTTAATGCTAAAGCTAGTTTTTAATAACATCTTATAAATCTATTCAGTTTTAACTAATTTGACCATAAAGTAAAATTTTTATAAGCCTTTTACAACCCTTTACAATTTTTTTTTCTCAGAGCAGAACAACGTTCTAAGAAAACTCTGTTGTGCTTTTATTCCAATGTCCAATTTATAGAAAAAACTGAATAATGCCATTTTAACTTTAGCCAATTTGTTCACACATAGAATCTCTTACAATCAATTTTTCATAAACTTTCCACAACTTGTTCTAACCTTTAGCTTTATTTAATTTAAAACAATCCTTTAACCCTCTAACCTAGGCAAAAAATTTACATTCTCATACCTTCATATAATCTCTTATAAAAAACACATTTCATTCTCCTTACACATCTTGAATCTAAACCTATTTTTTCAGCAGTCTCAATTACATATTACAATGTTAACTCTTAGCAACTTTTACTTTTGGTGAAAGCCTTGGTAAGTAAGGGATTTCAATGATGTACTAGGTGTGGAGCCTGGGACCCAGACAGAAATGCAGATAAGGCCTGACTGTTTCCAACATCTAACTACATGTGTTCCAGGCCTTACCAAGCTGTAAAGCTTGCAGGCTGTACAGTTAAGAGTCATAGTGGCATTTTGTGAAGCATTTAGGAGGCCTAATCACCTTTAAATTGTACGACATTTCTGGCATAAATTCTTTTTTATAAATTCTTTCATGACTTACACAGACCATGTACAACATATTTAGACTTTCTGACTTGCCCTAAATATCCCTCTTTTTAAACAACCAGTCATTTTACTTCAGGACAAGAATTTACCATACAACATCCTTTCTTATATAAAATCTCTTTTTTTATAACGTTCTTTGCATAGCTAGGGGGCATGGTTAATTCCATAAATCCCCAGGCCTTATTTAGAATATAACATCTCCAAAATAAATTGAACAATTTTCAAAAGTCAAAGTAGTTTATGACCTTAAAGCATTTAGCAGACCTAATATCTGACCTGCATAATTGAGACAAAATGTCATTATTTTATTTATTTATTTATTTTTGAGATGGAGTCTTGCTCTGTCACCCAGGCTGGAGTGCAGTGGCATGATCTCGACTCACTGCAAGCTCCATCTCCTGGGTTCACATCATTCTCCCTCCTCAGCTTCCAGAGTACCTGGGACTACAGGCACCCAACACCATGCCCAGCTAATTTTTTTGTATTTTTAGCAGAGATGAGGTTTCACCATGTTGGCCAGGATGGTCTCGATCTCCTGACCTCGTGATCTGCCCACCTCGGCCTCCCAAAGTGCTGGGATTACAGGCGTGAGCCACTGCGCCTGGCCAAAATGTCTTTATTTTATCAATAATCTTTAAAGCTGTTTTTATTTCCCAAAGATTACTAAAGTTACATGAACTAAAAGGCATTACAGTTTTTATTTTGCTTTCAAAATATTTGATTTAAGTGCTTGTTTTTGCTTAAGCCAATTAATTAGAGCTCTTTTATATGAACATTACACACAACACATGTATAATTACACAGACAGAGAGAAGAAGATTACTACAATAATTGTAAGATTTTTCATTTGCCAGTTTTTAAGTTTCTCAATTGCTTACTGGCTTTATGGTGGAGTCCTTGGAAGAACAGGGCCAAGAAAGGGGTCTCTGGTTCCTCCTGTTTTTCCCAAGGAGTCCAGGCTTTTAGAGCTTAAATATCCACTTTTAAGTAAGCCGACTTTTAACCATAGTACTCTTTAATAAAGTCTTTTAAAATTTCTTATTACCTTATTTTAGCCAGGCCAAATGGCTGATATTTCTGGCTTTTGAACTTTACTGAAAGTAACCTCCCAGGTGCTCAGAGAAAGGAAAATTTAAGACACCTGTGGAGGAGAAGAGACTATACAAGGTCATGTAGATATTAAACCAGAAAGAACTTACTTTCTAAGTAGGGAATCAAATCTGACTGCCAGTGTGAAAGGGCAATACCTTAGCTACTGAGCTACAGCACAGGGCACATCACAATAGCTAAGGACACTGTAACTTGTATCTGGTTGAAGGGAGTCATAGACTTGTTATGAAACTGATGAGGAGGGCTGGGACTGTGTGTATTTGAGGTACAGTTAGAAAATGTGGGTCCAAATGACAAATAAGAGATTGAAATAAAAGAGGAACTAATTGATTTTGGATTTGAAAATACTGATTGATTTGTCACACTATAGGTACGTGGGTGTGTCTATAAAGAAAGGAATTTTATCTGAGGAATGTGAGTCCTTTTAAGTTATCAGGCCTAGATAGACATTAAAATGAGACAGCAATCATGGCCCTACTTCCTCCTTGAGCTATGTATTCATCTCTTGAAACTGCTTGGTATTGCCACGTGTAGCTAGACATTAACCAAATAATGCCACATTTGACAATATAACCCACACTCTATAGCTTAACAAAGTATAGCCAATCACTAATCAATGTCGCTTCTGTAAACCAATGAGAATTCCTGATAACAACTTTGTATCAGCCCACTCCTTGTCCGCTTTTTCAACTTTAAAAACCCATTTGTAACTGGTGCTAATTACAGCGTATATTTAGGGTGACTTGCATCTGTGTTCCCAGGTTGCGATCCTCAAGCTTCACCCAAATGAATTCTCTATTTATATTGATTTTGCCTGAATTCTTCTTTTTGGGTCGATGCGTATGTGTGTTTGTGTATAGAGCATGTTCCAAAGGTCTTTGAACAGTTTAAACTTCACTAACTTCAGAAAAATAAGTGTTATAAATTCACCCCCAAGAACCTTGAAGTTTTAATTATATATGTTTATTTTATACTCGTTTTAGTTTTGAAGATGTTAAATAATGAATTATTAGTTAAACCATGCCCCAGAGAGTTAAAAAGCCAATGACTAACAAAAATTATCAGTTTACAGGATAGCAGATTAAACAACAAGTTGCTAAAACACCAAAAATGTCTCTGCTTGTAAGATTAAAAAACCGGCTAAAATGGATTAAAACTAATAAGGCCAACTGGAGTTGGCCAGAACAGGCTTGCTGAAGTCATAGGCCAAATTTCTACCATGTTTCAAACTAACTCCCCCAAAATGTGCACATGCGATCCATGAAGTAGCGTTAAACAAAACTGTGCATGCCTGAGGATGTCCCAGACCTCCTCTTTCCTTCCACAGATCACCTACTAATCCCAGAGGCCACCTCCTAAACCTTTTCTAATAAAAAGATTGCATGAAAGCCAGCACACGGGACAGATCTGAGCTGGACTCCTGTCTCCTTGTTGGTGTAATGTTCAACATTCACAAAATGAAGTAAGTATAAAGGAAATTAAAGTTTCATATCTGGGTTAATGTAAGGCAAAAACATTCTGTAGATAAGACGGATTTGAGGACATATGTGATCCTGAGAGTAGCAAAGCCTGGGTACAGCAAATATTCCAGGCAGTATTTCAGGCTTTCAAGGCAGTGTAGTTGGTGGGGTCCAAGTTAAGGGCTCCAAACAGTAAAGGGGGACTCGGATAATACCTGGTTTACTGTTGGAACAAACCGAAAATTCGACTAAGGTAAATATATGACATGAAGAAAGGATGGAGTTGGGAAACAGAGTGTCAGGGTAGGACAGAGGGACCTAGAGGGCCCAGGAGGGGTGGAGACAGCTGGACGGGTAAAAGGCAGGGCTGTGGACACACCCTTCTCTTCTTGCTACCCCCACCCTCAGAAACCGTCTATGACTCTTCCATGCTCTGTGATGCAGGTCTGGGCCTATAGTTAAGACTGGGCACCTACAACACTCAGTTGCCTTAGGAAGCCATGCTATTCAAACCATGGAGAATATCCTCTGTTTTCTAAACAGCTATACTGAGACAGGGCTTAGCCCTGACTCACCTTGTTTGGATGGATATTGACCACAACTGCATCTACTTGAGTGGGTTGGGGTTGTTTATGCTGTACTTTTTCTATGTGGTATTGATGCTGTGTTTGTCAACCCTTGGGAAAAATAATGATATCCAAAAGGTAAGGAACTGTGGATGAACACCCAAGAGAGATTCCCTCTTGTTGTTTCCCAATCCCATTTCCACATTTCTAAATAAATTTGGGTGGTTCAGAGAGATGTCTTAGATGGGAAGTCTGAAGAGAGGATAGAACTTCATTCTTCTATGGAAGAGGTTGGGCAGATGTAGGGGTTCAGAAGGACTAAGGTTTCCATATGAAGCTCATAGACTACCTATCTGGCTGTGGTGAAGAGTTACAGGATAAAATCCAAAACACAATAATTCTGTGGTCCTGGATTGAATTATTTAGAAAATGTGGGCTCTCTGAAGGAGAATAGTCTCTCCTAAAGTTTGATCATGAGTCAGATTCCCATGTCACCTGTCACTTGACCAAGTCTTCCTTCATGTTGGGCTGACAAGAGGAGTAATGCTGATAGTCTCTGAGCAGAGGCTGGAACCAGAGTTCTGTCTGCGGGACACTTGTCCTGTGAGGGAGCACAGATGTGACTGTTGGCCTCTGAGTCTGTGCCCTCCTTGAGGACTGCTAACTGAATACATCAAGTGTGGTTTGCACAGACAAAATCCTCTTTGAGTCTTTCAGAGAAGGAAAAATTGGAAATATTTTATCACCTTCAAAAATTGATAACAGGAACACTTTTCTATTAATTACAGAGTCATATTATTCTTGTATAATGAATGAATGTGCTTCCTAGAGGAGTGAGATAAGTGAGTCCTAGCCTCTCATTATCTTTCTTTCATTCTCAGCATCAGGGCAGAGCCAGGAGGAGAAAGAAAGGTGGGACATATAAAGGTAATGTCGACCTGCTCTATCTGAGCTTCAGGGTGACCCTTCCTGTCTCTTTCATGAGGACTCAGTCCCATGACTTCTTAGAATGTCAGTTACTAGATACAGTCTCAGAAAACAGAGCCCTCAGAAGACAGGCTCATGGGAAAGCGATAAGACCTGAGACACCGCTCAGAGGCCCTGCTCTGCCCATCCATGGGCAAGACTTAGTGATGGACCTGAGCAATGAGTGTTGCCCAATAGGCAGCCAAGTTAGATATCGAGGAAGGACTACTGGTTGACTTGGAGTCAGAGCTTCTGTCTCACAACTTTGCATAAGTAATTTGACTTCCTTGATGCTCAGATTCCTCCTGGAGGTAACCACTGATGTCTATGTTTCACGTGGTGGTTTTGAGCATCACATGGGGTAATGTATGTGAAAGGACTTTACTAATGATGCCACATACACATGTGAACTTGTGAATATTATCAATGACTATTTGCCCTTTTCTACTGATTCTTGGGACTATCAGAGTTTAATATCCCAAGGGTCTTCCACAGAGTGACTTCTGTATGAGCCATGTGCCTCTACCTTCATTGCATATAACATACTGTTCTGCTTTCCCAGACCGGAAAAGTTTCCAGAGAGAAGCCGAAGAGGAAAGGAAGTTGCTTTCTATTCTGAAAAGGTGATTAATCATTCCCCTTCTGTCCTTGTTCCCACCCCCCCCTTTTTTTTTTTTTTTTTTTAGCACGTTCTATTCACTTCAGGGATTCCTTGTAGCCTGCTATAGTTGTGGGCGTGGGTCCCCACAGGAATGGGTATGTGAATTGAATGCACTGGGGAGAGGCTACAGAGTGCATAGTGAGGTCATGGGTGGGGGGCAATGTGAAACAGGTAGCAGGATTCAGGGGCCCCCACCCCTGCCAGGCTAACAGACCCTCCTTTCTTTGTTCTCGTCCTGGCTGCAGCTTTGGACCTCCTGCTTCCTGCAGTCCCCTGGGTCAGCATCATGATACCACCCGCTTTCATCGACTGTTATGCCCAGACCCCGTCTGTCAGGTGTGTAACAGAGCAACTGCTGATATCCAGCGACTGCTGTCTTGGGAGTCCCTGAAAGATGCTGTTCCCTTTGTGTCCCCTTTGGCTTCTTCAGCTTCTGCGACTGAGTCATCATTCACTCTGGCTTCCACCCCCTCAGCAACCACTCCAGAAGACCTAATATTGTCCCCGCAGCCTAAGCCTTCTCTACTGCCCCACTTAATTCTCTCCCCTGACCTGATCACCACCTTAGCTGACTTATTTTCACCCTCACCACTGAGGGACCCTCTGCCACCACAGCCTGTTTCTCCCTTGGATTCCAAGTTCCCCATAGACCATTCCCTACCCCAACAGCTTCCCTCTCCCCTTTTCCCACCGCATCACATTCAGAGAGCGGAGCCCAGTCTCCAACCTGAGGCCAGTTTGTCTCTGAACACTGTCTTTTTATTTGACTCCACCCTATCCCAAGATATGAACCCCTTATCAAATATTTCCCAGGCCATGAATGCCACTGATTCATGTGCTTGGCATCACGAACCACCAAACCCATCTGCTTTACCACTGGAGGACTGCCCTGTAACTCAGTCTAAAGCAAGTCCCACAGTATTGAAGCCTTTTCCGGAGATGTTATCTCTAGGTAGTTCTGGTGGATCATCCACATGTGCCCCAACAATCAGAGGCATTGACATTCATGCCCTGCATCTTCAGAATTCTCCTGGTGGCAGCCTCATGACAAGGACTTTTTTCCTTCCACTATTGCACCATATGATTTCATGCAAGAGCTTCTTACCCTTCATTCTTCTGAGATCACTATAGGAGGGCACTCTGTGGTCAACCTCACAGAGCCTATTAACCTCTCATTTATCAGTCATGACATTCTGGCACTCCTGGAGAGACAAGTCAAAAAAAGGAGTGATTTCCTGATGTGGAAAGAAAATGAAAATAAAGCAGAATCTTTTCCAAAACAACGTAGGCCAAACTATCAACTAAATTCTTCACAGAAAATGTTAGCCTCAATTGCAGATAAGCAAGACTTGGCAACCTCCCTTCCTTTTTGGGGCCAGTAAAGACAGACTAGAACAACTGCACATCCATCAGCAGCCCCCATATTCTAAGTGTTTTGAGGACCATTTGGAGCAAAAATATGTCCAGCTCTTCTGGGGTCTCCCATCTTTGCACAGTGAGTCTCTGCATCCTACTATTCTTGTCCAACGTGGCCATTCCTCCATGTTTGTATTCTTCAATGGCATTACAAATACATCTATATCCCATGAATCCCCAGTACTTCCCCCTCCCCAGACTCTGTCCTTGCCTAGTACCCAACCTCTACCCTCGCCTCAAACCCTGCCCAGAGGTCAGTCCCCACATCTCACTCAGGTCCAGTCCCAGGCTCAATATCAATCTCCAATCCCAGCCCTACTACCTAGTCCTCTATTTCTGTTTAGGTGTGTGGATTGTGTTTTCATAGACCCCAGGATGAGGCACGGTCTCTTATGCCATCTGAAATTAATCATCTGGAGTAGAACGTGTTGCAGAAAGTGCAGGAAAGTGTGTGGGGTTTACCCTCTGTGGTTCAAAAATCCCAGGAAGACTTTTGTCCTCCAGGTACCAATGCTGTATTGGTCAGAAAGTCTTTCAAGGTCCATGTTCCCATCTCCATCATTCCTGGAGATTTTCCACTCAGCTCTGAGGTAAGGAAGAAACTAGAGCAACACATTCGAAAGAGGCTCATCCAGCGCAGATGGGGCCTGCCCCGCAGAATCCATGAGTCTCTGTCATTGCTACGTCCTCAGAGCAAAATTTCAGAGCTATCTGTGTCAGACAGCATTCATGGACCGTTAAATATCTCTTTGGTTGAGGGTCAGAGGTGCAATGTTCTAAAGAAGTCCGCATCAAGCTTCCCTAGAAGCTTCCACGAGAGGAGCTCAAATATGCTTTCCATGGAGAATGTGGGGAATTATCAGGGATACAGCCAGGAGACTGCCCCAAAAGATCACCTATTGCATGATCCAGAGACATCTTCAGACGAGGATCTGAGGTCTAACTCTGAGAGAGACCTAGAAACTCATATGATGCATCTGTCAGGGAATGACTCAGGGGTGAGACTAGGTCAGAAACAACTTGAAAATGCCCTGACAGTACGTTTGAGCAAGAAATTTGAGAAAATCAATGAGGGTCGAATGCCTGGGACTGTGCATAGTTCATGGCACTCAGTCAAGCAGACAATGTCTCTTCCTGAGAAATCCCAAAGCCAAATTAAACATCAAAATCTGGTAGCATTGGTGAGTGAGGACCACTGCGTTGATACTTCCCAGGAGATTTCCTTCCTTAGTTCCAACAAACAAAAGATGTTGGAAGCCCATATTAAAACTTTCCGTATGAGGATGCTGTGGGGCCTTCCCTGCAAGGTCCTTGAATCCATAGAAATCTTCAAATCGGAAGAGGATATTTCCAATTCCTTTTCCCATTTCTACCTTCCCTCCTCAGCCAGCTTTATTTCTCAGGGAGATTCCAAAGATGGGGTCTCTAAGTCTTGTAGACGAAGCACTTTTCAAGGAGAAAAGTTGGGAACAACAAGCTCAGTCCCTGTCCTTAATCATCCTCAGCCTGTCTCCTCACCTATTGGCAAAGAAGGGCAGGGGACCCTGAGAAGACAATTTTCTGATATTGACCATGACCTTATAGAGACAGATGCCAAAGATGGTGCCTCCACGCCCCTTAGAAGAGGCACTACATATTTTCAAGGAGAAAAATTAGAAACAACAAGCTCATTCTCCATCTTGGGTCATCCTCACCTCGTCACCTCACCTGTTGATCAAGAAAAGCAGGGGACCCTCAGAAGAGAATTCGCTGATACTGACGAGGATCTTACAGAAAGTGTCTGGACAACTGAGGATGGCAGACAGACTTTTCTGCCCCCCACATACAGCATCATAGACGAAGTCAGTCAGAAACAGACTATACTTGCCAGTAGATGCAGCGCAGAGCTGCCCATACTGCAAGCTGGAGTTGGCCGTGATTCAAGGGATAAGAGAGAGAGTGCCAGTAATAATGTTAACAGGCTTCAGGGCAGTGGAAAGACCTTTCCTGTCACCAATGGGTCGAAGGAGATGTTCAAGGAAGAGGAGATCTGTACTCTTCAATCACAAACTAGGAACAACTTGACAACCAGCAAGTCAGGAAGCTGCTTAGTGACAAACGTGAAAAGAAGCACTTCTCATGAAACTGAAATTTTCCCACCAAGAATATCAGTTCCTCAAACTCCTAAATCATCATATCTTAAAAATCAGATGTTGAGCCAGTTAAAGTTGGTCCAGAGGAAGCATAGCCAACCTCAGAGCCATTTCACTGGCATGTCTCTTGCCTTAGATAACTTGAGTTCCAAGGACTTACTGACTCATGCCCAGGGCATCTCGAATCAGGACTTGGGAACTTCCCAGGTGCTGCATGTCCACTTGGAGGTCAGAGGAATCCGTGTGGCACAGCAGCAGGAGCACAGGGTCCCTACGCATGTCTTACAGAAATGCCAAGTTAAGAATTTTTCACCAGCTGCAAAGAGAGTGAGCCCTTTAAGACCCAATGGAGGAGAGCTTGGTGGAGGGGATGCAGGGCTGGGGACATCCCAACTCACTAGAAAGAGCCTCCCTGTTCATAACAAGGCATCAGGAGAGGTGCCTGGGAGCAAATCTTCCCCAACCTTGAAAACACAGCCTCCTTCTGAAAACCTTTTCAGAAAATGGATGCAGACCTTATTGCAGTGGTTTAATAAACCTAGCATAATGTGTGAAGAACAAGAAAGTTCTTGGGAAAAGGGTAGCTCCCTGTCATCATCTGTGCAGAATAGAAGTCGAGTTACAAGTAGAGCTGCTTTTACTGGTGCTACTGAAGCTCAGAAAATTAGGAAAGACACTGGGGAGTTCCTAGAAGAAAAGCTGGGGCATAGCCATGGGATAGATATCACCTGTCCCTAAGAACCCTTTTCCTTCCCAGTGGAGCTTGGGAAAGCTCAGCACAACCCAGAAGTGCAGGTCAGAGCAGAGCCTTTCCAGGGCTATCCCCGCAACTACACAGCTCCCTCCCGCAAAGTGACATGTACCAAATCTTGCAGCCAACAAGCTATCTTTGTTGGACAGAATTATCCTACAAGGATTAGACAGATCATAGACAAGGACAGACAGCCCCAGGAAGTTGAGGCATTTAAGGGGAAGATATTGTATCAAAGGCATCCCCAATCCATGCCCCACAGGGATCCTGTACCACATCTAAACCCCACTTGTCAGCGTCAAGTCACCCTGGTGTGTCCAGCTGTCCCAATTAGTGGCAAAAGCACTGTGTTCAGTGATGTGCCTTTACTAACTGGACACAAAATGCATTGGAAGTATTTGCAGGGAGGCAAATCTCCCCCCACAAAATAATTCACTACTTGTTGAGAATCTTGATTCTCCCTAATAAATGTTCTAATAAGATTGGTGTCTTTTCTGTGTACTGTGTTGGGAGGTATAGGTTTTGGGTAACCCAAGCTTGTGCTTAGGGAAAGGTAGGAGTTAGCTCAGCTCTTACTGACTCCCTCTTTTGACTTTTAAAAGGTGACCAATCCCCTGGAACTAGTGTGAAGGAATGAGTATCATGTGCCTCCAAAAGCCCCTTTTCTCCCTGATCAAGTCTGAGGAGATGGGCTCTTTTCTACCTCTTTGCTTTAGACTTACTGATACCGTATGGCAGCCTGCACCTTCCTCCCCATTCACTGCTTCATATCCTTTAGAGCAGTAAGGAAGGCAGCCCTTCCATATCTGAAGAGAGAGTGAAGGACAGATACATTTTTCAGAAATAGTGGTTTAATCACTATTTAAAAAAAGTTGTCACTGACCACAGGATCATATAAGTTGGTGGGAGTGTTTAGGGTATTGCTGGTTGGGGTAGGGTGTCAGGAACACTGTGGATGCTGCTTAAGAATTTGACAAGCAGGGCATGCTCATGATTTAGGGAGGCATATTTTGACCTCAACGTTGAGGTCTTTCTACTAATAAGTCACTTGGGAAAGTAGTTCCCCTCCCTGTGTATTTCTCTATGCTACCTGGATTGATGACATTTTTACAGAGCAAAAAGATCACCTGGCTGTCTGTGGCAGGACTGCTGACCAGACAACCACCTACCTCCTAGGGTAAAATATAGCTTACAGTAAGGAAAATATGTCTTTGAATGAGAAAGTAAGAAAAAAGTGAAGCTAGGAAAGGATGACCATGCTAGTCGAAAAAGGTTTATGCCCCATCATGCCCATATCATGACCCTTTCTCAATCTGGATCTAGGTACCACCACCTTGAGGATTACCAGGGCACTGAAGAGCTGACAGATGCCATTTTGGCAGAAGTGTACATGGGGCTGTTCTTTAAGGAGTAAAACAGTATCTGCAGGGCTGTTGTCAACATGGCATCCCTCTCTTTAGGGAAGGTGATCTTTGTGCCTTCTTTCTAGCCATGTTGATGGCAACATGCAAGATCTTCCCTTAATGTATACGGTGCACCTCAGGATGGATGTGTCACCTCTGATCTTCATGGGGTTAGTGGAATATAATAAATATTGTGTAGAACACCTGAAGCTCATGATCCAGAGGTGAGTCCTTGACTATGCATGAGTATTACAGACATTTGGAGGCTAGCTATGAATCTTTACAGAATGCTCCTTATGACTAAGAGTGTGCACATATGCACCCTTAAAATATTAGAGGTCTGAAGAGAAGGGAACTCCACTTATACAGACTGGGACTAATAAATGAGGTGAGTTTTCTAGAGGGCACTTGAGGTAGGTTTTCCAGAAAAATTTGTGAATGCTTGGTGTCAAAACAAAAGCAAAACAAAACAAATCAAAACAGATGTCCACTACAGCTCCCTCACTCAACCATCCTTCTCTTTTCCTGTCCATGCGTATGCCACTGACCCTGCAGTGTCTGAAGTTTGGGATTGCAGAAATAATTCAGATTTCAGGAAGGCTTTAAGAGAACAAAATTGGGATGAAGTCCAGGGCAAAGAACTTGTGGAGGTGGAGAATCAGCGACCCATGGATGCCTGGGGATTCTCCATGTTCTTCCCTGTAAGCCTGTCCCCTAAGTCTTGTAAGGCAGCCAGCCATGCTAATTGTTTTAAAATGACTGAAGGGGGCCCAGTATTTGGTTTGATTTGGTTCTAAAATGAAGGCCGAGAGCCTTGAAATGAAGGGACAGAGTTGGAGTCCGCTCCTCTATTCACCATGTCAATAAAGGTTGTACCTTGGTATCAGACATGAGCCCCCAGTTTGAAGGGGCTACATTATCTGGGGTATATGCCCTGGCGTTCATCATCTTGTGCCAGGAAAATTTAGAACACAGACACACACGAGGAGTTTAGGAGCAGATGTTTAATAGGCAGAAGATAAGAGAAAGAGAAACAGCTCTCTCTACAGACCAAGAAAAGTCTCCAAGTGGAAAAGACTGGCTGGCAGCGAATGCACCAGATTTTATAGTCAGGTTTGAGGAGGCAGTGTCTGATTTCCATAGGGCTCACAGATTGGTTCAATCAGGTATGATGTTTACATAGTGTACAGGCAAGGCTGGTTGCCCCAACGTAATCTTATTGCACAAATGGGCTTTCCAGTTGATCGGTGCCATCTTGTCTGCTCCTTACTGTACATGTGGCTGACAGAGAAAAGAAGATGGAGCCACCATCTTGAACATGTCTAGTCCCCTAATTCCTGCTGGCATTCACTTGTGCAAGCTCCCAGCTTGCTTATCTATGTCTGCAGCTCGAATTTACAGGCTGCTCTTTGTTAGAAAATGATTTGGGGCTGATTCTCATTAAAAAGAAAAGATTTACTGAGGACTCCCATACCCTTATTATCTGCCTAGGTAATTTCTTCTTAACTACTGTATCAGCAGCATTATAGCCCCAAAGTGAAAACAACCCAAATGTTCACCAACTAAATCAATAGATAAACAAAATGTGATATATCCATACAATGGGATGTCACTTGTCCATAAAAAGAAATGAAGTATCTATACATGCTGCAACATGAACGGACCTTGAAAACATCATGGTAAGAAGCCAGACACAAAAATCCACATATTGTATGATTCCATTTAGATGAAATGTCTAGAAATGAAAAATAGATAGAGACAGAAAGTAGATTACTGGTAACATAGGGAGGAAGGCAAATATTGAGGGGTGAAGGCTAAGTGAAGCAGAGTTTCTTTTTGGGGTGATGAAAATGTTCTAAAATTGATTGTGGTGATACATGCATAACTGTGAATATGCTAAAAACTGTTGAATGGTATACTTTTGGCGAGTGAATTGTATAGTATACAAATTATGTTTCAATAAATAATTTTTAAAAAGAAAGTTTATATAGTAGCTTTATTCATAATTGGCAAAATTAGAAGCAACAGAAATGTCTTTCAGTAGGTAAGTAAATTTTTTTGTATATCCTAAAATGGAATATTATATGCCATTGAAAAGAAATAAACTGGCAAAACATAAAAAAGGAGGAAAACTATTAAGTGAAAGAATACAATCTGAAAAGGGTGTATGATTCCAACTATATGACATTTGAAAATGGGCAAAACTATGAAGGCAGTAAAAAGGGCAATGGTTGTCAGGGGCTAGTGGGGAGGGGGGGATGAAGAAACAGCACAGAGGATTTTTAGGGCAGTGAACTATTCTACATGATAGTACAATAGTGGATATGGGTCATTATACGTTTGTCAAAACCCACAGAATGTACAACATCAAGAGTGAACGTTAATGTAAACTACGGACTTTGGATAATAGTGATGTGTAACAAATGTACCACTCTAGTATGGGATGTTGACAACTGGGGAAGCTGTGCCTGTGTGGGGATAGTTGGTATATAGGAATTTTCCCACTTACTTTTGCTGTCAACATAAAATATCTGTAAAAAATAAAAGTCAGTTAAAAAAAAGAAGAGGAGGTTGTTAATATCTCACAAGGCCCAACATCAGAGAGTTGGCATCAACTCTCTGAAGTATTCCCTGAACCCTGTTTTCCCTTCCTCCTGGCAGAAGAATTCTACTTCTTTATCTATCTTCCCATTGTGTATTATTTTTGCTTGTTTTACAGCTTTTTGTAGCATATTTAATTACACTTGTTTGCAGGTCTCACTTTCTGTACTATGACCTGTCCAAGGGCAGAGGCAATGTCTTATTTTACTGATATTTTTACAGTAGTAGGAATACTACATAGTAAAGTTCAATAAATATTTGTTGTGTGAATGTATGAAGAACATCTTACGACTACTGTTTTATTATTTTTATTTTTCTGGGACAGAGTTTCACTCTGTTGCCCAGGCTGTAGTACAGTGGTGTAATCTCGTCTCACTATAACTTACCCTTCTGGGTTCAATCTAATCTCCTGCCTCGGCCTCCCAAGTAACTGGGATTACAGGTGTCTCCCACCATGCCTGGTTAAATTTTTGTATCTTTAGTAGAGACTGGATTTCACCATGTTGGCCAAGCTTGTCTTGAACTCCTGACCTCAGGTGTTCCGCCTGCCTTGGTCTCCCCAGGAGCTGGGATAAAACTACTGTTTAAAAATACAATTATAAAGGATTTTGGCTCAGAACCTGTTCTGCTTCAGGCTTTTGGGGAACCTGAAAACAGCTGCCTCCAAGTGACTTATTCCAGGGACAGTGGTCAGGATGTGAGGGCGTGAGCATTGAGGAAACGTCCTAGGAAATTGGGAACATATGAAAGTCCTAAACTAATAGTTTATCTATACTGAGCATCCTCAAGTGGTAACATATTACTCTAAGAGCTTTTGGAAAAGATTCCTCCTTGGAGATAATAAAACCAAGTGCAGTGTGAAATCCAAGACCAGACTTCTGGGTGGTGGTTTAGGTAAATTGAGAAGATGTCATGGGGCCAATGGTGAGACAGTCCATCCTACCAGAAGCCACCTCTGCCACCTCCCAAAGGCTGCCTAAAATGCTTTGGTAAGAGCTTATTACAAGGCATGGGGATAGATATACGTAGAATGTGTGAAATGTTTTCCTGGGAGGGATGACATTTTAAACTTTTATTTTCTACATTACTGGGAGTCATATGTAGATTTTAAGAGGGGGCTAGGAAAAAAAAACTATGAAGACTTTGATGCTAAGAGTGGAAAGGAAAAGTTATCTAAGAGGTGATAGAGTACCAAAAATAGCTTTTCCCTTACTTCCCAAATTTGTCAGCATTTAACAGACAAAGTGAATATTCTTAAGCATCTAACTATTTTAACATTAGGGCATACTTTTTACTTTAAGAAATTACATATTAATATGTGTAAAGTAGAAGCATTATGAATGTAGAGAATTTATTCATTAGGGCTTTGATATTTACTACTGTCTGATTTAGAGAAGTCACTTACCCTCTCTGGGCTTCGGTTTCATTCATTGATAAAATAGGCACATGAGGTCAAGGGCAGAGCCTGTGGCTTACAGATGCCTGTGTCTCCTAGTTTCCAGCAGCAAATATTTATGAGATGAAAACTTGGCTGAGGCTACATATAAAAGAGAGGAGGAAGGGGCATCTCTTGGCAGATTTTATTCTCAAGGCAGGTTACCTGCTCTTGCATAAATGAAAGGAGACCTGGCCTGGCTTGAAGGCTGTCTTATCCTTTCAAAGGAGATCAGTAACAGTGGTGGCCCATGGGTAACTGTGGTGGCCCATGGGTGTCTAATAAGGAGCTTTATAGTATTAAAAGAAACTTCAGAGAAATTAAATTTAAAGTAGTTTAACTGAGCAATGAAAGATTTGCGAATCGTCCAGCCCCCAGAATCACAGCAGATTCACAGAGACTCCAGGGGTGCTTTGTGGTTAGAACAAATTTATAGACAAAAAGGCAAAGTGACGTACATGAATCAGAGGTGAGAGGTACAGAAAGAGTGAGATTGATTACAACTCGGCGTTTGCCTTTTTGAATGCAGTTTGAACATTAAGCAGTCTATGAGTGGTTGAATTATGGCTGCCGGGATTGGCCAACACTCAGCTATTGTTACAGGTGCATACTATTGAGTTAGATTTTCAATTTGTGTAACTATTAGGCTAGGTTACAATTCATCTGCAAGCACTCAAATATAGAAGCATGGAGTCCTCAAGCCATATTTGTTTGCTTTAACAATAGTTTAAGAAAGACATGAGAAGTTAAGAGCCAGTTCAGATGACAGCTGTCATGATAAAGAGTTTAGAAAAGAATGTGTAGGAAGATGGGTTAGGGGTGGAGGATATTGGGATCATTTAAACCTGACAGGAGTCACCTGAATAAAGTATGACAGGTAGTTGGTATTTGGACATTTGCAGAAGTGATTATATAGAATATAAAGCAGATGTTCTCAAGTTTTTTGGATGCCAAGGCACTCAGGAAAAGATCACATTTACATGGCCCACAGTGTAGTCAGGTGAGGTTGCTTAAGACTACGTTCTGCTCTAAGGCTTTGACACACCTAAGTCTCACTCTGCTACCAAACACTGATGGGATCAGTAGTATCATCCAAAAGAGCACCAAGATGACTAAATAGTAGAAAGGAGAGCCTTATTGCTTAATCAGTTTGCAAGCCAGGAAGGGAAAGCATCCAGTGTGGAATAAAGCTGCTGTCTGTTGGAATAGGGGAAGGACAGGTTGGGTTTTATATTCATATTCATACATATTCAATAAGTTTGGGGGAAAAGCTATATATATTTATGCAGGAGCCAAGCACACCATAATGAGTAAACATATGTAACATACATCCCATGTTCACCTTGGTTTTAGCACTAAAATGAGGTAGAATTTGGCCCTTTACATGATAAGGTGAACTGTAGGACAGAGGCGGTTTGTGTGCCGCCTCTATAATCTGGCAGAAACTGGAAATCTCTAATATTAGTAGCTTATCAGAAAAGAATGTTTGTAAGGCCGGTCCTCTGTCCAATCAGAGCCGATAGCTCATTTGGTGAGAGGGAGTTTAGTTATAGAAAGTTAGAAATTTGCCATGCCATCCAGGCCCTGAACCCTTGACCCATCGGTAACTTTGTTTCCTTAACCTAAGGGTCTGTCTTAGTTGATAAAGGGGCATCTATTTTGGTCTTTTAGATCACAATAGCTTAGCGCACTGTAACCTATCCCTGCTTTAAGGGAGTTGCATACTTGCCACCAAAGTGATGTGGAGGGTTGGGCCTGGTTGTGTTTGCGGTAGAGTTAGAAAATGTGGGGTCAAAATGACAAATAAGAAATTAAAATAAAAGGAGGAACTAATTGATTCTGGATTTGAAAACACTCATTGATTTGTCACAGGATGGGTGTGTGGATGTGTTTGTAAAGAAAAGAACTTTTATCTGAGGCATGTGAGTCCTTTTAAGTTATCAGGCCTAGAGAGACATTAAAATGAGACAGAAATCACAGCCTTATTTCCTCCTTGAGCTACACATTCATCTCTTGAAACTGCTTGCTATTGCCATATGGAGCTATATAGTAACCCAATAATGCCACACCTGACAGGATAACCCACCCCCTATAGCTTAATAATGTACAGCCAATCACTAAGCAATGTCACTCCTGTAAACCAATGAGAATTCCTGATTACAACTTTGTATCAGCCGACTCCTTGTCCCCTTTTTCCACTTTAAAAACCCACTCATAACTACTGGTAATTGGAGTGTATATTTAGGCTGACTTGCATCTGTGTTCCCAGGTTGCAATCCTCAAGCTTGACCCAAATTAACTCTCTACTTATAATAATTTTCCATCAACTTCTCCCTTTTAGGTCGATGCGTATGTGTGTTTGTGTACAGAGTATGTTCCAAAAGTGCTTGAACAGTTTAAACTTCACTAACTTGAGAAAAATAAGTTCTATAAATTTACCCCTAAGGTCCCTGGAAGTTTCAATTATATACATTTATTGTACACTTATTTTCATTTTGTAGATGTTAAATAATGCATTATTAGTGAAACCATGCCCCAGAGAGTTGAAGAAAACAATGACTAATGAAATTAATCAGTTTACAAGAAAGGAGATCAAACAAAAACAACAACAGTAACTTGCTAAAATGCCGAAACTCTCCCTGCTTCTGAGATTTAAAAACTGGCTAAAATGGATTAAAACTATTAAGGCCAACTGGAGTTTGCACAGAACAAGCTGGCTGGCGTCACAGCCCAAATTTCTGCCACATTTTAACCAACTCCCCACAAATGTGCCCATGGAATACATGAGGCAGCGTTAAAGAAAACTGTGCATGCCGAGGATTTTCAGACCTCCCCTTTCCTTCCAGCAATCAACTATTAATTCCAGAGGCCACTCCCTAAATGTTTTCTAATAAAATGACTGCATGAAAGCCAGCACACAGGACTGATTTGAGCTGGACTCCTGTCTCCTTTTTGGTTAATTTCCAATAAAAACATCTTTTCTCAAAAAAATCAAATTGGGCAGGGAGCTTCTTTTCCTTGATAACGTTAGTTTTAATCATTTGAGTCAGTCCCTCTGATTGGAAATAGTAAAAACTGACTTCAAACAAAGAATGTAATGTTCACCATTCACGAAACGAAGTAAGAATAAAGGAAGTTTAAGTTTTATATCTGCATTTATGTAAGGCAAAAACATACTGTAGATAAGACGGATTTGAGGACATATGTGATCCTGAGAGTAGAAAAGCCTGGGTACAACAAATATTCCAGGCAGTATTTCAGGCTTTCAAGGCAGTGTAGTTGGTGGGGTCCAAGTTAAGGGCTCCAAACAGCGAAGTGGGACTTGGGTAATGCCTGGTTTACTGTTGGAACAAACGGAAAATTCAACTAAGATAAATATATGACTTGAAAAAGGATGGAGTTGGGAAATGGAGTGTTAGGGTAGGACAGAGCGACCTAGAGGGCCCAGGAAGGTGGAGTCAGCTGGGCTGGTGGGGTTGGGGCTGTGGACACACCCTCCTCTTGTTGATCCCTCCACCCTCAGAAACCCTCTGTGACTCTTCCACGCTCTGTGATGCAGGCCTGTGCTTACAGTTAAGCCTGGGCACCCTCAGTGCTCAGTTGCTTCAGGCAGCTGAGCTATTCAGACCATGGAGAATATCCTCTGTTTTCTGAACAGCTATACTGAGACAGGGCTGAGCCCTGACTCACATTGTTTGGATATTGACCTCAACTTCATCTGCTTGAGTGGGTTGGGGTTGTTTATACTGTACTTGTTCTACATGGTATTGACCCTGTATTCATCACCCACCGAAAAAAATAATGACACCCAAAAGGTAAGGAACTGTGGGTGAACACCCAAGAGAGATGCCCTGTTTTTGTTTCCGAATCCTATTCCCACATTTCTAAATAAGTTTGGTTAGTACAGAGACATGTCTTAGATGGGAAGTCTGAAGAGAGGATAGAACTTCACTCTTCTGTGGAACAGGTTGGGCAGATGTAGGGGTTCAGGAGGACAAAGGTTTCCATCTGTAGCTCATAGACTACCTATCCGGCTGTGGTGGAGAGTTCCAGGATAAAATCCCAAACAGTAATTCTGTGGTCCCAGGTGGGATTATTTAGAGAGTCTGGGCTCTCTGAAGGAGAATAGTCTCTGCTGAAATTTGATCATGAGTCAGATTCCCATGTCACCCGTCATTCAACAAAGCCTTCCTTCTTGTTGGGCTGACCAGGGGAGTAACGCTGAGAGTCTCTGAGCAGAGGCTGGAGCCAGAGCTCTGTCTCTGGGATGCTTGCCCTGTGAGGGAGCACAGATGTGACTGTCGACCTCTGAGTCTGTGCCCTGGATGAGGACTTCTAACTGAGCACATCAAGTGTGGCTCTCACAGAAGAAATCCTCTTTCAGCTTTTCAGAGAAGGGAAAACAAGAAATATTTTATGACCTTTAAAAATTGATAACAAGAATATATTTCTATTAATTAGAGAGTCATATCATTCTTGTATAATGAATGAATGAATGAATGAATGAATGAGCTTCAAAGAGTGTGAGAGAAGTGAGTACCAGCCTGTCATTATCTTTGTTTCATTCTCAGCATCAGGGCAGAGCCAGGAGGAAAAGAAAAAGCGTGACATTTAAAGGTAATGTCAGCCTATTCTATCTGAGCTTCAGGGTGACCCTTTCTGTCTCTTTCATGAGGACTCAGTCCCATGATTTCTTAGAATGTCAGTTACTAGATAGTCTCAGAAAACAGAGCCCTCAGAAGACAGGCTCGTGGGAAATCAATCAGACCTGAGACACTGCTCATAGGCCCTGCTCTGCCCATTCATGGGCATGACAAAGTGATGGACCTGAGTAATGGGTGTTGCCCAATTGGTGGCCACCTGAGATATCGAGGAAGGACTACTGGTTGGCTTGGAGTCAGAGTTTCTGTCTTACAACTTTGCATAAGTACTTTGACTTCCTTGATGCTCGGATTCCTCCTGGAGGTAACCACTGATGTCTATGTTTCACGTGGTGGTTTTGAGCATCACATGGGATAATGTATATGAAAGAATTCTACTAATGATTCCACATACACATGTGAACTTGTGAACATTATCAATGAATATTTGCCCTTTTCTACTGATTCTTGGGGCTATCAGAGTTTAATATCCCAAGGGTCTTCCACAGAGTTACTTCTGTATGATCCCTGTGCCTCTACCTTCATTGCATGTAACATGCTGTTCTGGTTTCCAGACCGGAAAAGTTTGCAGAAGGAAGCAGAAGAGGAAAGAAAGCTACATTCTTTTCTGAAAAGGTGATTAATCATTCCCCTTCTATCCTGTTCCCACCGCCTTCTTTTTTTTTTTTTTTTTTTTTTTTGCATGTTCTATTCATTTCAGGGATTCCTTGTAGCCTGCTGTAGTTTTGGGAGTGGGTAGCCATAGGAACGGATATGTGAATGAATGCTTTGAGGAGAGGCTATAGTGAGGTCATATGACCTCACATACGGTGAGCTCATGGATGGGGGGTAATGTGAAGCAGGATTCAGGGGGCCCCACCCCTGCCAGGCTAACAGATCCTCATTTCCTTGTTCTGATCCTGGCTGCAGCTTTGGACCTCCTGTTTCCTGCAGTCCCCTGGGCCAGCATCATGATACCACCCTCTTTCGTCGACTGTTATGCCCAGACCCTGTCTGTCGGGTGTGTAACAGAGCAACTGCTGATATCCAGCGACTGCTGTCTTGGGAGTCCCTGAAAGATGCTGCTCCCTCTGTGTCCCCTTTGGCTTCTTCAGCTTCTGGGGCTGAGTCATCGTTCACTCTGGCTTCCACCCCCTCAGCAACCACTCCAGAAGACCTAATATTGTCCTCTCGGCCTAAGCCCTCTCCACCACCCCCCTTAATTCTCTCACCTGACCTGATCACCACCTTAGCTGACTTATTTTCACCCTCACCACTGAGGGACCCTCTGCCACCACAGCCTGTTTCTCCCTTGGATTCCAAGTTCCCCATAGACCATTCCCCACCCCAACAGCTTCCCTTTCCCCTTCTCCCACCACATCACATTGAGAGAGTGGAGCCCAGCCTCCAACCTGAGGCCAGTTTGTCTCTGAACACCATCTTTTCATTTGGCTCCACCCTATGCCAAGATATTTCCCAGGCCGTGAATCGCACTGATTCATGTGCTCGTCATCATGGACCACCAACCCCATCTGCTTTACCACCGGAAGATTGCACTGTGACTCAGTCTAAATCAAATCTCACCGTCTTGAAGACTTTTCCGGAAATGTTATCTCTAGGTGGCTCTGGTGGGTCATCCACCTCTGCCCCAACAACGAAAGGCATTGACCATTCATGCCCTGCATCTTCAGAATTCTCCTGGTGGCAGCCTCATGCCAAGGACTCTTTTTCCTCTAATTTTGTGCCATCTGATTTCATGGAGGAGCTTCTTACCCTTCATTCTTCTGAGGCCTCTTTAGGGGGGCACTCTGTGGCCAACATCATACAGCCTGTTAACATCTCTTTTCTCAGCCATGACATTCCGGCACTCCTGGAGAGACAAGTCAAAAGAAGGGGTGATTTCCTGATGTGGAAAGAAAATGGAAAGAAACCAGGATCATTCCCAACACAACTTAGGCCAAACTACCAACTAAATTCCTCACGGAATATGTTAACCTCAACTGCTGTTAAGCATGACTTAGCAGAATCCTTTCCTTTTTGGGCCAGTAAAGGCAAACTAGAGTGGCAGCACATCCATCAGCAGCCCCCATATTCTAAGTGTTTTGAGGACCATTTAGAGCAAAAATATGTCCAGCTCTTCTGGGGTCTCCCATCTTTGCACAGCGAGTCTCTGCATCCTACTGTTTTTGTCCAACATGGCCGTTCCTCCATGTTTGTATTCTTCAATGGCATTACAAATACATCTATGTCCCATGAATCCCCAGTACTTCCCCCTCCCCAACCTCTGTTCTTGCCTAGTACCCAACCTCTACCCTTGCCTCAAACCCTGCCCCGAGGTCAGTCCCTACATCTCACTCAGGTGAAGTCCCTGGCTCAACCTCAATCTCCATTCCCAGCCCTACCACCTAGTCCTCTATTCCTGATTAGGGTGTGTGGCGTGTGTTTTCATAGACCCCAGAATGAGGCACGGTCTCTTATGCCATCTGAAATTAATCATCTGGAGTGGAACGTGTTGCAGAAAGTGCAGGAAAGTGTGTGGGGTTTACCCTCTGTGGTTCAAAAATCCCAGGAAGACTTTTGTCCTCCAGCTCCCAATCCTGTATTGGTCAGAAAGTCCTTCAAGGTCCATGTTCCCATCTCCATCATTCCTGGAGATTTTCCACTCAGCTCTGAGGTAAGGAAGAAACTAGAGCAACACATTCGAAAGAGGCTCATCCAGCGCAGATGGGGCCTGCCCCGCAGAATCCATGAGTCTCTGTCATTGCTACGTCCTCAGAACAAAATTTCAGAGCTATCTGTGTCAGAGAGCATTCATGGTCCATTAAATATCTCTTTGGTTGAGGGTCAGAGGTGCAATGTTCTAAAGAAGTCCGCATCAAGCTTCCCTAGAAGCTTCCACGAGAGGAGCTCAAATATGCTTTCCATGGAGAATGTGGGGAATTATCAGGGATGCAGCCAGGAGACTGCCCCAAAAAACCATCTCTTGCATGATCCGGAGACATCTTCAGACGAGGATCTGAGGTCTAACTCTGAGAGAGACCTAGGAACTCATATGATGCATCTGTCAGGGAATGATTCAGGGGTGAGACTAGGTCAGAAACAACTTGAAAATGCCCTGACAGTACATTTGAGCAAGAAATTTGAGGAAATCAATGAGGGTCGAATGCCTGGGACTGTGCATAGTTCATGGCACTCAGTCAAGCAGACAATATGTCTTCCTGAGAAATCCCACAGCCAAATTAAACATCGAAATTTGGCAGCATTGGTGAGTGAGGACCACGGCGTTGATACCTCCCAGGAGATGTCCTTCCTTAGTTCCAACAAACAAAAGATGTTGGAAGCCCATATTAAATCTTTCCATATGAAGCCCATATTAAATCTTTCCATATGAGGATGCTGTGGGGCCTTCCCCGCAAGATCCGTGAACCCATAGAAATCTTCAAATCAGAAGAGGATATTTCCAATTCCTTTTCCCATTTCTACCTTCCCTCCTCAGCCAGCTTTATTTCTCAGGGAGATTCCAAAGATGGGGTCTCTAAGTCTCATAGACGAAGCACTTTTCAAGGAGAAAAGTTGGGAACAACAAGCTCAGTCCCTGTCCTTAATCATCCTCAGCCTGTCTCCTCACCTATTGGCAAAGAAGGGCAGGGGACCCTGAGAAGACAATTTTCTGATACTGACCATGACCTTATAGAGACAGATGCCAAAGATGGTGCCTCCACGCCCCTTAGAAGAGGCACTACATATTTTCAAGGAGAAAAATTAGAAACAACAAGCTCATTCTCCATCTTGGGTCATCCTCACCTCGTCACCTCACCTGTTGATCAAGAAAAGCAGGGGACCCTCAGAAGAGAATTCGCTGATACTGACGAGGATCTTACAGAAAGTGTCTGGACAACTGAGGATGGCAGACAGACTTTTCTGCCCCCCACACACAGCATCATAGACGAAGTCAGTCAGAAACAGACTGTACTTGCCAGTAGATGCAGTGCAGAGCTGCCCATACTGCAAGCTGGAGTTGGCCGTGATTCAAGGGATAAGAGAGAGAGTGCCAGTAATAATGTTAACAGGCTTCAGGGCAGTAGAAAGACCTTTCCTGTCACCAATGGGTCGAAGGAGATGTTCAAGGAAGAGGAGATCTGTACTCTTCAATCACAAACTAGGAACAACTTGACAACCAGCAAGTCAGGAAGCTGCTTAGTGACAAACGTGAAAAGAAGCACTTCTCATGAAACTGAAATTTTCCCACCAAGAATATCAGTTCCTCAAACTCCTAAATCATCATATCTTAAAAATCAGATGTTGAGCCAGTTAAAGTTGGTCCAGAGGAAGCATAGCCAACCTCAGAGCCATTTCACTGGCATGTCTCTTGCCTTAGATAACTTGAGTTCCAAGGACTTACTGACTCATGCCCAGGGCATCTCGAATCAGGACTTGGGAACTTCCCAGGTGCTGCATGTCCACTTGGAGGTCAGAGGAATCCGTGTGGCACAGCAGCAGGAGCACAGGGTCCCTACGCATGTCTTACAGAAATGCCAAGTTAAGAATTTTTCACCAGCTACAAAGAGAGTGAGCCCTTTAAGACCCAATGGAGGAGAGCTTGGTGGAGGGGATGCAGGGTTGGGGACATCCCAACTCACTAGAAAGAGCCTCCCTGTTCATAACAAGGCATCAGGAGAGGTGCCTGGGAGCAAATCTTCCCCAACCTTGAAAACACAGCCTCCTTCTGAAAACCTTTTCAGAAAATGGATGCAGACCTTATTGCAGTGGTTTAATAAACCTAGCATAATGTGTGAAGAACAAGAAAGTTCTTGGGAAAAGGGTAGCTCCCTGTCATCATCTGTGCAGAATAGAAGTCGAGTTACAAGTAGAGCTGCTTTTACTGGTGCTACTGAAGCTCAGAAAATTAGGAAAGACACTGGGGAGTTCCTAGAAGAAAAGCTGGGGCATAGCCATGGGATAGATATCACCTGTCCCTAAGAACCCTTTTCCTTCCCAGTGGAGCTTGGGAAAGCTCAGCACAACCCAGAAGTGCAGGTCAGAGCAGAGCCCTTCCAGGGCTATCCCCGCAACTACACAGCTCCCTCCCGCAAAGTGACATGTACCAAATCTTGCAGCCAACAAGCTATCTTTGTTGGACAGAATTATCCTACAAGGATTAGACAGATCATAGACAAGGACAGACAGCCCCAGGAAGTTGAGGCATTTAAGGGGAAGATATTGTATCAAAGGCATCCCCAATCCATGCCCCACAGGGATCCTGTGCCACATCTAAACCCCACTTGTCAGCGTCAAGTCACCCTGGTGTGTCCAGCTGTCCCAATTAGTGGCAAAAGCACTGTGTTCAGTGATGTGCCTTTACTAACTGGACACAAAATGCATTGGAAGTATTTGCAGGGAGGCAAATCTCCCCCCACAAAATAATTCACTACTTGTTGAGAATCTTGATTCTCCCTAATAAATGTTCTAATAAGATTGGTGTCTTTTCTGTGTACTGTGTTGGGAGGTATAGGTTTTGGGTAACCCAAGCTTGTGCTTAGGGAAAGGTAGGAGTTAGCTCAGCTCTTACTGACTCCCTCTTTTGACTTTTAAAAGGTGACCAATCCCCTGGAACTAGTGTGAAGGAATGAGTATCATGTGCCTCCAAAAGCCCCTTTTCTCCCTGATCAAGTCTGAGGAGATGGGCTCTTTTCTACCTCTTTGCTTTAGACTTACTGATACCGTATGGCAGCCTGCACCTTCCTCCCCATTCACTGCTTCATATCCTTTAGAGCAGTAAGGAAGGCAGCCCTTCCATATCTGAAGAGAGAGTGAAGGACAGATACATTTTTCAGAAATAGTGGTTTAATCACTATTTAAAAAAAGTTGTCACTGACCACAGGATCATATAAGTTGGTGGGAGTGTTTAGGGTATTGCTGGTTGGGGTAGGGTGTCAGGAACACTGTGGATGCTGCTTAAGAATTTGACAAGCAGGGCATGCTCATGATTTAGGGAGGCATATTTTGACCTCAACGTTGAGGTCTTTCTACTAATAAGTCACTTGGGAAAGTAGTTCCCCTCCCTGTGTATTTCTCTATGCTACCTGGATTGATGACATTTTTACAGAGCAAAAAGATCACCTGGCTGTCTGTGGCAGGACTGCTGACCAGACAACCACCTACCTCCTAGGGTAAAATATAGCTTACAGTAAGGAAAATATGTCTTTGAATGAGAAAGTAAGAAAAAAGTGAAGCTAGGAAAGGATGACCATGCTAGTCGAAAAAGGTTTATGCCCCATCATGCCCATATCATGACCCTTTCTCAATCTGGATCTAGGTACCACCACCTTGAGGATTACCAGGGCACTGAAGAGCTGACAGATGCCATTTTGGCAGAAGTGTACATGGGGCTGTTCTTTAAGGAGTAAAACAGTATCTGCAGGGCTGTTGTCAACATGGCATCCCTCTCTTTAGGGAAGGTGATCTTTGTGCCTTCTTTCTAGCCATGTTGATGGCAACATGCAAGATCTTCCCTTAATGTATACGGTGCACCTCAGGATGGATGTGTCACCTCTGATCTTCATGGGGTTAGTGGAATATAATAAATATTGTGTAGAACACCTGAAGCTCATGATCCAGAGGTGAGTCCTTGACTATGCATGAGTATTACAGACATTTGGAGGCTAGCTATGAATCTTTACAGAATGCTCCTTATGACTAAGAGTGTGCACATATGCACCCTTAAAATATTAGAGGTCTGAAGAGAAGGGAACTCCACTTATACAGACTGGGACTAATAAATGAGGTGAGTTTTCTAGAGGGCACTTGAGGTAGGTTTTCCAGAAAAATTTGTGAATGCTTGGTGTCAAAACAAAAGCAAAACAAAACAAATCAAAACAGATGTCCACTACAGCTCCCTCACTCAACCATCCTTCTCTTTTCCTGTCCATGCGTATGCCACTGACCCTGCAGTGTCTGAAGTTTGGGATTGCAGAAATAATTCAGATTTCAGGAAGGCTTTAAGAGAACAAAATTGGGATGAAGTCCAGGGCAAAGAACTTGTGGAGGTGGAGAATCAGCGACCCATGGATGCCTGGGGATTCTCCATGTTCTTCCCTGTAAGCCTGTCCCCTAAGTCTTGTAAGGCAGCCAGCCATGCTAATTGTTTTAAAATGACTGAAGGGGGCCCAGTATTTGGTTTGATTTGGTTCTAAAATGAAGGCCGAGAGCCTTGAAATGAAGGGACAGAGTTGGAGTCCGCTCCTCTATTCACCATGTCAATAAAGGTTGTACCTTGGTATCAGACATGAGCCCCCAGTTTGAAGGGGCTACATTATCTGGGGTATATGCCCTGGCGTTCATCATCTTGTGCCAGGAAAATTTAGAACACAGACACACACGAGGAGTTTAGGAGCAGATGTTTAATAGGCAGAAGATAAGAGAAAGAGAAACAGCTCTCTCTACAGACCAAGAAAAGTCTCCAAGTGGAAAAGACTGGCTGGCAGCGAATGCACCAGATTTTATAGTCAGGTTTGAGGAGGCAGTGTCTGATTTCCATAGGGCTCACAGATTGGTTCAATCAGGTATGATGTTTACATAGTGTACAGGCAAGGCTGGTTGCCCCAACGTAATCTTATTGCACAAATGGGCTTTCCAGTTGATCGGTGCCATCTTGTCTGCTCCTTACTGTACATGTGGCTGACAGAGAAAAGAAGATGGAGCCACCATCTTGAACATGTCTAGTCCCCTAATTCCTGCTGGCATTCACTTGTGCAAGCTCCCAGCTTGCTTATCTATGTCTGCAGCTCGAATTTACAGGCTGCTCTTTGTTAGAAAATGATTTGGGGCTGATTCTCATTAAAAAGAAAAGATTTA
Source organism: Homo sapiens (assembly GCF_000001405.40). Classification (NCBI taxonomy): domain Eukaryota; kingdom Metazoa; phylum Chordata; class Mammalia; order Primates; family Hominidae; genus Homo; species Homo sapiens. Next base: position 81,937,379 of record NC_000009.12, read on the forward strand.
CTGAGGACTCCCATACCCTTATTATCTGCCTAGGTAATTTCTTCTTAACTACTGTATCAGCAGCATTATAGCCCCAAAGTGAAAACAACCCAAATGTTCACCAACTAAATCAATAGATAAACAAAATGTGATATATCCATACAATGGGATGTCACTTGTCCATAAAAAGAAATGAAGTATCTATACATGCTGCAACATGAACGGACCTTGAAAACATCATGGTAAGAAGCCAGACACAAAAATCCACATATTGTATGATTCCATTTAGATGAAATGTCTAGAAATGAAAAATAGATAGAGACAGAAAGTAGATTACTGGTAACATAGGGAGGAAGGCAAATATTGAGGGGTGAAGGCTAAGTGAAGCAGAGTTTCTTTTTGGGGTGATGAAAATGTTCTAAAATTGATTGTGGTGATACATGCATAACTGTGAATATGCTAAAAACTGTTGAATGGTATACTTTTGGCGAGTGAATTGTATAGTATACAAATTATGTTTCAATAAATAATTTTTAAAAAGAAAGTTTATATAGTAGCTTTATTCATAATTGGCAAAATTAGAAGCAACAGAAATGTCTTTCAGTAGGTAAGTAAATTTTTTTGTATATCCTAAAATGGAATATTATATGCCATTGAAAAGAAATAAACTGGCAAAACATAAAAAAGGAGGAAAACTATTAAGTGAAAGAATACAATCTGAAAAGGGTGTATGATTCCAACTATATGACATTTGAAAATGGGCAAAACTATGAAGGCAGTAAAAAGGGCAATGGTTGTCAGGGGCTAGTGGGGAGGGGGGGATGAAGAAACAGCACAGAGGATTTTTAGGGCAGTGAACTATTCTACATGATAGTACAATAGTGGATATGGGTCATTATACGTTTGTCAAAACCCACAGAATGTACAACATCAAGAGTGAACGTTAATGTAAACTACGGACTTTGGATAATAGTGATGTGTAACAAATGTACCACTCTAGTATGGGATGTTGACAACTGGGGAAGCTGTGCCTGTGTGGGGATAGTTGGTATATAGGAATTTTCCCACTTACTTTTGCTGTCAACATAAAATATCTGTAAAAAATAAAAGTCAGTTAAAAAAAAGAAGAGGAGGTTGTTAATATCTCACAAGGCCCAACATCAGAGAGTTGGCATCAACTCTCTGAAGTATTCCCTGAACCCTGTTTTCCCTTCCTCCTGGCAGAAGAATTCTACTTCTTTATCTATCTTCCCATTGTGTATTATTTTTGCTTGTTTTACAGCTTTTTGTAGCATATTTAATTACACTTGTTTGCAGGTCTCACTTTCTGTACTATGACCTGTCCAAGGGCAGAGGCAATGTCTTATTTTACTGATATTTTTACAGTAGTAGGAATACTACATAGTAAAGTTCAATAAATATTTGTTGTGTGAATGTATGAAGAACATCTTACGACTACTGTTTTATTATTTTTATTTTTCTGGGACAGAGTTTCACTCTGTTGCCCAGGCTGTAGTACAGTGGTGTAATCTCGTCTCACTATAACTTACCCTTCTGGGTTCAATCTAATCTCCTGCCTCGGCCTCCCAAGTAACTGGGATTACAGGTGTCTCCCACCATGCCTGGTTAAATTTTTGTATCTTTAGTAGAGACTGGATTTCACCATGTTGGCCAAGCTTGTCTTGAACTCCTGACCTCAGGTGTTCCGCCTGCCTTGGTCTCCCCAGGAGCTGGGATAAAACTACTGTTTAAAAATACAATTATAAAGGATTTTGGCTCAGAACCTGTTCTGCTTCAGGCTTTTGGGGAACCTGAAAACAGCTGCCTCCAAGTGACTTATTCCAGGGACAGTGGTCAGGATGTGAGGGCGTGAGCATTGAGGAAACGTCCTAGGAAATTGGGAACATATGAAAGTCCTAAACTAATAGTTTATCTATACTGAGCATCCTCAAGTGGTAACATATTACTCTAAGAGCTTTTGGAAAAGATTCCTCCTTGGAGATAATAAAACCAAGTGCAGTGTGAAATCCAAGACCAGACTTCTGGGTGGTGGTTTAGGTAAATTGAGAAGATGTCATGGGGCCAATGGTGAGACAGTCCATCCTACCAGAAGCCACCTCTGCCACCTCCCAAAGGCTGCCTAAAATGCTTTGGTAAGAGCTTATTACAAGGCATGGGGATAGATATACGTAGAATGTGTGAAATGTTTTCCTGGGAGGGATGACATTTTAAACTTTTATTTTCTACATTACTGGGAGTCATATGTAGATTTTAAGAGGGGGCTAGGAAAAAAAAACTATGAAGACTTTGATGCTAAGAGTGGAAAGGAAAAGTTATCTAAGAGGTGATAGAGTACCAAAAATAGCTTTTCCCTTACTTCCCAAATTTGTCAGCATTTAACAGACAAAGTGAATATTCTTAAGCATCTAACTATTTTAACATTAGGGCATACTTTTTACTTTAAGAAATTACATATTAATATGTGTAAAGTAGAAGCATTATGAATGTAGAGAATTTATTCATTAGGGCTTTGATATTTACTACTGTCTGATTTAGAGAAGTCACTTACCCTCTCTGGGCTTCGGTTTCATTCATTGATAAAATAGGCACATGAGGTCAAGGGCAGAGCCTGTGGCTTACAGATGCCTGTGTCTCCTAGTTTCCAGCAGCAAATATTTATGAGATGAAAACTTGGCTGAGGCTACATATAAAAGAGAGGAGGAAGGGGCATCTCTTGGCAGATTTTATTCTCAAGGCAGGTTACCTGCTCTTGCATAAATGAAAGGAGACCTGGCCTGGCTTGAAGGCTGTCTTATCCTTTCAAAGGAGATCAGTAACAGTGGTGGCCCATGGGTAACTGTGGTGGCCCATGGGTGTCTAATAAGGAGCTTTATAGTATTAAAAGAAACTTCAGAGAAATTAAATTTAAAGTAGTTTAACTGAGCAATGAAAGATTTGCGAATCGTCCAGCCCCCAGAATCACAGCAGATTCACAGAGACTCCAGGGGTGCTTTGTGGTTAGAACAAATTTATAGACAAAAAGGCAAAGTGACGTACATGAATCAGAGGTGAGAGGTACAGAAAGAGTGAGATTGATTACAACTCGGCGTTTGCCTTTTTGAATGCAGTTTGAACATTAAGCAGTCTATGAGTGGTTGAATTATGGCTGCCGGGATTGGCCAACACTCAGCTATTGTTACAGGTGCATACTATTGAGTTAGATTTTCAATTTGTGTAACTATTAGGCTAGGTTACAATTCATCTGCAAGCACTCAAATATAGAAGCATGGAGTCCTCAAGCCATATTTGTTTGCTTTAACAATAGTTTAAGAAAGACATGAGAAGTTAAGAGCCAGTTCAGATGACAGCTGTCATGATAAAGAGTTTAGAAAAGAATGTGTAGGAAGATGGGTTAGGGGTGGAGGATATTGGGATCATTTAAACCTGACAGGAGTCACCTGAATAAAGTATGACAGGTAGTTGGTATTTGGACATTTGCAGAAGTGATTATATAGAATATAAAGCAGATGTTCTCAAGTTTTTTGGATGCCAAGGCACTCAGGAAAAGATCACATTTACATGGCCCACAGTGTAGTCAGGTGAGGTTGCTTAAGACTACGTTCTGCTCTAAGGCTTTGACACACCTAAGTCTCACTCTGCTACCAAACACTGATGGGATCAGTAGTATCATCCAAAAGAGCACCAAGATGACTAAATAGTAGAAAGGAGAGCCTTATTGCTTAATCAGTTTGCAAGCCAGGAAGGGAAAGCATCCAGTGTGGAATAAAGCTGCTGTCTGTTGGAATAGGGGAAGGACAGGTTGGGTTTTATATTCATATTCATACATATTCAATAAGTTTGGGGGAAAAGCTATATATATTTATGCAGGAGCCAAGCACACCATAATGAGTAAACATATGTAACATACATCCCATGTTCACCTTGGTTTTAGCACTAAAATGAGGTAGAATTTGGCCCTTTACATGATAAGGTGAACTGTAGGACAGAGGCGGTTTGTGTGCCGCCTCTATAATCTGGCAGAAACTGGAAATCTCTAATATTAGTAGCTTATCAGAAAAGAATGTTTGTAAGGCCGGTCCTCTGTCCAATCAGAGCCGATAGCTCATTTGGTGAGAGGGAGTTTAGTTATAGAAAGTTAGAAATTTGCCATGCCATCCAGGCCCTGAACCCTTGACCCATCGGTAACTTTGTTTCCTTAACCTAAGGGTCTGTCTTAGTTGATAAAGGGGCATCTATTTTGGTCTTTTAGATCACAATAGCTTAGCGCACTGTAACCTATCCCTGCTTTAAGGGAGTTGCATACTTGCCACCAAAGTGATGTGGAGGGTTGGGCCTGGTTGTGTTTGCGGTAGAGTTAGAAAATGTGGGGTCAAAATGACAAATAAGAAATTAAAATAAAAGGAGGAACTAATTGATTCTGGATTTGAAAACACTCATTGATTTGTCACAGGATGGGTGTGTGGATGTGTTTGTAAAGAAAAGAACTTTTATCTGAGGCATGTGAGTCCTTTTAAGTTATCAGGCCTAGAGAGACATTAAAATGAGACAGAAATCACAGCCTTATTTCCTCCTTGAGCTACACATTCATCTCTTGAAACTGCTTGCTATTGCCATATGGAGCTATATAGTAACCCAATAATGCCACACCTGACAGGATAACCCACCCCCTATAGCTTAATAATGTACAGCCAATCACTAAGCAATGTCACTCCTGTAAACCAATGAGAATTCCTGATTACAACTTTGTATCAGCCGACTCCTTGTCCCCTTTTTCCACTTTAAAAACCCACTCATAACTACTGGTAATTGGAGTGTATATTTAGGCTGACTTGCATCTGTGTTCCCAGGTTGCAATCCTCAAGCTTGACCCAAATTAACTCTCTACTTATAATAATTTTCCATCAACTTCTCCCTTTTAGGTCGATGCGTATGTGTGTTTGTGTACAGAGTATGTTCCAAAAGTGCTTGAACAGTTTAAACTTCACTAACTTGAGAAAAATAAGTTCTATAAATTTACCCCTAAGGTCCCTGGAAGTTTCAATTATATACATTTATTGTACACTTATTTTCATTTTGTAGATGTTAAATAATGCATTATTAGTGAAACCATGCCCCAGAGAGTTGAAGAAAACAATGACTAATGAAATTAATCAGTTTACAAGAAAGGAGATCAAACAAAAACAACAACAGTAACTTGCTAAAATGCCGAAACTCTCCCTGCTTCTGAGATTTAAAAACTGGCTAAAATGGATTAAAACTATTAAGGCCAACTGGAGTTTGCACAGAACAAGCTGGCTGGCGTCACAGCCCAAATTTCTGCCACATTTTAACCAACTCCCCACAAATGTGCCCATGGAATACATGAGGCAGCGTTAAAGAAAACTGTGCATGCCGAGGATTTTCAGACCTCCCCTTTCCTTCCAGCAATCAACTATTAATTCCAGAGGCCACTCCCTAAATGTTTTCTAATAAAATGACTGCATGAAAGCCAGCACACAGGACTGATTTGAGCTGGACTCCTGTCTCCTTTTTGGTTAATTTCCAATAAAAACATCTTTTCTCAAAAAAATCAAATTGGGCAGGGAGCTTCTTTTCCTTGATAACGTTAGTTTTAATCATTTGAGTCAGTCCCTCTGATTGGAAATAGTAAAAACTGACTTCAAACAAAGAATGTAATGTTCACCATTCACGAAACGAAGTAAGAATAAAGGAAGTTTAAGTTTTATATCTGCATTTATGTAAGGCAAAAACATACTGTAGATAAGACGGATTTGAGGACATATGTGATCCTGAGAGTAGAAAAGCCTGGGTACAACAAATATTCCAGGCAGTATTTCAGGCTTTCAAGGCAGTGTAGTTGGTGGGGTCCAAGTTAAGGGCTCCAAACAGCGAAGTGGGACTTGGGTAATGCCTGGTTTACTGTTGGAACAAACGGAAAATTCAACTAAGATAAATATATGACTTGAAAAAGGATGGAGTTGGGAAATGGAGTGTTAGGGTAGGACAGAGCGACCTAGAGGGCCCAGGAAGGTGGAGTCAGCTGGGCTGGTGGGGTTGGGGCTGTGGACACACCCTCCTCTTGTTGATCCCTCCACCCTCAGAAACCCTCTGTGACTCTTCCACGCTCTGTGATGCAGGCCTGTGCTTACAGTTAAGCCTGGGCACCCTCAGTGCTCAGTTGCTTCAGGCAGCTGAGCTATTCAGACCATGGAGAATATCCTCTGTTTTCTGAACAGCTATACTGAGACAGGGCTGAGCCCTGACTCACATTGTTTGGATATTGACCTCAACTTCATCTGCTTGAGTGGGTTGGGGTTGTTTATACTGTACTTGTTCTACATGGTATTGACCCTGTATTCATCACCCACCGAAAAAAATAATGACACCCAAAAGGTAAGGAACTGTGGGTGAACACCCAAGAGAGATGCCCTGTTTTTGTTTCCGAATCCTATTCCCACATTTCTAAATAAGTTTGGTTAGTACAGAGACATGTCTTAGATGGGAAGTCTGAAGAGAGGATAGAACTTCACTCTTCTGTGGAACAGGTTGGGCAGATGTAGGGGTTCAGGAGGACAAAGGTTTCCATCTGTAGCTCATAGACTACCTATCCGGCTGTGGTGGAGAGTTCCAGGATAAAATCCCAAACAGTAATTCTGTGGTCCCAGGTGGGATTATTTAGAGAGTCTGGGCTCTCTGAAGGAGAATAGTCTCTGCTGAAATTTGATCATGAGTCAGATTCCCATGTCACCCGTCATTCAACAAAGCCTTCCTTCTTGTTGGGCTGACCAGGGGAGTAACGCTGAGAGTCTCTGAGCAGAGGCTGGAGCCAGAGCTCTGTCTCTGGGATGCTTGCCCTGTGAGGGAGCACAGATGTGACTGTCGACCTCTGAGTCTGTGCCCTGGATGAGGACTTCTAACTGAGCACATCAAGTGTGGCTCTCACAGAAGAAATCCTCTTTCAGCTTTTCAGAGAAGGGAAAACAAGAAATATTTTATGACCTTTAAAAATTGATAACAAGAATATATTTCTATTAATTAGAGAGTCATATCATTCTTGTATAATGAATGAATGAATGAATGAATGAATGAGCTTCAAAGAGTGTGAGAGAAGTGAGTACCAGCCTGTCATTATCTTTGTTTCATTCTCAGCATCAGGGCAGAGCCAGGAGGAAAAGAAAAAGCGTGACATTTAAAGGTAATGTCAGCCTATTCTATCTGAGCTTCAGGGTGACCCTTTCTGTCTCTTTCATGAGGACTCAGTCCCATGATTTCTTAGAATGTCAGTTACTAGATAGTCTCAGAAAACAGAGCCCTCAGAAGACAGGCTCGTGGGAAATCAATCAGACCTGAGACACTGCTCATAGGCCCTGCTCTGCCCATTCATGGGCATGACAAAGTGATGGACCTGAGTAATGGGTGTTGCCCAATTGGTGGCCACCTGAGATATCGAGGAAGGACTACTGGTTGGCTTGGAGTCAGAGTTTCTGTCTTACAACTTTGCATAAGTACTTTGACTTCCTTGATGCTCGGATTCCTCCTGGAGGTAACCACTGATGTCTATGTTTCACGTGGTGGTTTTGAGCATCACATGGGATAATGTATATGAAAGAATTCTACTAATGATTCCACATACACATGTGAACTTGTGAACATTATCAATGAATATTTGCCCTTTTCTACTGATTCTTGGGGCTATCAGAGTTTAATATCCCAAGGGTCTTCCACAGAGTTACTTCTGTATGATCCCTGTGCCTCTACCTTCATTGCATGTAACATGCTGTTCTGGTTTCCAGACCGGAAAAGTTTGCAGAAGGAAGCAGAAGAGGAAAGAAAGCTACATTCTTTTCTGAAAAGGTGATTAATCATTCCCCTTCTATCCTGTTCCCACCGCCTTCTTTTTTTTTTTTTTTTTTTTTTTTTTTTTTTTTTTTTTTTTTTTGCATGTTCTATTCATTTCAGGGATTCCTTGTAGCCTGCTGTAGTTTTGGGAGTGGGTAGCCATAGGAACGGATATGTGAATGAATGCTTTGAGGAGAGGCTATAGTGAGGTCATATGACCTCACATACGGTGAGCTCATGGATGGGGGGTAATGTGAAGCAGGATTCAGGGGGCCCCACCCCTGCCAGGCTAACAGATCCTCATTTCCTTGTTCTGATCCTGGCTGCAGCTTTGGACCTCCTGTTTCCTGCAGTCCCCTGGGCCAGCATCATGATACCACCCTCTTTCGTCGACTGTTATGCCCAGACCCTGTCTGTCGGGTGTGTAACAGAGCAACTGCTGATATCCAGCGACTGCTGTCTTGGGAGTCCCTGAAAGATGCTGCTCCCTCTGTGTCCCCTTTGGCTTCTTCAGCTTCTGGGGCTGAGTCATCGTTCACTCTGGCTTCCACCCCCTCAGCAACCACTCCAGAAGACCTAATATTGTCCTCTCGGCCTAAGCCCTCTCCACCACCCCCCTTAATTCTCTCACCTGACCTGATCACCACCTTAGCTGACTTATTTTCACCCTCACCACTGAGGGACCCTCTGCCACCACAGCCTGTTTCTCCCTTGGATTCCAAGTTCCCCATAGACCATTCCCCACCCCAACAGCTTCCCTTTCCCCTTCTCCCACCACATCACATTGAGAGAGTGGAGCCCAGCCTCCAACCTGAGGCCAGTTTGTCTCTGAACACCATCTTTTCATTTGGCTCCACCCTATGCCAAGATATTTCCCAGGCCGTGAATCGCACTGATTCATGTGCTCGTCATCATGGACCACCAACCCCATCTGCTTTACCACCGGAAGATTGCACTGTGACTCAGTCTAAATCAAATCTCACCGTCTTGAAGACTTTTCCGGAAATGTTATCTCTAGGTGGCTCTGGTGGGTCATCCACCTCTGCCCCAACAACGAAAGGCATTGACCATTCATGCCCTGCATCTTCAGAATTCTCCTGGTGGCAGCCTCATGCCAAGGACTCTTTTTCCTCTAATTTTGTGCCATCTGATTTCATGGAGGAGCTTCTTACCCTTCATTCTTCTGAGGCCTCTTTAGGGGGGCACTCTGTGGCCAACATCATACAGCCTGTTAACATCTCTTTTCTCAGCCATGACATTCCGGCACTCCTGGAGAGACAAGTCAAAAGAAGGGGTGATTTCCTGATGTGGAAAGAAAATGGAAAGAAACCAGGATCATTCCCAACACAACTTAGGCCAAACTACCAACTAAATTCCTCACGGAATATGTTAACCTCAACTGCTGTTAAGCATGACTTAGCAGAATCCTTTCCTTTTTGGGCCAGTAAAGGCAAACTAGAGTGGCAGCACATCCATCAGCAGCCCCCATATTCTAAGTGTTTTGAGGACCATTTAGAGCAAAAATATGTCCAGCTCTTCTGGGGTCTCCCATCTTTGCACAGCGAGTCTCTGCATCCTACTGTTTTTGTCCAACATGGCCGTTCCTCCATGTTTGTATTCTTCAATGGCATTACAAATACATCTATGTCCCATGAATCCCCAGTACTTCCCCCTCCCCAACCTCTGTTCTTGCCTAGTACCCAACCTCTACCCTTGCCTCAAACCCTGCCCCGAGGTCAGTCCCTACATCTCACTCAGGTGAAGTCCCTGGCTCAACCTCAATCTCCATTCCCAGCCCTACCACCTAGTCCTCTATTCCTGATTAGGGTGTGTGGCGTGTGTTTTCATAGACCCCAGAATGAGGCACGGTCTCTTATGCCATCTGAAATTAATCATCTGGAGTGGAACGTGTTGCAGAAAGTGCAGGAAAGTGTGTGGGGTTTACCCTCTGTGGTTCAAAAATCCCAGGAAGACTTTTGTCCTCCAGCTCCCAATCCTGTATTGGTCAGAAAGTCCTTCAAGGTCCATGTTCCCATCTCCATCATTCCTGGAGATTTTCCACTCAGCTCTGAGGTAAGGAAGAAACTAGAGCAACACATTCGAAAGAGGCTCATCCAGCGCAGATGGGGCCTGCCCCGCAGAATCCATGAGTCTCTGTCATTGCTACGTCCTCAGAACAAAATTTCAGAGCTATCTGTGTCAGAGAGCATTCATGGTCCATTAAATATCTCTTTGGTTGAGGGTCAGAGGTGCAATGTTCTAAAGAAGTCCGCATCAAGCTTCCCTAGAAGCTTCCACGAGAGGAGCTCAAATATGCTTTCCATGGAGAATGTGGGGAATTATCAGGGATGCAGCCAGGAGACTGCCCCAAAAAACCATCTCTTGCATGATCCGGAGACATCTTCAGAGGAGGATCTGAGGTCTAACTCTGAGAGAGACCTAGGAACTCATATGATGCATCTGTCAGGGAATGATTCAGGGGTGAGACTAGGTCAGAAACAACTTGAAAATGCCCTGACAGTACATTTGAGCAAGAAATTTGAGGAAATCAATGAGGGTCGAATGCCTGGGACTGTGCATAGTTCATGGCACTCAGTCAAGCAGACAATATGTCTTCCTGAGAAATCCCACAGCCAAATTAAACATCGAAATTTGGCAGCATTGGTGAGTGAGGACCACCGCGTTGATACCTCCCAGGAGATGTCCTTCCTTAGTTCCAACAAACAAAAGATGTTGGAAGCCCATATTAAATCTTTCCATATGAAGCCCATATTAAATCTTTCCATATGAGGATGCTGTGGGGCCTTCCCCGCAAGATCCGTGAACCCACAGAAATCTTCAAATCAGAAGAGGATATTTCCAATTCCTTTTCCCATTTCTACCTTCCCTCCTCAGCCAGCTTTATTTCTCAGGGAGATTCCAAAGATGGGGTCTCTAAGTCTTGTAGACGAAGCACTTTTCAAGGAGAAAAGTTGGGAACAACAAGCTCAGTCCCTGTCCTTAATCATCCTCAGCCTGTCTCCTCACCTATTGGCAAAGAAGGGCAGGGGACCCTGAGAAGACAATTTTCTGATACTGACCATGACCTTATAGAGACAGATGCCAAAGATGGTGCCTCCACGCCCCTTAGAAGAGGCACTACATATTTTCAAGGAGAAAAATTAGAAACAACAAGCTCATTCTCCATCTTGGGTCATCCTCACCTCGTCACCTCACCTGTTGATCAAGAAAAGCAGGGGACCCTCAGAAGAGAATTCGCTGATACTGACGAGGATCTTACAGAAAGTGTCTGGACAACTGAGGATGGCAGACAGACTTTTCTGCCCCCCACACACAGCATCATAGACGAAGTCAGTCAGAAACAGACTGTACTTGCCAGTAGATGCAGTGCAGAGCTGCCCATACTGCAAGCTGGAGTTGGCCGTGATTCAAGGGATAAGAGAGAGAGTGCCAGTAATAATGTTAACAGGCTTCAGGGCAGTAGAAAGACCTTTCCTGTCACCAATGGGTCGAAGGAGATGTTCAAGGAAGAGGAGATCTGTACTCTTCAATCACAAACTAGGAACAACTTGACAACCAGCAAGTCAGGAAGCTGCTTAGTGACAAACGTGAAAAGAAGCACTTCTCATGAAACTGAAATTTTCCCACCAAGAATATCAGTTCCTCAAACTCCTAAATCATCATATCTTAAAAATCAGATGTTGAGCCAGTTAAAGTTGGTCCAGAGGAAGCATAGCCAACCTCAGAGCCATTTCACTGGCATGTCTCTTGCCTTAGATAACTTGAGTTCCAAGGACTTACTGACTCATGCCCAGGGCATCTCGAATCAGGACTTGGGAACTTCCCAGGTGCTGCATGTCCACTTGGAGGTCAGAGGAATCCGTGTGGCACAGCAGCAGGAGCCCAGGGTCCCTACGCATGTCTTACAGAAATGCCAAGTTAAGAATTTTTCACCAGCTACAAAGAGAGTGAGCCCTCTAAGACCTAATGGAGGAGAGCTTGGTGGAGGGGATGCAGGGCTGGGGACATCCCAACTCAGAAGAAAGAGCCATGCTATTCATAACAAGACATCAAGGGAGTCGCTTGGGAGCAAATCTTCCCCAACCTTGAAAACACAGCCTCCTCCTGAAAACCTTTTCGGAACATTGATGAAGACCTTTTTGCAGCAGTCTAATAAACCCATCATAACATATGGAAAACAAGAAAGTTCCTAGGAAAAGGGTAGCTCCTTGTCATCATCTGTGCAGAATAGAGGTCGAGTTAAAAGTAGAGCTGTCTTTACTGGGACTATTGAAGCTCAGAAAATTAGGAAAGACACTGGGGAGTTCATAGAAGAGAAGCTGGGGCATAGACATTGAATAGATATCACCTGTCCCCAGGAGCCCCTTTCCTCCCCAGTGCAGCTTGGGAAATCTCAGAATGTGCCAGAACTGCAGGTCAGAGCAGAGCCTGTCCAGGGCTATCCCTGCAACTACATGGCTCCCTCCTGCAAAGTGACATGTACCAAATCTTGCAGCCAACAAGCTATCTTTGTCGGCCAGAATTATCCTGCAATGATTAGACAGATCATAGACAAGGACAGATAGCCCCAGGAAGTTGGACATTTAAGGGGAAGATATTGTGTCAAAGGCATCCCCAATCCATGCCCCACAGGAAGCCTGTGCCACAGCCAAACCCCACTTGCAGTGTGAAGTCAACCTGGTGCCTCCGGTCATCCTGACCAGTGCTAAAAACACTGTGTTCAGTGATGTGCCTTTACTAACTGGACAGAAAATACTTCCAAAGCATTTGCAGGGAGGAAAATTTCCCCCCAAAAAATAATTAACTCCTTGTTGAGAATCTTGACTCTCCCCAATAAACGTTCTAATAAGAATAAGAAGGATGTCTTTTCTGTGTATTGTGTTGGAGGTATAGGTTTTGGGTAACCCAAGCTTGTGGTTAGGGAAAGGTAGGAGTTAGCTCAGCCCTTACTGACTCCCTCTTTTGAATTTTAAAAGATGACCAATCCCCTGGAGCTCTTGTGGAAGAATGAGTATCATGTGCCTCCAAAAGCCCCTTCTCTCCCTGATGAAGTCTGAGGAGATGAGCTCTTTTCTACCTCTTTGCTTTAGACTTACTGATATCGTATGGCAGCCTGCACCTTCCTCCCCATTCACTGCTTCATATCCCTTAGAGCAGTAAGGAAGGCAGCCCTTCCATATCTGAAGAAAGGTTCAAGGACAGGTACATTTTTCAGAAATAGTGGTTTAATCACTATTTAAAAAAAGTTGTCACTGACCACAGGATCATATAAGTTGGTGGGAGTGTTTGGGGTATTGCTGGTTGGGGTAGGGTGTCAGGAACACTGTGGATGCTGCTTAAGAATTTGACACGAAAGGCATGCCCATGATTTAGGGAAGCATATTTTGACCTCAACGTTGAGGTCTTTCTACTGTTAAGTCACTTGGGGAAGTAGTTCCCCTCCCTGTGTATTTCTCCACGCTGCCTGGATTGATGACATTTTTACAGAGCAAAAAAATCACCTGGCTGTCTGTGGCAGGAATGTTGACCAGGCAGCCACCTACCTCCTAGGGTAAAATATAGCTTACAGTAAGGAAAAGATGTCTTTGAATGAGAAAGTAAGAAAAAAGTGAAGCTAGGAAAGGATGACCATGCTAGTCGAAAAAGGTTTATGCCCCATCATGTCCATATCATGACCCTTTCTTAATCTGGATCTAGGCACTGCCCCTTTGAGGTTTACCAGGGCACTTGAAGAGCTGACAGATGCCATTTTGGCAGAAGTGTACATGGGGCTGTTCTTTAAGGAGTAAAACAGTATCTGCAGGGCTGTTGTCAACATGGCATCCCTCTCTTTAGGGAAGGTGATCTTTGTGCCTTCTTTCTAGCCATGTTTATGGTAACAAGCAAGATCTTCCCTTAGTTTATACGGTGCACCTATCAGGATGGAAGTGCAACCTATGATCTTCATGGGGTTAGTGGAATATAATAGATATTGTCTAGAACACCTGCAGCTCATGGTCCAGAGATGAGTCCTTGACTATGCATGAGGATTAAAGACATTTGGAGGCTAGCTATGAATCTTTACAGAATGCTCCTTATGACTAAGAGTGTGCATATATGCACCCTTAAAATATTAGAGGTCTGAAGAGAAGGGAACTCCACTTATACAGACTGGGACTAATAAATGAGGTGAGTTTTCTAGAGGGCACTTGAGGTAGGTTTTCCAGAAAAATGTGTGAATTCTTGGTGTGAAAACAAAAACAAAACAAAACAAAACAAAACAGATGTCCACTACAGCTCCTTCACCATCCTTCTCTTTTCCTGTCCTTGCTTATGCCACTGACCCTACTGTGTGTGAAACTTAGGATTGCAGAAATAATTCAGATTTCGTGAAGGCCTTAAGAAGGACAAAATTGGGATGAAGCCCAGAGCAAAGAACTTAAGGAGGTGGAGTATCCATGGAGGGCCCAAGCATCCATGTGGATAGGCTTCCAATAACCTGGCCTCCTAATTCCTCTGTCATTCCATGTTAGGTCCTTTACCTCCATTCCAGTTCAGTTACTGCCACACCCAGAAGCTATCATCAGAAACATCTAAAAGTTATCATCAGAAACCCTCTGTTTTTGGAGGCAGAGTCTTGTTCATTCGCCCAGCCTGGTGTGTAGTGGCATGTTCTTGGCTCACTGCAACCTCCGCCTGCCAGGTTCAAGTGATTCTCCTGCCTCAGCCTCCTGAATAGCTGGGATTAAAGGCACATGCCATGATGCCGGGTTTTGTTTTGTTTTTTTTCGTAGAGACAAGTTTTCACCATGTTGGCCAGGCTGGTCTAGAACTCCTGACCTCAAGTGATCTGCCTGCCTTGGCCTCTCAAAGTGCCGGGATTATAGGTGTGAAGCACTGCTCTCGGCCACCTTCCAAGGGTTTTATCTTCAGAGGAATTATATGTCCTGAAATGCATCTATTGAGTGGTAGCTAAACTCTAGTCTTGATGGACTGATCCATTCTTGCCTTGAAATAGGTACACAGTATATGCTTTAAATGGGTGAATTTTGTGGTTCATGTATTATATTGCAATAAAACTTAAAGGATTTAAAAAGAAGAAGTGCTTGAGGATAATAAGAATACAATACGATACACCAAAAAGGAGTTAACACATTTTTGGAAGATGAAAACCTGGTGGAGGAGAGAAAGCTGATTTAGCAAAGTAGACAAAGCACCAGTTATGCTTATTGCTGCTTCCTTCTCTTCATGAGGCACTGAACATGTTTTATTTCTTAAGTCCTTTCATTGAAGAGATGGTTAAACATACACAAGAGCAGGTAGAACAATATAACTCCCGATGTACCCACCACCTAAATTTCACAATTATCATTTAGTATGGATGATGCATCCCATGTTTTACATATGATTAAAGTGCAAAAGTCCATTTAAACATCTTGCCATCCATCTCTTAGAAGATATGCTATGTGCCATATGTCAATGCTGTCACATTCCTTTGATATTTATCACACGAGGAACACACTTATCTACAACAGATGTACACAGCATTGGTGACAAACACATTGAACTTTAGTGGCCTTTGCAATCAGTTCTCTTTAAACTTCTCCTTTAAGTCAACCCCAAGGAGTCATTTGAATTTTTACCCACAGTCCATACAAGAAGCAACCTTACAGAGCAAATTCAGTGCACAATATTGCAGTCCCTTAATCACACAGTAACTATAACACGAAAATAACAGTAGAAAACTGTGCATGTTGCTAAAAACTTGAGATTGCCATATAAGTGTTTTCAAATATTTAAAAGAAATTTTTTCTATCACATATTTAAAATGAGTATTCATGTTTCCACTTATATAAATTAGATCAAATATACATGTTTATCTACCCTCCTTCCCATAGTGCAATTAAGAGTAAAAGATTATATGAAAAGAGGCTCAACATCATTAGTCATCAGAAAAATACAAATAAAAATCAACATGAGATAGCACTTCATGCCCACTAGGATGGCTGGAATAAAATAGACAAGTGTTTGAGATAAGTTGGAGAAATTGGAAGCCTCATACACTGAGAGTGGGAATGTGAAATGGTACAGCTGCTTTGGAAAACAGGCAGTTCCTCAAAATGTTGGCATATAACCCAGCAAATCCAATCCTAAGTATATACCAAGAGAAATGAAAATATGTGAGTGCAAAGTAACTTGTACACAAAGGTTCATCGCAGCATTATTCAAATAGCCAAAAGATGGAAACAATTCAAATATCCATCAACTGATGAATGTATAAACAGAATGTGGTATATCCATACAACAGATTACTATCTAGCCATAAAAAGGAATAAAGTATTGACACATGGTACAACATAGATAAACCTTGAAAATTTTATGCTGAGTGAAAGGTCAATCACAAATAACCACAAATGATTCCATTCTGATGTCCAGAATAGAGACATTATTACACAGAGATAAAGTAGACTTAGAACTAGATTAATGAGGTGCAAGAAATGTAATAGCTAAAGGATATATGGTTTCTTTTTGAAGTCATAAAAATGTTTTTAAAATGACTGGTGATGGATACACAACTCTGTGAATATAAAAATCACTGAATTATACACTTAAAATGGGTGACTTATACGGTATGTGAACTGTATTTCAATAAAACTGCTTTAAAAACTGAAGGATTTAAAAAATAAATGCTTGACATGACAGGGACAGGAGAGGATACAACAAAAAAGGTCAACTCATTTTTGGAAGGTGGAAATCTGGTAGAGGACAGGTAATTGACTTAGTGCCTGCAAACCAATTCACACCATGTATTAGTCCATTTTCATGCTGCTATAAAGAACTACCTCAGAGTGGGTAATTTATGAAGAAAAGAGGTTTCATTGACTGATAGTTCCACAAGTTGTTCAGGAGGCATGGCTGGGGAGGCCTCAGGAAACTTACAATCATGGCAGAAGGCAAAGGGAAAGCAAGCATGTCTTCACATGGCACAGGAGAGAGAAAGCTAAGGAGGAAGTACTACACACTTTCAGACAATCAGGTCTTGTGAGAACTTGCTAACACAAGAACAGCAAAGGGAAGATCTACCCCCATGATCCAATCACCTCCCACTGGATCTCTCCCCCAACACTGGAGATTACAATTCAACATGAGATTTGGGAGGGGACAGAGAGTCAAACCACATCACACCACAAAACTGCAGAATACAAGTGACATGATGGAACCAAACAAGAAATTAGGAGTTACATGCCATAAACAAGGTTCATTGAAATTTTGATTCTTTTTTGTTTTACATTGTATATTAGTCTGTTCTCATGGTGCGGATAAAGACATACCTGAGACTGGGTAATTTTTAAAGAAAAAGAGGTTTAATGGACTCACAGTTCCATGTGGTTGGGGAGGCCTCACAATCATGGCAGAAGGTGAAAGGCACATCTTACATGGCAATGGACAAGAGAGAATGACAGTCAAGTGAAAGGGGAAACCCCTTATAAAACAGTCAGATATTGTAAGACTTATTCACTACCATGAGAACAGTATGGGGGAAACTGCCCCCATGATTCAGTGATCTCCTACAAGGTCCCTCCCACAACACATGGGAATTATGAGAGCTACAATTCAAGATGAGATCTGGGGACAGGTGCAGTGGCTCACGCCTGTAATCCCAGCATTTTGGGAGGCTGAGGTGGGTGGATCATGAGGTCAGGAGATCGAGGCCATCCTGGCTAACATGGTGAAACCCCGTTTCTACTAAAAAATACAAAAAATTAGCCAGGCATGGTGGCAGGCAACTGTAGTCCCAGCTACTCGGGAGGCTGAGGCAAGAGAATGGCATGAACCCATGAGGCAGAGCTTGCAGTGAGTGGAGATCACACCACTGCACTCCAACCTGATGTGACAGAGCAAGACTCCGTCTCAAAAAAAAAAAAAAAAAAAAAAAGATGAGATTTGGGTGGGGATAGCCAAACCATATTATTCCTCCTGTGGCCCCTCCTAAATCTCATGTACTCACATTTGAAAACCAATCATGTCTCCCAACAGTCCCCCAAAGTCTTGACTCACTTCAGCATTAACTCAAAAATCCACAGTTCAAAGTCTCTTCTGAGACAATGCAAGTCCCTTCAACTTATAAGCCTGTAAAATCAAAACAAGTTAGTTACTTCCTAGATACAATGGGGTTACAGGCATTAGGTATATACAGCCATTTCAAATTGGAGAAATTGGCCAAAACAAAGGGGGCTCCAGGTCCCATGCAAGTCCAAAATCCAGCAAGGCAGTCAAATCTCCAAAATTATCTCTTTTCACCCCATGTCTCACATCCAGGTCATGCTGATGCAAGAGGTGAGTTCCCATGGTTTTGGCATTTTCCTTCCACATTTCCCTAGCAGAGGTTCTCCATGAGGTCCCCACCCCTGCAGCAAACTTCTGCCTGGACATCCAGGAATTTCTATAGATCCTCTGAAATCTATGCAGAGGTTCCCAAATCTCAATTCTTCTGGGCACCCACAGGAATACCATGTAGAAACTGCCAAGGCTTTGGGCTTGCACCCTCTGAAGCCACAGCCTGAGCTGTACCTTGGACACTTTTAGCTATGGGTAGAGCAGCTGGGATGCAGGGCACTAAGTCCCTAGGCTTCACAAAGCAGGAGGACCCTGGGCCTGTCCCATGAAACCATTTTTTCCTCCTAGGCCTCTGGGTCTGTGATGGGAGGGGCTGCTGCAAAGGTCTCTGACATGCCCTAAATACATTTTCCCCATTGTCTTGAGGATTAACAATTGGGTCCTCATTACTCATGCAAATTTCTGCACCTGACTTGAATTTCTTCTCAGAAAATGGGTTTTTCTTTGCTATTGCATTGTCAGGCTGCAAATTATCCAAACTTTTATGCTCTGTTGTCTTTTTAAAACTGAATGCTTTTAACAGCACCCAAGTCACCTCTTCAATGCTTTTTGTTGCTTAGAAATTTCTTCTGCCAGACACCCTAAATCATCTCCCTCAACTTCAAAGTTCTGCAAATCTCTAGTGCGGGGCAAAATTCTCCCAGTCTCTTTGCTAAAACATAGCAAGAGTCACCTTTATTCCAGTTCCCAACAAGTTCCTCATCTCCATCTGAGACCACCTCAGCCTGGATTTCATTGTCTATATCATCATCAACCTTTTGGTCAAAGCCATTCAACAAGTCTCTAGGAAGTTCCAAACTTTCCCACATTTTCCTGTCTTCTTCTGAGCCCTCCAAACTGTTCCAACCTCTGCCTGTTACCCAGTTCCAAAGTCGCTTCCACATTTTCAGGTATCTTTAGAGCAGCACCCCACTACACCCGGTACCAATTTACTTTATTAGTCCATTGTCACACTGCTGATAAAGACATATCTGAGACTAGGTAATTTATAAAGAAAGGTTTAATGGAATCAGAGTTCCATGTGTCTGGGGAGGCCTCACAATCATGGTGGATGGTAAAAGGCACGTCTTACATGGTGGCAGACAAGAGATAATAAGAGCCAAGTGAAAGGGGAAAACCCTTATAAAACGGTCAGCTCTCATGAGATGTATTCACTACCATGAGAACAGGATGGGGGAAACTGCCCCCATGACTAAATTATCTCCCATCAGGGCCCTCCCACAACACATGGGAATTATGGGAGCTACAATTCAAGATGAGATTTGGGTGGGGATACAGCCAAACCATATTGCAGTGTATAAATTTTTTATACATAATTAAAATCTTTTTTTGGGGGAGCTCTTTTTCAGTATATTGTAAAACCCTGTTGAAATGTCAGCATGCTTCAAATGTGGAAAGGGAATCCCAGGTTCTTGCCTGGAACAGAACCTGAAACAAGTGTTTTAAAGTTGGCATGGCATACTACTTTGGTGTATTAGTACACCATGCCAACTTTGTACACTACTAGGTCCAGGTGTGGTGGTGGCAACTGTGGGAATCAAAGCCAAAAATCTCAAATGTTATATAAAAATGTAGTCAATGGTCCATTAAAAATGTATTTATTTGAAGTTTAATATAATTAAACTTGCAGAAGAGTTGCATGGATGGTAAACAACAATATATTGGTTCATTTGCATTGCCATAAAGAAATACCTGAGGCTGGGTAATTTATGACAAAAAGAATTTTATTTTGGCTCACAGTTCTGCAGGCTATACAGGAAAGGTGGCAACAGCATCTGCTTCTGGAGAGGGCCTCAGAAGATTTTTAATCATGGCAGAATGAAGACTAGAGCCAACATGTCACATGGTGGGAGAGGGATCAGGAGAGAGAGTGGAGGAGGTGGCACATTCTTTTAAACAGCCAGATCTCATATGAACTCATTTATTACCATGGGGAGGGCACCAAGCCATTCATGAGGGATCCACCCCTTTGACACAAACACCTCCCACTAGACCCACCTCCAACACTGGTGGTCATATTTTAACATGAGATTTGGAGGAAACGAAACATCCAAACCATATCACAACAGTGTAACTTTTATCCAGATTTGCCTATTCACATTTTGACCCATTTGTGATCTCTCTCCTATATCCCTCCCTCCTACCTCCTCTCTTCTCTCTCTCTCTCTACACACACACACACACACAAACACACACACACACACACACACACGAATTCCTGGACATCAGAGAATACTTTTCATACATCATCCACTTTCTTCTTGACTATTTCACTGTGTATTTCTTAAGAAAAGAATATTCTTTTACATAGTCAATTATCCCCTTCAGTAAATTGAGCATTGGTGTAAAACTTTTAATTAATCTCTTATCCATATTCCATTTTTGTCAGTAATATCCTTTGTGGCTTAAAAATAACCTCCATTACAGGATCCAGTCTAGAATTATGTATTGCATTTAGTTCTCATGTGTCTTTAGTCTCTAATCTAGAGCAGTTTCTCAACATTTTTTTATGGCATCACCCTTTTTGAAGAATATATTCAATGTGTAATTTTTATAATCCTCTCTTCTTAGAAAGTTTATGGTGGAGCTTATCTTGCTCTGGCTGTAAAGGACATTTTTACATTTGTGAGTTCTAGGGACCATACAGGCTGTTAGGACCAGACATTATAAACAAACAGAATGAAACCAAACATACAAAACAACAAAAACCATCAGGATGCAAGGCTGTATGGAGATATATTTCTCAACAGAGAGACCTCCTGTAGTCAAGGGAGGGTAGATGTGAGGAGGCAGGCTTAAAGTTTACCTCCTTTTGGGTAGAGAAAATGGAGAAGCTGTGGATACAGAAGACAGGCAAAGCTGTCATCACTGGTAAACCCTCATCAGATGAAAAGGATTGGGTGCCTGGGGTCAAGATGGAGTCATCAGACTCAGTGAGGGAATTTAGGCAAGCAGTGTAAGGCAATGACACAAGGCTTAATTTCAGCAGTTCATAACCTAAGTAGAGAAGCTTCAAGGGTTGTAACTGTTAAATGACTGGCTAACATGGGGAGATAAATACATATATACTATAAACAAAATAGACATTGTTTGAAAAAAGTATAGAGGAGCCATAGGAATTGGGGTGAAAAGTTAGGAAGTAGATGGAAAAAAATAATAAAAACTTTCATAAAAGAAGTAATCATAGGCATAATTCAAAACAAAATGCTATGCTAAGTTTCAGTTGTGCTCATTATAGGCTATATTACACTAAGGAGAAATCTGCTTCCTAAATCAGGATAAGTTTGGTTATGTGGGTTGTGGTTCAGCACAGTTGCTCTGTGAAATTGAGGCAGAATTTTAAAATGCTGGGAAGAAGAGAGGGGGTTTGGTAAAGAGAAGAAAGAAGGTGCATAGGATAGAACACTGTATAGGTAGAGGGAGCTAGATTTGAGAGCCCTTAGGGGTGAATAGCCTAAGAGAGATTAGAGGAGAAAAAATTACTGAAAGAGTTCCAAATTTTTTGCCAGAGATGGGCCATGCCTTTGTGTCCCTCTTTGTTGTACAGGTTACTCTGTTCTCTGATGGCTTTTGGTAAACATGGATCTTTTTGAAGAAATATGGAGGGGATAGGTTGCTGCTGAGTATATTCCTGGTTTTGTACAGGTGAAAAAAAAACATTGTGTTCATGGGGAGGTTATAGTTGAGGACAGAGTAGATCTTGAAGGTGTAAATCCATGGCCACGTCACTTTCAAAGATAGTGGGCTCCAAAGGCGGATCATGAAGCAGTAAAAGGTAATAGGTGGAATAAATAGAAAATGTTACTAATGTAAACATATAGTATCATGAAAGGGTGCAGTTGGAGGGTAAGATGAAGATCTAAAAGGACCCAGGGGAATGGACAGATCAGTTGGGCTAGATGATAGGGGGAAGAACTGTGGGTTCATCTTCCATTTGTTGTCCCCGCCCCACCCTCAAGAACTTCTGGTGTCTGTGTTAAAGTTCCATGATATAGGCCTGGAACTCTGATCTGGAATGGGGACTCAGCACTCAGCTTCTGATAATGAAGACTACCTTCTTTGTCTCAGAAGCCTTACTGCACCATGGCTGAGCTCCAGCTTGACTTCCTGGGTATTCCTATCCTTGCCTTCCTGTGTAGGATGGGGCTCCTCCTTCTATCTCTGTGCTACCTAAAGAGTAATCTGTGTTTTCCAATATTTTGGAAACAGAGAGACATCTGTCAGTTAAGTGAGCCAGAGCTGTACAGAGATTTTAGGTCTTTATTCTTTTCTAACATGTGTATTTAATGCTAGAAATTTCCTTCTAAACACTATTTTTGCTACAATTTTGATTTTGCAGCAAATTTTGATTTTTCCACTTTCATTTAGTTTAAAATATTTTAAAATTTCTCTTGATACTTCTTCTTTGCCCATGTGTGTTGTTTAATCTTCATGTATTTTGGGATTTTCTGGATATCTTTATGTTATTGATTTCTAGTTTTGCTACATTATGGTTAGACCATATGTAGCATTATATGAGTAGACATTATATAATTTCTTTTATAGTTATTAAGGTATGCTTTATGGCCCAGAATGTTATCTACCTTAGTTAATGTTCCATGTAAGCTTGAACAGAATGCTGTTGAATGAAGTATTCAATACATGTCAGTTAGATCAAGCTGATTACTAGTGGTGTTCTGATCAACTATATCTTCACAGATTTTCTGCTTTATCTGTCAATTACTAATAGAGACATTTTGAAATCTCCCACAATAATAGTGGATTTATCTATTTCTCCTTGTAGTTCTACCACTTTTGCCTCATATATTTTGACACTCTTGTTGTTAGATGTGTACACATTAGGAATTATTATGGCTTTTTGGAAAATTGACCCCTTTGTTATCATGTAATGCCCCTCTTTATCCCTGACAATTTTCCTTGTGCTGAAATCTGACTTGTTTTAAATTAATATAGCTGCCTCTATTTTCTTCCGATTACTGTTAGTATGGTATGTTTATCTCCATCCCTTTGCTTTTAATCTATCTGTGCCTTTATATATTAGATGGCTATCTTGTGGGCTGGACATGGTGGCTTACCTGAGGTGCAATCCCAGCACTTTGGGAGGCCGAGGCAGGTGGATCACCTGAGGTCAGGAGTTCCAGACCAGCCTGGCCAACATGGTGAAACCCCGTCTCTACTAAAAATACAAAAAATTAGCCGGGCGTAGTGGCGGGCGCCTGTAGTCCCAGCTACTTGGGAGGCTGAGGCAGGAGAATGGCGTGAACCCGGGAGGCGGAGCTTGCAGTGAGCCGAGATCCCGCCACTGCACTCCAGCCTGGGCGACAGAGCGAGACTCCGTCTCAAAAAAAAAAAAAAAAAAAAAAAAAAAAAATACAAAAATTAGCTGGGCATGGCAGCAGGTGCCTGTAATCCCAGCTACTCACTGGGGCTGAGGCAGAAGAATCACTTGAACCCGGAAGACGGAGGTTGCAGTGAGTCACGATCACGCCATTGCACTCCAGCCTGGGCGACAAGAGCAAAACTGTCCCTAAATAAACAAACAAATAAATAAATAAATAAATGGGTATCTTGTGGACAACACATAGTTGGGTCTTGTTTTTTAATCTACTCTGACAGTTTGTCTTTTAATTGGTTAATTTAGGCGATTCACATTTAAAGCAATTTTTAAAATACAGTTGGATTAATATCTACCATTTCTGCAACTGCTTACTATTCATTGTACCAGTTCTTTCCTTTTTCTCCCTCACTTTTTTGCCTTCTATGGTTTTAAACAAGAATTTTACACTATTTATTTTTAATTATTCATATTTAAGGTGTAAAACATGATGTTTTGATAAACATAGTGAAATGATTACTATAGTCAAGCCAATTAACATAGCCATCAGTTACTTTTTTTGTGGCAAGAGCATCTAAAACCTACTCTTTTAGCAAGCTTCCAGCATACAATACAGTATTATTACCTAAAATCATGTTGTACATTATCAAGTCTCTAGACTTTTTTATCCTACATAACTACAATTTTGTACCTACTTCTTCCCTGCTTCCTTCACTCCCACTGCCCCCACCCTGGTAACCACTGTTCTACTCTGTTTCTATATATTCAACTTTTTATAAAAAAAGATTCCAAATACAAGTGAGACCATGTAGTATTTTTCATTCTGTGTCTTGACTTATTTCATTTAGCATAAGCCCACCAGGTTCATCCATGTTTTTGCAAATGACAGGATCTCCTTCTTTTTTAAAGGCTGATATATATATATCTCATAATTCCTTTATTCATTAACTGATGAACAGTTTGGTTGTTCTTATATCTTGGCTATTGTGAGTAATGTTGCAATGAACATGGGAGTGTAGATATCTCTACAAGGTACTGATTTCATTTTCTTTTGGTATACATTATATCTATTTTGTCTGATATAAGTATAGCCACTCCTGCTCTCTTCTGGTTACCATTTGCACGAAATATCTTTTTCCATCTCTTTACTTTCAGTCTATGTGTGTTCTTAAAGCTAAAATGAATCTCTTGTAGGCAGTATAAGAGTTAATTATATCTTTATTATTATTATTATTTACTTTTTAATTTATTTATTTTTGAGACGGAGTTTCACTCTTGTTGCCTAGGCTGGAGTGCAGTGGTGCGATCTCAGCTCACCACAACTTCCACATCCCGGGTTCAAGCTATTCTCCTGCCTCAGCCTCCCAAGTAGCTGGGATTACAGGCATGCGCCACCATGCCCGGCTAATTTTGTATTTTTAGTAGAGACGGGGTTTCTCCATGTTGGGCGGGCTGGTCATGAACTGCCAACCTCAGGTGATCCACCTGCCTCGGCCTCTCAAAGTGCTCGGATTACAGGCGTGAGCCACCAAGCCTGGCCAGTTATATCTTTTTTTAAAACCCAGGCACTCTATGTCTTTTGATGGGAGATTCACATTTAAAATAATTATTGATATGTAAGGATTTCCTATGGCCATTTTATCAATTTCTGTTTTGTAGTTCCTTTGTTCCTTTTACCAACTTCCTTTATGATTTGAGGATTTTTTTTTTTTTGAGACAGAGTCTCGCTCTGTTGCCCAGGCTGGAGTGCAGTGGTGTGATCTCCGTTCACTGCAAGCTCTGCCCCCCGGGTTCATGCCATTCTCCTGCCTCAGCCTCCCGAGTAGCTGGGACTATAGGCACCTGCCACCACGCCCGGCTAATTTTTTTTGTATTTTTAGTAGAGACGGGGTTTCACCGTGTTTGCCAGGATGGTCTCGATCTCCTGACCTCGTGATCCGCCTGCCTCGGCCTTCCAAAGTGCTGGGATTACAGGCTTGAGCCACTGCGCCCGGCTGGTTTGAGGATTTTTTTTAAACAAGCATTTTATATGATTCAATTATTCTCTTTTCTCTTAGGTTGTAAATTATATTTGATTATTTTTGATATGGGGTCTAGCTCTGTTGCCCAGACTGGAGTACAGTGGGATGGTAATGACTCACTGCGGCCTTTACCTCTTGGGCTCACAAAATGCTCCCACCTCAGCCTCCCAAGTAGCTGGGATAACAGGAATGTGCCACCATGCCCAGCTAATTTTTAAAAAACCTTTTTGTACAGTTGGAGTCTCACTATGTTGCCTAGGCTGGTCTTTAACTCCTAGGTTAAAGTGATCCTCCTGCTTTGGTCTCCTAAAGTGCTGGGATTACAGGTATGAGCCACTGTGCCCAGCCATAAATTACATTTCTTAAAAAAAAAAAATTAGTGGTTGCCCTAGTTTGTAATATATTGCATTTACAGCCAATCTTAATTCACTTTCAAATAACACTATACAGTTTCACAGTGTAGTAGCACAGGTACCTTATAATAAAATGCTTCCAATTCTTTCTTCCTCTCACTTATAACATTATTGTCATTCATTTTACTCATCCATGATACTATAATCACAAAAATGTTGTTTTTGGTGTCGTTCTTATTATGGCAATTAAGAATAAGAACAATGAAAGTTTTATTTTACCTTCATTTATTCCTTTGTTGGTGTCCTATCTTTTTTTTAAAAAAATAGATAGATAGATAGATAGATAGATAGATAGATAGATGATAGATAGATAGATAGATCTGAGTGATCATTTTCCTTCTCTCTGAAGAGCTACCTTTAAATTTCTTGTAGGGCAGATTTGCTGGTAATTAATTCCTCCTGTTTTGTTTGTTTGCTTGTTTGTTTTGGCCAGGGAAAGTTTTTACTTCTTCTTCACCTTTGAAAGATAATTTTGCTGGATACAGAATTCTGGGGGTGGGGTGTGGGGTAAAGGGGGTGGGCTTCTAGGCTTCTAGCAACACTTTAAATATTTTACTCTATTCTTCTTCCTTGCATTGTTTATCATGAGAAATCCAAAATTTTTATTCTTGTTCCTTTATAGGTAAGGTGTTTTTTACCCCTCTGGATTCTTTCAAGATCTTTTTCACTGAGTTTTCTGCAGTTTGAGTATGACATGCCCAGCTGTATATATATATATTTTTTTTGAGACAGAGTCTCACTCTGTCACCCCGATGGCCCATCAAAGGCATTCTTCATGTCCATTGTGATTTTTTTTATTTCTAACATTCCTTTTTGATTCTTAGAGTTTCCATCTCTTTATTTACAGTCGTCATCTGTTCTTGCATGTTGCCTACTTCTTCCATTAGAACGCTTAATAATCATAGTTTTTTCTATTCCACGTATGATAAATCCTAAATTGGTGCCATATGTGAGTGCAGAACTGATGCTTACTTTGTTTATTTAGAATTTTTTCCTTGCCTTTTGGCATGCCTTGTGATTTTTAGTTGAAAGCCAGACCCAATGTATTGGGTAATAGGAAATGAGGTAAACAGGCTATTAGTGCTAGGATTTATGTTAATGTGGCTAGTACTTGAGCTGTGTTAAGTGTTTGCTGTTGTAGTATATGACAGAGCCTCCTGAATTTTCTCCAGTTTCCTTGTTTTTGTCTCCTCTGGTATCATTAGCTTTCCCTAAGATTACCTTCTTAAACAGAGTCTACACCTTGTAGCTCTTTGTGCCGTCATCCCCTGTTACTATACTGGAGCTCTGTTAATGTGGTGTAAGGTATGTAGGAGGTGATGCAATTAAACGTCAGTCTTTTAGTCCTGTGTCCCTGGGTTGTGATGTTCACAAGTGTTTCCAAGCCTTTTCTCCCCCACCTCTTAGGTGAGACACGAAGGCTAGAGAGGGCTGGAGTTGGGTAACTTCCCTTTCCTCATGTGGGATCATGCTCTGGTAGCCTTTTTCCCTAATGAGTAGGCCTCTATTATGAAGAACACTCAGTATATTTGAAAATGGTAAACTTTCCCTTGTCCCTGCCAGAAGCATGAGAGTTTTCTCATTGCTATTCATTGTGAGAACCTGATGGGTTTCCCAGGGGTAAAACCCATGAAAATGCAGGGGAGTCCCTAAGACTGTGACCCCAGGAATTTTCTCACTCTCATACTAGTTCACAAACATCCTCCAGCAATTTGTCAAAGTGTCCATTTAAATGTTCCTACCAGTTTATGGCTTCAGTGGCTTCTGCTCCAGGTAAGCTGATCTCAATTATGATTCTCTTTATTCATCTTTCTGAGGATTTTAGGAGGGTTTGCCCTACAACCTCAATTCCCCAGTGGCTCCAAGAATAGTTATTTTCAGTTTGTTCAGCTTTTTGCTTCCAAAGATGGGAGTGGTAAGTTTTTTGAATGTCAGAGCTGGAACCAGAAGTATCCCCTCAGAAAATGATTCCTTATTTTCCTGTTCTTCTTCCCAAATTTATAAATGAGTTTGGTTGGCTTAGAGAGACACTTGACATGGGAAGTCTGAGGAGAGGCTAGAACATCACTCTTCTAAGGGAAGATGTCAGACAGGGCAGGGGTTCAGGAGGACTAAGGTTTCCATCTGAAGCTCACAGACTACCTATCTGGCTGTAATGGAGAATTCCAGGATAAAATCCCAAACACAGTAATTCTGTGGTCCTGGATTAAATTATTTAGAGACTGGGCTCTCAAAAGAACAGTTTCTCCTGACACTTGATCATGAGTAATATTTCCATGTCACGTGTCACTCGACCAAACCTTCCTTCATGTTGGGCTGACGAGGAGGGCAATGCTGAGGGCCCCTGAGCAGAAGCTGGAGCTGGAGTGCTGTTTCCAGGACACAGGTTCTGTGAGGGAGCAAGATGTGACTGTTGGCCTCTGAATCTGTGCCTTCCTTGAACTGAGGACTGCTAACTGAGAACATCAAGTGCAGCTCTCACAGACAAAACTGTCCTTTGAATTTTTCAAAGGGAAAAATTGGAAATATTTTATCACCTTTAAAACTTGAAAAAAGAAGCGTTTTTTTTGTTTGTTTTTTTGTTTTTTTTTTTGATACTGAGTCTCGCTCTATTGCCTAGGCTAGAGTGCAGTGGCATGACTTGGCTCACTGCAGTCTCCGCCTCCCGGGTTCAAAAAATTCTCATGCCTCAGATTCCTGAGTAACTGGGATTACAGGCTTCCGCCATCACACCTGGAAGAAACACATTTCTTTTCTTTTCTTTTTTTTTTTTGAGACGGAGTCTTGCTCTGTCGCCCAGGCTGGAGTTCAGAGGCGCCATCTCGGCTCACTGCAAGCTCCACCTCCTGGGTTCACGCCATTCTCCTGCCTCAGCCTCCTGAGTAGCTGGGACTACAGGCGCCCGCCACCACGCCTGGCTAATTTTTTGTATTTTTAGTAGAGACAGGGTTTCACCATGTTATCCAGGATGGTATTGATCTCCTGACTTCGTGATCCGCCCGTCTCGGCCTCCCAAAGTGCTGGGATTACAGGGGTGAGCCATCGCGCCCGGCCGGAAGAAACACATTTTTATTAATTAAGATAGAGAGTCATATTATTCTCGTATAATGAAGGTCTGAGCTTCCTAGACGAGTGAGAGAAGTGATTTCTGGCCTCGCATTATTTTCTTTTTGTTCTTAGCATCAAGGCAGAGCCAAGAGGAGAAAGAAAAATGGGACATTTAAAGGTAAGGTTCTGCCCATTCAACTTCAGCTCGCCAAGGATGACCCTTCCTGTCTCTTCCATGAGGTCTCAGGTTCCCAATTTCTGAGGATGTCAGTTACTAGATACAGTCTCTCTTAGAAAACAGTCCTCACAGGAGAGGCTCACGGGAAAGCAATCAGACCTGAGACACCTCTGGGAGTCCCTGCTCTGCCCATCCATGCACATGAAAGAGTGATGAACCTGGACAATAGGTGCTGCCCAATAGGTGGCCATGTGAGATCTATTGTGGAAGGACTACTGGTTGGTTGGTTTGGAGTCACAACTTCTGCCTCTCCACTTTGTATAAGTACTTTGACTTCCTCCTCTTTGAGATAACCACTGACATCCGTACTTCATGTGATTTATTTTTATTATTTTTATTTTATTTTATTTTATTTGAGACAGAGTCTTGCTCTGCTGCCCAGGCTGGAGTGCAGTGGTGCGATCTCCACTCACTGCAAGCTCCACCTCCCGGGTTCACGCCATTCTCTTGCCTCAACTTTTGAGTACCTGGGACTACAGGCGCTGGCCACCATGCCTGGCTAATTTTTTGTATTTTTAGTAGAAATGGGGTTTCACCATGTTAGCCAGGATGGTCTCAATCTCCTGACCTTGTGATCCTCCCGCCCTGGCCTCCCAAAGTGCTGGGATTACAGGCATAAGCCACCACACCTGGCCCCATGTGATGGTTTTGAGCATCACATGGAATACTGTATGTAAAAGGACTTTATAAATGAAGCCACTTACATATGTGAACCATGTTAATATTATCAATGACAATTTGAGCTTTTCTACAGATCCTTGAGGTTCTTCAAGACCAATCAACTAAGGGCACCCCTAAGGGGCATTCTACTCAGGCTCCTATAAGATCTCTTTGCTTCTAACTTCATCACTATCCTGTTACTCACCCTACTGGCTTGTCAGGTTGGAGAACTTGCCAGAGTGAAGTAGAGGAAGAGAGGAAGTTGTTTTTTCTTCTGCAAAGGTGTCTCAACATTATTCTTCTTTCCAGTATCCCTCTTTTTAGTAGAGTTCATGTAATTATAGGGCATCACAAAAGCCTGGGGTTGAAATGGGAGGAAAAATCCAGTGTCAGAATGTAAGAGCCATAGGGAAAGGGGTAAAAGATATACTGTGAGATAAGGAAAGCGGAGGGGGTCATATGAAAAGACAGCACGCATTGTGAGGCCTTAGCTTTGCAAGACCTGTCAAGGTCACATATGTTTGGCTGCAGCTTTGTACCTCGTCTCCTGTAGTCCTCTGGGCCAGCATTACAATACCATCCATTTTCGGCAACTATTATGTCCA
This sequence comes from Homo sapiens, assembly GCF_000001405.40. Classification (NCBI taxonomy): domain Eukaryota; kingdom Metazoa; phylum Chordata; class Mammalia; order Primates; family Hominidae; genus Homo; species Homo sapiens. Next base: position 81,967,936 of record NC_000009.12, read on the forward strand.
GACCCCCTCTGTGAGGTGAGTAATAGAGCAAGTGCTGAGGTCAAGTGACTGCTGTTCCAGGAGTCCCCAGAAGATGCTGCTCCCTCTGCGTCCCCTTTGGCTTCCACAGCTTTTGTGACCAAGTCATCATTCACTTTGATCTCTGCCCTTCCAGCAACCCTTCCAGAAGATCTAATACTGGCTCCTCTGCCTGAGCCTTCTCCACTGCCGTGCTCCATTCTCTCACCTGACCTGAATATCCCCTTAGCTGACTCATTTTCACCCTCACCGCTGAGTGACCGTCTGCCACCACAGCCTGTTCCTCCCTTGGATTCCAAATTCTCTGTGGACCATTTCCCATACCAACAGCTTGCTTTTCCCCCTCTCCCACCACAACACACTCAGAAGGCAGATACTGATTTCCAACCCAAGGCCTCTCTGTCTCTGAACCCCACCCTTGACCCCACCCTTTCCCAAGATATCAACCCCTTATCAGATGTTTCCCAGGCAATGAATCCCACTGATTTACGTGATTGTGATCATACACCACTAACCCTGTCTGCTTCACCGCCACAAGACTGAACTGTGACTCAGTCTAAATCAAGTTCCATCTTATTGAAACCTGTTTCAGAGATATCCTCTATGGAAAGTCCTATTTGGTTGTCCACTTATGTTCCGACAATCAGAGGCATGGACCATTCCAACTCAGAATTCTCATGGTGGCAGCCTTACGTCAGGAACATGTTCCTCCCCAGATTACCATATCCTTATTTTCAGCGGGAGCATGTTTCCCTTCCTTCACCAGAGACCTGTCTCTGGGGAGACTCTGATACCAAGCACTTGGAGGCCAGTAGATATTCGTTTTTGGCCTTAAGATACAGGCACTCTTGGAAAAACAAATAAAAAAAAGAATGGCTTTCCAGATTTTGGAGAAGAAAGAAAAGGAGAAGGGATTATTTTCAAAATAAATGTGGCCAGAATACCAACTGACATCTTCAGGAATTCTATTGCAGTCACTTGTTGATGAGCAGGACACCACAGCCCCCCAAAGCAGCTGGAACACCAAAGGCACAGCAGAGCAGCTGCAGGTTTGTCAGCAGCTCCTGTATGTCAAAACTTTGGGGGGAAATTTGCAACAGAAATATAGCTAGCTCTTCTAGGGTCTTCCCTCTCTGCATAGTGAGTCCTCAGTGGCTACTCTCCTGGTGTCTAGGAGCAGCTCCCCACTAGTGTGTTGCTTTATTGTATTCAATACAGTCCAAATGCATGATCAAGAATCTCTACCACTTCCTCAGTTCCACCATTATCCCCTCACCCCTATACATCCCCAATCCTTTCCTCAAACCAACCACCAACCCCAGATCCTACCTATCACTCAGGTCCATTCCCAGGCTCACCTTCACTCCTCACTCCCTACCCTACCATCACCTTCTCCATCCCAGGTTAAGGACTGTGGAATATCTTCCCATATACTCCAGAATGAGGCTGACTCTTACACCTCAAATCAACATCTGGAATGCCATGTGTTGCAGAAACAACAGGAAGGTTTGAAGGGTTTAGTCCCTTTGCTCCAAAAATCTTAAGAAGCCCTTCATCCTCCAGCTCCCAACCTTCCATTGGTCAGCCAGTCCTTCCAGGCCTATGTTCCAGTCTCCACCTTTCCTGGTTATTTTCATATCAGAAATGATCCCCAAGAGAAATTGGAGCTCCATGTTCCAAAGAGGCCAGTCTTACACTGGTGCCTCCATACCTGCAGGAATCTAGGATATCTAGCACTGATGAAGACTTGGTGCAAATCAACAGAAATATCTTAGCAGAATTGCAGACATACTCACTCACAACCCCTTGAACTTCAGGGTCACAGTAGCAAAAATCTAGGGAAGACAGAATTGAATCTCCCAGGAAGTTTCCATGAGAGGTCCCAACAAAGTTTCAGCTATGAAATGACATGGCAAAGAATCTTGGGTATATCTTAGCGAAGTGTTCATTACACAACCCACCAATGGTCTCAGAAAACTACCTGGTGAAGGGTTTGAGGGCTGTCTCTGACAGAAAAAGTAACTGGGTAGATAACTCAAGGAATGAATTACTAAGTTTATCAAGGAGGAACATAGACCAGAATCAAGTGAAAACCATTCTTAGATTACATTTGAGCAGGAAGTTTTGGCAGGTCACTTTGGATAGGATTCCTATCAGAGTATGTCATTCATGGCTGGCTAACAATACCTTGCCTCCTTGTGGGAGTTCCCATACCAATAAGGAAAACAGAAATGTGGCACCACTGGTGGGCAGGGTGTACTGCAAGATTACCACTCTGGAGCTTTCCTTTCTTGATTCCAAAACCCATCAGGTGTTGGAGGCTCATATGATGAGGGTTAGGGTAAATCAGAGGGGGGCTCTACCCTTCAAGGTTCTTGAATCCATAAAATTCTATATGTTGAGAAAAGCCAAAACATGGCCTCTTCCCCAGCTTAACTTTCCTTTGTCTGCCACCTATATTTCTAGGATGGTTTCTAAAGGTATGGTTTCAAGGTCTCTCGAGGGATGCTCTAATGCTTTTCAGGGAGACAAGTTAGAAATGACAAATCCAGTTCCCAGCTTGGATTGTCCTCTACCTGCCACTTCATCTGTAAACACAGGACAGGGAGCCTTGAGACAATCACCCTCTGCTACTCGCCATAAACTTACAGAGAATGCCCAGACAATTGAGAATGGCAGATAGACTTTTCTGCCCTCTACACACAGCATCATAGACAAAGAGAATCAGAATGAGACTGTACTAGCCAACAGACACAGCTCAGAGCTGTCCACAAGGCAAGACGGGGGTAGAGATGAATCAAGGAATGAGAAAGTGAGTCCCAGCAATAGTGTAGAAAGGCTTCAGGGCAAACAAAATGGTAGCAGAGACTTCAGAACATTTTTCTATGTCCAACGTGTCCAGGGAGATAGAGGAGCTCTGTGCTTTTCAATCACAATCTAATCATATCTTGACAACCAGTGAGTTGGGAAGCTCCTCAGTGATGAACACGAATACAAGTAAAGAAGAAACTACTCTGACCACCAAATACTCCCCACCAAGAATATTGATTGCTGAAGATCCTAAATCATCAGACTTTAAAGGACAGCTGGTGAGTTAAAGTTTAAATTGGAGAGTGGGGAACATAGTCAGGCTCAAGGCTGTCCCCGCGACATGTTCTTTACTTCAGATAGCTTGATTTCTGATTCCTCACTGGCTCACTCCCTGAATGTCTCCAGTGAGGATAGGGCAGCTTCCCAGGTACAGCATATACACCCGGATGATGACGGATCAGCATGAAGCAGTTGCAAGAGCCCCAAGTCTCTAAGTACGTCTTATGGGAGTGCCAGGATAAGAATTTCCCATTAGCCAAGAGGGGACCCAAAGCAAGAGCCTTTTGGGACCCAAAGCAAGAGAATGTGGGAGCGAGGACTTGGGATTAGGAACATCCAAAGCCACAAGGAAGAGCCATCTTGGCAAGGACAGGAAATTAGAGGAGACTTCAATGTCTCTGTCACAGAAAGAACCATTTTGTCTTGAAAGTTACTTTGGAAAAAAGATGAGGCATTTTCTTCAGTGGATTGATTTCAAGAGAAAAAGCAATGGGCAAGAAAGTCCCATGCAAAAAGACAAGTTAATGCCAGCCTTTCTACAGCACCAAGACCTAGTTGAAGGTAGACCTGTCTTTATGAGGACTCGTGAAGCTCTTGAGCTCATGACAGCCATTGGGAAGATACTAGAGGAGAAACTGGCATGTAGGCAGGAACCTGAGGACTTGGAATTAAGTCAGCCAAAGAAGAGCCACAGACTCAGGCAGAGCCTGACAACAGACAACCCTCCAACTATGGGCTTCCCTCTGAACAGTGGCAAGGGGAAGAGTCAAGTACCAACCCTTATAACCAAGAAGCTGTCTCTGATGGCCCAAGTTATCTTTCAAGTGTTAGATGGATCAGGACTAGGATTAGTCATCCTCAGAAAGTTGTGACATTTAAAGAGCAGCTATTATGCCAGAGTAATCCCCCCCCCCTGCTGCCCTCTAGTGAGCCTGTGTCCCATCCAAGCCCCATCTGCATGCAAGTATGCCAGGTGCCCCTGGCTGACATTAAACCAGCTTAAGGCACTGTGTTCAGAGATTTGGCCCTTCTTTGCAAACAGAAAATGCTTCTCCAGCACTTACAGGAAGGAAAAATTTTCCACAAAGAATAATCCAGTTCTTGTAGAGCCTCTCAGTTTTCATGATAGTATATCCTCTGATGAGAGCAATCTCTTTTTAGCATAACCAAGAATATTGACCCTCCCCAATAAATGTTTCTTTTAATATAGAGTGGTGTTCTCCATGTACTGCTCTGGAGGTGTGGATTTTGGGTATTCCAGAGCTTGTGCTCAGGGAAAGGAAGGAATTAGTTTAGGTCTTACTATTTTTCTCTTTTGGCTTCTAAAAGATGACCAGTCCCTTGTAGGGAGCCTGATAATGGCCTCCTCAGTCTTATCCTAGGATCTTTTGACACTTTTCAGATGTCCTGTAATTAAAACACTATTATTTCATAAAAGTACAAAAAGTTTACTCTAAAACCTTTCAGGAAGTTCCCCCTACCCTACCGTACCCTACCCTACCCTACCCTTCCCTTCCCTTCCTTTTTCGAGTTTTGCTCTTGTTGCCCAGGCTGGAGTGCAATGGCATGATCTCGGCTCACTGCAACCTCTGCCTCCTGGGTTCAAGCGATTCTCCTGCCTCAGCCTCCCGAGTAGCTGGGAATACAGGCATGTGCCACCACACCTGGCTAATTGCATATTTTTAGTAGAAACAGGGTTTCTCCATGTTGGTCAGGCTGGTCTCGAACTCCTGACCTCAGGTGATCCGCCCACCTCAGCCTCCCAAAATGCTGGGATTACAGGCATGAGCCACTGTGCCCGGCCTTTAGGAAGTTTTAGAGTTGGAAATGTGGGGGGTTTTAGACCCTAAAATCAGTGACATGGAGAAATCTTTTTCTTGGATCTCTTGGTGAGGAATAAATATTCCTCCCAAGAGGCAGCCCTTCTCTCCCTCATGAAGTTTGGGGCAATGTGCCATGTTCCCCACCTCCTACCTTACCCTAATGAAAATGGAAAATGGGTAGTAGTACATCTTTTCCCTTTCTGTACCCTTTTTGGAGCAGTAGTGGGGATAGAAAATGCATCTCTGAAAGAGGCCAGGAATAAAAATAATTTTCTGAAAATAGTGGTTTACTTTCATTTTTAAAAAGCTACTGACTCCAGAGCATCAGACAGGTGAGTGGTCATTGTATGAGGCATGAATGGGTGGATTTTGCTATTGTGGACACTTATTTGGCTGAGGTATGGTCCAGGCAGTGTGGGTCCTGCTGAAAAATCTGTTATATGTGGCATGTTACTGTGTCTAAAAAGAACATTTTGAAGTTGACCATAAGGTCTCTTTGCTTATGAGGTTATCTTGAGGAAAGAGAAGACTCCCTTCTCTAGGGAATCTCTTCAAGATGCATGGCTTGATAGCACTCTTACAAGACCAAGAGATTGCCTGGCAATGACTTGTAGGAATGGTCACCAGGCAGTTACTCAGAACTTGGGAAAAAAGGAGACAGAGACCAAGAAAAATGTAATGGGAGAGTGAGTGGGCAAGGAAAAAAAGAGAAGAGGGAAAAGTATAACCTCATCATCCCTGCTCATAACTCCATCCTGGCATCCACTGCACCCAACACTCCTTTACCTAGGCCTCACTTCCTAGAGTCTAATAAGCGATATTTAGAGCACAGTGATGCCACTTCAGTATAAGAGTATGAGGGATGATCTTTGAGCATAAAGACAATATTTGCAGGGATGTTGTCAGACACAATATCATCCTATTTGGAGAAGGTGATCTTGGTCCCTGCCTTCCAGCCATGCTACTACATCTTACACCAAGGTTATGATGATTTACAAGTATGTTAGATATGTATTGCTGTGTAATAGATACCTCAAAATTTAGTGGCCTAAAAATATATATTTATTATCTTACAGTTTGTGGATCAGGAATCCAGGCAAGGCCTAGCTGGTTTCTCTGCTTCAGGGTCTCTCACAAGGCTTCAATCAAGGTGTCAGCTGGGGCTGGGGTCTCATCTGAAGGCTTTACTGGGGAAGGATACACTGCCATGCTCACTTGTGTAGCTGTTGCAGGATTCAGTTCCTCAAGGTCTATTGGACTCAGGTCCTCAATTCCTTGCCAACTGTTGGCTGGAGCTAGCTGGAGGCCACCTTCAGGTCCTTATCATGTAGGCCTCTCCAGTGTGGCAGCTTGCTTCATCAAAGCCAGGAAAGGAGAGAGTCTGCTAACAAAACAGAAGTTACACCTTTTGTAAACTAAAATTGAAAATGATATCCCGTCATCTGTATCTTTTTTCTACTGGTTAGAAGCAAATCAGAATGTCCAGCCCACATTTAAGGGGAGGGATAATTACACGTGTGTCAATACCATGAGGTAGAGTCACTGGAGACTTCTTAGAAGACTTCCTAACACAAGGGTTTCTTTTTGGCCATCCCATTGAGTTCACTGAAGCCAAAGTGGCCAAAGGTGCCAAATAGGTCATCATCCTGATCCATATCCAGATGATCAAGGTGGAAGTTGTTTAACAGCTGTGTGGAGTGGTGGCTAGTTAAAAAAAAACACACATACACACACACAAACAACCCGCAAATATCAAAGAAGTTGTAGCATCCAAAGAAAAAGAGAAAGTTGGTATGAAGGTAGAAATTGTGTGGTAAAGTGAAAAGATCCCTTAGAACCACCTGAAATACCACTGCCAGTATTCAAACTTAGAGAAGAAATTAGGGGCAAAAAGTCTGGAAGTAAGACTGGCCCTAGGCAGGAGGGTTCATATAGGAACTCGATTAATTTCCTCAGCTTCCATTTCTATCCATGTCTTTGCTCTGTGTTATGAGTTGGCTTCATTAAGACTTTGTGTCTGGCAAGTTCATAGCTATATTCTCCAGGCTTCAAGTGCAGATAAAAATAGGTTGCCTCTCCCACTAGTTACTTCAAAAGTTCCATTAGTACCCTGCTGGCTCCAATCGGGTCACATGCCCATTCCTAACCAATCACTGTTGCCAAAAACGTGGAATGATCTTTTTGGCCAAGTCTGAGTTACATACCATCCTCAAAATAGGAGTGTTGGGAAAGGCAACTCCACCTGCACGTAGACTGAAATCGAAATTGGGTTTAGTTTCCCATAAGGCAATAGAGGAAATATTTCCAGAAGGTGAGTAAATTCTGGGTGACAAAAGTAAGATGGATTTACTAAAGCCCTCTCTCTTACTGCTCCATTTCTTCCTTCTTGTTCAGAGTGATGTCATTGACCAAAGCTTAGACGTTCAGGAAGAATGGTAATTCTGTGGATAGCCTTGGGAGGGGAAAAAGTTGGGATTGGGGTTCAGGGTAAGGAACCCTCAATGTGAAGGAAATCAGTTGAAGGCCTCAACATCCAGGTGAATAGATGTCATCTTAAAGCCCTTTACCTTCATTCCAGTTCAGTTACTGCCATACCCTAGAACTACCAGGAACATCTCTGCTTTTTGAAAAAATACAGTCTGACATTCCACCCTTTGTCCTTCTCACTTATGCCCTCAGTATGCCAATTCTTCAACCAATTCAGGAATTGCAAGCCACTTTAAACTTTCTCCTTGTCAATCCAATACCCTTTTAATTTCCTTCCTCTCCAAGAAAAACTTCATGATCCACACTTAACCACAAACCTGGTTAAGATCTGGACTTTATGGTCTACTCCAAACAACCTATCCCAGTGTCTTTTCATCTTTCCTGCCTGGGAAAATCCAACTTGCTACCTTTACTAGACCTGTCTTCTAAAAACAAGCTGATTCTTTTTGGATAAAATCACACAATTAAGTGTTTGGTGCCACCATTAATTTATTATCTACAACTAATGGCCAGTTTCTAACACTGCCTGAAAATAATCCATTCATTCCTCCAGTGAGTACTTTGTGCTAGGCAGTCTTCTAAGCACTTGGGACACACCAGTGAGGAAGCAAAGCTCTCTGTCTTGTGGAGTTTATCTTATTATTTTCTTAGTAAATTTCTTTGCTTTTCTACTCAAAATTACAATTTCACTTTCCTAATTTTCTCCACCCCACTCACCCATTGAACATATGTGCTGGACCACATATATTACAAAGGAATGAGAAGACAACAGATGGGAACCTTTCATCATAAAACTTAAAAATATCCCAAACACCTTGAACTCCCATCAAATAACTTTGCTCTTTCCTTCCATTATACTTAAAGAGGTTTCCCTCAGATACCTGCCTTGATCCTCCCAAGCTGTGATCCGTCCTTGGTTTCCAATTCACAACACCCTCCACAGTGTTTTGGAATATTTGGCTTAATAGTCTGTCTTCCAGACTGAGATCATGTCTCCCTCATCACGGCTCTGTGCCCTGCACTTGGTAATTAGATAGCTCAGAAACTTCTGGAGGAATGAAAGAGCAATAGGAAAGATTTCAGACAGGAGGCATACTACAGCATCTGTACAGCAAATTTGTATAGCGTCCTTTGGGGCCCAACCTTGCCTGGGGGTGGAGCCACGGCCAGGGGCAAGGCTTCATCCAGAGACCCGGCCTGCGAGGAAGCGCTGCTGGGCTTCCTAAAGGCGGCAGCGTTGGCCACAAATCTCACCTCAGGCTTCTGGATTCTGTCTCCATCGCTTCCGGAAGACAAGAGCTGAGATTTGCTTCAAAGACATGGTCCTGGAAAAGGTCTCTGGTCACCGAGTGCCCTTCTTCCCTACCCTGCCTGAAGGAGGATCTCTTCCTTTGTCCGCCAGTTTCTTTTCTTTTCTTTTTTTTTTTTTTTTTTTTTGAGATGGAGTCTCGCTCTGCTGCCCAGGCTGGAGTGCAGCGGCGCCATCTTGGCTCGCTGCAAGCTGCGCCTCCCGGGTTCACGCCATTCTCCTGCCTCAGCATCCTGAGTAGCTGGGACTACAAGCGCCCGCCACCACGCCTGGCTAATTTTTTTTTGTATTTTTAGAAGAGACGGGGTTTCACAGTGTTCGCCAGGATGGTCTCGATTTCCTGACCTTGTGATCCGCCCGCCTCGGCCTCCCAAAGTGCTGGGACCACAGGCGTGAGCCACCGCGCCCGGCCTCATCCGCCATTTTCATCCCAACTGGCAGCGCGCCTCGCGGCCTGGGAGCCCCCAACCGATCTCAACAGCCCCGCCAGCGCGTGAGGCCTCGGAAACCGCTCAGAGCCCTGGGCGCGGGGCTGCACCTGCCAAGGATACTCGATGGAACTCGAGGGAGATGATGGTATAATAATTAGAGTAACAATGTTGACCGCTATTAAGGCTTCGCTTTGCATTGGCTGCCTGGCTTTGAATCTCATATTTCACGTAATTTTTGAGGAGATACTGATATCTGCTAGTAGGGTTGGCCCTGAGTACTGCAATGAACAAGTAAAGAACTTTGTTCAGTTAAGGGCCGAAGTTAAGGAATGGGCTAAGGGCCCTGATGCAGTTACAACATGGGATTTTTCAGACACCAGAGAGGCCAGTGCCTTGGAAATAAATGCCTGCGCTGGACAGGAGGACAGTGTAAGATGTCAAAATGCTGGTCCACACACAAAATTAAGAGATCATCATCCCTCTCTGTAGGATCAGTAACCGGAAGAAGGATGCTGTCTCTACACGCTGTTTTTCAGAGGCGTCAACAAGTGCTTTTTCCCCTTCTCTGAGGGAGCCAGAAGTGTGTCTGGTAGGAACCGTGGCTGGGAACCCCAGGTAAAGGTCTACCAAGGCGCAGTGCCAGTGGACAGAGATTAGGTGTACTCCTGAGAGTGGAAGCACAGCCATTTGTCACGCCTTTCAAGATACAGAACAGCAAGACAGGAGGCTCTCCAGCAGAGAGGACTGCAGGCTTTTGCAGGACAGAAAATCTCAGGTAACTGTCTTTAATTACACAAATATTGATATATTCATGCATTTATTGAGAGCCTACTACGTGTCCGTGTTCCTTGTAAGACAGGAATATCACTATGTTTGCCCTCATAACAGGTGAGAGGGCGTCCTTTTTGTGACTGTTTCCCTTTTTAGAAAGTAGTACAGGCCGGGCGCGGTGGCTCATGCCTTTGTAATCCCAGCACTTTGGGAGGCCGAGACGGGCAGATCACGAGGTCAGGAGATCGAGCCCATCCTGGCTAACATGGTGAAACCCCGTCTCTACTAAAAATGCAAAAAAAATTAGCCGGGCATGGTGGCAGGCGCCTGTAGTCCCAGCTACTTGGGAGGTTGAGGCAGGAGAATGGTGTGAACCAGGGAGGCGGAGCTTGCAGTGAGCCAAAATCAAGCCACTGCACTCCAGCCTGGGTGACAGAGCAAGACTCCCTCTCAAAAAAAAAAAAAAAAAAAAAAAAGAAAGGAAAGTAGTATACGGACAGTCCCTGACTTGATGGTTCTACTTATGGTATTTTCAACTCATGATGGGTTTAATCAGATGCGACCCCCTTGTAAGTCAAGGAGCATCTGTATAGCAAATTTGAAAGATACGGAAAAGTAGAAGGCAGAACCCTGTAGATTTCCATCCTTAAAACAATTATTCTTAGCATTTTGATGTTTATTTCCAGATTTTGCTATGAAAAATTTTTTTACATTGCTTAAATAAGTACTTAAAAAGAAAAACACATCATGTACATTTTATGTGATTATAAACTTTCATAATCTTTTTATAATATATTAAATGGTAGAATATTAATTTTACTTTGTATCGATGTTTGAGTAGTTTCTAGTTTTTTAAAATATAATTTCAACTTTTATTTTAGATTCAGGGGGTACATATGCAGGTTCATTACCTGGGTATATTGCATGATGCTGAGGTGTTGGATACAAATGATCCTGTCACCCAGGTACTGAGCATAATACTCAATTGTTACTTTTTCAACGCTTTCCCCTTCCTGCCCCCCTCTAGTAGTCCCTAGTGTCTATTGTTGCCATCTTTATGTCCATGAGTACCCAGTGTTTAATTCCCACTATAAGTGAGAACATGCGGTATTTGACTTTCTGTTCCTGCTTTAATTTGCAAAGTGTAATGGCTTCCAGCTGCACCCATGCTGCTGCAGAGGACATGATTTCCTCGTTTTTTTATGGATGCATAGTATTCCACGCTGTACATGTACCACAATGTCTTTATCCACTTCACCATTGATAGACACCTCGGTTGATTCCATGTGTTTGCTATTGTGAATAGTGCTGCAACGAACATATGAGTGCATGCGTGTTTTTGGGAGAGTGAATAATTTTGGATATATACCCAGAGTGAGAATGTGGGACAGAATGGTGGGTCTGTTTTAAGTTCTTTGAGAAATCCCCAAATTGCTTTCCACAGTGGCTGAAGTAATTTACATTCCTCACAGCAGTGTATAAGCATTCACTTTTTTCTGTGGCCTCACCAGCACCTGTTGTTTTTTGACTTCTTAGTAGCCATTCTGACGGGTGTGAGATGGTATCTCACTGTGGCTTTAATTTGCATTTCTCTGATGATTAGTAATGCTGAGCATTTTTTCATGTTTGGCAGCTTGTATGTCTTCTTATGAGAAATATCTGTTAATTTTACTTTTTGTTGACATTTGAGCAGTTGCTAATTAAAACATTTTAAAAAATATTTTGCTTACTGTGTTTGTTCGTAATTGTACTTGCTTATAAACTGTCCTATTACAAACTGCAGAAAGCTTTTTTCTAAGTGTTTATTTTCTTACTGCCCTTGGTCTACTACTTTTCTTTTTTTTTCAGTTTCCTTAGATAAGTTATCCCCTCGTGTAGTTAACTATTTTAGCACTAACTTAATTCTTTGAATTTTAAGCCAGTGAAACCAACTGATTGCTAAACATCCTCAAGGTAAAATCTTACGAACTGAACTATCGTCTTCTGTCACCAAGCTGCTTTTCCTCTGATATCCCCATTATTAATTAGTAGCACCAGGACACCCAAGCTAGAAACAGAACAGCTATTCTATGCTTCTCTCTTCATTTTCTCCATAGCTAGTCTACTAATATGTGGATGAAGTGGAAATATATGCTGGGCAAAGAAATCCTAGAATTCTCACTGTTCACTATGCTTCCCCCCAATAGACTTTAAGAACCTTCAGATCATCAGCTGTACTTTGAAGTACATTTTTAATTATATTAGTAATACATGTTCACAATCTGAGTCAAAATTAAAATATTCTCGTTGAGGTTAAATGTCCCATTCCAAAACAAAAACAGATATGCAATTCCACATAAAATTTTCTATCTATTGACTTACTTTATATCAATGTAGATTCTTGTTTTCTTACTGAATCCAATTCAGTCTGTTACTATCAATATTTATTTTGATGCCCAAATTGTCATAGATTTAGCTAGTTACTTCAATTTGACTTCTGTGTTCTTTGGATATATCTCTGTTATTTCTTACTTTCTGATACAAAAAGATGTTTCAGGCTCATCGTATACTTTTGCTGCATCAGTCCTGGGTCCAGCCATTTCTCTTAGTACCCCTTGTTCCTTTATTGGAGAATGGTATTTAGAAGTCAAGGTCGGAGTGCTACTTGTGTTCATTATTATTAATCTTAGGTGGTGTTGGTTTTAGGCCCTCTCGATGGACAGAGCTAGTATACATACATGTTCACACATTTAAATCTCAACCTATTTCTCTACATATCTATGTATCTTGAAAATCATGAGTTTACATCAGTACCTCTAGTTGTAATTTAACACTACAGGGTTTATTCTAGTTTTCTTCCTTTCCACATTGGTGACTTCTTTCTCCAACAATGAGAAATCTGGTTCCCATTAGCCTAAACATATTTGCTTATTTAGTCAGTCCTCCTGTCTGTAAGCAATCTCTCATCACCACCATGGCCCTTCAGGTATGGCTGTCCTCTTCCACCCACTTGGGCTTAGACCTCTATGTGCCCAGCAGCTGTGTTATGTAGGCACCCTCCTCAACTCACTGGATATCCAAAACCTGGAACCAGGCAACCTTTCTATGATAAATGCCTATTCACCCTGCTTCAGCTCTTACACTCTGCTCTGGGACACTGTAACAGCTCCTAACTGCTCCCTTCCTCCTCTTTAGGTTTGGATACCTATTTTGCTTGACTTAACTAATGATTATAAGATTGAATTAGGAAGGGAAGAGGAAGAGACATACTGTATTCCCTCCCAGCACCCCACCCCTTATTTTATTGAGGAGTAATTGACATGCAAAAAATGCATGCATTTAAAGTGTACAATTTGAGGAGTTTTGATATACATGAATATGTACATGTTAAATCATTACACTCAAGATAGCAAACACATCCTTATTCCCCCATTCAGTTTGAGGTTTTTTTTTGAATTAAACTTTTTATTTTGAGATAAATATACATTCATGTGTGGTTGTAAGAAATAATAGAGAGATCTCATGTACACTTAACCCATTTTCCTCCAGTGGTAACATCTTACAAAATTGTAGTATGATATCACAACCATTGACATTGACATTGAAATAGCCAAGACACAGAACATTTCTCTCACCATGAGAACCCCTCATGTTGCCATTTTATAGACATACCCACTTCCTACCTCCCTCCACTCCATCTAATCTGTTTTCCAATGTTACATTTTTGCCATTTCAGTAATATTATATATATATATATATATGTACACATGGAATATATATATATATATATATATATATATATATATATATATATATATATATATATGGAATCATATAGTACATAATTTTGGGGGAATTTTTTCCCCCTCAGCTTAATTCTTTTGAGTGTCATTTAAGCTGTTGGATTTATCAGTAGTTTATTATTTTTATTCCATGGCATGGGTGTACTGCAATTTGCTTTACCACTCATTAAATGACAATTGGGTTGTTTCCAGTGTTGAGCTGTTATGAATAAAGCTTTCATAAACATTTCTGTACAGTTTTCATGTGAACATAAATCTTCATTTCTTTATGATAAATGACCAGGAGTATGATTGCTGAGTTGTATGATAGTTGCATGTTTAGTTTTTTATGAAGCTGTCAAGCTGTAGCCGTACCGTTTTACATTTCCGTCAGCAGTGTATGAGTGATCCAGTTTCACCTCATCTTTGTCAGCATTTGGTGTTGTCACTATTTTTTAGAAACAAAATGCGCTGCTCTGACAAGTGTGTAGTGATATCTCACTGTGGTTTTAATTTGCATTTTCTGAGTGGCTAATGATGGTGAACCTTTTTCATGTGCTTATTTTCCATCTGTATATCTTCTCTGGTAAAATGTCTCTTCAAGGCTTTTGTCCATGTTCTAGTAGGATTGTTTGCTTTTTTTATTGTTGAGTTGTCAGAGTTCTTAACATATTCTAGATACGACGCCTGTGTTGGATAGATGATTTGTTAAGAGTTTCTCCCAGTCTGTAGCTTCTTTTCATCTTCTCAATAGAGTATTTTACAGAGCAATAGTTTTAAACTTTGATGAAATTCAACTTAGCCATTTTTTCCTTTTATGAATTGTGCTTTTGTTGTCATGTCTAAGACTCTGCCTGGCCTTTGACCCTGAAGACTTTCTCTTTTTTTTCCCTGAAAGTTTTATAGTTTAGTATTTACATCCAAGTCTGTGATTCATTTTGAATTAATTTTTGTGTAAGGTGTGAGACTTAGGCAGAGGATTTTTTTTTGCCTCTATGGATATCCATATGCTCAACACTACTGAATTGAATTGAATATGTTTACTCCATTGAATTGTTTTTTGTACTTTGTCAAAAATTCATCGAGCATATTTGTGTGGGTCTATTTCTGGGTTTTCTGTTCTGTTTCACTGGTCTGTGTATCTCTCTGTTAACACTACAGAGTCTTGATTCCTGTAGTTACATAGCAAGTCTTAAAATTAGATAGACTGATTTTTTCTAATTTATTCTTCTTTTCCAAAATTGAGCTGTTCCTGTTCCTTGCCCTTTCTATATAATTTGTAGAATAATCTTGTGTATAAAAATATGCTGAGATTTTGATAGCAACTGTATTAAACATTTGTATAATTAGGGGAGAACTGACATCTTTATATATTAAATCTTCCAACCCATGAACATGCTATACTAAAGCTTTCCATTTATTTAGGTCTTCTGCATTTCATTCATTGGTACTGTGTAGTTTTTAGCATACAAGTCTTGTACATGTTTTATTAGATTTACACTTAAGTATTTTTTTTAGTTATTCCATATGATACTGCACTTTTAAATTTCTTGCCTATGTACTGATTGATAATATATAGAAACAATAGGATTTCGTCTTTATTTTGTATCCTTTGACTTTGCTGAACTAATGTATAACTTCTAGGAGTGTTTTTGCAGATCCCTTGATATGTAAAAGGGAGGTGATCCACCCACCCTGGCCTCCCAAAGTGCTGGGATAAAACTACTGTTTTAAAATACAATTATAAAGGATTTTGCCTCAGAACCTGTTCTGCTTCAGGCTTTTGGGGATCCTGAAAACAGCTGCCTCCAAGTGGCTTATCCCAAGGACAGTGGTCACGATATGAGGGCGAGAGCATTGAGGAGCCTTCCTAGGCAATTGGGAAGATATGAAAGTCCTAAACTAGTAGTTTATCTATACTGAGCATCCTCAAGTGGTAGCATATTACTCTAAGAGCTTTTGGAAAAGACTTCTCCTTGGAGATAATAAAACCAAGTGCAATGTGAAATCTAAGACCAGACTTCTGGGTGACGGTGTAGGTAAATTGGGAAGATGTCATGGGTCCAGGGGTGAGACAGTCTTATCCTACCAGAAGCCACCTCTGCCACCTCCCACAGGCTGCTTAAAATGCTTTGGTAAGAGCTTATTACAAGGCTTGGTGGTAGAATGTGTGAAATGTTTTCCTGGGAGGGATGACATTTTAAACTTTTATTTTATACGTTACTGGTAGTCATAAGTAATATAGTTCTTAAAAGCAGATTTTAAGAGGGGGATAGGAAAAAAAAAACCTATGAAGACACTGATGCTACGAGTGGAAAGTAAAAGTTATCTAAGAGGTGATAGAGTACCAAAAATAGCTTTTCGTTACTTCCCAAATTTGCCAGCTTTTAATGGACAAAGTGAATATTCTTAAATGTATGACTACTTTAATTTGAATATTACAGCATACTTTTTACTTTAAGAAATTACATATTGCAGGGCATGGAGGCTCACGCCTGTAATCCCAGGATTTTGGAAGGCCAAGGCGGGCGGATCACGAGGTCAGGAGATTGAGACCATCCTGGCTAACACGGTGAAACCCCATCTGTACTAAAAATACAAAAAATTAGCCGGGCATGGTGGCGGGCGCCTGTAGCCCCAGTGACTCAGGAAGCTGAGGCAGGAGAATGGTGTGAACTCGGGAGGCGGAGCTTGCAGTAAGCCGAGATCGTGCCACTGCACTCCAGCCTGGGCGACAGAACGAGACTACGTCTCAAAAAAAAAAAAAAAAAAAAAGAAAAGAAATTACATATTAATATTGTGTAAAGTAGAAGCATTATGAATGTAGAGAATTTATTCATTAGGGCTCTAATATTTACTACTGTCTGATCTAGAGAAGTCACTTACCCTCTCTGGGCTTCGGTTTCATTCACTGATAAAATAGGCACAATATTCAGAGTAAGATCAAAGTGCCTGTTACAATAAAAACAAATATTAACAATAAAAAAAATAGGTATAATACCTGACCTGCTGACCTTGTAAGTTGTGAAAATGCACTGAGATGGCTGGAAGTAGAATTCTTCATAAAGTAGACAAATTTATTATTTATAGTTGGTGCTAGTGCAGAAAGGATAAGTGGTGTGAAGCACTGTCACTCAATGTCAATGGAATTTACTGTTGGTGGTACAGGAAAAGAAAATAAATATATCTCTAGTCTCTTGTTCCTTTACATTTTGAAGGCGCTTCTACCAGGTTCAGAAAAGGAATCTTATTAGCATTTGGGGAAAAGCCTTTTTACTGAAACTTCTGGTAGGTTTCAACTGTAGGCATACATATGTTTGTAAAGATATCTAGCCAATGAATGACAGTTTAAAAGAGAGAAGCTGTTCTTTGACCATCTCCTCAAAGAATCATTAATCCATATTAGAAAATTGGAGAGAGTGCACATGCAGGGATTTTTTGCTAAAGAGCATGATGTGTCTGAGGAGTTATGACTCACAGTATCTCTGTTCCAGAGATCACTTGGCGATTGTAAATGCTGGAGGCGGGGGAACCTCTCCTCTGCATTTGTATACCTCTTGAGCTGTGTAGAATTAATCGCTCCAACTGCACCAGGAGGTAAATGGCAGAGCCCGTGGCTTACAGATGCTTGTGTCTCCTAGTTTCCAGCAGTAAGTATTTATTAGATGAAAACTCGGCCGAGACTGCATATTAAAGAGAAGAGGAAGGGGCATCTCTTGGCAGATTTTATCCTCAAGGCAGGTTACCTGCTCCTGCATAATTGAAAAGAGACCTGGCCTGGCTTGGAGGCTGTCTTAGCCCTTCAAAAGAGATCAACAAACAGTGGTGGCCAATGGGTGTCAAATAAAGAGCTTTATAGTGTTAAAAGAAACTTCAGACAAATTAAATTTAAAGGAGTTTGAGCAATGAATGACTTGTGAATTGGGCAGACCCCAGAATCAGAGCAGATTCACAGAGACTCCACGGATGCCTCGTGGTTAGAACAAATTTATAGACAAAAAAGGTAAAGTGATGTATAGGAATTGGAAGTGAGGTACAGAAAGAGTGAGATTGGTTACAGCTTGGCGTTTGCCTTATTTGAACACAGTTTGAACATTCAGCAGTCTGTGAGTGGTTGAATTATGGCCGCTGGGATTGGCCAACACTCAGCTGTTGTTACAGGTGCATACTATTGAGTTAGGTTTTCAATTTGTCTGACTATTAAGCTAGGTTACAGTTCATCCCCAAGGACTCAAATATAGAAGTATGGAGTCCTTCTCAAGCCATACTTACTTTGCTTTAACAATAGTTTAAGAAAGACATAAGAAATTAAAAGACAGTTTAGAGGACAGCTGTCATGATAAAGAGTTTAGAAAAGAATGTGTAGGAAGGTGGGTTAGGGGTGGGGGATATTGGAATTATTTAAACTGACAAGAGTCACCCGAATAAAGTGTGACAGGCAGTTGGTATTTGGACATTTGCAGAAGTGATTATGTAGAATATAGAGCAGATGTTCTCAAGTTTTTTTGGATGCCAAGGCACTCGGGAAAAGATCACATTTACATGACCCACAGTGTAGTCAGGTGAGGTTGCTTAAGACTACATTCTGCTCTAAGGCTTTGACACACCTAAGTCTCACTCTGCTACCAAACACTGATGGGATCAGTAGTATCATCCACAATACCAGCAGGATGACTTAATAGTAGAAAGGAGAGCCTCATTGCTCTTATCAGTTTGCAAACCAGGAAGGGACAGCATCCAGTGTGGAATGAAGGTGCTCTCTGTTGGAATAGGGGAAGGACAGGTTGTGTTTTACATTCATATTCATACATACTCAACAAGTTTTGGGGAGAAGCTATACATACTTCTGTGGGAGCTGAGCACACCACAATGAGTAAATATATGTATCATACATCCCATGTTCACTTTGGAATGGGGTTTTAGCACTAAAATGAGGTAGAATTTGGTCCTTTACATCATAAGGTAAACTATGGGACACAAAGGTGGTTTGTATGCAGCCTCTATATGCTGGCAGATACTGGCAATCTGTAATATTAGTAGCTTATCAGAAAAGAATGTTTGTAAGGCCGGTCCTCTGTCCGATCAGAGCTGATAGCTCGTTTGGTTAGAGGCAGTCTATTTATAGAAAGTTAGAAATTTGCCATGCCATCCAGGCCCTGAACCCTTGACCCATAGGTAACTTTGTTTCCTTACCCTTAGGGCCTGTCTTAGTTGATAAAGGGGCATCTATTTTGGTCTTTTAGGTCATAATAGCTTAGCGCACTGTAACCTATCCCTGCTTTAAGGGAGTTGCATACTTGTTACCAAATTGATGTGGAGGGCTGGGACTGTCTGTATTTGAGGGAGAGTTAGAAATGTGGGGTCATAATGACAAATAAGATTGAAATAAAAGGAGGAACTAATTGATTCTGGATTTGAAAATACTGATAGATTTGTCACAGGATGGGTGTGTGGGTGTGTTTGTAAAGAAAAGAACTTTTATCTGAGGCATGTGAGTCCTCTTAAGTTATCAGGCCTAGAGAGACATTAAAATGAGACAGAAATCACAGCCCTATTTCCTCCTTGAGCTATGTATTCATCTCTTGAAACTGCTTGCTATTGCCACATGGAGCTATATAGTAACCCAATAATGCCACACCTGACAGGATAACCCACCCCATATAGCTTAACAATGTATAGCCAATCACTAATCAATGTCGCTTCTGTAAACCAATGAGAATTCCTGATTACAACTTTGTATCAGCCCACTCCTTGACCTCTTTTTTTGACTTTGAAAACCCACTCATAACTGCTGCTAATTGGAGTGTATATTCAGGGGGACTTGCATCTGTGTTCCCAGGTCGCAATCCTCAAGCTTGACCCAAATGAACTGTGTGTTTATAATAATTTGCCTCAACTTCTTCCTTTTAGGTCGATGTGTATGTGTGTTTGTGTAGAGAGTATGTTCCAAAAGTGCTTGAACAGTTTAAACCTCACTAACTTCAGAAAAGTAAGTTCTATAAATTAACCCCCAAGATCCCTTGAAGTTTTAATTATATATATTTATTGTACACTTATTTTTGTTTTATAGATGTTAAATAATGCATTATTAGTGAAACCATGCCCCAGAGAGTTGAAGAAAACAGTGACTAATGAAATAATCAGTTTACAGGATAGGCGATTAAAAAACAACAACAACAATAACTTACTAAAATGCCAAAACTCTCCCTGCTTCTGAGATTAAAAAACTGGCTAAAATGAATTAAAACTATTAAGGCCAACTGGAGTTGGCACAGAACAAGCTGGCTGGCGTCACAGCCCAAATTTCTGCCACGTTTCAACCAACTCCCCACAAATGTGCACATGGAATACATGAGGCAGCGTTAAACAGAACTGTGCATGCGGAGGACTTACAGACCTCCGCTTTCCTTCCACCAATCAACTATTAATTCCAGAGGCCACTCCCTAAACTTTTTCTAATAAAATGACCCCATGAAAGCCAGCACAGGGGACAGGTTTGATCTGGACTCCTGTCTTATTGTTCGTTAATTTACAATAAAAACCTTCTTTTCTCAAAAACCCAAATTGGGCAGTGAGCTTCTTTTCCTTGATAACATTAGTTTTAATCATTTGAGACAGTCACTCTGATTGGAAATAGTAAAAACTGACTTCAAAACAAAAAATGTAATGTTCAACATTCACAAAACGAAGCAAGTATAAAGGAAATTTAAGTTTTATATCTGCATTTATGTAAGGCAGAAACGTTCTGTAGGTAAGATGGATTTGAGGACATATGTGATCCTGAGAGTGGCAATGCCTGGGTACAACAAATATTCCAGGCAGTATTTCAGGCTTTCAAGGCAGTGTGGTTGGTGGGGTCCAAGTTAAGAGCTCCAAACAGTAAAGCGGGACTTGGGTAATGCCTGGTTTACTGTTGGAACAAACCAAAAATTCCACTAAGATAAATATATGACATGAAAAGGGATGGAGTTGGGAAATGGAGTGGCAAGGTAGGGCAGAGGGACCTAGAGGGCCCAGGAGAGTCAGCTGGGCTGGTGGGGTTGGGGCTGTGGACACACCCTCCTCTTGTTGCTCCCTGCACCCTTAGAAACCTTCTGTGACTCTTCCATGCTCTGTGATGCAGGCCTGTGCTTATAGTTAAGCCTGGGCACCCTCAGTGCTCAGTTGCTTCAGGCAGCTGAGCTATTCAGACCATGGAGAATATCCTCTGTTTTCTGAACAGCTATACTGAGACAGGGCTGAGCCCTGACTCACATTGGTTGGATATCGACCCCAACTTCATCTGCTTGAGTGGGTTGGGGTTGTTTATACTGTACTTGTTCTACGTGGTATTGACCCTGTATTCGTCACCCACCGAAAAAAATAATGACATCCAAAAGGTAAGGAACTGTGGGTGAACACCCAAGAGAGATGCCCTGTTGTTGTTTCCCAATCCTATTCCAACATTTCTAAATAAGTTTGGTTGGTACAGAGACATGTTTTAGATGGGAAGTCTGAAGAGAGGATAGAACTTCACTCTTCTATGGAAGAGGTTGGGCAGACATAGGGGTTCAGGAGGACTAAGGTTTCCATCTGAAGCTCATAGTTTTCCATGTGAAGCTACCTATCTGGCTGTGGTGGAGAGTTCCAGGATAAAATCCCAAACACAGTAATTCTGTGGTCCCAGGTGGGATTATTTAGAGATTGTGGGCTCTCTGAAGGAGAACGGTCTCTGCTGAAATTTGATCATGAGTCAGATTCCCATGTCACCTGTCACTTGACCAAGTCTTCCTTCGTGTTGGGCTGACCAGAGGAGTAATGCTGAGAGTCTCTGAGCAGAGGCTGGAGCTATAGGCCTGTCTCCGTGACACTTGTCCCATGAGGGAGCACAGATGTGACTGTTGACCTCTGAGTCTTTGCCCTCCTTCAGAATTGCTAACTGAGTACATCAAGTGTGGCTCTCACAGCAAAATCTTCTTTGAGGATTTTTCAGAGAAGGAAAAATGGGAGCTATTTTATCACCATTAAAAATTGATAACAGGAACATATTTCTATTAATTAAAGAGTAATATTCTTGTATAATGAATGAATGAATGAATGAATGAATGAATGAGCTTCATAGAGAGTGAGAGAAGTGAGTCCCAGCCTGTCATTATCTGTCTTTTGTTCTCAGCATCAGGGCAGAGCCAAGAGGAGAAGGAAAGGTGGGACATTCAAAGGTAATGTCAGCCTGCTCTATCTGAGCTTCAGGGGTGACCCTTTCTGTCTCTTTCATGATGACTCAGTCCCATGATTTCTTAGAATGTCAGTTACTAGATGCAGTCTTAGAAAACAGAGCCCTCAGAAGACAGGCTCATGGGAAAGCAATCAGACCTGAGACACTGCTCAGAGGCCCTGCTCTGCCCATTTACGGGCAGGACAAAGTGATGGACCTGAGCAATGGGTGTTGCCCAATTGGTGGCCAACTGAGATATCCAGGAGGGACTGCTGGTGGGCTTGGAGTCAGAGCTTCTGTCTCACAACTTTGCATACGTACTTTGACTTCCTCAATGCTCGGATTCCTCCTGGAGGTAACCACTGATGTCTGTGTTTCACGTGGTGGTTTTGAGCATCACATGGGGTAATGTATGTGAAAGGACTTTACTAATGATGCCACATACACATGTGAACTTGTGAATATTATCAATGACTATTTTCCCTTTTCTACTGATTCTTGGGGCTCTCAGAGTTTAATATCCCAAGGGTCTTCCACAGATTGACTTCTGTATGAGCCGTGTGCCTCTATCTTCATTGCATATAACATACTATTCAGGTTTCCCAGACTGGAAAAGTTTCCAGAGAGAAGAGGAAGAGGAAAGGAAGCTGCTTTCTCTTCTGAAAAGGTGATTAATCTTTCCCTTTGTGTCCTGTTCCCACCCCACTCCTTCTTCTTTAGTACGTTCTATTCATTTCAGGGATTCCTTGTAGCCTGCTGTAGTTTTGGGAGTGGGTAGCCATAGGAATGGGTATGTGAATGAATGTGTTGGGGAGAGGCTATAGTGAGGTCATAGGACCTCATATACGGTGAGGTCCTGGGTTGGGGGCAATGTGATATGGGCAGCAGGCTTTAGGGAACCCACCCCTGCCAGGCTAACAAATCTCCTTTCCTTGTTCTGGTCCTGACTGCAGCTTTGGACCTCCTGTTTCCTGCAGTCCTCGGGGCCAGCATCATGATACCAACCACTTTCGTCGACTGTTATGCCCAGACCCCGTCTGTCGGGTGTGTAAGAGAGCAACTGCTGATATCCAGCAACTGCTGTCTTGGGAGTCCCTGAAAGATGCTGCTCCCTCTGTGTCCCCTTTGGCTTCTTCGGCTTCTGCGACTGAGTCATCGTTCACTCTGGCTTCCACCCCCTCAGCAACCCCTCCAGAAGACCTAATACTGTCCCCTCGGCCTAAGGCCTCTCCACCACCCCCCTTAATTCTCTCACCTGACCTGATCACCACCTTAGCTGACTTATTTTCACCCTCACCACTGAGGGACCCTCTGCCACCACAGCCTGTTTCTCCCTTGGATTCCAAGTTCCCCATAGACCATTCCCCACCCCAACAGCTTCCCTTTCCCCTTCTCCCACCACATCACATTGAGAGAGTGGAGTCCAGCCTCCAACCTGAAGCCAGTTTGTCTCTGAACACCATCTTTTCATTTGGCTCCACCCTATGCCAAGATATTTCGCAGGCCATGAATCCCATTGATTCTTGTGCTCGTCATCACGGACCACCAATCCCATCTGCTTTACCACCGGAAGATTGCACTGTGACTCAGTCTAAATCAAGTCTCACCATCTTGAAGACTTTTCCGGAAATGTTATCTCTAGGTGGCTCTGGTGGGTCATCCACCTCTGCCCCAACAATCAAAGGCATTGACCATTCACACCTTGCATCTTCAGAATTCACCTGGTGGCAGCCTCATGCCAAGGACTCTTTTTCCTCTAATTTTGTGCCATCTGATTTCATGGAGGAGCTTCTTACCCTTCATTCTTCTGAGGCCTTTTTAGGGGGGCACTCTGTGGCCAACCTCATAGAGCCTGTTAACATCTCATTTCTCAGCCATGACATTCTGGCACTCCTGGAGAGACAAGTCAAAAAAAGGGGTGATTTCCTGATGTGGAAAGAAAATGGAAAGAAACCAGGATCATTCCCAAAACAACTTAGGCCAAACTACCAACTAAATTCCTCACGGAATATGTTAACCTCAATTGCTGTTAAGCATGACTTGGCAGAATCCTTTCCTTTTTGGGCCAGTAAAGGCAAACTAGAATGGCAGCACATCCATCAGCAGCCTCCACACTCTAAATGCTTTGAAGACCATTTAGAGCAAAAATATGTCCAGCTCTTCTGGGGTCTCCCATCTTTGCACAGCGAGTCTCTGCATCCTACTGTTCTTGTCCAACGTGGCCATTCCTCCATGTTTGTATTCTTCAATGGCATTACAAATACATCTATATCCCATGAATCCCCAGTACTTCCCCCTCCCCAACCTCTGTCCTTGCCTAGTACCCAACCACTACCCTTGCCTCAAACCCTGCCCCAAGGTCAGTCCCCACATCTCACTCAGGTGAAGTCCCTGGCTCAACCTCAATCTCCATTCCGAGCCCTACTACCTAGTCCTCTATTCCTGATTAGGATCTGTGGAGTGTGTTTTCATAGACCCCAGAACGAGGCACGGTCTCTTTTGCCATCTGAAATTAACCATCTGGAGTGGAACGTGTTGCAGAAAGTGCAGGAAAGTTTGTGGGGCTTACCCTCTGTGGTTCAAAAATCCCAGGAAGACTTTTGTCCTCCAGCTCCCAATCCTGAATTGGTCAGAAAGTCCTTCAAGGTCCATGTTCCGATCTCCATCATTCCTGGAGATTTTCCACTCAGCTCTGAGGTAAGGAAGAAACTAGAGCAACACATTCGAAGGAGGCTCATCCAGCGCAGATGGGGCCTGCCCCGCAGAATCCATGAGTCTCTGTCATTGCTACGTCCTCAGAGCAAAATTTCAGAGCTATCTGTGTCAGAGAGAATTCATGGACCGTTAAATATCTCTTTGGTTGAGGGTCAGAGGTGCAATGTTCTAAAGAAGTCCGCATCAAGCTTCCCTAGAAGCTTCCACGAGAGGAGCTCAAATATGCTTTCCATGGAGAATGTGGGGAATTATCAGGGATACAGCCAGGAGACTGTCCCAAAAGATCACCTGTTGCATGGTCCGGAGACTTCTTCAGACAAGGATCTGAGGTCTAACTCTGAGAGAGACCTAGAAACTCATATGATGCATCTGTCAGGGAATGACTCAGGGGTGAGACTAGGTCAGAAACAACTTGAAAATGCCCTGACAGTACGTTTGAGCAAGAAATTTGAGGAAATCAATGAGGGTCGAATGCCTGGGACTGTGCATAGTTCATGGCACTCAGTCAAGCAGACAATGTCTCTTCCTGAGAAATCCCACAGCCAAATTAAACATCGAAATCTGGTAACATTGGTGAGTGAGGACCACTGCGTTGATACTTCCCAGGAAATTTCCTTCCTTAGTTCCAACAAACAAAAGATGTTGGAAGCCCATATTAAAACTTTCCGTATGAGGATGCTGTGGGGCCTTCCCCTCAAGGTCCTTGAATCCATAGAAATCTTCAAATCGAAAGCGGACCTTTCCACTTCCTTTTCCCATTTCGACCTTCCCTCCTCAGCCACCTTCATCTCTCAGGGAGATTCCAAAGATGGGGTCTCTAAGTCCCGTAGTCGAAGCACTTTTCAAGGAGAAAAGTTGGGAACAACAAGCTCAGTCCCCATCCTTGATCGTCCTCACCCTGTCTCCTCACCTGTCGTCCAAGAAGGGCAGGGGACCCTGAGAAGACAATTTTCTGATACTGACCATGACCTTATAGAGACAGATTCCAAAGACGGGGCCTCCACATCCCTTAGAAGAGGTACTACAGATTTTCAAAGCGAAAAATTAGATTCAACAAGCTCATTCCCCATCCTCGGTCATTCTTACCTTGTCACTTCACCTGTCAACCAAGAAAAGCAGGGGACCCTGAGAAGAGAATTCTCTGATACTGACAATGATCTTACAGAAAGTGTCCGGACAACAGAGGATGGCAGACAGACTTTTCTGCCCCCGCCACACAGCATCGTAGACGAAGTCAGTCAGAAACAGACTGTACTGGCCAGTAGATGCAGCGCAGAGCTGCCCATAATGCAAGCTGGAGCTGGCTGTGAGTCATGGGATAAGAGAAAGAGTTCCTTTCATAATGTAGACAGGCTTCAGGGCAGTAGAAAGACCTTTCCTGTCACCAATGCTCTTCAATCACAAACTAGGAACAACTTGACAACCAGCAAGTCAGGAAGCTGCTCACTGACAAATGTGAAAGCAAGCACTTCCAATGAAACTGAAATTTTCCCACCAAGAATATCAGTTCCTCAAGATCCTAAATCATCATACCTTAAAAATCAGATGTTGAGCCAGTTAAAGTTGGTCCAGAGGAAGCATAGCCAACCTCAGAGCCATTTCACTGACATGTCTTTTGCCTTAGATAACTTGAGTTCCAAGGACTTACTGACTAATTCCCAGGGCATCTCGAGTGGGGACATGGGAACTTCCCAGGTGGTGCATGTCCACTTGGAGGACAGCGGAATCCGTGTGGCACAGAAGCAGGAGCCCAGGGTCCCTACCTGTGTCTTACAGAAGTGTCAAGTTACGAATTTCCCACCAGCTGTAAACAGAGTGAGTCCTGTGAGACCCAAAGGAGGAGAGCTTGATGGAGGGGATGCAGGGCTGGGGACATCCCAACGCAGGAGAAAGAGCCTCCCTGTTCATAACAAGACATCAGGGGAGGTGCTTGGGAGCAAATCTTCCCCAACCTTGAAAACACAGCCTCCTCCTGAAAACCTTTTCAGAAAATGGATGAAGACCTCTTTGCAGTGGTTTAATAAACCCAGCATATCATATGAAGAACAAGAAAGTTCCTGGGAAAAGGGTAGCTCCCTGTCATCATGTGTGCAGAATATTGGTCGAGTTATAAGAGCTGCCTTTACTGGGACTACTGAAGCTCAGAAAATTAGGAAAGACACTAGGGAGTTCCTAGAAGAGAAGCTGGGGCATAGGCATGGGATAGATATCACCTGTCCCCAAGAGCCCCTTTCCTTCCCAGTGGGGCTTGGGAAAGCTCAGCACAACCCAGAAGTGCATGTCAGAGCAGAGCCTGTCCAGGGCTGTCCCTGCAACTACAGGGCTCCCTCCTGCAAAGTGACACGTACCAAATCTTGCAGCCAACAAGCTATCTTTGTTGGCCAGAATTATCCTACAAGGATTAGACAGATCATAGACAAGGACAGACAGCCCCAGAAAGTTGAGGCATTTAAGGGGAAGATACTGTGTCAAAGCCATCCCCAATCCATGCCCCACAGGAAGCCTGTGCCACATCCAAACCCCACTTGCCGGCGTCAGGTCAGCCTGGTGTGTCCAGCCGTCCCAACCAGTGCTAAAAGCCCTGTGTTTAGTGATGTGCCTTTCCTAACTGGACAGAAAATGCTTCCAAAGCATTTACAGGGAGGAAAATTTCCCCCCACAAAATAATTCACTCCTTGTTGAGAATCTTGATTCTCCCCAATAAATGTTCCAATAAGAAGGATGTCTTTTCTGTGTATTGTGTTGTGGGGTATGGGTTTTGGGTAACCGAAGCTAGTGGTTAGGGAAAGGTGGGGTTAGCTCAGCTC
The DNA here is from genome assembly GCF_000001405.40 of Homo sapiens. Classification (NCBI taxonomy): domain Eukaryota; kingdom Metazoa; phylum Chordata; class Mammalia; order Primates; family Hominidae; genus Homo; species Homo sapiens. The sequence continues at coordinate 81,995,342 of NC_000009.12, forward strand.
TTACTGACTCCCTGCTTTGACTTTTAAAATGTGCCGAACCCCCTGGAGCTGTTGTGGTGGAATGAGTATCATGTGCCTCCAAAAGCCCCTTCTCTCCCTGATGAGGTCCGAGGAGATGAGGTCTTTCCTACCTCTTTGCTTGAGACTTACTGATATTGTATGGCGGCCTTCACCTTCCTCCCCATTCACTGCTTCATATCCTTTAGAGCAGTGAGGAAGGCAGCCCTTCCATATCTGAAGACAGGGTGAAGGACAGGTATATTTTTCAGAAATAGTGGTTTAAGCACTGTTTAAAAAAAGTTGTCACAGACCACAGTATCTTATAGGTTGGTGGGAGTGTTTGGGATATTGCTGGTTGGGGTAGAGTGTCAGGAACACTGTGGATGCTGCTTAAGAATTTGACAAGCAGGGCATGCTCATGATTTAGGGAGGCATATTTTGACCTCAACGTTGAGGTCTTTCTACTAATAAGTCACTCTGGAGATGTAGTTCCCCTCCCTGTGTATTTCTCCATGCTGCCTGGATTGATGACATTTTTACAGAGCAAAAATTCACCTAGCTGTCTGTGGCAGGACTGTTGACCAGGCAACCACCTACCTCCTAGGGTAAAATATAGCTTAGAGTAAGGAAAAGATGCCTTAGAATGATGAGAAAGTAAGAAAAAAGTGAAGCTAGGAAAGAATGACCATGCTGGTGGAAAAAGGTTTATGCCCCATCATGCCCATTTCATGACCCTTTCTTAATCTAGATCTAGGCACCATCCCCTTGAGGCTTACCAGGATGCTGCAGAGGTTACAGATGCCATTTTGGCAGAAGTGTACCTCGGGCTGTTCTTTAAGGACTTAAACAGTATCTGCAGGGCTGTTGTCAACATGGCATCCCTCTCTTTAGGGAAGGTGATCTTTGTGCCTTCTTTCTAGCCATGTTGATGGCAATATGCAAGATCTTCCCTTAGTGTATACAGTGCACCTATCAGGATGGAGGTGTCACCCATGATGTTCATGGGCTTAGTGGAATATAATAGATATTGTCTAGAATACCTGCAGCTCATGGTCCAGAGGTTAGTCCTGGACTACGCATGAGGGTTACAGATATTTGGGGGCTTACTATGAATCTTTACAGAATGCTCCTTATTTCTAAGAGTGTGCACATATGCACACTTAAAATATTAGGGGCCTGAAGAGAAGGCAATTCCACTTATACAGACTGGGACTAATAAATGAAGTGAGTTTTCTAGAGGGCACTTGAGGTAAGTTCTCCAGAAAAATTTGTGAATGCTTGGTGTCAAAACAAAAACAAAACACAACAAAGCATAACAAAACAAAACAAAACAAAACAGATGTCCACTACAGCTTCTTCACTATCCTTCTCTTTTCCTGTCCATGCTTATGCCACTGACCCTGCAGTGCCTGAATCTTAGGATTGCAGAAATAATTCAGATTCTGTGAAGGCCTTAAGAAGCACAAAATTGGGATGAAACCCAGGGCAAAGAACTTGTGGATGTGGAGAATCCATGGAGGACCCAAACATCCATGTGGATAGACTTGCCAATTACCTGGCCTCCTAATTCCTCTGTCATTCCATCTTAGGGTCCTTTACCTCCATTCCATTTCAGTTACTGCCACACCCAGAAGCTGTCATCAGAAACATCTAAAAGTTATCATCAGAAACACCTCTTTTTTTGGAGGCAGAGTCTTGCTCAGTTGCCTGGCCTGGTGTGCAGTGGCACGTTCTTGGCTCACTGCAACCTCTGCCTACCAGGTTCAAGTGATTCTCCTGCCTCAGCCTCCTGCATAGGTGGGATTAAAGGCACATGCCATGATGCCCAGCTGTTTTTTTTTTGTTTGTTTGTTTTGTTTTTTTTTTTTTTTTGTAGAGATAAGCTTTCACCATGTTGGCCAGGCTGGTCTTGAACTCCTGACCTCAAGTGATCCGCCTGCCATGCCTCTCAAAGTGCTGGGATTATAGGCATGAGCCACCATGCCTGGCCTCATCAAAACCACCTCTACATCTGTAATAATACAGTCTAACATTCCACCCTTTGACCTCATCCTACTATCCTTCCAGCCTAGCCCCTCAATTTGTCAAATTTTCACACTGGGTTATTATTTTTCTACTTATCTGTCTACCAAGTTTTTGACTTAATTTCCTCCTTCTTCAATGCAGGTTTTACGGTCTATCCTATAACCAATATTTAACAAGCCCTACTTGAAATATGCCATATGCAATTCCCTTTAATCCTTCCTGTCTGACAAAATCCCATCTCTCTGCCTTTTCCATAAATGTCTTCCCTTAAATGACCTATCACTGTTGGATTAAATCTCACAATCAAGTCTACTGACACCATGATAAATGCATGGTCAGTCTTAGCACTACCTGGAAATAATTCACTCATTCATCCAAAAAATACTTATCCTGTGCTTACTAACAGAGAACAATACTAATGAAGCTTTGGTCATTTTTCCTTAGTCCACTTTTTCACCCATGTATTTCAAACCTTCTGCACTTTTCTCAAGTTTAGGCCATCTCCACTTGCTCAGCAGATGTGCTGGCCTCACCATTCGGGAAACTAGAATCCATTGGATAGAAACGTTTCATAAAAAATTCTTCAAAAAACTATATCCATCCCTCCTTTGTTTCCTTCCAAGGTTTCTTCATTTTTTTTTGAGACAGAGTCTCGCTCTGTTGCCCAGGCTGGAGTGCAGTGGCGCGTTCCCGGCTCACTGCAACCTCTGCCTCCTGGGTTCAAGTGATTTTCCCAACTCAGGCTCCTGAGTAGCTGGGATTACAGGTGCGCACCACCACACCTGGTTAAGTTTTGTATTTTTAGTATAGATGAGGTTTCTCCTTGTTGGCCAGGCTGCTTTTGAACTCCTAACCTCAGGTGATATGCCTGCCTCGACCTCTCAAAGTGCCGGGATTACAGGTGTGAACCATCATGTTTGACCACCTTGCAAGGTTTCTATCTTCAGAGGAATTATACTTCCTGAAATGTCTCTATTGAGTGGTAGCTAAACTCTAGTCTTGATGGACTGATCCATTCTTGCCTTGTAATAGGTACACAGTATATGCTTTAAATGGGTGAATTTTGTGGCATGTGTACTAGATTGCAATAAAACTGAAAGGATTTAAAGAGAAGAAGTGCTTGAGGATAAGAAGAATGCAAGAGGGTACACCAAAAGGAGTTAACACATTTTTGGAAGATGAAAACCTTGTGGAGGAGAGATAACTTACTTAGCAAAGTAGACAAAGCACCAGCTATCCTTATTGCTGCTTCCTTCTCTTCATGAGGCACTGAACATGTTTTATTTCTTAAATCCTTTCATTGAAGCGATGGTTAAACATGCGCAAGAGCAGGTAGAACAATATAACTCCCCATGTACCCACCACTTAACTTTCACAATTATCATTTGGTATGGGTGATACCTCCCATCTTTTATACTATGATTAAAGTGCAAAAGTCCATTTAAACATCTTGCCATCCATCTCTTAGAAGATGTGCCACGTGCCATATGTCAATGCTGTCACATTCCTTTGATACTTATCACATGAGGAACACACTTATGTACAACAGATATACACAGCATTGGTGACAAACACATTGAGCTTTAGTGGCTTTGGCAATCAGTTCTCCTTTGACTTTAAGTCAACCCCAAGGAGTCATTTGAATTCCTACCCACAGTCCACACAAGAAGCAATCTTACAGAGCAAATTCAGTGCACAATATTGCAGTCCCTTAATCACATAGTAACTATAAGTTGAAAAAAATATGAGTAGAAACTGTACATGTTGCTGAAACCTTGAGATTGTCATATAAATGTTTTCAAATATTTAAAAGAAATGTTTTCTATCACACATTTAAAAGGAGTTTTTGTGTTTCCACTTAAATAAAGTAGATCAAATATACTTGTTTATCTACCCTCCTTCCCAAAATGCCATTAAGAGTAAAAGATTATATGAAAAGATGCTCAACATCATTAGTCTGATCACAGAAATACAAATAAAAATCACTATGAGATAACCACTTCACACCTACTAGGATGGCTGGAATAAAAAAGATAAGTGTTTGAGATAATTTGGAGAAATTGGAAGCCTCATACACTGAGAGTGGGAATGTAAAATGGTGCAGCTGCTTTGGAAAACAGGCAGTTCCTCAAAATGTTGGCATATAACACAGCAAATCCACTCCTAGGTATATACCAAGAGAAATGAAAACATGTGCATGCAAAGAAACTTGTACGCAAAGTGTCTGGTGTGTCTGTTCTTTTCCCCAGTGGTTAATCTTTGGCCCTTTGACAGTGGCTTGTTCATTTGCTCTTTTGTGCTTTTGAGGAAAGTCCTTTGTGTAGCTACTTCTCTGCCCTGAGGAAGTTCTGAGTTAGGTGAAACAAAGGCAAGCCCCTTGGATCAGTTCTTCAGGGACTTCCCAGACAGATCAAAACAGACAAACTGAACTACTTAGAACAAGGTTTGCTCTGCTTTTTCCTCTGGAACCAGGTACCCACACTCTGTATGGGGTCTGATATCTTCAAGGCTGCCACTGGGCTGGGAGTGAGGTGGAGCAATGGTAAATTAAAATGCTACAATGCTTTGTACAGTGTTTTAGTGGTTTTTCTCCTTGTTAGCCTTTGTTTGGCTGCAGTAAACCTTTGGCCATCTTCCAGAGTTTTGACAAGGTTGACTCTGACTGTGTTTGCCAGGTTTCTTTGTGTATCTGAGGAAGGTCACCTTCTCAGAATTCTCTAGTCTGCCATTTTGCTGACATCACTCCCCTATGTCCAGCTTTCTTTTGATCAAGATAGTTTATCTTTTCCTATTATTTTATTGCATACAATTCATTTCTTTATATTTAAAGTGGTTTTCTTTTAGGCATCATATAGTTAGGTCTTACTTTTTAATCCAGCTGACAATTTCTGACTTTTAATGAGTGATTAGATCATGATAGGCACATTGCTAGCCCCCTAAAGATGTCCATGTCCCAATTTCTGGAACTTAAGAATATGTTACTTTACATGGCATAAGGGAATTAAGTTTTCAGATGGAATTAAGGTTGTTTATCAGTAGATCTTAAAATAGAGAAGATTCTGAATTATCCATATAGGCCCTATCTAATGATATGAGCCCTAAAATCCAAAACTTTAGAGAGATTTGAAGACAGAAGAGGCAGGAGCAGTTTAAACTGTGAGAGAGTCTCTGAATTTCTCTTGCTCGTCTTGAAGATGGAGGTAGGGGACCATGACCTAAGGCAGGAAGCAGTCTCTAGAAGCTCAAACAGCCTGACAGATAGCAGGTAAATGAAAACATCAGACAATGAATTCTACTAACAACCTGAATGAGCAAGGAAACAGATTCTCTTACAGAGTCTCCAAAAAAGAATTGTGTTCTCACCTTGCTTTTAGCCTAGTAAGACCAGTACCAGACTTCTGACATACAGACTGTAATATAATAAATTTGTGTTGCTTTAAGCCACTAAGTTTATGGTAACTTATTATGGCAGCAGTAGAAAACTAATGCAGACCATTTATATATAGTGTGATTATTGATATAGTTGGGTTTCAATCTACTTTATAGGTTCACAGCAAAATTGTATGGAAGGTACAGAGATTTTCCATACATCCTCTGCCCTCACACATGCACAACCTCTCTTGTTATCAACATCCTCCACCAGAATGGTACATTTGATGGAACTACATTGACACATTATTATCATCCAGAGTGTGTAATCTACATTAGGGTTCATTCTTGGTGTTGTGCATTCTGAATCTTCTATGATATCATTTTTCTCCTTTTGGGAGGCTTATTAGCAATAACTTTCTTCAGTGGTTGTAGTGGTTGTTTTAGACTTTACAGTATGCATCTTTAATTTATAACAGTTTTAGTTGTTGTTGTTGTTGTTGTTTGTTGTTGTTGTTTTTTTGAGACAGAGTCTAGCTCCGTCGCTAGGCTGGAGTGCAGTGACGCTATCTTGGCTCACTGCAACCTGTGCCTTCTGGGTTCAAGCAATTCTCCAGCCTCAGCCTTCCAAGTAGCTGGGATTACAGGCATACTCTGCCACACCCAGCTAATGTTTGTATTTTTAGTAGAGATGGGGTTTCACCATGTTGGCCAGGATGGTTTTGATCTCCTGACCTCGTGATCCACACACTTCAGCCTCCCAAAGTGCTGGGATTATAGGCGTGAGCCACCTCGCCTGGCCAACAGTCTAATATATCACTTCCCATAGTGTTTCTCTTACATTCACTTGGCTTATTCTCTTGAAAATACCTGTTTAAGTGTATGTCTCCCTGCATTTGTTAGAACTTTTTTTGGATGCAAGTTGATAGAATTCCAACCCAGTGTAGCTTAAATGGAAAACAATGATGTGATGGCCTTGTATTGAGTATTTGCTAATCCCTGAAACAAAAAATGTAGCCATATGGCTAGAAATGTTGATGGGCCAGATTGGGTTGTGGACTTATCTCTAGGATAAGAAGGGCACTGGGTTGAATGTCCCCAAAACAACATGAAGTAGGGGTATAACTCCTGGAAGATCAGGGTAGTTGGATGGGAAAGCATGGCTGAGAAATACTAGAGTTCTCATTGTCCATATATTCCTGAAATCAGTTTCTTAGGATAGGTGTTATTTTCTTTTAATTATTTTTTCTCATGTAAGTAACGCATCATTATATTATCTGAGTTTAAAAAAATAAAACAGTCTCCATAAGTCTAAACACCTCCACTGATAATCCCTTTCTAGGAGGTAAACTCTTTATTTATTTTATTTTATTTTATTTTATTTTTTGAGATGGAGTCTCGCTCAGTCACCCAGGCTGGAGTGCAGTGGCGCAATCTCGGCTCACTGCAACCTCCGCCTCCCGGGTTCACGCCATTCTCCTGCCTCAGCCTCCCGAGTAGCTGGGACTACAGGCGCCTGCCACCACGCCCTGCTAATTTTTTGTATTTTTAGTAGAGACGGGGTTTCACTGTGTTAGCCAGGACGGTCTTGATATCCTGACCTCGTGATCTGCCCTCCTCGGCCTCCCAAAGTGCTGGGATTACAGGCGTGAGCCACTGCGCCTGGCCGTCTTTATTATCACGATTTTCAGTGTGGTGTGCATTGCATTCTGTGCTGTGCATTGCATTTTGTGCTGTGCATTGACCTAGAATATTTATAGTTTATTTATTCATTTTACATAAAAAGAGATCACATTATGCATGTTACTCTGCAGCACGGTTCTTGTATTCAACAAATATCTTGTCATTCTATGTATAATAGTGCATATAGATATACTTCATGCTTTTTAACTGCTGTGTAGTATTTCTTTAGATGAATAGTTCATATTTTTTCGATTGTTGAATATTTATTTCCTATTTTTTATTATTAACAATGCTGCCATGAACATCCTTCTATATGCTTTATTGTGCATATTTTCAAGTGCTTCTCTAGAGTGTATGCCTAGAAATGAAATTTCAGTGTCAGACTTCACATTTAAAATACATGTATTATTATTTATTTAAAAAATATATATAGTTTGAATAGGAAATAAATGCACATGGTAAAAGAAAAAACACTGAAAAGTTATGTAATGAAAAGTAGTCTCCCTCAATCTTGAACAGACTCAGTTGGTGATTTACTTTCATTACGTGTTAAATATTACAAGCCAGCTATTAATATTTTAAATATATCTTTCAATTTATGTTTGTCGAATATTTCTTCATGTTTAGTTTCAGGATATATGCCTTTGGTATAAATAGCATACCAGTTAGTCTGACTTCTCATTTTATACTGTCAGGTGATACATGGTTTATAATCCTATTTCTGATGTTTTTCAGTTTAATTGCTTGTTAAGTGTTGTCTGCTAGACTTTAACATTGTAAAGTTCTCTCTTCTTTTTTGTAATTACTGTTTTGTATACTTTGAGACTGTATAAATATTTTGTTATTCGTCAAACTTTTCATTTATTCATTCATTTATATTCATATGAACTCACGGTTTTCAATTTTATTTAGTTAATTATAATCCGTTGCTATCATTATTTATTTTGGTGTTCATATTGTCATAGGTTCGAATAGTGGGAGCCCCTTCAAACTGATATCTGGGTCCTTTTGACATATCTCCATCATTGTTTGAACATTTTGTTACTTTGCTATCCAGCAATATGTGTTCGGGCCATCTTATATTTTTCCTGCACAAATCCTAGAATTAACCATTTCTCCAAGATACCCTAGTTCCATTTGCTGGAGAATGATATTTAGAAGCCAGTGTGTGGACACTAAGTGTGTTCATTGCTATTGGGGTATCAATGCTCCCATGCTTTCTCAGTGTACAGATTTATCTATCTATCTATATATAATATTATCTATATTATATTTATTTCTGTACCTATCTATATACATTGAAAACTATGAATTCATACCCATACCTTAAATTCTTACCAAATATCCAACACCACAGTGTTCATTTTAGTTTTCTTTCTCTCCCCCTCTTCTCTCTTTTTCCAGCAGTGAGAAATCTAGCTCTTATTCTTCTTAAAACAGGGAACACTTGTGATGTTTGATAGACTGATATTAATTCTTTCGCTCACTTGGGGTATACTAGTGGCAGTAATCATGCAACATGAAAGCATGGATGATAGAGCTTTATTTGACAGTTGAATCTGAATGTACCATCTTAGAACATAACAAAAGGAGTAAAATCTCTAATTTCACATATGTAGATATTTATACTGTATTATCACTACCAAGAGAAGCAAAATCCTAATTTGATATCTCAGGAGATAATTATATTATTATGCTTTTTAAAGTATAATGATGAAAATGAATTATGTGATATGAAACTGTCTATAAAACATCTTAGTGACTTTACATTTTTAATGACAATAATAGCAACTGATTTCAAGGTTCAACTATGAGCAACTCTGAGGGTGTATTTTAAGCATTTATTTAAATCATTTTCCCTTTAATTGGAAACTGTTTTTGATAATTGTTTAAGTGACCGTCTACCATTTTACTTTCCAAGATTTATGGTTAATATTAGAATCAGATATAAAACTTTATATACTTTTCACATTTATATGTTTTTAAATTAAATAATCTTTAATTGAAGGTGATATTTGATTCATTGATTATCTTATATTTCTTCCTAATAACTGCAGATATTTTAAATGCAATATCAATTATTCTTTTTCAGGTTTTTGGCCTGACATTTCTCCATTCACACACTTGCCTGTTCACATTTTTAAATACTGTATATTAATATATGTTGATGAGGCTGGATGTCTCTGAACTGAACTCCAACTTTGTATATCAAACAGTCTATTTCTATATTCATTTTATCAAATAGAAAGCTAAACTTAATATGTACAAAACCAAAACCTTGTGTTTGTTTCTTTTTAAGATCAAACCTTATTCTCTCACATTTTCCCCATCTCAGTAAATGGCAACATCCTTCTTTGAGTTTCTCAGGCCAGAAACTCTGGAGTCAGCTGTGACTTCTTTCTCATTCTTATACTCTGTAATTGGTCCATCATAAAATTCTTTATAATATATCCAGGATCTGTCCAATTCTATTTCCTTCTCATCTGTTATAGTGGATCAAGCCACCATCACCTCTTGCCTGAATTCTTGCTGTAGCATCTTAACTGTCCTCCTGGTTCCATGCTTGCCTTTGGGTCTTTTCTCCACCTTGAAGCCAGAGTGATCTTTTTCAAATATATATTGTATTATGCCACTTCTCTGCTCAAAACTTTCAGAAGCTTCTTTTTCAACTCAGAAAAAAGCCCAATAGCCTTTGAGTACCTTCTATATGATCTAACGTCTCTCTATTTCTGTAGAGCCATTTCCAGAATCTTTCCTTTACTTATTCTACTGTAGTCTCACTACTGGCCTTCTTGCTATTCTTTTAAAGTACCAAGCATTTGCTTACCTCAGGGCCCTTGCAGTCGTTATTCCCTGAGGCTAGCATGCTCTTTACCATGATATCTGCCTGGCTAGATCCTTCCATTTTGTTCAGATTTCTATGCAAGCATCACCTTATCAGAGAAAGCTTTCCTGACCACCTAAAGTAAAATAGCACCTACCTTTTCACACTTCCTATCTCTCTTATCAGGTTTAATATTTCTACATAGTACTTGTCACTGTCTAACATATTTTAAATATAATATGCTATATATATAGTTATATATATGTATAACATATACATATAATATGTTATATATATACTATATACTATATACAGTATGTTTACTTATAGCTCCCACTAGATTATAAACTCCATGCAATCAGGAACTTTGATTTTCTTAATACGTGCCTCCTGTGTTTAGAACAGTTCCTAGAAAGTGATTGCCGTTCCATTAATATTTGTGGAATAAATAAATAAATTAAAACTCTTTGTGAGAGAAAGAATCCATTGTGTTTGGATTTCAATAGTGTCAATCAAGTTAAGACATTTCCTGGTACTTCCTTCTCCTGTCTTTGCCTGACTCCATCCTGGATGAAAGCAGAGGCAGCTTTGTGTGTGGAGATGGGATTGGATGGGTAAGAAATTGCAAGGTGGGCAAATGGAGGAAAAGGTCATATCCTCTCCTCGTCCACTCTAGGTCTCCCTGCTTAAAAGCACTAGCAATCTGGCAGAAGGAAGACATTTTAACTTAAACTGAAGTTGGTGTTTTGATGGATACATTGTACAGGACGTTTTAATTACTGAGCTAGATTATTCTTGGCACTATGAATGACTTAAAAGAAGAATGTTTAAGAACAGTCTGGGACCTTCCATCACCTAATATTTCCTTCACAGGGCAAGAGAAAAATAAGTCTCCAGATTGTTTATGAAGGGTCTGTGAGGGGAACACGTGAAAAATTTTCCCCCTGCATCCTATGGAGTTCTGCTTATTTGTTTAACCTAATGATTATCCTTCTATGTGGTCTTCATCACAGTGCTAAGTAATCTACTGTTTACCCTCTGTCTGCCTTACTAGACTGAGAACTCAAGAAGACAGGGGCAGCATTTTTATTAATCCTGTTAATCCAAGACCAACTATGGTACTTGACATGTAGCAACCATTTAGTGTTTGTTGAATAACCTCCCTCCCATCATCTTGTTGCAAGGGTTACTTGAATGCCAAAAGTACTTTGAGTATGAGAAATTCAGTATTTCATGATACAAAGGAGGCAGAAAATGCTTAGGTATATAAAGAGATATTGTGTTCCAAGATTTAGATCCATTTACCCAATGAAAATTTACCATCACTCCATTCTATGGGAAAACACTTTACTTCTGAACTGTATCACAGTGTTGGCTTTATCCTTCCCTTCTTATTCAAGCTCTCAGCTACCTAATCTTTCTCCCCTATTGCAGCAGGCCAGGTGGGCTTTCATGAAGCCCAGTGTTTGGAATAAATGCTAAAAATAATCCCCTTTTCTCCACATCTTATTCTTCTTTAAAGGCAGAGCCTGAATCCTTACTGTTTAAAAGTTAACATCTCCTGTATTCTTGTGGCAAATGCAAAAAATATGACAATGTTTTGAAAGACTGTGGAGAGGGTTTGTTTCAGTATAAAAACTATAGCATTACTATCACTGTGATCCAGAGATGAAAAGTTATAAAACATTTTGACTCAAATAGATGCCACATGAATTTAATGATTTTCATGTGGATAATCATTTTTCAAACAAACTGTAGCCATGACTTAATCCCTCCTAGAAAGACAGGAGTGTATCTTCAAACAAACTGCCTAAGCTGTTTGTTCACAGTTTGCTTTTTGATTCAGCAAGATGGATTATGAGGGGTAACAACCAGAGCTGTGACAGCTCTGGCTAAATCCCACCTGGCGTTCCATCCGCCTCTCCTTTAAAAATCTCTCCAAGTTTATAATTCTACAAAAGGCTTAACGGTACTCACTGGAGGAATGCCTTGGCTTGGGAGCAGGGGTAGGGAGTGGGGATTTAATATGCCAATTAAAAAATTTATTGTTAATAACAAATTCTTGGGTTGTTTCATTTGCAACCCAAGTGTAAATCCTATGTGAACAATGCAAGCACTGGGCTGAAAATGAAGTGAAATAAACACTTAGGGCTTATCCCTAAGTGTTTCACTAACCTTAGTGAATCTTTTCTGGTCAGTGACAGCCTAGTGAACTTTCTTGAGGGACAGTGAAACTGCCATTTTTCTGGCCTCTAGACATGGTCTCGTCTATAGCACACATCCACAATCATATTGCTTATACAATACATTTATGAAACTTCCTTCCTCTTATTATTAGCCTCCTTTCTACTGTGATTACCATCAACTTCATTTCCCTCCCCATGGCTAAAACTGTCAGTAGGGAGGAAATAAAAATTATGATAATGTTTTAATACCTGCTCTCACATGTATTAAAAGAGAAGAGTTCCAGAGAGAAGAGTTCTCAAATAGGACACTAAACGGCGACTATGTATTCTATGACTTCTGTGATATCATACAAGATACTTTATAGCCTTTTGGTTAGAACAGGCAAGTTAGTTGTTAATTGTTTAATGCCAGGAACTGTCCCCTTTGGACTGTTAACATATTGATCAGTCTTCATCACTCATGAACTGTGTAGCAGATAATTTGCCATTAATAATTAAAATGCAGATGTTTAAGAATAAATTATTTTAAAAATGAGAGCTCAGTCTAAGCTAGCATTACAGTAAAATAATATTTCATTTACTTGCATTGAAACAGCAGAAAAGAAGGTAGGGTAAACATGGAGAATCCCATATTTCCATAACAGTATGATGTTTCTGGGAGTATAAAAAATGTTAAGAACCACTGATTTAGGCCAAAAGGTCCCCAAAAGTAGAAGCAATATATGGCAATATTAGTATAGACTCCCTCATTCCTTGTCATCATTCCCTGAATGGGAAGGTAATTCTGTACTTCATACTTTCTTCTTGACGTTATCTTTGAGACTTGGTTTCTAATATATAAGTATTTAGCATACATTCAATCACACATGCTAACAAGAAAGGGACACTATCAGTAAAAAACTATAAATCAAATTTTGCTTTGAGAATGAACTTTGGATTTCAGCCTACTCTGTCAGACTTTATTCCTGTTTTGTTATTAAATGCCAATATTATTTACATCTAACTTTCTTTCCCTTTATCACACACATATGATGGAAGTGCTAAGCAGGAGTACAGAGGAACAAGGTCTGGTAGCCTATGGGGAAAAAAATTAAATCTGGCATTTGGTTCCTGGACCATTCAAGAGTAGCAGCCTATCCAAGTATTGATGTTTGTATGTGTTAGAATAAAAGTGTCATCTGTTCAGGATATTCCATTAACAACATGTCTTTGAAATTTAGTGGGCTTAATATTCAGGAAAAGCATAAAATGAGAATATGGAATTATACAAGTCTTTTTCTTTCTTTAGATCTTTGATGGGTATGTGCAATCAACTTAAAGCCTTTTTTTGTCCTTTGATTATTCAATTTAATTATTGTATTCCATTGTTTTAATATATTTCTGTGGTTTCTATGTTTTGCACATTTCACACCATTATTTCACTTCATTGTATTTTAAGACCTGAGATTCAGGTACAATTTGTTGAAACTGTTAACATTTTTTTTTTTTTTTTTCCTGCCTGAATCAGGGAGACCCAGGATGCTGTTCAGGCCTTATCCCAACCAAATTCCCCTCTTCACTTTGCAGGGCCCATCGTAGTCAAATGTGCTAACTTCTAAAATAATAAATAGCACTAATTCAAAATTTTTGGACTCTTAAATTAGCTACTTGCAGGTTCTTGTTGAAAGGTATATAATATTGCATTGTAAAGAAATTTAAAATATTTATGGGTATTTTTGAAAAGCTGCATTATGTTAAATAATATTACATGTAAAGCTATTTAAAAGAATTTTTTTTTTGTATTTTGTGTAACAAAAATTGCTCAGGAGCATGCTAAACCTGAGGCCAAGTTGTTTCTTAGTATGACTTTTTTAAAAAACATCTGCTGAGTAACGACAGGGCCAAAGACTTGGAGAACTTGTTTCTGTTGCATTTGCATATCTTTTTTTTAAATTTTATTATTATTGTACTTTAAGTTTTAGGGTACATGTGCACAATGTGCAGGTTTGTTACATATGTATACATGTGCCATGTTGGTGTGCTGCACCCATTAACTCGTCATTTAGCATTAGGTATATCTCCTAATGCTATCCCTCCCGAAACTGTTACATTTTTAACAGTGCTTTAGGAATATATTAGAACCTGTTATAATTTTTTTAATTAACTTCTGTTTGCATATTTATTAATGTGAATGAGAAATTATAGCTTACATATACAGTTATCTATATGTAACACCATAAATGCATTTATAAATATACATATCGAAAGCATATTTCTAGCATCTATAAATGCCTATTTTTTAGTGTATACACATATGAAAACAATTTTCAGTGTACGTATAGTCACAAATGTTTCCTATTGGCATTTGAAATGAAATTTAAATTCCATTTTGTTTTTCTAAAAAATTGATCAATATAATTGATTAAATAATCAGCTTTCATCTTTTTGTGTATGAAATGAATGTTTTTTGCTTTTACCTGATACGGTCTTTTTAGGGTAGTTAGAGTTTGGGGAACGGAGAAGCAGCAGGGAGTTCTTAGAATAAAAGTGTTAATTCCCTGATGAAAAAGAGTTGAGAAGCAATGTAGTGACAATTGCTTGGCACTAGTCTAACAGAAGCAAGATTTAACATGCAAATCCTGTTTTGTTGCTCTTGTTTTCCTGGTACCCAAACAAAAGCAAGATAATCATTTTCACCCCATCCACAACTACTCAAAATGGGCTCTAATTCAATAAGAAAATAAAGAAACTTTTCTATTTGCTTTTGAGAGTCTGAGTTCTTCGGAGAGGGGCTGAAAACAGCGAGGAAAACAAATATTTGTTAAGTGATAAGAGTGTGCCTGAATTATGCTAAATGGTATCAGATAGAAAAGAAAAATGCTAACATTTCTATAAACAGGGACCCACAAACAAGGCACATAGAGGAGACAATGAATAAACAAGGCATTGTTTATCTACAAGATTGGCATTGTACAAAATTTGGGGTCATAGACCCCTGATAATCTATTGAAAGAATAATACACAGTCACACATAATTTGTACACAGTTTTGGCAGGGGAAGGTCCAAGGAAAAACCCTAACATGGAGGACAGGACTATAATTTTAGGTCACCATTTCTTCATTATTTATTCAGAGGAGTCCTAGATAAGGGCATATACGACTCTTATGTTCTTTCATAACACCGTATGTCTCTCCTTAGGTTTTCATTGTTATAAAATAGTATATATTTGAATAATTATTTGCTAAAGCCTGTACCCTCGACTATAAGCTCCATGTGGGCAGAAATATCCTCGCTCCTCATTTAATTCCCCAGGATGAACACAGTTCCTGGTACATAGTAATCACACAAATATTGGTTGAATGAAACAATGAATGAATGTGGATTTGACATGAAATATGGAAGAAGTTAGAGAAGACAGCATTATGTGTGCTAGAGTTGTTGGTAAGTTTCATAGGGGATGAGTCACCAGTGCAATCCATGATTCTTGAGGACCTATCATGGGCATGGCCTTGAGCTATTCATGCGGTAGAGCTTGTTTTTGAAAGGAAGTATTGATGGTCTCAGAGGCAGGGAAGAGGCATCTTGGATTAGGGGAAATAGGCTAAAAGAGTAGTGTGAAATAAGCACAGTGCATTAGAAAACTAGTTCTTCTGGTGGATGAAGGATAATTGTAGAAAATTTGGTGGGACCATGCATTGTTTTGATAAAGGTGTTGTAGTAGTTTGGATTCTTCATAAGCAGATCCTGCGGTGAGTATTTGTGAGCAAGTGATTTCTTAAATAAGTGCTTCCAGAAGAGATTTATAAGGGAGTAGAGGGAAAGGGAAGAAGCCAAGCAAGCACGTGTGTATGTTTAGGCAAAGTCTCAGTCTCAGCCTGATCCTGCCAGGGAGTTCTCAAGTATAAATGACACCTCAGAGTATGTGCAGACCCAGGCAAGGGAGCCACATATTCACGCTTCCACTTTAGGGCTATTCCAGGGCATGTAAACTTCCAGGTCCTTCCTGTTTTCTCTCAGGAGCAGGTATAAAGTAGCTCAGGAGAAAGTATCAGGTGCTGTGGGCCATTAGAAGCAAAACACACTGAGGCCAAAGGCTAGCCACACAGAAAGGTCAAAGTGGGGATGGGAAGGAATCTGGACAGAGGATTTGTGGGGTCTGCTTCAGGAATTCTAGCCTGACTTGATAGGCAACAGAGATTTGTCACAGGTTCGCAAACCTTGATGCACATTAGAAGCACCTGAGGAGCTTTTAAAGAAAAATTAATTCATCTGGCTCAAGCCCAGATGAATTAAATCAGAACCTCTTCAGGTACAGTTTAGGCATCAATGGTTTTTAAAAGCTTCTCCTGTGGAATCAAATGATTGCCTGGATTATAGACTCTTGGGTAAGGATGTGGCAGGATGCAAATAGTATTTTAGGGAGATATATTGGTAGGGACTTTTAGACTGGACTGAAGGGAGAATAAACTGGAGGAGACAATGGAGTTTTGGCCAAAGGTGATGACTTAGACTGTGATGGTGGCAGAGCAAATGGACATAAAGAAACAAATGTGAGGGATAGTTTAAGGAAAAATTCAAGAGACTTACTAACTGATTGAATGGGAGGGCTTGAGGGGATGGAGGAGTCAAAGATGGCTTGAAAATGTCCAGGCTGGGAGTCTGGCTTTGAAGCAATGTCTTTGAAGTACTGTGACTCTCAGACCATGTGGAAAATTATATCAGCATAGCCCTTTGACATTTTCAGTTGGAAAAGGAAAGATGCTATTATTAATGAGGAAGCTTCTCTCAGGGACTAGATTATTCTTTGGTCATGAATTAGACATTCTGTTACCACATTCAGGCTAAAAGTGACTGTTTAAATCATATGATCCTTAATATAACAAAACTAAATATACCTTATGTGGCCTGAAAAATTTGTTCCCAAGGAACTTGGACTTTGGGTATTCATAAAATGGTGTTCATAATTCCATCATACTGTGCTAGTGTCAATATTCCAGTTGAAAGTATTGGCATTGGTTAGTTCTGCTATTAATTTGGCTAAATATACCAGTTTACAGCCATCTATCTTTTCCTTTATAGTAGTCATAAATTGTAACCTTTGACACAACATATATTACTAGATATAACTTTAGCATTTTATGCTTTTTTAATATGGTAAGGTGCTTTTTATGTTTGGGGAGTGGTAAAGATAATAACCTTTATCTCAATACAACAATTATACAAGCATTGAGAGTTGCATATTTTACTTAACCGTGTAACATTTCTTTGTAGGGACAAAGTAAAAGATAAAACTAGTAATGGTACTCTTTTAACATAATGCTTTCTCAACAATTCACATGAAGAATTCTGTAGGATAGTAAAGAAGGTACTGTAATTATTTGTACCTTACAAATGAAATAGTTGAGGCCCACAGACCATGGTTACTCAGCACAAAAAGTGCTGGAAAAGAGACTGATGTCAGAACATTTGTTTCCCAAGTGAAATGTCTTTCCTTTATGGACTAGCAGTGATGTCATTCTGAAGCACTAAAAAGTGATTCTTCTGAGTTCTGCTTCTCCCAGGTAATGATCATTTAGATTTGGTTATCTTGCTTCTTGTATATGAACTGTGGCGTTTTACTGGGAGCAGCAGCAGCAGCAACAGTTATCAGTTTGACACTATCAGATGTTAGACGTTATTACTGGTACTTTGCAAACATTTTCTTTAATCTTCTTAAAAACCCTATATGGTAGATAAATAATAACCTCATTTTGCAAATAAGAAAACTGAGGCTTAGAATGATGTTTTTCTTTGACAAAACAGTGTATTTTTTTAGGCATTATGGTTCAAAGCAAAGAAGAAAAGAAAAAGTGTATTCCTGATTTAAAGTTTACGCTACAAATATGGGCTGGGCGCAGTGGCTCACGTCTGTAATCCCAGCACTTCGGGACGCTGAGGTGGGTGGTCACTTGAGGTCAGGAGTTTGAAATCAGCCTAGCTAACATGGTGAAACTCCATCTCTACTAAAAAAACAAAAATTAGCTGGGCGTGGTGGCGGGTGCCTTTAATCCCAGCTATTCGGGAGGTTGAGGTGGGAGAATCACTTGAACCTGGGAGGCAGAGGTTGCAGTGAGCCGAGATCGTGCCACTACACTCCATCCTAGGCAACAGAGGGAGACTCTGTCTCAAAAAACAACAAACACAGCAACAACAAAACAAACAAATATGTATTGAAACCATACTCCTCAAATAGCTTTCTTATATGCATGTTTAATGTTTTACTTAGAAGGATTTCTCTTTGATTAGTTTCTAGTCCTGGGATGTTTAGAATAATTTTTTCCTACTTCCCCTAAGACTCCCATTATTTTTTAAAGTATGAATACTATTAGGTAGTTAGGTAATATTTATGATCAATTGTGGACAACTGTGGCTGCAGGTTATGTCTGTCTTTCATGTATATTGTTCTAGCTTTCTTCTCATGGCTCCTTCCAGGAACTTCCTCTTTAGCAGCCTGTATTTTCACCACTGAGATATAAACATGATCCAGTTTGGCCAATCAGATTATTTGATTAACCAAGCCTTAATGATTGATTATTTTAGGGATGGGCAAGTAGGGCTGTGTAATAAAGAACTTGGCCTCAGCTCAGGCAGAGGTCTGGCTGGCCTTTGATTCCAGTTCCTGGGAGGTAACTTCTAATCCTTTGCATTTCCTGCTAAGATGTCCTTTGTTATTCATGGTGGGCACCTGGGACCACAACTGGTAGTTTATGTTCACAAGGTGACTTCTGTAGGTCTTTCAGGCCATGTGATGTCAGACTGACATCTGGAGAGTGTGGAGGGCTGGAAATTAAATTAAACTATGTGGATAATTATTTATTCAACCAGGCCTACATCATGAAGCCCCAATAAAAACTTAGGACACAGAGTTTGGGTTTTGTCATGTATTAGTGCTGCTGGGGTAATGCACCTCTAAGGATGATGGAAGCTTCACATCTGGACCCCTCCCAGACTTCACCCTGTGCATCTTTTCTGTTGGTTTGTTCTTACTTGTATCCTTTTATTATAATAAGAATGTAATCATAAGTATAATACTTTCCAGTCATGTGAGTTGTTCTAACAAATTATTGAACCTGAGCTGATCATGGGATCTACCAAATTTGTAGCCAGCTGGTCTAAAGTGAAGGCGGTCCTGGGAACCCCCAAACTTGTGGCTGGTGTCTAAGTGAGATCAGTCTTATAGGAACTGTCTCTTCTCACTTTGCACTTTGGCAGACTCATTGCAGTTGGTGTCTTGATAGACTTGGTAGTCTGGAGGACTGTGCTCTTAACCTTGAGTTTGACCAACATTGAGTAAGGGCCAAGCAGATTATTCCATAGAATTGAGCAGAGTATTCCATGTGGACTTAGAGAGGGAAATTCTGTTTCTGGAAATATTAAGCTGGAGATTTTAAGCTGGAAAGGTGTGGTTTGTTTGCTGGTAGCCATCTTGACTATCATATGATGATAGCCTGTGTGTAGATTGTAGCTAGGTAGAGTAGGAATGATGAAATGGAGAGAAAAACATCCCTTATAGTATTGTCTGAGCCCGTTGATCTCGCTGTGCTAAAAGCTGTATGTATCTATGGTTTCCTGATTCAGCAAATCATTAAATATCCTTTGTGCTTACACTAGTTTAGCTTCCACCATTGCAATCAGAGAGTTTTGTCAATATCTGTTGTTTGGACCTCATGTTTCTCCTGGAGGATCACATGTATTAGTGAATAAAACTTTGATTGAGAGTCTTCTTATTTTCATGTAATTGATATAGTTTGCATATTTGTCCCTGCCCAAATCTCATGTTGAATTATAATCTCCAGTGTTGAAGGTGGGGCCTGCTGGGAGGTGTTTGAATCACAGGGGCGTATCCCTCATGGCTTGGTGCTATCTTTGTGATAGTGAGTTCTCATGAGATTGGGTCATTTAAAAGTGTGGCAGGCACCCTCCTTCCCCCTGGCTCACCACACACACAACTTTTTCCTCTCATGCTCCTGCTCTGGCCATGTGACCTGCCTGCTCCCTCTTTGTCTTTTGCCATGACTGTAAGCTTCCTGAGGCTTCCCCAGAAGCTGAGCAGATGCCAGCCCCATGCTTCCTGAAAAACCTGCAGAACTATGAATGAATTAAACCTCTTTTCTTTATGAATTACCCAGTCTCAGGTATTTCTTTCTTTTTTTTTTTTATTATACTTTAAGTTTTAGGGTACATGTGCACATTGTGCAGGTTAGTTACACATGTATACATGTGCCATGTTGGTGTGCTGCACCCATTAACTCGTCATTTAACGTTAGGTATATCTCCTAATGCTATCCCTCCGCTCTCCCCCCACCCCACAACAGGCCCCGGTGTGTGATGTTCACCTTCCTGTGTCCATGTGTTCTCATTGTTCAGTTCCCACCTATGAGTGAGAACATGCAGTGTTTGGTTTTTTGTCCTTGTGATAGTTTGCTGAGAATGATGGTTTCCAGCTTCATCCATGTCCCTACAAAGGAGATGAACTTATCATTTTTTATGGCTGCGTAGTATTCCATGGTGTATATGTGCCACATTTTCTTAATCCAGTCTGTCATTGTTGGACATTTGGGTTGGTTCCAAGTCTTTGCTATTGTGAATAGTACCGCAATAAATATACGTGCGCATGTGTCTTTATAGCAGCATGATTTATAATTCTTTGGGTATATACCCAGTAATGGGATGGCTGGGTCAAATGGTATTTCTAGTTCTAGATCCCTGAGGAATCGCCACACTGACTTCCACAATGGTTGAACTAGTTTACAGTCCCACCAACAGTGTAAAAGTGTTCCTATTTCTCCACATCCTCTCCAGCACCTGTTGTTTCCTGACTTTTTAATGATCACATTCTAACTGGTGTGAGATGGTATCTCACTGTGGTTTTGATTTGCATTTCTCTGATGGCCAGTGATGATGAGCATTTTTTCATGTGTCTTTTGGCTGCATAAATGTCTTCTTTTGAAACAGAGTTGTTTTATAGAGTTTTATATGTGAGTTTTAATATATGTAAGTTTTAATATATGTAATGAGTTTTAATATATGTAAGGCAATTAATTCCAGGTACCTAACAATTGTATATGCAATTTTATATTCTTGCTATACGAGACAATGTTATAAATTTAATTTAATTTAATTTAATTTAATTTAATTTAATTTAATTTAATTTTTTGAGACAGGGTCTCACTTTCTTACCCAGGGTGGAGTGCTGTGGCATGAGTTCGGCTTACTGCAACCTCAACCTCCCAAGCTAAAGCAATCTTCCCACCTTTGCCTCCCTAGTAGCTGGTACTACAGCCTTGCACCACCATGCCTGGCTAATTTTTTGTACTTTTTGTAGAGATGGGGTTTTGCCATGTTGCCCAGGCTGGTGTCAAACTCCTGAGCTCAAGCTATCCACCTGCCTCGGCCTCCCAAAGTGCTAGGATTACAGGCATGAGCCATTGCACCTGACCTATAAATTTTTTTTCAACTATCAAACTTAGTTTAGAAGACTCAAGAGAAGAAGGAAAGTCAATTGTATTTACCCATGTTGTTGCTTACTCTTTTCTTTTTTCCTTCCAGGTTTTCCGTGATTCCTACTTTTGTCATTTGATTTCTGTTTAGAGAACTTCTTTAGTCATTTTCTTTTGTTAAGGATAGATCTGCTGGCAACATATTCTCTTAGTTTCCCTTCATCTGAGAATGCACTGATTTTCCCTTCACTCTTGAAGGATATTTTCACTGAATATAATATTCTGCTTTCAGAAGTATTTTATTTCAACATTTGAAAAATGTCATACCAATTGCTTCTGGTCTTCATGAGTTCTGATGAGGAATTAACTATCTTGGATTTGTTTTTCCTGTAAAGGTAAAGTGTCATTTCTTTAGTTGCTTTGAATATTTTTCCTTTGTTTTTAACTTTTCAAGAAGGTTTTATCTATAATTTGTCTTGATATGGATTTCTTTTTTTTTCTTTCTTTTTCTTTTCTTTTCTTTTCTTTCTTTTTTTTTTTTTTTGACACAGAGTCTCGCTCTGTTGCCCAGGCTGGAGTGCAGTGGTGCAATCTCGGCTCACTGCAAGCTCTGCCTCCCGTGTTCACGCCATTCTCCTGCCTCAGCCTCCCGAGTAGCTCGGACTACAGGCGCCCGCCATCATGACCGGCGAATTTGTGTGTGTGTGTGTTTTTAGTAGAGATGGGGTTTCACCGTGTTAGCCAGGATGGTCTCGATCTCCTGACCTTGTGATCTGCCTGTCTCGGCCTCCTGAAGTGCTGGGATTACGGGCGTGAGCCACTGCGCACGGCCTTGATATGGATTTCTTTTCTTTGAGACAGTGTCTTGCTCTGCTGCCCTCGCTGGAGTGCAGTGGCACAGTTACTGCTCACTGCAGCCTCTACCTCCTGGGCTCAAGTGATCCTTCCATCTCAGCCCCATGAGTAGCTGGGACCACAGGGGCACGTCACCTCGCTTGGCTGCTTTTTCTTTTATTTTTTGTAGAGGCGGAGTCTCATTGTGTTGCCGTGGCTGGTCTTGCACTCCTGGGCTCAAGCGATTCTCCTGCCTCAGTCTCCCAAAGTTCTGGGATTATGTGTGTGAGCCACTGCGCCTGGTCTTGACATGAATTTCTTTTTTATTTACTCTGTTTGAGATTTGCTCACCTTCTTAAGTCTATAAATTTGTGTCTTTTTGCCAAATTTGGGAAGTTTTAGCTATTACGTCTGTAAGTACTTTTTCAGCCTCACCTTTTTCCTCCTCTTCTCTGGGACTTTTATCAGGCAAATATTAGATTTTTTTTTTAATAGTCCCACAAATTCCTGAGGCTTTGTTCACTTTTTTTTTTCAGTCTATTTTGTCTGTTGTTCAGTTTGGGTAATTTCTATTGTACTATTTTCAAGTTCACTGATTCTTTCCTCTGTCACTTGCATTCTAATGTTGTACCCATACATTGAGTTTTTTGTTTTGGTTATTGTATTTTTCAGTTCTAATATTTCTACTTGATGGTTCTTTATATCTTTGATATCTTTGCTGAGATTTTCTGTTTATTTGCTGAGACTCTCAATTCTTTTATTTGCTTCAAGTGCATTTGTAGTTACTTGCTGAAGTATTTTTATGATGGCATTTTCAATTTTTTGTGAAATAATCCTCTCATGTCATGTTGGTGTTGGTATGTATTAGGCATTCTTTGTTTTCATTTAATTTGATCTTTTTCTGCTGTGTGGCATGTTGTGTTTGGCTGTAGTGAAGCTATTATTATATACGCTTTCTGTCTTGCAAGGCTACCCCTTTTCTGGTACTTT
Organism: Homo sapiens; assembly: GCF_000001405.40. Taxonomy (NCBI): domain Eukaryota; kingdom Metazoa; phylum Chordata; class Mammalia; order Primates; family Hominidae; genus Homo; species Homo sapiens. The sequence continues at coordinate 82,018,712 of NC_000009.12, forward strand.
AACTAGAGAGAGTAGGTTTTTTGGGGGACTTTTTTTTGGCAGGCACCCTTTGGCATTTTCCAGTTTTCAGTTTCTTCAGCTGCAAACTCGGGATATATGAAGCAATAGGAAAACAAAGGGAACTCACCACCACTTGTCTTTTTCCTTGGGTCTTAAAGTGTCTAGCTAGTCTGTCTTCTTTTCTCCATTTCTCAGAGAATAGAGAAAAGGTTGGGTGTAGTGGCTCACGCCTCTAATCTCAGCATTTTGGGAAGCTGAGGCAGGAGGATCGCTTGAGCTTAAGAATGTGAGACCAGCCTGGGCAATACAGTGAGACTCTGTCTCTACACAAAATATTAATAAAAGGGTCCTCTTATATTTGTTTAATAGAAAACATCCAGGGCTTTTAAATTGTACTTAGCAGGAGAAATAGGGAAAAATATAACTACTTTAGTTTCTAGTAGTGGAAGTCCACTGGCTCTAATTTTTTTTTTTTTTTTGAGACAGAGTCTTGCTCTGTCACCCAGGCTGGAGTGCAGTGGCACTATCTCGGCACACTGCAACCTCTGCCTCCCAGGTTCAAGCCATTCTCCCTGCCTCAGTCTCCTGAGTAGCTAGGATGACGGGCTCCCGCCATCAAGCGCAGCTAATTTTCGTAGTTTTTTAGTAGATATGGGGTTTTGCAATGTTGGGCAGGCTGGTCTTGAACTCCTGACCTCAGGTGATCCACCCACCTTGGCTTCCCAAAGTGGTGGGATTACAGGCATGAACCACCATGCCCAGCCCATTGGCCCTATTTTGATAATTATTTTCTTTATGCCTTCTTGAAAGATAATAGCTATCTTTGACCTACTACTTGCCAACATGTATATGTGAAGATAGTTTCTTCTATTGTCTGCTCGAGAATGTATGGAGCCCATTTCTAGCTGAAAGGTAGGTAGACGTACTTAGTTCTCAGCATAAATTCTAGTAATTAATATTTATAGGCATTTACCAAGTTGATTCTTCTAGCTAAACAATGGTAGTATCACTTTTTAGCCCCAAGTCTGATTCTTTGGCAGCCTGAGTTAAGGGGGCATAGATTGGTCTCCTAAAATAAACTTTTAAAGGCTTTCCTAGTGTGTTTTCCTTACCTTATAAAATTATGGAATCATTCTACCTAGGATACATTATATGAATTCTGATCCTCATGTACTCTTTGACTACTCTGTCTTTTTATTTTTGGGGACTTGGAGGATATAAAAAGATGTTGAAGAGTCAGAGGAGGAGAAGTATTAAGTACTATGGCTGTCTCACATCACCTTCCATTCAGTTGAGAAATGACCACTTATTTTTCTTCTGATTGGATATAAGCATGTCTCTCCAAGCCAAAGGGGTAGAGAATGGGTGAAAAAGACAATTCTGTAGCCTTCAACTAGGCCATCTTCATTTTCAGAGTGATGTATTGATCAGCCATTGCCTTCTTTGCTCATTTCAGCTCCATTGCTTTAATAGTTAAAGGAAATTCCTTCCAGATTTAGACAATAGTTAGTCAGTTTTTAGCATTGCTGTTTTTAATCTCTTTTTCTGGGTCCGTATAGGTATTTTAGGATAAGGGAGCGGCAGCCAGCCAGATGCCATTTAAAACTAGAATCTCCCATAAGCTAAACTAATCTTAAGGGAAATTTAAAAGTGAGTCTGAGTGAAAGCAAGTTTTTTCAAAATTGAATTGAACAATTAAGTTGCTAAAATAATCTCTTCATTTAAAAATCAATGACATACAAAAATAATTTTATTGTTTGAGTTTTTAAACTTTTTCAAATCTGTGAATCAAGCTCCTCTTGGTGCTTGAATAGGTGCCATCTGCTGAGTTGTAACTGAGCCAGTTCTTGCATTTGGGCCTAAATTTAATATTTAATTCTGATAGATGAAACATGCATCTTTAAAAGCAGTGAGCCATTTGTAGATTTTTAGTTTAATACTTGCCTAAAACTTAGATTTACTTCTTAGTAGTAACTTACATAGATACATTTCTTAAATACACAGATGCTTCTCAACTTATGATGAGGTTACATCCTGATAAACCTATCATAGGCTGATTTATGGTGGTTTGACTCATGATTTTTAAAATTTATGATGGTATAAAAGCAATACACATTTAGTAGAAACCGTACTTCAAGTACCCATACAACCATTCTGTTTTTCGCTTTCAGTATAATATTCAATAAATTACATGAGATATTCAATAATTTATTATAAAAAAGGCTTTGTGTTAGATGATTTTGCCCAAATGTAGGCTAATGTCAGTGTTCTGAGCATGTTTAAGAGAGGCTAGGCTAAGCTATGATGTTTGGTAGGTTAGGTGTATTAAGTGCATTTTTGATTTACAGTATTTTCAGCTTATACTGGGTTTATTGGGATGTAACCCCATTGTAAGTTGAGGATCATCTGTACTTGCTTATACATAACCTATCCTAGGTATCAGTTAGCTATTATTTAAAAAAAAAATAATTGATATGCTTGGAACAATAACCAGAAGCTTAGAACAGTTGAATCTTTAACTCAACTGGGTGGTTTCTGCTGACTTGAACTGGGTTTGGCAAAGCTCACTCACATTTCTCTGGTCAGCTGTGAATTGGCTAGGTGACTTTGCTAATCTTGGCTACACTTAATTGTTTGTCTGGAGCTTTGCCTGGGACACTAGACTGACTCACCTCTGTTCCATGTGTCTCATCCTCCAGCAGGCTAGCCCAGGCATGTTCTTGTGATGAAGGCAGTGGAGAGTGGAGAAGAAAGAGAGAGAGTGAATAAGAGAGAACAAGTGAACACAGAAAATGCACCATACACCTTGAGGCCTAGGCTTGGAACTGACAAAATGCCACTTCCTTCACATTTTATTGGCTAAGCAGGTTGCAAGGGTCCATGAAATAGACTCCATCTCTTAATGGGATGAACTGCAAAGTAACATTTGAAAGGTTGCTGATATACAGAGGGGTGAATAATTATAGTCATTTCTACAATCAATACACTATTTTAGGAAAGGATGGAATGGGACTAGAACCCTATTTTATGCCTCTAGACCCGATTTCTTTTTATTGCACTAGTTTTTCTTCCTACTTACCTATACCATGAGTCTGAATGTTTCTGAGGAAAATAAAAAGCATTTATGTTTTCAGCATAGAGAATCTATATTGAAATGTTACCAATATAGAGAATCTTTTGAAAGTTAAGAAGGATTTTTTCACATTGCTTTACCTGTTTATTTCTTTTGACTATAAGTCTCTGGAAACTCGAACAATAATATTAGGGTTATATAACCCTAGTTATCAGGGTTTTAGGTTCACTTCACATCTTATATTTTTTATCATTAGTATCATTAGTATTTGTGACAGATTCTTTTTGGAAATCAAGTTATAGGATAAGACATAAAACTTCAGGGTGTGTTTTTTCTCACATTGATATTTTTATCATAGCCCACTCACCCCTTGTTACTGCCCTTGCCTTTGTGGACCTAGAGACGGATGAAAAAGATAAAATTGTTATTGAATTGTAGCAGCTTCAAGCTGTCCTGTTTGTTTGTCCCCAGATCTTTCTATGCCAGTTCCAAATTCCCTCTTGCCAAAATTAGGTTTGGAAAAATAATGTATTTCGTATATGACATATGTTTGAAATTAGCAGGAAATGCAGCCAAGATTTGGAAATTAACAAGGAAAAAGTTATTTCTGAAAACAGTTGGGAGCCAAAGAAGAGTGTTTGGCTTAAAACATTAGGGTATTTCATTGTTTAGCAAATTAAATAATTCAAAAAAATCCAAGAAGGAACAACACAGCATTTTTTTTCAATATATGTGGATAGTTCTTATTTAAGAACCTTTTAGACAGAAATTAAATGAGGAATCCAAATGTACCATCTACAGGATATATAATCTTCTAATATCTAGTAAATCTAATTCTTCATGAATTTTTTTGAAATTAAGTCACATACTTCTGTTTGCCCATATGTGAAAAAGAGATTTACTATTGATCTGCTACTTACAAAATAAACAGGAATAGTTGAGGGGACCCAGAACAAGAATCAGATCTTCCCTTTCCAATATGAAGGACTATTTGGACCTGACTTCTTGATAAACACATTATCATTTCTGTATTAAATGTTGAATTGTCTCCTCTAGCAATTTATCTCTTTGAATTAATTTAATTCAAGGTAAGGAACATTACTAGGCATTGTCTATACAGGGGAGTAAGATGATAAGGAGGCATGTAGATTGACAAACTGTGGTCCTTAACCACAGGAGACTTAAAGTCTGATTGAAGAGAATAGGATTATTTAATGCGAGGTATTGTTCTTTTCAGGCCCCATTTATAGAAACGTGCATTCCTTTAGAGTCCTAGATCAATTTATAAGAAGGTGAAGGCCTGTCTGGGCTAAGAATCTCAGAGTTGTTGATTTCATGAATCCTGGCTGAATTCATGAAAATTATACATTTTGAATACACTTTTATAATCAGAGGAAAACCTGTTTCGTTATTACAGTGTTTTGCAATGTCTTCCTAGTTTGTTTCTTTGCATGATTATAAGATGGGGCATTATCAAGGAGGTGTCAACCTGGCACTATGACCTTTGCCCCTAAAATAGAGATGTTTGTTCTGAGAAGTTAACTCGTATATCTTAGTAGTTCTCAGCATTCTGTGTCATTGAGATGGGATCCAGCATTAATAGATCAGACAAATCATTAGAATTATGTAGACATTAAATATCAACTAGAGGAATGATGAATTGGTCTCAGCCAACAAGATTTCAGAGTATGGCTTGTTGATAGAGGAGGAAATTCAAGATACTAAAGACCTTAATATTGTCTAATTCTGGAGCACAATGTAGAGGAAATACTGACCACTTGGCTTTGCCTGCCACATTAGAAAGTGAGTACTCCTTGTTTTTATTGATGATACCATTAGCAAGAAGCAGTGACTGGGATTTACAGACTGGATTAACTAGTTACCATTGTTTGACATTCATCAGGCCCCTTAGCTCTCTAATTTCTTTGATTTGTAAAATAGAGCTAATAAAAATAACCCTCAGAATTCCTCTGAGGACTAAATGAGAAAATACATTAAAACTTGTCAGCCAGGAGTGGTGGCTCACGCCTGTAATCCCAGCACTTTGGGAGTCCAAGGTGCACGGATCACAAGGTCAGGAGTTCGAGACCGGCCCGGCCAACATGGTGAAACCTCATCTCTATTAAAAAAATACAAAAAAAATTAGCTGGACATCATGGTGTGCGCCTGTAATCCCAGCTACTCGGGAGTCTGAGGCAGGAGAGTTACTTGAACCCGGGAGGCAGAGGTTGCAGTGAGCCGAGATTGTGCCACTGCGCTCCAGCCTGGGCGACAGAGCAAGACTCCATCTCAAAACAAACAAACAAACAAACAAACGAAACCAGCAAAACAACAACAACAAAAAACCCATGTCTTTAAAGATACAGCATTATAGATATGTCAGTTATTTTTATAGTACAAGGAATAAGTAGAGCCATTTTGCAAAAAGTTGAAGAGCCCAAAGGCTGAAGGCCTAACTTAGCCAGTGTTTCCTCTGGAATGGCTATGTACAATGTACCTTGTGCTCATAAATACTCTGACTCTCAAAGAGCTTGCTGTCTTATAGGAAAATTACTAGAATAATATGAATATCTGAAACTTCAAATGTAAAGTGACAAATGACATGAGGAAATTATTAGCAAAGATTTCAAGAGTACAGAAAATCCAGGGATCACTTTTTGCTGAGGCCATTTTTGAAAGGCTTCTTTGTCAGGCAAAACTTTGTTAGGCAATTTAAGGTGAGTCTCAAAGGACAAGGTGGATTTCAACAGGTGAAGATAGTAAGGGGAAGTAGAAGGGCATTCCATACATGGGGATGGATATGAATACGGCTGAGTAGATGAAGGTGGTGAATGCAGACTCTTTTAAAGGTCAAAAGAAAGACAGCTATGGTTTGTGATGGTAGCAGTCCTGAGATCCCTTGTTTGGGAAATCTAGGAATGGAGTATAGGTAGGAGGGAAGGAAAGAATGAAGCTTTGAAAAAAGAGGCAAAATGGAAAAAGAAGTGAGAGGAGACGGGGACCAAGAACATGGATAAGGAGTATCAAAGAATAAAACAAACATCAAAGGAACTTTAAGAGATAAAGCTGAGTCTATTTTTTTGTCAGACAGGGAACACATACTAGTCAAGAAATTCACTGAGTGGACACGGAGTGGGAAATGTGTTGTAAAGGGGGTCTCATGATGCCTGTGTTGATAAAAATTGAAAACTAGTACTCTGGGTAGAATAGAAGAGTTCTTTGGTCTGTATATGGCTGATTCAAATAAATCCTGTTATTCATTGCTCAGGAAAGAGTCTTTCATTAGTCTAGAAGGGTCTGGCATCTCAGGGTCATTCAGAGTTCATGGTCATTTATCAACTTCAGTTCCTTGGAATCAGTTGTGATAAAACACAATGTTCAATTTTATATCATTTAGGCAAGTGTTTCTGTAAGCAGAAAATTTTCTTTGACCTAGTTAGCCAGAGAAAAGATGAGTGAGATAACTTGATATGGAGAGAAACAAGATTTTTGGCTTGTCCTTTTTGCCTTCTCTTGCCTCATGATACATCTACTTCAATTCCGCACCATTATCTGAGTGGCCATTATTAAATTCTATGCTCCATGCATTCTTTTTAAAGAAATAGATTTATTGAGATATAATTAACGTACTATACAATTCACCCATTTAATGTGTAGAATTCCATAGTTTTAGTATATCCGCAGATAAGTGAAACCAACAGCAGTCAATTTTAGAACATTTTCATCACCTCAAAAACCCCCTGCCCTTTAGCTGTCATCCTCTAATCTCATTAACCCCCTTACCCCCAGAGCTAAGCAGACATGAACTTTCTTTTTTTGACCATCGCCTAGTCTGGAGTGCAGTGGCGTGATCTTGGCTCACTGCAATCTCCGGCACCCGAGTTCAAGTGATTTTCCTGCCTCAGTCTCCTGAATAGCTGGGATTACAGGTGTGTGCTGCCACGCTTGGCTAATGTTTGTATTTTTAGTAGAGAAGGGGTGTCACGATGTTGGCCAGGCTGGTCTTAAACTCCTGACCTCAGGTGATCCACTGGCCTCGGCCTTCCAAAGTGCTGGGATTACAAGTGTGAGCCACCACGCCTGGTCTCTACTTTCTATCTCTGTAGATCTCTCTGTTCTGGACTTTCATATTATTATATATAATTATATAATATCTGGTCTTTTGTGACTAGTTTCTTTTACTTAGCATAATGTTTTCAAGATTTATCCATGTTGTAGCATGTATCAGTACTTTATATGGCCAAATAATATTCTATTGTCTAAATATATTGAATTTTATATATTCAGATATTTCAGTTCTTTCCACCTTTTAGGCATTATGAATAATGCTGCTATAAAAATTTGTGTACAAGTTTATTTGTGAACACATTTTTAAAAAATCTTGGGTATACACCTAGAAGTGGAATTGCTGGGTCATATAGTAGCTATGTGGTAACTATGTAATTGTGTGAGGACCTGGCAGGCTGTTTTCCAAAGTGATTATGCCATTTTTCATTCCCACCAGCAGTGTATGGAGCTTCCAAATTCTCTAATTCTTGACAACACTTGTTATTATCTGACTTTTTGATTCTAGGCATCCTGGTGGGTGTGAAGTAGTATCTCATTGTGGTTTTGATTTGCATTGGTAATGATGTTGAGTATCTTTTCATGTGCTTATTCATCATTTGAATATCTTCCTTGGAGGAATGTTTATTCTCATCCTTTGCTCATTTTTAAGTTGAGTTTTTTAATTTCTGAATTCTAAATAGTTTTTTATATATTTTGTTACATATATATTTTTATGAGATATGTGATTTGCAAGTACAATTGATTCTCATTATTTGTGGATTCCATATTTGCAAATTTACCTACTCACTAAATGTATTTGTAACTTTCAAATCAGTACTGGTGGCAGTTTTGTGGGCATTCAAGGACATGTAGATGTGCAGATTGGCAAAAAGTTTGAGTCATCTGATAAGTTTTCAGCTGAGGTAGAACAAGTCAATGCTCTACCTTCTTATTCCCAGCATTCTTCCTGTAAACAAATTTCCCCTTTTCAATCTATTTAGTGTTATATTTTTCATATTTTTGTGCTCTTTATTGATCATTTTGCTGTTTAAAATAGCTCTCAAGTGGAGCACAAAACTGCTGTCTAGTATTCCAAAGCACATGGAGGCTGTGATGTTCCTTTTGGAGAAAATACATGTGTTAGATAAGCTTCATTTGGGTGTAAGCTATAGTGCTGCTGGCCATGGGTTCAATGTTAATGAATTAACAATATATATTCAATAAAGTGTCTTTAAACAGAAACACACATGAAACAAGTTTATATGTATGAACTGGTTGAATAAAAATGTGACCAGATGCACACAGGAACCTAATCCTGTATTTCCCCTAGGGGAAACAATTCAGTATTTGATAAGTCAGTGTTTGCAGTGACATTATAGAACATAATTACTGTGAATAATGGGAATCAACTGTATTTTCTCCTGTTATGAGGGTTGCCTTTTCACTCTCCTGATGGTGTGCTTTAAAGCACAGAAGTTTTAAATTGTTATGAAGTCCATTTTATTTAGTTTTTCTTTTGTTGCTCAAGTTTTTGGTGTTCTGAGAATCCTTTGCTAAATCAAGGTTGTAAAGATTTACCCCTATCTTTTCATCTAAGAGTTTTATAGTTTTAGCTCTAACATTGTCTGATCCATTTTGAGTTAATTTTTAAATATGATGTGAAGTAAGGGCTCAACTTCATTCTTTCGCATGTAGCTATCCAGTTGTCTCAGTACCACAGAGAAAAAAACTGTTGAAAAGACTGTCCTTTCCTCATTGAATGGTCTTGGTACTATTGTTGAAAATCAGTTGACCATAAATGTAAAGCTTTATTTATGTACTGTCAGTTCTATTCCATTGATCTATATGTCTGTTCTTTTGCCAGTGCCAGTGCGTCTTGATTACAGTTGCTTTGTTAGTAAGTCTTGAAACCGGGAAGTAAGAGTTCTACTTGGTTTTTCTGTTTAGTTTTGGCTATTCTAGCCCCTTGCAATTGCAGATGAATTTTAGAATCAATTTGTCAATTTCCATCAGCTGAGATTCTGATGAGATTGCATCGAATCTATAGATGTAGTGAATATTGCCATCTTAAAAATGTGAAGTCTTCTGATCCAATGAATGTGGTATTTTTTCTTATTATTTAGATCTTCTTTAATTTCTTTTAGCAATGTTATGTAGTTTTTGGAGTGTAAATTTTATACTTATTTTCTTAAATGTGTTTGTAAATATTTTATTCTTTTTGATGTTATTGTAAATTAAATTTAATTATTCGTTTTCTTATAGTTTATTGCAATCCACCCATTGTTAATTGTCTATCATCTCTCAAACATGCTCTGTTGTTTGAGCATGTTTGAGCATACCTCTAGGCCCTCATAAATTCTGTTCCTTCTGCCTAGAAAGTCTTCCTGCTGCAAGTCTCATTGTTGAATTTTTTATTGTTGAATTCTCACACACTTTTGATGAGAATGTAAATTGGTATATCCACTATGGAAAATAGTGTGGAGATTCCTCAAAAAATTAAAAATAGAACTACCAAGTGATCCAGCCATCCCACTTGTGGGTATATATCCAAAGAGGATGAAATCAGTATCTCCAAGAAGTATCTGCACTCCCATGTTCATTGTAGCATTACTCACAATAGCCAAAATATAGAAACACCCTAAGTGTCCATTGATGGACGAGTGGATAAAGAAAATGTGACCACACACACACACACATACACACACACACACACACACCAGAATATTATTCAGCCTTAAAAAAAGAAGAAAATCCTGTCAATTTTGACAACATGGATGAACCTGGAAGACATTATGCTAAGTGAAATAAACCAGGCACAGAACGACAAATCCTGCATAACCTCACTTGTATCTGGAATCTTAAAAGGTTGAGCTCAAAGGAACAGAGAGTAGAATGGTGGTGGTTACCAGGGACTGGAAGGTGGGGGAAATGGGGAGATGTTGGTCAAAGGGTGAAAAGTTTTTACAGGATGGATAAGTTATGGAGATCTAATGTAAAGAATGGTGACTATAGTTATAGATATGTTAATTAGCTCCATTGTGGTAATCATCTCACAATGTATACCTATATCAAAACGTTATGTTGTACACCTTAAATACATACAATTGTTTTTGACAATTATACCCCAATAAAGCTGGAGGAAAAAAGGCTCAGTTTTTCCTCTATAAAGCATTTTATGGCTGTTTTTGCAACCTTTCCTAAAAACAAGGAGACAAACAAACAAATAAATAAAAAACAGAGGAATTGAGAGTTTATAACAGTTTCCTTTATCAAATTTCACATTAAGGTAGCCTAACTCAGTGATTAAGAGCCTGGATGTTTTAATTGGACAATTCTGGGTCTAAATCCCAGTTCTACCATCACCTTTGACATGACTTTTGATTTTGAGCAAGTTAGTTGACTTCTCTCAATTTCAATTTTATTATCATACAGTGAGGGCAAGGTGTGTAACTTTTTGCATCAAATTTCTTATTTCATAGGCTTTTTGAGAGGATTATATTTGTTAATATGGGTATAGCACTTAGAAGAGTTTTTGACCCATAGTAATGCTTTATTATTTTTATCTGTCCAGTTTTAAAATCCATGCTATTTTCACCAATCCATACCACTCACATAAGCTGGGCTTGATAAATATTTGTTACTGGGAAAACTATGGTGATGGTGGTGGTGACAGTTAGAGGGGCAGCTGTTTTAGTTGGAACTCAGTCCTGAAGGGAAACATCAAATGCCTTTCTTTTCTAATGAAAGTATCAGGATAAGATCCAATTACTTGATCATAAGCCAAATGTCAAGCTTTTCCATCCATCCTCTGAGAGCTGCCTTATTGGAAATGACTGCCCTTTTATTAAATACACTTTTATGCTACAATTTCTTGATTTAAAAAAATTGTCAGCTGTACTGAGAATTCAAATGGCTATTACAAGTCAGTAAAATCTGCAGACCATAAATGCTTTCAGGTCTAGTTCTGAGTATTATTCACTTTCTATGAATACTTTAGCACCTAGTAGTACCATGGACACAATGTGATTAAAATGTGTGATGATGATTTAAGTAAAGAGCTCTAAATATAAAATTCTTAGAATATTCTCAAGAGCATATGATTAGAGAGTACATAGGGACTTGGAAAATATACCTTTTCATAAAGGATATCAAATTTCTTTCATGGTTTTAAAAATCATTTCATTTTTCAATAAACCTAAGACCTCAGAAGATGTTCTATGTCCCTGTTCAAATGAGCAAGTTGCTGCAAAAATTATAACTGATTATGCTCATTTATAAAATGTACTTGATTTACACTGACCATGCATGATTTATACCAAGAGCTATCGAAAATGACTTTGCCTCTTCTTTGGACAGAAAACCCTAAGAATGTGCCAAAATGGATCTTATTATTATGTGCTACAAATGTTGTGGAAAACTTACTATAGAAATGATCTAAAACAATGTTGACCTTGGAACCAAATTCAAAATATTTTCTCCCGTGTGTTCATAAATCCAATAAATAAATTTAGGTAAACATTTGTCCACTATTTTTTAAAACCAGGATACTATTATTATACCTCTATGGTTGGCTAGAGTCCTGCGGATGTAGAAGATGGATTATATTCATGGAAACCAGTTGAGACTATATGTTTCTAGAGTATTATATCACTGGGAGCTTGAATCTTGTGAGTGCTATAAGCAATGTAAGTATCTTTTCCACCTGTGAGATGTATTCATTTCCTCCCCTGGTACTCACTTCCACTCATGTACACATCTGCCAATTTAGGTCTTTATTCTTCTTCCTCACAAAATGTTCTGATACACCTGGACATCCTATCTTGTGACATTTTATCTGTTCTTTTTTTTGTCCAAAGGGTCATTTTGTAATGATCAGATTAGGTCACTTTTCAAGATAAATGTTTGTGTACCTAATTCCATTTCTTACAAGAGTGTTAAGTGCAGTGAGAACTAGATTGTTCACTTCTGCCTTACAATTATTTCTTGCACCCTGGAACAATGAGGGAGTTTCTGTGATGCAAATTTCATTCATTCATGCTCATTCATTCATTCAATGATTCTCAAATCAAAAATAGTTATTGTTGCATACCATCTTAGGTATTCTGCATACCTCTTAATATACACTCATAAATGAGAGCGAAAACCTGTTTTATTTAGTTATTTTCCTCTAAGGCTCTGTCTCCCTGCTAGACTATAAATATTACGAAGTCAGAGACCATATTTGTTTTGTTCCTTCTCATATGTCCTGCACCTGATACCGTCACTTAATAATTTGTTGATTGAATGATTAGAGGTTTCATGGAGATATGCTAAGAAACTGAAAAAAAAAAAGTTATTCAGTAACTTATTAGGAAGAAGGGCACTTTTGGCCTAAAATGAAAATAATTCTATTTATACTCATCTGTTAAACTCCACAGTTATCTTCAGTAAAAAACAGAAAATAATATTAGAATATCAGCTGATTATCAATAATCAACTGATAAAATTCCTCCCTCCGTTTTCAGTGAGGCTAGAAAAATTAAAGGGATCAACCAAGTTCCCACAATTGTCATGCAACAGATCTGGGACTTTAATCTGGGTTTTAAGAGTATCAGATCTTAGATCATCTTTCTACACCGTGACATTATGTGAGGATTACCTGAAGGCAGTGATTCTGTGTTTTACACTCAAGGCTTCAGACACCAAGGTGAAATTACATCACCCTAGATAAAGATCTTAACCTTGGAGAGAGTTATTTAAGCAAATCAAGATAATCAAATGAGGCAGATGTTAGTTGGCATCACATTTCAGGAAAAAATAACTTGAGTTGGCTGAGTCCTAAAGCTTATCCTTGTCTCTTGCATGAAAATGTTGCATGAAAATGTGTTGGGGCTTTGACATGTGTGGCAACCAATCCTCAAAAGAGTGAGTCACACCTCCTCCTACTCTGCAACTGTCAGTACTGGCTTCCGGCAAAAGGTTGGAAACACTGCAGTCACGTGGCTTGGCTTGCTGGGAGAGAAGAGGCCATGAGCCAGGAGAAGGCAGCACTAGAGGAAAGTCAGGATGAATATGGGACAAAATGAGTGTAAAAATGGAGCCCCCAGAGAAGGGGTCTGAGCATTGGATATAGAATCTAAAAAGGAATGAGGCTAATCTGGAGCATTTTATAAGATCCACCAGCTTCAGTTCCTGCACAGAGGAACGGGAGATACAATTTTGAAGATGCTGAGATAAAGGATTTCTGAGTGGGTTGCATTATAAGGGCTGTTAAGAGAGACTATAAGGGCTGATAAGGGAGACGATAAGGGAGAATGGGTCAGGCAAACAGGCTCCAGCCTCCTTGAGATACAAGATAGAGCTTCTCTTAGGGAATAGCGCTTGGGTTAGGCTTTCACTGGAGGGTACCTTGGGAGTGCCTGGCTATCCCTCTGCCAGCCAGAGGCAGTGAATTCATTTTACTCTTGCTGTGGGGCATACTGTTAGGCTACTGCTGCCAGGTTTCTCACTGGTTCTAAAGTAGGATTGTGGCAGGGGTATTCATGCTAAACAGCTGAGATAGGGCTCGGGTATTATGGGAACTGACTAGCTCAAATAAGAGTCTTGGAATATTTTGGAGTGAGGGAGGCTTCCATGACTTCTGATTTATGAGGTCCTCTAAGTTGTGATCTTCAAGGAAGGTAAGAGTTTTTGAAAATATAAAAGCTGTGTGCAAAGAAAGTTTATATATATATATATATACACACACACACACACACACACACACACATACCCCCCCACACAGAGGAGCAAGTAGTAATAGCAGGTTAATTGACATGAAGTATGGGTGGGGCTAATGGAAGAGGAGTAAACAACCAAAAGGCAGCCACTATTCATATGCAGAGTAAACTGCGTTCTGACTCAGGCAGGAGCATGTATTTCTGAGAATAAGTGGTACATACATATGACTTCCCATATGGAGAAGGAGCCAGAATTATGAGACTGGATACATAATGTATAAGTAATAATTCATCTCATTTGTATAGACTTTTAATGTTTGAAATTGCTTTCAAATGCTTTTTTTGTTTTTCCTTGTACAAAACATGTGAACAGGTATTATTTTATTCTTATTTCACGGATGAGGACATTGAGCCTCAGAGTCTCATATAATTGCTCAGTCATGCAAATAGTGAATCAGGGACTAACCTCAGATCTTCTGATCCCCAATTCTGACTTTTTCTTCCTAGATTATATGGCTTAATTCCCGTGAAGTATGTGCATTGCTCTAGATGATCTTGGTGAGGTCCATGGCTCTCTTGGTCACCACTGTGTCCACAGTGCCTAGTCTGATGCCCCTGGCATGCAGTAGGCACTCAGTAAATATATTTAAGGGAAGAGTAAACAAAAAATGGGTTAATAAAAATAGATGATGTTTAGTGATGACATGAATTTTATAATGATGTATTAGACATTTACCCCAGTAAACTCCACTTCTAGATATAGTGCCTTTTTACTTACACCAGTATTGACTACTTGACTCTCTTCTTCTCAATTACAATGAGAAAGTTAACACAAGGATGGGTATGGGAAATTAATTCAGAGTTCAACTAGTAACTAAGTAAAATTTTGGATTAAACACTGCTCCATATTAAGCCAGATCATGGATCAGCATCATCCATCCTACATTAAATACTGCTGGTATAGCACACCTACCCAGCCCATAATATTTTTGTTGTTTTCTTCTTGCCCTCATCCTCTTTCCCGGTGAAAGAGAGTGATAGCTTTTACTAATACCTTTCCCCTACTTTGTTTGTACTGAGTATTCCTTAATATTATTGTATAATAATATGTGTATTTTTGGCATTTTTAAAGTTGTTCTAACAGTATTGAAATCTCCTTGGGAAAAGGCAGGCTGTTTCATACTTTTTCCATTTCTCCTATAATGCTGAGTGCATTGCTAAGTATTTAATTGACACTTAGTAAGTACTTGCTGATGGAGTAATTTTCTGAAAAGAAAGTCAATATTCTCCTTAATTTTGCTCTTGTCTGTCACTGCATAGTAAAAGTTGTACATGTCATACAAGTATGACTTTGCTTGTCACGGAAAAAAATCTGGTTTTGGTATCAGACACAACTAGGTTTTCATCCTTCCCCAGCATTTAAATAGCTGTGAGACTTTTGGTAAGTTTTATAATGCTTGACACCTCAGCGTTATCACCTCTGAATGAGAATAAATGATTTTTATCTCATAAGGTTATCATAATTATCTGAGCTAAGAACTCTCTATAATGCTATATAACATATAGTAGGCAATTCCTCTTCCTTCTGTCTGTCTTTAAATAATATTCCATGGGAAAGGCCAGTTTTAACCTTAGCTCCCACATTTATGAGATGTATAATTCTGGACAAATGACTCAACCTCTCCAAATTCAGATTTCTGCAAAATGAGATGAATAGAGAGGATCAAACATAATGAGAATCAATTTTGTGAACTATAAATTTGTATACAAATGAAAGCTATTTATTGCCATCTGTGGTTTTATTGACCATGATAAGGCACTAAGAAAGGAGATTGTGTTTTTAATTTTCTTTCTTTTTTCAGTAGAAGAAACTTGCCCAGTGACTTAAAGGTTGTCCAGACTAACCTAATTTTAGGAGACCTGGCCTCATAGTAGAGTATTATCCTTTATCTCTTGACCACAACAGTCTAATTATGATGGAATACTAGTTGATATACACATTATTCAATAGAAATGTTAAACATAATTTTCTTCAGTTTGCAGCTAATGCCAGCCTTTTTTTTGCCATTAGATATACTATTAATCTATTGATACCATTCTAGAACCATTTTTTCTCTCCCCCTCACCGTATTTTCTAAAAATGATTTTTCATAGTTGATCATAGTAATAGACATATTATAAAAGCTAACAGACATCAAACACATTATCAAACACATGCATTTGTAAGCTTTAACTTCAGGAATGGAATGAGCAACACTCAGAACAGTCATAGCAAACATGGAAAGAAGGTGAATACACAATGCATGTTTCTTAAGGCATTACATGTAAGGCTTGTCGATGATGCAAATGTAAGGTTAGTATTAGGAATAACTCTCTTTCTGAACTACAGTGGCAACGTGACTATTTGGCTTCCATTCATTGAACTTCCAGAACCTCCTTAGTAGGATTTATCTTTTCACATGGGAGCATTAATCAAGACAAATTCCATCACAACTGTTGTCACACATTTCTTGCCATGTGCTATGTAGTTAGTTTACCCGGAGCCTACTTCAAAGGACTGTAATTTCAGTATTTCATCATTTCAGCATTTCATCTGTCATTCTGGCAATATTTGATGCCTCTTTTATCCTTCAGTTTTTTTCTCCATATGAACTATTAATATATATGAAAATGCATGTGTCTCTCTTAGGCTCTCATTACCATCTTGCCTGCTCTGCTAGTTTTGCATGCATACTGCAGTAAATTCGGAGTGGATGGTCTAAGTAAGTTATGGGAAAGCCAAATGTGATTGGACAGATTCATAAAATGTAGTCAGATCATACGTTACTGAATATATATTTCTTTCTTCTTTCTCTAAACCTACACACTAGGCAGCATGGCTGCATATATACATGGTCCGGGAACAAGTCTTGGCCACACATAAACAAGTTGATGAAGTCCAGGAGTCACACAGCACTTACCAGACATTGAGTTGCAGCTCATGAATCAGCTAGAGTTAACTATAAATAAACAGCCATGGGCTCATTACTGAACTGGTTATGGGCTTTTCCAGTGATTGGTTTTTAATCTAAAAATAGGGACCAGTGGGCTGTTTCAAATATTTCGTGTCAAGGGAGCAAATGCCCATAATCAGCTGCTCCATTTTTTTCCTTCTTGAATCAGGACTCATTGTTAATACATAATGGCTAGGGAGAATGGTTGGCTACAGGATTTCTAGGTTGTAATTTCACCTCAGATGCCACAGAAGAAAACCTATGTGACCCTATATTTCTGGTTTGTCATCCCTGTGTTCCTGTTTACTAATTTTCTGAAATGAATTTAAAATCATGTCATAAAATTAATCTCAGCTGATTAGCTGGTTGGTTTACTTTCTGGGCGCCCATTGCATTTTTCATCATTCTTAATTTCTTCTTTCTTGTGCAGTGTTATTTGTCAGAACTCTTTTGGTTGCAAGGGGACAGAAATACAATTTGAATTGGTTTAAGCAAAAAGGTAACTGATTGACTTACATGCTTCCTGACCTTATGGTGCTTTAACCAAGAACACGGTTTTGAAGAGCCGACATGTGACCTTTCTTTCTTGTTACAAAGGAGAATTTTACTTATTCTTCTTGAAATTTCCCTTTTCTAGACTCTGCCAGGTCTTCTGGTGGGTTTCCCAGAGCTTTTATCCCAGAATACCCAGGGTGTCTAAGCCCTTCATATGAAAGCTTTCAGCCAGAAAAAACAGATGGCAGTGGGAGAAAGATTTTCCTTGCTTCCTTCTGTGGGAGGAAACGAACCGTCCTTCCATGTTATATCAAAGGCCTTGTTGGGCTTAACTCAGTTAAGCTTGTTAGGCATGGTCTGCAAGGGACTAAAATGTGGTACTTCTCTCCCCGCCCCTGCCTTTTAAAAAAATGACATAATCAGAATTCTAAAGGATATGCCAGTTCTATAAGACTATGTTGTTAGACTTGATTTTACACCTCTCAGAATTTTGTTTCCTGCTTACTTCGTTTCCAGGACAATTCTAAAGGCCCCTGATATATATCATTTGATGAAAACAGTAATTTTGGTGACTGATATATATTTATACTCCCTATTACCCTCTTCTCTTCCCATATTATTTTCAGATTCTGTCACAATATTATCTGGTTTATGATGACAGATTGACAGATGGAAAACATGCCACATGGTTATCTTCTTTGGGCTCAGCATCCTTTGCCAGCAAAGAAAAGGCCTTTGCCTCCTTCCTACAGCTACCAGTGTTAAGATGTCCCCAACAACGGCCCTCTCATTGTCTTTTTGGTCAGGGATCACCATATGTATCCCCAACCTGGGAATCCTTCTAGTATTGATGGCTCCTTATAGAATTGTTTTCTACTCACCCTTTAGCCTACAGTTGCTTCAGGTTTGGTCTTCTCTATATCAGAGACCAGATGGTCTCAGGTGGGATTTGCTTAATTTCCAGGTTCCTTGTGTAACAGGGTCTTTAAATTAATTGAAGAAGGGAATCAGATTTATCTGGGAGATGTCTAATGAACTGGTGGGGCAGACTGCCAGGAAATTATTTAGATGGACCAATTTGCACCTGAGTTCCCATTTTGTTTGTTTTCTTGGCTAGAGGAGGCTGGAGAAGTATATACTTGAGATGGGAGTAGGGAATGAGGGAATGAGGATTATAGCACAAGTCTGTTTTTTTCAAATTAACCTCTGGGTCTGGCCACATCAATATTTATTTGTCTGAGCATCTCAAAGAGAACAGAATGTGAAAGCTGAGGAAGCCCTTTTCTTAGAGGTTCTGTGAAATGCATGGGCACTTACTTCACTACTTTAATCCTCTTGTGGTAAATGGTGTCAGAAAGTGGGGAAGAAGCACAGCCTTCCCACTTCTGCATAAATGGCATGGCTGTGTCAGAGCATTGAGGTTTCTGGGGAGAATTAGTATCGTTTTTGTCTTAAGGTTTTGCAGGCAGCTTTGCAAACAACAGGAGGCTATACCTTTCCACAACCATAGACATAGTTATATTGAGCTGCTGCTGTACTGAATTTAATAAATGCCTCATGTTATTTCTCCAGCTGCAGACATCATTGAAAGGGGTTAGAATGGAAAGAGCATGGTGGAACCCACTTGGTAATAGGGAGGACTGTTCATGAACTCCTGTAAAACACACCTGAGGGACTCCTAGGAATTACTGTGTAAGACTTGAGATCCTATGTGAGCAATCTGAGCTAATAGTCAGTGAAATGAGGTATTATTTTTAATTGAGCTGCAGTTATATTTGATGAGGCCTGGCCAGTTTACTCTTGCAAAGAGTTTGACTTCATGGTTCTCTTAAAGAGATATTTTAAGAATTGATATAAATATCTTGAGGGAAAAGACTTTAAGTAAATGTGGAATTACTGTTGTCACCTTATTTCTTAGATAAATTTTGTGATACACCAAAGGCATATATATCTCAAATACATAAATATACATGTGTACACACATATGTATGTATACATGTATATATACATATACATGCTTATGTGTATGTATACATGTGTACATATAAGTAAATGTACATATGTATATATGTAGAGAGAGAGAAGGATGGAGAAGAAGAATGACAGAGAGACAGTTCATTTTAAAGAATGGTTGACCATAGAATGATGCCAAATGCAGACTATTTTAATGTACTTTCATTGCTTTATTTACTATTTCTTAGAGACACATAATTTACATAATCACAGATGTTTGGAAATACTGCTATTTACTGAGACTTGCATTGTAGTCAACTTTTTTATTTTCCATAAAGGAAATAAGCTATGGGTGCCCCAAGAAATATTCTCTATTTCTCTAATAAGTAGGAATGCTTGGTGAGGTGAACCACACATGTAAGATCTTCACATGACTGGGTTTTGGGTAAGAGGAGCTTATGTTTGCTATTTTCCCACTGAGCTGAGGTAAGGTGATTGTTTCTAACATCTACCTGAATCCTTTCCTTTTTTAGGGGAAAACCATTAATAAAAAACTGATGGCATCAGTATACTCCATAGCTTCATTTGCTGTATCCAGTTGAGAATATTTAATTCTACTCACTAGAAGTGCTTGATTTGTTTTTCTAAACAAATCTGTACTAACCCATCTAGCAGCAGCTCCTTCCAACACATTCTTGGGTTCCCATTTAGTCAGCCTATTAACTAAGTCACATTTGAAGCCTGACTGATGTTGTACAATCTTAGCATGTCATCTTCATTATTTATTTACTATGGAAGGTCCATGAGAACATGATATTTTTTCTATGGTTGCCTGGAGTTTGTGTTTGGACACAGTTAACTTGTTTCTACTTCATTGGCTGTGACTTACATTTATGTAAAATTTTTTGGTCAAATATTTTAAAGATTTATATAAACACAGCCAAGACAAAGCCTTCCTTTCTCGAAGAACATCCTTTAGGAATAGTAATATTTATGCTTTAGCGTATTCTCCTCTCTTCTTGGTAGTATGCTGACAACCATGAGAAATGTGTTTTCTTTAGAGGGATCAGATGTCATTATTCTCAAGTCATTAGAGCCACCTCCTGCAGAAATTTGGCTCCTTTGCTTACCTTGAATTTCCCATTGATATTTCATTTAACTATAACTAGGTCAAGCAAAGCTGACTGGGTCTAGACAGGACTTCATTTTTTCCCTTCTTTGGCATACCTACTTTACAAGTAGGTTATTTTCAACCCTTCTCTTGTCTCTTTAAGCCTTAAGATCATATGTATCTTTTAAGAGATGTAAAAACAAATAGGAAGAATGAAAAAGATATATACTTAGTGAAGTTTGGAATCTATTCAGAAATGGAGAGCTTGACACAAGAAACCAAAACCAGTCTTCGTATATTAAGAGATTTTTGCCCATGATAATATGTGACTTCCTGTTTACAAACCTAATCCAAGTTCTTGAAAATTTACTTGGTTATTGAGGGCTCTTGCCAAACTGTTTTTTAGGTAATGTAACTTCAAGTAGTTAAAAAATATGGTCACAGAAAGTCTTATTTAAATATAGAACTGGAATATTGAAATATTTTTTGATGAGGCCGGGCATGGTGGCTCATGCCTGTAATCCCACTTTGGGAGGCCAAGGTGGGCGGGTCACCCGAGATCAGGAGTTTGAGACCAGCCTGGCCAACATGGTGAAACCCTATCTCTACTAAAAATACAAAAATTAGCCAGGCATGGTGGTGCACGCCTGTAGTCCCAGCTACTCTGGAAGCTGAGGCATGAGAATCACTTGAACCTGGGAGGTGGAGGTTGCAGTGAGCTGAGATCTCGCCAGTACACTCCAGCCTGGGTGACAGAGTGAGACCCCATCTTAAAAAAAAAGAAAAAAAAAAGAAATATTTCTTGATGAAATATAATTAAACAAAAAGTCGCTTCTATGACATACTCAAAACAAATAGGGCACATGTGTTTAACATTCTGTATAGAAACCCTATGTTTAATGTAAAAAATTGCAAATAAATACTTTAAAAGGTATGTGATTGTCAATATCCATAAATTGACAAGTTTGGTTTTCCTGTGGAATTTTTATATTCGTAGGCTGGAGTGATCACAGGGAAACCACATCCAACTGACCTTTGGAAAATAGTATACCTAAGCATTTTACAGAAGACAGATGACCTTCTGGGGGCAAGCAAAGGGCTCCTGGAATGTTGGGAGAGGTCAGTCTGTCAGGATAATCAGGTGCATAGAGACATAAGTGTACTAACATCTGAGGGTCTGATTACCTTTGTACAGTTTCATACTTTTTAACCAGCTGGAATGAATTTCTGTTTATGGGGCAGAGAGTGGGGCCCAAGATTAGCCAAGGCCATGGTAGGAGCAGTGGGAGTGAGGATGGGTGAGATTTTGCAGGCTCTTACTAGGAAGAAAATCTACTTTCTGCTTTAACCTTTTCTTACCCTGCCCCATTCACACCTTTTTCCTTTAATCTATTTAGCCTTTTCAAAACTCTGGTAAAC
Organism: Homo sapiens; assembly: GCF_000001405.40. Lineage (NCBI taxonomy): Eukaryota > Metazoa > Chordata > Mammalia > Primates > Hominidae > Homo > Homo sapiens. The sequence goes on from NC_000009.12 coordinate 82,040,501, forward strand.
AGACTCATACGTTAAATAAAGATGGTATATATTCCACTTCTAGAAGAAACATGTTATAAAAAAATGACATTGCAGATAGTTTAAAAAGTAACTATTGGAATATGACTTAAGTCAGTATAAATTCTTTTTATAAAAACATATTTATTGAGATATAATTCATATACCATAACATTAACCCATTTAAAGTATACAATTCAGTGGGTTTTTTTTAGCATATTCACAGGGCTGTATAACAATCACCTAAGTATAATTTTAGAATATTTTCAACTTATTTTCCCTAAAGAAATTCTGTACTTATTAGCAGTCACTCTCCATTCCCTCATCTCCTCCCCACCATCCTTAAGCTACCATTAATCTACTTTCTGTCTCTATAGATTTGCTTATTCTGGGCATTTCGTATATATAAATGGAATCATATAATTTGTAGCCTTTGGTGATGACTGGCTTCTTTGATTTAGTACAATTTTCCAGTTTAATCCCGGTTGTAGCACATATTAGTACTTCATTTTTTTTTGCCAAATAATATTCCATTGTATGATATACCATATCTTGTTTATTCATTCATCAGTTGTTGGACATTGGGTTGTTTTCTTCTTTTGTTTATTGTGAATAGTGTTGCTGTAAACTTTCATGTATAAATTTTCATTTGAACATCTGGTTTTAATTCTAACATCACCTGTGTTTGTAAATAAAGTCTTATTGTAACACAGCCACACCCTTAGGCATGTAGTTCTCCACTCTTTGTTCTAAATAAATCAGTCCCGTCAAGCAGAGTTGTAGAGCATTTTGCCCCTATTGTCTGCCTTTGTACATGGTCAGAACCCCTGAGCTGCTGCACTAGGTATAAGGACAGGGACTTGCTTGTCCACAGTGACCCTTTCCCCGCTACCGTATCTGTGTGCGAGGGGAGGTGGCAACCACTGTTATTTTTACATAGAATCTCCATTTTATGAGTGAGCTGTGGTGTGGTGGTTGAGGCCCCAGTTTTCTTGGCCTCTTGCTCCTGGGGTAGAGCTTCCGCCCTAAGAGTAGGGGCTAGTTGAGAAAGGGACCTTCTCCTCTTGACTGTACCAGCCAAAGAAGAATTTCTGAAACATGGGGCTAAGGGATATGAGAAACACTAGCAGCCTGCATGGGATGGAACTATAGCCCTAGACTGGAAGCTAGGGGAGAGGGCACATAATGAGTGAGTCCTGGCTCAAAACCAACAGACTCTTGCAGTTCTTACTGAGATTTAGTATATTTTCTTCAATGAATATTTCTCTGCTTGCTTATGCCCCTGGGACAATTTGCAGAAACTTTCAGGAATTACTTTTTAGAATTTTCACTAGTTAAATTGTTTTTTTGCTGAGGAGTGGGTCTCCTGAGCTAATTCACCATTGTGGATTCTCTGCCTCCTCCATTCACATTTAAGTTCAGATATTTGAGTAACGCTGATAAAATGAAACTTACACATTTCATTCATCATTGCTTTTTGGATTTTAAAAGAGTCTCTCTTTTTATTTTTTTCACATTTTTTGATGCATGCAGCCCAAGGGTTTGTTATTTTAAAAAATTGATTTATTTATCTTAAACATTTTTCTAGCTGTTTTGAGGAATAACTGACAAAGAAAAATTGTATGTACTTAAGGAATGCAATGTAATGTTTTGATTATATCTACATTGTGAAATGATAAACCCTATCAAGCTAATTAACATATCTATCGCCTCACATAGTTATTTTGTGTATGTGTGGTGAGAACATTAAGATCTACTCTCTTAGAAAATTTTAACTGTTTAATACAGTATTATTGACTGTAGTCACCATGCTGTACATTAGATTTCTAGAACTTAACACATCCTGCATACTTGATACTTTGTACCCTTTGACCAATTTCTCTCTATTTCCCCAACCCCCAAGTCTGGCAACCAATATTCTACCCTCTGCTTCTATGAGTTCAACTTTGTTAGATTCCACATGTAAGTGAGATCATGCAGTATTTGTCTTTCTGTGCTTGGCTTATTTCACTTAGCACAATGCTCTCCAGATTCATTCATGTTGTTGCAGATGGCACAGTTTTTAAAGGTGGAATAATATTTTGTTGTTTGTATATACATTTTCTTTATTCACCCATCTACAGACACTTGGATAGTTTCCATATCTTGGCCATTATGAATAATGCTGCAATAAACATGGAGTGTAGATATCTCTTTGACATACTGATTTCATTTCCTTTGGATATATACCCAGAAGCAAGATTGCTGGATCCTATGGTAGTTCTATTTGTAGTATTTTGAGGAGTCTCTATACTGTTTTCCATAAGGGCTATACCAATTTACCTTATCATCAGTAGTGTATAAGGGCTTCTTTTTCTTTACATCCTTGCCAACACTTGTCATCTTTTATATTTTTGATAATACCCATTCTAAAGGGTATTAATTATCACCTTAGATGTGAGGTGACACTGCACTGTGGTATTCATTTGCATTTCTCTGTTGATTAGTGGTGATGAGCATTTTTTATATACCTATTGACCATTTGTACGTCTTCTTTTGAGAAATGTCCATTCAGGCCCTTTGCTCATTTTAAAATCAAGTTGTTTTCTTGCTATTGAGTTATTTGAATTCTTTATGTATTTGTGATATTAACCTCTTATCAAATGTGTGGTTTCCAAGTATCTTTTCCCATTTTATAGGTCGTCTCTTCATTCTGTTGATTGTTACCTTTGCTGTGCAGAAGCCTTTTAGTTTGATGCAATCTCATTTGCCTATTTTTGCTTTAGTTGCCCATGCTTTTGGGGTCATATCAAAAGAATCAATGCCAAGACCAGTGTCAAAATATTTTTACATATGTTTTCTTCTAGTGGTTTTACAGTTTCAGGTCTAATGTTTTAATATATTTTGAAATCAGATAGTGTGACGCCTCTAGCTTTCCTTTTCTTGCTTAAGATGGCTTTGTTGATTCTGGGTCTTTTGTGATTTCATATCAGTTTTAGGATTTTTTTTCTATTTCTGTGAAAAATGCCATTGGGATTTTGATAGAGATTGCGTTGAATCTGTGGATCACTTTAGATAATATGGACATTTTAACAATATTGATTCTTTCAATCCATGAACATGGATAACTTTCCATTTATTTGTCTTCTTCAATTTCTTTAATCAATATCTTATAGTTTTCAAGGTATAGATCTTTCACCTCCTTGGTTATATTTATTCCTAAGTGTTTTATTTTTTGATGCTATTAATAAATGTGATATATTGGGATATATCACAATATATAAATGGGATATTTTCTTAATTTCTTTTTGGGATAGTTTATTTTTAGTGTATAGAAATGCAACTGATTTTTGTATGCTAACTTTGTATCTTACTGAATTTATTAGTTCTAACAGTTTTTGTGTGGAGTCTTTAGGGTTTTCTGTATATAAGGTCATGTCATCTGCAAACAGAGACCGTTTTACTTCTTCTTTTCCAAGTTAGAGTTCCTTTTGTTTCTTTTCCTTCTCTGATTCTCTCATTAGTACTTTTAGTACTATGTTGAATAAGGGTGTTGAGAGCAGGTGGGCATCCTTGTCTTATTCCTGATCTTAGAGGAAAAGCTTTGAGCTTTTCACTGTGGAGCATGATATTAGTTGTGGATTTGTCATATATGACCTTTATTATGTTGAAGTACCTTCTTTCTATACCTAATTTGTTGTGAGTTTTTTTTTCATAAAAAGATTTTGGATTTTGTTAAATGTCTTTTCTGCATCTATTGAGATGGTCGTGTCATTATTGTGGTATATCACATTTATTAATTTGTGTACGTCGAACCATCTTTGTATCCCAAGGATAAACTCCACTTGATCATGATATATGATCCTTTAATTGTGCTGTTGAATTTAACTTGCTAGTATTTTGTTAAAGGTTTTTGCATCTGAGTTCATGAAGGATATTGGCCTGTATTTGTCTATTCTTGTAGTGTCTTTGTCTGGCTCTGGTGTCAGGGTAATGCAGGCCTCATAAAATGAGTTTGGAAGTATTCCCTACTACTCAGTTTTTGGAAGAGATTGAGAAATATTGGTGTCAATTATTCTTTAAATGTTTGCTTGAATTCAGTTGTGAAGCCATCAGGCCCTAGGCTTTTCATTGTTGAGAGGTATTTTTTATTGATTCAGTCTCCTTACTTGTTATTGGTCTGTTCAGATTTTCTATTTCTTTGTTATTCAGCCTTGGTAAGTTGTATGTTTCTTTTCTTTTCTTTTTTTTTTTTTTTTGAGATGGAGTCCCTTTCTGTCACCCAGGCTGGAGTGCAGTGGCACGATCTCGGCTCACTGCAAGCTCTGCCTACGAGGTTCACGCCATTCTCCTGCCTCAGCCTCCTGAGTAGCTGGGACTACAGGCACATGCCACCACGCCTGGCTAACTTTTTATATTTTTAGTAGAGATGGGGTTTCACTGTGTTAGCCAGGATGGTCTTGATCTCCTGACCTTGTGATCTGCCTGCCTCGGCCTCCCAAAGTGCTAGGATTACAGGTGTGAGCCATCGTGCCTGGCAATAAGTTGTATGTTTCTATGAATTTATTCATTTCTTCTAAATTATCCACTTTATTGGCATATAATTGTTTTAGTAGTCTGTTACGCTCTTTTGTATTTCTGTATGTCAGTTACAATGCCTCCTCTTTCATTTATTTATTTATTTAAGATGGAGTCTCACTCTTGTCACCCAGGCTGGAGTGCCTTGGCATGATCTTGGCTCACTGCAACCTCTGCCTCCCAGGTTCAAGAGATTCTCCTGCCTCAGCCACTGGAGTAGCTGAGATTACAGGTGGGCACTACTATGCCTGACTACTTTTTTTTGTATTTTTAGTAGAGACAGGGTTTTGCCATGTTGGCCAGTTTGGTCTCAAACTGCTGACCTCAAGTGATCTGCCCCTCTTGGCCTCCCAAAGTGCTGGGATTACAGGCATGAGCCACTGTGCCCGACCTCCTCTTTCATTTATAATTTTGAGTCCTTTCTCTTTTATCTTAGTTTAGCTAGAGGTTGTCTCAATTTTGTTTGTATTTTCAAAAAGATCAAGTCTTAGTTTCATTAATCTTTTCTATTTTTCTAGTCTCTGTTTCTGCTCTTTTCTTTTATTATTTCCTTCCTTCTATAAACTTTGGGCTCAGTTTTTTCCTCTTCTTCTTGTTACCTGGAGAGTATTGTTAGGCTGTTTATTTGAGATCTCTCTTTTTTCTCAATGTAGATACTTATTATTATAAATTTCCCTCTTAGAACTGTTTTTGCTGGATCTCCTAAGTTCGGTATCTTGTATTTCCATTTTTATTTGTTTCAAGATATTTTTCCTTATTTCTTTTTTTGATTTTTCATTTGATCTACTGGTTGTTTAGAAGTTTGTTTAATTTTCACATTTTGTGAAATTTTCCAATTTTACTACTGTTATTGATTTCTAAATTGCATACTGTTGTGGTTGGGAAAGATACTTGATATGATTTCAATTTTCTTAAATTTGTTAAGAATTGTTTTGTGGGGTAACATATAACCTATCCTGGAGAATGACTCATGTATGCTTGAAAAGAATGTGTATTCTGTTGTTGTTGGATGCAATGTTTAGCATATATCGTTTAGGATCATTTAGTCTGTAGTGTTCAAGTCTGCTGTTTCCTTACTGATTTTTTTGCTTGGGCAATCTATCCATTGTTGAAAGTGGGATATTGAAGTTTCCTACTATTATTGTATTCCTGCCTATGTATCCCTTCAGTTTTATTAATATTTGCTTTATTTACCTAGGTGGTTTGATGTTGGGTGCATATATGTTTATTATTGTTACATCTTCTTGATGAATTGACCCCTTTATCATTGTATAATGGCCTTCTTTGTTTGTTGTGACAGTTTTTGACTTAAAGTTTATTTTGCATATTAAGTATAGTTACCCTGGCTCTCTTTTGGTTACCATTTGCATTTTTCCCATTTCTTCACTTTTATCCTATGCATGTCATTAATACTAATGTGAATCTGTTGTAGACTCTCATTAGTTGAATCTTTTCATTTTTTTAACCATTCAATCACTTTATGTCTTTTAATTGGAGAATTTAATTGATTTACATTTAAAGTAATTATCGATAGGTAAAGACCTGCCGTTGCCATTTTGTTAATTGTTTTCTGACTATTTTGTAGATTCTTTGTGCCTTTCTTCCTGTCTTGCTATTTTCTTTTGTGATTTGACAGTTTTTTATAGTGTTATGATTTGATACCTTTCTCTCTGCTTTTAGTGTACCTACTGTAGATATTTTCTTTGTGGTTACCATGAATTGTACATAAAACAACTCATAGTTATAGCAGTCTATTTTAAGCTGATAACAACTTCAACTGCATATGAAATCTCTACACTAACTTTTTCTCTCCCTGCATTTTATATTATTGATATCACAATTTACAATCTTTTTTTTTTTTTTTGACGGAGTCTTTCTCTGTCACTCAGGAGGGAGTGCAGTGGCTCAATCTTGGCTCATTGCAAGCTCCACCTCCCAGGTTCATGCCATTTTCCTGCCTCAGCCTCCTGAGTAGCTGGGACTACAGGCACCCACCACCACGCCCGGCTAATTTTTTGTATTTTTAGTAGAGATGGGGTTTCACTGTGTTATCCGGGATGGTCTTGATCTCCTGACCTCATGATCCACCCGCCTCAGCCTCCCAAAGTGCTGGGATTACAGGCGTGAGCCACCGCGCCTGGCCCAATTTACATCTTTTTATACTGTGTATTGCTTAACAAATTTTTGTAGCTGTAGTTATTTTAATATTTTTGTCTTTTAACCTTTATCCTAAAGTTAAAAGTGATTTAGGCACCACCCTTAAAATATTAGAGTATTCTGAATTTGACTATATTCTTACCTTTTTTTTTCTTTTGAGACAAGGTCTGTTCTGCTGTCCAGGCTGGAGTATAATGATGTGATCACAGCTCACTCCAGCCTCCAGCTCCTAGGCTCAAGCAATACTTCTGCCTCAGCCTCCTGAGTAGCCAGTACTACTGGTACACATTATATGGCCCAGATAAGTTTTAAATCTTTTTTGTAGAGACCGGATCTTGCTTTGTTGCTCAGGCTGGTCTTGAAGTCCTAGCTTGAAGCAATTCTCCCGCCTCAGCTTCTCAAAGTGCTGGGATTATACACATGAGCCACTGTACCTGGTCTATATTTTTACCTTTACAGATAATTTTGTACTTTTGTATGTTTTCATGTTGTTAGTATTCTTTCACTTCAACTTGAAGGACTTCTTTTAGCATTTCTTTAAGGCATTTTGAAACCACAATTCCTTAAGGACCCCTGTTTTTATGGATCTGAGTGTCTGTTCTTAAGCAGTCAATCAGCATTCTAAAAGGCTGAGCAAGTAATGTTTTCTCTGGTCTTACATTTGAGATTATTGTCCATTTATTTTACTGCACTAGAATTAGACATCTGCCAATGATCCTATTTTAGAATAAATATTATATCTCTTAGTACTTTTTACCCTTCTAATGAATACTTTCAAAATGTTTTATAAAAAGATGAGCCCATTTTATCCTTAAATGTGAGCTTTTTTAAAGAGATAAAGCTGCCCATGAACTTTGGGGAAGATTTGCAGATACCCGTGGTTAGTTTTGCCAGTGACTACAGAAGTGTTCTGGAGTTTCCCTCAGTTCTTGGATTGAGAGGGGTTTAGGATTACAGAAGGTAATAGAAAAGGTAGTAGATGGAATTTTAGCAATTTTTGTTCTGGTTGTGTTACTGTACTCTCTCTATTGTCTTTCTCCAACCTGGGAATGTCTATTTATTGAATAATTTCTATGTTCAAGATAGTCCATCCATATATATGTGCATCCTAGTATACTGTTTTATTTATTTAATCCTGAAAGTTAGCCAGGGAGGGAGGTGTTGCTTTTGCATTAAGAGAAGTTAGCTTGAGCATAGCCACACAGAGCACAAGTAGCAAAGCTATTTAAACTCGATGTCTTATTCCAAGTTGATGCTCTTTTCATTGTACTGCAGAGCATGAATGTGGGAGACAGTAACATCTGTGGGATGTAGGGGAGACAAATAGGAGGAGAAAGACTGCACAGGTTTTAGGAAATGAGGGCAAGGTAAGGTAAGCATGAGGCAGAGGAGAAAGGGTCTTTCCTTTTCTTTTCTTTTTGACATAAAATGTACCCCACTTAGGCTCCAAAATTTTAGTTTTCTAAATTCCCTGTAAGCAAATATTTAAATAGTTTACTAATACTTATATTTCTTTAGGTTAGGAAGATTAGGAAAATTTACCAGACTTAGGCTGGGCACGGTAGCATAAGTAAAATATACTATCTACCTCATTGTGTTGTTTGAAGATTAATATATGTAGATATATATATAAAGAAATTTGAGTTATTGCATGTATAGAAATGAATGGTGCCTGGCACACTGTAAGTACTCAATAAATATTAACTATTATTTAAAATTAGAAAATTTGAATGGAACTTATTAATTTTCAACATCTGGAATTACCCACAAGGTATAGATGACTTAATTGTAGTTATAGAATGAAATTAAAATGTTAACAGTCTTATGAAAATGCATCTATCAGAAGCTGGGAGGCAAAAGAGGAAAGGACAGGTGGAAAAAAGAGTGGGAGTTTAACATAAAGTAGGGAGTCAAGGGATATGGTCTAAAATTAAAAAATAAGAAACAGAGGTTATATGAAAATGTATATATTTATAAAGGAAACAAATGAGAAATCATAATAGTATTATCAAAAAATTAGGAAGATGGGGAGAAATCAAGGTGGGAAATGCAGTAAAGGAGCTCAATCCTCATATCATCTGTTATCTGTCACACTAGGAAGAATACATGTACAAATAAATTTTCAAGGCAAAAACTCAAGAATTTTTGGTCTATACATGTTTACTTAGAGATATAACAAGAAACATATAGGCTGCCTCTGCAGACAGGCTAGGATGGGAAAAGGTGAAACAATGAAATTTCTTTTATTATATTAGTTCTGTTACCTATTTACACATGACTTTAATAACTTTTCTTTTTTATAAAAGTAAGAGACAAAAAGATTCCCCAAACCAACTGTACTTTAGGTCAAAAATATAGTGTTTTTCAAAAACTAAGTCTGGTAAATTTTCTTTTCTTTTTTTTCTTTTTTTTTTTTTGAGCTAGAGTCTCCCTCTGTTGCCCAGACTGGAGTGCAATGGCGCGATCTTAGCTCACTGCCACCTCCACCTCCCAGGTTCAAGCGATTTTCCTGCCTCAGCCTCCTGAGTAGCTGGGATTACAGGCGTGCGCCACCATGCCCGGCTAGTTTTTTTTTTAAGTTTTAGTAGAGACGGGGTTTCAGCATGTTGGTCAGCTGGTCTCGAACTTCTGGCCTCGCGTTGGCTTCCCAAAGTGCTAGGATTACAGGCATGAGCCACAGCGCCCGGCCGACAGCAACCATTTCTTTACTTCACAATTCCATGGGCCAAAAATTTGGTCTGGCCTTAACTGGGCAGTTGTTCAGGTCTTGGCTGTGCCCATTCCAGCATCTGCGTGTAGCTGGGCAGTTCTGCTTCTGGAAGGTAGGTGGACGTTGGTTGGGGTTAAGCAGGAAAATGGGCCATGTGTGTCTTATCATCTAGCATGCTACTTTGGTCTGTTCACAAGGCTACTGTCAGGGTTTGAAGAAAGAGAGCAGAAGCGGGCCAGGCCTCTTGAGACCTGGGCTTGGAAATGAATGGCACACTGCTACTTTGGCTGCATTCCTTGGGTCAAAAGGACTCACAAAATTAGCCCAGATTCAAAAAGAAAGGAAGTAGACTCCATTCTTGTTATGAATAGTTATAAAGTTACATTGTTGTGGTGTGCTTTTACAGGAAGGTGGATTGTCATCTTTGCATTCTATCACAATTCCCTTGACCATGGCACATATTGCCCCTTTATTATGTAAATATTACACTGGAGAGCCAATATGTGTTTATTCTATACAGTTCCAATATCATCACTCAGTATGAAGAAAATTAATAAAAAAGAGATCTATTTCAGACTTCATCAATTGTTCCAAAGTTAGATTTTATTTTACTTTTATATTAGGCCATTGCTTTTTTGAAAGTTTTTTTTCCTGGACATTATTATTGCCCTCTTGCTTTTTTGAGCAGAAATACGTGCTTACTTTACAATACCTATAATATTTTATGGCACTTTAGTTTCTTTAATAAATATATTCCAATTTTTTTTCATAAAGTTATCCTGGATCTAAATGACTTTGGTTATAATTTGCACAGATTGCTTTGCAGGCTGTCATCCTGGGATTTCTTTTCGTGCATATTTTGGTTTGTTGCACAGTTCTTTGTATCTTACATCTTTTCTTGATTTTTACCATTGTTTTGCTGGGGGATAGCTTTACCATCTTCTGCAGAATGTAAGTAAATTTTCTGAGGTTTCGAGTGTCAGAAAATAGATTTATTTTCCTTCTATGTTTACCAAAAATTTGTCTGGATATAGAATTCCAGGATCAGAATATCTTCCTTCAGCATTTAAAAAATCTTGCACAACCATCTTCGAGTTTTTACCACTTCTAATGAAAAATTTGAAAGAGCATGACTTTCTTGTTCCTTTGTAGATTCTGTATTTTGTTTATTCTCTTTCTAAGATGTAGGATTTCTCTATCATTTTGCTTTGAAATTTCACAAAAATGTCTTTAAGCATGGATTTTCTGTTGATATTTCTTGGATCCTTTTAAAGTTTCTGTCTCTCAAGCTCTGGGAAATTTTCTTTTATTGCTTTAATAGTAATCTTCCCTTCCTTTTCTCTATTCTTACTAGAATTTCTGTTAATTAGATATTTTACTTCTTAGGTTGATTCTCTCTCTGTTTTTCTTTCTTTCTCTCTCACTCTCCCTCCTCTTTTTCATTCTCTCTCATTCCACATCCTGGAAGATTTCCTCAGCTTTACTTTTTAAACTTCTGATTGAATTTTAAAAATCTTGTTACACATTCAGGGAGTATATGTGCAAATTTTTTGCATGGATATGTTGTGTAATGGTCAGGTTTGGGCTGCTAGTATACACATCACCCAAGCAGTGAATGTTGTTCCCAATAGGTAAGTTTTCAATCCTTTTCCCCCTTTCTCCTTCCCCCTTTGGAGCCCCCAGTGTCTATGATTTCCATCTTTATGTCCATGTGCATCCATTGTTTATCTCTCACTTATAAGTGAGAACATGCAGTATTTGATTTTGTGTTTCTGAGTTAATTCAGTTAGGATGATGGCCTTCAGCTCCATCCATGTTGCTGTAAAAGACATGATTTCATTCTTTTTTATGGCTGCATGGTTGAATTTTAGATTTTTAAAATTATGCTTTTAATTTTTGTTTTTTGATTTTTAGATTTCTCTCCATACATTACTTTAAAAAAAGGAAAAAAAATCTTAACTTTATATTCTTTGCCCATGAGGAATATTCAGTCTTCTTTAATTGATCTTCTTTCACGTGTTAACATCTATGTTTGCTATATCTTCAGGTCTTTTCAGCTAATAGCTCTTGAAAAGAAAGGAAGATGCTGTTTATGGTTTAACATTTAGTGGGGTAGCAATGAAATACTCATATTGGATATTACTACATTATCCAGATGTCACTATACTACAGAATATGGTAAGACTGTTATATTCTCCTCTCCCAGCTGTCCTTAGATTGTGTGATATATGGGACAGGAACTCTTACCATACATGTATATAAATATGCTTAATTAACATAGACAGATTTCTTGTCAGTGGTTGGTATATTAATCTGGCAAATCCTCCTTCTCCCATCCTGCCAAATTTTTGATCTTTTGAAAGTCTGCCAATCTAGTTTTTAATGGCTCTAAATATGGGGAACCCTTTATTTGGGCTTTCTTGAAACAGGTGCCTGCCTTCTTGCTGCTCTTGTAGTAAGTCTTTTGGGTTGTTCTATTTTTGCTCATCCCTGTTCAAAATTCTAGAAAGTTGCTCTCTTCCTCAGTGGATAGATTTGCTTGGTTTACTCTCAAACTCAGTTCATATTTTAATAAGCCCTTTTTGAATTCTCTGAGGGCCATGGTTTCATGTTGTCATCTTTTGTTTTTCCCCTGTGAATACATCCAGCTCTGTACCTTCACCATCAGCAGAAGTGTCCCCTAGACCCCCCTTGAGAGCTTTCACCCACACTTTTTCCTGTGTTACTTTTCCCTGTCCATGATGAGAGAGTGTTTTCTTTGCTGTTTATGGTAGCCTTTTGGAAACACACAGATTAGATAAATAAGACGAGACCTGAGAAATCATTTGGACTTTCACTTTATTTTTTTGGGGGGGAAATCAATATTCAGGATTTAATATATTTTTTTAAAAGTCTGAAGTATCTTATTCAATCAATTTTACCTGTGAACATTCATTCATTTAAGAATATACATTGAATCATTCTATGTGACAAACATTTGCTGGGGTATTTGGTGATCAGAGAACAGATGTGTATGCGATTCAGGTATTAATAAAATAATCACACAAATAAATGTAAAATTACACAAGAACTATGAAGAGGAGGGAAAATGCCATGATAATTAATCATGGTCTTAGAGAGTGAGGAAGGGTAAAATAGACAAGACTTAATGATTGGTTAAGTAATGTCAAGGTGGGAGGGAAAGAAAGGTATCAAGGTGTGAGAGAAAGAACAATGTCCAAAGTAATTTCAAGGATCAAGGCATGAGCAGATAGATGGACTTGGGTGGGTAACATTGGATCAGGGCCAAGTTTGACAGGAAGAAAGAAGATTATGTGTTGAATTCTGGACATGCCAAATTTGAAGAACTGTTTCAACATTTGAGTATAGGTATCATATAGACATTTAATTATACAGTAGCTTCCCACTTATCTATGTGGGATCCGTTCCAAGACCCCCAGTAGGATGCCTGAAACTGTAGAAAGTACTGAACTATATACATTCTGTTTTTCCTATACATATATACCTATGATAAAGTTTAACTTGTAGGCACAGTAATGTGTCCAGAATTGGTGGGTTCTTGGTCTCACTGACTTCAAGAATGAAGCCGCGGACCCTCATGGTGAGTGTTATAGTTCTTAAAGGTGATGTGTCCAGAGTTTCTTCCTTCTGATATTCAGACGTGTTCGGAGTTTCTTCCTTCTGGTGGACTTGAGGTCTCACTGGCTTCAGGAGTGAAGCTGCAGACCTTCGCGGTGAGTGTTACAGCTCTTAAGGCGGCACGTCTGGAGTTGTTTGTGCCTCCCGTCTGGAGTTGTTCGTTCCTCCTAGTGGGTTCATGGTCTCACTGGCCTCAGGAGTGAAGCTGCAGACCTTTGCAGTGAGTGTTACAGCTCATAAAGGCAGTGTGGACCCAAAGAGTGAATAGCAGCAAGATTTATTGCAAAGAGTGAAAGAACAAAGCTTCCAGTGTGGAAGGGGACCCAAGTGGGTTGCCACTGCTGGCTCGGGCAGCCTGCTTTTATTCCCTTATCTGGCCCCACCCACATCCTGCTGATTGGTCCATTTTACAGAGAGCTGATTGGTCCGTTTTACAGAGAGCTGATTAGTACATTTTGACAGGGTGCTGATTGGTGTGTTTACAAACCTTGAGCTAGACACAGAGTGCTGATTGGTGTATTTACAATCCCTTAGCTAGACATAAAGGTTCTCCAAGTCCCCACCAGATTAGCTAGATACAGAGAGCTGATTGGTCCATTTTACAGAGAGCTGATTGGTCCGTTTTGACAGGGTGCTGATTGGTGTGTTTACAAACCTTGAGCTAGACACAGAGTGCTGATTGGTATATCTACAATCCCTTAGCTAGACATAAAGGTTCTCCAAGTCCCCCCTAGACTCAGGAGCCCAGCTGGCTTCACCCAGTGGATCCTGCACCGGGGCCACAGGCGGAGCTGCCTGCCAGTCCCGTGCCATGTGCCTGCACTCCTCAGCCCTTGGGTGGTCAATGGGACCAGGCGCCGCAGAGCAGGGGGCGGTGCTCATTGGGGAGGCTCGGGCCACGCAGGAGCCCACGGTGGTTGGGGGAGGCAGCTGAGGCCCGGTGAGAATTTGAGCGCAGCGCTGGTGGGCTGGCACTGCTGGGGGAGCCGGTGCACCCTCTGCAGCTGCTGGCCTAGCTGCTAAGCCCCTGACTGCCTGGGGTTGGTGGTGCCAGCTGGCTGCTCCGAGTGCGGGGCTGCTGAGCCCACGCCACCCGGAACTCACGCTGGCCTGCAAGCGCCATGCACAGCCCTGGTTCCCACCCATGCCTCTCCCTCCACACATCTCTGCAAGCTGAGGGAGCCAGCTCCAGCCTCGGCCAGCCCAGAGAGGGCTCCCACAGTGCAGTGGCAGGCTGAAGGGCTCCTCAAGTGTGGCCAGAGTGGGCGCCGAAGCCGAGGAGGCACTGGGAGCGAGCGAGGGCTGCAAGGGCTGCCAGCATGCTGTCACCTCTCAGTAAGAGATTAACAACAGTGACTAATAATAAAATAGAACAATTATAGGCCAGGTGTGATGGCTCACTCCTGTAATCCCAGCACTTTGGGAGGCTGAGGCAGGTGGATCACGAGGTCAGGAGATAGAGACCATCCTGGCTAACATAGTGAAACCCCATCTCTACTAAAAATACAAAAAATTAGCCGGGCGTGGTGGCAGGCACCTGTAGGCCCAGCTACTCAGGAGGCTGAGGCAGGAGAATGGCATGAACCTGGGAGGCAGAGCTTGCAATGAGCCAAGATTGCGCCACTGCACTTCAGCCTGGGTGACAGAGCAAGACTCCATCAAAAAAAAAAAAAAAAAAAGATTGTAAATTGCGATATCAATAATATAAAATAGGGTGACCTGGTCAGCGGGGATCTGAGCAGTGGGTGCCCATTCAGTGGGGCCTACTCACTAGGGTCATAGTCAGGGGCATCTGGTCACCTGGGGCCTGCTTAATAGGGGACTGGTAAGTGGCAGCCTGTTCCCTGGAGGCCTGGTCAGCGGGGCCTCATCTGTGGGGCCAGGCAATGGGATCATGATCGGTGGAAACTAATCAATGAGGCCTTGTCAGTAAGGACCTGGTCAGTGAGGCCCTGGTCTGTAAGGCCCTGGTCAGTAGGGCCCTGGTCATTGTGGGCCTGGCAGTGGGGGCCTGGTTAGTGGGGCATTGTCATGGGGTTTTAATCAGTGAGGGTGTGGTCAGGGAGGACCTGATGTCCAGGATCTGGTCAGCAAGTACCTGGTGCGGGGGCTGCTGAGCACTGCTGGGAGATGTCAGGTGCAATGCACATTATCGAAGGCCCTGTGGACAGCTCGGATGGGCCAGTGGTGCCCAAAGGCCCAGTCAAAAGTGGACGAAGCATGTGTTTGGATGGACCTGGGAGATCTTGCTCAGAGATTTTGACAGGACAAAGGCAAAGGAAGGGCCAGAGTGGCCGGTGAGATGGTCACAGTCTATGGGCTGCACAGGATGGAGAAAGCCAGAGAACAGGCAGGGTGGGCAGCTGGGGTGCAGGGAGAGGCAGGTGCATGCTGGGAGGTCAGACCCTGTCAGTGCTGTGGGGGCATCAGGTGGGGTGGGCTCCAGGTGTACCCTCAGTGCACTGGGCAGGTCTCAGCCCAGGCTCCCTGCACCCTGGCCGAGTGATGCGGTCACTCCCTGGGGGACTGCCATCAGGCCCCAGCCACCCACCCTGGGCAGTGCTGTCCCATCTCAGGACTGGACTTTCTCAGATCCTGCAGAGGGCACAACCTCCAGCCCAGGAGGGACAGCCCCATGATGCAGCCTGAGCTCTCCATGGGCCTGGAGCATCCCCTGCCAGCCCTGCACTCCCTCTTCTCCCAGGTCCCACTTTTCCAGTGTCAGCTAGCAGGGAGGCCCTGTCCTGGGCCTATGTGTCCCTTCCCTATGTGTCTCCTGGGCCGAAACTTGCGGCGGATTGGGACAGGGATGGTGCTTCCCTCAGGCCCATTTAGGGAGGGGACTGGCTCCCAGCCTGGCACAGGTCCTCAGCTCTGCCTTGGTTGCTGTAGAGTGAGAAGGATCAGTCAGTGCCCTCAAGGTAAATGTAAGAGACTGTCCATGCTGTGTGGGAGGCTGGTCTAGGGATGGAGGACTTAACAGGTCCTCCCAGTCTGTCAGGCCTGGGCAGTACTGTCCTGTCTCAGGACTCAGAATGTCCAGCCCTGCGATGGGACGGTGCTGCTCAGGGTGGGTGGCTGGGGCCTGACAACAGTCCCCCAGAGAGTGACCACATCACCCAGACAGGTCCAGGGAGCCTGGCCTCAGACCTGCCCAGTGCATTGAGGGTACACCTGGAGCCCACTCCACCTGATACCCCTACAGCCCTTACAGGGTCTGACCTCCTAGCAGGGTCATTCATTCATCTGTGGTAGGGGAGTTCACCGCCCTCAGCAGCCTCCATGAAGGCCACCCCCCAACCCCCCACCCCCCACCTACACATGCACAGAGCTGGAAGGTCTGTCCCCACCACCACTCCAGAGTGTGAGAAATGGAGAGGCAGTGGGATAGGGACTCTGTGCTTCACATGTTGGTTGAGCTAAGAGGGCCCATCTCCATCCCAGCCTTTGTCAGGGAGAGAAGGGGCTTCCCAGGGGCAGACATTATCTATTCTCCACCAGGATACCCAGGGTCAAGACTTCTCCCTCTTCTCAACTCAGGGTCCAGCACTCTCCCACCCAAACTTCCACTATTTTGTGACACATGAAGCTACTCGGCTGTGGTACTTCCTGGAGCCTGCATGGAGATGTTCAGCCCTGTGACATCTCTGCAAACCTTCTCCCTACAGCTGCATAAAGTTTGAGGTAGACAGTAAGTAGTGGAAAGATGGGTTGAACCTTATTTCAGAGTGGGATCTTCATAGGTTTTTCTCATCTTGTTTTTAGAATTTTTTGTTGTTTGTGTAAAGACAGTATTACGGAAATGTAAGATTCACTAAAGGAACTCAGGATGAAAGTGGGCTTACAGCACCACTGTCAGCATCCCTCCATGTCCTGTCGCTTCTAGAAACCAAGCCCACACCAAGCATGGCAAAAATAAAAGCCATCACCCTCTTATGAATAAAAAACCATATATATTGTGGAATATTAAATGTTCTGCATGTACTAACATGAGAGAAAATACTTTTTCTCTACATAGAGTGAATTTTTTCTTGGGGACTTGTTTTTCCCTAGGGAAGGCTAAAAAAGAATTTGTGACTGACCAAATTAGATACCTCCCCGAAGAAGACAGTGCCTTGGACAGTGGTGATGGTGGCTGGAGGCACCAGGTATTTTTGGCCCATGCTGAGGGGGACTGACTGGGGATACAGCTTTCTTGGGGAGCAAGAGTTGGGGATGTCACAGGCCCCATTGCTCATTGTTGCACCGGACACTTTTCAAGGGCTGCTGATCTCTGCTTTGCCTGTCTCTGTTGGGACAACTCTGGCTCTTGGGAGTGGCTTGTTGACTGCTGGCTGCATAGTTCAGCATTCTGCTGTGTTCTGAGTAGAAGGGGTGCCTGTGGTTGCAGGGAAACCCACAGACTGGGGCTTGAAACTGCTGTCTTTGCTGATTTACCTTCGAGGCATGGCACTCACGGCAAAGTGACATTTTCTCCTCCAGCATCTGTCCAACTGATGTCATGAGCTCCTGCACTTCAGCACTGCTGCAGTACACGCATGATCTGTTTTTTACTGTTTTATGGCTCTCGGCAGTGACTGGTGCTGGCTTCCTTTTTTTCTTTGAAAAAAACCCTCTGAAAAAGTTGCTTGATGTTTTCTCCAAAGTGGCTTATTGAAGGAGGCTGTTTCTTTGATGGCAGTAGCTGGATGCCTTCATTCTGACGGGTGTCTTCTGTCTTCCTGCCTGGGGTAAGTTGAGGCGTCCTCAATCCTTGATACATTTCTTCATGTTTTTCTAAGTTGGGCTTCCTAGAGTTCTCCCTCTTGTGAGTAGGGAGAAACATTGGGCTTTGGCTCTTGCATGAGCCTTGACAGTTTGGGTTCCTGGGCTCCTTGTGCCTCAGGTTGCTCCTTCTGGCTGCCATGAGGTCACATAGCCCCTGGGAAGCCTGCATGTTCCCAGTAGGCATGCTCTGGAGATGGCCCTGGGGCACTTGAGAAGCCAAATTCTCTGAAGCATGGGGCAGAACAGATGCTTGCCCATCTGGAAGGAGCACAACAGCGGCAGAAACTTGAGGCTGGGTCTCTGACTTCATGGCCATTCCAGGCTCAAATTCACTAACAACCTCCTCCATAAGACACAGCTTTCTTGGATCTTGGGAGACAGACATTCTAGGGAGTAGAGAGCTTTTGCTGGCCCCTGGAGCCTCGAAACCATGGACATCCTCACTTGTGGCTTGGAGGTTTGCCATCATACAGGTTGCCAAGGGGACTCTGGGTTGTGGCTCTGCCTCCCTGGTCTCTCCAGCCCTTGAAGATTGGGCTCCTAAGCTCCTGCTCTGCTGGGTGCTGCCTGTGAGGCTGTATGTGAGGGGCTTAGATGGCCACCTGCCCTCCTGTCCAGCTGTAGGAGCCTTCAAGGACCCATGATCATTCCAAGATGGGATCCCTCATGGGGCCCTCTGGAACTGCTTACATGCAGATGAGGAGGCCTGAAGACTCTCTGGCATATGAACAGATGCTTTGGTCAGCACCTGCTTTCTCAGACTTGGCATTGGTGGCTCTCTAAGGAACGTGGCCACCTCAACTTTTGAGCCAGCCCCAGGTTCACAGGTGGCTGAGGAGGGACCAGCAAGCTGTGTACTGCACAAGGACAAAATCTTTTCCAGTTTAAGGCACTGAATAGGCTTGAGGACCCTGAGGGGTAGACCCCACCTGTGTTTGGCCCAAAACCTCACAATATGGGCTCCCAGCACCTGCTGAGTACACGGCTCAAGGAAGGAAAGCACCTGCACTGTGTTCACACAGGCTTTCCCACTTTTCAGGGGAGCTAGATTGTTGGTTTTCACGTGGATGTTGGACATGGGAAAAGCCTGGTTGACAGCAAGCCAGGATCGACGCACATCACGGGGATCAAGCCCTTGTTGATCTGGCCCAACTTCCTGCCCATGTGGGCTTTCAGGGTGTTTTCTATATGATTCCTCTCTGTGCATCTTAATAAATCACTTCCCGAGTCACTCCTCAAGGGCTTCCTCAAGTTCCTTTCCGACTCCTCAGAGGTCGCCCCCAGAACCTTCCCTGGGAAGCTTTCCATGCCCCTGGATAGATTTTGTGGGGTCTCACCCAGAATTTGCCCCAGATGTGGGCACGGGTCCCTCTCTAGCTGGAGCTTCACCTTCTGTGTCTCCTTGCTGCTTTCACCTGTGGACATGGAGGACTGCCAGGGCCTGGGCTTGCCCTTGGCCTGACTTGTCCCTGGAGATTCATCCTGAAGCTGCATCAGATCCAGAGACTCTTGGATCCTTCCAGGTTGCCCCATGTGTTGCTCCAGTTGTCTCCAGAGTTCAGGACTGACTGGAAAGTTCTCAGGCAGAATGGATGTCAAGCTTTCCTGGGGAAGGTTAGGAGTGGAGACACTAAAGACGTCCTGAGATTTTTGGACCCTAGAGGGTAAAGCCAACCCACCTTCTAGTTGCTTCCTCAACAAAGGCCATTCAGGGTGCTGAGTTTCAGATAGGGAGAGAGCTTGCACTTTATTTTGTGACACAGGGCAAGCTACTCCAGTGTTCTTAATCGGGGATGGAAAAGTAGGAGATGGGACTGGGAAAGAGGATTGAAGATGGGCCTGAGCCTCAGCCTGAGCCATAGGTGTGGGCCAGAATTGGGGTGTGGATGAAATAAAGGGTTGGGACTCAGGCCCCAGATGGGACAGGGGCTGGGCCTGGAAAAGCAGTGGGGACATTGTAGTCTCCCTTTGAATTGGGCAGACATTGGAAATTTGATTGAAGAAAGGAGGAGACTGCAAAGTGCAAGACCGGTCAGTGACCCAGGCATTAGCCACCAGGGATTCTCTGTGCCGAGAGGGGAGGCCCCAGAAAAGCTGGCTGTAATTCTTCTGAAAACTTTCCTGCAAAAGCCTAAGATCTGAGAACTTCTGAGGACTGGGCAGCTCTTTCAAGTTCTCTCCCTTGTTCCAGAAGGATTTTGGGGTTGTGGTGTCCTGCTCAGCATCCAATGATTTAACCAAATTCCCCAAAGAATTTAAGTGCTTTTCTGGGGTCATTTGGTTTGTAAATGATCCATCATTTTCTTTTTCTTCCCAAATGTTGACCTTGGCTCTTTCTGTGACTTGTATCCCCACGACATTCTGGCCATCAGAGCTGAGCAAAAATGGGCTACCAGCTTCCATCTGACAGGTCTCTGGTGGGTGGCGGGAAAGATGATCTTGCTAGACTGATGAATTGAAGATGCACCAGGTTCTGGTAGTCTCCTGCCACCAGGAGAAGGCAGAAACTTGACTGTTTGAGCTGCCAAGGCCTGAGATGGCTGGGACAGAAGCCGCCAAATCCTCATGTGGAGACAAGCTTTGAGGGACGGTGCCCAGTGGAAGTGCCACTGAGTCACAGTGAAATGGAGTTATCAGAGTGGAGTCCCACAGGGGAGGAGCAGTGAAGTCTTTTGGAGGAGGAGGAGAGCAGGCCAGAGGATCAGGGGTGTGTGGTGGGTGAGGAAAAGTGCAGGTGGCTTGGGTGAGGGGCGTTCTAGGAGAAGGGAAGGTTCTGGTGGCTGGGAGGCACTTAGGGAGGAGACTGAGGTGGTCATTGGGCCTGGTGATGGGGTGGAGGCCAGATCCTGAGGATGCTTGATTCGAGGATCTGGGGAAGCTAACAGGTAGATAATGGGAGCAGCATCTTCCATAGGCTCAAGAGAGGACCGGGAGGCTCCATCAGGTGCTCTTTTGCCCACCTCACCTGGGGGTTCTGGACCAGAGAGCTGACCAAAGTCACCTTTGTCAAGGTGTGTCCCCAGGAGGCTGCAGGAGCCAGGAGGCACAAGCTGCAGCCAGAAGCAGGTGGGTTTGGAGGGCAGAGTGGGCGTTAGGGCCACAGCCCCTCCACCACCCCACATCCTGACCGCCCAATTCTCCTGTTACCCGTCGCCCCAGGCCTTTACTCCCATCCTCTGTCCCCCTGGTCTCCCCATCCCAGGTCAGCTCCAGGCTGCCTATGGCCCTGGGGTGGCATCCCAGCCCTGGTAGGAAGGATGCAGGGAAGGGGAAGTGCCTCACCTCTGCAGTTGTGAAAGCAGGTCCCAAGTCTCCTCCAGGCCTCTCGGGCACTCTCTACAAGCTGGAAATCAGACCGGGTTAGGGCAGTGAGGGAGGGGCCTGGGATCTCACAGGAGGCTGAGTGTATGTTTCTTTAGGGAAGACCTTGGGGAATTAGACCCTGGAATCCACCCATCTATGTCCAAAGCCACTTGGCCCCGACGGTAATAGCAAGGCATAGAGGACAGGGCTTTGTCATTCACAAAGGACTTCTACACACGGACCCTCCACCCCCACAGTCCTCACAACTGCCCTGTGGGGAGAAAGGACTGGGGTGGTCTCAAAAAGGAATCAGCCTTAGCAGAGTTGAACAGCTGTTCCCAGGGAGCGGGAGGCCCCCTCACCCCTCTCTGCATCCAGGCAGGCATTGGTCTCCCCAGGACACACACACTGCCCCCTGCTGGGTAACGCCCAGTCCCTGGCCCACCATGGCTTCATTCCGGCATGGAATCTGAGAAGGACCCGGGGTTCTGATTTCCCTCCTAGGAGCCCCCACCTCAGGCTTCTTCAACTGACTTCTTCAGAGTCAGTTCCCTCTGGGACAGACAAGATCAAATTAACTCTAGTGTGCCCTGGCAGAGCCTTACCTCTCAGACTGTGGTTTTTCATCCTGCCTCTGGGCCTCCCCCTCTGCCCTACTGGACACTGGGAGACACGATGACATGGGGAGACAAGATGATGTGGGGAGACAAGATGACACTGGGAAACAAGAAATGGCGAGGATCTAGGACCAGCTCTCCCTCTCTGCCTCCAGCCCAGCCGCAGCACGCTGCACTCACGAACCGTATGGCTCTGTCTTGCTCAGGGAGCTCTGTCTGCTTCCTCCCACTCATGTTTAAATGGATGATAAACTGCTTTTCTTTTTATAAAAACAGGAAGAGGGGGCCGGGAGCGGTGGCTCACGCCTATAATCCGAGCACTTTGGGAGGCCGAGGCAGGTGGATCACCTGAGGTCAGGAGTTTGAGACCAGCCTGGCCATGGTGAAACCCCGTCTCTACTAAAAATACAAAAATTAGCCAGGCATGGTGACGGGCGCCTGTAATCCCCAGCTACTCAGGACGCTAAGACAGGAGAATAGCTTGAACTCAGGAAGCAAAAGTTGCAGTAGCCGATATCGCTCCATTTCACTGCAGCACACGTGACAGAACAAGACTCTGTCTCAAAAAATAAAATAAAATAAATAAAAATACACACACACACACACACACACACACACACACACACACACAGACGGAGGGAGTTTCAATATGAGGTCCACCATGGACGCCATCAGTCCCTGTTCCTCGGCTCCAGGAACACCCAGGCTCAGGCCCGCAGGCACCACTGAGCTGTCAGATAGGATTCTGCTTCCCAGGAGACCAGAGGAGACACCGGGCCTGGTGGGAGGCCCTCGGGGGCCCAGCACAGGCCCAATATCACCCCACACAGAGGAGGCTAGGCCCAGAGTCACCTGCCCCAGGAAGGGGCTGATGAGCCAGGGCTCAGGGCCTGGCCTCGGACAGAGACCTCCCCTGTCTCATGACCAGAGACTTCACCTGTCTCATGACCAGAGACCTCCCCCGTCTCATGACCGGTCCTGGCCACTGAGCCCACGGGTTTGATTTTGCCTTGACGCCTCCTGCGCTTCCCCACAGATGGACTGAGAGCTTGGCATGGAAATCCCAGTACACGATCTACCCCTACCAACCCCTGGCTGCCCTGCCTCTCCCTGGAAGGATGATGTTCTGGTCTCTCCTGAGACTTCCCATCACAGAAATCTCTCCACTGGATTTGGAAAAGTGGAACTAATAATAAAAAGAAAGGAGAGAATCAAGCTCTGTGGGTCCAGACTGAGGGCTCCTTACCTTTCTCTTCCCAGGCGATGGTGAGGGTGGGTCATCACAACGGAGGTAAGAGAAGTAGGGGAGTAATAGGAAGAAGAACCCCAGGGCAAACACCAAGGTGAGGAAGATATCCAACACCCATGGTGTGGAGCTGGGGGTGTTTAGTGATGAGGCACTAAGTAATTTTAGAGGAAAGGGAAGATTCTCCATGTGAATAGGCGTGTTGCTTTCAAGCAACTGAGCTCTGGGCATCCCTGTGGAGACTAGGGACTGGGGCCCAGGCCTGCGTCACAGAGCTGGGGCTTCACATCGCAAAGGGCAACTTTGTTGGGGAGGGGCAGTGAGAGGGGAGGGGCAGTGGGAGGGAGAGGCTGAACGACAGCCCCTCCCCACCCCCCAAGCTGGGGATCCCTCCACCCTCCCACCTTCCAGATCCCTCCTTCCCACTAAGTTTTGTCAGTGATAGAACTCAGCCAATTTTCTATTCTTTCTCCCTGGAACACAGATATTACCTGGTTCCTTTTATCTGTTGGAGATGGTGGCTTGAAGTTACCTACTTTATAGCCCTTGAAAATCTGAAGTTGATTCTGAAATTTTGGCTATGTACCAGGGATTTTTATTCTCAGAATCTCGTTCGTCCTCAACTCCAGCTTTCCCACGCAATGTTTTTGTCTTATATCAATCCAGGAACAAAATGTAAATTCCTTTTACTCTTATTTAGTTTTGCAAATTTTGAATAGTAAGTTTAAAAAAATTATTTCTATCTCACTATTTTTTTTCTTTTTTTCTTTTTTTGAGACGGAGTCTCTCTCTGTCACCCAGGCTGGAGTGCAGTGGCGTGATCTTGGCTCACTGCAAGCTCCGCCTCCCGGGTTCAAGCTATTCTCCTGCCTCAGCCTCCCGAGTAGCTGGGACTACAGGTGTCCGCTGCCACCACGCCCGGCTAATTTCTTTTTGTATTTTTAGTAGAGACGTGGTTTTGCAGTGTTAGCCAGGATGGTCTCGATCTCCTGACCTCGTGATCCGCCCGCCTCGGCCTCCCAAAGTGCTGGGATTACAGGTGTGAGCCACTGTGGCCAGCCTTCTATCTCACTTTCAATCAAAGGGACCTACCCACATACAATTAAGATTTTTTTTATTTTTTTAAATTTTATTTATGTACTTAAGTATTTATTTTAAGTTCCAGAGTACATGTACAGGACATGCAGTTTTCCTTTTTTTTTTTTGAAACAGAATCTCGCTGTGTTACCCGGCTGGAGTGCAGTGGTGCGATCTTGGCTCACTGCAACCTCTGCCTCCTGGGTTCAAGCAAGTCTCCTCCCTCAGCCTCCCGAGTAGCTGGAGCTACAGGCGTGTGCCACCACGCCCAGCTACTTTTTGTATTTTTAATTGAGACGGGGTTTCACCATGTTGGTCAGGATGGTCTTGATCTCTTGATCTCATGATCCACCCTCCTTGGCCTTCCAAAGTGCTGGGATTACAGACGTGAGGCATGGCGCCCAGCCAGATTACAACATTTAATATTCTTAAGATGGCAATACTTTCCAAAGCAATTTGCAGGTTCGGTGCAATCCCTGTTTAAATTCTAATGATGTTTTTTGCAGAAATCAAAAAACGTATCCTAACATTTATAAGGAGTGTTAAGAAAGTCCAAATAGCCTGAACAATTTGGAATAAGAAGAATAAAGTTGGACTCATGCTTCCTGATTTCAAAACTTACTTTAAGGCTATAGCAATCAAAACAGCGTGGTACACAGTGTGGCATAAAGACAGATATATATGTAATCCCAGCACTTTGGGAGGCCAAGGTGGGCAGATAAGGTCAGGAGTTTGAGACCAGCCTGGCCAACATGGTGAAACTCTGTCTCTACTAAAAATACAAAAATTAGCTGGGCATGGTGACATGTGCCTCTAGTCTCAGCTACTCAGGAGGCTGAGGCAGAAGAATCGCTTGAACCCAGGA
Source organism: Homo sapiens (assembly GCF_000001405.40). Classification (NCBI taxonomy): domain Eukaryota; kingdom Metazoa; phylum Chordata; class Mammalia; order Primates; family Hominidae; genus Homo; species Homo sapiens. Next base: position 82,065,436 of record NC_000009.12, read on the forward strand.
AGTGGAGGTTGCAGTGAGCCGAGATCATGCCACTGCATTCCAGCCTGGGTGACAGAGTGAGACTCTGTCTCAAAAAAAAAAAAAAAAAAAAAAGGAAGACAGATATCAGACATATAAATAAAAAGAACAGAATAGAGAGCCCAGAAATAAACCCTTGTACATATGTTCAAATGATTTTCAACCAGGGTGCCAAGACCATGTGGAAGGACAATCTTTTCAACAAATGGTGTTGAGAAAGCTGGGTACAGTGTATCCATATATAAAGAGTGACGTTGGGCCCTTATGTATACTATATACATAAACTAACTCAAACTGGATCAAAGGCCTAAACATAAGACTTAAAACTATAAAGGTCTTAGAAGAAAAAGCATAAAGGAAAAGTTTTTTGACTTCGGTTTGGCAATGATTTATTGGATCAAAGACACCAAAAGCACAGGCAATAAAAGAATAGATAGATTTCATCAAAATAAAAATATTTTGTGCATCAAAGGACACTATCAATAGAGTGAAAAGGCAACTCATGGATTGCAAGACAATGTTTGCAGATCATACATACTGATACAAGATTAATATCGAGACTATATAAAGAACTGCCAAAACTTGACAGCAAAAGATACAAACAAGATGATTCAAAAATGGGCAAAAGATTTGAATGGATATTTCTTCAAAGAACATACACAAATGCACAAGATGCTCCACATCACTAATCTTTAGGGAAATTTAATTCAAAACCACAATAAGATACCATTTCACATCCATTATAATGTATATTATCCAAAAAAAATAAGCAACAAGTGTTAATGAGGATGTGGAGAAATTGGAACACTTGTGCATTGCTGGTGGGAATGTAAAATAGTGAAGCTGGTGTGAAAAACTATTTGGCAGTTCCTCAAAAATTTAAAAATCAAATTACCATATGATCCAGCAATTCCACTTCTAGATAGGTATATACCGCCAAAGAATTGAAACCAGGAACTCAAACTATTACTAGCACATCAATGTTTATAGCAGCATTTCACAATAACCAGAAGGTGGAAGTAACCCAAATGTCCATCCATGGTGAATGGATTGACAAAAGGGGGTATATAAATACTAGGGAACATTACTCAGCCTTAGAGAGGAATAAAGTTCTGATTCATGCTACAATATCAACTAATTTTGAAGAAGTTGTGCCGAATGAAATAAGCCAGATACAGAAAAAGAAATACCATATAATTCTACTTATATGAGGTACCTAGAGTAGTCAAATTGTAGAGACAAAGCATAATGTTGGTTTCCAGGTTTGGGTGTACAAGGAATGGGAAATTATTGCTTAATAGATATAGATTCAGTTGGGAACATGAAAAAATTCTGTTGGGAAGATGAAGAAAAGAATGTCTGGGACGCAGATGGTGGTGATGGTTTTACAACAATGTTAATGTATTAGACTTAACACCACTGAACTGTACACTTTAAAATGGCCGGAATAGTAAGTTTTGTTTTGTATATTTTACTTCAGTAAGAAAGCCAGAATTATTAATGCCCCAAATAGGGAGATGAAGTAGAGGGTGCCTCGCATGTTAACCAAAATGATCTCTCTTTTAGACAAAGAGGATAAACATTTGCTTATGAGGGTTTTTTGTTTGTTTGTTTGTTTTTGTTATGTCGAGCCTCTTTAAAATGTTTACAAAATGTTGAAGTTCATACAATGGGATAATTTTTTTCAGTCCCTTTTTTGTTTACATACCATGTTTGCAACTTTCTGCTTTAGGCCATCAAGAAAAATGTCCAAGGGGCACTAAAACTGTCAACATTGGGAGCTAATTCGGAATATTGTCTAAAGATGTTGTTTAGGGAGATAGTTCCTCATATTTTACATTAGCTTTAGCTAAATAATATTTTAAGGATGCAATGTTTGAGTCCAAATTGTGCTTGAGGTCTCCTCATACCCATTAAATAGACTACTGAATGGTAGGAATATTTTGATATTGTTGTTTTAAGGTGCCTCTTAAATGAACAATCGCTGCTCTCTTAGTTATAATTCACAGTTATTATACTGGAACCCTGCTGATGTGGTGGTAAGGCATTGTAGAGGGAAAGCAGTGTGTAATTTTATGATTACATATCCATTGTCTAGTAGGCCTGAGTCCCTGGGCTCTGACCTTTAGAAGAATTTCATAGCCATTTTTTTAACCCTTTATGTGAGACAGGAAGTCTAGTGTGGGCTGAGTTGTGTAATTGCCCTTCCCCTAGGTCTGTTAAGTATTTCCTTTTGAGGACAGGTCTTTCTTAAACAGAGCCCTACGTTCTAGTTGTATGTCAAATGGTAACTTTCCCTCTCTCCCTGCCAGGTGCACAAAGGAATTTATTTTCTGTTCACAGTGAGCACCTGGTGGGGCTCCTAGAGGTAAAACTCATGTAAGTGTGGGAGAATCCAGGCTCTTTACATATGGGAGCAGAACCAGATCTTTTAATGTGCTTATTTCTGTTGACCTAAAAGTAAGAGGCTGGGCTGGGCACTGTGGCTCACACCTGTAATCCCAGCATTTTGGGAGGCCAAGGCAGGAGGATTGCTTGAGGCCAGGAATTCAAGACCAGCCTAGGCAACATAGTGAGACCTCCATCGCTACAAAAACCAAAAATAAATAGCCAGGCGTGGTAGTGCATGCTGTAGTCCTAGCTAATTGGGAAACTGAGGTGAGAGGATCACTTGATCCCAGGAGTTTAAGGTTACAGTGAGCTTTGATTGTACCACTGCACTCTAGTCTTCCAGCCTGAGCCACAGAGCAAGATCCTGTCTCTCCAACAACAACAACAACAACAACAACAAAGGAAAGTGAGGACAGCTGCCCAAAAGACTCAGACCCAAGAAACCCTGGATAGGAACTCTATATAGCCTTTATTAAAAGCAAAAAAGGGAGACAAGGAGTGGGCTGATACAAAGCGATTTGTCAGGAATTCTCATTGGTTATAGAAATAACATTGGCCGGGCATAGTGGCTCACGCCTGTAATCCCAGCACTTTGGGAGGCCGAGGTGGGTGGATCATGAGGTCAGGGGATCGAGACCATCCTAGCTAACATGGTGAAACCCTGTCTCTACTAAAAATACAAAAAATTAGCCGGGCATGGTGGCGGGCACCTGTAGTCCCAGCTACTCGGGAGTCTGAGGCAGGAGAATAGCGTGAACCCATGAGACGGAGTTTGCAGTGAGCCAAGATTGCGCCACTGCACTCCAGCCTGGGAGACAGAGCAAGACTCTGTCTCAAAAAAAAAAAAAAAAAAAAAAAAGAACAATTATAACAAATATGCCAGTTTCACTATTCTTGAGTTTTGGGGCCATTTGTAAGTGAAATAAGAGTCACCTGAACAGAAGCACTTCAGTATCTCAACAGGCACTCTGATAACCAAGACGGCTACTAAGTGACTAAACAGTGGTTACTGTATACGTATAGCATGAATATGCTGGACAGACAGATGACTGACATCCTGAGTGGGTCACAGCAGGATGCTTGAGATTTCATTATGCTAATCTGAATGATGTGCTATTTAAATTTATGAATTGTTTATTTCTGGAATTTTTCATTTAATATTGTAGACCAGGCTTGACTGTGGGTAACTGAAACTTCAAAAAGTCAAACCTTAGATAATGGGGGAGGACTGTAAATAGACAAAACTATGGGTTCAGGTCAGGCCACTAATGAGCTATTTAGACAAGTCACGGACAGGGAATTTTCCCAGATCAAACCACCTAGTGGATAACAGAGTTGAGATTAGAAGCCAGATATCCTGATTTATAGGAACAAGCTTCCTGCTACAACTCACCACAGATCACTATTTGAAGGTATTCTTTTACGCACTTCTCTACTTTGTAGTCTCTTAGTCTACACTTTTATTCTTACTTTTTATTCTCAAAACTGAAGTTCTTTTTTGTCATTTAATTATAGTCTATTTTTATAGCAGTTTTAGGTTCACAGCAAAATTGAGCAGAAAGTATAGAGAGTTCCATTGTATCCTCACAACCTCCTCCACTATCAGCACCACTGGGGCACATGATGTAATTCATCGTTACAATCGATGAATTCTACGTTGATACATCATTATCACTTAAAGTCTGTCATTTACACTAGGGTTCATTCTTGATGTTGTCCATTCTATGGGTTTTGGCAAGTATATAATGACATGTATCCACAATTATAGTATCATATGGATACTCTGATCTGTCCTCACAGAATGTCACAGAGTTGTAATCACACAGTACATAGCATTTTCAGATTGGCTTCTTTCACCTAGAAATATGCATTTAAGTTTCCTCCATGTCTTTTCTTTCTTTGTTACATTTTATTTTTATTTTTTTCTTTTTTACACTTTATTTTTTCAGTTTTATTGGGAGATATAATTTACAAATAGAAATTTGTAAAATACATAATTTACAAATAAAAATTGTATATATGTAAGGTGTGTAACACGATGTTTTGATATATGTATACATTGTGAAATGATTACTACTGTCAGGCTAATTAACACTTATCACATCACATAGTTATCTTTTTTTTTTTTTTTTTTTGGTGAGATCTACTCTCTTAGCAAGTTTCAAGTATTCAATACAGTATAGTCACCATGCTTCACATTAGATTTACAAAACTTATTCATCCTGCATAACTGTTGCTTTGTACCCTTTGACCAACTTGTCTGCATTTTCCTCACCCCCAGTCTATGGTAGCTACCACTCTGCTCTCTGCTTCTGTGAATTTTGACTTTGTTAGATTTAACATATAAGTGAGATCCAGCAGTATTTGCTTTTCTGTGTCTGCCTTATTTCACTTAGCTTAATGTCCTCCAGATTCAACCATGTTGTTGCAAATGGCAGAATTTCCTTCTTTTTGAAGGCTGACTACTATTTTGTTATTTATCAGTCTACACACACACACACATGCCAAAACCCATATAATGTACACCAAAATGTTGAGCATTTTTTCATTTGCTTTATTTGCTTTCATATATCTTTAGTGAAGTGTCTGTTTAGGTCTTTTGACCATTTTTAATTGGTTTATTCCATTTTATTATTGATGAGTTTTAAGAGTTCTTTGTATATTTTGGATAACATTCCCTTGTCAGATATGTCCTTTGCAAATATTTTCTCCCAGTCTGTGGTTTATCTTCTTATTCTCTTGACATTGTCTTTCACATCAAACTTAATTTTTGATATAAACCTTTATGTTCTGTAATGTCTGGTTCTGTGCACTCCAAAATACTTTTGAATTTTGGAAATTCATGTTGAAAGGAAGTAGTTTTGTGAATTCTGAAGTACTCCCTTGAGTGACATTCCAAACTTGATGTCTTAGTTTACCCTGAAAGGCTCACATTATATGTGTCAGTAGTCACCTCTTGAGCACAAGTTCTGTGCTCTTGACATTGGGCAGGTGTAGGTCTTTGGCTATCAAGTCAGAGCTAAATAAGCCTGGATTTTGGGTCTCTTATTGGAGGGAATGTAAAACTTACTCTCACAAAAATTAAAATCTTCTGCAATACAGTAACAAACATGCAGTGCAGCTAATGGAATGTGTTATGATGAGGAGCAAAAGGATCTACCTTCTAGTGTGTGCTCCAACATGTGGTGGATGGTAACTTTGGTTAAATAAGCCTTACAAAGCCTATTTCTTTATCTGTGAAACTGGAATAATATTAACTGTTGTGGTGGTTAATTTTATGTCAACTTGGCTAGGCCATGGTCCCCAGTTTTTGGTCAAACACCAGTCTAGAAGTTGCTGTGAAAATATTTTTTAGATGTAAGTGACATTTAAATAAGTAAGTAAAGCATATTACCTTCTGTAGTGTGGGTGGGACTCATCCAGTAAGTTGAAGGCTTTAAGAGAAAGGTTTTAGGTCCAAAGAAGAAATAATTCTGCCTCCAGATTACCTTTTGACTTAAGACTACAACATTAACTCTTCCTTGGGTCTCCATCCTACCCTTCAGATTTTGGACTTGCCAGCTTCTATGATCATATGAGAAAATTCCTTAAGATCTCTCTCTACACACACACACAAACACACACACATCCTATTTGTTCTGTTTCTCTGGGGAACCCTGACTAATACAACTGTTTAGGCAATATATATATATATATATATATATATATATATACACACACACACACACACACACACACACACACACACACACACACACAGTGTATATATATATATATATACACACACGCACACACACACAGCATATATATAGAGTATACAATGTGTCTACAGATAGTATACTATATATACACAATATATATGTAAATATATGGTATACATAGTATATATATACACAGCATATATAACACTGAATATATATCGACAGACTGTATTATACACAGTGTATCTATATATAGATATATACACACATAAAGTATATATAGTATGTATACAGCATACTGTCTATATATAGTATACTATATACACTATGTATGCTATATATATTTATTTGCTATATATATTATTTGCTATATATATATTTATAAGCTATATATATTTATATGCTATATATTTATATATGCTATATATATTTATATAGTATACATAGTATATATAATATACTATATATAGCATATATGGTATATATATAGTCTACTATATATAGACAGTATGTTATATCTCTATGTGTGTGTATATATCTATAGATATGCTGTGTATAATGGTGTGTATATATACACAGTGTATATTATATATACATATGTATATGTATATATACACAAATGTCAAATTTATATATAATATACACTGTGTATATATACACAAATGTATATTGTAATATATATACCTATAGATAATATATTACAGTATTATATATACACTGTATATACATCTACATGTATATTATATATACTATGTATACATATATGTACACATATATGTATATTATATACACACACACTCTCTCTTTCTCTATATATAGGCTTTTCTGTATAATGGAGTGATCATTTCCTTGTTCTTTATTGACATTTGTTGGCCATATTTCACTTCTACAAATTGTTATAAAGGTTAAAGAGCAGATCTAGCAGACAAAAATGAGCGTTGGAGGCTCAGTGAAGATTTGGAATGTGCTGGATTTCAGAAGCTTAAAGAACGTAGAGACTGTGATACGTATACACCATGGAATACTATGCAGCCATAAAAAAGAATGAGATGGGCCAGGTGTGGTGGCTCACACCTGTAATCCCAGCACTCTGGCAGGCTGAGGCAGGTGGATCACCTAGGTCAGGAGTTTGTGACCAGCCTGACCAACGTGGTGAAACTCCGTCTCTGCCAAAAAAATACCAAAAATTAGTGAGGCGTGGTGGCGGGTGCCTGTAATCCTAGCTACTCATGAGGCTGAGGCAGAAGAATGGCTCAAACCCGGGAGGTGGAGGTTGCAGTGAGCCGAAATGGCACCAGTGCACTCCAGCCTGGGCAACAGAGTGAACTCCATCTCAAACAAACAAACAAACAAAAAACAGATCATGTCCTTTGCAGCAACCACAACAAAAAAAAAAACAGATCATGTCCTTTGCAGCAACATGGATAGAATTGGAGGCCATTCTTCTAAGCAAACTAATACAGGAACAGAAAAATAAATACTGCATGTTTTCACTTATAAGTGGAAGCTACACAAGAACACGTGGACACAAAGAGGGGAACAACAGACACCAATGGTGGAGGGTAGGAGAAGGGAGAGGATAAAAATAACTACCTATTGGGTACTATACTTATTACCTGGGTGACAAAATAATTTGTATACCAAACCCCTGAGACACACAGTTTACCTGTGTAACAAACCTGCATATATACTTCCGAACCTAAGATAAAAGTGAAAAAATAATAGAAGAGAGAAAGTTGGTTGTGAGCAAAAGGATGGGATGAAATGAAGATGACTGGATTTAGCTATTAAAGTAGTAACAGATCACCTTTTGTGAACCAGGTTCCATAGACTGGTGATAGTAGAACTCCATTTGTATGGGTTGACCCAAGATCCCACAATGGTTTCATAAAGATTATATTTTCAGGAAGTACATTCTGGAAGAATAAGCTCTAGGACTAACACCCTGTAGAGTTATTGAAAACACATTGACTTTCAAAGGATGTCATGCATCATCAAATGAGCAGAACGATAAGTTAATCCTGTAGGGTAGGAGTTCTATTTGTGAGTTTAAGAGTGGAGAAGATATTTTAATATTGTACTTCTTTGTTCAGGTATCTCCTCAGATTGTGTGGGAAAGTTCTTAATAAGGAAGTTAAATAGAGAGGGATAATAACTTTTCTTAATATACAATGCACATTTGATGCCATCAAGATTGGCAAATTTCCCAGATCAAAAGCAGTTATTAGCTCACTGTTTCTTTAGCCAATATATTTTTATTCAAATTATCTACTGTGCACTGACATGAAAGAGAAACATCTATTTCTAATAAAATATGGCCTGATATTATCTAATGTGTTAAATCTAAGGGTCATCTCAAGAATACAAAGTTTAATATAACTCCTTAAGGACTGTACTAAATAAATATCATTCTTTTGCAGTAACCTCATGACCATATTTATTTACTTTTAATTGCTGTAATAAATGACTTCTGTTCAGATAGTTTCAGAAAGATCCTCCCAGAGTTTATTCATTGGTGCAAATGCTGATGTGCAAACAGCAAGAGGCTGAATGCATGCATAATCAATAATGCATCTAGAAGCTCTCCACAGAGTTTAGTCAGAGTATCTGTTAGATCTTGTCTCTCAATATCTCATCTCTCTGGCCAATTATTCATACATTTTGGGGAATCTTGACTGCAGTAAGCCTCCTTCCTTTGGACAATGAGGGGAAAGAAATTATCCCCAGAAGGATGAAAAATATTTTTCTGCAGTGGCTCCATATATATAAGAACCTATGACTCCATGGTTATGCATAATCAGCACATATTTCAGAGTCCTTCATTTATTCAACATTCATTCAAAAACACTTATTAAGTACGTTCTAGATGCCAGGCACTATTGGGAATAGAGTGGGCAAGTTCCCTGTTACCTGTATAGCATTTAGCAGAACACAGAAAAATAAACAAGTAAATCAATATATAAAGATACTTTACAGCTAGTCTAGATAGGCCTTAAAATAATAAAATGGAGTGTTATAATGCAGGGAGTGGGGTTGACTGTGCTTATTACATTAGACAGCTAAGGAAGACCTCTTAAAGGAAGTGACTTTGAGCTGAAGATTTGGGAAAAGAGATATCTGAGGCTTAGGCAATCACAATTTAAAGACCTTCAAGTAGGGTTTAGTATGTTGAAGAAAGAGAAAGGAAGCCTGCCTGACCAGAGTGTAGAGATCACAGGTAACAGTGGTATGCGGGAAGACTGTGTAAGGTCTTGTAGACAGTGATTGAGAGTTGGATTTTATTCTAACTGAATTTGGAAGTCACTGCAGTGTTTTGAGTCAGGGAATGACATGATTTGCTTTTTCTTCCTCCTGCCATTGTTCCCCTTGCTTTTTCTCGGGTGCTTTCTCATTCAGCTTTTTCACAGGTTTTCTGAGTCAATATTTCGGATAATATGTTCTCCAGATAGTTCCTGTCTGTTCAAGTAGCTTCATTCTATGAACTGGTAGTAGTTGTATTGCTACTCTTTTTTAATAATTGCATAATTACCTCCACATTTATGGTTTAATATCACATGAAATGTGGTACTATAAAATCATATGAAATGAGATTGATTTGGTTCCATTATATCGGAGTTTGCATACTGACAGCCTATGGGTCACAGACCGTAGACATATTTTACTTGGTCCATTCAGAATTTTACAAATAGAGAAATTTGTCATAAACACTGAGAGTAACATGATGATCTTTTTTTGTATGTTTCTAAAGGATCATATTTGGAAAATAATATTAGAGAAAGAGCTTACAAGAAGAGACATAAGGCAAAGCAAAAAGGTAAAGAGGCAGGGGAGGCAGGTTTTACAAAGTTAAAGATGAAAGCCTGGAGATCAGCACTCATTGTATATGACATGCATTCTTTGAGACACTGTCTCTTTACAGCCATTTACAGCTAAAGGGATCTAAGAGGCAATATATATAATGAACCCATTGAACTCATATTGCTGGGTTCAAATCCTAGTTCTAATGCTTATTAGATATCTGACTAGGGGACCCATTACTTTATCTTTCTATGCTTCAATTATTTTATTCTCTGCAAAGTTGGGATAATATAGTAAGTACTTTTTTCACAGGGTGGTTATGAGGATTAAGCGATTAATACATATGAAGCACTGGGAAAAATGTCAGTCACTTAGTAACATCCAATAAGCTATTATTGTTATTCTCATTTTACAGATGATTCAAAAAACACAATTCTCAAACAACTAATTGACATGGCTGAAGTTACCCAACAAGTTAATGAAAGAGTCAGATGCTGAAATTAGGTCTTTTAGAAAGCTCTGCTGGAAATAAGCGTTTTAAGAGTAATTTGAATAATTTGGCTTGGGAACGAAAAATTGCCAATTTTACCTTTGTTTAGCCCAAGTTTTATACCAATCATTCTAAAAAATATATCAAGACTTTTTACCAGTCTTAAAAATTATTAAGGACCAAAAAGAGGTCGTGTTTATGTAGTTTGTATCTATTGATATTAATAATATTAGAAATTAAAGCTAACAAACTTAAAAATTACTTATGAATACATTAAAAACCTATTAAATGCTTTCATAAATAGCATATTTTTAATGAAAATAATTATTTTCTAAGACAAAAATATTTAGTGAGAAAAGTGGCATTATTTATATTTCTGCAAATCTCTAATGTCTGTCAGAAAGACAGCTGGAGTCTCACATCTACCACTGCATTCAATCTGCTGCAATATCACTCTGGAAAACTCAAATGTACATGTATCTTCTTACTCATAGGAAAGTAGTTTTGACTTGACATACCTTCTGATAGTCTCACAGATCCCCAGAGGTTCCCAGACCATACTTTGAGAATCATTGATCTAGATAAAATCAGAAATTTGAGATGGGAGAGATACAAATCTTGCCCAAGTCTCCAAATCTACTTTGGAAGTGGAAACTCAGTGGCCAAGAAAAACCTTTCCAGGGAGAAAACATTTGTTGCCTTTGCACAAGATAACTCCAGTTAAAATCATCACAATAGATGTCTACAGCCACCTCAAAATATTCATTGCTTTGACTAAATATGAAATATTCCCCCTCCAAACCCTTTCTCCAGATTTGTGTGTCTGAAAGAGCTGAGGTGAAATAGAGATGGTGCACAATAGCTCAGAAGTAAATTAATGAGTAAAAGAGTATACTCTGAATTCACAAGAAAATGAGAAAAATTCCATGTACTCACCTTCTTGTCCCTCTAAGCTCCTTGGAATTCCTGAGTATTATATTAGTTTTCTTTGTGGTGGGAGTTGGAGAATTATAATGTCCTCTTCTTGCAGTTGATGGGCATAGATGAGGCATTTGAAAGATAACTTCTACTTGATAATAGACCCAATGACCTGTGAAGATTTCAATTCTCTTCTTCTTATCCATCAGATCTTTATAGTTCTGAAGACCTGCTATTAGACGGACTGCATTTAGAGAAGGAAAATTATTTTCTTATCTAAAAAAACTTTAGATAAGCCATTTTTGTAATGAGGTTCATTCTGATGAGGCCTGAGTATTTGTGGCCTCCTCAACAGACTAAATCTTTTATTTCTTCAGGCAAATCTTGAAGTTCCACATTCTGTCTTAATGCCGTCTGTAATTTATCCATATCCATTTATTCATTCAAAATTTGTTGGCTAGCTATTATGCCAGACATGGTATTAGATACTGCTGACTAAATATGAATGTCCAAATTTATATATTTGAAGAGTTTGGAAGAAGGTATAAATTATTTAAATATATGTGAACTATATGTGAAAAACACTGTGCTAGAGACATGGATACAGTTCTTTGGAAGACAAGCAGGGGAAGACTAATTGTAGTTGAATGATTTGTAAAAAGTTTCTCACTGGAGCTCGGTCCTGTAAGAGGCATTGTGATTCAGGGGATTCTTGATGAGAGAAGGGCATTCTTGAAGGGAACAGAGTGAGTAGAAGTTTGGAGTTGTGAAGAAGCCTGAGATGTGCAGGGAATGATGAGAAGCTGGAATGTACGGTGCACATGAATGGAGGCTAGAACAAGGTTGGAAAGGAAGGCTGTGGTTAAACTGGGGACAGGCTCTAGGGATTGAAAAGGGGGATTTGTACTTTATCCTGTAGGCCACAGGGAACCATCAGTGGGCTGTTTTCTGTTGCCATGTATGTTTTAGAAAGATCTTTCTGCTTGTGGATAGGCAGGAAGAGGAATGAGCAGTGCTCCATGTGAAGTAAGATGGTTCACTTTCACTAAGGCAATGGCAATGGGAAGAGAAGGGAGGCAGTGGGGACAGAGTTGAGAGGTATGTAGAAGCTTGCATCAACCAGACCTCATTCTAGATATGGAGAATGAGAATTCATCCTTAAGGACAACTTATAGGAGACTGAACTGGTGAATTAAAATAGTTACTAATTCAGGTGTAGAAAACTGGAGCAATGACAGGAGTTTGTGGAAATGCTGATACTGATTTTAAACATTCTGAATTTGACCCATCTATGGTTTATCTTGGTGACACTTAGAAATATGAATCTCAAGAGAGGTTGAGAAGAAGTTATGTGTTTTCTTTCTAGAAACATCTGTAACCAGCTTAATGTATACTACATATGAACTTGATGACAAACCCTTTGCTGTTGTTTGTACGGATGTCTTATGTCTTCAGCAAGAAATAAAAATTTCAAAGGGTTCCAAATATTTGTCCTTGGTAGTAAGCTTTTAAAAGGCAGAAACACTGGGTTCTACTTCTTTTTTTTTCTCACAGATCCTAATACAGGGGTAGGCACAAATTGGGAAATAAACACTTAAAGGTATTCTTTAAAGTAAGAAGATAGAATCAGAGAATGAAGGCAATAAAGAATAGTTTAGGCCAGGTGGGGTCCTCATACTTGTAATCCCAGCACTTTGGGAGGCTGAGGGGAAGATAGATCCCTTGAGTCCGGGAGTCCTAGACCAGCCTGGGCAACGTGGCGAAATCCTATCTCTACAAAAAAAAAAAAAAAGAAAAAGAAAATGCAAAAATTAGCCAGGAGTGGTGGCACATGCCTATAGTTCCAGCTGTTTGGGAGGCTGAGGTTGGAAGATCCTTTGAGCCCAGGAGGTGGTGGTTGCATGAGCTGAGATCACACCACTGCACTCCAGCCTGGGCAACAGAGCAAGACCCTGTCTCAAAAAAAAAAAAAAAAAAAGAATAGTTTAGAAAACTGAGCAATTAAAGTAATTCAGAGGACTTAAAAAAGAAAAAAAATCCCTCATAAAGATTCTTAGTAAGAAGTGGGGAGAAAAATAGAATCTAGAGATACAAAGAAAGATGAAGAATATGGGCAATTATGGCTTTAAAAAATATTTAATGCTAACAGTAATTGAAAGAAAGATTATTACCAGAAGGGATTTTTTTAGAAGGGAATTTTATTTATTTATTTTTTATATATATATTTTTATTATACTTTAAGTTCTAGGGTACATGTGCACAACATGCAGGTTTGTTACATATGTATACATGTGCCATGTTGGTGTGCTGCACCCATTAACTCGTCATTTACATTAGGTATTTCTCCTAATGCTATCCCTCCCCCCATCCCCCCACCCCACAACAGGCCCCGGTGTGTGATGTTCCCCTTCCTTTGTCCAAGTGTTCTCATTGTTCAATTCCCACCTATGAGTGAGAACACGCAGTGTTTGTTTTTTTGTTCTTGCGATAGTTTGCTCCCAAGCGCTACAAAGGACGTGAACTCATCCTTTTTTATGGCTGCATAGTATTCCATGGTGTGTATGTGCCACATTTTCTTAATCCAGTCTATCATTATTGGACATTAGGGTTGGTTCCAAGTCTTTGCTATTGTGAAGAGTGCCACAATAAACATACGTGTGCATATGTCTTTATAGAAGCATGATTTATAATCCTTTGGGTATGTACCCAGTAATGGGATTGCTGGGTCAAATGGTATTTCTAGTTCTAGATCGCTGAGGAATCGCCACACTGTCTTCCACAATGGTTGAATGAGTTTACAGTCCCACCAACAGTGTAAAAATGTTCCTATTTCTCCACATCGTATCCAGCACCTGTTGTTTCCTGACTTTTTAATGATCGCCATTCTAACTGGTGTGAGATGGTATCTCATTGTGGTTTTGATTTGCTTTCTCTGATGGCCAGTGATGATGAGCATTAGAAGGGAATTTTAAAAATATAAAATACTCATAAGGGTACATACTCTTAGAAAATTTAAACAAAAAAGTCATTGAGAGTTAATAATAAGGTAGTTGAATTTGAGAATTTCAGTAAAAAATCCTGGATCTCTGAATATAAAGACACTGAATAAACAAAAAGTGCCATTTATTATTAATATAATTAAAAGGGACTTAAACACTTTAAAAATAATGTTTTGGGAGTTTTTGCGCCCCATACAGAGAGGTTACTGAGTATTGATTGACTGAAGGTAAATTCCTACTGTCCAGAGACAAGAGATAAACTCAGTGGAATGGACTAGGTTTTTTTGCTACAGGAACAATGGTGACTTTGTCAAGCAAATTTTTCACTTTGTTTTATTTTCAGTCTATATCTTGTTTTCTATCTCATTTTCCTATATCACTACATATCTATGATTATTATGTAAAAATCACTTTTCTTACTTTGTAACAGATACTGGTTTGCTTTAGAAAGTGTTAAAAATCTAACTTCTGATCAGCTTTAAAGAACATAGTCTCTGGGTGGTCCATGTCTGATCCATACCATTACTTTAACTTTGTTTTGTTACTATTAATATTCAAACAAAAATAGCTTAAGAGGACCTGCCAGATGAATGAGATTGTGTCATATTCCTCTTCAATAATAAAAATCTTGCTAAGGCTGGCACCTGGGGAAAGGCTAGTGAGATTAAAATCAGTGACTCTTTCACCTCCCTTTGCTCTGTCAAGCATAAGAGAAAGAGGAACTGTGAAGCCTTGACAAGGAGAGCAGGGACTTTAATTGAGGGCAAGAAGGGCTCAGGCCTTGTTTCCTAATTATAGATGTTTTTTCAAACATCAGAGGTGCAAATTCAAAATATGTTGCAATTTATTGGTGAGTACAGTCTACTTAAATAAAGGACTGTTTAATTCAAATAAATTTAGAAGGCTTTTTCTTAAGCCAGCTTCATGTATATTATATTATTGTATCCCTGGAGAATGTAAAATTCTGAATGTGGACCTGCACCTTGCTATTTTTTCCCCCACTTGGATCTTCTTTGGTGTGTATGTGACTGTGTTTATATGTGTCTCCTATGTGTCCATCTTATTTTTGGGTGTAGAGGAGAGGTTCCTGATGACTCGCACTCTTTACTTCTCGATACAATCACATACATTACTTTTATAGCTTCCATCCTGCCATTTCAATGAATGGGAAATATGATCACAGGGTAATATGAGTTAATAAGTAATTTTAGGAGGATATTGCTTAAAAATGGTTTTTCAGTTATGTTCCAATTGGTTCCTTGTGTTGATAAAATGAGAGCTTCCTTAACAGTAGAATTCACATCATAAAGTTGAGTTGAAGTTTGAGGATTCTTGCTACCATTTAACATTTAATGGCACTCAATTTTCTGGACTCATATTTTTGACATAGTGTTCTATGTTTCATCTGTCACCGATGAGTCCTACTTGGACCTGTAAGCCAAATGAATGCCACCTATTAAGTGTTGTAGTGTGCTCTTCGATTGTTCATTTATTTAGTAGGTTATTATTAATTTAATGACTATGGTCCTAGTTCCTTTCACATATGGTGCCATCAGTGGAGGAGGGGTTCAAATGTTTCTATGGTATTTATATTTTTTGTTATGTGAATGCCACATAAGCAGCTCTGCAGCCAGAATTTCTTGGTGGCCCAAATATAAAGCCTTATAATTAGAAGTATATGGTGCTATAATAAAAACATTATCAAACCAGCTGTACTAGGTGTACAGATTTTCTGTTTTTATTCATGTGTGTGCATCTATTACAAACACAGCACAAATAGAATATAAAAATAAGTTAACACTCACAGCCAAACCTGTTAAATTTAGTTCAACAAATTGTATGAAACCCTCCATCTGTTTGCTACATTATTCTCACAATGATAATAGGCAAGGCAGATTTGCTAGCTGGGTTTTATAGAGAGAATGGCTTGTTCAAAAAATATGTAATGCACTCCCCTAAATGAAACCACACCAAACCGCATTATTTTCTTCTCTGTGGCTTCGAGTGTTTATGTTGTGATATTACATTTTCACAGATGTTATTACTGATCTGTTGTGCCAAAGAATGATTTTGAAGCTCATTTATCAATAATTATTGCTCTGGCCAGTATGAATGTTCCAAAAGAGCAAGCAAATGTGAGGAACAGATCTTTTGATTTCTTTAGTAATAGGTCATGAATAGCTGTTTCTTGCCTTTAGTACCTTTTTCTATGATTTGCTCTTGGCATTGCAAATACATTTATATTTTCAAAAATACAGGAGGGCCACAAAGGTCTTTACCATGTAATAATTTATAAATTGAATAATATTCACATTGTAGGGTTATTGAGGATTGCATGAGATAAAGAAGTGTCTAGCACCAATGCTGATTTCTTAGCTGATGAAGCTGACTTGACTTACTTAGCTGTCAGCACCTACATCCTGTTAGTAATAATTGTGAATTACTGCAGACATCTCTCAGAATTCCCATGACATGTCTTTCTAGAAAGCCAGAATTTTTCTGAATATAGTTTTATGAACAACTATCTTAGTTCTCAGGTACTAATTCTCTTACTGTCTGAGAACTAAGATAGTTCTCAGATACTCATGATAATTTTTATTTTTTCAATTAAAATGAAAAATTATTTAGCTCCTACTATGTGTGAAGAATTTGTGTACTAGATATATAGGGAGCAAAGATAAATGCATCACAGTCTACACAGGTTCAAACAGTAATTTGAAACACTAGTCACACTTTTATTCCATTAAACACTGATTTTTCCTTCCAGTTTTTGGATTTTTCTTGGCTACATGCCTGGAAAAACCTTAAAACCTATCAAGAAGACATATACCATTCATGCCACACATATAATATCATTCATTATTTTAATAACTCTTTTATTTATTATTATTTTTACATATAAACAGCTCTGGAGGCATCCTATAGAGAGAGAAACTATGGCACAGATCAGGTTTCACTGCCACTGTGTTTGTTAGTAAACCAAGTATCCCTAGGTCCTCTGGGTATCAGGGCCCACAGGCCCCTTTTGTATCTGAATAGTAATAGTAGATCTCCCCACTGCCACATTCAGCATAACCACAGGAAGACCTGTCTTCAGGTTTTCATCCCTCTTGTATCTGGAAATCCCCAAGGAACACATTCTGTTTTCCAAATCTAATTTTGGGGGATGGATTTGGGAGTCTTGTGGCAGCTTCTCCAGGCTGCTTCCACACTCCCTTGCAACTTTGCTCCAAATGTGAAAACAAGCCCCTCATCTGACCCTCTGCAGCATACTTATGGTTAAACGCAAACATTTTGCAAACTCTACTAAAGAGCTGCAGGTGATTCAGGAAATTACAACACAGAAAAAAATTTTAAATATGAATTTGCCTATTATAACTCCTAGAGTTCAGAGGCCATATTCTTTTACAGGATGATGTCTACTGGTTTTCCTTCTTCTCTGTTCCAACCCAGTGGCAGTGTTTACCTCCACAACAGGAGTGAGAACCTTTGACCAGGTTTTCTTTATTCAGAGACCTGACACCCCAACTTTCTCTTGGGCTAACTGTGAAGAAAAAAGAATAACAAAACACTTTCTCTTTACCTCCAGGCTGTGGTCCATGTTGCAGTAAACCTATAACCTCCTTTTCAGATGAAACTCTACCTCTATTTAAGAAGGCCTTTTATGTTATTAGATAGAAGAGTTTAGCATCTGGTTTTCTCAGCTCACGCATTCCTGAAAAGCAGGATTTATAAATTCAGATATCTTTGTAATCTGGTAAATATAAATGGGTGATGGGCTGGGCACGGAGGCTCATGCCTGTAATCCCAGCACTTTGGGAGGCCAAGGTGGGCGGATCACGAGGTCAGGAGATCGAGAACATCCTGGCTAACACAGTGAAACCCCATCTCTCCTAAAAATACAAAAAAAAAAATTAGCCAGGCATGGTGGCAGGCGACTGTAGTCCCAGATACTCAGGAGGCTGAGGTGGGAGAATGGCATGAACCCGGGAGGCGGAGCTTATAGTGAGCCGAGATTGTGGCACTGCACTCCAGCCTGGGCGACAGAGCAAGATTCCATCTCCAAAAAAAAATATATATATATATATATATGGGTGATGTGGGCTTGGTATAAGAAAATGTATGCTGTCTTCAATCTTTTTTTGAAATAAATGGTTGGACTTCTTGGGTGTACTTTTTAACACAACCTTTGATAGGAAAAAGTTTAGGAAATATTTAGCTTAAGTGGGATGACATTTATCTGACATATATAATAAATAGGGAAAGATGGGGACCATGGTAAGTGGATAACAGATGCTTCACCTACAGAGAACCTAGGACTCAGATTTAGCTGTTGACACCACATGAGAGCATGAGTGGGGCATTCCCAACTCTTCCTACTATTTGGAGAGACAACAGGAATTCCCATTTCTATGAGGTGACTGTTTTTTAATTCCAAAATTTAAAAAACACTATGAGGGTTGATATTGTATGTTTCAAGTGAAACATGTTGGTAGGCCACATCTGACCTTGAGAGTGCAATTTCTCAGCCTCTGTTGAAAAGGATTTGGGCTTCACTTTTGCAAAGCCAAAAGGCTAGAAGTTCAATGGAAATGTTTTTGTTTTTGATTTTGTTTTGGCCAAATCTATAAATAGTGTTTTTATTGTTTTGTGGAATAACAGGATCAACAAGTTATGACATTATTATAGTATTTTGTCCCTGCTACATAGACAAGATGAAGATTTTGGGAAGAACAGTAGTTTACCTGAAAATATTTGATTTAGTTACAGGAATTAGTTTGGATAGAAGAAAGGACATGAAAGGTTTGGAATCAGGCAGACCTAGGCTTAAACCCACCTCTGACATTCAAATGTAAGTTGGTGTAACAGACAAACTCTGTGACTCACCTTCTGATTTGTAAAATGGGAATAATAAAGCTTACCTTACAAATAAGAGTAAGGCCAGATAATTCATACAACTGGCTGGTCCATAGTAAGCGTTAAAAAATACCAGTTTCTTCTTTTCTACCTCCTGTTTACTTGGTTGTTTATTAATTCCCACCATTTGCCTTAGTTCCAAAGCCAGAACTTTAAGTTTGTTTTGTTTGTGTGTGTAGGTTTTGCAGTGTTTAGAAGTGGGATGGCTATCTCAACAAGTTCCAACGAATTCTTAGTTTTATCAAATGGAAGACTCTCTGGTCTCTTGCCCAGGATTTGTTATGGCATTGCCCCAGTACATTTTGTTGTATTCCTAGTACTGCATTAATCCATCTAGCTGTGCTCACTTGATGTCCAATGGCTGGTCCTGCTGACATACCCTTAGCAACCTTACTGTGCTTGTAAGTATCACCCACAGCAGGCAAGTAGCTCCTCCACCAATTACACATTTAATTGTTTCACTAGTTGCATATATTTCTCTGTTACATTGTCATTCATATTATTTTTAGTGGAATTTGGGGCAGAAAAGCTACTATCATTTTTTCTCTTTGTCATTATTGGTTTGCATAGCCAGTGCAAAGCAATCTGAAGAAAACACAGGTTGTTTATCAGGAATGCTATGTTCTAGTTGTTCTAGTAGCAGAAGGTCCGCCATTAACTGTATGCCATTAGGCAATTCTCCTGATTCTTGGGTGCTTGGTTATCTCTTTTGTAAATCCAAGTTAATAATAGTGTTTGCCCTGCTAGCTCTCTGGGTTGTCATGAGATAATAGATAACAAGGAATTTCCCTCTGCAAATGCAATGTGACTGAACAATAAAGGTCATCATTTTAGAATTTTAAGGAATAGGACAGGGTTCCTCAAACGTTGCTCTATACTAGAACCACCTGGGGAGCTTTCAAAGCACCCCATGCTCAAACACAGCTTATAGTCATTAAATCAGACTCTGGTGTGGAGCCTAGGTGTTGGTATTTTTTTTTAATAGGAAATATGTTTATTATTGATCATCTCAATTCAAAAATACTCATTCTTTCTCAGGGCTGGTCCATCATACTCAGTCTCTTTGCAAATATTAAATACATCAAAATCATGAGCAATTTTAACAGTAACATAGAAACTTCTGTACAGTAAGCGAGACAGGAATTTCTAACAATGACACAAGAGCTCCAGAACTTGCCAGTAAAACAAAGGAAGCATTTCCAATGACAAGGCTTAGGAACCCATGGATAAAAATCTAACAGAACACATGCTGGAAAATGGGGTCAGGAAATAGTATCATCTATCCTCGATCTGAGTATGCTCAGTGATGGCACAAAGCATGCCCTGTGAGAGGGACTTGGAAATACAATTGCTTCTATCCAGAAATGTGCCCTTTGGGAATGGGACATATGGTACCTAAGTGCCCCCAAATCAATTGTTTTTCAGCATCTTGTCTACACAATCATAACCAAGGTTTCAAGGAGAAGGCAGGCGCAGGAAGTATTTAGCTTTAACTTCTTAGCAGATGTAACACCAGCTCTTCATCCTCTGCTAAAGACAGGCCAGTATCCAAAGGCTCTAAAGTGTCCCACGTGGCCTTCTTTCTGTTATGACTTGTTGGTCCTACATCTTCCACTTCACTGTTCTTCCTCTTTTTCATTCCCTGCTTCTTCTTGGTATCACATTTTATTTTCCATATCTTCACTATCTGAATCTTCAGAGCTTCTGTACTTATCTGGATCTAGGAGTGTGCTTGGATCAAATCCATCATCATCATCATCACTCCAATCCAGAAAGTCTTCCTCTTCATCTTTGGCCTTTGCTTGTCTCGTGTTGGCTTCTCTTCTGGCTTCCCTTTCTTTCAGTCTTTTCTCCCAATGCTTTGCCTTAATTTTCTTCCTATATTCTTCTTTGTCAAATTTGTCCTCTTTCTGAAGTCTTCCCTTTGCTTTATCTAAGTTGATACCACCCGTGTCATCATCTTCCTCAGCATCCTTGATGGCAGATTTCTGCATTTGTGGCCACTGTTGAACCAACTCCCCTTCATCAGTACATGTTATCTTCTTATTCGCTTTAAAATTTCTCTTCATTACTTTTTTTGCTTCTGCAACTTTGGTCACTTTTTTCTTGATGCTGGATTTAGAAGGTTCTTTCTTCTGTAATGTTTTCTCCTCTTTAAAGTCAAATCCAAACACATTGTGCCACTTCACCTTCAAGAAATCAGCATCTTCTTCCTCCTCATCTCTGTCCAGGAACTGCATAGGAACTTCCTTGATCTTCTTTGCTTCACTGGTGTTAGGAAGAGATGGAGCTTGAGATCCTTTTGCTTTTGCCAGTTTCTCTTCCATTTCTTCTTCATTATCTTCCTCTTCCTCCTGTTCTTCATCACTAGTATCATTAGCCAGTCTGTGCTCTGTCCCTTTGAGTCTTTTTCCACCTTTCTGAAGGATGGACATTTTCTCATTGAAGAAGGCTCTAAATTCTTCCACTTTGTCATTGGTGAGGGAGGGAGCCCTTGGCTCAGTTACTTTATTGGCTTGGCTCATTACCAATTCTTTGGTGGGTTGTTTCTGCATTTTCTGAAGAAATCTTATGCATGGTGCCACAGCAAGCCCAAGAGACAGGGCATATTCAGGTATAGGTAACTTGCTCACATCAAATACTTCTTTATCCTTCATCAGATATACCAATCATATATCGGAGATGAAACACCTTTGAGCTCTTTCTTTTAAATCTTGATCTTCAGCTGAAAAAGATTCCAATTTTTTCTGGATATCTATAAGTTTTTCTGGATTGATTTTGATTTCCTTTATAGGTACTTTCTTCTGAAGAAGCTGCTGCACTATAGCTTTTTCTGAGGCAAGCAAAATTAATAAAGCTTCACCATCCTCTTTGTACCTGGCAGTTCTACCTGCTCTGTGAATATATGTGTTGGCATCCTCAGGACAATCAAACTGAAGAGCCCAATTCACAGCCGGGAAATCCAGCCCCCTGGCTGCAACATCACTAGCAAAGAGTACTGCAGCTCTCTTACGGACAAACTCATTATAGACTTCCATTCTTCTCATTTGCTGCTATCGACCATGGAGGGCAAGGATAGAAATACCAGGACGTAGCTGGCAAAACACTCGGTACAGATATCAGACCTTTTAGCAACTGGAAAAAAATACAATGCTCTTCTTCTTCAGGTGCCTTCTCAAAAAGGAATACAGCACACTTATTTTTTGCTGCTGCTCACAGACTATGTAGTTCTGTTCCAAAGTGGCAGGGGTGCTATATTTTGCATTTTTCATGAACCCAGACATACTCAGTGTTTTTCAAACTCAAGCGTGCAAGGTCCTTTACAGATATAGTTTGTGTTGCTGAGAAAAGTAAAGTCTGACGTTTCTTGGGGAGATTTTCAATAATAGCATTCATGGTATCAGCAAAGCCCACATCCAAGATTCTATATGCTTCATCAAGAACTAACATTAGGAGAGCAGTAGCATGAAAAGACACCGTTTCATCCATGTGTTGAAGAAGCCGACCTGGTGCGCACACGAGTATATTTATGTTGTTGATCCTCTCAGCTTCGTGTTTCAGATACTTTCCACCAATGATGAGACCAGCTGAGAAGTCATGATTCTTTCCTACCTTTTGGAGAACCTCAAAGGTCTGATAGGTCAGTTCTCTCATAGGTGATATTATGAGAACCCCCAGCCCATCTGTTGAGGTCTATTGCAGACGATATAAGGCTTCTAGCACTGGAACAAGGAAAGCCAAAGTCTTGCCAGATCCAGTTTTGGCCACTCCAGGTACATCTCTACCTTGCAAAGCCAATCCAATGGTCTGCTTCTGTATCTCAGTTACCAAACGGTACTGAGCTTCTTGCAAACCTTTCAATGTTTTTTTGGACAAGGAAAAATCTGAAAATCTTGTAATTTCATTTACATTTATCTTCTCATAGTTCTGCATGAGGCGGCTGTTACCCTCGCGCTCGACCTGCCATTCGGGTTTCTTCAGTTGCTTCCTCAACTGATTCTTTTTGTTCTGCCCGTGGCTGTGTTTTTTCTTCCAGCGATTGAAGCTCCGCACCGGGTCGGGTCGGGCTCCCGAACCCGGAGAGTCCGCAGTTTTGCCCATTGCGGCGGCAGCGACAGCTGGGATCACCCCCAGACACGAGACACCTAAGGCCAGGCTCATGGAACCAACATGCGGAAAACGCACAGAGGCGCATGCGTGAGTGTTGGTATTTTTAAACTACTCACGTGATGCTACTGCACAGCCAAGTTTATGACCAGTGCTCCAGCACCTTGCTGTCAGAGTATGGTCCATGGGGCCGACAGTTATCAGGATCACCTGAGAGTTCATTAGGAATGCAGGTTGTCAAGTCCATTCTAAATCTTTGTATTTTAACAAGATCTTCAGGTGATTCATTTGCATCTTAAAATTTTAGAAGCACCGCTTTAGAAGTTATTTCATCTGTTTTATTTTGAAGTTGAAGAAAAATCCACAGAAGTTACGGAGTTTGCTGATGGTCACAATTCTAGCTAATGAAGCCAGGACTAGAATTAAAAACTCTTGAATTCCAAACCTGTGCTTCTCTCCAACGCTGTGGATGAGGGCCTGTGTTATCCTTCACATAGAAGAAAAAAGTGTGGATAAATTGTCAGTAGTGTGTACACTTTGAGTGTACTCTGTCTTTTTGAGATGTAGCTAATGGGTTTGCTGTAATTATCGTCTCTCTCCAGACCTATCACCTTTGAGAACAATGTTCATGAGATGGAGAAACTGACTGAAAGCTGCACCTAGATAGATTGCTTTGAATATTTCGGGAGAGAGTGGAACAGTTTGCAATTTAATTGTGCTAGTTATTGAGTGTGTGTGTGTGTGTGTGTGTGTGTGTCAGGGTCTCACTCTGTTGCCCAGGCTGGAGTGCAGTGGCACGATCTCGGCTCACTGCAACCTCTGCCTCCCAGGTTCAAGCGACTCTCCTGCCTCAACCTCCCGACTAACTGGGATTACAGGTGTGAGCCACTGTGCCTGGCCTGTTATTGACTTTTCTTACTAGAATTCTCTACTTCTGAAGCATAAATGCTAATAAAAAATATTTATAAAATAAGACTTTTCTGCTCTTCATTAGCTGAGGGACTAGTCTCAAGACTAAAAGACCATGGTACGAGACAAGAATACTAGTCTAAAAAGATGATGGCATGGGAAAAGAATATAATTTTCTCTTTCAGTTATCTACTTGAAGCTTTTGGGAAAGGGGAAAACCTGGGAATTTAGGGATGTGGGTAGTTTTGTAAGAAACCAGCCAAACGTTCTAAAGACAGAGTTTATGCTGGGCTCTGTGCTCAAACTGATCTAGCCAGAGCATGAAGGAAGCTGGAGAGAAAATGCAGGCTAGGTTGGTGTTGATCTGTCCAATCAAACACCACATGGGTTTAGCAGATGTATGCCATGCACATCGATATGTGCTATTTTAAATTTCCTGGGGCAATACTTGTTAGAGAAGAGCAGTATGTTGGACTCATCAGGCTTCTTAGTAATATGTACCTAGCTCTCTCCTCCTCTCTGCACCTGCTGTGCTACTGATTATACTGTAAGTAATGGCAGCTTTGCCTTGGGAGGTTATGGATATGCTGCAGATGGGGCATCTCTCCCGTGAAGGTGTATAAATTTCAAATTGCTAGTTGCAGCTCTTTGCAAGGGAGCCATGGGGAGCAGGAGGGAGAGAACACCAGTAGGAGTGACACCCAAAGCCATAATAATTTCTGATGATTAACCTCCAGTTTTTCACATCCTCTGTTATGTGTGATTCCAGGATCATAGACAAAATGATTGCTTTGCTGTATGGAAAATCTGGCACTGTATAACTCTCTAATTTTCCACACATGATATCATAATACCTCTAGTAGCACTATTTGTAGCTAAAGCCTCCCTCTCCTCCTCCTTCTTCCTGTTTTTTCCTCTATTTGATGTATTTTCCTTTCTTTCATTAATTGCAAGGGGCTTTAGCCCAGGGTGAGGATAGTGAGTAGTGCGATAGGAGTGGTGGCTTCAGAGCCTCCTGTCTGCATGGTAAAAAATATATGTGTGTTTATCTGTTTAGGAGAAGATTCCTAAAGACCTAGAGTGATGTTATTACAGCTAGATTGCATTTAGAAACTCTAATGAAATGCATGTAAGGACAGAGGCAGGTAATAGAAATGAGTGACTGGATCAAGAGAACTGTGGTGGACTGGGTGGCTCCTAGCCTGTCTCAGAGGGGGATGTACCAGCCAGCTCCATCCATTGTTGCTATAGAGAGTTGCAACCAGTGCTATGAAATCTCATTTTTAAACAGAAGCTAAAAATTCAAGTTTTACATGAAATTTTCTGCTCTCTAAATGTTCATAGTTAATTGAGGTTTCTTTTTAACTCCATCAACTATGTAGGCCAAAAACCATGTCTGAAGGACTAGATTGGGCCTGTGGAGCAGGAGTTTGTAAACTTGATTTAGTCTGATGTCCTCATTTCATGGAAGAAAAGGAGTTTGTCCAAGCTCACTCATGACCTTAGTGAGGTGCAGAGTTGAGAAAAGAATGCGGGTCAGAATGCTCCTCATTCCTTTCACCTCTGAAGATACCTACAGTAGGACTTATGTGCCAGGCAGTGAGCCAGGTCAGGGTTAGGTTACAGATATGGCTCCAGCCCTCAATGAGCTCACAGTCTGGCAGGGGTGACAGACAAGCAAACAACTAACTATAATTCTTTGAGGTATGTGCAACAAAGAAGTAGCTATAAATGCAGAGGCAACATCAGGAGGAACAAGTTCATTTCATCTGAGGAGAGGGTGACATGGCATGGAGAATCAGGGATGGGCTTACAGAAAAGGTGATGCCTCGGTTGGGTGTTAACACTTAAATCTTTTGATAATAGTCACAGTGTTTTGTTTGCTTGCTTCTTTTACGTTTGTTAAGCAGCTGGTTTGTTACTGTGATTCTGATGAATTTAGGGGGGCAGAAATTGATAATAAATTGTCTCATATTGGCTTGATTTAAAGTTTGCACATACCAACTTACTTGGACCTCATAATGTTTGGTGAGGGTAAGGAATAGGGCAGGTATTAACTCAATTTCGTAGATGAGGAAATTGTGACTCAGGAAACCTAAATGCAAGGCCCAGTGTCACCTCATTATATATGCATCAGTAGAACTGGGTGGAAGGGAAATTTCTCATTTGCAGTTGGTGCTATTTATATTCTGGGTCCTGACTGAGTGTGGCAGCACAAATCATCCATCCTGTGCTGTAAACCAATTCCAAGTTCTGGAATCCTCGGGAGATTTTGCCTCAACTTTCCTGGGAAATTGGATTGGAAGAACTACCCTTATGTTCATTGGAAATAAGGTGAAGACAAAGGTTTGGCAAGATGCTGATTCAGAGTGCAGCAACACTCAGGCTTTCAGGCCCTGCCCCATTCCACAAGTTGTAGGCCTGCAGGGCTGCGTTCAGTGGGACACTGGTGAGGGTAGAAGGTTGGGGGATAGGAGGTCTAATTTTCACGGAGTCCCAGTGTAGGCTAGCAGGAACCTTGGGAATGCTATGGGCGTGGGGTTAAGTACATACAAACAATTTCACACTTATAGTTGGTTATTTTAGAAATTCATTGACCGGCTGGGCACAGTGGCTCACGCCTGTAATCCCAGCACTTTGGGAGGCCGAGGCAGGCGGATCACAAAGTCAGGAGATCGAGACCATCCTGGCTAACATGGTGAAACCCCGTCTCGACTAAAAATACAAAAAAATTAGCTGGGCGTAGTAGTGGGCGCCTGTAGTCCCAGCTACTTGGGAAGCTGAGGCAGGAGAATGGCGTGAACCTGGGAGGCGGAGCTTGCAGTGAGCTGAGATGGCGCCACTGCACTCCAGCCTGGGCGACAGAGTGAGACTACATCTCAAAAAAAAAAAATAAATAAAAATAAAAAAAAAGAAATTCATTGACCATGTGACCCAACTTTTTAGGAGAAAATTTAGATAGTAAGAAAGGGGGCACTTTAACTGAGTGCTCATTGTGTGTTTGCAACTGCACTAGGTATTTTTATGTCATCCAAGTTAACACTCCAGAAAGCCTGAAAGATGAACATCATCAGCAACATTTTCCAGAAGAAAAGCTGGGACTCAAAGAAGAAGTTATGTGACTTGCCAAAGGTTAGATTGATATTAAATCATGGAGCTTGTATAGAATTTAGGTCTGGTAGTCTGATTGAATCCAAAGAATATGTCATAAGAAACCTAAGAAATGGGACGTAATTTTCTGTGTAATGAAGGTGATTTATTTCATATAATAATTTTACTTGGGGTACCTATGCACACGTGTGCATGTATGTGTTTGTATGTGTATGCTTATGGTGATGGTGAGATGTCAACAGAAAACAGCATAGGAAAGTCGGAGGAAAGAACCAAACGGGTGAATTTACTTCTAGTCTAATTTACCATGTTGGCTATTCACTTTCAGTTACTCTGCATTAACGGAGGTAAAGAGTCTGGTGGAAAATCTCAAAACTGGATTAATGAAATTATTTGTATTTGGCATTGGGTGTGATTGTGTGTAATGGTTTAGAAAATTATAAAACAAATAATGAGACCATTTAGTCAATGTTCAACTTAGGAGGAAGAGAAAAGCTGTGCTTTTCATCAACTCTGCTGAATAACATCTCTCTCCTTCCTTCTTTCACATAGCAGTGTCTCTTAGGCAGGCACAATTTATCCTTACAAAGGGAACTGGTTTATCTCTCTCAATTTGCTTGTTTACTTTTTCAGATTTCCTGGAGGAGTTAAGGTAATTAAACAGCTTGGTGTAACTGCGATAATTTTCAGCTTTCTTTCCCAATTTCTGTTAAACTATAGCCTATAGTTGGGTGTAAGGAAGACTACCAATTAATTTATCTAACATAGTTTAATTGAACACCTACCATATGCAAGGCACTGTGCTAACTTCTGGGGAATACAAATATAAAAGTGATAAAGGCAGATATGCAACGAACTGTATTGTAGTTAGATTGTAACAAAAACAGGCCCAGATCATACCAGGTAGAGATGCTGGGAAAGATAATTTGATATCCTTAAAAAACAATATTTAAAAAATATTTATTCTGCATTTATTTAGCAGGGGAGAGATTATTACCAGCCTGAATTTTTAATATTCTATTCAAGTGTACCCTCAGCTTTGATGAGGAAGATCAATTTTTTTTTTTTTTTTTTGAGACAGGGTCTTGCTCTGTCACCCAGGCTGGAGTGCAGTGGCATGATCTTGGCTCACTGCAACCTCTGCCTCCCAGGTTCAAGTGATTCTCCTGCCTCAACCTCCTGAGTAACTGGGATTACAGATGTGTGCCACCACGCCCAGCTGATTTTTCATATTTTTAAGGTCAATTTATATGTATATATTTTCAGCTATTTATGGAACTGCTTGTGGGTACCATGGTACCATTTTATTTCAGTGAAAGCCCCCTCTTATAGATTGTTACTCTGGGCTACCACCCAACTGGCCCAGCCCTTAATTTTGCTCTCTACAGAAGAATGGAGCTCATGGAGACAGGGGAGGGAAACAGAGGAGGGAAAGACTAATTCTGACTGTGACTGAGCCAGGCCTCAAAGAATGATTAAAGTTTCTAAAAGCTGAGAAACTGAGGCCCAGGACAAGATAGGTCTGTCAGGAAGAGAGGGCAGTAGAGGCAAATGCAGGGCCAACTAAGCTAAGGTACAGGGGCCACAAACTGAAAGTGACATATAGGAAGTTGCTAGCTGACTGCAGAGGACAGATCTGATGAAGTATTACTGGCATATTCAAAGGTCTTACTTCTACCATGGTACAGTTCTCATGAAGTGATAAAAGCTGAAATTGGGATGAAGCAGGGAAGAGCCAGGCTGGAGTGCTTCTCTTACTGGAGGCTATAGTCACTCCCTTTAAGTTATGCCTGTCCTTAAGTATAAGCATTCTGTGCCAGCTTCTACACTACCCTCACTGTCCTGTGCCTTGCTTTGCTTCAACAGCCTTTCTTGAAAGGATGTGTCATTTGGTGGCTCCTTTGCCACTTTTTTTCCAGATTGCTGACTTAGGATTTTTTTGTTTATTTGTTTTAAAGACAGGGTCTTGCTCTGTTGCCCAGGCTGGAGTGCAGTGGTGCAATCATAGCACATAGATCATAGTTCATCAGATCCTCCTGCCTCAGCCTCCTGAGTAGCTGGGACTACAGGCATGCACCTCCATACCTGGCTAATTTTTTAGTTATTTGTAGAGACAAAAAACTCACTATGTTGCCCAGGCTGGTCTCAAACTCCTGGCCTGAAGTGATTTATCCCACCTCTGCCTCCCAAAGTGTTGAGATTACAGATATGAGCCACTGTGCCTGGCAGAGGGCTGACTTAGGAAGTGGCATGTCTTGAGATCATCCAAGGACTTTAGGTAGTCTGAGTTTGCTATTTTTATGAACATAAACAGGAATGACATTAACAGGACTGATCTGGGAAGTTAATCATGGCAAGGAAGGTGCCAGGCCTGAATGCCTGGAGGAAGTGAGTAGGTGTAGGTGTCAACTGGTTCTGCTTGAAGCAAAGGCTTTCCATCCGAGAGACCCTCTAGGAACACCTGGGAGGCTCAGCTTCTAGGCTCAAAGAATGCCTGGAGCTTTGAGAATGTGGTCTTGTGGAGAGGATCTGTCAGATCAGTATTCAAGATGGTAGATGCTACTTACATAATTGTAATTGCATTATAGATTCTTGGCCTTCATATTTAGAAACAAATTCATACTTGTAATAGTTCTTGTTAAGCATTAGTGGAACAACATTTTAGCATTCTTCCTCTACCACAGGCACAACACAAATACAATAGCTGAGGCTATTTAGAAAGGGCATTTAGAAAGTGGGATTACATGTAGACTTCCACTCCAAGTGTGTTGGAGTTGAGAATATTTATTCAGTCATCTAATTTTTCTATCATCTTTGATATTTTAAGGACATATTCCTAGCTTAATATTTTTAAAAGGGTATTTGGCAGAACAATAAATGGTATTTTAAAAAATAAAAAATTCTGCAGCTAAATAAGTTTGGAGAATGTTGGCTTAAGAAACTTAAACAATTTTTTTTAAGTCCAGGACTTTTCAGAGCTTTAAATATGGTAATGTGCTTTTAGCAATTATAAGAAGAGTATACCGTATTCATGGTCACCTATTTTATGGTAAACTGAGATCCACTAGACACAATATGGGAAGCATTGTTCTAGATCATAATTTACATGTAATCTCTTGGGAGAGTCACTTTACATCTTTTTTATTTATATACAATGGTTTTCAACTTTTATTCTAGATTCAGGGACTACATGTGCAGGTTTGTTACATGGGTATATTGCATGATGCTGGTTTGGGATACAGATGATGCAGTCATCCAGGTAGTTAGCATAGTACCCAATAGTTAATCTTTCAACACTTACCCCCTCTGCCTCCCTCCCCTTCTCCAGTAGTCCCCAGTATCTATTGTTCCCATCTTTATGTCCATGAGTACCCAGTGTTTAGCTCTCACTTATTTTTATTTTTATTTATTTATTTATTTTGAGATGGGGTCTTGCTCCGTTGCCCGGGCTGGAGTGCAGTGGTGTGATCTTGGCTCACTGCAAGCTCCACCTCCTAGGTTCCGGCCATTCTCCTGCCTCAGCCTCCCGAATAGCTGGGACTACAGGCTCCTGCCACCACGCCTGGCTAATTTTTGTATTTTTAGTACAGACACGGTTTCACCTTGTTAGCTCTCACTTATAAGTGAGAACATGCAGTATTTGGTTTTCTGTTTCTGCATTAATTTACATAGGATAATGGCCTCCAGCTGCATCCATGTTGCTGCAAAGGACATGATTTCATTCTTTTTTATGGTTGTGTAGTATTACATGGTGTATATGTACCCCATTTCCATCATCCAGTCCACTGTTGATGGATGCCTACATTGATTCCATGTGTTTGCTATTGTGAATAGTGCTGTTAGGAACATACAAGTGCAGGTGTCTTTTTGGTAGAATGATTTCTTTTCTTTTGGAATGAGATTTCTGGGTTGAATGGTAGTTCTGTTTTAAGTTCTTTGAGAAATCTCCAAACTTCTTTCCACAGTGGCTAAACTAATTTACTTTCCCACCAACAGTTTATAAGTGTTCCCTTTGATCTGCTGCCTCACCAACGTCTATTATTTTTTGACTTTCTAATAATAGCCATTCTGACTGGTATGAGATGGTATCTCATTGTAGTTTTGATTTGCATTTCTCTGATGATTAATGATGTTGAGTATTTTTTCATATTTTTGTTTTGGCTGCTTGTATGTCTTCTTTTGGGAAGTGTCTGTGTCTTTTGCCCACTTTTTAATGGGATTATTTGTTTTTTTGTTTGTTGATTTGTTTAAGTTCCTTATAGATTCTGGATATTAGACCCTCATTGAATGCATAGTTTGCAAATATTTTCTCCTATTCTGTAGATAGTCTGTTTACTCTGTTGATAGTTTTCTTTTGCTGTGCAGCAGCTCTTTAGCTTAATTAGGTCCTACTTGTCATTTTTTGGTTTTGATACAATTGCTCTTGAGGACTTAGTCATAAATTCTTTCTCAAGAGCAATGTCCAGAATAATGTTTCCTAGGTGTTCTTCTAGGATTCTTACAGTTTGAGGTCTTAAATTTAAATTTTTAATCCATCTTGAGTCAGTTTTTTAATATGGTGAAAGGTAAGGGTCCAGTTTTATTCCTCTGCATATGGCTAGCCAACTATCCTCACACCATTTGTTGAATAGGGGGCCATTTCCTCATTGCTTGTTACTGTTGACTTTGTCAAAGATCAGATGGCTGTAGGAGTGCAGCTTTATTCCTGGGTTCTCTAGCCTGTTCCATTGGTCTCTGTGTCTATGATGAGAGTGGGCATCCCCATCTTGTTCCAGTTCTTAAGGGAAATGTTTCCAGCTTTTTTCCATGCAGTATGATGATGCCTGTGAATTTGTCATAGATAGCTCTTTGTCTTTTAAGGTATGTTCTTTTGATGCCATGTTTTTTGAGGGTTTTTATCATAAAGAGATGTTAGATTTTATGAAAAGCATTTTCTGCATTTATTGAGATCATCATATGGTTTTTGTTTCTAATTGTGTTTATGTTGTGAATCAAGTTTATTGATTTGCATATGTTGAATCATTCTTACATTGCAAGAATAAAACCTACTTGATCATGATGAATTAATTTTTTGATTTGCTGCTGGATTTGGTTTGCCAGTATTTTGTTGAGGATTTTTGCATTTATGTCCATCAGGGATACTGGCCTATAGTTTTCTTTTTTCATTGTCTTTGCCAGATTTTGCATGAGGATGATGCTGGCTTCCTATGATGAGTTAGGGAGGAGTCCCTCTTCCTTGATGTTTTTGTATAGTTTTACTAACATTGGTACCAGCTCTTCTTTGTATGTCTGGTAGAATTCGGCTCTGAATCCATCTTGTCCAAGGTTTTTTGGTTGGTTGGTTTTTTATTACTGATTCAATTTAGGAACTTAATATTGGTCTGTTCAGGGTTTCAATTTCTTCCTGATTCAATCTGGGGAGATTGTGTGTTTCTAGGAATGTATGCATTTCTTCTACATTTTCCAGTTTGTATGCATAGAAGTGTTCATAATAGTCTCTGGGGATCTGTATTTCTGTGGGATTGGTTGTGATGTCACCTTTATTGTTTCTGATTGTGCTTATTTAGTTCTCTTTTTTTCTTTGTTAATCTAGCTAGCATGCTGTTGCTATTGCTTATCCTTTCACAGAACTAACGTTTAGTTTTGTTCATCCTTTTTATGGATATTAGGGTCTCAATTTTATGCAGTTCTGCTCTGATTTTAGTTCTTTCTTTTCTTCTGTTAGCTTTGGAGTTAGTTTGTTCTTGTTTTTCTAGTTCTTCTAAGTGTGATGTTAGATAGTTAATTTGAGATCTTTCTTTCTTGATGTAGGCATTTAGCACTATTAACTCCTCTTAATGAGAGGTGAAGCCAGCTGGACTTCCTGGGTCGAGTGGGGACTTGGAGAACTTTACTGTCTGGCTAAAGCATTGTAAGTGCACCAGTCAGTGCTCTGTGTCTAGCTAAAGGATTGTAAATGCACCAGTCAGCACTCCATGTCTAGCTAAAGGATTGTAAATGCACCAATCAGCACTCTGTAAAAACGCACCAAGCAGCGCTCTGTGTCTAGCCAAAGGATTGTGAACGCACCAATCAGCACTCTGTAAAATGGACCAATCAGCAGGACATGGACAGGGACAAATAAGGGAATAAAAGCTGGCCACCCCAGCCAGCAGCGGCAACCCGCTCAGGTCCCCTCCCATGCTGTGGAAGCTTTGTTCTTTTCCTCTTCACAATAAATCTTGCTGCTGCTCACTCTTTGGGTCCATGCCACCTTTAAGAGCTGTAATACTCACTGCAAAGGTCCGTGGTTTCATTCTTGAAGTCAGCGAGACCAAGGACCCACTGGAAGGAACCAACTCTGGACACATTAACATGGTTTTGCTGTATCCCAGAGATTTGGTATGTTGTGTCTGTTTCCATTTTTATTTAAAAGAACTTTTTGATTTCTGCCTTAATTTTGTTGTTTACCCAAACGTCATTCAGAAACAAGTTGTTTTATTTCCATATGATTGTGTAGTTTTGAGATCTTCTTGATATTGATTTCTATTTTTATTCCACTGTGGTCCAAGAGTATGCTTGGTATGATTTCAGTTTTTTTGAATTTATTGATACTTGCTTTATGGCTGAGCATCTGGTCAATCTTAGAGTATGTTATATGTACAGATGAGAAGAATGTATATTCTGTGGTTGTTTGTTGGAGTATTCTGTAGATATCTGTTGGGTCCAATTGGTCAAGTTTTGAATTTAAGTCCGGAAGTCTTTGTTAATTTTCTGCCTTGATGGTCTGTCTGATGTTATCAATGAGATGTTGAAGTCCCCCACTGTTGTTGTGTGGTTATTTCTTTTTATAGGTCTAGAAGTACTTGTTTTATGAATCTGGTGCTTCAATGATGGGGGCATGTATATTTAAAATAGTTAAGTCTTCTCATTTAATTGAACCCTTTATTGTTATGTAATGCCTTTCTTTGACCTTTTTTTACTGTTGCTGGTTTAAAGTCTGTTTTATGTAATATAAGAATAGCAACCCCTGCTTCTTTTTGTGTTCCATTTGTGTGATAGCTCTTTCTCCATTCCTTTACTTTGAGCCTATAGTTTTGTTACATGTGAGATGGTTCTCTTGAAGTTAGCAGATGGTTGGGTATTATTTTGTTATCCACCTTGCCACTCTGCGCTTTTTGTTTTTGTTTTTGTTTTTTGATGTTGTCTCACTCTGTCACCCAGGCTGGAGTGCAGTGGTGCGATCTTGGCTCACTGCAACTTCTGCCCTCTGAGTTCAAGTGATTCTCCTGCCTCAGGATCCCAAGTAGCTGGGATTACAGGTGCCTGCCACTGTGCCCAGCTAATTTTTTGTATTTTTAGTAGAGACGGGGTTTCACCATCTTGACCAGACTGGTCTTGAATCTTGAACTCCTGACCTCATGATCCACCTGCCTTGGCCTCCCAAAGTGCTGGGATGATAGGCATGAGCCACTGCACCCAGCCCACTCTGTGCTTTTAAAATGGAGTGTTTAGAGTGTTTACATTCAAGGTTAATATTGATATATGAGGTTTTGATGCTGTTGTGATGTTGTTAGCTGGTTGCTTTATAGTCTTGTGTAGTTGCTTTTACAGACTTTGGGCTATGTACTTATGTGTGCTTTTGTGGTAACAGGTATAATTCTGTTTTCATGTTTAGAATTCCCTCGAAGAATTTCTTGTATGACTGGTCTAGTGGTAATGGATTCTTTCAGTGGTAATAGATTCTTTCACTGTTTGCTTGTTTGGAAAGGATTTGATTTCTCCTTTGCTTATGAAGCTTAATTTGGCAGGATATGAAATTCTTGGTTGGAATTTCTTTTCTTTAAGGATGCTAAAAATAGGCCCCGATCTCAACCTGTTTGTGAGGTTTCTGCTGAGAAGTCTACGGTTAGCCTGATGGAGTTCTCTTTGTAATTGATCTGACCCTTTCCTCTAGCTACTAAGATTTTTTTCTTTTGTGTCAACTTTGGAATGTTGATGACTATATGTCTTGGGGATGGTCATTTTGCACAGTAATTAACCTCACAGGGGTTCTCTGAATTTCTTGAATTTGCATGCTTACCTCTCTAGCAAGATTCAGGAAAGTTTTATGGACTACATCCTCAAATATGTTTTCCAGGTTGCTTATTCTGTCTCCTCTCTCAGGAATACCAATGAGTTGTAGGTTTAGTTTCTTTACATAATCTCATATTTCTCAGAGGTTTTGTTCATTTAAAAAATTATTTTTTCTTTATTTTGGCTGACCGGGTTGATCTGAAGCATCAGTCTTTGAGCTCTGTAATTTTTTCCTCAGCTTGGTCTAGTCGGTTGTCAAGGTTTACAACTGTATTTTGAAATTTCTGTGGTGAATTTTTAATTCTAGAAATTCAGTTTGTTTCTTCCTTAATATGGCCATGTTGTGTTTTAACCCTTGAATCATTTTACTTACTTTTTTGGATTGGGTTTTAACTTTCTCTTGAATCTTATTGAGTTTCCTTGTCATCCAGATTCTAAAAGTCAATGTCTGCCATTTCAGACATTTCAGTCTGGTTAGGATCCAGTGCTGGGGAGCTAATGTAATCTTTGGAGGTAAGGAAACATTTTGACTTTTTGAGTTGCTAGAGTCCTTGTGCTGGTTTCTTCTCATCTTAGGGGGCTGGCATTTCTTTATCTTTTTGAAGTTGCTGTCATTTGGAAGGGGCTTTTTGTTTTTCTATCATTTGTTCCCTTGAGGATTTGACTGTGGTGTATATTGTGTATAGTTGACTGGCTCCATTTCTGGGTGCTTTCAGAGGGTTAAGGCTCTGTACAGGTTCTTTAGTTGTGGCTAGTTTCCTGCACTGGGTTTCACAGTCGATGCATGCTGTAGGAATTTATTTTTGTTGGTGGTGTAATTCAGGCTGTGATCCAGTAGATGTCCCTTAAGAGTAAGAGCTGGCAGATAGGCTTTTAACCCTGTGTCCTTTGTATTTCAGTGCATTCACAGCAATGCTCTGGTGAGTGGGAAATGGGGAGAGCAGGGATTACCCCTTTACCAAGTTTGTTCCCAGGCCTTGGAGAAGCTGCCTCCAATCACTGGTTCTATGCCTGCATTTCCTGAACCCAAAGGGCCCCCTCGTTGACTGCACTCTCCCCTCCCTTAAGGGAGGCCTGAGCTGAAGGTTAGGCCACCAGAAGACTTGCAGCTCCCCAGGGACTCTCTGGTCATCTGAGCTTGGCAGAGTCAGAGGAGGTTGTGGGGTATGTCTGTGGGTGGTCTGGTGATGCCCACAGGGTGGGCAGGATGGTGGGGCCAAGGGTGTGCAGCTGGTGTGGCACCTACAGCTTGGGGTTTTTGCCCAGAATACAGTTATAGGGACCACCTAGCTCAGGCTCCCCGAGCTGGGACTCTTTCTAGTGTCTGTCCCAGGAGTAGGCCTGACCAGCTAGTTTTGTCCCAAAACTTCTTGGCCCAGATCTCTGGGCTGGTCAAGGCCAGAGGGCTCCCTCAGGTAGCAGCTACACTGCCCAACAGGCTATACCCTTCCTGCACCCTTCTTGTGGAGGGAGGGACACCAAACTTTTGTGCTGGCACACAAACCCACACCTCACTCTTCTCAGTTTTCTGAGAGTGGGGGCTCCTTACCTGCTCAGGCTGAAGTCACACATCTCAGCTGGATACCCATGGGCAGTG
Organism: Homo sapiens; assembly: GCF_000001405.40. Taxonomy (NCBI): domain Eukaryota; kingdom Metazoa; phylum Chordata; class Mammalia; order Primates; family Hominidae; genus Homo; species Homo sapiens. The sequence goes on from NC_000009.12 coordinate 82,102,447, forward strand.
TGCTTGAACCCTGGGGGATTCGAACCGACCTTTGACTTTGCCCTCTGGCCCCTTGGGGTTGAGTACCACCTGTGCTGGAGGCACTGAATTGCTCCCAGGCCACTGGCAAAACACTTGGCTTAGTGGAAGCTGTGCTGTGTGCACCCTCTTGTAGGAGTGGCCAGGCAGGGCCTTGGGAGGGGCCAGCTGACAAGGGGGCACACAGATCAGATGCGCTCCAGACCTGTGTAAAGGCAGCCCTGGTTTCTCCTGGCCCAGCAATCAGCAGGGGATAGAGTTACTCAAAGTAAAATGGAGAGCCTTGGGGATAGGCACATATAATCGCATTTTGCCGCAGCTGCCCTGCATGTTAAACCTTCTGGGCTCCATGGAGGTTCAAGCTCTGCCTCTGCCTATTCTCCAGCAGTTCCCTGTGCCAATTCAAATGTCTTTTCAGGTCGTAGGATCTCTTGTAGCTAGGACCCCAGAGGTCTGTGGCAGGAGTGTTGTGTCCTGGAGCTCTTTTACTCTCCCCTTCCTTAGTACCTATGAAGGACCAAGAGCTGGTTGGTCCTGGTGCTTGGTGATGTCATGCAGGCTTCCTAGCTTCCTCCCTCTTGGATCTCACTGTCTACATCACCTTCCTATTGACTTTCAGCATTTTGTCTCAAAAGATCTGTTTGAAGTATGATGGTTTACTCAACATTTTGGTTTCTCTCAGTGGGAGAGGCATTTCCTGGCTGTGTCTAGTCAGCTATCTTTACCTCTAAGCTGTAGTTTTGTAATGTGCAAATTGACAGTGAGAGCACTTGGGATAATTTGAAGTCAAGTGAGATCTTGTGAACTATTTAAAGTTAGTTATTGTTAGTCTAGAAAATTTGTATCTAAAAGATATTTTATGATTATTATTCAATACAATAACTTTTATGTTAAGGAAAACGGTACAAAATCAACTACAAGCTTATTTAATATTGAGTAATAATAATGCCCTCAGGTGAGGCTGGAAATAATTTACAGATATATCATAGCAGGCTTTACCAATAGAATTTCAGTAAACTAGAAGTACTAAGAAGATCAGGTATTAATTACCACACAATTAAACTTGGTTCACGAACTTAGAGATTCCACAAGATGCATCAATATAAATTGAGGGAATATAGAGTAATTAGACAATGAAAAAGAGATAAACAAGAGAGACCGCCTCATCTTCCTGATTATTTGTGCAAAATGTATAAGTTACTTTAGATTGGGGATTGGGTCTTATATCATCTTATAGTCATCTTTCAGCACCTGGAACAGTGCTGGATATAAATTCTATTAATACAAATTCACAGACAGATTTGTTCTGCATTTCTGGAAAAACATGGTTTAAATTAGATTACTGTTAAGTGGGTTCATACTTAGTTGACAACACGATTTGTAATGCTTCAGTGTCAATATAAGAATATTTATTATTTGAATGAAACTCCACAGTGGTCAGTCTTTGGGCAACTCTGTGGGGACCCATTAAGACAAATTATCTTGAAGCAGGAAAAAGAATCTCAGTATCAAGCAAATAAATTATTTGCTGTTTTTGTTTAAGTATATAAGAAAAAAGGAGCTAAGAATCAAACATCACATACTGAGGGTTACCAAATTAAGATAATTTAAGATACAATTCATGGAATAAGCAGGTCTTTGCCTAGAAAGGTGAACTTCTGAGGTCTTTGGATATACTGTTTTCCAAGAACATATACAATTTTTTTATGAGCTGCATTCTTTTATATAGGCCTTGTTATATTAGACTAGGTTATGTTTATATTTTAGTTATCTTTTTTTGTAAAGCTAATATGTCCCCACAGCAATTAAATTTAGTCATTGGCCTCATTGGCACCATGGTGCTATGAGTAAAATTAAATAATACAGTGTATGAAATCAATTATGTTCTTATTGAGCTATTTTCTGCATTTGGGGGATACTATAATTAAATAAGATGGTTAGGAAAAGGATAATGTCCAGAGCTACATTGTCCAATATGGTAGCCACTAGCCATATGTTTATATTTAAATTTGAATGTAAATTAATTAAAGTTAAATTTATTTTAAATTTAATTTATTAAATTAAATTTAAATTCAAAATTCAATTCCTCAGTCTCACTGGCCATAATTTAAGTGCTCAGTATTCACACGTGGCTAGTTGCTATCCTATTGGACAACACAGAAACAGAATATTTTCATCACTTCAGAAGGTTCCATTGGACAGTACTGTTTTAGAGAATAGCAATGTAAATGTTGAGATATAACTGCCAGATTTGAGTTTTTTAGCTTCAAGAAGAGGAGCTTGGAATAGAGGCTAAGTTAATAGTCATTGGCTACATGAGGAGCTTTGGTAATCATCCTGCAGTTTCAGAAATGAGGAATAATAAATTAGGACCAGGTAAAACTGTGGCAGGAAGGATTTAGATAGACTGTTTTTTTTTTTTTTTTTTGAGACAGAGTCTCACTCTGTCATCCAGGCTGGAGTGCAGTGGCACCATCTCGACTCACTGCAAGCTCCGCCTGCCAGGTTCAAGCCATTCTCCTGCCTCAGCCTCCCGAGTAGCTGGGACTACAGGTGCCCTCCACCATGCCCGGCTAATTTGTATTTTTAGTAGAGATGGGGTTTCATTGTGTTAGCCAGAATGGTCTCGATCTCCTGATGTCATGATCTGCCGGCCTCGGCCTCCCAAAGTGCTGGGATTATAGGCGTGAGCCACCACGCCCGGCCTAGATAGACTTTTTTTTTATTACTTTCCAACTTCTATTTTAGGTTCAAAGAGTACATGTGCAGGTTTGTTACATGGGTAAACTGTGTGTTGGGGGCGGGGTTGGTGTAGAGATAATTTTGTTACCCAGATAATCAACATAACACTTGATAGGCAGTTTTTCAGTTCTCACCCTCCACCCACCCTCCACCCTCAAGTAGGCCCTGGTGTCTGTTGTTCCCTTCTTTGTGCCATGTGTACTCCATGTTTCGCTCTCACTTGTAAGTGATAACATGCAGCATTTGATTTTCTGTTCCTTCATTAATTCACTTACTATGGCCTCCAGCTTCTAGATGGACGTTTTGAAGTCCTTCTCCCATGAAAAATTAAGCCTTGGAATAAACTAAATATGGAGAATGTGCAAATGTTTTCTGGATTGTTGATAAAAATGTATAAGACAGTGATTTCTAATATTTTAATACCCTAAATGTTTACATGGATGGATCTTACTCTTCTATAAAAAATTAACTTTAAAGAAATTCACATATCATTTGTCCCATGCCTCCAACCTTGAGTGTGGTGTTGCTTTTTAGTTAGTGTCTGTTTCTTGAGAAACCACTGAGGAAGAAAAACTGCTAGGAAACCAGTAACACTTTATAGTCAATATCTAAGTATAGTTAAAAAGTATTTTGTGTTTGTATAAGACAGACTGTTTAATCAGCCCTAGCCAATATTTGCTGCTCTCGTGGATTCTTGAACCTGTTTTAGTAACTGAGCCCCGCCACCTAGAGGAGGGTGGTTCTTGTCTGGGAGCCACTGGTCTACACATTCACCTCTGGGAGGGAGTTAAAGTGAGTTGGACTGGAGGGTATAGGCAGAGGTAAATGACTTTTAACATTCCTTCTGGACCTCCTCTTCATGATTAAGCACTTCTGCTCATACGTTTAAGTTTTGCTACTTTTTTTCTGGCCTGTATCCAGATTTTTACCAATCTGATCTGAAATGAAATTTTTCATTTGATTTTAAATCAGGCCATTGTAGGGTTTTGAAAGCTCAATGATAGCTTCTCATGTCTTAGCTTTAGTACCCTGAAAGATCATTTTATTAAATGTAAATCCAGATGATCTCCTTTGTCTACGATGTCCATTGGTATAAGTGATGTGCACACATTCTACACCTGGCAGGAACTTCAGTTATGCGTGAAAATCTTGAGTTCCCTTCTTAGTCATGCAACCTTGAATTCCTTGAGAATGTGATTTTTTTATTTTCTTTAAATCTACATTAATAACATAGGGCTGTGAACATCTCATTGAAAAGGATTAGCCCTTGAGAGAAAAGGGATTTGGATTCTTGACTTGTGCTCATAAGCCCAGGATGGGGAGTTCAGGACCATTGGTTATGGTTATGGGAAACTTGGCCATCCTGTGTGTAATCCCATGTGGACAACAAAATCTGTTTGGGAAGCAATTATGAGGGTTAATTTTCTTTTAATCTGCTTTATTCTGGGGACTGGACTCTGGTGGCAGGCAAATAGACTCAATAGTCCAGCCAAGGCAGCCTGCATCCTGGTTCACTGAAAGTCTAAATCCCTTCAGTCTCTTTAAGAACAATGTTTCTTTCAGAAGTGCCAGAGGCACTGTGTGTAGAAATCAACATTCAGGGCATTTTAGCTATAGGAATAGCTCAGGCTATAACTGGAGATGAAATATTCTCTTCCCATGACTCTGGCTTAGCCTAGGAAAAAGAAGGTTTTTTTGTTTGTTTGTTTGTTTGTTTGTTTGTTTTTTACTAAGTGGACTACAAAGACATGCAACTGACAAAGGTAAATCATTCTTAAGTTTTTAGCATTCACAAATCTTAAAAATGGCCATTTATTATCTGCTTTTTGCCAAGCATTGGAGATATGATTCTCTTTAATAAGGAAGCCAAACAAGTCAACATGCAGGTATAACATAGTACAGGAACTTTGGGGTTAGAGTGATGGAGATTTCCATGGTAGCACAGAGGAGAGGAATCTAACCCAGTCTGTGACAGTGAATGGGGGAGCTAGGATTAGGGTTTTCCAGATCTTCCTGGAAGAAGAAATATCTAAGCTGAATCTTGAATTATTATTTTTTTTTAAGGTAAGGAGTTGTAGTTGGGGAAAGTTGAAGTCATAAGGAGGATATAGTATGATGTATGCAGAATGCTAAAAAGCCTTCAGTTCTAGTAGAGCATAAATAGCACAATGTTGAGTATCAGGAGAATTAGAAGCAAAGAAGCAAACGTTCTCCAAATGTCACTTGATCATCTCTTTCCTTTTAGCACAATATCCCAAAGGAAAATAACTGAAGTGAAATACATATATATGCACACGTGCACACATTTTTTCAAATATAAGGAAAGTGGGTGCTCTGAAAACAATAAAGGTAGTGTTTGAACGAGGATTAGCTGAGGTCAAAATTAAAGCCATCAGCCAATAAGCCAGAACTCCAATCTTGTCAGAGCCAAAGAACAAAGAAAAAGTTTTAAGTTCTGACCAGTTCTTGAAAACCTGGAAAATTTTCCCCAATAGATCCTCAAATGGCCTAACAGCAAGTATTTTTGGGCTTTTTGATTACAGTCATGTGCTGCATAATGATATTTTTGGTCAACAATGTACTGCATGTATAACGGCAGTCCCATAAGTTTATAATGGAGTTGGAAAAATTTTATTGCATAGTGATGTTGTAAGCCATTGAAATAGCATAGCAAAACACATTACTTATGTGTTTGTGGTGATGGTGGTGTAAACAAATCTACCACACTGCCAGTTATATAAAAGATTAGCACCTACAGTTATGTGTGGTACATAATACTTGACAATGATAATAAACAACTATGTTACTGGTTTATGTATTTACTAGACTATGCTTTTGTTTAGAGTGTACTTCTTCTACTTATTAAAAAAAAGTTAACCGTAAAATAGCCTCAGGCAGATCCTTCAGGAAGTATTCCATAAGACAGCATTGTTATTATAGGATATGACAGCTCTATGCATATTATTTCCCCTGAAAACCTTCCAGTGGGACAAGGTGTGGAGGTGGAACACTGATATTGATGATCCTGACACAGTTTGGGCTTAGGTTAGTGTTTGTGTTTGTGTCTTTGTCTTTAACAAAAATGTTTAAAAAGTAAAAAAAAAAAAAAAAAGAAAGAAAATTAAACATTTTAAAAAGAGAAAAAAGCTTATAGAATGAGGATATAAAGAAAATATTTTTGTACAGCTGTGCAATGTTTGTGTTTTAAGCTAAGTGTTATTACAAAAGAGTCAAAAAGTTAAAATAATTAAAAAGTTATAAAGCAAAAGAGTTACAGTCAACTAAGATTAATTTATTATTGAAGAAAGAAAAATATTTCTTTATAAATTTATAGTGTAGCCTAAGTGTATAGTGTTTATACAATCCCAAATAATGTACAGTAACATTTACTAGATTTCATATTTACTCACCTAGCCCTTCACATTTATTCACTTGTTGACACACCCAGAGCAACTTCCAGTCCTGCAAGCTTGGTTCATGGCAAGTGCCCTGTATAAGTGTAGCATTTTTTTAATCTTTTTTACTGTATCTTTACTGTACCTTTTCTATGTTTAGGTAAGTTGAGATACACAAATATTTATCATTGGATTATAGTTGCCTATAGTATCCAGTGTAGTAACACGCTGTACAGTTTTGTAGCCTAGGAATGATAGGCTGTACAATACAACCAAGGTGTGTTCTAGGCTATACCCTCTATGTTTATGTAAGTCTACTCTGTGGTGTTCATAAGAGGACAAAATTGTATCATAACACATTTCCCAGAATGTACCCTCATTGCTAAATGACACATGACTACACTTTTTTATTATCCTGATACAGAAACAAGTGTGGAACCAGCAGAAAGAACAGTTGTCCCCTCATTTCAAAGGGGATAAGCTTTGTTGTTTTGATGATGAGCTTCTTTAGCAGACAGCTAACCACATGCATGCTCAGCTTCATTTATAGCTTGCTGGGCTCAATCTCCAACATAATATTGGCCTGAAATACTGCCAAAAAGAAAAAAGGGAGGTATTCTGTATGTAAATAAAATTCCATCCTTTTACTTAAAGGATTTGGGCATTTTAGTCCTTCATTAACAAACTCTTTGAAGTATGGGTCCCAGCACATCTGTAAAGGGTTGTAGGCTTTTGTAAGACTTTTTGGATTTTGAACAAATTTAACAATTTCTACAGCATGAATGTCTCGTTGTTTCTTAAAATCGTAGGATTAGAAAAACATATCACTTTAATTTTCCTCTGTCTTAGTCTGAGACTGAGATTTCCATATTGGTCAGAAAAGAACATTTCCCAAAAGCAATAGATTTTTACAAAGTCATGGCTAATTTTTATTTTCTTTCTCAGCACAGCATGAGGAGAATTGGAAAACTCTTATGAGAACTGATAAAGAATACAGAACATGTTCTTTGTTTCTTGGCAAAAGAAACTTCTATCCTAAGTTTTGTGGTTGAGGGAAGCATAAATCAATCCCCTAAAGAGCCCAAATCATAGTTGGACTCAAGTGGGAAACCACTTTCCTGGTTATGCTTGAGTGGCATCCTTTGGCTGGTTTGGGTAACACACAATTTCCCCACATTGGAAGGCTTAGGAGTTCCTCTAAGTGGGTTGAATATGCTATGCCTTTTCATTCAAAGAAACTCAATCCATATATTTTACAGAAGTAGGAGGTTGTCTTTTGAGGCTGCTTGGGAAAGAATGTCTTGTGGCAAATATCAAGCCACCTGAACAAACATGAACACAGCATGGGGCTCCCTAAGAAGGCTTTCTCAGGATGGAAGGCAGAGTAGTCACTCTGTCTTCATCTCTAGAAAAGCTGAGTGGAGTTTGCTTTCTTAAGAGTGATATGAGACCAAGGCCCGTCTGGCATCCTGTCTAAATCTTTAGAGGGAAAATGGTGGCAGCCAGGTACATCGTATCTTCTATGAGTTATAGAGGCTGACTTCAGGAGTGGTAACAATGCCAGATTTGGGAATGAGCCGTTAGACTCTTGTTAGTTTCTTACCCAGTCCTATTTTGGATGCCAGATCAGAAAAGGGGAATGGGAAAAGTCTGGACTATTGAAGTAAGGAAAGAATACAGATTGCTATTGCTTTAAGCATCTGTGCAAATATAGACAAAGAAGAAACAGGTATTAAACAAGACAGACCTTTACAATAAGAAACATCTTAGGTTAATATACTTTCCCATCCGGGATAACTGTGGCATTTAGCTATAGGCATTCAAATGGAATAGCACCCTAATTCTTCTGAGAACAGTACTCTTGATTTGGTGTTGAGGCTGCTCATGGAACCAGATTATGTAAAAAGGTCCTTGTAGTAGGCTACAAAATTACCCTCCAAAGGATATCCACCTCCTAGACTGTGGAAGCTATAAATGATAGTTTAGTTGGAAAAAGGGTGTGATTAAGTTAAGGATGTTGAGATGCAAGGATTTTTTTTTTTCTTGAGAAGGAGTCTTGCTCTGTTGCCCAGGCTGGAGTGCAGAGGTGCAATCTCGGTTCACTGCAAGCTCTGCCTCCTGGGTTCATGCCATTCTCCTGCCTTAGCCTCCCAAGTAGCTGGGACTACAGGTGCCTGCCACCACGCCCAGCTAATTTTTTTTTGTATTTTTAGTAGAGATGGGGTTTCACCATTTTAGCCAGGATCCTCTTGATCTCCTGACCTCGTGATCTGCCCACCTCAGCCTCCCAAAGTGCTGGGATTACAGGCATGAGCCATCGCGCCTGGCTGAGATGCAAGGATTACTTTGGATAATCTGGTGGGCCCTAAATGCCATCACAAGTGTCCTCATAAGAGAGAGGCAGAGGAACACTATACCAACAAAAGAGGAAGATAATGAGGCAAAGTGACCACAGAAGCAGATTGCAGTAATTTAGTCACAAGTTAATGAGTGCCAGCAGCCATCAGAAGCTGGAAGAGGCAAGGAATGCTTTCTCCCCTAGATAGAGCCTCCGGATGGAGTGTGGCCCTGCTACCATCTTGATTTTGATGCAATGATACTGATTTTGGACTTCTGGTGTCCAGAACTTGAGAGAATACCTTTCTAGTGTTTTAGATCACCAAGTTTTTTGTTGTTGTTGTTTTTAACAGCCACCATAGGAACTAATACAATCCTGAAATCAGATCATTGACAAGTCACTGGGAACTCAGTGCCATCAACATGGAAACGGGTGGTAAACTAGGGGAAAGGCAACAGTTCAGGAACTGGTGAAGCTGTTCTACTGCAGCCCAGGTCAGGAGGCGACAGGCAGCAGATGAGACTGGAAGAACAGAGAAAGAAGAGAAAGAGCAAAATGCAGCTAAGGAATAGGATTGGCTCATGAGAACTTGGATTCTGGTAGTTTTCGTGTAATTTGACCTGTCCCTGTAGGATTGGGAGAAGGCCCTGAAGTCACATGCCACCATCTCCAGATACTGAATCTACAATAGGGCCTTGTGGAATACAAAATAATACCCTTTTTCTTGGATTGCCACCAGAAGGATTAGTATAGCAGCAGTATAAGAGGGAATTTGATAGTCCTGAAATATTCGCACCTCTTTATCCTTAATGTCCAAACTTGTCCTCATTATCTTCCTCCATCCCCACTGCCTCAGAAGAATGAAGGTCTGCAGATGTCTGAAGATGACTTGGACTGAAACAACTTGATCCATAATGTGAGCCCATGACTCTAAGTTACTTATATGTTTTCCGCTCCTACTTTTCTGCTATGTGGGCTTCCAAAGATCGTTTATTTTCTCTTTTGTTTTCACTTTATGGGGCTAACGGTTACATTAGAGGAGTTGGTATTGAACTTTTAAAATGTATTATACAGTACTCTGAATTGTTTTAAAGGAAAACATAATATTAATATATATTATCTATCTATCTGTTGATGACCTGTGTGTTAGTACTAATAACAATAAAATCCCCTAGGCAAATGAATTTGAGGATTATTATAAGTGTGAAAGATCTCAGAGATAGTTTGGGGAACAGAGAAAGTTCAAATGAGTGAGGTTTACCACCTCTTATATTGTGAAGGTACAATCTAAGGTGACTATTTCAGCTCTTCCACTTTGGTTCATTTATTCACTCACTTCTTTGCTATTTCATCCGTTCCTTGATTCAGGCACCTACTAAGTACAGGTACTATGCTAAGTGCTGGGCCTACAAAGCCTGAGAAACCTCCGTCCTGTCCTTAAAGGGATGCAGAGGCTCTGACTTGGTAGCCTGCCCAGGTTTCTCTTTTTAAATTGGAATTTACATGATTTCTCCATTTAACCATAGATCTCATCTCTCCCTACTGTGTTACACATAAATTGATTTATATATTTACATTATCTGCCTAATCTCTGTAAACCATGAAGTTTTAAACCTCAGACTTAAATTTTATTTGAGAAGAACAGTCTCTGGGGCTGTCCTCATTCCAAACATTAATTCTTGAATTATTCCCAACCTCCCATAGCAACTGGAGACATAGAGTCTGGGAACCAAGACGAGAATGAGGGAGTTGATGTAAAATGCATGTACACCCACTGAATGAGGATGCAGTGGCAGAATTGGATGCCTTGGTTGGACATTCAGTTGGTAACAAAAACTCATAATGCTGAAAAGTCTGATTCTTGGTCCTCAGAGAAAAACATTATTCTTTGTGGGAGAATTGAGAGTCAAACTTAATCTTTGAGGAATATGAGAACTTCATAGGTAAGAAAACTAACCTAACTCCCAGATGGATGACACTGACCTGGTCACCTGGTCACTACAAGAACAATTAAGATCACGTTCCTAAGTGTTATTCATGACCTGAGGCAACTGGCAAAGACTTGGCAGTGTCAGCTGACAAACTTCAGGATATTCTGAGTGTGAGGAAAGATGACTGGCAGGTATAAGAATTCAGATTTGAAACAACACATATACTTGTTCTAATCAGTGCCTAGAATAGTATTGGTCACATAGCAGGTACTTAAAAAATATTTATTAAATTGGATCCTTTTGTGTACTTGGGGTAGGTGAGTTGGAGTTGGGCAGAGGTAGGCCTACGAGTGGAGCATGTGTAGTTTTTTCCTCCTTTTCTACAAGGTTTATTTCTAAAAGGCAGAGGGCCAAAGAGGGTAACTTAGTCTGTTGTGCCAGGGCCTGTGGGTACAAAGAGAAGCAAGTGGCTTAACTTCTGTGACCTTTTAGTTCCTCTATGTATCCTAAAGGATAAGAGAAAGTTCCTTGAGAAGACCACTGCAAAATTATGAGTTTTGAATAAAAGTTATTAAACATTATGTGTGTACTTTATACAGACAACAAAATTTGCTCTCTCAAATGGAATCTCAATAGAGAACAAAGAAGGTTTTATAACTGTCTTTTATAACTGTCTACCTAGCTACTAACCTCTAGGTTTTGATAGATCAGCCCCATCAACAAATAGCCACCATTTAATAAAACAATGATAATAATAATAATAAGTGGTAGTAGTAACAAAAACCACTAATATGGAGGCCTACTCTAAGCCAATCACCATGTTAATCTCTTTGCCCATATTCATTACTGCATTTCAACCTTGCAACAACCTTGAAAGGTAGGAGTAACTTTTCAATGTCATTAAATACTGAAGCTGGAGCTCAGTGTAATTAAAGAACTTGTCCAAGGCTTCACAGCTAGTAAAATATAACCAGGTCATAATGCAGGTCAGTTTTGTTCCAAATATATAGTCTTTACTCTTCATCACTTTCCCTCCCCAGCCTACACGCATAGGAATGGAAAAGATGAGCTTCTATTTTTGTGTCACATAATTTATATAGTCTAGGGTTGTTTAATCCAAGCCTTTTGATAACCTTGTACAATAAATATTATGGCAGAAATTGCTATTATCCCCACTTAACAGAATAGAAAACTGTGACTCAGAAAGGTGTTTAATTTCCCTACAGTTATCCCAGGAACTAGAGCTCATGTCATCTTGACTCCAAAGTTGCCTTTTTTCCATTATACTGATAGGTTTTCTGCTTATCGAGCAGCTCCGCTGTGTGAGGCACAATTCTAGATGCTTTTGGGGGAAAGTAATCATTAATTCTCACAAATATTCCATGAAGAAAATGTTCTCAGTACCATTTTGTTGATGAGGAATCTGATCTTTAGAGAGTTTAAGTAAGTATAAGTGGTCTGTCATCAAAAGTTAATAGACCTGGATCTGTCACAATTGCTGAGGTCTCCCATATAGCCATATTGTGATTATTTATATGATTTATTAGTCACTGAGGTGTCCCTTATAACATTTTCCCCTTTCCCATATGCCTATTGTAGGAATCATAATGCTACCATTGGACATTTATTTCTTTGGTATACATTATTTCTCCCTCTGGTTGGAAAAGCTTACTATGGAGATACAGATTTTGATGGAGAGCACAGAGGAAGGGATTTTTTTGGAACATGAGGTCTAACTTTTGGAGGGCTTACCCAAGTGGGGTTTCCCCAGTGGGGAGCTGAGGAAACCAGTGACCAGCAGAAGACATGGCAATGGAAAGTATGAAAGTGCCTTACTCTGCCAGTGGGGCATGCTGAGGGCATGTTGGTTAGATTAGAGATTCTCAAACACAAAGATCGTTTGGAGAGCCTCTTAAAACACAGATCGCTGGGCCCCACTCTCAGAGTTTCTGATTCAGAAGGTCTGGCTTGGTGTCTGAGGATCTGCAGTTCTAGCAAGTTCCCCGGTGATCCTAAGGTTGCTGGTTTAGGGACCACACCCTGAGAACCATGGTTCTATAGTCTGACTGAGAATCGTGAGGTGAAATGGTATCTGGAAGGGGAGAAATGCCCAGCACTATGGTGTCTGGTCATCTTCTACTAGGTAAAATGATGTCTATTGTATACAAAATGTGATGGGGGAAGACATAGATAGAGGAAGAAGAAGCCAGTAGGAATTGAAGACTTTCTTTACATGAACACCAGATATTTTATATTATCTCTCATTTTGTAGTAGGTAAACAGCATAGCTAAAAAATTTGTAAGGAAAACAGTTAATAAACACTAAACACTATCTTCCATGAATGTAAATTTAGACAACACAAAAATATATAGACCTGTTATTTAATACGTGTATTAGAAGTAACTCAAAAGCAACATACGTACACCTGGATAGAACTGAAACGGTCATTTATTAATAGGAAAAATCCCAGTTTCTTCCTTTTCCTGGCATATGTGGTTGACTAGAAAATCAGAAAACAGATCCTCATTATAATGCATTTGTGTAAAATGGTGAATTTTCTCTTTATATCCTTTACATTTAGAAGACTTTGATTTGATTCCAAATTTCACACACTTTGCTTGACCTCATGAATTTAAGGTACAAACGGGTGGCTCAGAATTCTTGGCTGTTTATTTCCTGAATCCCAGAGAGTAGTGTGCTTAATAACTGATGATGTGTGATGAATTTTCAGTGAATGCCTCTGGGGGGAATGTTCTGACTTGCAGCTCAGAGAGAAGCTGGAGCAGAAAGCAAAGGAGAAGGTTGCAAATCCCTTAATGAAATTTTTAATAAAAGAAGCTTTGAATGCATGCTTTTTTCAAATCATTGCATCCGACCATTTTTGAGAGTCGACATAACTGATCAAGAGAGTGAGTATTAAGAATGCAAAAAGACAGCACAATTAAAGAGAAAGGCACATCTGGGAGCAGGAGAAGGCCAGAAAGTAGCTTTGAACCTGGATGGGGAAGTTTTCATGGTGGCCAGTTATTTTGGAGACTTTTTCGGATTCCTATCTTTCAGTTTCTTAACCTTAAAGTAAAACTGCGCAGAACTTTGTACAGACCACCTCTACCACCACCCCATTCTATTCCTAGAGTTTCCTTAGTGAGCGGAAGCAAACTTTGTGCAAGAATACTACAGGGCCGATCTTTGTCAGGAGAGTGATGGGAACTGAGAATCAGTGAGGAAGTAAGCTGTGTGTAGGTGCTTCTTGAGAGCTAAGTCATCAACTTCACTTCTCTCCCAGGCTGTTTTTGCTCTTCACTCCATGGAGAGCCTCCTTTCCAGATGGCACTGAAGGCACCTGATGGATTTCATTTCTGCTAGTCAGATGTCAGACTCCTTCTCAAAAGGGATAATGAGCAGATAGCAGGGGTCTCAATGAAGAGATATCCTGTGATACCTAGATCCCCAAACTACACTTACCTCTCAGTACAAAAGGCAGTGGTCTTGTTTGAAAGAAGGGGAAACAGCCACTTTCTTCCATTTTTCTTTTGTTTGAAAACAGTAAGTATTGTTTTTAAGCCTTCCTCAGAGTCAGAACGCAGGTATGCATTGACCTCAAAGGTCCTCATGGTATTCTCTAACAAATGTAAATAAAAAGCTGTTGCAAGCCTGCTGAATGAGAAAGACAATGAGGAAAGGCACAGTTGTCTTCTCAACAATTATTTGCAGACTTCATTAATAAATTCTCCTCTGAAGCAGCAATCAAGCAGATTCTTCCCCTTGGCAAGATGTTTAACTGCTTCACAGAAACAGCTGTAATCAGACCAAGATTAGAACAGAGGGAGGCTTACTTTACGTATTTCCTCCTGTAGTTTGTGAACAAGCGTACGAGGTACTAGGCAAGTAGGTTTCCCAACAGTTCTGTGTATAGCCCCTCAGGAGTCCTCATTCATTGACATACTTATATGTGTGGTTGAAAGTTTCCCTCTGCCCTATTTTTGAATCTTTTGTGTTTTATCAAAAACAGAATGAAGTACTCTCTCTGTATGTTTACATTGAAAGTTGGGGAGGGGGTAACTCAAAAGACCCCACTGAGGTGTAATTCATTGCAGGTTGTGTTATAGGGTAGGGAAAATAAAGGGGTTGAGGAGAAAAAAAGATTTTTTTTTTTCAAAAAGGATTTTGTGGCTTTTGGCACTGTTAATAATTTGTGTGGAAAAATAATGTTTTTTTTGTGTGTTTAATCCTGTGCCAAGGCAGCTGCTGGTGCAGTAGCGTTCTGCAACAAATTAGAGGGCAGTTAAAGCGAGATTTTCCACCATCAAGAACAAAGCAAGGCCAGTTAGCATGAGGACAGCTTGTTCTAGTTGCTAATGTGCTTAGAAACTTGCTGCACATAATTTGAAACAGCTTTTGTGTGAGGATGCCGTGGCTCCGGTTTCTGAGGTCTAGTTCTAATTCCAAATCAAATGGAAGCAGCTGAATTAGAAAATGACAAGTTATGCACTGACGTCGTCTGTCCTGGCTACAGAGATAATTTTTTTCATCATTGCTATTGATATGAAAGTTAATTCCCTTCAATATTAAAATATTTAATGGGTGACAGCTGTCTGAAATATGAAGCCTGCAGCCCCTATTTACCAAAGGAGAGCTCTCAATAACTGTGTGGCAGCTCTAACACACTTACAAATTATTTAAAGATGTATTACCTTTGCTGGTAAGGAAGCAGATGTTAAAAAGCTTCAGTGCCTCCTTAAAAGTTGATCTGAACCTCAAGAGTTTTAAACAATGTTGCTTTTTATTTCACTGGCTTGGAATTAAATGGGATTCCTTGGTTGCAATGCATTGGAAAAGAGCATGCTGGAGTCCAAATACCTTTCAGTGCTTAGAATTTAAAACTTTCATTTGTAACTCGGATAGGCTGTAGAGAATTAAATCTAGGTGGGAGAGAAATAGGAGAAGGCAGATTTTTAGCTGGAGTTTTTTGCCTACTTAAAGACGAGCTGGGCACAGCTATAGTGGTGAGAGGTTTTAGATCCCGTGTGCGCAAGAAATGAGTTCAGTTCCTAAATTCACATTCATCAGGCTGAATATTAAGTACTTCTTAAAGGCCAAGTGCACTGCTGACACCCTCACTAATAGGATTTCAAATGGTATAGTTATAACTATTCTAGAAAATACTAATAAACGACATTAAGGTCTAAAGAAGGCCTTGAAGAAATTTCAGAGATCAAAATTTCTTTGTAGACTGTATACACATGAAGAAAAATGAAAGGATTTTAGCTAAGTTAAGATAAATAGAAGAATTTTATTCAAAGGAAGTTTCAGAAAACCTGTCTTTCATCCATATTATACCACTGCATCTGGGGTTGGAAAATTTCGCACTTTTTTTTTTCTACAGAATATCAAATATGGGCTTCTTGAATTCACTTACTTTCAGAAAAAATGCAAATTGACCAAGTATTTAGTATGTATAAGCAGTTATTTCTCTCGAGTTGAAGTTAAGTGAACTGGAAATTAGGGATTGGAGAAAAAAAGTGTGGGGAGGTCCTCTTAACACACAGGAAAATAGAGCAGCTACTCAATTGGTGAAGGGCTACTGAGTGTGGTTGTGCAAGTTGTACACTGCACAACTCAGGGAGTGCTATTCAGTTTGTAGTTAGACAGTGTATAATGTGTATGACCACCCATAGTTATACCTGAATTGGTGTGATTTTAAGGTACATGGACAGATTTATCTGTCTAGATATTCCCATATGGACAATCACAGTACCTGATTATCTCCTCCGAGTACCTTTATAAGGGATAAGATTTAAATATTTTATATAAGGGACATTATCAATGAAGAATGATACTGTAGTTAGCTAACATATTAACCTCCCCGTACTTTTCTTGGCAAAAGAGGCATTGTCGCTATTATAAATCAGGACGCTAAAAGAAATGAATATAGGACAGATCAGTTTTAATAGTGAAATAGGAAAATATTAGAAGCTTAAGGGCCTGTTTAGCCAAAGAAGATGCATAATATGGTATCTTAAGCAGCAAAGAAAATCTGGGGGTATTGAGGACCCGGGTTGAGAAGATACAGAAAAGAGGAGGAAAAGCTTGGCATATTTTAGAATTTTTCATAGGGCTATCTTAATTACAGAAACAAATATTCATTTAAAATTTCCAATTATTTCTGTCTCCAGATTAGTAGGAAAAGGCCTGCAAGAATATATTAAAACTTTTTTTTTCTTATTCAACTTCTATAAAGGCTAATTGGTCTTTCCAAGATTTAGCATTTCAACAAATACTTGTTGGGTAGCTCTTATCGAACAGACATGGTAGAACATATGCAATGGCACATGTCAAAGTTCTTAACCTCAACTGGCAGACATTTAAGTAAGAGACATAAAGTAAGCTAAGCACATTCACAACAGCATTAAAGAGTTATAGGGATTTAAAGAAGGTGGAGATCACATATGGTTGAGGTGGGGAGTGGGTCAAGGAAAGTTTTCTGATGAAGGTGCTGTATTTAGGTCAGGAGATCGAGACCATCCTGGCTAACACGGTGAAACCCCGTCTCTAATGAAAAATACAAAAAATTAGCCGGGCGTGGTGGCGGGCGCTTGTAGTCCCAGCTACTCGGGAGGCTGAGGCAGGAGAATGGTGAGAACCCTGGAGGTAGAGCTTGCAGTGAGTCAAAATCACGCCACTGCACTCCAGCCTGGGTGACAGGGCGAGACTCTGTCTCAAACAAACAAACAAACAAAAAAAAAGATGGGTCTCAATAGATGACACAACTAGTAACTGGGATTAGAACTGTGTTCCATGGTTTTAAAAGTCCCGAGAATTGTAAAAATTTACATGGGTTGAAAAATTTTCAAAGATCTTAATAAAATTAAGTTTGATTATAATTCCATTTGATTTGCTCATGTTTTATGCTAGCTATTCTTGCTACCTTTAGAGAGAGGTAGGTTAAAACAAATAAGAGGCTTGCAATGATAAGGGATAAAAGTAATATTTGGATAGGTATTGGTATAAGAACTGTTTTTGTGATATAATCTGAATTGTCTGTTTACCCTCAGGAAAATATAATTAGGTCATTTCCAGCCACACTCCTGTTCAATCTTTAGCTACTTAAATTTTATCAGCAGCATCATTATTTAACATTCTAACACACAAGTTAGCCTTATTTACTTTATTTTGTTTTGCTCAATCCTACTGACATCCTTTGAGATACTGTGCAGAACATAACTCAGAATTGTCCTGAGGGATGAGGAAGTTGTTACTCCCTTTCATAGGTTACTCCAGAGGGTATCAACTTCCTGGGACTTCCTGGTGGAATATACTCCAGTGGCCAGATAATGCTTTCAGGCAGAGAAATTCAGGAAGCCACTGGCTTGTAAGGGAAGCATCCACAGGCGATCTCCAAGAGGGCTGAGGGAATATGAGTGAAGCACCAACAGAGTTTGGCATGGTGTATATAAAAAGATAAAGAAACAAAGAGTAGGATTCTGTGGCCAATGCATAGTTGAATGGAATAAAATAAATTTCCTTATTATTAGACTTCTCAGTAATTTTAATATTCATCACGAACAGATTATATAGCTTTTGTCAAACTTACTTGACCAAGGAACACATTTTTGAAGGAATATTTCACAAGGCTAATAGTTCCTAGAAAATAGTTTGTAAATATCTCATTTCCTGCATTTACGCAGTGTCTTTATGTTCAAAACACACTCGCAGGCCCCAGATGGGATTAAAGAGATGTAGGGGTAAATCTGACTTAAATCTTGCCTTTAGGTTGCTTATGATCCAGTAGGGAAGATGAGGCATGTGTGAAACAGTCATAATGTACATATAAGAAATTACAGTGATATGGGAGATTAAAGATTATCTCTAGCTGGGATACAAGGGAGGCTTCCTGGATGAAGTGGCATTGACCTGGACCTTGAATTTAGGGTAGGCTTGGAGAATGTTAAGAGAGAGGGAGTACCACTTTACTCTAGGCTTAGGAAACAACATAAGGAGGGGATTTAATGGGGGAATAGTGTTGAAACACTAGTATAGATAGCCATAAAGTCTACAAAAGGTTGGCCAGATAAGAAACAAAATATTGTCTAAAACTTCTCTCAGTAATAAGCTGTACATATATATATATATATGTACACACACAATATATATATAAACATATATATGTAGTATACATATACACACAAACGTATCTTCAGAATCCTGATAATTACCTTTCCATGTTCACATACACCCTTATGCTCTTGGTTGGTGAATCTAGAAAATAGTTCAAAATGTCATGGAACTGCCTGGTAGTCTGTGGACAGCTCTCTTGAGATTTCTCATCACTTTCACCACATCTGGAGCTGTTACAGTTGTGGTATCAACTAGCAAAAGGAGGACATTGAAAACTCCCCTCCATAGAAGACTACCTATTCCAGGAGCAACTACACTCCAGAATCTGTCCCTTTAACCCCAAACTTAAAAACACTGTACTCCTTTAACTTAAGCAAGCTCTCGTAAATGCTTAGGTGGCTACCTGTAATATAAGGCCAAGGTGATTAGTTTAGTTCTCATGTCAGTGAGAGTATGAATGATTGGTTTCATTAAAGCTCTGCTCCTGGTAAAACAATTCAAATCATATGAAATTATATTGTTGAAAATATACCAAGAGCTTGAAGAAAAAAAATTAATGACTTCTTTTCATTTTTTAAATGTTGCCTTCTAATCCTTATCCAGATGCATACATATTTTTTTCTTACCATGAGTGATTACAATTTTGTAATTTTATTTATTGATGTATCTTACTTTTTGTTTCTCCATATTCTTTTAAATTTTTATTGAAGGATCTATTTTAAAATACTAATTTGATTGTTTTGTAAAAAATCATTGTAAAAATGTCAGTCAAAACTCAAAACTACAAAAAGAAAGTTAAAAAAAAACCCTCAAAATTCCATATCCCAAAATAACTATCATTAACATTTATTATATATAATTCTAGACATACTGGCACTGTGTTTCAGTGAGAAAGGCAGATAAAATAAAATTGAGGTAATTGCTGAACTTTAGATAAATCTCTGTTTAACAAAATATAGGGCTTCCTAAAGTATCCCTTTAAAGTTACTCATCAAAGTAGTATAGATAGACTATAAGAGATGGTAGTGGTTTCTTTGGTTTGGTTTGGTTTTTTAGCTATGAGTTTCAACTTTGATTCAGCCTTTAAGAAAGAAAATTAGGCCGACACAGTGGCTCACACCTGTAATCCCAGCACTTTGGGAGGCCAAGGTGGGCGGATCACGAGGTCAGGAGATCGAGACCATCCTGGCTAACGTGGTGAAACCCCGTCTCTACTAAAAATACAAAAAAATTAGCTGGGTGTGGTGGTGGGCGCCTGTAGTCCCAGCTACTCGGGAGTCTGAGGCAGGGGAATTGCTTGAACCCAGGAGGCGGAGCTTGCAGTGAGTCGAGATCGTGCCACTGCACTCCAGTCTGGGCAACAGAGTGAGACTCTGTCTCAAAAAAAAAAAAGAAAAAAAGAAAAAAAAAGAGAAAATTAGACTTCTTCTTATTTCTCCCACCCATTTTAATCTTTGTATTATTATATTATTATTCTAATATCATCAAGTTGTATTTGCATTATCTTCTGTAACCATAATTTCTGTAGTCCCGAGTTGTTTCTTTAGGTTCATCTCCAGGCTAACTGCATAAAGGGCTCTCAAGTTTTTTTTATACTTGAGCTCTTTCATGTTGTAGTGGAGCACTGTTTAATAGAACTTTTTGTGATGACAGAAATGTTCTGTATCTGTGCTGTTCAGTACAGTAACTACCAGCCATATGTGGCTTTCGAACACTTTAAATGTGGCTAGTGTGACTAAGGAACTGAATTGTAAATTTAATTTGATTTTAAATAATTAGTTAATTAAAATTTAAATGAACACATGTAGGTAGTGGCTACCACTGCCATACTAACAGTGGTAGTATGGTGATCAGCAGTTCTGCCTGTGTTTAATGCTTTGGCATATCTTCAAAGCTTTTATATGTTTATATCAAAGATATAGAATATTGGGTCATTGTTTCCATTAGAATTTTGTAAGCATTGAGTGTTGCTGTGAAAAGTTTGGAGGCTATTCTGAGTTTTTCTTCCTTATTTGACTTTTTTTTTTTTTTTTTTTTTTTTTTTTTTTTTACATTTTGAGAGATTCTGAAGCTGGGGTGGTCAAGGAGAGAAGGCTGCCTACATCTGTTAAAACAGGCAAGATCCATGATATTTTGAGCTATTTTACACATTTACCAAACAGTACTAATAACAGGGCTGCATGTCCACATAGGTGTGTCAACATGGGAAGGTTATTATATCTGCAAGGTAGTTGATATTTCAGTTTCACAAAAGAGAAACTTAAAAGAGGTTAAATAATTTGTCTAATATTACACAGACAGTAAATGGCAGAAATAGGATTTGATCCAACTAGTCTGTTACTGCTTTTTCTACCACCCTATAGATTTAATTTTTTTAGCAGCAAAAAATATTTCCCTAAAAATAAATTCTTGTGTAGAATTCTAAAATATAACTTTTTAAAAAACTATTTACGATTGTCTTAAATTCTATAAATTTATTTTATTTTATTTTTTCAAGACAGAGTCTTGCTCTGTCTCCCAGGCTGGAGAGCAGTGGCATGACCTTGGCTTACTGCAACCTCCACCTCTCTGGCTCAAGCAATCCTCCGACCTCAGCCTCCCAATTAGCTGGGACTATAGATGTGTGCCACCATGCTGCTTGGCTAATTTTCTTATTTTTTGTAGAGACAGGACCTTGCCATGCTGCCCAAGCTGGTCTTGAACTTCCTGGGCTCAAGCAATGCATTGCCTCAGCCTCCCAAAGTGTTGGGATTACAGGCATGAGCCACTGCACCCAGCCAATAAATGTATTTTAAATGTCAGGTTTTAAACATTAACTATTAAAAAGCCAATCCATGGTCAGGTGAGGTGGCTCACGCCTGTAATCCCAGCACTTTGGGAGGCCAAGGAGGGTAGATCACCTGAGGTCAGGAGTTCTAGACCAGCCTGGCCAACATGGTGAAACCCCGTCTCTAATAAAAATATAAAAAATTAGCCGAGCATGGTGGTGCGGGCCTGTAAACCCAGCTACTCGGGGGGCTGAGGCAGGAGAATCGCTTGAACCCTGGAGGCGGAGGCTGCAGTGAGCCAAGATCACGGCACTGCACTCCAGCCTGGGCGACAGGGCAAGATTCCATCTGAAAAATTAAAAAAAAAAAAAAAAAACCCATGAGAATAATAAAGCGACTTTAATTAACACCATAATTTGAAATCAGAGGTTGTGACTAACAATTACAGCCTTAACATTACTCAGCATCGAACCTACTTCTATCTGGTTTGGTTTGCCATGGCGTGGAATTCATGACTCATGCAGATAAATAGTTGTAATGGTCTCTCTGCTCAGGACATTCCTCAATTAAACTGATTCAGAAACTTAAAGGGGAGTAATAGAGAAAGTTTTGTTTTAAAGTTGAATCATCTAATAAGTGCTTGTATTTCTTTCTTTTTTTCTTTCTTTTTTTTTTTTTTTTTTTTTTTTGAGACAAAGTCTCACTCTTGTCCCCCAGGCTGGAGTGCAATGGCGCGATCTCAGCTCAGTGCAACCCCCGCCTCCTGGGTTCAAGCGATTGTCTTGCCTCAGCCTCCCGAGTAGCTGGGATTACAGGTGCCTGCCACCACGCCCGGCTAATTTTTGTAGTTTTAGTAGAGATGAGTTTTCTCCATGTTGGCTCGGCTGGTCTGAAACTCCCGACCTCAGGTGATCCGCCCGTCTTGGCCTCCCAAAGTGCTGGGATTATAGGCGTGAGCCACCACACCAGGCCAAGTGCTTGCATTTCTTAACTTAAATAGGAAGGTCAGCCCCCAACTTATAGTAAACATCAAAGTTCTCTGTAGTATGCTGTGTGTCACTGGTTCAGTTATAGTTGAATACGTGAATACTGAGCTATGCCAAGTGTTTGAGCCAAGTGAACATGTATGAGTGTTTCCTGGTACAGGACTGAGCAGAGTATCCCATGATGCACTAGATATTTACCTGAGCAAATTTTCAAAAGATGAGTTTAGACCTGTAACTTTTCCAATTAATTATACATTTATAAGAAGTTCATAAAATGTATAATGCAAGTAAAGGAGACTTTCTTCTGATATGTGTAGAAAATAAGAAAAAAGGATTAAACTGGCAGCATAGGTTAAATTTTGGTGATTTTCAGTGTCACATAATCTGATAATTACATATTAAAATCAGTAGCTCTTTTTTCTAAACACAGTTTAAAATGTTAAAATATGTTTGAAAATCTATTTGAACCAAATGACCCACAAAACACTGCTGAACAGTTTGAAATACCTTGTAGTCCCTCTATCAAGCCTCATAGGCTTTGATAGTTACAAATACTTAAGTCTATGTGGCATTTGTCAAAAACATTGCCCCAAGCTTTCGTGATTTTGCTCCTAAAATAGCTCCTAAAGCTATTAGTTTATGTTCTTTCTTTTGTGGCCTGGGTAAAAAGGTGGCTCACTCACGCTTGCTTGTTCTGAGTTGACAGAGTTAGAGGGGATCACTTTTCCTGGTTTCAGATCTTGTAGACATTGGAGCAAAGTGTGTGTGTGTGTGTGTATGTGTGTGTGTGTTTATGTGTGTGTGTGTATGTATGTTGTAAAAAGTTGTATACATTACTGGGGTTAGTGGTCCAAAAATTTTCTAGGCTGATTATATTGAATATTAACACAAATCCTGTATAAAGATCCTTACTTGGTCAGCTCTTTCTAGGAGAAGCACCTACATTTTTTTTTACCCAGCATGAATCCATTTTTGGTAGCTCTGGAAAGGAATCCCAGAAGTGAACATTCCTCTCCTCCGGCTTTCTCTTCAGTTGAAATTCTAAGCTTCTGTGGTCCCTCATTTTAGTTCTATTCTATGGCCCTTATCTCTTTTAATAAAGAAGGAGCAGGTCCACGCAAGCAGAGAAAGCAGGTGTCAGATGCACGCAGACATTGAAGTTTGAAGTATTCCGAACAGAGATCAAACACTGACTTCATGTATGGCAACAGGCACTTGTAAGTTTAGGAACAGCCCAAGCATTAGTCCAGACTATGAAGTCCTTTATTAAAATCTCAAGGGATAACTTTCAAAGTGGAGTTTGAGTGCCCATAGGAGGTAATATATTTTACATATAGCTCTTATATGCAATCTGGGATGTGAGATAGAGTCATTCATTAAACGAATGACGGTAGGAACCCTGGAGGACCTGTAGTCAACAATCTTTATCTGCTGTATGTGTCCCACTGAGGTGCAAGACATTCTCTAAGGCCATAGGCCTAGTGAGTGCCAGCTCATCTCTCACTTATTAAGTGCTTACTATTTAGCCAAATATTATCCTTGACTCTGGAAAGACAGCAAAATAGACATGGTCCCTGTTCTCATGGAACTGATTGTATTGTGTGAGAGCAGACACTTGAAGAGAGATTTCAGTACAGCGTACTAAGAGTGGGATAGATTTTCCTAAAGTGATTTCATCACTTCCTTTAAGCTTCTAAGGTCCTGCTGCTGCAGCTGCTTCTGCAATCATCAGCCAACATTTATATGCTCGATTATTTTATTCTTCACAAACCCCTTTACTATAGCTACTATTATTGGCCCCATTTTATGACTAAGTAAACCGAGGCTAAGGAAAGTAAGCAGCTTGTCTGAAACCATTCTTTTGTTTAACCTGCTAATATGAAAGGATATGACTGCTTCAAATACAAGAAAATACTGTCAAGAGAATGAGAAGACAAGCCACAGACTAGGAGAAAATACTTACAAAAGACATATCTGATAAAGAATGGTCATCCAGAATACACAAAATACTCTTAAAACTCAACAACAGGAAAATGAACAACCCAAATTAAAAATGAACAAAAGACCTGAACAGACATCTTACTAAAATAGTTACATAGATGGCAAATAAGTATAGAAAAAGATGCTCCACATCATATGTCATTCGGGAACTGCAAATTAAAACAATTAGATAATACTATGCCTGTTAAAATGGCCCAAATCCCAAACAATGTCAATACCAAATGCTGGTGAGGATGTGGAACAAAAGGAACTCTCATTTGTTGCTGGTAAAAATGCAAAATGATACAGCCACTTTGGAAAATAGTTTGGCAGTTTCTGACAAAACTAAATATTTTCTTACTATACAAACCAGCAATCTTGCTTTTTGATATTTATCCAAATAAGCTGAAAAGTTATGTTCTCAGAAAAACTTACATATGGTTGTTTCTATCAGTTTTATTCATAATTGCCAAAACTTAGAGGAAAAGTAGATATCCTTCAATAGGTGAATGGATAAATACACTGTGATACATCTAGACAATGGAATATTATTCAGGGCTAAAAATATATGAGCTATCAAGCTATGAAAAGACATAGAAGAACCTTAAATGCATATCACTAAGTTAAAGAGGCCAGTCTGAAAAGGCTACATACTGTATGGTTCCAACTATTCTGGAAAAGCTTTAAAACTATTTGAAAGATCAGTAGTTTCCAGGGCATAGGCAGGACAGAAAGATGAATAGGAGAAGCACAGAGGATTTTTAGGGCAGTGAAACTATTCTGTATGATACTATAATGGTGGAGACATGTCATTATACATTTGTCAAAACTTAGAGAATGTGCAATATCAAGAATGAGCCCTAATGTGAACTACGGGCTTTGGATGATAATGATGGGTCAATGTAGGTTCATCAGTTGTAACAAATGTACCATTCTCGTGTGGGATGTTGATAGAGAGGAAGGTTGTGTTTGTGTGGGGGAAAGTGATATATGGGAACTTTCTGTACTTTCCACTCATTTTTTTCTGTGACCTAAACTTCTCTAAAAATTAGGTCTGCTTAAAAATACTGTTAGCTCTTTTGTTAAGATTTATAAAGAAGGTTATTGTAGCAATCAATGGGCCCCAGGTTCAGCATTTTTTTTTTAACCCACATTAGGGTAAGGGTAACATTTTATTTAGTAGAGCTCTAGGTAGCCTTGAATCTACTAATCACTTCATTTATTTTTAAGTCTTATACAACTTTGGGCAGATGTCAGAAGAAGATGCTAAGGAAAAATACCCTTAAGCAAGAAGAAGAAGGTTATACACCTTAATTTTCTTTTTTAACTTTAGAAATCTCACCATGTTAAACTTCCTCATTTGAAATCTGTTGTTAATGGCTGTTTTCCTCCCACAGATGAGGGTGGGCAGATTATTACCAGTCCATGCTGACTTTGAACAGGGCATACATTATGGGAAGTCCCCACTGAGTTTATTATTAGTCCTGTATATAACAGAAGAAACCTTGAAAACCTCTACCCAACCTTGACCCTTTGTTTCCTGTTTGCGTTATTGTTTGTGGTGGTGTGCTGCTGCCTGACCTACTATAAATGCCAAGTGCACAGCTCCTTTGAATTTCACACTGCAGCCATAAATCGTTTGTCCATTTATAAATAAAATAAAATGTGGGATATGATGGAGCTCAAGAGAGCATATTGTCTGAAACTCTTGGATCTCATTCTCAGCGCAGATGTGCCAAAGCTGTTTGGCACAGTATAAATTGAGCTGGGTGTTAGGACTGTTCACAGCCCCCTGGGGACAGGTGGGCTGGGTACTTGGCTGAGATTGCCTCAGAGCATTAGAAAATGGTAATTGCCTGAGACTTCTTATGTTTTCTCCTGAAGTGTTACTCTCTTCCTGGTTCTCTAGTATAACTGTGAGGGTTGATTTGAAATAGCCAGAAGTATTAATGATTGAGAAAAAAAGTATTATACTCAGACTACATAAAAAGCAGACTCTACAGAGACAAATGTAAAGAGAAAACAAATTCTATTTCTAATCCTATTTTATTTGGTTCGAAAATGCTAGGAAGTTCTGGAAGATTGAACTCCACGTTGATGCTCTACTTTCTACGTTAGTGTTTTTTTTTTTTTTTTCCCATGGAGTTAGAGCAGGATATGGTACCTCATGAATTAATGCTAACTGGTTATTGAACAAGAATTGTGTGGAAGTGAGTTAAGAGATGGTCTTGTGTCATGGAAAGCATAGTAGTAGCTGGACACTGGGGTGCTGCCTCTAGTTTTACTACCAATTAGGGTTATAAACTGATGCTGCGCACTTAAATTTTAGGGCGTCTGATGCCTCCTGTGTAAAATCTGAGAAGAGAAGAAGGTTGACTTAGCCTGTGGTCACCAAGGTTCCTCCTTGTTGTACCTTTTTAGAGTTTTGTGAAAATAACCTGGGATGCCAGGTGTCAGCTTTGGATGTCCTCCTTTGAACAGTCTTCCCCAGACTTTTTTGTCAGCCTAGCGAGGGGTCCACAGTGGCATTGACACTGTCTGCCCTGCACTACAGGATGAACAGATCATAGGAGAGTACTGATTCTCCAACCTTACATGGTCTAACACTTTGTAGTTTAAAAAGCACTTCTGGGCTGGGCGTGGTGGCTCACGCTTTTAATCCCAGCACTTTGGGAGGCCGAGGTGGGTGGATCACGAGGTCAAGAGGTCTAGATCATCTTGACTAACACGGTGAAACCCCGTCTCTACTAAAAACACAAAAAAATTAGCTGGGCGTGGTGGCGGGCGCCTGTAGTTCCAGCTACTCCGGAGGCTGAGGCAGGAGAATGGCATGAACCCGGGAGGTGGAGCTTGCAGTGAGCCGAGATTGTGCCACTGCACTCCAGCCTGGGCTGCAGAGCCAGACTCTGTCTCAGAAAAAAAAAAAAAAAGCACTTCTGCATATATGATCATCTCGAAAATTCCCTGAGATGGGAACTGTTATTGTCCAGAGTTTACAGTGAGGAAATATCTGTAGAGACACAAAGTGTGCTTATCCACACCATACAGAATCATCCAAGGCAGTCGTAGCCCAGTAGTATAGGCTTAGGAGTTGAAATGACCTGGGTTTGAATCAACTGCCATTTATTCTTTTTGTGATCTCGGGTATTGCTTAATCTCTGTTTTTGCCTTTGTACAAAGAAGATAATAATACTCAAAGGAATGTGTAAATGCAATGTGAATGGGAGGGCAAAGATATGTTTTTATATAATATATGAAAAATGCTGGCTGTGAGTGGTGGCTCATGCCTGTAGTCCCAGTGCTTTGGGAGGCCAAGCTGGGAAGAATGCTTGAGGCCAGGAGTTCAAGGCCAGCCTGGGCAACATAGTGAGACCCCCCCACCCGCCGTCCATAAAAACATAAAATTAGCAAGGCATGGTGGTACATGCCTCTAGTGCCAGCTACTCAGGAGGCTGAGGTGTTCGAGGCTGAAGTAAGCTATGATTGTGCCACTGCACTCCAGCCTGGATCACAGAGTAAGACCCTGTCTCAAAAAAAAAAAAAAAAAAAAAAAGGGCTTTGCACAGTATCACCTCTGGAATATATTCTTAAAAATGATAGCTATAATTACTTATTATTAAGTGAAGGCTTTAGGCCTTCTAATTCTACATTCATGATCTTTCCACTATACCTTTCATTTATTGGTAACAGACATTTTTATGATCTCAGTTACATTAATGTTTGGAGATTAATGTGTCTAAAAATTGTCAGTTAATGGCCAACTAAGTCCTGTGTGTTTAAGGACCTTCTGAGAAGGCCGTATTAGTCAGCTATTGAATGGGGTGAAAATGGGTCATAGGTCAGCCTGAAAGAACCTTTTATTCCACACTTCTCAAGGAAAACAGAAAAAAAACCAATGAACCAACCCCCAGTTTTTTAAAAAATTGTTCTTATAAAAATAATACACAGTAGTTTATTTTAAATTGTTTTGGAAAAACAGAGAGTGCAAATAAGAAAGAAATTAATGCTTTTTCTTTGAGAAACACAAAATGGCAGATGATGCAGGTGCAGCGCATGGGCGGGGCAGGTGCCCTGGGGGCCCTGGGATGGGGAACCTCGGTGGCTTCCGCAGATGCTTTGTGGCATCCGGGGCCAGGGTTGTGGCCATGGTCAGGGCTGGGGCCGAGGCCGGGGCCGAGGCCACGGAGCTCGCGGAGGCAAGGCCAAGACAATGAGTGCATGGCCTTCACCAAGCTGGGCCGCCTGTTCACAGGGACATGAAGATCAAGTCCCTGGAGGAGATCTGTCTCTTTTCCCTGCCCATCAAGGAGTCTGAGATCATTGACTTTTTCCTGGGGGCCTCTCTCAAGGATGAGGTTTTGAAGATTATGCTGGTGCAGAAGCAGATCTGTGCAGGCCAGCGCACCAGGTTCAAGGCATTTGTTGCCATCAGGGACTACAATGGCCACGTTGGCCTGGGTGTTAAGTGCTCCAAGGTGGTGGCCCCTGCCATCTGTGGGGCCATCAACCTAGCCAAGCTCTCCATTGTTCCCGTGCACAAAGGCTACTGGAGGAATAAGATCGGCAAGCCCCACGCCATCCCTTGAAAGGTGACAGGCCGCTGTGGCTCTGTGCTGGTGTGCCCAGGGGCACTGGCATCGTCTTTGCCCCCATGCCCAAGAAGCTGCTGCTGATGGCTGGTATCGATGACTACTACCCCTCAGCCAGGGACTGCACCTCCGCCCTGGGCAACTTTGCCAAGGCCACCTTTGATACCATCTCTAAGACTTACAGCTACCAAACACCCGCCCTCTGGAAGGAGACTGTATTCACCAAGTCTCCCTATCAGGAATTCACTGACTACCTTATCAAGACCCACACCAGAGTCTCCGTGCAGAAGATCCAGGCTCCAGCTATGGCTACAACACAGGGTTTTTACACAAGAAAAATAAAGTGAATTAAGCTGGTTAAAAAGAAAAGAGAAAGAAATTAACAAAACATGTTGCATATGGTTTCATCGCTTATAAACAAATACAACTCACCTGATGGTATAATTTATTTGTTTTCTTTGAAAGGAATTATTTTTGTTCTTGTTGATCATAATTACTACCAACTGTATGTATAATTTAGTAGCCTAAAAATATGGGCCTCAGCTGTTGATAATCCTAATAGTGATTGTTTCTTGGTTTTGAGGAAAGTAAGGGGAGTGGGAACACAGAGTAGCTACTTTAGCAGTTTTTTTTTAAAGGCTTAAATTTTATTTCAAACTGCAAAGGAAAAGCCACAAAGTCTGCAGGTGAAGCTCAAGTTTCGAAGTTGGAAACCTGATTCCAGCCTGTTGTTGATACTGTGTTACCATAGATAAGACCACTCATTTTCTTTGAACCTCAGTTTTACAACCTAAAAGTCACAGAAGCAGGCCTAGGATTGCCCCAAAACTGATTTTCAATTCCTAAAGCCTCCTGATGTGTAACTACAAGAATAGAGCCTATCAACCTCACAAGTCTCTTCAGATTCACTTCCGCATAGCTGTAGATGCCTCCAGCTGTTCTCCAAATTCTAGCCACCAAGGGCAACCAGATGGACACTACATATAGGTTTGCTGTTGTCATGAAATCTGCTGCATGAGAACCATGTCAAACTCAGTAGCTCAAACCACAAGTATTTATTCTTACAGATATGCAGGTCCAATTGAGGGTTGACAATGAAGCTGAGCTTGGCTGGGTGGCTCTGTTGCTCTTGGCCAAACTCATTCAGATGTCTGGGATTCTGGTGGAGACTGGCTGATATAAGCTGCACTCAGCATGGGCAGTTAGGTCCTGTTGCCCAAGTCTCTCATCCTCTTGCTGGATCCAGTGGGTCAGAGGGTCATGTCGTGGCAGAGGCACAAGAGAGAAGGCAAGTCATGCAGGGCTTTTCAAGTCTTTGGTCACAATGCACTTGCTGACATTTATTTGGTAAAGGTAAGCCACATGGTCAAACCCAAAGCCAAAGGGTAGGGAAATGTGCTTCATCCTTTTAGGAGGAGGAGTTGCTAAATCACATGGTAAAACAGGTAGATACAGAGAGGGCTGAAGAGTTGGGCCATTGATGCAATCTACTAGATAGCATTCTCCTTTTGGAAACGTGAAGCTGCATATATCACCTCCCACATACATTTGCACTGGTTGGTCTCAGGAAAAGATTTTCTGCACCTGATACCTGTCCTTAAAGAATGGAAGATCTGGGTCTACCTTTCTTGGGACTCATTTTTCTTGCTAATCAGGTATCCAGGATCGCACAGATCAGTGCTACTCAAAGTGCTGTTCAAGGGCTGGCAAAATCAGCAATACTTTAGAGATTGTTTGAACAAATTCTTGGGCCCCATATCAGACCTATTGAATCAGAAATTCTGGGGATGGGGTCCAGGAATCTGCATTATGAAAAGTTTTCTGGGTGAGTCTAATGCTCAGTAAAGTTTGAAAAACACTGGTATGGATCAAATCTTTGCCACAATGTTTCTGGTAGCATCATTCTTATGTTACCTTGTCTTCTCTTATTTTGAACTACCATCATTCATTACCTGACCCTTCTACTGGGGGTGTCAGGATGATAATAATCCAAGGTATCAGCCTTCTTTACTGGACCACAGGCCAAAATGGGCTTCTGGATACTCCTATCCCCACTTCAAGAGTGGACTTCTAGGAGAGCATGTGTGGAAAATTACAGAACAGAGCACTGCCCCAGCTGGTGCCCTGAAGCTTCATATCAAGTATGGAAAACATAGGAATAGGAGGTCACAGGCATATGCAAATCTCAGTTTTTAAACTCTGCCCAATAGATATATACGTGCAATAGATACAAATGTGACACAAATAAATGTCACATTTGTGTTATCTCAATAATTTAGATGAATCACTCAACTTCACAGCTAGAGGTGAAGAAAATAAAAGACTGTTTCTTCATACTTCTAAGAGAGTGAAAGTCGTATTTTATGTGGTTGCAAAATTATCAGAGAGGGAGAACAGCATTGTTCCCCCTTGTCAGGGGAACTCTTGTCTAGGACTATGTCAATCCTAGTAGTTTTATGCCTCATCTAAGGTGAGAGGTGTTACATCTTGTTTCCATTTAGCAATTAATATAATTCTTTATTGAAAATATAATATTAAACTATGCTATATAATATGATATAATTTAATATAATAACTCCTAAACAAATATACTTCTTCCCCATTCTCTTCTCACTTTGATATAGCAGAACTGAATTTATAAGGTTGAGTATCAGCATTTAACATTCCTAAGATGAAAATATCCAAAGTGTCATAACTCAGCACAACTGTGTGTTAACTGTGCACATTGTGTTTCACAGGGAAAGAAATGAAAGAAAATAAAGGGAAAGTAGGTAATTGCTCACAGGATAGAAGAAGATATTATCCTGCCAGTTTCTTCCTGGAACTGTATGCATCATGTCCTGTGTTTGTGATATAGCACAGGGAGTCATTGCTAACAATGAATAACATTATTGGGATGACAGCAGTTTAAGTGCAAAAGAAATTTGAGTTCTGACAAACCAGGCAGACACACACAACATGAAAAATGTATAATGCATCACCATGGCTGGTTGTGTCTGTGGCAGTTAAGATACTGATACTGATTGAGAGGCTCATCTGTTCATTTGATTGTGTCTCATGGTTTAAATCTCTCTAAAGGGTCGGGGTGGGGGTGGAAGAAGCTAGTTTGCTCTGACTGACGGTGCAAAGAGGGGGTTTTGGTCTGCTTCTCATGTAAATGTAAGGAATAAGCTTCTCTGAGTTTGCATTGACTTTATTATCAGAGATAATAAATGGATGAATTCTAAAAAAGGAAAGGGAATGTAAAAGCCTTGAAAGCTTTGAAAGTTGCTGTGTTAACCACACAGCTGGTTACAGATACCTTTGCCAGTGTTGCTGTCACTGTTTATTTGATAACTTGATCCTTTATGGAAGAGAACTTGGAGCCACAGTTGATTTTTTTTCCTTTTTCTCTCACACCCAAATTCATAAGACCTGCCATCTTCCCTTTCTCAATGTTCCCATAAGGCATCTTTTTCTTTTCATTTTTACTCTCACTATCTTATTCATCCCCAGCCTAATCATTTCTCAGTTTGACCTTTGCCACAGCTACCTAGCTGGTTTCCCTACCTCCAGTATTGGAAGTCCTTCTTTAAGGTGGACATCAGTGACCTTTTTGTCCTTTAAATCATAAAGTCTTCCATGGTGCTCCATCCGTCACCCATAACAATGCCCTCCAATGAGAATGCACAAGAGGACAAGACAGATTATAGGAGAGACATTAGGAAACACACATATGCACACACAAATGATTCTAAAGAATTCAGAAATTATCACTTAATACAAGGAGTGATAATGGTACCTGTACTCTGTCCATGTGTCACTTCTGTAGTTGAGGTAACCAATGGAAAGAGAGGGAATTCCAAAACACAGAGCAGTAGACAGCAGTGCCCTTGTGAACCTGCTTAACTGGGCTTACAGATTACATCACCCAATTTTAACCAAAAGAACTCCCAGAAAAATGGGTAAGTGACTTACAAAGCAATAATAAGACAATGGCAGAGCTGGAACTTTGCCTTCTTTTGGCACAACCTCTTTCTCAGTCACATTATGGGGCAGAAACAATAATGAATGACCTAATTAGGTCTGAGAAAGAGTCAGCCAAAAAAGAAATGGAAACTATCAAGAAGATTATTTTAATCATTAACAAAGAACCTCTCCAGCAGTGTAATCTATGCCTTGAGATATTAGCTAATGATAGTAGTAGATATATGTAATGAGCATACATTATGTTTGTATATGTAATTCTTTTTAGCTGATGGGATGCACCATGAAAAGCTAGCTCACACGATAAGTTTCAAGCTCTTAGTCGTGGAATGCCAAACCATCACACCTCAGCTTCTAGCTTTAGCCTTGGTTATTATCTGTCCATTCCCTCATTTCACTAGACTCTCCCAACTGATTATCTGTGTGACTTTGGGCAAGTCACTTAACCCCTCTGGGCTTCTGATTCCTTACTTGAAAAATGTAGGAGTGGGACTGGAGGATTTTTGAAGAATTTGCCAATCCTATTGTAATAGGATTGCTAATAAAGACATACCTGAGATGGCTAATAAAGACATACCTGAGAGTGGATAATTTATAAAGGAAAGTGGTTTAATTGACTCACAGTTCCACATGGCTGGGGAGGCCTCACAATCGCGGTGGAAGGCAAAGGTGGAGCAAAGTCATGTTTTACATGGCAGCAGGGAAGAGAGCATGTGCAGGGGAACTCCCCTTTATGAAACCATCAGATCTCCTGAGACTTATCACTATCATGAGAACAGTAAGGGAAAAACCCACCCCCATGATTCAATTACCTTGCACCAGGTCTCTCCCATGACACATGGGGATTATTACGATTCAAGGTGAGATTTGGGTGGGGACACAGAGCCAAACCATATCACCTACACAGGTGTTTCTTGACTTATGATGGGGCTATGTATTGATAAACCCATTGTTTAAGTAGAGAATATAATAAGTTGAAAATACACTTAATAGCCGGATAAACCCATTGTAAAGTCAAAAAATTAAAAGTCTGGATGCTTCTTAATTTATAGTGGATTTGGGTCCCAATAAAAAAGTGGAAAAATTGTAAGTCAAACTATCCTAAGTTGGGACCATCTGTAATTCAATTGTAATTTTATGTATCACCATTTAGGAATAAGATTTTTTTATGTAAGTGGAGTTTATTTCTTCAATTATCAAAATTTTTAGAAATTACTCTATTTTTGATAGAATTTCTTTAAAATATCTCACACTTCCTATTCTTCTTAAACAGAAAACGGAACATAATTTGACTTTCTCTTGATAACATAGGATCATTAATATACTACAATTCACTATATTGCACTGTCCTCTTATATAATGTTACCTCTAATTGCCATTGAATCATGCAGCTTATTTGCCCTAATGCTAAATGGTTCCAGACTGCTATACTTTCCAATTCTAATGCCTGACTTTATACTTGTTTCTTACAACCAAGTTGTGAACTGGTACTTCATACTCATTCGTTGTATATGCCCTCCTCTCCTGTCTGTCATCTTTCAACTTTCTGGCTGTAAGGTGGAATAGGCTGGGAAAAGAGACCTATGTCTAAAGTAATAGTGGTTATAGAACCATTTAACCACCCTATACTATGCTTAAGTGCAGGGTGAAGGATAGGAAGTAAGACTGGGATTCGAAACTTAACTCCTGTATGCCTCAGTAGCCTCATCTGATAAATGGTGAGGATTAAATCAGATACTGTTTGCAACTTGCTAGGGTAATACCTTGCAGCCCTAAGCACCAACACATTTTAACAAGATAAATAATAATACATAAGGTTTATTAAATGATCATTATGTGGCAGACACTTTGCTAGGCACTTTATGTAGATCTACGCATTTAGTCCCCACAAAACTCTTGTGAGGATGTGTCTCCCAGTATGTCTCTTTTACCTATGAGGAAATGAACATTATTATTCTTTTTCTTTTTTTATGTGCTATTTTTAATTTTTTTATTTTAATAGTTTTGAGGTATAAGTGGTTTTTGGTTACATGGATGAATTATATAGTGGTGAATTATGAGATTTTAGTGCATCTGTCACCTGAGTAAGGTATTTTGTGCCCAATATGTAGTTTTTTCATCCCATACCCCTCTACCAACCTCCCCCTTCTGAGTCTCCAGAATTCATTTTATCACTCTGTATGCCTTTGTGTCCTCATAGCTTAGCTCCCACTTATAAGTGAGAACATATGGTATTTTTTTTTATTCCTGAGTTACTTGTCTTGGAATAAGGCCTCTAGCTCCATCCAAATTGCTGCAAAAGACATTATTTCATTCAATTTTATGGCTGAGTAGTACTCCATGGTGTATATATGACACATTTTCTTTATCCACTCATCGGTCAGTGGGCACTTAGGTTGCTTCCATATCTTTGCAGTTGTGAATTGGGGTGCAAAAAGCATATATATGCATGTGTCTTTTTGATATAATGACTTCTTTCCCTTTGAGTAGGCACCCAGGTAACGGGATTGCTGGATCAAATGGTAGATCTACTTTTAGTTCTTTAAGGAATCTCCATACTATTTCCGTAGAGGTTGTACTAATTTACATTACCACCAGCAATGTATAAGCATTCCCCTTTCACCACATCCACACCAACATCTATTGTTTTTTGATTTTTTAATACTGGCCATTATTGCAGAAGTAGGGTTATTCTCATTGTGATTTTAATTTGCATTTGCCTGATATTTAGTGATGTTGAACACTTTTTCATATGCTTGTTGGCCATTTGCATATCTTCTTTTGAGAAATGTCTATTCATGTCATTTGTCCACTTTTTGATGGGATTACTTATTTTTTTCTTGCTGACTTATCTGAGTTTCTTATAGATTCTGGATACTAGTCTTTTGTCAGATGCATAGTTTGCAAATATTTTCTCCCATTCTGTGAGTTGTCTGTTTACTTTGCTGATTATTTCTTTTGCTGTGCAGAAGCTTTTCAGTTTAGTCAGGTCCCATTTATTTATGTTTGTTTTTGTTGCATTTGCTTTTGGGGTTTTAGTCATGAATTCTTTGCCTAGGCCAATGTCTGGAAGAGTTTTCCTAAGGTTATCTTCTAGAATTTTTATGGTTTGAGGTCTTAGATTTAAGTCTGTGATCCATCTTGAGTTGATTTTTGTATAAGGTGAGAGATCAGTTTCATTCTTTTACATGAGGTTAGCCAGTGTACCTAGCACCATTTATTAAATAGGGCATCCTTTCCCTAGTCTATGTTTTTGTGTGCTTTGCCAAAGATCAGCTGGTTTTAAGTATTTGGCTTTATTTCTGAGTTCTCTATTCTATTCCATTGGTCTGTGTGACTACTTTTATAGCAGTACCATACTCTTTTGGTAACAATAGCCTTGTAGTATAACTTGAAGTCCAATAATGTGATGACTCCAGATTTGTTCTTTTTGCTTAGGCTTGCTTTGGCTAGACAAGCTCTTTTTGGTTCCATATGGGAAACCAGTGGCGTACCTTGGTTTCACCAAGGTTACACACCTTGCTGGCCATCCCATGTGGGGAAGGTGCTTTGCCTACTACCACTCTCCATCTTCAGCCAGGCTGTAGCAGGGATGGTGGAGTCTCCTTGATTTTTAATCTCCAACAGATCTGGTTGCTTTCTTTCCACCTGTGCCTCTGCCAGGCACCTGATGAACAACAACTGTAATGATGTTCTAGTTGCCTTTTAAATAATCTAACTTGTCATATGACAGTGATGTTCTCAGGGCAGGGTCTGTGTTTAGTCGTGTCTCTGGCCTCAGGAACTAGAAAATCATGCAGTTTTTATTAAATGTTCTGAGCAGAATGAGACTTTAAATTAAAATCAGTTTCCATATTTTTTTCCTCTATGTTCTAAAAATTAATTCTCTTGGCATTACAAAAAGTTGAGGGAAGTTGGGATCTTGGAAAGAAATTATCTGTCAGGAAGCGGTGACATTCACATTTTCCACTGTGGGATGACACCTGCTGCTCCTATAGGACAATTAACAACTCTTGGAGGAGGGGAAATGTCTTAAACAAGTGGTGTTTTCTAGGCTTTGGTCTTGATTCTTTGGCCACGGAGGAGAAGGGAACAGGAAGGGAAAATCAAGAACACAACTTATGAAGCCTCTGTTCAAGAATGTATCATATTTTAGAATTGCCATGCAAACAATCACTTCAGATGGGAATATGGGCATGCTCAGTTTGGAGGTGAATCCCCACATGCATGATGTAAAATAGTTCACAGGCGGACTTGAAAAACAGCAGGATGTAGCTGATTATTTAAGGGGTGAAAAGTCCTCTTGATATATCAACTCAGAGCCTGTAAATATGATAACATTCTCTACCTGTCCTTCAGATGGAAAGCTGGAGAAGCGGAAAGGAGGCTGGTCTCACCTGCTTCCTTTAGGAAATAGAGAATGAACTTGTGAATTGAGAATGAAGCAGGCAGCATCAGCTGTATGAAAGTGAGCTCTGAGAAGTGATGTGCTCATTTATTCTCCTCCCCTCCTTCCATCTCTCCCTCTTAACTCTCTCCCCCAAAATAATTAAATGCAAAAGCTACTTGAGTGCAATGGTAAGTTACAAATTTAAACCCACAAGAGTCAAAAACTGTAGAACTGAAGGTCCTTAGGGGGACGTTAACTTTGCCACTTTTATATCATTATAGTAAGCTATTCATTTAATAGCCTAATTTGTAATCACAAATACCATGGGAAATTTCGCTATACCAACCTCTGGCTTCAGTTTTCCTGACTTGGTTGGCGATTTTGAATGTTGTAACCTTCAGAAATGCATATTTTTAGCATTTAGCAGTCCAGATCACTGGCAGATTAAATTACTTATTAGCCACATTTTTCTCAGCTCTATACCCTTTCCAATATACAATAAACTTGGCAAAGTCTAGTGAAGGTACATCTAAAGGTAAGATTAAATAATATAATTGTGCTGTTTCCATTTATTCAGCTGATTTGTATGGCCTAATGAAAGCTTATTTTTACCTGGAGGATAGTCATAGGGAGCTATGAATTAACCAGTGATAAAGATTCTGTTTGGAATTTGTCCCTAAAGGACCTCTCTGCTCAACTGAGTGCACTAAGGGCCCCAATTAATGTATCCATACTCTTCGTCCTGTGAGTTTGTAACTCCTTCTTACTCCACAGTGGGCTTGATCATGTGATTCGCTTTGATAAATGTGACACAAGCAGAGGCTTGAAAAGCACTTGAGATTTTCTGCTTATTATCTTAAGCATATCCTTGAGCTAGCCTTCTAGATTTATAAAAGAGCCAAGTCATCCCAGCCAAGGCCACTCTGGACAAACCAGATCCCAGCCCACATTCTGGCTGACTGTATGCATGTGAGTGGGTTTGGCCAAGATCACCCAAACCTGGCCCAGATTAGGAGAACCACCCAGCCAACCTGTAGAGGCAAAACAGACGATTAGGTAATGTTTTAAGCAAACAGCTTCAGTATGTTTGGAATGCATTATTATCGTGACAATAGAAAACTGGTGCACTTCCCTAAACACTTTTTTTTTTTTCAGACGGAGTCTCGCTCTGTCGCCCAGGCTGTAGTGCGGTGGCGCAATCTCGGTTTACTGCAAGCTCCGCCTCCCGGGTTCACAGCATTCTCCCTCCTCAGCCTCCCCAGTAGCTGGGAATACAGGTACCCACCACCACGCACGGCTAATTTTGTTTTTCTATTTTTAGTAGAGACAGGGTTTCACCGTGTCAGCCAGGGTGGTCTTGATCTCCTGACCTCGTGATCTGCCCGTCTCGGCCTCCCAAAGTGCTGGGATTACAGGCGTGAGCTACCGTGCCTGGCCCATCCCTGAACACTTTCTAACGTTGGAAAATGAGTATACCCCAGTTTTTTTTTGTTGTTGTTTTTGTTTTTGAGATGGAGTCTCGCTCTGTCGCCCAGGCTGGAGTGCAGTGGCGCAATCTCAGCTCACTGCAAGCTCCGCCTCCCGGGTTCACGCCATTCTCCGGTCGCAGCCTCCACAGGAGCTGGGACTGCAGGCGCCCGCCACCACGCCCAGCTAATTTTTTGTGTTTTTAGTAGAGACGGGGTTTCACTGTGTTAGCCAGGATGGTCTCGATCTCCTTACCTCGTGATCTGCCTGCCTCAGCCTTCCAAAGTGCTGGGATTACAGGCGTGAGCCACCGCACCCGGCCAAACCCCACTTTTTAAACGTAGTTTGTTTGAGGGCTATGAACTTCATATGGTAGAATCAAAACTTCTGGCATTAAAACCTTCCTGCTGTTCCACAGCCTCTGCTCGTAGGTGTTGCAGCACCACTTTGTATTTCTACTGCTATTTCACGCTGCAGAGAGAATTGCTATTCAAAAACACCAGTGGGAGCTCTGGTTTCTGCAGCCTGCCCCTACGTTCCCCACTTCTGTTCCCATCCCCTTTCCCATTTGAGACTCGGCTAGAGACAGCAGCAGCTCTGTGAGTCTTAGATGATCTTGTGAATGAGGTCTTCACTTCTCCATCTAAAAATGTGTTAAAGGCAAAAGAGTTTCTTGACACTCAACAGCAGGGAAGAAAGCCCCTGTGTGAAGCAGCCTTCCACTTGACGGTGCATCTCGAAAGGCTTCATCAACAACCCCCAATTACAGCCAAGAAGTGCCCTATCTCTTCAGAATGAGGACAGATCGTCTCCTCTCATCCTGATTCAAAGGTCCCAAAGCACCAGATTCACACACCAAAAAATGCATTTCTGACTACACAGGGTTTTAATGATTTTATTATATGTCTCACAATCTGTTCCTAAATCTGCTCCCATGTAGTTTATATTTACCAATTATTAGCTGAACTTAAGGACCTTTGTTTGGGGCATTAAAGATGATAATGAGGGAATAAGCTTCATTAGAATGACCAACTTTGATTAAAATGTAAATTGAAAATGTCTGATACAGTATATTAGCCTTACTGTTCCAGACTAAATGGTTGTGATATTATCTCAGTCAGGGGAAAAGCCCCTGCCTGGACAAAAGTAAGCATCACCTTTAGTAACAAATAGCATGTGCTTAGCAATTGGAAATCTATGGTGAGTATTCTCTAGTGATATGGAAGTTATCTATGCTTCTGTTAGATGGCAGAGAGTACAAATACTGGAAATTTAGCATTTTCTACAGAACACTGAAAGTGCTCTGAAAGATGAGTGTGAAAGGTGCTTGGGCTTTTGGCCAATGGGAGGTTGCTAAATGCCAGTTGTGGGTAGGCTAAACAAAGAAGAAAGGGTGACCCACAGACTTCTTTTAGAACACACTTCTAGAAAAGGTAAGAGTCTGGCATTGCCTGATTGAACTTTATTTTTTTCTTACTACCAAGTTGTTAATTGATATTTCATACTACCTCATCGTGCATGTCCTCTTCCAGTCTTTCAACTTTCAAGTCGCTGACTGTTAGGTGTCATGGACTGGCTAGACAGACTTGTGTGGTTGTGCTCACACAGAGCTGGTGAGTGAGGTATATATGGAGTTAGCTAGACCTGTGTTCAAATTTTTTATTTACCATTTATTAGCTTCATGACCTTAGACAGCTCTGAGTTTCAAGAATCTCATTTGTAAAGTGGGCAAATGGAAAGATAATAGCTAACATAGCTTATTATGAGGAATAAATAAAATAATGTATGTATGTCTGGGGTGGGGTCTGGAACAGTGTAGGCACTTGCTAAATAATATTCCTGTGCATCTTCCCCCTGCTTTCCTCTATGTTTTAACACTTAGAGAAGCTCATGGTGTGCTATGGCAGAAAGAACTGGGCATATGAAATATTTTTTAGTACTCTGAATCCTCAGGGTAGCTCTACATGAAGCCAGCAGCTAGCTAATGAAGCCTGATTTCTTGGGCATTTGCCTCTTATGGCTGACTGGCTTGTTAACTGAATTATTCAAAGATTTTCATAATATGTTTGAATTTCTTATATCCATTCAGTGGCTAATGAATCCTAGCCAGGCCTGGGGCCTCAGTTGAGAGAGAAAAACATATCTGTTCAAAATATGAGTTGTTTTTTTTTAATTTAAGAAAATGATTATTATATCCTGCTGGATACCTGCAATTATTACTTTGGGATTCATTTGAAATTGGATGGTTGGATAGTGACAGTGAATCTAGACAGACAGCCTGGAAAGGAAGTTGCTTTATTGATTTATTTTCATAGGAACTCCCAGAGCTGATGATCACAAAAGGGGAGGAAGTTCGATGTTTGAATATTATAGCCCACAGAAGGAAAAGTTGTGTTGGTCATTTGTAAGCCAGAAAGCAAAATGTGAATTTTTCCAACTTGTTTAACCTCCCACTAATGCCATTGTTTTATATTACCATTAAGGTTAAAAATATCATCTATACAGATGTCATATCTATTTAGGGTGTTTATCTTATAAGCTCCCAGCCCTTGTGCTGAGCTCTGGACTATTCATCTACATCACCAAGATATGCTTCTTAGATTTCTCTAAGGTGTTATATGCTTGTTTTTAAATACAAAGATATTCTTGGGACTATCTCCAGAGAG
The DNA here is from genome assembly GCF_000001405.40 of Homo sapiens. Lineage (NCBI taxonomy): Eukaryota > Metazoa > Chordata > Mammalia > Primates > Hominidae > Homo > Homo sapiens. The sequence continues at coordinate 82,143,802 of NC_000009.12, forward strand.
ACACATGTGCAACTGAAAAACGAACCTATCTGAGGTAACTACTGGGTCCACATTAAAAATACAGTGAGGAGAAAGTGTTTCTGACTTTGGCTGGGTAACATTTTTCTATTTTAATAGAAGGAATAGTGGATTGGATGTGTTATCAGGAAGGAAGCTATTCCCCTCTTTATTCAGATTATTTTCTTCTCTGGATCCAAGATGTTTGGGGATGCCAAACAAAACCCCCAAAATTTTTTAAAAGTTTACCATTAAAATTTTAGCATACTATCAAAGCAAGAAAAACTCATTTTTTTCCCCACTGGTGACTACTTAGCCAGATAAAAAAAGCTCTATCTGTAGGCATCTTCCCATTTAAAAGAGAAATATAAGAAAGAGAAGCACCCAGATTGAAGGAGTATACATGGTTAACCATAAATAGTTAGAATTTGTGAATAGCTTTACATCTATAATTCAGGTGCCTTGTTACCAAAATGTTTATACTTGTCTGTGAGCCAGTTCTCTCTAAAAAGTTTGTTTGTTTATTTATTTATTTATTTTACCTCATATCCTCTGAAGAAGGTTGGTTTGTTGGAATTTTTTTTTTTTTTTTTTTTTTTTTAGATGGAGTCTCGCTCTGTTGCCCAGGCTGGAGTGCAGTGGCACGATCTCAGCTCACTGCAAGCTCCGCCTCCCGGGTTCAAGCGATTCTCCTGCCTCAGCCTCCCCAGTAGCTGGGACTACAGGCGCCCGCCACCGCGCCCAGCTAATTTTTTGTATTTTTGGTAGAGACGGGCTTTCACCGTGTTAGCTAGAATGGTCTCCATCTCCTGACCTCGTGATCCGCCAGCCTCAGCCTCCTAAAGTGCTGGGATTACAGGCGTGAGCCACCGCGCCCGGCCGGATTTTTTTGAAGTTTTATTCTGTTATCAGTGATATTGTCTGTCCAGTGCTGCAATGTTTTCCAGATTGTTTTTCTTTCCCAAGAAACAGTGTGTTTTGGGAACCACTTCATCTCAAGGACATGTCAAAGGAGAAACATATGCCACATTAGTGACTCCTGCCTGGTGGGACATAGACTTTAAAGGTGAAGAGCTATGGAAAGAGGTCAAAGGTTCATAAACTTCCTAAGTATCTATTATGTAATGCGCTTCTCACATGGAGGCGTAGTTCTTTGTTTTTGAATGTGTATATGCGGTTATGCTGAAGAAAATGAGAATTCATTTAAGGTTATTGCTCAATTCTAATAACTTTCTGTTAGTTATTTTTTTTTCCCAGTCAGTGGTTCCTAAAGGTACATCTCTTACATGTGCTTTTTTTAAGTAAAAATGGAGCCCTCATGTTTGAAATGTTGGGACACCCCTGCCCTGAAGCGACAAAAGTGAAGATAAATATGTTTCTAAAAAAGCCATTGGTAAATCAGGATAGAAAAGGGGTTTGTATGAAGACTTAATGAACTGAAACAGGAAAATTAGAGAACCAGTCTCATGAGATGGTAAAAACAAGACAGGCTGGGAAACTGACTGCTTAGTATTTTGGTTATCTACTACTGTGTAGCAAATCACCTTGATCCTTAGTGACTTTAAGTAACAACATCTTTTGTAGTTCTCTGTGTTGACTGGGCTTAGAGAGGCTGTTCTACTCTATGTGATGTTGCCTGGGGCTGCACTCATCTGAATTAAGTGCTTGAGGGCTTCCTCACATATTTAGCCCTTTGGCAGGGACAGTGGGACTACCAGGTCTTTCTTGTTCTCTGTTATCTCAGGGTCTCTCCCTCTTCAAGCGGTCTCCCTAGTAAGGTAAACAGACTTCTTCCGTAGTTGCTCAGGGTTCCCCAAAGCACAAAAGTAGAAACTTCCAGGTCTTCTCAAGGTTTAGCTCTAGAACCGGCACAGCACCACTTCCTCCACATTCTGTTGGTTAAAGCAAGTCACAGGTCAACACAGTTTCATTGTGGAAAAGAACTATACAAGAGAGTAGATACCTGGCGGTCCAGTTCATTGAGAACCATCTTTGGAGACTAGTAACCACACCTAGTTATGGACATATTTTAAAAAGTGTGGCTAGGGTGTTTCTGCCGCCCTATAGCCACTGGACACTCATAAATGCCATGACTGGACTCTTAACCTGAATCCACTGCTGCTACCAGTATTTTTAATAGCCACTGCATTGTTTACATCATTCCTTCAAGGACTGTTAGTCTCATGCCTGTGCCCTAGCTGTCAGAGAGCAGGGAGAGAGATTGTCTTCTCTCTTTGTTTTCTGTTGTAGAAGGAAGGGAATGCTCTTTCCAAGATTCAGCTGACTGTATGTCCTGGTTTGCTGGGACAGACCTGACTTATGCTGATTGTTCCAACAGGATTATTAACCATGCCCTCTCTAATTCTTAATAGCTTTCCAATATGGATGACAAATTATTGTCATTCTATAGCCAAGTCCCACACAATGGAGGATTCCCCAAAACTAGGAAGAGGTTTAGATTTTTGGGTGACCGTAAAATGAAAAGTGCCCACTCGCACTCTCCATAGGCTATCCACCACCACACTTTTCTTCTTCTACCTATACCCTAAAAAGACAACTGTATGTACCTGATGGAATGCACCTAATGCATGGCCCTGAATCTTGTCAGTTGCTTCATCTCACTCCAAACCCAGAATCTCTAGGCATTGTCCATTTCTCTTCCAGGTCTGTCCTGATCCTCTTTCCATTTTCCACAGTCTAAGGAATAAACTGTAAAGTTAACCAATGCACTTCATATACAGTAGTTCTGGGACTGGGAGAGGGAAGAAAAAGAAAATTAGTTAAAATGTGTCAGCATGAATATAAACAAAAAGGAAGGAGGATATATTGGAGGATCTAGTCCTCAGATCTGCAGCTGGCACCTTACCCTGTACACTTGCCACCCCTCGGTCTCTGGATTTTCAATCCTGGATTATGAATACTTTCTGAATGTTCTTTCATATTCGTCTCTCTTATTCCAGGTTCAAAAGTGTGAAGCAATAATAGTGAAGCCTACATAATAAGCCAATGCTTGGCCTGCCTTAGAGAGAGAAAAGGGGATGTCTGCCTCTAGCACCACTTTGCATAAAACATGCATAATAGTGGATGCTCTCCGAGTAGGAAAGAGTACTAGTATTGCTACTCCCTTTCATCTAACATGTTATTGAAACTGGAAAAAAAAAAGATAATTGATAGGTAGGAGTGGCAGAGTGGCTAATCTAGCTTTTAAACTCAGTATCATGGGAATCTGCAGGTCACAAGATTGTTAGCTGAGGCCTGCTGCTACCGTTTGGGGATAATATAAGATGTCTGAGCTGGGAGAGGAGAGCCTTTGCAAGGGCAAAAGGGCAAGTGTGTGATAAACTGGGGGAAGAACGAACATGGATGGCTTGGGGAAACAGAGGCAGGGTGTTTGAGGGATGTGGACTTAGCAGAGTATTTAGCAGATGCTATGGATTTCAGTTATAGCATAGAATCAGAGTCTGTCCTTCAGTTTGATAAATTCCTATTTGAGCCAGGCTGACTGCAAGATGGGATGATTGGCTGGTGCTAAGAAAAAGGAGGAAACGTGGGTCAGATTCTTGTAATGGGTTAATGATCTCCACACCTAGTAGAATTCCCTTGTGTTGAACCATAAAACCTGAGTCTTAGTCTAAGCCTGCCTCAAATTGGATATATTAGCATAGATTATGCTTATTTCTTCATTCATAAACCAAGGGATTTATAAGATCAGATCATGGGTCCTAACATGAGGTCTCCAAATTCCAAGAGATCTTGAATATTGAATTGGAGGGTGTACTTAGACAGAATTCAGTTCATTATCCACAATATGGATTCATAGGTTAACTAAAAGGTGAATTACTGTAGACGGACATTAAAATTTAAATGTGATGAGTACACTGAGTTTTAAATGTGATGAGTAATGGTGTAGTATAAGGTGCCAGGGAAATACACCATGGGGAACTCAACCTATTCCAGGGGTCTGAGAAGGTCTCCCAGAGAAAGTGATACTTAGGTGAAAGGTGAAAACCAAAACTGAGTATGCCGAGTTGTATTTAGGAAAAAATTCAGTTTTGAGGCATGACAAAGATCAACACACTGCAGTGAGTGGATATTGCTTTATCAGTGTTCTAGTTTACACTGAGGAAACAAGGTTGTTCAAGAGGTTTGTTACTGGCAAAGAAATATTGCACAAACTATGTAGGAACTTGAATATCTCATGCAACCTGGAAATTTTCTCCAGCTCCTATCCCCTTAAATGCACCACAGTGCCCTCTTATGAATATAGCATTTCAGCCCTGAGGTTGAAGAGCTCCACAGAGAAATCTACCTCGATTTTGGGCTTTGAAGCCATTACAAAATAAATGTTGAGATGCTATAAATAGATCTCATTAAGGCTGGTGTATGGTTCTGTGCCTTTCTGTCATGACTGTGGTTGTAAAGGATGGTTTTAGATGTATAATTAAAGTTATTCCAGAAAGCATGATGAATCAGTCACCAATTTTATGAGAATTTCAAGAACTTGGGCATAGATCCTTCCTTTGCCTTCTTCCTGCTGCCAATCCACTGAAATTTATTTTTTCTTGAATATTTTCCAGCTGAATCTTGATGAAGATTCTACACATTGTCCAACACACTCACTGCAGTGTGTTGATCTTTGTCATGCCTCAAAACTGAATTTTTTCCTAAATATAACTAGGCATACTCAGTTTTGGTTTTCACCTTTCACCTAAGTATCACTTTCTCTAGGAGACCTTCTCAGACCCCTCGTACTTTTATAGCCAGGTTGCTGTGTCAAAGTGCTCCTCCCTTCTTGTAGAGTAATTGTTTAACTTCTGCCATGAACTTGTGGAGACCTGATTCAATAATGATTAATCCTAATCTTCTAAGTTGACATCTTCCCTACAAATTTAGCCATTCCCAAATAAAATCTTATGTGACTAGTGAAAGAAGACTCTCCCTGTGCCTCTCCTATAAATAGTAAAAGTCCAAAAGAGCAAAGGAAAATATTTCTTGGTAAATATGAAATGCAAATTACTTTTGGTTTTATGTCTGTCTGTGGATTATTATAATACATAACACCTATTATCTTTTCTATTTACATCTCTCCACCTTATCTATGCATTTTTAACACTCTGGATGGGCAGTGACCAGTATTTCCCATTTCGTGTGTCAGGGTGGTTATAAGTGCCTGTATCATATTACACCGCCCAAACTGTGGACTTTCTGTTCAGAGGGACAAGCAAGCATAATGATATCCATCTGGGAGGGAGCTTAAAATAGTGCCCATGCGTCATTTTGCAGTTAGGAATCTGGATATGGCTAATGGGGTGTTATCAATCAGGAGATAAAATTAAAATCCTACGTTAGGAACCGCTCCTGCCAGAAAGAGTGGATTTTGTAACAGCTGTTTTCTATTAGACACTATTGTGTTCTTTAGCAGCAAATTATATAGATTGGAAACGTACGGCTAACAGTTTCTCCAAGTGAGGTTGTAAATGAGCCTGTTGTCCTCTGAACAAAGATATTGCAGGGCAAGAAGAGGAAGCTCTGAGCACAGCCTTGGTGGACTTAGTGGGGCAGTTTTCTCCTCCCCTTGGAGACTAAATAGCTCCCTCAGAGGGAATAAATATATTTTTTGCTATTCTAGTGTGGGGAAGCGACCTTTTGAACTCTGAAAGAGATGGTATTAAAGCTTTTACTTGTCTAGTGTCTCCTAACAGCCTGCTTTTGATTGGTTCCAGAATTCATTAAATCTAAAGAGGGAAAAAATTAGCTGGGGGTTGGGTAGAGGGAGGAGAAGGAGAGGAAGCATGGTACTCAGCAAGCACCAAGTGTCTCAGCTCCAAATGAAGATAAGTTGTTTGAAATGAACAGCTAAGAGCCAGTCCGTGCATTCTCCTGCGTATTGCGGCTCAGTAAATTAAACTTAGTATGCTCAAAGGCTGGCTCCATACTGATGTTCTTGCCTTATGGAAAATAACATGCTCCCTCCTGCTTTTTTTTCTGTCTCTAACAGATGACAGTAATAATGAGGACTAAAATCACTCAAGTCAGCGTATGAAAGGAAACTGTCTATTTTTAAAAAAATAAAAAGACATCTCTTGGTACCATCTGCTGAGGTACAATAATGTTTTGTAACAGGTTTTGGAAAGCACATTAAAAGGCTTCATCTGTGCTTGTCCTTTCCAGTTAGTCAAGATATAGTTGTGTCTTTCCTGTCTGATGTGGATTCTTGAATCATGTAATTATTGCTAATTTATCTCTAAAATTAAGCGTCTCAAATACAATTTTAATTGGGATTTCATTAGGTACTTATTATATCATGTGTCAGATGATAGTTGATTATTCTGAGCATGGGTAGAAAATCTGAAAAATATAGTGGGAGAATGATGGGTACTTCTGAAAGCTGATGGTGCTCAATAAATATGTCTTAAAAATAATCAGTTGATATATAATTAACGTAAGTAATTACTGCAATTAAACTCTATTTATGGAATCTTGCTGTGTTGTTTCCCATCGTAAGCTTAAACATGATTGTTGTTCTTTTGCTCAAATAAAATTAATGTAATAAGAGAAAAACATAATAAATATAGGCCTGCATAACAGAGAGATGAAACGTTTTCTTTTTATTAGAGAGAGATGGCATAAAGGAAAAGGTGTATGAGGCTTTAAAAATATTCTCTTTACCTAAATGAATTAGGAACATGCAATGCAGAGTGTGAAGCAACAGGACTAGTAGGTAGGGTAAAGGTGTGTGGAGCTGGGTGAGGGAAGAAGAGAGTGCTCATCTGAATGACCCAACACTGAGAAACTAGGACGGTGATTCTGGCCACAGATTCCTTCAGCATGTGGTTGTATTTTAATTTGTGTCTATATCCTCAGTACTTAGGGCAGTGGCTGGCTATAGTAAGTATTAAAAAAATACATGTTGCATGATTAAGATTGGGTCAAGTGACAATTAACATGAATGGTTTACAGGAGGATGATAGAAAAACAAATTAAGGGAAAAAAATCAACAGACTCAAGTAAATGTGTTCCCTTGATCAAAATAAGCATTCCTGACTTCTGAGAAAGAAGGGATAACAGGCATCAGATTTTCCCTCCCACCTGAATCAGCTTAACAAAATAACAGATGAAATATATGGAACAATGGTTTCAAGATACTGAACATCAAGCAATAAAAGACAATTTCCTAAGAGATGGGAAGCAGATGAAAAGAGCCATATGATTACCCTAGCCTATTGCCTGGAGAGAGTTTCCAGATTGTAGCATGTGAGGGGGAACTCATGTGGAGTTGTTTTCCTGAGTTAAGGAGACAAAGCTGGGAATCTGGGGAGATGAAAGTAGCTAGAGTTTGTCAGGCAAGGGACCATAGAGGAGAGATCTGCATAGAGAAAGAACTTTAGAGATCTGCAGAGGTCTCCCTTGAAGCTTTAGCTGAATAATGATCAGTACATGCTATTAGGGAAACTTCCTGACGCCATGGAAAGAACCAGCTGAGAGCATTAGAAGGAATAATCACCAGAACACACACAGGCTGGGAATAGTTCCTGTTCTTACCAGCTAGAGTAGAACAGCTGACAGGAGAAAGTCATCAGGTGGAGTGTTCAGAAGACTTTAAACTCAGTAATGTGACAAAATTAGCTGTAGCCTAAAACATTGCCCTGTTCCCACCTACCAAAGCTTAAAAGAAAGACACAAAAGGAACAAATTATTTCCAATCAACTGTGTTTCAGACCAAAGCTCAAGAATATGTATAGGGATATACAGTCATCTAGCACCTAAGAATGTAAAATTCACAATGTTTGGCTTTCAATTAAAAGTTACTGAACATGCAAAGAAGCAGGAAAATTGATCCATAAGGAATAGAAAAATCAGTCAAGAAGCCCAACTTCTTTATTGTAGAATGAGGAGGGAGGCAAGTCCTCTTTCCCCAAAACATGGCCCTTGAAATCAATCAAAGTAAAAAACAAATTGAAAAGCATTTGCTTATGAAAAACTACTGAACTCCAGATAAAAACATTGGGAATCTATCACGTTATTGACTGGACCTTATTCCCTTCTTGCCAGCTTGATTAGTAGGGTAGTTCTACTGTGTGTGGCAAGCTATGAAAACCAGAAGCTTTGTTGCCAGAACAGATTCACTTGATTTTGTACAAAATATGAAAAACTCACTTTCAAAAGCATTCTCAGTAAAAGTACTGATCTTGGAAGCAAGCATATCAGGAAAGCTAGCAACTTCTCATCTGAGCTGTCAACCCAGTTTGAGCAAGCACCAGACCAACGAGCCAATTAGAAATAAAACAGGGAGATCCTAGCTATAAGACAGACTTAGAGGGGATGGATACTTTTTCTGTACCTTCTTCTAACTACATTGTATATGTAGATGGGAGACCATCAAGAGCTCAATCTGTCTACGTATCCTTGGCTAATTGGGAGGCTATATACCTGTAGAGTTGATCCACAAGAACCCAGCAGAAAATAAATGCTGGAGCAAGACTGAAAGTTCTTAAACTTTGAATGAACCCACACACAGATCCAGTGATTAACAGTATAAGGTTTATTGGTTCAAAGAGTTTGATTAAAACCACTGATGAATCATTGGCTGACTATTAAGCTAAACAGACACAGGGATGACCTCAAGAAAGCCAAGCTTAAAAATAAAAACAAGACTTAAATTACTGAGCAGACACACCAGGGGCCACATGTCATAGGGGAAACAATTCTACAGATTTACAGTGATAAGTTTCTAAAACAAAAACACAGCAACTCTAACTCTTGGGGAAAATATAAGAATCTAGAATTACTATAATATATTATCTAAAATATCAAATTTTCAATAAAAATAATAAAACATACAAAGCAACAGGACAAGGCAAAACATACCTAGGGGAAAAAAGCAGTCAACAGAAACCGAGTGGGTCCAGATTTTGGATTTAACAGAGGATTTCAAAGAAGCTATTTTAAATGTGTTCAAAGAACTAAAGGAAGCCATGTTTTAACAACTAAAGGAGAAGTATGATGACAACTACTTAGCAATTAGAGTATATTAATAAAGAGAGATACAAAGTGTCAAAAATAAATATATGGAAAATTCTGGAGTTGAAAGTACAATAAAGAAAGATTTATTGAAGGAGCTCAGTAGAAGATTTGAAAAAAAAAAACAAACCAGAAAACTTCAAATAAATCAGTTGAAATTATCTAGTTTGAAGAATGGAGAGAATAAAGATTGAAGAATAATGAACAGAGCCTTGGAGACCTCTAGGTCAATAGCAAGTTTATCAGTATACATGTAATGGAATTCTCAGATGGATAAGAGAGAAAGAATGAAATAGAACATTTTTAGGAGTAATGACAGAAAACTTCCAAAATGTAATGAAAAACATGACTCTACAGATTCAAGAATCTCAACAAACCCCAAGTAGGATAAATAGAAAGATTCACACATAGTCATGTCATAGTCAAACTGAAACATGAAGATAGAAGGAGTCTTGAAAGCAGCAAGAACAAAAATACTCACCAAGTACAGGAGAACCTCAATAAGATTAACAATTAATTTCTTATCAGAAATAATGAATGACAGAAGGCAGCAAAATACATATTCAAAATGCTGAAAGAAAATAAAATAACTCTCAACTAAGAATTCTCTATTCTAGGAAAACTTTTTCAGAAATGAAAGTGAAAAAAGACATTCTCACATAAACAAAGGCTGAAATAATTTTTTACTAACAGATTTGTCTTACAAGAAATACTAAAGAAAATCTTTTAGTCTGAAAATCACTAGATAGCAACTGAAATTCATGTATTTATTTACAAGAATAAAGAGCACTGGAAATAGCTAAATATATGGATAAATATAAAAGATTACATAAATATTTTTCTCTTAAATTTTTAAAAAGGTGTTATAATATATAAAGGTATTATAATATATAAATTATATATAATATATAAATATATAAGATATTATATATATAATAATTGTAACTATTGTTGAGTTTATAACATAGATGTAATATATATTACAATAATGGCACAAAGAGAGGATACAGGACAGTTTCTATATTTTACCAGAATTAAGCTGGTTTAAGTTTCAAATAGATTATGATTACTTAAAATGCATATTGTAATCCTTACATTAGTCACTAAGAAAGTAACTGAAATTATATAGTAAAAATATTAACTGAGGGACTTCTGCAAAAGATGGAGAGACAGGGACTACATTTACTCTACTGCCTAAAATAACCAAGAAAAAACCCACTCAGACAAAATATGTGAAATGATGATTCTCAAGATGTAGGACACATGAAGGAGAAATTATAAGGGAATATGAGAAACTTTTAAGAATAATGGATATGTTAATTACCCTGCTTGTCATGATTGTTTCACATGTATGTACATATTCCCAATCTTATCAAACTGTACACTTTAAATACATGGCATATATTATCTGTCAATAATATCTAAATAAAACTGTTGAAACCATTTCTGTAAATCATGGGTCCATGAACTTAAAACATACACATGTGTAATACACAGAATTTTTTGGAAGAGGGGTTATAGAAGTAACTCATTTTAACCTGGAATTCTCTTCCTGGAATAATTCTCTAGATTTGGAAGCAATGTGGAAAATATTTTAAAAATAGATTATTTGAAAGATGCAAAAAAGTAGATTCAGTTTTTATGCCTGTAAGTTTACCCTTTAAATTTAAGAATATGTTGAAAAATATCACAGAATACAATTTGAAAATAAAAACTATGTAATAACTCCACTGGCTTTGTAAAAAATAAACTTCTCTCAGACTCATGTAATTTCCTTTTTCAACGGAATAATATACGCAGGAAGAAGGAAGGGCTGACCTATATTTCAGGTAAGAGTTTGTACTGGCTATGGTAGTTGAGGTTGGGGAGTAGTTTCAAGAAGGATATGAAGAAAAAGAATTTCCATGACATAGTAACTAATGATAGTTCCAGTGGTCAAATAGAAGAAATCAAAGGTTTCTGACATTTCTATCTTAGATGACTGGGTAGGTGTGTTGTCATGAGATGAGATGATGATTAGAGGAACAGGGGTTGGAGAGAGGAAAGGGGATGATTTGGTCTTAAGCATAATAGAGATTTTCTTTTGCATCACATATTTGAGAAATATATAAGCACTGGTTTCTCATGTCTCTCCCCTGAAGCTGTTCATTCATTAAAAAATCTGTTTATGCATTAAAGCATGTTATGCCACATCCTGAAAATAGTATTCTCTTCTACAGCAATAATGGAAGTTGAACTCAAGAATGAATTGTCTGGAGGCTTTAGGAATCAATCAGTTAGCATATATTTACTGAGACCTTTTCTATGCTGGAAATAGTGCCAGTTTCAGAACAATGAACAAGATAGATAACGTTGCTACCTTCATGGGCCCTTTTCCTGGGGACATGGAAACTGCAGAAGCATTATTCTGAATGTCAGAATGGAACATTTCACCCCTTGTTTTTACAGTCACTGTTAGAAATGGAGACAAGTAGTTTGGAGGCAAGAGCCAGGAATACAGAATTGAGGCACTTCCTGTGGTCAAGAATTTAACTCACTGGGGCACGTGACAGCTCTGATTCTACTTCACTCAGCCTTAAAGTTTGCTTCATTAAATTCAGGAAAATGTCTAGATTTCCTAATTACAGAAAGCAGGAGAGAGTATGTGGAAATTCTGGGTACTTTGAGCCTTTTCTTTAGAATCAAATTATGGCATAAGTTCTACCACAAAACCAGGCTATAGTTACAGCAATTACAGTGACAGTTCTTTGAAAGGCAGAATAAATGTGGTATTCTTTGGTTCTCTGCAATAAGATCTCCCTCCATATTATAGACTTGATATTTGTTTGGTATGAATGGTATTGATGTTAAATTTGTGCTAGAAAACCAACTTGAATTTGTGAGATACCCAGTTCTAAAGTGGCCTTTTCCTGAGGCCTTCTTGAATTTCATTTAGTAAACATTCACTCATGCTTCTTATTCTCGGGGGAGAAAGGTGATGGTATAATTAAAAATAATACAATACTTATTGCTCTATTAGTAGATTTGATAGCACTGGTGGGAATTATTACAACATTTCTTTTGCATATTTTTGACTCAATAATTTAAAAAGTAAACCATTAAATTGCTTTAAATAGATTTAATCTAGAATTTAAATTAGATAAAGCAGGCTTTAAGTATTAAGCGATAACTAATTATTTCAAAGATATTTTGGTTGCTTTAAGAATGGTTGCATATGATTACCAAAAATTAGCCCACACTAAATCTTGAAAACAATATATTAGCTTCGAGTTTATCAATGCTTTTTACAGCTGCCCTGAATTTAAAGGCATTTAAATAAATGAGATTCTTTTGAAGATTTGAATACTTCAAAACCGTAGTGATATTTGGCAGCAGTGAGAGGGTCACATATATGTATTATTTTGAGAGTTAATTTAGGGTAAGCTTTGAGATTTAGGTCACAAGTTTGAACCACAGTCACTTTCATAATGACCAATGTTTAATACCATCTGATAACTACATGTTGGCTCTTGAAATGATTGAATGGTCTCAAAGTAACTTTTATAATTATTTCTTACCTATTTTTTAAGTAAAATATTCTATCTGAAAATTGTTAAAGGCTGACTTAATTTTTCTCAATCTCTAAAGATCACAACTGTAACTTACAGAAAGACAGAAGAAATAAGAATGATTTATTTCTTACCTGAGAAAGAAATGTAAATAGAAACGTTATTTAGCCCAACTTTTAAAGTTTGATATTTTATTGTGTTGTCCTTTGCTTTTAGTTAGAGGGAGGTCATATTAATAAAATCTACCTGTAGAGGAGGGAAATACACCTAATTTTTTTCCAGTAAATGTTATCATTTTGTTATGGTTTGGATGTGTGTCCCCTGCAAATCTTCTGTGGAAATGTGATCCCTAATGTTGGAGATAGGGACTAATAGGAGGTGTTTGGGTCATGGGGGCAGATCCCTCATGAATGGCTTGATCCTGTCCTCATGGTAATGAGTTAGTTCTCACTCTATTAGTTCACAACAGAGCTGGCTGTTTAAAAAGGAGCCTGACACCTCTCTTTCTTGCTCCCTCCCACCATGTAATATGCTGGTTCCTCCTTTACCTTCTGCCATGATTGTAAGTTTCCTGAGGCCCTCACCCAAAACAGTTGCTGACACCACACTTCCTATACAGCCTGCAGAAGCATAAGCCAAAATAAACCTCTTTATAAATTACCTAGTCTGATGTATTCCTTTATAGCAATGCAAACAGACCTGTACATATTTCATCCCAGGCTCTTTGAAATTTGGAGATCTAAGGGTGCATGTGTATAGCCAAGAAATCTTTTAAAGCTTTGCCTATTATTTGAACCACAGTTGGCACCTGAGTAATTTGAGACTTAATAATTATTGACAGAGGCCGGACATGGTGGCTTACACCTGTAATCTCAGCACTTTTGGGAGGCCGAGGTGGGTGGATCACTTGAGATCAGGAGTTTGAGACCAGCCTGGCCAACATAGTGAAACCTGTCTCTACTAAAAATACAAAAAAATTAGCCAGGCGTTGTGGTGCATGCTTGTAATTCCTTCATGGGCCCTTTTCCCGGGGCCACACAGGAGGCTGAGGCAGGAAGATCACTTGAACCAGGGAGGTGGAGGTTGCAGTAAGCTGAGATTGCACCACTGCACTCCAGCCTGGGTGACAGAGCAAGACTCCATTTCAAAAAAAAAAAACAAAAAACAACAAACAAACAAACAAACAAAAAAGAACTCTTGACAGAAAAAAATAAATCTTTGGGCATAGCTACACCAAGTAGGGTAGCCACTTATGGCCACACAGGTTGTTCACAGAATAATTCCAGGGAGAGCCATTCACACAGACTAAGAATGGCACTCTTTTCTTAGAGTTGTTTATTGCTGTCAAATGTTCAGCCTCCACAAAGATATACCCAGTAACTCGTAGAAGTTTTCATTTTAGATTTTGTTTCATTTCTGTTTATTTTTCTACACCTTATTCAGAGAGTCAGAATCCTTTTACTTAGCATTATCAAACACTAATTATTTGCGTCCCCATTGCTTCATTAGATCTGATTTTGGTTTTTCACACAATGTCTGAGGTAGTGAGAATACCTTTCCCCTGCCAAAGCACTCATGCACACGTGAGCATGAGTTCACTTGTGCACACACACACACCTACCCCAAAGACAATGTTAGTGTTTCTCTAACAAACATTAACATTTAAATCAGTGCTTTATTCCCTATAGAACTGTTTTGTTTTCTTCCTCCTATTCTTTTTCTCTCCTGGTGCCTAAGAAATTTATGACAACCGAATAGTTAAATATTGATTTGAAATCATTATATGTGTTATACGGACAAAGTAATAAAAATGGAATTTAAGAGATATTAACCTACACTTAACCTTTTTTTCTTTTGATATGCTTACATTCCTAGTGTTTAAAGTTGCAGCTTCCCAAATTAGCACATTACATTTCATCTGGAGTCTCTTTTGAAACTGTTGGTTTCTAAAGCTTCTTTTACAGATGTAATATTGAAATAATTTTATAATTGCATAATTCATTTGCCTTCAAGTAAGGAACTTTTGTGTGTACATTGAGTGATTATTTATTTGTATGTGCAGTTACAAGAGATACAAACCTAGAGAAAAGTGCATGAAATTCTTCATTGTCAATTTCAGTCAGTTCTCAGAACTTGAAACCCATTCAGAGAGTCTATCTCTGCACTTTCCCACTGTCAATTTTCTGTATAAATTCCTCACATAAACTGTAAACTTGGTTGTTCTCATAATGATTGGTTTGGTCTTTCTGCTGTAATTTTTGTTATTCCTTTTTCTATTTGTCTAGGGTTATAGGTAGTACTTTTCTTCTTGGATTTCCTGCCTATAAGTTAGAGGTTTACCTTTTGAGACTCAATAGAAATCACACTTGTGTTCTTTTTCAATCCTTTTTAAATACATCCATACTCCTTTGCTGTTTTATGATTCATTCACCATTGCTTCCAATAGATATTGATGCAATTCAGCAAAACCACTCCCTTAGGTTTGCTGAGTTCATGTTTGGATTCATGCTTCTATCAACTGGGAGAGTTGACTGTAAATGCAGTGCGTGATCTATATGGAATGGCACCAGGCTTTCTGGAGAGTGCAGTTTCTAGAAATCATGTATGGTGTGTGGTTGACTAAGGCAAGTCAATAATATCACAACTTAAACATAAACAGCAGCATGAATTCTGAAAAGGCATTATGACTGTAATTCATGTTAGTTATCATATTTAGTATATTATTACTATGAAATTTACTGGTACAGAATGTATTTGAGAGAAATTCACTGGCCAGACTTGATATCCCAATAACATAATGAGGGAAGAATTTGAGTAAATTAAGGAAAGATGTTCACATGAGAGCAGGAGTCCAGCTTGTAATCGCAGCTTCAGCCACAGCAGGACCTTCTTTCTAATCCTTTATCCCTCTGTCTCTTGAATATCCCTGTTACAAGCTAGTTGTTGGAGATAATTTAAGCTGTGGCAGCTGGATTTGTCTAAGTCAGGAAAACAGGCTAAATTGGGGAAAGCTGAAGGTTGTGCTTTTGCAAACCGTTGTCTCTCATAAAACTCTATCTCTATTACAGACATTTCTTTTAACTTATAACCCTTAATCTCCAATTGCCTCCAAGGTGGCTCTATGTGGATAAATGATGCCATCTCAAATTCAGAATGTTGAAAATAATTCACTGTGCTCTTTCTGCAATTGACTTTTCCTTGACTTCACTGTTTCTATTAATGATGTAATAATTGTTTTTCCCAGGAACTGAACATTAAAACCTCTCACATGTAACTCCTCTTTTTCAGTCATGATATCTAACCCCCTTCTACTGCATACTTCACATTTCTTTGCCAGCCAGTGCTTTATTTCTGACCTTTAATACTTCTCACATGAACCCGCTCAGTAGTTAGATCAGGAATGTCAGCACTCACTCACCTATTTCCCTTAGAATCCATAATATACAGGTAGGTACATTAACCTTCTTTACTAAAACATGGCTATTGTCATGGCATCTCCTTGTTCAAAAACGTTTAAAAATTTACATTTGCCTACCAAATTAAGTGTTAGGTCTCTAGTCTTGCATTGTAGACCCCAAGATAAAACTGCAGCTTATCCTTCTAGTTATATATTACATTTCTTCCCTTTATTAACCATGTTTTCAGCTAAAACAGACACATTTGAGGGGCTGTGTGATTGGTTATGTGGGAACAATAAGGAGATGGAAGGTGAGGAAATGGAGGGAGAAACTAGAGCCAGAATATAATCAAGTTTATATAATCATATGAGTTCGTTTTTATTCATCATCTACTAAATACAGGGCACTATGTGTCAGTAAATGCTATGTGATAAGAGAATATAAAGGAATATAAGGTAGATTTTTCTGCCCATGAAGAAGTTATATTTTCATTAATGATATAAGATTGCATGAAATATTAAGGAATAATAAAACATTTAAATTGACAAGAAGACATGTCACAATGCAAAACATAATTGCTTTCCTGATGAATTTTACAATTTCTATAAATTTTAAAGGACATAGAGATTAGACCAAGTGAGCTTTATGGAACAGATGGGATTTGAATGTTTCAGAGGCAGGATATTTTGATTTGAGTGCAGGGTGATAATAGAGATTGGTAAGATAAAGCAGGAGAGGCAGATAAGGGCTCCTCATGATAACTATGTATGGAGCAAGTGCTTTTCAGCTAGTTGCATGATCATGAAGGGGATCCAGAGTGGGAACCAGGCCCTGCCCTGTGGAGGAAGACCCAGGTGAGGTTAGTAGCTTGTCAAGGAGATATAATTAGGAATTCACTAGAGGAACTTAAAGCAGAAAGGTTAGAGGAAAGAACTGAAATCTGGACCTTGATATTTGCTTTTATATCCCTCATTGAATCTTTCTGTAAATTCCATTGACTCTTTCTTCAAAAGATGTACCCAAATACTTTCTCCCCTATTTCCTAGTCCAAGCCAGCATTATTTCTCACCTGTGCTATTGCAATAGAGCCAGTATGGCCTCTGTCCTTTATTCTCACCTCCACTTCTACTCCCACTAAGCCATGGTCTGTTACCACACTTGGCAGCCTCAGTTTACTTTCAAAAAGAGAGATCATTCTACTCCAGAACCCTCAGGATGATTCCTCATCTCACTAAGAATAAAAGCCCAAGTCCTTACCAGGGTCCACAGGGGTCCACCAGATTTAGTCCCCAGTTACCTTCTTACCTACCTCATTTCCCACCAGTCTCTACCTTATTCACTCTCTGCCTGCCACATTAGTTCCTAGTTTCTTTTTGTTTGTTTGTTTGTTTTTGAGACAGAGTCTTGTTCTGCTGCCCAGGCTGGAGTGCAGTGGCATGATCTCAGCTCACTGCAAGCTCCACCTCCCGGGTTCACACCATTCTCCTGCCTCAGCCTCCAAAGTAGCTGGGACTACAGGCGACTGCCACCATGCCTGGCTAATTTTTTGTATTTTCAGTAGAGATGGGGTTTCACCATGTTAGCCAGGATGGTCTCAATCTCCTGACCTCGTGTCTTGTCCACCTTGGGCCCCAAAGCATGCTCCTCCTCAGGGCTTTGACATGTGGCTGCCTGCAGTGCTCTTCTGTCAGTTACCTGTTTGGCTCTTTCCCTCAATCCTTCAGATATTCCATGATCTTCCATCAGGGCTTTGTGTCCACCAGCCCATCACTTTCTACTCTCTTATCTTGCTTTAATTTCCCCCTCACAGCGCTCATATGTCTAACAGGGTATATATTTATTCATTTGTTTATTAAGAACTCTTTGCAGTAATATAGAAACTTCATCAAGGCAGAGATTTGTTTTTCTCTACTGTATCCTAAGCGTCTAGAACAGTGTCAGATACATATTAGGTGTCCAACAAATATTAAGTAAGCTGAGGGTAATACCATTGAAACAGATGAACTAGAAGAAATAACCCTGAAGCCATGATAACTTTCAAAGGAGTAAGAAGGTACAAATTAATTTAAAAATGTATTGAGTATCATAAGTGCTCCAGGAACCATTCTAGATGTTGGGAATATAGTGTTCTGCTTTCATTCTCCCTGAAAGATACAGACTGTAAGCAAGTAAACAAATATAATTTACAGGAATTAGGCCTATGGAGAACATCTTAAAGATTGCAAAACAATAGGAAGTGATTGTGGAGTGTGGGGCATTAGATGGGGGTAGTTAGGCATACCTTCTCTGAGGGCATAACATTTGAGCTAAGACTTGAATCATAACGTTCCAGCTAAGTGACTTTTAGGGCAACAGTGAGGCAATGTTTTAGAATTCCCTTGTAGTGCCACCGTAGGGTAGTCTTTTCTCGCCATGAATGACCCTTGCCCATTCATGAGTATGCTAGCAGGGAGGGGCAGGGGAAGTGAGTGCTCCTGCACTTTCCTTTTTTAATTTAATTTAATTTAATTTATTCATTCATTTATTGATTTATTTTATGCTTTAAGTTCTGGGATACATGTGCAGAACGTGCAGGTTTGTTACACAGGTATACACGTGCCATGGTGGTTTGCTGCACCCATCAACCCATCATCTACATTCGGTATTTCTCCTAATGCTATCCCTCCCCTAGCACCCCACCCCCCGACAGGCCCCAGTGTGTGATGTTCCCCTCCCTGTGTCCATGTGTTCTCATTGTTCAACTCCCACTTATGAGTGAGAACATGCAGTGTTTGGTTTTCTGATCCTGTGTTAGTTTGCTGAGAATGATGGTTTCCAGCTTCATCCATGTCCCAACAAAGGACATGAACTCATCTTTTTTATGGCTGCATAGTATTCCATGATGTATATGTGCTACTTTTCTTTATCCAGTCTATCACTGATGGGCATTTGGGTTGGTACCAAGTCTTTGCTATTGTATATGTGCCACATTTTCTCTACCCAGTCTATCATTGATGAGCGTTTGGGTTGGTACCAAGTCTTTGCTATTGTGAATAGTGCTATAATAAATATACCTGTGCATGTGTCTTTATAGTAGAATGATTTATAATTCTTTGGGTATATACCCAGTAATGGGATTGCTGGGTCAAATGGTATTTCTAGTTCTAGATCCTTGAGGAATCGCCACACTGTCTTCCACAGTGGTTGAACTAATTTACTCTCCCACCAACAGTGTGAAAGAATTCCTATTTCTCCACATCCTCTCCAGCATCCGTTGTTTCCTGACTTTTTAATGATCGCCATTCTAACTGGCGTGAGATGGTATCTCATTGTGGTTTTGATATGCATTTCTCTAATGACCAGTGATGATGAGCTTTTTTTCATTTGTTTTTTGGCCACATAAATGTCTTCTTTTGAGAAGTATCTGTTCATATCCTTCACTCACTTTTTGATGGGGTTGTTTGTTTTTTCTTGTAAATTTGTTTAAGTTCCTTGTAGATTCTGGAGATTAGCCCTTTGTCAGATGGATAGATTGCAAAATTTTTCTCCCATTCTGTAGGTTGCCTATTCACTCTGATGGTAGTTTCTTTTGCTGTGCAGAAGCTCTTTAGTTTAATTAGGTCCCATTTGTCAATTTTGGGTTTTTTTGCTATTGCTTTTGGTGTTTTAGTCACGAAGTCTTTGCCAATGCCTATGTCCTGAATGGTGTTAACTAGGTTTTCTTCTAGGGTTTTTATGGTTTTAGGTCTTACATTTAAGTCTTTAATCTATCTTGAGTTAATTTTTGTATAAGGTGTAAGGAAGGGGTCCAGTTTCAGTTTTCTGCATATGGCTAGCCAGTTTTCCCAACACCATTTATTAAATAGGGAATCCTTTCCCCATTGCTTGTTTTTATCAGGTTTGTCAAAGATCAGGTGGTTGTAGATGTGTGGCATTATTTCTGAGGCCTTTGTTCTGCTCCATTGGTCTATATATCTGTTTTGGTACCAGTACCATGCTATTTTGGTTACTGTAGCCTTCTAGTATAGTTTGAAGTCAGGTAGCATGATGCCCCAGCTTTGTTCTTTTTGCTTAGGATTGTCTGGGCTATATGGCCTCTTTTTTGGTTCCATATGAAATTTAATGTAGTTTTTTCCAATTCTGTGAAGAAAGTCAATGATGGTAGCTTGATGGGGATAGCACTGAATCTATAAATTAGTGTGGGCAATATGGCCATTTTCACCATATTGGTTCTTCCTAGCCATAAGGATGGAATGTTTTTCCATTTGTTTGTGTTCTCTCTTATTTCCTTGAGCAGTGGTTTGTAGTTCTCCTTGAAGATGTCCTTCCCATCCCTTGTAAGTTTATTCCTAGGTGTAGTTTATTATTACTTAAGAATCAAAAGAAAGATCATAGGACTGCTAGAGTTTTCATGGAAAAGTCAAGGGAAGGATGACTTCTACTAACAAGGTTTAAAGAGATAGCAGGAGACAAAAATAATGATGATTTTAGGAATACCCTCCATTAGCCCTATAAGCTCATTGTGATGGTGAAAACTCTGTTTCCTTAGCCGAAGGTAAGCTGCAAGACAGCAGAATTCTTTACCATCTTACTCACCAGTTTCCATGGCTGCTGCATTTGTGCAGATTGTACGCTACATGATGGCAGCACAATTCAAGAGGATGTGATTCAAATCACAGACATCATAGATGTGCATGTTTATTGCCAAAATTATTCAGCAAAGGCAGTACAACACTCTCTTTCAATAAAATCAGGATATACAATGATTTCCAAACAGATATAAGTAAAATATCTTAAGGAAGTGAATTCTTAAAAAATACCTCCCAAGCTAATGATGGCCTGATATCTAGAGCCTTGAAGATTTCCTGACATATAGTGTATACTCAATAAATATTTGTGAATGAATGAATCCAAATATCCTAATTAATTTTCTATAAATCTATATATTAATGTGATGGCTAATATTTTTTAAAGCTCCAGAATTATTATATACCAATGAGGAAATTTGCAAAGTAGCTAGTAACATAATTAATATACAGAAATCAGTAGTCAGTAGACAAATGGAACAGATTAGAGACCCCAGAAATAAAGCCACACATCTACAGCCAAGTGGATCGTCAACAAAGCCAACAAAAATAAACAATGGAGAAAGGATATTCTATTCAATAAATTGTGCTGGGAAAACTGGCTAGCCATATGCACAAGAGTGAAACTGGACTGCTACTTCTCACTGTATATAAAAATTAACTCAAGATGGATTAAAGATTCAAGATGGATGTCACAATCTCAAATTATAAAAATCCTAGAAGAAAATGTAGGAAGTACTCTTCTAGATATTGGCCTAGGCAAATAATTTATGACTAAGTTCTCAAAAGCAGATGCAACAAAAAGAGAAATTGACAAGTGGGACCTAATTAAAGAGCTTCTGCCCAGCAAAAGAAACTATCAGCAGTGTAAACAGACAACCTACAGAATGAGAGAAAATATCTGCAAAGTACACATCTGTAAAAGGACTAATATCCAGAATCTGTAAGGAACTTAAACAGATCCACAAGCAAAAACCAAATAACCCCATTACAAAGTGAGCAAAGGACATGAACAGATACTTCTCAAAAGATATATATGTAGTGGCCAGAAAATATATGAAAAAATGCTCAACATTACTAATCATCAGAGAAATACAAGTTAAAACCACAATGAGATGCCATCTCACATCATTCAGAATGGTTATTATTAAAAAGTCAAAAAATAACAGATGCTGGTGAGGTTGCAGAGAAAAAGGAATGCTTATATACTCTTGGTGGGAATGCAAATTAGTTCAGCCACTGTGGAAAGCAATTTGGAGATTCCTCAAAAAACTAAAAATAGAACTACCATTTGAGCCAGGAATCCCATTACTGGTTATATACTCAAAGGAAAATAAATTATTCTACCAAAAAGACACCTGTACTCATATGTTTATTACAGCACTATTCACAATAGCAAAGACATGGAATCAACTCAGGTGCCCATCAGTGGTGGATTGGATAAAGAAGATGTGGTACATCACAGAATACTATGCAGCCATAAAAAAGCTCAGCATCACGCTCTTTGCAGCAACATGGATGCAGCTGGAGGCCATTATCTTAAACAAATTAACACAGAAACAGAAAACCAAATAACTCATGTTCTCATTTATAAGTGGGGGCTAAACGTTGGGTACACAGGGACATAAGGATGGGAACAATACATACTAGGGATTCTAAAAAAGGGGAGGGAGGGAAGTAGGGCAAGGGTTGAAAAACTACCTATCTGGTACTATATTCACGACTTGGGTGATGGGATCATTAGAAACCGAATTTTCAGCATTATGTATTATACCTGTGTTACAAACCTGCACATGTACCCCCGAATCTAAAATTAAATAAAATTTAGAAAGAAAGACAATAAGCTTGGGAAATCTTCTGTGAAGGAAATGTAAAAGTTTAATTGTTATAGGTTGAATTGTGCTACCCCCAACCCCATTCATATGTTGAAGTCCTTATCCCAAGTACCTCAGACTATGACTTATTTGGAAATGGGGTCACTGAAGATGTAATTAGAGAAGATGAAGTTATACTGGATAGGGTGGACCCCTTATCCAGTATGACTGATGGCCTTATGAAAAGGGGAAATTTGGGGACAGACTTACAGAGAAGGAGAATGCCATGTGAAGATGAAGGCAGAGACTGAGGTCATGCTTCTACAAGCCAAGGAATGCCAAAGATTGTTAGCAAATCTCCAGAAGCTAGGAGAGAAGGATGGAAGAGATTCTTTCTCAGAGTCATCAGAAGGAACGAACCTGTTAATACCCTGATTTCAGACTTCTAGTCTCCAGAACTGTGAAAGGATATGAGACAATATATTTCCATTGCTTAAGCCAACCAGTTTGTGATACTTTGTTATGGCAGCCCTGGCAAACTAATGCAGTAATAACACATGATAGAGAGTGACTTTAGATTAAGGGGTCAGGGAAGGGCTCTTGGAGAAGTTGACATTTAGGTGAGACTGGAACAATGAGAAAAAAACCAGCCTTAGAAGGACCCTGGGACAGGTATTCATTCAGAGGGAACAAGAGCAATCACTTAGAGGAGGAGAGTTGGGAGTCTTGTGACTGGTGGACTGGATAAATGACATTTTTTTTTTCCTGAATAAACATTTATTGACAAGTATTTTGGAAGAGTTAACACAGACTCAAACAGTAACCTTGTTACCCCCAGAGAGTAACTTGAACCTTTTGGTGTTTCTGTGATAGGTCAGCATATGTCTCTTTTGATAGTTCCACATGCCCAAGTATATAGGACTGAATTCAGTAGTTGTTCTCTTAATAGGATGAAATTTCAATTCAGCACTAAAATGGCAATTTGAGGGATTTCTGTTTTCTACTTTTCAATTAATTGCTTTGTACAAAGAGCAAGCACAGTGCCATGTGACTAAGACCTCTCTTAGTTAGAGCTGGAAAGGAACAAGGGAGATTACTGCAGTTTACAAGGGAACAGTCAAGAAATATGAAGGAGTTAAATCAGGGATCCCTAAGAAGAATGAAGACCCAGGAGTAGAACTCACTTTTTCTAATCCCAGTTGGGTGCAATTTCTGCTGGTCCTGCAACAGCCTCCTCCAGAATCTTCGTGGGCAGTGAATACATTTTTGTTGATGTGAGAACATCAAAACAGTGCCTTGATTTGGAAAATATAAAGCAAAGGGGAAAAGGCAATTTCTGGTAAGTGGAAGTAATTCTCGGCAGGCAATTCTTTTCCAGTTAGCGCTAAGGAATTTTGTTCATGTAGTGAGAATGAAAACACATTGAAACAAATAACCCAAGTTTTCCATAGCAGTTCCAGAAGACGAGGATATGGCTTGTTATTAATATTCTCTGCTTGATTGTTCCTTTCTGTTCTGCTGGAGATGAAAGTGCCCTGTGGCCCTACTCAAGCAGTTGTTCATTTATCTCCAGACAGGGCTGGAGGAGCAATTGGAGGAGCCCAGCAGGCTGGACACATGTGGAGAGTTGGTGAGAAGCCCATGAACATGACAGCCAAAGAGTGAGGCAGGCAAAGCTCCCCTTTCATGCCCTCTTTGTTTCCTTTTCTGCAGATACCTCTTCTAAGAAGGAAATTTATTTTTAATGATGATTACCATGTGTATTCACATTGAATTCTCACAGCATAGCTGGTACTTAAGTATTTTTATGTCCAGTTTTCTGAATTGAGCCTTGGGACTCAGAGGTTATGTCACCTACTTTATGGGGCATCATAAACTTAGCATAAAGTTTGTTGAAAACGTGGACTTTTTGATCCAGTCTGGTCTGGATTCAAATTCCAGCCTCATCCCTTACTAGCTGTGGGAAATTGGGCAAGTTACTGAAAACTTTCTGTAGCTTGGCTGGGTGTGGTGGTTCCTGCCTATAATCCCCGCACTTTGGGAGGCCGAGGTGGGTGGATAATGAGGTCAGGAGTTCAAGACCAGCCTGGCCAACATAGTGAAACCCCGTCTCCACTAAAAATACAAAAAAAAAAAAAAAAAAAAAAAAAAAAAAAACTAGCCGGGCATGGTGGCAGGTGCCTGAAGTCCCAGCTACTCGGGAGGCTGAGGCAGGAGAATGGCTTGAACCTGGTAAGCGGAGGTTGTGGTGAGCCCAGATCGTGCCACTGTACTCCAGCCTGGGCGACAGAGCAAGACTCTGTCTCAAAAACACACGTGCACACACACACACACACACACACACACAAAACCTTTCTGTAGCTCAGTTTTCCTATCTGTAAAATGGAGATAATAATACTAATAGTTCTTTTGTCCTAGGGTTGTTGGGAGGATTAAATGTATCACTATGTGTAGTGGTATTTGGAACACTGCCTGACAAATGATGATGAAGAAGCAGGAGCACGAACTCAGGCCTGTTTCACTTTAAGCCTCCAGTGCTGTTTGTACTATGCATAAGCTACTTCTCTTTTCAGAAGCCCAGCTTCCCTCATGACACCTGACTATTCTTCAGACATTTGCCTCCCTTCCCTCCCACCATAAGTTACCTTCCCTGAATGCCAGTTCTTCTGGAACTACCAGGTGTTTGGATTACTTAACCCGATGACTCACTGTAGGCTGAGATGTTACTGAGTACTCCTGGCTCGATGGTGTGCTTTTTATTATGCTGGTGGTTTGAGTTGTACAGGCTTGGAATAGGTTGTCTTAGAGGTTGAACAGCAAATGGTAGAGAGAGTGGACAGAGGATCCATGAGCTGGGCAAGAGATGGCTCTACTTTTCTATGTAAAGAGAAGACCAATGCAGGAAGTACAGTCATTGCAGCAAATTCTAGATGACAGATCTTTGTGCCACCAGGCCTTTACCTAACTCTCAAATATCTCACCATTTGTTAAAGGCCTTCCTTACTTGTGTGTAGGCCAGCCAGATCTGGCGGCAGTAAGTCATCTGAATAAAAGCTGGTCACTCCAGAATCTTTGTGGAAACTGATTGACTATTTTGATAGTCTTTTTGTGACTGAAACCATGTAAGATTTTCATTCATAGGTTAACATATTTTGGTGTTTGTTTTCTCAAGCTAAGCTAATTATTTATTTTAAAATTTATCTCAATCTATACCACAAGACTAGATGCTTGAATGATGGTTTGCCAAATAAGTAATTTCTTATTCAAAAGTTTGTTTCTCACTTTGGGAGGCCGAGGCGGGCGGATCACGAGGTCAGGAGATCGAGACCATCCCGGCTAAAACGGCGAAACCCCGTCTCTACTAAAAATACAAAAAATTAGCCGGGCGTAGTGGCGGGCGCCTGTAGTCCCAGCTACTTGGGAGGCTGAGGCAGGAGAATGGCGTGAACCCGGGAGGCGGAGCTTGCAGTGAGCCGAGATCCCGCCACTGCACTCCAGCCTGGGCGACAGAGCGAGACTCCGTCTCAAAAAAAAAAAAAAAAAGTTTGTTTCTGCCTAAACCTTTTTAGGCAGGAGAAGATTTTGAATGCAAACCCAGCCTGACCTCCTGATGGTGCAGAGGGTGCCCTGAAAGAAAAATTTTGGCAAGAATCAGAAAAGAAAACAAACCAATTTGGACTATCTTCTACTGTTAAAAACTGAACTAAACTGAACTAAGAAGGGAGGTGGGCTAAAAGGCTGCACATCTTTTAAGGAAACAAAGCGTGTGTGTGTGTGTGTGTGTGTGTGTGTGTGTGTGTGTGTGTGTACACTTTATTTCTGTTGACAGATGGGTCTTAGCTACCAAACTTGGAAGAAATGTAGGCAGTAAATCAGTTTTCCCATTTTATGACAGACTTTATCATGAAAGATGATTCTAAATGTAAACACAGTGGGTAAAATGCCACTTAGAGGGAATTTAATAAACATACTAATTTAGACCTCAGCAAGAGAGCACCTAAATATCAAGCATAATGATATACCAGAAATCAAATATTCAGGATATCTATTTTAATCTAAGAGGAAACAGAACTCTTTATCCTAATCTTGCTGTAAAGCCTTTGGCTTCCTAAAGTATGTGATCTTGTTAAATTAAAGGATTAAAGTGAATGCATCCTTTCTTTGGTATGTACTTACAACTAAATAAATAACATGCTTGTTATGACTGCAAACAAAATGAATTAAGTGAAACAAGACAGACAGAATGGACTTGCTGATGTCTTTGTTTTTGACAGCCTCTAATCCTGGAAACAGGAAGATGTTGAGATGAATAAACATTCTTTGTCTTTGTGAGCTCCCAAGTGGTTAAGTCTATGCCCAGAGTCATGCTAAGGAGTTCAGAAACTGTGACATCCAGAGACCTTGCATATGTATAAAGGAAATCTCTCCTTTCCATTGTCTTCTCTGTATCCTGCTTATCTGAAAATCCACTAATGCTTTAGCATTTGTTGCTCTCAAATAGAGTTAGGGGTGGGGGAGGGAGAAGAAAAATTCCTCGTGAGACTCTTCTGAAGAATTGTCCCCCTTGAATAGTGGTCCCAGTTTAGTCGCCGTCAGCTGTCACTGAACCTTTCAAACAAAAAAAAAGACCCATTGCTTCCCATGAAACCTCATTTTCAGCAACATTTAGCCCAGGGGCCACAGATGTGTGTCCCCTTTCTAAATGGAATGCTGTCCTGAGCCAAATATGTCAGCAGTTAAACGGCCCACAAACACACCACAAATATTTGTTTATTAGGAATCAAAATGTGAAGTGGGCTACAAAACCGAGGGCTAGATTATTAAGACCAGATTGAAAAGTGCTGTGGTGGTGCCTGGGTAAATATCACTAGTGGTACAATATTGAAAAGATTGGGAAGTCATCAACCAGCCCTTCAGAACTGAAACACATGATTTAACCACAAGCTGTACTTTATGAAATCTTAAACTGTAACACAAAGAGTGACCTAATTTAATCCATGTGGGCTACATGTTTGATGTCAACAGACTTTCCTTTTAAACAGTTCAGAGAATGCAACGGGGTCTTTAGTATTTAATAAAACCTGGACTGTTTCCTGCTAAGTCACTTATCTTGAGGGATTAATTATTTTTACATTATGATTGATATTCCATGGATTTTATGGGTTTTCCATACCTTTTTATGCATGTCCTTTTTGCAAGGGACAATTAACCATAAGTCTTAAAACATTAGTCTCCTGCAGGTGTAATGGATGTGTAAGTACGTCCTGAGGCAGACAGTACTGCTCTTGCTGACGGGCTTGTAAGAGACACAGAATGAAGACAATAGTTGCTGTCAGAAGTAATATACATGATGCTTGCTTCATACAGAGGCTACTTGTGGACTTAGCATGACAGATATGCACATATAGAAAAGTGCCTTCTAAACGACTCTTCTTAAAACAGTTTGATAATGCTTGTGGGCTGGAGCTTCCCCATAGTTTAAGTCCACAACATGTTTTTTACCAGAGTAACATTCTGGCAACATGATTATAAGTTTTTTCTTCTACTAGGTAGACATCTAGTCAGCTGTTGACCTTTTTTCTTTAACATTATGATCATTAGCCTTAAATATGCAAGATGAGCACATTTCACAAGTGTATATGAGCCTTTTTTTTTCTTTTTTTTTTCTTTTTTTGAGATGGAGTTTCACTCTTGTTGCCGAGGCTGGAGTGCAGTGGTGCAATCTTGGCTCACTGCAACCTCTGCCTGCCGGTTCAAGTGATTCTCCTGCCTCAGCCTCCAGAGTAGCTGGGATTACAGGTGCGTGCCACCACACTCAGCTAATTTTTGTATTTTTTTAAGTAGAGATGGGGTTTCACCATGTTGGCCAGGATGGTCTTGATCTATTGACCTTGTGATCCTCCCGCCTTGGCCTCCCAAAGTGCTGGGATTACAGGCATGACCCACTGTGCCTGGCCCCTATATGGGCCTTTTTAAAAGGCCCAGTGGGACTAAAATTTCTGGTATGTCTCAGTCCATCAAGAATAGTTGAAAGTGATACAGTGTCTGCCTTCGAGTAGCCCTGAGGATCTCTAGGTTGATAAAAGCAGGGATAAAATAACTAGTTTTTTGTTCTTCTTTTTTTTTAAAAAAAAAAAGGTAAGCAGGGGAAAACTCAGGCCTGTGCACCATCCTTAGCCATACTCGATCTTGTAGAACTTCGCTACTCAACCTGATGGTCTGTAGACCCCAGCATCAACATCACCAGAGGATTGGTTAGAAATGCAGACGGCTGCCCTTCCCAGACCCTACTGAATCAAAATCTGAATTTTAACAGTAATCCTAGGTGATTCATAGGCACAATTTAAGTTCAAGAGGCACTGCTTTAGAGGGCTTTTGGGCATGGTTTTAGGAGGCCATAACTAGTTGGGCTGATCCTTTAAAAAGTACCAAAGAGAAGGAACATTTTCTTAGTTGGATATTGTCTTTGTCTGTTTTGTGTTGCTCCAAAAGAATACCTGAGACTGGGTAATTTATAAAGAAAAGATGTTATTTAACTCACATTTTTCCTAGCTGAGAAGTTCAAGGGCATGGCCTTGGCTTCTGGTGAGGAATTTCATGCTTCCTCACAGCATGGTGGAGAAGGTCAAAGGGGAAGCAGAGAGGTGAAAAGGAGGGTAAACCTGAGGGGCATCCTAGTTTTATAGCACCCATTTTTGAGGAACTCATTCATCCCCATGAGAACTAATCCAGTATTTTAGTAGTGAGAACACACTCACTGTACCATAAGAGCAGAACCAAGCCATTCCTGAGGGATGCACCCCCATAATCCAAACACCTCCCACTAACCTCACCTCCTAACACCTTCACACTGGGGATCAGATTTCAACATATTTGGTGGGGGACAAACCATCCATATACAAGCCATTGCATCTGGATGTAACCCTGGAACATTAGAACAGATGAATTAGTATCAGGTGGTTTTGAGGTATTAAAAAAACTATATTTCAAATTAAGTAGTATAGGATGGTGTCCAGTATTGAACATGAACAAGAAAAGCCACTTTTTTTTTTTTATTCCTCTGAAAATGCCCGAGGCTGAGTACAGTAAGAAAGGAAGTAGGGTGGGCCCATTCTTGCTTCAGTTTTATTACAGCTTTAAAGTTGAACTCTGCTTTTCAATTTTGAATTTGAACATTCAAATATTTTGGACCAGCAGAGGCCTCATAATTTTAAGTTTTTCCTTTAACAGAAAATAAATAGGAGGAGTTTTTTTTCCCAGGGCCAGACCTTTAACATCTTAGGCTAATAGTATATAAAAACACACATTCTACATACTGGAGGAAATTTAATGTTCAAACCAAATTATAATATATTATTGTTTGTATTCACTCTGATGTTTATCATGTATAATAAAAGGAAATGCATCCTCATCAGATATCTTTCATTTTTAACTTATCGAAAATAAATTCACAAAGTAAAACATTTAAGGAGTAAAAGAGGTATAAAATGAAAAAAACAAAAAGCCTTTTTTTTCCTACCACTTCAGGCTCCCCTTCCAATACTGAACAAATAATTATAGTTAACAATCTGTTTTCAATATCTTTCCAGAGAAGTTTTAAAATTTTGCACACCCTCATCTATCTTTCTCTGTCTCAATCTTTTTCTGATTTTAATGTTTTTAAAATTTGCACAATGGAATTATATCATACAGATTTTATAGTACCTTGCTTTTTTCACATAATTTGTTTTGCAGAACTTCTGTGTCACCATCTACATATATGTGTCATTAAAAAAATTTTTTTATTTGGAAATAATTTCAAACTCACAGAAAAGTTGCAAGAATAAGAATGGTACATTATCCCCTTGCCTAGATTCATGTATTTGATAACATTCTTCCCTATCTGATTTATGATTTGAGCTCTGTCATCTCAATCTTCTTTCTGTCTCCCACTTTGTTTGTCTTTCTCTTTCTCTCTCTTTGTGTGTGTGTGTGTGAATGCGTGTGTGCGTGTGTGTGTGTATATATGGAAGGGTATATATTTTTTATCTGAATCATTGGAGAGTAAATTGCCTACATTATGGCACTTTGTCCCTAAATATTTCAGTGTATATTTTCTAAAAACAGGGAAATTATCTTACATTGCCATTATATTATTATCAGCTTCAGTAAATTTGACATTGGTACAATACTTTATTATCTGTATTTCAGTTTTATCAATTGACCTAACAATGAATTTTTCTAGCATTTGTTTTCCTCCAGTATGAAATTAAGTGTAGGACCAGGTATTACATTGAGTTGCCATGCCTTTTGGTTAGCTTTACATAGGAATATTGCCTTGGCCTTTCTTTGCTTCTCCTCTACCCCTACCCACACATTTTAAAATAGAAAATTCCTTTTTATGGATTTGTCTGATGTTTCCTTAGGATTAGATTTAGAATCTGTACTCCTTGGGCCGGGCGCGGCGGCTCATGCCTGTAATCTCAGCACTTTGGGAGGCCGAGGCGGGCGGATCATGAGGTCAGGAGATTGAGGCCATCCTGGCTAACATGGTGAAACCCCGTCTCTACTAAAAATACAAAAAATTAGCCAGGCGTGGTGGCGGGCGCCTGTAGTCCCAGCTACTCGGGAGGCTGAGGCAGGAGAATGGCGTGAACCCGAGAGGCGGAGCTTGCAGTGAGCCGAAATTGCGCCACTGCACTCTAGCCTGAGTGACAGAGTCAGACTCCCTCTCAAAAAAAAAAAAAAAAAGAAAAGAAAAGAGAAAGAATCTGTACTCCTTGCACTTATACTATGTAACTGACATGTCCTTTTCAAGATATTGCATCTGTAGACACATGATGTCCTTATGTTAATTTTAATTATTCATCAAAGGGTTATCCATTTTTTCTACTATATGTTAATAGTTTCTACTTTCTCCTTTGCAATTAATAAGCATTCTGTCGGGAGATAATTTAAGGCGATACAATCCTGTTGCTCATTAAAATTTCCCCCTCAGTTTAGCTTTCTTTGACCATTCTTGCCTGAAATAATCTTTAGTATGATAGTTGCAAAAGGATGACCTTCTGTCTTCAACACTCACTCAACATTTGTCTGTTAAACTTGGCATTTTACTGTAATCAAGAGCCATCCCTTCTCCCTTAATTAATTTGAATAGACTCTTTCTTTCCCCCCTAACTGATTATAATTCATTATTGAACTTAGTTTGGGCCTCCAATTTTCCAGTCAATTTCCAATTCCTGGAATTGCCTACTGAGTGATCTTTCAACTGACTCCTCTGTCCTTCTGTCATGTTCCAATCATTTTTTGTTTTGTTTTTTGAGCACTTTTCTATTTCTCATATAACAAGATGTTCTAGGATAATCTTGTATTTACCCCAGCCTTGGAATCAGCCACTTCCCAAAAAGCCCTGAGTGTTTTCAGTTAAGAATAATGTTAGATAGCAAGTGTGAGAACTAGGTGTGCTTATTTCCACTGGGGTGCCTTCCATTCATGAGATGAATCCCACTTTGTTGTGATGTATAAAATAGACTTGATTTTTTAGTGCAGTTTTAGGTTCACAGCAAAATTAAGTGGAAAGTACAGAGAGTTCCCATATACCATAGCCCCCCAACCAGTCTCCTCTGCTATCAATATCCAGCACCTGAGTGGTACATTTGTTATAATCAATGAACTTACATTGACATATCATTATCATCCAAAGAATTTTGTTCAAATTAGTGTTGTTCATTCTGTGGCCTTTGACAAAATGTTCAGTGACATGTATCCACCACTACAGTATCATACAGAATAGTTTCACTGCCCTAAAAAAATCTTCTGTGCTCTGTCTATTCATCCCTCCCTCTATTCTAACCCCTGACAACCACTTATCTTTTTATTGTCTCCATACTTTTCTCTTTTTGAGAATGTCGTATAGTTGGAATCATATAGTATCTAGCCTTTTCAGACTGGCTTCTTTCACTTAGTAATATGCATTTAAAACTTCACCAAGTCTTTTCATGGTGTTATTTCTTTTTAGTGCTGACTAATATTTCATTGTCTGGATGTACCATAGTTTGTTTATCCAAGCACCAATTGAAGGACAGATAGGTTGCTTCCAACCTGTGGCAATTATGAATAAAACTGTTAAAAACCTCTATGTGTAGGTTTTTGTGTGGACTTAGTTATTAACTGATTTGAGTAAATACCAAGGAGTGCAATTGCTGAATTGTATGGTAAGAGTATGTTTAGTTTTGTAACAAATTGCCAAACTCTTTTCCAAAGTGGCTGTACCATTTTGCATTCCTACTAGCAATGAACGAGAGTTCTTATTGCTCTGCATTCTTGCTAGCATTTGGTGTTAGTGTTTTGAATTTTGACCATTCCAAGGTATGCAGTGGTATCTCATTGGTGTTTTAATTTGCAATTCTCCAGTGACATAAGACATTTAGCATCCTTTTATATGCCCATTTGCCACCTGTGTATCTTTTTTGGTGAGATGTCTATTCATGTCTTTTGCTCATTTTTTATTCTGGTTGTCCATTTCCTTACTGTGGAGTATTATGAAGTTTTTTTTTGTATATTTTGGATAACAGCCCTTTTATCAGATGTGTCTTTTGCAAATATTTTCTTCTGTGGCTTGCCTTCTCATTCATTTAATATTATCCTACTTATAAATTGCTGAGTTTTTCTTTTTCTTTTTTTGTTTTTGAGATGGAGTCTTGCTCTGTTGCCGAGGCTGGAGTGCAGTGGCGCGGTCTTGGCTCACTGCAAGCTCTGCCTCCTAGGTTCACGCCATTCTCCTGCCTCAGCCTCCTGAGTAGCTGGGACTACCGGCGCCTGCCACCACGCCTGGCTAATTTTTTGCATTTTTAGTGGAGACAGGGTTTCACCGTGTTAGCCAGGATGGTCTCAATCTCCTGACCTTGTGATCCGCCTGCCTCGGCCTCCCAAAGTGCTGGAATTACAGGCATGAGCCACCGCACCCCGCCAAATTACTGAGTTTTATTTGCTAATTATTTTTAGTATGTTTGCACTTTTGTTTATGAAGAATATTTGTCCATGGCTTTCTTCTCTTTTAATGTCTTCGGTTTGTTATTAGAGTAACGCTTGCTTTATTAATGAGTTGGGAAGTGTACTGTCCTTTCTAGTACTATTTCTTCCTTAAATGTTTGGAGAATTCACTCATGAAACCATTTGGGCCTGGAGTTTTGTTTTTTAAATTTTATTTTGCATACAGTTTTTAACTGTTAATACAACTTATTTAATAGATGTAGAACTATTCAGTTATCCATTTAATTTTGAATGTATTTGATTGATGGTCTTTATTTATTTTTAATTGTATTGATTTCTGCTCTTATCTGTATAATTAACTTTCTTCTGCAGGTTTTGGATTTATTTTGCTGTTCTTTCTGTAGTTAAGGTGGAACTTTTGATTACTAATTTGAAACTTTTTAAATATAAAAATTTAATGTTGGGCGGCTGAGGTGGGCGGATCACGAGGTCAAGATATCGAGACCATCCTGGCCAACATGGTGAAACCCCATCTCTACTAAAAATACAAAAAATTAGCTGGACGTGGTGGCAGGCACCTGTAGTCACAGCTACTTGGGAGGCTGAGGTAGAAGAATCGCTTGAACCCAGGAGGCGGAGGTTGCAGTGAGCTGAGATTTCACCATTGCACTCCAATCTGGTGACAGAGCAAGACTCTGTCTCAAAAAAAAAAAGAAAATTAATGTGGTAAATTTTCCTCTAAGTACTGTTTTAGCTACATCCCACAAATTTTGACATATTATACTCTCATTTTGATTCATTTCAAAATATTTTTTAAAGTTGCTTTGATAGTTCCTTTTTGATCCAAATTTAGTAATATATATTTTTGATCTGTAAGTATATCATTTATTTTCCAAATGCTTGGAGTTTTCCAAGTGTCTTTTTGTTATTGACTTCTAGTTTAATTCAATTATGGTATGACATACTTTATTTGATTTATATTTGTTTTCAGGTTGGTCAGGTTTACTTTATGGTTCAAAATATGGTTTATCTCTGTCAATTTCCATGTGCACTTGAAAAAAAAGTGTGTTGTGCTTTTGCTTGATGTCATGTTCTATAGATATCAATTAGGTTAACTTGGTCATCTATATCCTTCCTGATTTTCTCCCACCTTATTCTATCAGTTACTGACAGGAATGTTGAAATCTCCAATTGTAATGACGTATTTGTTCATTTCATCTTTTAGTTCTATTGTGTTTTGTTTCATGTATTTTGAAGCTCTGTTTTTATGTGTTTACAATTTAGGATTATGTCTTGTTGGATAATTGATCTCTTTGTTATTATATAATGCCTTTCTTTATTCCTGATTATATTTCCTGTTCTGATGTCTACTTTGTCTGGTATTGTAGCTATTCCAGCTTTCTTTTAGCTAATGTTTGTCTTATATATCTTTTTTATCCTTTTACTTTTACTTTATCTATATCTTTATGTTTAAAGTGGATTACTTATAGACAGCATACAGATGGGTGTAGCTTTGAAATCTAATATGACAATCTCTTTTAGTTGTTGTGTTTAGACTGTTCACATTTAATGTGATTATTGATATGGTTGGATTAAAATCTGCTATCTTCAAAGCGCTTTCTATTTGTTCCATCTGTTATTTGTTTCTTATTTTCTTTTTCCTCCTTCTCTTATGTTAAGTACACACTTTTTAGGATTCTATTTTATGTTCTGTATTGAATTTTTTTTAGCAATTAGGATTTACAATATATAATTCTAATTATTAGAATCTACCTTGGAATATTTTTAATGCCATTTCATGTATACTGTAAAGACCTTACAACAGCATAGACCCAACCTGTGCTTCCCATTTTTTGTGGTACTGTTATGGTACATTTTATTTCTACAAATGCTTTAAACAAACAATTCATTGCTACCAAGTTTTTGCTTTTCACATTTATCTTTCAGAACAATTAAAACAGAAAAAATGAATTTTACTTGCATTTATTTCAAGTATTCTTTATTTCTTTGTATATTATATGTACATTATGTATATATATACACATATATGTATATGTGTATACTTATATACGTGTATATATAAATACATACATATATATACACACACATACACACACACATTTCTGTGTTGTATTATTCCTCCTTCTTTCTTTTTTTTTTTTAGGGGCAAGGTCTTGCTCTGTTGCCCAGGCTTCAGTGCAGTGGCACCATCATACCTCACAGCAGCCTTGAAGTCCTGGGCTTAACCTGTCTTTCCACCTCAGCCTCCTGAGTAGCTGGGATCACAGACATACACATTTTGTTTTTTCTTTAAATTTTTTTTAAGGGTAGGTCAGCTGGCAATAAATTTCTATAGTTTTTGTGTGCCTGTGAACATTTTTAGATTTTTATTTCTTTATTTTTGAAATTCATTTTTGCTGGGGATTGTATTTTGTTTTGATATTTTCATCTCTCAGTATTTTAGAGGTATTACTCTATTATCTTTGAGTTTGAATAATTTTTGAAGAAATGTCTATCTTTTAAAATCATTTTTCCTTCTAAAGTAATGTGTCTATTTTCTCTGGAGGCCTTGAAAGGTTTTTCTTGGTGTTTTGCTTTTAGGAATTTAAATATGATTTGCCTATGGTGTGTCTTTTGTTTTCTTTCCTGCATTTTTTTGTATCTGTGGTTTGGCATCTATCATTAATCTTGAAAAATTCTTGGTGGTTATTTTTTCAATTATTTCCTCTGTCCCATTCACTCTCTTCTCCTTCTGAGATTCCAGTCATTTGACATTGTCACATAGCTCTAGAATATTCTATACTTTATTTTTTCTTTCTGTTTTTATTTGGATAAATTTTTGACCCATTTTCTAGTTCACTGGTTCTTTCCTTGCCTGTGCCTACTCTACTTATGAGCCTGTTGAAGGCATTCTTCTTCTCTGTTACTATGCTTTTGAGTTCCATTTGATTCTTTCTATACTTTTGATCTAGGTGCTAAAATTACCCATCTGATATTACATGTTGTCCACATATTCCATTAGAGCCTTTAACATATTAATCAGCTGGGCGTGGTGGCTCATGCCTGTAATCCCAGCACTTTGAGAGGCTGAGGCAGGCGGCTTACCTGAGGTCAGGAATTCAAGACCAGCCTGTCCAACATGATGAAAGTCTGTCTCTACTAAAATTACAAAAATTAGTCGGGTGTGGTGGTGTGTGCAAATCCCAGCAACTTGGGAGGCTGAGGCAGGAGAATCACTTGAACCTGGGAGGTGGAGTTTGCTCAATCTCAGTGAGCTGAGATGGCTCCACTGCACTCCAGCCTGGGTGACAGAGCGACACTCCGTCTCAAAAAACAAAAACAAAAACAAACCATATTAATCATAGTTATTTTAAATTGCATGTCAGACATTTAACATCTTTGTTTAATCTCACTCCAGTTGTGATGGTAACTTGTCTTTTGGGCATGTATTTCTTCTTGCTTTTCATACACTTTGTATTTTTGTTGTTGTTGTTGAAAACTTAACATCTAGTGTAGAATGTTAGAGACTGAGGTAATTAATTTTTATACTTGGAAATGGCGATACAATTTCCTTCAACTAAGCCTTTAGTACCAGGATTTGAGATAATCTAATTGGGAGTTGGACTGGAATTGAGGTTTGCTGTTGCAATGATTACTCTGAGTGTAACATGAGCTTTATATTTGTTTAGGGATACCTTGTGTATAGGATAGGAGTTGGTTTGAGAGAGGAAGTTTATTCTCAATGATTGCTCTATCCTCAGCCTCAAGTCTTCCCTTTGTTCTGTGCCTCAGAGAGGTCTGTCTCTTGCATGCTGCTTGTGACTCAGTGCTGTTTAGCCAGGTAGTGGGGACTGAGGGGGCAGGGGGTTCTCTGTTGTTTTGTTCAGATCTCAGTCTTAGGCAGTCACTGTGTCCCTGTATCTTGGGAGTGTGGCCTTATCAGTTATCCTACCCTACCCCCAGTGATATTCTGAACTCTGCACGTATTCCTGCTCTTCCCTTAGGGGTCCAGGTTTATTTCTTGTTCTCTTCTCCCCAGCCGCAGTGGGCTTTAACAAATGTCCTAAGTGTGATGGCATTTTTGCTCTTCTCCCCACAGATTAAAGCTTTCCTCCCCCCACTCCCCATAGGTAAGATGGGAGAGAAGGGTCTGGGTAAATTTCTTACCCTTCCTCCAGTGATTGCTGTTCTCCTTCCTCAGTTCTGCACCAGAAGGAAGACTTTTTCAGGACTCCCGATTGCTTCTGTGAATGTTCAGTTGGACTTGTAAGGGAAAAAAGTCCCCTGTATTTGCTGCCACTTCGAGCTTCACCCTCCCATCAGTTTACTATTGGCCTCTAGGAATTTGCCTCTCTCTCTACCTGAACTCTTGTTACTGGTGTTTGACTGTATCTTACCCAGGTACGTTACTGTTCATTTCTTGTGTCTCCCTGTGTGTACCTCTTTCTCCCTGGATTCTGGGCCGGTTGGTTCCACTGTGACATTAGTATGCTAATAGATTCAAGAAAAATCATGAATTTGCTGTTTCTCTATTTTTTTCATTGAAATGTTGACAGTGATGCTCTTCTTACCTTTTTACATCTCTGGGCTGAGATTAAAAGTCTGCTATTGTTTTAAAAATTATAGTAGTGGATATGTATTTTCAGGAAGAAATAAAATAGGACAAACTATGCATATTCCAGAGGCAACTTCCCACTGTCAGTAAGAACAAAAAAAGAGATTGAGGAAAGCAAATAATGAGTAAAATACGGTCACATTCACATAGGATTACAGAGGGTTGGGTATGATGTTCTGAAATACCAAAGAAAAATATATGCGGCACCAATTCTTCCTTTGAGAGCTATTTACAAAACTTCTTAGAAATCAGTGTTTTGCAACCATATAGGGAGACGCCAAAAAGGAGGTATCACTGGCTTAGTCAGTATAATTTATGGATTCCAAACTTTTCTGCTTTATTACCTCTAAATTGTCATTAAAATCTAAATAATAAATGCTATTTATTTTTATTCATTAAATGACTAATTTGTTCTTCAGAATCAAACATGGACACTTTAATAAAATATTACTATAATTAAACATAATATTAATGTAGAGGGAGCCCAGGATTTGGAGGCAATAGAAGGGAGAAAGGAAGATTCATTTGGAAATAACTGTTTTTAAAAACAAAAATACCTCTAGAACACTGAACAAATATGAGCCATTCTTAGCTAAGAACTGATGGATTAACCTAGTCAAAACAGTGAGACCTTGTCTCTACAAAAAAAAAAGAAAAAAAAAATTAACCTGGCACAGTGGTGTGCACCTGTAGACCCAGCTACTTGAGATGCTGAAGCAGGAGGATCACTTGAGCCCAGGAGCTCAAGGCTGCAGGGACCTGTGATTGTGCCTCTGTGCTTCAGCTTGGGCGACAGAGCGAGACTCTGTCTCTAAAACAAACAAACAACAACAACAACAAACTGGTGGATTGTTGGGACTGTTGGCTAGCGGAGAAAGAACTGGCCTAAGAGCCTGGAAACTGGAGCTTGCTTCTCTGTGTAACTTTTAGCAGATTAATTCATATTTCAAAATCTCACGTATTCTAAATATCAAAAGATCTGTAACATTCCTCTTGCAGTAATGATTGTTGGAGTATGGATACTGTCTCCTGATATCTAATGTCTTCCGAAAGCCTGCATGGATACCCATAATAAACTACTGTCTACAATTTGTTATATGGCTTCACAGCCTACACCCGATCCGTGCACTTTTCCTCATGTTTCACCTGGTTGTATACTAGGTATTTGCAGTTCTCAGATGTTCATGTTGTTGATTGCTACAGGTTGTCCTGAAGTTAGACTCTAACCTCACCTGGAACCCAGCTGAAAGCTGAAATTTTTACAGTTGTGCAGAGTTTTCCTCTAGTGATTGAAAGTATGGTGGAATTGCTTCATTGCCTCATATTTTGGGGATAAAGACTCTTGGAGCGCACAGGCTCATATGATATAATAGTTTCTAGATACTCAAATCTAACTTGTGGAATATTACAAAGAAATCTTATTTAAGTACCTTCAGAAGGAAAAGGAAGTCTCTTCCATGCCCTGAAACAAAATAAAATGATCTTGACTATAGAAACACAAGGACTGTGTTGTATTATCTGCAGACACAGGGGAAAATATTGGAGGCTACATAAATTAAGTAGGTGTGAGCTGTTTGCCAAACTTGAGGGAAGTGAGTGCTCTCTGCAGAAGGAAGCATCATGGTAGAGAGGGAAGGAAGTCAGCTTTTCTGTAAGTACTCACAGCAGAGTCAGGAGCACCTGTCAGGGCAGCAGAACTGTAGCATCCTGACAGGTGTTAAAGGAAAGTTGGAGTCTTTGATTCATGGGACCCAGTACTCAAGTTTCAAAGCTTTTGTCCAGTTTATATAGAAATATGGGCTCTGTTGAAAGAAAAGCTGGAAAAGTGACAACATTCTAGCCAGACTTGCAAAAGTTGTTATTTCATGTGTCTGTTTCATGTGTCTGTTGAGCAAGTTTTGGAGGTGCCATTGTGCTTAGTGTGAAGAAGTTATTACTGATTAGTAATGCTTACTGTGAGCCTAGAATGGAGACTCTGATCCCTGGCCTTTTGAAGATCTCCAAGAGGGTTGCATTTCATTATTGAAGCAAACTTGGGACATTGTTTATAAACCAACTAGGAATACAGTCTTCCCCCCCCCTTATTCATGGTTTTGCTTCCTCTGGTTTCAGTTACCAGCAGTCCACTGTAGTCTGAAAATATTAAATGGAAAATTTCAGAAATAAATAATTCCTAAGTTTTAAATTGCATGCTGTTCTGAGTAGTGTGATGAAATCTCCTTCCATCCTGCTCCATCCCGCCTAGGATGTGAATCACCCCTCTGTCCGGTGTGTCTGTGCTGAAGACCCTCCCTGCCTATTATGCGCTTAGTAGCCATCTCTGTTATCAAAGTGGCTGTCATGGTATCACAGTGCTTGTGTTTAAGTCACCTTTATTTTTCTCCATAATGGCTTCAAAGTGCAAGAGTAGTGGTGCTGGCATGTTGTTATAATTGTTCTACTTTATTATTAGTTATTGTTGTTAATCTTGGACAGTGCCTTATTTATATTAAACTTTATCATAGGTATGTATGTATAGGAAATAACATATTATAAAAAGGATTCAGTACTATCTGCCATTTCAGGCATCCACTAGGTATCTTGGAACATATCCTCCTTGGATAAGGGGCAACTGCCATAATAAGTATATTTTAATAAATCGTAAATGCTTAGAGATTTTACCTGTCCCCCTGAAACTTTTCAGAGCTCACGTTTGTTTTTATCTTCGTACTGTCTAATTGAAAATTTTAAATAACCCCTTTTTCCACCACAACACAATTTAAAAATCTACTTTCCCTTTTCATTCTTCTGTAGACTTGAATGTAGAAAGTCTTATAAAATATGCATTTGTACAGGCTGCCCTATTTTTTTAGTTGCTGTACTAATTTGACTATAAGCTCTTTAAGCTTTGCACCCACAGAGAAAAGGTGTTAACCAGATTCAGCAGAAAATAGCAGAGAGGACCGTAGAATGCTTGCCTTGCTGTCTTGATGTCCATTTGAGCCAGAAAATAGTGCTAGGGCCACACCTGTTGTTTTGAAGATGAGAGGGAGATTTTTGTTTTAATTATTCAGGCCACTTCCTTGGGTAGTGGTGGCTTTCGGTGGTTAGGGACCTGAGGTTTTGAGACGATGTTGACATCTCAGAAATATTTTTACTGCCAAGAAATCCAACTGTACAGTGGCTTACAGAAATATCCTCAGACATCTCAATCCACCTTTTTTCGTAGGAGGTTCTATAGTGTTCATTCATTCTACCCCCTGCTTGCCACTGTGAGCTTCACCCATTTAACTCTTCATCTCCCTCATCATCCCTAATGGTCTATTTGCTTACTTTTGTTTCTATGGCCATTAGGTTCCCTCTTAATGGATGTTTACGATCACCTAATTGCATATAGGCTGTTGGCCTGTCAGGAGATTTTTTGAGTATGTGTTATTTTTATTCAGTTGCCTGTCAATTTCTTTCCTTGCTTGTCAATTTCTATCCTTCAGCTTTTATTTTTTCTGTGATTCTTAAACTTCAGTGTACAAAAAAATTCATTAGGAATACTTATTGAAATGCAGGTTTTTAGACCTTTTTTCTCAGGTATTCTAATTACTAGACAGGAGGCCCAAGAATCTGTACTTTTAACAAAGCACACAAGTAATTCTGATACAATAGACCAGAGCTCCAGCATTAGACTTTGAGAAATACTGCTCTTTGATGTTTAAATTATTTTAGAAAACTTACATTTTATCTTTGTGGGTTTTTTTTGTTTGTTTTTGTTTTTTGCTTAATACAAATAAAATCATTACAATAGCCTTAATTTTGTGTAAAAATTCAAAGTGCAACATATCGACTGCATTCCAGCATTCCCTTTCAAATGTACCACATTGCGTCTAGACCCCCAATACCAGTGCCTTCTCTTATCCCAACCCATGGTACACCAGGCTACTGGATGATCCTATTCCATGGCTGTGAATGGTTAAATTAAGTTTAAGCTCTGCCATTTTATTTGAAATCACTTTATTGTATGTGAAATTGTGCTTTTGGATCTGATTTCAAAAGTATTGTTTCTAAGCTTTAAATTAAATATCATTCAGAGCTATAAATAATAAGGAAAAGAATAGAATTTATTTCTAAAAGCTGCCCTTCTTGCCCTCACAAAATATTTATTTCCCTTATGAAAGTCCCAAGGGTTGGACAGGCCTAATTCAAGGCTAAAAGATAGCAGGGAGTAGCAAGTTTCCCAGTTACTGTGTGACCTCAGCCTGACAGATTCACAGTGAAGAAAAATAGATAATTAGTAAGGGTATAATCTAGTGGACAGAATTCTAAGTCAATAATCAAATCTCAGCTTTGTTCTTGACATTATGATTAATCTCTTGAAAATAATTTTACTGCTCTTTGTTTTCCTTTCCGATTCAGAAACAGAGCAAAGAAACACCTCTGGGTAGAACATGGCTCTCTGGGAATTTGATATCTAACAGAAAGATATCTGATAGCCAGAATGACAGTAGTAAAAATAGGCATAATTAGTTTAGCAAAAAAATAAATTATCAGCACTAGTTGCCAGTCTTGAAACTATCATATACATTTGTCTCTTAAAACTATATTTTAGTTTAAAGTATGTTTTAAACCATGTTTTGCACACATGATTATTTGAAGGGAAGCATAGCACAAGGTCAAAAATTTAGATGCTGTATTTCTCATAAGTCTCTTAGAAGCAATTTTATTATGATAATACCAATGGGCTTCTGATTTTAAAAGGTGTTGAACTCAGCATTTATTGATTCAGCATAATGAATTTATTGTAAAGTAAAATAGTAGTAGTATGTCCCTGCACTCCAAATACTATTTTTGGGAAGCACTAGACTTGATCACGGAAATAAAAGAAGAAAGAGTGCTATAAGTACCTGGGATGTAACAACTTAAAATGAGTAAATGACTGTAAATTAAGGAAATTAAGATAAAGGAGAATATTAGAAGATTTTTAGGTAATAGAACTGATACTCCCACTGTACTGTGTGTCACTCCATCTGATCTCTCACGGCACTTATCTCAAGGAGACTGTAATTACGTGTTTCTATGTCTTTCACTCTCATCAGACAGCAAGTTCTCTTGAGGCAGGCACTATGCCTTAATTATCTGTACCTCACAGCAACTAGTGCAATGCCTAGCATATAGCACACAGTCACTGTGTATTGGTGGATAAATGGATTGATGGGCACATTGAAGAGTGAATAGAACATTATACTGAGGGAATAAAATATGCAACACAAATGGAAACATTAGATTCACTTCAATAACTTTCTCCAAATTAAAAAAAAAATAAGAATTCTGAAAACCTTGCGTTTTGGAATCTGAGAGTAAGGGGTCTGAAATTTCCAGGAAAGCAAAGTATTGTCCAAGAGATAGGTTTTCTCAAACCTGTGAGATGATTACTTTACTATCATCTCGTTGCATGATAATTTGGCTGGTGGTAGATTTTAGTCTTAAAATAATTCTTCCTTGGAAATAGAAAGTTATTGCACCATATGTTGTTTTAGATGAGAAGTCTGATGGCAGCCTGATTTTCATTCCCTTGTAGGTTGTATTTTCTCTCTGGAACCTTTAAAGCTTTTCTCTTATTTTTAATGTTTGGAAATTTCATGGTGATGCGATGAAATGGATATCTTTTGTTGTGCTGGGCTTGACTGAAGAGTTGAGTCCTTAAATTCTGGGAACGTATTTTGACTGAGTGCTTACTGATGTTCTCACTCATTTTCTCTGTACTCTTATTCTGTGACTCCTACCATTTAAATTTTAGACTCTTGGACTACAAACTCTAATTCGTTTATATTTTCTCCTTTTTTTAGTCTTTTTGATCTACATCCTTAGTGATTTATTTTTACTATTCTTTAGCAGTTATATTCTTTATTTTAAAGCATTCTTTCTTTCTTCTTTCATGACTGTGTCTTTTTCGTAAACTATTAATCATCTTTTCCTAATGTGGTTTTTCAAATCTCTCCAAGGATGCAAATTC
The DNA here is from genome assembly GCF_000001405.40 of Homo sapiens. Lineage (NCBI taxonomy): Eukaryota > Metazoa > Chordata > Mammalia > Primates > Hominidae > Homo > Homo sapiens. Next base: position 82,187,714 of record NC_000009.12, read on the forward strand.
AACTTCTTATAAAATCCCTGAACTATCTTTAATTTCTAAGTTGTCTGTTTCTGCTTCTTCTTTTTCTCTTTCTCTGTAAGAGCTTTCCTTATATGTCTACGTATCCATGATTATCAGTTCATATTTAAGAGTGAGATGGTAAAAGATTATCAGCAGATTTGAATACATTGGCGAGAATATCTATATTCTCTTTGGAGTGAATGGTCTGGCAGAAGACTGGTGAATTGGGAATCCTCCTTATGACTGAATGTGGAGGTCTCTTCTGCTGTCATCTGATATCTTTAGAGAAGGCCTACAACTTTTTGATGTTGAACTCAAATTTATTCTGTATTGTGGGAATGGGCAGGATGGAGCTGTTGACAATTTCATATACAGACTTCCAATTAATCTTCTATTTCAACTCTATATCTCACTGCCGTGCTCACTTACCCCTCCCTGACCACATAGCATGTATATTGCTGAGTCCCAAGCCTCTTTCTGGTTCTTTTGGATCAATGGACAGTATTCTCCACTGGATCCCTCTTCACACATTATCCAGCATGTAGCTTCTCCTATCCTCTTTCCCTATGCCTGGAACCTCTTTGATTATTCCACAACTTTGTTGAGAAATCTTATTCACTATTGGCCCATCAATTTTGTTTACTGTTGAGGGTTTAACCTCATTTTTTTCTTTTACAATAATTTAAATAACTTTCAGGAAGGAAAAGATAAGCACTTATTATGTATTCACTATCTTTAATCAGTTATGGCAGCATTTTAAAATAAAAGTGCTTGATAAAATTTGGAAGCACTATGTACTGTGAAGAGTTCTCCATTTGGAGATTCATAAAGTTCATTAGCATAGTAGTAAGGAGAAGTCCTGCCAGAAATAAACATGTTAAACCACAGTTATCCCAATGTTTCCTGAACTTATTTTTACCATGGAATGCTATTTTATGAAGAAAACCTACTAAAACCTGCTATATACAGCATTCCACAAATTATAACTTAAGAAATAATACTCTAGAATACCAGTTATAGATAAGAAATGATAAAATATAATTTAAATAATCAGAAAAATATGATTTTAGAGTTAGAAGCAAGGGCACACGCCCCTCCATATTTTTCTTCTTTCTAAAAGATGGGAAAGCTAAGTTTTATAAAGTAGCTTACTTTGTTCTGCCTGTATGGGTCTCTTTGTTTTCTCTGAACAAGATCACACTGTGATTATTTGACGGCAATGACCTTTAAGCTGTAGGACATCATAAGATTGAGCCTTTTAATACCTACCATTGCACTGTTAGGTGTGATCATCCTGCTCTCTACCTGAAGGTGGGGTTCTTCACCCAAAGGAACTATCTCAGAACACCAGAGCTAGTGTAGAGTGAGCTCACTTGGCAATGGGGCAGATAGCAAGAAGTTCTGTTCTTGGCTTACCTTCCAACCCTACAAGGTCACCATATAATGGCTTAGGTTGGTTTTGGAGAGTAGTATTTCCACCTGTGATTATCAGTTATCTTTGTTTTTCTTCTCCTCCTCCTACTCCTTCCATTGCTCCTGTTTCTTCTCCTTTTCTTTTTCTCACTCCTCCACCTCTTTCTCCTTTCCTCCTCCTCTTCTGTAGTCCTTTTCTAGCCACCTCTTACTCCTTTTTCTTTTCAGTTTATTTGGGACACTGATGGAAAAATTTCTCATAATCTTTTATAGAAGCTTATAAAGCAAGCAAGTAAGATTTGTAAGGCAATGAAGTGCCATTTGATGGCGGGATTTGTAGGTGTTACACGTAGGTTTTCTCTTGGAAGGGACACAGAGATCTTGGCATACTTTGTTTAAGAACAATAGCCATTATCTATTAATTCCATGTGTGTTCTTTAAAAAAGAAAATCATTTTATGGGAGGAGTGGGACCTCAGGTTTTTATATGAAAAATGGATTTCCCCGAGGCTCCCTTTTTACAGGGTCATAAAGCATGTTTGAATCCTAGTCAGGAAGTTCACCTAAGTTTCCTAAATCTCAGTCCAAGTTTCATCTTGTATTGCTTTTTGTATTTCTTAAATTTCTAGTAAATTAGAGCTATTTTTGTCCAAATTGCCCAAGCATTATGACTCCTGCTTTTTTTTTTTTTTTTAACTTGAGTGTTAGGATAGTCTACTGCTTTGATCTCTTGGGGTTTTATATTTTCCAACAACCTGGAGATAAATATCTTAATTGTGCATTCATTAATTCCTTCATTAAAATATTTATCAAGAAGATACTCTTCTAGGTGTTGGTATTATATCAATGAACAAAACAAATCATAATCTCCTGACTTCAAGGAGTTTTCATTCTAAGGAGTGGTGGTAGGGAGAGATACAATGAATAAGTATACAAATTAATATGTAGCATAGTATTATAAATTGATACATTTTAGGAAGAAAAATAGATAAGGATAAGGGAATGGAGAGTAATGGATATGCTGGAGGGTGATCACAGAGGTGGCCTTTGACTGAGCTTGATTTAGTAGTTGTGTAATGTTACTGAATGTGACTTGTATTTTGGGTAAGGTGGATAAGAAAGGTCTTTCCAGTAAAGTGGAATTTAAGCTGAGACTTGAATAAGGAGAGAGAATGAGCTATGCCAGTATCTGGATGACAAGGATTCCAGGCAGAAGAAATAGCAAGTGTGAAGGCCCTGAGATCAGAATGTGCTTTAATATGTTCAAGGAGTAGTGAAGACACTGATTTGAACTGTAGTGGAATGTACTAAAAAGAGAATGGCAGAAGATGAGGCCAGAGAGGTGAAAAGGTTAAAGCTCATGTTGGGCATAGAAGGCTGAATCGGTGTATTTATCCAATGCCTATACTCCCATTGTATCTAGGAAATAACTAACTTGCTTTTGATTTTACAGGCTTATAGGCAGAAGGGACTTGTCTTGTCTCAGATGAGACTTTGGACTGTGGCCTTTTGAGTTAATGCTGAAATAAGTTAAGACTTTGGGGGACTGTTGGGAAGGCATGATTGTGTTTTGAAATGTAGGAACATGAGATTTGCGAAGGGCCGGGGTGGAATGATATGATTTGGCTGTGTCCCCACCCACATCTCATCTTTAATTGTAGCTCCCATAATTCCCACGTGTCATGAGAGGGACCCAGGGGGAGGAAATTGAATCATGGGGGTGAGTCTTTCCTGTGCTATTCTCGTGATAGTGAATAAGTCATATGAGATCTGATGGTTTATAAAGCAGAGTTCCCCTGCACATGCGCTCTTGCCTGCCGCCATGTAAGATGTCCCTTTGCTCTTCCTTCATCTTCCGCCATGATTGTAAGGCCTCCAACAGTCAAGTGGAACTGTGAGTCCTCCAAACCTCTTTTCTTTATAAATTACCCAGTCTTGGGTATGTCTTTACTAGCAGCATGAGAACACACTAATACAAATGGAAACATGTAACAAAATTTCAATATGTTTGCTACATATTTCTGTCAAAAATACAGATATAATTTGTTCTAGGTATAGAACATTAGCCCATATTGTCCAGGCCAGACTGACGTAAATTCATGTAGAGAATTTTTGTGGTTTTACTTTTGGAGCTGAGGCTAGGAGAGGAAGGAAACACTTCTCATATGCTTATGTGTCACTCTCTTAAACACTGGTGTACCTCATGTAGATAATTCTCAGCCGAAGGTGCACTCTGGATTATGGAAGAGGGTAAGATATCTGTAGTTGTTAAATTTCACCTTAACTTATTCTGAAATGGCCCTGAAAATGTGCAGTGACTTTGTCTTGGCCATCAAAGATAGAAATCTCTGATGCTACTCTATTTGAGCATTTGTTCACTTTATCTTGATGTCGGTTACATTGAAACAGTATTTGAATGATGTGGGGAAGGACACTTTTTTTCGTTTGTGGTTCTGGACAGTATCTGTTGCATGCTCTTCAGGGAACAAGCCACACAGATTTCATGTAAGAGGAACTTCAAGTGTTGTGAGAATGAAAGAAATGGAAAAGGAAGGTTCAGCAGTAATCAGACATATTTAAAAATCCCCTCCATAGGATGACTGAGCAGAGTATCTATGTCTGTACCATAAAGTACAGTATGGTAGCATTTAAATTTTAAAATTAAACTTTAAAATATTGTAATGTGTCACTTAAAATTGGGGTTACATCTGACAAATGTGGTGTTAGGTGATTTCATCATTGTGTGAATATCATAGAGTGCACTTATACAAATCTAGATGGTATAGGCTACTACACACCTAGGCTATCGTGGTGTAGCCTGATACTCCTAGGCTACAAGCTTGTACAGCATGTTATTGTACTGAATACTGCAGGCAATTGTAACACGATTGTAAGTATTTGAGGTAAACATATCTAAACATAGAAAAGATATAGTAAAAATATAGTATTATATCTTATGGGACAACCATCATATATTTGATTGGTTATTGACCAAAGCATCATTATGCCATACACAACTGTACAAGCAATTATTTTTTAATTATAAGAGTAATACATGTTTAAAGTAAAAAAAAATCTGACTACTGTTAGCAGCAGTGAATTCATATGGGTCTGCAGCAACCTCAGTTCTTGCCTCCTCAGAAGAAAGAATTCGACTGAGGGGCCTAAGGCAGAGTGAGAGATGGAGGCAAGTTTTAGAGCAGGAGTGAAAGTTTATTAAAAAGCTTAAAGCAAGAACGAGAGGAAGTAAAGTATACTTGGAAGAGTGCCAAACTGGCAGTTTGAGAGATCAAGTGCTCCGTTTGACTGTTGAGTTGGGGTTTTATACATTGGCATACTTCCAGGGTCTTGCATCCCTTCTCCTCAGTGATTCTTCCCTTGGAGTGGGCTGTCCACATGTGCAGTGTGTTCACTGGAGTTGTACAGATGCTCAGTTGAGGTGTCCTTCTCTTACCAGTCAAATGTTCCTGGAAGGTCATAAACTAGTTAAACTCCACCATTTTACCTCTTAGTGCGCATGTTTGAGCCCACTCGCCCAACTCCTAAGATATTTTGGGAAGCTGCTGATCACCAGTTTCAGGTTTTTTTCTGTCTATTGGGAGACTGCCTTTCCCTGGCACTAGCTGTGACCAATTATTATTTTAGAGCGACAGTGTGACAACTGCCTGACCATCACCTGTTGGTTACCTGATATTCCTGGTGGGTTGGGGGCTATCGCCTACCCTGCTCATGCCTGTCTAGCTACCTACAATAACACTATTAGATAAATGTAAGGTCAGAATAAAAATTCTGCTTCTAGGCTCACACCCTAAATAATAGTCTTACATTTTTTGTGTTTAGTTATGTTCAATACAAATATACCTCTACACCTAGTGGATGATTATTTATCTCAGAGTCTGAATATTGAAAATACCCTAAATGGAATTAATAAAAGGCTTTAAAAAGTTTTTTTTTAAATGTACTGAAACCATCTTTGCAAAAATTATATCAGCGGAAAACGATGTCAGTGAAAGAGATCTGAGTTAACCTATTACCCATCTTGCCTTTCTCTTAATTATTTCTGGGCTATTTGGCTAAGCCAACTTTGGAAGACATTTAGCCTATAGTTTAAATTATCATAGGCCTTGCCCCAAACTCAACTGCTTTTGTAAAGCTAATGGGAGGCCTTCAGGCTTGTGGGAAGGGGAGGAGCCTGAGTGCTGCTAAGGCACAGACATAAATGATTATCGGCCATTATTCCAGAGACTATAAGATATGCAACTTCTCCAATTACTCCTACAAATAACATTACCATTGTAGAACCTAAGATTGGCCTTTTTCGAGATCTTTTTAGGTACTTTTTGCATGTCCGACACCCACCAACCCCATGCCTGTTGCCCCACCCAGAGGCAATTCAGCCCACAGGAGGACAGCTCTGATCCTCTGTGATTTCATCTCCACCCCAACCAATCAGCAGCAAGTATTCATTACCTGGTGACCCCCCGCACCACCCCCAAATTGTCTTTGAAAAACCCCTTACCTACAAGCTCTGGACAAGATGATTTGAGTATAAACTCTATCTCCCGCACGGCATGGCCAGCTGGCCCCATGTCTATTAAACTCTTTCTCTTCTACAATACCGTAGTCTGTTTGTCTGTTTTTATGCATCAGACAGGAAGAACCCCTTAGACAGTTATAATACCAGTTGAATGATGGAAGAATGTTAAGCTCATGTTTCTGTTACCTTATCATGGAGTAATCAGCTTAATCCAAATGATCCATCAGTGACATCAGAGCCGCCTAAGCTGTGAGATGCAGATCAAATGATATGCAACACAGGAGTGGGTTGCAGTTGTTATGAACAGGAGACAGGGAAATACTGGGTAGAAAAGGGTGGTTCCCTGATAAAGGCCCCACCCTCAAGCCTGAAGACTGACCTCATGGCCCTAAACGAGGACAGGCATTCCTGTTTTCATGCCCAAAACATTGCCTTTTGGCCCACCACACCTCCTATTCTGCACACATATACACCCTGAACCCCAGGCTCCAGAAGCAGATCTGCAAGCTAGAGCAGCAGACAGACAGTGGAACAACATGGCAGAGAAAGAGAGAAGAGGAGTGTATTAGTCCGTTTTCATGCTGCTGATAAAGACATACCCAAGACTGGGCAATTTACAAAAGAAAGAGGTTTAATTGGACTTACAGTTTCATGTGGGTGAGGAAGCCTCACAATCATGGTGGAAGGCAAGGAGGAGCAAGTCATGTCTTACATGGATGGCAGCTGGCAAAGAGAATGAGAGCCAAGTGAAACAGGTTTCCCCTATCAAACCGTCACATCTCGTGAGACTTATTCACTACCAAAAGAACAGTATGGGAGAAATCGCCCCATGATTCAATTATCTTTCACCAGGTCCCTCCCACAACACATAGGAATTATGGGAGTACAATTCAAGATGAGATTTGGGTGGGGACACAGAGCCAAACCACATCAAGGAGGAACGTCTGAATGCTGAAAGGAGTCCAGCTGGGGGCATTCAGAGAGGAGTCGGGCCAATGGGTGGCCCAGCTCCAGGGGAAGATCACCTTCCCACTCCATCCCCCACCTCCAGCTCCCCATTCATCCTGCTGAAAGCCACCTCCACCACTCAGTAAAACCTCACATTCATCCTTCAAGCCCGTGTGTGACCCGAATTTTCTGGGACACTGGGCAAGAACTAGGGATACAGAAAGCTGTCACACTGGCCCTCTGCCTTTGTGAAAAGGCAGAGGGTCCATTGAGCTGGTTAACACTCAAGCTGTCTGTGGATGGCAAAGCTGAAAGAGCTTTGTAACATTGGGTTTGCAGGCACTCAGTCCTAGACACTACTGCAGGGCCTGAGCCCAATAGCACTCGCTCCGGGCTCTGCACCTGCCTGTCTGCATGCTTCCCCTCCTGCAAGGGGTTTGAGCAATGGGGCGACTGAACAGGTGAGCCATAACCATGTTGCACGTCCTGCGAGGAGGATCAGGGAAGTCTCCCATTTACTCTAGTAGTCTTGCTCGTAATGCATGAGTTGTCACAGTTTTCAATTATTTGTGTGTGTTGATATGTAAGTCACATTGAAATTCAGTGAATATATACGAGCAGGGTTGCAATCTCTTTTCTGAAATCCTTAGGCCAGTTTTATGCTGGAATAAGGAATCTTTCAGAATTTTAGAAAGATAGTTTGGTACACTGTTAAAGGAAACCAGAGTCAAGCAGTAAAGCGGTAAAAACAGATTTTATTCAGGAACTAGTGCAATATGGGAAGACAATCCTCAGTCTAGAACTGAGCTTAATTCCAAATACTGCATAGACAAGTGGGAATTTATAACCAAGGAGCAAGGTGAAGGTTAGTGAATGGGAAACTCCTAAGAAGAAACATCGGGGTAAGGGGAGATTCTGGCTGAACTGACTTAACAGGATTCTTGCTGCAGGCAGGCCAGGGTGATCAGATACCAAGGATGGGAATGAGGAATTTGATCAAATACTGAGAGTAATGTGGTATCAAGGATGGAGAATTCTTGCCAAACTTATTTAGCAAGACTCTTGCTAAAAGGGTGATGCTAAAAGGAGCACTGAAGCCCAAAGGCCAGGGCCTACTTGAGAAGAGGGTTCAGAGGAGGCCACATAAAGTTTTGTCAAGAAGAGTCTTCATCAGCACACACCATATATTTTGTAATATCAGCAGGTTTGGTTTGCAATATCACTTAATAAAATACATTAATACCTCTTCAGTGAAATGTAGGAATAATCAGATTTTGCTGCCAACTGAATTATGAAAAACTTTCAATTTTCAGATCTGTTTGGATTTCAGAATTGGGGACTGGTGAAATATCCTACTTTTAAATTCTTATAATAAAAAGGAAAATCAAGAGAACATATCTAAAAGATTTTGGCACTTGATCGAATCTTTCTTTTTTTCAAATAATGTCTTCTTTTGGAGTTAAGAAATGTGGACTCCAGAAATATCATTGATTATAGGTCAGATTTTAGCTATTTAGATCAGTTACTTTATGAATATACAAAATAGAAGATAAACACAAATGGGCGTATTAGGAAGCCTGTACTGAGCAAATCTCCCAGCCTGTAATGAGAGACCTTGGTGTAGTACAGAGGAGGATCTTTTTAAATAACATAATTTGGTTACGGTGTAGTAGGTTGGGGTATTATTTGGAAATAAAAGAAGTTTCTTACGTGAGGATTTTTGACTAAGAACACAAGTCCTTAATGGAGTAGTTTCCTAACCCATGCTTTTGTGGTTTCGACTGAGTGCGGTACATGTCTAAAGGGAATGTCTCATATAAAACTGAAGCTTGCTTTTATATTTCAAGTAGTTATTTAGATACCTCATCTCTATTGTATGATCCTCTGATTTGAACATAGCTTGTCTTTCGTTTTTATCCAGTTTCCGTGACTCAAACCCTCATGTTAGGCCAGAATGTGGTAATAGAGGCAATTATGCCATTAAGTATGCAGCCCAGCCCTCAGATTAAGGTTTCACACCTGGGTATCATTATTCTTTCCCATATCAATTTATTATTTAAGGGCTTATTATTTGAAAGCCCTTATAGCACATAAGCAATTAGGGTAGCTGAGAGTCTGTCTGTATTAAATGTATTTATTTTGCTTTCCTAGCTTTTTATGCCAGAATAATTAAATCTCCTTCTAGTGTGTCAGTAGCAGACTGTTCTGAAACTGACAGCACTCTTTCCTCCCCTCTTCAATAACAAAAAACCCACAGAGACTGACAGATTAATAATAAACACAAAGAAAGGAAAGAGAAAACAGAACACATACTAGTTGAGAGGATATTTCTCCTTTCAGTCAGCACTGAAGTACTGAATATATCTGATTTTTTTAAAAAACAGATTTTTACATTCTTAGTGGTGCTACTGTTGACTGTGTAAGAAACAACTTACTCTTTGGAAATGAATATTCAATATAGCAAATTTGTACAATAGAGTATGTGAGTAATAAGGTATTATACTCAACATTTAAAATGAAATGACCTGTTTCATAGGACATTTTTGGGATAAGGAAATGGGTTGACTTGACCTCAAGGGAATATTCATTTGCATGTGCTTTGGATGCAAAGAACACTTTGCAAATTTTGAATATTACCATGTGGCTGTTGTAGCAGAATAGCTGGTCTCTTTTCTAAAGAGTATATTTGCATATGATAGTTTAACAGCTTTTCCCTTTTGTTCCTAGAAGATTAAGTCTCAGTCCTAGGAGAAAATAAATTAAAGGTGGTTCCTTACAATTTGAAAAAGCATAATTTGAAGATAAGAGGAAACTCTGAAAAGCAGCTTTCACATCTGAAGGCTCAGAATAAGAAATACTGTTTTTCTCTGAATGTACCAGCATTGCTGTTCCTACTTTTTGGTGTGGTTGTGTCTCCAGAAGCCCTGTGAAGTCTAAATAACTCCTCAAAATCTTCTGCATCTATTGTTTGTCTACTTAGTGAAATCTAACCTTCAGCATTTCACTCTCTTGGGTCAGGGCCTTGACCCTTTGCTTAAAATTTAAATTTCCTTGGTGGGTTCATGGGAGAACACAGAGATAAGTGTTCTCTGAACAACAGTGGTGACCTTAAGATCTATATGGAAAAAGAACACTGGGCTTAAAGAAAAATTAGAAAACTGCATAGGTACTCTACCCTTGGATGTTCACAGTACTCATTAGCATTATTCAGTGGGAGGAATAGTCTTCTAATTTTTTTTCAGGTGTCTCAAACATTTGACCTTGGGATTTTTTTTTTTTTTTTTTTCCAGATAATACCTTTTAGAGTTCTTGGTACTAGTATCCGCTGGACTATACTTAGGGATATCATGCAATTTCCTGGATAAATACCTTAGAACTGTCTGTTGATTGCTTAAAGATATTCATTTTATCTTCACAAGAAGAGAATTTCTTTGGGGCTCTTCATAGTGGTGGCTCCCATTAGACTGTAGCCAATGTTTAAAAATTATTCATAACACTTGTTAAAGAATGGTAAGGCCGACTATTCAGGACCATCACCATAGGTGTAGGGACCTTTGCAGTAGGGTTTTGCAGTGTGGGAGAGAGATTAGGTTCAACTCGGAATAAACAGTGGAAAAGTGGGAATTTATAGCCAAGGAGCTAGATAGGAGCCAGTGGATGGAAAACTACTAAGAGGAAACATCAGAAGTAAGGGAGAATTCTGGCTAACCTGACTTAAGACTCTGGCTGAAGACAAGCTAGGGTGATGAGATATCAGGAACCCAATCAGATATGGAGGGTGATTAGTATTGAGAGGAAGAGGAATTTGGCTAACCCAAAAAGTCCAGGATCTTTGCTAAAATTAGACAATTCAGAGAGGAACATGGAAGCCCCAAAGTCAGGGCCTAGTGAGAAAACAGTTCAGAGGAGCCTGAGTAGTATTTGGTCAAGGAGAGAATCTTTATCACCAGCCAGGGACCATAGAATTCTCTTGTCTTTCTGCTGAGGAGCAAGTGGATAGGACACAGAGGAACTGGTGTGCTTCTTAAAGGTATTAGGTCAGCAATTAGGAAACTCACTGGCTGACATTTTTAGTTTTGCCTGTACTTTGACAAATATTATATAGAAAACCTTCGCTAAGCTTCAGTGAGTATCTGTAATCTATATTCCACTGGAGCACCGCCAATTCTTTGTGGTGACATTTGTTCTTTACCAAACTTTGTCTCCTTAAATATTCTGAAGGACAAAATGAGGTTTAGAAATACCATACAGAAATTAGAGGACTAAACTTTAAAAATCTCCATTAGGTTTTCCTGTGTAGATATTTGTGACTGTTCTTCTGCTAAATTTGATTCAGTTTGTTTTATTTCTCTGTTTTTTTTTTCTTTTTCTTTTAAGTTTTGGAAAAGAAGCTAAGTGTCACATTGAAGCAATTTTCAGATTAATTAAAGTAGAGAACACAGTAAGGCTCATCTATATTTTGTGCTTTGTTTGCAAAGCTTCTTAAAAATAATGTCTTTCCCAGTTACTGCTACATAGGCCTATAGTGGATGCAGCATCTTTCTACAATAGCAGATTAAACAATATTGTACTTTTGAATGAAATTAGGGAACTGAGGACTTGAATTGGCAATGTAACAAAAGTCTACTATCTCTGAGGGAATGTGTGCTATTGATTCTAACTAAAAATAATAGTAGTACACTCAAGGAAACCAGGAGAATAGCTTAAAAAGCCACTGGGATGTGGCGGTAGTGGTGTAGATTATTCATGATTTAAAAAACAGAGTACAACATTTTGAAAACATTTCTGATATTTTGTTAACTATTTTAGTAGAAGACTGTTTTTGACAAGACTCTCATACTCTGAACAAGTTATTTATTGTTTTATTAAAATATAATACACTTGTGTCTTGCTCCTGATGGGCCTTTTCCAAAAAACAAACAAGTTATACCTAGAGAGTTCTGCCTAGCACACATCTGGAAATTAACTTCTGTTATTTCTTTAATTGGTAAAATTAGATTAAGTCATACATGTCGAATGAGAATCAAATGAGACATAGAATCAAATGAGTTGAATATGTGAATAGTGATATTCCCCTCTACCTATTACTTCCAAATGAACGCAAGTAAGAATTTTAAGAAAAATAATGTTGGTCACATAAGGAGTGTTTGTTTTAGATCCAGGATATGTTTACAGGATGCCAGATACTTATGGAAATTTAAATATCTATGAATATTTGAAAAGCATTAGCTCCATTAGGACATAGAGTCTGACTTTTCTCACTGTTATATTTCCAGCACACAGCACTGTCTTGTAGTTAGCACTCAGTAAATATTTATGGCATGGATAGGTGAATGAATAAATGAGTGGAATATTTGAATCTTTCTTTGGTTTTAATCCTGATTTTTTGAGATTGTACAAACATAACAAGAGTATACTTTCAAACTGATTCATAGTTAATATGGGATACCTGGTGACCTAAGAAACAAACCTGACTTTCCTAACTACTGAAGTCTCATTTAGGAAAAAAAAAAAATACAGGATGCCTGGCACATACTTAAACTAAAAAATTCTTCGTTGTTGATCTGAACTTCAAATGTAAGTAGGCATCTGTGTTTTTTATTTGCTAATTCCTGGCAATTCTATAAAAACAGAGTGATGTTGCTGGTGTCCGAAGTTAGTTTCTGTAGAAAACTCTCTCGGGGCGCCTTTCTGTTCCCTTTGAATCACTCTGTCCACCCATCCTTCAGCTTTTCCAGGCTTTGCTAGTAACTTCTTCCGTCTTCAGTTTAGTCCAGATGATTGCCTTTGGGCTGGCTCTAGAGCCACCTTGTCCACAAGGGCAAGTTTTGCCCCCAGGATGAGGCTGAGTGTGGAGCTTGATCTGAAACTCCATTCTTGCTTGGCTGCTTCTTCTCTATTCTGCTTTTCCCACTCCCTAATTGGCTTCTCCTGGGAGCACTTACTTAGTGAATCAACTACAGGTGCAGGACCTGCTTCTAGTATACCTGATCTAAGATGATTTTTTAGGCTATTTACCTCTATGTAGAAAGAAGGTTTACCACCAAAAAAAAACAAGCAATGTAAATCTTTAAAAACGTTCTCACTTGAAAGAAGTCTTTCACTTTTCACTAAGCTTTAGATCATAAGCGAGTACTCTGTTTACCATGTGGTCCTAAAGAGTAGCAACAGAACTTCCTTCACCGAATGGGCTGTGGTAAGAGCACAGTGGGCCACAGAAATTCTCTTTGTCATGGTAAAATCAGAACTACAGCCAAAATGGAAGTGGGTTAACATGCTGAGGTTGCAGTATGGACTCTCCTGAGGATGAGAAATGCAATATGTCAGGTAAGTTCATTTATGTAAAGTTTTCTCTGGTGTGTTGTTTCTACAAATAGCAAATATCCACTTTAGTCTTACCTTTTTTTTTTTCCTGGAGAGATTTGTGGATTGTGGTTGGGTCAGTCATCTTGTTCTCAGATTGAACCTAGATTGCCATCTAATTTACATGACCCAATGCATGTTGGCTGGGGATATTCTAATGAAGAACCGTATCTTCATCATCTATTCCTGCATAGCAAATTACTCCAAAATTAGCAGCTTAAGACAACAAACTTTTATTATCTTGCACAATTTCTGATGGTCAGGAATCTGGCTGTTTACCTGGGTGTTTCTGACTTAGGGTCCTTCATGATGCTGCAGTCAGTCCTTCAGCGAGAGCAGTATTCTCTCAAGATTTGGCTGGGGTTGAGGGATCCACTTCCAAGCTCACTCACATGGTTCATTGGGCTGCCCATGACATGACTCCCACTCCAGTGAGTGACCTGAGAGAGGGAGAGAGCTCGCACAGGAGGCACTGAAGACAGAAGCTGCAATCTTTTGTAACCTAATCTCATAAGTGACATACCATTACTTCTGCCATGTTCTATTCATTAAAATAGAATGAGCTCATATTAAAGCGCAGGAGAGTTAAGCTCCACTTTTGAAGGGAGGAGTATCAGAGAATGTGTGGATATACTGTTTTTTTGTTTTGTTTTGTTTTGTTTTGTTTTGTTTTGTTTTGAGATGGAGTCTAGCTCTGTCGCCAGGGCTGGAGTGCAGGGCGTGATCTTGGCTCACTGCAACTTCCACCTCCCAGGTTTAAGGGATTCTCCTGCCTCAGCCTCCCGAGTAGCTGGAATTACAGGTGCCTGCTACCACGCCCAGCTAATTTTTGTATTTTTAGTAGAGATGGGGTTTCACTGTGTTGTCCAGGCTGGTCTCGAACTCCAGACCTCATGATCCACCCGCCTTGGCCTCCCAAAGTGCTGGGATTACAAGCATGAGCCACCGCTCCCAGCCATGGATATACTTTTAAAACCACCATAAGTGGTGTTCCCCAGAGTAGCAGTACTTGAATGGATTACTTTTATTCAGCAGATATTTAAAGAATACATTTATGTACCATATATAAAGAGAGCACATATATGTGGAAATCTAGAAGCTTCAGATAAAAAGGATGAATAAGACAAAGTTCCTACCATTAAGATACTGGAAGAGTGAACCATTTATTATCACATTATTGCAGTGGAAAACCACTTTGTAGCAGAGGTTCTCAACCCTGGCTACACAGTAGAATAGCTAGGGTGCTTTCTAAATATATGGATATCTGATCCCACCGAACAACACTTAGTAAAAATCTTTGTGGATGGGGTCCGGACATCAATACTTTTGAAAGTTTTTCAGGTGATTATAATATGGAGCCAGTTGAAAATTGTTTTCCAGTTTAAAATTTGCTCAGCATTTACTGTGATTTGACTTAGTTTGAGTTCCTCCAGAAGCTGACCCTGTGACAAAGATTTTAGTGGAGGTAACTTATTCTGAGGTGATCCTAGAAATTGTTCACAAAGGAATGGGGAAATGAGACAGGGAAGGCAAGGAAGCCTATCCAGAATGCATTAGCAATCAGGTTACCACTGCGATGGGGAACTATGGAGACAGTGTAGATCACTCTTCTTCTTCTTCTTCTTATTTTTTTTTTGAGATGGAGTCTCGCTATGCCACCCAGGCTGGAGTGCAGTGGCATGATCTTGGCTCACTGCAACCTCGCTTCCCAGGGTCAAGTGATTTTCCTGCCTCAGCCTCCCAAGTAGCTGGGATTACAGGTGCATGCCACCATGCCTGGCTAATTTTTGTATTTTTAGTAGAGACAGAATTTCACTATGTTAGTCAGGCTGCTCTCAAACTCCCGACCTTGTGATCTGCCCACCTTGGCCTCCCAAAGTTCTGGGATTACAGGCATGAACCACTGCACCCGGCCGATCACCCTTTAGTGTTATACTTAGCCTACATCTCCCACTTCCAGGGGCAGGGGAGATAAGGTGTTTGTTCATCATGTTCATTACTCAATGAGTATTCATTACATCATGTTTATTACTCAATGACTGAGGCTGCTCCCTGGCAGAGTCACAGGTTCTTATAGCTGAAAGCAATCCAAGTCAGTCTGCAAGAATGTAAGAGCTGAGGGGATATTCGAAGGGCACTAAGAGTGTCTGCCATACTCCTTAATTTTTTAACTTGTAGGATGTATTTACTGCTTCCTTCTTTGAAAGGTATTTGGCTAGGCTAAATGAGATAATTAGCCTGTATAAAGTTCCTAATACAGTGACTAGGGGATAATAGGACCTCAGTAAATGTTGGAGTGGCGAATAAGACCTTCTCTGTTACTTAGAAGTTTTTTTTAAGCAGGTGGGTATGAAGATGATCATATCACTTAAGTCAAGTGAAGTAGTGATCCTACATAGCTTAAGGTAATTCCAGGAATTAAGTGAATTTTAGCACTTATAACAGCAAATAACAGGGATACAGAGCTATGTCTGGGAGAGAATTTGAGCTTTGGATTTAGGCAAATCTGGGTCCAAAACTTGGCACTACTACTTATTAGCTGTTGTCATTGGGGAAGTCACTTAACCAGTCAGATTCTTATTTATAAAGTGGAAATAATACCTACTTTACTAAAGAATTGCATCTGGAAAGATATAAAATAAAATCTGTAAAGAGTATAACACAGTGCTTAGTATAGGCATTTAGTTCCCCAGTGAACCCCATGTTGTGTTTGGAATCATAGTCACATTAATTCCACTTTCTTACTAATTGCAAGCTCCCACCCATGGAGAAAATTCAGCAAGTTGCAGAGTTCTTTTACCAAAGTATTTCTAAGAACCCCCAGAAAAGTATCTTAGTTGTGCCTGCCGGTAGTCTTATTGCTGTTATGGCCAGGCAAGCAAGGGCTCCCAGACAGTGGTCTTGATTTACCAGTAGATATCTGTTCCCGATTGTGCCGAACCTTCGGGATTAAACTCTGCTGACACTGCCTGAGTAGCAAAGCTGTACTCTTGCATAATAACAGTTACTAAGTATTTACTGTGTTTCAGGCACTGTTGCGTTTTATGTAAAATTTAAAAATCTGATCTGCAGAACAAACAATGTTATTGTCTCCAGTTAACTGATGTGCTTGAGCCCAGCAGTTTGAAGTGACAGTGAGCCATGATCATGCCACTGCACTTCAGTTCGGGTGACAGAGTGAGACCCTGTTTCAAAAAATAAATAAAATAATAAAAAATAATAATTTTTAGAAGTCCTGCTTGGTATTACCTGTGATTTTTGGATCTGTGGTTTGGTGTCTGTCTTTACTTTGGAAAATTCTCCACTGTGATTTCTTCAAATATTTCTTTTGCTTTGTTCTCTCTCTCTTCTCCTTTTGATATTCCAATTATACTTACGTTAGACTTTTATATATTGTCCTACAGTATTGAATTATCTGATTTTTTCCCACCTTTTATTTTTTTCTATATTTCAGTTGAGTAATTTCAATTGACTCAGCTTCCAACAAATTAATTTTTCCCCTTGTGTTAAGTCTACTGATGAAACTGGCATTCTTCATCTCTATTATCCTTCATTTCTATTAGATTTGTTCTGATAGTTTCTGCTTCTCTGTTGAAATTGCCTACCTGATTTTGCATGTTATCTGCCTTTTCTATTAGAGCCTTTAACATATGAATTATAGTTATTTTAAATTCCTTATCTGATAGTTCTAATTTCTCTTCATATCTGTGTCTGATTCTGTTAATTTGTCTCTGACATGGTGCTTTTTTTATTCTTACTTTTCTGTAATCCTTATAATTTTTTTGGTTGAAAATCAGACATCTTGTGTAGGATAGTAGAAACTGAGGTAAATAGTTTTTGTGCTTGAAAATGAGTACACGTACACATTTTCTTCCCCTTTAGAGTAGGGATTTGTTGTTGCTGTAATTACTCTCAGTGTACTACAGACTACAGATTTCTCTGGGATTACTTTATATTTAGGGTGGGAGTTCATTTTCTGGAGGTTTTTCTCAATATTTGCTCAATTCGTAGCTTTAGGTGTCCCCTTTGTTCTGTGTCAGAGAGGTCCCCTCTTCATATTCCTGCCTCTCTTCCAGCCGGGTATCAGGGTTAATTGCTATTTAATGCTTGTTGGCCTGATTGAGGGGTGGGGTGGGTGAAAGTGGCATTATCTGCTGCAGTTAAGCCTCAGTCTTAGGCAGCTGCTGTGTCCATGGGTACAAGGGTTGGTCTTCTTAGAGCTGCTGCCCCATTCCCAGCTGTAGACCTGGGCCCAGCATATATATTCCTGTCCCTTCTGCATAGGTGAAGGCTATGTGTGTGTGTGTTCACTCATTAAAATAGGTTTATACCAGGGCCCTAAGGGTGACAGTGTTTATTGCACTTTCTCTAGCAATTTAAAACTTTGGTTCTGACGGGAAAATAATCTGGGTGACTGCTGTTCCCTTTTGCAAGTGTGCACCAAGAGGAACTGTTTCTCTAGACTTTCTCCAGTTTGTGTGTGTGTGTGTGTGTGTGTGTCTGTGAGAGAGAGAGAGGTCTGTGGGAAAGAGCCTATAAGTGTGTGCAAAATACCCTTGTATCTTTAACTTCCCAGGGAGTGTACATTCTTTCATGAGCCCACGCTTGGCCTTTATTAGTTTGGTAAAATTTTTGTTGAATTCTTCCCAGTGTCTGGCTGTGTGTCTCTTAGGTAAGCAAGTGCTGGTGTCCTGAATCTTCTTGAAAGCACCTGTCTTTCTGTACATTTTCAGTTTGTTGGTTGCCCTGAAGTTTTAGCCTTCTGATAAGTTCAAGAAAAATAATGAATTTTCACATTATCCGATGTTTTTTGGTTTTATTTTAGTAAGGGCAGGAGCATGTTCTTTTCGGTTTCCTACATCCCTGTCAAGTCCCACCTGTTTCTAAAGGAAGTTTTACCTTGTTGATGAGGCAGAACCAGGATACAAATTAGACAGTGATTTTAGGCTCCATATTCTTAGCCACTTGGCAACTGAGTTGCTTCATATGTCATTATGTCATTGTTAGTGTGTCATTTGATGTGATCTAAAATGTGGCACAGAGTCTGCTCACATAAGCTTCCTGGACTAAGATTTTGTTTAGGGATCCTACAACTCATATACCTTTAATTTAATAATCTCTGCAATATCATTCCCAAGTAAGAAAGCAGCAAAAAACTCAGAATTTCAGTTTTGTGCTTTTAACACTACTTAACAGTTAACAAACTCCACTGTTCTAAAAACCTGCTTCTGTTTAGTTCCCTTTTTTGACATATCCTCATCTGCCTCAGCCATTTTTCTTTTCCCCAGTGCCTGCATATCTTTTGGGTCAAATAATTACAATGATAGCAAACATGTAAACAGCACTTAGTATATGCTAAGCATATGCAAATTTACTCCTCACCACAATCCTATGACAGACACTATTAATATCATCCCTGTTTCTAGATGAGGAAAACTGAGGCATGGAGAGGTTAAGGTTCACACTGCTTATGGTAGAACAGGGATCTGAATCAATATTTTCTGGTTCAACACATCAGGTTTTTAACCTAACTACTAATTATCTAAGGTTGCTAATTACTTGCATAACATTTCTCTATTTTTTTTTTAGCGACTAGTTGTTCTGAGCACATCCCTCATAAAGAAAACTACTGGCTGTGTTTTCCAATCTGGGATGATCCTGGCCTCTTAGTCAGCGTTCCCCACTTTTGCTCTGACCACTTAGCTTTTATGCATCGTTCCCATACTCCATGCCCTAAGGCTAGTCTCTGACTCTCTCTGCTTTCTGGCTTTCCCTGCCCCAGATGTTTTATACTGTTTTCTTTTGTTTGTTGAAAGAAACAAATTCCCAATATCTCTAACATATAATCTTTAACAAAAAACCTTAAATCCTCAAACTAAACAGAACTTAAGTGACCATATGGTGGGTTTGTCCAAGGTAGGGAAGGTGGTTTTTTTTTTTTTTCATATGTATAAAAAGGAAAAACATAATTACATAATTATAATCATTAGTTCATATATCTTTGTTAGAAAACTTGAATGCCATGATTGAGGGGGAAATTACTAAACCACTCCACGTATTCACTTACCTCAATATTTTTTTCACCCCAACAATAGAACAATGATCTCAGTTCTGTTACCTGTGAAGTCATTCTGTTTTGGTACTTCCCATTATTCATTCCTGTCCTTCCACCACCTCCATTTTTGATATATCACTCACTTTGGTTGCATCTGCCTTTAGGGGCTATTTCTAATGACAATGCTTAAGTGTAATATTTACCAAGTTAATAATAATGTGTAATAATGAGGAAAAGTGGCACAAGTAAGCTGCATTCATACATTACCTTTTAAAATTAACAAATGCTAAGACAATTGAGGTGCTAAGCATGCTCAGTTTACATTCACTGAGTGTGTGCACTTGGTGACATTACCTTCTAATACATATTAAGGCTAGATTAGTTACTGTGGTGTGTCATTTATCTAAACATAATTTGTGACCTTAAGCTTCCTGTTTGTTCTCGTCTAAACTCACCTTAGGAGCCAAATTTAATATGATTTTTTCCTAGTACTAGTGCTTATAGAAACCCATATTCTCTGACATTTAGAAAACAGTGTTGCCCACAAAAGCCATTAAAATCTAAAGAGATTAAATTAAAATTCATTTAAAGGCTTCATATGTCCCCTGGACATTCTTATTTTAAGATTTCAGTGTAAGATGAAGTTTTGCAGAATTCCTGATTTTAAAAAATCTTATAGGAGTTATACTTGTCTAAACTCAGTTTTTCTCACCCTCTTTTTCTTCTTCCTGATAGATGCTGAGATAACATCTTAAATAGAATATTTGGCTAATTTTATAGATGGAAATTCTGATATAGAAATATCTGTTCAGGTCTTTTGTACAGTTTTTAATGGATTTTTTTTTTAAATTTTGCCATTGTAATTTTTGAGTTCCTTATATATTCTGGTTATTAATCCTTGTTGAATAGAGAGTTTGCAAATATATTTTCTCACTCTGAAGATTGTCTCTTTATGTTGATGGTTATTTCCTTTGCTGTGCAGAAGCTTATTAATATAATGTGATCTCATTTATCTATTTTTGCTTTTCCTTCCTATATCTTTAAGTCTGTTTTATCTGATTTGAGTATAGCTATTTCTACTCTCTTTTGGCTTCTATTTGCATGGAATATCTTTTTCATTCCTTCCCTTTCGGTCTGTGTCCTTAAAGGTGAAGTGAGCGTCTTGTAGACAGCATATAGCTGAGTCTTGTTTTTTAATCAATTTGGACATTCTATCTTTGGATTAGAAAATTTAATCTATTTACATTCAAGGTAATTATTGATAAATAAAAACTTACTCCTGCCATTTTGTTAATTGTTTTCTGGTTGTTTTATAGATGCTTTCTTTCTCTCTTCCTCTCTTGTTGTCTTTTAGTGATTAAGAAGTGATTTTCTCTGGTGATATACTTCAATTTTTTTTACATTTGTCTTTTGTGTCTCTAGTACAGGTTTTTGCTTTGTGGTTAACATGAGGCCTACATAAAACACCTTATAGTCATAATGGCCTATTTTGAACTGATAGCAACCTTTGATCATATTAAAAAATGTTACACTTTTACTCCACCTTCTCTTTCCTTCCTGCATTTAAATTTTTTGATGTCACAGTTTACATCTTTTAATACTGTGTATCTTTTAAAAATTATTGTGGCTATTATATTAATAATTTTTTCTTACCTTCACCCTAAAGGTATAAGTGATTTACATACAACTATTGCAGTATTACAGAGTACTCTGAATTGATTGAATCTGATTTGCTTTTACCAGTGAGGTTTTATATTTCATATGTTTTCATGTTGCTAAGTAACATCCTTTTCTTTCAGCTTGAAGAACTGTCTTTAATGTTTCTTTCCATACAGGTCTAGTGATGATGAGTTCCCTCAGCTTTTGTTTGGGAAACAACAGCTTTATTTTTGAAGAACAGCTTTGCTGGGTAAAATATTCTTGGCATCTTTTCCTTTAGCACTTCAAATATGTCATCCCACTCATTTTTGGTTTGCAACATTTCTGCTGAGAAATCCACTGCTAGTCTTACTATTCCCTTGTGGGTGATAAGCTTCTTTTCTCTTGATAATTTTCGGATCCTCTCTTTGTCTTTGATTTTTGACAGTTTTCTTATAATATGTCTTGATATGGTCTTATTTAGAATGAATTTGATTGGAAACCACTGACCTTCCTGTACCTGGATGTTTACATTTTCCCTCCAGATTTGGAAAGGACATTCCTCTTGGCACTGAGTCTAACTTGTGAGCATTGATGACTGATGAGTAGTGCTTGTAGGTTAGTCAGAGTTGAGTCTTGAAACACAGGCACACATGGAGGGACTATGGCTCAGGGGTACAGGAAAGTAATGGCATTATTTATTAAAGTAAACTTTCTGTCCCTTTGTCTCTCTCTTCTTCTTGAACTGCTATAACTCAAATATTTCTCTTTCGATGCTATCTCATAAATCCCATAAACTTTCTTCAGTTCTTTTTATTCTCTTTCCCTTTTTCTCCTGTGACTATATATTTTCACATAACCTACATTTCAGTTTACAGTGTTTTCTTTCTGCTTGATATGTTTGGGGGTTGACACTGTCAGTTGCATTTCTCATTTCATTTATTGTACTTCTCAGTTTCAGAATTTTTTTTTAAATTCAATCTCTGTTAAATTTCTCAATTTGTTCCATGTATTATTTTCCTGATTTTATTGAATTGTTTCTCTATATTTTCTTAATGTTCACTGAACTTCCTTAAAACAGATATTTTAGTTTTTTTAACACAGTTCTTACATCTCCATTTTTTGGGGGGTTAACTAGTGGGAAATTATTATGTTCCTTTGGTGGTAATATGTCTCTTTGATTTTTCATGTTTCTTGTTGTTTTACATTGATGCCTGCATATTTTTTGGAGCAGATACCTTTTATAGGCTTAAAGGCTAGTTTCAGTATAGAAAGAACTTCCCCTAGAAGGGGATGTGAGAGAACTGGCTGAGTAGGGTGCAGAAATTCTAGCACCAGTGAGGACACAGCTGTGTAGTCTCTATGCAGGTCTGTCAGCTGAGGTCAGTGTTGAGAAAGATTACAGGAATCCTCAGTGGCCAACACTGTGGATGTCTGCAGTGGTGATGGGGTTTTGGGGGTCTTTGGTAGCAATTGCTAGTAAGGTCTTCCTGATCTCTTTTCCTTCCACTTTGGAAGCTGTGCCTGAGGACATTTCTCTTGGCACTGGGTCTAATTTGTGAGCATTGATGACTGGTGAGTGGTGCTTGTAGGTTAGTCAGAGTTGACTCTTGAAACACAGGCACACATGGAGGGACTATGGCTCGGGGGTACAGGGAGGTAATGGCATTTGTGCTTGGTATGCAGGCTACCCTCCTGACATGTTGGTAACAATATATGATATACAAGTGCTTGTGAAGCATCTAGGGAACTGAGAACAGGAGTATAGGTGTGCACAGAGTAATAGTGGCTCTGGGAATGGGGCAGGGACCTAGCTTTTTATGGTGGCTAATTTGGTGCCCAGAGCATGGACATGCTCAGAGGGACCTTGGCTCCAGGCCCTGGAGTGTGAACTAGTTTGCTGTGGTGATGCTTGTGATGTCTGAGACATGGATGACTTTAGTGTAGCCACAGAGCTTAGGTCTAGAGTATGGGTATTCATGGGGCAGCCACTTATTGGTGTAGGGGCACAAGCTGGGCTGGGAGAGGTGATGCCTCTATTCCTGAAGTGTCACGATTGTGGCTGCATCTTGGGGGTGGAAGGGGTTGCAGCCACTTCTCCCTCCTTTCAAGCTTCCTGGTAGGAATGACTACTGGTTACTTCAGTGACAAAATATGCAGATATCTTCTATTCTGTGGAGCAGGTCACTGGGGACCATGGTGGTTCCTGTTGCATGGCTGATAACCACACCTTTCACTGTTTTTTGTTCCTAGCCATCTCCTGGCCTCTCAGGTATCCTGATCTCACCAGCAATACTTTCTGTATGAATATTCTGTGAATTTTTTGTTCCCTGTGTTGCTGCAGATTCTTTAATTGGCCCCTGAGCCCTCTCAGGTCTATTTTTGTTTGCAGATAGCTGTCTATATTTGTTTTCTTGTGGGAGGATGAAGGCTGGTTTCTCCTACTTTGTCATTTTGGTGATGCCACTCCAGTTGTATTTTATATCCTGCATACCAATCTGAAAATAAAATGGAGAAAACAATTCAATTTACAATAACATAAGAATGAATAAAATGTTTAGGAATAAATTTAACAAAAAATGTGTAAGACTTGTACATCAAAAAACTATAAAACATCATTGAAAGAAATTGAAGAAGACCTAAACAAATGAAAAGATCCATGTTTATGGATCAGAAAACTTAATACTCTTAAGATAGAAACAGTCCCTACATTCATCTGTAGATTCAATGCAATCCTGGTCAAAATTCCTAGCTGCTTTTTTTTTTTCCCCCAGAAGTTGCCAAGCAGACCTTACAATTTATATAACAATGTAAGAAACCTGATATAGTTAATACAATCTTGAAAAAGAACAAAATTGGAGGCCTCACACTTGTAGATTTTAAAACTCACTACAAAGCTGCAGTAATTAAGAGTATGTAGGCCAGGCGTGGTGGCTCATGCCTTTAATCCCAGCACTTTGGGAGGCCGAGGTGGGTGGATC
Organism: Homo sapiens; assembly: GCF_000001405.40. Taxonomy (NCBI): domain Eukaryota; kingdom Metazoa; phylum Chordata; class Mammalia; order Primates; family Hominidae; genus Homo; species Homo sapiens. The sequence continues at coordinate 82,211,648 of NC_000009.12, forward strand.
ACGAGGTCAGGAGATCGAGATCATCCTGGCTAACATGGTGAAACCCCTTCTCTACTAAAAACACAAAAAATTAGCCAGGCATGGTGGCAGACGCCTGTAGTCCCAGCTACTGGGGAGGCTGAGGCAGGAGAATGGCATGAACTTGGGAGGTGGAGGTTGCAGTGAGCTGAGATTGTGCCACTGCACTCCAGCCTGGGCAACAGAGTGAGACTCCATCTCAAAAAAAAAAAAAAAAAAAAAAAAGAGAGAGAAAAAGAGTAGGTAGTACTGGCATAAGGACAGACAAATAGATTGATGGTATTGATTTGAGAGTCCAAAAATAAACTTATATTTATGGTTCATTGATTTTTGATAAGGATTCTAAGACACTTCAATGGAAAAAGAATTTCTTTTCCAGAAATGATGCTGTAAAAGAATGAAACTTAGCTCTTACCTTATACCATATATAAAAATTAGCTCTAAATGTGTCAAAAACATAAATGCAAAAGTGAAAAATTTAAAGAAAAACATAGAAATAAATGTTGGTGACCTTTGGTTAGGTAGTGGTTTCCTAGATATGACACCAAAAGCACAAGCAACAAGAAAAAAAATAGCCCAACTGGAAGCCCTCAAAATAAAAACAAAATCTTGCTTTAAATATCACCATCAAGTCAAAAGATAGCCATGGAATGGCAAAAAATATTTGTAAAGTATGTATCTGGTAAGGGACTTGTATCCAAAATATATGAAAAACTCTTATAATGCAACAATAAAAAGGTACATACTCCAGTGAAAAATGGCTATTTCTTCAGTGAAGATTTACAAATGGCCAATAATCATATGAAAAGATGCTTAGCATCATAATTCCTCAGGAAAATGCACATTTGAGAGTGATCACCACATGGTGATACCGTTTTACCTCCACTAAGATGGCTATAAATAATAACAAATAATAACATAATAAGAAATGTTGGCCAGGTATGGTGGCTCATGCCTGCAATCCCAGCACTTTGGGAGGCCGAGGCTGGCAGATCACTTGAAGTCAGGAGTTCAAGACCAGCTGGGCCAACATGGCGAAACCCCATCTCTACTAAAAATATAAAAATTAGCTGGACGTGATGGTGTACCCCTGTAATCCAGCTACTCAAGAGGCAGAGGCAGAGTGAGAAAAAGAAGGAATGTTGACCAGGATGTGGAGAAATTGAAGTTCTTATATGTTGCTGGTGGAAATATAAAATAGTGTACTTGGCTTTGGAAAACAGTCTAACAATTCATAAAAGTATTAAACATGAAGTCATTATGTCATTCAGCAATTCTACTTTAAGGTATATATCCAAGTTAGTTGAAAGTATATGTTTATACAAATGTGTACACAAATGTTCATAGCAGCATTATTCATAATTGCCAAAAAGTAGAAATAACCCAATTGTCTGTCAACTGATGAACTGTGGTATATCCATACTAAGGAATATTATTTAGCCATGAAAAGAAATGAAGTACTAATAACTTCTACAACATGAAGGAATTTTGAGAACATCATGCTGAATGAAAGAAGCCAGTTACAGAGGACCACTGATATAGTTTGGATCTGTGTCCCCACCCAAGCCTCCTGTCTAATAGTAATCCCCAATGTTGGAGGCAGGGCCTGGTCGGATTATCCTGACTGGATTATGGGGATTATGGGGGTGGATATTTCTCTTGGTACTGTGTCACAACAGGAAGTGGGTTCTTATGAGATTTCATTGCTTAAAAGTGTGTAGCACCTCCCACCTCTCTCTATTCCTCCTGCTCCAGCCATGTGAAGTACTGGCTCCCTTTTTGTCTTCTGCCATCATTATAAGTTTCCTGAGGTCTCCCCAGAAGCCCAGCTGATGCTGACATGCTTACTGTACAGTCTTCAGAACTATGAGCCAATTAAACCTCTTTTCTTTATAAATTAACCAGTCTCAGGTATCTCTTTATAGCAATGAGAGAACAGACTAATATAACCACATATTGTATGAATTTAATTATATTAGATTTCCAGAACAGGAAAATCTCCAGAGACAAAAAAGTATGTTGGTGGTTGCTTAGAGTTTGGTATTTCAGGAAAATTGAAAATAACTGCTAACCATGTGGGTGTCTTTTGGGGTTCACGATAATATTCCAAAATTGATACGGATAATCTTATGACTGTACTTAAACTCATTAAATTTTACAGTTTTAATGGATGAATTGTATGGTATGAGAATTATATCTCAATAAAGCATTTATAAAAATAAATAAGCAAAGCATTTAAATAGAATAAACATTTCTTAAAAGCAAATACACAGTGGCTGAGTAGCACATGAAAAGATACTCAGCATCATTTGTCATTAGGGAAATGCAAATCAAACCACAATGTAATACTACTTCATACCAACTAGGATGGCTATAGTCAAAGCGATGGGCAGTAAGAAGTACTGGCGTGGTTATGAGGACAGTGATATCCTTCTATATTGCTGATGGGAATGTGAAGTATAGCTGCTTTAAAAAATGGTTTGGCAATGTCTCAGAAAGTTGAACATAGATTTACTATTCGACCAAGTAATTCCACTCCTAGGTATATACTCAGGTTAATTTAAAACCTATGTCAATACACAAACTTGTACATGTATGTGCATGGCAGCATTATTAATAATAGACATTAAGTACAAAGAACTTCAAATTTCCATCAATCGAAGAATGGATAAACACAATGTGATTTATCCATACAATTGAATATTGATTAGCCATAAAAAGAAATGAAGTTCTGATACAAGCTTTAACATAGATGAACCTCGAAAACATTATGCTAAGAGAAAAAAGCCAAACACAAAATACTACATATTACATGATTTTTTTTTTCTTTTTTTTTTTTTTGAGATAGAGTCTCACTCTGTCACCCAGGTTTGAGTCCAGTGGTGCGATCTCGGTTCACTGCAACCTCCAACTCCCAGGTTCAAACCATTCTCTTGCCTCAACATCCCGAGCAGCTGGGACTACAAACACGCACCACTATACCCGGCTAATTTTTGTATTTTATTTATTTACTTATTTTTATTAGACAGAGTCTTGCTCTGTCGCCAGGCTGGAGTGCAGTGGTGTGATCCTGGCTCACTGCAACCTCCGCCTCCTGGGTTCAAGCGATTCTCCTGCCTCAGCCTCCTGAGTAGCTAGGACTACAGGCACATGCCACCATGCCCAGCTAATTTTTGTATTTTTAGTAGAGCTGGGGTTTCACCATGTTATTCAGGCTGGTCTCAAACTTCTGACCTCAGGTAATCTGTCTGCCCTGGCCTCCTAAAGTCCTGGGATTACAGGTGTGAGCCACTGCACCTGGCCTACCTGATTTTTTTTTTTTTTTACATGAAATGTCAGGATATACATATCTATAGAAACAGAAAGTAGATTAGTGATTTCTAGGGGCTGAATAGCAGGGTGAGTGTATAAAGAGTGCTAATGCTGGGCTTTCTTTTGAGTTATGAAAATATTCTGGAGTTAGATATTAAGGATACTTGCATAGCCTTATAATACACTAAAACCCACTGAATTGTATGCTTTAACAGGGTGAATTTTATGGTATATAAATTATAAATCGACAACAATAACAAACAAAACAAAAACACATTACAGACAAGAACTGTTGCTGGCAAAGCTTAAAACCACCAGCCTATATCTGCTTATTTCAAATTCTGGATTCCAGTGTGTGTGTGACTATTTCTCAGTATAACTGACTGTAATGGCAAAGGGAACTAATTATGTTCTTTTGGAGTGACAGAGTGCCCTGGTGGTCAGCACAGTCAAGGTGTATTGTGTCAGTGAGTTGTCAGAAGAGAGCATGAGGGCACTGCATATTGTGGTTGAGACTTTTTGTTTAATTGAAACTATTTGATGATAGAGCATTTATGAAATCTCGTTGTTCAGGGAGTGTGGCATAAAGAATGATTGAAAGTTTACATTTTTGTTCAGGGTGGCAGGCAAGATGGCAATAGGAAAGGCTCCAGTCTGCAGCTCCCAGTGAGATCAGTGCAGAATGTGGGTGATTTCTGCATTTCCAACTGAGGTACATGGCTCATCTCATTGGGACTGGTTAGACAGGGGGTGCAGCCCACAGAGGGCGAGCCAAAGCAGGGTGGGGCGTCACCTCACCCGGGAAGCAGAAGGGATTGGGGAACTCCCTCCCCTAGCAGAGGGAAGCCGTGAGGGACTGCCATGAAGAACAGTGCATTCCAGCCCAGATATTACACTTTTCTCATGGTCTTCACAACCCACAGACCAGGAGATTCCTTCGGGTGCCTACACCACCAGGGCCCTGGGTTTCAAGCACAAAACTGGGCAGCTATTTGAGCAGACACTGAGCTAGCTGCAGGAGTTTTTTTTTCATACACTGGTGGCATCTGGAATGCCAGCAAACAGAACAGTTTCCTCCCTGGGAAAGGGGTCTGAAGCTAGGAACCAAGTGGTCTAGTTCAGTGGATCCCAACCCCATGGAGCCAAGCAGGCTAAGATCCACTGACTTGAAATTCTTACTGCCAGCACAGCAGTCTGAAGTAGAACTGGGAAGCTCAAACTTAGTAGGGGAAGGGGCGTCTGCCATTACTGAGGCTTGAATAGGCGGTTTTCCCCTCACAGTGAAAACAAAGCTGCCAGGAAGTTCAAACTGGGCAGAGCCCACTGCAGCTCAGCAAAGGAGTTGTAGCCAGACTGCCTCTCTAGATTCCTCCTCTCTGGGCAGGGTATCTCTGAAAGAAAGGCAGTGTATCTCTGAAAGAAAGGCAGCAGTCACAGTCAAGGGCTTATAGATAAAACTCCCTTCTCCCTGGGACAGAGCTTCTGGAGGAACGGGTGCCTACGGGCACAGCTTCTGCAGACAAACATTCCTTCCTGCTGGCTCTGAAGAGAGCAGCAGATCTCCCAGCACAGAGCTGGAGCTCTCCTAAGGGACAGACTGCCTCCTCAAGTGGGTCCATGTCCCCCATGCCTCGTGACTGGGAGATACCTCCCAGCAAGGGTCAACAGACACCTCATACAGGAGAGCTCTGGCTGGCATCTGGCCAATGCCACTCTGGGACGAAGCTTCCAGAGGAAGGTACAGGCAGCAATACTTGGCGTTCTGCAGCCTCTGCTTGTGATACACAGGCAAACAGGGTCTGGAGTGAACCTCCAGCAAACTCCAGCAGACCTGCCACAGAGGGGCCTGACTCTTAGAAGGAAAACTAACAAAAAGAAAAAAATAGGATCATCATCAACAAAAAGTACATCCACACCAAAACCCCATCTGAAGGTTACCAACATCAAAGACCAAAGGTAGATAAATCCATGAAGATGAGGAAAAACCAGTGCAAAAAGGCTGAAAATTCCAAAAACCAGAACATCTCTTCTCCTCCAAAGCATCACAACTCCTTGCCAGAAAGGGAACAAAACTGGACGGAGAATAAATGTGATGAATTGACAGAAGTAGGCTTCAGAAGGTGGGTAATAACAAACTCCTCCGAGCTAAAGGAGCATGTTTTAACCCGATGCAAGGAAGCTAAGAACCTTGAAAAAAGGTTAGAGGAATTGCTAACTAGAATAATCAGTTTAGAGAAGAACATAAATGACCTGATTGAGCTGAAAAACACAGCACAAGAACTTCGTGAAGCATACACAAGTATCAATAGCTGAATTGATCAAGTGGCAGAAAGGATATCAGAGACTGAAGATCAACTTAATGAAATAAAGACAAGATTAGAGAAAAAAATAATGAAAAGGAACGAAGAAAGCCTTCAAGAAATATGGGACTATGTGAAAAGACCAAACCTACATTTGATTGGTGTTTCTGAAAGTGACAGGGAGAATGGAATCAAGTTGGAAAACATTCTTCGGGATATTATCCAGGATAACTTCCCCAACCTAGCAAGACAGGCCAACATTCAAATTCAGGAAATAAAGAGAACACCACAAAGATACTCCTTGAGAAGAACAACCCCAAGACACATAATCGTCAGATTCACCAAGGTTGAAATGAGGAAAAAAATGTTAAGGGCAGCCAGAGAGAAAGTTCTGGTTAACCCAAAGGGAAACCCATCAGACTAACAGCGGAACTCTCAGCAGAAACCCTATAAGCCAGAAGAGAGTGGGGGCCAATATTCAACATTCTTAAAGAAAAGAATTTTCAACACAGAATTACATATCCAGCCAAACTAGTCTTCATAGTCAAAGGAGAAAAAAATCTTTTATAGACAAGCAAGTGCTGTGAGATTTTGTTACTGCCAGACCTGCCTTACAAGAGTTCCTGAAGGAAGCACTAAACATGGAGAGGAGCAACCTGTACCAACCACTGCAAAAACATACCAAATTGTAAAGCTCATTGACACTATGAAGAAACTGCATCAACTAACGGGCAAAATAACCAGCTAACATCATAATGACAGGATCAAATTCACACATAACAATATTAACCTTAAATGTAAATGGGCTAAATGCCCCAATTAAAAGACAGACTGGCAAATTGGATAAAGAGTCAAGACCCATCAGTGTGCTGTATTCAGGAGACCCATCTCATGAGCAAAGACACACAGAGGCTCAAAGTAAAGGGATGGAAGAATATTTACCAAGCAAATGGAAAGCAAATAAATAAATAAATAAAAAATAAAAAAGCAGAGTTGCAATCCCAGTCTCTGATAAAGCAGACTTTAAACCAACAAAGATCAAAAGCAACAAAGAAGACCATTACATAGTGGAAAAGGGATCAATGCAACAAGAAGCGCTAACTATCCTAAATATACATGCACCCAATACAGGAGTACCCAGATTCATGAAGTAAGTTCTTACAGACCTACAAAGAGACTTAGACTCCCACACAAAAATAGTGGGAGACTTTAACACCCCACTGTCAATATTAGACTGATCAATGAGACAAAAAATTAACAAGGATATTCAGGACTTGAACTCAGCTCTGGACCAAGCAGACCTAATAGATATCTACAGAACTCTCCACCCCAAATCAACAGAATATACGTTCTTCTTAGCACCACATTGCATTTATTCTAAAATTGACCACATAATTGGAAGTAAAACACTCATTAGCAAATGCAGAAGAATGGAAATCATAACAAACAATCTCTCAGACCACAGAGCAATCAAATTATAACTCAGGATTAAGAAACTCACTCAAAACAGCAGAAATACATGGAAACTGAACAATCTGCTCTTGAATGACTACTGGGTAAATAATGAAATTAAGGCAGAAATAAATAAGTTTTTAGAAACCAATGAAAACAAAGACAAAAAGAACCAGAATCTCTGGGACACAGCTAAAGCAGTGTTTAGAGAAAAATTTATAGCACTAAATGCACACAGGAGAAAGCAGTAAAGATGTAACTTCGACACTCTAACATCACAATTAAAAGAACTAGACAAGCAAGAGCAAACAAATTCAAAAGCTAGCCAAAGACAAAAAATAACTAAGATCAGAGCAGGACTGAAGGAGAAAGAGACAAAAAAATTCTTCAAAAAATTAGTGAATCTAGGAGCTGGTTTTTTGAAACGATTATCAAAATAGACCACTAGACAGACTAACAAGGAAGAAAAGAGAGAAGAGTCAAATAGAAACAATAAAAATGATAAAAGGTGTATCACCACTGATCCCACATAAATACAAACTACCATCAGAGAATACTATAAACACCTCTATGCAAACAAACTAAAAAATTTAGAAGAAACAGATAAATTCATGGACCATACACTCTCCCAAGACTAAACCAGGAAGAAGTCAAATCCCTTAACAGATCATTAACAGGTTCTCAAATTGAGGCAGTCGTTAATAGTTTACAATCCAAAAAAAGCCCAGGACCAGACAGATTCACAGCCAAATTCTATCAGAGGTATAAAGAGGAGCTGGTACCATTCCTTCTGAAACTATTCCAAACAATAGAAAAAGAGGGACTCCTCCCTAACTCACTTTATGAGGCCAGCATCATCCTGATATCAGAACCTGGCAGAGACATAACAGAAAAAGAAAATTTCAGGCCAATATCCCTGATGTACATCCATGAGAAAATCCTCAATAAAATACTGGCAAACTGAATCCAGCAGCACATCAAATAGCTTATCCACCACGATCAAGTCAGCTTCATCCTTGGGATGCAAGGCTGGTTCAGCATACGCAAATCAATCAATAAACGTAATCCATCACATAAACAGAACCTATGACAAAAACCACATGATTATCTCAATAGATGCAGGAAAAGGCTTTCGATAAAATTCAACATCCCTTCATGCTAAAAACTCTCAAGAAACTAGGTATTGATGGAATGTATCTCAAATTAATAAGAACCATTTATGACAAACCCACAACCAATATCACACTGAATGGGCCAAAGCTGGAAGCATTCCTTCTGAAAACTGGCACAAGACAAGGATGCCCTCTCTCACCATTCCTATTCAACATAGTATTGGAAGTTCTGGCCAGGGCAATCAGGCAAGAGAAAGAAAAAAAGGGTATTCAAACAGGAAGAGAGCAAGTCAAATTGTCTCTGTTTGCAGATGACATGATTGTATATTTAGAAAACCCTATTGTCTCAGCCCCAAATCCCCTTAAGCTGATAAGCAACTTCAGCAAAGTCTCAGGATACAAAATCAATGTGCAAAAATCACATAATTCCTATAAACCAATAATAGACAAACAGAACCAAATCATGAGTGAGCTCCCATTCACAATTGCTACAAAGAGAATAAAATACCTAGGAATCCAACTTACAAGGGATGTGAAGGACCTCTTCAAGGAGAACTACAAACCACTGCTCAAGGAAATAAGAGGGGACACAAACAAATGGAAAAACATTCCATGCTCATGGATAGGAAGAATCAATATCGTAGAAATGTCTGTACTGCCAAAAGTAATTTATAGATTCAATGCTATCGCCACCAAGCTACCATTGACTTTCTTCACAGAATTAGAAAAAACTACTTTAGATTTCATATGGAACCAAAAAAGAGCCCATATAGCCAAGACAATCCTAAGCAAAAAGAACAAAGCTGGAGGCATCGCGCTACCTGACTTCAAACTATACTACAAGGCTACAGTAACCAAAATAGCATGGTACTGATACCAAACCAGATATATAGACCAATGGAACAGAACAGAGACCTCAGAAATAACACCATACATCTACAACCATCTGATCTTTGACAAACCTGACAAAAACAAGCAATGGGGAGAGGATTTCCTATTTAATAAATGGTGTTTAGAAAACTGGCTAGCCATATGCAGAAAACTGAAACTGGACCCCTTCCTTATACCTTATACAAAAATTAACTCAAGATGGATTAAAATCTAAATGTAAGACCTAAAACCATAAAACCCTTGAAGAAAACCTAGGCGATACTATTCAGGGCATAGGCATGGATAAAGACTTCATGACTAAAACACCAAAAGCAATAGCAACAAAAGCCAAAATAGACAAATGGGATCTAATTAAACTAAAGAGCTTCTGTACAGCAAAAGAAACTTTCATTAGAGTGAACAGGCAGCCTACAGAATGGGAGAAAATTTTCGCAATCTATCCATCTGTGTAAGGACAATATCCAGAATCTACAAGGAACTAAAACAAATTCACAAGAAAAAAACGACCCCATCAAAAATTGGGCAAAGGATATGAACAGACACTTCTCAAAAGAAGACATTTATGTGGCCAACAAACATATGAAAAACAGCTCATCATCACTGATCATTAGAGAAATGCATATCAAAACCACAATGAGATAACATCTCATGCCAGTTAGAATGGCGATCTTTAAAAAGTCAGGAAACAACAGATGCTGGAGATGATGTGGAGAAATAGGAACACTTTCACACTGTTGGTGGGAGTGTAAATTAGTTCAACCATAGTGCAAGACAGTGTGGCGATTCCTCAAGGATCTAGAACCAGAAATACCACTTGACCCAAAAATCCCAATACTGGTTATATACCCAAAGGATTATAAATCCTTCTACTATAAAGACGCATGCACACGTATGTTTATTGCAGCACTATTCACGATAGCAAAGACTTGGAACCAACCCAAAAGCCCATCAATGTTAGACTGGATAAAGAAAATGTGTCACAATACACCATGGAATACTATGCAGTCATAAAAGGGATGAGTTCATGTCCTTTGCAGGGACATGGATGAATCTGGAAACCATCATTCTCAGCAAACTAACACAGGAACAGAAAACCAAACATCACATATTCTCACTCATAAGTGGGAGTTGAACAATGAGAACACATGGACACAGGGAGGGGAACATCACACACCAGGGCCTGTCAGGGGGAGGGGGGCTAGGGGTGGGATAGCATTAGGAGAAATACCTAAGGTAGATTTCAGGGTGATGGGTGCAGCAAACCTCCATGGCAAGTGTATACCTATGTAACAAACCTGCACGTTCTGTACTTGTATCCCATAACTTAAAGTATAATAATAATAAGAAGAAATAGTTTCACATCTTTTGGACACGAAAAAAAAAAAAAAAGACCTAGTCTTTGCTAGCAGAACTGGGTGACTATAGTAAAAACTAGTTGAATTGTACATTTAAAATCATTGAAAGAGTTTAATGGATTGTCTGAAACAGAATGCATAAATGCTTGGGATGATGGATATCCCATTCAACCTGATGTGATTATTATGCATTGCATGCCTGTATCAAAATATCTCATATAACCCATAAGTATACACACCTACTATGTACCACTAGAAATTCTGATTTATATTTTTTAAATTGAATGCATGATCTTGAAGAGATGTTTGCACACACATGTTTGTAGCAGCATTATTAACAACAGCTAAAACTTGGACACAACCTAAGTGTCCATCAACAGATGAATGGAAAAGCAAAATGTGGTAAATACATTCATGAAATATTAATTAGCCTTAAAAAGGAAAAAGATGTGACATATGCTACAACATGGATGAGCTTTGGGGACATTCTGCTAAGTGAAATAAGTCAATCAAAAAGACAAATACTTATATGAAGTACTTAGACTAGTTAAGGCCATTGAAAGACAGAAAGTAGAATGATGGTTGCGAGGTGGTGGGGGTGGGGACAATGAGGAGTTCTTTAAAGGGTATAGAATTTCAGTTTTTCAAGATGAAAAGCATTCTGGAGACTGATTGCTCAACAATGTGAATATACTTAACAATACTGAATTGTATATGTAAATCTGGTTAAGGTGGTACATTTTATGTTACACGCACAAAAGAAGTAGAAACGGAAGTAGATTCTCAACTAGTACACTATTGTCATGTTGGCTGGGACAATTCTTGTTTATGTAGAGCTATCCCTGCACATTGCAGAATGTGTAGCATCCCTGGTTTCTTCTCAATTAATGTGGTAATGTTCTCTAGTTATTGTCACAAACAAAGCAAAATGAAACAGCCCCAAACACTGCCAAGTGCCCTCATGATGATTGGGAGGGTTGGAGTGGATGGCAGCACTGGCCCCAAGCGAGTACCCGTGGATGAGGAAGGCTATAGATAGAAAATAGAAACACTCCAGGCAAATGGAGGAAGCTGTCTTAGCTCCACATCTTCAGTTCCAGAAATATCCCATGGCCTCTGCACAAGCTTAGCATCTTCTTATCCACCATCTAGTTTCTTTTCTCCCTTGCAGTCTCAGCTCAACCATCACTTCTGGGAGACACCTTCTTCAGCTCCTTCACTTCCTGCTTAGGTCAATTTTCCTGTATTATACCCTCAAAGAACACCATGTACCTCACCTTCATAGCACATATGCAGTTGTTTTACATATATTTATGGATTTTGGTCTTACTTATTGGAATAAAAGCTCTGAGAAAAAAGAATGGGTAAAAGATATGAATAGACTTTTATCCAAAGAAGATACACAAATGGCCATTAAGCACATAAAAAGATGTTCAACATCTTTAGTCATCAAGGAAATGCAAATCAAAACCACAATGAGATACCACTTTACAATCACCAAGTGGCTATAATCCAAAAAAGATAACGACAAGTGTTGGGGAGTAGTGGAGAAATTGGAATCCTTATACGCTGCTGGTGGGAATGTAAACTGGTGTAGTCACTTTGGAACAGTCTGGCAGTTCCTCAAGAGGCAAGATACAGAGTTACCATATGACCCAGCAATTCTACTCCTGGTTATATATAACCAAGATAAATGAAAAACATGTTCACACAAAAACCAGCGCACAAATGTTCATAGCAGCATTGTTCATAATAGCAGAAACAAATGTTCATAAACTGATCAATGGATAAATAATTGTTGTATATCCATATAATGAAATATTATTTGACCATACAAAGAAATGAAGTATTGGTGAATGCTACAGTTTGGATGAACCTTGAAAATTCGATGCTATGTAAAAGAAGCTCATCACAAAAGACCATGTATAGTATGATTCCAAAATCCAGAATAGGCAACTCTTTGGAGACACTAAGTAGATTATTGATTGCCTAGAACTAGGAGGTTTGGGGAAATTAGAGTGATGGCTAAAGAGTATCGGGTTTATTTTTGGAATAATGAAAATGTTCTAATACTGATGGTGGAAATGTTTGCACAACTCTGTAAATATGCTAAAACCACTAAATTGTACACTTTAAGTGGTTGAATTTTATGTTAAGTGAATTATATCGCAATAAAGCTATTACCAGAAAAAGTTTAAAAAAGAAAAAAAAACAAAGAAAAGAGGGGACTTTGATCAAAAATACATGTTCCCATTATTCAAGTTTCTATTCTTATCACAGAGAAAAGGACACAGCTAAATTTAAGAGTGATAATATTGTGGAACTGAAATAATACTATTTAATAACCAAAGAAGTGTATAAGTTGAGGAACACTGTCACAGAATGACAGACATTTTCTATTTGTGAATATCCATGACCCCATGATGGGGCCATTCACTTACCAGGTATTGAGCTATGAATTAATTCTTGTCCACTTTTCTAATTACTTCGTGGATTTCAGATTGCGTAAAAATAACCAGTTTAGGATCTGTTAGGCAGGGGATTGATTTCGGCTAATCTCACATCTATTTGCAATCACATTACAGACTTCCTTCAAGCTCTGTGTCCACACAGAAGCAGGGAGAGCCTAAGGTACTAGAAAGAGTCAGAAAATGTAAATCACTCCCAGAAAATCATATTTTTTCATGGTTTGGTTTTTCACTCTGGCCAATGGAAGTTTATTCATCCTGGAAGCATTAGCTCACTCACAGAAAGCCTAAAGCCATAAAGGACTTGGTTCTGTCTCGAAGTTTGTGAAAGCAGCATCCTATAGCCACAGTTAGTTATCAGATTACTTGGAGAAGTTTCTAACGAATGGCAATTTAAGAAGATAAACCAGATGTCTTTCACCTTTAACTATTCAAAGTGCAATATGAGAACCATGAGTATCAATATTACCTGATAGCTTTCAGAAATGCATAATCTCAATCCCACTTAAGACCTCCTAAATCAGCACCTGCATTTGAATGAGAGCCCCGGGGATTTATATGCACTTAAAGTTTGAAAAGCAGTTTCTAAAAGACTTTCTGCTCAAGTCTACACTATGATTCAGAAAGACATACCTCAACTACATCTGCTCCATTATCTTCCCCATTCACCTCTCTCACTGTGTGTGTGTGTGCATGTGTGTGTATACTACTCATCTATAAAAGAGCATGTTTTTCTTTTCTCTTCTTTAGGATCCTGAGTCTTACTTGCTATCATTCTAAGAGGTTTTATGGAAAAGCTATGGTTTTTCTCCTTCAAGTGCTCCTTTCCCTTAACCTTCTTATGGTAAGAGAATGCCTCTTCCCCTCTTTTCTTTCACTTTTTTCATGTGGTAGGAGACGAGGTGACCCCATCTTGAGAAAAAGATAAGTAATTGTGAAAACATTTCATGAGCTTCTGAATCCAGCCACGTCTGAAGACTACATTGTACATTACATTTATGTACAACAATAGGTTTCCCATTTTCACTTAATCTAGTTTAAACTGAGTTTATATAAATCATAAATGAAAAAAATCCTGACAAGTACAGTAACCCATCGATTTTATTTTTCTGATGCCTCCATTCACTGACAGCTAGGGGTCACCTGGCATTTAAAGAAAAACTCCAACATGAAAGCAAGCTTTTTTTTTTTTTTTTTTCTATTTCCAACTTGTTCCAACACATTCAAAGGTACATGTGCAGGATGTGAAGGTTTGTTACGTAGGTAAATAAATGTATGCTTTGGTGGTTTTCTGCACAGATCATCCCATCACTCAGGTATTAAGCCCAGTATCTACTAGATACTCTTCCTGGTCCTCTCCCTCCTCTCACCCTGCCCTGCCCTCCAACAGGCCCCACTGTGTGTTGTTTCTCCACCATGTGTCCATGTGTTCTCATTATTTAGCTCCCACTTATAAGTGAGAACATGCAGTATTTGGTTTTCTGTTCCTGCATTAGTTTGCTAAGGCTAATAACCTCCAGCTCCACCCATGTCCCTACAAAGGACATGATTTCATTCCTTTTTATGGCTTCATAACATTCCATGGTGTATATGTACCATATTTTGTTTATCCAGTCCATCATTGATAGGCATTTGGGTTGGTTCCATGTCTTTGCTATTGTTAATAGTGCTGTAATGAACATATGCATGCATGTATCTTTATAATAGAAAGATTTATATTCCTTCAGGTATATACCCAGTAATGGGATTGCTGGGTCGAATGGTATTTCTGCCTCTAGATCTTTGAGGAGTCGCCACACTGTCTTCCACAATGGTTGAACTAATTTACACTCCCACCAACAGTGTAAAAGCGTTTATTTTTCTCCACAGCCTTGCCAGCACCTGTTTTTTTTTGACTTTTTAATAATAGCCATTCTAACTGGTGTGAGATGGTATATTATTGTGGGTTTGATTTGCATTTCTCTAATGATCAGAGATGTTGAGCTTTTTCTCATGTTTGTTAGCCACATGTATGTCTTCTTTTGAGAAGTGTCTGTTCATGTCCTTTGCCCACTTTTTAATGGGGTTATTTGTCTTTTTCTTGTAGATTTGCTTAAGTTCCATAAAGATCCTGGATATTAGACCTTTGTCAGATGCATATATTGCAAAAATGTTCTCCCATTCTGTAGGTTGTCTGTTTACTCTGTTGATAGTTTCTTCTGCTGTTCAGAAGCTCTTTAGTTTAATGAGATCCCATTTGTCAATATCTGATTTTGTTCTGATTGCTTTTGGCATCTTTGCTATGAAATCTTTGCCCATGCCTATGTCCTGAATGGTATTGCCTAGGTATTCTTCTATGATGTTTATAGTTTTAGGTTTCACATTTAAGTCTTTAATCCTTGTGGTGTAAGGAAGGCGTCTAGTTTTAATTTTCTGCACATGGCTAGCCAGTTCTCCGAGCATCGTTTATTAAATAGGGGATCCTTTCCCCATTGCTTCTTTTTGTCAGGTTTGTTGAAGATCAGATGGTTGTAAGTTTGTGGCCTTATTTCTGAGTTCTCAATTCTGTTCCATTGGTCTATGTGTCTGTTCTTGTACCAGTACCATGCTGTTTTGGTTACTGTAGCCCTGTAGTATAGTTTGAGGTCAGGGAGCATGATGCCTCCACCTTTGTTTTCTTTGCTTAGGATTGCCTTGACTATTCAGGCTCCTTTTTGGTTCCATATGAATTTTCAAATAGTTTTTTTCTAATTCAGTGAAGAATGTCAATGGTAGTTTAATAAGAATAGCATTGAATCTATAACTCTGTCTGTAGAATACAGGAGGGGGTTGCTGGAGGCCCTGGCTTGGAGGACCCACCCAGCAAGGAAGAATAGATTGGGGTCCCATTTAATGAAGCAGTTTGGCCATGCCTCAACAAAACAGCTATGCCATGCTGGGGAACTGACTCTTCCCTAGTTAGCTTGGACTCTCCAAAGCTCACGAAGATGGAATGGCCAAGTCATCCAAACAACAAAGACAGCAGCCTGCCCTTCCCCCGGGGTACTTCGTCCCAGGGAGAGATTAGAGCTCTGTCCATAGAACACAGGCAGGGGTGGCTGGAGGCCCTGCTGGGAGGTCCCACCAAGTGAGGAGGAATGGACAGGGTTCCTGCTTAAAGATGCAGTCTGGCCACATTTTGATAAAGCAGCTGTGCTGTGCTAGGGAGTCCCTTCATTGGCTGGACCATTTGGACTCCAAGGCCTGCCAGCTGGAATGGCTAAGTCATCCAAACAGCAAAGATGGCAGCCTGCCCCTTTCCTGGGCACTCTGTCCCAGGGAGAGATCAGAACTCTCTTCATAATACTAGCTGACAGGGGTGGCTGGAGACCCCTGCTGGGATGGGTCAGTGTTCCATTTAAAGAAGCAGTCTGGCCACGTTTTGGTAAAGAAGTTGTGCTGTGCTGGAGGGAAGGGTCCCTTCCGCATCTGGACCATTTGAACTCTTCAAAGCCTGCAGGTTGGAACAGCTGAGTCATCCAAACAGCAAAGATGGCAGTCCATCCCACTCTCCTTGGGGTCCCTGTCCTGTCTCAGGCAAGCTGTACCCTGTTGCGGGTGGCTGGCTGGAATTCCAAGTAAGTGAGTCTTATCTTATGAGGTGCCGTGGTAGTGGGGCCCACACACTGATGCTGCTCGGCCCTCTGGGTTCAGCCCGATTTCTAGGGCTATATATGGACCTCCTGCCTTGCCTCAGTTGCAGTCACCTTTGTCAGGGATCCTGGAGTCGGAGTATGTAAAGCTCCAGGGTCTCTGTGCATGCCTGAGGAGCTGCCCTGCCAAGACTCTACATAGCTCTGTGTGTCGGATCCAAGGCCCTGGTAGAGTGGGCTCACAAGGGGACCTCCTGATCCAAAGGTCAAAGATCTGCATGTGAAGCATGTTTTCCTGGGGTTGCACATTCATTCACCACTTCCCTTGGCTGGGGGGTAGGGGTTCCCTTGGTTTTGTGTCACACTCAGGTGGGCCATCACCCTGCCCTGCATTTCTTCATTCTCTGTGGGTCGAGTTGTTTCCCTGATCAGTCCCAGTTGGGAGTACCTGGGTATTTCAGTTGAAGGTGCTGTATTTACTTGCCCTTTTCATTCCTCTCTGTGTCATGAATCATAGCTGTTTATAATTGGCCATCTTGGCCTCCTCCTCAGATATTTTTTTAAATGAGAGACTTCTAAAACTTCTCAAATACTCAGAGTAATAAAAGAAAAGGTCATGTCTATAATACAATAACCACGTGCTATGTAAATAGAAAAACAAAAATACTGTCAGAGCTCTTATAAATTATAAATATGCAGTCAAGATAAACATACTGTTTTAAATGTTGCAAGAGAAAGTTGAGAAAAGTCTTTCAGATAGTAAAATAAAATGATAGAGCTAGAAGAGTTGAGAAAAAAGAAACTGGATAATTAATTTAGGATTTTTACCTTCTCATTAAGAGTAATTCCAAAAAGAAAGAGAAGGAAAAAGAAAAGGCTACAACCTATCAAATAATGTAAGAAAATTTCCCAAAACTGAAATCCATGCATTTCAAATAATACAATTCAATTGAAAGCCCATAATGGTGAATGGAAAAATTATCAAAGTACATCATCATGAAATTTCAGATCATAGATAAAAAGATTATAAAACCTTTCATATAGAAAAAGAAATTGAGGCCATACTTGAATAAGACTTCTTAGTAACATTAGAATCTGTAAGATGATGAAGACCTCTTTTTAAAATTATAAGGGAAAACTATTTTTGACCTAAAAATCTCTGCTCAGTCATATTACCAGTCAGCATTTTTAGACATCCATGAAATAATAATTATAAGAAGAATAAGAGTAATTTCAATGCACCTTTTCCTAGAAAGCTCCTGAAGGACATGCTACAGAAGATGGGAAGGTTATCTATTACACATGGATTCTAGGAAACAGAGACTGAAAAACAGGAGAGTTGTAAAAAAGAGTCTCAGAATGACAGCTGCCACTCTAACAGGAGAAAGTAAAAGACTAGATAGAAGTAAATTGGAGAGATGTCAAAAAAAGTTTCATGGAAAAAAATTAACCAATATATTATTTGATATTTTGGCCTGCAGAAATATTGTTAGCACTATGATAGAACTGTTGAACTATTTTGGGAAAAATAACAATAAATTCATGGAAAACTAAACAAATCAATGTGTGAGGAAAATTTTAACTACAGAAAAAGAATCCTAAAATAACAGAAATCACAGCATATTACTTGGCTCTGCAATTTATAATATTTACAAGGTAAAGATCTTGTAAACTAACAACTGATTTAACCAAAACCTGTGATAGAACTATAATAGGATAATTGGATTATGGAAAGTAGAAGAATGGTGGAAAAAAAACAGTTGTGATGGCTTATACTTGTAAGTCCAGCAGCTTTGGAGGTTGAGTGAGGCAGGAGCCAAGAGTTTGAGATTACCTTGGGAAACATAGCAAGATCCCATCTCTTAAAAAATAAAAAAAATGAAAAGCTTACTAGGCATGGTGGCACGTGCCTATAGTCCCAGGTACACAGGAGGCTGAAGCAAGAGGATCAGAGGAGCCCAGGAGTTGGAGACTGCAATAAGCCATGATTGCACCACTGCATTTCAGCCTGGGTGACAGAGGGAAGCCTCAACTCTAAATAATAATAATAATAACGATGAAAAAAGATAAATGCTATACTGCCATATCAAAGTGGTTATATAGAGGAGGGGCTTCAAGACAGCTGACTAGAATCATCTGGTACTCACCTCCTCCACAAAGAACAACCAAAATTTTGAGGAGATAATCATACTTGGAATAGATAAGCTAGGAGAGAACACTAAAATTCAACAAAGAAGTGATAGGAAACCTCTAAAGTGAGGAAGGAGGGGAAAGTAAGGCAGCCTGCTAGCCTGGATTGGCTAGGAGCCTGGAGAGACTCCTCAGTGCAAGCAAAGGTTAAGTGAGAGACTCTCAGTGGTTCACATCTCCTCCATGGACTCCTCCAATCCTAGCCATGGGATAGCCCCTAAATCCTTGCGGGCCTGAGACTAACATTGGGAACTGCCTGGAGACCATGTGAAGGCATCACTCCAGGGAGAGAGTATATGCTGGTTTCACACACACCCCAAAGTCCCAAGCAGCTACAGTAAGGTGCCATTTTACCCAGGAGCCCAACAGATTTAGCAACTCCTTATCATAGGAGCCCCAGTGTCATTCCTTGCACACAGGCACTTCAGTGGCTGGCTGCTTCCATTAGGGCTGAAGTGTGAGCCCTTGTCAATGACCTCACTGCCTCCTGCAGCAAAGCTGCCATGCATTTTCACATGTCATGAGGACAAATTCCCCTGCTTACAGTAACCACTGCTGTGGGCTGCTGCTCTTGGGGCCAAAGAGAAAAGAAGAGCACACTCCCTAGCAGCCTGCTTATAGTGGCTTCCATTGAAAGCAAGCCCACCCTCCCCAGTATCAAAGTTGCAGGGCAGCCCCTCCCATACCACACCTGAGCATTCTGCCAGGGATCTAGAGATCACCCCACCCCTGCCTACCTCAGCCAGCACCTGCATGCACTACCAGGAGGGCTGAGGACTGGTCCACCTGGCCTTGCTCCTCACTCCTCAGTGTCTGAGGACACTATCCATGAGCTTGGGGATCACTTAGCCCAGTCCACCGCCATAACCATCTGAGCACTTCTCCCAAGGGCCTGAGGTCAGGACCACCCAGCCGATTGCTGCTACCACAAACACCAGGGCAGATTTCTTGGGAACCAGAGGATTGTCCTGTCATTGTTATAGCCATTGTCTAATGCTATGCCTGCTGCCTAGGACCCCAAACCGACCCACCCAGCCAGCCCATTTCTGTCACCACCAGCACCAAAGCAAGCCACCTGGAGGCCCAAGATTCAGCCACGCTGGACCTAGTAATTCCAGTGCCAGCACCTGCCACCATGGAGCCCAAGAATAGGTACAATTCAGCTGCCACTGCCACCACTGGATCCCAACAATAGGCCCATATGGCACACACATCTCCAGGAAAAGTTCATCACAGCCTCCACACCATAAATTACTAAGGAAATTACAGTCACCACTAATCTGTTTATAGCCAATAAATCATACAGAGATTATACTACTGCACACACCCAGAATTAAAGTCAA
Source organism: Homo sapiens (assembly GCF_000001405.40). Lineage (NCBI taxonomy): Eukaryota > Metazoa > Chordata > Mammalia > Primates > Hominidae > Homo > Homo sapiens. The sequence continues at coordinate 82,231,700 of NC_000009.12, forward strand.
AATGCTCTATCCAACAAAAACCATAAACATATCTTCAGGAAAAAGTCCCTCTATGAAAGTAACTTCAAAATAGTGGAAGAAGTGACTGTTATACCAGATGCATCGATATCAACATAAAAACAAAACAAATATGAAAAAGGAAGAAAATATGATACCTCTAAAAGAACACAGTAATTATCCAGCAACAGATTGCAATCAAAATGAAAATTATAAAATCCCAGAAAAAAATTCAAAACAGTGATACTAAAGAAGTTACATCTCCATCCAATGTGATAGAAAAAAATTCTGAAAATACATAAAAAAAATTTAAGGTATAGATGAGAAATGTACCAAACAGATAAATAACATAAAAAACCAAACAGAAATTATAGAATTAAAAAATTTATCAAATAAAACAAAAATATATTTGAAAGCTTTAACAATAGAATAGATAAAGCAGAAGAAAGAATTTTAGACCTCGAAGACTTATCTTTTAAAATAACTCAGTGTATTAATCCATTCTCATGCTGCTATAAATAACTACCTGAGACTGGGCAATTTATGAAGAAAAGAGATTTAATTGACACATAGTTCCACAGGCTTTATAGGAAGCATGGCTGGGAGGCATCAGGAAACTTACAATCATAGCAGAAAGGAAAGAGGAAGCAAGAGTGGAGCAGAAGAGACAGAGATAAGGGGGAAGTGCTACACACTTATAAACAACGAGATATTGTGAGAACTCACTATAATGAGAAGCAAGGGGGAATCCACCCTCATGTTCCAATCACCTTCCACCAGATCCTTCCCACAACACTGGAGATTAACAATACAACATGAGATTGTGGGCGTTGACACAGCACCAAACCATACCACCCAGTCAGACAAAAAATAAAAAAGATTTAAAAGAATGACCACAGCTTAAGTGACATACAGGACACCACAGGGTAACAAAATATTCAAATTTTCAATGTCCCAGAAGATAAAGGGAAAACAAAAGAGATAGAAAATCAATTTAGTGCCAGGCGCAGTGGCTTATGCCTGTAATCCCAGCACTTTGGGAGGTCGAGGCGGGCAGATCACCTGAGGTCGGGAGTTTGAGACCAGCCTGACCAACATGGAGAACCTTGTCTCTACTAAAAGTACAAAATTAGCTGGGCATGGTGGTGCATGCCTGTAATCCCAGCTACTCTGGAGGCTGAGGCAGGATAATCGCTTGAACCTGGGGGTTGGAGGTTGTGGTGAGCTGAGATCATGACATTGCACTCCAGCCCAGGCAACAAGAGCAAAACTTTGTCTCAAAATAAATAAATAAATAAATAAATAAATCTAGTTAGTGAAATAATAGAAGAAAACTTCCCAAGTCTAGCAAGAGATTTTAGACATCTAAGTACAAGAAGCAAAAAGATCCCCAATATATACAACTCAAAAAGATCTTCTCCTATGGCATGTTATATTTAAACTACAAAAAGTCAGAGACAAAGATGGAATTTTAAAAATAGCTAGAGAAAAGCAACTATCATTCATAAGGAAATAAATCCCCATCAGTCTAGTAGCAAATTTCTCAGCAGAAACCTTACAGGCCAGGGGAGAATGGGGTAATATATTCAAAGTAATAAAAGAAAGAAACTGCCAGTCAAGAATACTATACCCAAATTATCCTTCCAGGAAAATTCCACTAATTTATATTCCAGGACAGTATGACAATGTGGAAGACAGTATGACAATTCCTCAAGGATCTAGAACCAGAAATAGCATTTGACCCAGCAATCCTATTACTGGTTATATACCGAAAGGATTATCAATCATTCTACACATGCACACGTATGTTTATTGCAGCACTATTTACAATAGCAAAGACATGGAACCAACCCAAATGCCCATCAATGATAGACTTGATAAAGAAAATGTGGTACGTTATACCATGGGACACTATGCAGCCATAAAAAGGAATGAGATCATGTCTTTTGCAGAGACATGGATGAAGCTGGAAGCCATCATCTTCAGTAAACTAACACAGGAACAGAAAACTAAACACTGCATGTTCTCACTCATAAGTGGGAGTTGAATAGTGAGAACACATGGACACAGGGAGGGGAACAACACAACCCAGGGCCTGCTGCGGGGCTGGGAGAGAAGAGAGGGAACTTAGAGGATGGATCGATAGGTGCAGCAAACTACCATGGAACACGTATACCTATTTTAACAAACCTGCAGGTTCTGCACATGTATTTCAGAACTTAAAGTAAGATTTTTTAAAAAAAGATGCAACTACTCTAGTAAAAACTTTAAATTATTAAATGTATTTTAAAAGGTAGACATCCTGGTGAGGTTGACTAGAGAGAGCGCCTCTTTTTTGAAGCATCAAGGCAGAGGAAAATATTACCTGCAATAAGGAATAGGGAGAAACCTACTTTAAGCCTCTACATAGGCCCACAACAGAATCCTGAAAGGTAAATCTAGGGGCAAATCCACCTAGATGTTGTGCCAGGTGTGGCAGCTACCCCATGGTACAAAAGCAAAAAGCCACTGAATTTCTAGGCACCTCGGTAGACTTGAACAATGAGGATTTTTTGGAAAGGATGAAAAGAAAAGCAATGTACTTGACTGAACTTGAACTCCAAGGTTTACTCTCTTAAACTGCTATTCAGAAACTACTGAAGGCAAACTGCCAGGGTGAAGAAAAGGAAGTGATAGCTGAGTTTGTTGAATGAGAAAAGCAGAAGCAGCAGTAATAGAAACGTGAGCATGGGTGAAAGCTGAGGATTCCAAGAAACGACAAGAAAGACAGGAAAAGAACAACAGGGGAACCAAGAGATTATATTGCTGCTTGAAAATTGTGAAGATCTACATTATAGGCAACATTCCAGGTGAGTTTACATAAAGTTTGAAGAACCTGACCCTGAGCAATCCAATTTACCCTTTAAGTCTCAGTTTCCACCTCTGCAAAATGTAGATAAAACCTACTTCAGAGTGTTGGTATGAATGCAACACTAAAATGATTTTAAATAGATGACAGCACTTAGGAGACTGTAAATTTCCATGGCAAAAGTTCCAGGATGAAAGGGAAACCTCCTCAAGGGAATCTTGAAAACAGAACGTTTACTGAGGTGACAGCAGAGGAAGCTCACTGTTTTGCTATCAGTTTTCACTGAGGAGAATATGTCAAGGCCATCATCTGTTTGAATATCCCAATCTCTGGCACTTCAGATTGATAAAAATAACCCCTCTTAATGTATCTAGAAATTGAAGAAAATTTTCCCTCAAGATTTAAAAATATTTCCAATGGCACAATAATTTAAGCAAAAGTGAGTATTTACATAATAAAAAACCTAGAAATGAAATAGTAGAAATAGGATTTTAGACAAAATAGCAAATATATGTCAGAAAAGCCTGTAAGTGATTTGTGGCAAGGGCTTCTTTTACTCCTATAATTTTTATATTATTTCGCTACAATTTGGTTTTCCTCTCTCTGATTTTCATTTCTTTGGCTATCTATTTGAACCTTCTGATTTTCTGCTTTAGTAGTTCCTTCACTGCATTGTAGTAGAATGCTTTAAGATGTGAGGATAATAGGAATAAATATTTAACATGATAATACAACTAACTACTGCCATCTAATTTCCTGCAGTGTAAAGGAGTCTAGGAACAGTAATCATTCCGCATTTTGTTGGATATTTCCACCTAGTTTTAATAAGAATGGTTATCAAACACTGTTTAAGCCTTTTAGACATTTATCACAGGAAAAAACATAAAAAGGATCATAAATTGAAGTCATGTGATGTAATTTTTCAAAGAGAAAATCTTAAATTTTTCTTTTTTGTGGGGAGGTGTCAATCCTTAAAGCATCACTGAATATCTCCCCTCTCCCCAAATCCTTATATTCATTTTATGATCCTGCAACTTCACATAGCACTGGTTAAATCAGGTGAGCTGTATCTAAGCTATTACCTAACACTGTCATTTGGTGAAGAAAATAAAGCAAAATGATAGGCTGAATGAATCTACATGCAACAGTTTGAATGGATATTTAAATTGCACTTACAGCCATTTTTGTCTTTCCTTTGGAGATTTTTTTTTTTTTTTTTAATTCTAACAAGAGAAAAAGCCTGACATTATCTCAGGGGCTTTGAAAGCTACAATGAATGGCCTACATTTAGGGAAACTGGCATTTGTTGTCTTGAATTTCTCATGAAACAACAGGGATTCCTGCCTAAAAATCACCCATTAATGCTATCCCCGTGTATTTGTTCAGCTTAGGGTTTCAAGTTCATTTTCAGTCTGAAATCCTAGCCTAATGCTTCCTTTAGTTTTAAATTTAAAAATGAAATTCAGCTAACATTAGTTTTTGAAAAACTATTGAAAAAACAACAATAAATGGATCCTATACTTATGCAAATTGCATAAAATCTAAGATTTGGAAATGTCCAATAAATACAAGAAAAACAAACACCTAAGTATATCCTATATATCAAATGTACCATCTATCCTGTGACTGTTAGGTAATGTGTAATTTGCATGACACTGAATCTGACTAATAACCTCTGGTAGATTTTTTTTTCTTTTAAAGAGGCCTCTACAATGAATAAATATAAATATCCAAGCTCTCAGTATAGATATATTTGCTTTTTGGTAGAGGGCAAAACAGATAATCTTTTTTTTTTAATTTGAAAAATAATTTTTTAAAACAAATTTTACTTTAGGTTCCAGGATACATGTGAAGAACGAGTAGGTTTGTTACATAGGTATACGTGTGCCATGGTGGTTTGATGAAGCTATTGACCCGTCCTCTAAGTTCCCTCCCCTCGCCTCCCACCCCACAACAGGCCCTGTTGTGTGTTTCCCCTCCCTGTGTCCATGTGTACTTATTGTTCAACTCCCACTTATGAGTGAGGACATGCAGTGTTTGGTTTTCTGTTCCTCTGTTAGTCTGCTGAGGATGATGGCTTCCAGTTTCATCCATGTCCCTGCAAAGGACACACTCTCATTGCTTTCTATGGCTGTGCAGTATCCTATGTTATACATGTACCACATTTTCTTTATCCAGTCTATAATTGATGGGCATTTGGGTTGGTTCCATGTCTTTGCTATTGTAAATAGTGCTGCAATAAATGTGCATGTCTTTATAGTAGAATGATTTATATTCCTGTGGGTAAAACACACAGTTGAGTTGGCAGATCATGACTCTGAGTGCCATTTTTGATGCTACATGTGCTCTCTCCAGAACCTTGTTTACTAGACACCTGGCGGTTCTGGTGATTGACTATTGAGGAAAACGTAATTCTCTAAGTTAATTCTTGAAATAAAGCCAGAAGCAAATATACTTCAACAGTTTGTAATGTGACAAACCTTTAACAAGCACCTTAAATTAAGCTTTGTGTGATTTTCCGCCTACCTTGCTGTGCTTTCAAAAAGAAAATCATAAAACTGTTAGGGGAAGCAATTACTTGGGAAGACATGTACTGGGCAAACTTTCTTTTTTTTTAAATTATACTTTAAGTTCTGGGATACATGTGCAGAGCATGCAGGTTTGTTACATAGGTGGTGTAACATGCCATGGTGGTTTGCTGTACCCATCAACCTGTCATCTACATTAGGTATTTCTCCTAATGCTATCCCTCCCCTAGATACCCACCCCACAACAGGCCCCAGTGTGTGATGTTTCCCTCCCTGTGTCCATGTGTTCTCATTGTTCAATTCCCACTTATGAGTGAGAACATGCAGTGCTTGGTTTTCTGTTCCTGTGTTAGTTTGCTGAGAATGATGGTTTCCAGCTTCATCCATGTCCATTCAAAGGACATGAACTCATCCTTTTTTATGGCTGCATAGTATTCCATCATGTATATGTGCCACATTTACTTTATCCAGTCTATCATTGATGGGCATTTGGGTCGGTTCCAAGTCTTTGCTATTGTGAATAGTGCTGCAGTAAACATACGTGTTCATACGTTTTTATAGTAGAATCATTTATAATCCTTTGGGTATATATCCATTAATGAGATTGCTGGATCCAATGGTATTTCTTGTTCTAGATCCTTGAGGAATTGCTACACTGTCTTCCACAGTGATTGAACTAATTTACACTCCCACCAACAGTGTAAAAGCATTCCTGTTTCTCCACATCCTCTCCAGCATCTGTTGTTTCCTGACTTTTTAATGATCACCATTCTAAGTGGCAGGAAATGGTATCTCATTGTGGTTTTGACTTGCATTTCTGTAATGACCAGTGATAATGAAGTTTTTTTCATATGTTTTTTGGCCACATAAATGTCTTCTTTTGAGAAGTGTCTGTTCATATCCTTTGCCCACTTTTTGATGGGGATTTTTTTTTTCTTGTAAATTTGCTTAAGTGCCTTGTAGATTCTGGATATTAGCCTTTGTCAGATGATAAATTGCAAAAATTTTCTCTCATTCTGCAGGTTGCCTGTTCACTCTGATGATAGTTTGCTTTGCTGGGCAGAGGCACTATAGTTTAATAGATCCTATTTGTCAATTTTGGCTTCTGTTGCCATTGCTTTTGGTGTTTTAGTCATGAAATCTTTGCCCATGCCTATGTCCTGGATGGTATTGCCTAGGTTTTCTTCTAGGGTTTTTATGATTTTAGGTCTTATGCTTAAGTCTTTATTCCATCTTGAGTTATTTTTTGTATAAGGCATAAGGAAGGGGTCCAGTTTCAGTTTTCTGCATATGGCTAGCCAGTTTTCCCAACACTATTTATTAAACAGGAAATGCTTTCCCCATTGCTTGTTTCTGTCAGGTTTGTTAAAGATCAGATGGTTGTAGATGTGTGGCATTATTTCTGAGGCCTCTGTTCTGTTTCATTGATATACATATATATATATATATGTAGTCTATATATAGTACCACGCTGTTTTGGTTACTATAGCCTTGTAGTGTAGTTTAAAGTCAGGTAGCATGATGCCTCCAGCTTTGTTCTGTTTGCTTAGGATTGTCTTGGCTACACAGGCTCTTTTTTGGTTCCATATGAAATTTAAAGTAGTTTAAATTTAATGAAGTTTAAAGTAGCCTCCTTGAAGAGGTCCTTCACATCCCTTGTAAGTTTTATTCCTAGGTATTTTATTCTCTTTGTAGCAATTGTTAATGGGAGTTCATTAATGGATTTGGCTCTCTGTTTGTCTATTATGGGTGTATAGGAATGCTTGTGATTTTTGCACATTGATTTTGAATCTTGAGACTTTGCTGAAGTTGCTTATCAGCTTAAGGAGATTTTGGGCTGAGATGATGGGGTTTTCTAAATATACAATCATGTCATCTGCAAACAGACAATTTGACTTCCTCTCTTCCTATTTGAATACCCTTTATTTCTTTCTCTTGCCTGATTGCCCTGGCCAGAACTTCCAATACTATGTTGAATGGAGTGGTGAGAGAGGGCATCCTTGTCTTGTGCCAGTTTTCAAAGGGAATGGTTCCAGTTTTTGCCCATTCAGTATGATACTGGCTGTGGGTTTGTCATAAATAGCTCCTGTTATTTTGAGATATATTCCATCAATATCTAGTTTATTGAGTGTTTTTAGCATGAAGGGGTGTTGAATTTTATCAAAGGCCTTTTCTGCATCTATTGAGAAAATCACATGGCTTTTGCCATTGGTTCTGTTTATGTGATGAATTATGTTTATTGATTCGTCTATGTTGAACCAGCCTTGCATCCCAGGGATGAAGCCGACTTGATTGTGGTGGATAACCTTTTTGATGTGCCACTGGATTCAGTTTGCCAGTATTTTATTGAGTTTCTTCGCATCAATGTTCATCAGGGTTATTGGCCTGAAATTTTCTTTTTTTGTTGTGTCTCCGCCAGATTTTGGTATCAGGATGATGCTGGCCTCATAAAATGAGTTAGGGAGGAGTCCCTCTTGTTTGGAATAGTTTGAGAAGGAAAGGTACCAGCTCTTCTTTTTACCTCTGATAGAATTTGGCTGTGAATCTGTCTGGGCCTGGGGTTTTTTTGAGTTGTAGGCTATTAATTACGACCTCAATTTCAGAACTTTTTATTGGTCTATTCAGAGATTCAACTTCTTCCTGGTTTAGTCTTGGGAGGGTGTATGTATCCAGGAATGTTTCATTTCTTGTAGATTTTCTAGTTTACTTGTGTAGAGGTGTTTATAGTATTATCTGATGGTAGTTTGTATTTCTGTGGGATCAGTGGTGATACGCCCTTTATCATTTTTTTATTGTGTCTATTTGATTCTTCTCTCTTTTCTTCTTTATTAGTCTGGCTAGTGGTCTATCTATTTTGTTAATCTTTTCAAAAAATCAGCTCTTGGATTCATTGATTTTTTCCATTTTTTTTTTTTGTTTCTCTATATCTCTATCAGTTCTGCTCTGATCTTAGTTATTTTTTGTCTTCTGCTAGCTTTTGAATTTGTTTGTTCTTGCTTCTCTAGTTCTTTTAATTGTGATGTTAGGGTGTTGGTTTTAGATCTTTCCCACTTACTCCTGTGGGCATTTAGTGCTATACATTTCCCTCTAAGCACTGATTTAGCTGTGTCCCAGAGATTTTGGTACTTTGTTTCTTTGTTCTGATTGGTTTCAAAGAACTTATTTATTTCTGCCTTAATTTCGTTATTTACGTAGTAGTCATTCAGGAGCAGGTTGTTCAGTTTCCATGTAGTTGTGCAGTTTTGAGTGAGTTTCTTAATCTTGAGTTATAATTTGATTGCACTGTGGTCTGGGAGACTGTTTGTTATGATTTTGGTTCTTTTGCATTTGCTAAGGAGTGTTTTACTTCCAATTATGTGGTCAATTTTAGAATAAGTGTGATGTGGTGCTGGGAAGAATGTATATTCTGTTGATTTGGGATGGAGAGTTCTGTAGATGTCTATTAGGTCCACTTGGTCCAGAGCTGAGTTCAAGTCCTAAATATCCTTGTGAATCTTTTGTCTCATTGATCAGTCTAATATTGACAGTGTGGTGTTAAAGTCTCCCACTATTTTTGTGTGGGAGTCTAAGTCTCTTTGTAGGTTTCTAAGAACTTGCTTTATGAATCTGGGTGCTCCTGTATTGGGTGTAGATATATTTAGGATAGTTAGCTCTTCTTGTGGCATTGATCCATTTACTATTATGTAATGCCCTTCTTTGTCTCTTTTGATCTTTGTTGGTTTAAAGTGTGCTTTATCAGAGACTAGGATTACAATCCCTGCTTTTTTTTTCTTTCTATTTGGCTGCTAAATATTCCCCCATCCCTTTATTTTGAGCCTATGTTTGTCTTTGCATGTGAGATAGGTCTGCTGAATACAGCACACCAGTGAGTCTTGACTCTTTATCCAATTTGTCAGTGTCTTTTAATTGGGGTATTTAGCCTGGTTACATTTAAGGATAATATTGTTATGTGTAAATTTGATCCTGTCATATTATGATGCTAGCTGGTTATTTTGCCTGTTAGTTGATTCAGTTTTTTCATAATGTTGATGCTCTTTACAATTTGGTATGTTTTTACAGTGGCTGGTACTGGTTGTTCCTTTCCATGTTTAGTGCTTCCTTCAGGACCTCTTGTAAGGCAGATCTGGTTGTGACAAAATCTCTCAGCATTTTCTTGTCTGTAAAGGATTTTATTTCTCCTTCACTTATGAAGCTTAGTTTGGCTGGGTATGAAATTCTGGGTTGAAAATTTTTTTAAGAATGTTGAATATTGGCCCTCACTCTCTTCTGGCTTGTAGGGTTTCTGCTGAGAGATCCAATGTTAGTCTGATGGGCTTCCCTTTGTGGGTAATGAGACCTTTCTCTCTGGCTGCCCTTAAATTTTTTTCCTTCATTTCAACCTTGGTGAATCTGCCGATTATGTGGCTTGGGGTTGCTCATCTCGAGGAGTATTTTTGTGGTGTTCTCTGTATTTCCTGAATCTGAATGTTGACCTGTCTTGGTAGGTTGGGAAAGTTCTCCTGGATAATATCCTGAAGAGTGTTTTCCAACTTGGTTTCATTCTCTCAGTCACTCTCAGGTACAGCAATCAAACATAGGTTTGGTCTTTTCACATAGTCCCATATTTCTTGGAGGCTTTCTTCATTCCTTTTCATTCTTTTTTCTCTAATTTTGTCTTCAGGCTTTATTTCATTAAGGTGATCTTCAATCTCTGATATCATTTCTTCTGCTTGATCAATTCAGCTAGTGATACTTGTGTATGCTTCACGAATTCTCGTGCTGTTTTTCAGCTCCATTAAGTCATTTATGTTCTTCTCTAAACTGCTTATTCTATTTAGCAATTCCTCTAACCCTTTTTCAAAGTTCTTAGCTTCCTTGCTCTGGGTTAGAACATGTTCCTTTAGCTTGGAGGAGTTTGTTTTCACCCACTTTCTGAAGCCTACTTCTGTCATTTCATTAGACTCATTCTCCGTCCAGTTTTGTTCCCTTGCTGGCAAGGCGTTGTGATCCTTTTGAGGGGAAGAGGAGTTTTGGGTTTTGGAATTTTCAGCCTTTTTGCGCCAGTTTTTCCTCATCTTTGTGGATTTATCTACCTTTGGTCTTGGATGTTGGTGACCTTCGGATAGGGTTTTCGTGCGGATGTCCTTTTTGTTGATGTTGATGCTATTTCTTTCTTTTTGTTAGTTTTCCTTCTAACAGTCAGGCCCCTCTGCTGCAGGTCTGCTGGGTTTTGCTGGACGTTCACTCCAGACCCTGTTTGCCTGGGTATCACCAGCAGAGGCTGCAAAACAAAGATTGCTGCCTGTGCCTTCCCCTGGAAGCTTTGTCCCAGAAGGGCACTCACCAGATACTAGCCAGATTTCCCCTCCATGAGGTGTCTCTTGACCCCTGCTGGGAGGTGTCTCCCAGTCAGCAGGCACGAGGGTCAGGGAGCCACTTGAGGAGGCAGTCTGTCCCTTAGTAGAGCTCGAGCTCTGTGCTAGGAGATCTGCTGCTGTCTTCAGATCTGGCCAGCAGGAACCTTTAAGTCTGCTGAAGCTGTGCCCACAAACGCCCCTTCCCCTAGGTGCTCTGTCCCAGGGAGATGGGAGTTTTATTTATAAGCCCCTTACTGGGGTTGCTGCCTTTCTTTCAGAGATGCTGTCCTCAGAGGGGAGGAATCTAGACAGGCAGTCTGGCTACAGTGGCTATGCCCAGCTGCAGTGGGCTCCACCCAGTTTGAACTTCCTTGTGGCTTTCTTTACACTGTGAGGGGAAAACCGCCTACTGAAGCCTCCTAATGGTGGATGCCCCTCCCCCCTCATCAAGTTCCAGTGTCCCAGGTTGAATTCAGACTGCTGTGCTGGCAGTGAGAATTTTAAATCAGTGGATCTTAGCTTGCTTGGTTCCATGGGGTTGGGATCTACTGATTTTGACCACTTGGCCCCCTGGCTTCAGCCTCCTTTTCAGGGGAGTGAATGGTTCTCTCTCGCTGGTGTTCCAGACATCACTGGGGTATGAAATAAAAACTCCTTCAGTTATCTTGGTGTCTCACCAAATGGCTGCCCACTTTTGTGCTCAACACCCAGGTCCCTGGTGGTGTAGGCACCTGAGGGAATCTCTTGGTCTGTGGGTTGCAACAACCTTGGGAAAAGCGTAGTATCTGGGCCAGAATGCACCATCCCTCACAACACAGTCCCACATGGCTTCCCTTGGCAGGGAAGGGAGTTCTGCGACCCCTTTTGCTTCTCAGGTGAGGTGACACCCCATCCTGCTTCAGCTCACCTTCTGTGGGCTGCACCCACTGCCTACCGAGTCCCAGTGAGATGAGCCGGGTACCTCAGTTGGAAATGCAGAAATCACCCGCCTTCTGCGTTGATTTCCTTGGGAGCTGCAGACCAGAGCTGTTCCTATTTGGTCATCTTGACAGCCACCAAAGGGTAGGTCTTATTTATTTTTTCTAACTATTTTTTATACCCATTAACCATCACCCAGCCCCAACTCGGTTCCCCCACTCCCTGACTATGCTCCCCAGCCTCTGGTAACAATGCTTCTGCTCTATGTTCATGAGTTTAATTGTATTAATTTATATCTTCCACAAATAAGTGAGAACATGCAATTATTGTCTTTCTGTGCCTGGCTTAATTCACTTAACATAATGACCATCCATCCATGTTGTTGTAGATGACAGGATCTCATTATTTTTTATGGCTGAATAGTACTCCATTATGTATATGTACCATCACTTTCTTTATTTATTCATCTGTTGATGGATACTTAGATTGCTTCCAAATATTGGCTATTGTGAATAGTGCTGGAATAAATATGGGAGTTAAGCTATCTCTTTAATATATGGACGTTCTTTCTTTTAGGTATATACCCGGAGGTAGGACTGCTGGATCATATGGTAGCTCTAGTTTTAGTTTTTTTTGGGGAGCCTCTGAACTGTTCCCCATAGTGTTTGTACTAATTTATATTCCCACTAGTATTGTAGGAGGGTTCTCTTTTTTCCACATCCTCTTCCCCATTTGTTATTGCCTGTCTTTCGGATAAAAGCCATTTTAACTGGGGTGTTTTGATATCTCATTTTATTATGATTTGTGTTTCTCTGATGATCAATGATGTTGAGCCCCTTTTCTTATGCCCGTTTGCCATTTGTAAGTCTTTTTTTGAGAAATGTTGATTCAAATCTTTTGCCCATTTAAAAATAAGATTATTTACAGCATTTCACTTTTATGAAAAATAGTGATGGAATATTCAGATTATTAGATTTTTTTTCCTCTGGAATTGTTTAAGCCCTTTATATATTGTTTATTAATCCCTTGCCAGATGGGTAGTTTGCAAATATTTTCTCCCATTTGATGGATTGTCTCTTCACATCTTTGTTGTTTCCTTTGCTGTGCAGAAGCTCTTTAACTTAATGTGATTCCATTGGTCTATTTTTGCTTTGTTTCCCTGTGCTTGTGGGTATTATTCAAGAAATGTTTGCCCAAACCAATGTCTTTGAAAATTTCCCTAATGTTTTCTTGTAGTAGTCTCATAGTTTGAGGTCTTAGTTTTAAGTCTTTAATCCATATTTTCATTTGTGTTTGTGTGTGGCACTAGATAAGGGTCTAGTTTCATTCATTTGCATATGGATATCCAGTTTTCCCAGCACCATTTATTGGAGAGATTCTCTTTTCTCCAGTGTATGTTCTTGGCACTTTTGTTTAAAAATGCATTTAATGTGTAGGTAAATGGATTTGTTTCTGTGTTCTCTATTATGTTCTATCGGTCTATGTGTCTGTTTTTATGGCAGCATTATGCTGTTTCGGTTACTATAGCTCTGTATTATAATTTAAAATTGGGTAATGTGATTTTTCCAATTTTGGTCTTTTTGCTTAGGATAGCTTTGGCTGTGCTAGATCCTTTTTTTGTTACATACAAATTTTAGGATTGCTTTTTCAGTTCCTGTGAAGAATGTAATTGGTATTTCATAGGGAGTGCATTGAATCCGTAGATTGCTTTGGGTAATATGGACATTTTAATAATATTGTTCTTTCCAATCCATCAACATGGAATATCTTTCCATTTTTTGTGTGTCTTCTTCAATTCCTTATATCAGTGTTTAAAAGTTTTTTTTATAGAGATGTTATACTTAAAGTGAAAGTAAAATTAATTCCTAGGTATTTAATTTTATTTGTGGCTATTGTAAATGAGATTACTTTTTTGATTTCTCTTTCAGATGGTTTGCTATAGGCATATAGATACGCTACCAATTTTTGCATGTTGATTTTGTATTCTGCAACTTTACTGAATTTATCAGTTCTAATAGTTTCTTGGAGGAATCTTTAGGTTTTTCCAATTATAAGATTATATAATCTGCAAACAGGGATAATTTGACATTTTTCATTCCAGTTTGGATGCCTTTTATTTCTTTCTCTTGTCTGATTGCTCTTGCTAGGACTTCCAGCACTGTGTTGAATAACAGTGGTGAAAGTGGGCATCCTTATTTTGTTCCAGATTTTAGAGGAAAGCTTTTCAGTTTTTCTTCATTCAGTGTGATACTAGCTGTGGGTTTCTTATATATGGCTTTTATATGTTGAAGTGTATTTCTTCTATGCCCAGTTTTTTGAGAGATTTTATCATGAAGGGATATTAAGTTTTATCAAATGCCTTTTCAGCATCAATTGAAATGGTCATATGTTTTTTATCATTCATTCTGTTGATAGGATGTATCACATTGATTGATTTGCATATGTTGAACAATCCTTGCATCCTTGGGGTAAATCCTACTTGGTCATGATGAATGATCTTTTTTAATGTATTGTTGAATTAGGTTTGTTAGCATTTTGTTGATGATTTTTGAATCAATATTTATCAGAGATATGTGCCTGTAATTTCCTTTTTTGATGTTTGTCTGGTTTTTGTATCAGGGTAATACTCTCCTTGCAGAATGAGTTTGGAAGTGTTCCCTCCTCCTCCATTTCTTGGAACAGTTTGAGTAGGATTAGTTCTTCTTAAATATTTGGTAGAATTCAGGACTGAAGCCGTCAGGTGCCAGGCTTTTCTTTCCTGGGAAACTTTTTATTACGGCTTTGATATTGTTACTTGTTATTGGTCTAGTCAGGTTTTGGATTTCTTCATTATTCAATCTTGGCAGGGTTGCGTGTGTTCAGGAATTTATCCATTTATTCTGGATTTTCTCGTTTATTTGCATATAGTTGTTCATAGTAGCCACTAATAATCCTTTGAATTTCTGCTGTAACAGTTTTAATGTCTACTTTTTCATCTCTGATTTTATTTATTTGTGTCTTCTTTCTTTTTTTCATAGTCTGGCTAATGTTTTGTCAATTTTGATTAACTTCTCAAAAATCCAACTTTTTGTTTATCATTAATCTTTTGTATTGTTTTTTTATTTTAATTTTATTTATTTCTGCTATGATCTTTACTATTTTTTTCCTACTAATTTTGGGGTTTGGTTTGGTTTTGCTTTTCTAGGTCTTTAAGTTGCATCATTAGGTTGTTCACTTGAAATTCTTTTTTTTCTTATTTAATGTAGGCAATTATAGGTGTAAACTTCCCTTAGTAATGTGTTTGCTGTATCCCATAGGTTTTGGTATGTTGTGTTTTCATTTTCATTTGCTTTACGAAATTTTTCAATTTTCTTTTGAATTTCTTCATTGGCCCCCTGGTTATTTAGAAGCATGTTGCTTAGTTTTCATATATTTGTATAGTTTTCAGAATTCCTCTTGTGATTGAGTTCTAGTTTTATTCCATTGTGGTCAGAGAAGATACTTGATATTTTCTCAAGATTGTTTTTGAATGTTTTGACTTATTTTGTGATGTAACATATCCTTGAGATAGTCCCAGGCAGGTCCAGAGGTACAGTCTGGGAGCTGGGGACTACAGTCTATAACCTGAGAAGTTGATATAGTTTGGATATGTGTCCCTGCCCAAATCTCATGTTGAACTGTAATCCCAATGTTGGAGGTGGGGCCTGATGGGAGGAGATTAGATCATGGGAGTGGATTTCTCATGAATGGTTTAGCAATATCCCTTGGTGCTATTCCTATGATAGTGAGTTCTTGTGAGATCTAGTTGTTTAAAAGTATGTGGCACCTCTTCCCTTGCTCCTGCTTTCGCCATGTGTTGTGCCTGCTCCCACATTACTTTCCCACTGAGTAAAAGCTCTCTGAGAACTCCCAGAAGCCAAGTAATGATGGTGCCATGCTTGTATTGCCTGCAGAACTGTGAACCAATTAAGCCTTTTTTAAAAAAATAAATTGCCCAGTGTCAGATATTTCTTTATAGCAATGCAAGAACAACCTAATACAAAATTCTGCCTTGGGTTCTATTGTACTGTGGCTGAGCTGCCACTCAAACCACAAGATGCAGTTTTTCTCACTCTTCTTTCCCCTTTCCAAAGGCAGAGGAGCCTCACCCATAGCCACTGCCACCACAGGATCATGGGGAGTACTGCCAGGCTTTTGCTAATGTTCCCTTAAGGCCAAGCCCCCTTCAGTCAGCTTGTGATGAATACTTCCTCTTGTGGGACTCACAGTTAAGGGAAGTAGGCTCCCTTGTGGTTTGGGGCAGGTCCAGAAATGCCATCCAAGAGCCAAAGCCTGGAAATGGGGACCCCAGGAGCTCTCTTGGTGCTCTACCCAACTGCGGCCAAGCTGGTAACTAAGGTGTAAGTCAAAGTCCCCTGTAATTTTCAAACTGGTAGGTTTTATTATTTATATAGGCTATATGTTGTTGAAGGCAGCAGCACGGTTAGCAAAAATAAGAGCTGGAGTGGATGTCTTAGTGGTTGAGGAGCATGTTTTGCTTCTTTGTTTTATTATGCCTAACTACTTTCTAACACAGGATTGCCAGGTTAGTATGGCAAGAGGACAGGGGAATCTGATCCCAACCCTCTCAGATGTGTTTTGGCACCTTAAATGGAGAGTTCCTTCTCTTATATCATGTCCCCCATTCTCTATTCCAGAAAGGATACTTACTCTGGTCTCCAGGTGCAGTTATGAAGCCTTTCTAAGTTCCTATTACCACCTACATTTCTTTGATTTGAGTGTCCTTTATCTTCTCCCAAAATCCTTTTTGAAACTTTGCTACCTTTGAACTTATCTGTTTCTTGGAGAGTCCTTCTTTGTCTATTTTCCACAAGCTTTAGAGACCCCACTTCCCCAGAATACTTTAGGGTTTATTCAGTGTTTTTAAGTTAGTAAACAGTAACTACATGTTGTAGGATTATGCATGAACCAAGTGTTCAACAGACGAGAGAACATAAGACCTCATGTGGAAGATCTTATGTGGAAGGCAATTCTCTGTCTTCCTCAATTCCTAACGTGGAAAGCATTCTCTGTCTTCCAAGAACCATGTGCAGTGTAGTCTATAGCTTACCAATATACCTCTGAAAACACATCCAGAAATTCAATCGAAATGCCAAGGCTTCACATCTTGAAAAACCTAAAATTCATTAATAGGCATATTTTACTAATTCTAACTGGTAAACTTTTAGTCTTGTTGCAGACCTTTGCAAATCAGCTATGGAAAACTGGTTTTCCATGTAAAAGCCTGTGCTTGTGTTTACATGCTGAGAAAAATTCAATTTGCCCTCTGAACCTCTTTCAAGAAAACTTCAAATGTGAAACATGTATTCTATGGTTTTTTTGGCTGCATATATTTCCAGACTTATTATTAAGTTTATAAAATTATGTGATCAATAGTCATAAAATTGTTTCTTTGGTTGTCTCTTAAGAAAACTATATTGGCAATCCTTAACTTATTATGAGCATAACACAGTATAATAATAGAATAAAAAAAAGTTGGAATCCAGGATTTTCATAAGCTTGAAACATGATATTTATTAATTTGGTGATTTATGCACTAACCATTTAGCGTGACAATTAGCTTGTTAAATAAAGCTTCACTTGGATTTGGTATTTGGGAACCAAGGGAAAGTAGTTTGTAAGAATCTCAGTCAGGGCCGGGTGTGGTGGCTCACGCCTGTAATCCTAGCACTTTGGGAGGCTGAGGCAAGCAGATCACGAGGTCAGGAGATGGAGACAATCCTGGCTAACATGGTGAAACCCCATCTCTACTAAAAATACAAAAAATTAGCCAGGTGTGGTGGCAGGCGCCTGTAGTCCCAGCTACCCAGGAGGCTGAGGCAGGAGAATGGCATGAACCCAGGAGGTGGAGCTTTCAGTGAGCTGAGATCACGTCACTGCACTCCAGCCTGGGCAACAGAGCAATACTCCAACTCAAAAAAAAAATAAACAAAAAACAAAACAAACAAACAAACAAAAAACAACTCAGTCAGGAAAATCCCTGTAAAAACTAGTTATTTCTATTAGTTTTTCTGTGAATCATCATCATGGAATCTTTTTAATCAAGAAAAATAGAGATTTGTTATTTATTACTCAGTGAATCTGAGATAGTCCCCATAGAAATTCAGAATGTTCAGAGAAACATTGGAATAATCAAATTGCCATTAAGACAGTCTAGAAATTTGGAATTATCTGAACTAACTGTGAAGACAACCACAAATTCACAAATTAACTATTTAGCTCATTCATTTCTTGCTTTGGTTATACTGACAGAGCAAATATGTTTGAGAATGAGTGTTTGGGGGTTTTTGCCCTCTCAGATTACTATTGCGTTTACCTATGGTGGTCCACCCGTCAAACCCAAAATATAATGGTTGAAAACAACAACCATTTCTTTGTTCATTATTCTTTGTGGATGTGCAATTAGGGCTGGGATTTGCTGGGATGGTTTGGCTCTGTACCACCAGATACTGAACTAGGCTCAATGTTGCATTTGAGCCATGGCTGGGGCAACTCAGGGTACTCTCTTCATGTTCTTAATTTCCAGGAGGTTAGCCCAATCTTTTCCACATAATGGTAGAAGAGTTCCCAGTAGGCAGAAAAGGTAAGTGCTAATGCACAACGTTTATTTAGCTTCTGCTTGTATCATGTTTGCTGATATTTCATTGGCCTAGCAGAGTCATCACGGGACAGGACTATACAGGAAATGGCTATAGAAAAGAATTATTCTCCAGAATTTATAGAAAGGAGTAAAAATTGATCACAATTACTAACACAAAACACATTAAACTGCTTTCTCTTTTAGAAGATGAGTATTAGGTCAGATCAGGTGGGCAAACTATGGCCTAGGGAACAAATCTGGCCTGCCACCTGTTTTTGTGAATAAAATGTTATTGAATCACAGCCACACCTATTTATATATTTGCTATAGTTTGGTTGTTTGAACCCCACCCCCACCCCACATGCACTTCTTGTTGAAATTTGATGCCCAGTGTTGGAGATCTAGCCTAATGGGAGGTATTTGGGCCATGGGGGTGGATTCTTACTTGGGGGTGAGTTAGTTGTTACAGAGAGCCTGGCACCTCTCCCCTCTCTCTCTTTCTTCCTCCCACTATGTGATTTCTGCACACACCAGCTCACCTTCTGCCATGAGTAGAAGCAGCCTGAAGCCCCCACCAGATGCAGATGCCCAACCTTACCTTTCCAGCCATCAGAACTATGAATCAAATAAACCTTTTTTCTTTACAAATTACCTAACCACAGGTTTTTTTTATAGCAACAAAAAATGAACAAAGACAGCTTTGTCTATAGCTCTTTTGCTCTATAATGGCAGAGTTGAGTAACTGCTACATAAACTGTATGGCCCACAAAGCCTAAAATATTTACTCTTGAGACCTTTACAGAAAAGGTATGCTGATACTGAATTAGATAATTTACCTTTTATCTGTCTCTAAATGGTAAAGCAAAAAGATTTTAACTGAATACTTTTTAACTGTAATCTAGTTCCAGGGTTAAAATTGAATTGTCTTTTGGGGAATAAAAAGTTAGGATGGGAAATGGAGTATTCCCAGTGTCCCTGAGACAATGATCTTTTTCCCTAGGAAAGAAGATATGTAAGAAGTTACTACTAAGATAGGTTGTATTTGGAGAAAAAGACAGGGAACTAATCATTTCCATGTATGTGTATGTGTGTGTACAGTTTAGATCTTATGGTCCAACACAGCAAGTTAATTCATAAGAAAGTCAATTTTCCACCCACCTTCTCACTTGACAATTTGAAGAGTTTCTGATTTTTACAAACAGCCAGTGAGTGATGGAAACCAGTGGATACTGCCAAATAATCTTATTAGATTATATATTATAAGACTGGAGAGCTGGTACAGAAGGTGACACATGCATATGGGTGCAGGTGTTTGCATATGTAGATTTTCATTGTCTTCTATATTATTAGCTCTAATTGGAGATGTTTCACATGAGAGAAATAATCTTACATGCACATACAACAAGCATAATATGATAATTTAATATAGTATATGCAATATATAATATATTGTAATATATCATTTGGTATAATATATAGAACAGTTTGGTATAACAGATATACACATAGAGAGATGAATAGACATACAGGTAGATAATATTGTAATAACATAATCTTACCAGGCCATGAACATTTCCTCAACTTGTTTTTATTCTTACTACCATCATCACAAATATGCATCTGATGGTAGTCTATGAGAAAAAGGATTCTGATTTTGTAATGCATTATCTTTATATTTTGTTGAAATATTTTGTTGAAGTTTTCTGTTGAATGTCACTTCAAAACTCTGACTCAGTCTAATTTCTATCAAGTTCTGAGTCTCGAGCAACCAAGTTGTTTGACATCATATATATATATAGGTTAGTATTCTATACCAGGTAAATGTCAACATTAGGTCAAGATACTGTTTAACAGTCAAGGATCAACACAAGTCAGAACAGGAGAAAACACATACTTTAAATGTGGCCTTCAATCTATGACTATTTTATTAGTCTTAAAAATTTAATGGTTAACATCTTTAAAGTTTGATATGGAGTTTTCTTTTGATTTGATGGTGGTGGCATTGTCAGGATTAAACTTATTTAACCAATGTGAAGTTCTTAGAAGAAATGAGGCATATACTGTTTGCTATTATTGTTGTTACTTAGCTTGCAATGAATATTAGTCTTGTAGATTCATGTTGATATCTACTACTGTGTTCACATATATATGTAAGTATATTTTTATTAGGTTAATGTGTATATACATACTCAACCCTATAAAAATATTAAAAACCTAGAGAAATAGGGCTGAGAGTTAACTCAGAAAGGTGAAGTGAGAATAAAAAATGAGAAACAAATAGTTATCATCTGGGAGAACTACAAGCAAGATGGAACATATGCAAGGAATTATTGCTGTGGGTGTTGAATATTTGTGGATTTCCCAATTCATCCCATATTGTAGATGCTGTCTGGGAGTGGACATGGTGGTTTAAAGAAAAACTTGATAAGACTGAACATAGATTTTTTTCTATCAGTTTTTAAAATAGACTTCATTTTTTTAGAGAAGTTTTAGGTTTACAGAAAAGTTGGCCATAAAGTGTAGAGATATACATCCCTTTTCACCTACCATCTTCCACCCAGTTTCTCCTATTATTAACATCCTGTAATAGTGGGGTGCATTTGGTACAATTGATTAACCAATATGGATATTTTATTGACTGAAGTCAATAGTTTACATTACGGTTCACTCTTTGTGTTGTACAGTTTTGACACATGAATAATGTCATGTATCCACCATGACAGTATAATATGGAATAGTTTCACTGTCCTAAAAATGCCCTATGCTCTACCTATTCATCCCTCCTCCTTCACTCTGAACCTCTGGCAACCACCAATCTTTTTACATCACTCAAAAATTGCCCCTATTACAACAGAATGAATAAGACCTATTATTTGATAGCACAACAGGGTGACTATAGTCAATACAAACTTAAATGTATATTTTAAAGTAACTTAAAGAGTGTAATTGGATTGTTGGTAATTCAGAGGATAAATGCTTAAGGGGATGGACATCCCATTCTCCATGATGTACTTATTTCACGTTGCATGCCTGTATCAAAACATCTTATGTATTGGATAAATGTATACACCTACTATATACCTGTGAAAAATTTTTTTAAAAGACCTATCAGTATCTATAGTTTTGTCTTTTCCAGAAAGTCATATAGGTGGAATCATGCAGTATGTAGTTCAGACTATCTTCTTTCACTAAGCATTATGCATTTAAGGTTTTTCCATGTCTTTTTATATCTTGGTAGTCTATTTCTTTCTATCACTGAATAAGATTATCTTATCTGGGTGTACCACAGTTTATCTATTCACCTATTGAAGGACATATTGGTTGCTTCCAAATTTTGTTAATTATGAATAGACATGCTTATTTGAAGACTTTTGTGTAGACATAAGGCTTCAATTAGCGTGGGAAAAAACCTATGAGTGTGGATTCTGGATCTTTTGGTAAGCCAGTATTTGGCTTTGAAAGAAACTAACCTATCTTTCAAGATGGCTCTACCATTTGCATTACCAACAGTGATAAATGTGAGTTCATGTTGTTCCATATCCTCTTCAGCATTTGGTATTGTCAGTATTTTGGATTTCAGTCATTTAATTTGCAGCTCCCGAACCATGTGCGATATCAAACATCTTTTCACATACTTTTTTTTGCCATATGTGTATCTTCTTTGGTGAGGTGTCTGTTCAGATGTTTTGACTATTTTTAAATTGGGCTGTTTGCTTTCTTATTGTTGGATCTTAAGAGTACTTTGTATATTTTGGATACAACTGCATTATCTGATATGTATGTCTTCTGCAAATTTTTTTTTTCAATTTGTGCTTGTCCTTTTATTCTGTTAACAGTGTCTTTTGTGGAGCAGAAGTTTTTAATTTCATTGCAGTTTAATTAATTTTTTTTATTTTATGGATCGTACTTCTGATATAGTATCTAAAAAGTCATTGCCAAACCCAGGGTCAGCTATGTTTTTCAGTGCTATTTCCTAGAAGTTTCCTACCAGTTTTAGGGAAATGATCCTTGCTGTTCAAAACTTTGTCTTCTTCAATGCTTTTCTCTCATTATATAATGGCTTTTTCTCTCTTGTCTATACTTAACTAAAGAAAACCTAACCATCCTTTGAAGAGTCAATTCAAGGCTCACAGCCTTTGAAACTTGTTCTGATTACATCAGACCACTTTGATCTCCTTTTTTGAACCCCTGAAGCTATGGCAATCTATACCACATTGTTCAGTACTGTATTATACTCTGCTTTTAAAAAATTATTTTCATGTGTTAATCATATCTTTCAGGCAAGATAACTTAGAAATTATTCATCCTTTATAACTACTAGCAAACTTAGTGTGGTTTGGACCTAGAACAAGTTCTTAAAAAATGCCAGAAACCAGGAAACACAGTGAAATTGTTAAAGGCTTGGGTTTTGAAGTTATAAGGTTTTTATTTCACCTGTGCAACTGATGCCTATATGATCTTGGCAAACAAATTATTGAACCTCTCTGACTTGAGCATATTTTTCTGTGACAAAAGGATAAGAATATTATCTACCTAATATGGTTGATGTAAGTATCAGCATGAGATAAATACATACAAAGCTCTTAGCATATATCCCGGCACATGGTATGTGCTCTATGTTGATGTTATTACTACAGTTGTTATCTTTATAATTAAAGTAGACTGACTACAGCATGAATGAATTAGGTTAGTTATAATGAAGATGAAAATATTTTTATGGCCTTTATATCTCATTATTATTATTGTTATGTTTAAAAGTACATGTTATTTAAAACTTGAACAAGAATCCTTTTGCCTTTGTCCTTCCAAATTGGATTCCGCTTTCATAACTACTACTAAGTATTCAGTTTAATGATCACATTTACTGTTAGTGATGAACACATGACCCAAGTGAACTTAGCCAGCCTTAAGGCAGTTCCTTTTTCTCCTTGTTGAGAAGAGGGTTTTTCTTGTTTCCTGCACAGAAACAATGAAGAATAAAGCCTCATTTGATCTTAGAACCCTGAAGGTAACTATCATCATGGATAGCAGTGCAGAGAGGTGAAAAGACCCTCTGCATGCTTGATAACATGTTTGAGTGTCTGTATAGGTGAGAAAATTTTGCTTATTGTTTAAAATCATTTTGAGACAGATTGCCTATTACTTGCAGCTGAAAGCAGCCAAAATAGTAGCTATTTATAACTTCTTTCTGCTTAATATAGACTGAGGTATGAAATAGTCTCCTTCTGACTCAGCAGTAAAATCAGTAAAAACCCTGTAACCATCTCCCTTGGAAATGAGAGCCTAACCACAGATATATGTATAATATTAATCATAGAACATCACTTTCTCCTCCAAAAGTGTGAACTATTGTTAAATCAGCAATCCACCCTGACTTGAGGGACAGTGAATAAAGAGAAGCTCTGCATGTGAAGGTGATAAGAGGATTCACCCACAGAGAGCAGAGAGCCATGCCTCTTTTCTGGTAGCCAAAAAAGTTGAATGTAGTCTGCCTTGAGGTCATTTCACTTTTTTCTCTAGATTGTCTGATGGTAGCTGAAAGCAAAATGTCTCCCTTAGGATGTAACCTCCCATAAGCTGAGGAGCTGAGCATTAACATGAGGGAGACAGAACAGGAAAGGAAGCCTGTATTCTTTCTTGGAGCTGTTAATAATGTACTGGACAAGGGCAATAAATAATTGATAGTCGTCACCTCACTGCTTCTTGGTTATTCATGGGCTTCAAGATGGTCCTTTATCTTAGCGCCATCTAATCGTGTTACATCACATGCACTACTCGTTGCCAACATTAATATGTCTGCCAGTGACATGTGCTGCACACCAGCTTTTCAGAGCTATCACAAACTGCTGATCTGTGCCAGTCAAGAGCAATGTAATTGTCACTCGCGGACAGAAATATTAACGCCAGACAGAATAGTGTAAATAATACAAAAAATAACCTCCAACCCCAACGACAAATCTCCATAATTAGGGAAAGGTCTCTTTCATCACATCCACCGTACAATTCCCCTGAATGAGAATTGCAGTAGTTGAGAGAGAAGCAGGCTCAATTCAGTCAGGCTGAGCACCTGCATTCTTTTGATTATGTACATTGCAGAGACAGAGTAGGTGTGTGGATTCTGGAGCAAAGCAATGGGAGATTGTAAGGGAATATTTTAGATTTTTCTTCCTGATACCTTTATATACACCTGCAGAGATACCACGGCAACCTAGCAGTGATTGCCTTTCATGACAAGGTGGCCACATTAACCCACATATGGTAATTTCTAAATATTGATTATAGGAAGAATGAGTGTGCCAAGTAGAGAGGTACTAAATTCAGAAAGGAGGAGAAGGCAAAAAATGTACTTTAATTGGCAGCTAAAACTACTTAGACATTATACAGCTCATTTTATTCTCAAAGTGTTCGAGAGAGTGTTACCTAATGAATCCTTTTTATCAGAGGCAATAAGATTCCCCCATGCACCTGTGGCAAATGCCATCCATTCTTCCTTCTTCCTTGCCAACAGAATCCCAATTATGAACAAGATGGCAGAATGCCTGGCTAAATACTAGCTTCCTCAGCCTTTGTTGTAGCTAGAGGTGGCCAAGTCAGAGTTCTGGCCAATGGGATAGGAGTGGAGGACTGTTGGGGGTTTCTGGAAATATTTTTTGTTTTCCTAATAAAAAGAGCATATGTTTCTGGAGCCACCCTTCTCTTTTCTACCCCTCCCTGTCTTCAATGTGTGGAGCTAAAGATGCTCCAAGTACAGGTTGAGAGATACACAGATATAGACCCTGACTTTGGTGAGCTGTGATTGATACCAGCAGTCAGCTCCTCTGAGATTCTTTTTATCTGAGAAAAATAACTCTCTTTTTTTTTTTTTTTAAAGTCACTACAGGTCATATTTTGTTACTTTCTGATGATCACATTCTTAACTATATCACCTAATCTAAAAGCCTTGCTAAAGCCCAACATTAAAACAAAACAAAAAATTTTAAAAAAAAACCTCTTTAATAGTCACATGGAAGTGTAACAACAGACAGGAATATACTAGTAGAACTAGCATTTATTGAGAATGTGCTATATGCCAAGCACTTTCTTTCTTTCTTTCTTTTTTTTTTTTTTTGAGACAGAGTCTTGCTCTATCACCCAGGCTGGAGGGCAGTGGCGCGATCTTGGCTCACTGCAAGCTCCGCCTCCCAGGTTCCCGCCATTCTCCTGCCTCAGCCTCCCGAGTAGCTGGGACTACAGGCGCCCGCCACCACGCCCGGGTAATTTTTTCTATTTTTGGTAGAGACAGGGTTTCACGGTGTTAGCTAGGATGGTCTCTATCTCCTGACCTCGTGATCTGCCCACCTCGGCCTCCCAAAGTGCTGGGATTACAGGTGTGAGCCACTGCGCCCGGCCAAGCACTTTCATAAGACCTTTGCATGCACCAACTCATTCAATTCTTACAGTAAGCTTATGGAGCATGTTCTGTTATATACCCATTTTATACATGGAACAAAGGCACAGTGAGGTCAAGCAACTTGCCTGAGGACCAAAGCTAAGAGGTGATGGAGCCAGGATTCTGGGTTCCAGAGTCTAGGCTTTTTTTTTTTTTTTTGAGATGGAGTCTCACTCTGTCACCAGGCTGGAGTGCAGTGGCACGATCTCAGGTCACTGCAACCTCCGCCTCTGCATCCTGGGTTCAAGTGATTCTCCTGTCTCCGCCTCCCATGTAGCTGGGACTGCCAGCACACGCCACCATGCCCAGCTAATTTTTGTATTTTTAGTAGAGACGGGGTTTCACCATGTTGGCCAGGATGGCCTGATCTTTTGGCCTCGTGATCCACCCACCTCGGCCTCCCAAATTGCTGTGGAGTCTAGGCTTTTAACCACTATTTTCTGATATGTATTTTCCATTTCATAAAAGCAGAAAACCAAGTCAAAGTCTTAATTGATGAATCCATGCCTACAGATAAGTTCTTTTTGATGTGTTCTGACTATTACTAGGAAAAAGATTCTTTTGTGAGATATGATTTCAAGCAATTTTTGTGTTGTGTGGAATTTTTGTTTCCAGAAGCTCTAAACAAAAAATCTATCCATCCATCCATCATATGGAGATTACCATGGCAACTATCTGCACTGCATCTAACATATTTGCATTGGTATATATTGAACTTGCCTGGTTCTTGAACTGTGGCATTTAAAACAACACAGTCTTTAAATTTGGATTATCCCAAAGTGGATTTCAAATCCAGCTGTATTGCTAATTTTTTTCCTCTGAAGGCTAGTACATTTGTTTGTTTATTCATTGATCACCAAAAATGAGATAGTTCATGTCAAAATGTTTGGAAGCTGTCAAACAAAAATCTATATAAATATAAAGAAGTATTATATTGTGGAGGGATTTTAATGTGATAAAATAAGAATTAGGAAACCCCAATTCTTCTGGTTATGTCCTTGAACTACTACGTGACATTGGGTGAGTCAATTATCCTTTCTGGGCATTGCTGACCTGACTTTTGTTCTCTGGGCCAATATAGCCCCCTTGCTCCATTTACCTACCAGTTAATAAAAATGAGCTAAGAACTTCAGTCATGTGTTTGGAGGTATTTATGCAGGACTCTACCCAACCTTGTTTTTTTCCAACTTGCTTTTACTAGATTTCATCTAATTCCAGGTCCAAATTCTTTCCTCTGTAACTCCAAGTTTAATTTCTTCTTTAAAAATAGGCTAATAATAATAGGTCATATTTATTGAGTGCTAGCTCTGTGTCAGACACAATGGGCAATGTTTTGCTTCTGCTATCTACATATCTCAACTAAGACATTCACCTATAAGCAGTGGTATGGCTTAGACTGATTTCTTCCCTCTGGTTCTTAGTGGCTGGTGCCAATATTCACTGGTTACTTAATATTTTTTATATCATCCTTGACTATAGCTCTAAAAAGGCAGGTCCTACTGTTATTTCTATTTTAGAGATGAGGCTTGTATAAACACTTGTATTTGGGATTCCTGGTAGCCCAAGGAGCACCATTTCCACTTTTGTAATTCATGTAGTAACAGGTCCCTTAGTGCATCTACCTTCTTACCTATATATAGATAAACTACTGTGTGAGTTTAGTCTCAATCCTTGAGTTTGGATTCTTAGAATTGACAGAAAAAAGCCACAGATGTATCTTCCCTGTATTTTCCAAAGGTTGTTCTCTTGCATATGGCAGAGGATTAAAGTCATTTTGAGATCTGAATTAAAAGATACTTTAGCACTTCTAGAAAGATGTGGTCTAAGCCAATATAAAAACTCTATCATTGTAAACCCTTCAACACAATAAGACAAATACAACAATTTCTTTTAAAAATTTATTATGTGGTCAGTAAGTAAGAAAGGAAAATCACTAGATGCCAGAAAAAAAAAAAGCAGTAAGTCCATAGTAAGTTCATGAACCAGTGCTACAACAGTCCTGGTTTGGAGGAAGATGAAGAGCAGATATTATATAACTGTTAATAGCTAAAGGCTGAAATTTTAAGATTCTGCTCACTGACCCAGAGAAATGACAAAACTCCTTTGCCTAGGATCTCTGTTTAAAAAGAAGTTTTATTTAGAGTCTGATTTTATGTTACCAGCATGGTGAGGAAACTCCAGTTGAATAGTGAACATAAAGGATGGCCCTCAGCTAATATTAGCCCCAGAGCACCTGGCATAGACAAACAGAGTCAGCTTGGAGGGAGACTTCCCAATTCAGGTTATATAGAATTCACATAGAAAAACTCAGGTTGAAGATGACCTCAGAAAAGTTACAAAAAACTTGAGGTTACAATTATAATTGAGAATCAGCAGATGCAGCATATATACCTAAGTATAAGAAAAGAAGAAGCTATTACATAAAAGTAGTATATCTGCAAAATATTCTTAAAAATAACTTTTAAGGACATAAAATATAATCATTGTTATAAAATAAAACCAGATAGATTAAACATCAGATCATACATAATTTAAGAGAGAATGGACTGAAAGATCAATCTGAAGAAATTAGGTTGATTACATTTCAGATGAAAATGATATGGAAAATATAGAAGAGAGGTTTACAAACATGTAGGGCAGAATAAGAAGTTCCAACATGTCTAAAAGAAATTTTAGAAGGAGAGAATCTAACATTCAAAGAGCATTGGGTTAGAATTTTCCAGAAGTGATCAAACATATCATTTTTATTTTAAGAGACACAAGTTCTGACAACATAAATTAATCCATACCTGGAAATATCATAGAAAAACTATAGCATGCAAAAAAAACAAAGAAAAAAATATAATGGCTACTACAGAGAAAAAAAAACAGATTACCTACAAAAGAAACAATGATTAAGGTGAAAGTGTATATAACTACCACAATAAAGGAAAGAAAACAATGGAATAACATGTTCAAATGTCAGTTTAGAATAGTTGTTTTAAATTGCCTGTCTTCTCTGATAATTCCAACATCTCTGCCATGTGTGAGTTAGTTCTGATGTCTCTTCATGCTGTGTTTTCTCAACTTTTAGTATGCCTGGTATTTTTTGTTGAAAGCATGATGTATAAGTAAAAGTAACTGAAATAAATAGGCCTTTAGCGTGAGGTTATATGTTTACCTGACTAGAGGTTAAGTTATGTGAACTGTTTACTGTTTGCTCTAGCAATAGGTTTCAGAGGCTCAAATTTCCTCATGTACCTGTATTTTTGTCTTCTCTGTTGTCTTTGCCTTTCCGTAGAGACTTCTTAGATAACATCTGAGATGGACAGTTCTTTCAGTTGTATTTCCCTATGATTAACGGGAATCCTATAGATGTGTTGGTGAGCAGGGAGGAGGGGAAGTGGCTTACAGTCCTATAAATATGTCTCAGTCTTTTAGTGAGCCTGTGCCCCTGGACTGTGACCTTCACAAATGCTTTTTAGTTTAGTTTTGTTTTTTCCCCTTTAGGTAGGACAAGAAGTTTGGCAGGGAAGGCGGTGGGGGTTGGGGCTGGAGTTAGGTATTTTCCTTTTTCCAGATCAGTTAAAATAGTTTTAACTCTCTGGTAAAATAGCTTCTCTTGAGAGCAGAGAAGAGAGCACTCCAGGCATTTCAAAATGGCTACATTTCCCTTCCTCCAGCACAAGAGGATTTTTCTCCAATCTTTATTATGAGAACCTAGTAGGATTCTTGAAGATAAAACCCATGTAAGTGTGGGGACTACCCTAAGACTGGGCACCCCTTAGTTCTTAACTCTCAAACTTGTCCACACTGAGCCTCTAGCAATTTAATTACAGTTTAGGTTTTCCTAAACTGGCACTGCTTTCTGCAGAGGTTTCTACCCTGGGAAGGTTTGGTTTTCTCTATCTGCCTGTCTCCTCAATTTTGGAGGCAGTGATTTTTTGTTACCTTAATTCTCTGATGGTTCTAAGGAGAGTTGTTGATTTTGATTTTATTCAGCTTTTTTCTTGTTATATTGGTAGAGGTGATGAATTCCAAGCTCCTTACATGCTGTACTGGACACTGGAAGCTCCCACAGTTTAGAATATATCTGATAAAGTACCATTCAAGAAAAAGAGAAAATAAAAAAATTTTAGATGCCCCCTGCCAAACTAAACCCCAAACACTACTACAAAAAACAAATAAAAGAAATCTCAAAGACAAAAAAGACAATCTTGATATGGTTTGGCTGTGTTCCCACCCAAGTCTCATCTTGAATTGTAGTTCCCGTAATCCTCATGTGTCGGGGGAGGGACCCAGTCGGGGTAATTGAATCATGGGGGCAGTTTCCCCTGTACTGTTTTTGTGATAATGAGTGAGTTCTCATGAAATCTGATGGTTTTATAAGCATCTGGCATTTCCCTTGCTGGCACTCATTCTCTCTCCTGCTGCCCTGTGAAGAGGTGCCTTCTGCCATGATTGTAAGCTTCTTGAGGTCTCCCCAGCCATCGAGAACTGTGAGTCAATTGAACCTATTTTCTTTATTAAGTGCCCAGTCTTGGGTATTTCTTCATAGCAATGTGAGAACAGACTAATACAGTACCCCACCCTGCAAAAAGGCTGTTAAACTTTACCACTCACAGATTCTCAATGAAAGAATATATTTTAGTAAGAAAGGAGTAATAGGACATAAAGAAACAATGAAAATAAACCTTTAAGCCTTTTTTTGATCATTGGTGATTCAGAATACAACAGGTTTTTCTAATGGTTGGAACAACAGAAACTTTACCATCCATGATTTTGGATTAATTTTGTGTAACCTATTCAAACACATTTCCATGATTCTCCAACATCATCTCTCATTTACTATCACAAGGAACTATTCCCCATTCTCTCCCCATTCCTACCTGCGATACCCATTCCCATGCTGTTCTTTTACTTTGAGTAACTTATTTTTCCCTGGTTACTTATCTATAATTATGCTTGAAGGTTCAGTTATGTTCTGTCTCCTCTGTTTGCCGCTGAATCATTTCCAAAATTTGAGAATTGAGAGGTCTTAAATCATGGGCCTTTTATGCCTTGGTGTCTGGAGTCTTTCATTCAGTGCTTTTGTTCATATTCTTAAAAGACAATTTTTTACAAACATTTCCATTAACAGCCTCCTTTTCCTCAGATGAAGTGTTATAAGGCTGTAGGATTTTTATCAAGTGAGATGTAACTTGTTTTCATCCCTGCAGATGGAGTGGAAGCTCCTCAGGTTCAGGAACGAAGATGTATTTATTCTTATATATAATAAGATCTGTCTGTCAATATCATAAAATAGGAGTGGCTATCTAATTTCCTTTTGACTAGTCAGACACAGAAACTTCAACCAAGTGATGCTTTTTGGGTCATTGTTTTCAAAAAGCCGTGAAACATGTCTTATCCTTCAGATACTCTTCTGTCTTAATATTTGGTCAATTTGGCTTCAGACTAGTTGATATTGAAAACCAAAATGATTTTTTAAAAATCGTGTCAGCTAATGTATGGCTTCTCAAACATGCCCATGTGGCTTCAAACATTTGCATTCATATTTGTGAGTACAAATTGCCTATATTTGAATGAGCCATTAGTAGACTATTGTATTAGTTCATGCTGCTGATAAAGACATACACAAGACTGGGCAATTTATAAATGAAAGAGGTTTAATTGGACTTACAGTTCCACGTGGCTGGAGAAGGTCTCACAATCATGGCAGAGGGTGAAAGGCCACTTCTTACATGGCAGTGGCAAGACAGAATAAGGAAGAAGCAAAAGCAGAAACCCCTGATAAACCCATCAGATCTTGTGAGACTTATTGACTATCACGAGAATAGCATGGGAAAGACCAGCCCCCATGATTCAGTTATCTCCCCCTGGGACCTGCCCACAACACGCAGGAATTCTGGGAGATGCAATTCAAGTCGAAATTTGGGTAGGGACATAGCCAAACCATATCAGCTATTAAAAAGTTCTGCCAGAGAACAACTTAGCTCCTTTTGATGTCACTTTGAAGATTTAAATTGCTGTAAGAACTAAAAGAACACCCATCCATGACCACATACTAATAAAACAGATATTCAAATGCACATATAAAGAATATTTTTTAAGCTTGAATTCTCACATTGAGCACACACACACATGCCCGTGCACACACACACACAATAAAAGCCTGTTCACATTTGTAATCACTTTACATTATCTACATATTTAGATAACTATTTGTTTGTCTTTTTTTTTTTTCTTGAGAAGCAGAGTGCAAATTAACTGCATTGACTGAACATTGAACTATCTTTTTCATTCCTCTCAGAAGTAATCAGTTCCCCATGCTGTGTCTGGTCCTTGGTGATTTTGGCAACTCATTAGACCTATAAGCAGTTGTAGGATGGGTTGTATCAGTTGAGTTGGTAGAATGCTGGTGCAATCACTGATGTTAATATTGAAGTCATTTACTGACATGATGTCACTGCATAAGTAGTGACCTCATTACCCTGTAATTTATGTTGTTTCCCTTTATTGATTTTTCAACTACAGTGTGCATGTTTATCTCAATGCTAATATAGTTTTATTTGAGAGATCTTGGAGTCATGAGCCTTTCACGCATTGGTGTCTGGAGTCTTTCAGTGTTTCTTTCCATATTCTTGAAAGGTGCTTTTTCCCAAACCCTTCTATTAGCAGCCTCCTTACTCTCATGTATAGTGTTGTAGGGCTATAGGATTCTCATCAAGGCTTCTTTTCTGCTTATTTCTGCTTTGTCCAACTAACAATGTTATCACTATTCGTTTTTTTCTTTTTTTTTTTTTGAGACAGAGTCTCGCTCTGTCGCCCAGGCTGGAGTGCAGTGGCACGATCTTGGCTCACCGCAAGCTCCGCCTCCCGGGTTCACGCCATTCTCCCACCATAGTCTCCCGAGTAGCTGGGACTACAGGTGCCTGCCACCACACCTGGCTAATTTTGTTTTTGTATTTTTAGTAGAGATGGGATTTCACCGTGTTAGCCGGGATGGTCTCGATTTCCTGATCTCGTGATCTGCCCTCCTCGGCCTCCCAAAGTGCTGGGATTACAGGCGTGAGCCACCACTGTGCCTGGCCATTTTCACTATTCTTAAAGGAAGCTTTGGTTTACAAAGGTTTGCTACTGTACTTCCAGGTTTAAAGTTTCATCTACGTCCTCAGTCACTCAGAAAGGACGTAAAGCACATTAGAAGGTTGAGTCAATGGGGAAACAATTACAAAAAACAGTTAATATGTGACTTCTCGTATCTCAAACCAACAGGAAACACTTTCAGATGAACATCTGTTAAATAAAGGTATACTTGTGTTCAGAATAACGTCCATTGCTTTAGTTTAGCAGGAATGACTTTCAACTTATTAACACTTTCAAGTTAGGTCTGAGAATCTGTATTCTCTCTCTTGAACTCCCTCTCTCTCATTTTCCATATGCAACTCTGACCATGCATGTGAAGATTTTATTTCAGTAAGTGAAATTTTTAATAAGCTCTTGAGAATAAAATGTTAGGGATAACTCAGGAAATTAAAATTCTACTTAAGATAGTTCAGGTAAAGTCTGTTGGAAGTAATTATGCAAAATGTAAACATACATTTAAATGATGTTTTATCTAATAATGATTGTTTAGAAGTTTTGGAAATAATTTTCTTTACCTTGATCAAATAAGAATGCAAATCTGAGTAATTCTTAGTGGGCCAATACACTGAGCAATTTTGTGGTAAGTCTAGTTAGTCAAAGCTCTGAGTGTGGCTTATGAAGCTAGATTTTGTGAGCTCAGATCTTGTCGTTACCACTTATAAACTGTATAAGTTAGAAAGTTATCTAATTTCATTTTTCCTGTTTTCTTATTTGTCACATAGGTAGATGATAATTTAACCTCAGAGGGCTGTTCTGAGGACAAATGAGTTAGTACCTGTAAATTACTTAGAGCAGGGCTGGGCACATAGCCCTGCTAGCAAGTACTCAGATATTAGTTTTAAAAGACTCAAATCATAGAGCTATATGCTTTTGAAGACGTTTTGTTTTCCTGCGGTACAGATAGAAACTGCAAATCTTTAAAATATATTTAGACTTTGCTAGCTGACAATTTCTATAACAATACATCATATCATTATAAATTGTGATCTTATACTGCAAAATATAGAAGCCACATAAAAGCTTAAATTTATAAGGCTATCTCAGGTACCTATCAGTAATACTATAGACAGCATAGTACATAAAAGTGACAACAAGCTTCAGCGTCTCTGCAATAACCATGGAATTCAAAGTTGTCTGAAAAGTAATTTTAAATTTACTAGTTTTCTAGACCTGTGTATATGGTAGTGGTGGTGGGGTCATTTATTAGAACAAAAGTTCTTTGTGAAGGCTTTCATGAATAAAAAGACAAAAATTACTCTAAATGTTAGGCTTTTATGTGTTACTTCATAGTGCATTTTCTAAAAGAAGCAAGTTTCATGTTCTTAATAATTTGAGTCTTGAAACCAGAAGCTTGTTTGCTCCCTGGGTGTACCAATAACCATTAACCCATCTAGACCTCAGTTTTTCTCATCTGTACAATGGAGATAATAATACATAGGTTTCTGAGACACAAGTTAGATAATATGTATGAAAACACTATTTATATTATAGGATTCATTAGACCACTGTATGACTGTAGTGTTTCTAAAACGTTGAAGTTCTCATGGAAGTTATTTAGGGCTGCATAAATAAACAAGTTCTGTCATCAAATGAGTTTGGGAAACACTATTGACTTGTAGCAGCTACTCTTAGCTCTGGAGGGATTCCTCAGGACTTCCCACTTCCATGCTGGAGCTGACTTCCCACTGCCTGTGCTGGAAGTACCCAGAATTCACCCACTTCTGGGGCAAAACCCTTCCAATGCCTGACAGCAGTTTTTGTATAAATCCAGAGCTTTCTTGCCCCTCAGATGGAATAGATCTAAGGTAGAGATTCTAACCTGTGTCCCAGCATTTCCCTGTGGAATTATGCTCCAGTTGTCCTCAGTACCTGCTGACTTTATAACACACCCTTGATTGCTTGTCTTTTCTTCCTTTTTCACTTTTCCATTCCCTACCCTTGTTTTCTGCACCTCCTGCAAATACCACTAGCATTTGAATCCTCTTCTTATGGTCTGCTTCTGGGGGATCCCAAACTAAGACAATAGAATAGCATCCTTTGTGGAAATTCACAATTACTTTTGCATATTAAAGACTTGGAGAAGCCCAGAAACACTAACTCACTGACATTTCACAGATTTTAGTCTTCCAACCTTCCTTACATCATCTGTCAAAAGAGGAGTTTTGGTCAGGTTAGTGGTTTTCAATCACTTTTTATCAATTATAAACCTTTAAAGACTGAAATATTATGTGGAATTGCAAATTACAAGGTATATATTTTGCATATGTATATGTATAAAATTATTTTATGTATGTAATTCATAACACTAACTTATTATAAATAAATCAATGAGAACAATCTAGCTATTTGGAATAACACCTGAACTTTAAAACTGGGATTGTAAACAGCAATTGAAGTTTTTATCAGTCTCATCATTGAATTTATTTTTATATTTTATTTGTTTTGACAATGTTGGAATGTTACAATTAAATGCTTACAAGTTGTACCAGTGTTTAAATGGTCTGTTTTGCAATTTCAGAAGTATTTTCAATTGAACTGAATCAAAACCTTGAAAGAGGTGGTAGAAACTGTTAACGCCAAAGTTAAATCAATGCCAAAGTATATGAACTGTCATACACCATTATTAGTAAGCTTCCAACTAAGAGTAAGTTCATGCTCATGTGCCTAAGTCAGTCATATTCACTTCTTTTATAGGGATATATGTTTCTAATATTCTTTATATCATCAAGAAATATTTAAAATAGTAATTTATATACTTTACATATTTTAGTGCCTTTGCTTGTTAGAAATCCAAAAATTTTCCACCAGTCAGTTTTACAGATATTTATGCTTAGCATATTATATTCAAAGACTTAGTTTGTGTCATTTCCCCATAAAATATCTGTAGTTGTAAGTCCTGTGACATTATAACCCTAACATGCCAAACTGAACTTGTTCCACTTGTTAAATATATCAGGTAGTGGAATCATATTGTGTTTGGAATATGCTTAGTTAATGAGGTTTATTTTATAAACAAACATACATCTGCATTTTCATTAGAAATAATCATATAATACATGTGCTTATTTTGATTAACATACCTAGTTAGGTTCCCTACGAAATGTGAATTACACTATTCTAGGCCAT
Organism: Homo sapiens; assembly: GCF_000001405.40. NCBI lineage: Eukaryota > Metazoa > Chordata > Mammalia > Primates > Hominidae > Homo > Homo sapiens. The sequence goes on from NC_000009.12 coordinate 82,267,626, forward strand.
TAGAATCACAGATAATTCCCAAACTAGAAAATATAAAGAGAACACTTATTTGTGTGGCTTGTCCAGCTCTATTTGAATATCCTGGCATACAGCATCAGGGCTCATCTACACAATACATAGTTGAATATATTTTAGTAACCTTTTTTTTTTTTTTTTTTTGAGACAAGGACTTGCTCTGTCACCCAAGCTGGAGTGCAGTGGCGCAATCTCCTCTCACTGCAACTTCTTCCTCCTGGGTTCAAGCGATTCTCCTGCCTCAGCCTCCTGAGTCGCTGGGATTACAGGCACATGCCACCATGCCCAGCTAATTTTTGTATTTTTAGTAGAGATGGGATTTCACCATGTTGGTCAGGCTGGCCTCAAACTCCTGACCTCGTGATCTGTCCACCTCAGCCTCCCAAAGTGCTGGGATTACAGGCGTGAGCCACCGCACCCGGCTTTTAGTAACCATTTTATTTCTTTCTTTTTTTTTTTTTTTGAGACGGAGTCTTGCTCTGTCACCCAGGCAGGCTGGAGTGCAGTGGCTCAATCTCAGCTCACTGCAAACTCCGCCTCCTGGGTTCATGCCATTCTCCTGCCTCAGCCTCCCCGGTAGCTGGGACTACAGGCACCCGCCACCATGCCCGGCTAATTTTTTATTTTTATTAGAGACGGGGTTTCACCATGTTAGCCAGGATGGTCTCGATCTCCTGACCTCGTGATCCACCCGCCTTGGTCTCCCAAAGTGCTAGGATTACAGATGTGAGCCACCGTGCCCGGCCTTTAGTAACCATTTTAATACAAGCTTTAGCTCCTGTGTGTCACATCATTTTTCAGACTGATGCTATATTAAAAATGGGACTAAATGCTTAAAATTTTTTTCTATTTTGTCTGTGTACAGTGTTTTTACAAAGTAACACATCTATCTTTTCTTCCATGAAGTTATATAAAAATGAGCAAGGAAAGCTCTGCAATACCTTTTATCTCTGGCCAATTGATTTGTAAAGAAATGCACTAATGGGGGACTTTAAATTACTTCTTCATGTACCTTCTTTTTTATCTGAATTTTATTTTTCACATAAGGATACAAATTTTATTATTCTGCTCCATGCCGTCATAACATGCTTTGGAATGCCAACAGAGCAGGCTTTAGTAAACTCCACCTTGACCACCTCAGTGTTACAGTATGCTTCTCTATGTGTATTTATTATTCTATTTTTTTTTTTTTTACTTTGGATGATTCTTTAAGTGCATTTTCATTGTCAGATTTTAATTTTGTTTGTGTGTCTGCAAAGGCACATCCTCAAAGCTTGGCCTCCACAGGAAGCATTTTAAGATTCTCTTCCTTATAAGAAATTACAAATGAAATTAAAAATCAAGATTTCTTGAGTTCTCTCCTTCATTAAAAAAATTATTAATTATTTTAGAGATAGGATCTTGCTCTATTGCCCAAGCTCGAGTGCAATGGTGTGATCACAACTTACTGCAGGCTCAAACTACCAGGCTCAAGAGATTCTCCTGCTTCAGTCTCCCAAGTTGCTAGGATTACAGTAGCCTGCCCAGCTAATTTTTTTTTTTTTTATTAGTAGAAACAGGCTCTCCCTATGTTGCCCAGACTAGTCTTGAACTCCTGGCCTCAAGCAGTCCTAACACCTTGGCCTCCCAAAGCACTGAGATTACAGGTATGAGCCACTGAGCCCGGCCCCACTTTCACTTTTATTATTCAGAGATTGTGTTTGTTTCCTGGGACCAGATATAGAAGATTTTGCCCCAGGCTTGTCATCTATGAAATAAAATTAGTGCTGCTCTCTCAAATCAAACATGGAGAGGATAAAATAAATGCCTTACAGTGCCCTTTGAAGACACAAAGGAACCAAATCTAATATTTAATTATGATGTTTGTAAACTAGAAGGACAGAGATGGCTAGGTTGTTGGGAGAATTAGCAAAAATTATTTAGTACCAATTAAAGTAACAGAGCTCTGAAATAAAATTTATGTATTTGTAATGTATATTCAGCAAATATTTATTATTTATGTCATGCACTGTCTAGGCTCTAAAATACAATTGATAACAAGATAATCACCCTCTCTTTCCTTCTTAGATCTTACAGTTTTCAGTGTTACAATAAGGAAGTACAAGGTGGTATGGGAGCATATTATGGGAAAAACTAACATGGTTTACCTGGTAAAGGGAAGACCATGTTAGTTTATTTTAAGTTCGTTAGAATATTTATGCCATGAAATTTCATCCACAGTAATTGGGATCCATATGTTAGAAGCCATTTTCTCAGGTTTCAGAAAACCATCACGTATAGGTCATGCATCTTGGTAGAGTCAATGGTTTTGAATTAGCACTGTGTCTGGGTTTACGTATGTCATTAAGTTAAAACTAAGTTCTACATTCAGAACTGATATAGGTTCTAATTACTTTTGGTGCAAAAGTAATTGTGGTTTTTTGCCACAATTAAAATGGCAAAACTATAATTACTTTTGCACCGACCTCATAATATCATTGACTCTCGGAGAGAGCTTAGACCTCAGTTTCAAATGCAGAACTGAATTATTATCTGCTTCATTCACACTCTAGAAATGGATGATTGTGAAATAACTGCAATTGTATTAAAATAGTCACAATGGAATTAGAGAGCTGCTGAATAATAGTTTTAGTACATAAATGTCTCTGCTTCCTCCTCAGAAGCCAAATAGGCTTTCTTATAATGTGTTGATTCAGGTTAGGATAGCCGGAATGTTATGAATGAGAAAACTGGATTTGGAAAGAAGTCTTCAGTACATATTTAATCTGCCTGATACTGGTAGTAACTTTTTCTCTCACTTTATTAACAAGGATATGTAATAACATATCTTACCTTACTCCCTCCAATTCCTAAACTCGTAATTTCAGACTTAGGTCTTAGTGTTCCTGAATGTGTCACTAATCAATTTTCTGAAAAGTCTTACAGTACCACTAATTTATGAAAGAGATAGTGTGGGTTTTCTGATGGGCTGCTTTAAGCTGCTGGGGTGTGGCATTTGTATCACTGTTCCAAGAGAAGAGAGGCAGAAAAAAGCGAGTGGGTGGGTAACCCAAGGCTCCTTTTCACCTACTTTGGGTTTTTCCTGGGGCCAGGCTTGTGTGTGAGACATGTTAAAGCTAAACTTTCAGGTCTTTTTATTATTGCTATAAAAATTTGCATATGGTCCTGTTAGAAAAGGAAGAACAAGGAAAAATAAGCAGATGAAAAACAGGTCCATGGGTAAAGACATTTTCAAGTATTTCTGAGATCAATCACTCCACTTCCTATGTTTTATAGTTAGGGAAACTCAGCCCAACAAAGTAGATATATATTTATTCTTGAAATCAGAAACCAAATAAAAAGTTTTTGTTGTTTATTTTGAATTAACAACAAACTTTTTCTTCCTTTTTCCCCTTTGCTGAAAACATAAGAAAAATCATTTGTTGAATTAATCTAACCTCGGGTAAATAGCTATGACTCTCCCATGATGTGTGATCTCTAGGAGTCTTAACATTTTCTAGGTCTCTAATTCATGCAACAAATATTTCTAAGTGTGTATGTGAGGGTGGGTGGGTGGATGTTAGTGGTGGTAACCACACACATGTATTTAGAATATCCAAGATGCATTTGGCCCTAAGCAATTCCTTCTTCACCTAGTTTCTAAACCCATGTGTATTTCAAGAGAATCTTAATCCATATGTTCCTGATTTACTTTCACTTAGTCATCTGCATGTTGTTGTTAAGAGTCCTTTGATGTGTAAGAAGACTTATGAGCAATTTTTATGGCCTCTACGGGCCTTTGTTCTTTCAAGAGGCAAGATGTGCTTTGCTTGCATGGATGGCACTCTTAGTGTAACAATCCAAAAATTCCCTAAAATTTGGAAAGAAGACAGGGAATCCTAATCTGGACCAAAGGCCCATTCTTTTTCTCAAGGCCAAAACTTTAGAGAAAAGGTCTCATCTGACTCAAGAGAGGAATATGCTGTCAGCATTCCAGCATCACTTTATTTTGTGCTTTGATCCTTCTGTGTTGGTGCAAAGTGATTCCTCTTGGCTCTTTGGGAGGGATAGTTTATTAAAATATTATTTTGTGCTTATGATCCCTTCATTTTTTGTCTTTCCTCACTTCACATGGGGGACCAGGCCTTTAATAATCCCCTGCCTCAGAGAATGGTTTTTTTTTTTTTTCTTTTGGTAGGGTTGAGAGCAGAATCCTAAACTTATTAAAGTCATTACCCCATTTAAGTTGTAATTAGATAGCCCTGAAAGTATGGAGAGAGAGAGGGAATTATTTTTTAAGGCAGGGAGTCCAGGAAGGGTCATCCTTTTGGCTGAGATGGCAAAAGAGAATAATAGGTCCATTTGGAATGAGGCTCATATCCCACTTCTGGCAAAGTCCTGGAGAGGTGACAAAATCTCAGAAGCGATGACGAACGGAAGCACTGGGAGTTGCATCCTGAGTTTAGGAGTTCCAAATGTGGTCCAGTTTCCTATATTCCATGCAAGGCAGAGAAGCAGCTAAGCTGCCTGTGACCTACAGGAACCTTATGGACTGGCTCACTGGGCATCTCAGGAGGGACCAGTGTGAACAGTGTGAGAATTCCCTGACACTTTGGTGCTACACAACACCTTGGGACCTCTTCTCTCTGTAGGGGCAATAATGACTAACACTGAATTTTCTTCAGTACAGTAGAATGAAGCTGTTATCAGATTGAAGATGACAAAGAAAATGTGGACATGTGACATACCTGAGTCTGTAATAAGATTTATTTGTGCTACACTCACTTGTATTTATTTATTTATTTATTTGAGTCAGGGTCTTGCTTTGTTTCCCAGGCTGGAGTGCAGTGTCAAGATCACACCTCACTGCTGCTTGAATCTTCCAGGCTCAAGTGATTCTCTCATCTCAGCCTCCCTAGTAGCTGGGACTGCAGGCCACCATGGTCAGCTATTTTTGTTTGTTTGTTTGTTTGTTTTTCAGCAGAGACAAGGTCTTGCTATGTTGTCCAGGCTCGTCTTGAACTCCTAAGCTCAAGCAATCCTCCCATCTCAGCCTCCCAAAGTGCTTGGATTACAGGCGTGAGCTACCATACCCAGCTCTTTTTATTTTTGAATACTATAAATATCAGTCCATCTCCTAGGTGATACTATCAGGCTTTGGACTGGGGGAGGTGGTCAATGATATAAAAGAAGCTGCCCTCCCTGCCTTCAAGTTACTTATAACAGAGTCATAAACAGAGGCAAGGCTGTCACACTGATTTTTGTCAACTTTTATAAAATGCCTTAATAAATTCTAAGCACGATAATAATTGCTTTAAATGGATTATGTCATTTAATCTTTGCAATAATTCTACAAAGCAGAAACTTTTATTATCCTCATTTTACAGATAAGGAAGCTGAGGTTTAGAAAGAAGGCAACTTCCCAAATATCATGCAGCTGGTAAATGATCAAGCCAGGACCTGATCTGAGTCAATTTGATTCTGGTTTCTATGCTCTTAATCCCAATTTTATACTATAACACCCCACTTTCAATACTAGACAGATCAACGAGGCAGAAGGTTAACAAGGATATCCAGCTAGCTTTTGATAAGCTATAAACTAGTTCCTATAATTAAATGTGGTGGAGGACAGGAAGAGGGAGTGACCAAGTTAAAAAAGAAGAGTTCAGTGAAGGCTGGAGTGACCAGGGATGGGCTCATGAGGAGATGAGGTTTAAAATGAGTCATAGAGCAGTAAGCTTGTAATATAACTTAAATACCATCTAATTTGTTCACTGACCTTTACAGATATGGAAACTGAGCCCTCACACATGGACTGAATTCTGACAAGCAGAGGATAAAGGCAGAACAACATGACTGAAGGTATGGAGGTGGGGTTGCTTATAGCATAGTCATTTTTACGGTAAGAAATCAAGCCAGAGTACAACAGAAAGTGATTTGGGCAGAGACGTAAGTTACAGTCAACACTGTAGGACAGTGTGGTGGGCAGAAATTGTAGAGATCTGTGAACTGTAGGCCATAACCCTGGACATTATCTCAAAATATATTTCCGACCTTAGTGTCTTGAGCGTTTGTCAAAAATATTTATTTCTGGATCCCACGATATATCTAAATCAGAAATTTTATCTTGATAGAAGTTGGTTTTCGGCATTTTTCACAGGCCCTCCACTCCAGCGTCCTAGTGATTCAGATATTCACTGAAGTTTAAAAGCTATTGCTGTGGACAGTGGGGTCAGGTACATGGCAGTCACAGGAGATTCTGGGACAGAGAACAGGCCTATGAGAACTTATTGTGGTAGAACATGGATTGGAGACTATCATGATCAGCCCAGATATGGATGTCATTTAGGATACAGCACAGGGCTTATTGTCTTGGAAATAGCCTAGTGTCTAAGAGAACAAATAGAAACAGCTGAATAAAGCTTCATTTGGAAAACAAAACAAAACAAAACAAAACAAAACAAAACAAAAAACTAATAGACTTGGTGACCAGATAGAGTGTTCAAATCATTTACTAGTCCTGTCATCTGTAGCTCATAAATAGTTCTCAGCTGCTACTAGCTTTCTCCATTCTTATATCTTAGGCCTACCTTATTGCTGCTGTCTTTCTTGCTATTTTCCCTAATTTAATCCTGTCTGCTGCCCCGTCCCCATGCATTCCTCACTGTTGAGAGAGTGACGATTGTAAAATGCAAAACCTGCCATGTGACTGGTCTGCTTAAAAGTGTTTAACGCTTTTCTGTTGCTCTCAGAATAACTTAAATTTACTTAAAAAGCATACAGGGCCCTTCATGGTTTATCCTTTATGACTTCTGAACTCCTTTTTCTCTTGCCACTCCTTGTACCTCTTGGTCTCAGCTATGCTAAACTTGGATATCCTTTTCACAACTCTGAATCTTTGCACATGTTCTGCTCTCTCTTTCTGGAACACTGTTCCCCTCCTCTCTTCTCTAGTTAACTTAGATTTCATATCCTCCTGTAAGCCTTCCTTGACCACCACCACCCTGCTCCAGATGGGTTTAGGACCTCCTCCTTTGTGTTCCCATTGCACTCTGTTTTTTCACCTAATGTACAAGCTCCTTGAGGGAAGGCCATGTCTTATTGACGATTGTAACCTGGCAGCTAGTATGGTGCCTAGACCATATAGGTCCACATGAAATGTTTGTTCAATGAATGAACAAATGAGTACTCAAAAGAGAAGGAGGAGCCAAAGATTTCACCAAGGTTTCATGCCCCATTACCTGAAGGAATGATGATGTCAGAGCTCTTACTCATCTCTTCAACAAATTCTACCTTAATCTCAAAGAAGATACAGGGTCCTTTTCTTTGTCAGGGCAAAAATATAGTAACAAAAACTCCAAAATCTAAACCATTTTAACTGTACCTGTTTCTTGAGCACTTAGAAGTTGACAGCTCTTCCAATCAGAGGAATAATGGTCAGATTGTATGTGACAAGACTGAACCTAGTATTATCAATTCTATCTTGGATAAATCATGTTAAGACAGAGGGCTACCCAGTTTTTCATTAAATCGCAGGGTTTTGCCATTTAAAAAGAACCTTTGTTCCACTGGGAGAGGGTAAGGCAGGGAACAGGGTGCCTTGATCCTGGGAAGAAGCAGCAACCTACTTTGTGTGTTGACTTTCTGTTTGTGAGATATATAGTCAGCATTTCTAATGAATCTGCTTGAAGCGGCTGGAATATTATGATTTATAGCACCTTCCCACTCTCTATCATAGCATTTTATTAGATGGATGGGAAGCTGGTAGTAATGAGGTTAGGAATGAGAAAACATCCATCAAGCCCTGCTACATCTTCTCAGGAAAGACAACACACTATCTCATATGTCACAGGCAGTGATCTAGGTCACGATGATATAAAATGCATGATTAAAACCAAGCATTTGACACTAGATAATAGGCATCTAGTTAAAAAATAGCTCTAGTGTTCCCGACTTTTAATTAAACCCAACTCGTAAATATGCACTGTGGTAAATATACTGCAGAATGGGGCTTGTTTATATTCCACCACATAACAATTACCTCCAGAATGGGTGCTTTATTTCACTACATGGTGTTATTAGTCAGGCGATGGACTGAAATACAAATGTTAAGCCAGTGATGTCAGACAGGCATGCCAGAGCAGAATCATCCACCGACTCCTGCTGTCCCCTCCCACCTTCCTTGTTTTCCTCCTCCTTCCCTCTCCAATATCCTTTCACCCTCTCTACAAAGTTATCAATTTAAAATGAAACACATTTAGTCATTTCCAGCAATCTCTCACCATACCTTTGATTGCATCTGTCATAACTGGAAGAGAGAATATGTTTTAAATGCATAACTCTGGCATTCAGTAAATCCGTCCTATTAACAGGTTTATTCTTTGACAGAGGATTCATTTCTGAGAAAGTTTTAAAGATATCAAATCTGGAACTAATTAGTAATGCTATTATAAAATTAGATGATGAGGGGGTGGGGAACAGGCTAATAAAGCAGTCTAAAAATTTTTTATTAGGTACTTGGAAATTCTTGGCTGATAGAATGGACCATGAACGGAGCACTGGTGTAGGATCTGTCTGTCTGTCTGTCTATCTATCTATCTATCTATCTATCTATCTATCTATCTATCTATCTATCATCTTTTAGAGAAGGGATCTTGCTTTGTTGCCCAGCCTTGTTTTGAACTCCTGGGCTCAAGCAATTCTCCTGCCTTAGCCTCTGAAGTAGCTGGGACTACATACACGTGCCACTGTGCCAAGCCAGGATCTAGATTTAACTCTAACATTAATTGATCACTTGACATTTGTCTTAAGATGAAACTTTGATGAGTTTTCAAATTTGAAAAATGAGGGGATTAGGTAAGATCTTTTCTAATATCTCTTCCCCTCTAGTGTCTATGAATCTGTTAAATCACTGTGTCCAAACTTCAATGTCATACAGATCTCTTTGGGATCTTGTTAAGATGCAGATTTTGATTCAGCAGGTCTGAGATGGGACCTGACATTCTGCATTTCTGACAAGCTCCCAGGAAATGCTGATGCCGTTGGTCCACAGACTACACTTTGAGTAGCAAGTTGTTAAAATACAAGGATTATTTTTCACTGTTGCAACTTTTAAACTTCTGGGTCTTTCTTTTTCTCTCTCTCCAGTGTAATTACTTATTATTTATGTAATGTCCATAAAACACCTACCTTCTTTAAATGGTATGATGTTAGAACTGCTATCTTTTGGCTAACAGTATTAAGATCATTTCTGAATATATGATTACCCTCATGAAGTTCAGTTCAATTCAGTTAATATTTCTCAAGTGTCACAATCTAATTTAGTAACCTATCCTTGTGATCAGACAACTCTCTGTCAAAGCAATTTCTCATCCCTTTAGATCCAACATGTTCACATTTAAGCTCTTTTATCTTTCTCTGATTTCAAAGGCGATGAGGAACAGCTGATCACCTGTGGAAGTCATTTGTCCTAAATTGTCATGGACAGACCATGTGCCTTACAGCAAGAAAATTCTGTGAATAAACAGGAAGCCAGCCAGCCAGGTGTGTCCCCTAAGACTTGTGTCTCCCCAGAATGGAGGAGCAAATGGTTTCATACCCAGGATAGTCAAGCTGTTAACCAGCCACAAACAACTGTGTCTGGGTTGTTCTGTGCTGCCTGTGTGCACTTGGAATAAGGAGAGTGTATTAGTCTGTTCTGAGGCTGCTGTGAAGAACTACTGGCGAGTGGGTGATTTATAAAAGAAAGAGGTTTATTTGACTCACAGTTCCACATGGGGAGGCCTCAGGAAACTTACAGTCATGTCAGAAGGCACCTCTTCACAGGGTGGCAGGAGAGCAAATGAGAGCCAAGTGAAGAGGGAAGCCCCTTGTAAAACCATCAGATCTCATGAGAACTTACTATCACAGGAATAGCATGGGGGAAACTGCCCCCATGATTCAATTACCTTCTACCAGGTCCCTCCCATGACTCCTGGGGATTATGGAAACCACAATTCAAGATTAGGTTTGGGTGGAGACACAGCCAAACCATATCAGAGAGTTTCTTCCTGCATGAGATTTAACTTATTATTTTATTTCTTTTTAATGTGAAGATCACACCTCTATTCTCCTTTCCTTTATTTTCATTCAGTTTTGATGTGATTGCCATAATTATGTGTCAGCTATTACCGAGCACATTCTCATTACTCCATTTTTTGCTAGGATTGCTGGTACTGCATACCCTTTTGTTGATTAGTGAACTCTGAGGAGACTTCCTTGCACATGTCATGCTTTAGAGACAGTCTGATTTTACCTGATGAGTGATACTCAAAAGAACTATTATTTTGAACCAATTCACAAAATTAACATGTGATTTCAATTGGATTTTCCTAATGCAGTATTAGGAAATATATTAGGAAATATCAGTCATTAGGAAATATCAGTCATTATTTAACAAGAATACCAAAAAGAAAGAAAACAGTTATGAATCAATATTGTGCTTTCAGCTCTTAAAGATAGGAACCATGGTTTTTCTAAATTCTCTTTTTCTTTTTCTTTTTGAGACAGAGTCTCATTTTGTTGCCCAGACTGGAGTGCAGTGGTGCAATCTTGGCTCATTGCAATTTCTACCTACCATGTTCAAGTGATTTTCCTGCCTCAGCCTCCCAGGTAGCTGGGATTACAGGCATGTCACCACACCCAGCTAATTTTTATATTTTTAGTAGAGACAGGGTGTCACCATGTTGGCCAGGCTGGTCTCGAACTCCTGACCTCAGGTGATTCACCCACCTCAGCCTCCCAAAGTGCTAAGATTACAGGCATGAGCCACCGCGCCCAGCCAAATTTTCTTTTCTTTAAAGGTAATTCTGAGTTCTTTATTGTTCTCAAACATACCTTCTAAAGGTACCTTCTCGGAGATGTCTCAAAAACTTTCTTTTATACATAGCCCTGGTCCAGCACAGAATTTCACTGACATCTAGTCATTCCCCAACTTTCTGGATTATGCTTTAAAAAAAACTTTTAAGTTCAAGGCTACATGTGCAGGTTTGTTATATAGGTAAATTCATGTCACAGGGGTTTGTAGTACAGATTATTTAATAATGCAAGTATTAAGCCTAGTACCCATTAGTTACTTTTCCAGGTCCTCTCCCTCTTCCCATCTTCCACCCTCAGGTAGGCCCCAGTGTCTGTTGTTCCCCTCTATGTGTCCATGTGTTCTCATCATTTAGCTCCCACTTATAAGTAAGAACATGTGACATTTGGTTTTCTGTTCCTGCGTTAATTTGCTAAGGATAATGGCTTCCAGCTCCATCCATGTTTTTGCAAAGGACATGATCTTGTTCTTTTTATAGCTGCATAGTATCCATGTAGCCAAAAAGCACTTGTACCCCAAAAGCTATTGAAATTAAAAAAAAATTGAAAAGAAAAAAATGAAAACATTTTTCAAAATAATAGAAAAAATGATAAAGTATAATTTGCAAAATTAAAAACCCATATAACTGTACAACACAAAGAATAAGCCTAATGTAAAATCCTATGGACTTTAGTTCATAATGTATCAATATTGGTTCATCAATTGTAACAAGTATATTATAGTAATGGAAGATGTTAATTATATGGAAAATTGTGTATGGGGTGCGTGTTGTGGGAAATGGGAGAGTAAATGAGGGTGGAAGACAAAGGTGTTATTGGGAGCTTACCATACTTTCTGCTCATTTTTTTCTGTAAACCTACAACTGCCTAAAAGTCAAGTTTATTATTTTTACAAATATATAAACTCTATCATGATCCACACAATGTTTATTACAAATTGTCCCATTCTTGAATATAGATAGCTGAACTGTTTTCCATTTTACACAAAGAACTTTGCAAATTCAGCTTCAATTTCCATTTTTGATTAAAAAATGTCAGTACCTAATCACCTTTCCAGAAATTCTCAGGCAGCCACTAAAAGACCAGCATGCTTCAAAAATCTTCTCAACTCTTTAGAATCTTCCCGAGTCCTTCCCCACATCACTCTTCATGTTTCAGCAAGCTTATACTTCTTTTAGTACCCCAAACACGACAGGTTCTATACCGCCTTGGCATATTTTGGAATTTTTCTCTTCATTTTCTTCAAAGAGCTGGTTCTTTCTGGTTTTCCAGGTCTGGATTTCATTGTTACCCCGTGATAAGGTCTTCTCAGACCTTTTAATCTACATTTGAGCTACCCTGAGCCCTGTATCCCCACCCCAATTATTTTCTATTATTGTATTTTGTTGCCTTCGTACCACTTATCACAATTTTTAATTACTGTTTTATTTTCTTACTTATTCACCATTGTTCTTGCCCACTAGACTATAAGATCCCTAAGAGTCTGGAACCATAGATTTTGTTCATTAGTAATTACCCAGCACCCTGAGCAGTGCTAGGCACAGAGTAGAAGGTCAGCAATAGGGCAATTGATGGAGAAAATGATTTTAATATAAGATATGCAGGAGATAAAATACTAAAAGTATATGTCATTAATCACCTTTTTTGGTAATTAATTTGACAAGCTTAATAAAATGGACAGTTTTATTAAAGAAAATGTGAATTGCTAAAAATAATTTAAGAGGGAATAGAAAATTTGAATAATCACAGAATAAATTAAGAAGGTTGTTAAAGAACTAACTCTGAAGAAAATACCAGGTAAAGAATATTTTAAGGATAATTTTCCCCAAACCTTCAAGAAAAAAGCAATTTCTGTATTATTTTAAATGTTATTGAGCTTAGGAAAAGATGAATTGATCCCCAATTCAAATTTTATGAATAAAAAATATAGCCAGTTCACTTAAGAACAAAGATTCAAAAATCCTAAATAAATAATAGTAATTCCAATATAGACTGTATTAAAATAATCTGCTATTAATATTTTATTAAGTTTAGAAAAAGATGAATTGTTCCCCAGTTCATTTTATGAATTGCAAAAATAGCTAGCTTACTTAGGAATAAAGATTCAAAAACCCTAAATAAATAATATCGACTCAAATACAACATTATATTAAAATACTAATACATTGTGCACATGCTGACTTTATCTGAGACCTGCAAAGAAAATGTAAAAGTAAAAAATTTATTAAAACAATTCATCATATTAAGAGAACAAAGAAAGAAAAATTTTGTGATCATCTCAGTGTATGCTAAAAGGCATTTGTGAAATTCAATTTCACTGTATGAAGAAAATGTTTTGTGAAATCGTAATAGAAGGATATATATTTTGTATGAAGGAAAGTATTCTAAACCTAATGCAAGTATTCAAACTAAATGTGAAAAACTAAAGGAAGTATAGAGTAAGATTTGAAAGTACATTTTACCCCTATAAGTCTCAATTTCCTTATCTGTAAAATAGAAATAAAAAAGAGCATCTACTTTATAGGGTTGTGGTGAAGATTATATAATGTTTGTAAATAGCTTAGCACAGTACCTCGCACATAACAGAAATTAAATTTGCATTTATTTTCCCTGTTTATTATTAAAATACTGAGGGTAGTTTCATTTTGAATAAGTATATAGATGCTTAAGGCAACTTAAAAGGAAAGGAATGAAGCAAGATGGTCAGCAAAGAGTGTGATACTTGATTTTGGGTTGTGAGAGCCCAGAATAGTGAAGCTAAGGAGGGAGGGCCTTGGATTTAGAAATTCACATTCCCAAACCTTGACACTGAATGACCTCATACTAAATCCATAGCCTGGGAAATGCTGAGGCCAGTTGACTAGGGAAGAGGAACTATCATGGGAGTTACTCTGAGAAAGAACCAAAACACTGAATGCATTTGGCTTACCTAATTAAGCCAAACAAGGTATGTGTGTGGAGTCCTCACCTGCCCAGACTTTTTGAGAATCAAAATCTTGTTGTCTGTGCCTTGAGACCTTGCTTGATAGTCGTTTAGTTATAGTGGAGATAGTTTTGTGCCAATTTGGTGGTTTAAAATCTCATACTCCATTTGATACTGTTTTCTAGGGAAGATGCTTTTGTGATATATCCCAGCATGCTGATGACCCCAAGGAGGACCACTGGATACCTAGCAAGGTAAGAAAGAATAGTTTTTATTCCAAGATTTTTAGGTTTGAGGCTGGCCTAGGTAGGACAGGTTGGGCTGGGGATGCTGGAGAGTTATCATCCCTGTGACAAATATATGCCTACTAATAACGCAGGTCAATATTATTATTTAGCTTTGTTTTAGAATTTTTAGTCAGTAATATAATACAAGAAAAGGAAACTGTAAAAGTAATCATGTAATTCTTATTATTTATAATTATGGATTATTAATTATATTAGAAATATAATTATTTTTAATTTGTAGGATTGTTTACCTGGAAAAACTAAAAGAATTGATTGTAAAGCCCTGAGGTCTAATAGTAGAAACAGAGTTCAATAAGGGAACTCTCATATACAAAAATTCATAGAGTTCTTACAGCTCAGCAATAACTATCAAAAATATGAAGGAAAAAATGCCATTCAGAATAACAACATAAATTTATTTAAATGAAATTTGGAAGATCTCTTTTTAAAAAGTGCAAAACATTTAGTAAAAGACAAAAGAATTAAGTAGTTATCTACCCTATTCTCAGATAGGAAGAATCGGGATTTAGATACCAGAGTTTCCTCATTTTATATCAGTTATGTAAGGCCAATAGTATAGTGCATTTTTGGCTCTACCTGATGAAATGATTTGCAGTTATACAATATGATGAACTGTAATAACAGCTATAATATCAATATAGAGAGGATAAGAGGTTTCATATATGCACTATCAAATATTAAAGTAAGTGATAAATCTGCAATCAAAATAGTGTGTCAAGATTAGATCTATTAACAGAATAAAATCTAGTAATTAACACATGTATATATTAAAAACTGTATAGTAAGCAGAGGCTGGGTGTGGTGGCTCACACCTGTAATCGCAGCACTTTGGGAGGCTGAGGTGGGTAGATCATTTGCGACAAGGAGTTTGAGACCAGCCTGGCCAACATGGCAATACCCCATCTCTACTGAAAACACAAAAATTAGCCAGGTGTGGTGGCGGGAGGTGGAGGTTGCAGGAGCTGGAGATTGCAGTGAGCTGAGATCGTGCCACTGCACTCCAGCCCGGGCAACAGAGTGAGACTCCAACTCCCCCCAAAAAAACCCCAAAAATAAACAAAAAAAAAGTGTATAGTAAGCAGAAATTATATTTAAAAAGGTGCTGGAAATTTGGTTAATTAGTAAGGACAATGTACAAAAAAATCAAACCATACTTTACATTATATGATGAAATAACATTTAAATTTCAGATAGTTTACATATGTAAATATTAAAAATTAGATTACAAAGGTTACATTATAACCTTTAATTTATATGATATATAAAATATATACTGTATTATATAAATTTTATATTAGGATGTATTATAAATTTATATGAATCAAAGATGTGGAAATCTTTTATAAACTTAATTCTTTCTTAAAAAATTATAAAATAAAACAGATGATTCAGATTCTGTAACTATTTAACGTTTTCTTAAATTCTTAAATTTAAACTTAGGAAATTGAAATTTAAAATTAAATTTAAGAAAGTATACATTCTTAAAACTCACCGTAGTAAAGAAGATATGAGGACCTGGAGGAAAGCCAGAGAGACAGCTATTATATGGGTTAAAATTAGCAAAGACAATTCTTCAGAGTCTCTGGAGATTGATCATGGGGCTTGCTACATATTGAGGAATATTTAATAAGATCTATGGACTCTTTCATGAAGGTGTGGCAATTGAGTTAGGGACTGCCCCTGTTTATTTACAACTCTGTGTTCTGGAAAAGCTGTTCTATTCAGCAGCAGTTGAGTGCTAGATCCCATATCCCTCAACTTCCTTGGGTAGGAGAGCTATTCTTGGTAGATTGGGGAGCTGGTAAACATTGGCAAATCCGATTTTTCACAGCCCTGTGCTACAGAAGACGATATGAGTGGGTGGCAGCAGTGTCCATTCCTCCATTTCCAACTCTTATGAGGTATATAGTATCCGGATGAGGAAACTGGTGAAAAATACAGTCCCTCAATTCTACACAGCTCTGTGTCGCGGGAGAGCTGCTCTACTGGGGTTGGCATCCAAGTGTCAGATCCCATCATCCCCAACTCCCTGGGGCAGAAAAGCCAATCTGGTTAAATAGTAAGATGGCAAAACTCAGCAAATTTTATGCTCTTTGACTCTGGGCTGCAGAAGGTCTATACAGGGCTGTGATGGCAACTGGGTCGCAGAACCCCACCCCCACTATCCTCACACTCACATACAACTGCTCCGTAGAGAGGATCCAGCTAGAGCGGTCAGTAAGTTCACTATTCTCTCTCAGCTCCTGCTTCATAACAAAATTTCTGCTTAGGGAAAGGGGAGAGTTAGAGAAATGCTGAAAGACTGGCTGTGACCCATCTGTGCCAAAGATCCCCACATTATTTCAATCAGACTGTGGAACAATTTATGCCTCAGGGTATTGAAGCAATAGAGTGATCAGCTAGCAATAAATGATGGATAACAGCTGGGTTGATACCAATAGAGTCAGACCTGGCACAATCTTAACAGAGAGATTAAGTGAAGAAGAAAGTCAAAGAGAGCGTTGCAAAAACCATAGTTTTCCCTGGTGACTAGGAAGACTGTGCACATGCCCAGGGCTGCCTGCATTGAAGAGCAGCCAGAGAGACAGAAACATTAAGCTATAAGTTCCTGGCTGTATGCAGGGAAACTCACATACTTTGTAAACCATGAAAGCAATCTCCACCCCATTCACAGATTGAAGAGTAAAAGGTGAAAACCTCACTGGTTCACGGGGCTTGTTAAAACCTCTGATCAATCAGTGTCTGATCACTAAATGGTGATAACACACGATAACCTTCTAGGAAGCCAGGCCAAAAGATAAAAATAAAGAAAAAATATTTGAGTAGGAACATCAGAGGCTGTATGCTGCAGAAAAAATAGACTTTACTGAACTAGCCCAGCCTAGCCATTAAGCAAATATAAAACAAACAGCAAGAGAAGCCTCAACTAGCTTGTGGAGGTGAGTATTATCAGTATGCGGAGCTGCTGCTATAGACAGACGCAGAGCAAGATGGCGGAATAGAAGGCTCCACCGATCATCCCCTCTGCAAGGATGCCAAGTTAATAACTATCTACACAGAAGAAACACATTCATAAGAACCAAAAATCAGGTGAGCCCTCACAGTACCTGGTTTTAATGTCATATCACTTGTAAGAGGCACCAAAGAGATAGAAAAAACAGTCCTGAATTGTGGATGCCACCCACCTTCCCCCGAGGCAGCTGCAGCAGTGGATGGTGTGGAGAACATCTCTGGGCACTGGGGGAGAGAGAACACAGCACTTATGAGTCATTGAACTCCGTGCTGTCCTGTAAGAGCAGAAGGGAAAACTAGACCAAACTCAGCTGCTGCCTGCCCATTGAGGGAGCATTTAAATCAGGCCTGGCCAAAGTGGAATCACAGTGGTCCGCCAAACTTGAGCTTTCATTAACCTTACCACCATGGGCTACAGTGCCCTGTGTCTCTAAATGAACTTGAAAGGCAGTCTAGGCCATAAGGACTGCAACTCCAACTCCTAGGTGCTTCCTAGTGCTGAGCTAGGCTCAGACACAGTGGACTGGGGTCGGGGGCACATGACATACTGAGACATCACCTGGGGCAACAAAGGGAGTCCTGGCATTACCCTTTCTCTAACCCTGGGCTGCACAGCTCACAGCTCCAAAAGAGACCTCTTTCTTCCACTTTAGGGGAGGAGAGGGAAGAGTCAGGAGGACTTTCTTTTGCATCTTGGATATCAGCTCAGCCGCAGGGCACCAGTCAGAGTTGTGAGGCCCCCATTCCAGGCCCTAGCTCCAAGGTGACATTTCTAGACATACTCTGGGCCAGAAGGGTACCTGCTACCTTGAAGGACAGGACCCAGTCCTGGCAGCATTCATTATCTGCTAACTGAAGAGCTCTTGGGCCCCAAATAAGCAGCAGGGATACCCAGGTACTACATCAATGACCTTGGGTGAGCCTCTGATACTTTAACTAGTTTCAGGTGAGACACAGCACATTACCAACTGTGGTGGCTACGTGGCAAAACTCCTTTTGCTTGAGAAAAGCAGGGGGAAATGTGAAGGAGGATTTGTCTTGCACCTTAGGTAACACCACACAGCCACAGGGGTATAGAACATCAAGTGGGTTCTTGGGGTTTCTGATTTCAGAACTTGACTCCTGGATAGCATTTCTGGACCTGCCCTGGGCCAGAGGGGAGCCCACTACCCTCAAAAGTGAGTCCCACACCAGGCAGCATTCACAACAAGCTGATTTAAGAGTCCTTGGGCCTTAAGGGAACATTGGTGGTAATCTGGCAGTACTCATCATGGCCTGGGGTGGTGGTGGCTTCAGGGTGAGGCTTCTCTGCCTTTGAAAAGGGGAGGGAAGAGTGGAAAAGACTGCATCTTGTGGTTTGACTGCCAGCTGATGCACTGTACAATAGAACACCAGGCAGACTTCTAAGGTTTTTGGCTCTAGTTCCTGACTTCTGGATGACACGTCCAGACCCACTCAGGGGCTAGGGAACTTCACTGCTCTGAAAGGAAGGACACAGTCCTGGCTGGCTTTGACCCAGCTGATTGTAGAGCCCCAGGGCCCAAAGCAAACATAGGCAGTAGCCAGGGAATGATTACAGCAGGCATTGAGTGAGACCCAGTGATGTACTGGCTTCAGGTATGACCCAGTGCCATCATAGCAGTGGTGGCCACAGGAGTGTTTGTGTTACTCCACCTCCAGCTTTAGATGGCTCAGAACAGAGAGAAAAAGAGACTGTTTGTTTGGGATACAGTAAGGGAAGAGAACAAGAGTCTCTGCCTGGTATTCCAGAGAATTCTCCCAGATCTTGTCCAAGATCATCAAGGCGATACCTCTATGAATCTGCAAGAATCACAGCATTACTGGGCTTAGGGGTGCCTCTTAATGTGGATGTAGGTTAGAACGCAACACTCAAGTCCTTTCAAATATCTGAAAAGCCTTCCCAAGAGGGACAGGTACAAATAAGCCAAGATGGTGAAGACTACAATCAATATCTAATTCTTCAGTGCCCAGACAGTGAAGACTAAAATCAATGCCGAACTCTTCAATGCCCAGACACTGAAGAACATCTCCTAGCATCAGCATCATCCAGGAAAACATGACCTCACCAAGTGAACTAAATAAGGCACCAGAGACCAATCTTGGAGAAACAGATATGTGACATTTCAGACAGAGAATTCAAAATAGCTGTGATATGGTTTGGCTGTGTCCCCACCCAAATCTCATCTTGAATTGTAACTCTCATAATTTCCATGTGTTGTGGGAGGGACCCGGTGGGACGTAACTGAATCATGGGGGCAGGTCTTACCCATGCTATTCTCATGATAGTGAATAAGTCTTATGAGATCAGATGATTTTATAAAGGGGAATTTTCCTGCGCAAGCTTTTCTCTTGTCTGATGCCATGATTGTGAGGCCTCCCTAGCCAGGTGGAACTGAGAGTCCACTAAACCTCTTTTTTTTTTGTAAATTGCCCAGACATAGGTGTCTTTATCAGCAGCATGAAAATGGACTAATACAAGCTGTTTTGAAGAAACTCAAAGAAATGCAAGATAACACTGAAAAGGAATTCAGAAGTCTATCAGATAAATGTAACAAAGATATTGAAATAATTAAAAAGAGTCCAGCAGAAATTCTGGAGCTAAAAAATGCAATTGGCATACTGAAGAATGCATGAAAGAACTTTAATAGTACAATTGGTCAATCAGAAAAATTAGTGAACTTGAAGACAGGCTATTTGAAAATAGAGGAGACAGAAAAATGAAGGATATGTACAGGATCTAAAAAATTGCCCCAAAAGGGAAAAACTAACAGTTATTAGCTTTAAAGAGGAGTTAGAAAAAGATATATGGCTGGGCATGGTGGCTCACACCTGTAATCCCAGCACTATGGGAGGCCATGGCAGGTGGATCACCTGAGGTCAGGAATTTGAGACCAGCCTGGTCAACCATAGCCAACATGATGAAATCCTGTCTCCACTAAAAATACAACAACAACAAAAAATTAGGCAGACATGGTGGTACATGCCTGTAATCCCAGCTACTTGGGAAGCTGAATTACTTGAATCCAGGAGGTGGAGCTTGCAGTGAGGTGAGATTATGCCACTGCACTCCAGCCTGGGCGACAGAGCAAGACTCTGTCTCAAAAAAAATAAATAAAATATAAAAATAAAGAGCGAGATGTGGGTAGAAAGTTTATTCAAAGGAATAATCACAAAGAACTTCCAAAACCTAGAGAAATATGTCAATATCCAAGTAAAAGAAGGTTATAGAACACTGGGCGGATTTAACCCAAAGAAGACTACCTCAAGGCATTTAATAATCAGACTCCCAGAAGTTAAGGTTAAAGAAAGGATCCTAAAAGCAGGAAAAGAAACAACATGAAATGGAGATCCAATACATCTATCAGCAGACTTTTCAGGTCAAGAGACAATGTCATGACATTTAAAGTGCTGAAGGAAAACAGCTTTTACCCTAGAATAGTATATCTGACAAAAATATTCTTCAAATATGAAGGAGAAATAAAGACTTTCCCAGACAAACAAAAGCTGAGGGAATTTATCAATATCAGACCTGTCTTAAATGCAAAAGGGAGTACTTCAGTCAGAAAGAAAAGGATGTTAATGAACAATAAGAAATCATCTAAAGGTACAAAACTCACTGGTAGTATTAAGTACCTAGAAAAACACCACTGTAACTGTGGTGTGTAAACTACTCTGATACTAATTACAAAGACTAAATGAAGAACCAATCAAAAATAATAACTACAACTTTATAAGACATAGTACAATAAGATATAAATACAAATAACAAAGTTAAAAAGCAGGGGAATAAAGTTAAGGCACAGAGTTTTTATTAATTTTCTTTTTGCTTATTAATACAAACTGTGTTGTTATCAGGTTAAAATAATTAGTTATAAGATAGTATTTGCAAGCCTCATGGTGCCCTCTAACCAGAAAAATATACAATAGATACACACACAAAAAAAAGAAATTATATCACCAGATAAAAATCACATTCACTAGAGGAAGACAGGAAGAAAAGAAAGAAGGAAGAGAGGACCACAGAACAACCAGAAAATAATAAGATGGCTAGAGTAAGTCTTTACTTATTAATAATAACACTGAATGTAAATAGACTAAACTCTCCAATCAAAAGATACAGAGTGGCTGAATGGATGAAACAAATGAAACCCTTTAATCTGTTGCCTACAAGAAACACTTTACCTAAAAAGACACACATAGATTGACCATAAAAGGATGAAAACTGATATTCTATGCCAAAGGAAACAAAAAGAGTGGAAGTAGCTATACTTACATCAGACAAAATAGATTTCAAGAGAAAAACTATAAGAAAAGACAAAGAGGATCACTGTATAATGATAATGGGGTCAATTCAGCAGGAGGATATAACAATTGAAAATATATATGCACCCAACACTGGAGCATCTAGATATATAAAGCAAATATTATTAGAGTTAAAGAGAGAGATAGGCCCCAATACAATAATAGCTGGAGACATCAACACCCAACTTTCAGCATTGGACAGATGTTCCAGACAGATAATCAATAAAGAAACACCAGACTTAATCTGCATTACAGACCAAATGGATCTAAAATAGATATTTACAGAATTTCATTCAACAGCTGCAGAATACACATTCTTTTCCTCAGCACATGGATCATTCTCAAGGATAGGTGGTATGTTAGGTCACAAAACAAGTCTTAAAACATTGAGAAGATAGAAATAATATCAAGCATCTTCTCTGACCACAATGGAATAGGACAAGAAATAACAAGAGGGATTTTGGAAACTATACAAATACATGGAAGTTAAAAAAAATGCTCCTGAATGACCAGTGGGTCAATGAAGAAATTAGGAAGGAAATTGAAAAATTTCAGAGGGGCATTATGTAATGATAAAAAGATTAGTCCAGCAGGAAAATACCAGAATCCTAAAGATAGATTCAGCTAAGACTGGAGATCCCAAATTCATAAAGCAGTTACTACATAACATAAGAAATGAGATGGATAGCAATACAGTAATAATGGGGACTTCAATACTTCACTGACAGTGCTGGATAGGTCATTAAGACAAAAAGAAACAATGGACTTAAACTATACCCTAGAAAAATGGACTTAACAGATATTTACAGAACATTCTACCCAACAAATGCAGAATATACATTTTTTCCATCATCACATGGAATATTCTCCAAGATAGGCCATATGATAGGTCACATAACAAGTCTAAATAAATTTAAGAAAATGTTAATAAATTAAAGAAAATTGAAATTGTATCATGTACTCTCTTAGACCACAGTAGAATAAAACAAAATTAACTCTTGACCTGGCACAGTGGCTTACGCCTGTAATCCCAGCACTTTGGGAGGCTGAGGCAGGTGGATCACAAGGTCAGGAGATGGAGACCATCCTGGCTAACACAGTGAAGCCCCATCTCTACTAAAAATACAAAAAATTAGCTGGGTGTGGTGGTGGGCGCCTGTAGTCCCAGCTACTCAGGAGGCTGAGGCAGGAGAATGGCGTGAACCTGGGAGGCGGAGCTTGCAGTGAGCCGAGATGTTGCCACTGCACTCCAGCCTGGGCCACAGAGTGAAACTCTGTCTCAAAAAAAAAAAAACAAAACTTTATATTTCATTAAAATGTGATACAAATATTAATAGCCTACTCAAGTATATTTACCACCCAGCTTAAAAAATACTACTAATATTGATGAAACTCATGTTCCATAGTATATGTGTTCTTCTGTAACTTTCTTTTCTTCTAACATTACATTAATATGATTTATCCATATTTACATGTGCGTTTCACTTTTGCTGCTTCCTTGTATTCCATCGTATGACTATACCATAATTTATTTAGTGATCCATTCACCTATCAATGAACATTTAGATTGTATATCTATTAGGATGGGATACACTATGCTAAGCTCAAATCTCAATGGCTTAAAATATTTTATTTTGGTTTGGATTTTGTATTGCAGATGGTGGAGGTTCTGTCAGTCTGGGTCCCACCCAAGATGTACAGTTTATTCTACATGTCCACCATGGGTGGGACCCAGACTGACAGAAACTCCACCATCTGCAATACTCTGGTCACTGTAGCTGGGGAAGTCACTGAGGTAAATCATTTACAGTCTCTTAAAAACTTTTCACCCAGAATTGACCCATGTTCCTTCTATTCAGATTGTACTGGCCATAGAAAATTACATTGCCGCATTTAATTTCAAAGGATTAGGTTAGAGCTGTGTAATACTGCCACATACCCATGAGGAAAAGAATTGTAATACTAGCAAACAGCTCTAAGATAATTGCAAGTGGTTTTCAAAGTTTTGTCTTGTGGAGTGGCATTGTTAGGTCATGGGGTATAGACAGTTCAACTTTACTGGATATTATCAGAATGCTCTCCAGAGTTGTATGAGCTTGTACTCCCACTAGCAATGCATAAAAGTCAACTTTGTGCTGTGTCCTCACCAGCATATTCAGTTTTCTTTTTTGCTATTGTCTTATGCAATGGCACCTCATTGTGGTGTTAATATTTATTTCTCTTACTACTAAGGAGGTGGGGTATCTTTCCAGGTGTTTATTAGCCATTCTTCCTTTTCTATCAATTGCCCATTTAAGTATTTTGTCTGTTTTTCTGAGTTTGTTTTCATTTTTATATTAGTTTATTGGAGTCTGGCAGTTATTTTTGAATAATAATTATTTATGATTATTGGTGTTATAATTATCTTTCCCCAGTCAGCGATTTGTTTTGATGCAAACTTGACTTATGGTCAAGTTTGTCAAAAGTTTTTGCTAAGCTTTTTGAGTTCTTTGTGTGTGTGTGTGTGTTTGCATGCATGCAAGTTTACTTTAAAAAAAATCATTACTCTGATGTTGTAAAGATATTTTTCTCTATTTCATTTTACATGATGTACAGTTTTTCTTTCTATAATTAGCTACTTAATTCACCTGGGATTAGTATTTTGCATATAATATGAGGTAGGGATTTGAGTTTGCATTTTTTTCGTATGGTTAGCCTACTCTCTCAGCACAAAAGAATAGTCCAACATTTCACTAATTAGCATTGCTTTGTGATGTATGCTTGATATATGTGTAGGAATCTTTCTGGGCCTTTTTTTCTGTTTTGTCTATTTCTCTAAATCTTTATCAATTCCACCATGTCTTATTATTTTAGCTTTATAATAGCTTGACATTTGATAAGAAGTGTGGATATTTCATATTTATTCAACCAGTACAAAGAAGGCATATACTCTAGTCCAGGTAACTTTCTACATGTTGTAGATATAAAATTGGAAAAAAAAATTCTCCTTTCTGGGAATGTAGAATCTTTTGAGAAAGTCTGCCTAGTGAACATGTAAATTATAATACAAATGTTAATACTATAATATGTGCATATAATATGTGCTCCAGACACACTCTGTCTGGAATAGGAGAGAAGCAGAAACTATGTGTTGAGAATTAAAAAAAAATTAGATTACACGATTCCAAATCTATTCCCAAGAAATTGTAGCCTTATCTATAAAATCAAGAGTAGTGTTTGAGTAGGTTAAGAATGGACCTCGGGCTGTAGTTTAGATATATCTGACCTAGAGGTGAAAATGATGTATTTATTAAATAGATTTTGTATTCTATCATGTCTACTTGGCACAAAGATTCCACAGAGATTCCATTTTGCTGATCTTTTTACTTTCATTGGCTTTAGATCTATTTTACATTCTTCATTATGGACAGGCCATTATGAAAAACTCTTGAGGGTTGATTATATTTGTGCCTAATTCTGTAGGCCTAGAACTAGATTTAGGCCTATAGAATTTAAAAACTTACATGAAAGGAAGGCAACCAGATGATAACTCAAATTTTATTTTTATGAATGTGGCTATAAAGTTGTTGCTTGAGACACTAACAGAATGATAGATTACTTCAAAAGCATTATAGTATCTCATCTAAGGGAATTAATGATTCTAATCAACCCCTTTGTACAGGTACACCCTAGAGGTTTGGGTTGATTTCTATGTTTCACTTTTTAGGAGGGACAAAAGTAAACTGATACATTCTTGGAAGAGAGCCCTAGGTAGATGTGGACTTAAAATTCAGTGAGATTATTGATGAATGAAAGCATAGGGATTGTTTTGACAGGAATGGTAGGTAGTAGGGGTTGGGAAAAACAGGTTATCTTTTGAAGTATTTGTCTTTAAATGGCAGCAATAAGATGAATGGATCATGCCTGATGGAAATTCCTTCTTACTAGCTATGTTCAAACATGGATTCACTAGTAGATCTATTCAGAGAAGTCCTATAGAAGAGATTCAAAAGTATTTGTCAAGATGAGTTCTATGATAACACAAACTTCTTGAGATATTATATCGTTTTGCTTCTTTATTAAAATTTTCTTGATGTGCAAATGATACTACCCCATGTTTTGGAGTCTTGTTTTGTTTTAATTTTTCATTTTTTCCCCTGTTTTGTAAACAATGAAAAATAGAGTAAAATGCCCTTCAACTTCACATATATGTGACTATAACCTTAGTCTAACCTACTAATTCTGTGCTGATCTTGCATTTATCACTTGCCCTCACCGGCCAACCTATTCAGAGCTGCAAAAGAGCAAAACAAGATATGCAATTGTAATTTGAGTGTGTTACTAAGCTTGTGTTGTTGTAAATAATAGTTTTAGAAACAAGGAAGAGCAGTGAAGACAGAGTGTGAAATCTTTGGGTAGGAACTACATCTGATTTGCCCTTCTATTTAACTCTGTTGACTAGCATATTGCCTGGAAAATAAAAATGCACAATAAATACTGGTTTAGTTAAAAACAAAACCTACTTTAACCCCAGCACTTTGGGAAGACATGGCAGGCAGATCGCTTGAGGTCAGGAGTTCAAGGCCAGCCTGGCCAACATGGTAAAACCCCGTCTCTACTAAAAATACAAATATTAGCTGGGCACGGAGTGGCACGTGCCTGTGGTCCCTGCTACTCAGGAGGCTGAGGCATGAGAGTTGCTGGAACCCAAGAGGCAGAGATTGCAGTAAGCTGAGATTGCACCACTGCACTCCAGCCTGGGTAACAGTGAGACTCTGTCTCAAAAAAACAAAACAAAACAAAACAAAACAGAAACGGAAAACACAACCTGTCATTTCTCAATAATCATATAAATTGTGTTATCAGTGGTAAAGAGAACTTTAGATTCATAGTCATGTATTTGTTCTTTGTGCACAGAATTTCATGTAATCAACATTTATTGTGAACTATAGGGGAGGGGAAAGCAGTATTAGGTGCTGGGAGAAAATGGAATGACTTGAAAGGTTTGGAAGCCAGTGGTTTAGTTTTGAGCACATGATGAAGACATTATAAATACTTTACAATGCTACAAAACAACATGCATTCACTTTCTCAAGTGCAGAAGCATTTGTGAAATTCAGCAAAAAACAACTGAAAATTTTTGTGGCAAAAACCTTAAGCCTTTAATTTCTAACTTTTGCTAACCAATTCCTTTGTACTCCAAAGGGTATCAGTAATTTATATTTTGATTTACATATTGTATTCGTCTGTTCAGGCACTGCTATAAAGAAATACTTGAGACTGGGTAATTTATAAATAAAAGAAGTTTTATTGGCTGACAGTTCCTCAGGCTGTACAGGAAGCATGATGCTGACATCTGCTCAGCTTTTGAGGAGCCCTCAGGAAACTTACAATCAGGGCAGAAGGCAAAAGGAAAGCCAGCACTTCACATGACTGGAATGACTGGAGCAGGAGAAAGAGAGAGAGTGGCGAGGTGTCATACTCTTTTAAACAACCAGATCTCTGGATATCTCACTCACTCACTGTCATGAGAACAACACTGAGGGGATGGTGCTAAACCATTCATGAATAATCATCCCCATGATCCAATCACCTCCCACCAGGCCCCACCTCCAACACTGGGGATTACAATTCAACATGAGATTCAGTGAGGACATACATCCAAACCATATCACCTATTATTTGAAATGATTTTAAGTTAACTATTAAAGTTTTCTTTGATGGCTTTAAAAACCAAGTTATACCAACTTTACCACACTTAGGAATTGTGACTTTGAAAGAAATCTGGACATAAGCTCATCTTTTTTGGAGGGTACTGGCACATGTTATATATGAAGGTAGGTACTCATCCCAAACACTGAGATTTCATTATGAAATGGGGCAAGAATAGTTTTATGGAGAATAAGTAAATTCCTAGTGTGAGTGCAAGTTGTCATCTTGATGCCACTGTGATCCTCAGCAAAAGTGATTTATTGTATTGGATTATATTATCCACCTATTTTTTCACATGCTTCTTTTACTATGATATTATGCAGGCAACTATGACCACTGTCGAATGCTCTCTCAGCCACATCTTTTATACTGTGCCAATTAAGCAGAAGGTGGGGAATGTTGTCAGAGGGACTTAAATGTCTCATCTAAAGGTCAGCACCTAATGACAAGACAGCATTTATCCTGAACTGGACTGTAGAGTCAGCACTGGGTTTGAGCCCAGTTGCTGTTGTGGGACTTCAATATACAGTCCTCCAAATGAGAACAGGTGGTGTCAAAGGAACTATACTGGTGTTCAAGATATATCCTAAAATAGATTTAAGCCTCTCCATGACCTCATTTTGCCGCTCGGGCTTGCTTACGAGTGTGTTTTTGGGTGGTGTTAATGTTCCAGTGTTAGCCATTATAATTTATGGACTGACATAGGATCGTTAGCACTGAGCATGGATTGTGCTCAGTAGCCAAGGCATAACTTTTTCCCCTCTGTGTTTCCTACAGCTGGTCAGTGTTTTGTAACCAGGGCACCAACTCTGCAGCCAGTTCGTAACTTTAGATGTTTGATTGGGTGTGTAGTTGGCATCACAGACACGGTTAACCAAGGATAATATTAGAGTATGAGTGACAGTTTCAATATTTTATTCCTGTTAGAACTAGCTTTAGCACAAGTTGAAACCAGGTAACTGAACCTATAGTAAGATTTTATTTAATAAAATCATTTCATGCAAGGTAACAGTAACTGTGACTGTTTAGCCTTGGAGCAGGTGAAGGAGTTAACGATTTTGTCAATTAAAGTTTCATCAAAGTAAGCCATAGATGTTCTATTTCTGGAAAGAGTAATAATGTTACAAGGTTTACAATGAAAACCAGCAGACCTTTGACCTCTTTTTCCCTACTGTCAGTCCTGCTTTCAAGAACCACCACTTTTCATTCTGTCAATGCTTCTGGTATTTGCCACCATTTTTCTATATAACACAGTTATACTTGCGGTTCTTGATTCTTCAGTTTTAGATATTACATATTGAGTTTTTATTTTTATTATGACAGATATGAAAGATAAAGGTTTAACTCTTTTAAACTCCATTTGCCTCCAACATACATTATTCCCCTTCTCCCATCCTCTTTTTCACAATGTTTGGTGAAATCAGTATTTTGTTTCTCATTGTTACTAAATAAATTGGTTCTCAATGGGTGCAGGAATAGTCATTCTTAATGATTGTTCATTAAGACATTATAATAATTAGGTTAAGGGATTTGATGCTGTCAGGGTGATTCCCTGATAACACTGTAGACATAGACAGGGAACAGATACACAGAACAGAGAGAAACAAGCTGCTTCCTGGGCTTGATTGGAACACAGCAATGAAGACATTTGCCCATAACTGTGCTAGGGGTGAAGCAAGTGAGAAAGGGGTATGGGTTAATTAGGAGGGACACTGTGGAGGAGATTGCAAACGTCTTTGCAAGGATTTTTGAAAATGTATGGGGGCATTTTTTGGAGTTCACAATGGTTTGGGGCACAAGTGATGCTTAATGGATGGAGTCCAGGGCTACTAGACCTTGTGCAATGCATGGTCAAAGAGTTGTCCTGCACCCCACCTGAATGTCCTGCTGAAATGCTGTACATAGGTACCTTAGTGTAGATAAAAAACTCATTTATAAATATCTGAACCCAGAACCTGTCAGAATTTTACATAAAAACACACAGTATTCTAACAGCGTTTCACTATATGCTGAATTTTCTAGGAATTAACCACCAGACTAATCAATGAAAGATTGTCATTTGTTGTTTGGAGGTTTATTAAGACTTGCACACTATTTGGAAAATCATATGCCCCAAAACACCCCCGGTGCTATTTTAATTAATATATTAATATATGTCAATCTATATTTATAGCTGTTACATTCATGAAGATTCTCAATTAGATGCAATATCTGCTACTTTATTTTATCTGTTAATGTAATCAGTATCCAAATCTGTTTATTTACATATTAGAATATTTGTTATTTCATTAAATTTTACTTTTGTGTATTTCTTCATCATATTTCAGTTAGGATGTAACATTGATGTTTTTCTTTATGTTATGAACATAGGCAAGTTATATACCTATGAATTTCATCAATTCATTATAAGATATGTGTTATAAAAATATGAAATATGATCTGAGTTGAAAATAGAATTATAGCTGAGTCACAAAGTGACTTTTTTGAATAAGCTTTTTTTATATTTTCATTGTTTTTTTAAAATATAATTATCAAGAATTGTAAAACTCATCTTAATATAGTTCACATGTCAGAGAAAACACCAATATCATGATCTACTTAGTGAAATCCCCCTTCCTGTTGCGACCCTATCTCTTTTCTTTTCTTTCTAGGTCTGGAACATAGCTCTTATTCTGGGATTTCATCTGTGATCATCCTGGGAATTTTCTGTATGATCTTGGGTCCTGTTCCCATTTCTTCCTTTTTCTTACTTCATTCCCTGATTTTGATGGAACATTTTCTAAAATGGCTTCATCAGAAAGGGTAATAAGGTAAATTCTGTGAGACTGTATGTGTCTGAAAATATATTTATTCTATCCTCACACTTGTTTGATAATCTGACTAGGTATCAAATTCTAGGTTTGAAATAATTTTTCCTCAGAATTTTGAAGGCATTTTTGTTGAAATCTAATGCCAGTTTAGTTCCTAATTCTTTATATATTACTTGCTTCTCTCTCTCCCACTCTCCCCTCGCTATCTTTGAGAACATTTGTAATCTTCTTTATTCCTGGGGTTCTGATATTTTACAATGATATATTTTGGTGTGAAATTTTATATATTAGTGGAACTGAATATTCAGTGGGAGGTATGTTATCTGTTAATTTTTATACTGCACTCATTTTATGTATTATTTATCTGATACTTTTCTCCCATTCATTTTTTTATTCTCCTTTTTTCTGGAACTTTTGTAATAATGACTTTCAAAATTAATTTTTAATTATATGTCTACATATACATAAATGTTATATATTTAAAATCCTATTTAATGGATACTTTCTTCAAGTTTATCTATTAACAAAACCATTACTTTTTGATGTCCTATCACCTCTTCAATTACCCAAGCTCAGTTATGTTATCTTAGATATTGCATTTTGGCAATATTCTGTTCTTGTTCTTAGATGTACTCCTTTTTTTTTTTTCCTTAGTATGTCCATTATAATATTCTAAATTTTTCTTCAGTTCAGTGCACTGTTTACATTTCTTCTGAATTCTTATTTTCATCTGGCCTGGTTTGGTCTCTGCTTCTTTCATGTTAGACATACCCCTCAAATATCTAGTGATCTTTGACTATTCTTTGTACTTGTATTAGTTTTTTACTGCTGCTGTAATAAATTACCACAATTGTAGTGGCTTAACACAATACAGGTTTATTATCTTATAGCTCTGGAATTCAGAGGTTCAAAATAAATTCCACTAGGCTAAAATTAAGGTGTTGGTATAGCTGATTTCATTCTAGAGGCTTTAGGAGAATACATGTTTCCTTGCTTTTTCCAAATTCTAGAGGTTACCTGAAGTCCTTAGCTTGTAGGTCCCTTCTTCCGTCTTTAAAGTACATTACTCCACTTCTGATTCCATCATCACGTCTTTTTTTTTTTCTCACTTGACCCTCCTGGTTGCCTTTTATAAGGACCCTTGTCATTACATTGGGCCCACCCAGATAATTAAGGACAATCCCTACAAATCAAAATCCTTAACTTAATCGTATCTGCCAAGTCTTTTTACCATGTAGAATATAATATTCACAGGGTCCAGAGATTAGGATGTGGACATCTTTGGTCATGGGAGGGGAATTGTTTTGTTTATTGGTGTTCTTTAAGAAATGAATCTCTGATTATTGATAAGTTGTGTGTGTATGGTTAAGTGATTGCACCAGTGGCCCTTAATTTCATTCATTGGGAGACAACCCATTGATGTCTCCTAGAAGCTTTTGTCTCTCAGCTGATCATTTCTGTGACAGAGAAATTCTACTAGAGGGTTGTAAGCCTAGCTGTTAGAATTCTGCGAGCCATACAGGTAAAGGAGTTTGAGGGAGGCAATAGCAGTTCTCACCATTCAATATGCAGGATATTACTCATTCATCTTCTTTTCAGCACAGATCGCCATTTCCACCCTTAGCTTTGGTGTTTCCATGTCTTCTGTGATTGAATTGTCCTAACAGCCAGCAAAGATCAGGGTTCTCACTAGCAGAGAAAAGAGAAGGAAGGGATATGGTGGTCTGACCACTCCTGATACAGACTTTCACCCAGTCCTGCTTTCAGACGAACTCCATGCCCAGCTTTCAGAAGTACTCAGAACCTTCAATTCCTGAGTTACTCTGGAGTTCTACAGTGAATGTTTATTTTTTCACTGATTTTGCCCTATGTAGGCTTTCAGAAACAATGATTATTTATCTGTCCCATTTTCAGGCTTTAAAAAATGTTACTGTCTTTCATCTGCTGTTCTTCCCTTTTCTGTTCTTAGCCCTTGTTCACATCTATTTTTTAAAAATTCCATTACTATCATTTTAAAGCTGTTTTATAGGGAAGCAGGGATAAACTGCATGCTTAAACTGTCACATTTAACTGCAAACTTAAGAATTAGCAGTCTTAAAAGGAGGGGCATATCCAAACAAACACTGAAGGAGGTACAAAAGGTTGAATGGGTTAAATGTTCTGTAAATGTCTGTTAGGTCTATTTGGTTTAAAGTGCAGTTTAAATCCAGTGTTTCTTTGTTGATTTTCTGTCTAGATGATCCGTTCAATGCTGAGAGTGGGGTGTTGAAGACCCTAACTATTATTGTATTGGAGCCTGTCTCTCTCTTTATATCTAATAATATTTCCTTTACATTTCTGGGTGCTCTCATTTTAAGTGCATATATTTGCAATTGATATATTTTTTAAATGAATTGATCCCTTTATCATTATATAGTGATCTTTTTTGTCTCTTTTGACTGTTTTTGACTTAAATTCTGTTTTGTCTGATGTAAGTTATAGCTACTCCTGCTTGGTTTTGGTTTCTGTTTCTGTTGAATATCTTTTTGCATCTCTTCACTTTCAGTCTATGTGTGTCTTTACAGATAGTATGAGCCTTTTGGAGACAGCACATAGCTGGGTCTTGGTTTTTATCTATTCAGCTACTCTGTGTTTTTTATGTGGAGAATTTAATTCATTAACATTGAAGGTTTTAATTGATATGTGAGGACTTATTCCTGTCATTTTGTTGATTGTTTTCTGTTTTTATTTTTCATGTATCTTTTGTTCCTTTCTCCTTCTCTTATTGTTTATCATTACAGTTTTGTTGTTTTTCTGTAGTGATAAGCCTTGATTCCTTTCTCTTTCTCCTTTTTGTGTCTCCTTTATGAATGTTTTATCATTTTACGTGCTTTCATCATGGTGGCTATCATCTTTTTGCTTCCAGATGTACCACTCCCTTGAACATTTCTTGTAAGGCAGGTCTAATGGTGTTCGATTTTCTCAGTTTTTGCTTGTCTGGGAAATACTTCATTTCCTTCTCAGTTCTGACAGATCACTTCACTGGGTATAGTATTCTTGACCAACAAATTTATTTTTCTTTCTGTACTTTGAATATATAATCTGATTCTCCTGGCCGGTAAATTTTCTGCTGAGAAATCTATTAGTCCAGTTGGGATTCCCTTATATGTGACTTCATGCTTTTGTTTTTAGAATTCTCTATTTTTCTTTGGCTTTTGACAATTTGGCTATGTTGTGCCTCAGAGAGGATCTTTTTGTGTTGACTCTATTTGGTACATTTGAGCTTTCTGGATATGGATATACATATCTCTTCCATATGGGAAAGACATGGAAAGTTTTCAGCTATTATATAATTAAACATCTAGGTTTTCCACACCTTTTCCCATCTCTTCTCCTTTTCTAATGCCATAATGCAAATATTTATTTGCTTAATGGTGTTCCATAAGTCCTGCAGGATTTCTTCATTCTTTTTCATTTTTACTTTTTAAAAATCTGACTGAATAATTTCAAATGACATGTTTCAAGTTCAGAGATTCTTTCTTCTGCTTTATCTAGCCTGCTATTGATGCTCTTTATTGTATCTTTTATTAATTGATTTCTTCAGCTGCATGATATCCATTTGGTTCTTTTTTATGATTTCCATCTCTTTGTGAAATTTCTCATTTATATTGTAAATTGTTTTCCTGAGCTTTTTCCTTTACATTATAATTTCAAATTTCTTTTCTTGCAATTTGTAGATTTTCTTTTTTTTTTTTTTTTTTTTTTTTTTTTGTTGTTGTCTGCTACTGGAGTGTTATTGTGTTCTTTTGGTGGTGTTTTATTTGTTTTTTTTTTTAATATTTCCCGTGTCTCTCTGTTGATATCTGTTTATATGGTGGAACAATCACCTCTTTCAAATTTTATAGTGGCTTTGGTAGGGGAAGACTTTCACCTGCATTTGGGGCCTTGTATTCTGGTTGAGAAGGGTGTAGTGACTCTGGTTCTGAATAGATGTAGTGGCATAGTCTCTGTGCAGCTTCATCTGTGACCAATTCCAGTGATAATTGTGAGTGCCTCAGTGACCAAGGCTATAGAATTTTGTGACACAGCAGTGGTGGTGTAGTTTGTTAATGTTCTTGATGGCCAAAGGTTTCTATTCTTGTTTTCCCCATAATAGGGAGACTTAGCTTAGGGGATCCCTCTTGGTATTGGGTCTGACACAGCCTACAAGCAGTTGCAGTGCCATTGGGTTCCAGATGCAGGTGCTCAGTGGCTTTGGACCTAGGGTTCTAGGTTCAGGGTCTCGTCAACATATTGTGACACTTGGATCTTGGGGTTACAGGTTCACTTTCTGTGGCAGGGTTGGATGTTGATGTTGATTGCCCACAGATGCAGGATCAGTGACTCTGAAACATCCCTTAAAACTTGGGCCTTGGGGGCTGGGTTTTAGTTGTGATTCCATCCTTGGGGAGCAGGGTACAGCACTGGCTCTTTTTTAGGAAGAAGGGATGCTCTCCAAACCTCCAGGAGGTTTAGGCCCAGGAAGCGGGATATGGCAGCATTTTGGAAACCAAAGCTAATAGGGCAACTCAGGCCTTAGGGGATGAGGCACCATGACTTCAGGATGGTAGGACTTAGCAGTATCTCAGATTATATGAGGCTAGGCGCAGTGGTAGTGAATACCTCAGAATGGCAGAGCACAGAATGGCCGACCAAATGGCTGTCATTTGATCCCTGGGGGTCAGGGAGCAGCACATCAATGACTCAACTCCCCCAGGAGAGGAATATCTGAGCAATTCAGATTCTAGAGGGCTAATTCTGCTCCAGGAAGCAAGGTACTAAAATTATTTGGCCTGTAGGATAGGGTGTCTTAGCTCATCCACTGCTTTTCTTCCCTAGGGTGTAGGGTGATATGTCAGCTCAGCCCAGGGATATGGATTTGTTCAGCTCAGCCAAAGCACTGATTCCCCAGGGGATAATGTGCTACTTTAGCTCAGGCCTGGGGTGTGTGATTGCTCTAGATGGACCAGGCACTGTTTCCTCGGGATGCAGGGTGCTGCTTCAGTTTAGATACTGGGGTACATTACCACTCTGGATGACTTAGGCACTGTTTTTCAGGAAGTAAGGTGCTGCTTCAAATTAGGCACTGGGAAGGCATGACTGCTCTGGGCAACCAATATATAGCTTTCTTAAGGGGCAGGGTACCACTTCCACTCAGGCACAGAAAGATGCAACTCCTCTG
Organism: Homo sapiens; assembly: GCF_000001405.40. Lineage (NCBI taxonomy): Eukaryota > Metazoa > Chordata > Mammalia > Primates > Hominidae > Homo > Homo sapiens. The sequence continues at coordinate 82,302,741 of NC_000009.12, forward strand.
GGTGGCCAAAGCACTATTCCTAGGATGCCAAGTGTTGCTTCAGCCCTAGTACAGGAGGGCAGGTGTAGAACTGAGAAGTATATGCAGAGCTGCTCCACCAAAGCACCATTTCCCTAGGAGGCAGTATACAGCTTCAGCTTCAGTCTAATGGGACTGGGCGCAGGGGTGATTGGAAGGAGCTTTCAGAGCTATTCTGAGAAGGCATAGTTTCCTCAGGAGGCAGTGTACAGATTAAGCTCAGGCCCCTAGGGTCAGGACATAGCAGTGACTAGGAAAGGGTTGATGGAACTGCTCTGTCAAGCACCATTTCTCCAGGAGGGAGTGCAAAGTTTCAGCTCCAGTGTGAGGGAGTAGGGCACAGCCACAACTGTGAAGGGTAGGCGGAGTGGTTCTGCCACTGCTTGGCCGCACAGGGAAGGGCGTAACAGCTGCTCCCAGCTCTGCTTGGGGATGTTGAGTCACTGAGTGGGAGTGGTTTGGTGGTGGTTAGTGTCAGGGGAAAGGGTGCTGTGGCCACTTGTCCCCACAATAAGATACTCCAACAGTAGTTCTAGTTCTGTGAAGGTACAGTAAAGTAGCTACATGGGCCACAGGAGCTGGAACATGATGTCAGCTCCTTCTCTCGGGGAAGCACAGCTATATGGAATCCAGGCAGCTCCTTCAACTGGGCTTAGTGCTTGTGAGGACTGCAGGAGTCCCCAGTGGTGAATGACTTTAGGTATTGTTGATGGGGGCTGCTGGAATCTTCTTGTTTGCCTTTTCCCTACAAGGAGAAATTCCTTCTGGTCCCCAGCTGATCCTGGCTGGAGAATGGGAGGTAGAGGCCAGGTATTTCCTTCTGTTCTCTATGTGGCTATCCTAAGTTTCTTTGCTTACCAGCGTTTCTGTTACTTTTTTAGTGTACCTCAACATTCTAGTTATTGTCATCAAAATGTAATTTGTTATTCATTGTTTTGGCTGTCTTTGTGGGGAGGGCATAGGCAATAGGGGCTTCTAGTCCATCATGTTGCTCAATCCACGGTTTGGGTCTTTAATTCATTCCTCCTCTTAAGGGAATAATGAAATATTTAGCTAGATTACATTTACAGAAATGTCTTCCTCTTTGATCTGTTTAGATCTTCTCTTATTTCTTTATCCTTTTCTTACGTTACTTGCTAATTTTCGTCTGTGCTCTGCATTGGGTTCATGTCCTGCATTTGTTTGTTGTTTAGGTATTAAACACTGAATTGTTATAATCTACCTATGTCTTTAGGTGAATATTTCATTTAATACTTTTTAAAAAAATCAAATGTTCAGTGTTTAAACACTGGAAAATGAAGAAAGTTCTAATGCTCAAACAAAAAAAATCTTCCTGCTTTATCAAAAGTCCTTTAACACATTAGTATATGTACTTCACTTTCTATGTATGTACAAATATTTGTGTGTGTGTGGATTAAAAATAGAAATCACATTATTTTGTAGCTTGCTTTCTTTTACTTAGCATATTCCCATATCAATACTCTTTTATAAATAGTATTATTTGTATTGCTTGCATTATGTTTGCTTTTATGAACATGGGCCACAGGAGCTGGAACATGCAACAGTTTGCAATAATAAAGCCATAGTTCTGAGACTTTAATATGTTTACAGTTGTTTTGGTCATTTCTATAGCCTCTGCTATTTTTGTTTCTCTGTATTACTACACAGCCTTTGGTAAAGCTGGAAGCAAAGAGGTTAGCCATCCTCTAATGGACAGAGCATGGTGAACATGTAATGTACATTATAAGATATGCTATCATTCCAAGGTACCCTGGCACGCATCCTTTCTCTTTCACTTGCTCTCACTCTTAGTCTTGCTGTCTCACTTGCTCTCCTACCATAGGGTGGTAGAAGGGCTATATTCCCAGGGTTCCTTTGGAAAAAGTAAAATTTCCTATTTGGGTTTTAGCTTAAGAGTCCCCCCTCTGCAAAACTATTTTAGCTCAAGAATCACAGCAATCTGAAGGTAGCAATTTGGGATTTGATGATTTAACCATTTTACTCAGTCATTTGTATTGTTCTCAGATTTGTAAAACTTGCCTCCTTTGGCTAAAACCTCTCCTTATCAACAGTTGATTATAGCAAATGTACAAGAAGTTTACAAGATTCAAGGGCTTTGGGATGCTGTGGAAGCAGGGTAGTGTAGTGGACAACTGGCCTTACTAGGACCTTTGCAAGCTAATAATTGCCTCTCAGCCTCTATTTTATCATCTGTGAAATGAGGATAATTACAACCAATCATCAGGTTTCTGTGGAGATTAAAGTAAATATATATTTATTGCTAATTTAGCACAGTGTCTTGGACAAAGTATTAATGGTAGCATTATTATGTTGTTCTGGTAAAGTTGCAGATGGAGAGAAGTATACTGATGCCGTGTTGAGGACCACAGACAGATAGGCAAAGCCAGATTGAAAATGATCTCGAGAACTGGTCTTCCATTGTCTTTATTTTCCTATTTTCTCTCATACGTCTTGGGAAAAAAGATCCAGTATTTCTTCTCTCCTGAGATCCAATATGATACTGATGAAAAGAAATTTTAAAAAATCATTATCAACCTGAAAACAGCACTCTGTGAGGCCAACATTTATTGGAGCTTTCCCAGTAAATTAGTATTTCCCTTGACCCACTCCCCATTATCCCCTAACCTTTCACCAGCTTCACTGTTGTTTTGTTATTAACAACAAAGCCTTGTTCACGGATAAAGCAGATATAGGCTTGGTCTTAATTGACTTGTTTAACCTTCACCTAAAGCTATTGCTCTTTGTAACCCAAGGCATTTCTAATATTTGAACAGGAAAAGTTTCAAGTGATATTGTCTTAAAATGGACCCTCTATCACCAATAAGCTAGCTAGCTGGCTAGCATAGAGTAGCATCATAACTAAGCTTATATTCCTGACCAAGGTCACCACATCTAATTAGTCCTGTAACCAATAAAATGTTACAAATGAAGATACTTTAAATATAAATCTAAATAATAATTTCAAATGGTAATGTTTCAAGTTCCATTAAAAGAGCATAAATATACCTTATGCATAGATTATTCAAGTAGCCTTTATGAATGACAAGGCATGCATATAACACATAAGATTACAAACTATGCCATAAATCTAGCCTACCTCAAATTAATATACTTGCTATGAAAAATGTTAACATTTAAGTCACAATTTTAATTTAGTTTCCTTTGGAGGCATTATTTGAATGATCAAAACTAGTTTTAAAAGCTATCAAATAAAGCTTGACCATTTTTTTTAATAAAATACATTTTGCTTTGGCAAGTAGGATTTGGAATCATTTCATTGGCCTTTAAGCTGCACTCAAATTTGATATGTTGATCTGTTTTTTTGGTTTTTTTTTTTTTTTGCCATTGAGATATCTAAATATTTCAAGGGCTCTCCAAGGATTTTCATTGTGAGAATTTGAAGAGCAGCAGACTCTTAAATTCTGGCCCTGCTGTTTATCTTCATTTTCTCTTCTCTCAGCAACTATAAGGGCAGAATGGGAACAAGAAAGAATTCACAGAAAGGTCTCTTAAGCAATAGGGAAGATGGGATTGGAGAAGGGTAGTCATACCTCTTTGCCCTTGAGGTGTGAAGTATTTATTGGCTGATATGTGTGTATGTCTCTGTGTGTGTGTACATACACACTTATACACATATATGCATACACATATATACATGACACATCATGTGATATATGTACGTGTATGTATGTGCATATATATACACATGAGTATGTGTGTGTATACACATGAGTATATGTGTATATGAGTATATGTGTGTATACACATGCATATACTCATGTGTATATGAGTATATGTGTGTATACACATGCACATAAATACACACACACACGATATGTCATGTATATATGTGTATATGTATATATGTGAGTGTATGTGTGTATGTGCATACACACACATATTATATATATAGATCAGCCTCAGAGTTTCAGATCTTTTTAAAGCCCATCTGACAAAGTTGCTGTCTTTTTCAGATTTAATTGTCTTCTGGTTTGGTATTATGCTGCAGAAACTTTATAAGCAGAAGTCACTGAAAAGAAAATAAATTATACGAGATGAGTTAATCCTAATTCTATCATTTATGAATTCTGTAAACTTGAGATTATTAATCTATTTGGGCATTAATGTCCTCATCTATAAAATGGAACTCTTAATACCCATCAACTCTTTAAGATTGGGATGAGGATTACTTGATGTAATGCATAAAAAGTACATAGCACAAAATCTGGTTATGACAGATAAATGCCCAAAAGAAGTAGTTATGGTTATTTTTTTCTATTATTCCTTTCAATATTAATAATACTGTTAAATAAGTTGAATTTATTCAAATATTGACTAAAAGGGACTATTTTATAGGTTAAATATTTACCTATGTTACTCAAGTTTCTTGAAACTATTCGCACAGTGTAATTACTGTTTATAAATATATTTTTAATTTGGGTCCTAATTTGATTTTTTTTCCTAAGCAATTATTCTTGTCCACAGTGATAAAGACGAGCAAACTGAGTGTGGATGTCAGAAAAGAAGCCATTGGAACTGAATCTTTTCAGTTTTTGTCTCTAACTCAACCTTGAAAAACTTCTGGGAAAGGCCAGGAAGGTTTAAAAAAGTAAAAGGGAGACTTTCCGGAAGTTGGCTAAAGAGGGTCTGGAAAGAATTGTAGTCTCACTCTTTCTGATGCTTATTAAAACACAACAAAATCCATATTTCTACTTTGATCTTGACTCAAGAGAATGTTATGAAATTGGCACCAAATTGATTAAGTCAACCCTATATTTGTCCACTTAGGTGTATCTTAAAGGCAGGTAGGAAGGTGGAAGAGGAACGATTAGATGCTGTCTCTTCTGAAAGTGTAATATCAACTAGATATTGGAAAGAAAATACAGCATATGCTGTGGCATTATCAGTCAATGTCCATCTAGTTATAAGAGCCTCAAGAACTTGGTATTCTGTTTGACTTCAAACATGTAAAAGGCTCAAGTCATTCAACTTGGTATAATGTTTTCTGAGGACTTGGTCAGATCATTTTCTTGCCTCAAATATTTAATTCAACCATTTGCCTCAAATATTTAATTCAACCATTTAATTCAACCATTAATGAACTCCGCTCCTTGCCAACTCCAAAGTAGTTTGAACACTCAGTTATCCTTAATCATACGTTGTATGTCGTCTTTGGCCTTCTGCACAGGCAGATGGGAATTTAGGGGGATATTCCATGAAAATACTGCAAGAAGTCTTGACTGTTTCACAATAGGCTGCTTTTTAGAATACTCATGCCCTATGTCAATATAAATATTAGAAGACTTAGAAGAGTTTGTAATCTTTTGGCCTCTAGTTAAATTATTATTTTAACCCTCCCTTTTCCCGAGTATCACTGACAGATCATTTTAGTTCACGTGGTTTATTTTTCTTATTTTCTTAAAGACTTTCCCACTTTATTAGAAAAGCAAGCCAAACAAAACGGTACAAAGCATAACTCAACTCAAAAACAACAATAACAACCAATAATGTATAACCCAGACTCCCTGCTTTATTGGAGTTGTGGCTTTTAATTTCTTATCTTAGAAAAATCTCAGCACTATTGCCTGAGTATAGACTTCTGTAAAAGCTCTAGGCTTACTGTGAGCAGGATTTTTCTTTTAACAAGGAAAGGAGATTACAGGAAAGAATACCAGTTGGAGGAAAGAATAGTTGGAGAAATGTTTTAACCTAATTTGCATATGAATAATTCCCAAGGATGTTATTTAGGTATAAGAGTATTGCAACTTCTCCAAAGTGGAAATGATTCCAAAAAAGGAAGTATAATTTTTATAGAATGTGTTTGAGAGAGTGTAAAATGGGAAGGGAAAGATAAAGAGGCCGATTCCTTTACAAATGTTAGATGCGTGGATAGTAAACACATTAGTAGCATTTCTGTATTTTGTTTTTGTTCAGTCCTACATAGTGCTGTTTTGGAAGCATAGTGTTTTTCTCATGATGCTGTCAGTCTCAGTTCAAACCTTTACATCCCAGATTGCTTGTCTCACATTGGCTATGTATTAAAATTGCTTTATGTCCAACACTCCGTGCAATTTAGAGAGATTTTCATTGTGGAACAAACTTGAAAAAAAAAATATTTCTATGAAAAGCAATTTGCTTTGCTAGGCTTTGCCTGTATTCCCAGTGCAATTACTGTAGATTATATGAGTTTGAAAATGAGCTTTCTTCTTTGCAACCCACTCTCTCCCTCTGTTTGATTCTCTTGTGAAGTCATAATCCTCTGTTTGCGCAGTAAGCCTGTTGCCATGGAGATTAATGTGATGTTACAAATTTACTATTATTTATGACTTCATTGTAGGATGGATCTGAATGAGAAATTAATCTCTGACTTCTTCACCAAATATTTGGTAAGCCGTATGAGAACAGGTGAAAGCATTTCAGTTTTCATTTCTTAATTGGGAGGTGAAAGTTGCTTTCACTGATGAAAAATGCAAATGTTAAGGAAATAATAATTTTTAGAAAATGTTAAATATTTTTGAAGAGGAGCTGAAATGTGAGACATTAGGATAAATTTTATATTCTGTCTTAAAAATATCTACTGAGAGCCACAAGGGTCCTCCACCTTGAGAAACCTGGCTTGTCAGTGTCATTCTCTGAACAAGTTTCTCCTTGGTACCGCCATGTTTACTTTCTTTGCAAAGAAAAGCTAAACAGTGAGCACTCTGGTGCATAAGCCCCTCAACCATTGAGATATTGAATTCTGATCTTTAATAAACCAACATTGATTTACTTCACTGCTTCTGTTTGCTTAGTTAAGCTCCATTGGCATAGGAAAAGGCACACATAATTTAATCAAATTGCTTTTTTTCATTTGATTTTTTATTAGTGTGCAAAGTAGGCTCTAAGCATTCAGAATTTATTTTTACCAGTAAAATATCTTTCTTCTCTCTTGGAAGAGAAGTTTGAAATTACAGTTAATTTTACCCCTCACTCCTGATATGTACAAGATAAATGAAATACAACAGAAGATCTTATGTTTTAATGTCAAATTCTCTTTTTTGACATCAGTGTTGACTCTTAAAGAATCCAGTATAACATCCAAGCAGGATTGAGCTTTGAGATTTTCAGATTTCAGATGCCAATGAACAAGTCAATATATTAATGTTTTTAATTAAGGAACATTTTGTTTTGTTAGAACTGAAATGTTTCTGATCATCTTGTTTAGCCAGTTAATAGATGAAAAAACTGAGACTTAGAAAGGTGAAGTCATTTGCCAAAGGTCATAAAGCTAATTGGTTGGCAGTTTGGGAATAGAATCCAGGAATCTCGAGATTTCAAGTCTACATTATCAATGCCACTGGAAAACTTTACTCATATTTCTTTAGAATTTATCTTAAAATAGATTACACTCATTTTTCTAAATATAAAGGTTAATATTAATCATATTTTTCATATCTAACCTTTTTTTGAGACAGAGAGTGTTTAGACTGTCCAAATAAAGGTGTTATTTCTGTGAGAAGGAAGTTGGTGAATTATTTTAGAATGTGAGTGGGATTCACGAAATAGCTTGTGATGTTGCACTTCTAGAGGCCTAGAAGCACATAGACTTGCCAACTTTACTAGAGAACGACAAGGTCAAAAAACTGTTAATTCTGTTTTTCTGCACAACACATTTGTTTCTTCTGACACCTTTTGGGCAAGGTTAAAAAATACAGGAGTAACAGCCGGGCACAGTGGCTCATGCCTGTAATCCCAGCACTTTGGGAGGCTGAGGAAGGTGGATCATGAGATTAGGAGTTTGAGACCAGCCTGATCAACATGGTGAAACCCCATCTCTACTAAAAATACAAAAAAAATTAGCCAGGCGTGGTGGCGGGCATCTGTAATCCCAGCTACTCAGAAGGCTGAGGCAGGAGAATCGCTTGAACTCGGGAGGCAGTGGTTGCAGTGAGTCAAGATCACGCCATTGCACTCCAGCTTGGGTGACAGAGCGAGACCCGTCTCAAAAAAAAAAAAAAAAAAAAAAAAACAACCAGGTGCAGTGGCTCATGCCTGTAATTCCAGCACTTTGGGAGGTGGAGGGAGGCGGATCACGAGGTCAGGAGTTTGAGACCAGCTTGGCCAATATGGTGAAACCCCGTCTCTACTAGCCAGGCGTGGTGGGGGGCACCTGTAGTCCCATCTACTCAGGAGGCTGAGGCAGAAGGATCGCTTGAACCCAGGACGTGGAGCTTGCTGTGAGCTGAGAATGTGCCACTGCACCAGCCTGGGTGACAGAGTAAGACTCCATCTCAAAAAAAAAAAAATCTATATCTATATACATACACATATACATACGTATGTACATATATATATGAGTAGCACTTCCGCTTTATGAAATTAGTCTAACCAAGTGTTGTAATTTTTATATATACAATTATTCTGCATCATTCTGAAACTAGAGGTATTCTTCCATTAATAGGGTATATTCTTATCTCTTAAAGTCGAAGAATGGGGAAGAGATTTTCTCTCTTGCCTGATGCAGACAGGAAATGTTTTTCCTACCTCCTTACCATGTGGATAAGTAAGCTTGGGTTGATGGATGCCATCCTATATGGATACATAAAGAGAATCTAGGACCCTGATGAACGCATTGAACTGCTAAGTCAAACAGCCCTAGAACCTGAACTATTCTTGGACATTTATATGCAATAATAAATATCCTTAATACTAGCCAATTTTTGTGCTTCCCAGATCTACTTGGTTCCATCTGCCTCCCAGCCCTCAACCATTATTCTGATTCTTGGCCAGAATGAGAGCCAGGCTATAGCAAAAGTTTTACTATGTCTTCCACGTCTGGAGCTGTGGCAGCCCTAGTATGTAGGTTCAACCAAACTGGACTCACTGAAGCTCTGGCTTCCTCTCCATTATCTGACTAGAAGGGCTAATGACACAACCCAGTTATGAGAAGGAGTTAGACAAAAAACATAAAAGAGCTGGCTGAAAAACTACTGGCCTGTATCCCCTCTACAGACTGCTTAAGAGATATAGTGGTTCCATATAGCAAACATCATATGTGATTAAGTAAATCAGTTGTGTTTTTATAAGGCTGTGGCTAATTGGGTAATGCATTACCTTATAATGATCTTTCTGCCTCATTCCCTCACTCTCGTTTTCCCAGGATTATACCTCCCAACTTCAATAAAATGTTAAGCAGATAAACTTTACCTCAGGTGCTGTTTTCTAAGAAACTTAGGCTAAAGATTCCCATCAAACCGTGATATCAAGAGAGGTCCTAGAAAGCACACTCTCAGGATACTAAATTGCCTGCATAGCAGAGAACAATAGGGACCTAAATGTTATTGCTGTGGGGAGTAGCCATAATCTGTGTCATACCTGGCCTTACAGTTACTAAAATTTCATTGTTGGTGAATTAGGATGAGGTGCAGATAAAGGCAAACCATTGGAAATAAAATGGCTACTGCATTTGATAGGAAGGCAGAAGAAATAATGTGAGAATTGTGGCATGAGATGGTTGTTTTTGATGGCATTGGGGAACTTGCAAAAAAGTGATACACTCATGTCAAATAATTAATTATATAAGGTATGCCACGAATGCCAGGAGACTTCTGTAGTAGTCCTAAGGAAGACTGAAAAACAAAAACTAAACCAAAACAAAAAGCCAGCAGGCTTAGGGTCTTACTATAAATATGACAGACAACTGTAAGGAAGACAAAATAAATATCACATCTCCAAAGTCAGGGCCCTGATCCAACAAGTATATGAAAAGATGCTCAACATCACTGATCATCAGAAAAATGCAAATCAAAACCACAATGAGATATCATCTCACCCCAGTTAAAATGACTTTTGTGCAAAAGACAGGCAATAACAAATGCTGGTGAGGATGTGGAGAAAAGGGAACCCTCATACACTGTTGGTGGGATATTGGTACAACCACTGTGGAAAATGGTTTGGAGGTTCCTCAGAAAACTAAAAATATAGCTACCATATGATCCAGCAATCCCACTGCTGGGTATATACACAAAAGGAAATCAGTATATGGAAGAGATATTTTCATTCCCATGTTTGTTCCAGCACTATTCACAATAGCTAAGATATGGAAGCAAGCTAAATGTCCCCCAACCAACAAATAGATAAATAAAATGTTGTTACATATACACAGTGGAGTACTCTTCAGCCATAAAAAAATGAGATCCTGTAATTTGCAACAACGTGGATGGAACTGGAGGTTATTATGTTGAGTAAAGTAAGCCAGGCACAGAAAGACAAATATCACATGTTCTCACTTATTTGTGGGAACTAAAAATTAAAACAGTTAAACTCATGGAGATTAGTGGAATGATGGTTACCAGGGGCTGGAAAGGGTAGTGGGGTTGGAAGAGAAGTGGGGATGGTTAATGAGTACAAAAATATAGTTAACTAGAATGAATAAGTACAACATAACAGGGTGACCACAGTCAGTAATAATTTATTGTATACTGTATAATAACTAAAAGTGTATAATTGGATTATTTGTAACAAAGGATAAACGCTTGAGGTGATGGATACTCCATTTATCCTGATGTGATTATTATGCATAGTATGCCTGTATCAGGATATCTCATATGCCCCATAAAGATACACATCTACTACATACATACAATAATTTTTTTTTGAAAGTGAGGGCCCTGATAAGGAAAGAGTAGGACACCAAGGCCGGTGATGGAGATATTTAAGTGGGTGAACCTAAGAATTTTGAACACTTCCATTACCTTGAATCTCTCAAGAGTATCAGAAGTAGGCCTTTTTCTCTTCATAAAGAAAGATGGTCTTATCGTGATTGGACTCTGCAATGTTTTTACATAAAGCAGTTTCCTGGCAGATGATGTTTGTTTTTACTGTCCATTACTACTAGGACATCCAGGTAGATAATCAAAGTCATTACTATAACTAATGTGCATAAGGAGGGAGCAGGGGTGGGGACTTGGAAAGAGTAGATCCCAGTGGGCCAACTGGACCCACTGAAATTCTGGCTTCTCTTCCCAGTGGCTGTTCAGAGGAGCAAATAACACAATCCAGAAATGAGAAGTAGCTTATTCACCATGGAGTGAACTTTGACCAATGAAGGACAGTAGATGGCAAATAAACTGCTGACCTATTCTCCGAAAGATGGATTGCTTAAGTTACAGTGGTTTTCTATAGCAAACATCCTGTGCAACTGAGAAAACCAGCTCTGTTTTCCTGAACACCTCTGGCTATCTGAGTGTTAAACTTGCGGGATGGGAGAAGGTAGATGTTCTGGCAAAGATCTCTGGAGCTGATTATAATAATTTGTTGTGATGGTTCCTTGAATCTTGAAAGCAACAATGGTTACCATTAAACAAGGGTGGACATACCAGAATGTCCTTGACATGGTATGAAGGAAGGAATCAGAAAACTCAGAGAAATGAGAATGTATCTGTGCATTACTATGTCATATCTGAGAATCTATCACATGACTATGTACCCTGGGGGTGGGGCTGGGGACACTACCTTCACTTAGGCAATAAAGAATGCACTCATATAGAGAGCAACAGAATCTTTGAGAAACTTTGTGATGGTTTTCTTCTGCAGTCTGGATGTGTTAGTTAGAAATGGTGCCATGATCCAAGGCTCCATAATATCAATGGAGATGATGAGATTCTAAAACAAAATAGTCTAAGTGGCAGCCCTTAACCATCAGATGCAAAATATATGTATTTACCATAATGAACAGCAAAAGCAGAGTGACAGTAACAGTGTCTTTGCCCACAGGAACCTATGGTAATGAGTAATAGATCATGATTATGTCCTTGGGTGGGATATATGGTTAGTGAATAGAATATGGCTCAACTTTTATAATAATAGTAATGATAACAGTAAGAACCCTGTAAAGTGATGAGCAGAAGGCTGACCCCCACTGGCACAGTAGAAAATTGTGATTCTTCATTCTGTTTTTAGATACATATCAGTTCACTGGCTCATAGTGAACTATGGTTCATTGACTGAAGGGGAAACTGGGTTTCCTTGATTATTGTGAGGACTGAAAGAAGCCACACACTAAACGGTATTATCTAGATCCAATGGGTTTGAAAATTCATTCTTTATTATTTCTCCAATTATTTGCAATACCAGCTCTGTTTCTAGTATTACATTTCCTAGTAGAAATTTTCTCTTATTTTCTGTTTGTCTATTTGATCAATCTTACATGAATAATAAATGTTTATTTTCTGTAGTTTTATTGCAATCCTTGGTATCTGGGGAGGGTCAGTTCCTCTACCATGTTTTTCTTCTTCAATAGTATTTCTATAGTATTGCTAAAAGTTCTGTCTACCAAATCAACTTAGTCATTTTTTAAACTTTTTTCCTTAGTCATTCTTCTCTTGTATAGCTTTAAATATATTAAACAAACTTATTTTTATATTATGAGCCTCATATTTTCAATTTCTGGAGTCTTATTTGCTCTGGCTCTCTCTTTTTGTGCCTTCTTGTGAGTTTTGAGATTTTTTTACTTCAAGTTCCTGTTCAATGGAACTCAACATTAATTCTCTGAGGTATTCTTGAAGATACATTCATCCAGAGGATTTTCTTCTGCCAGCAGCATGGGGCTACCAATCATTCAGGATGAATTTCATATAAATCTTGGTTTAAAGATTTTGGAAGTGTCCTGGAGATATGAATGGCTCATGATTACAAATTCTCAAAGGTGATTTTAACATTATCCAGTTCAAAGGTTGCAAATGGAAATTTTTCTTGTCTTTTTGTAAGGGTCTCATTTATTTCTAGTCCAGTGCTACACCATAAGTATAACTCTTTGAGATACCTGTTTATGCAAAGGTGTCTTTTTAGAACTGCCATCTTCAGTGGGTCCTGGACTTTGTCTCCTATTCCCAGTGCTCTACTTATTCATCAAGACATAAGCTCAATATGCCCAGGATTGGGTACATGTCCTTGGGGTGAAAACTGGTTTGCTTTCCTGTCTCTCCAGATTCAGACTTGACTTTATCATTGGCTTGTAAACTTTCCTGAACTTTCTTGTCAACTCAGTAATTTAAAATGTCTTTTCCTCCTTCCTTTTGTCTTCTTGCATTTGTTTTATTGTTTCTATGGTTTTCAGCAGGAGGGTCTATCAGAAGGTGTAGTCTAGTGTATTTCAAAGTAGAAATCTTTATGAGACCAACCTTTAAGAGATAGCGCAGGATAACTCCAAGGTTATAGACACATCATTGGCTCTGCTACTTACTGTCAGATTGGCCTGAACATGTGATCCAAACTCTAGGCAATTCTGTTTCCTTCTCTGTAAAATATTTTTGTGTGTCAGGATTATTGTCAGGATTAAATGAGATTGTGGAATTTAAAGCTCTAAGTAATGGACTGACACATATAAGGCTGTCATAAATTATTATAAAATTGTGTGATGAATTCTATACCTTCCCAAATCCATATCTTTAAGAATTCTTATATGAATCACACAAATATAAAGAGATAATCAAGTAAAGTATTCCATAATTGTAAAACATCAATACCAGCATATGGGAAAATAATGGTTTATCTTTAAAATATCAGTTATTAAACTGGACCGTGGGAAAAAGCTTCCACAATAAATACACATTTAAGAAAAGCAGTCTAATTTGAGGACATATCCTTTGGCTATGACAACTCTGAAACAGAGAAGCACTTGCCTTCTGTTTAAAAATATACAAATATTCTAAATCTCACAAGCATCCGATAGCTGTGTAATGAGATATGAGCAGAGATTAACAGCAGTGGCTATAGAGATCCCATCCAGAAAAATGGTTACTTTGGTAAATTCTCACTAGTACCATCTGTGTGGAACACCGAGCACAATTTCAGTGCACTCTGATATTTTAGCCTCCAGATTGTTTAAAAATATTTGCTTACTAAATTTATTATTTCAATAAATTCTCTACCCTATTTTTTTTCTATTTGGAATTTAAAACATTTTAATGATCTCAGATTAATTTTAGAGCAGGTAATATGTTGGTAACTGAAAAATACACAATTAGGAGAAAATTGTTTTGATTTTCCAGTCATGATAGAAAATTCAATGGTGTCAACATAAAACAATTATTGTGTTTATTAATTTTAGATGCCAACTTAACTAGACCACAGGGAGCCCAGATATTTGGTTAAACATTTTTTGGGGGGATGTGTCTGTAAGAGTGTCTCTGGAAAAAATGTAGCTTTTGAATTGGTAGACTAAGTAAAACAGATTACCCTCTCTAATGTGGGTCTGCATTGTCCAATCCATTGAGGGCCTGAATAGAACAAAAATGTGGAGGAAGGGAGAATTTGCTCACTCTCTGCCTATTTGAGCTGGGATATCAGTCTTCTCCTGCCCTCAGACTCGAACTTACACGATTGACTCCCTTGGACTTGGAAGGGAAACACATCTGGGTCTCCAGCTTGCAGATGGTACATGTTGGGACTTCTCAGTCTCCAGAATCTCGTGAGCCAATTCCTGATAATAAATCTGTGTGTGTGTGTGTGTGTGTGTGTGTCTCCTATTGGAAATGTTTCTCGGAAAACCCTGATTAATATAATTACATATGTATGTAGAATGCAAATTTTAAAATTTAGAATTATCTAAGAAAAAACGTAGCTGGATGACTATTGGTTTCTTTACATTCATATTTCTAACGCTAGTGAAAGTTAAAATTTGGCTCATAATCAGAATGACCTATTCACACATCTATTTTCTGAGAATATGCAGAAGAAATCTTAGTTGGAAAAGATGTTCCTAGCTACCTTTGCTGGTTTCTACATTAACAGTGTATCAGAGTTGTTTTATCAGCTTGATTTCCCACTTAGAAATTAATGTGCGTTTAATGTATCATTATGAGTAGGTCTCTTATATTTCAAGAAACATGTTTAACTTTCAGAATACCATTATCTTTTAATATATAGTGGTCCCCAAGTGCACAAAATCCGTATTATTTTTACCAATGCTAATGAATGCAAAGAAGCTGTCATATATAATTAGTCTTTCTTTTTCTGGAAGTAAAAACTAATATTAAGGAGCAAGTATTTATTGAACTAATGACAATAATAAAAATGACAATAAATATAAATAAGTTGGTAATAGTTATTAAGAACTTACTAGATATCCGATACTTCGCTAAGTGGCATCTATATTACCTCATTTAAAACAACTTCCTGTGAAGTAGATGTTGCCATATCATAGGTGAGGAAAACTAAAGCTTACTGAAGTTAAGTTTATGTAACCACTCTGATGCTTAAATTATGTGAGCCTAAGTATAGGTATAACAGTAGAGCTTATTATAAAGGCTTGAGTTCTAGTATTTCTTTTACATTGTCCAAGGAAGAGCTCCTAAGTGATTATTCTTAGTGAAAGTTCTGGAGTGACCAGTTGCTTCGAACTTATGGCTTGGTTCTTATGGCTTGGTTTCATTTGTCTAGAATAGGTCACAAAAGAGAAATCTAAAGGGCATTGCATAATCTTTGAAAAGCTACTTCTCCTGTTGTTACTAAGATTTACTTGGCAGAAATGCTAACATTCTAAGGTGATTGTAGAAGATGTACATAAAGCCTGATGTTCAAAAATAGGAGATGAGGGATTACTGCTTACCATTTTTGTGATTCTGGACAGTCAAAAAGTTTTGTTTTTCTTCTCTATTCAATATTTTCAATATTTGTATAGAATATTTCTTGTGATGCAGTTAAAGGTATTACATAGGTTAATATATATGAGCATTTCATAAATGATTAATTGATATACTAGTAATAGGAGCAGGTACATCAACAATTGTAAATACTAGTTTGGGTCTGTGAATTTTGGGGTGATTTGTTTATTTCATTACTTAAAAAGGTATTTCAGTGTTATACTGGAGAGAAGTAAAGAAAAAAGAAAAGGAGACTAGTATGTAGTGGGAAATTCATTGTAAAAGTCCTCACCATATTCAAGTTAATCATGATCTGTTATTAAGTTACTGTTTTTTTTTGTTTGTTTGTTTGTTTTTTGAGATGGAGTTTCACTCTTGTTGCCCAGGCTGGAGTGCAGTGGCACGATCTTGACTCGCTGCGATGTCTGCCTCCCGGGTTCAAGCGATTCTCCTGCCTCAGCCTCCCAAGTAGCTGGGATTACAGGCATGTGCCACCACGACCAGCTAATTTTGTATTTTTAGTAGAGATGGGGTATCACTATGGTGGTCAGGCTGGTCTCGAACTCCTGACCTCAGGTGATCTGCCTGCCTTGGCCTCCGAAAATGCTGGGATTACAGGCGTGAGCCACCAAAGTTACTGATTTTAGAATAGATGGGAAAGAAGGCTGAGAACAATGTTCAACAGTCTTCCCTCGATCTAGGAAGGAATGAAGGAAAGACTTTTTGGTGCCTCTTTTAAAAAAATTATTTAATTGTCATTTAAACAAACCACAAAGTTCTATTTCAGAAGAAAACTCTGATCTGTTGAATGTGGCCTAACGTATCTTTTTTATTTAGTTAGAGGTTGATGATAATCTTTATTTCTAATAATTATCATAAATTCTACTTCATGTGTAAACACTTCGAAATTTCCTGGAGTGTCTAATTTTTTTCGTTAACACAGCTGATCTGCAGATAAAAGTGAAAAGAAAAAATTTAGGAAACCAAAATATCAGATTTCCCTGCAGACTAGCTTTGAGTTTCTTCTTGGCAAGGGCATTGCTGTAAATCTTAGCCCTTCTATTGAATCTTCTGTCTTCCTCTCATAAGTGCATTGACATAGAATCCAGATAAAATTAAAACTCTGTTTCTCAAAGAGCAAGATGCTGGAATGGAAATTAATTATGAGCCATAGACACATATAGATATTGCCTTCACATTGGATGGGCACAAATCTAGAGGAATTTTACCTCCTCAAGTCCAAAATCATCTCTGGGCATTGTAAGGGGCTTTGGCATAATTTTTCCATCACAATTTATGCATAGTCATTCTCATATGAAAAATGCATATCTTTAATACTTTGGACAGAGTAGATATTACCAAAACATCCAATAAAAGGAGTCCTTGTATTTAATGTAAATTACTCATGAGGAAAGAGCACCAGCCTCAATCACTAAAAAATAAGGCTAGTTCTGACTTTGGTTAGCTTGCCACATGATTTGAAGAAGAAACTTAACTTCTCTGTGCCTTGGCTTTCTTATATGAAGAATGAGAGTTTTTTATTCTTTTTAATCTTTGCTTCTGAAATGATACCATTCATATATATAATACACTCCATTCAGTGCCATTCCTTATTCCATGTAGTGATTCTTAATAGGAATTCTGTCTATTGAGAGACAGGATAAGAATCACCAGGTTGAGAATCACTAGATTCTCTCTATGGTCACTCAGAACTCTTAAATTCTACACATCACAACTCCAGGAAGGTCAAGAGTTTCCAATGGAATGGTTTTAGGCAAACACTTATCTTTCATATTACTTTCATCAAAGAATGCTTAGTGCTCTTGTCAGGAGGATGCTTCTGTTGTTAAACTACTATTTTGGTGTATTATGAATAGTTTAGTTTTCTCTTTAGTATGTTAAATTCAGGCACCAGAAGTCAGCTTTAAGGATGCTTCTGTATAGTGAAAGCACTTTGGGACCTATAGAGCTAAATTCTCTGTCTGAATCAGCAATGAGAAATAGCTTATTCACTGTTGAATTAGCATTGAGAAACCTTTGCATTGATATGGAGGTATCTAGGGTATGTGTAACAGGACTTTATAAACTTTCATTAAAGATTTATTTTAGCCAGTCTTTTAATTTACATTTTATAAAAGGATTTTAATTTTTTTGGTGGAATTTGCAGTGAAAGTACTATTGTTAGAGAAGTGATTTCACTTCTAAGTCCCTCTAATCATAATTATAAGCTATTGGTTGGATGTCTATAAGTGAATTCTAATTATTGCTATGAAAAGAGGGAGGAAACACAGCAATGTTGTTATTCGCTCAGTATCTTTTTATGAAGGGATGTTTGGGAAATGAGCCAGCACTGCTCCACTGCCATTAAAAGAATGCAGTCTATTTGACTTTGGCATTCAGAAAGAAGAAATTATTTTTGGCCTTTAAGATCTGCCTTGGGTGTAGAATGGGGTGCACCAATCTCTTCCCTGCCTCACCTCTCATACTCCTAACATTTCCACAGAGGACAGAAATGTCCACTGTCCCAGAAGGGATGAGAATGGGAGGAACCCTTCTGGCCTCCATTCCTACATATCCTTGCTCCTTGCTTTCAGGAGAGAGGAAGAGCACTTTCTCTGACAGGAGAGATCCAGAGACATGTTTGGATTCTTTCCTTTACAATGGTCTGCTTCAGAAGCTTGGGTTCTGTGTTTGCTCCCACCTCCATGACTGGGCATGCAGCACGTGGACCAGAGCCCACACTTGTCTATCTCCACTTGCAGGGCTTACTGGCTGTGAGGCTGCAATTCTGATTCAGCCAGCATACTCTATAGAACCTTGTTCTTCTTTAAATGGGCTTCTGAAAGTCCAGATGTTGGGATGGGGTGGGAGTGTAGGGAGAATGAGAAAGACAGAGTTTGGACACATATCTAAGTAACAAAGCTTATATTTTAATTTTCATCAGTCTTATGCATTTCTCAATTGGTTTTTCAGTTGGTTTGAAATTTGGATGGGATGTAAGAATGTGAACAGTTGTCATTGTTACAGTCCCAACAGCCTCTTTTACTAAGTTATGAGTAAGAGATAAATGGTTATTATTATAAATGTCTGCATTCTTCCTTTCAAGCATGTGCATTAATCCATTCTAACTTTTATTTTTTATTTCCAACTGTTGTTTTAAGTTCAGGGTTCTATGTGCAGGATGTGCAGGTTTGTTACACAGGTAAATGTGTGCTATGGTGGTTTGCTGCACAGATCATCCCATCACCCAGGTATTAAGCCCAGAATCTACTAGCTATTCTTCCTGATCCTCTGCCTCCTCCCACCCCCTGCCCTCCCAGTAATGGGATTGCTTGGTCAAAAGGTATTTCTGCCTCTAGGTCTCTGAGGAATCACCACACTGTCTTCCACAATGGTCAAACTAATTTACACTCCTGCCAACAGTGTAAAAGCATTTCTTTTTCTCCACATCCTCACCAGTTTCTGTTTTTTGACTTTTTAATAATAGCCATTCTGATTGGTATCTCATTTCATTTTGATTTGCATTTCTCTAATAATCAGTGATACTGAGCTTTTTTCGTATTTTTGTTGGCCACATGTATGTCTTCTTTTGAGAAGCATCTGTTCATGTCCTTTGCCCACTTTTCAACAGGATTGCTTTTTTCTTGTAAATTTGGTTAAGTTCCTTATAGATCTGGATATTAGACCTTTGTCAGATGCATATATTGCAAAAATTTTCTCCAATTCTGTAGGTTGTCTATTCACTCTAATTTCTTTTGCTGTGCAGAAACTCTACGGTTTAATGAGATCCCATTTGTCAATTTTTGCTTTTGTTGTGATTGCTTTTGGCATCTTCATCATGAAATTTTTGCTCGTGCCTGTGTCCTCACTGGTATTGCCTAGGTTTTCTTCTAGGGTGTTTATAGTTTTGGGTCTTACATTTAAGACTTTAATCCATCTTGAGTTGATTTTTGTATATGGTGTAAGGAAGGGTTCCAGTTTAAATTTTCTGTATAATGCCTAGCCAGTTCTCCCATCACCACTTATTAAATAGGGAATCCTTTCCTCGTTGCATGTTATTGTCAGGTTTGTCAAAGATCAGATGGTTGTAGGTATGCAGTCTCATTTCTGGGTTCTCTATTCTGTTCTATAGATCAGTGCATCTGTTCTTTTACCAGTACCATGCTGTTTTGGTTACTGTAGTTCTGTGATGTACTTTGAAGTTGGGTAGCATTATGCTCCAGTGTTCTTTTTGCTTAGGATTGCCTTGGCTATTTGGGCTCTTTTTGGTTCCATATGAATTTTAAAATAGTTTTTTCTAATTCTGTGAAGAATGTCAATGATAGTTTAATGGGGATAGCATTGAATCTATGAATTACTTTGGTCAGTATGGCCATTTTCACAATATTGATTCTTCCTATCCATGAGCATGGAATGATTTCCCATTTGTTTGTGTCATCTCTGATTTCTTTGAGCAGTGGTTGGTAGTTCTGCTTGAAGATGTCCTTAACTTATTAGCTGTATTCCTAGGTATTTTATTCTTTTTGTGGCAATTGTAAATGGTAGTTTATTTGTGATTTGGCTCTCGGCTTGCCTGTTGGTGCATAGGAAAGCTAGCAATTTTTGGACATTGATTTTGTTCCTGAGACTTTGCTGGAGTTGCTTATCAGCTTAAGAAGCTCTTGGGCTGAGACTCTTGGGTGGGTTTTCCATATATAGGATCCTTGTCATCTGCAAACAAGGATAGTTTGGCTTCCTCTCATCCTATTTGAATACCTTTCATTTCTTTCTGTTGCCTGATTGCCCCGGCCAGAACTTCCAGTACTATGTTGAGTAAGAGTGGTGAGAGAGGGCAATCTTCTCTTGCGCTGATTTTCAAGGGAAATGCTTCCAGCTTTTGACCATTCAATATAATATTGGCTGTGATTTATCATATGTGGCTCATTATTTTGATATATGTTTCTTCAATATATAGTTGATTGAGAGTTTTTAACATGAAGGGATGTTGAATTTTATCGAAGGCCTTTTCTGCATCTATTGAGATAATCATGTGTTTTTTGTCTTCAGTTCTGTTTATGTGATGAATCACATTTATTGATTTGCATATGTTGAACCAACCTTGCATCCTCGGGAAGAAGCCTACTTGATCATGGTGGATAAGCTTCTTGATGTGCTGCTGGATTCGGTCAGCCAGTATTTTGTTGAGAATTTTTACATTGATCTTCATGAAGGATATTGGCCTGGAGTTTTCCTTTTTTTGTTGTATCTCTGCCAGGTTTTGGTATTAGGATAATGTGGGCCTCATAGGGTTGGGGAGGTGTCCCTCCTTTTCAGTGTTTTGGAAGAATTTCAGTAGAAATGGCATCAGCTCTTCTTTGAACCTCGGGTAAATCTGTCTGGTCCTAGGCTTTTTTTGGTTGGTAGGCTATTTATTACTGACTCAGTTTTGAAACTCATTATTGGTCTATTTAGGGATTTACTTTCTTTTTGGTTTAGTCTTGGAAGGGTGCATGTGTCCAGGAATTTATCCATTTCTTCTAGATGTTTTAGTTTATGTGCATATAGGTGTTCATAATATTCTCTGATGGTTGTTTGTATTTCTGTGGAGTCAGTGGTAATATCCCCCTTATCATTTCTGATTGTGTTTATTTGAATCTTCTCTCTTTTCTTCTTTATTGTTCTAACAAGTGGCCTATTTTATTAATTTTTTCAAAGAAATAGCTCCTGGATTCTCTGATCTTTTGAAGGGTTGTTGATGTCTCTGTCTCCTTCTGTTCAGGTCTCATCTTAGTTATTTCTTGTCCTCTGCTAGCTTTGGGGTTGGTTTGTCTTGATTCTCTAGTTCTTTTAGTTAAGATGTTAGGATGTTTACCTGAGATCTTTCTATCTTCTTTATTTATTTATTTATTTATTTGTTTATTTATTTATTATACTTTAAGTTCTGGGATACATGTGCAGAATGTGCAGGTTTGTTACATAGGTATACATGTGACATGGTGGTTTGCTGCACCCATCAACCCATCATCTACATTAGGTGTTTCTCCTAATGCTATCCCTCCCCTAGCTCCCTACAGGCCCCAGTGTGTGATGTTCCCCTCCCTGTGCCCATATGTTCTCATTGTTCAACTCCCACTTATGAATGAGAACATGCAGTGTTTGATTTTCTGTCCCTGTTTTAGTTTGCTGCGAATGATAGTTTCCAGCTTCATCCATGTCCCTGCAAAGGACATGAACTCATCCATTTTTTGTGGCTGCATAGTATTCCATGGTGTATACATGCCACATTTTCTTTATCCAGTCTAACACTGAAGAACATCTGGGTTGGTTCCAAGCCTTTGCTATTGTGAATAGTGCCGTAATAAACATACATGTGCATGTGTCTTTATAGTAGAATGATTTATAATCCTTTGGGTATATATCCAGTAATGAGATTGCTGGATCAAATGGTATTTCTAGTTCTAGATCCTTGAGGAATTGCCACACTGTCTTCCACAATGGTTGAACTAATTTACATTCCCACCAAAAGCCAAAATTGACAAATGGAATCTAACTAAACTAAAGAGCTTCTGCACAACAAAAGATACTATCATCAAAGTGAACAGGCAACCTACAGAATGGGAGAAAATTTTTGCAATCTATCCATCTGACAAAGGGCTAATATCCATAATCTATAAGGAACTTAAATTTACAAGAAAAAACAACCCCATCAAAAAGTGGGCAAAGGATATGAGCAGCCATTTTTCAAAAGAAGACATTTATGTGGCCAACAAACATATGAAAAAAATCTCATCATCAGTGGTCATTAGAGAAATACAAATCAAAACCACAATGAGATACCATCTCACCAGTTAGAATGGCAATCATTAATAAGTCAGGAAACAACAGATGCTGGAGATGATGTGGAAAAATAGATCTTTCTATGTTTTTGATGTGAGCATTTAGTGCTATAAATTTTCCTCTTAACAGTGTTTTAGCTGCATCTCAGAGATTCTGATACATTGTATCTTTGTTCTCAAGAATTTCAAAGAACTTGATTTTTGTCTTAATTTCAGTATTTACCCAGGAGTCTTTCAGGAGCAGGTTGTTCAATTTCCATGTAGTTGTATGGTTTTGAGTGAATTTATCAATCTTGAGTTCTAATTTGATCACACAGTGGTCTGAGAAACTATTTGTTGTGATTTCAGTTATTTGCATGGGCTGAGGAGAGTTTTACCTCCTATGATGTGATCAGTTTTAGAGTAAGTGCCATGTGGTGATGAGAAGAATGTATATTCTGTTGTTTTTTGGTGGAGAGTTCTGTAGATATCTATCAGATCAACTTGATCCAGAGCTGAATTCAGGTCCTGAATATCGTTATTACTTTTCTGTCTTGATGATCCAATATTGTCAGCGGGTGTTAAAGTTTGCCATTATTATTGTGTGGGTGTCTAAGCCTCATTGAAGGTCTAAGAACTTGTCTTATGAATCTGGGTACTCCTAAATTGGGTGTATATACATTAAGTATAGTTAGATCTTCTTTTTGAATTGACCCCTTTACCATTTTGTAATGCTTTTCTTTGTCTTTTTGATCTTTGTTGCTTTAAGATCTGTTTTGTTAGAAACTAGGATTACAACCCCTGCTTTTTTCTGTTTTCCATTTCCTTGGTAAAATTTCCTCCATCCCTTTATTTTGAGCTTATGTGAGATGGGTCTCTTGAACACAGCATACCAATGGGTCTTGGTTCTTTATCAAGCTTGCCATTCTGTATTTTTTAATTGGGGCATTTAGCCCATTTACATTTAAGGTTAGTATTATTCTTTGTGAACTTGATCCTGTTATCATGATGCTAGCTGGTTATTTTGCAGACTTGTTGATGTTGTTGCTTCATCGTTTCACTCGTCTGTGTACTTCAGTGTGCTTTTGTAGTGGCTGGTAACAATTTTTACTTTCCATATTAAATGCTTCCTTCAGGAGCTCTTGTTAGGCAGGTCTGGTAGTAACAAATTTCCTCAGCATTTGCTTGTCTGAAAAGGATCCTACTTCTCCTTCACTTATGAAACTTGGTTTTGCCAGATTTGAAATTCTGGGTTGGAATGTTTTTTCTTTAAAAATGTTGAGGCTGGGTGTGGTGGTTCATGCCTGTAATCCCAGCACTTTGGGAGGCCAAGGCCGAGGATCACCTGAGGTCAGGAGCTCAAGATCCGCCTGGCCAACGTGATGAAACCCCATCTCTACTAAAAATACAAAAAATAGCCAGACGTAGTTGTGGGTGCCTGTAATCCCAGCTACTCAAAAGGCTGAGGCAGGAGAATTGCTTGAACCCGGGAGGCAGAGGTTGCAGTGAGCTGAGATCACACCATTGCACTCCAGCCTGGGCAACAAGAGCTAAACTCCATCTCAAAAAAAAAAAAAAAATATATATATATTGGCCCTAATCTCTTCTGGCTTATAGGCTTTCTGCTGAGAAGGCTGCTGTTATTCTGATGGGCATTACTTTGTAGGTGACATGGCCTTTCTCCTTGGTTGCTCTTAACACTTTTTCTTTCATTTCTACCTTGTAGAATCTGATGATTATGTGTCTTGGGGATATTCTTCTTGTGCAGTATCTTACTGGGGTTCTCTGCAGTTCCTGAATTTGAATGTCGGCCTGTCTAGCTTGTTTGGAGCTCTTCTGGATAATATCCTGAAATATGTTTTCCAAATTGATTCCATTCTCCCTGTCTCTTGTAGGTACTCCATCAGTTGTAGATTTGGTCTATTTATATAATCCCATATTTCTTGGAGTTTTTATTCATTCCTTTTTACTCTTTTTTCTCTATTCTTTTCTGCTTGTCTTATTTCAGAAAGACAGTCTTCAAGCTCTGGGATTCTTTCCTCTATTTGTTCTTTTCTGCTATTAATACTTATAATTGTATTGTGAAGTTCTTGTAGTGTTTTTCAACTCTGTCAGGTCAGTTATGTTCCTGTCTATACTGGCTATTTTGGCTGTCAGCTCGTGCATTGTTTTATCATGAT
The DNA here is from genome assembly GCF_000001405.40 of Homo sapiens. NCBI lineage: Eukaryota > Metazoa > Chordata > Mammalia > Primates > Hominidae > Homo > Homo sapiens. Next base: position 82,327,377 of record NC_000009.12, read on the forward strand.
TTTGAACTTTCTTGAATTGAGTTAAAACATGCTTCTTTATCTCAGTGAAGTTTGTTTTTATCCACCTTCTGAAGCCTGCTTCTGCCATTTCAGCCATCTCAGCCTCAGCCCAGTTCTGAACCCTTGCTGGAGAGGTCTTCTGGTCATTTGAATTGTAGCATTTCCCTTACCTGCTTTTTTTTCTCTGTAGCACTTATCTCCATCTAAACGAATATATTTTCTTTCTTTAGTATATTTTATTTTCTTTGTTACCCTTACTAGACTATAAGACACTCCAAACTATATGATGAGGTGAAGAACTTTTTCTGTTTTGATCTCTGATACTGTATTCACAAAGGACTAGAACAGGATTAGCCTGTCGTAGGCAGTCACTAGGCACTGGCCATGGTAACCTCAGGTTAGAGAGTTGGCTGAGGAGGGTATATGACTGGATACCACAGTCTTACCACAGCATGTGGAGGCTGAGTGGAATGCATATCTGGGAGATTGGTTGGGATGGGGAGTGAACTCCCCTTCAGTGGGGCCTGCTAGCGCTATCTCCATCTCAGTGAGTCCATAAACTAATATGAGCAACAGTCATTACAGCCAAGGACAGGAATATAATCTTGCCTAGCCAAGTTGGAACTTTAATTTTTCTTTCTCTCACTTTTGTCCAACTCCTGAGCAATCAACACAAAGAAGGGAAAGGTGCAGGATGTAGGGTGGGTGGGTAGGGAAGATGAAGAGCTCACCACCCTCCACTCAACTCCAGACTGCCAGAGTCAGTCTGTCCTACCCTGGAGTCAGGAGAAAAATGCTGAATCAGATATGGGATTGATGTTTAGTTCTTGATAGGACTATGTCTTCTAATACTGAAGTAAGATTGTTCTAATAAACAATATTCACTGGACAATTATGGAATCTGCCACAGTTTCATTAAGGGAGTCACAACCCAGAAGGACAGGTCGATTCTACACAGTAGATTTGGAGAAATATATTAGGAAAAAAACTCCTATAAAACCGTTAATTGTTTATAATCCAGAAAATTAATACTACTCAATAGATTGGTTTGCTTTTTTTTTTTTTTTTTTTTTTTGGGTGACAGAGTTTTGCTCTTGTTGCCCAGCTGGAGTGCAGTGGCGCAATCTTGGCTCACTGCAGTCTCCGCCTCCTGGGTTCAAATGGTTCTCCTGCCTCAGTCTCCCGAGTAGCTGGGATTACAGGTACCTGCCACCATGCCTAGCTAATTTTTGTATTTTTAGTAGAGATAGGGTTTCACCATGTTGGCCAGGCTGGTCTTAAACTCCTGACCTCATGATCCACCCATTTTGGCCTCCCAAAGTGCTGCGATTACAGGTGTGAACCACCACACCTGGCCAGATTGGTTTGCTTTTACATTGGATATTATTATCCCATTTTAGAGAGGGTAGAAATTAAGGCTCAGAAACAAATAATAACAAATTTAAGGCCATACCACTAGAAAGCATTAGCCAGGATTAAATATCAGGCCTACTGACTACAATGTCTACACTTTATTGTTGAGGATATTTTCTCACCTGTAATGAAAAGGAAGGAAAAAGCAAAGGACACACACACCACACAAACACACACACCTCATCTTTTTCTGCCCAAATTAGTTTACATTGTTTCTATAAAGGTGCTGAATCCAGGTTTTCTTTCTCTCCACAGGAGTCTTCTTAAACAGTTTGATATTTCCAAATTCATGAAACTGGAATATTAACCCAGCAGCATCAAGAAATATTAATACACTAGCATGGTTTGGTTGTACTCACTCCTTCACGTAGTTTATGCCTCTGTATTTTTCAGTAACATGCAATTAATAACTAGCATTCAGTTAAAAGCTAGAATTACTTCATTAGCTTAGGCAAATTATCTTTTTATGCTGGTGATAAATAAGCAGCTATTAGCAATGATTCACATTAGTTCCATGGTTTAAAACAGCTAATTTCCTCCTGGAGGCTTTGCAGCACACGTGCTAATACTTTTCCTCAATGTACTCTTATTATGGTACTCATGCTAACAAGGTCCCCCTCGTCTCTTGAACAAAACTATACATTTGTGTTCACTGTAAGGCTAGGCTTGGTGGAACCCACTCTGTTAGAGGCAAGTATTTTTGTTTAGATCTCTAGATAGGTTTAAAGGTATAGAGTGAGATATGTAAGACAGACTAGTTGGTTCAAATGTTGGACGATTTTCTTAACATCACAAATTGTGCTGCAGGAGAAGGCAGTCATGCTGGGGAGAAGGGGGCTGACGGCCCACAGTCTTGTTCACGCTCCCTGTCACCTCTTCTGTTGTCCTTTGCCTTATCTTTCTACTTTGTTTCAGCAAGTCCTCAGGTAGCCTCAAAATGGCCTCAGTCAGCTTCTTTTCAAGGTTTCATGTATATATATCTGTAGAGTATAATACTCTTGCCTCTGGTGTTTAACCAGTAAAATGACTGGTCCTGAGAGTTTTGCCTCATTGACTATCAGAACTTAAGTAGACATTCAACTAGTTACCAAACTCAACATATACCTGATTTATTTATAGAACATTGAAAACAGACCTTACACAACATCCAAGTGCTACAAATGTATTAGGAGAAAATCAGCAGATAAAAGTATATTGAAAGAATAGATTATTCTGATTGGTGTCTTTGTTTATACTCATGATATTCTTTCTTGATAACTGGAATATATTTGATATTAGTTGAACAATGGTCTTATAGTCTAACAAACAAGGATTCTTATAACTTTCTCAACAGAGATAATACCACATTTTAAATTTAATTTTCCTTTTGTATAAAAACAACTTTTATTAAGCAACTAAGTCTAATTCTAGCTTAAAATATATTTATAAAGGATTTTAGAGGAAACTGTTAAAGAAACAAATGCCTAGATATAACTTGGTACTATTTTCAGTAAATTATTATTGTTAAATATAACCTGGGTTTCCTTCTGGTAGTGGTAGTGTTTCCTTTCATTCATTTTGAATCTCTTAATTAAGTCAAAGTCTTTTCTGTTTGTATTATGCTTCAGAGTCTTGGGCAGGCCAACAGAATTTATAAAAAAAATGGGATAAATGCTCTTCCAAGGTCTTATCGTAGTCCAAAGGAAGGAGTGACCTGTGATTCCATTGGAACTTTGAGGATAAATCAGAAAGGGAATCAGAGAGAACAGCATGCTTGGCAAAAGAAGGAGCGTGGGGAATGAAGCTGTAGAAGTAAAAATAACCTGGGAATTCCATAATCTAGGATGGAGATTAAGGAGAAATTGCTGGAGATACAGATGGAAGGGTACTTTGGGAAAAATCTTCAGTGTCATGGAAAGACATTCTAAAGCATTTGTACTTGATTGGCAATCATTGATAGGTGTCTTTATTATTATTAAAGTGATTTAGAGAAGATAGTGATACAATCAGGAAGTTTTCCATGATCTGTTGGAAACATGACTGACAGAAATGTAGATATTGGAAAGACAACTGAGCAGGCTATTGTAATAATCAAAACTACAGTGTTTGGAAGCAGGCAGTGGCCGTGCAAATGGAAAGAATAAGATGTATTCAAGTATTTGAGTCAACAGGACTTGGTGACCTTTTTGAAAGGATGATGTACAAGGAAAAGGAGAAACTAAAGAAGGCTCCTTAGTTTAAAAGGCTCCTTAGATAAAAGGCAGTGTCCTTTCCTGAAGGAGCACATCTTCATGTCTGAACTCATATATTATATTAGTAACATAATATTCCTTTCTCTAAAACAGAAAAACAATAGTTGTTTATTGTCTATAAATACCTTGGAATGATCCTTGCTGACCTTAATAGTGCCATAATAGTGCTATCCCCAAACTCATTGGCATATAAAATTAGCATCTTGTTTGCACATCTGTATATAATTAGAGCTCACGTGATATAGGAGGATTCAGTTGGGCTTTGTGCCATAGTGTCTCTCATCCTTCTTGGACTAGCAGCTACTGGAGACATTTTCTTCTTATGGCAAAAGGCCTGGGCACAGGAGAACCAGCTCAACTGTGCATGAAAATTTTAAACATTTTTTCATTGCATGGCCTCCAACACTCCATTGGCCAAAGCAAGTCACATGGCCAATCCCCCGTCAAGGGGAGAGAGGTATTTTCTACCCACTGTGAATCAATGACACAGGTATGTGTCAGAAGAATAAAACATTGAGACCAAAGTCAATCCACAGTACTCTATATGGCTGTTTTTGTTACTCTGAGAACTGAGATTCCCTTTTCTTACTGAATAAACATGTCTCAAGTTTTTATGGTTAATCTTAGGATGATGCAGGGCCATCCCAATTGACCCTAATCCAACCAATGGTACTGCTGGATTTTGGTGACTATGTAACTGCCTGTAAATAGGTGTCTAGGTTGGACTGTCATGCTCCCTTTAGGTTATACCACTCATCAGCAATACAGCTCTGCTGCTGTAGCAAATCTTAATATTTTCCCTAGAGATAGGCCAATTCCAAGGTATTGACCAGCTCTGATCCTGTTTAACTTACGAGAACAATCAAGCTCCCTACTTGAGGTGATACCATATTTACAGTTCTTGGGAAAGAATGACTAAATAAATGTCACGGAGAGGAAGCCATAAGAGGCAGTGTCTGCCTCTGCCTGGAAATGCTGTGTGTGTCTTTGATTCTGTCTCCATTGTCACCTGGAATGCTTTACCTCGGTTGTTTAAGGGTTTTCCACTGCAGTTTCTTTTTGCTATCTCTTGCATTCCTTCCCATAAAGTAGGCAGTTTACAGTAATAGCATTGGAATGAAGCTCTACTTCAGGCAGGAAAGGTTAAACATTTTAAAAATGCAAACCAGATAAAATTTTAAAAACCTCAAAATAGTCTTGGAGCCACAATGCCTCTGTGCCATCCCCAGCCATTCTCTTTAACAAAAGACATCCCTCTCTTATGCAAGCTTCTCATTTGTCAGAGGAGAGATTTCCCTGTCTCCTCGGCGCACACTCTGTATAATTTAAGATGACTCACTGTACAGGAAAGTTCACCTTCCATTAGCATGTTTTCTTTAGTAAGCACTCTCTTGCAAGTGCTGTAGTGTAAACATGAGTGCCTACGAATATGAACATTTATTAAATAGCACTGATGAATATTTCAATACCTCGGGGAGAGCAATTCACAGCTCAATCATTCAAGCTGTTTTAAGTGCAGCACAGGACAATTCCACTACATCTTCCATTAATATTTAATTGCCCATTTTATTCTGTTTACCTTTTTGGTTAATATATAATTTAAAGCTCTTCTACTAAAAAGGGGGAAAAGAGAACAGCTGTTCATCTGCTTTTAACAAATCTCTGGTGAGAGCTTTTACCTCATTTAAAATTCATTGCAAAGAGTTTTTATTTAATATCAGTAACACAAAACCTTAGGTATTAAAAGTAAAACTTGGAAGTGACTGTCATGCAAAAAGCTTAGCTGTGACTTGGGTTTGATTACACATCCATTCCTGAGTGGCAGGCATTGACAGGAAATGTCTGAATCGCCAGCAATGGCGCCATGTGTCACGTCCTCATGAAATAGAATCACCGTAACTCGACCTGACACATTCTGACAACATGTTGGAAAGTTGTTATGCACCCTGCAGAAAGTCAGTACTGTCATCCTGGCAATGCAGATTTTACTGACGAGATAAAACACATATCTGCTTGCTAAAGGACAAGGGAGTCAAATAGGTGCATGGCCTTGAGGATCTGGGGAATCCCTGAGGCACTAAAGATTCACTTCTCCTTGGCCCTCCTTTGGTGATTGCCACCAGTTTCTCTTTACTGGTTCAGATTCCCAAGGCCTATCTCTTGTCATGTGATAGCTTTCCTTTCCTTTCCTCCTAGTGGGCTGCAGTTTGTGTGTCACAAGTCTGTTTCTAAACTGCTCCCAGTGGCAGGGACCTTGACATTAATGACAGATCTCTACATTTTTGGGGTCTCCCAGGCCCCCCAGGTCAGTAAGTAAAACCCACCCCAGATCCACCCCAGAGAGAGTCACCATATCCTTTCTTTCTCAGTCACCTGGAATTAGCTGCTTTCTAGAACAATGAGCTACATAATCTGTTTTTTTCCTGTTCAACTTATTCGTTGCAGTGGATTCATTCCTCCTGTTTAAATATTCCCAGCATGGCCAAGTCAGCAGCAGCATGAACCTCAAAAATACCATCACCACTGTCATTTCACTTGAGCTCAGGAGTTTCTTCTCCAGGGTGGGCTTTCCTTATTTGCTTTTGCATCACTTCATTATTGCTTTCCCCAGTCTCTGCTGAGTTTGGTTCACTTTCTTCATCAGACTCTCCTTCAATAGACACTCTCACATAATGCTTCCTTTCACTCATTCATTTATTCAGCATCTGATCCAGTGTTCTGAAAATATAGGCATTCAGTAGGGAGGAAAGGAGAGAGGAAGAGAGAAAGAGAAGAGCCACCTGCCTTTATAGAGCTTACATTATTCGTGGAGGAGTCACTTGATTTTGAGCTGTATTGATGACTAACATAGGCATCATGGCACTCTACCTCTGTCCTCCCCTGGATACTGGGATGTTCCTTTAGCTGCGTCCAGAGTGCCTCAAGATTCATCTAGAAAAGGAAAGAGATCAAATACTATTATAATTAGATTGTGAAGACATCCCCAATGGTTCACTTCTCCCTGTATCAACACCCTCTGAGGCTCATCCAATGAGGTGAAGTCTGTTTTTTTACCTCTTGAATCTAGGTTATCCTTGTTACTTGCTTTGGCCAATAGAATATGGATAGAGAAATGATGTGTGAATTCTGAGCCTAGGCCTCAAGAGGCCTGTTTGCTTCTATTCCCTTTTGGACCCTGGCTCTGCCTGGGCTAGCCTCAGGAAGATCAGACACTCCTAAAGGAGCACATCTTCATGTCTTAACTCACATATTGTATTAGTAACATAATATTCCTCTCTCTAAAACAGAAAAACAACAATAGTTGTTTATTGTCTATAAATACCTTGGAATGAACAGAGACATCTCTGCTGAGGCCATTCTATGATAGCCAGCCAGCCTCTATACATGAGAGTGGGCCTGAACAAGATCAGCAAAGTGCTTACACAACACAAGTTGACCACAGATGTATGAGTGATCCTAACTAAGACCAGAAGAACTTTCCTAACAAGAAGGGCAGAAGGCCAGTTCTCCCATATACTTGTGAGCAATAAAAATGCATAATGTTTTAGGCCACTAAATATGGGGGTGGTTTGGAATGCTGTAATAGCTAACTGACAAAGGTATTCTCTAAACTTTTCTTATAGTCCACTTAGGTGAGACATACTCCTATACTCTCTGCCTCCCTTATCCTGTGGCAAACCCCACTCAACCAGATCTTAGGATTTGACAATTTGAATTTATTTTTAAAATTGTTTCAAGTTTCAGGGCCAGGCAACTGGATCAAATCCCTTAAAAATTGAGCTCAGACCACGGTGAGCTAGAAATAAAATGAGAACCAAAGGCTGAAGGAAGAGGAAAGACGTGGTTTAAATTTATTGGAAGAGAGAATTGTATAACAGTTTGGATTGATTTGTATCTCATCAGAAAGGGCTCACATATCTCTGGGTATAGCCATTTACCAACTTGAATGGAAAAACTGATGCCATGATGTAACTGTATGCAGTTCAAATTGTGGTTACAACTCACATTTCCATCCCTCTTCCCCCATTATCCTCTGTATTAATTCAATCACAGGAGTTAGGTGAGTTGGTGGGGAGACCTATGAAGTCATCTTGTTTTTTTCCCAAGAGCCATATCTGAGTTTCTACCCATAGTGTATTTTCAAATGCTTTCTCTAATATGCTTGAAAATGGCTTGAGCAATGATCTACCCTAAAAGCTTTAACTGGAAATAAATTCTATAAGCACTTTACCAGAAGAGAAATTAATGCAGAGAAAAATAATTGGAGTTATATCTGACCAAAACCCATGTAAGCAAGGAAATTTAGAGTAATGTTCAGATTTTCTTCCTCTCTTCTCCTTTCTTTGCTCTGTGTTTTGCTACAGAGGTATCAGATACCTTTCAGTGGGGCCTAAGAGAACATAAGGGTTAGAATTAGGTCTAATCATGATTCAGGGACTACTCAATTACATGACTGGTCTGAATTTCCTAGATATAGGCAAATCCTCAAAGGTTTACCAAACTCAACAAATTCAGATGATTTGTAAGGAGAATAATTTGATCTGTAGAGAATCACAATATTTTATTGCATTACAACTGAGCCTATGCAAGCATCTTATAGTTTGTAAATTATGGCCTTAGGAGTCTCAAATCCTGGGTTTGGCCCTAGTGTCATTGCTTTGACTTTATATAGAATATCCTTATTCCTAAAATATCAAAGTGGAATAAGGGGATCCAGACTGGAGTAATTTCTGAGCTGGGTGGATTTTCATGGGTTTCTACAATAGCTGGTGAGGAATCTAGAGTTGAGAAAACATGAGTATGAATCTCACATAAGGGTTAGCATAATCTTGGTCAAGGTTACCTAAATATTTGAAATCTCAATTTTCTTATTTTTAAGATGGAGAAAATAAGATATTTCTCCTATAATTATTAGGATCAAATAAAATAATATATGTTAGAGGAAATAGACCAGTACTTCCCCAAGTGTGTTCTATCCTGTGTTAAAAGGGGTTATGTATGAAAAGTACTCTGGGAAACTGTGTCAAGTGAAATTAAACAGTTTTCTCTGCTGTAGGACTTCATAGAGTTTTTAGTAGACTAGAAGTCAGAGTGAATCTCATTTTTTAGATCCATTTGACTACGGCACTACAATATCAGTAGGAAAGGTATTATGCAGAACATAGTAAGTGTCCAGAAATGTTAATTTCCTTGCCTGTTCCTTCATCATGGACTGGTCCTAGTGGCTTGGTAAGCTTTTAAAGGTGGATCTGTTTTCTGATTCTCTCGACCCCATTCTCCAATGTTTCCATAGTGAGGAGATTACTGACTTAAGCGTGGTTATCCTTTCAAACCTGTAAGACTAAGTTTTGCCACTCTGGGCATAGGATGTTGTTCCCAGTCCTCAAGTCCTCTGTTACAGTCTAAAAAAAAGTGGGGGCTTCTGTCCACCTGACATCCTTTGCCCCATCTCTCTAGATTTGCTGTTGTAACCATTGCATAGATCTGAAATAATTGCTTTTATGCAGAGTGGATAGTGTTGACTACATCAATACTTACTATTTTAACTATATGAAAGTGAGATAGAATAGCCTCTTACATATTTATTGATATGTTTATCTGTTTGCTGATTTCTAGCTATAAATTTTAAAAATAACATTTATTAGGTTGGTGGTAACGGAATGATTAAAATGCATAAGTAAAAAAGGCTCATCATACCATCCCACATCATGCTTGTTAGCATTAAAACAAATTCCCTTGATTAGAAAATTCAAATAATAGTCAAAAATAAGAAATTAAAAGTAAAAGCCCCTATAACTAGAGATTTAGAGCAGCTTTATTCATAATTGCCCAAACTTGGGGGCAACCAAGATGTTCTTCAGCAGGTAAATGGATAATCTGTGGTACATCCATACAATGGAGTACTATTCAGTACTAGAAGAAATAAATGATCAGACCGTGAAAAGACATAGAAGAACCTTAAATGCATACTACTGAGTGAAAAAAGTCGATCTGAAAAGGCTATGTACTATATGATTCAAACCGTATGGCATTCTGGAAAAGGCAAACAGTAAAGAGGTCAGTGTTTGCCTGGGGCTAGGGGGAGAGAGGGACAAATAAGCAGAGCACAGAAGATTTTAGGGCAGTGAAACTCTTCTGTATAATACTATAATGGTGGAGCCATGTCGTTATACATTTGTCCAGACTCACAGGATGCACAACACCAACGGTGAACCCAAATGTGAACTATGGACTTGGGGCGATAATGATGCATCAGTGTAGGTTCATCCATTGTGGAGAATGCAGCAATCTGGTAGGGGATGTTGACAGTCGGGGAGGCTATGCATGTGCAGGGGCATTGTGTATCTGGGAACCCTCTATACTTTCTGCTCAATTTTACTGTGAACCTAAAAATAAAGTGTATTTAAAAAAAAAAGTAAAAGTCTCTCTTTCTCACATTGGGCTCTCTTTCTAAAGGCAATCAAGTCTTACATATCTTTGTCAGACAGAATTGCTATACATAAATTGGCAGTACACATACATATATGTACATATGTATGTGCTTCTGTATATAAAATACATATTTTATTTATACAAGGGAATCTTATGTCTCTGTCTATCTTTTCCATTCTAATGGGTAAAAATAGCATCTCATATTTGTCTGAATTTACATTTTGAGCTTTGAATAAGGTTTAGTCACTTTTCATATGATTAATGCTCTCTTGTATTTGTCTTCTGTGTGCCTATCCTTTGCTCATTTTTTGATTGAGTTATTCTATTTTTAAAAATTATATGTTTATATTACCTCTTTTTAAATTAAGAAAATTATCCTGATATTTAATATATGTAAATTGAAAAATATTTTATATATATTGTAAAAATGTTTCCTATTTTGCCATTATTTTATTTTTCCATATAGAAATTAAAAATTTTTATACTGCTAAATTTATTATTCATTATTTTTTATATGTTCTTCATCATGTGCCTTGACCAGAAGACCTTTTATGTTCTAAGATTGTAATAATTTTATTTGAACTTTTATTGAGAACTTTTGAAGATTCATTCTTTTTACATTTAAATCTTTGTTATAGCCAGAATTTGTTTTGGCATAAAGAATAATAGAAGGATTCAACCTTCATATTTCCAAACAGCTATTCAATTGTTTTGACTTCATATATAGGCAATCCTGCTTTTCTCCATGGATGAAAAATGCTACATTTAAATTAGTATCCTGTATGTATTTTGTTCTACGTCTGAATTCTCTGTTAAATTACTTTGTATACTCCTATTCATAGCAGTTATCATTTTCTGAGATAGGTTTTCCCAAGAAAGGAATAAAATAAACGTTTTTTAAGTAGAAAAAGCTGGGTTTTTATAAGACTGAAGATTTATTATAAAATGAAACTTTTAAGCCTAACAATTTACCATTCAAATGTTTAGACAAACTTACTGAATTAGAAAATTTTATGTGTGTGTCTATATCTGTGGGTGTATGAGAGAGAAAGCCAGACAGACAAACAGAGAGACAAATGCAGAGAGAGAGAGGATTTTATCATTTTATTGATGTAAGACTTTAACACTAGCAGTAAAAGAAAAAAATACTAAAACTGGTTATTTTATACACCCCAAGTTCCAGTTCTCAACAGGGTAATTTTATTGTCAGGTTGCTATAATTCTAAAACTTAAAAAGTGATAATAAGCTCTGTAAAAATAAACATTTTTATTCACCAACTGGAAAGAGCAAAGTCAATGCAATTTACACAATTATCCTCCTAAAATTTCTGTGTAGTGAGCCAGTCTTACTATTCACATTTAAAGATGGGTGGGAAAGGTAAAAAGAGGTAAATCTTCTGATTAAAACTAGAAATGAATCAGGGCAAGGACTAGAACCAAACCCCCAAAGAGACAAGTGCTCTCTATATAATAGATACACTCATTGGAAAGAGCAAGGCTGGATATTTGCTTGGCTTTACTTTGTTGTTATTGTTAAAGGATACTAAAGTTAAAGGTCATAGCTAATGGTGAAACCTCACAGAGCATGTGAAACCTTCAACAAAGCTTTCCAAAATGACTCGACTTTACTTCCAGCATCCAAATGTGGGTATAATGATCCCTCAGAGATTATTAAATCAGAGAAATTTTAAATAAATCAAACCGAAGCTTCAGAACTATGGGGTAGGGCCAGGAGTATCCTCTTTATCTTTGGGCAGTTGCAATTATGCCTGTATGTTTTCACAATTTTCAGAGAGGAACTTGGGAGTAGATTCTAATCTAACAGTTCATTTCCTGTATCAAAAGGCATGGTACATATGCTATTTCCTTTCTGATTACATCCTTCCTAAATGTTGTTCTTTCACCAAAATTAAACTGTTTTGTTACCTTTCTTAAAGCAGGGATGATTCCATTCAGTTATGATAGTCACTGTCTAAGCCCCTTGCTTTTTATGAAAATAACACAAATTCAAAAACGAATCTCTTAAAAACCTGTCTGTTTCTTTCCCATTTCTTTCTGATGCTTCTTGTCTGGATTTATCAGATGAAAGATACTCTATCTTTATCAGCAGTAGCACTATTATCTGTTCACTTCCGAATTCTCATGCTTTCAGTAGAAGGAATCTGATCCCTAAATCAGACAAATCTCTAGTCTTTTATATTTGTAAAGACAGCTGCAAGTAATTTTTTAGTGTCTCTACGATTTCCTTTTCCATTGTCTCTAATTCCCCCTGTTGTTATTGTAAGTGCACACAATTTATCCTTGATGTTTGTCCTCTTAAATACACATAGCACTTGCAAAAACAGTTTTTAAAAATTGGTTATAATGTTCTGTTATTTCTAGTGCTTGCTATTTAAATTTTATCCTTTAATTTTTGATTACCTGTTTGCAATTTTGACCTTTATAAGCCAGACTTTTTCATTTTAACTTAATGACTATTTTTTTAACCTTTCACAATATGGGTAATTCAATACCCAGAAGAAAGGAACAAAACATCTTCACCAGCTAAATCCGCTTATGACCCTAGAAAACTTCCTTCTAAGTGACCACCATAAGCACAGGAGTTCTGAGGCTCCAGGGAAACTCCTTTTCCTTCTCATTCATCTCTCCCAGCCTGAGCATGCTGGTTGTCGACCAAGCTTCAGCGAGACCAGCATTGCCACCTACTTGGGTCCTCTATCTGGAGTCACACTCTGGCTCACCTAGTTCTGGGCACACTTAACTCTACTAATAAGCAATTTGTAAACTTCATACCTCTTTCAAAACACTAGAGGTATCTTACCAGGTTGAACAGTTCAGTTTTGTTTCAAGCTGTGCCAGAGAAGCACTGTGCACATTTTCAGGGTCTCAGATTGTCAACAGTCTTGGCACTGCTTTCTGTCACCTCCATGGTGGATGAGGAAGTACAAATGTTGTAGAAGAAACTATCTAGAGACTGCCCAATAACCCAGACTTAATGTTTTAGCAGTGTGGTTCTGCTCATAGTCTCCCACTATACCATGCTGTGACTCCATCACAGCCTTCGCCTAGGACACCCTCCTGCTGGTCCTCCTCTTAACATCCTGTTAACATCTCAGATAACTTCTACTTGTTCCTTAAGAAAATTTTCATTTTTGTATGCATGCACTTAGTTCAGAGGGCCAGCTATTTCCACAAGGCAGGTTAAGGCTAATCAGTGCCTAGTTTCCTTTCTTCAATTCCCCCACCTAGAGTCTATCACTTTTTACTTGTTTACCTTATTCTTTGGGTATTTACATTTTAGGTATTATTTGTTGACTTCCCAGTATGGAAGATGAGCATTTGGTTCTCCCCTACTGATCACTCTCTAATATGTCTATTCCAATATCTTTATCACTCTGTTTATAGCCTTAGAGTATTTGATAGTCCTTGGATGTCTGCTCATATTTCCAAGTAGGGGCACATCACTTATTGGAAGCTCTAAGCATGTGAGTGGGATTAATTGGCAGTATCATCATTGTAGGGTGACCTGGTTAAGGTGATGTTGGAGAACTCCAGATTTCATATCATTTTGTCTTTTCTCATGTCGCAACAGTTTTTCGAGAAGATCTCTGGATCTCAGTTTAATGGACTTTGAGACTTGGAAACATGAGCTCTAAAATTCCCTTCATATATCAAATATTCTACATATCTTTTCCCCCCTCTAACTAGAAATAAGCAATATGGTAGTAAAAAGGAATCCATAGAGCAAACTTTGTTATTTGTCCAGGCATCAAACGGTTATAATTGGCAAAAACAGTTGACATTTCACCACAACATGGGTTGAATTTTGTTTAAAAACAAGTAATAATTAAAATGTAATTAAGAATAAAAAATTAGATTTATGGTTTTAAAAAAGAATATGTAATAGTAATGTGTATTGCCCCTGCCTTTGAAGTCATGCCTGATTTTAAGAGATATCACGAGTGAAAACATTGAAGTGTGCTGAAGAAAGCAGTAACTTATTCTGAAGGGTCTCAGTAAATGCAGGAAATCTTGGGAAATTGCAGGAAAAAAATGATTCTATCACAAATTTTAACATCAGTTCACTGGATGCTTTCTTCCACATGCAGCTGAATCTTGATTTATTTTGTTAATGAGCACTGTGCTTTACTATAAATTTTCTTCTTACTGTGTGCATTACTAATACTTGCAGATTATTTTTCTGGTAAGGTATGATTTATTTTGAAGATTTTAATTTTTGGCGAAGGGAGTCAGATTAACATTAGGAAGTAGATTGAAATTTTGTTTTGTTTTATTGTTTAGAGTTTTTGAACTTTTTTGTTTTTGAACCAGAAAGAATATTGAACACAGAAAGTCATGGATTCTGTGTCAGTTTAATAAAATAGTAAAACTTTTTAAGATTGGCTCAGTGTGAAACAGCCTTGTTGCTTGGGGTAGCACCTGAAATTCTTGGTCTCATGGCCGAAGAAATCAAGAACGCAGACACACCAAATGTCAGGTTAGAGCAGAAGCAGAAGTTTAATAGGCAAAAAAAAAAAAAAAAAAAAAAAAAAAAAAAGAGAACAGCTATCTGCAGCAGAGAAGGGTCCCAAAAAGGGTTGCCATTCAGCAGTGAAATGCAAGTGTTTATAAGCTAGTGGGGAAGCAGCATCTTATCTACATAGGGTGTGAAAAACTGGTTAGGACCAGGTGTGCCATCTGAATAGAGGGTGAATCTCTGGCAGCCCCCACATCAATCTTTTATTACATAGGCAGGTCCTTTGCCTGAGCTACTCCATGTTGCTTTCCTACTGTGTATGTGTTAAAAAGCAGGAGGTGGAGCCCCCATGGTGACATGCCTGGCCCCCAGCTACCCCTTTCTATCGGTGCAGCTGCAGGCATTCCCCGCTTGCAAACTTCCAGCTTCCTTATCTATGTTTGCAGCCTGATCTTCCAGGCTGCTCTTTATTAGAAAAGAAGTGATTTCTTGGGCTGCTTTTTGCCAGAAGGGAAGTTCTGCCGAGGACTTTTTTCCCGAACTATTTGCCTAGCTAGTTTTTTTCTACCTCCTCTCTCAAATGCATATTCGTACCTCCAAAAGCATATTTTATTTTCTGAAGAGATAGCCTATTTCTTCACTTAGGATAAGAAATTAAAGTTTTAATCTCACAATTATCTAATATTCTTTACCACTAACCTCAAACAAAGGTAATGAATTACTTCTAGCAGTTTCCTCACCGAGCACCAAAGTTATTCTTAAAAACTAGATATGGTTTGGTTCTGTGTCCCCACCCAAATCTCACCTATAATTGTAATTCCCATAATCCCCATGCGTCAAGGGCGGGACCAAGTGGAGGTAATCAGATCATGTGGGCAGTTTCCCCCACGCTGTTCTTGTGATAATGAGTCTCATGAGATCTGATGGTTTTATAAGCGCCTGAGATTTCCCCTGCTTGTACCCACTCTGTGCTGCCACCCTGTGAAGAAGGTGCCTGCTTCTCCTTTGCCTTCTGCCATGATTGTAAGTTTCCTGAGGCCTTCCCAGCAATTCGGAACTGTGAGTCATTATATCTCTTCCCTTTATAAATTACCCAGTCTCAGGTAATTCTTCATAGCAGTGTGAGAATAGACTAATACACCACACTTCTGTTATCATGGCTTCAGGCTTGACCTGAACCCCTTCTTTTATCCTGCCAATCCACAGTGGCATGCATGCTTTCTTTACCTTTGGTATGTCTTCAGTTTCTATTCTCTTGTCTTCTTTTAAGACCCTATGGGCTACCCCTTTCTTCCCTATCTACCTTTGCCAGGCATGTAAAACTTCCTTTTTCCCTTTTTCATGCCCTGTGCCCATGGTCAGCAAAACTACCCCCATACTTAGCCTTGACTGCTGACTCCATTTTGGGCAGAATCTTCTCACTTAGGCCCTCCTCCATCCCAGGAGAAGAACTAGGTCACAAATACGGTTGTTTCCCAGCTGGTATTTCTGAAAATGTAAATGAAAGACAGTTTAAGGGGAAGAGCCTGGAGGAAAATGAGGCTAATTTGCTTTACCATTTTTTTTAACTGTCCAAATGTAACCACTACCGGAGGCCTTTAATTTAAATTCTGGAGCTCTAGGATCTGTGAGACTCCCCATCACATTCTCTCAGCTTCTGCTTGGGATTCTTGTCCTTAGCATTAGAGACTTTTTTTCTGCCTAGGTAATTTCAAAATGCAAATTACAATAGAAACAACAACAGTAAAATCATATAACATCTATTGAAAACTATGGTCTAATCACTTTTATATACATTTTCTCATTTAACACAACAACTTAATGACCGGGGCCTTATCAAAGTCCTCATTTGAAAGAAGAGGAAACTGAGGCTTAGATGTGTAAATAAATCAGCAAGCATGTGTTTAACCTTGGAATTGCATCTAATTCTACTTGATTCCAAAGCCCAGCTCTTAATTACTAGGAATATTGACTCCTTCTTTGCTCCATGATTTAACATTTCAAAGTGATTTCTGAGATGTACTGTTTGACTTCCTATTAATGTCAAATTAGAGGTTTTACATTAAAAAACTTTTATTTTTGGTAGAGTGTGACCAAGAATGAATGGCTCAATATATGCAATAATAATATTTTATATTTTGTGCAGTGTTTTACTATATAGGGCATATTTTCAGTATTTGTCCCTCACATGAATCCTGTAAGGATGCCTGCTCTAAAGATGAAAAGTTTGATTTTTGAGAAATCAAAGAATGTGCCTAAGGTCATATGTGAATGGCAAAATTGAAACATGGAGCACAGTGTTTTGACAACAACCATGCCTTTCTTCCTAATGCAGCATGGTATGTTACTGCTTACCAGGAATAACTGCTCCAAAGCATCTCTGATATGAAATTTCAGCTGTGTACTAGCCCTGCTATGTTCTGGAAGTGAGAAAAGGAGTAAAGTATAAGAATATTTCCAGAGTTTTATATATATATACCAGAAATCCAATAATCGTTTGAGGTCTTATATGCCAAGAAGGAGACTGGTATCCTGTAGGATATTCTGAAGAAATCTTCCCTCAGTACCCAGGACAAAGTAAACCTCTGATGCTGATGCCTTTATGGCCACTATTCCTGCCACATCCTCTGTATATCAGAAAGTCAGTGTTCTGTAGGCTTCCAAGTACAGTATATTCAGTATATATATCCATGCCACCAGATCTATGGTGAATTTCATGTCATAGATTTCATTTTGGTTTAATGTTGAAATTGCACTGTCAATTTTAGCAGCATCTTTATTAGAGGTACATCAGTTTTCCCAACTGCTGCAGCATGACAGTGTAATTTCCTGAGTAAGCCCTTTGATTAAAGAGAAAGTCTTTTAGGTGATACCACTTCAGGCTGAACAGAAAGTGCCAGCACCTCAGTAAAACCCATTCAATAACAAATCTCACATGCTGTTCTTATTAATAACTCTTGATATGGTTTGGCTGTGTCCCCACCCAAATCTCATCTTGAATTGTAACTCCCACAATTCCCACTTGTCATGGGTGGAACCCAGTGGGAGGTGATTGAATCATGGAGGCAGGTCTTTCCCATGCTCTTCTCATGATAGTGAATAAGTCTTATGACATCTGATGGTTTCAAAAATGAGAGCTTCCTTGCACAAGCTAGCTCTCTGACTGCCACCATCCACGTAAGATGTGACTTGCTCCTCCTTGCCTTCCACCATGATTGTGAGGCCTCTCCAGTCATGTGGAACTGTAAGTCCATTAAACCTCTTTTTCTTCCTAATCTCACGTATGTCTTTATCAGCAGCATGAAAACAGACTAATACAGTAAATTGGTACCAGTAGAGTGGGGTGCTGCTGAAAAGATACCTGAAAATGTGGAAGCGACTTTGGAACTGGGTAACAGGCAGAGTTTGGAACAGTTTGGAGGGCTCAGAAGATGACACAAAAATGTGGGAAAGTTTGAAACTTCCTACAGACTTGTTGAATGGCTTTGCCCAAAATGCTGATAGCGATATGGACAATAAAATCCAGGCTGAAGTGGCCTCAGATGGAAATGAGGAACTTGTTGGGAACTGGAGCAAAGGTGACTCTTGTTGTGATTTAGCAAAGAGATTGGTGGCATTTTGCCCTTGTGATAGAGATTTGTGGAACTTTCAACTTGAGAGAAATGATTTAGGGTATCTGGCAGAAGATGTTTCTAAGGAGCAAAGCATTCAAGAGGTGACTTGGATACTGTTAAAGACATTCAGTTTGTAAGGGAAGCAGAACATAAAAGTTCAGAAAATTTGCAGCCTGGGCCAGGCGCGGTGGCTCATGCCTGTAATTCCAGCACTTTGGGAGGCCAAGATGGGGGGATCACGAGGTCAGGAGATCGAGACCATCCTGGCTAACATGATGAAACCCCGTCTCTACTAAAAATACAAAAAATTAGCTGGGCATGGTGGCGAGCACCTGTAGTCCCAGCTACTCAGGAGGCTGAGGTAGAAGAATGGCATGAACCCGGGAGGCAGAGCTTGCAGTGAGCTGAGATTGTGCCACTGCACTCCAGCCTGGGTGACAGAGCGAGACTCCATCTCAAAAAAAAAAAAAAGAAAAAAAGAAAATTTGCAGCATGATAATGCAGTAGAAAAGAAATCCTATTTTCTGAGGAGAAATTCAAGCCAGCTGCATAAATTTGCATAAGTAATGAGGAGCTGATTGTTAATCCCTAAGACAATGGGGAAAATGTCCCCCCAGGCATGTCTGAGGTCTTCATGGCAGCCCCTCCCATCACAGGCCTGGAGGCCCAGGAGGAAAAAATGGTTTCGTGGGCTGGGCCCAGAGTCCCTGTGCTTTGTGCAGTCTAGGGACTTGGTGCCCTGTGTCCTAGCCATTCCAGCCTTGGCTGAAAGGGGCCAACGTAGAGCTCAAGCCATGGCTTCAGAGGGTGGAAGCCCCAAGTCTTGACAGCTTCCACATGACACAGAAGTCAAGAATTGGGGTTTGGGAACCTCCACCTAGATTTCAGAAGATGTATGGAAACACGTAGATGCCCAGGCAGAAGTTTGCTGTAGGGACCGAGTCCTTGTGGAGAACCTCTGCTAGGGAAGTATGAAAGGGAAATGTGGGGTGGGAGCCCCCACACACAGTCCCTCCTGAGGCACTGCCTAGTGGAGCTGTGAGAAGAGGGCTACCATCCTCCAGAACCCAGAATGCTAGATCCACTGACAGCTTGCACAGTGCACCTGGAAAAGCCAAAGACACTCAATGCCAGCCTGTAAAAGTAGCCAGGAGGGAGGCCTGTACCCTGCAAAGTCTCAGGGGCCAAGCTGCCCCAGTCCGTGGTAACCCACCTCTTGTATCAGCATGACCTGGGTGTGAGACATGGAGTCAAAGGAGATCATTTTGGAGCATTAAAATTTGACTGCCCTGCTGGATTTTGGACTGTGTGGGGCCTGTAGCCTCTTTGTTTTGGCCAATTTTTCTCATTTGGAATGGGTGTATTTACCAATGCCTGTATCCCACTGTATTTAGGAAGTAACTAACTTGCTTTTGATTTTACAGGCTCATAGGCAGAAGGGAATTGCTTTGTCTTAGATGAGACATTGGACTGTGGACTTTTGAATTAATGCTGAAATGACTTTTAGGAAGGAATGATTGGTTTTGAAATGTGAAAGGGACATGAGATTTGGGAGGGTCCAGGGGTAGAATGATATGGTTTGGCTGTGACCCCACCCAAATCTCCTCTTGAATTATAATTCCCACCCAGTAGGAGGTAATTGAGTCAAGGCAGTGGGTCTTTCCCATGCTGTTCTCATGATAGTGAATAAATCTCACGAGATCTGATGATTTTAAAACCAGGAGTTTCCCTGCACAAGCTCTCTCTCTTTTTGCCTGCCACCATCCATGGAAGATGTGACTTGCTCCTCCTTGCCTTTTGTCATGATTGTGAGGCCACCCTACCCATGTGGAACTGTAAGTCCATTAAACCTCTTTTTCTTCCCAGTCTTGGATATGTCTTTATCAGCAGTGTGAAAATGGACTAATACAGATCTGCTTATGTGGAGTACTGAAGATCAGCTGGCAACACTATTCTTCAAAATACTACAGCAGAATTTTCCCTCATATTTAAATATCAAAAAATCAGAGGTCATCTTAACAAATTGCCTTGTATGATTGTCAAAAGCAATAGCAAGGGAAATTCTTAATAAATTACTGATTATGAAGTGAAATCATTACTGTAGTAACTTAAAGTATTCTAGATATAGAAACAAAGCTGTCTTTTCAAACTCTTCTTTTTGTCTAAAAATTTTTATGGAATTAAAATTCACATAATATAAAAGTAACCATTTTAAAGTAGACAATTCAGTAGCACTTTTTATGTTCATAATCTAGTTCCAAAATATTTTTGTCACCCTAAAAGGAAACAGTTTAGATCCTGTTATAACTGAGAACATGTGGTATTTGGTTTTGTGTTCCTGTGTTAATTCACTTAGGATAATGGCCTCCAGCTGCATCTATGTGGCTGCAGAGGACATGATTATGTTCTTTTCTATGGCTACATAGTATTTCGTGGTATATATGTACCATATTTTCTCTGTCCAGTCCTCTATGAATGGTCACCTAGGTTGATTCCATGTCTTTGCTATTGTGAATAGTGCTGCAATGAACATGTGAGTGCCTATGTTCTTTTGGTAGAAAGACTTGTTTTCTTTTGATATACATGCAGTAATGGGATTGCTGGGTCAAATGGTAGTTCTGAGTTCTTTGAGAAATCTCCAAACTGCTTTCCATAGTGACTAGACTAATTTACATTCCCACTAACAGTGTATAAGTGTTCCCTTTTTTCTGCAGCTTCACCAGCATGTTTTTTGACATTTTAATACTAGGCATTCTGCCTGATATGAGATGGTATCTCATTGTGGTTTTAATTTGCATTTCTCTGATATGCAAATTAGTGCATATCTAGTGATATGGGAGCATTTTTTTATACGTTTGTTAGCCATTTGTGTGTCTTCTTTTGAGAAATGTCTGTTCATGTCTTTTTCCAATTTTTAATGGGGTTGTTATTATTTGTTCAATTGTTTTAGTTTCTTATAGATTCTAGATATTAGACCTTTGTTGGATGAATAGTTTGCTAATATTTTCTCCCATTCTGTGTGTTGTCTGTTTACTCTGTTGATAGTTTCTGTTGCTGTGCAGAAGCTCTTTGGTTTTCTTAGATCCCACTTGTCAATTTTTGTTTTGGTTGCAATTGCTTTTGCGAACTTAGTCATAAATTCTTTCCCAAGACTGATGTTCAGAATGGTATTTCCCAGATTTTTTTCTAGGGTTCTTACACTTTAAGATCCTACATTTAAATCTTTAATCCACCTTGAGTTAATTTTGGTATATGGTGAAAAGTAGGGGTCCACTTTCATTCTTCTGCATATGACTAGCCAGCTATCCCAGCACCATGTATTTAATGAGTCTTTTCCCCATTGCTTACTGATTTTGTTGATTTTGTCAATGACCATATGGCTGTAAGTGTGTGGCTTTATTTCTAGGTTCTCTGTTCCGTTCCATTAGTCTATATGTCTGTTTTTGTACCAGTACCATGCTGTTTGGTTATTGTAGCCTTGTAGTATAGTTTGAAGTTGGGTAATGTGGTGCCTCAGGTTTTGTTCTTTTTGCTTAGAACTGCTTTGGCTATTTGGGCTCTTTTGGGGTTCCATATGATTTTTAGAATACTTCTATGAAAAATGCCATTGGTAGTTTGATAGGTATAGCATTGAATCTGCAGATTGCTTTGGGCAATATGGCCATTTTAATGTTGATTTTTCCAGTGAGCATGGAATGTTTTTCCATTTGTTTCTCTTGTCTATGATTTTTTTAAAGCAGTGTTTTATTGTTCTCCTTGTAGAGATCTTTCACCTCTTTGGTTAGATGTATCCCTAGTTGTTTTATTTTATTTTTTTGGTGGCTATTGTAAAGGTGATTGAATTATTGATTTGGCTCTCAGCTTGCATGTTATTGGTTTATAGAAAATGCTCTGATTTTTGTACATTGATTTCTATCCTGAAATTTTACTGTTGTTATCAGTTTCAGGAGCCTTTTGGCAGAATCTTTAGGGTTTTCTAGGTATAGAATCATATTGTCCATGAAGAGAGATAACATACTCTTCAACACAGGAAAGAAAGGGAAAAGAGCTGGACACTAGGCTAAACATTTTGCATATGTTACCTAATTTTCAGTAATGAGCTAGTAAGCTGGCTCTTCAAAAAAAAATCCCAGATTTATCGCTCTTGCTAATTTCTGTGTTATAAATATTTCCATCCAGGCTGATTTCAAGTTACCCACAGGATGTCACTGAATGCAGAGTTTAAATGAAATGCCCACATTTGTTTCTCTCAAATTGTAGGAGCTGGCTGCAGCATACCATGAATCCTCACAGCAACTTAATGAGGTAGGTGTTACTTCAGATATTTAAGCCAATTATCCATGGTGACAATGGCTTAAAAATTATAGTAGTTGAATTGAAATTGGGATAGTCATTTCTGTATATGATTTTCATACTTTTCCTGCTACATCTCACTATGCCTGAAAAAAAAAAGTATATATTGAGAACCTTTTTGGTATGAAGCATTGAAGACCAATTGGTAATACCCACAAATAATGAAGAAGACATACATGAAACCTTAACACTTGGCCTTATGTCGATTTTCTACTCATCCACCTGGGACGTGTGACAAAAGTTTTCAGGATTTCTGAGAAATGTAAAATAGGAAGAAATTTCCTAAAAACACAATGTAGTGGAAGGGAAACATCTGATGTATCCTCCAGGTTTTGTTCTGTTTTGTTTTTGTATGTACATACTCATTATGTTACTGCTTAAAAGAGTTGGGAACTGAATCATGTCTATAATTTTTTTGAAATGGGAAAGAATTAAATGCAATGCACCCTTCCCTGTCATTCCACTGAAGAAATCTGAGCCCATTCCACTTTTCTAGTTTGTCTCAGAGAGAATTTGATAATGCCACAAGATAATATAAGACAACAAAGAAATGGGCCCATTTGCAAATCCCACCCAAGGTGATCAAAGGTGTTTCATTTTCTTTTGATTGATTTCTCATCTGTTCCTATTCTCTGTTTAATTGGAAGGAATTGGCTAAGAGTGCTTAGTGTCTAAACCTATTAGAATCAATTCCAAATTCTGTTTACCAAACTCAGATGGGTACTCAGGCTCATAGTCTTAAAAAAAAAAGCCTAGTAAGCCATACTTCTAATTATGTTACCTGGAGTAAGTAGTTTTCCTAAAATTGTGCCAAAGTAGAGTCTCACAAACATTTATGACATGGCCTAGTAGATGCGCATAGAGGTTTTAATGCCTCAATGGCCTGAAAGAATGAGAAGACCTCTCCAAGAGGCTAATTTACCACCTGCCTAACACTGTGTCCATGACAGTTGCACAGTCAGTGGAAAGAGAGCTAAATTGCCTCTTTGCTCACAATCTGTGGTCAAACTGATTGCATCCTGGGTTACAACGGCATTGTGAAGAGAGAGGCTTAGAGGCTCTTAGAATTTAAACTGTTAGTGAAAGTCAGCATGTCCCAAAATGACTGCTGGATTGTGTGGATTCTGAATAAAAATTCTAGCAAATCTACAGGTTATGGATAATGAGTAGAAGGTAGGTGATGGGAAAAATATTGTCCTGTAGGTCTTCATTTTCTAATGCCAAATGTGTGTCTTGGCTGACTGGGCAACAAGGTCAATAGAACCCAGGGGCTACTGTCTTTGGAGTCATTGAGAATTGATGAGGAAAGAGCCAGTATCTCTCCTTTCAGAGCCCTATGAGAAGCTCTCCCCAAACTCCTTCACTGTTCATGTGGGCAGATCAGTCATGGCCACAGTAGAGGAGATGTATCAAGGTAGTTAAGCTTGTGAATTCTGGAATCAGAGAGCTTGGGTTGAAATTCCAGCTGTGTGTCCTTGGGCAAGTCACTTAACCACTTTGTGACTAAGTTTTATCATCTGTAAAATGGGGATGGTAATAGTACTCTAGTCATAGACCTGTATGTAATATGCTGAGAGGTAAATGCTATATGGGTGCTCAACACTTTCAACACCTCACCCAGATAAAGCTGCCCAAACTGAGAGCCATAGGAAATGTCAAGGTTCTGGCTGTAGCTCCTTGGCTTTTTCACTCTGCATGCTGAAGACTGCTGTGACAACCACCAGCCTGAAGACTTTTTCAGCTCACAGGTTGGCCTGCCTGAAAGACAGGTCAGAAGTTCTGAAGAGGTAGTGTTCCTGAAATAAACCCTAAGCCAAAGACAGAAAGGATTATGGTGGATATTCAGCTCCCTTATCGTTCAGTTGAGATGAATCTGGGGTATGTTCCAAACTGTCTCCTGAGGCACCCCAGTGGGATTAAGCTCCAGTTACCCACAATGGTAACTGTTTACTGGCTTTCTTTCCTTTCTTTCTTCCTTTCCTCACTACTCAATTTCTTTACTGTTGTTTTCTGGGATCACCTTGCAAATAAACTACTTGCACTTGAATCCTTTTATCGAGATCTGCTTCTGGGAGAACCCAAATCACGGCAGGTTTCGTGGATTTTTTGGAGTGTCATAAATAACTATTGAATTGGATGCATTATTTTTAAAAATTTCATTGAGACAATATACACTCTTTGGAAACTTTAAAAGGCTAGTACAAGTTTTTATGCTTCTGTGTTTGTTATTGTTTTAGTGAGAAAAGATCTGGACTTAGAGGACTCAAGTTGCTGCTAACTAGCTGTATTTTTTTAAATCTCTGTTTTAACATATGATACTATGTACACATTATTGTAATAATTAGTTAATATATGTAAAATGGTTCCAAAAGGCCACATTTCACTGGGGTTTTGTTTTGGTTTTGAAATTTTTGCAAGTTGACATGGCTTCTTCATTTCTCATTACACAACATAGAGGATTCATTAATATTAAAAAGAGAACTAATTTGTCTATATTGTTATGACCTATCTTCGGTTATTCAATTTTGATTATCATTTCCATTTCAACTTTTCAACAATCTTATCTTCCTTGCCATTTTGGCAGTCACCTGAAAACCTAGCCAAGGTTTGGATGTCTTGTGGAAGCAGGGCAATGGATTTTGGAGCGGTGTATTTTAGATCCTGGTCTTTAAGCTCTAAGTTGTAAATTGCATGAGACATTTCAATTAATAATGTTAAGAATTTTTTTTTTTCCATTATATAAGCAATTCATGTACTGTTTGACTAATGCTTATGCCAAGTATGAGTTTACCAAACTACTAAGCCACAGGCAAATTCAAACCTTACAGCCTTTTCCTGTGATTCAAAAATAATGAAAATAAATATATATTCATAAAAAGTAAAGGAACATTACATTGCTTGCTATATTAGCTAGTTCAAAAAGCACTTTTCATTAAAACATTTAACTACTCACTTTAAAAAAATTAAATTTAGCTGGGCATAGTGGCATGCCTCTGTAGTTTCTCCTACTTGGGAGGCTGAGGCAAGAAGACCACTTGAGGCAGGGAGTTTGAGACCAGCCTGGCGCAAGATGGCAAGATCCTGCCTCTAAAGAAAAAAGAATTACATTTAAAAAGTTAAAAAAAGATGCAAAATGGCAATATAAATAATAGGGGGAATGGCTTAATTGCTACCATTGAAAGAGAACAGCAATTGATATTTTGATCTTCTTTCTATTTTATATATAGGTTTTGTTGTTTTTTTACTGGGTTGATTTTATCATGTAATGTGTATTTCACCATCATGCACATATCTAAGTGTATGTCTGGGGGGTTAATCAGCATGTATGTCTCAGTGCAAAGCACTTTCTTCCAGGTTCTCATTCGCCTTTTAGCTTCTCTTTTTCCAGTCTGGTTTCCTGCCCCTAGCCCCACCCCTACCTCCTAACTTCTCAGGTTGTCATCCATACAGCAACCAAGTGCCTGAGTTTTGTCATTTTGGTACCAGAGCTACAGTCTGGAGACTCTGCTTCTTTAGGCAGCCTGACTGCTTCTCATCCCTGGTGCTATGATGGCAACTTTGGGATGTATTTCTCCCTTCTTTCCTTCCCTTTCCCTTAGACAGGGATTTATGAAGTGAGGTTATTAGGAAAGGGCAAGGTCCCTGTAGGGCCCTGCCAGCTCCACTCTTCCCTTTAAAATTAGATATCCATTTTTTAAAACTTATAATTTTAAAAAATGGTTATAAGCATCAATACAACAAGGTGACTGGTGGGGTAGAATTTTAAAATATGATGTAACCTCTTCTTGTTCTAGAGGTTAAGCCAGCAAGTCAGCTTAGGACATATTTTTCTAATCGTGGGGGGAAATGGCCTGGCTTACCTTAGTTACATAACCATGTGTGCAGCCTGTTCTGGCATTTACATGCCCCTCCCTGAAACAAAGCAGAGGATTCTGGTTTGAGCAACGTTTTCCTTCCTTTCCTCCCTACCCTTCCTCACCCTACCTTTTGTGAAGGTTGTGAATCAGTTTTTCATAAGAAGTCTAGAAGCCTTGTGAGAGTGAAGAGACTCCAACCCCAGCTGTTTCTCCTTAAGATTCAACATTAGAGAAATTTGGAAGGAACCACAGTGTTCCTGACTGAGACCTCTTGGTGGGAAAGGAACATGACAATGATAGATGAGAACATACAGTGAGAGATAGGAAGTTGGGGCTTCCCGAAGTTTCCAAAAGGATCTAAGACAGGTCTGTCTTTGCCAGACCCTGTACTGAGCCTTCATATGGTCCCAGCCGTGGCCAGCCTAGTTCTGACATCGCGACTGGGCAACAGTGGGATGGCTCAGCGTTTGAAATGAGTGGTGACCTCCATGGTGGCCTCAGGATCTAAATGTACAAGGGCTTCACTGTAGCTGTGGACCCTTGTCCAGTGTCTGCAGACCCTGAAGTGACAATGCCAACAGTGCTGCCTCTGACTCATGGTTCTCTCACATTTAGAAGAGTCATCGAAGTCCTTTGGTCTACATCATTGTGATTGAGGGGATATGGGATACCAAACTGCCTGCCCACACAGGCTTCTGGGGTTTTACATGATTCATTAGAATAATAAAAAGGATGTGGCTACGTTTATACCTCCAGGCTGGTGAAGTAAGTCACTATTACTCAAGCATTCTTCATGTTATTACAAACATTAATGCCTGCCTAGCCATGTACTGAGAGAGTGTACTATATTTTATTTTCTAATTTCTCCTTTATTGGAAATTTAACTCTTTTGCATGAGACATTTCTGGTAGAACCTAGTATTTGTTTTAGCACTATTAGTGTAATAGTAGTAGGCATATATTTTCTAGTTGCTAAAAATATGCAGCTCCAAACATTATTTTTTGGGGTGTGAAGTTAACTTCCTTCTCTTGTATTTGAGGGGCATTAGGGGGTTTTGTCAAGAGTGGGGCATGAGGGAGAGGAGGCTCAGAGAACTAAGAGTGTACACCATGCTTGCTGGTCCCGGGTTCTCAAAGGCATCTTTGACCAGAAGGGGGGTCAAGGATAGTACTATCTGTTGGGAGGAAGCCACACATCCAGTGGATGTAAAAGAGCATGACTGTCCCCAGTGAGACCCTAGTAATAAGCAGGGCATGGCACATGGTAGGTGCTTGGTACTTACTCTTTTTTAATTTTTGGATGGTTGAATATTTCCACTAAGCATTCAGAGAACAGATTATAAACCTATGTAAGCATTCCAGAATTATAAGATTAGACTTGCATAAAGTTGCCATGTAATTTAAAAAATGCTCTTTAACCTATGGAAAGGTTTTTTTTTTCCATGAAAAAATTGGTAATGATATGTACACTAATCTATATAAAGAGCATAAGATTATAATACAAATAAATCCATGTGATTCCTTCCCGTGTGATGTTATGTTGTTTCAAGATAATATTTTTCCCCATAGTGGTTATGTGATCTTCTATATCTGGATGTAAACAACAACAATAACAACAAAAAGAAACAAAAAAACACTCATGCCAAAGGAAATAATGACTATAGCTCATGGTGGTGAATGATACTTTGGGGGAGATAGGAAACTACCTTAGACCTGTACTTCTGAGTGCACATTATTACTTTTGCTTGATTTCCCTCTAACTTCTATTTATTTGAGAACCATGATCAAATGAGACCACAGGCACCACTTTCAATTACAGAGATTAAGGAAATATAGCATGAGTTTTGTTTTGTTTTATTTTTCTAGAGGACATTTGCCCTATATTCTTGGAAAATGGCAGCCTGTGGAATAATTTGTCTGGTCAGGCCCCAGCTACTTTGCCTTGAAAGGGGAACCCATTAGGAGTAGCTGCCTTACAAATCCTGGCTCTGAGTCCATCTTTTAAAATTTCAGTTTATTTTTATTTTTTAAAAATTTTGTTTTTCCTATTTATTTGTTTATTTTTGAGACAGGGTCTCACTCTGTGGCTCAGGTCAGAGTGCAGTGGTGCAATCACAGCTCACTGTAGCCTCAACCTCCCAGGCTCAAGTGATCCTGTCACCTCAGCCCCTGAATAGCTGGGTCTACAGGTGTGTGCCATCATGTTGGCACACGTTGGCTAATTTTTAAATTTTTTTGTACAGACTGTGTTGCCCAGGCTGATCCCAAACTCCTGGGCTCAAGCAGTCCTTTCACCTCAGTTTCCCAAGTAGCTGGGATTACAGGCACACGCCACCATGCCCAGCTGTATTTTTTTATTGATTTACATTTTTTTTTGTAGACACCAGAAAATAAATTTTCTTCCACAACATAGAGATTGGATTTAAAAGTTCTTTTTTTGCTTTTTTTTTTAGATGTTTAAAGGAAACTGATTAAACAATGAGATAAAGCTCTAGACATAAGATAAATGGTAATAAAAACAGTATCTTAAAAGGGATTAGTTATCTGCAATCAACAGAGCGCATTTAACGTATATTATCACATTTGAATCAGAGAACAGCCCCCTGAAGCCAGGTGGGGAAGCATTTTGCTCCTCTTTTCATAGTGGAAGGAACTGACACTCAAAAAATTTAGGGGTTGTGTCCATGACAATAGAAGTTGTAACTGCAGATTAGAGTTCCAGTTTTCTCACTCCCCTTTCTGCCTTTTTTTCCCCACTTCACCATGTTGCTGTTGAAGGTGCCAGAGTCTTGGAATTTTTATGTCTTTTTCTCAAGAGTCATTCATAGTCCCAGAATATCTTTGCAAGGGAAATGAATGACCCTTCTGAAATTTAGAGCCACTCACATATTTATGTCATCAGTATAGCTCCATTTACAAACTCTTACAAATAACATGAAAGCTTGAGGCATTCCTTTTATTTTATTTTTCTCTTCCTTTCTGTCTTATACATGTCCAGAGGCACTCTTTTTGGTGTCATTTCCTAAGGGAAAAGAACATAGAAATTCTTGTTCTTCCTCAAAGCTGATAAATAATCTGGCAGCTTTTTATTTAAATTAAAAAAAAATGCTTTCTGTAGACTTGATCGGTTATGCCAAATTTCTCTCATAAGTTTTGGAGAGATTTTAAAGTTTTCTTTTATATTTTCTGGGCACAAGTCTTCTTGACAGAAAATTGCAACAAGAAAAAGGTCTGTTCCCTTTTGGAATACTTTCCACACGGAAGGCTTGGGAGGAAAGTTGCAACATATGTTAGAGACCCTATCTCTAGGAGCTGGGCCAGAAGAGACAGCATGAAACAGGGAAAGGTGATTCTCTGTGCTTTCAAGCTTCAGTTCCCTTTTTAAAGAACTCCATTCTCCTGGCCAGGAAAAGGAAATAGAATGGGTTCTGAAGCAGATGCTGCTCAGACTTGCTGGTTATCAGAGAAGGAGTGAGAAGGCAAAGGAGAAAAAATCACTGTATGTGTGTGCTCACTTGTGTGTGCTCACTTATGTGTGCATGCAGGGATGAGAGGGTGTCAAAACTTGGGAAACCAGTACAATCTCCAAAACAAGGCATCTTTTGAATTTTAAGTAAAAATTAAGGGCCAGGCACAGCGGTTCATGTAATCCCAAGCACTTTGGGAGGCCAAGGCGGGCAGATCACTTGAGGTCAGGAGTTTGAGACCAGCCAACAAGGTGAAACCCCATCTCTACTACAAAAAAAAAAAAAAATACAAAAATTAGTCCAGTGTGGTGGCACATGCCTGTAGTCCCAGCTACTTGGGGAGCCTGAGGCAAGAGAATCGCTTGAATTGGGAGGCGGAAGTTGTAGTGAGCTGAGATCCAGCCACCTCACTCCAGCCTGGGAGACTGAGCAAAACTCTGTCTCCAAAAAAAAAAAAAATTAAGGAAAGGAAAATGAGGATATCTTTAGAGCAAGAATCAGCAAACTTCTTCTGTAAAACACCAGATAATAAATATTTTTCATTTTGTGGACCATATAGTCTGTCTCAAATATTTAATTCTGACGTAGCACAAAAGCAACCTTATTTTAGGGACACCAAAATTTGAATTTTATATAATGTTCAAATGTCAGGAAATATTTTTGTTTTGATTTTTTTTCTCCCAACTGTTTAAAAATGCGAAAGCCATTTTCAATTGGGCTGTGAGCTGTACAAAAGCAAGCAGTGGACTGGTTTGGCCTCTGGGTTTGCCTAACCCTGTTCTAGAGGAAAGATGAGGCTAGCATGGTGTGGTGTGAAAATGTGAAGTAATTATTTTTTATTATTCTTATATGAAGTAGCAACTAGATGAGCACATTTCCCCCATGTGCCCCTTAACCGTCTTGCACAAAAATGAAAACAAAAAAAGAAAACATGTTGATTGCAATCTCATCTCTCTGAAATTTACTTAATTCTGAAATTTCTTTTTTTTCTTTTCTTTTTTTTTTTTTTTTTTTTTTTGAGATGGAGTCTTGCTCTGTCACCCAGGCTGGAATGCAGTGGTGCGATCTTGGCTCATTGCAACCTCCGCCTCCTGGGTTCAAGCAGTTCTCTGCCTCAGCCTCCCTAGTAGCTGGGATTACAGGTGCCCGCACCACACCCAGCTAATTTTTGTATTGTAATAGAGATGGGGTTTCACCATGTTGGCCAGGCTGGTCTTGAGCTCCTGACCTCGTGATCCACCCACCTCGGCCTCCCAAAGTGCTGGGATTACAGGTGTGAGCTACTGCACCTGGCCAATTCTGAAATATTCGCAAAAGTCACACCAAAATTTACCATTGATTGGAAGTTTAGTTGCCTAGCCAGCTTTATATTTAAGGCCTATAGACTTTAACTAATTTAGAGAAATCTGAAGACTAAAGGAAGAATGTCTGATTTTAAAGTAGTACTGTGTTTATTTGAAGGAACCATCCCCCCTTCCTCCTCTGATGGAATTATCCCGAGAATCCATATTAAACATCACTGTGTTAATTTTCTGCTCTACAATACAACACAACTGTCACATGATACTAAAAACATGGACATGTGTGGAATCAAGTAAAATAATAAGGTGTCAAAATGTCCTGCATATGTGGGGAAAGAACCTATGTTTTTAACTGAATTGTAAAAAAGAAATCACTCATTTTGAAAGGAAATCTTTTCTGATGAGCAGAATATAAGATGACTGTAAGTGCATATCTGTGAATCTTCATTTTCAAGGTATTTTCTCCTTACTTAATGTTCTTACCCTACTCATGTCTGTAACTATGGTACTCAGATTAATTAGGATATGATTTGAAAAGAATGTTGGACTATGACCATAAACACAGACCTTTCCACTTAATCATTGCCGTTAATCCCAGGTATGGCCAATAATGTAGACGTAAACTTGTGGAAGTGAGAGTCATCCAGATCCTCGCTACTCAGATGTGTTCTATAGACCAGGAGTATCAGCATCACCTAGACTTTTGTTGGAAATGCAGAGTCTCAGGCCTCAGTCCAGACTCATTGGATCATAATCTGCATTTTAACAAAATCATCAGATGATTTGTATGCGCATTAATTGTAAAGAGACATTCAGCTTGTAGTAATAGTTTTCAGCTTTGGTTGTATGGTAGAATTCCCTGTGAGACTTCTAGAAATCCCAGTGCGTAGGCTCTCTACCAGACCAATTAAATCAGAATACCTGAGGGTGGGACCTAGGCATCAGTATTTTTTCTGTTTTTTTTTTTTTGATATGATAATTTACTTCCTTTTGGGTACATACCCAATAGTGTGATTGCTGTATCAAATGGTAGTTCCAGTGGCATCGGTATTTTTTTAAGCTTCCTAGATAATTCCAGTGTGCAGTGAAGTCTGAGAACCACTGGGCTAGATGAAGGACTGCACATATTACTGCTCTGAGAGTAAGAAGAGAGCACTCTCATTATCAAGTGGAAATAAGGTCCCCAGAACTAGAGGAGTTACTAGAAGTGTTAAAAAGGTCAGCTTGGCATATATTACAAGAGTAGTTTTCGAGAGCCATTTCATTATTTGAAGGATGGAATAACAGCACATCTCAGGCCAGGCAACTGGGTCACATGCCCAGTTTCTTTAGTCTTTGCTTTTTGAATAAACCCTACAACTTTAATTATATAACTGTCATTAAGACTTCCCCTAATCTTAACAAAACTTTCTGAAAAGACTCTCATATAGGATACCAGTTTGTTAACCATCTTTTTGGTTGAGGATGAGGATAAATTCATGGTATGTGAGTTTTGGTAGAGTTAGCAAAGTTTCAAGTGTTTAAGTAGATTAACTGATCATTGAAGCCCCTTGCCTTTAGCTTAGAAATGGAATCTGAGAAAACAGAGAGATAATGCCATTCAAAAATCACTTTCTTTGGAACAGCAAGGAGCCCATCAGATTAATTCTTAAGGACAAGTGTAAGGGCTGGTATATATAAGAGGAAAAGGCATTATGCAGCAGCTTATAGGATATCACTTTATCAAGATTCCAGAAATTATCAAGTCAGTCCACTGATTTGGTACCCTCTTATTCATAATATCTGTTATATTATGCCTTTAAATAAAAATTAAGTCACATCTTTAAAGGAATTGAGCCTACATAATGAGATAAAATGTTCAGGTTACTAAATAGTTGACCAAAAGCAAACAAACAAAATTATAGATTAAGTTGAAGCTCTAGTGGCTTCTGGTATGTACTGATTCTTTCTAACTAGTGAGAAGTCCCTGTAGAGTCTGACAGGCTTTGAGTTGGGTCTTCTTCCTACCTGTTGCTAAGTGTGCATCATCTTTGGACCTTCCCACCCCATCTCATCCTGGTGTTCAGGTTTCTGGCACTAGAGTTGATCCACTAATTGCAGAGTTCTAAGTTTTGTCTTGCCATCGCTCCATGTAGCCCATCTACTATACGGCAAGTTCTCGAATAATGTCATTTCATCGTAATGTTGATAAGAAAAAAAAATTCCCAGTGGGAGCCGCTGTCAGTGTGGAGTATGCACATTCTCCCATGTCTATATGGTTTTTCTCTGCATACTCCAGTTTCCTCCCATATCCCAAGGCTGTAGATGTGGAGTGAACTGGAATGTCTATGTGGTCTCAGTGTGAGTGTGTGACTGTGCCCTGCAATGGGATGGCATCCTTTCTTGAGTAGGTTCCCACCTTGTGCCCTGAGCTTCCTGGATAGGCTCTGGCCACCCATAACCCTGAACTGGAATATTTGGTTTACATTTATTTCAATGTTTAATATTAGAAATGGTTTGGTTTTTATTTAGAAGTTCAGTAATGTTTTTGTGACCAGAAATATGCCACAGAAACTTAACTCTTGTTTATATCAGTTAGCCTATAGTAAAATTGGTTTTGTTATACAGCATTTTGCTTAAAGTCACAGTTTCAAGAACCTATCAATGGAGTTAAGTGAGGACTTACTGTATTTCTATTACTCTAGCTCTTTCTATTCTTAATTGCTAATTCCACAGACCTATGGAATGCTGAAAGTGCAATTATCCTCCAGTGTAACTGCCTTCTGCAAAAATTGCCTCCCACAAAACTACCAAAAAATGCATTCTGTTTGGTACTATGTGTGAATATCTAAGGATGCCTTTTCAGCTATACAGAGAGGCCTTCTATAGACCTCCCTGGCTTTAGACAAGAATAGGTTAGCTGTCTGGTTGGAACACCCTTTTATTTTTTTAGTATGGTTATTTCAGGTGTCCCATTATCTGACATCCTTCTTGGGTATAGCAGTTGATGTTAAAAGTTGTCTGATTGTTACCACTTGGGAGCTTTTGTCTGTTTAAATATTTCATGTTCACTTATAAAAAATTACACCCATTAAATAGCTCGTGAATTCCTAAGTATAACTTGAATACAAATACTACAATACACAAACACTCTTCTTAGGATTCCATTATGCATTAATTAATTTACTTCATAAATGTGAACAAAAAGAGCTTACTGTGTTTGAGGTAGTATTCTAGACCCTGTGAGGAACAAAAAGACTCAGAGTAGTGTTTCCTGTTCTCTTGGAGCCCCAGAGTAAGAAAAGCACATATTTGTTATCCAAAGCTAAATGTGATTTGGTGCTGAAAACAAACAGGCAGTAAGTGCTATAGGAGTTCAGAGAAAAAAGGAAGAGCAAGAATGCATGGCAGCAAAATTTCGTGGAAGGCTTTATGCCAGAGATGGCATTGGAGGTGGACTTTGAAGATGAATAGTTTTTCAGCAGGCAGTTCTCAGAATGAACAGAAACAGTTAACAAAGATGCCTTCTCTAAATGCCAAGAATGTAAGGACGTTCAGCACACACAACCATCTCTTCCTTCATCTGAACTCCCTGTATGATCTAGTAATTAAACACTAAGTGTTTGGTAATAATATGTGTCAGAGAATGTTCTTGGTCTCCTTTGAAATAGGAAAGAGATACTCTTCAAAAGTTAAAAGGTTGTGTCTCACGCCTGCAATCCCAGCACTTTACTGAGGCAGGTGGATTGCTTGAGCCCAGGAATTTGAGACCAGCCTGGAAAACATGGTGAAACCCTGTCTCTGCAAAACATACAAAAAATAAATTAGTTGGCATACTCAGGAGGCTGAGGTGTGAGGATTGCTTGAGCCCAGGAGGCGGAGGTTGCATTGAACCAAGATCACACAACTACACTCCATATTGGGTTACAGGGACCCTGCCTCAAAAAAAAAAAAAAAAAAAAAAAAAGTGAAAAGAATCACCAAGGGCACACATACTTGTCATAAACCAAGAAAACCAAATTAGAGAATTGAATAAAGCCGGTTGGGTAAGACCCCCAGAATTTCCAATGTCTTTTAATTGAAGTTTGCAAAGAGTTTACTCTTCCAGCTTGGAGAAATCAGGAACAAATCAAAAGGCATTTTGGCCATTGTTGATAAATATTCTAATTAAATCCTTCATTGACTGATGGCTGCCAAGAGTCAGCAGCAGGTGGTAACAGTTCCTTTGTAATCATTATAATTGTTTGAAATTATTCACTTTTCTGATCCAGGACTGTTTTTGGAGAGGAGGCCTAGGAGACACAGTGCAGATGGGCCTGATTTAAACAATATCCTTATTAAAACTGCACATTCTATTTTCTGATTAAGTTATTGGCAAATTCAAATATAGTATCAGTATATCAAACTAATCACTTGTTGAAAAATAATAATAGCTACAGCTGTTCTCCCTTTAAGTTTTAAGAGATAAAATATGTTCACTTAGATATGCATATCTGACATGACATATTTTCTTTCTATGGCACCCAGAGTCTCTGCTGTTACAATGTTTCTTTTTCATTATGAATAGAGGTGAGCTTTTCTTTTTCTTTTAAATTTATGGAACATATGCTGTATCCACTTCACTCAAAGCTATAGAATAATGACGCTATTATTGTAGCCATCTGTCTCTTCACATCAGTGTCTTCCATGGTTTTATAGTCCAGTTTTAGGGCTCTGTAAGAAACAATATTGGTTAACATTAATAACTGCCTTCATCTGACAATTTACATCTCTGCTTGGAGTCAGCTCCTGAAAGCATCTATCCCAGTAAAGGATGCAGGGGTGCCAGAAGAGGGAGGGACAGCTGTCTTGAGGGAGATGGAGGAAGAGCCGCCTATTTTGCTCCGCTTGACTGACGCCTAAAGGAAAGGTTGAGTCGATCTCCCACTTCCTATTATAGCGCTGCATTTGCAGGTTCCCACCTTGACAGGCAGAAACAGTTCCAGCCAGTGCTAATTTGGGTAACATCTAAAAGGCTTGCCTGACAAGGCAGATTCAAATTATGAAGCAAACCCCTCACATACTGAGACCTTGTTAGACAGATTAGTGGTGGATTGGCTTCTTGTGACAGCTTGTTTGCTAGAGGTGAGCTATCTGCATTTCCAATGCAGGCAGGTTATATCATCATTTAAAGAAAAAAAAAAAATAAAGATGTCGTTTTTCTTGTTTGTCACAGAGTTCATGTAATATTCCCTCTCGATTTTCTCATTGTTGACTTCAGAAAGAAATAGCAGCAAGTGTGTACCTTTGAGTACGACAGCTAATTTTGTTATGGATGAACAGAGTATTGTGACAAAACAGTGGCACAGCTGTCATAACAGCTGTCACACATTAATCATGACAGTGACAAATAGCATAATTACCTTATCTGGAATTCCTAGCATGCACACTCAGTATGCCCCACTGCCAAGCGAGCATATCACGCATGGTTTAATTAAAAAGACATCAATACAGGTTAGTTAGACAAGGGCTAGAAGACATTGATCCAAAATGAAAATAAAATTATTTATAGGTTGGTGTTTAGGGACACCAAAGACCAATTACTTAGCCGACATGATAATTTGAAACGATTTCCCTAACTGGCCTTTCTCAATGTGTACATCACATGGCGAGTTGTCTGTTCTGAACCAAACTAGAAGCCCTTCCTCCATTAAATGTTTGATCCCCTCTTTTTCCAGTCCCAGCATGGGTCTTTGAGAGCCATCTTTATATTCTGTTATATGATTAAAGGCACTCTATTGGTAAATATTTGATTACCAGTGAACACATTATAGCTGACTTTTTTGTTAACTTGCCTTCCAAGGCAGATACTGTGCAGAAGGAAAATAATATTAAGCAAAATGATTTTTGTTTTATTTGGAAATTCTTCCTAAGAATAAGGTGAAGTAAAGGCAGGTAAGACTGGGTTTGAGCCTAGAAATTACATTCTTTTACATGTGCAGTATTTTAATATAGGTACCTGTATTTGCGTGCATGCATGAGTCGCATCAGTATGTATAAATATGCAACCCTTCCAAATATATGTATATTTTTGCCCCCCCTGGTATTTTAAGCTCAACAATTCACTGAATTTACTGATTGAATTCCTGGGAGCTGGTTCTTGAATTGCTCTGAAGCTGCCTCGATGAAATATTAATGAATCAATTTCCATAGACATGGACTCATTATCTTGCTGGATGCCATTGGAAAACACAGTCCTGCCTGCGGTGTCCTTCCACCTTCCTGTGACATGATTTGATTTTCTCTCTCCCTTTTTTAATTAAATAAAAAAAATTGCTATCAGGAAAGTTTTGATAACTTTGGAACAGACATCTCCATTTCTCTTGATGGGTACCTAAATGGAGGTAAGCCATTTAAAATAAATTTATGTACCACTTACATGATATATTGAAAAGTGGGTCTGGAAACAAAGGAAGAGATGGCCAGTTTAGTTCTGTGGTCTCTGGAATGCCCTTTGGAAATGAAAAAACTGCTATTTTTCAGAACAACCAATTTATGAGAAATGTCTATATTTTAAAAAGCTGGGCCAACCATCTAATTGTTTACAAAGTTATCAACTTTAGAAAATGTTACAGAACACAAACACATTGTCACTTTAATTTAGGACTGATGGAAAGTAGATGAAACTATTCAAGCTGTGTCTACAAAATGCCAAAACAGCTGGTTAGAGCATGAAAAATTCAGTCAAGCTGTGATTATTTACAGGCATCATAAATAGCTGGTTTTAAGTATTTTGATTTTTGTTCACTGAAATTTACTGGTTTCTCATGCCTTATGCGAGTCAATCTAGGGGTGTAATAAAGTGTATTAAACTACAATTATACTAAACAAAGTTTTTAGCTTCCTTCCTTTCCTTCATTTTGTTCCGGTAAAGATTATTATTGCCTGCTCTGGGTACCATCAACATCCACTTTATAGAATTCTAAAAAATCCACTGGTAAATGGTTACCAACATGGTTAGACAAAGACTAAGATTATGTTCTCAAATTCAATGGCTTTCATTTTCATTTAGAACCAGTAATATATCTGAATGTCATGTGATCTGAGAACAATATTACCATTTCAACACATACATATTATTTGATCTGAGAATGATATTTCTATTTCAACACATATTCTTTTAGGGAAAAAGTGAAAGCCCAAGCTTGACCAAGTAAATCTTTTCAATACTAAGTCAAGAAAAAATTTTTTTCATCTTTGTTGAGAGAAAACCTGATTTGTTATTTGCTCACTCTACTGATTCCATTTCAATCTAAGTCATGGGGAACTCACCTGTAATTTGGTTACAGGTGTCTCCAGGATAATCGGATAGATACTGCATTCCAGGTATTAGGAATACCTCAGAGTAGCTCCTGACTTAAAACATTTTGATTAAAGCTATGAGAAAAAAAAAACAAGGGCATCTGCACACAGTAGTTTTGCACATAATGCCAAGGTACCCATTAACTGGGCAACTCATCTGTGGCCCCTGGCATAAATCCCTACTCTAGGTATAAGCAGGGGTAGAAACGACCCAGAACTGCTCTCAGAGGGTGGACACAATTCTAGGTCTTTAGTGTCAAGGTTGGGTTCCTATTGAAGCTAGAGACAGAATATCAAGTTTCTTGAGAATTAACCCAAGAATGCTTATTCCACTGGGAGATACATAAGAAGATTTTAATGAAGAAGAATCCATTTTAGATCTAGTCATAACTGACAAGAGGAAAATAAAAGCAGCTTTAGCATTTTTTGATCAAGCCCTTTGGAAGGAATTCCCTCCCTGTCTTCACTGTCTATCACACTTTTTGTTTAAGGGCACCTGTTTTCTACGGTGCTTTGCTGCTTTTTATATGGCATCACCTTAGTACATTGTAAGCTCTTTGAAAGCTGATTCTGTGTCTGATTCTTCTTTTTCTTTCTCATGGCACCTACAATTGTGCCTACATGGTGTAATTGCTGAGAAAATATGCACATCAGGAGTGGCAACATGTTGGCTTTAATAATTAAAGGCATGGATTTTTCCCAAAACATCCGGGTTATTTCTTGAATTCACCATATCACATTACTGAAATCTCTGAGAAGGTCAAACAGTTTATTTTTAAAGCAAGTTTTCTTCCACATTCTTTTCAGAGGACAGTTTTATTTCTCTTATTTCCTGCTTCCTAATACATGAACTGGCCTTTTGCATAAAGACTGGATGATTTTCATTGTTTCTAATAGAGCAGCAATATTAATCCACTGGCCAAGATACCAATGCATTTTTCTCCCAGATTTTCATATTTCTGACCATCCCTGATCTTGAAATATAGCTTGTATGTATTACACATAACCATATTTTACATATTTTATAATACAAGATTCCTGATTGTACTGTGCCTTCTAAACTTGCTCCATGCACCACCTAATGAAATCGAGTGGCATACCTTTACCCACCTTGAAAGAACTGGTGCAAGCCAAGATTATTACTCTCTATACCTCCGTCAGTCCTTGGATTTGTGGCCAGGCCTTTTACTCTCCATGCCTCGGAATATTTCAGTAGCTCTTCCTCCCTGCAACAGTGACAATCAGCAGGTTTTCCATGTAAGAACTAGCAGCAGCAATTGTGTTTATCTCCTTGACTAAAAGGTTTTGTATTTATCTTCCCTGAGGTGGTGCCCATGTGGCTGTCCTGATATTGAGCAGCTGGACAGATTATACCCTGGAGCCACATCTGCAAACACATAGATCAACACCATTTTCATTGCCTTGGTGCCCAAGAAGTTTATCTCCTGTCAGTTAGATTTACTGCTTTCTTCATGAATTCTTAAGGCTTTTGCTCCTCCCATGTTTCCTTTCCTTCTCCATTTTATCTGATTTCAAAGTACATTAGCATAATCTGATCTGGATTGTTAACAGCCGATTAGTTTGTTTTGGTTTCCTGCCATTATTAATACGTTTTTCCAATAGGGCTTCTGTAGAGGAATCTTGGATGGTAAAGAATATAACATTAACTATGTAGCATAGAACAAAACGACTTTATTGGTGTGTATATATCTAATAGTGCTGGTTTTATTTGCCACACCTAAGTGCATGGTAAAGACACTGCTTTAGACATTGTCTCACAGATCTAAATTTTGTTTACTGATGTTGCTTCAGCTGTTAAAACATAATCTCTCAAACTTGTGTTAATGCTTTTAAGTTTACAATATATTTTTAACTGATACTGTCTCCAATGATTCTCAACAGAGTCTTGCAAGGTAGGAGAGGCAGAAGAATGATTTTCAGCTTTACAGACAAGAATATCAAAGTTCAAAAAATCACAAAGTCAGCTATGAAGCCAAGACTCAGATCTGGGAAACCATGTTCACATTTCAATTTCTTCCCACTTTGCTTCAAAGCAACCTCCAAATAATCCTCCTTATGACTGTCAGTTTGACTTTCTCAGGCTTTCTCTCACCCGTCTCAATATCTGATGCCTTTTGCATTTCCAAAATTCTATGATTTGCTGCCTGGATTATGACAAATGATGTAGAGGTTAATGCAAATTATCTCTTCATTTATCTAAACTGTTAGGTGAAGCCAAAAAAAAAAAAGTGAGATAGTCCTTTGGACTATTGATTACTTCAATGGTTTTTCAATCCACACACACATTTGAATTACCTAAGGAACTTTAAAAATAAATAATGATGTCTGGATCCAACCTCCAGAGATTCTGATTTAATTGCTCTAGGGTTGATGTCCAGACATGAGTATTTTTTTAAAGCTCCCCAGATAATTCTAATGTGCATCCAGTGTTCAAAACCACTGGGGAAATTTCTTCTCTTTACCCCCTTCTGTTTTCTTCTCTTTATCTTTCCCCACCAACTTTTGAAAAATGTTTTGGTTTCTCAAATACAATCAAAGTTCTGCATCTTGGCCAACATTAATGGTGTTACTCAAAAATTTAACATCTAAATGTGTGTGCGTGTGTGTGTGTGTGTGTGTGTGTGTGTGTGTGTGTGTGTGTTTGCTTGCTTTGGCTACCATGGGAGGAAAGGGGAAAATTATGGAGAAGGGTGTTGTAGAAAGAGATCATGGGCTAGAGACATCTGGTAGCATACATTTATAATTACTAGAATGTAGACACCTCAAAGCCAGTGATTTGGTCTGTTTTGGTCATTGCTGTTTATCCAGCATGTTGAAAAATGTTTGGCACACAGTAGGCACTTAAATATTTACTAATGAGTATTTCCCCACATCTCCCTCAACCATGCTAATCCAGAGCTAAGTAGAACCCCATGAAGGTTCCCCATGCTAGGGGAATTCCAGTTTTGTCTCCACTTGGAATACTTGCCTGCCCATCTCTTCCCAAACTCTAAGTCCTGTCTTCCTTTAAGGACTAGCTTTAGTGAACTTTCTTTCACAAGCCTTTCTGGTTCTCTTTTGAACTGTTACAGGTGATTATTTATGTTTCACTCATTGCTGCTACTTCCCACTGCCTATCTTGTGTATATTACAGTTTATGTGGATGTCTTTGCTTTTCTTCTAGACATAACCCATTTTATCTTTGCATCTCTTCTAGTACACATGGAAATCTCTCAGTTAATATTTGTTTGAATGAATGACCATTGCTTCTGGTATGTGAAATTCCTACATTATACAATGATGAGGGTTTAAATAGCATTTCATAATGTTTGATTTTGTTTTATGCTTTGTATTTTTGAAACCCATATTATATATATGATATGTATGATATCATATCTGATTTGCTCCTCAACACAACCCTGGGGAATGAAACAGATGGACATTATTGTTGTAAATGAAAAGAAACTGAGGCATGAAAATGATATTAAGTGATCTACTCAAGGCCATGCCCTATCAAAGGCAGAATGGATGGAGTGGCTAAATTTCCAGCTCCATTTTTGCACACAGCTTTGCTAGGGAACATTGTGTTTTCCCCAGCATGAGGTAAGCAAACTGACAATTTGCTTTTGTTTACTTCCAAAGTCCGCACCTCTCCAGCTCAGTTATAAAACCTAAGTCCTATGCTTTTAGACAGAATACAATTCAGTCAGATCAGTTCTTGTTTTTGTTGATAGCTTGTGCATCATGTTCTTATTTCAGTGTATTATGACTTATTTATTTTACTTTTCATGAAACCTTCAATTTGTTAATTAGATCAAAATAATGCCAGAAAGGGAGATGCATGTTTGTGACAATTTGGATAGATAATAGCCAGGCTGTGAGAAGTACTGCATTCAAGAGAACTAGTAGAAAAGCAATGAGAACCAAGTGGTATGCAGCTTCCCAGCTGGTTTTCTCTGTATATCTTTTTTAAACATTTAAACTCTTGCCCTTGCCTATTCGGTAGTTTCTAATCACCCAATCAACAGCATGAACCTAGGGTGCAGAAATTCCATTTCTTCATATATTTTAGCCCAAAGGAATGATTATGAATCCATACTAAATGACACAATGTTTTATTTTTTCATAAATACATTAAACATGCATCAATGAAAACAGCATTTTAATCATGTGAGCAGGACTTTATTGATTTATCCAAGATGGAATTAAGCAATATTTTTTGACAACACAAGGAGTATAAATAGCTCCTCATAGTATGATTTAAATTTGATTATTACATAGTTTTAATCATAACTTGTGCACATTTTTCAAAAGTAGAAATAAAACATTGTCAAGTTCTCTGGAACAAAACAAA
The DNA here is from genome assembly GCF_000001405.40 of Homo sapiens. Lineage (NCBI taxonomy): Eukaryota > Metazoa > Chordata > Mammalia > Primates > Hominidae > Homo > Homo sapiens. The sequence continues at coordinate 82,370,195 of NC_000009.12, forward strand.
ATTGTTTTTTGGTTTGTATTAGATGTAGTTACATTGAGAGTTGTGCTTGAGTGTATGTATGGTGTAATAAGGGATAAAGTAGCCTTGTGATACTTTTTTCATTTACATAAATACAGTTCAGGGAATATTACTAATGAAGTGGATGTGGGGGTCACCTAGCCACCTTAGGAAAAGGTTACTACTTTATTTTAAGTAGCCCATCAATCATTATGAATTAATGTCATACTGTAGGTGAAAGCACTAATAATAATAAATTCATTTTGTATTCATGAGGGTGTCAAATGTACACCCAAAGGAGTCCCGTGTCATTTGTCGATATGGAAAGAAAAATTAAAATATGACCTATTCACAATCTCTTTGCTATGGCTTATACCCAACTGCATGTTTTGGTGCTGATGGACAATAATGCATGTGGGGGAAAGCTGGGAACGTTCACTAACATTATTAAAAGTAGAATGAAATCTGGGTCAAGAACAAGGACCTGGGGCTGTGAGTTCACATTTTCATGTCCTCCAAGGAACTCCAGAGGGTCAAGGGGGTGCCGGAGGGCAGGGCTATGAGTGGAAATGTATGAGTCTACGACAAAGCTGCCTTATTTAACTCACTACTTCCAAAATCTGTCCACCTGCCATTTGAGATAATATTACTACCACTTTACCCATTACAAAGGTGACGTAAGAAACTTCTCTGAGTGGTTTGTAGGCATTCACAGTTTGGCTGGGCTTTGGATATTGTACAGGAAAATTTTTTTCTCCCTCTTCCTGTCTCCTCTGTTGAAAGTATTGGAGAGAAGCTCCTCTTTTTTTCTCTTCTCATGGAATCCATTTCCATGGCAAATGGAGTGATAGAAATGCCAGATGGGTGAAACAGTAAGTGTCTAACATACACTTAGAAATGTGTCTCTACTGGGTGGAACTAATGTGTTAATGGCTTGCTGACATTATTGTTTTGATTATTGTTATTGCTGATATTGTTATCTCCATTTTAAAAATGAGGAAACTTAAGTCACAAGTTGGCTAAGTAACTTATCTATGGTTATAAGTGGTGGCGTCAGAATTTGAAACAGTATTCTGTCTTTGTTATCATAATTGTATCTGCTACATGGGATCATTATGAAGATTAACTGAGGCTAGGAGTATATATTTATTAGCAGAGTGGTTAATTAATGTTAGTTAATATGATTAATTGCATGGTTTGGGGTGAGTACTCCTCCAACCTCAAGAGACTGAGTTTTTAATCTGGAAAAAGGGAAAGACATTGGACTTAAGCTCCTTTTCAGTTTGCTCTGATTGGTTCTGGCACCAAGGTAGCAAATAGTGTCATACTCAGAGATCCACATCTTCTCAAGAAGTATCTAATGCCATTATTGCTCAGATATTTTTGTGTCTTGTGACATTCAAGTCCCATGTCCAGAGCTAAACAATTCTCTGTATTTCCAAAACTCCTCAGACGTGTCAAATGGAGACTGCTGATGCTGCTCTGTGGCTTCTGAGCCCCAGAGGACTTCACATCTCACAAAATTTCCCTATTTTTGGTACCAGAGAAGAAACTCTTGTACAGACAGCATTTTCACCTTGGACCCAAATGGATGATTTTAAGCACCATGGAACTCATTTCTCTCATCTTATCACACTTTCTCTTTCTTTCCACCAACAACTCTCTTTGATGAAATAAAGACATACTTGTATCAGAAGAGCAGGACTCAGAAACAATGGAACTTCAGAACTTCACTCTGCTAATCCTAGAAATCTTTTAATGCTCACTCTGTTTCCAGAGATTTAATAGCAAAGAACTAACCTAAGGCAGTCCATGCACAAAAGTTCATTTCTCTAGCAAAAATGTACTATGAAGTATTAGATCAAATGAGAGGAAGTAGGGCTCAAAGCACTTGTCAAATGGCTGGAAATATGATTATTAGTTCTTTTTATATCTAAGCTTTGCCACTGAAATTTCTAACAGGCTTTGGTCAAGATATGTGTTCATGCTGCTACTAACCAGGTAGAAATGACTTTTACTCACATTTATGGGTATTCAAATATCATTTTATATCCAATTGACTTTCTTGGTTTAGTCTATACCTAATAATTTAAATCTTAATCATATTCTGAGTTGTATTATATTATTGTATGGTATTCTAGATTACAAGTTTTTACAAAGTAAGGCTTATGTGTTAATTTAAAAAGTGATATACTGTGATGGAAAGAATGCTGAAATATATCTCAGTAACAGTATAAATGTTTTGAAATGGGGAATGAACTTCATCAGTAAGTAACATATTGCAGGGAGTTTTAAATGACATCAAGATTTCTATCTGGGGAGATAGAACATTTTTTGAATTTTTTTTGAGGGATGCAGGCACTGCTCTTGATAAAATAATATACTCACCATATTGCTTATCCTATTTAAATATGTAAATGTTGATCAGTGAGGATGCTGGTGAGGAAGGTTCTGTAAGCAGCTTCATATATTTATGAAAAGGAGGTGAAGTCAAGATAAATGAGATATTTTATTGAGGCCAATGGGTAGACTTCTTAGCCTGGTACAAGCAAAGAACAATTTATATAAAACTTCCCTTTTATTTATTTAATATAAGTGGCATCTTTATCTGCAAATTACAATAATTAGATTGTTTTGTAAAAACATTCTTCATAAAGCATTCATTTAAAGCATAAATGTTGCATTAGATTACTGTTTCTTTTTTAAAAAAAATACATCAGAGTGTCAGTTCTTGCCTTAGATGTTAATATAGTACCAGTCAGGACACTGAAAGACAAAAAATAACATGCTCAATGGATTTAACTGAAGATATTTTAATGAAGACAGTATTTCAGAGGTATGGGCAGAATTCAAATAATCAGCAACAGATAGTGGAGCATCCTGTGACCAGCAACAGTGGAAAACCATTACTACCTCTAGGCCTGAATGGGCAAATGGAAGAAAGGTTGCAGAATTAAAAATACATGATAATATCAAAGAAAGTGGCAAAGCAACAAAGAAGAATTGAAGTGTTCTGAGGTCCTAACTTTGGCTGGGAACTGGAAAAATTAATAATTTGTATTAAACTGCCAAAAATCGAAGGTATATGTTATAATATCTAGGGAAACTACTAGAAGTACCTTGAAAGATTATATCATTAATTAGCTAATTGAAAGGGGAAGGGAATAATAAAAATACAGACTAATTCAGTAGAGGAGAAGCAAGGAGATAATACTAGCTGGGACAAATAAAAAACAAATAATAAGATGATAGATATTAACCCCAACACATTTTTAATTACATTAAATGTAATGAAAATATTTTCAAACTGCATGAAAACCCATTAGCTTACCAAAATCATACCTTAAATATAATCACTGTATAATGGAAAATAAAAGAATGGAAGGACATATTGCATGCAAACAATAACTAAAAGAAAGTGTAACTGCCCAAACCTTATATGATAATATAAGGTAGATTCTAAGACAAGAAGCATTATTACAGTTAAGGAGAGACATTTGATGTAGATAAAAGTTTAATCCATCAGGAAGATAGAATTCTAAATGTATATGCACCTAATAACATGGTGTCAAAATATATAAAGCAAGAAAAGACAGAACTAAAAAGAAAGATAAATCCACAGTTACAGGGAAAAACTTTAACAGACTTCTCTCACAAATGAATAAAATAAGCAGATAAAAATTAGTAATGATATTGAAAATTTTAACAATTTCCAATTATTATTGGTTCTTCCCTCTAGGTAATCAATATAAAAATGCTTTTTAGTATTTTGACCTAAATATCATGAGTAAAATATAAATCTTGGGATGTTTTTATAGGAAATCCTTTTAGCATAACTTTGGAGTTTTCCATTTAAATAAACCAGACCATTAAAATGCTTCATATTGAAGTTTTCCTTGATATAACCTTTTAGATAGCCTAAATTTTAAGAAATAGAAGTGAAAATTCTTGTCTCTAAAGGAGACAAGTATCATATTTCCACCACCATAAAAAAAAAAAAAAAAAACAGCTGCAGCTGGCCAGGCGCCGTGGCTCACGCCTATAATCCCAGCACACTGGGAGGCCAAGGCGGATGGATCATGAGGTCAGGAGTTCAAGACCAGCCTGACCAGTATGATGAAACCACCTCTCTACTAAAAATACAAAAATTAGCCAGGTTTGGTGGTGTGCCTGTAGTCCCAGCTACTCGGGAGGCTGAGGCAGGAGAATCACTTGAACCTGGGAGGCAGAGGTTGCAGTGACCCGAGATCACACCACTGCACTCCAGCCTAGGCGACAGAGCAAGACTCCATCTCAAAAAAAAAAAAAGAAAAATAATAAAACCAGCTGAAATTCCAGAATAAATGGTAACTACCATCAGGTATTGTTGTCTCTATATACTATCACTATATTGTGTGGCACATATAGCTACTGATTATCTCACTTATAATTTGTGTTTATCTGAGTTTTGATGATACATATGATATGGTAATTAACACTGTGAAAGTAATACCTTTAAATGGTTCTGGATTTGAAATATTTTTGCTGTTGGACTATTTTTGTTTTTATTATTTTATTTATTGTTATTATTATTATACCTCCTACATAACAGATGAAGTGTCAGGAAAGCACAAATTTGGGCTTAATGGCAGGAAATACATTCTTTATTAAGGAATATATTTAAAATTAGTGGCAATTAGAGTGAGTCATATGTGTTGCAAGTTCAATTCTGAAATAACTCCTAACCTTGGTTTTATGACATCCTAGCACATTTCCATTAGCTCAAGGAGTAAGACCTATTTCAAAGATTCTGAAAGATAATTTATGTAAACTTATTTTAATTGAATAAATACCATTCAGCACATTTATGGTAGCTGACACAAGAGGAGAGGCTTATGAATTTTAGAAACAAAAACGGTTTAATAAAATAGTAAAATATACATCATTACAAACTAAGGAAAAATAATGGACTTGTCCTCCTTATCCTTCCAGAATGCTTCCTTTCGTTTCTGAATATAATATAAAGAAATGCTTAATACATTATCTTTCAATATAATTAAGTCTGCCTGGGGGCAAAGGAGGTTTGCATTCTGAATAAGTCTATGATTGAGGGATACATTTACTTGATAATAAATCCAAGATTGTGATTCAAAGGAAATTAGAGATCTCAAAGTATGAAATATTCCTCTTATTAGAAGAAAAAGAGAATGTCACTTTACAAAATTATCAGTCATTTTGCAGAGAATAAGTTGGTCTCCATAATACAAAATAAATTTATTATTTGGTTAGCTAATTTTAAACCACAAGAATAAATTCTCTCATTGATGTGGCTGGAATTTATCCAGACATTTGATTGATTCTTTATTCAAATGTGTATGTATTTAAAGGTATTCAAATATGCTTTTATGGTTTTTGAAAACTCAAATATCTATTATCCCTTAAATATTTCTGAGTAAATAATACATTCTGTAGCTTTCATAATTAAACATCTATCCATATTTAACTGGCAGTTTTCTTCTTTGCTATCTGAACTACATACTATTGAGCTTATGTATATACAAACTGTAGGAAAAAATAAATACCTATAATTAACAATTCTATTAATAGAATTAATGCCAATTTTCTAATACTCTGGTGAGTAAAATATAATAAATCTTACTTTTTTGTTGTTTTTATGCAATTGTTTTCAAAAAGCCCATAATGCTAAAAGTTACAAAACAACAAAAGCAGCACTTTAAGTTTCTTAGAGATTAGCTAAGTTGGGGTGAGTAAACTTTTTCTGTAAACGGCTTGATAGTAATTATATTTCACTTGGCAGGCCATATAGTTTCTGTTGCAGCTACTCAAATCTGTCATTTTAGCCTGTGAGCATCCATGAACAATACGTAAGTGAATGGACAGGACTGTGTTTCAATAAAACTTTGAGAAAATAGGCAGTGGGTTGTTTTGGCCTATGTGTAATAGTTTGCCAACCCCTGAAAGTCAGCAATACCTGGACAGTACTCATTGATTACTTATTACTGTATGCCATGCCCTGTGCTGGGCAGTGGAGGTAAAGAAATATATCAGAGTTAGTTTCTGCCCTCAAGGAGCTTTCAGATTACATGTAAATAAGTGTAATATATTGTTTGAAGTAGGATGGCAGCTATACAGATCATGGGGTTGGAAGAAAATATGATTAATTAATGAACACAGAGAAAATTTCTTTAGGCACCTAAGAGGAGGAATTGCACTTTGAGGAGGGGAAATTGTGAGCAAGTTACAGAGGCATGAAAGAGTTTGACAAGTTTGAAAACTGAATGATGACTTAGTATGGTTGGAGCATAGTATGAATAGCCCGTAATAAGAAAAAAGGGTAGAAAGATTGGTCATCTGCAGGATCCTTGAGAAAGTCATGCTAAGGCACCCCTTCTGCCAAGTGACAGCCAGAGTGCTTTGTTAAGCAGATCCCTGATCCCGTGTCTCCTGACTGGGTGAGATCCCCCAACCGGAGTCACCAGACACCTTATACAGGAGCGTTCCTGCCAGCATCAGGTTGGTATCCTTCTGGGAGGGAGCTCCCAGAGTAAGGATTAGGCAGCCATCTTTGCTGTTCTGCAGCCTCCACTGGTGACACCTCCGGGGGCAAGAGGGACCCAGGTGACTAAGGTCTGGAGGGGACTTCCAGCAAACCACACCAGCCTTAGGGAAGAGAGGCCTGTTAAAAGAAAAACAAACAGCAACAACAGCAGCATTAACAAAAAAGTCCCCACAAAAACCCATCCAGAGGTCAGCAGCCTCAAAGATCAAAGCTAGATAAACTCAGGAAGATGAGAAAGAATCAACAAAAAAACGCCGAAAAATCAAAAAGCCAGAGTGCCTCTTCCCCTCCAAATGATTGCAACACCTCTCCAGCAAGGGCACAGAACTGGGCTTAGGCTGAGATGGATGAAATGACAGAGGTAGACCTCAGAAGATGGGTGATAAAAAACTCTGGTGAGCCAAAGGAGCCTGTTCTAACCCAATGCAAAGAAGCTAAGAACAATAATAAGACATTACAGGAGCTGTTAACCAGAATAACCAGTTTAGAGAGGAACATAAATGACCTAATGGAGTTGAAAAATACAACACAAGAACTTCACAATACAACTACAAGTATCAATAGCCAAATAGACCAAGTGGAGGAAAGAATTTCAGAGATTGAAGACTATCTTGCTGAAATAAGACAGGCAGACAAGATTAGGGAAAAAAGAATGAAAAGGAATGAAGAAAACCTCTCTGAACTATGGGATTATGTAAAAAGACTGAACCTACAACTGATTGGAGTACCTGAAAGAGGAGAACCAAACCAAGTTGGCAAACACTCTTCAGGATATCATCCAGGAGTACTTTTCCAACCTAACAAGATAGGCCAACATTCAAATTCGGGAAATTCAGAGAATCCTAGTAAGATATTCCATGAGAAGATCAACCCCAAGACACATGATCGTCAGATCCTCCAATGTTGAAATGAAGGAAAACATTATAAGGACAGCGAGAAAGAAAGGCCAGGTCACCTACAAAGTGAAGTCCATCAGAATAACAGTGGACCTAACAGAATCTCATATCTGGCCAAACTAAGCTTCATAAGTGAAGGAAAAATAAAATCTTTTTCAGTCAAGCAAATGCCGAGGGAATTCATCACCACCAGGCCTGCCTTGAAAGAGCTCCTGAAGGAAGCACTAAATATGGAAAGGAAAAACCATTGCCAGCCACTACAAAAACACACTGAAGTACACAGACCAATGACACTATGAAGCAACAACATTAAGTCTGCAAAATAACCAGCTAGCATTGTGATGACAGGATCAAATTCACGCGTAATAATATTAACCTTAAATGTAAATGGCCTAAATGCCCCCATTAAAAGACACAGAATGGCAAGCTAGATGAATACAGCACATTGGTGTCCTGAATTCAAGAGACCCATTTCATGTACAAAGACACACACAGGCTCAAAATAAAGGGATGGAGGAAAATCTACCAAGCAAACAGGAAGCAGAAAAAACCAGGGGTTGCAGTTCTAGTTTCTGGCAAAACAGACATTAAACCAACAAAGATCAAAAAAGAAAAAGAAGGACATTACATGATGGCAAAGGGTTCAATTCAACAAGAAGAACTAACTGCCCTAAATATATGTGCACTCAATACAGGAGCACTCAGATTCATAAAACAAGTTCTTAGAGACCTACAAAGAGACTTAGTCTCCCACACAATAATAGTGGGAGACCTTAACACCTCACTGTCAATTAGACAGATCATGGAGACAGATAATTAACCAAGATATTTAGAACTTGAACTCAGCTCTGGATCAAGTAGACTTGATAGATATCTAGAGAACTCTCCACCCAAAAACAACAGAATATACCTTCTTCTTGGCGCCACATGATGCTCTAAAATTGATCACATGATTGGAAGTAAAACATTCCTCCACAAATTCAAAAGAACTGAAATCATAACAGTCTCTTGTACCACAGCCCAATCAAATTAGAACTCAAGACTAAGAAACTCACTCAAAACCACACAACTACATGGAAATTGAACAACCTGCTCCTGAATTACTCCTGGGTAAATAACGAAATTAAGGCAGAAATGAAGATTTTTTTTTAAAACCAATGAGAACAAAGAGACAATGTACCAGAATCTCTGAGATACAACTAAAGCAGTGTTAAAAGTCAAATTTATAGCACTACATACCCACATAATAAAGCTAGAAAGATCTCAGATCAGCATCCTAACATCACAACTAAAAGAACTAGAGAATCATGAGCAAACAAACCCCAAAGCTAGCAGAAGACAAGAAATAATCAAGATCAGAACAGAACTGAAGAAGACACAGACACAAAAAGCTCTTCAAAATATCAACAAATCCAGGAGGTGATTTTCTGAAAAAAATGAATAAAAGAGATAGACAACTAGCTAGATTAATAAAGAAAAAAAAGAAGAATCAATAGACACAATCAGGAATGATAAAGAGGATATCACCACTGACCCCACAGAAATACAAAAAACTATCAGAGAATACTATAAACACCTCTGTGCAAATAAACTAGAAAGCCTAGACGAAATGGATAAATTCTTGGACACATACAATCTCCCAAGACTGAACCAGGAAGAAGTTGAACTGGTCATTATTGAATAGACTAATAAAGAGTTCTGAAGTTGAGGCAGTAATAGCCTACCAATCAAGAAAAGCCCAGAATCAGACAGATTTGCAGCTGAATTTTACCAGAGGTACAAAGTGGAGCTGGTGCCATTTCTTCTGAAACTATTACAAACAATTGAGAAGGAGGCACTCCTCCTTAACTCATTTTATGAAGCCAGCATCACCCTGATACCAAAACCTGGCAGAGATACAACAAAAAAAGAAAACTTCAGGCCAATATGATGAACATTGATGCAAAAGTTCTCAATAAAATACTAGCAAACTGAATCCAGCAGCACGTCAAAAAGCTTATCCATCACAATCAAGTTGGCTTCATCCCTTGAATGAAAGGCCTGGTTCAACATATGCAAATCAATAAATGTAATTTATCACATAAACAGAACTACAGGCAAAAACCACATGATTATCTCAATAATGCAGAAAAGGCTGATAAAATTTAACATCCTTTCGTGTTAAAAACTCTTAATAAACTAGGTATTTATGGAACATACCTCAAAATAATAAGAGCCACTTATGACAAACCCATAGCCAATATCACAATGATTCAGCAAAAGCTGGAAGCATTCCCCTTGAAACCCAGCACAAGACAAGGTTGCCTTCTCTCACCACTTCTATTTAACATAGTGTTGGAGTTCTGGCCAAGGAAATCAAGCAAGAGATAGAAATAAAGGTATTCAAATAGGAAGAGAGGAACTCAAGCTGTCTCGTTTTGCAGATGACACGATCCTATAGAAAACCCCATCTCTCACTCCATCTTTGCTGAAGTTGCTTATCAGTCTTATGTTCTTAAGCTGATAAGCAACTTCAGCAATGTCTCAGGATTCAAAATCAATGTGCAAAAATCACAAGCATTTCTACACACCAACAATAGGCAAGAAGAGGGCCAAATCATGAATGAACTCTAATTCACAATTGCCACAAAGAGAATAAAATTCCTAGAAATACAGCCTGCAAGGGAAGTGAAGGAACTCTTCAAGGAGAACTACAAACCACTGCTCAAGAAAATCTGAGAGGACGTAAACAGATGGAAAAACATTCCTTATGAATACGAAGAATCAAAATGGCCATACTGTCCAAAATAATTTATAGATTCAGTGCTATTCCCATTAAACTACCATTGGCATGCTTCACAGAATTAGAAAAAACTATGTTAAAATTCATATGAAACCAAAAAAGAGCCCTTATAGCCAAGACAATCCTAAGCAAAAGGAACAAAGCTGGAGGCATCATGCTACCTGACTTCAAACTATACTACAAAGATACAGTAACCAAAATAGCATGGTACTGGTACAAAAACAGACACATAGACCAATGGAACAGAATAGAGAACTCAGAAATAAGACCACACATCTGCAACCATCTGATCTTAAACAAACCTGACAAAAACAAGCAATGGGGAAAGGATTTCCTATTTAATAAATAGTGCTGGGGGAACTGGCTAGCCATATGCAGATAACTGAAACTAGAACCCTTCCTTATACCTTATACAAAAATTAATTTAACATGGATTAAAGACTTAAATGTAAAACCCAAAACTATAAAAATCTTAGAAGAAAATCTAGGCAATACCATTCAGGACATAGACACAGGCAAATATTTCATGACAAAAACGTCAAAAGCAATTGCAACAAAAGCAAACATTGACAAATGGGATCTAATTAAACTAAAGAGCTTCTGCACGGCAAAAGAAACTATCATGAGAGTGTGAAGAGACAACCTACAAAATGGGAGAAAATTTTTGCAATCTATGTGATCTGAACAATGAGAACATATGGACACAGGGAGGAGAACAACACACACTGGGGTCTTTCAGCAAGGTATGTGAGGGAGAAAATCAGGAAAAATAGCTAATTCATGCTGGGCTTAATACCTAGGTGATGGGTTGATAGGTGTAGCAAACCACCATGGCACACATGTACCTGTGTAACAAACCTGCACATTCTGTACATGTATCTTGGAACTAAAAATAAAATTCTGCTAAGGATTCTGGATTTTTTGCTAGTGCAGTAGAGACAACCAAAGGGTTTAAACCTAGTAAGTAGGGTGATCTTATTTGAATTTTTGAAAGACTACTCCCAGCAGCACTGCAAACGATGAAATAGAAAAAGCAAGACTTGAGGCAACGACACCAAATCATGGAATCTCTGTATATAGTGGTCCAAATCCTAATAATGAGGGTTTGAACCAAGGTGAGAACACCATGTGCATAGCATCATATTTAGTCTTTCCCTGCCAAGCCGTATCTGCTAGGGAAGGAAGTGTTAATACATAAAGCGATTAAAATCTTTCAGCAACACTTTAAAGGAAATACCTTATTATTAGATATTAAAAAATATTAATGAAAATGTGTCCAGGAAGGGAAACGTAGTTTGTGTATTATCATATTTCTAGTACTTGATTGGAAACCGTAAAATGTGATTTCTAATCTTAGCTTTGCCACATAAAGTCATGAGTTTAAGCACATTCTTTAATCTTTCTGAGCCTCACTTTCCATTTTGGTGAAAATTGGGCATTCTGACTTCTTTCCAAGTTTGTTGGAAAGAATACTTTTCCTTTCAGAACTGTAGGGGAAATTAATTGTTGTGAGAACATTTTCAAACTATATGATTCAAAGGTAAGTTATTACTTAATATATGGAGAAAGCATTGGAGACCATCAGTTATTCTTGGTTTTCTCCAATTGATAGTGGAGAGATCAGAGGCTGTTAATATGTTGGCAGAAATTCATATATCTTGAATTTTTAGCCAGCTCACAAAACAAGACCCATGGAAAACGAAGCACAGAGAAACCCATGGGATTAATTATCCTTGTAAATTGGATAATCAAACTGCAGTCAGTTTGATTCTGCTCCTCTGGTAGCATCACAGACATATACACACAACTACAACATACACAAACAGCTGTAGGGGCAGAGGGAAAGCTCTCTCTTAACTTACTGAAGGTTCACTGAAATGACTGACAATAGACAGATTTATAGGAGAAAAGGGCATACAAATATATTAACGTGCTCGTGGACACAGGAGTCCTGCAAATATGAGACTCAAAGTGGAGATTGTTGAAGCTTAAATACTCTCTTTACGGGGAAGAGGAAACTGGGGGCATGTAGGCAATTTATAGGGGAGTACTTAATGATTTTCACGGGAAATAAGGCCAAAGAATGGCCTGAAACAAAGTTCCTTGAGTTCTGGAGGAGGTAGTATGAAGGTGAGGGGCAGAACTTTATTGTAAATGAAAGTTGTTTTATTATGCATATAAAGTCTCTAAGGTAATCTTTCAAAGTTGCTCTCAGAAGAATAGGTGAAAAGGCTATCTCTGTGGCCGGGCGTGGTGTCTCACGCCTGTAATCCCAGCACTTTAGGAGGCCAAGGCGGGCGAATCACGAGGTCATGAGATCAAGACCATCCTGGCTAACACGGTGAAACTCCGTCTCTGCTAAAAATACAAAATATTAGCCAGGCGTGGTGGTCAGTGCCTGTAGTCCCAGCTACTCGGGAGGCTGAGGCAGGAGAATGGCTTGAACCCGGGAGGCGGAGCTTGCAGTGAGCAGAGCTTGCGCCACTGCACTCCAGTCTGGGCGACAGTGTGAGACTCCATCTCAAAAAAAAAAAAAAAAAGTCTATCTGTGCATGATCATGGACTTTTAGTCTCCTGTCTTTTTCAGTGGTTAGTCTTTTCTAGTTCTTTTATGAGATTCCTAAGGAGGGGGTCTTAGGACAATTGCATTTCTTTTGAAAAGAAGTTTCCTTCGTCAGATAAGGACATTCCAGAGGCAGTCCCATGCTGTGTTTGGAGACAGGGGAAGAAACAAGATTAGAAAGTCTTTGGTTCTGAGGCGTCTTCTAAGGCCTTCCTATTTTAGTTCAAAATGCTCAGCATGTCAAAGTGCCATACTTTGGGGGTATTGTCTTTTGAGCCCCAACTAGCACAAAATACAAGCAACACTCATACAGAACACACAAAATACACACAACAAACATATGTGACACACAAATATACCCAATATATATACTGTGTGATCATACCACACATGCAAAATGTGTGGTTACTACATAGATGACGCACAACACACACAAATAATACTTTATACACCACACATAAAATACATGTAATGCACACAAAAACCACAGACACAATGATGAGTTTTCCAAATATTAGTCATCCATCTACCACTTTCACATTATTTGCTTTATTTGCATATCATGTAAACATTCATTTACCAAATTTATCTTGCTTGTACAGGTTGTACTTCGAAATATTTTTATGAATCTTTTCTTTTGCTTTCTTTTTACGTCATCATGGTTGACAAACTTTTGATTACCTTATTTTTACATACTTAGCTCATCAAAAGTATCTGACGGAAGTGTTGGTATAGATCTGGTAAATATTATCTATTGGGTATGAAAATGTCAATTGTTCTAACCCGTGTGCTGATCTACTCACACTATAGTCCCTTTGTAATTTATGGAGAAAAATTCAAAAATATAAAGATTATTTTTTAAATTAGAAGGCACATAACAGGTCAACCAGCTCAGTCCTCTATCTTATGCCTGAGTTATTTCTGCCCTAAACAGCTAATGTTGAGAATAGCAAGTGTATTGACAACATTGATGGCACTTTGGGAAATCATCTGTAATACCCTATTAGTGTATTGAAGGCAAATTGCCAGGTTGATATGTCCATAATATGTCTCTCTGTCTGCTCAAGGACAGATTCTATGAATGAATGTAGTATAACTCATTAAAATATAATTTATGGTCATCAGAAAAAATTGGAAAAATACGCAAAAGCATAAATAAAAAATTTTAAAGCATGATTAATCTTAGTACTTAAAAAGGCCATTGTTTTTAGAAATAAACGTATTGAGTCAAAAGGACATGCACATTTTAATGCTTTGAAAAGATAGAGCACAATTGTTTTCCAGAATATTTGTGCCTACGTATATTCTTCACAGCACTGAGCACAGTCTAGGCCATCCTCTCATTAGGATTGAATATTGCCATTAAAATAATTTTTACCAGATATTACCTTTTTAAAATTAGAGTTTCTGTTTGAACTTGCCTAGATTTGCCTTTTGCTTTGATCTATTTACATAGAGGCTCAGTTTTGAGAAAAAAATAATTATTGTGATTAATACAATCATTAAAATGAATTGACACCTCGAGCAAGGAAATCTTAATATTGTAATTTTCTTTGGTGGAGAAATCTTTACTGTGGCATCTGGTATCCATGGTTAAAAGGAAAAAGGGGAAGACTCTTACTAGCTAACTTTATGTCCTAAACAACAAAACTCCCATTCCATTCTTGAAGTAAAATTGTGACAGATATTTGAAGAGATAAAGATATTCTTACATTTCATTTGTAATATATTTATTTTGAATTTTATTAATGCCTTATTTGTAGACTGTCTTTGAAAAATGTTTATGCAAAGTAACTTCTCATAAAGGTTGGGTTGCTTTTGAGCAAGCCAAAAGAGTGTATTTTATGATCCACCTGTTTATATATACGACTTTCTAGGAAACATGAAGGGCTGCCTTTGAGTTTGATGTATAATAAATGCAAAAATATACATACATTCAGGCACAAGTTCTCAGATGGAATGCTATGCTAATTGTTTAATATGCCTTAATGACATATCAATGAAAATTAGTTTGTGGATATTGCTCTTCACATGTATTTCATTCAGATGACTGTAACTTCAAAGCAAGTAAAGACCATTACTTTTCAAGTTTCAGATAGCTATAACTTTTATATTGCCCCATTATTTTTCTCACAGGTTAAATTCATTTAAAAGATGCATCTTTTTATACAACCATCTGATTTCAAATACAATTAAAATAACTTTCTTTTAAGAATATGAGGATAGTGAGTTCCTGACTCATAATTAATTTTTAAGTCTATAGAAATTTATTAAAGAACGAATTCTTGGGGAATAACACCAAGATGAGTAACAGTACATAATATAGTTTACTAAGTAAAATGTCCAAATTGCTAGGCATTTGAGATATTTTTAAAGTTTAGCATTAAAGATTAAGTTATTTTGTTCTTGCAGAATTAATACTCTTTGGTAATGCTGGTTCATCTTAGTGATAGCCTGATAAATGTGTGTTCAAAGAGGTTATATCAGGATGTTAAGAGACAAAAGCATTAGGAATATTGAACAAATTACTTCTAAGTTTCTTTTCAGTTTATCATAAGCCTTTGTTTATATATTTGTGTAACTTATTAATAAATAGCCTCCTGATCACAAAAAAAATATACTGTCCTTAATTTTGAGAAACCACTTAAGACAATGCAAAAAGGATTCTGCTGAAATATGCCAGCAGGATGTCCTGTAGTGCATATTCTGAAGAGTCCTTCTATTGTAATACAATTAGATTCTGGATCAAAACAGTTGTCAAAATATATTCTTAGGCTTACAAAAATGAAACCAAAACTCCAAAGGCCGATAACCTCAAAAAGATACAAAGGGAAAAAATGAGCTGCAAGTCCAAAGGAAACAGATTAGCACCTATATGCTCACCTGCTACTCTGATGTTAAACTAAGATCTTTGGGGAGAACAAAATTAAACTTGGATTGATAGTACCTTTGGATCCTGGAGGAAGAAAAAGCAAATGCTTATTGGAAAACACATCTCCAAGTTAAACCCTTAGGAATCTTACTCTCTGAAATCAACCAAATATAAACTCACAATCCAAGATCATCAGGCCTACAGTACAAAAGCCACCATATGGGTAATCAGAAGAAACAAGATGCCAAATAGACACCTAAGGATTTCATATATTGAAACAATCAGATGCAGAATAAAATGTGACTATACATGATGTTTATTTTTTTTTATTATACTTTAAGTTCTAGGGTACACGTGCACAATGTGCAGGTTTGTTACATATGTATACGTGTGCCATGTTGGTTTGCTGCATCCATTAACTCTTCATTTACCTTAGGTATTTCTCCTAACGCTATCCTTCCCCCTACCCCCAACCCCACAACAGGCCCCGGGGTGTGATGTTCCCCACCCTATGTCCATGTGTTCTCATTGTTCAGCTCCCAACTATGAGTGAGAACATGTGGTGTTTGGTTTTCTGTCCTTGTGATAGTTTGCTCAGAATGATGGTTTCCAGCTTCATCAATGTCCCTGCAAAGGACATGAACTCATTCTTTTTCATGGCTGCATAGTATTCCATGGTGTATATGTGCCACATTTTCTTAATCCAGTCTATCATTGATGGACATTTGCGTTGGTTCCAAATCTTTGCTATTGTAAATAGTGCCACAATAAACATATGTGTCCTTATAGTAGCATGATTTATAATTATTTGGGTATATACCCAGTAATGGGATTGCTGGGTCAAATGGTATTTCTAGTTCTAGATCCTTGAGGAATCGTCACACTGTCTTCCACAGTGGTTGAACGAGTTCACACTCCCACCAACAGTGTAAAAGCATTCCTATTTCTCCACATCCTCTCCAGCATGGGTTGTTTCCTGACTTTTTAATAATTGCCATTTTAATTGGTATAAGATGGTATCTCATTGTGGTTTTGATTTGCATTTCTCTGATGACCAGTGATGATGAGCATTTTTTCATCTGTCTGCTGGCTGCATAAATGTCTTCTTTTGAGAAGTGTCTGTTCATATCCTTTGCCCACCTTTTGATGGTTGTTTTTTCTTGTAAATTTGTTTAAGCTCTTTGTGGATTCTGGATATTAGCCCTTTGTCAGATGAGTAGATTGCAAAAATTTTCTCCCATTCTGTAAGTTGCCTGTTTCACTCTGATGGTAGTTTTCTTTGCTCTGCAGAAGCTCTTTAGTTTAATTAGATCCCATTTGTCTATTTTGGCTTTCGTTGCCATTGCTTTTGGTATTTTAGTCATGAAGTCCTTGCCAATGCCTATGTGCTGAATGGTATTGCCTAGGTTTTCTTCTAGGGTTTTTATGGTTTTAGGTCTAACATGTTAAGTCTTTAATCCATCTTGAATTAATTTTTGTATAAGGTGTAAGGAAGGGATCCAGTTTCAGCTTTCTACATATGGCTAGCCAGTTTTCCCGGTACCATTTATTAAATAGGGAATCGTTTCCCTAATTCTTGTTTTTGTCAGGTTTGTCAAAGATCAGATGGTTGTAGATGTGTGGTATTATTTCTGAGGGCTCTGTTCTGTTCCATTGGTCTATATATCTGTTTTGATACCAGAACCATGCTGTTTTGTTTACCATAGCATTGTAGCATAAAGTCAGGAAGCATGACTCTTCCAGCTTTGACCTTTTTGCTTAGGATTGTCTTGGCAATGTGGGCTCTTTTTTGGTTCCATATGAACTTTAACATAGTTTTTTCCAATTCTGTGAAGAAAGTCATTGGTAGCTTGATGGGGACAGCATTGAATCTATAAATTACCTTGGGCAGTATGGCCATTTTTCACAATATTGATTCTTCCTATCCATGAGCATGGAATGTTCTTCCATTTGTTTGTGTCCTCTTTTATTTCGTTGAGCAGTGGTTTGTAGTTCTCCTTGAAGAAGTCCTTCACATCCCTTGTAAGTTGGATTCCTAGGTATTTTATTCTCTTTGAAGCAACTGTGAATGGGAGTTCACTCATGATTTGGCTCTTTGTCTATTTTTGGTGTATAGGAATGCTTGTGATTTTTGCACTTTGATTTTGTATCCTGAGACTTTGCTAAAGTTGCTTATCAGCTTAATGAGATTTTGGGCTGAGATGATGGCGTTTTCTAAATATACAATCATGTCATCTCCAAACAGGGACAATTTGACTTCCTCTTTTCCTAATTGAATACCCTTCATTTCTTTCTCTTGCCTGATTGCCCTGACCAGAACTTCCAACACTATGTTGAATAAGAGTGGTGAGAGAGGGCATCCCTGTCTTGTGCCAGTTTTCAAAGGGAATGGTTCCAGTTTTTGCCCATTCAGTATGATATTGGCTATGGGTTTATCATACATAGCTCTTATTATTTTGAGATACATTCCAACAATACCTAGTTTATTGAGAGTTTTTAGCATGAAGGGCTGTTGAATTTTGTCGAAGGCCTTTTCTGCATCTATTGAGATAATCGTGGTTTTTGTCATTGGTTCTGTTTATGTGATGGATTACATTTGTTGATTTGTGCATGTTGAACCAGCCTTGCATCCCAGCATCCCAGGGATGAAACCGACTTGATTGTGGTGGATAAGCTTTTTGATGTGCTGCTGGGATTCAGTTTGCCAGTATTTTATTGAGGATTTTTGCATCGATGTTCATCAGGGATATTGGTCTAAAATTCTCTTTTTTTTTTTGTTGTGTCTCTGCCAGGCTTTGGTATCAGGATGATGCTGGCCTCATAAAATGAGTTAGAGAGGACTCCCTCTTTTTCTATTGATTGGAATTGTTTTAGAAGGAATGGTACCAGCTCCTCTTTGTACCTCTGGTAGAATTCGGCTGTGAGTCTGTCTGGTCCTGGACTTTTTTTGGTTAGAAGGCTATTAATTATTGCCTCAATTTCAGAGCCTGTTATTGGTCTATTCAGCGATTCAATTTCTTCCTGGTTTAGTCTTGGAAGGGTGTACATGTCCAGGAATTTATCCATTTCTTCTAGATTTTCTAGTTTATTTGCGTAGAGGTGTTTATAGTATTCTCTGATGGTAGTTTGTATTTCTGTGGGATCGGTGATGATATCCCCTTTGTCATTTTTTATTGCATCTATTTGATTCTTCTCTCTTTTCTTCTTTATTAGTCTTGCTAGCGGTCCATCGATTTTGTTGATCTTTTCATAAAACCAGCTCCTGGACTCATTGATTTTTTGAAGGGTTTTTTGTTTCTCTATCTCCTTCAGTTCTGCTCTGATCTTAGTTATTTCTTGCCTTCTGCTAGCTTTTGGATTTGTTTGCTCTTGCTTCTCTAGTTCTTTTAATTGTGATGTTAGGGTGTCGATTTTAGATCTTTCCTGCTTTCTCTTGTGGGCATTTAATGCTATAAATTTCCCACTACACATTGCTTTAAATGTGTCCCAGATATTCTGGTATGTTGTGTCTTTGTTCTCATTGGTTTCAAAGAATATCTTTATTTCTGCCTTCATTTTGTTATTTACCCAGTAGTCATTCAGGAGAAGGTTGTTCAGTTTCCATGTAGTTGAGTTGTTTTGAGTGAGTTTCTGAATCCTGAGTTCTAGTTTGATTGCACTGTGGTCTGAGAGACAGTTTGTTGTGATTTCTGTTCTTTTACATTTTCTGAGGAGTGCTTTACTTCCAACTATGTGGTCAATTTTGGAATAAGTGCAATGTGATGCTGAGAAGAATGTATATTCTGTTGATTTGGGGTGGAGAGTTCTGTAGATGTCTATTAGGTCTGCTTGGTGCAGAGCTGAGTTCAAGTCCTGGATATCCTTTTTAACCTTCTGTCTCGTTTATCTGTCTAATATTGACAGCGGGGTGTTAAAATCTTCCATTATTATTGTGTGGGAGTCTAAGTCTCTTTGTAGGTCTGTAAGAACATGTTTTATGAATATGGGTGCTCCAGTATTGGGTGCATATATATTTAGGATAGTTAGCTGTTCTTGTTGAATTGATCCCTTTACCATTATGTAATGGCATTCTTGGTCTCTTTTGATCTTTGTTGGTTTAAAGTCTGTTTTATTGGAGACTAGGATTGCAACCCCTGCTTTTTTTTTTGCTTTCCATTTGCTTAGTAGATCTTCCTCCTTCCCTTTGTTTTGAGCCTATGTGTGTCTCTGCACGTGAGATTGGTCTCCTGAATACAGCACACTGATGGGTCTTGACTCTTTATCCAATTTGCCAGTCTTTGTCTTTTAATTGGGGCATTTAGCCCATTTACATTTAAGGTTAATATTGTTATGTGTGAATTTGATCCTGTCATTATGATGTTAGCTGGTTATTTTGCCTGTTAGTTGATGTAGTTTCTTCCTAGCATTGATGACCTTTACAATTTGGCATGTTTTTGCAGTGGCTGGTACCGGTTGTTCCTTTCCATGTTTATTGCTTCCTTAGAAACTCCTGTAAGGCAGGCCTGGTTGTGAAAAAATCTCTCAGCATTTGCCTGTCTGTAAAGGATTTTATTTCTCCTTCATTTATGAAGCTTAGTTTGGCTGGATATGAAATTCTGGGTTGAAAATTCTTTTCTTTAAGAATGTTGAATAATGGCTCCCACTCTTCTGATTTGTAGTTTCTGGCAAGAGATACACTATTAGTCTGATGGGCTTCCCTTTGTGGATAACCCGACCTTTCTCTCTGGCTGCCCTTCACATTTTTTCCTTCATTTCAACCTTGGTGAATCTGACAATTATGTGTCTTGGGGTTGTTCTTCTCAAGGAATATCTTTGTGGTCTCTGTATTTCTTGAATTTGAATGTTGGCCTGCCTTGCTAGGTTGGGGAAGTTCTCCTGGATAATATCCTAAAGAGTGTTTTCCAACTTGGTTCCATTCTCCCTGTCACTTTCAGGTACACCAATCGAATGTAGATTTGGTCTTTTCACATAGTCCCATATTTCTTGGAGGCTTTGTTCATTTGTTTTTACTCTTTTTTCTCTAACCTTGTCTTCTTGCTTTATTTCATTAATTTGATCTTCGATCACTGATACCCTTGCTTCCACTTGATCGAATCAGCTATTGAAGCTTGTGCATGCGTCACATAGTTCTTGTGCCATGGTTTTCAGCTCTATCAGGTCATTTAAGGTCTTCTCTACACTGTTTATTGTAGTTAGCCATGCGTCCAATCTTTTTTCAAGGTTTTTAGCTTCCTTGCGATGGGTTTGAACATCCTCCTTTAGCTTGAAGAAGTTTGTTATTACTGACCTTCTGAAGTCTACTTCTGTCAGCTTGTCAAAGTCATTGTCCATCCAGTTTTGTTCTGTTGCTGGCGAGGTGCTGCGATCCTTTGGAGGAGAAGAAGCTGTCTGGTTTTTAGAATTTTCAGCTTTTCTGCTCATGTTTCTCCCCATCTTTGTGGTTTTATCTACCTTTGGTCTTTGATGTTGGTGAGCTACAGATGGGGTTTTGGTGTGGATGTTCTTTCTGTTGGTGTTGATGCTATTCCTTTCTGTTTGTTAGTTTTCCTTCTACCAGTCAGGTCCCTCAGCTGCAGGTCTGTTGGAGTTTGCTGGAGGTCCACTCCAGACCGTGTTTCCTGGGTATCACCAGCAGAGGCTGCAGAACAGCAAATATTCCAGAACAGCAGATGCTGTCTGATCCTTCCTCTGGAAGCTTCATCCCACAGGGGCACCCACCTGTATGAGGCATCAGTCAACCCCTACTGGGAGGTGTCTCCCAGTTAGGCTACACGGGGGTCAGGGACCCACTTGAGGAGGCAATCTGTTCTATCTTTCCAACCCATTCTTCAAGCTCCTTTCCTTCCTTATTGCCTGGGAACCATATGGTTTTCGTGTCTTTGGCAAATACACCAAGGTTATCCCCACTTGCTCTTTCTTCTCACTGGAATATTCTTCCATTAAAACTTCGTATGGCTCACCCCTCACTTCTTTCAGGTCTGCTCAAATGTCAGCTCTTCTGAGAGGCCTTCTCTGATCACCCTATCTACAAAACCATCCTTCTGTCACCTTTGATTTTTTTATCCTGTTCTTTCATTTATAATATAATTTATTGCTACATGACATACTGGTACACAATTATAACCATATTACAATTTTGCTTACTATAATCTGCCTCTTTAAATAGAGTGTAAGTGCTATGTAGGCATTCTTTCTCACCAGTAAATGCTCAGAACCTAGAATTTGGTTGAAACATAGGCCTTCCATATTAGTTTATTTCAAAATGTCTCATTACCATTATTTTATAATTTATAAGGTCATTCAGAGACAGCACATCCCAGGAGATAAGAGATTAAGCTGTGCATATTCAGTTTTCTTCCTGAATCTTTTTGGTCAAGCCATCTTCTTGCAATACCCTGGTCATTGTGTGTGCCCATTAGAACTGATCAATTCTTACAAGTCAGGTTATAGTGCAGCCCTTTTCTGGAACTTTTTGGCTTAGTCAAAATTTCCAGTGCTCACTCTTCTTCATCTGCATAGAGTGATACAAGTGTATACTTTAAATAAAACTACATAAAAGAAACAAGACAGGCATATATATCTAAGCCCTACCCCTAGAGCAAATAGCTAATAAGTACTGGGCACTTAGTGTATGCCAGGCATTGTTTAAGCACTTTACCTGTAATGACTCATTTCATCTCCCCTAAAACCCATGAGGTCCTGTTATATCTGTTTTACTGATGAGAAAACTGAGATCAGAGAAGCGAAGTAACTTGTCCAAGGCTATAAGATCTCTATTATGAGCCCTCATGTCTGTAAATGTGAAATAGGCATCTGCACCTTCCTTCTATCCAGGATGCAGGGCCACCAATGAGTCCATTTGCAAGGACAAGTAACTTTTCCCTTAAAAATACTGTATACGTTGGTATCCTTCTCAGCTGTATCTCTCTCCATGATACTTGCCAGCCCTACCCCCATCTTCCAGCTCTTCTTGTAAAACTCTCAAGGTTCTGTCTCTCTATAATGGATCCTCCCTCAATCCAACTTTCCCTACCTTTCTATTATAGAATGGACCTGACCCCTCTTATCTCTTCAACTGGAACCTCAATGAGACCCTCTACTCCGTGGTCTCTGCATTGTTTTCACATCTTTATTGGAGAGAGACTTTATTATTGTCAAGCAATGTGATGTTGAGCAACTTGCTTAACTTCTCAAATATGTTTCCTCAATTATGAGAAAGGAAGGGTAGATTAAATGAACCTGGAAAACACCATAACTTTAAGACTTAAATGTTTTTATTTTTGACAAACTTGTAGAAAATTTGCAAGAATAATGCAAAGAAATCTTAGCTGTTGATACCCATCACCCATATCTTCAAATGTTAACATTTTACTACATTTGCTTTCTCTCTTTCTTTCTTGCTTTCTCATCTATCTTTACTTGTTTTCTAAACTATTTAAGAGTAATTTGCAGTCATGATCCATTTTACTCTTAAATATTTCAGTGTATACTTCCTAAAAATGAAGAGTTCTATCATATGCGACAGCATAATTATAGAAACAAGGAAAATAACAAGTATAAAACTATTATGTATTCCATACTCACTTTAAGGGCCTTCTTATTTTAAATCAAATGACTAAAAGTGGATTGTGTTTCATATTGTGCTTCCAACAGGGTTGAAGTTTTAATCCTCCTAACCACTCAGTAAGACCTTGATATCAACCCCATTTCCTGTGGATTTGCTCTCAGAATGATATCTCCATATCTATCTGGTTTCTTGCAGGGTGGTTGCAAGCCACCCAAACTATCCTTGGTTATTGAAGTAAAAAATCAAAATTTAAAGGGACATATGGTAAATATATTAGGACCCACAGAATTAGTAAAAGACCAAGAAACCAAAATTTTAAAATCTGTGGGAAACAAGGGTGGTTATCCAAACAGAACAACAGCTAAGTTTACACTGCAGGTTCACATGGTGAGATGAAGTAACAGCCACCACCCTTCCCATTGACACTGCCACCACCATCATCATCAGTACCACTGTCACGACAGTGATTTGACCATCCTCTCTACCTATGTATCACACACCCTAGATGCAGAGTGTGTGATACAATCTAAAATTTTATGTTTAGGTCAATTCATCCTCTGGGTATCATTATCAGGACAGGAAGCCATAATGGAAGGTTAGCCTGGCTAACACTCAACCCCCAAGACCATATAGAAAGTGCAAGAGGAATAACTTTTTATGAAGCAATTAGGATGCTCCTGGGAAGGGGAAGCTGAGGAACCATATGCTTGTACATTAATCATTAAGAAAAAATATACAGCTTTTATTACATTGGATATATGAATATTTTCTACCCACACTTGCAAAAGACTGATAGTAAAATCCAGATATTATCATTACTAAAATCTACCCCAATCTTATAAATGCAAATGCTTATGGCAATTAAATATTTATTTCAAAAGAAGGGCCCATCTGCTTGGAAAGAAATTTACTTTAGAAAAGAGGGTTGCTATTTGAGATAGCTTTAATATGTATGTGCAGCACTACCTCCCTCATACCTGCCTTGCCCCTCTACCACCAAGAAAGTCAAATAGACCCACATAAGATTTATTACAGCTAAGTTTAAATGTACAAATGAAACACCTGACCCAGTCAGCAATGACATCCATTAGTTGTTTTATATAATATTGCAGAAGACTAATGTCTGGAACATTAAATAAATAAATTGAAAATATATCATGAAAGTATGAATTCTAAAGAACCCGACCAACCTCTTGTGACCCCTTTGAACCAAAAGACTACATATAAAAAAAATTAATGGGACAAAGAAAATAACTTGACAAAGAAATTGAAAAGGAAGGGAAATTACTACATGTAACCACAACTGGGGACAGATTGTATCACAGGATTATTAGAATTTGGAGGAAAACATTATTATTTTTTAAATTGAATTGGATTGTTTATTATAGTTCTAAAAAGTATTGAACATGAGGAAGATTCCTAGTAAATATTAGATTATACCAGGAAATAATGTATATGAGAGGAGCGTCTCAGAGATAAATCTCTATATAAACAGTACAAATATTAAATTTTTCTTCTTGTAGCACCAATCTGATAAGAATTGCTCTTATATTTTATAAATAGCAAGTACTGTAATTCTGGTTTCTTACCTTTGCATATGTGAGCAGTAATGTTTTTAGAGATGACAACCATGGCAGTATTTCATGAGCTAGTCTAGTTGATGATCATTTTGAGGGAAGTACAGAAGAACTCTCCTGGGGAAAGTGTGGCCTTCATATTTAATTGCAGCGTGTTAGCTGCTTAACATCTTTTATCTACACTTCCACCTTTCAAAATGCTATTCAGCCAAAATTTTATCTATCTCCTCTAGGAAGCCCCTCTGAATGCCCTCAGTGGAATTTTTCTACCCATGCCCCAGGCTCCCCTCGTGCTTTTTAATATAACTGTATCACTTTGGTTTAGTTTGGTTTTGTCTTGTCTTGTATGACAGAGTGTATTATGGGTAGATACCCACCTCCAATGGGTTTTAATTTATTTGTATGGATGTGTATGTATATATGTAGTATTTACCTTCAAAGAAAGAAATATGTATATATGTTCATACATACATAGATATATACCTATTTATTTATTGTAGCATTGTGGTAGCATGCCATGGGCAGAGAAAATGGTTAATAAATGTTATTTAGAAGAATGACTAAATAAAAGACTTATTGGGCAATTCCAGTAATTCTGGTAAGCAGGAAAGTTCATGGGGGCAGAGCTGCAGGCATAGAAAGCTTTTTTCTTCATATGAAATCTAGTTGTTCTTTAAATTGCAATCAAAATACATGTTTTTTTACCCCTACTTGTCCCTATCACTGGAAAAACCCAAATTGCCTCACAGGTCATGATAACTATGTAATCCTGGTCTAAGCTTCTCCTGCTTTAAAATATACCATGGTCCACAGGGATCCAGGTAGTCAAGCAGATATACTCTTTGCCATTCCTTGGATATCAGTGATATAAATTACATTCCCACTGCTTGTGTCTTCGGTGTGTGGAAAATGCAATCTAATATTAAACCTTGGACACAATTTTACAGCACTTTGCAGAAGCAAGTCCAGTTTCCAGAGAGCACTAGACAAAGAGGTGGAAGAGAATTCAAGCTGATATCAGGGAGTCTTGTAAATGAGAGGTTTTCTAAATAAGAATTGGGAAAAGTTCATTAAAACAAAACCACTTCAACCCACATGACTCCAAACACTGTACAATGAATATATATCTGGTTAGAAAATCTCAGTGGTTTCCAAAGCTTTTGTCTTAGATTTCTGTTTTTGTGTCTTCAAATAAATGTATAGGCTTTCATAATCCTTAAACCAAGTAAAACCTCTCTTGCCACAGTTGTACTTAAAATTCATGGCAGAAAAATAATGCAATGAGTGTAATCTGTTTGTTTGCTAACAAGCACAACTAGCTTTGCCCAATTAACTAAAACTGGAAGAGAAAGTCATTTCCCTCTTTAATGCTGTTTGGTGTTTTTATAAGTGTGAATAATTGGGAAATTTTAATACTGAAAGTGTCCTCTGAATTTTTGGTAGTAATTATGGTGGAAGGTCTGACCTTTTCAGCATTCTTCTGCGCTCTGCCTTGAGTTTCTTGAAGGTTAATGCTGTACATCACTGGTCTCATAAAGCATTACTAGATGATTTGAGGAGAGAATTTGTACATGATTTTTCTCATTCTCATGGGTTAAAGGTCCCGACTGAGTTTTTCTTCCATGCTGGCCTCAACTGACTGTATCTACTTCCAGGAGAGAGACAGAAAAAAAGTATCTGTTATTCATGTGCTTTTCCAGATACTGGCCTCAGAACTGGGAGTAGCTTCTTGTTTGGACCAATCCTTTGCCTCCTTCCAGTGTGCTCATTGAGATATTGGAAACCATGTCTAGGTCAGTGTTGTATTCTTACCTCCCACCCAGTGGGCATATGTGAAAAAACTGGTGATCTGGAAACATTTGGGAAATTGTCTACCCCGCCAAGTTGTTCTAAGCTACTCCAATATTAAAGCAAGCCTGACTTTATATTTTGTGCTTGTAAATATATTAATTTTGTAAATCCAAACCTGGAAATATTCTTAGGATTTAGACAGAGAAAAAAGCTGGACATATGCATCTAATTAAGCTAAAACTCTACTCACTGTTTATGTCTGGAGTTTTTTCTTTCAGAATGAGTACGGAGAAATTTTGATCAATGTTTTGAATATACACTAAGGCAAATTTTGCATCAAATGTTTAGAAACAAATAACTTTATGCATAATTTTGCACATAAAAATTGTTATAGGGCAATACTATTTATGAGGGAGCAATGGAAAACTTCTTGATGTGCATTTTTCCCCATATCAAATTTGGAAAGTTCATAAATAAGTTTTATTATAAGGAAAACTAAAGGTTATACCCTCTTTTATTAATTCAGCTTCAAATTTGGTGAAGTACAGCTAAATTTCAAGAGGCATTTCACATTAATTTGATGCTCAGCCTTTAGTTTATTGAAGAGTCAATCCAGTTTCAGAAATCATGGAGACAGACTAGTTAAATGAGTATATGCTGACCTAACAGGCCAGCCTTTTGAGGTTCACCTGTAACTAGTTTGTGTACTCCATGTTGTGGTCACATTATATTCAGCTGGGAAGGAGCCTTGTCTGAATGCAGTAAGGATTTTATTTCTCTTTTAATGTGCTTTGCAAGATAGAGTACTTCAACTACCAAATATGTGCCCACTGAATTGCTTTGAGGTTTGTTCTTTATGTACTGTGTGGAATTGTGGGGAAAGAAGTCTCTGTTGACTTGAGCTAGCAAAACCAATATTTTAATTCAAATAGAGCACTCACCTGGGAAACTGGCAAATTTGGACTACAGCCCTTACCCCAACCTTGTTTTCTTTCTTCTCTCAGCCTCATTGTAAATTAACCAATCATTGACATCCACTTAAAGCATGCTGCCTTTTTAACTGAGGGCAGTGTGTGACCTTACTTTGGATATATTGAAAATGGAGGAATAGTTTAGTTTTTAAAGAAAATGGAAAGGAGAAAGGAGGGGCCTTTACATCTTTAACACTGAGCTCATTAAACCTCTAAAATTGATACCTTGAACATTTTCTCACATCGCCTTTACAAGACAGCAGGTTTACTTTAACAATGCTTAATTGTAAATAACAACGTCAACAACAAAACAACCACTACAGTGTTTGTGTGGTTTTGTATATTGTAGTGCTTAGGGAAAAAAAGACATAAAAATAACTTTGCAGAAAACATGATGGATCTATACCAGGAAGGTGAGATTACATAACTTGAATCATATGGGCTTGTTAAACTCCTTCTCCTTGACTCACTCATCACTCAAGAAGCTGCCTCAATTGCAATCTAAAATTGACCATTTCAGGAAAAGCAAACCTCAGCCTTCTCCAGAGGGTCCAATCTGGGTTGTGGTCATTATTTTACTACCAGTAATTTTAAATCTTCTTGGAAACATTACCTTTCTAATTTACTGTAAATTTTGACGGATCTGTGAAACCACACTTGAGATGTTGGTAAACTAAGTAGATATGTAGAATATGGATCAGGAGGAAAACAAGCAGTGCTAAATAGAACTGGAAGAAAAAAAACCCACCCCCAAACCTATAGTACAAGCCTGGAAATCAGTCAGCTTCAAGATGCTTCATGAATTGCAGTACAGCAGAAAGTCAATCAATTTTTTTTTTTAATGTTTACCTGTGGACCTTTCAGCAAACTATAACAGGACCTGATGCCACTGGATAGTTATAAACAGTGACACTTCAAGACAAAGTAGGATCTCCTCATATTCACTCCTCAAACATGCAGGGTCCCAAGGAAGCCATTCAGAGAGACCAACTTGACACAGTGAAAGCATTTGTCAGAGTCCTTTTCTTCTTAAATAAAGATCTGTCTCATGATCTTCTCTAAGAAGTTGGAATATTGCTTATTTTCTAGGGCTGTTCTAACTTTATAAAGCAAAGAATATTCCATACTAGGGCAGTTCTTGATAGTTAAAAACCAACTAAGTTTCATCACTGTGCCTAGGAAGGACCAACTGAATTTCCTTGTGATTAGTTTTGTAATAGAAAGTCTGGGTTTAAGAGAATTCAGACTCTCAAGAGGTATTTGTAACCATTTATTGAGTGACAATTCAGAAAGCTTGGGAAATATGGAAACTTTATTGGGCAGTACGGTAACCATTAGCACAAATTTTTTTCCCACATAGAATAACACCATAAAATGTCCAATTACAATACAACAAAATTAAGAATAAAAACAAAAAGCAGTTGTATCTTCTTGACTGTAGAACAGGGGAGGTTTAATAAAGTCTCATTTTAATATATAGTTACCAACTATTTATAGACGTCCAATTAAAGGTGGTAGGTTGAACATAAGCATTTCCTTTCAGTCCTTCCTAACCCTCCACTAAAACATCAGTAAATATATATGTCTTTGAAAACGTAAACCTACAAAGACAAAGCAAAAAGAGAAGAGACAAACCATCACGTGGTTAAAGATAAAATGCAGATGGATAAAGCAATTGAATGCAGCAGACCTGAAAAAGTGAAATGCTAAACTGAGAGTGAGGAAAGGGGAAACAACAACTTGATTTACTCCAAAGAATCCTTAGTATTCTCAGGCATTGGTGATGCCAAGTAACTCTGGATGTGGGAGGTGAAGTAGAGCTTTAAAAAAAAAGAGGGTGAGTTGAAAGAATATGTAAGATGAAGGAAATCCCAAGGTTCTCTTCCCCGACGAGGGCTGTGGATGAGAGGTTTATTTTCTGGAGAAGTGAAACATAGGCTCTCTGGGCTGGGAAACAGCAGGGGATAAGGTTTCATACGAAACAGGGAGATTAAGTAAATGTTACTGATACTGGGATTTGTCTAACAAAATGGCTTAATCATAGCACCATACAGTGAAATCCACAGTCCACAAGGCTTTACTATGAAGGCAAAACTTTCAATCAGCCTCTTAGTGCCCTCCTCTTTGATAGGAGCAGACTGTAAAGGATCACCAAACATTCAAGGACATTATCTGATATAAAAGGCAGAAATCAAAATAAGCTGACTAGAACAATCTGAAGGAAACAGAAAATATACAGGGAGAATGAAACTAAAATCAACAAAGAAACCTATTATTAATACTATTATGGACGTAAGAGAAGATATTACAATTGTAGAATTGGAATGAAAGGCGATTTTTAAGAATAATTCAGAGGACAAGAAAACATGCAGAAGTTAAAATAGCAGAAATGAAACCTCAAAAGAAGATTAGGAAGACAAAATGAAGAATCTCCTAGAAAACTAACAAAAATGATAAAAAGTAAATGAGAAAGTTAGATGACTATTCTATAAATTCCTATAGCTAAATAACAGGAATTCTAAAAGAGAGAATAGAGACAATGAAATGTAGAAAATCATTAAATCAATTATTTAAGGTAATTCCCCAGAACTGAATACTGTAAGTTTCCAGATGGAATGAGGCTAGGCAGTGACCTAAAAATAGATTACTGCCATACCAAGGAGTATTATTGTAAAATTTCAAAAATATGGTGAATAAATGAAGAGCCAAATGCATTGCAGAGAGAAAAAAAATTAGATGTCATAGAAGAAAGAAGCAGCAGACTGGCTTTAGACCTCTCAACCCATTATTGGCCAGTAGAAAGTAATAGAGCAATACTTTCAAAATTTTGAGGAAAAATGATTTTTGATTTAGGGGTCTATCAATTAATTAACCATAAAGATGAACTCTCAACCATAAAGGTAGAATCAATTCATGTTGTGACAAGTAAAGTCTTAAAAATTTACCTTCCAAAAAGTTATTGAAGTTTGGAATATATGTACCCTGCAAGACAAGTGAGTAAACCCCAAGCAATGGCCATATGAGGTCCAAAAAACAAGAGATGTAACATAAGACATGGACAAATGCAGTGCCCTGAAAAAGGAGGAAGTAAACTCTCAAGATGAGTACTATTTAATATATGCCAAATCTAGAAGGCAGCCAGTACAAGCAAGTTAATCAAAAGGCTTTTGGAGAGTTTCTTTAAACAGATGATATTGACTAGATACCCAAGGAGTTTGAACAGATTGAGAGATTTTTTCACTGGAGGAGTATTTGGGTAGAAGTGATGTGTTTAGAGATCTAAGCAAATTTTTTTAAAGATTATTATCTTCAGGAAAAATAAGCAAAGAACAAAATAACACCAAGATATAAAAAATATACCTTGTGTAAAAGTATAAGAGTAATTATACTACGTGGTTCAACTATGCATAACATTTACATAGTCATAATAATGTAAGTAATGGGTACTGATCTAGCAAAAATTATGACATTATTCTATTGGGATGAAGGGGGATGAAGAAAGTACATGTTTGAGGTGTGTAGAAATAAGTGTAAGTGGACCCTTGGCCTGGCGTCATGGCTCACACCTGTACTGCCAGCACTTTGGGAGGCCAAGGTGGGTGGTTCACCTGCGGTCAGGAGTTTGAGACCAGCCTGGCTGACATGATGAAACCCCATCTCTATTAAAAATACAAAAATTAGCTGGGTGTGGTGGCCTGGCCTGTAGTCCCAGCTACACGGGAGGCTGAGGCAGGAAAATTGCATGAACCCAGGAGGTGGAGGTTGTAGTGAGCT
Source organism: Homo sapiens (assembly GCF_000001405.40). Taxonomy (NCBI): domain Eukaryota; kingdom Metazoa; phylum Chordata; class Mammalia; order Primates; family Hominidae; genus Homo; species Homo sapiens. The sequence continues at coordinate 82,401,544 of NC_000009.12, forward strand.
GAGATTGCGCCACTGCAGTCCAGCATGGGTAACAGAGTGAGACCCTGTCTCAAAAAAAAAAAAAAAAAATTATAAGTGGGCCCACACAATCGAAAACTGTGTTGTTCAAGGTTCAACTGTAGTATGATATGCTAATTACTTAAAGATATGAAGATAAATAGCAAAATAATAAAGAATTTAAAGTGTTTCTGGAGAGTGGGAATTTGGGGAAAAGGGTTGGTTGGAGGGCTTGTTATTTTTCCTAACATGAAACTACTTACTTTACTTACTTGCCTTTAAATCATGCGTATGTTCAGTTTTAAAACATTAATTAAAATAATTTACCAACAGATTTGTTAATGCCAAATTTATGACAAAGACTGTCTCAAATTTTTTCTTTTTTTTTTTTTTAAGACAGACTCTTACTTTGTAGCCCAAGCTGGAGTGCAGTGGCGTGATTTCAGCTAACTGCAACCTCCACTTCCTGGGTTCAAGGGATTCTCCTGCCTCAGCCTCCTGAGTAGCTGGGATTACAGGCATGCACCATCCCACTCAGCTAATTTTTGTATTTTTAGTAGAGATGGGATTTTGCCATGTTGGCCAGGCTGGTCTCGAACTCCTGACCTAAAGCCATCCATCCATCTTGGCCTCCCAAAGCGCTAGGATTACAGGCGTCAGCCACTATGCCCAGCCCCAAATTTGCTTTAAAATCTTAAATCTGTTTGAATTTGGCAGTAAATATTGTCTTTGATTTCTACATTGTCATATGTTGCCTTAAATTTTGTTTTAGTAGTTTTAATAGATTTTTGTCATCACTACTAAGGTTACTTGATTAATAATGAAGTTATGCTCCTTTATAGGGGAAATATTTTATGTCAGTTATAACTACAAATGCTAATGTATAATCATGTAATGATTTAGGCTTTTTATTATTAAAATCTAGAAATAATATCACATGAAAATAAATGTCATAAATCACTCAATTTGAAGCCACAGATATAATCAATTTTTAACATTTTAGATATAAGCATAATTGGATGTATCAAATCATTCCAGATGTAGAGGTCAAGAGTTCTAATTTCTTTTTTAAAAGGATACCCACATCGGCTGGGCACGGTGGCTCACGCCTATAATCCTAGCACTTTGGGAGGCCAAGGCGGGTGGATCACCTGAGGTCAGGAGTTGGAGACCAGCCTCACCAACAAGCTGAAACCCCCTCTCTACTAAAAATACAAAAATTAGCCGGGCTTGGTGGCAGGCACCTGTAGTCCCAGCTACTTGGGAGGCTGAGACAGGAGAATTGCTTGAACCCAGGAGGCAGAGGTTGCAGTCAGCCGAGATTGTGCCATTGCACTCCAGCCTGGGTGACAGAGCGAGACTCCAACTCGAAAGAAAAAAAAAAAAAGGATACCTACATCAACAGTGAGTGTCTGTGAAAAACAGTTAAAATTTATTAGACACTGTGACAAAGGCTTTAATAAAGTGCTTCGTTATTTAACATATATATGTTGATAAAATTTAATTTTCGTTCATATAGATGAGAAAATACAGCTTTAAGTAACCTAAAACATCAAAAATTACCCCAATAATCAGTGACTATGCCAAAATACACCCTTTCTTTTAGAGATAGAAGTCTATATGGCACTGAGAGCTCAAGTTTGCTCCTTATCACCTTCTTCATGAGTCTTGGCCCTAACGTGTCAGTTAACTGTGATATTTAATATTATTTTGACACATTCCCTATAGGTAAATGGTCACAGTCTTGCCTATCTAAGTAAAGGCTTTCAGCAAATTAATATAATCCTTATGTAATATAATTCATTTAGATATCTTTCCTCTAAAAAACTCTGAGCCCTTTTTCTATGGCCATTTATACCAAAACGATTCTAATGACCTAGATAGACACTAGTCTCATCTAAATCTGGTATCTGGTTTTTATTATGTTGCTTAACCCTGGGAATGAAACCTTTAAAAGCTAAGTCTGAGGAATTGATGTGAATTTATCCATATAATGAAAGTGGGACTTAACCAACTCAAATGATTTTTCTTTGTTCAGATTCTCAGCCTGATTAGACCTCTATTTTGATACATTCATTCAACATATTTATCAACTGCTTGCTATGTGAAAAATGCTATCCTAAGTACTAGTCATGGTCTGATTGGTAAGTTTCATTACTTGCAGAAAAATGAAGTAATTGTTTATTGAATGACCAATGTGTGCTAGGCATGTTTATATATAATCTCTATATATGCAGTACCTAATATAATCCATATATATGTAATACATATAATCTAATTTAATCTGTATGAATCTCTATTATCATCCCTGCTTTAAAAAGAAGGAAGCTTCTGGCCAGGCTCAGTGGCTCATACTTGTAATTCCAGCACTTTGGGAGGTCAAGGCAGGCGGATCATCAGATCAGGAGATCAAGACCATCCTGGCTAACATGGTGAAACCCCGTCTCTACTAAAAATACAAAAATTTAGCTGGGTGTGGTGGCGGGCGCCTGTAGACCCAGCTACTCGGGAGGCTGAGGCAGGCGAATGGCGTGAACCCAGGAGGCGGAGCTTGCAGTGAGCCAAGATGGCGCCACTGTACTCCAGCCTGGGCGACAGAGCAAGAGCCTTGTCTCAAAAACAAAAAAAAAAAAAAAAAAAAAAAGAAGGAAGCTTTTACTCAATAATGTTAACTTGCCTAATAAATACTAGGTTTTTGTGTTGTAATACAAAGTGAAATATAAGAAATTATTCGGGTTTTTTCCAATGTATGTTTTGGCTGAATCCATGTGTCTTATATATCAGTAGTTTGGGAAATACTTAGAAAACAATTAGATTATCAGGGGCAAAACACCAAAATGCATAAACATCAGGGTGCAACATGGTGACAATTTGTCTACTAATTATGATCTCTTCCTTGTGTTCAGTTCAGTTGTGTTGCGACTGAATGACTTAACAAGACTGAGATTTTGGAGGTTATTCACCATAAGATCTTAAGGAGATGATAATGATCCTTTACAGTGATGATATAGAAATTCTTGAAAAGAAGTAGGCCTTTAGGGATTGAAAGAATGAAAACAAAGAGGATGGATGTTTTTTAACTGAAGGTAGAATAAATTACTCTCTAAGGGGAATGACATCACTTGGATAAGATTACCCAGATGATTAAAGGCTTGGAAAATGTCCCATTGAGAAAAGTCTAAACCATCTGAGATAGCTTAGTGTAAAGAATGGAAACTGAGAGATTACATATTAATGAATAGTTTTTTAGTTTATAAAGGGGTATCATTTAGAGGAATTTTCTGTCTAAATGGAAGTCTGTACATAAAGAATTAACTGATGATACAGCAAAGGAAACTTTTGCTAAATATTTTTGAGGTCATTAAAAACTGAATTAACTACCAAGCAATGTTGCAGGCTATCTTCAAAGGCGACTGTTACAAACACATACTTATTCAGCCATCTGGAATAGTTTATCTGTGATACGATAGAACATCATGTGATAAGGAATAAATCAGAATTCCCCTTAAGTACCCTTCCAGCTTTCTAATTTAAGGCTCAATATGAACTTTCACTTTGCTTCCTTTTTCAGGACTCTGCAACTGATAACTCAAGCGCTATTGTGTAAGGATACCAGATTTAGATGAGACTGTCAGCAGCCCTCTGGGTCCTCACTGCTCGCAGTGTCCACAGGCAGCAGCAGCAGAATCTGGGAGTTTATTAGATATGTAGGATGGCAGATCCACTGCAGGCCTCCTGAGTCAGAATCTGTCCTTTAAGAAGATCCCCAGGTAGTGCATATGTGCACTGAGGTTTGGGAAGCACCAGTCTAGTCCATTCTCTCTGTCACTAGAATAAACTGTCCTGGCCTTTTTCCTAAGCAGATTTCTTTTCAGATTGTTCCAAAAGATAATATGGAAAAAAAATCTCCCTTGACTCCAATGATTATATTGATGGGTATACATTGATTTTTATTGCCAAGTTTCTATTTTATGGGAAAACTATTCTCCAAAAAAATCAAAACAAGAGACTCAAGGTTGTCTCACTCAGAGGCACTTAAAAAATAAATAAATAACCTGGCCACCAGGCTTTCCACAAGGAAAAGGAACAATTAAGCATTATACCAGAGGTCTGGTATAATGGTTTCTATTTCATACAAAACTAAAGGTAGTTTTTGTCTCTCGTTCTCTGTTTCTGCTCAAATATCCATCCTGCTCTCTCTCTCTCTCTCTCTCTGCCCTCTCTCTCTCCTTGTCTTTGTGTGTGTATGTGTGCATGCAAAGATGTGTGTTTGTACAACCAAAAACCTTGGAAATTTGTGGTGTTTTTACTCCAGCATCCTGACTTTATTTAAATCAAGATGTAAATAAAACTCTTTTGTTTTGAAGACCAATAGGAATTAAATCCAAGAAGGAAGGCTTTGTAAAATATGGTGCAGGTCAACCACAAACATTTCAAAGGGCACCACCATTGAGACAACATGGAAGTGGAGGAAACAATTGAACAACATTAGAGTCAAGTGAGAGTTGACTGTGAAGGGCATGGGGAGTTTCACAGTGACTCCTGGGTTTTGAGCTTTTGTGAAGATAACAAAAGATGCCTCTTGATTTTAATTTTTCTAATCAGCCTTCCCAAATTTATTATGGAAAATTACTTTAAGTGTTTATACTTTCCACCTCTTCTCTGTATGATCTGTATAAAATAAAATTACTTTACATGACATTGTACCCTGTCTGCCTTCCTCCTTATTTGTCCCAGTGCCCTTGTAAGGAGAGAAGCACTGGACTGTAGAAAAATGAAATATCTGATGGTAAGCATCATTCTAAAGACAACAAGTAATGCAGTTTAAATTATGGAACATTCTCCCTAAACTAATTTAGAAAATGATTACCACTATAGTGGCCAAGTTAGCGCAAACTCATTTAGGCCACCTTGTTTTCCCTGAATGAAACATGAACTCCGGGGAAGCCTGTTGTAACTTTAAAGTTTTCATTTAAATAACTACAGCTTTATTTTAAGTATTTCTTTCATTTTTTTCAGTTTACAAACTAACAGATAAGAAATACCTCCCATGATGCTGTGCATTCGTCTGGTGCTTCTGCAGTAATTAGTGAGATTTCTGGATGAATTATGCCATTTAACATCTGTTATTAATTATAACCACATTTATTGCCTCATAACAATATCATTACAAAGGAAAGCTGTGCAGATGAGAAGCATTTCTTTGTAAACCCTAATAAGTGTACAATGTGTGTGTAAATATTTACTTTTCCATAATTCTCTCACTGTTTAATTGTGACTCTGTGTTTAGCCATTTTAATTAGGTTGAATTTCCAGCCCTTTGGCATTTAGATATTTAAGTTTAATGCTCTGTTGATGAAATTTTCTTGCTTTTAATCTATATTACATGTCACAGAAGCTCTGTCTGTGCTACATCAAAGTTTTTAAAAGGGAATTTGGTAAAAGGAAGGCTAGCAGGGCAATCAGAATCCATTCTGGGGCAAGGGGGGCCACTGTCGATTTCAGTGACCTGCTACAGTATTTTTTAAGTTATTATACTACTAGTCAAAAACTGGAAAATGTGCAAAGCTTGACATTAGTATTTTTATGAGAAGCATGCTAACCGCATTCTTTATTTTTCTTGTGTCCTTAGGTAGAAAAGCAATAGCTAAATAGAAAGGGCTGGTGCCTGGCTAGGAGGAAAACAGAAGCAAACTATGGGATGAAAGAGACCCTCATCTTTAAGCACTAGGGATTTCTCCTGGAGGAAGAAATATTCAGTTAAACACTTTACATGTATTTAGATTTGGGTTTAGTGGTTTTTGCAGTTGGGAATCACATATCTTGATTTTTAACCCTTCAAATTCTGGGAAAACACTTACCATAGTTCTATCATTGGTATTACCTTTATCTCAACCCAAATTGTTTGCATAGGAAACCAGGCATGGTTTTGATGATGGGCTGAGGGAAGGAAAGGAGAAGGAAGCCAGGAAACTAGAATGAGAAGGAGCACTATAAAGTGAGAATGGAGAACAATCTAGCTGACCTTCTCCCAGCCCTTTGAAGTAAGAGTGGAGTTACAGACAGAACCACTTTTGCTGGCAAAACTGCCACGGCTTTTGGAGAAGCTCAACAAGCAGGAGTGAAAGGATTTATTCTGTTGATGGAGAGTCTGAGCTCTTCAAGTCAAGAGGCAAGTAGGGAGGTAAGATAAAAAGAACATATTCTTGTGTGGAAGGAGGCTAAAAAAGTCATTGCCAGGCTGTGATTGCCAGGATGACTATCAGGAGCTCTCAGTGGAGATAAGAATTTGCAAGTAGTCTCTAAACTTATTTCATTGGTCTACTGAATGCCATACAGTCCACCAGGGGCTGTCTGCATCTGGACCTCAAGTCTTTATTTTTCTTTCTTTCTTTCTTTCTTTTTTTTTTTTTTTGAGACGGAGTCTTGCTCTGTCACCCGGGCTGGAGTGCAGTGGCGTGATCTCAGCTCACTGCAACCTCCACCTCCCAGGTTCAAGTGAATCTCCTGTCTCAGCCTCCCAAGTAGCTGGGACTACAGGTGCAAGCCCCCACATCCTGCTAATTTTGGTATTTTTAGTAGAGACGGAGTTTCACTGTATTGGTCACGCTGGTCTCAAACTCCTGACCTCAGGTTATCCACCCATCTCGGCCTCCCAAAGTGTTGGGATTACAGGTGTGAGCCACCGCATCTGGCCCTCGAGTCTTGATCACTGTTGATAGCATTCTGAGTCCTTGGGGGCCTTTGCATCTTCTCTCTTTGGGGGGAAGAATGCAAAAAGGATCTGCAGCAAAAAATACTGGGTCTTGATAACTTTGCTTGATGAAGCAAGGAGGAAGATATAAGGTCAGAAATAATTGCGCATTTACACGCCTAGAAGAAATGTCAGGAGAGCAAGCTTGTGTTGGCAAGGAAAAAAATATGCCTTGATTTGCATGTACTAAGTTTAATGGGTCCTAAATTGTGTGATTTTTCTTCCCAAACTACCTACATGGTTCTTCTCACCCAGTCTAATGTCCTTATGCTGATGTTCTGGTGCTACACATTAAGGAATAGCTATGATTGGTGTCACCTGGGCCAGACAGATACTGATCACCAGAAAAGTGGATGCAGTACTCAATTTGATGTGGAGCTTCAAACATTAGCCTCTTAACTGAAGTATGTTTAATTTCTTTGGTGAATCATTAAAATTCAAGGCCAATCTATAAAATTAGCTTCTATTACTACATCACAGTTGTACTTTTATTAAGTTAGAAAGCCTCATAACTATCTTCTGCCAGAATCTCAGCTGTTAAGAAGAGAATTTAAACCTTCCAATTTCTTCTCCCTTCTACCATTCACTCAGGCCCTCCATGATCATAATATTGATTTCATGACCTTATTTCCTCTTCTAAAGAGATACCGTCTTAACAGTGCTCTCTTTGGCCATCACTGTTACTGATGCTTATATTTATATAGCTGTATTAAAATATTAGATTGATGCTTTTGCGTTGTCCTGGATTCACAAAGCATCATCCAGAAGAAACAATCTAACAGGAGTGGTAATGTCCCAATTTTTTAAATCAAAATCCTAAGTTCAATTGAAACCCAATGGCCCCATAAGACCACTTATGTGTGGCATAACCAGAACTGAAATTGGTTTTCTGATCCCTAGACTGATGATTTTTTTTTTCATGTTGCCACTTTCGGACTCAACTCCAAAGCTCAAGAACCACTAAGATTGTAAAGACAATGACAATCTTATCTCTCTCTGGAAGAAGATGCACAATTCCCAAATTAACTCCGATGTAATGTAGGAAGACTTTTATTCGTCCTCGAGGGAAGAAAGTTTTTACATTTAACCCAAAGAGATTGAAAAACACTAGACTTTGCTAACAGCTCTCCATAACTTCTATACAAATCATATGAGCCTATTTCTAAGAATACTTATATCTGGCTGTCACACTTGATTTCTTCCTCTCAGAAGTAGAGTGGCTTTCTTTTGTAATCCTCAAATCACTTTGCTTCCCACTCTGAAAAGTCACGAGCAGGGCAATAGTTCCACAACATAACTAGTGGTTGAGAAACACAAGGCCATGCTGCAGTACTTCCCGAGTTTCAGGAATACTAGTCATAGTCCTGGGAGTCTCCCTGACCTGAAAATTTCATTGAAGAGTAGCTGACATTGTTAATTTAACCTCCTCCTCTTTATCCAGTATGGCAACTTCATGCAACAACAACAAATTCCAGGGACTTGCCAGTGTGGTGATTTTTATAAAGATGAGTTGTTGACAAATGTAGTAGTTTTCTTCCTCCTTATTAAACAAGACCTAGGCTAGATCTCCTATAGCTAATGTGTTGACACTCTAGTGTGAAGCACTCTGTTGAGCACTTCTAACACAGCAATCAGAAAAACAAATTATCCCCTGAGTAGTCCCCCTTACTAGCAGGTAAGAATATAAAAATACATTTGCTTTTTCCCAGTGGTTAATTTTCTGTTCCTCTGGAGATCAATATCTATTTACATTTACTTACCTAAGGAGAGAAAGGCTAGAAATTTTTCAGAGGACAAGGTTAGAGGTCAGGAAATTATTCAGTTGCATTCAGAAACTTCTAAGAAACACTTGAAACATTTGACATGTTGAAGCCAAGCTCAACAGCTCAAACAAGATAAATCTTATTCTGACTTATCAATATGAAGGAAAAACTATTAGCTTTGACAAAGTCATTGCTAAAAAGTATTCCAAAGCTGAAAATTTGGACATGTCATTGTCCTCCTAAAAGTTTTCCATATCTTTCTATCACCTATAGGATAAAACCTAAACTCTATAACATCATTTTCATAATCTGGGCTTCATCCATCTGTTCACTTGCATCTCTTGTCATCAAATCTCCCCACTCTACTGTATTTAAGAATTTACAATTCTCTGAATACTCTGTGTGTGGGCCTCTGGGTATTTGCTTATGCTATGCCTTTTGCCTGGAATGACTCATCACCTTGCTCAACTGGAAAACACCTACTCTTCTTTCTAAATGCAACTCAAATGACACCTGCTTAATGGAGTCTTTCCTGCCTTCTCCAGCTGACATAGAGGATCCAAGATAGGTTATACACAACTCTACCCTGATCATTATCATCATCCTCTATTAGATTTGTCTCTTTCCTGGCTGTCTTTATCCCAGAAGGCAACCTCCTTACGAGTAGGTATCATATGAGAGAATAAATGATTGTGTCCTATTCCCAAAATGATTCCCTCTATATACGTACTCCCAAAGGTGGGAAAGTATAGGTAACCAATGACTCTCACGTGTACTTCTTCTTCAGTAAAATGTTTACTGTCTTCAGTAAGTCTTTGCTTTTTGAGGTGAGCATTAACTTAAGACCTAGATTAAAACCAAAGCAGGTCATGAACTGTTGTGGTCATTCTCTTACACTTTGCCCACACTTCCTATCAAACTCCTGCCTCTGTTCCTCCTTCTCCATGTCAACCCTTGCCCAGAGTGACAACAGTAGAAAATGTCTTTCTAACCTCAGAGTAACAGTCAAAGGTAGCTAAGATTTCATAATCTCCCAACATGATGACAAAAAACACACAGGTAAAAGCATGCTTTATAGACATATGAATCCTAAGTAAACCTTAAATGTTTTTCTATTCACCTCCCTCCTTCTCTCTTGCATTTTTGGAATTAGTCCAAATTCCTTTTGAGATTACCTTGATCTTTAAGTCCTCAAACACATCTAAAACTTGTCTTGCTTCATCTGGTATAGTTTCTTTTTCATGACATTATAAGAATCAACTAAAATTTCAAGAGTCCAGAATGTTGCAGCTGAAGCACTTTCATATTTGAAAAAAGCATAATCACAATTCTTTCCCCATATGCTACCTTCTCAGCAGGGCTATTTTTTTCACCCTCAGAAATGTATAGTGTCAGAATTCCTCAAATAAGTTAAGAGTTGAGAATCAAACTCAGAATGATCCTGTCACTACATTCCAGAGGGAATGCCTCTTTGCCCAGGTCCCTGGAATCTCCCATTTCCAATTCTGTGCTGTAGACCTGGAACAAGCTTAAAGAACCACTGTTCAAAAAGGATACAGGTATCTATTTTCATTCAATTCAACATGTGGTCTGAGATGCATATCTGAAAGCATAGTTTAAAATTTTTTTTTGGTCTTATGATATTTAAAATTTTCTTGAGACCATCTGGAAAGAGGTTTCCCTTTAACAATGTCAGTCTTTCTCCACATTTCTCTAGTTATTGCTTCCTTTCTGTCTGTCCTTCCAATATTTCTAGGCTGTGGTTGGAAAGGCATTTTTTTCCTTTTATACTTAACATTTGGTGAACTTTTCCTCAGGTTACACAAGGTGCGGGTGAGGGTGGAGGTGGCTTTCGCTTTCTCAGCCCTGACCCCTCCAGCTCACACATCCTAGGTTTCTGTTCTTTCTAAGTACCTCTTCTCAGTTTCTTCCAGAACAGCCTGGATCCATATCTGCTTCACCTTGGTAACTTGAACCTTTGATGGATCTTGGGGAATAAGCAGCTCGTACTGTGAACTCTGATACCTTTTACATAATAGCATATCAATAAATGCTTGAATGAGGGAAAAAGTGAATGACTTTCACTAATTATGAATTTCTTTCCTTGAGCTGTTTGCCTCTGACTTTTTATATATTCTGAAAGGGAATACTACGTCTATATTTACTAAGTCCTTTCTCTCATTTTGTTACTTTTTATCTGGTAAGAGAGCATTGATTGGGGAAATTCTTTAATATAAAAAGGTGTAAAAGAGGTGATGATATAGAAACAACTATATGCATCCCCAAGTGTGCAGCAAGAGTGAGGACTGATTTGACATTGAAATGCTCTATGTCTATAAAATTCACTCATTAGAAGGCTTTTATCTTGAGGCTGTAATACCTCGAATTAGCATAACTTTGAAGTCTTCCTTCTATGAAGCTGCCCAAGTAAGTGATTCTCAGTCTTTGCAAGTCATCTTTTAGCCATGGCTTTGTTAAAGCAAGCTGACTTAAGCTTAGTCATAATTACAAAATTTTGGGTGGGCAAAGCAAGATACTTTGATATTTCTACTTTATCATCTGAAGGAACTTAAGGAAGATGAGCTCATTTGGAGAGAATGAATATCAATGGCCATTACAAGCTGTTACTGCTAATGGTCTCTGAATATCCCACATCACTTAGCACTGGAAGTGATGAAATTGATTTTAAGAAAGTTTGCTGTTCTAAAAAATTCCATGGTTTGTACGTGGGATTGCTTGTCTCTGAATTGAGGGCACAGACATTTCTACATGTAAGCATTCCATCAGGGGCCTTGGGGCATTGGAGCAAGTTTGGACTGGAACCACTGCCTCTGCTTCTGCCTGCATGGTCTTAATCCAAAGCACCCAGAACATGTATTCTGTAGTGGCAGCAGTTCATTGGAGGTGGAGATTCGCAAAGACTTCAAGTAGTTGGAGAGACTAAAGCCAGGGATAAGTTCCTTTGCTTATCTGCTATTGTAGCTAGAAGAGCTAATCTCAATGAGAAGCACAAGACTTTCCAATCTTGGTATTTATGGCTGGAGCATAGAACACATTTTTTTAAAAGAAAGAAAGTAAATGAGGTGTGTGCAGTTGGAATAGTGCTGTTATTGCCTTCCATTGCTTGAAATTAAGTCATTTGTGGGTAGGACCAGGACTCAAGCCTCCAGTAATTATATACTTGCAAGACTACACCAACTTAAACACAAAAATTGAGGATATACTTATTTATACAAATATAAATCAGAATTTTGTCAAAACAGAAATGTCAGTGCCCAGCTAGCTACCATTGTTGGTAGTACTGGAGTTGCCCAACCATGCAGTTCTTCCTCACCAACCTAAAACTTCATGTTTAGAACTGGAAACAATTGCCTGAATTGCACTCACCAAGGTTAGAATAAGTATTATACTTATTTCAGCATATAGTACAAAAGCTAGGTAATACAAGAGAAAATTAGTAAAACATTAAAAGAAAGCAATTAAATCTGAGTTGCAAGAAGGAGGGAAATATTACCTCAGTGTGAGGGAGTTGGATTTGAAACTCTTCTGTTATAATTTCAGCCTCAATCAGCCTCCTTTATAATTTTGCAGCCAGCAGTAAATTTCCTTTAAACTTACAGTATCTTTTATGGTCAAGTTATTGACAAAGGAAAAGCCAGCTTCTTAAAAGTAATCTTTTAGGCTTTATGAAAGTAGAGAATAGTCTATTTCTGATTTTTTGTTTTGTTTTGTTTTCTATTTTGTTTCCTTATTTACCTTAAGAAGTATAGGTTACAAAATCAATATACACAAATCAGTATCACTGCTATATACCACCAGTGACCAAGCAGAGAATCAAATCAAGAACTCAATTCCTTTTACAACAGCTGCCAAAAATTTTAGGAATACCTAGGAATATACTTAACCAAGGTGGTGGAAGATCTCTACAAGGAAAACTACAAAACACTGCTGAAAGAAATCATAGATGACACAAACAAAAGGAAACACATCACGTACTCATGGATGGGAAGAATCAATATTGTGAAAGAGACCATACTATCCAAAGCAATCTACAGATTCAATGCAATTCCCATCAAAATACCATCATCATTCTTCACAAAACTAGAAAACTTCTAAAATTTATATAGAACCAAAAAAGAGCCCATCTAGCCAAAGCAATACTAAGCAAAAAGAGCAAATCTAGAGACATCACATTACCTAACTTCAAATTATACTACAAGGCTATAGTTACTAAAACAGCATGGTACTGGTATAAAAATAGGCATGTAGACAAATGGAACAAAATAGAGATATCTGAAATAGAGCCAAATACTTACAGCCAACTGATCTTCTACAAAGCATACAAAACATAAATTGAGGAAAAGACCACCTATTCAATAAATAGTGCTGGAAAAACTGGCAAGACATATGTAGAATGAAACTTGATCCTTATCTCTCACTTTATGCAAAAATCAACTCAAGATGGATTAAATACTTAAATCTAAGATCTGAAACCATAAAAATTCTAAAAGATAATATCAGACAAACTCTTCTAGACATTGGCTTTGGCATGACTAAGACCCCCAAAGCAAGTGTAACAAAAATAAATAAATGAGACCTAATTAAACTAAAAAGCTTCTGCACAGCAAAAGAAATAATCAGCAGAGTAAACAGACAACCCAGAGTGTGTGAAAATATTTGCAAACTATGTATCTGACAAAGGACTAGTATCCAGAATCTATGAGGAACTCAAACAAATCAGCAAGAAAAGAACAATCCCATCAGAAAGTGGGCAAAGGACATGATTAGACATTTCTGAAAAGATGATATACAAACAGCCAACAAACGTGAAAAAATGCCCAACACTACTAATCATCAGGAAATTACAAATTGAAACCACAATGAGATACCACCTTACTCCTGCAAATAATGGCCATAACTAAAAAGTCAAAAAACAGTAGATGTTGGCATGGATGTGGGGAATGCTGGCACACTGCTGGTGGGAATGTAAATTAGCACAACCACTATGGAAAATAGTATGGGGATTCTGTAAAGAACTAAAAGTAGAACTGCCATTCGATCCAGCAATCCCACAACTGGGTATCTACCCAAAGGAAAAAGAGTCATTATATGAAAAAGACACAATTTGCAATTGTAAACATATGGAACCAACCTAAGTGCCCATCATACAGCATACAGATAAAGAAAATGTGGCATATATACACCATAGAATACTTCTTAGCCATAAAAAGGAACAAAATAATGTCTTTTGCAGAAACTTGGCTGGAGCTTGAAGCCATTATTCTAAGTGAAGTAACTCAGAAATGGAAAACCAAATATTGTTTATGTTCTCACTTATAAGTGGGAACTAAGCTGTAAGGATGCAAAGGCATGAGTGATGTAATGGACTTTGGGGACTCAGTGAGGGAGGTCTGGGAGAGGGGTGAGGGATAAAAAACTACACATTGGGTACAGTGTACACTGCTCAGGTGACAGGTCCACTGAAATCTCAGAAATCACCACTAAAGAACTGATACATGTAATCAAAAACCACCTGTGTCTGAAAAACTATTGAAATAATAGAAGTAAATTGGATAGGAATAAAAAAAGAGGAATCTAGCTAGGGTTTTCCAAAATTAATCATATACCAGAAAGGTGAAAGAGATAACTTCAGAAAAAGTCCACTTACTCAAAAGGAGAGTAGATTAATTCATTAATTTTATATTTGAGTGCCTGCCATGGGCCAGGGATGCATTTGTGCATCCTTGCCCATGTACCAGCTCATAAAGTCAGATACAATGTTAAAGAAAAAAATACTCATGACACTTTTTAAAGATTTTATTTAGTACTATCAAATAGGTATAGGAACCACTGTAATGGAGTTTTGTGGAGGCGAAAGATTGGGCTCAATTGCAGATACACCAAAAAAAAAAAAAAAACTGGGAATTTGGAGTCGGGGGTCAGTGGACGGAAATTGCTAAGAAGAAACATCAGGGGTAAAGGGATAATCTGGCTGAAATGACCCAATAGTATTCTTGCTGAGGACAGGCCAGGATGATCAGACATCACCTGGAGGATGGTGGGGAATACGAATCTGATCAAATATCGAGGGTAATCAGATACGGAGGGTGGAGAGTTCTGGTAAAACTGACTTTGCAGGATTCTTGCTAAAATTGCACAATGCAGACAGATATGGAGACATAAAAGTTGAGGCCTAGTTGGGAAGAGGGTTTAGAGGAGCATCACTAGAGTTTGGTTAAGGAAAGAATCTGTCAGTAGCCCCTGCCCATCCTAGTGGGAGATGATTGTAACCCGTGCTGTGAAAGGAAGGTCCATAATATTATGAGTACATACAGCAGGGGATCTGACCTGGCCTGGAGATCAAGAAGGTTTCTCTGAGGAAGCTGGGATCTCAAGGAAGGATAAAAGGGGACAAGAGGGAGAGTGGAGAGAGAGGAAGTTCCACTGTGAGACTTTGAACATAATGTGAGGAGTAGAACCCATTATTGGAACTGGAGGAGATGTGAGTACACAGAGCAAGGAGGAGAGTGGTAGGAAGCAGCAGCAGGAAGGGGGCATGAAACAGACCGTGAAGGGTATGGTGGTGGGTGGTGATCTGATCACATTTTCATTTTCAATGCTATCTCTAGCTGTAAAATGGAAAAAAAAAGATGGAGACAAATGCCAGAGAAAGATCAGGTGGTACTAGAGAGAGAAGGTAAATTCAAGAGATATTTAGTAAATAAACTTAATGTCACTTAGTGATGGGTTTAATAAGAAAGGAAAAGTGAATCATAGGTTTTTGGATTTAGATCTGGGTGAATGGAGGTGCCATTGTAATAGAAAATAATGGAAAAGGCCCAGGTTTGTGGTTGGGAAATTTCTATGATTTTTCTTTTAGCCATGTTGAATTTTAATGCCTTTAAGATGTGGCAGGAGATTTAACAGATTTTAAAATGTGGCATATGTAATTCAGATGTATAGCAAATATTGTCTTTATTTTCCATAATTGATTCTATCTTCCTCATAGACTCTTCCTGTTAGCACGGGTCCTGGAGTAAGTTGACAGCTAATATATTTCTGTTTATCTTCTGGTTGAAATAGTATCTTTTCATTTTATTCAGTCTCTTTGAGGTAAATTCAGTCTTTGAGATTTCTGCTCCTTCTTCCCTAGGCCTCCTAAGATTATGTCCAGATGTAGGGTTCAAAGGGGTTTCTGTGAGATGGCAGCAATGGGCAGAGGAGCGTTGGACTCTCACACTGATTTCTGGTTATCTCTGGGCTTTGGCCTAAGGATGGCCAGTCAAGTCTAGACCCATGATATTCCATGAAATGTAACTCATCTCTTTAGCCCCTGGGGCCATGACACAGGCCTCCATTTCCAAAGTAAGTTTAAGTATCATACATTCTATGAGTGTCTCAGGAAATTCTTGTTTCTTCTTTTACCATAGCACCATTTACATTTTTTCTACTTTCAAGTGTTAGATTATATTCTGACTTCTACTTCTTTCCACCACTACCAGTTAGAGAATTTACAAGGGTAGGGACTTTGGTCAATTTCTTTTCTGCATCTGAGCTCTGAGCATACTGCCTGTCATAATAGATACGTAAAGAATACTTACTGGATTGAATTGAAATGGGATCTCTTACTTCCCAAAGCTTGTTGGCACAAGTCTGAGGTACCAAAATTATTTCCATGTGCTGTTTCATTTTTTTAATGCAAAATCGAGTTTATTTTGTGATGCTGACTGGTATGGAGAAGAAATAGGGCAATCTGAATGAAAGAAAACTTCTTGTGACATTGGAAACTCTCTTAAATCTCTTTTGTCTCATCCTGAAATAGTTACCCCCTTTTGTAAGCATTAAACAGCAATTCTTATCCATTGTCCAGTTCAGAAGAATCATGGCTTAAGAATAGCAATGTCTCAAGGACCTTTTGAGCCCTGAGTTGGTGGGTTAGGAATTTAGACAGGATTTTTTGTGGGAAATGGGTAATCAGAGGTACAAAAAGAAAAGGCTTCCACGGCCTTTTGGTTTCCTGCTGCATACCTTATTGTAGAAATTTGCATGCTCTATTGTTTGCAAAAGCAAGAAAAAGGCAACAAAATAAAACTACCAAAAACCCAGAACTCTTGCCATCTTAATTCCTGGTACAAGTTCTCCCCTCCTGACAGGCTTTGGCAATAATGAAACACTGAATCTCAGCTCTGGGAACATTTTATAGATGATCTAGACTATAGGTTCTAGAATCTAGACTCTAGACCAAGTCAAAGAAAGTCCTTCCTTTTTCTGTTCACTAAATTGTCCCCAGAATATGAGTGTATTTAGTGCAATGGGAGCTCGATACATGTTTAATGAATGAGTAAGTGAATGAATAAAATTTCTTTCTTTGCAGTTGAGAAAGCATCGGTTGAGAAAGGCCAGGGGACTTGTGTAGGGTCACACCATTTGTTCGTGGTAGGGCAGGTGAGGAACCACGGTCTCCTGATATCTCATTTGCTGCACTTCAAGTTACACAATAATATTTCCTGCAGCTTAAACCACAGAAGCACTCACCCTTGAGTGCTGTAATAGGTTTCTAGAATTTATTTAAACTATAAAAAAACACAGGACGAATGGTTGTTTTGGCTCACGTAATGGATCAGATATCTAGGAATGCCAAAAGCATATTTATTTACTCACAGGTAGCAAAAACATCATATAATTCTTTTTGTGGCTGTCCAGGCAATGTAAATTTTTTTTTTCTGTTCCAGTAAAGTGTACATTGATTAGAAATTATTGTTGTAAAAAGACCACCACTCAAACAGAGGGTCTGCACTAGGCAAGATATATGAAACCCAAAGTGCCTGTTAGGGTGCTGTGAAAATGTACGCCTTCCTTTTATTTATTTTTTTAAAGATTTGTTCCAGGCCGGGCGCGGTGGCTCACGCCTGTAATCCCAGCACTTTGGGAGGCCGAGGCGGGTGGATCATGAGGTCAGGAGATCGAGACCATCCTGGCTAACAAGGTGAAACCCCGTCTCTACTAAAAATACAAAAAATTAGCCGGGCGCGGTGGCGGGCGCCTGTAGTCCTAGCTACTCGGGAGGCTGAGGCAGGAGAATGGCGTGAACCCGGGAAGCGGAGCTTGCAGTGAGCCGAGATTGCGCCACTGCAGTCCGCAGTCCGACCTGGGCGACAGAGCGAGACTCCGTCTCAAAAAAAAAAAAAAAAAAAAAAAAAAAAAAAAAAAAAAAAAAAGATTTGTTCCATGCAGGAATAGAAGCCTTTTTTGTGTGTGGTCATATTGCTGAGAATCATCTGGTAAATGAGCCAAGAAGAGAGAGCAAGCAAATAATCTTAATCACTTGGGAATATAAGAATCAAACATCACATTGTGTGCAGTAATGAGGAGAATACATTTTAGACATTGGTGCAAAAATCTAACTTCTATCTTTTTGCTATAGCTTACTCAATTTGAGCTATAGTATGGATTGGGATTAAAAGCTCTAAGTTAAATGGTGGTGTAATTATGTGTTAACATTTCTTATATATAAGTTTATTTACATAGCATATTTGGAATGGCTCTATTTTTAATTTAGTATTGAATCGCTGCACATTTGCAAACTGCTTCAGATGCACTTTCTGAAAAGGTGCTGTTCCTTGGGGCTCCCTGGAGGTAAAATCTCCATAGACTCTATAAAGCACACGTGGCCAATAATTGTTGCTCCTGATGGAGGGAAAGTTCCTTTAGCAATGGAAAGAATAATCTTCCAGACTTTTATTAAAATAATACTAGGGAAATACCTTCAATCACATTGTCTTGTTAGGTAACATCTCTTGCATATGGCTATGTATATAGTTTTTGTGCAATAAACATTAGAACAAAACTTTAAAATCATAAAACTTTATGATCTTTATGTGCTGTTAAACAAAGTTTATGATATACCTTTATGATCTTTATGTACTGTTAAACGAAGTTTATGGGAGGCTGTTGTTTTGTGCTAAGCTCCTGTATTAGGCCCTGGCACACCAGACCAAACCAGAATGGAGCCACTTGTGCTAAGTGCCATGTAATCAAGCTGAACCTTGAAATGGGCCAATTTTCAAAAATAAATAAATAAATAAAATAAAATAAAATAAACCATGGGATTCCAGTCAGCCTGAGTCAGTGTAATATGGAAGTCCCCTCTGTTAATGCTGTAAGGAAAGTTACCGTGAAATGACCAATCTGCTATTTGTCCACTGTTTCTGCTTTCTTTTTATTTTATTTTATTTTATTATTTTTATTTTCTTAATTTTCTTTTTTTTATTTTATTATTATTATACTTTGTTTTAGGGTACATGTGTATAATGTGCAGGTTAGTTACATATGTATACATGTGCCATGCTGGTGTGCTGCACCCATTAACTGGTCATTTAGCATTAGGTATATCTCCTAATGCTATCCCTCCCCACTCCCCCCACCCCACATCCCCAGAGTGTGATGTTCCCCTTCCTGTGTCCATGTGTTCTCATTGTTCAGTTCCCACCTATGAGTGAGAACATGCGGTGTTTGGTTTTTTGTTCTTCCGATAGTTTACTGAGAATGATGATTTCCAATTTCATCTATGTTCCTACAAAGGACATGAACTCATCATTTTTATGGCTGCATAGTATTCCATGGTGTATATGTGCCATATTTTCTTAATCCAGTCTATCATTGTTGGACATTTGGGTTGGTTCCAAGTCTTTGCTATTGTGAATAATGCCGCAATAAACATACGTGTGCATGTGTCTTTATAGCAGCATGATTTATAGTCCTTTGGGTATATACCCAGTAATGGGATGGCTGGGTCAAATGGTATTTCTAGTTCTAGATCCCTGAGGAATAGCCACACTGACTTCCACAATGGTTGAACTAGTTTACAGTCCCACCAACAGTGTAAAAGTGTTCCTATTTCTCCACATCCTCTCCAGCACCTGTTGTTTCCTGACTTTTTAATGATTGCCATTCTAACTGGTGTGAGATGGTATCTCATTTTGGTTTTGATTTGCATTTTTCTCTGCTTTCTTTAGCCCTTCTGTGCCTGTAAGACCAACCTCCTCTGCTCAGCTCATCAGAACACTCACTCTGTTATATAAAATGAGGTGTTACCTGATTCGAGAATCACAAATAAAAGCCAATCAGACCCTTAAACTAAATTTGTTGTAATTTTGTCTTTTGACAGTGCTAATGATTATTTTGTAACTAGCGTGTTTTTTATGGGAGTGGGAGAAAGAAAAGGGAGACAGGGTAACTGGTTCTTTCTGAAACAAGTAATCTCATAATTTTAAAAATCCTAGGAAATATCAAAAGCAGCTCAGGCTCAGTTTAGCCATTTATGCTGCTTTAAATAGCTGTCTACTTTTACAAAAGTTCTAATTTTTTTCTGATTCCTGCCACATTTCTGATATTGCCCAGCCATAAGCCCTGCTGCCTTGCAGGCGTGCCCCATGGAGGGAGCAGAGCTGAAATTAGACACAACAAACTATGTGCTCTCTTATTCATGGGCTCAATAAAAGCACTTCCTCAGGGAGATATTATATTTCCATCTTCAAGTCTGGGAGTTTGGGCACCCCAAAGCGATTGTCAGCAGCCCAGCCAGAGCAAATTTAACCTCGCCCTGAACCTTGGTGGGGCTCCAGCGGGACTGTCACGAAAATGTCGAATTTTGGCCCTGTGTCTCCAGCTCCAAAGTAGGGTTCGGACAGCCAAAGAAAACAGAGCCTGAGTTAAACAGTGAGAAGAGAAAGAGGCCAAAACTCTTACCTAAAGGTCTCTACAGCTCAGCAAACTCAGTGAGAGTCAAGGAGTTAGAAGGAAGGCCTTTCCCTTGTGCATGACACCTCTTAGTGCCTCTATTTTCCCTTCCGTAAAATGAACATTTTCTAAATCCTCACTACTCAAATTGTGGTACTCAGACTAATAGCATTGGTATCACCATGGAAGCTTGTTAGAAAAGCAGAATCTTAGGCCCCATCCTAAAATTACTGAGTCAAAATCTACATTTTAACTTATGCATCTTAAAGTTTGAGAATCTCTGATGTAAAAGGCCCAGATCCAAATGCACGATAACAAATCTATTATGGAAAACCCTTTTTTTTTTTTTTTGAGACGGAGTCTCGCTCTGTCACCCAGGCTGGAGTGCAGTGGCGGGATCTCGGCTCACTGCAAGCTCCGCCTCCCGGGTTCACGCCATTCTCCTGCCTCAGCCTCCCAAGTAGCTGGGACTACAGGCGCCCGCCACTACGCCCGGCTAATTTTTTCTATTTTTTAGTAGAGACGGGGTTTCGCCGTTTTAGCCGGGATGGTCTCGATCTCCTGACCTCGTGATCTGCCCGCCTCGGCCTCCCAAAGTGCTGGGATTACAGGCGTGAGCCACCATGCCCGGCTGGAAAACCCTTTTTTAAACATAAAGAGTGTGACCGTAAAGTTATAAGCTGCCCCTCAGATAGGGAGCATTTCACAGCCTTGACCTGTATAAACTAGATCAGCATGATTCACTGAGCTCCTACCAATGCAAGGACACACCCCGATATTGTTTGGCTGTGTCCCCACCCAAATCTCATCTTGAATTGTAGGTCCCATAATTCCCATGTGTCGTGGGAGGGACCTGGTGGGAGGTAATTGAATCATGGGGGGAGGTTTCCCCCATGCTGTTCTTGTGACAGTGAGTGTGTGCTCACGAGATCTGGTGGTTATAAGCATCTGGCATTTCTCCTGCTGGCACTGATTCTCTCTCCCACCACCCTGTGAAGAGGTGCCTTCCACCACGATTGTAAGTTTCCTGAGTCCTCCTCCGCCATGCAGAACTGTGAGTCAATTAAACCTCTTCTCTTTATAAATTACCCAGTCTCGGGTATTTCTTCATAGCAGTGTGAGAATGGACTGACACACACCCTGAAGGCTGCCTGACCAGAGTGGTTCCCTGAACGCCCCAAAGTTTGAAATCTGACTGTAAGGATGCAAGAAGCAAAGAAAAAAATACATTCATACACTCAGGAATCTAACCCAGGGGCACTATTAAACCTGAGTTTGCAAATCTATCTTGGGAAAGAACAGGATAACAGAGCTTGTGCTAGGTTTACTTGTAAAGGTGTTCCTGAGACTTTTCCAGATTTATGCAAAGAAGGATTGGGGACTTTTGCCAAATCCTCATCTTCTGAAATCCAGGGTTCAGACACTGTCAGAAAGGCACACTTGATGTTTATCTTCTGGAAGACAAGCCCTACAGAGACTGAAAGTTCTCCTCAGCCCTGAGACTCAGGAGACCCAGTCCTCCCCAAAGCCCGCCCCAAGGAGACTAAAGAGACAGATGTGATGCACCACCATGGGACAGTCACTGCTTTCTCTCTTAATACCACCCTGGGGCCTTCTCATCAGTTCCTTGAAGAGCGATGCTACCTTATCACTGCCCTTCCAGGGCTTAGCAAGAACCAGAGGGCTGACGCAAAAATAACCTTGAGTCTTCCATCTGCCCAAAGCTCTCCAAGGAAGCAGGAGGCATCAGGGCACTTAAGAAGCCACAGGCAGGAGACATGCGGCACATGGCTGGGCCCCACTGATGATGTAGCTGCTAAAAGCTCTAGAGAGTCATTTTGGATAGAAACAGACTCTGACAGGAGCCATCAGTTGCATGAAATTATGCTGAAAGCCTGTAGGCAAAATCCCTGCTGATGGAGGTTGCTAGCACCCAAAGTAGCAGAGATAACCATACTACTGGACTCTGTGTCAGGCACTTTATTATACAAACTCTAGGGAAAGTATTGTTATCTGCATTGGGCATATAAGGAAACCGGAGCTCTAAGAGCTCGAATAGTTTGTACACAGTTGAATCAGGGTTACTTTTGAATTCGGGCCATCCTAGCTCCAAAGTCCAAGCTGCTTTTGTTGCACTGCAAAACCTCCCCTGGGTGGATGCGACTTGCCAACAAGAATCAAGGCAGAACTTTGCAGGGAGGCATTGGGTGACTAGAGCCTTATACTGGGAGAAGCAGGTTGGAGTGCCAGGCTGGTGGGAATTTCTTGCTCAGAGTTATCCAGTTCAACCCATTTGTGGCCTACAGAGAGGTTAGGCTTCTGAGACCATCTTTTCCTCCATACCTTGACAGATACTTTATACCTCTTGAGAAGGAAGGAATGGTTCCTAGCCAGAAAAATTTAATGGCTGCATCAGGGCCAGCTTCAGGGACACTGCAGTCACATAGACCCCCTCACTTATGAGGCCCCTGTGCTTGGGTTTTAATCCTCTGCCATTGCTGTCTTGAAATGCTAAACAATTTTGTCTTTGAATTTATGTTGTGTAAGGAAAGTCTGATGGGACAATGACACATGCACCCAGGTCTTAGAGCCTTGCCTCATGTGCAGTCTCACCTCCCACCCACTCCCTGTCTCCCTGGGATGGGTTGTCTGCTGCCTACTTCCTGTCCCCTGCCACTCTTCACCCAGGGATCCAGGTACTGAGAGATCTAGGTACGCTTGGGGTGACCTGTCTGTAGAGCAGTAGGCCTGACTTTTCTGCCTCTGGCTGGGTCCCTACATAATTATTTTGCACTAGACCTGCAAATTATGTAGCCATCTCTGAACTACACTTTTCTAGGGTTGGAACTGTCAAAGTGATTAAAAGTTCAGCATGCAAAGGCTGGGCTCTTCCTGCCCTGAGGGAAGTAGTCTCAACCATCCTTTTCTCTCTTTCCTCAAATACTGTCTCCTCCTTCTAGGAGCAAGACTGCTGCCTGGTTTACAATCAGGGCCAGCTTGATACCAGGCAGTAAGAGCAAACTTCCTCTCTCTCTGCTTTTGTCTCTCTGGTTATAGATTCTTAAGCTCTGACAGGTGCATTTTTAATTAGCCTTTTGATATGGTTGTAAGATCTGAGATTAGGGTTTACACATTGGAGGTGAAATACATGAAGCAATCCTCTAGGAGTGCTTTGTTTCAACATTACTTGGACCTATTTAACTTCAGTAAAAGGAGCCTTCCACATAGTTTAACTCACTGTTATCTGAGGTTAAAGTCCCCCAAATAATGAATTACTATGTTGCTTTAGCTTTTTTGTGCATATATTTCCCTTAGAGAACTTATTGACAGGAGAAAACCCAGAGTCAAAGCAATATTCATATACTGCTAACCTCTGGCCTAATGTCATATTAATACCATGCTAATAATACCTAATGCCACTCTAAGCCCAGTGATGAGAGGAGGGGTGCAGATACGAATTTGCGATCTTTCAATAAGGTCTCCTTAGTGACAAAGCAATACATTTTCCTATCAAGAAACCTTCAGGGACCGAGAATATTATCCAGGGACTTAAGGCAGCTTTAGCAACCATAGGGTATAATCCAATCTCAGAATTCCAGCATGGTAGAATGAGTGAGGAAAGAATTAGAAGGTCATACAAACAACACTCAAGAGAGGTCATAATGTCACTCATGACTAAGTCATATTTTTGATACAGGTGACAAATTATAAAACCAGAGCTCTTTAGATCTTGAAGCAGCATGGGTACTACACATTTCAAAGCCCTCAAGTTTCAAATTAAGAAACCGAGGATCTAAGAGTTGTAGAAAGGCATATATTATTACTCAGGATATTATTGTAATCACTGGTATTTGAGACCCATAGCCAGCAGCCGAGACACCATTCTTTCCATTATACTGTATCCATTGAGGTTTATTAACCATGGTAGATAATTTTATCTAACAAGAGTAAAATTGTGTCTAATGTGAGATGAGCATTTCTTATACAACTTTATAAATTAGAATTAATCTCTGAACAAAGTATAAATGGAGAAACACATGTACCCTACTTTATTACGTGGGCATTCTTTATTAGTAGGGAGAATAATGTGATAGCCCTATGACAAGGTTTAGGGGTTCTAGAAAATCCTCAAAACTTATTGCCATACATAACAAAATAACTAAAATTCTAAAATTACAGGTTGAATTCTGTGAACTAAGCCAAAAGAGCTCGGTTCCTGGTAGAGTATGATCAATTCATGCATGAAACCCAGATCTGAGGGTGCAAAAGGGCCTTACCAGTTTTCTAGTCTAATCTTTGCATATTTACCTCCAATATATCAATGCCTAAAGAGTAGTGCCCTATTCTATGAGAATATATCCATCATCCATTCCTCCATCCCTCAATTATTCATTCACTAATTTAGCCAATATTTTTGCATCCCTCTTTTCCACCAGTATGCCAGATACTGTTTCTTTTCTCTCAGTAGCAAACCCACCCTCTTTATTCTCTTTAGATTCTCCCATTGAGAAGCATTTCTGTGAGCTCTGGAAGTCAGGTGAAAAGGAGAAGTCATAATCTATGGCAGCAGCTATGGGAAGGTACATTTATTAGAAATTAGAGGAACATCAGATATTAGAGGATATGTTAGATTAGATATTATTGATAGATATATTAGATATTATTGATATATTAGATATATTGATAGATTGGATATCATTAGCTAGATTAGATATATTTGGCAGATATTAGAGGAACACCAGATTTCATCAGTATGCTTCTGAGATTTATCCAGTTTTGCACTGCAAGCATCTGATAATTTTGTGGCAGCTTTTCTGCATTGCTGGTACTTCTAGACTTCCTCAGAGGCTGGGCCTCCCTGACCTTAGCTCACTAGTCCTTCTGAAGCTTGTGTAAACTTTTAATTCCCTGTATTAAATTCATTGTTGTTCAGAATACCTACAGTTTTTTGTTTTTTTGTTTTTTTGTTTTTTTGTTTTTTTGGTTTTTTTTCCTGACAAACCCTGACAGAAATAGCCAAGCACTGGGCAATGAACACAAGATACAAAATTGAGTCAACCTGCTCTACTATCTGAAGCCGTTCCTTATTTTGGAAAGCATCCTGGCTCTCTCTTATGTACATTGGTCCTTTGCCTGTCCTAAGTAGCCACACATATTAAGTCTTGCTTATTAATTTATATTTCAGCTCGTATTAGCCTTCCTGAGAGGAGGTGTCTACAGGGAGAGAAAGGTGAGGACATGGGTACATGATTGGTAGGAAGAGAGCACTACTGAGTTTGCAAAGATGAAACTTTTTCTTTTTTAGTTTTTCTGACACTTAGAACATAAAGGTTGGATTCTATTCTTAGAGAAGAGTGAGTAAATCCTACTATGTTCAGTGAGAATCGCATATATTTTGCAAGACAGTGGAGTAAGATAGATAGTCTTGGGAAGTCGGCCATGTCAATGTAAGGGTCTACGGGCTGGTCTCGAACTCCCGACCTCAGGTGATCTGCCCACCTCGGCCTCCCAAAGTGCTAGGATTACAGGGATGAGCCACCATGCCTGGCCTAAAATGAAATTTTAATTGGCAGAGAAGGCAGATGGTGAGAATTGTTGATCCAATAATAACATGAAGTCCATGAAAGCCTGTGGCTGTAAAGAATGTTGAGCTGTAGATTCCATCAGAGATAATAAAGGGGGCCTCGAAATATTCTGAGATTTGTGGAAGGGTGAAATAGACTCCTAAGAGGATTGTGGTAAGTAGTGCTTGAATTGTTTGTTTTTGGTTACCTTCTGTTAGGCTGTGATGGGCTCAAGTCATTGAAACTCCTGATGCAAGTAATACGGACGTATTTAGGAGAGGTACTTCTGAAGGGTTCAGGGGAAGAATACCTGTTGGGGGTCAATGTCCTCCTAATTCTGGGGTCGGTGCTAAACTGGAGTGATAGCATGCCCAGAAAAAACCGGCGAAGAAGGATACTTCTGAGATAATAGGAGCATCCTGTATCAGAGGCCTTTTTGGACAATTGCTGTGTGGTGGCCTTGGAATGTACTTTCTCGGACAATATCACGTCATCATTGATATATAGTCAGTGTGTTGGTTAGTAGGCCTAAAGTTAAAAGAGTGGTAGAATTAAAGTGAAATCCTATGGTTAGGCCAGATGTTATTAGGAGAGCCGAGAGAGCTCCTGTTAGTGGTCAAGGGCTAGGTACAACTATATGGTAGGCATGTGTCTGGTGGGTCATTATGTATTATGCGAACAAAGACTAATAGTGTGAAGACATAAGCTTGAATAAGAGTGACAGCGAACTTGAGAACAGTTAGTAGAATTAGAATAATAGGAAATACTGAAGTTGCAGAGACACTAATAATTGATAATATTAGCACTGCACTGTATTTTAATTCTTTTTCTCCTGTAGGAAAAAGAAGAACTGATTGAAGAGTGGCAACCAGAACCTCTTGTTCCTCCTGTCCCAAAAGACCATCCTGCTCTCAACTACAACATCGTTTCAGGGTAAATTGATTTTGCTACCTGAAGTACTTGTATTTGGCTTCTTGTAGTAACCTGCAGTCTATAGTGCTTTATATGTAGTAGTCCTTTTTTATCTGAAACAAAACATTTTGAAGTTCCCAGGAGTAACAGCTTTAGCTCCTGATTTTAAAAAATTTATTCTAGGGGTGATACAGGCATTTTTTAAAATCTCCAATTTAAGCATTAATGTTTGCCCTTTTTTCCAAGAATGCACACGTGTTAATATTTCAAATGGTTGAACACTTAAAATGAAAAGCAACAGACTCCTGCTTTTTACCCATCTGGTTATTTTCTGATTTTAAATCTGTCGCACGTTACCCTCATAATTCTAGATACTGTAGTATGCTTAACTACCATTTGTTAATGGTAGTTGTTGTTGTTGTACAGACAACACCTGTTGATCCCCACAATATGAATTATGGAGCTTCCACTCACTTATGCCTCTTTCCTCCTTGCTTCCAGTGTCTCATCTATTTTTTACTTTTCGTTCTCTTGGCTATCTTTGCTATATTGTATGTATTTTCATTAATTAAGAAATACATTAAGAATACAGAAAGTTATCAGATACAGATATAGATATAGATATCAGACACCTATATACCTACCACCCAGAATTAATTGGTGTTAACATTTTGCTATTTTTAATTCAAGCTTACTTTTACAGGTAAATACAATATTACAAATGCATCTTAAGAAATTCCTTCACATCCGTCACTTACTCTTGCCTCTCATACAGATAACCACTGTCTTGAAGTTGGTGATTGTTTTCTTTCTTTGCTGATATTTATAATTTTACCATATGTGCCTGTTGCCATAAAAATATTTGGTTTATTTTAAAATGTGATACAAGATATTTTCCTGAGTATTATTGTTCTGATTCTGATCTGATCAAAGAGGAGCTTCTATTCTTTACTTCTGTAGAACTCTTTAGTCTTATAAAAGTTTTATATATTCTGAAATCAAACCTACCAATCTTTTTTTTTTTTTTGAGACAGAGTCTCACTCTGTCGCCCAGTCTGGAGTGCAGTGGCGCAATCTCGGCTCACTGCAAGCTTCGCCTCCCAGGTTCACGCCATTATCCTGCCTCAGCCTCCTGAGTAGCTGGGACTACAGGCAAACGCTGCCATGCCCGGCTAACTTTTTGTATTTTTAGTAAAGACGGAGTTTCACCGTGTTAGCCAGGATGGTCTCGATCTCCTGACTTTGTGATCCGCCCACCTCGGCCTCCCAAAGTGCTGGGATTACAGGCGTGAGCCACCGCACCCGGCCCAAATTTACCAATCTTTTATAGTTTGGTCTTTTGAAGTCTTAGGGAATCGTTTCCTACCCTAAAGGTCTAATTTGATTGTTTTCCATATGATGGTCAGTTGTCTCAGCATTATTAGTTGAATAATCCAGTATTTACCTACAGCTTGGAAATTTCCCTTCTTTGGTAAGCCAGATTCCCTTCTAAAGGGTCTATTTCTGGCTTTTATTTTTATTCATTGGATATATTCATATCTCCATATACCAGAGACTCATTCATGTATACCACAGCTTTATAATAAACGTTGATTAGAGTGTTTTTCTACCTCCGTGTTCTTCAAAATTGCCTAGACTATTCTTGACCCTTCTTCACTGTGAGTTTAGGTTTAGGTGATCATATTTAACCAAAAAAAATGCATTTGGGTTTTTTATTAGAAGTGTGTTGAATTTATGGATTAATTTAGGAGGCTTGGTATCTTGCTGATACTTAATCTCACTACCCATTTACATGGTATATATTGCTTGCATACTTGGGTCTTTTGTTTTCTATAGTAAAGTTGCTGGAAGAGGAGTGGGGGAGGAAAGAGGAGGAGAGGAATGCACACATATGGGTGTAGGAGGCACCCTTCTGAAGGGAGGCTGGAAGGAGAAAGATGTGGGGCTAGGACGTGTGGGGCATGGGTCAGAGGTCAGAGGCACTGAAACTGCAGCTGAATGAGAGCAGCCTCCTTTTTCATTAGGTGGAACCCCCAAAATGGGGGCAAGGTCAGTGGGAAGAGCCAGGGAAGAGTTAGGAATTATGGATATCAAATTTTACTCAATTCTTGGTGTGGGAGAAGGTGGAGGGACAGGCAAAATGAGGGGCCCAACAGCACGTGGGCCGAGTCAGAGTAGGACGAGGAGCTGGGATCTGTGAAGTGTAGGTGGCCAGGGGCAGGGAGTCTCAGCAGGTGTGGAGACAGCAGGGGCAGGCTGGGTGCCACTGCAGTTTGCCATGTCTTACTTTTTTTTTTTTTTTTTTTTTTGAGATGGAGTCTTGCTCTGTCACCAGGCTGGAGTGCAGTGGTGAGATCTCGGCTCACTGCAACCACCACCTCCCGGGTTGAAGCCATTCTCCTGCCTCAGCCTCCCGAGTAGCTGGGACTACAGGCACAAGCCACCATGCCCGCCTAATTTTTGTATTTTCAGTAGAGACAGAGTTTCACCATGTTGGCCAGAATGATCTCGATCTCCTTTTTTTTAATTAAAAAGTAAACTTTAATGTCGAAAATGCAAGCTTGAGGAGGGCAGAAAGATCACACACAAGGCTGTCACTTCACACTTGGAAGGTTGCACAGCAGCCGGGCAGAGACGCTCCTCACTTCCCAGATGGTGAGGGGGCTGGGCAGAGGCGCTCCTCACTTCTCAGACAGTGCAGGGGCTGGGCAGAGGCGCTCCTCCCTTACAAACGGTGAGGGGGCCGGGCAGAGGTGCTCCTCACTTTCCAGACAGGGGGGCGGCTGGGCAGAAGCGCTCCTCACTTCCCAGATGTGATGGTGGCCAGGCAGAGGCGCTCCTCACTTCCCAGAGTGTAAGGGGGCTGGGCAGAGGCACTCCTCGCTTTGCAGACTGTGAGGCAGCCGGGCAGAGGCGCTCCTCACTTCCCAGACAGGGCGGCGGCCTGGCAGAGGCACTCCTCACTGCCCAGACGGGGCAGGACCCAGGCAGAGGTGCTCCTCACTTCCCAGACTGTGAGGCAGCCGGGCAGAGGCACTCATCACTTCCCAGACAGGGCGGGAGCCGGGCAGGGGCGCTCCTCACTGCCCAGACAGTGCGGTGGCCAGGCAGAGGCGCTCCTCACTTCCCAGAATGTAAGGGGGCCGGGCAGAGGCACTCTTCGCTTCACAGACAGGACGGTGGCGAGGCAGAGGCGCTCCTTACTTCCCAGACAGGGCAATGGCTGGGCAGAGGCGCTCCTCACTTCCCATACCATGAGGTGGCCAGGCAGAGTTGCTCGTCACTTCCCAGATGGGGTGGAGGCCAGGCAGAGGCAGTGCTCCTCCTCAATTCCCAGATGGTGGGCAGCTGGGCAGAGGTGCTCCTCACTTCCCAGACAGGGCAGTGGCCAGGCAGAGGCGCTCCTCACTTCCCAGACGGTGGAGCAGCCGGGCAGAGGCGCTCCTCACTTCCCAGATGGTGGGGCGGCTGGGCAGAGGCACTCCTCACTTCTCAGACGGTGGAGCAGCCGGGCAGAGGCGCTCCTCACTTCCCAGCTGGTGCAGGCAGAGATGTTCCTCAGGTCTCAATCTCTTGACCTCCTGATCCGCCCACCTGAGCCTCCCAAAGTGCTGGATTACAGGCGTGGGCCACCACGCCTGCCCTGCCGTCTCTTCTTTCTCCTCATAAGCAGCTCTCTTAGTCTCCTGAATTTTGATGTTCTACTTAACATCCTCATGTTCTTATGCATGTTGCCCTGCTGGAGGCGTCCTTCTCTTTGGGAAGCCTGACCCACCAACAGTGCCTCAGGAGATAGAAATGGAAGCTTAGCCAGTGGGGGACCCTCATCTCTATCCCACCTCAGTTGCAGGGGAGGGGTTGGTTGCAGCTGCAGCAGTGGCCCCGACAGTTTTCTTTTGCAGGACCTGTGGCTGGCAGCTCTGGGTGGAGAAGACCTACTTGATCCAAGAGCTGCAGGATCCTTGGGCTGCGTGTCCTCCCCCACCATCACCATCAGCTGGGCAGGTGGTCTTTACCCAGCACCTTCAAGGCCGCCTTCTCTGGCCACAGGGAGCAGCCCGGAACTGGGGCAGGGAGCACCGTTGGAAGTGGGTCAGGCTTCCCAAAGGGAAGGATGCCTCCAGCAGGGCTGTGTGAACTGGCGACTCCATGGCCCTTGGAGTAGAAACTCACTGCATGCACCTGGGCCTTGTCAGTCTGGTTGTTTTCTGTCAAGCTCTTGAGGTGGACATTTCCCTCCAAGGGCCTGGGATTGTACAAGGAGGAAGTGAGGTTTCCCTGAGTCTCCAGGGGCCTAGAGGTGGAGGCTGCTTCCCCATTGCTACAGGGGCCCCTTTTATTGTCCTCCTGCCCCTGGGTCTCTACCTGGTCTTTCACCTCCGTTGCTTCTTTGGGCTCTTTTGCCCTCACCTCCATCTTCGGGAGCCTGGCTGGGATCACCTGCTCATCTAATGAAGGAAGTCGGAGGTTAAACTTGCCTCTGAGACGAGGGATCCTCACGGGGCTGAGGTGTCCAAACATCCTGGAGTTGTGAGCAGACAGCATGGGTTTCTTCCTTGAGGGGGGGCTCCAGACCACAGGAGGCAGGACCCTCTGTGGGGTGCCCGTGTTCCGAGGGATAAGACAGCCTCATAGGGGCGCTGTCCCACCTGACTGGAAAAGAAGGCCTAAGATGTCACTGTCAGTTGAAGAGGAGTGGGAAACGGCCCCAGATTCCCGGGGCAGGCACAGGTGCAGGAGCCGCGGGGTGAGCCCGGCCAGCTGGGAAGGCCTCACGGACAAGACGAGCAGGTTGCCGATGGCATGGCCAGGACCTGCGGTGGGACCAGGAGCAAAATATGCTTAGTGAGTTGCCCATTTTGAGCAAGTTGTGCACAGATGAAACCAAGGGTCAGAAGTGGAGAGGATACTCCTAAGTCACCCACTTCTCTGTGGCCGGGTGCACACTGGGCATCTGGGAGTTTATGACATCACCATGGGGCTGGTGACAGAGCCAGGGTGTGGAGGAGTGCTTAGGAGCCCAGCGAGGGTGCCTACAAGAGGAGTCAAAGGGCAAAGGGTGAGACCCTTCCACTGGTCCCCCTGGACTCTAGCCTCAGGGACATCCTGCTCCTGGGGGCAGGTGTGTGGCCTTGGATGGGCCTCCCTGTGGGGCTGTTGGGGGTGCGGGACTGATCTGCCAGAGCCCTTCCGCCTGGCGTCTGGCCCAGGTGCTGGCTGGCACCCAGTGGCCCTGTCTTGGCCGGCCCTGTCCCACGGGTTACAGGGCCAGAACCTGGAAGCAGAGCGCAGGACCAGCCAGATCCCGCCAGGCTCCCCGGGGGCCTCTCCAGTGCCTCTGTGCCACCTGGAGCCAGGCCCACCTTCTCCATGGCTGCTGTGGCCTCAAGGGCCACCAGCCTCACTCCGCAGGTTTCCAAAGAGAGGACGCGGTGCCCTGACCTGACTGGTTGCGCCTCTTACCACGTGCCTCCCTGGCAGGCAGGGTCTCCACTTTTTACAAATTTGCCTGAGACCATTCCTCAGGTCATTCAGGTGGTCATGGCCTAGCCAGGCTTTGAACCCGGGCTGTGCAATTCCACAGCTGGTGCTCTGGCCTGTGTGCCTCATGATCATGGATACAGCATCTATTCTTAATTTTTCCTGTAGTCCTGGGGTACTTAGCACCGTGGCATATCTGTAATAAGCACATGCACACCTCGAAGGAGGTCTTCACTTCAACATACAAGTTGACCATGGCATGCTCTGGGCTCCAGTCCTCTACAAAGTTGTAGGGCAGGAACTACCAGTTGTCAGCACAGCACCATCCCACATTGCTCTTCTAATGGAGCCTTTCACCCCAGATGTTCTTTCTCGTCTGATGGGAAGGATCCAAGTATGTAAATATTATGTTCTAGATCAGCTTTGGTCTGTCCTAAAAGAAATTTGCCAGTGGATTATTCCATATGGATAAAAGTCAGTTTCTCTGGTCTTCCTGGAATGTGTCTAGAAAGCAAATACATTATTTACAAGTTCATAGTAGATCAATGTATTGGATTAAAATATGACAAACATAATTTGGTCATTGTGAGAATGCCAGCTCGGTCAACTATTCACCACACATGATGCCCTAAATATAACTCTAGGTTTTCTTATGCCCAAGAGAGGGACATACTCTTGGGTGTCTGGACTAGGGAAACATGTATGAAAAACCATTTGGCCACTCTACATCTTGTTATTGGAGAATCGAAACCATCTATATTCAAAGATATTATTAAAAGGCAAGAAGTTAACTTCTGTCATTTTGTTAATTGTTTTCTGGTTGTTTTGTAGATCTTTTGTTTCTTCTTCTTTTATTGTTTGCTTTATGGTTTGCTGAGTTTCTGTACTGATAAGCTTTGATTCCTTTATTTCATTGACATATCTGGTGTAATTTTTTTCTCTGGTTACTCTGGAGCTTACATTTAAAAATGAATAGTTATGATAGACTATTTAAAGCTGATAAAAATTTTGATCACGCACAAACCTGCTATACTACCCCCACATCCCTTGTCAGTGCCCAAAATTTGTAATTTTTTGCCTTAATTTATATTGTTCTGTATTGGGTGTTTATTAAGAACTCATTGTAGATATAAATATTTTTGACTATTTTGATGTTCAGCTTTCTCAAGGGGGATTTGAAAGATTCTAAAGCATAATTTCAGTAATGTAGAATTCTCAGTTTGAATATG
Organism: Homo sapiens; assembly: GCF_000001405.40. Lineage (NCBI taxonomy): Eukaryota > Metazoa > Chordata > Mammalia > Primates > Hominidae > Homo > Homo sapiens. Next base: position 82,434,983 of record NC_000009.12, read on the forward strand.
AATTTACTTTTAACAGTTAGGTTGATAGTGTCCTGTATTTTTGCATGAGTATTGTTCTTTCACTTGCGATTGAAGCACTCCCTTAAGCATTTCTTGTCAGGCTGGTCTTATGGTGATGAATTCCATACGCATTTGCTTGTCTGGGAAAGACTTTATTTCTTTAATTTCTGATGGGTAGCTGTGCTAAGTACAGTACTCTTTGCTGACTGATTTCTCATTAGCACTTTGAATATATCATCCTCATCTCTCCTAGAATTCAAGGTTTCTGCTGTGAAAACTGATAGTCTAATGGAGACTTGCTTATTTGTGATTTGATGCTTCACTCTTGCTAATTTTAGAAGTTTTTCTTTGTGTTTGACTTTTGACAAATTGATTATAATGTGCCTTAGAAAAGGCCTTTTTGGGTTGAAAATGTATGGGACCCTTTAAGCTTCACGGAACTGGATGTCCGTATCTCTCCCAAGAATTGGGAGATTTTCAGCTATTATTTTGTTAAATAAGTTTTCTGTGTCTTTGTCTCTTCTCTCTGTTTCTCTTCTATATTTTCAAAATCTGTTATCTTAATATCATGGCACAAGTCTCATAGACTTTCCTTGATTCTTTTTACTCTTTTTTTCTCCTTTTTTCCCTCAGGCTGGGTTATTTCAAAAGTCCTGTCTGCAAGTTCAAAAATTCTTTTGTTTGATCTAGTGTGCCATTGAAGCTCTCAGTTGTACTTTTTATTTAATTCATTCAATTCTTCATTCCTAAGGTTTCTGTTGGTTTGTTTTCTTTTTTTCCTTTCTTTTTTTTTTTTTTTTTTTGAGACAGAGTCTTGCTCTGTCACCCAGGCTGGAGTGCAGTGGCACGATCTTGGCTCACTGCAAGCTCCGCCTCCCAGGTTCACACCATTCTCCTGCCTCAGCCTCCAGAGTAGCTGGGACTACAGGCGCCCACCACCACACCCAGCTAATTGTTTGTCTTTTTAGTAGAGACGGGGTTTCATCGTGTTAGCCAGGATGGTCTAGATCTCCTGACCTCGTGATCCACCTACCTCGGCCTTCCAAAGTGCTGGGATTACAGGTGTGAGCCACCACGCCTGGCCCGTTTGTTTTCTTTAATGGTATCTATGTCTTTGTTGAATTTCTCATTCAGGTTATGGCTTGTTTTTTTTATTATTTGATTAAGTTTTCTAGCTGTATTCTTTTGTATCTCATTGAATTTTCTTAAGATCAATATTTCAAATTCCTTTTAAGGCAACTTGAAAATTTCCATTTATTTAGGGTAACTTTGTGAAGAATTATTGTGCACCTTTGGTGGTGTCAAGTTTCATTGCATTTTCATGCTTTTTATCTCCTATGTTTATATTTATGAGACTGTTGACACGGTCACCTGTTCTAATTGTATAGAGTGGCTTATGTAGAGAAAGATTTTCACCTGGAGATGTGTCTTAGGGTGTCAGTTAGATGGGCTGCATCTGCTTTAGTTCTAGGAGGACACACTAGTGTAGTATCTGTACTTTTCTCTTGCCTTTTTTTTTTTTCTTTTGCTAGTATCCATTTTGGTGATACCTGTGAGTGTCTTGGTGACCTAAGCTGCAGGAGCATGTGCAATTTGTTTTTCTGCTCAGGATTGGGGGCTGGGGGAGAAGGTGGCGGTGTCAGGAAGCTGCATGACTATCTAGTGAATGTGTTACTGAGTCACAGGGGTTGGTTCACCAGTTTGAGATGGGACTCCTCTGGAAACACTCGCCTGGCTGTGGATTACTGGGGCTGCTCTGCAGGTTTGAGATGGGGATCACCTAGAAACACCAGGCCCAGTTGGTGAGCACACTGATGGCACAATAAATCAGTAATCAGTCCACAGTTAGAGTGTTGCAGTCACTAGGATGTGGAAGGCAAACCTCTTTGAGAGTTTGTTTCTAGGATATAGACAGCAGCAGCTGCTTTCCTGGAGAAGGCTGTTGTAATGACAGGGTAGCCTCTGGGATGGAAGGAGGCAGTGACCACTAGTTCATGGAGCAGAATATACTCAGCTATGGCTTGGCTTTCTAGATGGTGCTATATGTGGACTCCTTCTCTGGGGCAGTATAGCCTTGTGGGCATCAAGCAGCTTCCTAAACTAGGCTGCTAGAGATGGGGTTTCACCGTGTTGGTCAGGCTGGTCTCAAACTCCTGACCTCTGGTGATCTGCCCGCCTTGGCCTCCCAAAGTGCTGGGATCACAGGTGTGAGCCACCATACCTGACCTACCTTTTTTTTGTTTTGTTTTGTTAAGAAACTTGCTTATGTTGTTCTTTATTTTCTTCTTGACTTTTTTTTCCCCAGGTTTCCTTACAGTCATGCGTCACTTAATGAGGTAGATACGTTCTGAGAAATGTGTTAGGCAATTCCATTGTCATGCAAACATCGTAGAGTGGACTTACACAGACCTAGATGTGTAGTGTGTACCTATAAACCTGGTACACACCTAGACTATATGGTATAGGCTATTGCTCCTAGGTCACAAACTATACAGCATGTTACTCTACTGAATACTCTAGGCAGTTGTAGTAAAATGGTATTTGTGTATCTAAATATATTTAAGTATAGAGAAGGTACAATAGGGCCAGGCATGATGACTCATGCCTGCAATCTCAGCACTTTGGGAGGCTGAGGTGGGCAGGTCACTTGAGCCCAGGAATTTGAGACCAGCCTGGGCAACATGACAAAACCCCTTCTCTACCAAAGAATCCAAAAAATTAGCTGGGTGTGGTGGTATAGGCCTATAGTCCCAGCTACTTGGGAGGATGAGGTGGGAGGATGGCTTGAGCCTGGGAGGTGGAGTTTGCAGTGAAACAAGATTGTGCCACTGTGCTCCATCCTGGGCAACAGAGCCAGACCCTGTCTTTAAAAAAAAAAAAAAAAAAAAAGTACAATAAAAATTCAGTATTTTACTCTTATGGGACCACTGTTGTATATGTGGTCCATTTTGTCAATTGAGATGTTGTTAAATGGCACGTGACTGTATATCCATTAATAGTAGGTGATTGAGACTGGCTCTCTGAAAACACATCTACACTCACTGTCCCCAGGCCTGGAATAGCTCCCGTCATGCCTTTGTGTGGATTAGGGGAAGGTACTCTTCCTCCAGCAAGTGCAGCAGCCTGGTGCAGACCTTGGGCTGTGGTGCCGATCCCTGAGTGCCCCTAACAGGACCCCAGCTCATGCAGCAGCCTTGCTCTGCCCTTTCTTCGGAAGTCTTCTAATGAGATGTGCATGCAGTGCCCCCACTTTTGCCTCTTACAATCACTCAGGAGATGACGGCAGGTGTACTTTCCTGCAGAAATAGAGAGATTGTAATCTTCTCTATTCTTTACTAACTGGCTAATAAGACAAAATGTCATGAACTCAAGAGGGGCCTTCACATTCCAAAAGAACTATCACACGGCTGGGCTGTGAACCAGGTTTGACTCCTCTGTTCTCCTTAAGCTGCTGGAAAACTTCGTGGCCATGAAATGCTTTGGTCATCTTTCATAGTGGCCAACTCTTGGCCATGTGCTTAATGCGAGGAGAACTGGAATTAGGTGGATAATATTTTATGTGAATCAGGAAACTCTTTAGGCATGAAGTTATTATCAAGTCAGCTCTGAATATTCTATAAATATTTATTCTCTCAGAGGAAAATATTACTTCAAGACTGCCCAGTTTTTCTTAGATTTTATAGCCTTCTCAGTATTTTCTGGCTACATATATGGGGTTTCTAAAGAGGCTGTTACCTAAGCAATGACCTGTGTGTGTGTATGCACATGTATTAGTCACATTAAACACCCTAGTGGTATTTAATACCCAATGGAATTGAAGAACAATGGAACCAATTGCACAATAAACCATCTTATAAGTTAAAATGGTCTCCATCTAATCAGGCCATAAATGTTGTGAAGAGTGTGTAGTTTGATGTTTCTCCTATATCTCAAGCTTCTAATGTAAATGAAGAGAACTTGGAGATGACAGACAGTGAAAATGACTTGCAGGAAAATCCTGAAGACTGTTAAGTAACAGGAGAGTTTCATGTTTGACAGTGTCTGGAAATGTTGAATCTGTTTCACTGGCTGACCTTGGCTTTCATGCGTGTTTGTAAGAAGGCTGCCTCATTTTTACCCAGAAAAAAATGATTTTACTTTTTGTTTATCTGGGCTAGTTAATCTTTTTCCTCCAAAATATTTATTTAATATTTACTCTGGGCACAGCATTGCCTTGTGCAGTGTGTAAGGAATTCCTCAGTGGATTTATAACTGAGATGGGTATTTACAACATCATACCCAATATATAAAAATGAAACTTTTGCTCTTAAATACATGGACTAATTTTGTAAAAAAAAAAAAAAATTCTTGTGCCTTTTCTTTGTGCAAGGCATGGTGCTAAGCACTTCTCTGCATATCATTTGTTTTTCTCCAGATTAATTATCCACTCTTTCCTCAATTGCTCTCAGCACAGGATGGTGAATCTTCATAGATTACATTCATCCAGGGTCCCTTGCCTTTTGGCTTCTGATATAGTTTGGATATTTCTCCCCTCCAAATCTCATGTTGAAATGTAATCCCCAATGTTGGAGGTGGGGCCTGATGGCAGGTGTTTGGATCATGGGGGTGGATCCCTCATGAATGGGTTGGGCCATTTCCTTGGTGATAAGTGAGCTGTCACTCTGAGTTCACAGGAAATATGGTTGCTTAAAAGTGCATGACACCTCGCCTCCAACCCTCTCTCTCTTGCTCCTGCTTTTGCCATGTGACGTGGCAGCTCCCACTTCACCTTCTGCCATGAGTAAAAGCTTCCTGAGGCCTCCCCAGAAGCCAAGCAACGTCAGTGCCCTGCTTTTACAGCCTGGAGGACCATGAGCCAATTGAATCTCTTCTCTTTAGAAATTATCCAATCTCAGATATTTCTTTATAGCAATGCAAGAATGCCCTAATACATAAAATTGGTACTAGGCATGGAGTATTGCTTAAGATACTGGAAAATGTGGAAGCAGCTTTGGAATTGGGTAAAAGGTAGAAGTTGGAAGAGTTTGGAGGGCTCTGAAGAAGACAGAAAGATGAGATTAAGTTTGGAACTTCTTACAGACTGGTTAAATTGTTGACACCAAAATTCCGCTAGTGATATGGACAGTGAAGTCCAGGCTGATGAGAACTCAGATGGAAATGAGGAAGTTATTGGGAACTGGAGCAAAGATCAGCATGTTATGTTTTAGCAGAGAGGTTAGCTGCATTGTGTCCATACACTAGGGATCTGTGGAAGTTTGAACTTCAGAGTGATGATTTAGGCTATCTATCAGAGAAATTTCTAAACAGCAAAGCATTCAAGATGTGGCCTGGCTGCTTCTAACACCCATGCTCAGATACAGGAGCAAATAAATGACTTAAAGTTGGAATTTATATTTAAAAGGGAAGCAGAGTGTAAAAGTTTGCAGCCTGGCCATGTGGCAGAGAAAGAGAAAACCTTTCTGGGAGAGTAATTTAAGCAGTCCATGGAGCAACCACCGGCTAGAGATATTTGCATAACTAAAAGGGAGCCAAGTGCTAATAACCAAGACAATGGGAAAAAGCCTGGAAGGCATTTCAGAGACCTTCCTGGCAGACCCTCCCATTGCAGGCACAGAGGTCTAGGAGGGAAAAATGATTTCATGGGCTAGGCCCAGAGCCCAGCTTCCCTGCACAGCCTCAGGACACTGCTCCCCATATCCCTGCTGCTCCAGCTCCAGCTGTGGCTCAAAGGGCCCCAGGTATAACACGAATGACTGCTTCAGCAACAAAGGGTAAAAGCTGTAAGCATTGGCATCTTTAATGTGATGTTAAGCCTGTAGGTGCACAGAGTGCAAGAGTGAAAAAGGCTCAGCAACCTCTGCCTAGATTTCAGAGGGTGTATGAGAAGGCTGGAGTGCCCAGGCAGAAGCCTGCTGCAGGGCTGGAGCCCTCACAGAGAACCTCTACTAGAGCAGTGTGGAGGGAAAATGTCGGGTTAGACCCCCACACAGTGTCCCAGCTGGTGCACTGCCTAGTGGAGCTGTGAGAAGGGGGCCACTGTCCTCCAGACCCCAGAATAGTAGATCCACTAACAACTTGCACCGTATGCCTGGAAAAGCTGTAGGAACTCAATGCCAGCCCAGGAGAACAACCATGGGGGCTGAACCCTGCAGAGCTGCAGGGGCAGAGCTGCCCAAAGCTTTGAGCACCCACACCTCATATTAGTGTGCTCTGGATGCAGGACATAGAGTCAAAGGAGACTCTTTTGGAGATTTAAGATTTAATGGCTGCCTTGCTGGGTTTTGAACTCACATGGGGCCTGTAGCCCCTTTGTTTCAGCTGATTTAACTCTTTTGGAATGGGAATTACCCAATGCCTACACCCCCATTGTATCTTAGAAGTAAATAACTTGTTTTTTATTTTATAGGTTCATAGATGGAAGGGACTTGCCTTGTCTCAGATAAGACTTTAGACTTTGGGCTTCTGAGTTAATGCTGAAATGAGTTAAAACTTTGGGGACTACTGGGAAGGCATGATAGTATTTTGCAATGTGAGAAGTCCATGAGATTTGTGGGAGGAAGGTGGGAATGATATAGTTTAGAGATTTGCCCCCACCCAAAACTCATATTGAAATGTAATCCCCAATGTTGGAGCTGGGGCCTGGTGGGAGGTGTTTGAATCATGGGGCAGGTTCCTCATGAATGGCCTGGGCCATCTCCTTGGTAATAAGTGAGCTTTCACTCTGAATTCACAGGAGATGTTGTTTAAAAGTGTGTGGCAACAACCCCCCAACTCTTTCTCTCTGTTGTTCCTGTTTTTTCCATTTGACATGCCAGTTCCTGCTTCACCATCTGCCGTGAGTAAAAGCTCCCTGAGGTCTTTCCAGAAGCCAAGCGATGTTGTTGCCATGCTTGTATAGTGCACAGAACCAAAAGCCAATTAAACCTATTTATTTACAACTTATCCAGTCTGAGGCATTTCTTTATAGCAATGCAAGAACACCCTAATATAGCTTCCGTTAAATTTAGCCAATGGGAGATGCTGGCATGAGATCTAGGGTGGGAAGAGAATGAAGTTGCAGTAGTTATCCTCCTTGCCACCTTCTTGCTAAATCATCTTAGATGGGTTGCTTTACTCACAGAGCCACCGTCCTTAGGTTCTTGTAAATGTTCACTGCTTTGCCCCTTAGGACTCAATAATGGCTCCCCATAATTTCTGCTGTTAGAGTATTGAACTGTCTTCTCTTGGCTAGGGAAAACATAAACCCTGCCCTCAGTTTTGCAAATGGTCTCTTTATTAAATTCAATACAAACTACCTAATTTTAATTTGCCATCTTTTCCTAGCTAGTCCTGAACTCATACAAAAGTAAATCAGATGGGTATCTAGTCTTCAAGGTGAAGATAAGCCATGTTTCAACATAAGTATGACAAGATAGAATTTAAGTAAGAGGCAGTGTAATACACCAGTGAGAACAGTCAACTTGAAATTAGGTTGTATAGATTATAATCACTGCTCTGCTTCTAGTTGTGATTACCTGGGTATATAAAGAAACTAGATGTGCTCAAAATTCTCTCCAATGTTGAGATTTTATACTGACTGCTCTCTTTGAGTTCTTTAAGAAAGTAGCAATTAAATGCTAGAAGGGAGTGGCAGCTAAAGTACCATGGAAACCTGGGGAAAACATAGATTAACTCGTGACAAAATTACTAAGAGCAATGACATTTCTGAGGAAGAAGAGATTGCTGGAATAAGGGAAAGCTTCAGGGAACAGATGATGCATGGGAAATCTTTATTTCATATGTTGGGTTAGAAAATCATTAAGTGAGTAAATAAGTGTTGGTAAATCTTCCTGAGTTAAAGCAAAGTCTGTGGAGTTCCTGACATTCCTTGTAGAGCCATCCAGCTATGGAACATGACTTAACTATGGTAGTTAGCAGGTACATGATGCCAGTTGTATTAGTCCATTTTCACACTACTGATAAAGACATACCCAACACTGGGAAGAAAAAGAGGTTTAATTGGACTTACAGTTCCACATAGCTGGGGAGGTGTCAGAACCATGGTGGGAGGCAAAAGACACTTCTTACATGGTGGTGGCAAGAGAAAATGAGGAAGATGCAAAAGCGGAAATTCCTGATAAAACCATCAGATCTTGTGAGACTTATTCACTACCACGAGAACAGTATGGGGAAACCAAGCCCATGATTCAAATTATCTCTCACTGAGTTTCTCCCGCAACATGTGAGAATTATGGGAGTACAATTCAGGATGAGATTTGGGTGGGAACACAGCCAAACCATATCACCAGTGTTTCCTGAGTTGTCTCTGCAGAGACTCTTGTATCCACTTTAGGATACCTAAGATAACTGCTGCTCTTGCCAGAACATGTACTTCTGCTGCCTTTATATTTTCCTTAAGATCCCCTCTTTGCCTTCCATGTCACATGACATTGGATTTTCCAAAGCATCTGGACAGCTTCAGTGCTTCTTTGCTGATAATAACAGAGACTCTTCCAGGAGCAAAAAAGTTCTAAGCAATCTCCCTGTTGTGTTGAGCAAGAAGGGAGGGAGATAGTGTATTTCATGGGAACTCCTGAAGACAGAACTTGTATGACTGCCAGTTATGTAACTATTTAAGAAAAATTACTGATCTATTATTTATTAGGCATGATGTTGACCAAGCCCTCAGGGAACTTAAGACTAGTAGAGGAAAGGGAAGGTTAATAAGAATACTTTAATCCAATGTTGTAAGCACTATGGTGTGACACAGTGGATGCCTAGATTATTATGGGAACCCAGAGACCCTACATAACTCAGCTGGAAGGTGGGTGGGCTTGGAAGGAATCAGAGAAACTCCCTAAGAGATAATGCTAATATTAGCTCATTCAGAAAGGTTGTACAAGAGTTAGTCACAAGGAGAGAGAAGGGAAGGATGTTCACAATGAGAATAGGATGACCTAAACCTTGGAAGTATAAAATAGTGAGGGATGTGTTTGAATTGTGTGCGTATGGGTGTATCATGTGGACATAGACTAGCTTGGTGTATCAGAAGTATAATATAAATGTGGGTAAGTGTCCTTTTAAGGGTTAGTTGGGTGTTTATGTGCTAGCTGGAGAACCTAACCACACAAGATAGCCTTATTTGTCTGGGAAGTACATTTTAATATCCATTAAGTCAATTTAGGAAGGAGATTGTGAGTGTAGTAGATGGGTAAGTTGAGGCTCCCTGTGCAGCATTTTTTCCCACACATCTCTTGGCAAGGAGCCTTGACAAATAGCAACAATAAAAGCTTTACATCTTTCAATCAATATATAATGGAATAATGTAATTCCATTCATGGATGATTTGGCAATCATACCGTCTTGCCAAAGAGGGGGAGATTGATGCACCCAGCCAAACAAAGGTCTGTGTGGCAAGGGAAGCTTGGTAACATGCTCTTGCAGTTTTCTCTGGGTTTGGGAATTATTGCTGTTTTTCTCACTTCTTGGTTTTAATGGGTGCCTGAGAAATACTCTGACTCCCAGGGCTTTGCAGGAAGGGGAAAAAACAGATTTAATGCTATTCTAAGTCTTTAGACACATTTACACATCCTCCATCTGCTTGGGAGGGAAAAAAATTCAGATTTCAATAACAAAAATTGTACAGGTCTTCCTTAAGGCAACAGAAAATGCATATGATAAGGGAATAGCCATGAAGTGCAAAGGCGCATTTAGGTCTTAGTGCTTATTGACTGGAGCTGCAAAGAAGATGTGAAGGATGTGTGAAAAATCCCAAATAAAAGAGCTCGAGTAACATACAATATGGATAAGAAAATGTGCTTTAAAGAAAATGCAACTGTAACAAATGAACATGGGTTATGGAAAAGAAGTGGGGCCGAGGACGAGCAGTGTGTGACAAGAATGACGATAAGCAATATTCTCTTCTTAGAAGTTTGGCTCGCAGAAACAATATTCTGTTCTGCAGTTATTGGTTTGCATTACATTTATTCAAAATACAATTTGAAATGCAAGAATCATGAACTAGACCTACTTTTCCTCTTCTCCCTTGCTACCTGTAAGGGAGATTTCAATCTTACAACCACTGAAAACCATAATCAATGTGAAGAGGGATTGGGATGGCTACAGTACCAGTCCTAGGAGGAGGCTAGAAAGCACAAAACCTCACAATTCCCTGTCAGGCTGGTATAGGGCATGTTGAACCAACAATCACATTCAAGGTAGACATTTGATGGGAAGTATATTAAATGTGTGCTACTGCTTATAAAGACTTTCTGGGATGAAATACTGGATGTGTTTTAGGTTGGTTACAGCCAATCTGGTGAACTTGTGCAGCACATTGTGAAATGTCACTTTTCTATTTAAACTCAAAAAAGGCAATGGATTCACGTGCTTACCAGTTGTCATTTACATGGTATTCTACAGCATAAGCCCATCTGATTCATAGCATATACCTTGTGTGCCAGCTATGTATAACAGCCTTGATATTAGCACCTGGCCAACTGTTTAGGACCTTAAAGAATTTTTAGAGTCCCTCTCTCCCCTTCACCATAGGCCTGGAAGAGATTTTTTAAAAGACTGCATATAAGTTCCATCATTTTTGGGGGGTGGATTCTTATGAGATTTTAGCCACTGGGATTCATGTCAAACCAGATAAATTTCCATTAGCCCACACCCTTGGCTTGGTGAGACAGAACGGTGCCTATACGAAACGAATATCTTGGCCAACAACCAGCCTCTGCCAACAGAGCCCATGTCTCACCTTCTTGTATGACAGGCAACTCTCTGGATCTGCCTTGCTCGTGGCTCACCCCTGCTTTTTGCCACCCATCCTGCTAGCACCCTAACCGTGACTCAGCCACTTTGTAACTTCCAGCCCTGACATGGTAACTATTTGTGTTTCTCATGCAGCTTGGTGAATCCCACTGACAAGTTTTGGGGCATACATCCAGTTTACCTAGTACTTAGTCTAGGAACTCCTGCAGCCAGACATTGTATTCACTGGAAGTTCTTTACTACATTTCTCTCTGCCGTGTAGGCAGAGCTAAAGGAATTTCCCTGACATTGAATGTATACTCTCAGGGTAGGCATTCAGAGTTTTTTTAAGACCACTTAATTCACAAACATTTACTGTATTCTTAAGAGATGCCAGGTATTGTTAGGGTTATAAATTATAACTGAGGTGTGGCTAAGAGTGTAGTAGGAAAGAAAATGGATGCAGGTAGCTGTAATTAGAAGATGATTGACAGTAGGTCAGTAATCTTAGAGACAAACCCTAAATGGAGACACCATAGGAAAAAAAGACATAATTTCTGTAAGCTGTATCACAGAAGGCTCTAGAAGGGGCAGCTTTTGGGATAGACTTCAGTGGATGGATGGAATTTCAGAAGGAGAAACTTACCAAAGTGTGCATTCAGATAGAAGAAATAGAGTAGGCACGAAGGGCATGAAGACAGGATGTATCTAGGTAACAACAATTGGGATAAATTTGCAGGAGCAAGGAATGCACACAGAAGAGATGATGTAGATAAAATAAATCTGGAACTTTGTCCTGAAATATGTTGAGCCAGGGAGTTACCCTATCAAAGTTAGCTATGCATTTGGATGCTTAACTGTTGATGGTGACTAGTATGTATCGGTGGTTCTCAACTAGAGGTTAGTCTTGCTTGCCCTCTGCCCAGGGATGTTTGGCAAGATCTGAAGTCACTTTTGGTTGTCACATATCAGTAGGGAGAGGAAGTAGATAATCTGAGATGTGGTTGTTACATCTCAGTAGGGGGAGGAAGTGGACTTTTCCACTGCTACATGTCCCATTGTGCATCCAATAACAAAGAATTATCTGGCTCCAAGTATCAGTAGTGCCAAGGCTGAGAAACCCTGCAATGGATTAAAGGAGGAATTGACTGCTGAAAGGGGAAACAAGGGTTAAAACAGTATTGGAAGGGTCTAGCCAAGAGAAAGGAGGATCTCTACAGGGCAGTGGTGGTAAAAATGGAAGAGGAGAGACAGCTGTACTGAATATTTAAAGGTAGAATTGACAAAAATTTGGCAACAAATTCTTTGTGGTGAGGAGGAAGGAAAGAATAAAAAGAAAATCCAAGGCTTTGAACTGGTTTTGCTGGGAGAATGATTTGTCTAATCACAGAAGTGAAAAAGGCAGCAAGAACAAAAACTATATATCCTTTCGATGGGAAAAAACTATATATCCTTTTGTCTAACAACATTGATATAAAGCTGGGTTCAGATCCCAGCTTTTCCACTTACTATTTGTATGGTTTAGAAAAATTTCTTTAGTTCCATGGGGTTATTTTCTCATTAGTAAAATAGTGATAATATCATCTCCCTTACTGGTCACCATTAAAGTAAAATCAGATCATGTTCATTCAGGGAAGTTCTCTAGGTGATCTTAGACTAACCGAGTTCTCCCCACTTTCTCCCTTGTATTTCTCAAGAATAACTGTGTAATGTTCTGGGAATGCAACACTGTGAGACAGGGAAGAACTGACCTTAACAGTCAGCTCTGTTCCTGTACCCCTGAGAGACAAGACGTCCGTCAGTGCTTTAGCTCAGCAATTCACAGTGTCACAGAGTATAAAACCCATGTGGGCTACTTTCCAGAGTCTTTCAGCTGTGGTACAAGTGGCGAATGCACAGATGAGACTTCATTCACCTCAGGCAACTTTTCTGAGCCTTGGAGGACTGTTTTTTCATGAGCCTCTAGGTTTCCGTTGTCTCCTGCTGCTTACTCTAAGTAATCCATTTCATGTAATTTGTTGTGTCTGTGGGTGTTTTGTCTCATATCACTCAAGGCAAGGTGGTAACCAGTGCACAGTGGATCTTCTTTACAGTCCATAGAACACATTGCCAGGCACATAATTTTGCTCCATAAATGGAGCTATTATTCTGCCTCTGCTGCTCTTATCTCTTATTGTCCAGCCTGGGGAGATGTCAAATGTGCTTGAGAAAAATCTTAATGACAGCTCCTTTGATAAACACTGATGCTCAATAAAATCAAAGCTACCAGTTGCAGTGATTTGAAAGACATTTTGGCAAAATTCTTTCATTTGGAAATTCTACTGTGGTTTTGGACTCAAGGAACAATGTGGAAGTGGTCCCATTTGTTGTGTTTATGACCTTTAAGTTAATTAAGATGTTAATCCTTGACAATAGCAATTCTAACTGAAGAACTGAAGACCAGGTGGTCTTGAAGAAACTTAAGACCCGACTTGCATGGCTTAATGATAGGAGAAGATTGATTAATGTATATTAAGTACTTGCCCTATACAAACAAATTGTGAGAAACAAAGTACCCAGTGCCTTGTTTGCACTGTGAATGACAAGTAATAATTTAATCACAAATATCTTGTTGTGGTCAATGAGAAGCAAAAATAGACTTAACATCACTTGAAAAGTAATTTGACTTAACTTTGTTTTTTGAAAATCTGATAGACTTGAAAGTTTGTCTTTGATATCACTATATTAGAATATATTGCTATATTAAAATTATTTTTATTTAAAATATGTAATGTATACTACTTTTTTGTCTTTCTAGTTGACTACTGTTATTTTTGAATGAAAATGTGCTATTATTTTCTATTCTGTTATACATCTGTGTATTTCTGTGTCTGTAAGTGGAAGAATGCATCTCACCAAGGAAACTTAGACTCTCTCTTTGAGAGTTTTACAGGTGCCCTCTATCAAATGACCTGGGTATAGTCACAGTACATTCAGTAGACATGATGATTAGGGTGACATGGATTTCTGAGCATTTGGATTAGGTGGCTCTTTTTCAAATTCTGAATGTGTTGCCTTCATATTATCATCTTCCTCCTGCCACCATTCTCTAAGATTTCTTGCATTTATTTATTTTATTGTAGAGTGCTTTTATCTGAAGATTTTTTTCAGGTGCTAGACAGAAATGGGTATTTATTATAATAAAACAGAGACATTACCAAGTGGGAAAAAAGACCAGAAGAAAAGAAGTAGGTGGGGAAGGGCAGCAACAGGTGAAAGAATTGCAAGGTAGATGAAAGGGAAGAATGAGTGAGAGGAAGACAAACAGCTAAGTTGTTGGTTGCAAGTCCCTGTTACCTCCGAGACAGACCAAACAGGTTCTGGGGGTGTTGAGGTTGATTTTGCAGATCTTGTCAGTTCTGAGAGCAGAGCAGCACTTCTTTTTCAGCTTCATCATCTTTTAATATTATTGTGTGTGTGTGTGTGTGTGTGTGTGTGTGTGTGTGTGTGTGATTCTTTAATTATTGTTTAATTGAGCACAAAGAGTACTTGCAAAGGTGTGGCTTGAAGTAGTAACTAAATTATAGTCATGCATCACTAAAGACAAGAATATCTTATAAGAACCATGTTGTTAGGTGATTTCATTATTGTACAAACATCATAGAGTGTACTTAAACAAACCTAGATGATGCTATACACCTAGGCTATGTATTCTATTGTCTCTAGGCTACAAACCTGTACAGCATATTACTGTACTGAACACTGTGGGCAGTTGTAACACAATGGTTAACTATTTGTGTATCTAAACATATCTAAACATAGAAAAGGTACAGTAAAATACAGTATCATAATCCTATAGGATCACCATTGTATATGCAGCCCATTGTTAACTGAAATGTCATTGTATGGCACATGACTGTAGTAAGAGTTTTTTCATTCTTTCCATAGGTAGATAAAAATTTGTAAATACAAAGAAATGCTTATTTTCCATTAACAATCCTTAACCATGGGACTAATATTTGTCAAGGCAGACTCTTACTTAGAACTTGGAAAATATTGTTTGCCATTTCTTCCTAAAAATCTTCTACAAAAGGTAACACATTCTCTTTGTTACAAAACATCATTTCCTTTGCAATGCCTGTGATGCAGTTCAATACTGTGTCCAATGTGGCATATCATAGATACTTAATAAATATTTTTTGCATACATAAACGAATTAATTCAAAATTAGATTTGTAGAGTTGCCAAGGCAGTCATCTCCCAATATTTTAAGCTTTCATGGAAACAATTCTTGGTTGTATACTAACATATCTGAGTGTCTATATATGCATATATATGCACATTTATGCATATGTATTCCTATAATTATATGCATGCACACACATATTCTGGACTTCTTTTGAAAGGTTTATGTGTGATGATACACTGTATATAAAGTGTATCTTATGTTGCTATCCTTTCAAGACATGTATACCAACTGTACATATGTTGCACCATATGGCAGAACTTCAATGCCCATCTCTCAGCCTTATTCTTAGAGTCACTGAAGAGATGCCTCTTGAGATAAGACAGCCTTAAAATAGGTCAGAGACTTCAGATGTCAATTTTTTTCAATGGTAAATGACATCATGAGGAAACAGCTAAAACAGGGAAATACCCTTGCTAAATAAGCTAGCTTCCATATGCAGAATGCAAGCTATTGAGGCTCCTTTTTCCTGGCATACTGCTTTTGCAAATACTGCACCTATCACTTCTTTCTTTGGTTGCTGTGACCCAAGGATTGATGCATTTAAAGCTCCTACAATCATAGAAGACATGAACTTGAAAAGTCCACAAAGTACTAGTTTTGGTAGCTACATAATGTTGGGCAAATCGATTGAATAGACAGTATATTTTGTCTTCAGTACAAGCAAATTAAGAGCAAAGTGTGTTTATGAATTTTTTTTTTTTTTTTGAGATGGAGTTTCTCTCTGTCGCCAGGCTAGAGTGCAGTGGTGCAATCCCGGCCGGCTCACTGCAACCTCTGCCTCCCAGGTTCAAGCAATTCTCCCACCTCAGCCTCCCAAGTAACTGAGACTACAGGCATGCACCACCATGCCCAGCTAATTTTTTATTTTTAGTAGAAATGGGGTTTCACCATGTTGGCCAGGATGGTCTCGATCTCTTGACCTCGTGATCTGCCTGCCTCAGCCTCCCAAAGTGCTGGGATTACAGGCATCAGCCACTGCGCATGGCCTGTGAATATTTTAATATCATTATTCTAATCCATATTGCAAGAAAACCAAGCTTTAAAAAACCCATGCTAAGTGGCTACTCACTAATTCATTTATTAAAATAATCATCTAGCATAATATACCTACCACCGATAATGTGCTGCAGGCTGTGTGTTTTATTCCATTTTCACAACCACCTTACTATTTAGGTACTATTATTTTAATTTTATAGATGAGTAAACTAAAGCTGAAGAACATTAGTAATTTACCTAAGCTCACTCAGCTAGTAAGAGGCAGAGATGGTTTTCAATATTTTTTAATGAATAGATGAATGAAATAATAAACTTGCTTGAAAGCATCTTCCAGTTTGTCTGATTCTTAAACCTATAATGTCTGTCTGATACATTGTACTGACTCAAAATAAATAACTTCTCTTTCGTATGCTAATAAGCAGGAGGAGAAGAAATTGTCAATTTAAAGATCCCATTATAAATTGTAAGGGCATGGCTTTTGACAGGCCCTTATCATATCGTATTTGATCTCATTAGATATTCAAAACTACCATACAGGGAAGACTTAGTATCCTCAGGTATAGATGAGCAAAGTATAACTCACTGAAGCTTACATTGTGTCTAGGCTTGCACAGCTAGGACATGCATTATATAATTAATAATCAAACTAATGTTTGTCTTGTCAGCTTTTTAGTGCACCATTCATAAATATGAACAGTATCCAGTAAATACCAAACATTTGAAGAAAGGGTCTACAATAGAAGAGAGATCAAAACAAATGAATAGAACAAAGGAACTTAGAAGAAATGTCAGGTGAAGAAGAAAATTTTAATCAAACAATTCTATAGCTATTTCATCTATAAATACTAGGGATATGTTTACTCAGAATCTCTGTTGTGTAATACTTGTCATCCAAGGCTGTACTCCCCTGTGAGAAGGTTCTGGGAAGGTTCCTGAGATGCCTACGTCCTTCCATACCAATATTCCATTCTTGTGTGCTTTGTGTAAACTGGCTTTGTAAGTTTCCAAACACTTTGCCATCAAAAAACGTTTACATCCTCTAATTGTGATTCTTTGTATATTTTCATCTATTCATGTTTTATTGTAACTTCCATGCTGGTTGGAAGTTAGAAGATAAAGTTAAAAAAAACACTATCCTCAAAAATAGAACCAATATGCTCAGAGATGGGAAAAGGGAGTAAAAAGATAGGATGAATTATAGAGGTCTTGAGTAGTAGGAATTCCAGAAAAGAAGATCATATTGGAGACAATTAGCCAAAAAATTATTCCAAAAAAATGCCCCAGAAATGATAGCCATACATTTTGATATTGAAAGAATCTATTGATTCTCCAATACATTGGTAGAAATAAGAACAACAACAATATGCATCATCATAAAATTTCCAGACACTGGAGAAAAAGAGAAAAATCCTGAAGGCTGCCAGTAAGAATAAATAAGTCACATAGGAAAGATCAAGACTTGGAATAAAATCATATTTCTCAATTAGATTTAGAAGCTCAAAGAAATAAAGATATGGTTCAAAATTCTGAGGGGAAAATTCTTTCTAACCTAGAATTCTATACCCAGTAAAAGTATCAAAAATATATGTGGATAAAATAAAGTCATTTGAGGTACCTGCATGGTCTCAAACAATTGACCTTCAATTCACTTTTTCTTGGTAAGCTATTGAAAGGATGATGGAAAGCAAGAAAGACATGAGAGTGAGGAAAGAAAGGATTCAACCTAGGAGAGAGGTATGGGGAAATGTCAGGTAATGGCTTTGCAGCAGTTGTACACAATCTCAAGTCCAGATTAAAGCAAGAGAATCAAAATGTATGGGAGGAATATTTTCAAGAAAACAAAAAAACCGATAGATCACCTGATACAAGACCAGGGGTCAGCAAACTGAGGCTCAGGCCAAATCCAGCCCCCAATCCCTCTTATTTTTGTAAATAAAGGTTTATTGGACCACAGCCTTGCCCAGTAATTTACACTGCTACAATGGTAGAGTAGAATAGTTGCAACGGAGACCATGTGGCTCACAAAGCCTAACCTATTTACTCTCCAGTCCTCTATAGAAAAAATTTTCCATCTCTGTATTGGCTATTAAAAAAAGCTTTAACTCTTGGGGATATATTAATTATAGATATATGGAAAACAACAACAAAAAACAACAATTATTTACTCCACAGAAAACAAAAAGTTGAACAAGAAAGGCGCTATGAATATTAGTTTAACTAAAAATTGTGACATAGTTTTACAATAAAAAAAGTGGTGTGTGAGTATGTCTTTTTGGGGTGGATTTGTAAGGAAGCTGAGATCCTACTTCCACATATTTGTTCCACAAATTGAAAGATAATGTATGCCACAAATTGAAAGATAATGTATGCCATAAAAACAGATTTTTTTTCTGTTTTTTTATAATAGAAAAACATCAAGAAAAGGGCAGTAAGAATGTTATTTAAAAATATGGAGGTAAATTTCAGAAGAAAATGCCGAAAATGTTTGCCTTTGGAAAACGAGAATCAAGGGTGAGAATGGGTAGGTCAGGGAAAACTTTTTAAAATACCTTGTAGTAGTATTTGATTATGTAAATCATGAACACATATTACTTTGCTAAAAACAAAGTTAAAAGTGTGGCAAATATTAGAGAATCATTGAAATGCAGTGAACCTCGATTGTGATGAGTTATTTGAATCTTGGTATATAATTTGTTTTAGAAACATCTGCGTGAGAAGGGCCCCTCTCATAAAATGAAAACAAAGGACAGAAAGCATTGCTGAGGGCTTAAGGTGTGGATGAAATGACACATTGAAGCTGAAGAATCCCCATGTTGACAGCATTCAATCCAAGAAAAGCTCCACTGTACACATGTTCTAACATATGGTAAAATTTCAATCTCTTATCTCTTGATATTAGTGTTCATCCTCAGAATCACCAAGGGACCATTTTGCAGAAGGAAGATCTACTAAAATAAGTCAGGGACTTGGTGGCTAGGAATCAATGCATTTTTTTTTAACATGGAAAAAGCATATGAATCAGTACTCTGTAAATAACCAAACAAATACAGTTCCCAAACTCTGAATATATGAGACAATTATTTAAATAACTTGTCACTTTTTATATTTTGAGAATATTGCATCTGTATTTTTTTTGTGTCTTTCTGTATTTTTGGTTTATGCAGCCAATATTCTTGATCAGAGAGCAGGATCATTCATTTTAGTTTATTTGGTTTTAAAAAATACAAATGGCTATATTAAAGTGTAAACGCATTAGTCTCACCACAGGTGAAAATTAGTCACCCTCATCTGCCAGGTTTATGGTATTTTACAATGAACTAGGTCAAAAGGAGATCAGATGTACATAGCTGTGAATTTTTCTGTGTGAAAAATGTATTTAAAAAGTGTGTGTGGGTATAAACCTACATACATACATATATATACATATGAACGTATGTACACATGCATATATACACACTGTCTGTTTATATACAAATGTGTATATAGATATATAATTTTAAGAAAAATATTTTAATAAATGGTTTGTTTTATTGTAATATGATGCCATCCTTAATATTTCTGTAAGAAAAATATAATGTTTAAGCAATAAGTCAATGGACAGACAAAAATAACCAATAAATTAGCTTTTCTTTTTCTAAGGCCCATAGGATGTTGGTCTAATGCTATGAGCTTACTAAGTAGAAAACAAGTCTAGATTGGAGTCCCTGGAGGACTTTCAAAAGGTCAGAACAGTACCTGGTTTCCCACATGCCTGTGCCTGGACTTTGCTACTCTGGTAAAATGTCTCTGTAGCAAACAAACTAGCAGTTCAACCTGAAATCTGCAGAGTGGATCACAATGGTATTCACCAGAGTGAATGTTGTTCTTACTTCTTATCTTGTTCCACACTTCCAAAGGGCTCATCCAAGCGTTGATTTACAGGGACAGTTTGTGATTTGTTCCAGATTAGCTTTTTTTTTTTCTTGACAGAGTGATCCAAAAGAGAGAGCTTCACATACAATATCCTATGCCTACTTTCTCAGCTCAGAGAGAGAGGCTCAGTCATTCATAAACTGGAGCAACATTCATGTACTGCGGACCACTTTGAAAGACTTATCTGTCTCCTGTTTACAGATGTGTACAGCAAGCTGCAAAGCACTGCCTGTCCTTTTACTCACAATCAATTGCAGAGAACATGAAGTACAGAAGACAACAGCTTTTTTTTTCTTTTGGAAAATCCCTTAAGTCCTTTCCGTGCTGTGCTATCATTGTTCAGGTGCTAAAGTGAAATAAATGTGTCGTCTAATCACTAAGGTGTCATGAACTCAAAAATTTAACTGGCAGTGAAGAGTCAGGGAACATTGTAATTTTGCCTTGTCACAGGAATACTAGTTCAAAAGTGGGAGGAATGTATTTGCCAATATGGTCTACATCTTCAAATGCACATTGTTTACTCAAACTTCATAGGCACATGTTCAATGAAGGGCATAAAAAAGACATTTACAAAGCTCATTGAAAGCTGGCATTAGGAAGCCCTGCCACAGAATAAAGGACCTATTAATCATATTGGTGATCATAGTGCTTTCTGCACAAGGACAACTGATGATTTGACTGAAGTCCAGGGTAAAGAGCAGAAAACATTAAGCTTGCTAGAGACTTAGCTGCAAGTCCTGCTCACTGCTCCAGGGTGGAAGGAGTCTTGGAGTGTTACCTGAAGCTTTGTTTACCTGGGGTACATAATTGAATATTCCTGTTCAATAACTTGTTGATTTAATTAAGCAACAGACCTGACACTTTAATTAATCAATTATTTACTGGGCATCCATAGCATGAGTGAGTGGGTGATGGTATAGTGGATTGAAATAGATCTCTGTCCTAATTTTTTAAGTCCTTTTTTCCTCATAGCAATCAGGGCATTAAAATAGTAACAAAGGCCGGGCGCGGTGGTTCACGCCTGTAATCCCAGCACTTTGGGAGGCTGAGGCGGATCACCTGAGGTGGGGAGTTTGAGGTCAGCCTGACCAACATGGAGAAACCCTGTCTCTACTAAAAATACAAAATTGGCCAGGCGTGGTGGTACATGCCTGTAATCCCAGCTACTTAGGAGGCTGAGGCAGGAGACTTGCTTGAACCCGGGAGGCAGAGGTTGCAGTGAGCCGAGATCATGTCATTGCACCTCAGCCTGGGCAACAAGAGTGAAACTCCATCTCAAAAAAAAAAAAAGTTAACAGTAGTTGTGTCCACTCAATGCAAGTGTTTCACCTTAACAATATGTGCATTTTTTAAATTTGGAAATTTAGAAGAGTAGCAAAAGACCACCTGGAGAATGAAGCCCACATTTGTAAAATGATCTTGGTCTACTTTGCCAACAGGAAAGTTAGATGCAAATGTTTGTCTTGAAATTCAGAATATACACAATGTGATTTGTATGAACTAGGCATTCTTCATATCAGGGAGCTGGTGAAATTTTGAGACCACTAATGAGAACATGTGTGGGCCTGGTGCTCATCCCAGGCCTGGTCTAAACTCACTTCTTGAGCCATCACTCTGCTTTTATCCACTTTATCGGCTCATGTGTCACACCCTGGACAATGTTGGAAAGGGCCATCAGCAAAGTTAATAAGATGCTTCCTCTCTCTGTGAGCAACTGCTCAGAGCAAGCACTTTCTGGTTCATTTACATCAAACTGTAACTGCATTTCTCCCGTGATCACTAGTTTTATTCTTGAGAATCCATGTAACATAAAAAGAGCAAAGGGAAGGTGTCTTATGAATACCTTCAAATGCTAGGAATTCTTACTGTTCTTAGAATGAGAATATAATCTATTTGGTATTGGGTGACTCTGCCTCACGACACATGCTCATTAAGTCTTTGGTGGATGAGTGGATGAATGGTTCTTAGCAGATGACTCACTTTCCTTTTGGCTGTTTTCTTTTTCACTAAGACATCTCCTCTGCTCTCTGTGAAGACCAAAGGCCTCATCTTGAAGCTTCCTGCTTCCCTTGGGCCTCTATCATTTACATATTCCATGCTCTATTCATAAGCACTATACTGGATAACTTGAAGAGCTTGGGGAAAAAGTGTCTAAATCATGATCCTGGTCAGTCTTCAAGATATTCTGAATGTGTCAGGAAAGCAAACCTCACATGACAAAGCAATGAGAAATTAGGCACTGGATTAAAGACTTATCTTTCAATGGCATGCAGAGTGGATGGAGTGGAGAGCTCTGAAAAGCAGGACATCTAATTAGGAGGGCCTAAGTTGAACAGACCTAGTCTGGGAGGGGGACTTCGGAACAAAAAGGGAGTGAGTGTTTGGTTCAATCAAGCAGGTGACCACTAGTAGCTGTGATTTTTTTTTTTTTTTTTTTTTTTTGGCATTTTAGACTTTTCTCTGCTAAAGAGGTTGGCAACCTTTCAACGGTCCCAGGTTGTAAGAAGGTGGTCCCCTCTTCTCCAGTGTTTTTATACATCATAGAGCTACAGAATTGTTCCATTAAAAGCCTATCTCTAATCATGAAATTTGCATGTGGAAAGCACTTAGCTCATCTGGAAGGAACTCTGAGGGCTAGAGTGTGCACTTAGCAGGTTAGGCAATCATGAGCTTAAAGAATTATGTTCAGTTGCAGTAGGCCGATTTGAGTGCACTTCTGGAAAATAATTTAAATATTCAAACTTAGACTAAGATATTCCCTTCTTAAACCTTGTGCCTAGCAAGAATTCTCAGTTCTGAGGTCCCCTGCATGATCATAAGCTAAAGCACCTAACAAGTAGTGAGAGGTTGTGGAAGGAGGTACTGAAAATGATCTCTTTCTTGAGCATTTCACGGACCTTGAGCCAGCTCAACATGCAGCCCTTCTGGAATTTTCCCTCTTAGGTTGAACACTGGGCTTAGAGACGGATTTTGAGTCTGTTATACTGTAATTCTATTTGGGCCTTATAAACTGCTTTATTTTAAGCCTGCTTGAAAGCAGTGCAGTGCAAGCAGATTATTCATTTGCTAGCTGCACCTCGCTGAATTTCGTTTTATAAAGAGTTCTGGGTTCACCTTCTGTGGGGTGTTTCATTTTTCATAAACGAAAGGCACAAGAAAAGAAATGTGACTACCTGAGAATGTGAAAAGCACCACAAGTGGATTCTGCAGATGAGCTAGAAATGACAGGTGAACATTGTGTCTTAAAGTCACCCCAGGGGATTCTCTCTCTGAAGTGAAGAAAACAGCAGGGTCCATCCTTTCTGATTTAGTCTTTGACAGGCTGCTTTTCTGAGTGGCTGCAACGTCCTAAGTGCTGGATTGGGAAAAGGATAACGTCTGAAGGGCACCATTTGCCACTGGCAGGGGAAAGAAGTGGATCCTGAGAAGCAGCTGAGATGAAATATGCAAAAGATTGAAATTAGGACCATCTCTCAAGAAGCAGTCGTATATTTAACTTTGCAAACGTCAGAACCTTTACCCTGATGATAATGTTTTTGGAATGAATGAAGAGACTGAATTATAATGTGTCTCTTTGTAGATGTCATTTTAGTTAAGAACTAACACACTCTCATAGATATGAACTTTGGGGATTTAGCAACAGGGCTAACACATCTTTAGTAGGCTGGCAAACAGATAGCAGTTATTTTCCAGCTGTTTTAAGCAAAACAAACTATCTAATTCTGCCTTTGGAGAAATAGGGAAATAAGACCAAGATTTTTTTCTACAAGTGCTCAGGGAAAATCATGGTTCATACCAAGAAAGTGTAAAAATGGAGTTTTACATCATTGTTAGAAGTACATATATATAGATTATTTACCTTAACAACAAAAATTCTCAAAAGGACAGAAATGTAGACATCAAAGTGGCAATGGGAAGATAGCTGTAACTCTAATTTTTCTCTAATTTCTCCTCAAGGGCAATCTAGAGACATCAGACAAATAGATTTGCCCTCTTGATTGTCTTGGGTCAAGTTTTTGAGACACAACTCCTGTTCCATTTCTTTTTTGTAGATATAAAAGCATTTTTCCTCCAAACTCAGAGTTACATTGATACCTTGAATGAATTTATTTCCCCCAGGGTGCACGGTTTATTCTTGGAAGATAGTGTACTTAGACTCTTTCAACATAGCTATTAGCTAACTAAGTATTTTATAGGATATGTCTTTTTTACCCCATAGTTTTTCTTCAAATGGGAATCAGTGAACTAGATGATATATTTAATTGTGCAGCCAGCAGATGGTCAGGCTGAGATGAGAACATATGGTTGAATATATTGTGTGGTTCAATCTTCCATTGGCACAGAAGGCATATTCGTCTTAATAGTCCCCTTTAGCACCTGAGTCAAAAGGGTAAAAGATTTCTCTCAACTCTAGAAAATCTCTATGGCCATCATTGGAAGAACTTTACTATATCACATCTAAATAAAGATTTAAGTTGGGCATTTAAAAAAAAAACCACTATGTAAGTTTAGCAAAAAGAGGTTTTTTTCCTTCTTTTAAAAATTAATTTTCTTAAGGTATATTTTACATACTGTACATTCACTAATTTTAGATATTTCAATTTCAGTGAATTTTGACAAACATATACAGTCATGTAGCACCACTAACATCAAGATATGGAACAGTTTTATTATCCCAAGAAGTGACCTTATTCCCCTTTTCAGTCAATTTACTCCCATGATATTTGCATCTAATAACTTATGAAATGTTTTCTGTTACCATAGTTTTGCCTTTTCTAGAATTTTATATAAATGGAATCATACCGTTTGTAGTCTTTTGAATCTGGCTTCTTTCACAAAACAAAATATTTTTGAGATCCATTCGCGTTATATGTATTGGTAGTTTGTCTTTTTTTTTTTGAGACAGAGTCTTGCTCTTGCTGCCCAGGCTGGAGTGCAATGGCATGATCTCGGTTCACTGCAACTTCCGCCTCCTGGGTTGAAGCGATTCTTCTGTCTCAGCCTCCCAAGTGGTTGGGATTACAAGTGCATGCCACCCAACCTGGCTAATTTTTGTATTTTTAGGCTAATTTTTGACGTTATTGATTTTTTTAAAATTTTTTTAGCGATGAAGTCTCATTATGTTGCCCAGGCTGGAGTGCAGTGGCTACTTACAGGCATGATCATAGCACACTATACCCTCGAACTCCTAGGCTCAAGTGATCCTCCAGCCTCAGCCTCTTGAGTAGCTGAGACTAAAAGTGCCAGAAATATTCTATTCTTTCTTATGGCTGAATAATATTCCATTGTATGTATATACTATAATTTGCTTATTCATTCACTCATTGATGAACATTTGAGTTATTTTCACCTTTTGAATATTATGAATTATGCTGCTACGAGCTTTCATGTGCAAGTATTTGTGTCTATGTTTTTAATTCTTTTGGTCATATGCTTAAAAGTGGAAATGCTGGTTATATTGCAATTTTATGTTTAAGTTTTTGAGGAAGCCCCAAACTATTTCCCACAGAAGCTGAACCATTGTATATTCCCGTCAGCAATCTAATAGGGTTGCAGTTTCTCCACATGCCTGCCAACACATGTTATTTTCCTTTTTTAAAAAAATTACAGCTCTCCTAGTAGATGCAAAGTAGTATTGCATGTGGCTTTGGTTTGCATTCTGCCAATGTTTGCTTCATATATTTTGGGACTGTATTTTTGGTACATGTTTATAAGTTTTATGTATTCTTCATGTGTTGATATTTTTACCAAATAAATAATGATTTTCTAAATCTTCTCTAACCATTTTTATTCGAAATTGGTTTTGTCTGATAATATAGGCACCCCAGCACTCTTTTCATTACTACTTGCATGGAATATTTTTTTTCATCCTTTAAAATTTACTCTACTTTGTCTTTGGATCTAAAGTGAGTCTCTTGTAGACAACATATATTTGAATTATTTATTAAATTTATTCTGCCAGCCTCTGTCTTTTAACTGGTGGGTTTAATCCATTTATGTTTAAAGTGATTACTGGTAAGGAAATACTTACTTCTGGCATTTTGCTACTTGTTTTTATATGTTTTTCATTTTTTTTTGTTCTTCAGTTATACCAATACTGCCTGGTTTTGTGTTTAGTTACTCAGTGTATCATTTTTATTCCCTTCTCATTTCCTTTTCTATATACTTCTTAGTTATTTTTTAGTGGTTAGCATGGGGATTAAAGTTAGCATCCTAAATTTATAACAATCTAGTCTGAATTGATACCAACTTTGCTTCTATATAGCTCTATAAAACTAAATAGCTCTATAAAAACTTTGCTTCTATATAGCTCCATTTTTCCCCACCCTCTATGTATTTATTATCATAATTGTACCTTTATACCTATATGCCCATTAACACTAATATATAACTATTGTTTTATGAGTATGTCCTTTAAATTATGCACGAAACAAACAAAAAAAGAGTTACCAACCAAAAATACAATAGTCGCCCAGGCTGGAGTGCAGTGGCGCGATTTCGGCTCACTGCAAGCTCCGCCTCCCGGGTTCACACCATTCTCCTGCCTCAGCCTCCCGAATACCTGGGACTACAGACGCCCGCCACCACGCCCGGCTAATTTTTTGTATTTTTGGTAGAGACGGGGTTTCACCGTGTTAGCCAGGATGGTCTCGATCTCCTGACCTGGTGATCCACCGGCCTCAGCCTCCGAAAGTGCTGGGATTACAGGCGTGAGCTACCGCGCCCGGCCTGGAGTTTTTATTTCTTCATATAGCTTCAACTTACTATCTAAATTATTTGCATTTTAACCTGAAAGTTTTAGTATTTCAGGTAGGGCAGGTCTACCCGTAATGAACTTCCTCAACTTTATATAATCAGCAGGAAATACACATTTGTTATTGTCAACCACTGAATTTTACAAATGTTTGTTAGGCATCATTATTAAAGCAAAACTTTATTCAAAAAATGGTAGTAAGGATGGGATGCATTTCTCTGATGATTAGTGATATTGAGCATCTTTATATATTTGTTGGCTGCTTATATGTCTTCTTTTGAATCTAAAATAGAAGTTGAAATTTTAAAAAGAATGGCATGTAGCCGTGACAACAACCTAAAATATAGGGCATTGGCTTTGGAATGAGATAGTGAGGAAACTGTTGTAAATAACCTATAAATGGCAATCCATGGTATTTGGGGGTGAAATACTTGGTAAAACTGAAACCTAATGAACTATCATTCTCATCATAAATAATGACCTTCTAAATATTTTGTAACAATTTTGACATAAAATCTGTTTTATCTGATATTAGTATGGACACCCCATTTCTTTTTTGGTTACTACTTGCATGGAATACCTTTTCTCCATCTTTTCAACCAATTTTTCTCTTTGGATCTAAAGTGAGTCTTATCTGTGCATTGGGTACAGAAGTTTTGATGCAAATTGTTGATAGGATGAGCTGATTATTACTAGTTTCATTTGGAGTGGTGCCTCAAGAGAGGAACATAGAAAAAAATAATCAAAATTGAAAGGGAATATAGAATGATCAGAAACTCTAGAATTTAAACCTTCTAGAAAGTAAAAAAAAAATATTTTTTATCTTCACAAGCTGAAGATAAAATAAAGAAATATTTTGAGTTTAAAGGCTTTCTAAGACTCAGTTTCATGGTTATATCCCACATCAGGGACTCAATTTTAAAGAAATGGCTCCACAGCAAACATCAAAATATGGATGTAGTTATCATATCTTCAGTTAGAAACTCTAAATGGCTTAATATGGGGCTCAGCAGATCATTATAATTGGACAAAATGCCTCCTATACTGGAGATGAAAGGTGTAATATCACTGGAGGAAGATATAGCCAAAGGACCTGGAAATGAGAGAGAGAGAGAGAGAGATTCTGCAAAAGGAATTCTGGGTATGACTTTTGACATATAGGGCTGACTGGATCAAACTCATTGCCTAAAAAAAAATTACAAAAGTACATCAGGCTGAATTTAAGAATGAACAATAAAAGAGAACATTGGGGTTCCAAATTTATACAGGCAAGAAACAGGCTTAGGAAGCTGGTTAAGTTCTAAGAAAGTTATATTCTCTGATGGTCTTTTCAGATGTGGATGGATCGAAGGGTGGATCGAAGAACCATGTTGAACAATGGACTGGGGAGTCACTCCTAGAAGTTGTATCTAGGATCTAATCAGGGTGATTTACCACTCTCAGTGGGACTTGTGCCCTCAATTCTTTTCCAAATGAGGATGTTTACTGCAGTTAACGTATCTCTTTTCATTTTGTGTGTATGACTTGCCATATATACAAGCAGATGACTTGCCACTTTAATTCATAAGTCTCTAGATCATGAGTTGCCAAATCAGTCCAATATAGATACTGTCATAAGATCCTAGACTTTGATCCTGATTGAATATGAGTCTTGGAGTATCATTGATTTACATCTAGGAGTGAAAATTGTGACAATAGGGCACACTGTGTTATATTGTTGGGGTAAGCAAACTATAAGCCATGGGCTATCTGGAACATAGCCATACTTTTGTGATGCTCTTTGCTATTTGACTCCTTTAAGGAAAAAGTTTGAAGACCTTTGGTATATTGTATTATTTGTCAAAAAATATTTTCCTTCTCCCCTTCCTCACCCAACTAATGCCATGTGAGCAGAGTGGAGATACTTCCTTGATCCATTATCTTTGGGTTTGATCATGTGATTTGTTTTGGCCAGTTGAATGTGGGTGGAAGGGTTACTATACAAGTTCTAATACGAAGTGCTAAGAGGCATTGCACATTTCTCTTCACCTCACTTGTGCTTAGACAACTCACCATGATAGAAACATATGCTGGGTAACTGCTGGGCCCCAAATGAGAAAATACATCAAATATATCTCAGCTAAACCTTAACTTGGGCTAGGCCCAGGTTATCCTCACTAAGCTCTGCAAAGACCAAATGCACATGCAGAAAGATCTGTGACAGACGAAAGAATATTTGTTTTTATAAGCCACTGTGTTATATGTAATAAATAAATATTTGGTCTTTATTGACAATTCCTGGCACAAAGCTCCTAAGATCCCTGGAATTTACTATCTTTTGTATGCTAATGATATACCTGATAAGGGTGCCCTAGATGGCTTCATGGTGCGGGCTGGTCACCAGAAAATCCTATCATGTGATTAGAAGGTTAGAACTTTCAGCCCCACATCCCAGCCTCTGGGGAAGAGAAAGGGCTGGAAATTGAGTTCAGTCATCAATAGCCAATGATTTAACCAATCATGCCTTCATAATGACACCTCCATGAAAACTCTTGAACTATGAGATTCAGAGAGCTTCTGGGTTGGTAAACACATTGATGTGCCAGGAGGGTGGTCAGCCCAGAGAAGGCATAGAAGCTCTCCATCTCCCACCCCCTCCACTTCCTACCAATACTCTGCTCTATGTATCTCTTCCATTTAGCTGCTCCTGAGCTGTATATTTTAAAATAAACGAGTAATTGTAAGTAAAGCACTTTTCTAATTTCTGTGAGTGGTTCTAGCAAATTGTCAAACCTAAGGAGGGGATCATGGGAACCCCTGAATTTGTAGCCTTCTGAGAAAAAGAATGGGTAGCCTGAGCACCCCATTTGTGGCTGGTGTTTGAAGTGGGGTCAGTCTTGTGGGACTAAGCCTTTAACCTGTGGGGTCTGCATTAACCCTGAGAATTGGTGTCAAAATTGAATTTCCAGGGAATTATTGAACACCCAGTTGGTGTCAGATAATTAGTGTGAAAAAATGACACATATTTAGTGTTGAATGAAAGAAAAAAGACCACACAATGAGTTTTGGGGGATGTTTGTTACATAGTGTTGTTGCAACATAAACCTGACAAATGTAAAACAAAACAATTTTCCACATAGAATTTCAGATGAAAACTGTATATTAAAGACATTTCATTCACTGTAAATTTAGGCATAAATTTCCAATGTTTTAATATGATTTGATATACATAGATTGATGCAAAGCACTGTTCTAATTTCTGTGAGTGGTTCTAGCAAATTGTCAAACCTAAGGAGGGGATCATGGGAACACCTGAATTTGTAGCCTTCTGAGAAAAAGTATGGGTAGCTTGAGCACCCCATTTGTGGCTGATGTTTGAGGTGGGGTCAGTCTTGTGGGACTAAGCCTTTTACCTGTGGCAACTGCATTAACCCTGAGAGTTGGTATCTAGGTGGATGGTTAGTTAAAAAGGCAAACTTATAGGAGCTCCTAAAAGTTTTACCTCATTAACACAACTAAGACTCTGTGATATAAATGTTTTGTATAAATAATGAAATAATACTTAAAACTATTTTTGTAATTCTTATCTTAGAGTCACTAAATTTAAGTGATCCTTATTCAAGACTTTTGTTTTTTAGAGGAGAACAAAGAGACTGTGAGAGCAGTATGTATCAACCCAGGCAAAGATTGCTGAGTAGTGAAACAACTTGGTAGAAAGAAAGCAAATTTCTAATTTATGCCTGAGGCATAAGGCATGAGCCATGATTTTTTATATGGAACCTGTTCTACTATATGATATATTTAGTAGATAATCACCCTGATTTCCTTTGCCTGTTATATTTTTTAAGCGTTGTCCGCATGAGATCCTTTTTTCTGATATATTGTAGGTTTTTATTGGATCTTAGGGGACATTTTCACAGGTAACTGTTAGTCCCCAAAGCAAAGTATGATAGAGGTCTGGCTTAACTGGGAAAGATCCTAAATGCAGATGACTCTGAGCTATGATTATCTAACCTCAGGTATACTTTCCTGTGACATGGCCTAGGCCTAGAGAATCCCTTATGAAAAAAGTTCCAGAGAATTGTCTATACACAAGAAGCTCCTTTAAAGTCAACATTCTCGGCTGGGTGTGGTGGCTCACGCCTGTAATCCCAGCACTTTGGGAGGCTGAGGCCGGTGGATCACCAGGTCAGGAGATCGAGCCCATCCTGGCTAACATGGTGAAAGCCTGTCTCTACTAAAAATACAAAAAAATTAGCCAGGTGTGGTGGCAGGTGCCTGTAGTCCCAGCTACTCGGGAGGCTGAGGCAGGAGAATGGCATGAACCTGGGAGGCGGAGCTTGCAGTGAGCTGAGATGGCGCCACTGAACTCCAGCCTGGGCGACAGAGTGAGACTCTGTCTCAAAAAAAAAAAAAAAGTCAACATTCTCAGTAGAAGTGAAAAGTATATTCACTGTCCAGAAATCCATCAGAAGAAACAGGAATGATGAAATCAAATTTAGCCTTTCCAAAAAGTTCCTCAATATAAGTTTATTCAATATAGAATGGAATTTGCTATGAACTTGATGTGGCATGGATTCCATTTAAGGAATTATAATTAATGAAGAATCAACATAGCCTATTAAAAAAGTGGCTTTAACCGAACTGGGGTCATATCTTAATAGCATCATGGGGCTGAAGGAGAACAGACAAACATTTATTGAATATCTGAGCTGGATATTGTATACCTTTAGAGTGAAACTTTTGAGTGTTTGTTCTAAGGTATAACATTGTATCTGATGTAAAAATACACTGAAATTGTAAGGATTAATGACAAGTAATAAGTGGATCTTGATTTTGGAAACCCATCCTATCTAATTTAGTCCACAAATAGATGTGCTAAAAGGTCTGAATGAAGATGGCCACATCTAACCACACTTTTATAGTTCCAAATTTTGAGTGTGCTCTATATGCAAAGGATGCTTAAGGATGAATTCATGAACAAGGTTTTCTGCCCTTTGAATTCTATGGAAACGTCTTTGCTCCATCAGTGAGGCCTCAGTCTAGTTTTAACAGCCTGCCAGTGGTTTTAAAAATCTTTATTCTTCTCTTCGAAATGGTTCTATTAATCCATACATATTTCTTTGGCTTGGGACAGCCACTGTGGTTCCCCTGGGGGAATGTATTTCAGCTCCCAGTGCAGGGGCTACTCACTGTGAGAAGAGCCAGGTCCTAGTTTCGCAGCTCGGATTCTTCCCAAGTATTGCTAAGTGGCATCTGCTGTGGAGCTGCTCTGTAATAGCCGCTCTTCTGAGACTTAAGAATTCATTATTTTCAAGAAGTCTGTGAGAACCAAAACCAAAACTGAAATCTGTCGGACTCATTTTCTTCTTCAGAAATCCAGAGACCTTTGCAGACTAAACAGAACACACCATTGCTCTTGTCAACTTGCTACTGTTCCTCTGTGTCCTCTGCTTAGTGCAGCCTGAGTCAATCATTGTCTCCGCCACGGTCTTGGAGCCATGTCCTTAGCGCCCCCTCTAGGTTCCATGCGGAGTGCCGACAATCAGCCCTCCATTCCTTGAGCAGAGGGAATTTATTTGCTCTTATTTCCAAAGGCAATCTCATATCTCAAAGACCCTAAAGGGAAAGGCCAGAGAACGCTTCTCCTGCCTGAGTCTCAAGGGCTTTGCTGCATATACCCTCCTGTTCGTAAAAGGGAGTCCTGGGATCTTTATTTTCTGTCTCAGTGGTTTTCTCCATCTGCTGTGAGATACAGCCAGGACATCTGAAGTGAGGCCAAACCCAGCTAGTTTGGCTGATTTTAAGCAGGTGAGAAGTTACTTTTTACCTAGAAACAAGCTTTAATATTATAGTTTGAAACTGGCATGCAGTCTCCATGGCTGGAGGCTACTTTATTCCTCTGACATAGATGACTGAGAGGCCTTGGAACATAAATATATGCAATAAGCCAATAATTCTGCCTGCCTTTCTGCTGCTCCTACAGGGTATCTCAGTGCTGGCAAACAGAAGGGTAATGGGAATTAGAAGGAGGGGGAAAACAGCAATAAAAATATAAATCAAAGAAAGAAGGAAATCCATTTGCTCCTTGGCAGCAGAGACACTGCTCAGCTAATCCATGCTGAGTGCAATCCAATACTCCTTTATATAATCCTGTGCCGGTGGAAGAAAATTAAAGTTTAATGCAATAACGGCTGACACAAATCACTTTTGTTGCCCAGAAGCAGATTAAAGAATAGTTAAAATCATACAAATCTAATTTCTTTTGTTGTTGTTGTTGTTGTTGCTTTATTCTGTAACATCTTGATGCTTTAATCCTTAGCATCAGTTTTTTATTATTAAACATATATTACCAACATAAGAAAGATTGTGGGAAAAACAGTGACAGCCAGGAAATGATTCGTGCTCAAATGGTACATGTTAAAGCTCTTTCAAAATCCATAAATTTTTCATAGGTTCATAGAGGTCCGTGCCTTTAATCAATTCGTGTCAAGGGGATTTTAAAATAAGCATAAAGGTAATGGAATGCTATCAATCATAATTGGGGCTGGAAAGAACCATCACAGCCCATCAGCTACCGCTCTTGCATTGTGTATGTCTGTGTGTGTGTGTGTGTGTGTGTGTGTGTGTGTGTGTGTGTGTGTGTTACGTGCACATATGTGTTGGCATGGTGCATTTCTGTTTTCTATTTTTGATTACTGCCATCAATGGGACAATTTGAGGACTTTATATACAGATAGACATGAATTTAAAAATAAAACTTAATTGTGGCTGCAATTTCTTCCTTTCTTGCCCCTTTTATAATAATTACTATATCTGTGGTGATAGTGACTTGTCTCATCTGTGCAATAGACTAGCTTCATCAGAACAAAAGCATTTTCACATATAAAGGTTTCCCACTGTTTAACCTACATAAAATGGCCCTACCTGGATACAAGTGCCACAAAGGGTTTAGCATCCCCCTGCCCTATCCAAGGACCCACAAACAAACAATATCATAGAAGGAAAATTCATGCAAGTTCCTTCATAACAAAATTTTGACAAGATAGAGAAGCTTTTGCAGAAATTTCTGCTGGAATTAAGTCAAACTTTTGTTTTCATTGTATGAGTTCCCAGTAATACTCTCTAGGTGTTTCCCATACAAAATTTTGAAATAATCTCTATTCCATTTCTTAGGAACTTTGTGGCTGAGAGGAATTACCCATATTCAGTTCATAATGTCATCAAGGGATTTCCAAGGAAAGAGAGTTCTGAATGTATGCCTTATTTGTCCTATCAGTAGAATTTTTTTTCTCCTTTTAAGCAAAATCTGAGTGTGTGTGTGTGTGTGTGTGTGTGTTTTAACTTTCATGATGGAAAGTTTCAGACATAAAGGTATGGAGTATGGTATCGTCCAACTTGAATAATTACTGACTAATGTCCAATTATGTTTCACCCATATTCTATCCATTCTCCCCACCCCCTGATTATTTTGAAGCAAATCTCTGTTATCATTTATAATACTGTAAGTATTTCAGCATATATCTCCAAGGAATTCTTTTTCAAAATATGACCATTACACAACTTAGAAATTGACAATAATGTCTAAATATCATTAAATATCCAGTCACCTGTTCAAGTTTCCATGATTGTCTCATAAATGCTTATTTTTAAAATGTGTTGTATTTGCTCACATCGGGATTGAAATAATTTTCCCAATTATAATTGGTTGATATATCTCTTAAGTAGAAATTGTAGTGGTGTGAAGAAGCACTGCCCAGATTCCCATTTATTGAATGACTTGTTGTCCAGCTACTGGGAGTTCAGCAGTCAGCTTCTAGCTCTCGGCCCCTTCTGAATTGCCCCAGCTGCAGAAAGCTACATCACTCAAGGGTAAACCCTTCCTGAGACAGCCCAAATCTAATAAATAATTGCAGCAAGGATATGAAGTCCCAACCATTTAATCCACTCTGGGACACATTCATGTCATGTACACTTGAGAGCTTCCCGTGGGTTTGGCCAAGGCTTTGTGGGCCTACACCACAGTTTGACTTCTCTCTTTGACCAATCCTGCTTTATCCTCCTCATTTCCACAGATATAGATCCCTAATCAACATCTAGCATGCTATGTTCCATTTCATCATTTGCTTCCAGAGAAGCTAACTTGTGATAGATGTATTTCCAGAGATATTTTATTGTCATGTTTTATTCTAGTGAAACAAACTATAATGGATCTGCCTATTACAAACTTACAGTCAGTTTCAAATATAATTCCTTCAGACTTACAATAAAGTGCAATGTATTTGATAAATGGCAGAAACTCTCTGACTCAGATAGAGCATTTTAGGGCTACTTTCTTTGGATAATTTGAATAGGAATTAAAAAAGAAAACCTTTCCTATTTCCTGCTGCAATGCCTGAATATATCAACTTGATATCTTCAGTAACAATGCCCATGGCAAAGAGAGCATGTCATCACTCAACTCTTCGTTTCTTAAGAAGAGAGAAAAGGGTCTTTTTTGGTAGGTTTGATACTTTATTTGCACTGGATTGGATTTGACTCTAAAAACATATTATTATGACTGAGGACTGAGTAGTGGTAGGGTGATTATTTCAAAATACAGTAGAAGAAATGGAACATAAGAAAACAATAGAATTACAAACACACTAGAGCATTGCCGATGCTTCAAACTGCATCTAAAATTAGGAGGATGAGATTAAGCAGATGAGAAATAACTCATTGTTAAAAATAAGAAAAAGACATTTTGCTAAGAAAGTGTGGTTGGAAAGTGTTTATTGTTTTTCTTTAGTGCTGCAGGCTAGTTTGAATTTTCGTAACATGTATTAGTTTTTTTAAACATTAAAGTGTAAGGGAGAAATGACCTTTAATTTCACCATCCAGATAGTTCTTCTAGCAAAAAAAGAAAAAGTATGAATAAAAATCAATTATTCAAGAGATGAAGAAGGACATTATATATTAATGAAAGTTTCAATACAGTAAGAAAGTATAATAATTATAAACATTTAAACACCTAATGACAGAACATCAAACATATGAAGCAAATACTGATGACATTCAAGGGGAAAATATACAGTTCTACAATAATATTTGGAGACTTCAACACCCCACTCTCAAAAATGGATAGACCAACTATACATAAAATGATTAAGGAAACAGAAGATTTAAATAATACACATTCTTCTCAAGTGCACGTGGGACATTTTTTCAATTTAGGCCAAGTGTTAGGCTGCAAATTCGGTCTCAATAGATTTAAACAGATATCATACAAAGTATCTTCTCAGACCACAACAGATTGAAGTTAAAAATCAGTAACAGAAATAAAACTGAAAAATTCACAACTTCATAGAAATTAAATAACACACTCTGAATTAATAGATCAAAGAAGAAATAAAAAAGGAATTAGAAAATACTTAACAACAGATTAAAACAAAACCATCACATAGCCCAATTTATGGGACACAGCAAAATCAGTGCTAAGAAAGAAATGTATTGCTATAAGATCTTACATTAAAAAATAAAAACAGTTTAAAATTAACAACCTAACTTTACAACTTAAGGGACTATGAAAAGAAGAACAAAGTAACTCAAAGCAGAAAGGAGGAAATAAAGAATAGCACAGAGATCAATGAAATAGAGAATAGGAAAACAATAGAGAAAAATCAATGAAACCAAAAGTTGGTCTTAGAAAATATGAACAAAAGTGAAAACCTTTAGCTAGAACTAAGAAAAAGGAGAGAAGATTCAAATAACTAAAATCAGAAATAAAAAATGGGGACATTACTAACATTTCTACAGAAATAAAAGAATTATAAGAGAGTACAATGAACAACTGTATGCCAACATATTGGATAACCTGGATGAAATGGACAAATTTGTGGAAACACAAAACCTACCAAGGCTAAATCATTAAGAAATAGACAATCTGAATAGACCTGTTATTTGTAAAAAAGATTGAATCAGTATTCAAAAATCTACCAACAAAGAAAACCCTCAAACCTAATGGCTTCACTGGAGAATTCTACTGAACATTTAAAGAAAAACCAATGCCACACCTTCTCAAATTTGTCCAAAAAAATTGAAGAGGAGGGAGAACTTTCTGACTTATTTTATGAGGCCAGCATTATGCTGATATCAAATCCAGACAAAGACATCACAAGAAAAGAAAACTAGAAAACTATAGACCAATATCCTTTGTGAACATTGATGCCAAAATGTTTAATGAAATATTAACAAGCTGACTTCAGTAGCATATTAACAGGATTATACACCACAACTAAGTGGAATTTATTCCTGGAATACAAGGATAGTTCAGCATACAAAAATTGACCAATATAATGCACCACATTAACAGAATGAAGGAAAAATGTCAAGTGATTATCTCAATTGATGCATTTGACAAAATTCAACATCCTTTCATGATAAAACACTCAATAGATTAAGAATAGTAGGAAACTGCCTAAACATAATAAAAATCATATAAGAAAAACCACAGCAAACATTGGTTAAATTACGTTTAGCCTAAAGCTGGCTACAGCTGCCTAAAGCTACCTCCTGACATATTTTATGTTTGGCCAGAAGGTTTCTCTGTACATGGTGAATGGAAACCTAACTGGATGCATAACACACTGTAACCTACTCTTGTAACCTCAATGTGCCAATTGCTGAGTTTTGGCCAATCCAAAGTGGCCAACTGTTCTACCATGTTCAAGTAAGGCAAATACAGGGGCGTAATCAATCTGACTGTTTCTGTATCTTATTTCTGTTTGCTGTACATCATTTTCCTTTTTCTGTCCACAAATCTTTGATCATATGGCAACGCCAGAGCCTCTCTGAACTTACTCTGGGTAAAGGACTTCCCAATTGATGAACTGTTCTTTGCTCAATTAAACTCTGTTAAATTTAATTTGCCTAAGGTTTTTCTTTTAACACATCTTACTCAATGTGAAGAGTTGAAAGCTTTTCCTCTAAGATTAGGATCAAGAAAAGGATGCTCATTCTCACCACTTCTACTCAACATATTACTGGAAGTCCTTGCCAGAGCAATTAGGCAAGAAAAAAAGGCATTCAAATTGGAAAGGAATAAGTAAAATTATTTTCGTTCACAGATAATGTCTTTTATGTAGAAAACACCAGAGATTCCACAAAAAACTGTTAGAAATAAGTGAATTCAGCAAAGTAACAGGGTACAAAGTGAACACACAAAAATCAGTTGCATTTTTAAAATACACTAACCATGAACAATCTGAAAAAAATTAAAACAATTTTATTTACAGTAGTGTCAAAATGAATAAAATACTTAGGAATTAACTAAGGAGGTGAAAGACTTGTACAATGAAAATTATAAAACATTGCTGAAAGTAGCAAAAGAAGACAAATGGAAACACATCCCATGTTTATGGAAAGGAAGACAATATTGTTAAGATGTCAATACTATCCAAAGTGATCTACAGATTCAAAGAAGTTCCTATCAAAATCCCAATGACATTTTTTGCAGAATTAAAAAAGTGCATTATAAAATTTATGTGGCATTTCAAGAGACCCTGAGTAGCCGAAACAATCTTGAAGAAGAACAAACTGGCAGGATTACTCTTCTCCTTTTCAAAACTTACTACAAAGCTACAGTAAGCAAACTAGTGTGATACTGGCATAAAGACAGACACATCGACCAATGGAATAATATAAAGAGCTCAGAAATAAACCTTTATGTATATGGTCAGATGACTTTTGACAGGATGCCAAGACGATTCAATAGGAAAAGAAGAGGTTTTTCAGCAAGTAGTGCTGGAAAAACTGTATATCCACATATAAAATAATGAAGTTGGACGCTTACCTATCACATATACAAAATTAACTCAAAGTGGAACACAGGCCTAGATGTAAAACCTAAAATATAAAACTTTTAGAAAAAGGCAAAAGCTTTGTGGCATTGAATTCTGCAGTAGTTTCTTGAATGTAACATCAATGACATAGCCAAAAAAATAAAAAAATAGACAAATTGGATTTCATTAAAATTAAAACATTTTGTACATTAAAAGACATTTTCAACAGAGTAACAAATCAACCCACCGAATGAGAGAAAATATTTACAAGTCATATATCTGATAAGGGTTCATACCCAGCATATATAGACAACTCCTAAACACAAACAAACAACAACAAAAAACTGATTCAAAAATGGGTAAAAGACTTGAATAAACATTTCTCCCAAGATAACCAGTAAGCACATGAAAAGATGCTCAACATCACTCATCATTAGAGAAATACAAATCATAACTACAGTGAGATACAACCTCACATCCATTAGAATGGCTACTATCAAAAAACCAGAAAATAACAAGTGTTGGTAAGGATGTGGAAAAATTGAAACTCTTGGGCACTGTTGGTGGGCATGTAAAATGTACAGCCACTATGTACCTTTATGGAAATTCCTAAAAAATTAATATAGAATTACCATACAATATAGCAATTCCATTTCTGGATATATTCCTCAAAATAATAGGAAGCAGGGTATTAGAGATATTTGTACACCCATGTTTATAGCAGTATTATTCACAATAGCTAAAATATGGAAGCAACCCACGTGTCCATGGACAGAAGTATGGATAAGCAAAATATGGTATACACATATTTTGTATTTGTATACATATATGGTACACCATATTAAGGCTCTTACTCAGCCTTAAAAAGGAAAAAATTCTGACACCTGCTACAACATGGACAAACTTTGAAGACATTGAAATAAACCAGTCACAAAAGAAGATAAGTATTATATGATTCCACTTATATGAGGTAGTTAGAGTAATCAAAATCAAAGAGACAAGCAATGTAATGAGGGTGCCAGGGCTTGGAATGATAGTAGTGTGGAAGGAGAATGGGGAAATATTGTTTAATGAGTACAGTGTCAGTTTTACAAGCTGAAAAGATGATGAAGATTGATGGTTGTGATGGCCACATAACATCATAAATGTATTTAATACCACTGGACTATGTACTTAAAAATGGTTAAGATAGCAAATGTTGTTATGTGTATTTTATCACAATAAAAATAATAAATTTTTAGAAAGCAATTTTATAAAGCAAAATTTAAAATTCAAAGAATAAAGAAAGGTATAATATGGAAAGGAAATCCTTCCTCTCCTTTGAGTACCTATCCCTAAAAGAAATCACTGTTACATCCTGGCCAACATGGTGAAACCCCATCTCTACTAAAAATACAAAAAATAGCTGGACATGGTTGCACGTGCCTGTAATCCCAGCTACTCAGGAGGCTGAGGCAGGAGAATCTCTTGAACCAGGGAGTCAGAGGTTGCGGTGAGCCGAGATGGCACCACTGCACTCCAGCCTGGCAACAGAGCAAGACTCCGTCTCAAAAAGAAAAGAAAAAAAATAAAAACCACTATTAACAGTTTCTTATTAACATTTTCAGAAAAGAAACTTGAGCATATATCACTGAGCATGTTGGTTTGCATTTATGTATTTAGTATTCAGCTTTCTGTTTCTGTATATGAAATATGCATATACTGTTCTCTCTTGATTATAGTGCTAAAATAAACTACCTACCTAACCTAACTACAGGGAACCCTTGAATAATGCTGAGAGTGGGGTGCTGATCCTTGTGCAGTCAAAAATCCATGTATAGGCTGGGCATGGTGGCTCACACCTGTAATCCCAGCACTTTGGGAAGCCAAGGTGGGCTGATCACTTGAGGTCAGGAGTTCGAGACCAGCCTGGCCAACATGGTGAAATCTCAACTCTACTAAAAACACAAAAATTAGCCAGGCATAGTGGTGGGCGCCTGTAATCCCAGCTACTCAGGGGGGCTGAGGCAGGAGAATCACTTGAACCCAGAAGGCCAAGGTTGCAGTAAGCTGAGATCTTGCCATTGTACTCCAGTCTGGGTGACAGAGCGAGACTCCATCTCAAAAAAAAAAAAAAATTCCATGTATAACTTTTGACCCCTAAAACTTAACTAGTAGCCTACTGTTGACCAGACGCCTGACTGATAACATAGTCAATTAACACATATTTTGTATGTATGTGTATTCATTACGTAGACATTGATGGTCTTTATCCTTGTCATCTTCATGTTGAGTAGGCTGAGGAGGAGAAGAGGAGGGTTGGTCTTGCTGTCTCAGGAGTGGCAGAGACAGAAAAGATGGAGGAGGTGGAAGGGGAAGCGGGAGAGGCAGACACACTCAGTATAACTTTTATTGAAAAACGTCTGCCTGCCTGTAAGTAAACTTCACAGTTCAAACCTATGTTGTTTAAGGGTCAACTATACTTATTGTGTTATCCTGGATGTATTGATCATTAATCCAAAACAAACAAAACAGCAAAGAATAAAGAAAAGTCTCATCATTGATTTTAAGGATTATTTCCTATTCCATTTGCTCTTAATTTAGTTGGCATGTTGTTACACAATATTCCTACAGTTTGGCTCTTGGGAAACTGTGATAAATCACAAACCATAAATCCTGAGTTGGTATTTACAGATTTTGGCAGTAAGCTGATATCTCTTAACTAGCTGTAAGGGAATTATCCGAGGTGAGAATATCACAGAGTAAACAGTGTAAAAGTGAATTGAGTTTTTCCTCCCTCTCTTGTCAACCTACTCTAAGGCTAAAGTCCTGCCTCTCTCCTCCCTCACTGAACCATTCTAAATGGTAAGGGAGCTGTGCAGGGCTGATGGTAGCACCTGAAGGTAGTTCAGTTGAGGAAAGTGTCTCTTCTTTACTGTGTCCTTTCTCCCAATCATCTCCTTTATTTCTTTAGAGAGGGACTGTATATATTTCAAGCTTCTCTACTTGTCTGTAACCTCAGTGGCCCACTTCTTCAATCTCACATAGGTAATACTGTGCATGTCGTTTTTTCAACCTCTTCCTCCTTTGCTGCTTTTCCCTTAGTTCCATCTGTTCTTAATCACAATAAATATACAGAGCTTGCAATATTTATATTAAAGAAAATAAAAT
This sequence comes from Homo sapiens, assembly GCF_000001405.40. Classification (NCBI taxonomy): domain Eukaryota; kingdom Metazoa; phylum Chordata; class Mammalia; order Primates; family Hominidae; genus Homo; species Homo sapiens. The sequence continues at coordinate 82,476,552 of NC_000009.12, forward strand.
ACATGCATTATGTATAATACATACCCACATATATATATGGTCAAAGAAAACACTTTTAAACTCTGAACAGCTACACAGAAATATGGCACTCTTAAGCTGTGTTTCACATACTTCATGAATTAGAGAAAATTTACTGCTATAATAATTTAGTCAGAAAAAAGTTGTGTTACAGCCAATACATTTATAAAGTAATGAGACCACCCATGTTCATTCATTGGTAAATATTTATGGAATACCTACTGTATGTTGGGCACTGTTTTAGAAACTTGGGAATACAGCAGTGAATAAGACAGAAATCATTTTCAAAAAACCTATATTCTCTTGTTTGTGTACATGTATTTGGGTATTAGAGATGGGCATTAACATTTGTTCTCACTCTCTCTGTCCAGGGCACTTAGGTTCCAATCACTATAGCAAGCCAGTATTCAAAAGGGCCGACATATTTGGTTTGATAATGGCATGGTATGCTACCTGAAGTACAACTCACATGCCTCTGTATTGCCTTGCTTCTAAAAACTTCTTAGATTTTATATTTTTCTAAGCAACTTTTGGGAGACAACTCTCTATGGGTCTTTTGTGTTTCTGCATGTCTTAACAAGAGAGGCACTTACTGCCCGTTATTTGGAGGGGGCTGTCTTTTCAAGGAGATTTATATAGAGAAGAGCCCTTGTAGATAGGGATAGTATCTCCCTCTGGAGCCAAGGGCAGGCATGCTCGCTGCTCATTATAAAAGATTCAAGTTCCCTAAGCTCAGGGTTCTTCTTTTGTAATGCAGCCCTCTGTGTGCACATGTGTCATCTGGCCTCCTTCATGTCACCCTGTGGGAATTGGATTTATAAAACTATTGCAAAAATGCTGATACTCTGGCTACTGCTATTGTTGTGAGTTATAAACTATCCTTCATCTATGGCCCGGGAATCTTGTGTCTTCTGCTATCAACCATGAAACTACGGCAGGATAAGTTATTTGCATGCAAGCAGGGGAAAATCTCAGAGCCTTCACCATTCCTGATGGAAATTTTACCAGGAAAGTTATGTTAAAATGAGTGCTCTTCCAAATATGTTGTTGGTGAATGATTATTCACTTCTCCAGAATTTAATAGAGAATGAGGCGGGGATAGAAAGGGGTGATATTCTTTATACTCCAGTTCTTGAAAAACAGGGCCATATGCCCCATACTTAAGAGAGTGGAGTGAGAGCTGTGGGGACAGAGAGAAGTGTAATGTGTCTTCTTTGACACCAATCATTTTTGGGATGACTATTTTTATGTACATTGAAATAAAATATGTTCTTTAATTTGGTGCCTTCTAAAACACAAATTGTTAAATGTGATTCCAACTTTCTTCAGGATGCAAGGCCCTCATTACAAACATAATTTACTGTGTTGGACTAAAGCCGTGCTCCCTGCTCTTCAGATGTCTTATGAAGGAACAACGCTGCTGCCTCCTTCCTAGGTGGTGGGTGTCACTTCACCAGGATGCAGTCTTCTTCTCTTGCTACTTTTCATCTTCAGAGCTATGTTTTTGGGTTAGGAAGCTGAATTTCACGCTTAACTCTGGGCCCCGTTCTCACATGAAGAAGAGAGAAACCTCTCTTGTATAGTAAATTGCATTGCGCTAGCTTTATGACAGTTCAGCACTTTGGGACTTTTACACTCTAGGCTGAATCTTACAGGTATATGTGGAAGATACAATGTTTTATCCTCATCATTTTCTACATGTCGGTCTCTCTTTTCCAAGTTTTAAAGATTATCTTGTGTCTCTTTTATTAATTAATTGTAGAGTGAATCACTTCTCTGTGAAGCTCTAATGGCTATTTCCCAGCGTGTATGACAATCTCGTGCTAATTACTAATTTGCTTGTTTTCCACAATGATTATTCCCTTGATGTCTTCAAACAGTGCTTATTTATAGGTATTTCACTAATAACAATTATATTAATTATATTAGTATATTGTTTCATATATTTTATATTTTATAAAACATTAATTCATTATATGACATCTATAAAATAAAATAATTATGCATGCTATATAATAACACTATACTCCTACATATACTAAAGATAATATGTATATATTCATGTAAATTCAGATCATAAATATCTATAGGTAAAAAAAATTTTATATACATATCTACCTAGATGGATATACAACATAGGAAGGTGGGTTTTGCTGTGGTGACAAAGTAGCCTTCAAATCTCAATGGCTTAAATAACAAAAAGTAACTTCTTGTTTACATGCTGTGTCTAACATGACTGTGAGGGTCCACACAGTCCTCAGGATGTGACAGGTCCTGTTCTTCAGTTACATATTTGAGATCTCTCAGGAGAGCAGGGCAGGCCTCTCAAGCAGGTCTGAAATGGCGTGACAGAGCCATGAAAAGATACTGGCTTGGGTTTTTGTTGAGGCGAGAAAGTGGGCCCAGGTAAATATTCACCTGCATGTGCTTAGGCCGGGGCTTGCATGATTCGAATCTTTCTCTGTACTGCCAAAAGAGGAAGCACCAGGCTTTCCTGTCAGCTTTCCCAGTTGCAGGGCACAAGAGGAAGAGCAAGAGTGAGGCTTAAAAGCTGCCAACAGTCAAACATCAGAAAATGGAGTCAGATGCCTCATTACGATGCTGAATAATTGAAAGTGATGGGGTTTTGTGGAATCTCCCTGAGGCATCGGTTGAGGGTCAGAGGAAAGGCGACATTCTGCAGCAAAAGAAAGGGAAGATGAGAGAGCGCATGTCAAGTCCCCTTTATGGCAGAAGGGCCTCAGAAACAGCTTGAGACACAGAGGTCTGGCTTTCGGTTTTCTTGTTAGACTTGATCCATAAGTCAGTGCATGCCCTTGTTTCTATTACTACTTAAGTGAGTTCACAAAGTTGAAGAGATTCTAAAAAGTGCTTTAGTTTTATTAAAGGTCTTTCCAGTAGATAACCACCCTATTAGCCTCTATCTAACTAAGCAAGGACAGAGAACTCCAGTCTGTAGGTCTCGGATATAATGCCTCGACTGACCAGCCATAAGATGAGACCCCCGCACTAAAGCATAAGATGTAGAGTAATGGGGCTCATGGAGAGTTGGCACATTAGGCCAGAAGCTGAGGGGTGAAAGGCATCAGGGTGTCTGCAAGTACATTATGAACCAATCACACACATCTGGATAGGCACTAGTGTCTTTCTCAAATAAACTATTTCATTTAACATTTAATTAGCCATGTAAAATAGTTCAAAGGCTCACAGTAGAATTATTCAAAGAAAGAAACCTAAGTTAGGAGAAAGGAGAGGAGATTTTAAATAGGAAACCACATGAGTAGTATAAAATAAAATATGTCTCCTTCTCTCCCGTAGTGTTTAAAGGTTATTTTCCCATATTTTAAGGCCTTCAGCTTTGTGGGTTAAACTGAAGTTTTATAAGAAGACTGTATTAGAACAGGAATGATACATCTCCCCACCAACACACACTGCTTCATCTTATGTGTGTTGTTACAAATTATGAATTTATTTAAGGCTGTTTCCCAAATCTAGCTAATAATGAAAATTACCTGGAACTTGTTTAAAAAAAATAGATTCCCAAGCATCATCCAGACCTACTTCATCAAAATTTCCAGCTGGGAAGTTTGCAGATGTGTATTTTTAACAGGTAGTGCCTACACGATTCCGACAGTAGCCAAACTCTGATGCTCCTCCAACATGTGGCAAGGTGTTGGCCCTATATTGGATGGACAAGGTCTCTGCTGTCTGCTAAGTAAAACCTGGGGCGGTACAGTAGAAAGACACCAGGTTTTAGAAAATATTAACTGTCCAAAAGAAATCTTCTGGGTTTTGTTCCATTTAGTTGATTCTACTTTGGTTTTGCTATGGAGGGAACATATTTTGTTGGTTAATACACAGCTCACTTTGGTTGTTTGGTAGGACTGTCCGTGTCATTTAGGTAACCTTTCTTTTTTGGTCTAATGCCCTGTCCACCAGCAGGACATGGTTTAATAATATTTTCTCTTCAGAAATATGTCTTATAGCCCACCCATTCCCCCAGACTGTGAGACTCTTGAAAGCAAAGAGCAGGTGTTTTCTAACATGTACCTTTGGCAATTAGGAGAGGGATTTTTATTGAATATGAGAATTCATGAATGAATTAATGCATGAATACATACATGTGATTTTTGGGTAAATTAATTAAAGGAGTTCAAGATAATTATGAAACATGCAGTGTACAAAATTCAGTCAGTAGTTCTCTTTCAAACAGAGTTTATGTGATCATTATTCCCAAAGAGTTACTTACACACATCCAACACCATAAAAATCTGAGCACTAAAGCTAATGTATAATGAAAGAGTGGTAAAGCCCTCTCAAGGTCTTTTAGCAGAAAGCAGCTGATAAAATTTCTTAACAGGGAGAGCATCCTAAAAGAGAAGTGGTAAAATGTGCCCATATATATAACCTTAAAACATGTATGTGTCATACAAAAAAGCTTTACAAGTGGGAACTGGCTAAGCATTTTTACTATACATTTTATTCATTTATTAGCTTGGGTTCTTGCCTGACATTGCTGCATTTCTCTTCGTTGAAGAATTTTATTATACTCACTTGTCTATTTATATGAACATCTGCGTTCATGCCAGGTTTTTTTTTTCTTTATATAGTATCTAACACACCATGGTACACACATTGGTACTTAATAAAAATTATTTGAGCATGAAGATTTGATTACTGGCAAATGGTGGTTGAATATTTAATAGAAGAAGACATCTTTGCATTTAAATGTATGCTCATTTTAAAAATGCTAACGAGAAATAGTTGGGGGGAAAAACCTTTAAGAATGAGCTGTCATGTTTCTGGGTTATGTCGGCAATAATTCTCTACTATATTAGTTCCTTCAAAGGTGAGTGGTTTCTGATTATGATATAACCTTAACTTGCCATCTGTTATGAAACAGTGTATAAAGCTTAAACTTAGGATTTTCAGCTTCACAAATTCTCCAACAATTATGAACTCTTACTGACTTCATAATTAAGTCTAGACAAGGTTAACAATCACCTGCCATTCTGTTAATGTAATTGTTCATCCATGAACCTTGCAAATTCTTCTAAGTAATTGTGATATTTGCTTTTAAAAACAAACATTCTTATAATCTTTCTGAGAGTGAAAATTCTGTGACAAATCAGGAAAACTCTTGGGGCTTAAAGAGGCCTTGTTAAACCCATCTTAACCAATTCCCCATCTACTTTCTGAAACTCCAACCTTGAGTTGAAGAACATAAAGAGTAGCTTTTCAACATTATTCTGCTATGGCAGAGTTGGGATTAGAATTCATGTCTTTGTAATCCAAAATTCTTTCTAGTGCCCCACACAAATTCTTGGGGAAGTTATTTTATAAATAAAGATGGAATTTAGTACAGTAAAGCAGTCAGGACCTGTGATTTTATGAAACAATATCCTCATGATTCTGCTGCTATATGACTCTTACACAGTCAGATAATCTACAGATACTTGCTGCTGTGGGCAGCATCTGCCATTGCTATATATGATGTGCTGAGTGTTTTTCTCAGTAGAATATACATTTTGATTACAGGATGGTCAGCATCTTATGAACTATAACTTACTTTCCACATGGTTCTCTGTAATGACCAGAAATTTAACAATAATCACAGGTGTTTGTTTCTGATGTGAAGAACATTTCCTAAAATGATATTGGACCTACTGCCATTAAGAAGGAAGCAGAGGCCCAAGCTCAACTCAGTTCAGGGTCTCTAATATCTACCACTCTCTCTTCCTCGCTCTCTATATCTCTCTCACCTCACTCCCCCATCTTTCAATGGAAGCTCAACTACTAAGAGGTAGAGAAAGAATTCTAACATAGGAGTGTTTGACCCCAGACTGTGCTCTTAGCCATTATTCTGCACTGCCACCCATGTAACCTGCTCCTCCATCCTCACTGGACCAGCCTGAGTAAGCGGCCACCCCCAGCCACCTAGTGCAGGTGACCCAGGGCCCTTGCTCAAATGCACACAACCCAGAACTCCCTTTGATCCTGTCCCCATCATATACAGTGGGAGATGGAGAGAGCTGCTTGTTGTAAATGTTCAACATTTCATTGAACTTTAAGATTATTTTCCCCTTCAATGAAAGCCTTCTGAGAGCAAATTTTCATAGTCACCAGCAACTCTGGCCCTGTAAAATATGTTCTTTCATGATGAAAATTACCCTTTATCACTTAGACCTGCCCTTCCCACATATACTAAATGCAATCCAATGTAATGAGAATATGGCTAGTCAATCACAGGTCATAAATTAATAAGTTTTTACTCTGGGTCCATTTGATATAATAGAAATTATTCTCAGAGGAGGGTTATCAATTTAGAACATACAATTTAGGGAGAGATACCACTGACACTGATTCTACTGCTGAGCTCTTCTTTCCAACACGGTTGAATGCACCTTTTCAAAGAGCAGAGCTTCGTGTTGCAGTCAGAGAGCATGGATATATGAGGTCCTAGAATAATCAGAAAGCCATCCAGTTGTGCATTGCTTCATTCTTTCATTTGGTCATTGTCTTCCCCTTTTAGGTTTTCAAAGGAAGAAAAATATTATTTCCCATGGAAACATCTAAAAAATTTGATTGGACCCAGTTAGTCAGAAATTCCAGAATGAAAGCAGTATTTTTTTCAGTAGTGGCAAGATAACTCTAAAGTTTTTTGTCATGGAAAAAATGTAAGTGGAAAGAGTTGTAAACCTAATGTTTGCAAGAGACAAATTGTCATTGATCATTCCTTCCTGGCCAACCCCTTCTCCTCACCCTCTTCCTTCTTTAGACTGTATATTCTGTTATATCCTTTGTTCCCTTATTCATTCCTTCCTTTTGTAAACTTTTATTGTATATATTCTATATTCTAGTCCCTAATGAGATGAGGGGTACAATTTTATTTTCACATAGGACTGCATATGGGTAACACTTGGCATTACAGGATAGAAAGGGTGAGAATGGAGAGGCTTCAGAGCAATGGTTCTCAGCCACGGCTGCAGTTGGAGTCACCTGCAGAGTTTTTAAAACAATACTAATGCTTGGGATGCACTCCACAGCCATTGAATCAGAATTTCTGGAGGGTGGTGGATATTTTTGTGTCCTTAGATAGGATACAAAAGGAAATAGGAATCCATGAACCTGGGGCAAGAGAACCTTTGGGTCCCTAACTTGCTTGTGTTTCCTGTAGATAGCCTAATATGCCTCGGCAGCACAGGGCAGATCAAGAGAAACCAGCAACACAAATATCAGTTGGCTTCCTCAGAATTAACAAGACAAAATATCCTTCAGGCTTCTGCCATTTTATACCATGGTAATTGCAAGAAAAAAAAATCAACTGACCTTTGAAATAGCAGTTTACAGAGTCCTGAACTCATTGACTTCTCCTCCCATGGTGACCAGCCTCTAGACAAGCATGCAAGGTTCATCTGTCTTCTCCGCTTATCCCAGGCAGCCCACTTGCTTTCCAGAGCCACTACTTTTGCTTCACAAATTTCAAATTGTAAAGAGTAAACCTGAGAGGGAGCAGTGAGTGTGAAAGACTTGAGGGAAGAGCAAGCTTCCCTTCAAGGGGTAATAGAACTATAGGCATCAGTCAGAAAGTATTTGCACTACGGAATATCCAACCCATTCTATGGAGGAGGAAACTGAAGCAACATTTAAATGACTCATCAAGCTAACACTGTTCGTGTCTAATGCTTCCTCAAACTCCATCTCCAGATTCCTTATCCCTGTTTCAATGTCCTGATACCTAGCTATGGAGCAAACTACGTTTTGAATAAAATGACAAATATTAACCTTGAAAATAGAGAAGGCATTCTCTTGACTAACAGGAAAAAATCATATTCATTTAACACATATACATTGGAGTGCACAGACAATAACAGCTCCTCAAGCTAAAGACAGTGTAAACCAAGAGGGCAAAAGGCATAATTTTAGATCTGAGGAAGCAGAATAATTGCTTGGCAGCCAAAAAAGAAAAGAAAAGAGACATAAAAACACCGCAATTGTATGTAGTTTTGTGGACTATCAACAACCACAAAGTGTCCTTGTGTATCTATGTTGATTGTGAAAATGGCCACAGGTCTCAAGTCAACCTTTTATCTCTGTCTCGTAGCATGGGGAATGTCAACACAGTAGAGACATGTTTGCAAGTGAAACACAAGTAAAGCCAAGCAGATACCTTTCCTTACAGGATATATGAAGTCTTGGGCTGAGAAGCTACATGCTTCATTTGGAAATGGAAATTGTTGGGTATGGCTGTGCTGGGGTCAATACTATAAAATGCTCTTGCTATTTTTGTGTAGGGGGCAGGATGTGAGAGGGAAAAGGAAGGAAGATGTGATAAAGCATAACTGGTATGCAGAAATATATTGTGTCTCTTGTACATTTACAGTCCTAATTTTTGCAGAGTTAATTTTATTCTTGGTGGAGAGGGCAGGTACAGGTGAGACAGGTAGCACTGGAGGAAGATGCTGCAGAGGTGGTTTTTAATGTCCTGCTTGGAGGGCAGACTGTTTAAAAGTCTTAGCTTTTTCCAGCCTGACTTGAGTTGCTGATACACTGTAATATTTAAGATCATGTCATCCAGAACATATTGATATTGAACCACATTGGTCTTTGTGAATGTCCTACTGGAGCCACAAAGCAGGATCACATTCCATTTGATACAGGTAGGTTTTGCCTTATAGGGATGGGTATTTCTGTTGTCAGTCAACTGGGAGTAGCTCATTCCTGGCACAGGAATATGGCCTAGAATAAATCTTTAGGCTTGAGAAAGAAAGATATTCCTTCTCTCTCTAGGCTCTGCCATGCTTGGTCTTGGACTCCAAAGCTCAGGCGCTCCAAATACTCATGATGAAAGGAGTGAACTGATCTCTAATAGCTGGGAAAGAGTCAGAGACTAGAAAGAAAGTGGCTTTGTGGATTTTACAGAATAGTTCCCTTCCATCATCCTTGCTGTTCAATTAAGTCATTTAAAAGTTTACGGTCTTGTCTTAGATAATATGGGGAATTAGGAAAGAACTTGCTTCACGCATGGCATGGGGAAGTCAAGTGTAGGCATGCAGTTTTCCCCTCTAAACAAAGTGTTGGTAGCAGAAACAAATGCTCCCAAAGGATGACCATACCCAGCAGAGGGGTGGTCATCTAGCAAGGGGACAGTGACAGCAGAAATAGAGGCCAGAGCCAAAGGACATGAGGGAACTGATTCCGAATATCAAGGAAGTGATAGAAACAGTCAGAAAGAGCGGGTGGGCTATGTGGAATTGGGGGCTCTGAGTGATTGCAAATAACTTCAGTTGGAGTAAAATCAGTGAAGATTGTACTCTGACTGGCAAATATCTTTATGAGATGATCCAGGAACCAAGCAAGTATTCTAAATACACTGCCAAACATTGTCATCTGTCGTCCTCACAAGCCAGCCCTGATAATAAAAACTGCTAACAAACATGTATGACAAGTTTCTTCTGTGCCACATACAGTGCTAACACTTTACAATCCTTAGGCTAACATTGAGTTTCATGTTATAAACTTCTTTTTGGTGATGAGGAATCTGAGACCTTAAAAGGTTAAATAAATGGTCCAAGATCAACAGCTACTAAGTGGTAGAACTGGGAATCAAACAAAGATCACTTGTTCCAAGCCTGAACTCTTGATCACTGTGCTGTCCACTGGGAGCCAAAAATGAAGGTTTGGGAGTGTTGATGGTGGCAAGGGTGAGGGTGGAGGGAGTGAAAAGAAGGAAGGGAATAGAATCAATAGGACACACTTCCACAATTGTAGGATTTATTAACTTAATCATTTTTCAGGGAAAGTAAAAAACAATGTCAATTGTAAGGTACCTCCTCCTTTCATAAGTATTAAAACAAGATAAATGAGTATCATAGAATCTGGGAAATACATTAAGTGCTTCCTATAGTCCATATTAATTCCATAAAGGCTTGTGCATGTTATCTCATTTAATATGTATTATAATACCAGAGAAGTAAATTATTTGCTCAAGGTTCTACAGCTGGTTAGTGACAACAAAAGAACTTAAACCCACACCTGCTTGAGTATTAATTCAATGTTTAGCGGGTAGAAAGCCTCTATTCCTAATTTTTTTCTCTGAATACAAGATCCCATGACTCCACACTTGAAAGAATGCTTTTAGATGTGCTTTCCATAATTGCTGCTCCTGAAAGCAATGTAGGTAAGAGTTCTACAGTCACCTTCAGACATTTTGGATGCATTAGAGAAAACGGTAACGGCTTCTACAATTTACCTAGCAACCACTCCTTTCAGGAGCTTTCTTTGAGAGCCAAGTTACTTATGTGATTTCCAGCCAATTTACTTCCAGCCAGTTTACTGACATTGTTCAAGTCATCATACACGAAGGGTTATTATGATTTCTTACCTAGGAAAGGTATAAATATATTTCAATGTGCCAGCTTCTCTCAATGTGAAATATTCATCCTGGTTTATGTATATTTGGAAATTGTGAAAAATGTTTTTGGACAAATTAATTTAATTGAAGCTGATATTTATTACTCTTATGGTTATAGGAGTTCAATGTAACTTCTTAAAAGTTTCCTGCTTATAAAAAAAGCATGCTTAACTATAGGGGGTATTTGTTTCATTGAGTAACAGAATTCTGTAAGACTTGATAGCCACAGAAGAGAACTTATAATAGAAAGTGATTGTTGGAAAGTGACTACATCCATATACACATGCATGCACACATGTGTTTATGTGTAGGAGTGTCCATGTGTATATAGATGTATACACATAACTACATATACATATGCACTTGGAGGAACCATTTGAACTTTGTAAAAGGTAATGGATATAAAATGCCCCTAGATAAATAAATTTACACATTATCGTAGGCATAAACACATGCACTCATATGTCTAAAGATGCACACAAATGCTTCTTTCTCCCAAGAATAGTCAGGAAAAATTGAATGTAAAATGAATTTTCAAATTGGTTTTAATTAACTGGATGAGCCAATATTTAATTGAATAGCTTTTATTGAAAAGTTAAGACTCTTTGGACAATTAATATGATTTACAAAATAAAAGTATATGTTTAGTCTTCTCGAAGTAAGGTACCATTAAATATGTATATATATATATATATATATATATATATATATATATATATATATATATATAAAACATTTGTTCCATCAAAGTCAGTCAGTTGCAAATATTTATTTAGCACCTACTATGTCCCTAACACTTTTCCAGGTGTTGGAGAATCTGTGTGTATATGTGTGTGTGTGTCTGTGTGTGTGTGTGTGCAGACAGAGAATGAAGGTATGAAATTGTAACAACAAACTTATTGAAACAAAAATTCTGTGGTCTCCCAGCAGCCTGTCTGTCCTTGGGAGGCTGTTAACTGCATATGGAACTGAGCTCTCCTGGGCACTATTAGCACATAGTCTGTCCTTAATCTCAGCCTTTTAATCTAGAGCAGACTTTTACGTTTGATTCCCATATGCAAATTCAAGCCCATATCCAGATAATCCAATATATTCATTTTAAAGTCCACTCTGCAACTTCAAAGTCAACAACACATTGAGAACATTATTCCAAACAAAAATATACATATTCAGATCTTTAAACTTTTTACTATGACTTGTAGGCTGCGTAGAAAAACTAAGAAGGTAGCAATCACTTCTCTGGGAGTTCAGAATAGTATGCTTTCTAAAATCCTTCAACAGTTAAGTAATACCAAGAAATTGGCTCCCTCAAGCAATAAGTTACTCTGATATTCACCAAAATATAACAACAAACTGGCTGTCAAGTTTGGCAACCATTTGAAAAGAGGCGGGCCTCCTCTCTGAACTCTGAATGGAAACATTATTTTTCCTCCTGTAGAAGCCATCATCACTCTTTCACTAGAAGGAAGGTTACAGCATCTTTCACAAAAGATTTGCCTGCTTGTAATTACTGCCTGCAGCGTACAGACAAATGCAATTTTTAAAATGCTAACTGTGTTATACTTACACTCAAGGGATCCCCGGGTACAAATGTAACGCGGCCTCACCAGTTTGTCTTAGTGAGACCTTACAGTGCTGATTGAAAACAGCTGAACTAAATCAACAGTTACCTTGAGCCAGGGGCCTTTGGAGAGCAATTAGAGTCAAGGCTTGGGTTTTGAACCCAATATGCTCTGTCAGTCTCAATGATTTGTGTTTGTTGTACTCAGTCTCATTTCCTGCATGAAATATGAGGCTGTATAAAGAGAAAAAATTCCCAAGATTAAAAAATATTTGACCTCAGTGCATTTGTGAGCAGAGAAGTACACATGTCTAAATGACCATTTGGGTTTGTAGTACAAAGTTCTATTGATGTTGGCAGCCCAAGCTTCCCAGTCTCAAAGCCACATGAATGGTTTCGAGTTTCAGCCAAAAAATGTTTTCCACATGCTTTAGTGTGGGCCAATTTACACAGTAGATTTCGTGGATACTGTGGCCAAGTGCTTCATAAAGGGCTGCCTTCTCTGGGATCAGGGAAACCACAACAGACACATTGCTAATGCAATCTAATTATCTGCTTGAATATTTTTCCAGATGTATCCAATGTCTAAAAATACTGCAATAAAAAAGGTATTATTTGACTCCCTCGACTGAAACAGTGGCATAAAGAACCTGTTTGTCTAGAGGGAAAGTTATGACATTGTACTTCTATGACTGCATTTAAATCAGTCAGTCGAAACAGTACCCACAGGGCAGGCTGTACTTTCTGTTTGAATGAGTCTTCCAAACCAAGACCTTTAGTTAGCATAAGAGATCATTCCTTTATATAAAGGGATGACCCTCTCACTTAGAAGTTAATTCCTCTCATTTGTGGTTTCCTAATTTGATTGAGGTTGGTTAGTGTAACTCATGACAAAGATCCCATGCTTTTCCCACTCAGCTCATTGTATGCCTCACACAACAGGAGAGCAGGCCATTTCCTTCCTGCCAGGGGAAAAATTCTTTCGACTAATAAGTTGAGATTTTTACCCTGTCCCCATAGAAATACTGGCTGTTCTGAAGGTCTTAATGTTTCGCTTTTGTTTTCCTTCAACAGAATTTATTTTTGTATAGCAAGTCCCATACTTCAGCCTAGTTTCCTTTGTGTCACTTGGATTTCAGCTAGTCCAGCAGATACATGATGTTATGCCAGGTTATTGTTCAAGCTGTTGGCAATGACGCTCATTCCTAATACATCCAACTGCCTAGGAGAATACAAGCACATGCCGTAGGAATTTGTTGAATTAAGTTGAGAGGCCAATTTTACCAACCTGTGTCTTTACACACACTTTTAACAAAGATTCTAGAATGAATTGTAAAGTTCCAAATAAATGGGCAACACACATACACACACACACTTTTTCAAGAAACTGAAAAACTTAAGACAATTTTTTACCTTACTCTTTTTCTTTCCAGTCCTCCTTCTAGCAGCAAGGATTAGGAGCACAGGGATGCATTCTGTATTACACCTTTTAGGAAGCAATAAATCAGAGGCAAGACATCACCTTCATTGCTTTAATTGGTCTCAGTCATAACCACAAAACCACTGTGCCAGCTTCCCTAATTCCCATATAGCACCGCTGGAGTGAGCAGAGCTCTCCAACACACAGATACCTTTAAATAGTTATGCACTGAAGTTGTGGCTGAAACTAAAGAAAAAGGCAGCAGAGTGCCAAGAACTTCACGTGAGCTAATGATGAGCAAACGAGTCCCCCCAGGCTCCTTCATTCCATTCTCCTTAATTGAGCTATTCTCCTTGCAAGAAGAGTTTTTGCTGATTGATTTGACTCTATTGTTTCTTGTGAAATCCAGAAACCTTACCCTCATTCACTCTACTGTTGTTTCTTTTTTTCCCAGCTGGGATATGGTTTCAAAATATGTTCCTAGTTCGCTAAAAGACATCCCTAGGGAATGAGGTCACTTGGGTTTTTCAATTAGAAAAAAAAATAAACAGTTTTATTCTTCTGGCAATCCTTTTTTCATTGTATGACCCCTCCTAATAGCAATGTTCCATTATCTTATTTCCATGTAGCATCAGAATGTTCTCAGGAAAGGGGGACAGATAAGAGATGTAATGAGATGCTAGTCACTTTGGCAAACAGCATATTCTATCTAAAAGTGGGTTGTGGCCGGGCCCGGTGGCTCACACCTGTAATCCTAGCACTTTGGAAGGCCGAGGCAGGTGGATCTCTTGAGGTCAGGAGTTCGAAACCAGCCTGGCCAACATGGTGAAACCCCGTCTCTACTAAAAATACAAAAACATTAGCCAGGTGTGGTGGTGGGCGCCTGTAATCCCAGCTACTCAGGAGGTTGAGGCAGGAGAATTGCTTGAACCCGGGAGGCAGAGGTTGCAGTGAGTCAAGATCACACTACTGTACTCCAGCCTGGCGATAGAGCAAGACTCCATCTGAAAAAGAAAAAATAATAAAATAAAAGTGAGTTGTGTTTCAAATATGTATTTATGATCCAGTTTTTTGGAATTCAGTTTGTGATTTCTGGTAGAAGGAATGTTATAAATGGGGGATATGATAGGTTCTCACAAAAACTTTTTTTTTTCTTTTTTTTGAGACAGAGTTTCACTCTTATTCCCCAGGCTGGAGTGCAATGGCGAGACCTCGGCTGACTGCAACCCCTGCCTCCCAGGTTCAAGTGATTCTCCTGCCTCAGCCTCCCAGTAGCTGGGATTACAGGTGCCTGCCACCACACCCGGCTAAGTTTTTGTATTTTTAGTAGAGACGGGGTTTCACCATGTTGGCCAGGCTGGTCTCCAACTCCTGACCTCAAATGATCCACCCGCCTCAGCCTCCCAAAGTGCTGGGATTACAAGCATGAGCCACCACGCCCGGCCCTCCCCAAAACTTTTTAACACATAATGTAACCCATAATATAAAGTACTATATTAGGAAAAAAATAAAAATGAAAATCCTTCATGTTATAAGATGCAATTCTGTCTGCCATTTATATGGGAGTCTAGGAATATGAGCCCAAAGAGAGAAGGAATGAGAAGAAGGGGAAAAAACAGTTTCTTCTCACATTACTGGTAAGGTTATCCCATGCGACAACCTGAAAGAAACAAAATTGGTTTGGTACCCTCTTCCAGAAACTCATCTATAATTTTTTTCTCGCTTTCTCACAGTCACCTTGCGGGTCCAAGCAGTTTCATGTTTCCCTAAACTGTTTTATTATGAAACCCTCCTTTCCTGTTGTCAAGTATAGGATGCTTCATTCATCTTAATCAAAATACATTGTTGTCATCAAAAGGAATTCCTGGTGACCAAAATAATTTGCAATGAGGTATGAATGACCTCATAATCATTTCAGGCTATTTGCCCTTAAAGTAGCATGGAAATCAGCCCCAAAGAATCTTTTCATTTCATTTGTTCATTTCAGGCAATATGATAAAATTGAAAAATTTCACAAATGTCAGGAGAACAAGATCTGGTGTCTGGGTTTCAACTCTTAGAGCTTCCCAGCTCGTAGCTATGCTCCTGAAGTAAGTATTCTGACTTTTCACATGTTATTCTCTCACTAAAAGCTCTGCATTGCAGAGAAGGTATCCCCAGAACTTCAGCATCCAGAAATCCCTTAGTGAAGCTGTCTCCCTTCACTAGGTTCCTCTGTCTGAAAGTGTTGTTAGTACATGGGGTGATTGTAAGCCCAAGACTGTAGCGGAAAATAAAGGGGAGCTCTGAGATCTAAATTTGAGTCTTGGAAAATGCTAGCCATAACTTTCATAATTGTTTTGGGCAAAACATTTTTTTTTAATTGGTCACAGAGCAAGCTAAGAAATGAGGCATTTTGAACTGAATTGCTAATTAGATTTTCATGGGTCCTAAAACTGGCTAGATGGGTTTTGAAAGTTTTGGGTTTGGTTTCGAAGATCACAGCAGAACACAAAGCAGCGTTTCTTAAAGTGTGGTCCATAAATCACTCCTGTCCTCTGGTGGCTTTGGGGCAAATCGTTTATGAATTTCAGAGGAAAAAGGAAACTTAAAACCCTTCATTCACAAATATTTAACACATTTAAAACATAAGATAAATGTAATTCTCACTGATGTATGCTCTGGTTTTAATTGTCATTAGCATCCTAAAAGTGGCCCACGTGCTGCAAGAACTCTGCTGATCAGGTCTCAGCTTCCATTCGGTTAATCAAATGCAGTGTGCTTAGGTCAACTTATTTTCATATTATTAGCATGTTACCATTTGCATTTGTTACATTTGACTTTTTTACATTGTCACTATTGGAATTTATTATTCAATTTCTAATTTTATAAGAAGAGCAATCACACAAAAGTAGTTTATGAAAACATAAAGACAGTTATAAAAGTATTGACAGAAATATACCACCACTATAATCATCTTTAGTGACCAGGATTCAGAATGAATATAGAATGTGATTATGTATGTGCTTAGACAAGGGAAAAACAGCTAGAAGCATCTGGATATAAAAGTGAAAATAGGAAATCCAAAAATAAACAAAGGAAAATTTTATTTAATAAGGCCAGCGATCATTTTGAACCTAGTGTGTAGTAAATCGCCTTTTATAAAACTTGATTAAATAGTAGCATGAGGTCTTCAGAGCTTTGCATGCATGTACTATGTACTTCTCAGGCTTTAAAAATGATTTTTTTCCATAGAAATGATTTTTTCTATAAAAATACTTTAAAAATAATTGCTGGATTTTATTGCCAACAAAAGTGGGAATATACAACTTATTATTTCATTTATCTTTTGTATTTTTTTTCTGTTTCAATTTCATTTAGCTCTGCTTTGATCTTTGTTATTTCTTTTTTTCTGCTGGGTTTGGGTTTTATTTGTTCTTGTTTCTCTACTTCCTTGAGGTGTGAGCTTAGATTGTCTATGTGCGCTCTTTCAGACTTTTTGATGTAGGCATTTAATGCTATGAACTTTCCTCTTAGCACCGCCTTTGCTGTAGCCGAGAGGTTTTGATAGATTGTGTCACTATCATTCAGTTCAAAGAATTTTTTAATTTCCATCTTGATGTCAATGTTGACCCAACAATCATTCAGGAGCAGGTTTAATTTCCATGTATTTGTATGGCATTGAGGGTTCTTTCTGTAGTTGATTTCCAGTTTTATTCCACGGTGGTCTAAAAGAGTACTTGATATAATTTTGATTTTCTTAAATTTATTGAGACTTGTTTTGTGGCCCATCATATGGTCTATCTGGCCTATCTTGGAGTATGTTTTATGTGCTGATGAATAGAATGTATATTCTGTAGTTGTTGGGTAAAATGTTCTGTAAGAATCTGTTAAGTCCAATTCTTCTAGGGTATAGTTTAAATCCATTGTTTCTTTGTTGACTTTCTGTCTTGGTTACCTGTCTAGTGCTGTCAGTGGGGTATTGAAGTCTCCACTATTATTGTGTTGCTGTCTATCTCATTTTTTAGGTCTAGTAATCATTGTTTTATAAATTTGGGAGCTCCAGTGTTAGGTGCATGTATATTTAGGATTGTGATACATTCCCATTGGACAAATCCTTTTATCATTATAGAATATCCCTCTTTGTCATTTTTAACTGCTGTTGCCTTAAAGTTTGTTTTGTCTGATCTAAGAGTAGCTACTCCTGCTTGTTTTTGGTGTCCATTTGCATAGAATATCTTTTTCCATCCCTTTACCCTAAGTTTATGTGAGTCCTTATGTGTTAGGTGAGGCAGCAGATACTTGGTTGGTGGATTCTTATCCATCCTGCCATTCTGTGTCTTTTTAGTGGAGCATTTGGGCCCTTTATATTCAACATTAGTATTGAGATGTAAGGTACTATTCTATTCATTGTGCTATTTGTTGCCTGAATACTTTGGTTTTTTTATTTATTTATTGTGTTTTTGTTTTATAGGTGAGACGTATGCTTTAAGAAGTTTCTATTTTGGTGTTTTTGAGGATTCATTTCAAGATTTAGAACTCCTTTTAGCAGTTCTTGTAATGCTGACTGGGTAGTAGCAAATTCTCTCAGCATTTGTTTTTCTGAAAAAGACTATCTTTCCTTCACTTATGAAGCTTAGTTTCACTGGATACAAAATTCTTGGCTAATAAATGTTTTGTTTAAGGAGGCTGAAGATAGAGCCTCAATCCCTTCTAGCTTGTACAGTTTCTGCTGAGAAATCTGCTGTTAATCTGATAGGCTTTCCTTTATAGATTACCTGATGCTTTTGCCTCATAGCTCTTAAGATTCTTTCCTTTGTCTTGACTTTAGATAACCTGATGACTATGTGCCTAGGCAATGATTTTTTTTGCAATGAATTTCCCAGGTGTTCGTTGAGCTTCTTGTGTTTGGATGTCCAGATCTCTAGCAAGGCTGGGGAAGTTTTCCTCGATTATTTCCTCAAATATGTTTTCCAGACTTTTAGATTTCTCTTATTCCTCCAGAACACCAATTATTCTTAGGTTTGAACACTTAATATAGTCCCAAACTTCTTGGAGGCTTTTTTTAAAATTCTTTTTTCTTTATTTTTGATGGATTGGGTTAATTGAAAAACCTTGTCTTTGAGCCCTGAGGTTCTTTCTTCTGCTCGTTCGATTCTATTTCTGAGATGTTCCGGTGCATTTTGCATTTCTCTAATGTGTCCTTGATTTCCAGAAGTTGTGATTGTTTTTTATTTATGCTATCTGTTTCACTGAAGATTTTTCCCTTCATATATTGCATCTTTTTCTGATTTTATTAAATTGGACTTCACCTTTCTCTGATGCCTCCTTGATTAGCTTAATAATTGACCGTCTGAATTCTTCGGTAATTCAGAGACTTCTTCTTGGTTTAGATCCATTGCTGGTGAGCTAGTGTGATCTTTTAGGGGTGTTAAAGAACCTTGACTTGTGATATTACCAGAATCATTTTTCTGGTTCCTTCTAATTTGGGTAGACTATGTCAGAGGGAAGATCTGGGGTTCAAGGGCTGCTGTTCAGATTCTTTTGTCCCACAGGATGCTCCCTTGATGTAGTGTTCTCCCCCTTCCCATAGGGATGTGGCTTCCTGGGAGCTGAATTATAGTAACTGTTATTTCTCTTCTGGATCTATCCACCCGGCAGAGTTACTGAGCTCCAGGCTGGTACTGATGGGTGTCTACACAGAGTCCTGTGGTGTGAACAGTCTTCATGTCTGTCACCCATGGATACCAGCAACTCCTCCAGTGGAGGTGGCAAGGGGGTTAAATGGACTCTGTGAGGGTACTTAGTTTGTAGTTTTGCTTACTATACTAGTTTTGTGCTGGTTGGCCTCCTGACAGGAAGTGGGGCTTTTTTTTTTTTTTTTTTTTTTTGAGACGGAGTCTCACTCTCTTGTCCAGGCTGGAGTGTAATGGCACAATCTCGGCTCACTGCAACATCCGCCTCCCGGGTTCAAGCAATTTTCCTGCCTCAGCTTCCCAAGTAGCTGGGATTACAGGTGCCTGCCACCAAGCCCGGCTAAGTTTTGTATTTTTAGTAGAGATGGGGTTTCACCATGCTGCCCAGGCTGGTCCCGACCTCAGGCGATCCGCCTGCTGGGATTACAGGCGTGAGCCATGGAGCCTGGCCCAGGTGGAGCTTTTAAGAGAGCATCAGCTGCGGTAGTATAGGAAGGATCAGGCAGTGGGCAGGGCCCTAGAGCTCCCAAGAGATTATGTGTTTTGGCTTCTGGCTACCAGGGCAAGCAGAGAAAGATCATCAGATGGGGGCAGGGTTAGGTGTGTCTGAGCTCAGACTCTCCTTGGATGAGGCTTGCTATGGCTGCTGTGGGGGATGGAGGCATGGTTCCCAGGCCAATGGAGTAATGTTCCCAGGGGGATTATGGCCGCCTCTGCTATGTCATGAAGGTTGCCAGGGAAGTGGGGGAAAACCAGCAGTTACAGGCCTCACCCAGGTCCCATGCAGCCCAAAAGGCGAGTCCCACTCCCACTGTGCACCCGCCAACAGCACTGAGTTCATTTCCAGGCAGCGGTGAACAGGAATGAGAACTTGCCTCAGACTACCAGCCTCCTGGCTGATAAAGCAAGCAGAACTTTCAGGTTTCACACCTCCCCACCTCCCCCAGCTTCTGTGCCATGTCAGCACACCCAATTCACCCTCCCCCCTACAAGTTCTGTCCAGGAATCTTTGCGTTCGGTTGAAACTGTTACAAAGTTCATTTGAGGTTTCCTTCCCTCTGCGGTCTTTTCCCAGTTCCTCTGGCAGCCCTCCTCAAGGACCTCTGTGAGACAAAGTCAGAAATGACTTCACTGGAGACCAAGAGAGCCCACAGAGCTCTTCCTGCTGCTTCTTCTACCCTTGTACTCACTCGGCTCTCTAAATTTGTCTCAGCTCCAGGTAAGGTTGGATCTTTAAATTTGTCTCAGCTCCAGGTAAGATCGGATCTTTAAATTTGTCTCAGCTCCAGGTAAGTTTGGATCTTTCTCCCGTGATTTGGACCTTCAGGTTCCCCACTGAGGGTGTGTGTTTGGGGATGGATCATCCCTCTTTCACACTTTCACACTTTGGACACTCTCAGTTTTTCAAGTTTCTTGGAGCCTGTGGGAGCAATGCACTTCCTTCAAAGGGTCTCTTGGCTTTCCTGGTATATTCCTGTGGTAGTTCTTGGAGCAAAAGTTCATAATATGAGTCTCCACACAAGAGTCTGCTTACTAATCTTGATTTGGTGTTGAAGGAAATACAGTACAGAAATTTGTAGATAAAATCAGATGGCAGTATGTGTCTTTTTAGCCTACTCCCCTGAAAATGAGATTCTTCTTTTCCAAAGTGAAGTATGCTGTTTTCCAAAAGGAAACTTTTATAACTTTTTAAATGGTGAAATACAACACATGAAGAGAAAGATGCATAGGAAATAAATGCACAATGTAATGAATAATCAGAAAGTAAATATCCTTTTAACTACTACCTAAATAAGGGAATAGACTGTTGTCTACACTGTAGAAGCAACCCCTTGCCCCAGGGTATCCCTTTTCAATCACATTCTCTTTATCCCTCTTAGATTAAGACATTGTCTTGATATGCACATTACTTTCATTCTTGAGATTCTTTGTACTTTTATTGCTTTTATATGTGGCCCTAAATAAAATGTCAAATATTAACTGGTTTTAAACTTTATATAAATTCATAATTTAAAAAAGTCTCTCAATAAATAATATGTTTGTAAGATTAAATTAGGTTTATTGTACCTAGCTCTAGTGAGTTCACTTTTCCTGTAGTATAAAATTCTACCATATTAATAACCACAATTTATTTATCCATCCTAACATTCTGATAGCTTCATGAATGTTAGAATTATTTTCAGCTATTGCAAAAATTGCTACCATGAACCTTCTTTTACATGTTTCTAGGTATGTGAATACATTTTTCTAGGTATATACGCAGAAATGGAATTGTTATTGTTTGGTCATAGAATATTGTATGGGAAATGACACTTTTCTAAAGTGGTTTAAAGATAAGTGTTGGTGAGAATGTTGAGAAGGGGCACCTCATACACTATTGTTTGGAATGTAAATTAATACAGTAATCACAAGCCAATTTTCATTCATACCAATCCTGCATAACAGCTTCTTGCTTCATATCTTCACCAATACTTGGTATTGTCAGACTTTTAAATTTATTCAGTCGCATGGATTTGTAGAAGGACATCACTGTAGTTTTAATTTGCATTTCAAGATGGAAATTGTGTACATGAATACTTGAAATAATAAAATTAAAAATGTCTTCATAATATTGATAATTCCAGTAAAGACCTTTTCTATTACTTGAAATGGTTCATTCAAGTCATATAACTAGCAGTATATTTGCTTAACTCATCAGACAAATCAATCAATATTTTCTTGACTTGATTTCAAGATTACATTCACATAATCAATGAAACATAAACAAATATTTTCTATTTGTTTGTATAAATAAGGGTAGTGGTAATACTTCATTTACTGCATCTTCCAATTTGAAACTTTGAAACCTTTGTTACTTGTTTACAGTTTTTTCACTGACATCATTGGTGAAAGAGAGCTGAATGTTATATTCAGTGTATTCTGTCCACAAGCTTTGGTTTAAAGTACAATAGAAATATCTCTCATTCTCCCACAAAGTCTCCTAACACGTGCTAGCATTCTCACTGTTGAATAGTATTGCAAAGGCAGAATGTAGCATAGATGATGTAAATACTAAGCAAAGAAAAGACACAGAGCTTGTGGTTTGAGCTAAAAGAGTGATTTTTATCTCTGTGGAGGATGCCAAACAAAACCATCCCAATCCTTGGTAAGAAATGGTAATATTAATGAAAAGTATATTTTCTATCATGTTTTATACTTGCTATTTAGATTATGATATTTTTTCACAAAAATTAGTAATCACAGTTCCTCCAAAAGACCATTAAGTGGTCTATCAGAGACAGAATTTTGGTAAACACTAGTAAGGTAGAAAGTGCCGATGATGAAGAGCTGATGACAAGGATTTTAAGACTGACTTGGCCCTGCAGCTTACTGACCATCTGGGAGAATCATTAATGCTTCTGAGTTTCTATTTCTTCATCTGGAAAACAGTCCTTGTTACAGCTGCCCTGATTTTCTCATGGTTTGTCTAGATAAGATAATATGAAAACATATTTAAAGACCAGTCTGCTTCCAGCTGTGATGGAGTAATTTGTATCAGACCCACTGTTCTATAAGAGAATTTTGAAAGTTGGCTACGGCACAAAACCATCTACAAAAACAATCAAAATAAAACCCAAACAAACACCAAAACCAATGCTGTTTTTGAAGGCACTGGAGACCAACCTAAACAGCCAGAACATGAGGGACCAAGATTTAGAGAAAAGGGAACCATAGAAAAGTGTAGGAAATTTCCCCTCAAGACATTTTGAGACCCACTAATCAGTAATTAAGCAGAGCAAGATTCTAAGAAAATAAGTATAAAGCAACTATTAAAAAGCTAAGCAGAGATTATCACAGCTTTGGGATTTGCTAAAGGCCTTAATAAACACTCTTGGGTTTTAGTGGCAAACCCTGAAAGCTTACTCCCTAGGAGTGCTAGAAAACCAGAAATAGACCAGTCTTTACTGGATCAAGGAGAAATACTTGTATTCTAATGTCTGACAAATAAAAATGAAATTCCCTCTAGGGTAGATAACATTACCTAGGACCACTAGGATTTTCATACATGTTATTTGTCATTCATTCAAAGACTTCCAGGATGCCAGGAAAAATAACCAAATCTACAGAAATCGGGAGAAAATAGAAACAGATCCATAAGTCATGCAGCCGTTGGGACTAAGTGATATGAACATTAAAATAATTATGATTAATGTGTGCAAGGAAAATAGGGAAGGTGGATAATTGCACAGCAAATTAAGAAACTATAAAAATAACAAAATAGGAATCTTTATAATTAATGTAATTTAACAGCAGATTAGACTCATAAGAAAAGGATTCATATATAAGAAGATAGGTTAGTAGAAAATATTTAGATTGAAGGAGAGAAAGAAAGAGACAGAAAAAAAGAGAGACAAGAAAGAGAAAGAGAGATGCTTTAAAACCATAGGAGATATAAGGTACACAGTAAAAAGATTAAACTTATGTGTTATTGGAGTCCAGAAAAAGAAGCGAGATAGAAAGGGAGAGAAGATTCTCTGAAGAGATCATAGCCTAGAATTATCTAAAATTGCTGGAAGTCTACTGATTCAAGCATATCTATGAATCAAAAGCAGGGCAAATCAAAGAACATCACACCTAGATACATCATAGTAAAACTGTTGAAAGCTCAAAACAAAGAGCAAATCCTAAAAGCATCTATAGGAAAAAAGATACATTACTTTTAAAGGAGAAACATTAAAGTTATGGTTGACTTTTCAATAGTGTGATTTCTTTCTTATATGTTTGCAAAAATTGACCAGAGGATTTATCTAGGCATGAAACACTCTTTGCAAGAAAATTTTAGACTCATATTCAATTCATCAACAATATAAGGAAAATTGGATTATTTCATCAATTTTGATAGTTAACTTTTAAAAAGGAATTTGTCCATTTCTTCTAAATTTTAAAATTATTGGTATAATATTTAAAATTATATATTCCTATTATCTTTTAAATTATACTTTGTAGGAATATTCTCTTTTATCAGCATGTTATAGTAATTTGTGACTTTTTTCTATTTTGTGCCTGTCAATCTTTATAGAGGTTTATCAATTTTTTTATTTTTGAAGAATAAACTTTGGCCTTCTTTATTTTTCTACTTCATTTTGTTTTCTATTTCATAGATTACATCTCTTAAATATTTTATTTCTTCTATGACTTTAAATTGCTGTTTATTTACTAGTTCCTTTATGTGGTCATTTAATCTTTGATTTTCAGGCTTTATCCTTTTGTAATACAAGCATACATGCATTTTGACCTATAAATTTCCCTCTGTGAACTGCTGTGGTTCATTTTATAAGGCCAGCATGACCTTAACACCAGAGAACATTATTAAAATTTCTTGGTGGTAATGGCCAAATCTCTCATCAAAAAAGATGCAAAATTTTAAAATAAAAAATTAGTAAATTCTACCCAGGATTACAAAAAAAGAGCAATATATTGTGTCTAGGTAGGCTTTATTCCAGTTATACAAAATTGGCGTAATAATAGAAGAAGAAATAAATGTTATTTGTTATACTAAAAAAGGGTGGAAAAGTCTAATGTGACCATCACAACAGATTTTTAAAAAGCAGTTACTTAGGATAACAATCCTTCAGAATAAAATACCTGGTATTCTTAATGTGCCAGAGTACCTACCAGAAATTGATACCAAAATAATATTTAATGGCAATAATATTAAAATAAATAACTAAAAGCTTTCTTTCTGTAACTGAGAATGACATAAGAATGTCTTGCTTTTAACTCTTCTATTTAATATTATACTGAATGTTCTATCCACTGCAATAAGATAAGAAAAATGAACAAAAAGAAACAAGCATCAGTAATGTAGAAGAAAACTACAGTTGCCATTATTTGTAGATAAAATTAATGTGCCCATAGAAAATTACCAAAAGAATCAAACCTAATGAAAAAAACAAGAGTACTCCAACATGCAACCTGAATGAATATCACATAATGTTGAATGATAGAGCAGAGATAAATGTGTACATAATATTTGATTCTACTTATGTGAAGTTCTGAAACAGGCAAAACATATATATATATATATACACACACACATATATAGAAATCAAAAGAGTGGTTACATTTGGTGAGGAAGTAATTATTGGAAGGGTACGTGAGAAAGGGTGTGGTGAGGAAGTAATTATTGGAAGGGTACGTGAGAAAGGGTGTTTGATCTGGAAAGTGGTCAATAGGTATGCACATAAGTAAAACTTATTGAACTGTACATAAAAGACTTGCATACTTTATAGTATGTATGCTACACCTCACTACTAAAGTAAACAAAGAAAGAAACCTTATAACCAAAGAGAAAATTTATGAATTCCTATTATGCCTCCTCTGTCTTATCTCAGCTAATTATAGGGCCATTTTATATAAGGCTCTATATATGTTTTATCTTTTATTTATAATCTTATTAATATAAGACATAATTTATTAGTTATATGACTTATATTTTTTGTAAGGGTCCTATAAAATGAAAATGAGTATTTCCAATCCAGATCAAAGATCATGGTGTGGCAAAGGGGAAATACTCAATGTTTTCTTAAGGGAGAGAACAGTGACATCTCTGTGAATGGAGCTATTTACAGAGGAGGATGTCTCTTACACTCTCTTGCAAGATCCTTAATGGTGCACACCCAAGTGTTAGCCTGGAATGTAGTAATAATCTGAGCTAATTTTTATTGGAGATTTACTCTGTGCAAGGTTTTTTTACGTGAATGATCTCAATTACTTGTCATAACAACCTGTGAAGTAGCTAACATTTTGTCCTCATTTTAAAGTCAATAAAACAGAAGCTCATAACATGCCAAGTCACTCAGTTTGTAAGAGGTGGAGTTTAGATGCAAGTCCAAGTCAGTGCAAATCTCAAGACTATGCTCATAACCATTGTATTATACTTCCAAGAAAACAGTTGGGTATATGAGTCAGAAACCTCTATATCTCCATTATAGAATTGAAAACAATCCGTTTATTAAGTTTAAACTCTGGAATTCCTCCTCATTAGGGAATAAGACCCAAAAGGAAGGGATAATATTTTATTCATCTATGGGCACCCATTGTTTAGCACAGGACATGTCACATAACAGATATTAGGCTTAATAAACATTTGTTCAGTGAGGTAGCTCGAATATCCATGGTTGTGGTGTTACTGTAGAATCCATCCATTCCTGCACACTTGTTTGTAACTGAAATATAAATTATCTCCCTTAGCAAGCTTCACAAGGTAATAAGCATATTCATCAAATAATTCCAATCCAAACTGTGGGACTCACTGGTATTTACTGCATCTGAAATTCACAATTGGTGCACAGAAAGCAAAAAGAAGCATCCTAGTGATTGCTTGAGAATTCAATTTACATATTTTTATACACTCAATGGAGTAAAAGCAAACTTTAGGGCTTCTGAACAAAATTATTCCATTTTGTTACCACATTTTCCATTTTCTCAATAAAGTGATAGCTACTTATTGATAGTTTTTGTGTTTTCCAGACACTCTCTTTGTGTTCTGGAGATAAGCTGTCAATATAACCCCAAAGAATCTTTTGGAAGGGCAAGAATTCCCAAGGATACTACCTAGAGCTCCGCCAGCAGACACATGCCTTAAAAATTTTTCTTTTCTACCAACTCTTTGTCCATGGAGATAAACCAATTTTCCTCTTTTTTTGTAATGCACAGGATCTACAGGGATGCCTGGGTAAGGAATTTAGCATATCATCCTAGGAATACCTTGGTCTTTGGTTTGGCAGTACATCATCACTGGAGGTGGTAACAGTTGTGCAACAGTTTATGGGTGTGGTGTGGGGTCTAGCGGCTGCTTTTATTTTTTCCCTTCTAGAAGTTTATTTCCTTTGAGTCGCTTTTTAATTATGATGGATTTGTTTTATGTTGTATATATTCATTTCAAAGATCTTAGGCAGTCTTTTTTTCAAGATTCATGGAAACAAAGATTCATGATTCTGATGAAAAAGAGTGTTCAACATCTGTCAGGGCCTATGTTCCTACACATTTTTGATGGTACATATTTGGCATTATAAAAAGTTATGTAATATCCATGAGGACATGAATAAATCTCTGAATTATCAATGCTCAATCTCAGTGTCTGCCCCATTCATAAGTAAAGTTAAAATGTTCAGGAAGATCCAGATCACCTTCTGCCCCAATCTGTGATTGATTGATTTATGGTAAGAACACATAACATGAGATCTAACCTCAGCAAATTTTTTAGGGCACAATACGGTATGGTTTACTAAGGCCACAATATACAGCAGATCTCTAGAACTTACTCATCTTGCACAACTAAAACTTTACCCATTGAACAGCAACTCCCTGTTTCTCCTTCCCCCTTATTCCCTGGCAACCAGCATTCCACTCTCTGTTTCTATGAGTTTGACTATTTTACCAACCTCATATATATACATGGAATCATACAGTATTTGTCCTTCTGTGACTGGCTTATTTCATTTAGCATAATTAAACTTATGTTACTTCTTTAACATGAGGCTGTTGCAAAAAGGGGAAAATGTAAATTGAAGAAACAGTGGTTTCCTAATATTAACAAACATAGAGTATAATGTCAGGTGTTATTCAAGACCTTTCTCATCTCAACAGCCAATGGGACTGTCAAGATAGACCATGTCTTGTTTGCCTCTTGAGTTTAGGAGTTACTGTAGAAAAGTCATTAAAAAATAATAGTTGCTTGTAAGCAGGACACTGAATTTTTTGATTTCTGAAATTCTATATAAAAATTCAGAATATTTTTACCTAAATAGATCTGCTTATTAGTAAAAATTTACAAGAAAAATAGATTCAGAATCTCTATCTCTCTTTCATGACAAGTGTATGTTTAATGTGAGAAAGGGGCTAGGTAACAAACACCCTTCATGTTGTGAGTTAGGCCAAGATTTTCTCAAGATTCTTGGAAGTGAGTTGTAGGGCAGTTCTGGAAAGATGGCGGATAGGGACAGGGCTGACATGCAGCTCCCACTTGGACAGGACAGAACATCATGTGGAGACTCACACCATGAAATTTTGTTCCAGGAAGCACCACAGGAGCAGACCAGGGAAACCAAAATAATTCACAGATCCTTTGAAAGAAGCCTCAAGCCACTACAAATTCCACGAGACATGCAAAAACTCTGGTGCTCTCTTGAAAGCACCACCTGCTGGCCAACCACCAACTCAGGACGTTACAGCAACTCATGACAGAACAACCCTGCTCCAAGGAAGGAGAAAAACAACAGATAATTCCACTGTCTGCAACATCCTGGCTAACCAGTGGTCCTGAATCTGTCCACATGACAACTTTACTGCTAGCAGAATCAGCATCCAAGAAAGCCAACACACTAAACATATGTACAACCAAGGACTCTCACAGAGTCTACTTCACTCTCCTGCCACCTCCACCAGAGCAGGTGCTGGTATCCATGGCTGGGAGAACTGAAGATGGATCACAGCACAGAACTCTTTGCAGACATTCCTCAACACCAGCCCAGAGCCTGGTAGCCCTGCTGAGTGGCTAGACCCAGAAGAGCAACAACAATCACTGTAGTCAGGCTTGCAGGAAGCCCCATCTGTAGGGGAAGTGGGAGTACACTGCATCAAGAGACCAGCCCATGGGACAAAAGAGTCTGAAGAGCAGCCCTTGAGTTCCAGATTTTTCCACTGAAATAGTCTACACAAATGAGAAGGAATCAGAAAAGTAACATTGGTAATATGACAAAACAAATTTCTATAACACCACCAAAAGACCACACTAGCTCTGTGACAATGGATCCGAACCAAGAAGAAATCTCTGGATTGCCAGATAAAAAATTCAGAATGTTGATTATTAAGCTATTCAAAGTGATACAGGGAAAGGTGAAAAGGAACTTAAAGAAATTTAAAAAACAACACAGGGTATGGATGGAAAATGCTGCAGAGAAATAGATATCAAAAAGAAAAAGCAATCACAATTTCCGAAAATGAAAGACACACTTAAAGAAATAGAAAATGCACTGGAAAGTTTCAACAATAGAATCAAACAAGTAGAAGAAAGAACTTCAGAGCTTGGAGACGAGGCTTTTGAATTAACCCAATCAGATAAAGACAAACAAAAATAATTTTTAAAAAAGGCCAGATGTGATGGCTCATGCCTGTAATCCCAGCATTCTGGGAGGCCAAGACAGACAGATCACTCAAGCTTAGGAGTTCAAGACCAGCCTGGGCAACATGGTGAAACTGTCTCTACTAAAAATCCAAACCTTAGTTGGGTGTGGTAGCACAAGCCTGGGATCCCAGCTACTCAGGTGGTCGAGGCATGAGAATTGCTTGAACCTGGGAGGCAGACGTTGCAGTGAGCCAAGATCACACCATTGCACTAAAGCCTGGATGACAGAGTAAGACTCTGTCTCAAAAAAATAAAAAAAATAATAATAAAAGGATAAAGCCTCCAAGAAATCTGAGATGATGTTACATGGCCAAACCTAAGAATAAATGGTGTTCCTGAGGCAGAAGAAAAATCTCAAAGTTTGGAAAACATATTTGATGGAATCATTGAGGGAAACTTCCCTGGCCTTGCTAGAGATCTAGACATCCAAATACAAGAAGCTCAAAGAAAACCTGGGAAATTTATCACAAAAAGATCATTACCCAGTAACATAGTCATGAGGTTATCTAAAGTCAAGACAAAGGAAAGAATCTTAAGTACTGTGAGGCAAGAGTTTCAGGTAATCTATAAAGGAAAACTTATCAGATTAACAGAAAATTTCTCAGTAGAAACCCAACAAGCCAGAAAAGACTGGAGTCCTATCTTTAGCCTCTTCAAACAAAATAATTAACAACAAAACAAACAGAATGTTGTATCCAAAAAAATTAAGCTTCATAAATGAAGGAGAGATAAAGTCTTTTTCAGACAAATAAATGCTGAGAGAATTTGCCACAACCAAGCCAACACTGCAAGAAATGCTAAAAGGAGTTCTAAATCTTGAAACAAAACCTCAAAATGCACCAAAATAGAACCTCCATAAAGATAAATTTCACAGGGTCTATAAAACCTTAACACAAAGAAAAAAGAAAAAAACAACAAGGTATTCAGGCAACAACTAACATGATGAGTAGAATAGTACCTCACATCTCAATATTAATGTTGAATGTAAATGGCCTAAATGCCCCACTTAAAATATACAGAGTGGCAGAATGGATAAGAATCTACCAACTAAATATCTGCTGTCTTCAGGAGTCTCACCCAACACATCAGGATTCACATAAACTTAAGGTAAAGGGGTGGAAAACATTATTCTATGCAAATGGACACCAAAAGAGAGCAGGATTGTTAGCTATTCTTATATCAGACAAAACATACTTCAAAGTAACAACAGTTAAAAAAGACAAAGAAGGACATTGTATAATGATAAAAATATTAGTCCAATAGGAAAATGTCACAATCCTAAATAAATGCACACCTAACACTTGAACTCCCAAATTTATAAAACAATTACTACTAGACCTAAGAAATGAGATAGATGGAAACAGAATAATAATGTGGGACTTCAATACTCCACTGACAGCACTACACAGGTCATCAAGACAGAAAGTCAACAAAGAAACAATGGACTTACACTGTAACCCAAAACAAATGGACTTAGCAAATATTTACAGAACATTCTCCCCAACAACTGCAAAATAAACATTCTTTTCATCAGCATATGAAACATTCTCCAAGATATACCGTATGATAGGTTACAAAACAAGTCTCAATAAACTTAAGAAAATCAAAATTATATCAAGTGTCTTCTAAGATCACAGTTGAATGAAACTGGAAATTAACTGAAAAAGGAACACTCAAAATTATACAAATACATGAAAAATAAATAATCTGCTCCTGAATGATCTTTGGGTAAACAATGAAATCAAGAAGGAAATTAAATAATTCTTTGAGCTGATCAATAATAGTGACACAACTTATCAAAGCCTCTGGGACACAGCAAAAGCAGTGCTAAGAGGATCATTCATAGTATTAAATGCTTACATCAAAAAATCTGAAAGAGCACAAACAGACAATCTAAGGTCACACCTCAAGGAACTGGAGAAACAAGAACAAACCAAACCCGAATTCAGTGGAAGAAAAAAAAAAAAAGATCAGAGCAGAACTAATTAAATAAAACAAACAAAAAAAATACAAAAGATAAATGAAACAAAAAGCTGGTTCTTTGAAAAGATAATCAAAATTGATAGACCGTTAGATAAACCAAGAAGAGAGAAGATCCAAATAAGCTCAATTAGAAGTGAAATGGAAGATATTATAACCAATATCAGAGAAATACAAAATATCATTCAAGTCTACTATGAACACCTTTACATGCACAAACTAGAAAATCTAGAGGAGATGGATACATTCCTGGAAATATACAACCCTCCTAGATTGAATCAAGAGGAAGTAGACAGACCAATAACAAGTGGTGAGATTGAAACAGTAATAAACAAATTGCCAACAAAAAAGTTTCAGGATGAGATGGAGTCACAGCTGAATTCTATGAGGCATTCAAAGAAGAATTGGTACCAATATTACTGAAACTATTGCCAAAGAAAGAAAAAAGGGAATCCTCCCTAAATCATTCTAAGAAGCCAGTATCACCCTAATTCCAAAATCAGGAAATGGCATAACAGAAAGAGAAAACTACAAACCAACATCCCTGATGAACATAGATGTAAAAATCCTCAACAAAAATACTAGCTAACCAAATCCAACAGTATATAAAAAAGATAACCCACCATGATCAAGTGGGTTTCATACCAGGGATGCAGGGCTGGTTTAACAAAAACAAGTTAATAAATGTGAAACACCACATAAACAGAATTAAAGACAAAAATCATATGATCATCTCAATAGATGCAGAAAAAGCATTTGACAAAATCCACCATCCTTTAGGATTAAAATCCTCAGCAAAATTGGCATAGAAGGGACATACCTCTTGGTAATAAAAGGCATCTATTACAAATCCACAGCCAACATTTTACTGAATGGAGAAAACTTAAAGGCATCCGACCTAAGAACTGGAACAAGACAAGGATGCCTACTTTCACCACTTCTATTCAACGTAGTACTGAAAGTCCTAGCCAGAGATATCAGACAAGAGAAAGAATTAAAGGGCATCCAAATCAGTAAAGAGAAAGTCAAACTGTCACTGTTTGCCAATGATATGATCATATGCCTAGGAAACCCTAAAGACTCATTCAAAAAGCTCCAAGATCTGATAAATGAATTCAGTAAAGTTTCAGGAGACAAAATTAATGTACACAAATTAGTAGCATTGCTATACACCAACAACGACCAACCTGAGAATCAAATCAAGAACTCAGCCCATTTTACAACAGTTGCAAAAAAGCAAAATGCATAGAAATATACCTAACCAAGAAGGTGAAAGATCCATACAAGAACAACTACAAAACACTGATGAAAGAAATCATAGATGACACAAAGAAATGGACACACATTGCATGCTCATGGATGGGTAGAATCAATACTGTGAAAATGACCATACTGCCAAAAGCCATCTACAAATTCAATGCAATTCTCATCAAAATACCATCATCATTCTTTATAGAACTAGAAAAAAAAATCCTAAAATTCATATGGAACCAAAAAAGAACCCCCATAGTCAAAGTAAGACTAAGCAAAAAGAACAAATCCAGAGGCATCACATTACCCAACTTCAAACTATACCACAAGGCTTTGGTTACCAAAACAGCATGGTACTGGCATAAATATAGGCATGTAGAACAATGGAGCAGAATAGAGAACCCAGAAATAAAACCAAATACTAACAGCCAACTGACTTTCGACAAAGCAAACAAAAGCATAAAGTGAGGAAAGCACACCCTATTTAACAAATAGTGCTGGGATAATTGGCAAGCCACGTGTAGAAGAATGAAACTGGATCCTCATTCCTCACCTGATATAAAAATCAACTCAAGATGGATCAAAGACTTAAATCTAAGACCTGAAACCACAAAAATTCTAGAAGATAACATCAGAAAAATTCTTCTAGACATTGACTTAGGCAAAGAGTTCATGACCAAGAATCCAAAACCAAGAGAAACAAAAACAAAGATAAATAGATGGGATCTAGTCAAATTAAAAAGCTTCTGCACAGCAAAAGAAATAATCAGAAGAGTAAACAGACAACCCACAGAGTAGGAAAATATAGTCTCAATCTATACACCTGGCAAAAGACTGATATCCAGAATCTACAAGGAACTCAAATAAATCAGCAAGAAAAAAAAATCCCATCAAAGAGTGGGCAAAGGATATGAGTAGACAATTATTAAAAGAAGATATACAAATGGCCAACAAACACATGAAAAAGTGCTCAATATCAGTAATCATCAGGGAAATGCAAATTAAAACCACAATGAGATGCCACCTTGCTCTTGCAAGAATGGCCATGATTAAAAAATTAAAAAATAATGGATGTTGACATAGGTGTGGTGAAAAGGGAACAGTTCTACACTGCTGGTGGGAATGTAAAACTAGTACAACCACCATGGGAAACAGTATAGAGATTCCTTAAATAACTAAAAGTAGAACAACCGTTTGATCCAGCAATCCCGCTACTGGTTATCTACCCAGAGGAATAAAGGTCATTATATGAAAAAGACACTTGCATACACATGTTTATGGCAGCACAGTTCACAATTGCAAAAACAAGGAGCCAGCCTAAATGCCTATCGACCAATAAGTGAATAAAGAAAATATAGTATATATATATATATATATTTTATATATATATATATTATATATATATTATATATATATATTTTATATATATATTATATATATATATTTTATATATATATATTATATATATATATTTTATATATATATATATTATATATATATATATTTTATATACACACATATGTATATACACCATGGAATACCACTCAGCCCTAAAAAGGAACAAGCTAAAGGCATTCACGGCAATCTGGATGAAGTTGGGGACCATTATTCTAAGTGAAATAACTCAAGAATGGAAAATCAAACATTGTATCTTCTCACTTACAAGTGGGAGCTAAGCTATGAGGACAAAAAGGCATAAGAATGATATAGTGGGCTTTGGGAACTCAGGGGGAAGGGTGGGAGGGAGGTGAGAGAAAAAAGGACTATACATTAGGTACAGTGTACACTGCTCAGGTGATGGGTACACCAAAATCTCAGAAATCGCCACTAAAGAACTTATTCATGCAACCAAACACTGCCTGTACCCCCAACACTAGTGAAATAATATTATTTTTTAAAAAAATAATAAGCAAAGACTTATGGTTCTGATGAAAAAGATTTTTCAACATCTACCAGAGCCTATGTTTCTGTACGTTTTTTATGGAACATATTTGGCATTCTAAAAAGTTATGTAATATCCATGATGACACGTAGAAATCTCTGAATTATCAGTGCACACTCTCTGTGTCTGGCCGGTGCATAAATAAAATTATAATGTACAGGAAGATCCAGCTTATCTTTTGCCCCATTTGTGCAATTGACACCCTTTTCCTTTTGACACCCTTTTGTTTCCCTTTGAGGCCCTCAATAACAGTTAAGATTTTATGGTTGCAAACAGTAGAAAAGACTCTAACTTAAATAGGAAACAATTGATTGGGATATAAACATACGTGAGAACATAAGGGAGTGATATAAGAAACCTTCATTAGAAACATACGAAGAACCGACAAAACATAAGAGACATTTGGTGAACAAACAAGGAAAGAATAGGTATGGGGAGAGCCTCAGTGATCCATGTATCAGGAACTAATACATCAAGTTTTTAGGGAGTGGCTGATTGCTGGGATGAGGCAGTTTCTACTCTTCATTAGCCTTTTGTAATTCTGGGGAAAAGATCTGATTGGCCTAGATTGAGTCACATGTTCCCTATTGGCAAGGGGAAGGCCTGAAACCTTGACTGACAAACTGAATCAATCAGTTATTGGAATGTAACAAACCACTCCAAAACTCAGTGGCTTTAAATCATGCTAATGTATTTCCTACCTGCAGATAGGCTGGTGATCAGCTCTTGTAAGCTGGGTTCTGCTTAAAGATGTGGGGCAGATGGCAAAGATATACTCCATACACAGTTCATTCTGGGTCCCAGGCAGCAGGGTGGCGGCTACGTGGGAGAGGCTGTTCCCATGGCAAAGTATAAGAGCATAAGCGCATTTGAAGCCTTTGCTTGCATCACGTCTATTAGCACCCCATTGGCGAGCTTTTTGTGGGAGTGATGGCCGAATCAGCAGACAAAGGGAATAGATAGAGGAACGTGTGAAGAAAGGAAGCCAATAATTAAACTGGGGCAATTACCCAAGAATCAAAGAAATAATTACCCCAAAAGAAATCATAATGTTTTTACCATGAAAAGGATTCTTGTGGGGGAAAGAAAGAAATGAGATCAACCAGTTCCCAGATCCTGAAAGGCCTTGTTCTCACCTGGCTCTTATGAACTGCAGCTGTAGGTGGTTCCTCTCGTGGCACTTTCATATGCCAATAAGATGCCAAGAGCCAAGGATGTAATCTTTATGGGAGGGATGTGACAAGTATCTTTAAGGTAAAAACAGACCTGGTCAGATCACAGCTATATAATATAGCTATATAAAAGTAAAAATCACGGCTGTATAAAAGTAATGTGTCTATTTTTAGCAGTAGCCCTGAAAATGATTGTGATTACAGTATATTAAGACAGAAAAATCATATAGGAGGAGGGATTGTTGCTGTTACTTGCTGTATGAGAACTCTTGAGCATCCAAGCGCTTATAAATTAGTCCAGAGCAACAAGTTCAGCCCTTCTGGCTCTCTCTGTTGCTCACTTCAGCACTAGCCATTTCTGAAGCATTATTCTAGTGGATAGAGGTGTGTGTTCCTGTTTTATAATTTACCTTGCCTGGGAAATACTGATGAAACTTGAAGGACATAATAGTTTAACAAATCAAAAGGCCTCCTGATGCTGGTCCTTAAACCTAGACTGGGGTGGCTACATCAAACCATATATTCAGATTCTAGGGCTTTATTCCTGAGGACTCTCATTAAGTATGTCTGTGTTGAAGCCCTAATTTCTATTTCTATTGTGAAACTCCAGAGGTGTTCCAGAGATTCTAAGGTTTATCCAGGTTTTGAATCTACCTAGTCTGCTTTATTTTACATATGAAAAAAAATTGACACCCAGAGTGAATGATGGGATAGCTTTCTTCCCAGTGTCACACAGCTGGTTTGTCTTGAGTCAGAACTTGGACTAGGACCTGATCTCCTGTCTCCCAGCCTAGTGCGTATTCCCCTACAACCTACTGTCTCCTTCATATGAATGCCCAGAGATATCATGCTGATCGGAATTTCTGGAGTATGAACATCATCCCTTCCCCATTCGTAGGAACCTTAATTGTCTTCACCCTAAAGCACATATAGCTTCAGATATGTTTGCATATTTACGTCGATCTAATTGCTCATGAGTCGATCTAGTCAATTAGCCTTTGGTTACTGGAAAAAAAGTGATTTAAGACTATTTTTAAATGAAACCTGTGAATCCTTTTGCCATATAGGCACAAAGTAGGACGTCAAGGGGCACTGTGATAAAGGAGACAGCAGCAGGTCCAGGGAAAAATCTTACAGAGTGAAATCATCAACCCTCAATGGAATGTGAATCGAAAGCCAAGAACTATTAGTAAAAAGAAAAATGTATAAAGTAGAGGAAAGAAGAACAGAGGGGCGTGAGCATGAGATGGGAGTGCAGAGGGCTTGAATTGGCCTGGACAGCCCATTTCTCAGCAGGTCAGCACTCACAGGTTGGCACGCAGGATAAGATAGGGTGAGAGACAGCCACCGAAAAGGAAGAAAGATGGTCTTCGGGAAGGGAAGATATGCTTAAAATTAAACACAAGGGAGGAAAAGGGTGTTTACAGTTTTCTGAGATGAGGTTCAGGGCTGAAGTCATAGTTTGGCAGCCAAACCAAAGAAATTTAGTTTCCCTTGGAAAGATTTATGTCTTCTAGGGCTGAGAAATATGTCTGGCTGCCAATATTTCATAAAGCAACCTAGAAAGAAATACAACCTACTTTAGTGTTTGGCTTGGGACTTTTCACCTTTGTTTGGCAAGATATTTTTCATTTTGAAAGAGGGAGTGAGTACTATTCATGTCAGCTCCCTATGAAGATCTTAAAGCTCTTTGCCTAAATTATCTGATGGTTCATAATGCTTTACTTACCTATATATAAATATTTTAAAAGGTAGATTAAATTAACAGAACCTGTGACACTCATAACCTGTCTGTTCCAAAATTCTTTGAGATAACATTGCCATCAAACAGAACTAAAAGAAATGTAATCAAGCCCTTTGGGAATTTCATGTAGTAGTTGGAAACCACAAAATGTAGGTCCAGTTCTGCCATTTGTTATTTTTATGACCTTGAAAATTTACTCAACCCCTCTGTGCCACCGATTTCTTATCTATTATGTGGAGTTTATAAAAGAATTTACTTCACAGGGTTGTGGAGAGGATTGAATGACTCTTAGAACAATGCTTGGCACTCAGAAAGGATTAATTGTTATTACCACATTTTCTGGAATTTCTGAGATATCTCAATTTCAACTATTCTTCATTACTATAGTCATATTATCATGAAAATACTCTAAAAATGCCAACTAACTACATTTTTAAGATTATCTTTCCTATGTGGAAGTGGCAGCAAACTTTTTCTCTTATTTTTAAATTAGATTTTGTGTCCTTATTTGAGGCTTAGGAAATATAATAATGTCAACAAAGGACAGAGTTCAGCCAATGTTCCTGAGTGCTGCGAGAGAGGGGAAGCAATGGAGAGGAAAATTTCTTCCAGTCTTCTCCAGCTCCAAACCATGTCAGCCCCACTGTTGTAACTGCTATGAATTATCACCGGCTCTTTGTACTTATCCACTCAGAGTTTCATATGCCTGTTTTCCCATTCAGAGAGATGTTTTCCCCAGGCATAGTCATCTGCTTACACTGGCCATAATTTCCCCAGCAGCCTGTTTGCCAGTATATCTTCCCTTCTCTTTCTTCCTTTCTCTCCTTTCCTTTCCCATGCCTTCTCCCTCTTCCCCTTTGCCAGTTTCTTTCCCACCCTTCCTCCCTCCCTCCTTTCCTACTTCTTAAAGTCTTTGTGTCTCTACCATCCTCCAGGCACTATGTTCTTCTCTTCCCAATTCCCCAACATTAACCTATATCCAAGTATTATCTGGACAGATGCTGATTTCTATCCTCCTCTTTCTGATTTCTCTTTAAATCTTCCTTCATGCCCTCAGTGTCCTGTCATCCACCTCTCCTGCTTTGTTCTGCTTCTAGCTCTTTCTCAACCATCTTCATTATTACACAGGCACATAGGATAATGTAAATGTAGACAATAGATGGAGCTTGAACTATAGGTAAGTAATCTAGGCTCTCCTCTTGGTTCATTTATTTGCCATCTGAGTGACCTTAAGCAAGGCACTTAATGCAGCAAAGCTTCCATCTCCACATATGTAAACCGCGTGCTCTGAGTGCTCAAGCAAATGCTATCAGGTTCATATGAGGCTGTATAAGTCAAGTAGCATGTTTTAACGTCTGCCAATTCCTACTTAATGACACTATTGCCCCATTCTCCCTGGCAGTCTAGATATCCTACTCATTTTCAGCCTATAGATGTCACAGCTTTTACTTTCAACTGTAGTATCATTCCTTTTGGTAATCATTTCACCCCTGATCCTTTTCTCCCAACCTCAACTCCTACTTCTTCCTTTATATGCTGTTTACGCCAGTAATTCAAAATCACTCAGAGTCTGCCACATGTGACAAGCTGCTTCTCATCACATAACCTCTCCTTAGCTGTTCTTGCATTCTTTCTGTGTCTCAGAAGCAATTGTTGAATTGAACTCTATCCTTTTCTAACTATGTGAATGTAGACTTACACTAATTTTGGAATTCTGCAACTTGGATTCAAGCTCCAGCCATCTATGTATTTTGGCTATCTGACCTTGACAATGTCATTTAACCTCTAAGAGAGTCAGTTTTCTTGTGTATATATGGGGGACAATGACAACTTCTGTTTATTGAAAGCTCACTATTTGTCAGAGTTGTGTATTTGCTCATTTATCTTTTCTCATTTTATTTTTACAGCTGCCCTATGATGTACCTATTATTATTCCTATTTTACAAATAAGAAAGCTGAGACTGGAAAGCTATTTATCTCAAAAACTAAAATAGCCTCAGAACTAGAATCCTAGTCTCCACTCTCACTGTTCTTTCATCTGCTTTGTTGGAATATTAATGGTGATCTCCTAAAATCATCAAACAAATACTGTCACGTCCTTTGCAATGCCCACCCCCCCACCCCCAACTGAAGTTGCTTAATTGCATAGAGAAAAATCTAATCTAAATGTCCTCTCATGTCTTATAAGCCCCACAGGACCTAGCCTCTAATTACCTCTTTGAATTCATCACACACTATGTTCCCCTTCTTTCACAGCACTCAGGGACATTAGCTGAATTGCTTTTTCTGGCCCAGGTAAGCACTTTGCAGCCACAGGACATTTGCATGTGCATGTGCTGTTTCTTCTTCTGGGAGCATTCTTCCAATAGATCTTTCATGGCTGGCTCCTTCTTCTCATCTGTCTTAGCTCAAATGCTGCCTCCTTTGAGTAGTTTTTCCTGAAACCCAATCCCGTTTAGCCAGGCTCCATTACTGTCCTTTTCATAACCATATTTTATTTTTGAGAGCGCTCATCACAATCTAAAATCATCATTTACTTATTTATTACCTGTCTTCTGTATTCTCAGTGTATAGCACAGCAGATTCAATGCATCTTTGTTAAACGAACGGACTGTCCAAAGTCAGTTTAGACAAGAGGGGATGGAACAGGATTTGAGCCCAGGACTGTCTGACTCTAAAGTCCATATGCCTAACCACTGCATTCATTCCCTGCTTCAGCCATTAAAATATTGAAAAGAAACAGTAGGCTAACATGGGAGCATGGTTTGTAAACTCCAAGCATTATGTCAATGTGAACATGCAGTTTTGGTACTCTGTCCTCTGCTGGATGCCACATGGACTAAAACTGTCTGTTCTCAAGAGGCTCTAAGTCATCACCGGTGTTAGAGAAGAAAGGCCGTTGTCTACAATAAATCCTTCTGCTGACATTCCTTTACGACTATGGTGACATCTGTGAGAAGCTCTTCTCTTTTCTTCCCATTCTTGGCCAGACCCTTGCCAATCCTACCTTATCTTCTACACTCTTGGCCTTGCCTTTCTTGCTGCCATTAAAGAAAGATGTACTGAAAATCTCCCATTCATTCTTAATTAGCTGACTTAACACACTCGCTTTTCATAGACATTTTAGGCCTCTGTTTAATTCCCAACTATGCCTACATAGGGCTTACAGTAACAAAATCCAAATTATATCTAGAATTAACCATGGGGAGTCCTAATTTTTAAGA
This sequence comes from Homo sapiens, assembly GCF_000001405.40. NCBI lineage: Eukaryota > Metazoa > Chordata > Mammalia > Primates > Hominidae > Homo > Homo sapiens. Next base: position 82,517,121 of record NC_000009.12, read on the forward strand.
CCCTCTCTTCCATTGTAGATTGGAAATAAAACTGAGGTAGGTTCATTCACCTGAAATCAACACTTAATCACACAGCAAGTTAATGGCAAAGTGAAAATGAAAATTCGTGTCCTTCAGTGCTTCTCTCCTAAAACCTGTTGAGTTTATTTTTTGTAATTATTAATAGAGTATCATTATATAAATTTCCAATGTGATTATGCTTTAGTGAAAGAAAACTTTACATCCAACCCAAAGTGAATGTTTATTCTATGGTTTGCAAATAAAGTAGCAACCCATATATTTTATCTTTGCATTAGTAAAGCCTCCAAACTTCAAAGGCAAATAATTTATTTCAATATCAGTGGCATAAATTAATTCCCCATGCACTGCATTCCTTTGAACTCTTAATCTACAATCAGCGTCATTTTAGGATTTGCTAAGATCAAAAGTCTCTCTAGAACAAGTAGCTTGATTTAGTCATTCTACAATGTATATACATATATCAAAACCTCAAGTTGTATACAATAAATATATACAATATTCACTTGTCAACTGAAAATAAATAAACAGAAGTATCTAGAACCACCCAATACTTAGATATTTGAATAATTCTGTTGTTTTTCCAAGTAAAACATAGAGTATGTTTCTAAAACCTAGTACTTGCAAAAGTTTAGTTTAGTTTTAAGTTATGAATATGTATTTTGAAAGTAGCCTGCAGCTTCTTTATGCTTGACTATTTTGAGTCTACCCCGCTAGTGTCTCATCATGCAACGATGAAAAACTGAAATGAAGATGATATAGCTAAGGCACAGAGTATTACTCTTTAGAGATACAATTCTCTTAGCAATGAGATTACAGAAATTAAAATGTGTGATGTTTTTCTTATCTGAATGCCTAAATCATTGTTTCATGTTGGTATTCAAAGAAAACAAGTTCTTATTCATACAACAAATAGAATGAGTGATGGGAACTGAAAAGGAGGAAGACACAATTCCCTGGTTTTCTGTGTCTCTTTTCAAGATATTTTTTTCTGGTGCTGGTATACATATCAGCCTACACACATCCACCATACTTTCTTCAAGTACTCAAGAAAGCGTTGAGTTCCCCAAACTGTTTCCTTACATCAAATTTTTAAAAACTCCCCCACCCATCATTTTCAGTCAATGAAGCCAGTTTCTTCCCTCTATGGAAAGTAGATTCTAAAGTTTGACTTGTAGATCATTGCTATTACTAACACATAATGCCATTTGGAGCACATTCATCCTAGAAATTTTCCAAGTTTACAGTGTCTACTTGAATTTTTTCAGTGAATATTTGTCATTTCATTCAAGAGCAGGCCTATGGGTAATCATTTAATCAAAACTACTGCAGTGATTGCTACTTGTACAGAAAATTACAAAGCTACAACAGGAGTCAAGCCACGATTGCCAAGTCTAAATGGGCTCTGCTTTTTGTTAAGTATTGGGTAAGAATGAAGCCTTAAATTTGGAGGAAATTGAAGAGCATTCTTCGGTCAGAACCAAATTTTCCAATTTTCATTTTCTCTATTTTATTTACACAAAAATACATGATGAAAATTCATAGAAGGCACATATGAAGAACACGTATATTATGATTCTTGCTTTCTGATAAATGTCTTATTCTAGCTTTGGGGCCCCTGATATGTCCTTTCTGTTAAGATTTGAAAGGTATAAAAAAGAACATTGAAAAACTTTAACTATGATTTTTTATGCTTCATCATGATTTCACATATGCCAACTATCCAATGAAAAAAATATGTTGAGATGATAATTTGTGAAATATTCAATCCCAATATGTGCACAAGAGCTTATTGGGAGGCAAGTTAGCATGGAAATAACTGCTTTTTTTGGAAAGAAGCCTTGTTTCAAGTTGAAAACTCTATAAATTATGCTTTTATTTATAGAATTCTGTCTTACTTTCATTGTCTCTAATAGACCATAAATCTTAGTATATTGCTAACTATAGAGATGAACCCTCAGAGACTGGTTGGATGTGTATACTTGAGAAAGTAAACACAGTTTCTTAAAGGGCAATACAATGAGGTCATACTCTGCAAAGAGATTGTAAAAAAGATAGTTGTGTACTCTTGATTTATTTTCTTTTCCAATAATATTCTTTAAAAAACAAAGTCAACTTTTAAGTTATAAGGTAGCTTTTGCAAATGTTGATTTTAAAAAAGGGTCCAAATTGCTGCCTACAAGAGAAGAATTGAGCCCACAACAATCATTGATACATGATTAAAACTGGATCTTGTCATAGCAAAACATATTTTCTGTTTGGAAATAAAGCATAAAAGATTCTGCAGCTACCTCACATTGGCAAAAAAAGACAGGAAGCTTTAAATCTGTGGCCTTTCTTTATGAGTGGTGAAAGATGACATGAGTGGGTAGATTTTGGAGGGGCTAGCCCCCTCTGAAATGATCCAAGTGTGTTGACAGAACCTCACTAATTCACTTCCCTGAGACCAGCAATAAACAAGACTTCCTGTAGAGTATATTTAACCACCACAATTTGTTTCTGGTTGGAAATCATCCTAAAAAGTTTCTTGTCCATGTTTAAAGGTGGTTCTTCAGGGTTTAAGGCCACGCTGCTAAAATTTGGTCCCTGTGAATTTCCCTACAACAGTAAAGAAGCTATCTGTATCCCTCATGTTGAAGACAGGAGCACCTTTATGTGATATGTGGAGCAGAAGCTGGAAAATAGACTCATACTTATCCCAGCCTTACCAAGCTGATCAGAAAGCAGGGATCTGCAGTTCAGCTACGTTGAAGACATATTTGTCAAGGTTATAATTCATTCAGACCATTATATTCAGGGAGAACAGCTAAATCAGTGAGGAGCATGTAAGCACTGTGTAGTTAGACATGCTAGGTGTTAAATACTTGAAATCAGCAAAGTGGAAAAAGCAAAACGGAAGCATCATTGCAGTGGTTGAAAATTAAACAGAGCTGTATTCAAACCCCAGTTTTGCCTCTTTTTGACTATGAGACTGGGCAACTGTGTTTGTATACTTTGCTTAAAATACAAGCTTTTATTCTCTACTGGGTCATCTCTTCAGAGTCCCTCCCAGTGGCAAGAGTTCCCCCTATAGCCACTAATCTCAGGCTTGGCCATATGACTTGCTTGGACAAGTGAATATGAGCAAAAGTGACAAAAACCATGTCCAAAGAGAATATTTAAGATCCAATCCACGAATTTTTCCATTGTTCTTTTCCCCCTGCTATGAGAAGAGCATGTTGCAGAAAGGGTCAGCTCCTTCAGCCTAGATCTCAGAGTAAGGTGCCTTGTGGGAAGTGCCAGGACCAAACCATAGACCTACAACTGATATTTATTATGAGCCTGTGCTGTTAGCAACTGAAATTTGGAGTTGTTTGTTACCACAGTGTAATCTGCCAAAACTAATACAACAAGTTACATAAATCTCTCTATGTCTCAGATTCTTCATCTGTAAAATCAAAGTAAGGTTATTGTGAAGAGAAAATAGGATGATATTTGGATATTTAGTGTTTTCTTAGTAGCATCTAGCAATTAGTGATCATTATTATTATTCTAGGTGCCCAGGATGAAAATCTGTGAAACAAAGCATCAGGAATCCAGAAGAAAGACTGAGCAGCAATTGATAAAAAACATAAGGCTAAGGGTCTATACAACTAGATATTGGAATTTAGCTAGAGGCATGAGTAACAGATTCTAGGGGGTGAGGTAGAGGGAGACAGGAGCAGCACGTATGACATTTGGTCATGGCTGACACTTTCTGTGGCACATGTTTTATAAAGGCTTCCAATGGAGACCAATTTCACCTGAGTGCATAGTCAGATCCAAGCTGCAGTGGGGACAAATAAATAGATGGGATATTAGGAGCCGCTTTACATAAAGCACATTGTTCTAAAATAAACTTTCTTGTTTGCTCCTAAACAGATTTTTTACCCCACTGTTAGGTTATGTGAACACATTATGGAAATGTCTAAAATTTACAATGACAAAATTCTTTCCTTTTGGCTTGAAGTCTACAGTTTCTATGAAAGCTATATCATTTATGTGTCTAAAATGTTTTATACAGAGAATGAGCCCTAAACAAATTTTAAATCTGTTAAGACTGAAACATAGTCTTACAAAGATAGAGTTGGTTTTGACAAGCGGTGAAAAAGTATGTTGCTGCTGATGCTGCATTAGCCACATGAGTTTCTTCCCATAGATTGTTCAGAGGGGGAAACTGGTCAATCACTTGTCCTTAATATAGGACATCAAGGGAAGTTCAACTGGGCCTAACTTGTTACATCAAGTAGCTATCTGTATCCCTACTATTAGAATGGCTTGTGGAGCCAGAGAGCCAATGCCAGGAGTCCAAACCAACCATTCATACAGTATGTATCAATATTGACATCACATTAGAATCACCTAGGGCAATTAAAACTTAGACACTACTTCTAATTAAAACAAAACAAAACAAAACAAAAACATCTGGAGGTGGAGACCAGCAATCACAATTAAAAACAAATAAAACTCACCACGTGATTCTAGCATGCAGCCAGGTTGAGGACCATTGAGTAAGAAGTGGATAAGTCCAAGGGTAAGGAGGGGCCTGCAGAGAGGGGTAGCTGACAAACCAGGATGAACAGAGAAGTGGAGACGGAGAATGCTGACCAGCGCCTGTCAGAGTTCAACATGCATAAAAATCACCAAGGGAGTGGGAGAGGTCTTGTCAAAATGCAGATTCTGATTCAGTAGGACTGAAGGAGACACTAAGAATCTGCATTTCTAACAAACTCCCACGTAATGCAATGCTTCCAGCCCCTGGACCACACTATGAGTGGCAAGAAACTAGAGTAGAAAAGTATGAGTGGTTCTAAGTAAATCCTGGACTACTAATGCCTGAGTGACTACTTTGAGTTTGTATGGGCAAGCTAGAGTTACTTAAAAAGACCAGAGCAGAATTGGATAAAATAATGATGGCAGGTGCCAATAGAAAGACTATAGTGATTCCTCATGTATGACTGCTGCCATAGCTTGAATTTATTCTAGGAGTCTTGTCAGAAGATGAAGAACTGGAGTTGAGTTGCCTTGTATTAGATGACACACATGGGGCTAGAAATTAAATGTAGAGATATGAGCCTTCTGAAGTAGTAAAAGATAGGTGCTTGATAAAGACCTTTCTCTCTAAGATAGAGCAAAAGTCTATGCAGGATAGTAGCACTGATAGATGACAATGGCACAAACCAAGTCAGAAAGCAAAATTAAATGCTTTTAAATGGTATTTCCAAAATCCCTGATGTTCCCCAAATCATTTTATTCAGCATTCAGACATGATAGTAAAGTACATTGAACCACATAGTGGTAATATTTCCTTTTTACCTTTCTTTCAATCCTTCTGGTTAACTTCAAGGGGGAAAAAAAGTTAGTTATGGATTGTACGTCTTTAGCACCTCCAGCACCTCAATTACCCACTTTAACAACAACAAAAAGAACAGTTCTCAAGCTCAAAACTCCAGCAGGCAAATGTTTTGGTTATTTTTATTACAATTATATGTGTTAATACTTTCTACTTCCAGCAAGTGATACTTTTTTTTCATTTCTGTGAGTAATATATACTTTTCCTTCAATGTAAATTTAAGTAAACAAAGTTAATTTTCTTAAGTAAAATATTAGTAAGTGATGCTACAAAATCTTATGCAGATATGACAAAAATCATAAAGGTAGTATCTGAATTGCTGAAGTTTGAAAAATCTGGCTTGGAACAAACAAGAAACTAAATTAAAATCTGTGCTGTGTACAAGCATAGGCCCTCACAAAATATTTGCGTTGATTTATTTTGCAAAAACTGCACATAACATAGGCTTCTAAAGGCAAACCAAATTTAATCAACAAATATTTACTGAAACAAAAGAGCAATTTTTAAAATTCAAAATGTTTTACTGATTTTATGTATTTTGTTCTTCATGTAAACAATTGTGTGTGTTCACTTGAATACATCAAATAATTTACTAATGAAGAGATTCAGCAAATATAAGAAGTGTTTTCCAATGTGTTTCTTTTATTTTGAGGTGCTGTGTACATTTAAATAAAAAGTGTCAACTTACTTTTCTTTACTATGTTATTCAAAATAGGGGTTTCTTTCTCTTAATTCTTTGGCATCTCATCATCAAGCATAGCCACATCATAGCTACTTTTCTGATAAATATGATATATGCCTTTACCTAGTGACTTAGCAAGCCAACTACAATATTTGGTTTTCGGAACTAGCCTTGTTATGATAAAAGTTAATGCAAAAACAAATAAGTTCCAGGTATTTGGGATAGAATATTCCATAAGAAATGATTTTCTGCTCCTATATACATTCAATCACTGGACTTTTTTTTTTTAACTTTTTGTTCCTATTGTCACACATACTGTACCAAAAAATCCACATAATTGTACAGTTTCTTCAACTCCCCAGTCTTTACCTGCGAAGATTTGTTTTATATCAGCAGGATTCTACCTGGAGTACTTTTAACACATGAATCTTCCAGGCCCCACCTCCATCGGCTTGTTTGATGGTAATGGAGATGTGGATTAGTTAAAAGAACTCTCTCAAGATGGGGACCTATTTTCCTTGGAGATGGGTGGGAACTCAGCACATCTGGACACATCAAGCAGGCTAATGGGGTAGGCCCACCACATTCATTTGCAGGCATCGATTTGCCTGAGGATGTTGTTGATAGGAAGAGAAAAGAGCTGGAGCCGGAGTATGTTATTGCTACCGTAAGAAATTACACAAACTTGGTGACTTAAAACAAAACAAATTTATCTGATAGTTCTGAAGTCAGTAGTCTGAAATAGGTCTCACATGGGTAAAATCAAGGTATTGGCTATGCTCTGTTCCCCTAGAAGCTCTAGGAGGGAATTTTTTTCCTTGCCTTTTCCAGTTTCTAGATGCTGCCCTCATTCTTTGGCTCATGGCCCCCTTGCATCTGCAAAGAGGGCATTTTTTTTTTCAGTCCAACCTCTGCTTTCATCCTCACATCTCCTTCTCTGACTATGACCCCCCTCTGCCTCCTCTTTCATGTTTATGGGCCTATCTAGGTAATCCTGGATCATTTCCCCAACTTAAGGTCAGCTGATCAGCAACCTTAATTTCATCTGCAAACTTAAATCCTCCCTGCCATGTAACATAACATATTCACAGGTTCTAGGGGTTAAGATATGGAAATCTTTGGGGTCCATTATTTTTCCCACCACATAGAGGTAGAGAAAGGAGGGAAGGCAGCACAGGATTGGTCCTAGAGTTTATTCTTTTCTAAGTTACAATGAATGGCCTCTCATTGGTCAAGAGGGACAATGGGCTGAAAGAGAAGGGAAAGCAGTGTGCACTCTAAGATGCATGGATACAAAAATAATACTATTTTCATTTCAATTGTGTAGGGACACAAAATGGGGGAAACATGTTGTTTCTGCTTCTGCAAGGAACCAGACTGCCATCTCTAATGCATGCATCACAGGTACCCAGTAGGGGCAGTCAAACAGCAAAAGCTACACAATGATGGGCCACGGGAGCAAGGGTAAGATATTAACATTTAACTGGTTTTCAGGAGCATTGTGGGGCTTGGCCATAGACCATACCAGAAAGGACTAAAAAGTAAAGTAAGAGTATGACAGGTAGACCTGCTGATGGACTAGATTGGTATATGAGACTATTCTGGAACCTTCCAGGAATAATTACAAGACTACTTCAGGGGACTCAAGGACAAACAAACAACAAAACAGAGTGAAAGCTGTAAAACAGAATTTATTATGCTAATATGGTTCCATTTTTACAGCTTTCTTAAGTCACTTAGAAGATACTTAGGTTATACTCAGGAGGTAGAGGTTCAAACAAATGACTTGAGAGAAGAAATGCCTTTTTAGTTCACCAAAGTAACGCCAGTCAGTGAATCAAGGGGCCTCCCCTGTTCATCTGCATTCCTGATTTTGGCTTAATTACACCCCAAATCTGAATTAACTTGACAATTTAACTCTCACCTCCCCATCCAGATGCTGGATTTACTGCCTTATATCAATCTAATGGGTTTAAGTTTAGTTGTTTTGTTCAGTTAGGCAGAACTGTTTATGTTTTCAGAAATGAGGTCTTAGACCTATGGTTCTGTGCTTTAGGCATTTCCGGGTGATTGGATATTGTGGTGGGTGCTGTGGAGGCCTACCCAGATCACCCCCTTCCTTTGAGACTGAGGCATTCGTTTTAACAGTTTCCAGGTTGCCTGCTGACAGCTCACAGGGGAATTGCCCTTTGCGGAAAGGAGCTCCCTGAGCAGCCTCACCCAAGGTTATGCTTCCTCTCTGGAAACAGCCCATGTTCAAAGACTGGCCATTGTGGAGGCACAAAAGCCTTTCTGCCTTGTCCCAGGAGATCTATGAAGGGCTTCAGAACACTCCTTGGTATTGGTTGAGGTCTCAGTTGTGACTCTATGACAGTTCATCTCCCTGTGCCCAATCCTTATTCCCTCACAGGTGTCGTTCCTGAAAGCATGCATTTCCCACATTCAAATCTCCATCAATGAGAGTGTTTCCCAGGGAACCTGAACTAGGAGAGTTAATGTGAGGATTGGTCTATGGAGGCAGACTCTAAAATGAAACTTGGGAGATGGGTCACTTCCTAGCTATCAATGAGAACTCATAGTCATAGGCGGAGTCCTGGAAGCCGTGGCATGCAGTAGTGGTGCAAATATTACAGCTTTCTCTAGTGGTAAACTGAGATGGAGCATGGGTATAAGGAAATGCACAGTGGACTCGATATCTCAGGCATTTGAGAAGTTCAAAGGCAATAGTAATGAAAAAGGACAATGGAATTGGATGGCTCTTGCTGGGTGCAACGTATGCAGTGGAGAAAGACGATGAAAGACTGAGGTGATTAACCACCAATTTAAGGCAAAAGTCTGAAAATTTAGAGGACCTCCAGGGCAACATTTAAAAACCCTCTCCTGGTGCTGGAGAGTGGAAAAGATAAAGATCGTTCCTAGTATTTATTATAAGAGTAACAGAACTCCAGAGAATTTTGAATTCCAGGACCAGCAATGTTTCTGGGGAGATCCCATAAAGGTGAGGACCCTGGTAGAAAGAAGTGGAACCCTGAGGCTTTGGATGAGACATTTGGGTCAATGCATTTAAAAATCTTGCAAGCCCAGTACCCCTGAACCCCCTAGGCCTGCAAAAGTAGCCTACTCCTCCCTATTAAGGTCTGACATTCCCACTTCAAGACCTGCCTCCACTTTCTCTCCTGACCACCAGACATTGAGTCTTGGTAAGAAACAAAAACACATGAATACCACAGTGTGGGAGATATTCCATATAAATATAAGAGTCCCCCCCATCAGTGAAGTTTTGGGAGCTATGAAGTTGTCAAAGGCATGGTGGAAATTTCCCTTTATTATAAAGGATAAATTATTACATCTTAAATTTCCTGCTACTAATAAGAAAGTGCCATCCCTGGTAAGCCTTCTCTGGTTCTGGAGGCAGAGTGCTTTTTACATTTAGCAATATGGCTTTGATTCATATACTGGGTGACATAAAAAGCTGCCAGTTTTGAGTAGGGTCCAGAGCAGGGAAGGCTTTGCAGCAGTCCATGCTGTGGTGCAAGCAGCCCTGCTTCTTAAGCCAGAGGACTTGGCAAATCCTAGGGAATTGGAAATATTTATGGTGGAAAAAGAAGCTGTGTGGAGTTTATGACAAATCTCAGTGGGAAAATCATAACATAGACAGCTAGAGTTCTGGCACGAGGCCATGCCATATGCAGCAGAGAATTATACATAATTCAAAAAAACAGCTCTTGATGTAAAATAGGACTCTCATAAAAATGGAGCATCTAACCACAGGATGTCAAATGAAAAAGTGGCTAAAATTGTTGATCATGAGCTGGGTTTTATCAGACCCACAAATTCATAGTATTAGGAATGTCCAGCAGCAATCCTTTGTAAACCAATATTGGTATGTCTGGTGCTGGGTAGGAACAGGGCTGGAGAGCACAAGTAAGCCACGTAAAGAGGTGGACCATAATTCCATGTAATTGACCAGTTTTGTTATGACTGCCTGTCAGCTCACACCTGTGACCACATTTGGAGACGAATTCTTACATTTAGTTGGTGGAGGAGAAAAGTGGTCAAGCTTGGTTCTTAAATGGTGGGTGGGCAGGCTGATGCATGATAGTCCCACTCAGAGGTGGCTCTGAAAGACAATGATGAGAAAATCATCATTCTCTCTCCCACTGAGCAAAGCTTTGGGAGATTGACTGGATTATCCAATTGGTATTTACTACTTAATCAATTTCTACTTTATTATTATTTCTTTATGCTTGCTTACTTTTGGTTTAATTGCTCATCTTTTCTAGTTTCTTGAGAGGGAAGCTTACATCATTGATTTGAGAACTCTTTGTTTTCTAATATAAGCATTTAATGCTATGAATGTCCCTTTAAGTGCTGATTTAGCTGCATCCTACAAATTTTGGTATATTATGGTTTTTATTTTCATTCCCTTCAGAGTCCTTTTAAATTTCCCTTTTGATTTCTTTTTTAATCCATGACTGACTTAGAAGTATGTTAGTTAGTTTCCACATATTTTGGGTTTTTTCAGAGGTTTCTCTGGTAGTGATTTCTAGGTTAACTTCACTGTAAACAGATAATATACATAGCATTATTTCAAATTTCTTCAATTTATTGAGGCATGTCTCTTTGATGAATGTTCTATATGTATTCTGTTGTTAATGGAATGTTCAATAAATAGTGATTAGGTCAAGTTGTTTTAGAGTTTTTCAAGTGTTCTAAACTGATTTTATGTCTCCTTATTCTATCAGTTATAAAGAAATATTGAAATAGCAAAGTATAATTGTGAATTTGTCTATATCACCTTTAAATTCTCAGATTTTGCTTCATGTATTTTTTTAAATTTTATCTTAAGTTCTAGGATACATGTGCTGAACGTGCAGTTTTGTTACATAGGTATACATGTGCCATGGTGGTTTGCTCCACCTGTCAACCCATCATCTAGGTTTTAATCCCCGCATGCATTAGGTATTTGTCCTAATGCTCTCCCTCTCCTTTTCCCCCACTTCCTGACAGGTCCCAGTGTATGATGTTCCCCTCCGTGTCCATGTGTTCTCATTGTTCAACTCCCACTTATGAGTGAGAACATGCAGTGTCTGGTTTTCTGTTCCTGTGTTAGTTTGCTGAGGATGATGGTTTCCAGCTTCATCCAGGTCCCTGCAAAGGACATGAACTCATTCTTTTTTATGGCTGCACAGTATTCCAGGGTGTATATGTGCCATATTTTCTTTATCCAATCTATCTAATTAAAGAGCTTCTGCTCAGCAAAAGAAACTATCATCAGAGTGAACAGGCAACCTACAGAATGGGAGAAAATATTTGCAATCTATCCATCTGACAAAGGTCTAATATTCAGAATCTACAGGGAGCTTAAACAAATTTACAAGAAAAAAACAACCCCACCAAAAAGTGGGCAAAGTTTATGAACAGACAGTTCTCAAAAGAAGACATTTATGTGGCCAAGAAACATATGAATAAAATCTCATCATCACTGGTCATTAAAGAAATGCAAATCAAAACCACAATGAAATACAATCTCATGCCACTTAGAATGACAATCATTAAAAAGTCTGGAAACAACAGATGCTGGTGAGAATGTGGAGAAATGGAAATGCTTTTACACTGTTGGTAGGAGTGTAAATTAGTTCAACCATTGTGGAAAACAGTGTGGCGATTCCTCAAGGATCTAGAACCAGAAATACCATTTGACCCAGCAATCCCACTACTGGGTATATTACTCAAAGGATTATAAATCATTCTACTATAAAGAGGCATGCACATGTATGTTTATTGCAGCACTATTTACAATAGCAAAGACTTGGAACCAACCCAAATGTTTCATGTAGTTTGAAAATTTTTAATTCCTCTTGATAAATTTATCCTTTTGTAATTATGCAATATTCTTCTTATATCTTATACTATTCCTTTCCCTGTAGTCTACCTTGTCTGATGTTATTATAGCCACTCCAAATTTCTTTTGATTACTATTAACATGGAATATCTTTTACTATTCTTTTATTTTGAACTTACTTATGTCATCATATGTCTTCTAATGCAGGAGGTAGTTGGGTCTTGCTTTTTATCCAATCTGACAGTTTTTGACTACTAACTGAAATTTTAAAAATTTAAAATTTAATTTAATTATGGATATGGTTTGACATAAAGCTACAGTCTTGGTATTTGTGCTCTATTCTCAACTGTTCTTTCATTTTATCTACTTTTCTAACTTATTTAAATTAGTTGAAATTTTTCTTTAATTATTCAATTTTATCTCCCCTCTTAGCTTATTAGTTATATCTCTTTGGGTTTTATTGTTTTTGTTATTTTTTCATTTGTTTTATTTTTAGCATGGATTGTTCTAGGGTTTAAAATATGTCTCTTTAATTTATGATGGCCTACCTGAAGACCACTTCACATATAATATCAGAAACCCAAAAACGTAGTTTCATCAACTACCCCATCGTTTGTGTTATTTTGGTTATACATTTTTTACATATTTTAAATTCAAAAATTTATTATTATTTTGGCTTTAAACAGGTATTATCTTTTAAAAATATTAAAAGTAAGAAAAATGGCCGGGTGTGGTGGCTCATTCCTGTAATCCCAGCACTTTGGGAGGTTGAGGTGAGTGGATCACCTGAGGTCAGGAGTTTGAGACCAGCCTGGCCAATATGGTGAAACCCCATCTCTACTAAAAAATACAAAAATAAGCTGGGTGTGGTCGCACATGCCTGTTGTTCCAGCTACTTGGGAGGCTGAGGCAGGAGAGTCACTTGAACCCGGGAGGCAGAGGTTGCAATGAGCCAAGATCACACCACTGCACTCCGGCCTGGGTGACAGAGTGAGACTCCATCTAAAAAAACAAGGCTGGGAGCTGTGGCTCATGCATGTAATCTCAGCACTTTGGGAGGCTGAGGTGGGTGGATCACCTGAGGTCAGGAGTTCAGGACCAGCCCGGCCAACATGGTGAAACCCCATCTCTACTAAAAATACAAAATTAGCTGGGTGTGGTGGCGTGCACCTGTAATCCCAGCTATTCGAGAGGCTGAGACAGGAGAATCACTTGAAGCCAGGAGGCAGATATTGCAGTGAGCCAAGATCGTGCCATTGCACTCCAGCCTGGGCAAAAAGAGCAAAACTTTGTCCAAAAAAACAAAAAGAAAGACAAATATCTCTAACACTTACCCAGTTGTTACCATTTTGGCATTCTTCATTCCTTTATGGTGTGGTGTCAGTTTCTTTGTGGTGTCAGTTTCTTCTGCCTAAAGAACTATCATTAACATTTTTTGTAGTGTAGACATAATGGTGATGAATTCTTTCAGATGTGTCTTAAGAAAATATTTGATTTGTTTTTAAAGTAATCAAAAATGTTTTACTCAGTAAAAATATCTTCAAACTTGAGGGCATTGCCACTGCTTAAGTTAATGCTTGTAGTTGGCAATATGTACACAAATTATTTGGAATTCTTCTGTACATGGGATTTATCTATTCTACCTAATTTATTTAGTAAACCATGTGTTTATATCAGTATAGATTTGTGGATATTTAATTTATGCTTTGGGTTAGAGTCTAAAACTACATTACTCATGTTATTACTCAAATCATTCTAGCTCTGAGCTTTTGGAGCCCTTTCAGGGTGATTCCTATGTTCCTTTGTCATAGACCCATAATTTTATTTTTAAAAATAGTTATGATGGTTCTCAGCATGATTTTTTAATTATATATTCTTCTTGGGGTCCATTGAGATTCTTGGGTCTGTGGGTATATTAGTTTTCCTAGGGCCACTATAACAAATTGCCACAATCTATGTGGCTTAAAATGACAAATATTTATTCTCTCACACTTATAGAACACAGAAGTCTGAAATCAAGATTTTGGCAGGGCCATGCTCCCTCTGAAGGGTCTAGGGAAGACTCCTTCCTTGTCTCTTCTTGGTTCTGGTGGTTGCTAGTAATTTTTAGTGTTCCTTGGCTTGTAGATACCTTACTCCAATATCTGTTTATGTCTTCACATGACCTCTTCACATATTTCTGTGCACAAATTTTCCTGTTTTTACAAGGACACAAGTCACTAGATTAGGGTACATCTTAGTTTAGCATTAACTCTTCTTAACTTGATTACATCTACAAAAACCCTATTTCGAGCTAAGGTCACTGTCACAGGTTCTGGATGGACATGAATTTGGTGTGTGTGTTTCTTGAGTTTGGGAGGGAGACACACTATTCAACCCAGTACAGGAAATTTTATAGTTTTCACCAAATTTGGAAAATGTTAGTGATTTATTTTATTTTATTAGTGTCTTTTTCTGCACATTACCCTTCTAGGACACCAATTACACAAATGTTAGACTATTTGATATTCTCTCAGGACATGGATACTCTGATCTTTATTTTTATTTTTTCTCTCTGCACTTTATTTATTTTTATATTTTTAAGTTCATTGATTATTTATTTTACAGTGTCAAATCTACTTTTAATATCATCTAAAAAAATCTACCATTTCTTTTCTCTTGATTCTTATATATTCATCTATTTTCTTAAACACATTGGATATACTTAGCCTGGCTGTCTCAATGTCTCTGTCTCCTAATTTTATCAGCTCTGATCTTTTAAAATCTGCTTTTATTAATTTTTTCTTGGTTTTGGATAAATTTTCCTACTTTGCAAAACTAATTATACTTGATTGGATACCAAGCATTGTGAAATTTTTATTGCTGTTTGCTGAATTTGGTTGTTTTTCTTTAAATCATGTTGGATTTTGTTCTGGCATAAAGTCAAGTTAGTTGGGATTAGTTGCATTCTTTCAAGTCTTTGTTTTGAACTTTGTTAGGGCAGGTCAGAGCAGCTTTTGGTTTAGAGTCAATGTAGCCCCAGTACTAAGGCAATATTCTTTTGAAGACTGTTTGATGCCTATATATGATAAGGCCTTTCATTATGACTAAAGTGACACAAACTATTCCCCACTGTGTGAACTTCCTAAGTTTTTTCTCAAACTACTTATCACCCAACATTTTTGTATTTCTTATCCTTGACTTTTTGTCTTTAGCAATTATTACTATCTCATAAATGACATACTTATCTAAACTTTATTGTTTTTCCCCACAGAAACTCTGTAAGGGGAGATAATTTTGTCTGTGTTATTTATTCATTGCTCTATAACTAGATCCCAGAATAAAGCTCGACTCATTATAGACACTTGATAAATATTTTCTGTATAAATGAATTATTGAATAAATTATGTCACAATTAGATCTTTCTTATTTGTCATTTCCTCAAATGTCTACTATCTAATTGAATACATTATCAATGAAAAATAATGGTAATAATATTGTCTGTGGGGCTTATTTTAAGCATGATTATCCCTTCTCAAAACTTTTGGTTTGCATCCTCGTATGTTGTAGATTGTACACTACACAAAACTATGTGATGACATGTATGTTTGTGGTCATCTTAGATTAATGTATTCATTCTACTAATTTTCCAACAGATGGCAGTAAATGTCTTGGGGACTAATATACCAATGCTTAATAGTGGCAGGGCTGTCACCAGTGAGGAAACATTTATATTTTATAAGGCCTTCAATCTTCTTTTTTCATATTGGTGGGTTTCTGCATATTTAAAAAATTGTTATCTCTTATTCTTGGTTCCTTGAGTAAGCACTTGGCTGAAGAAACGCTGAACCAGGGTGAAGAATGTCCATTGGTACTTTTGCTTTTTGATGCAGTGGCTGGAAAAAAAAAAACACTTGATTATAGTGATTCAGTAACAGAAGAGCTCCAGGCTACTAAAGGGCAGTATTTCTCAAAGACTGGTGGCATATGCTCACTATCTTCTTCACTGTGCCTCCTCCTCTGCAGGGATGCTTTGCACTGACAGTGCTTGGAAATTATGAACATTGGTTGAATCAGTGCACCATGAGCCTGGGACAGAGTTTAGTTCCTCTGGTTGGGGGATGTTTAGTAAAAAGGCCATGGACTTGGAAGCCAGAAAAACCTAGTTTTAAATTGTGGGTATAACATCTACCAGCTGAGTAAAAGTCCCAGTCAATTTATTCATTGTCTCCAAGGCTCAGTTTCTTCATCTGATAGATGAAGATAAGTGCCTCACAGAATTGTTAAGACATCTAAATGAAGTAACATAGAGAATACAAAGTTCTGGTAGATGCAAAATAAATACTATTTCCCATTCACATTTCAATGTAAGTATACATAATTTAAGTCAGCCATCAAAAATTCTATAAAGTCACGGAAGTATAGTTCAAAAAACTGGCCCCATATTTTTAGTCCAACTCAACATCTGTGGTGCTTTAATTTCTTTTTATATTGTGTAATTACTCTCTCATAGGTGAGGCCCATATCTTTCTTTTGAGATGGAGTCTCGCTCTGTACCCCAGGCTGGAGTGCAGTGGTGCAATCTCAACTCACTGCAACCTCCACATCCTCTCACGTAGCTGGGATTATAGGCATCCGCCACCACGCCTGGCTAATTTTTCTGTTTTTATTTTAGTAGAGACAGGTTTTCACCATGTTGGCCAGGCTAGTCTTGAACTCCTGACCTCAAGTGATTTGCCTGCCTCGGCCTCCAAAAGTGCTGGAATTGCAGATGTGAGCCACTGCACCCGGGGCTTTAATTTCTTCTACAGCATTCACATCAACTTGTCAACCAGTCTCATGTTAAGCATTCCAGTAACAGGGATCCCTACACATATTTGCATGAAGTTATTAGGATCCATTTGAGTGGATCTCTTTACCACGTAGAACATTTGTACTCCCTTAGCTTTCCAATGTGACATAATATTAGGCCTTGTCACCATGATGGTGGACCTCTCCACTATGTTTTTGGGCTTCCATCATCATTTCTGTATTTGCACTGCTATCTTGTTATTAGCTTACTGTCCAGAAGCCCCCTTTTTCTTTACTTGCATGCCAGCTTAGTACCATCCCATTCTACAGACATACTTCTTCTGTTCCCTGATCTGTATTCCTTTTCATTCCCTTGACTTCTGAGATATCAGTATTGCCACATTTATAAATGTTTGCATTTTGACAATATTCAATTTCTTACATAAGGGTTGAGTTATCAAAGAATTTTAGGGACAGTCAGTAAGGGAGGACCTACCATAAGGATACTTCTTGGCAGCTACATCTTGACATGGACCTCTATCGGTTCCATTTTAATAACCCGTCCCTGGCTAATAACTGTTTCCATGGGTATGTCCGTGTGCTTGTGTTGGGGCATGAGCAGACAAGAGGGAGGCAGAGATGTGCACTAAGGAAAGAGTATTAGGCACCATGATTACTTCTGATTAAAGAGGAGATTTTAAATAGGTCTGTCTCAGGATGTTACTAAAACAGGAAGCCAATGAATATACCTTTATCCTAAAAGCCTATAAACAGGCATTAGCATTAATATAACTTCCTAACTTGATCTAGTGATTGTCATCAAAATTCCTTCTAAGGATCAAACTAATATAATATGGGTTAAATAGCATTGACCTTTAATACATTTTAATCCGATTGAGTTCCCTCATTCTCACTTTTGACTTTATATTTTTAAATGACATTAAAGGTGTATATACGTAATAGTATTAAATGTTTTTTTTAAAAAAATCAAAGGACAGCTATAATAAAATGGTGCCAGAAGTTAAGAATGAAAAGGAAAAGGTACTTGATATCTTAAAAGCAAGTGGCAATACACGACAAAGGGATGCAGAGGTTACAGTAGTCTGCATCTTTAAAAACAAGTTAGGCTATGAATGGACAGCACAGACTGAAAGAGTCAGTTGCGGTGACCGTGTGCATTCACATTGATTTACCCACCTAAACACAGGCTTTAGAAGGTGGAGTTGACTGATGCTCAGGTGCTGTCTACACTGGGTCCAAATCCGATGACGAGGATCTACATTCCGCTGTATGCAAGGCTGATCACGACTTAGCTTTTTGCTCTGTTTCAGCAGATTTTCATCCCAGACCTCCAAGCATCTTGGAAACATTGCTTCATTCATCTCTATAACATCCTATTTGGGGACTTAAGTTACAAATATTATGGGCCCTGTAATTCAGCTTTCTCAAGCTAAATACAGAGAGGTTAAATAGGTCAGAAATTGGTAATAGAGATCAAGTTTGTACTGGAAGGGACTCAGCAATACTTCCCAGGATACCTCAGCAGTGTCACTCCAAAATGCTTTCAGGGATTTCTGTATGTTATTCCCCAGGGAAGTGAATTCAAAAGCACTAAAAAGAAGCTTCTATGAGGCAATTGTACAGACCAGGTTCTTTCTCTTGAGGACAGATACTATGCTGTTACTTTAGATCCTTTTCTTACATTTTCAAAGGGGCAGAATTAATGACTGAATTAGTCTAACACTGGATATGCCTCACATTTAAAGTCACAGACACCACCTTTTTCTACAGAAACCCAGAGTGCAGAAATGCTTCTTGAAGACGTTTATTACAAAGCAAGAAAACTCTTGGGCTTTCTAAAGCCACAAGCTAGATTTAGTTTCTTTTCCTTTAAAGAGGAAACTTGAGAGGCAACATTAAGAATACCTTCACAATCAGTCCTTTCTGTGGACAAGTGGGCTTGAGAAACTTCAAAATGTTGTCCTCGTTTTGTGGTTATCTTCATTTCCAAGTAATTTCTAGAGCTTGGTATGAAGGGGTTTGAGACATTTTTGTGGTTTCTCACACTTTAACTTTCATACTAACTGGCAGTTCAATAGGTTCATAAGAAGGGAAGGGAAGGGAATGGAAAGGAAATTTGGAATTGTGTAGTTACTCTCTCATAGGTGAGGCCCATATCTCTGATTGTGGCCACATTTTCTTCACAGGATAGTAGTATATTAAAGTTTTTTAAATCTGTTTTCACAGGTGAAAAGACGGAAGAGAAGATTAGAAATTAGCCTAAGATTTCTGATCTACTAATTTACAATGTAGGTGACACTGTGTTCCAAGTGTTTTGGCTTTTGGTGTAAGCCAAATTTGAGATGTATCTTTACAGCCACAAGTTTTCTGGATAATACATAGATAATCATAAGCCTCTTTCCAAATATGGAAAACATTTTATTCTCTGAGCCACTCAAAAATATATATTCTCTTCGAACACATTGCTACCTTGAATGTTCATAACATTATACATATAAAAAATTAACAATAACAAGTACATTAATATTTATTAAGCAACTTACTGCCTCACTGTACAAAGTATATACGTAGCTATGTATATGTACACACACGTATACATACACACATATACACATAGAATCTTTTTAAATAATTCTAACAACTCTCTGATGTAATTACTGTTATTCTCATTTTATCTACAAGAAAAAGGAGAGTCTATGAAACTCATGATCTTATATACAGCATAATACAATAATGACAGAATTGCCTGACATCAAAGCATGAGGTTGAATTTAAAACAAAAAGAAAAACAGATGCAAGTTGTTATCTGTACTCCTCCATATGATTAATCTGGAGAGAGAAAAGTACTAGGGAAGAAAAATCATTATTTATTGTATTGTCAGAATAATCTGTATGGTGGGCTAGAGCCATTAGACTGAATTTTACAATGAAGACACTGAGCTTCACAAGATTGCAAATTGTTGACTGTGAATTGTTTAATATAAATCAGGTATTAAATAGCAGAGTCAGGACTGTGTGAATCTACTCACAATGGGCTTTTCTTTATTGCTTAAAATCCACCCAAAGACAAAACCTTGTCATTCTCACCATAGTCACTAAAATCAGGGTGGAATTTTAGGCCACAGTCACTAAAATCAGGGTAGAATGGCACAGGACTGTGGCATTTTTACCTCAACAGAAAGATGGTATAAAACTATCAACTTTGGGCCGGGTGTGGTGTCTCACACCTGTAATCCCAGCACTTTGGGAGGCCGAGGTGGGTGGATTACCTGAGGTCAGGAGTTCGAGACCAGCCTGGCCAACATGGTGAAACCCTGTCTTTACTAAAAATACAAAAAATTAGTCAGGCATGGTGGCAGGTGCCTGTAATCGTAGCTACTAGGGAAGCTGAGGCAGGAGAATCACTTGAACCGGGGAGGTAGAGGTTGCAGTGAGCCAAGATTGCACTACTGCATTCCAGCCTGGACAACAAGAGTGAAACTCCGTCTCAAAAAAAAAAAAAAAAAGTTTGATGTATGTAAGTTGTGTAAACAAATATCCGTGGAAAACTAAGCAATAGAATAATAGTTGATGAGTCAGAAGTGTCAAACATGTAAATAGCAACATTTACTTTGTACAGAGTTCTAGAAACATTTTCTACATCTTCAGTCCTCAGGGCTTTGGAAATTTGGGGTTTAAATGACTTCTTGAGCCATAATGTGACTACTGTATTCCTCCAGGTTCCATTATAAATTTGGCGTGAGTTTCACATGGCTCTGGAAACTCTACACTCCCTAGATAGGCTAGTTTTCTCCCCTGAGTCCTCTCACCTGTAGATGGACCAGTAGAGCTCCTGGCAATCTCTGTCTGTATTAGGTAAGTAGGCAGGTGAGTAGGTAAGTAGATAGATAGATAGATAGATAGATAGATAGATAGATAGATAGATAGATAGATAATGAGTAGGTAAGTAGATAGATAGATAGATAGATGATAGAGAGATTGATGACACTTCTGGATGTGTGATAGTGAGTTGCTATGACATTGGCTTTTCTACCCCAATAGACTTAACAGCTAATGCATTTTCTCACTTTGAACACTGGTTTTCTCACAGCAGGCCTTCCATAGCAAGAAGGTTTCAGAAATCCCAGTTCACCTCTGTTTGGATTATCTACATTTCACCTGGCTCCTCCACTCAAGTGCATTTTTAGGCCAAGATCCCAGCAGTGTTATTCTTTTAATTTTATATGCACACAGAGCTGAAACATTTGAACTGCAAGCATGGGACTGTATACTATTCAATTAGATGTTGGCAACATAAACACTCACAGACACTAACTGGCACAGACCAACTACCATTCTCTTAAAGTAATGAATATACTCTAATGGTGTGGCCAATGGTAGAGCAATTTGGGAGCCTCAGGAACTATAGAAGCAGTGGAAATTATAGTCCACAGCATGACAAGAAGTCCTTTAGAAAGGACTTTTGCAATTAGCTTATTTCAGAAGAAATGCCAATTGGATTAATCTGCAAAATCTTGGCAGTATATTGATACCAATCACCTTTTGTCACTATTTGCTTACGTCTCTCTTTCCTTAGATATACGGGACCAGAGAAAAATATTGCTTCTTACAGGAATCAGTACATATTTGCACTAAAGAAAGCACAGGGCAATGAGTCTTTCTTCCCTCTTTTCCTCTTGTACCTTGTACGATTTTAAATTTCAACTTATTTTTTCCCATATAAAGTTTCTAATTAAATATTCTAGATCTATGTTTGGCTGTAAGATTTCTTTGTTTGGGGGCTCACAGCTACCCACCAAAATTTTAATCTATAGGTATTATTATTTGCAAATTTCTAGTAGTCGTTTTTATAGTCTACAACTATGGGTGTTATTGTTCCCTATCCATCTTATAATTTCAACTAAATCAAGCAATGAAAATTTTATAGTGCATCCCTAATTGTGCACCAGACTGGAACTGTTCATACAAATTCCAAGCAATTATAAGGCTTTCTGGGAAACATTGGCAGCAAACACTGGATTAAATGTTTATAACAGCAAGCCAGATGGGAAACAGAGATAAGGAAAATCTCATGGAAACCTATTTTTTTTTCCCCAAACCACAACACTATTTTAAATTAACCTGGCCAAGAGGAAGCACTTTCACATTGTTGATCAGTAAAGAGTTTTTGGTAAGTAATAACATTTAAATTGTGGGAATAATTTTACAAAGACATAATTCTTTGTATCATCTGTGACCCATGTTACCAATAGATAGCAGATAGATGGAGTTGATGAATGAAATTCTAAGGATATATTATAAAACGCAATTTTAAAAAGTAGATGTTTTAAAGCTAAAAATGTTGCTTATACGTTGAAGTTGGGGAAAAACACATGGAAATATTTAGCTGTACTTGTTTCCCATGGAGACTATGGTGCACATATAGTCAACTTATGCTAAAAATTCTTTTACTGCTTGGGAACTCAGGGGGAAGGCAGCCATTTTTGTAAATAAACTCTGTCTCTTAATGGAATTGGGCAATAAGTGCCTCTCACCCACTTGAGCTCATGCTCGCTTCCTCTAATGTGATTTAAATGGTCTGAAAGTTACAGAGGTAGATTTATAAAGAAGCTAATAATACTGAAGTTGCATGTCCCATCATTTGTATGGGCTCTATCCCTGGAAGGATTCCTAACATGCTCATACATATCATTTTAATTTATTGGGGGAATATATTTTAACTGTAATTGGTTAAGTCTGCTGTCTCTTTTCACTCTCATTTTCCCCTATCACACTTCCCCCTTGATGGATGGTATTGGAGTGGCCATGAGCATTTTTGGGTTACGGCTAAGTGGAAGTTAAACTTAAGAGACAGTTGTTGGGTTCGTGTGAGATGCAGTCAACTCCATGTATATATTGAGTCAACCCCCATATATTCATATGAGATATAGTCAACTCTATGTATAGATTTTCATACCATGCCAAGTATTTTTATGCCATACCAAAAACAAAAATTCACTAAGTTGATAAGATGCATTTTGAATAGAAGGAATGATCAGGCCCTGGGATTGTTGTGAATCCAATAATGAAGATAAATAAATCATATGAATGCTTTTGGGAAAATAGTTAAATTATTTGCTCTATCAATTACCTTTTGCTGTGTAGCAAACTTCCCCTAAAATTAATGGTTTACCCTATACCCTATGGACCAAATCTGGCCTGTAGCCCATATTTTTATGTTCCACAAGCTAAGAATAGGTTTTATATTTTTAAAGAGAAGTAGGAGAAAAAAGAGGAAGAGGAGGAGAAGTTAGAGGAGGAGAAAGAGATGAAGGAGAAGGAAAAGAAATGTAACAGAGGCAGCAGAAAACCTAATATAAAAACCTAACATTTATTATCTGGTCCTTTAGAGAAAATGTTTGCCAACTGCTGGCTTAAAACAACAATTTATTTAGCTCACTATTCAACACTTGGTGATTTGGCTGGGCAACTCTTCTTCTGATCTTGGGCAATCAAACTCACATGTCTGCAGTCAGCTGGGGTTGGGAAAGCGGGCGTCATCTGAAGGCTGGTGACTGGAATATCCTCCTTTACAAGTTTGGCAGTTGGCTGGTCATCAACTAGCATGACACAATGACTAGGCCACAGTCTCTCATTATTTGGAAAACAGGTCAGGACTTATTCTCATGATGGCAATTGCACTGTTTCCAATGACAGCAAGCAGGGGCAAGTCCCAAATCCAAGTGCTTTTTAGGGCTCAGCTTAAATCATGTTTGGTAATATTTTATGAAAGTAAGTTCCCATGGCTAAGTTATTGTGGAAGGATTCTACTAAAAGGCATGGATTTTTTAAAATGTAGCCATTCTTATAATCCAGCATACATGTTGGTTTCCCATGAAATAATGACAACAGAGATAATATAAAACTAATAATATGCCATTACTATGAGGACACCGATGACAAACTCTTAAGTGACAAGTATTTAATATTAGTTACACACAAAGAAATGTAAAATTCCCTAAAATCTTTCTGTTCACATACGAAAAATATTTGAAGAATGTTTTCCTAAATTGACAGTAATTCTGAAATGTTACGTGGAATTGCAAATAAAAAGTTGTGAATTTGAATGAATCTTTGCTAAATTATCAATAATGAAAAACATGACTTAGCATGACTAATTATGCTAAAAGAAACTCAATTATTTCTATTTTTATTGAAAAAATATAAAATCATTGTTATATTATGGGTAATGAAAGCATATACGGCAAAAAAATGTAGGAGAGAAGAGGTGTGTGTAGTTCATTGGCATTTTTTCAAGTGTTTTTTTTCTGAATTTTGCAAGGTGGTGCAATTTTTAGCTTTTTAAAGTTTGTGATTTACTTATTCTAAAACGTATTTATTTTTATAGCTAGTTTTAGATACATACTTGTGCATTATTTTCCTTATATAGAGCCTCCAAAATTTCCTAATTTCAGACCCCTTGAAACCTGAATCCACCAAGGGAAGGACCAATAAATATTCCTGCTCCAGAAACCTAGGCCTGGTCAGGAAAATAGCTGGTGCCAGGAGAAAAGAAAGAAAAGAGTTGCAGCTTCTTGTGTGGGTTTGATGTGATGGTATTTGGAATTTGGCATCTTCTTCTCAGCTCCAAGTTTGATTTAAAAGCTGTTAGCAATCTTTTCTTTTCACAATCATATAAGATGCAATTTATCAGCTCTAGAGTGATCAAAAGTCCATAGTGTTTGAAGACTGCTAAGCTGATATCTTGAATACCTGCTCACCTTGGTTACCTCTCATTCCTTCATCCCTGGCAATTTCCCCCATCCCTCAAAAGGCTGTTTAGAAGATACAGAACACATGGACATAAATATGGGAAAAATAGACACTGTGGACTACTAAAGGATGGAGGGAAGGGAGGGTAGGTTAAAAAACTACCTATCAGGTACTGTGTTCACTACCAGGGTGACAAGATCCATACTGCAAACCTCAGCATCACACAATATTCCCATGTAATAAATATGTACATGTACCCTCTATATCTAAAATAAAAGATTTGTTTTAAGAAGAGATAGAGAAGAGTTCCATTTGACAAGTGGAGTAAAAATAACACCAAGTGATCAAGTAATTTGCTCATGGTCACGTAGTATATGGGAAAGCTAGGATGGCAAACAATGTGTGTCTACTGACAAGAACCATTCTTTTCCCATCATCTCCCCCAGTCTTTATTCTTCCAAGGCATAGTGACTGCCTCTCTAGGTTGATAAGAAATATATCCAACTTTATTATACACTCATTATTAGCCATTGAATGCCTACTATATGCAAAACCTTAAGTTAAGTGCCAGAAATCCTGGAGAAACAGAGAGAATTGTAAAATAAAATGGAACAATATTGTAGGGTAGTACATGCTAAGTATCTAATATGTGCTACATAATTCTTCATATGTGAAGATTCAGGTAGGTGGCTTTGAAGGGAGTATGGAACCTATAAAGTGAAGAGGTATTGGTGGAGGAAACTCAGAAAAGGAGGAGGGATGATGAGCCGTGCCTGGTTTTATTCAGGGATATGGCTTTATTTGATATATTACCTATATTACTTCCCACAAAGCATTCAAAAGGACACTTGGAAATCATCTAGTACAAATCTCTACCATTTACAGCAGAGATATATGATTTCCCCCACCTCTGCCAACCTAACTCACTCGCCCAGGGTCACCCATCTAACCACTGAGCCAGGGTTTTCAGTCATGTTTTCTCAGCACACTCTTGGCTAAACTATTAATACTAGGACCAACCACGATACTATTATCTGAAGCCAATGGCTGTTCTTTAATGCCATCCCTAGATTAATTCAGACCTTAAAGTTACTTCTTGTGTTTACTATGCTGTGGCTGATATTTTTCAGATTTTAATCCAGGGTTGAAAACGCTAATCCTTATTCTTCGTTTCTGTTTTGTTGTTTGTTTTCATTACCCCTTTGTATTGTTGAGGCATCTTAGAGATAGTAATTGCACATAGAAAATAACTCTTTTAATAATGAATTGAATTCTTCCCATTCTAAAAACAGTTTGAGGTCACACATCATCAAGGAAGCCAGAAGATAAGACCTTTTATATTTCGCTCTTGATACAAGCAAATGAATTAAATGTGTTCTATCTTGTTTATAAGTGTTTAGCATATGTCAGAAGTTTCACGTGCATTTGATAATAGGAATCATGGAATCGCCAGCCAGTGCCTCAACACTGTCCTTCGAGCTGCTAGTTATTATCTTTATACGTCAAATGACTAGGTTTTGAAACTGGGTGGATAAAAATGAAGTTGAAATGAGCTATTTCCAAGTGGCTCAAAGAACAGCTCTCAATGCAACTAGAAATAATTAGTATTAGTAGATTAAACATGTATAGCAATGTACTTTTTTTGCCTTTAAAAATTATCTCAAAAAATATTTTAATAATTCAGTAAAAGTAGATAGAATAATTATGATTACCATTTTATAGTTGAAGAAATTAAGGTAAAGAAACATCAATGATTAGCTCACGGTTAAAGACCGTGTTAAGGGCAGAACTGGGATGAAGCCCCAGATGCTGACCTGGGTCCCATGATTCTTCCCCTCCCTCTATGACCCATCTTTTCTAAACTGTGTATCACCATCCCAACACCCTCTTCCACACCTACTTCAAATAAAAAGAATTCATATCCCTAGTTTCCAAAACTGCTGTTCAGTATTTTTATTTTGTTATTCAATGAGTGGCCCAGTTCCTTTATAATAACTACACAGTGACAACAATGTTCACTTACTTCTACATAAAACAGATTTTGTGAGTAAATAATAAAAAGCTGTGAGAAATCTTTAAATCAACCTAAAAATTTCCTGGAGACTTGAGGGACAAAATGGACAAGAGTTGTACCACAATTCCTGCAAACATTTTATTTGATCATGAAATCTATACACTTGGCATCAAAGAGCAGATTCCTGTGGATTCAAGACACAGCCCATAATTGTAATGATTAAAAATCTGTCCAAAAAGTAAAACCTAAATATCAATCTATTATATTTATGAGTTTCTTGGTTAACATGTCCAGAGGCTAATGCCACCATGGTGACTCAGAGGTACCACACAGTAATTTATTTTACCTTACATTCTTAGATAAAACAGCACAACTATACTTATTAAAAGCACTACATCACTTTAACCTCAGTTACCTCTCACACCCACTTTGCCCAAGGTCATTATGTCATCTGACCTGAGTCCAGGGCTTCTAAGAAGAAAGCCCACAGCAAGGGAGGCAATCTGGAATGACTGTGTAAGTAGGCCTTAATGGCTGTTCTTTGGCCTAATTTACAAAGTCTTCTTCCTACACTTGAGAATTCAGATGTTTCAGACACAAAATTAAAATGATGTCTTAACCAAATCATAGATGCAAGTCCTCAAATGCCATGTAATTGTGCCATCACCCCTAGGAGAAGTTCTGATTAAAACGAGTCACATTGACCTTGGATGACATGGCCTAAGGGGCAATTATTCCTCAAGGGACTTAATTAAATGCAATTAGACCAGTGAGAGTACATTTAACGAGTCCCCTTGTGGTACCTATGTTTCCAATTTATTTTTCCAGCAACTTTCACTAATGATTTGATTCGCTCAACATCCATCAATGGATAATGATAGGGTGCTCACTACTATAAGGTGATGATGGGATACTTAGGTCCCGTGATTCAGGAATTAGAGAGAAAATACAGACACGTGACAAGTTAAATAGGCATATGAGAAGGAATATGTTTATGGGCCAAGTGAACAGTAGAAAGGATGGGCAAAATACAGTCAGGAAAGAGTCACTCAATGTGGGTGAAAGCAGACACAGGTGGCTTCAGTAATAACTTGGAGGTCTTGAAGGATACAGATGAGGGTAGAATCATGGACTTCTAAGCTGGAAAAAATTTAGAAACCATCTTGCCTGGCTGGGTGCAGTGGCTCATGCCTGTAATCCCAGCAATTTGGGAGGCCAAGGCAGGCAGATCACTTGGAGTCAGGAGTTTGAGACAAGTCTGGCCAAAATGGTGAAACCCTGTCTCTACTAAAAATACAAAAATTAGCCAGGCTTAGTGGAGCATGCCTATAATCCCAGCTGCTCTGGAGGCTGAGGTAGGAGAATCGCCTGAACCTGGGAGTTGGAGGTTGCAGTGAGTTGAGATAGCACCACTGCACTCCAGCCTGGGCAACAGAGCAAGACACCATCTAAAAAAAAAAAAATCTTGTCTCATAACTTCATTTTACATTGAGTACTCTGGAGCTCTTAATGGGCTATCTAACTTACTCAAAACCATGCTGCCAGTGGCATGAAGTATTTTAGGAAAGGAGAACAGTATGAAAAAGCTGAGTGGTACATATGCATGAAGTATGTTATGGGGATGGCATGTTGACCAGTTGAATAAGGTAGATAGTATGAGTAAATATTGGTTAGAAAAATAGGTTTGGGCTTATTTCTAAAATGCTATGTGTAGAGTTTGCAATTTATTTTGCCAACAAAAAAGAATATAGACATATACTTGAATTGTGGGTTCTTACAATCAAAGTAGTATTTCCCAGAAGATTAACCTGGTAATTATGTCTCAGATGTATGGGAAATAGTAGGGACTGCACAAAGCTAGACTAGACCAATATTAATTATAACGGGAGGCCAGGCGCGTTAGCTCACGCCTGTAATCCCAGCAATTTGGGAGGCCAAGGTGGGCAGATCACCTGAGATCAGGAGTTTAAGACCAGCCTGGCCAACATGGTGAAACCTGTCTCTACTAAAAAATACAAAAATTAGCTGGGTGTGGTG
Organism: Homo sapiens; assembly: GCF_000001405.40. Taxonomy (NCBI): domain Eukaryota; kingdom Metazoa; phylum Chordata; class Mammalia; order Primates; family Hominidae; genus Homo; species Homo sapiens. The sequence goes on from NC_000009.12 coordinate 82,545,631, forward strand.
GTGTGCACCTGTAATCCCAGCTACTTGGGAGGCTGAGGCAGGAGAATGGCTTGAACAAGGGAGGCAAAGGTTGCATTCAGCCGGGATCTCATCGCTGGAGGCAGAGGTTACAGTGAACCGAGATCGGTCACTTCATTCCAGACTGGGCGACAGAGCGAGACTCCATCTCAAGAATAAAAATAAAATTATAACAGGAGTCTTCCATGAAAACAATGATCTCTACAGATATTATGAGAAGCCAAGAGTGTTGTACAAGTGATTCTGGACAAAGAAGAACAATATTGAATATGATTCCTAGGTTTCAAATAAGGATTTCGGGGGGGCATCAGGCAGTGGTGGTTGTCAGAGTTGAGAGCCAGAATTGATAGCAGGAAGGTCAAGGAGACACTGAGAGGAAAAGGCAAGATCCAAGACCAGAGGGTTCTGGGACGGCTCAGGAGCTCACAGTCAGGAATGATTAAGGGTCCAGATAAACAGTCTGGAACTGAGGTGAGCCTAGTCATTGCAGATCAGGGCAAGGCTTTGGGATGGAACCAGCAGAGAGCCATGGGCCAAGAGGGCTCAGACACCAAAGGAAAAGGTACAGATCATGGTTAAGACAGGGAGTTTGGAATGGACTCTAAGATCTTAATTCAAACCTGCAGCCTAAGTAGCAGCAAACAAGAAGTGTCTGGTGAGCAGGGAAGGCTGGAATTCAATTAAGAGAGCACCAACAGATGTGGATGATCAGCATTAAGGAGCCATTGATACTGCCAGCTGGAGATCCTTACAAAGGCAGATGAAGCCTTTTCTTAGGGAGTGTGCAAATCTGGAGGAGCACCAAGAAAAAAAAAAAAGAAAACAAAAGTGGAAATTTAACATTAATAGATATAGAAGTATTTATCACTGGAAAAGCAATGCTATAGGATTCCTTACATAATGGGTTTTTTTTTTTTTAACTGGTTAGTACTGTTTTTATTTTTAACTATATGGTGGGATTGGGAAAATGTGTATGGAAGCAGAACGTGAAGTTGTCAGTGAGGCTAAACGTACTTATCTGATTCTGTTGAATATTGAGTGGTATGGTCTGAAACTATCTCCCAAAATTCATGTGTTAGGAACTTCATCCCCAGTAGTAGTGTTGTGGGGAGGTACTTTTGGTGGTGTTTGGGTCATGAGGGCTGTGCCCTCATAAATGGATTATGCTGTTATAAAAAGGGCTTGCAGGAGTGGGTTTGCTCTCTTCTGCTCCTCTGCCATGTGATGATGCAACAAGAAGGCCTTCGCCAGATGCTAGCATACTGACCTTGGACTTCCCATCTCCAGAACTCTGAGAGAATAAAGTTCTGTTCTTTGTTATTACCCAGTCTCAGATATTTTTGTTATAGCAGCCCAAAACAGACTAAGACATTGAGGAAGCCTTTACCCCAATGAGAAAGTTGCTTAGATGTTTTCTTCTATATTAGTAAGGTACTAACTTATCTCAGAATTGCAGGTAGAAGTAGGGTTTTGTACACTCCTGCTTACAGAGAGCTGGGCATGCAGAGAATTCACCCAGATCTAAAGACAGTAATTTAGTTCTTGAAAAAAAAAATGGAGGGTGTCAATATCCGAAGCTTCAGCTGGTTTCCAAGAGGGATGGTGAGTTTGTGTTTTGTGGCAGTGATGTGGAACTCACAGCAGGACATTGAAGGAATTTTTTATTGGCCAGCTGAACAGGGATACTAGCAGGAAATGCACATATTTGGAGTCATACACAGAACTGATAGTTGAAGGTGGGTAGGGGAGGCATTGTTGCTTTTTAGCAATAGTTACATCAACTGTTGTTTACATGAAATTGTTTCTATTTCCTCCATTTTGAAGGTGCAAACTCATTTCATACTAACTGGAGCATAAATGACTTTGGTAGACTCTGGCCACAGCTGGGCTGGATGGTAATTAGAGGGGCAGCTGTCTAGGTTTGTGAATTGCAAACACATCTGGAGATGTGACATGGATTTAAAAAGCAGCCTTCTACAAGGGGCCAGCAGGCCAGAGTCTAGCGTCTGGCTTGTCATCAGAAACCACGGGGCATATGCTTAATAAAGCACAGTTTATAGTTCCATCAGTCACTTAAGTTAAGACTGGTTCATGTCGGCTTTTGAAAGAGCAGGGAAGATGTAGCTGAAAAGAGTCTCTTTCGAGGTTTTAATTATTTTCTGGTTGCTATATAGTATACTTATCTTGGCCTTTCACCTGGCATTCTGGAATGTCTACCCCTATTTCAGCCTAAACTACAGAACCAAAATGAAAATTTATATAAAGTCAAACCAAACAAAAATTCTGTGGTGAAAACAACTTTGAATGAAAAATACATTGCTTTATAAATAATCTGAATTTAGAATACAGTGGCCAAATACTTCGGGTATTCATTTTTCCACTGAGCCAGCTTTAGTGCCATTAACCATGGGTGAACAATGGGGTAGGTATGGCACCATAAATGCAGACACAGGTCTGGGTTCATTGGCTTTGTGATAGCAAAGATGAGTGTGTCCCATGCCAGCCCTGTTGAAATACATCCAATTTTGGAATGACAATTTAATATAAGCAGCCAAACATGGACTTAGTCCAACCTCAAATGTCCTACTAAAACTGTGTGATGGCTCATAAAGATAGCTCTGTCTCCAGGAATTTTATGGACTGAAGCAGTGTGTTGAAGTGACAGATAGCACCCCCAATCCCTCTATTGAGATCTGGATCTGTGTTGTTTTGGACCACTATGTACCAGAGAGAAATGTCCAGCAGAGGGGAATTAGATATGAAGTCTGTATTCGTCTCATTCTGATTCTGTACCTATGATTCGTTAATTTTGTAATCTTCAAAATGGAAAAATAGTTCTAAATATAACCAATTGAAAGAATATTGTGGTGCTCATTGTCTTGAGGAGGCATTTTCCACTGTGGCATTAATGTTCCTTTTGTAACAATTCATGATCCCTGACATGTTTATTGGTTGTTTTTTGTTTTTATTTTCAGAATGTACTGCCATAAACACATACTTTCTGAACATCTGGTATTTTAAATAATTCAGATAATGAGAATTATGACACACTGGTTTCTCCTTTTTGTGTTAGTTGCCAGGAAGCTCAGAGCTAAACACCGTGCTGAATTCCTTATCCCGAGTATTAAGTACAGTGATCTCCTGTGTTCTTAATCTGCATCCTCCTTTTTAAAAAAAATACTATAAGAATACGTTGGCAAGTTTTTAAGCTGTTCAATATTGGGGGGGGTGCTTTCCATGGAGGTATAAAATTAAAGAAAAGCAAGAAATATGATGAGCTCTTCATTACTCATGCTTTACCTGTTCATCAGGACTCCAGCTCTTTGTCCCACCACAGTCTGGCTCATTGAGTAACATTAATGTACAATGTATTGTCTCACTGCCGAGCTTTCCACAGGATCTTGTTCCTATTTATTATACCCCAACTCTGAACTGGTCAGACCTATTGCCTCTTTTGTCCTAGAGCTTATGGCTTGGGGTGGTGGGTGACTCCCATGTTATTGTGTCCTCATGACAAAGCTAAGAGTGAGACAGGATACCCTCAGAGGACATGAGTGGGATACCTAAACCAGACAGGGTCAAGGATGAGAAGGAAACAGACCAGGCTTCCCAAAGGAAATGACCAAAGCAACTAGAAGGGGTGATAAGGAGAGACTGATGCAAGTGCAGGGAGCAACAAGAGGCAAGAAGCACGTGGCCCACTTGAGGAGTGTTGTGCTTATCCAGCAGAGCAAGAATGACCATTGACATTTGGTATAATGTCAAGACCGATAACAACATACATGCACCAAGAGGGTATGAAAAGGTTTATTACTCACCTGCCATGGCTTCCTGAGGAGAGTAGGGCAGGCTCCCAAGGAAGACCAAAAAATGGCTTAAAAGAGCAGGGAACAGAGAGTGGTTTGGCTTTTTTGTGGTTGTGAGGTGGGGCCAGATTAAGGGTTCTGTGCAAGTTCCCACTAGCACCAAACGAGGGAGCACCTGCCCTTTTTTTCAGCCTGCCCAGATATGGGATAGAAAGGGAAATGGGAGTGTTGGGGCTTGAAATCTGTCCTCAGTCAAACTTAAATTATGGAGTCAGATTCCTTATTACAAGTAGTTAAATAAATTCAATCAATAATAGATATAGGGGATCAAGACAAGAGGAAGGAAAACACTTTAGTGATAAGGGTGAACCAGAACTAAAGCAATGGTGATAACAGATGGTTCAGAGCTTTAAGAGATATTCTGGAGGTAAACTGGTAAGAGACAATGAGTTATTGAATAATAAGTTGTGAGAGGAGAGATGGAAGAGAGAGAAATTGAAAATGGGGCCCAGATATTTGGTTAGAACAAGTAGCTGAAAGATAATGTCATTTACTGATGTAGGGAATATAGGAGGAGAAACAGGTCTAGAGGACAAATGATTATTTCCATTTTGGCATGTTAATTTTGAGTTATTTATGGGATAATCAAATGGAAAACTCCTACAAAGAAGATCTAGAAGTTATCCATATATCAGATAATTAAAATCTTCAAAGAGAGCTTTTAATAGATAGGAATTAAAACCATGGAAGATACCCAGGAAAAGAGAGTATGGGGTGGGAAAATGTCTATGACTGAGAATTGAGGAGCTTTAACATTCACAGGGAAACTATAGGTATAGGAGACCCCAAAGGAATTTGAGAAAATATGGCCAAAGAAAGAGGCTCAAAAGGGCACAGGATCAGGAAGTCAAGGGAAGTGAGCATTTCAAAAAGTAGAAGCTGGTCAACCATTGCAAATGCTCCCAAGAATTCATGTAAGATAATACTAAAAAGTATCTACTTGATGGAGCACCTAAGATTTAATTGTTGAGTTCAGACAATGGCTATTTTAATTGATCAATAGAGGCAGAAGCTATACTTCAGTGAGTTTAATAGCAAAATGGATGTTGAAGAAGTAAAGACATCAAGTATGGACAGCTTTTTCAAAAAGTACAGCTGGGAAAGCAATCATGAAAAAAGTATTTTTCATAAAATAGGAACGACTTGAACATTTCAACAGTTGATGGACAGGATAGGATATGTTGGTCAAAGCATATTAAAAGAAAAGAAGTTGATGGCTAGAAGCCAGTGGAAAAAGAAAGCTTGAGATAAAGAAAAAAAAGGTGTAACTGAGATCCCAGAGAAGATGGAAGGTAATGAAATTCATATCATATGTCAAAGGATGTACTATAGGAAGAGTAGACACCCTTCTTCCATTTGCTTCAGAAGAAAAGAAGAGTATGGGAAATGTGTGATCTTAATGGCAGGAATGTGAGAATTTTCATCCAGTGGTTTCTGTTTTCTTACTGAAGTAGGAGGCAAAAGGTAAAATCACATCCTAAGAGTGAGGAAGAAAATTGAAGGACTGAGGATATACAAATAGGGAGGGTTGTTTGAGAGAGATAGAAGATTTGAGGAAGGAAAGTTGGAAACAGTTGCTAGAAAGATCCAAAGATAGAGAACACATTAGGAAATAGAAGATTGCCAGGTGCATTGAGGGTGCATTTAAGATCGTGACTTTTAATCCCAGCTACTCGGGAGGCTGATGTGGGAGGATTGCTTGAACCCGGGAGGCGGAGGTTGCAGTGAGTCAAGATTGCACCACTGCACTCCAGCCTGGGTGAATGAGCAAAACTCCATCTCAAAAAAAAAAAGTTCAAGACTTTTTAGAGGCATCAACAGGACTCCATTATGCAGGCATAGACACAGAGGAAATGATGGAGAGATGGATGACTGAGTGTGGGGGTTTTATTAGGCTGGCGTGTTAGAAAAATCACAGGTGAAAAACGAATTTGAAGACGTAAGTGAGGCATGCAGTCTCATCTGGATGGAAAAAGCAGTGAAGTCTGAGTGAGGCTGGTAGAGGGGTTCATTGCATTCCAAGTCTCAATGGGGTCAAAGAGAAAATCTAGAGTGACTCACTGAGAGAACTGAAAGATAAGACTTGGTGGAGGCAGCACGCACATTTACCCTGGGTAGGGGAGCAGTTCCAGATGATGACCCAGTGCAGTGTGTATCCCAGGGAACAGATGGCTGAGGTGAAGTAGAAGTAGACATCTCTGGAGGAGGAGTCCTGGGTGTCAGGGGAGATACCCACGCAGGTGCTGAAATTGCTTAGGAGGATTTTAAGACATGAGGCATGATGGAAGACTATGAACCTTGTGTTAGGCTCTAATGAACTGACAGCAGAATAGAATGCATCTCACAGAAGCAGGGTTTTCAAAAAATGCTGGAGGAATGATATTATGCAAAACTGGTTGAACAGCAGCCCCACCTCTTTGCCCCATGCTGGGAACACAGGCAGCTTCTCCTAGAGAAGATATCAGTAACTCACTGTCCTGAAGAAAGAGCCTCTAGGGAGACATGCAAGAAGTTGAGGATTTAGACAAAAAGAGATGCCATAAGTTGCCCAAAGTCACCAAACAAGGCACTATCAGGATTTTGCTCATATCCCTTTTTATGCAAGGTTCCAACATTTACTATAACCTGCAACTGTTCTACTGCAAGTAACTGCAATTATCTGCCAAGTGCTTTCTGTGACTGCAGGAATGTTCTCCCCACCCCCACCCTGCCCACACCTCACTCAGGGAAAATAGAATGGGTGGGGAGACTTATGGCCCTAGGATCAGCCCTTAACCAATGATGAAAGGAGATGGTGGGTACACGCCCCAAACTTCCATTGTCCCCAGATAGGAAAACTCTGAATTATATTCCATACAGTTTCCCACAGTCCCCAGAGGAACTGGGGACTGCATGCAGTGGTAACCTGCTCATTAATTTACCCTGCATTGGTCTCCTTCCCTTGCTGGTCTCATCTCTACTCTCTTAGCTTCATGGGACTGCGGTTGCCAGATAAAGGATACTCAAGTAAATTTGTAAATTCGAATTTCATATAAACAACAAGGTTTTGTGTGTGTGTGTGTGTGTATACCACAAGTTACCACAAATACTGCATGGAGTATAACACACTAAAAAATTGTTTATCTGAAATTCAAGTGTAGCTTAACTCCTGCATTTTTATTTGCCAAATCTGGCAATCCTATCTAGGATTGCTTTCCAAATAATCTACTTGTACTCCTATCCTTGCCTCAGGGTCCTCTTCTTATGGATCCTAGACTAAGACAGTTAACGGCTATCCTAGAGGGATACACTTTGAAGAAGAAAAATCTCTGAGAACAAACTTCAGAGGCAGCATTCTACTGCAACATCCAAATCAGATTAAAATTATAAAGGGCTATTGTTCTAATGCTGGCAATAAACTAAAATTACCAGGAAAAGGCTATGAACCCAGCCTCAGCACATTTTGCCTGATTTGTAGAAGCCATCACCTCATCAGGAAAACACCTGTTATTCACTCACCTTTATTAACTCGATGCCAAGTATCATTAGTACAGCTATGCTATGATAATGCTCTATTCATTCTATCAGCAAATGCCCTAAATGTCTATCACTGGAGTACAGCCTCTGTTTCAATAAAATACCATAACTAAATATGAAAAAGGGAGGCCATGCATCCCTGGTACTCGCCCTGACCCAGTACTTTCCAATAATAAATTGGGCTTGATTACATCAGGGCTGGGGATCCCAGATGATTATTTTTAATGAACTTTCAAACTGACACTTGTCTGTTAATAATTTAGTTAAAATCCCAATGTTTGCTTGCTGCTGTTCCTCTCGAGAGACCCCTCTGCAAATTCTGGGTAGGAACTACTTCACCCATCTACCTAATACCACCCTCACCATTTTCCAAGCTTTGCTAAGCCCTGGTTCCTTATTTCCATGAAATCCTCCAAACCTTGATGGAGATACGGTTTCATTTCTCATCCTTGTAAAAATAAGTCTTTCAGAGCACCTTTATCTCCTCAACATGTTTGGTGATTCCTTTGTCTTGAATTTCAGTAGCAGAAGTTCAAGTTATTACTTTTGTACGTGTGCAGCAAATAGAAATTGTTGGTGCTAATGGGAGCTTATGTTCAATTCAAGTATAAAAGTTGTTCAAGTATCAAACAAAACTGTTGGTTTATGAGTGTTAGTAACTTCTCTGAATATTCAAAATGATGTCCCATCAGTGCTATCTAATTTGGGCATTCACATGATCATTATTTTAATATAACACCAGCCTCTTTCATCTCAGTAATAGATAGCGCCAGACTGTGGCAGTATCAGCAAACCTGAGGGCTGCCAACAGCTCTTGAGTCACTGGGGAATGCTAGTGAAGTTCACTTTAAAGAAAATGATCCTCACTTTTCCATGCATTCACAGGCTTCCTTTTGATTTTCGTGTTGAGCCTATTGACTTCAAAGTATCCTTTCAGGATCACTCAGAAGGCCAGAGACTCATCCGTGTTCTGATTCCTTGACTTTGCTCCATGCTCAGCATTTGTTTGAAATCTGCGGGGTGCCTGGCTAGAAGAATCTCAATAGGTGGCAAGGAGAGACAAGTGTCTGGTCTCAAACCTTCTTTCTGGAATGATTACAAAACCAAGTCGAGACAGGGGAACTGGGTATCATCTTGCCAATGAGTCATCTTCCGAAAATGAGTAATCAGATGCAGCATGGCAGGAGAATGGCTACAAAGGAAGGCCCGTTGTATAGGGTGCTTACACCTCCCTCCACTGCCTGTGCAAGCTTCACCATTTTGAAATCTCAGAAAATTGGACCTACACTATAATTTGAAGGAAAATAATCTTCCGATTCACAAATTATTAAATTACGTGGGTATAAATGAGAAGTCAATATCGATGAAGACAGCTATCTTTAGTCTCATATTCCTAATTGCAGCTCAGGATTTTCCCTATGGAATGAATGGATGAATAAAAGAAACCCCTCCCAGAAGAGCCCTAAGGATTCTAAAAAGATGCACAGAGTTGCATAGAGATTCCTCTATCTGGCTCATTCTGAAGCCAGCATTGTTCTAATAATGGGAACCAGATGGCTTATCAACGTAAAATTCAGCCCAGTATGTAACTTCATGTAACCATAGTCCTGCTGTCTGTCCCCTTTCTTTGGTCCATATGGTTGACTCTAAAATATACTTGACCATGATACAAAAACATAGAAGGATCACGTGGGTGGCCACAGTGATGAAATATTCCAGGCTTTGCATCCCACCCATGACAAAGGACTTGCCGGCCAGTCATTTGCCTCTAATTCAGCTTTGTAATTATTTTCACTTAACTATTAAACACATTCTGAACAATTTTTACATCATTTGCAGTCTAGACTATGCTTAGATGAAATAAGATCAAATGGCTGAAACATACAGAAATTCAGACAAAGCAGGAATTTATCATTCTCTGGGATTAAGCTACTTGGTTGTTTCATGAAACTGAACAGTCCATTTTTTTAAATTAGTTTCTATTTTCACAAACTGATTTTATCACTTGAACCCAGCCGGGTGCACCAATGTTTGCCAAGATGAAAGCTTTTTCACAATGCTAATGTCCTCAGACCACATATTTGAATTCTTCATGCTGTCACACTTTCATAGGATTTTTGAAATAAGTAAGGTAAAAAAATAAGAATTCACAGGCATCTCCCCCAAAGCTTTCTGGGACCCCATGAAAGCAACTTGCCACTATTTGTAGATCACTCCTCAGAGTATGCTGGGAGCCAGCTGTTGATGTGCAGTTTTTCCAGAGACTGAAGATATGGGCCACATCATATTAATCTGGGCAATGACTCTTTTGAGCAAGTCCCAGATAAAGTTAGTGATTTGCAAAAGCTTTTATCAGTTGCTTGATGGCTTTTGCAGAGTGGAACACTACATGACCCATGTGATTTGTTTTCATTTACAAAGGTGCAGAGGCTTTGAATTTAAAAATGGAACGTTTTCTTCTCGTGCCAAACGTAAACAATTTAACATCCATTTCCTATCCAGCTATTTTACCAGTTCAAAAGAGTTTATACGAATCTTATCTGTATTGTATTTCCTGCTGATTGGCAGTGCCTCCTGCTTCAGCTGGGAAGCCAAAAATGTGCTGGCTCGGATTTGAACAGGAAAGGCCTAACAAAGAAAACTGGGAAATAAATGTAATGAGTGGTTACGGGGTGCTGAAAACTATACTTATCATTTCTTATTCTCGTGGAGTTGGTGCTGCCATATTGATTTATGCCTGGGAAGTCTTTTATGGAAACACACAACAAAAGCTTCAGATTATTTTGTCAACAAGAAAACACAGTTTACCATTTGTCTTCAAAGTCCCCATTTAGTCCTGATTTGAGTGGTTCCATATTCCTTGCTGCTGAGACTCCCTGAGCCCTGGAGGAGGTTTGCATTGGATACAGTAAATCTCCATAAAAGATAAAGGCCTCCAGAATGCCACAGAGCTTGTTTTCAAGGCCAGTTAAATAATTTGATAGGGACCATGAGGAGTCCAGAGAACAGAAAGTATGTGGCTATTTCAGGCCAACTTAGACTCAGTTTACTGGGCCCCTGAGACCAATTTTTTTCCTTCCAGAATGGAAAGACATTTATTGGGCCTATTGTTTGAAGGTCTTCAGTCTCTTTCTCACATTCAAAGCTTGGATGATTGGAAAGGAGAGAAGGAAAAGAACAAAAACAGCCGTCTAGACATCTCCTAGTGGAATATTACATTTATAAACCATTTTCCTTGCCTTGTCTTAACAATACATTATGAACTGAGATAAAAAGATCATAAACTTGTGTTCTATTGTAAAGAGGTCCGGCAAGAGTTATGGTTTTCTTGAAAAAATCAACTATTAATTGTTACTTTGAGGTCACACGACCCAACAATTTCTATGAAAGGCCTTCAGCTGCCATTTCCAGTAATGTTCTCATTTGCCCTCAGCTTCCCCACCCCTACCCTACACTCCACCCCAATTTCCACTCCAATCTCAATACTCAATTTAATTGGGCTTACCAAGTATATGGGGAGTGCATTATTTTTTCGATACATACCCTGAGGTTCCTGTCAGTCAACCTCATGTCTGCCACTATCATCTAATTGTTGGATCCTTGTATTAAACATAAGACACAGTTTAAGGTAACTTTAGCACTGACTAAGGAGGAGCAGTGTGTGGACATGCTTTCTGAGGCTCTCTAGGCAAGATATGGTTGTAGTAAAAACAACACTACAGGCATCGCAGCTTCCAGTCCTTGGGTAAGCCACGTAACCTCTCTGAGCCTCCATTTACTCATCAATAAAACAAGAGCATGGAGCCTGATAACCAAAAAGTCACTGATTCTTGATTTTTTTTTTTAAGTTTTTAAGCAGATCATTGTGTTTCCCAGAAGCTGAATACTTCCTTGAAAGGTTACTTCCAGGCATTAGATGCCCTTGCTATGAAGAGCACAAAGTGTTCTACTGCAATACACATATCCTGATCTTCATATAAATACCTTCCATTTGTTCAATGCTGTTGGTTTACCAAGTGTTGACCCACCGGCTAACTTCTCACCAGCACACCAGTGCTGTGGGTAACAGTGTCAGCTGCTGTCTGTGGCATAGTGACACTCTGAAGAGCAAATGGGATGGTGCATATGATCGGAAAATATATGGTAAACTAAAACTCACCATTCAGAAACTGTAATTGACATTTCACAGAACTTTCCCACCCTCCTGTTCTTTTTTGCATGCCTTTTTTTTTTCCTCCTTACAAGGAAATATACTGATTTCCTGTCCCTGTATTTACATATGCTTTCCACTTGAAAGGTCATCAATTATTTGGACAATGATAACAAGATATTTCATTAAAAAATAATCTCCAAATATTGGGCAACTCCAGAGATGGAATACTCTCATTAAAGTTTATTTGATGATATGCAGTTAAAACTGAAGGAAGAAGCATACAATTTGTTAGCCTCACAAAACCCAGCCTCAGAGCACCAGAGTTGAGACTATTTTTAAGGAAGCTACAAGTTCATTTAAATGATACACCCAATTTGTACATTTTGCTTCTTACCAATGCACTAGTCCTAGAGTAGTAATGTCTGGCTCAAACTAAATGATGTTTGTTTTGTATATAAAAAAAAAAAATATGTTAAAGCATTGAATAGGTGGATGAACAAATTGCCTTCCCATTAATATACATTGCACTAATAGCTGACTAATGGGTGGTAGTTATTGTGTAGCCTACTTCACCAAGGATGGAGAAGTATTATCAGTGGGTCTTGTACGCTTTCTTTTACCTGTTTGTTTTCCACCCCAAGGGAAAAATATTAGGCTTATTAGGTACCCGCACTATTTAGGCTTCTTTGAAATTTGAAACTATACAGAGTTCTACTCTAACATACCAGCCCTTCAGATAGGTGGTCCTGATGTTTCATTCTTAATCTACTGGAGAGACTGGTAGGGCCATCTATTAGGTTAATTTATGCCGGGGCACTAGGAGGACCTGTGCCCCAACATAAATGAAGAGCTAATTACTCTTGGATTTCTTGGATATATGTGAGGATATATGTTTTCTTGGATATATGTGAGGGGGTGGGGCCTACATAATCTCCAGTTTCCCTCATGACATTAATATCTTATGGTTCTATGAAAGCAGCACCTCTGCTCACAGAGTTGTGTTTGTTCACATACAATAAATAAAAATGAAAGTGTTGATAAATAGTTATCTCTAGTGGGATTGCTGGTGATTTTTAACTTATCTAAACTTTCCTTTATCAGAACTTTTTTACAATTAACATAAATGATTTTATAATTAAATGAAACAAAATAAAATCCTTTTCACTTTGAGGAAAAAAATACATAATTCTAGGAGGAAAAAGGCATCAACAACAACAAAATATTAATTTCTGGCTCTTCGCTCAGAGCCATGTCTTTCAGACTTTAACCCTCAATTGATGGGTCCCACCCTGGAGATTCTGATTCAATAACTCAGGATGGGGCCTGAGAATTTCCATGTTTCACAAGCCTAAGGATGACACTTTGAGGAACTTGGCTGTAACAGTGAACCATCATGTGGATATGTTTTTTGGCTTATATTTATGACTGAGTCAGTTCTGCCTCAAATTATTTTTTTGTCTGTGACTATCACAGTGAGAAGGGAAAATTCCTGCATCCATATCCACTTAACTTAAGAATCTCACCATCACACTTAATGTGTTGTTTCTAATTCCCTCACATAGAAGCATCTGGAGCTAAAGAATTGTCCTAAGGCTCAGTTCCACTGGAAAAGTGTGTTTCTACCCCAGATGAGACTTAAACCCAGAATGTTTAGTTCAGCATCCCAGAGTTTAATCCATTTGGGCCTTAGGACCCCAGGACCCTCCAAAACCATGCATTGAGAAAACACAGACAGCTATCTAAAGTCAGGGCAAATCAATGGGGCAGTGGCTTGGAACGAGTTTCCTGTTGGAGCTCTGGCACTAGCACGTGCTCTCAGTAACAAAATCACAGGTCATCCCTAGGCAACGGATTAGCTGGTCAGTGAACTGAACTTTGTTTCATCACCGAGTTTTATCTGAAATGTCAAGGAAGAAAAAGTCACAGAGAAAGAAGGAGGCAGGGCAGGGAGAGAGAGAGAAAAATGGTTTCTAAGAGCTCTCAATATTAACTTACTAAGGGGTGCATCCTATGTAAATTATCTACTTTCTAATTTAAAAAAATAACTTGACTGAAAATAAGCACTGGGTTAATTACAATTTTGCTGCTTTGACCACATCACTGAGGTCTAAATGACAGAAAAAAAGTAAAGTGGATCTTCTAACCACAGAATGCCTTCCATTTGCAAGTCTTCGCCACAGAAGCAGCCATAATGCTAATATTTATGGGAGCTTACTGGGTGCCTTCTGTTCCCTGAGTTAGTCATCCCCACGTGATTACTTTAAACAGGAAAGCCCAAAGCACCAATCTTTGAATGGTTTCAGGGTCAGTGTCACTTTGGCAACATTGTTCTTTGGTATTTTGCTCTAGATTTAGAGCTAAAGAACCTTTCTTACGTATCTCACGTGTGTGTGCATTCATTACCTCCTGCGAATGCTTATGTGTGATATATAAGGAAGTGTATGCAAGTACATGTGCCTGAAGTAGGGGTAAATACTGCACTTGATTTATTTAGGGGGTCAATTCCCTTCCTTCTTCCTTTCAGTGGTTCTCTTCTCCACCTTATTTCAGAAGGGGAAAAGGAGGGATGAAGAAAGAGAAAGGACGAGGAAAAGAAAATGAAGAAGAATGAAAAGAGGGGGGAGAGGAGAGAAAATGGTGTGTACGAGCAAATAAGGGAGCAGGATTTAGAAAGGAAGAAATGGAGGAGGGGCTTTGGGAATCCCAGCTTTCCTCTGCCTTATCTGTTCTTTCTTCTCTTTCCTGCAATTCTGCAATTCCCAGGCTGCCAGACCCGTCCCCCAGGCCTCTCCCATCCATTTCCCAACCTGTGCATGCTGAAGTCTCATACCTCTGGGTATGACCCCCAGCATTCCAGCTAACATCAGAAATTCTAAAAAACTTTTTGTTCCCATCATTAAGATAGAACCAAGAGGCTACTTAAAGAAAACACAAAAGGCTATAAGGAATTTCCGACACTCCAATTCTTTACAACCACACATGATGAGTGCACAGCTCCTTTCCTCCCTCCTAAGCTGCAGAGACCTATTTAAATATATGCAGAAGAATGCCAGCAGCCCTCCTTAAACTGAGGGCAAAACTGCCCATTACATGGCACCCCATTATGCATTCCATTCTTTGCAGGGTTTTATTTTGAGGATGTACATTGCTGGGTAAAGAGGGGCCTTTAGGGTAGAGTATATTTCAAAACACAATTAAAATAAACTCTTCAAGTGGAAATGTAAAATGCATTTGTATTCTATTAAAGCCTTTGGCTTATCAACTGCAGAGTGCTCCTTTACAAGGTCATTAGTAACCAGCATCACACAGTGGCCAACAGGCATCAGCTGCACAAAAACAGACAGGGGCCCAAACACCACAATCACTTCCTGTACCTGTTCTTGTTTGCTTGCTGAGCCCTCGAAATTGGGAGTTGCTGAAATACATAAAAGCGTAACAGCTTGAGTCAATATTTGCCGGCCTAAGCGAGTGATTTTGTTTAGTGAGGTGACTGAACCCCTTGAATAAATACATCTCCTTGTATGTAGGAGAACAACCCCAGGCAGGCCCTTCGAGGAGGGCTAAGGGCAGAACTAGAACTGCCCTTGGGGTGGAACTTGGGGTGGGGGGCAGCGGCGCTGAGTCTTCCAAGGATCTTGCTCTGGTTCTTTCCCTGCAATTCTCTGCATCTAGCTGCACTCTCCTGCTTCTAGACGAAAGGTTCGCATCATCATCACCTGGGAGGCTTGATCAAAAGCTGATGGCTGGGCACAGAGCTCTGATTCAGGAAGTAGGGGGTGGGCCTAAGAATCTGCATTTTTACAAGTTCCTAGGTAATGCTGATGCTGTGGGTTTGGGGAACACACTTTGAGAACCACTGGTCTAGACCAGCTCTGTCCAATACAAACTTAATGTGAGCCACATGTGACTTGAAATTTTCTAGTAGCCATGAAAAAAGCAAAAGGAGGCCGGGTGCAGTGGCTCATGCCTGTAATCCCAGCACTTTGGGAGGCCGAGGTGGGCAGATCACGAGGTCAGGAGATCGAGACCATCCTGGCTAACACGGTGAAACCCCATCTCTACTAAAAATACAAAAAAATTAGCCGGGCATGGTGGCAAGCGCCTGTAGTCCCAGCTACTCGGAAAGCTGAGGCAGGAGAATGGCGGGAAGCTGAGGCAGGAGAATGGCATGAACCTGGGAGGTGGAGCTTGCAATGAGCTGAGATCACACCACTGCACTCCAGCCTGGGCGACTGAGCGAGACTGTCTTAAAAAAAAAAAAAAAAGCAAAAGGAAGCTAATGAATTTAAGTTTAACAACCTATCCAACATAATTTTATAATGAAATCAATATGAAAATTGAGATATTTCACATTTTTTTTCTTTTCTTTTTGGTACTAAGTCTTCAAATTCCAGTGTATATTTTACACTAACAGCACATCTCAGTTCAGATCAGCTGCATTTCAAGAGCTCAATAACTGTCTGCCTAGTGGCTACTGGATTGCATGGTGTAGTTCTTTCTAGATCATTCTCTGAGCATTCCAGGAGCTAGAAATTCTCAGCCCTAAAAACATAGGCCTGCTTCCAGGGCCTGGGCATCCCACAGGATATACCAGGCTGTGGGAGTGAGTGCACATCCCCAGGCTCAAGGGTTGCCCTGATGGTGGTTGACAGTTGAGAGGGTGAGGGGTTTGGGAATGAACTTGGACAAAAGGGCTGGGGTGTCCATAGGCATGAAGACATGGGCCCTTGAGGTGTAGAATAGAGTCTGGGTGGGGAGAAAAATGGGGCAACCTGAGCTGTGTGTGTGTATATATATAGAGAGAGAGAGACAGAGAGAAAGAGAGAGAGAGAGAGAGGGAGAAGTGAGAGCAAGAGAAAGAGAGAGAGAAGGAGAAGTGAGAGCCAGATAGGTGAGGTGCTTCCATTTATTCCATTCCAGGCTCAGCTACAGAAAAATCCATTCCCCCTAACACACCCTTAATGGATTTTGCAGAAAGTTCCCCTTATTGCTGCATTCACCACGTCTCACCTGTCTTCAGGGCACTTAGCTTTTGGGTTTGGAGCTATCCCAGGGCACTGCTCATAAAAGGAGACACCTCACTTTGCTGCAGGCCTCTCCTTCCAGGCTTTTTTCTTTCTTTTACGAGTGGCTTGGAGTCTGACTTGAAGGAGCGATCATAAAGAGAATGATTGCTTTTACGCTGGCTGCAATGAGAAAAGGATTCTGTGAGGAGGGAGTTATACATGGAAATCAATACCAGCATTGGAAAGCATCCCCTTTTGCCTATATAAGTGCTACCCACAGGGTCAATAGCTGGAATTAACCTGGACCCTTTCATTATTATTGTTATTTTTAATAAAGCTGCTTTACGATAGACTCTGATATGAGCTCCCAGGCTGCAGCTGCACCGATGTAAAGGGAGTGAAAAAATAGTTTTATATAAAAGTTATCTTTTGTCCCAGTGGGTACCACTCCCCAGTCCCACCTCCCTCCCCGTCTCAGTCTCTATAGACTCAGAGGGGGAGAGTGAAA
This sequence comes from Homo sapiens, assembly GCF_000001405.40. NCBI lineage: Eukaryota > Metazoa > Chordata > Mammalia > Primates > Hominidae > Homo > Homo sapiens. The sequence goes on from NC_000009.12 coordinate 82,562,698, forward strand.
TTCAGCTTTTTATAAACATAAGCAGAGACCAACATAAAAAAGAATGTGCTCATTGCTCTGATTTTATACATTGTGTAATTTGTAATGCACAATAATAGAAATTAGTTTTTGTAGGTATGGCTGTATTAAATGCTGACTACATGCCGGACCCTATCTTTGGTACTGTACTGACCTCATTTAATTCTTTCGACAATCCTTTATGATGAATCAATGGACATCCAGGATGGACAAATGTGTCAGGGAAGGTAATAAGTAGTTGAGAGGCTATGTGCTACCAGGCTTTTTGACTCCCAGACCTATGCTGTTTGCTGGATCAGAAAAATTGACTTGATGGGTTCTTCTTCTTTGTTAAAACAGGTGTTGAAAGCCTCAGGTGTCTGCCCATGTACCTTATTTGGGCAAACTTCTGCCATTCCTTCTGTTAAGCTCTACAAAGATGAAGCAGTAAAAAATTATTTTCACCATAAACCTAGATTCAGTCTTTGAATCCTCTGATTTTCTCACACCTCACGACCATTCTTCAGGAAATCCTGTTAGGTCTACCTTTAAAATACATCCAGACTCTGACAACTTATGCCACCCCCACTGGTTGTCACTTCCCCTTTTGTCCCTGTATGGACTGCACTTCATACAGAAGCCAGAGTGAAACATTATTAAGTTAGGGCATAACCAGTTCCATATTCAAAATCTTCCAGTGGTTTCCCATCTCATTCAGAGTAAAAGCCAAATTCTTTGCAGAGTGCTCTAAGGCCCTACGTGTTCTTCCCTGAACAGACACACACACACACACACACACACACAAACATACACACATGCACACACAAACGCATACACATACACACTCAACACACATGCTCACACACATGCACACAACACGGACACATACATGCTCAACACACATACACACACTACACACATGCACATGTACACACATACACTTATACACACTCAACACATATGCATGCACACATACACCACACATTGTCTATACTCATGCATACATATACATATGTACATATACACACTCAAAAGATATATACACTCAGCACATACACTCAACACATAGACCCACACTCAACACACACTCAACAGACATGTACACACATGCATACACACCGATGGTTTGCATTTGTGTTCCCACCCAAATCTCATGTGGAAATGTAATCCCCAGTGTTGGAGGATGGGCCTGGTGTGTGGTGATTGGATCATGGGGATGGTTTCTAATGGGTTAGCACCATCCTCCCAGTGCTGTGTTGTGATAGAGTTCTCCCATGATCTGCTTGTTTTAAAAGTGTATAACACTCCTCTCCTCACTCTCTTCTTCCTGCCAGCCATGTAAAACATGCTTGCTTCCCCTTCACCTACTGCCATGATTGTCAGTTTCCTGAGATCTTCCTCCCAGAAGCTTTTACTCTGTACAGAAGCCTGTACAGCCTGCAGAACCGTGAGCTAACTAAACCTCTTTTCATTATAAATTACCCAGTCTCGGGTATGTCTTTATAGCAATGTGAGAATGGACTAATACACACACACTCCTATTTTATCTTCTCTAACTTTCCCCCTTCCCCACATGTCTCCAGCCACATTGTCTCATTATAGCTCTTCAAACTCACCAAACACCCTCCTGCCTCTGAGCCTTTGCACTAGCTATTCCCTCTGCCTGGAACACTTTTCACTCATTTAATAAAATGGTTCATTCTCTCACTTCCATCTGATGTATATCCAAATGTTTTCTTATCAGACAGAATTCTGCCCTGACTAACTTACAAAAAATATCAACCCCTCATTTCTTATCATCCTCACTGTGCTGCTTTTCTTTCTGGCACTTTCTACTACTCAACATGTTAAATATTTATTTGTTTGTTTGCTGTCTCACCTGCACCCCACCCTCCTCATCAAATTTAGGCTTCAAAAAGGCTTGTTTGGTCTGCTGCCAAAACAGTTACTGGAACAGGTAGTGTCAGCAATAACACTTGTGGAGTGGATGAATGGTAACTCTTTGAATGCTATCAGAATCAAGAAGAGAGGCAATAAAATACGTCTTAGGACAATGATTGGGTGCCCAGATGTAGAGAGCCTCCCCACTGGGAGCCAGTCCTAACAGAATCCCTCAAATGCCAACCCAGGAGGAGTTTCAGCACCACCTCTGAGCTAGGGGTCAACACTTATTCAGTCTAATGCCACTTATAAGTGTCTTTGTCCATGACATTTGTGACATTGAATAAAGTGAGAGCACTGCAGTTCACCATGTTGTTTCCCATGATCCTCTGCGCTCTTCAGAACTCTGAGGAGGACAGGCTGGCATCAGTGTGGGACATTGGGTGGTCATTCAGCAGGGTGGTTCTAAAGCCTCCATTCCTTCTTGGCTATGCTGTCGCATCTGTCTGAATCCTTTAGGGAAAATGATATAAAGAACAACTGGCAACTTGTAGACTTCACTAAATCTTTGTGCCAGGTGATTCCCTCAAGATAACTTTCTAGACATTAAGCTAGGTGGGCTCGTGGGTTGAGCATTGAAGCATAAAGCAGAGTTGGAGAAAGCTGGTCTGCTGCTCAGGGGATAACCTGATCAGGGCTCAACATATAATTCAGGTCCTTCACCTCTTCTATCTGATATGAATGCAGCAGTCCTAGGGATGATAATTTGGGAGAGCCTCAACCCCTCAGAACAGAACAGCGTGCTGACCAATTTAAATTGACCCTTGCCAGCTGGCAACTAGACCACATGCTTACTTGCACACACACAAACCCAGGCAGTGTGGCAATTCCCATCTGTCTTTTCACTCTTTTCTGGCTTTGAGATCTTGCCATAATGGCTGGGATGTCTTTGTTAGGTCAAAGAACCAGTAATTTTAAATCTCCATATCATCATGTTTGGTTCAGGTACCGTCTCACTATAGGTATGTGTGCCTCATGAGCCAGAAACAGCAGCCTGCATCAAGAAAGACTGGGAAGAAGGCTCCAGCCTCCCAGCGATATTTTAGAGTGTCTTCAGTTGCCTTCGCAGGAGAATAGTTCACAGGGGTAATATATTCTAGGAGTCTGCTGGAATGCTCAACTGACAAGAGCCCTATTGAGATGCTGCTCATTCCCCTGGGAGCTTTTCTGTTTACATGTGCCTTTGCTCATCTTTCAGCTAAATTGGAAAGCTGAATGGAAACTTCAGTGTTGAGAGCACAAAATGGATTTTGATGCTTAAAAGGACTTTTATACATAAAAGCCCAGAGTTAACACACCTCACGTGTAGGCTATTCTAAAACTCCAGAATTTGGGAGTTGGTTAGAACTGTAGGAATTCCTTTCTCTGAAGTCCAGTATGGTAACTGCTAGCCATGTGTGTCTATTTACATTAAAATTTACAATAATTTAAATCAAGTAAAATTTTAAAATTCCATTTCTTTGTCGTACTAGCTAGTCACAAGCCACATGTGGCTAGTGACTGTTCTATTGGACAGCACAAATACAGAACACTTCCAGCATCTCTAAAAGCTCCATTGAACAGCACTGGCTGACTGGAGAGACTGCTCCCCTCATTTTGTAGAAAAGAAAACAGAAGCTTATAAAGGTCAAGGTCAAGTGTCTTGCCCTCTTGTCTTAGAGATAGTATCTTGGCTGCAATTAGAAAAGACACAGGTTGTCTTCCTTTGTCCTTTCATACTACCAGTCCATCTCTCATCTCTGATGATAGTATCAAATGTTATTCTAACAATATCCAGCACAGGCACAAATGAAGGAAAGCAAGCTGGTGGCACAGTTAACCAAGATGAGTTTAAACATGAGTGGTTGCAAAATTAAATGGAGTCAGAAAATCCTATCTTCTCCATGAAACCCTCCAGGACTAACATGAAGAGGGGAGAGTTTTCCCCAGTAGTACTCTGCTTAAGCCTTCAGCTCACAAGGCTGACTCAGTTACTATTATTACTAAGTTACTTAGTAGGTACTCAGTTACCACTAAGGGATTGCATTCCTTATTTGCCTAATAAATGCATTTTATCATAGTTCTTGGGTTTCATATGTTAAATATCATGTGGGATTTTAATTACCTCAGTAACTCCAGAAAAGCTTGCTTTATACTATACAGAGCACCTTTAGTAACATTTGGGCCCTTGCAACCAATAAGCAATAATGGCTGCTATTAGCTTGTGTATGGAAGAAACTATTTTCAATTCACGTGTAATTAAAAATTTGCACTACAGCCTAAGGTATCAGAGTTGAGCAGGCCATGGTTCTATGGTTAAGGGCTCTCCACATAAAGAAAGCTAAAAAAATTCCTATGAAGCCCAGAACATGTCTACATACAGGAATCTCTCTCTGGCCATTTACTCAATTTCCCTAGGCACTGTAAGAATCTCACATTTCGGTCAAAGGACTGCAAGCAAATATTACATTTTTTAGGGCTGATATGGACCTGAGAAAACTTCTAGAATTCCTGAAGTTCAGAGACAATATCTTTATTCATTTGTATCCCCATTACTCAACACTGTGTCCGGAACATAGTAGATGTTCAGCCAATGTCAAGGGAGGAAGGGATGAAGGGAGGGAGGAGGGGAGGAAGAAAGAGAGGGAAGAAGGGAAAGGAAGGAGGGAAGGGAAAAGTGATGGCCTTAAAATGCCATCTAGTCTTCCAAGTGTATGAGGAACATATAGCATGGAGAACTTTAATGGCCCAAATTTGGTCCCTTTCTCCCTATGGCTAAAGGCAATGGCATCCCTGAGGCAGACAGCTTTTGTTTTTGCTTGCTTAACACCCCTCATACCTCTCGCCACCCCACTTCAGGCCTGTACTTCAATTGGAATTGAGCCTAGTTTGGGCTCCAGTTTGGACCATAGACCTAAGTCTGACCAAAGAGATCAGTTGAAGTGTGAGCACAACTAATTAGAATAATCTCCAGGGATTTCAAGAAGAAGGAACTCCCTACTGGTGTTTCTAGGGTCGGGGAAAATCATCCTGGAGCTGTTAGTGCCCATCTTTGGCCCCTCACTGGCCAGCTCAGAGATAAAAGGCAGAGAAATGATGCCTCATGTCATAGTTTGAACATTTAGATGCAGCCTAGAATATTTTGTTACCTGAACCAACAAATTTTATCACCAATATCTACCACCATCCCTTTTTTAAGGCCGTTTTAGTTTGGTTTCTGTTACTTGGAACAGAAAGAGTAATGATTAGTGTAAACACAAATACAAAAACTGCTTTTGCAAGATTACCACCAGAAACCTTGCAGCTATTAACTGAGAGTGGTGGTATCCCTAGGTTAGAAAATGCTTTGTCAAGCACAATTTTTCTCAGATTTCCAGGCTTCTCTGGCCTTCCTTCCTGATATGGATCTCTTTCCAGGTAGGTGTTCTCTGATCTCCACACACGGTCTTCTCTGCTTTAAGCCTCTCCCTAGCTCATCAATCACCCATGTATAAAGCCAAGTGCTAGCCTTCTACATTTACCCTTTTTCAGCCTTTAATTTTCTAAACCCATCTCATGTGTCAGCTCAGCACAGGAGAGAGCAATGGGAAACAGAGATTTATATGGCACCGTGTACTTTATATTTAATAACTGATCTGTCATGGCATTTATCTGCATAAAAAGGTGGGTAATCCATGAGTGGCTTGGCAGCCGCAGACTCCAGTGACTTATGCTTCCTGTTCCCTATCTCATGAAGATGGACAGCTTGGTAGATACCAGCTCTCACATGTTCAGAAATCTTCAAATATATCCCTGAATCTCTTATTTGGAAAAATGTGAAGTAACCTCACCAGGAAACAGTGACTTATAGCAACACAATATATGATGACGTGGTAGAAAATAATAGAAGCTGTATAGCTAGCAGGCTTTTAGTACAGATCCAATAGCTTGCAGGAGGTTTTCCATACAGCAGCTTTTGAGGCCTGGACCATCCTGTGATATGTAGATTAATTTTATTCCCTACTGCAAAGGCTCAGAGTTACAAAGCTACTAAGTGGCAAAGCTAGAACATGCCCAACTTCAAAGCCCTGGTTCTTTCCATTATACTTTATTTTTCTCCAGGTGGTTTACAACCATGAACTTGGGAGGACAAAGCAAGGTAAAACTGACATTTTGGTTAAATAGGTATTGTGTCATTTATATGCCAGTTATCAACTTTGTAACATAAAATGAGAGACTTATAGATGATAAAGTAAACAAAAGCTGGCCTGACCCTCAAGGCTTCAGATTATTATTATTATTCTATCAATAGTCTATGAATGTGTCATATATTATCTGTCTGCTACCATCAGGTCACATTGTATTTGCCTTTTATGTTTACATTCACAAATATAATTTGCAAGTCCAATTTAGGGTAGTTAAAGACTATGATGGGTCAGATGGACCATCTGGAATTAAAAACACAACCGTATATCCTGAAGGCACTTGCATGTCTTTCTTAGGCATCTGGGAGGAAATTCTCAGGGAATTAAAGGTCTTAGAGGACTGGAGGTATGGTTACATTCTAACAACCTGCCCTTCTTATTTTGCAACACTTAATGCTTTTGAATTTTCTTGCACGGTGACCTAGTTCGGAGCTACCACACAGTGCCTGGCCAATGGGAATCACTTAGAAGTTGTTGAAATAAATGTATGATTAAGACACAGAACACCAAGTGTTTCATTAGAGAGTGCTGGCATCTTCTCCACTGGTTGAAGGTTAGAGGAATAGAGTTGAGAACAAAGATGGCACATAGCTCTAAACCAGGTCAGATTTGAAGACTGTGTGCCCAATGAGATACCATCTCACACCAGTTAGAATGGCGATCATTAAAAAGTCAGGAAACAACAGGTGCTGGAGAGGATGTGGAGAAATAGGAACACTTTGAGACTGTTGGTGGGACTGTAAACTAGTTCAACCATTGTGGAAGACAATGTGGCGATTCCTCAAGGATCTGGAGCTAGAAATGCCATTTGACCCAGCCATCCCATTACTGGGTATATACCCAAAGGATTATAAATCATGCTGCTATAAAGACACATGCACACCTTTGTTTATTGTGGCACTATTCACAATAGCAAAGACTTGGAACCAACCCAAATGTCCATCAGTGATAGACTGGAATAAGAAAATGTGGCACATATACACCATGGAATACTGTGCAGCCATAAAAAAGGATGAGTTCATGTCCTTTGTAGGGCCATGGATGAAGCTGGAAACCATCATTCTCAGCAAACTATCGCAAGAACAAAAAACCAAACACCGCATGTTCTCACTCATAGGTGGGAATTGAACAATGAGAACACTTGGACACAGGAAGGGGAACATCACACACCGGGGCCTGTTGTGGTGTGGGGGAAGTGGGGACGGAAAGCATTAGGAGGTATACCTAATGTAAATGAGGAGTTAATGGGTGCAGCACACCAACATGGCACATGTATACATAGGTAACAAACCTGCACATTGTGCGCATGTACCCTAGAACTTAAAGTATATTAAAAAAAAAAAGACTGTGTGCCTTGCTTAGGGAGTTCAAATCACTAACCCTACAAATCATGTGTAGAGAAAAAAAGAAGGTGGTTTGCCCTCAGGATTTCCATCAGGACCAGTTCTCCAGAGATCAATGCCAAGTGAGGAAGAGAAGGAGCTTGGAGACCCTGGTAGTTCCTTCTACTCTGGATTATTCTGATTTCCAGGGTGACATAGGTACAGCAAAGTAGATGATGGTTGAGAAACAGCTGCAGTCCAAGAACAGTCATTTTCCAACAGATGTGCCAAAGGGGAGGGCACCCTCTGGAGGCTCCCAGCTGGAAAGCCAGCATCTTGGCCATAGCCTTTTTCAAGGGGTGAGCATATCTGGTAGTGGCTTTAGCTTAAGAGCTTTGGCAGTTCCTGGCAAAGGGAGCAACTGGTATAGAACAACTAGGTCATACATTTGCCACACTCTATATGGTTTAGGAGCCATTGGCTTGCCATCTGTACAGGCATCTTTACCCTCTTGTGAATGGGGAACAGGAAGCTCTAGACAGTAACTTCACACCTTAAGAGCAACCCCACCATCTGAAACTTCTATAGTCCTATGTTCCCCACTTTATAATAGATGATTCTGTTCCTTGATCCAACTGGTAGATTAGTTATTCTCCTGTCAAAATATTTGCTGCACTTGCCTTCGGGGCACATCTTACAAATAAGGTGTTTGTCAGAATCTCTAACAGGACAAGAAGGGGGAGATACAACTAAGCTTCCAATAAATGGTTTTGTGACAACTGACTGCTATTGTACCCACTTGATTATAAATGTGTTTTGTAAGTATGGCAGAATTTATTCTTAGGACTTGATTTCATGAATAAATACAATCTGTGAGAAAACAATAGCCCACATATTAATAGCCTTCAGAAGCTACTGGTATATACCAAAATAACTTAAAAAATTGAATGGGCAAACTGGCTTAGATCTGGTCTGCAATATGTGCTTCACCACCACCATTTTTTAACCTAAAATACCAGCTCTTCAGCTTACTAGTTCTATAACCATGAACAAGTCATTTAGCTCTATCTGAACTCATTTGTAAATTCATTCATTTATCTTTTTAGCTTTTCTTCATTCGCTCTGTATTGAGATTCTATGTGCTAGCAACTGAATTTGGTGTTATAGAAGGACTAATATCTACTTCAAAGAGTAATTCCAAATATTAAGATAATTTATAAAATCTCCTAGCACAGAGGATTAGTTAATAACTTTCTCCTGTATATGAATTTGGAAACAAAACATGCTGGAGGGTAAGGCAAAGAAAAGCTTTTTTTGGGATTTGGTCCATCTAGGTGCATTATTACTAAAGACTTTAGAGGTGTAATTTTTCCCTAAACAATAAAATGTAGGTATTAGTCTAATTGCCCAAAGGCTAAGTAAAATGAAGTTGAAGATCAGCATTCACCCATGGGCAAATATTTTCTTTTTTGCTTTGGAATCCAGTCCATGATATAAGCCATATTCAGATACAGCCTAAGGATAAGGAAAGCCACCCTTTAAAGAGCATGCTGAGAGGTGCCCTAACTGCAGGTGAACAGCAGGGTTTCCTTGGAAGCATCTCCAAAGCAATCCTGAGTGACTGTGCACACAGTGCACTCTGTGCACACCCTGCTCTGCAAAGGATCCCCTCCCTGCTTCCTCCCAGTCTCTCTAGTAGGTAGTTCAGTTTATACCACATGAATGGTTGAAAAGTACTGTTCAGTTACCTGAAGAAATTTTTTACTTATGTACACTTCTACTCTGAAAACTTAGAGTGGAACTGGAATGAAAATTTTCAAAATATCAAGAAGTATGTGGATATCCTAAAGCCACAATGAAAAGCCAAAAAAATTCATACAAGTTGCTTTGCTTGGTGAATCAGTGGGGGCTAATTAAATGTCCTGTTGATAATGGGAGATGTGGTGTGTTTTATAAGGGCTAAATAATCCTTCAGTGAGGCAAAGTGATGGTTTCTCTCATAGCAAGCTGCTGACTAATGTGAGGTAGGTGAACTCTTTGGAAGCGCCTTGAGCAAATGCACCTGGTACCCAAGCAAGGAGCCATTTATTAAAAAGCAGCCTGGGCGCCCCAGTGAAGGAAGAAAAGTTTAGGGCAACTGTGCATTGTACCTACTTTGCTTCCCCAAGAGTCAGACCTGGCAGCATTGTTGAAATTAGGAAGTATCAGATAATTTTGTATTGTAATCAGTTTCTACATAATCTTGCACAATGCAAAAGTAGAGACAATCTTCTTTAAGCTACAAGCTTTGTATTCTTCTTTGACCTCATATTGAAACTCCAGAAATCCACCCTTCATTCTGCTTTTTATCTCACCTGGCCTGGTTGGGTGCCCCTATGAATATAGATAGCTTTAGATCTTTGCCTTCTCTTCTTCAATGAAACTTGGCTTCCTAAAAAGATAAAGGAGCATGCTTTCAGAACCTATGACTCTTCTTACCATTTCTTTATGTCTTTGAACAATGGCTTGAAAGAGTGATACTTTATTAAATGCAAAGTGAGGAAAAAATTTTTGATCAAATCTCTTATTTTTTTTCTAAGTCTACATATATAAAATTCTGCTTAAAAATGTCTTTCAAAGACATTTTTAAGGAATGAATTATGGAAACATTTATTTTTATAACTCATTTGAGAAAAGTTGAAAAAAATTTAGCTCTATCCAAACAGAGTTTAGTAGGTATGGAATAAAGTCATTTTCATTTATCTAGGAAAATATAACTATAGACAGTCAAACACTAATAGGGAAAGTCTGAAATGCACTGATATTAAAATTCAATAGTGTGCTTAAAAGCATTTTCCAGATTTATTGTAAGGGGGCTATAATTATAAAGTAATTAGTAACAAGTTAAATACCAACAATGTTGATAATAATGACAATGCCAGCCAGCTACAGTGGCTCATGTTCGTTTTTTAAAAAGAAGTGTTAGAAAATCTAAACAAAGAACTGTCATTCCAATGCATTACATTTTCTTAATGTTGTGGAAGCCGTTTTTGAACCAGTTTGGAAAGTATAAAACTTTAGAACTTATCTTTGGAAATAAGAATTCACCTGGTCTAGTTGCAGTGGGCAAGATCAGCTCCAAAAGTAACATCTTAAAGTAGAGCTTTGATCTTTTCAAGTGATCTCAGCAAAATGGTAGACAAAGAAATTCCAATCTCTCATTCTTCAACAAACACATCAAAAACCCCAAGCAGAAACTAACTGAACCAACCTTTAAAAAGCTCTGGAAAGTAGTCAAAGATTCATAGCTAACAAGCTAATGCCTGGTCAAGAAAAAGCCATCTTTAAAATGGAAAGAAAGTTTTGTGGCATTTAACTTGTCCTTGTCCCACTCCTGCTCCCCACCAGTATGGCAGTGGTTTTGGTCTTCAAGCAGCATATTAGTTCTCAGTTCCCAACCTCAAACTGGAGGGAACACAGCAGAACTTATTTGTAAATTTGCATACTTCTAGTCTAACTTGTCTGGGGAATATCTAAAAGATTGTTGTAAGTTTCTTGTCTCTGTTTCACCCAGCTTGAAACTTAGGCAGAAAAAGTGGTGGGTACTGCTTATAAAAGCTGCAAGGTGATGACAGACCTACAGATACCTGGAACAAGAGATTATATAGAGAGACATACAGTAGATTGTCTTGGGCCCAAGGAGCAGGTGGAGTGAGTAGCTTTGGGAAATTAAGACATTCAAAAGCAGTCATGTATATGGGGGAATTTAGAAAGTCACATACACACATATCCAGACAAGATGTATGCTCAAAAAAGGCCAGAAAAGACCTTAAACTTTTACCTCAGAATGGCCCCTAGACTCATAACAAACCTAACTAATTGTTGAAGGAGTTTTTCAGCACAGACCCAATCTCTAAAGACTAGGAGAGTTTCTGGCATTCAAGGAAATCTCTGTCCAAACATTTGCTGAACACAGAGACTTCAATGATTATGCATAATAAGAAATGGTATTTTCAAAAATAGTTTGGGGGGCTGGGCACAGTGGCTCACGCCTGTAATCCCAGCACTTTGGGAGGCCGAGGTGGGCGGATCACAAGGTCAGGAGATCGAGACCATCCTGGCTAACACAGTGAAACCCCGTCTCTACTAAAAATACAAAAACATTAGCCAGGCGTGGTGGCGGGCACCTGTAGTCCCAGCTACTCGGGAGGCTGAGGCAGGAGAATGGCGTGAACCCGGGAGGCAGAGTTTGCAGTAAGCTGAGATTGCGCCACTGCACTCCAGCCTGGAGGACAGAGTGAGACTCCATCTCAAAAAAAAAAAAAATAATAATTTGGAAAAGTCTCAAAACCAATGAACTACTACAGCCCTCAACAATTTTTAAAAAGAGTATATGGAAAAGAAGGAGAATCTGATTTCCCAAGTTTCCCATGTTTAATAGTTAACTACTCAATTTTAACTAAAAATATTACAAGGCATACAAAGAAACAGGAACACATAGCTCATTCAAAAGAACAAAATAAACTGACAGAAATTATCCATGAGGAAATTCAGACACCAAACTTACTAAACAGCGGCTTTAAAACAGCTGTCTTAAATATGCACAAAAAGCTAAAGGACAACATGAACAAAGACCTAAATAGAATCAGGAAAACAATATATGAACAAAATGAGAATTTCAATAAAGAGATAGGAATTATAAAAAGGAATAAAACAGAAATTCTGGAGCTGAAAAATATAATAACTGACATTAAAAATCCACTGGAGATATTCAATATAAGCTTTGAGCAGAGAGAAAAGTAGCCATCCAATTTGAAGACAAGAAAATTAAAATTATCAAGTCTGAGAAACAGGAAGAAAAATAATTAAGAAAAATGAACAGTGCCTAAGGGTTTTGTAAGACAACATTAAATTGATCAATATATGCATAATGGGAATTTCAGAAAAAGAAGTGAGAGAGAGCATGGAAGAAAGAATAGTTGCAGAAATAGTGGCCAAAACTTCCCAAGTTGGATTAAAGACATGAATCTACAAATCCAAGAAGCACAACAAACTACAAGTATATTAATCTCAAAGACACCAACAAGAAGATATATCATAATCAACTGTCAAAAGCAAAAACCAAGACAGAGCCTTGAAAGCAGCAAGAGAGACTAGTCACATAAAAAAAATTCTCAATAAGATTACCAGCCAACTTCTCATCAGAAATAGTTGAGTCCAGAAGTCAGTGGCATATTTAAAGAGCTGAAAGAAAGAAAAAACAGTCAACCAATAATTGTATATCTGGCAAAACTACCCTTCAAAATGAGGTAGAAATTAAGACATTTCCAGATAAACAAAAGCTGAGAGAGTTCATTGTCATTAGACCTGCCTTGTAAGAAACACAAAAAGGAGTCCATTAGGTTGAAATGAAAGGATACTAGAGAGTAACTTGAGGCCATATAAAGAAATAAAGATCCCTAGTAAAGGTAAATGCATGTAAAAGCCAGTAATTTGGCTTTCATTATTTTGGCTTATAATTCCACTTTTTATTTCTTGCAGTACTTGAAAAATAAATGTATAGAAATAATTATAGATATTTATAATTTGGCACAGAATGGATAAAGATGTAATTTGTAATATTTAATAACATAACAGGGGATTAGGGTGGTATAGCAGTAGGGTTTTCTATGCAATTGAAATTAAGCTGTTATCAATTCGAATTAGATTGTTATAACTTTAGGATGTTATATGAAATTGCCATGGTAGCTAAAAAGAAATTATCTCTAGAATAGACACAAATGGAAATGAGAGGGGAACAAAAATATGTCACTACAAAAATATAACTAAATAAAAAGGAAGACTGTAAAGGAGAAAATTAGAAGCAAAACAACTACAAGACATACAGAATACAAATAAGAAAATTGCAATAGTATATCCTTCCCTGTCAGTACTCACTTTAAATGTAAATGGATTAAACTCTCCAGTGAAAAGATAAAAATTACTAGCATGGATAAAACAGCATGATCCAACTATACAGTGTCTGTAAGAGACCCATTTAGATCTAAAGGTACAAATATTAATAGGTTGAAGTGGGAGGATGAAAAAAATGCATTCCCTAAAAATAGTAACAAAAAGAGTTGGGTTGTTATACTAATATCAGACAAAATAAATTTTTTAGTAAAAAAATTTACAAAATACATAGACAGACACTATATATTGGAAAAGAGGCCAAATAATTAAAAAGACCTAGGAACTATAAACATATGTACACCAAACAACAGAGCACTTCAAATACATAAAACAAACTGATAAACTTGAAGAGAGAAATAGACAATTCTACAATTACTGTTGGAGATTTAAATACCTCATATTTAATAATGGATAGAACATGCAGATTAATAAATTAATAAATAGACTGGACAACACAATAAACCAATTAAACTTAATAGATATACAGAACACTGCACCCAACAACAGAAAAATGCATATTTTTCTCAGGTACAATTGAACATTCTTCAAGAGAGACCATATGTTATAACAAAAAATCAAATCTTAGTAACTTTAAAAAAATGAAAATCATATGAAGTATCTTTTCCAATCACAATGGAACAAAACTAGAAATCAAAAGCAAAAGGAAAACTGGAAAATCCACAAATGTGTAGAAAATAACAATGCATTCTAAAACAACCAATGTTTTTAAGTAGGAAATCACAAGCAAAGTGAGAAAATATCTTAACACCAGTGCAAACTGAAACACAACATATCAAAGTTTATAGGATGCAGTAAAAGAAGTGCTAAGAGGGAAATTTATAGCTAAAAATGAATATTTTTAAAAAGGATCTCAATATCATAACATAGGGAACTTGAAAAAGAGAGCAAAGTAAATCCAAAATTAACAGAAGGAAAGTAATAATACACATTAGAACAGGGATAAATAATATAGAAAAACAATAGAGAAAATCAATAAAACCAGTCATTGATTCTTTGAAAAATCAACAAAACTTTAGTAGATATACTCAGAATAAAAGAGCAAAGTCTGAAATTAATAAAATCAAAACTGAAATGGGAATATGTCCACCAATTGTACAGAGATAAAAATGATCATAAGAGAATACAATGAATAATTTTACACCAACAAATTGGATGACCTAGATAAAATATGACAAATTCCTAGAAACACACAATCCACCAAAACTGACTGATAAAGGAATGAAAAATATGTACAGACCTATAACTGGTAAGGAGATAAAATCAATAATCAAAAAGTTTCCAACAAAGAAAAGCCCAGGACCAGATGATTTCACTGGTGAATTCTCCTAAGTATTTGAAGAGAATTAACACCAATCCTCCTTAAATTTATCCAAAAATATTGAAGGAGTGGGAATACTTCCTAACTCATTCTATGAAGTCAGTGTTACCCTGATACTAAAAGCCTGACAAAGATATTACAAGAAAAAAAAGCTACAGAAAACATTCCTTATGAATATTGATATAAAAATTCTCAACAAAATACTTGCAAACTTAATTTAGTAAAATATTAAAAGGATTACACACCATGACCAAGGGGATTTTATTCCTGGAAAGCAAGAATGGTTCAACATGTAAAAATTAATCAGTGTAATACACTATTTTAATAGAATGAAGGAAAAAAACTACAAAGTACAGTTATCTCAACTGATGCAGAGAAAGCATTCAACAAAATTCAACACTGATTTATAATAAAAATACTCAATAATCTAAGAATAGAAGGAAACTTCTTCAACATGAAAAGGGCATTATATTTAATGGCAAAAGACTGAGAGCTTTTTCTCTAAGATCAGGAACAAGGCAAGGATGCCCACTATCACCACCTCCACATTTATGGAGTTCTAGCCAGAACAATTAGGCATGAAAAACAAAAGTCATACAAATTAGAAAGAAAGAAGTAATTATTTCTGTTTGCAGATAAGATCGTCTTGTACATAGAAAACCCTAAATATTCCACAATAACACTGTTAGAGCAAGTGAATTCAGCAAAGTAGCAAGAAATAAAATATACACAGAAAAATTGGTTGCGTTTCTCTCTTCCATTTATCACATTATAAAGAATGAAATACTTAGGAATTAGCCAAAAATGTAGAGAGTTGTACAATGAAAATATAAAACTTTGATGAGAGAAATGTAAAGAGACATGAATAAATAGAAATATATTTCATTTTAATGGTTTGGAAGATAATATTCTTAAAATGCAAATACTACCCAAATTTGTCTATAGATTCAATGGAATCTCTGTCAAAATCCCAATGACATTTTTTTTGGCAGAAATAGAAAAGTCCATCCTAAACTTCACATAGAATCTCAAGGGACCCCAGAATAGCCAGGAAATCTTATAAACCAACAACAGAAAAACAAAACTAAAAGATTCACAGTTCCTGATGGCAGGAGAATTGTTTGAACCCAGGAGGCAGAGGTTTCAGTGAGGCGAGATCGTGCTATTGCACTCCAGCCTGGGCAACAAAAGCAAAACTTCTTCTCCAAAAAAAAAAAAAAAAAAAAAAAAAAAAAAAAAAAAAAAAAAAACTTACCACAAACCTACAGTAATCAAAACAGTGTGGTACTGCCATAAAAACAGACATATATACCAATGGAATAAAATAGAAATTCCAGAAATAAACCCTGATGAGAGAGAGTAGGGAGGTCCCACACTCTTTAATAATCAGATCTCATGGTAATAATTACCACAGGGCAGGCACCAAGCCATTCGTGAAGGATCTACCCTCATGACCCCAAAACCTCCCATTAGACCCCACCTCCAACACTGGGGATCATATTTCTCTTTTATTTATCTATTTATTTATTTTTGAGACAGAGTTTCCTCTGTCACCCAGGCTGGAGTGCAGTGGTGTGATCTAGGCTCACTGCAGCCTCAACCTTCTGGACTCAGGTGATCCTCCTACCTCAGCCTCCTGAGTAGGTGGGACCACAGGCACACACCACCACACTCAGCTAATTTTTGTATTTTTGTTTGTTTGTTTTTTGTTTTTTTTTTTAGAGACAGGGTTTCACCATGTTGCACAGGCAGGTTTTGTACTCCTGAGCTCAAGCAATCTTCCTACCTCAGCTTCCCAAATTGCTGGGATTACAGGTATGAGCCACTGCTCCCAGGGGGGCTCACATTTTCACATGAGCTCTGGAGGGGACAAACATCCAGCCTACATTAAATAGGTTTACAGTTTTATGTCTCACTTTTAAATCTTTGATCCATTTTGAGTGGTCTTAGGTTGGGGTCCAACTTTATTAATTTGCATGTGGCTATCTAGTTTTCCTGGAAATATTTGTTTAAAACACTATCTTTTCCCCATTGAATGGTGTTGGCACTCTCGCTTCCTCTCTTGCCATGTGACACCCCTGCTCCCCTCTGCCTTGTGCCATGAATAAAAGCCTCCTGAGGCCTCACTAGAAGCCAAGCAGATACAGATGCCATGCTTGTATAGCCTGCAGAACCATGAGCTAAATAAAATTCCTTTCTTTATAAATTACCCCAATGTCAGGTATTCCTTCATAGCAATGCAAAACAGACTAATACACTCTAAGAAGAAAACATGTGGCAAAGATTCACAGCATTGAACTTGACAGTGATTTTTCGGATAAGACACCAATGGTACAACAAAAGAAAAAAATAAACAAATTGGACTTCATGAAAATTAACAAATGTTGTGCATCAAAAGACATTATCAGCAGAGTAAAAAGCCAATCCACAGAATATGAGAAAACATTTGAAAATCATATATTTGATAAAGGATTAATACCCAGAATATATAAAGAACTACAAAAATAAGCAACCCAATTAAAAAAAGGTGTAAAGGGCTTGAATAGACACTTCTCCACAGAAGATACACAAATATTAATAGTTTATAAGCACATAAAACATATTTAACATCACTAGCCATTAGGGGAATGCAAACCAGAACCACAGTGAGATATCACTTCACATCTACTAAGGATGACTATTATCAAAAAATGAAAAATAACAAGTGTTGGCAAGGATTGGAGAAATTATAAGCTTTGGTCATTGCTGGTTGGAATGTAAAATGACATATCCACTGTGAAAAATTGTATGGTGATTTCTCAAAAAGTTAAGCAAAGAATTCTCATATGATTTAGGATTGTCTTTCCTAAATATATACCTGAAAGAATTTTAATTGGAGATTCAAACAGACCAATGTTTATAGCAATATTATTCACAATAGCAAAAATGTGGAAACAACCCCAAAGTCCGTGCCCATTAACAGATTAATGATGCACACAGATTAAACTGTGATGCACACACACACACCCCCCTACCTTAGAAGGCCTCAACACTGTTGCATTGGGGATTATGTTTCCAACACATGAATTTTGGGGGACACAGACCATCGTGAACATATGCATACACACACACACACACACACACACACACACACACACACACACACACAATGGAATTCTATTTAGTCATAAAAAGGAATGAAATTCTGATACGTGCTACAACGTAGGTGAAACTTAGACGCATTATACTAAGTAAATAAGTCAAAGATAAAATGACAAATATTGAATGATTCTACTTACGTAAGTTACACAGGGTAGATAAATTTATAGAGACAGAAAGTAGAACAGAAACTACCAGGGGCTGGGAGGAGGGAAGAATGGAAGTTATTGTTTAACAGGAACAGAGTTTCTACTTGGGATGATGAAAGAGTTCTAAAAATGGATAGTTGTGACAGTTGCACATCATGAATGTACTTAATGCCACTAAATTGTGTGTTTAAAGTGGTGAAAATGGTAAATTTTATGTTATGTATATTCCGTCACAATTTTTTTTAAAGTAGAAGACTTTAAAAAAGAAAGATTCTCTCTGTCATGTGTATTTTACATTTTCTGTCAACAACTGAGCCTGGGCAACAGGTCCCTCCTTTGTGCTCTGACATCTCCTTGTACTTGTTCAGTCATAGTATGTGTGACATTACATTTTAATTGCCTATTTTGTTCTCCTCACTGGATAATAAGCTTCACGAGGGCTGATACTATGTCTGATGTGCTCTCTGATACATCGAATGTCTGGCACTGTGCTTGACTTCAGTAGCTGCTCAATAAATATTTGTTGTAGCAAACTGGAGTCCATTGTTTTTACTAGGACTCCAAATCACCCCTTCAAAAATTCACTTTAGTTTATTTAAGAAAAATAGACTATTGTAGATACCACAATACACTTTTAAAAGTCAAATACAAACTTCCAAGGAAACTCAATTGCTTTATCTATTCTCTCTTACTTTTATTACTTAATAAAAACACTTAAGAAAACACAAAAGAACAGTTAGTCACATGGAAGTTTGTGCTATCTTTTGCTACATTAGTTTTTCTATTCTGAAATTTCTGTGACCTTCAGGACCAACTGAAACATAGTTTTTTGCCTTATTGACTTAGGCCTACCCACTAGTGCCAAAAAGGGGTAGCTGCAGGTGTAAGTTACAGATTTTCTGACCTAAAGAGTTGTTCAAGGAAAGAGGTCTGGTTTGGGTTTTTTTGGACATTCTTCATAATTTCCAGGAATGTTTTCAGCAAGTCACAGGAGCTGCCTACACATGTATGACTTGTGATTTAAAAATGTAATTGGAATAACTGCAGTAGCTGATCTCTACAGATGTCTTCTTGATGAATGACACCACCCCTATTTGAACCTTTGCATAATCAGCTCCCACATTGGTCTGCTCTGACCACACATAGTAAGTCCTCACTTAACACCGTCAACAGGTTCTTGGAAACTGTGTCTTTAAGAAAAAACAACATACTCCAAAACTAATTTATACTATAGACTAATTGATATAAGCAAAAGTCAAGATCTGCAGCATATTTCTGGTTACAAAAACATCATCGAACTTCTAAATAAAGACCAAAACATTTCTCATATTAAACACTGAAGGAAATGTGAGCTATACATACATTTAGTATTCCAGTTCAGTTCAGGGTCATGGGTGGCTGGAGTCTGTCCTCGCAGCTCAGGCACAAGGCAGGAACTCACCCTCACCCTGGACATGTTGTCATCCCATCCAAGGGAACACTCACGCCCACACCCACATTCACTCAGTCTGAAATCATTTAGACACACCAGTTCACCAAGTGTGCACATCTTTGGGATGTAGTTGGAAACCAGAGTACCTGGAGAAAGCATGGACAGAACGTGCAAACTCCACGGAGACAGTGGCCCCAGCAGGGAATTGGTTATCTTTTTTCCCTCATTATCATTATAACAAAAGCACTTTGAATGAAACAACATTATTCAAAGATCCGTTGCAAAAAAAAAAAAAGTCCCCAGCCATATGGCCCTAGGCATATGATCCATCCAGGTGAGGCTTCAGCCTCATGGCACCGAGACAAGCCAGCCCTACTATGCCCTGCCATGTTCCTGACCAACAGAATTGGGAGCATACGAAAACGGCTGTGTTTTATACCACTCAAAATTGAGGAGGTTTATTACGTAATTGGAACAACACTTTTAAGTGTTTGTTTGAAAACAATCGCATTGTTTCATGCTCACAAATATATAGACGTGTGTGTTCTGGGAGTGCCTAAAAAGATTTCAGCTTACAGCTCTACCACATAGGAAAGTCACCTGATCCTTTTTAGCTTCCATTTTATCACCTGTAAATGGGATAATAAGTAATATTTCCCTTATGCTGTGGTTGTGATACTGCAGGTGAAAACACTTAGTAAACTGTGAATTGCTGTACAAAATTTCCAGTAGCAGTGGTGATCCCAGGTGGTGGCAGTGGAGTTGTGTGCAGTGATGATGGCGGTGGTTGTGGTTAAAGTTTAATCAGGTGGCAGTCAATGTTTTCTGTAAACATGTGAGCAAACCATATATCTGCAAGAACATTCTCAAGTCTAAGCATTGAAAAGTGCTCTGTGAGATACAAAAGCATAAGACAATCCTTGCCCTTAAAACCTGACAATATCATTCAGATAACAATATTGAAGTTCATAAAAGATCAATATATATTTTCTTGAAAAATAAAATTAAAAAATTAGACCCTATGGCCGGGTGCAGTGGCTCACACCTGTAATCCCAGCACTTTGGGAGGCCAAGGCAGGTGGATCACCTGAGGTCAGGAGTTTGAGACCAGCCTGACCAATATGGTGAAACCCCATCTCTACTAAAAATACAAAAATTAGCCAGGCCTGGGCGCGTGCGCCTGTAGTCCCAGCTACTTGGGAGGCTGAGACAGGAGAATTGCTTGAACCTGGGAGGCAGAGGTTGCAGTGAGCCAAGATCGTGCCACTGCACTCCAGGCTGGGCGACAGAGAGAGACTCCATCTCAAAAAAAAAAAAAAAAAAAAAAAAATTAGACCCTATGGTGTGGACTCCATTTGTTGCAGGAGTTCAGAGTTGAGAAAAATCTATATGGCTTTATAGAGAAGGTAGTTGTCCTGGAAACCGGGATGGATATTCCCTGAAAACCGTGATGAATGGCTACAGGAAAGAGAGGCCCTTACCAAACAAACAGGAGGAAAGGCATGTAAGGGAGACATGAACGTGCAAATGCTGGCGCAGATGTGCTTCAAGGTCTGTCCAACTTAAAGTGGGAATGTTCCCAGGGACATCGAACCTTCCAGGGTCACTGCCTGCTCTGTGCAGCATGCACTTGGAGCCCTCTTTGATCTGGTTCCAAGGCGTCACTTGCTTTTGTGTCTGAAACAAAACAGGACAGGCACCAGTCATCTTTTTTCTCTTCAGGTGAACAGCATTAACCATCCCCTTTCTGGCACGGTTTGCATTTTAGAAATTCATGTCTTGGTCAGTGGGGAAATGAGAGAATGGGAGAATCAGAAAACATTTTCCCCATAGAATCATTAGTACTAAAAGTGGTTAAATTCCCAGGCTTTCAGGGAAAGTGTATAAAATCCAGCCAGTGTGGCTTATCATTGGTGATTTGGGGGAAATAATATGTGTATCCTATGTGGGATGGCCATGTCATTTCTCTTCCCAGGACAGGAGGAGTGATGATGGCAGTGGAACACATGAGATCCCCGCTAATCATCCTGTCTTCCCCATCGCCCTTGCTCTGATTCTTCTCTGTCTAATGACTCTGGCTACTAAGAGCACCATGAGCCTCTCTCCCAGGTCAATCCATGAGACCCTCATCAGGAATGAGTGGCTTCCCAGCCACACCTTTTTCACTGGCTTCCAGGGAGTTGTCCTGCTGCCTGCCTCTCTTTTACCCCCACTCTTCGTGGTTTCACATCGCACTCTCTGCTCTCAGGCCACAGGCAGGGGCTGTTTCCTCCTGTCCTCAGTTCTCTGAAGATGATATAAGGCCTTTCCATGGCTTTCTAAGTACTTCTATTCCTACCACAATAGGAGGCAGGAAGAGATGGAGCAGAAAGCAGGGAGACACAGCAGCTTCACGTCTTTCCTAACAGCCGGTTTATGGACAGAGCCAGGTGCTGTTCCCCAGGCTTCAGCTCCACCACTGCCAGGCACAGCCAGGAAGGTCCATGACTTTTTCTCTTTTCCCTAGAAAGAACTCTGGGCTCCGTTTATGCAAAAATGCTCTGTATCAGCATCGCCTCTGACTCATTCCTCCTTGCATTTTCTCTGTCCTCTAAGTGACAGTGAGAAGGACTCTGCCTCAGAGCTACTTCCGAGGAAGAGTTGGCAATAATTATAATTAGAGCTGCCATAGACTGATTGAGTGTCTACTGTGTTAGGAACTCCACTAAGCTCAAACTTAATATAACAGGTAAAATTAATGAGCTCATGTGCCATATTATGGGTGAGACTTTTATACATATTGTCTCTTTTGATAGTGCAGCAACCCCACAATGTAGGAATCATTAGTGCCACTCTGTAGAGGAGGTGGCCAAGGTTTAGAGAGTAAAGTGGCTTGTCCAAAGTCCCATGGTTCCCATTCTCTCTGCATCCAAACCTCTCCTCTCACCTGCAGACTTGGTGGAGGCCCTTGTCTTTCCCTTTCAAGCAAGGCATCACAGCTCTTCCCTATGTAACACCCAATTTTTCCTTCTTTTCCCCCTACCCCAAGCCCAGACCCATCCCAGTCATATGGTACCCTCTGCCAGTGGCTCCTTTTTCTGCCAGTCATAGGTGCCAAGACCAAAGGAAGTACAAGTCCAGGCTGTGTTGGTGGTGGTCCAGAGATCTTCCCATCATGGCCTAAAACCCAAGTCTTCTTCAGCTCCCACAGAACAATTTCCCCCAAGAAAAAGGCTTAGAGGTGGAGGCTGCATCATCACAAATTCCTTTCATTGGGAGACTGACGCTTGGATCCAACTTCTCACCCCACACTTCAACTCTGGTAGAACTTGGATTTTAGGGGAGATGAGTTGACAGTATTTCCCCACCCTTTTCAATTATATACACCTTTGAACTTTTAACTCCATGCCACAGGACACTTCTAGACTCATCTTCCTCTACCAATTGCTCCCTGATTCAATGATCTGCCCATTCATCTCTTCACAAAAACCTCAGATACTAGCCATCTTCTTTTCTTGTAATTCATCCTCTGTGTTAAAAATTGTTAAGGAGGATGAGAAAACCAGTTATCCTATGCCTATTCTCAGGTCACAGACAGGTCTCAGTAATCGAGATATCAAGATGCAGGGAAAAGAGAAAATAGAGGGAGATCCCTGGTGCCAGTGGGGAAAAAGACAATGGATGTGCTGTGGTGCTCCAGCTGACCCCACAAGAGTCGGTATGAGGATTAAACGAGATAAAGAATGGCAAAGATTTTTAAACTCTCCAGCGACATAGAAGTATGATAATTCTATATATAGCAAAGCTCCTCAATGTTAACATTGTTTTATATTTTGAAGTTTCTGAAGACAAAATCCATCTTCCAATTAATAGATGCACTGACTTTAGTAAGAATTTTTTCCCCTACCACCAAAAGGTGCTGCTAACGCAGAGGTAGATTTTATGATAGATGGCATCTTAGGATCCAGACCATTCCATATAAGTTAGTTTGACACCCTCAAGTGAGGAGCTGGAGATGAGACTGAAGTTGTGGGAGATGAGACTGAAGTTGTGTCTTGTTCAATAAGAGTATATTCTGAGATATATGGCCCCACCTGAGCCATGTCATGGAGGAAAGTCTCTAGCTACTGCTGTGCCAAGCTGGAGAAGAAAAACAGAAAGTGAGGACAAGCTCTAAATTGCATTAGGGCAAGGGAGGGCAAGATGAGGCCCACCTCGCTCTTTAACTTTTACTAGGACTAGGGCGAAAAGTACAATGAAAGGCCCCTGCGGCCCTCCCACTTTATCTTCTCACCCCAGATCAGTTCTACAAGAGAAGGGTCTTCACATACATGCATGTGGGCACACAGGCCTATGCATACTGACCACATCTACTGACCCCAGCAGCCACTAGCTACCCTCCAGGCTAGGTGTGGCACATCAGTGGCATTGTTCACCCTTGAATAGTTCTGGGAAAGAAGCTCACACAAGCTCAGGAAGCATGCTTACGGCCCTTTGGGTAGGGAATTCCAGAATCTCAGTACTTGTAGTATGGTCTAGATGGTAAGCTCAAGAAAGGCAGCCATCTAACTCTGAGAAGTTAGACAAAGCACAGTTCAGAACATTGCTCTTACTCCTGACACCAACTATAATTTCAGGGATTCTGAAGACCACCCTCAGTTTTGATTATACTAAAAGGGCTCACAGAACTCACTGAAAGCTGTTATACTCAAGGTTATGGTTTATTACAAGGAAGAAGATTGACTAAAAGTAGCCAAAGGAAGAGATTCATCAGGTAGGTTTCAGGATGCTTCCAAATGTAGAACTTCCAGTTGTCCTCTCCCCATGGAATCATAAACAGCGCTAACTCCTCTCAGTAATAATGTGTGACAATATGCAGAGTACTGCCAACTGAGGAATTTCCCCAAGTCTTGGTACTCAGACTTTTTCTGGGAGTTCAGTGACATACCTGGCTTCTCACATAATTGAACTTTAGTCTTGAGCCCCTCTAGAGGCCCAGATGATAGTTTTAATTTCCATCTCCTCTGGAGATAGAGCAGATAACATGCGACACAAAGCCCTTTTCATAAAACACACTGTTAGATTGTCCATTGAGTCTGAAGGTCGCCAGGTAAAAAATGACACTCTTCCTTGAAATAACTTCCCCAGAGACCAGGCCAAAGGGCAAAACTTTCTTTGAGTAAGGTTAATTGTTTATTACATAGCTTCACATTTCTGACTTATGGAGGTGCTCAGACTAACCAGAAAAGATACAGGGTGCCCCACTACATTTGAAATTTAGGTAAATAATAAATGCTATTTTAGTATAAGTATGTCCCAAATACTGCATGGGACATACTTATACTTTTAAAAACTTGTTTGAAATTGGAACTTAACTAGATGTCTATATCTTTATTCACTAAGCCTGGCAATCCCAATGGGCAGGGTCAAGGATAGAGGTAGGCCAGAAACTGTGCCTTCTACAGCATGATCCTCTGAGTAGTGAAATCGTCTGGGACCAAGGGTGGAACTGGGCAGCATATCTATTAATATATATTTCCTGCAAACCTAAAGCAGAGTTGAGGACAGAAAAAGTCAGTCCCAGGGTCTCTAGCCAGGGATGGCAATTCATAGCAGGAAAAGTTTAACAACACAGCTGTGGCCAAAACTAGCACATTGACAACGAGTGAAGGGCCACAGGACCAGAGTAGAGCTGGTCACTCCAGACACAGCATGCGGCCAGAAGCCTGTCTCCATGAGTCAGTTTTAGATATCCCAAACTCACCCCTGTCAGCAAACCTCTGTTGGAGTCTCCCTCCTTGGACTCAGGCATACTTAGGTTTACATCTCAGTTTTACTACTGATAAGTTGTTGTCCTAGGAAGATTATTTTCCAGTTTCCTCTTCTATAAATTGGGAATACAACATGTTTCAGAAAATTTTTGGAGAAAACCTGAGCTACTTTGTACAAATCTTCTAGCATGTAATAGTTGCTTAAGAAAATTTACTTCTTTTCCTCCATTTTAAATGAACATTTTATTTTGTTATGAAGGTATACAATTTGAAGACACCTGTGAGAGAAACTAACTAATGAAATTGATGAAACGAATTAATTTTTTTTTTTGCTAAGGAAGTGAAATATGGATTGTTTATATTTCCTATCCCTGCTCTAAGTCTTTGCAGCCTCTGCAGGCTTAAAAAAGAACACTCACAAGCATAGAAAAAACTATATCCATATGGGAAAAAAGTCACCAACATCCCACATGACTAATTTCTTAGAAACCACTCCCCGAAACACCAACCACTTAATATTGTTTGTGCTGTGGCCTTTGTTCCCAAGCAAGACATGTATTCTAAAAGTTCACATGTTCTTCATCAAGAGTAATCTTCAAACCCAAAGGGAAAGATCTCGAAAGCATTTGAGTTAATACATGCCTCTCACTAATGTAACTAAAATATTCCAGTGTTTTCCCTTAATACTCTCAATTTACAACTAGCAGACAGATGCTTCTTCTCAAAGGCCTTCATAAATCTTCCCATATGAGATGAAAATGAAGGATTTATTCTTGCCCATCTTTTAATTTTACTCAACACTCAATGAGTTATTCTTACAGCTGGTATTTCAAATGTATTAGTAGAATTTATCACTCAAAGGCTTATGCAAGGACTAAATTATACTAATGAATTGGCTATAAATTTGAAGTCTAACACGAGGCCAAATATTTTCTGGCTTCATTTCTGTATCTCAGCAAATGGCTTAATTTGCTCCCTACTTATCCATTACTGCTAAATTGTCTTGCTATTATTGTAGTAAATGGCTGCAAACCCTGTCTTGCCCTAAGGCTCAGGCTGAATGGAGTGGAATGAGGACGTTTACCGTGGACAAGAAAGGTAAAAAACCTGCCATCCACTCATTTGTGCTGAGCTGGAGGAGGTAGGAAGGGATCATAGTCCAACCCACCCTTTTCAGTGCCTCTCATAGTCACCGGCTATTCTTAACAGCTGGCATTTCCAATGCATTAATGGAATTTATCATTGAGAAGCTTATGAAAAGGTTAAATTACACTAATGAACTGACTTTGCATTTAAAGTTGAACATGAAGCCAAATATGTTCTGGCTTAGGATTTTTTTCTTTTTTGTATCTCAGCAAACTACTTAATTTTCTTCCTACTCATCCATTATCACTAAATTGTCTTGCTATTATAGCAATGCCTGCTAGCAGTGTTATAGTTAAGAGTCTGTGCATGTTTTCATTATAAGTGCCTATTTTCTGAGATTCAAACTAAGTGGGGAACTATGGAAATCTCACAGGGCTCTCAAACTTTGCTAGAATTAGTCCAGTCTTAGACCTTTCCTTTTGTGCACATTAAAAATCAGGCCTTTCAGAAGAAGAAGTCAGGTATTTTCCAAAACTCTCTAGTTTGTGTCCACTTTCTCTTGTGTGCTAGCTTTAATTTTAGATGAAAACTTTGTTGATGTTTATTTTAGCTTCTTCCTGTTTTCTTTCCCATGCTCATTGCTCTTTCGTATTTCAGTGAAGCTTCTTGTACTTCATACTTGATTGTGAAGAGTATATTCTCTAACAACCAATCAAGGAACAAGACTAAAAAAAAAGGTAGAGGACTTTTTAAAAGTTTTCATCTGTGAAATAAAAATGAGAAAGTAAAATAATCAACCTCAATCCCTTAAGTTATATAACATGCAGAGTGAAAAGATTAAAAATCTTGGACTTCAGAATTAAGTTTGGGAGGGAGGGACAACCAGAAAACAAAAACCAAAGAAAACCCAAACAAAAAACCCCTTCGCCTTTGCTCAGACTTCTAGAATCTGCAAGACTCTGAATCTCTATTCTAGTATCACCTTCCATGCTATAGTAGGTCTTGGAGAGGCCTCAGTGCTGCTAGAGGGTCTCATCCCCAAATTCTGTCTTTTCTTTAGACCTAAGAGGTCACTCTTCTTCTTCCCTTTCTTTGCAAATAGAGTTCAGCCAGAGATCTTCCCAAAATGGCCTAAAACCCAAGTCTTCACCTCCCACAGAACAATTTCCCCCAAGCCAAAGACTTAGAGGTGGAGGCTGCATCATCACAAATTCCTTTCACTGGGAAACTGACGCTTGGGCTCAACTTCTCATCCCATGACTCAACTCTGGTAGAACTTATATTTTAGCAGGAATAATTTGACAGTATTTCTCCACCCTTTTTAGTTACACACACTCTTGAACTTTCAACTGCATTCCACAGGAGACTTCTAGACTCATCTCCCTCTATCAATTGCTCCCTGATTCAATGATCTGCCCATTCATCTCTTCACAAAAATCTCAGATATTAGCCATCTTCTTTTCTTGTAATTCATCCTCTGTGTTAAAAATTGTTAAGGAGGAATGAGAAAACCAATTATCCTATGCCATAGAGAGGCTCTCTCATGTAATGCCATGGGTCAAGTTATACTGAGTGGGGAAGCAAGGTCTTCTCCATGTCATCTGGACCATTCTGTAGTTTCATGTGATACTCTTAGCTTCTACTGATATCTTTCTGAACATACTCCAAGACTACTAGCAAGAAGACACTTATGAATTTATCCAACAATTCATTTTCTTTTTGATAACCTTGACTTTCTGAATAACCTCCCAATTCCAATTACCCCAGAGTACCCCACAGGCCCAGCACAGAATTTGTTGCAACTTTTGAATGTTCAGAATCAGGTTCTGCTTCAGTTTCAACTTTAGGGAACAGACCTTCCCAGACATTCATAGCAGTCTCACATTGCATATGAGGACAATGGAATGTCCTATCCATGCATTCTGCTTTGCATTCAGATCTTTGCTATGCCTTCTTTTTATATATGAAGGAAAATAACTTTTCCACCTATTAGGTTAAACTGAACAGGTGGCATTGTGTGCCACTCTCAGGTTCAAAATGATTTCTCATTTGCATGTGCCAAGAATGAAAGCAGAGAACAACCATGTTTGTGGACTCTTCCGTCATGGGGAGAAATCTCACAGCTTCATGATTTCTCATAGGTGCTGGCTGAGTAGAGCTATTCAGAGTGAGACAACGCTAAAGAAGCCCTGATTACTTTTAAAAATTCTTAGTGCATTTTAAAATTGTAATTTTTTGTTAAGATTTCCTTACAGGGAAGACCCTGTTCTTTCGGCCTATGTCATCCTCATCATTTGACTCCTTACCTTTTCGGGGAACAGAATAATGCCATCTCTGATTAAGATCTGTGTGGCAATTGGAGAAAGTTCCAAAGATATATGAAACAAGGAAAAGCCAAAGGATCAGAGGTGATAAGTTGTAATCAGTGAGTTCTGCTTTAAAGTCTAGGGAATTTTTGTTTTTGCCAAGGCAAGTTTACTTTGCATTTTGAAGATATATTGGATGGAAAGGCCACCAATCATCCATCCTCTTAGACATTTATACATATGAAAATAGTATTTTTTACATTTACATTCAGGTAGAAAACAGCATGCCCTAATTCTAATAGCAAGTGATGCTAAGGAAAACAAGGTACTGCACCATGCCAAAGTGAAAGACATTAGCCATAGCAGCAAAAAGTAAAACATACACGTAACGTGCAAGTGATTGCAAAGGGAGGCTAATGTTCAAACTTTGTTGTTCGGTTTTCCATTTCATTTCTTTTTTAGTGGGCCTAAATTCATTTTCTAAGAAATTATGGCCATGTTGCATATGCATTGATGGTGGCACATTCTGGACCATATGTCAGCAAAAGCCAACCCATCCTTCTGCAGTTGTTCTCCAGTCAAATTTGTTAATTGTCCAAGAAGGAATACACACACACACACACACACACACACACACACACACACACACACACATAAATAGTTGCCAGTATGACTGAGCAACTGAAAGATTTCGCATGACTGGCTAACAGTTTAAGATGCTACAGTCAGATATATTAGAAGATCTGAGAGACATTCTTTCAGGGATACCCATCTCCAGCTATCCTATGCAAGACCCTACATTTCCTGGCTCCATATTGTTGCTCCCACTGTTCCTTCTTTTTAAATTTCTCTTCTCTCCTTCCTTTGTACTAATCCTTCAGAACCTAGGCCAAATACCACTTCTTAAACTTTTATCTTCTCCCAGTTCTGAAGTATTTACTGCCTCCACTGAACACCATAGCAAACATACCTATAAGGACACACTGGAAAGAGTAAAGTGTGTTCATTATGAGCAAAGGCCTTTAAAATGTAAAGATCTGGACTTAAGTACTAGTTCAGCCTCTGACTGTTATAGCTGTGTGACACCTAGCACGTTTTAAACTTTCTAAGTCTTGGTTTCCACTTCTATAAAATGAGTAAAATAAAATCGATCTTGTGGTGTTGTTGATATGATCAAGTGAGATAATGGATGTAAAGCATTTAGCCAAATGTCTGTTCTATAGAGAATATGCAATAAATGTTGACTGTTGATATTACATCAGAGCACTTTCCACTTTATTCCTAAATTCTATGCATAGCTCTGTATCCACCACCCTCCCACATCCCCCCACCAAATTCTAAGTTCAACTAAACTGAATCAGGTTTTCTACACCTGTGCCTTTCCCAGAGGTCCTAGGACAGTGCCTTGCACTGAATACATTTGTTAAATAGAGGAATGGTGGAGATTTTGAGCTATCCACTTGTGTTTGGCTCTTGAAATGCATCATCTTTTCAGATTACCTTGGTGAGGTCAATTGGAAATAGGTATCACATTTCAGAATGCAAATGAGGAGACACAAGAAACACAGTGGATAAGTGTTGGGACTGAGGGCATTTCAGATGACGACATGTGTGTCCTAGTTCATCTATAAGCTCTCAAAAAATAAATAAATAAAAACAATACAGACGCTCAATAAAAAAGTATGTACTGGGTCTGTGACAACCAAACTGCCAGTCAATCTGGTTGACTCGGTGGAACAACAGTTTTTGAAATGTCAACATTTTGTATGAAACATCTGGTTGTTGACAGAATTAGCCATTATAAGAACTAGTTGTCAGTCAGCTCTTGGATACCCAGGCACTAAGCTCTATTTTGAGCCTTTGGATTAATTGCCAAAGCTGAATTCATAGGCAAAGATTTCTCATTATTTTAAATTCTGAGCATGAACAAAAAGTAGGTGTAATTAACAAAAAATAATAAGTGTATACTTAAACTATTTTATTCACAGATCAAATTGGGGGATGGTCATTTTATCATTCTAATGATGTAAGATGGTGTTAAAATTCTAGGTTGCTAGTTCCCCAGGCCTCAGAGAATTCTCACCTCGGTAGAAGGTGAAAACTTAATTTTTCTCAGTATTTAACATTCTTAAGACTTATTAAAAAACATACCATGGCACCGCGACTTTTAATTTCCTCATGACTTATGTAAATATGAGGCCGTCTACAGCTGGGTACATGTGAGGTTTTCTTCACTCTATCCTTCTTTAAGAGAATTGTTTTTGAAAAATCATCTTTAATTTAGAGAAGCATTGTGCATAAAAGAGGCATGTACACTGCCATCTGCCAAAATGTGTCAGAAGGCTCCCTGTGGCGAAGCTCACAGCATCCTGTGGCTTTCAACATCATTACTTGAGGGATTCGGCAAGGTTCCTCCTAAACACTGCTGAGGCTTTGCTGAACATTTGGCAGCAATGAGATTACTTTAAGCGGCTCATTTTGGTTATAGCCTGAAAAGATTTCCTGTTTTTATGACGTAGCCCCCTTTCTAAGAGGGTGGGGGGTGAGAAGGAGGTGGGGCAGTTGGCCATCGCAGAGGAGGGAAGGAGACCTTGTCTTAGACTCAATTGAGGAGTTCTGGAAAGTGAGACATCCTGTTCTAAAATACATGACTCAAGGCAAAGCAGCTTTAGGGATTCACCTTGGTTAGAAACTAGACTCAAGAGACAGAACAGAGTAGAAGTTAGAGCTACTGGTTTGATTTCCTGATTTTTACCATCAACATCTGCTGCAGTGGGAAGATTATAGACTGAGTCCCCACTGGGACCCATGTTGGCACACACAGACACATACATTCAAACAGACATGTCATGTACAGCTAGAATAATCTTCCTTAAATATTACTTTTCTAATTCTTTATACAAAATCCTCCTGCAGTGTAAGTTTTCAAATCGAAACCCTTCAAGTCAGTCTTTCAAGTTTTTTGTCAATTTACCTCCCCCGTCAACACCCTGCTGCTCTTCCCCTCATTTCATTATTCCTGAACGTGATGCTCAGGACTCGACTAATCTATCTGCACCTACACCCTTTGCTATGCATCTAGTGCCTTACTATCCCATAACTCAGTAGTTTCCACATTTTTAAACCTGCAAATCCTTTCAGAAAATGGAATTGTAGATAGAAATTGATTTCATCAAATGGGTAAAAGCAGAACTATTCTGTTTAAACAGGAATGGGGGGCTTTCATCTCTGTCTCTTGAGGCCCCCATTGCTCTCCTTGCCATTTTACAGTAATTACCTGAGTTCTCCTGTGTAGGTGTAGGTGCTACCAAACACATTTAAAAACCAAGGGTCTAATCTCTTTCTTAGTAGCCTCTCCAAACACCAACCAAACTCATTTGCTCTATTAAAGTCCTACGTATCTACTTCCATGGATTCAGATTGCCCCTTTATTCTGCTTCCCCTCGGCATTTACTGCTTTGTTTTGTAAAACAGTACACAACAGGTGACTTGATATTATGCTTCTTAAGGACAAAATGGCTTGACTTTATCCCTCCCATTCATCTCTAACTCCTGTAACATGGGCAGGGGCTGGCATAATAGTCCATTGAATAAATAAGTATAGAAGTTACTCTCTTTCAAATTACAAAGGTTTCAATTTACAAATTTTCATGGATGTGAGCAATGCTATGTACCAAAGGCACGACTCTTCTTATCACCATTAGATAGCAATGCCAATTGCGTTTGGACTATTAAGTCTTGGCTACTGTCTTGATCCTGAAGGAGTGTCTTTTAACAGATGAATGTAAATGCATGTTGAATGGCAATTTTCAATCAGCTGGAGTTCAAAGCTGAAGCCAAAGAAAAGCTAACAACTCTACCTTTTAAAGAACCATCAACAAGTGGAACCAACCAGCTACCCGACCTTTCTAAGAGTCACCTAAAAATACGAGGTGCTACAACCCCATCCTTCACCCCAGCTCCCATTCTCCTAACTGCAAATTTAAGGAAAAGGCTGGGGGAAGGGGAAGAGAGAGAAAGTTATGAGAATCAGTGGTGGCAGCAGCTTTGCGAATATTATGTTTTCGTGTTAAGAAGTTTTTTTTTTTATTTTTCTGCTGTCTTAAAGCCAAGTGAAGAGTCCTCAAAGAGAGTCACTTAAAATGAATGGGGATGCCTGCAAAGACAAGACCCTGCACATCATTCTCCTTATAGACATGGCCTAGGTAGTGGACTTGCTGCTCTGCCCTTTATTTTGCTGAACTAGGGAAACATGAATTGAGAGATGAGAGGTTGAAGAGAAGGGGAGGTAGTGGAGCAGCCAGCCTTCCTATTATTGGGCTTGGCAAAGAGGCTGATGTTTCCTCTGAGTTTGGTGAACACTGAAGAAGATATCTGGACCAGGGTCAACTTGCAGGGTGAGAAGTCTGTCTGACAGGCAAACAGAATGCCAGAAGCTAGCAGCTGTGGTGTGTACTGACAACAACAGCAGCTCGTTGATGGGTGGAGGGTGGAAGAAGACAAGGAGATGTGTGGAGCCCCAAAGGGCCCTGCAAAAACTTACACGTGCACCCTAGGTATGTGGATGACTGGGTGCTGAGGCCAACCAGCGTTGGCCAGAGAAGCAACAACAACCCACAGAAAAAGATCGGCCATGGATAAACATCAAGAGATGGGTGCCCTTTTCCCCCAGTGTCTTTCCTATACTTTAGCATTGTAGGAATCAGGTCCTTGAAAGGGAAGGGCTGGTACAAATTCAACTCAGGGTATGTCTAATGTTAGAGGTAGCACTAAACTTAAGGGAGGAACTAAGATAAAATCTGAGAAGAGAATTCTCTAATCTCTTTCTTAGTAGCCTTTCCAAACACCAACCAGTTATAAGCCAGACTTTGATTAAAGGGCCTGGAAAACCACCAAGCTTTCTAAAATGTCATTAAGGGATCTTCATTGTCATTTGGGCAGAATATGGTTAAGTAGTGCTTGGAAAAATGAAATTGTTTCACGTTCTTATCCCTAATGAGTTGAGGATGCCCAATAAAAAGTTAATTATATTAAGTTATAATGAAAAAAGGAAGCCAAACTGTAAACATTGTTGTATAAGAATTTTAAGAGAACCCCAAAGCAACAAAAATCTGTAATTAGAATTTCTACAGCCCATCTGCCTTGACCAACCTACGATTGGTCACCTGTATAATGTCACTTTGGACTCATGAACAAATGGCCTTTTTGAAACTTGTTGGTAAAGAGAGGTGCTTATTTCAGTATATGAAGTAAGTTCTTACTGGTTAACATTAATTTTGAACTAGATTTTTAAATTATAAACATATAAATTGACTTACATAATTTTAGTAATTTTATAAGCTATATTGCATAGATTTTATAAGTTGTATATTAAAAGTCAAATAGGTCAGATAGCATAATGTAAAAAGTTAAAGCCTCATCCTGCCACATGTTCACTTTCCACCTGTGACCATTTATTATCAGTCTCTTTTTTATTTTTCCAGAAATGTTCCATGTCTCTAAAGCATGTAGATGTATGAATGTATTTGTCTTCTTTATAGCAAAAAATGGCATTTACCAGACACAGTGTTCAACAACTTGCTTTTTTTTTCATTAAAACTGTATCTTAGGCATGCCCTTATGTCAGCACACATTAATTCACCTCATTCCTTTTAAGCACTACATAATATTCCACTTTATTTTTGCCTCATGCTTTAACCATTTCTCCATTTATGGACTTCTAGCTCAAGGTCATGTTTTTAATGTGTTGTCACACAATAAATCAATGACTATTCTGTCACACATATTTGCCTACTTCTAAAATGAGAGCTCATTTAACTGTGAATTTACAAACTAATGCTACAATGAATGATATTTCTTCAGAATGCAGAATCTGGAGTATTACATAATATTAAAAACTTGGCAAGTAATAAGAGATTAAATTATACTCCATATAGCTGATAATATTACAGAATTTTAAAATGCCGCAATTTAACCCTCAAAGTTGGCAGTCCATATATGAGAAAAGCCAATAGTCTTATTTAACCACTACACCCCACAGCACCATGCTTGATAACACAGCATACTGATAGAACACACGTGCCTTGTTAAGCAGACATATGATGAGAATGAATAGGGTAATACGTACAATCTCCTTGGGATGGGAGATTGCAGACGCTAGCATAAACAGTGTGACTATTTCCTCTCTGGTTCACCCAGGCTCCACAGATGATAAAGCAAAATCGCTACAGCAAAGTTTATCTTCTGTTTGTTTGTCTTCTTCAAAGTAATCTCAACCTTTCTCAGTTTATCTGAGGTCAAAATACCTTTGTTTTAATGAACCAGGGTAAAGGGCAGAGAATGTTACCACCGAGGCTGCCTCTGAGCTGTCTTTAATATCTGAGACCATATATATTTTTTCCTTAAGATAAGTGTCTCTGTCAGCATAAAACTCTTATTCTGGTTTTAAGCCATTCACCGTCCCCGGTTACCGTCACTCCTGCCCACTCACTCTGGCTGCTCACCCGAAACCTGGACCAGCCCTGCCAGAAATCCAGCCCTCCCTGGAAGATAACTTGTGTCCGAAAAGGGTTTTGATATGAGGGCTGTTTATACTCAGTAGTATCTAAGTGGAGAGACCTCATAGGAGAAGCCCCGCTTATTGAGAGGTGTGTCTGTGTGAGCATACGTGTATGTATAAAAAGACATTTCAGTTTTCAATAAACTGTTTACTGTTCAAACATTAAATAAATGTAGAACTGTTTTAATCAGCTGAACAAATATTTAATGTACACTCCAGCATAAGAGCTATGTTTAAAAATATCCTCTATGCTGCTAAGACACAGGGAATTTATGGAAACCAGTGACCTAAAAGGTAAAATAAACATTCATGGGGGGAAAAAATGAAGCACATAGTTTTAAATTTAAACTGATCTCCCTACTCTTTTACTAGCATCCATTAGTATTTTATCCCTCTGTGTGCATGTGTGTGTGTCTGTGTGTGTGTGTGTGTGTGTGTGTGTGTGTAAGTCCTGGGAATTGCTGATTGGATTGCACATCTGCTTACATTTTCTAGAACAGCTAGTGGTCAGGTAACTACCAAATTAATTTCCAGTACATTGCTGTGAGAAGGTAAAACACAGCAAAGTTCATATTCTGTCCAGGACTGCGATTCTTGGAGTAAGTGTTTGTTTGCTCTTTATGTTCCAAACACTGGAGGTCATTCGCGACAGGAGTAGCTAGGTTTCTGTCCACAGCTGTTCCAAGGAATTGTCTAAAACTCTGACAGGAAATGCTAAGTTCTTAGAAAACATTTAATCCTCAGTAGATTCTGTGTAAATATCATAGAAACTTGGAAGAAAGTGTGTATTGTTAGAAAAACAATCTCTTACAAAGATACATGGGAAACTCCTTTAATAAAACAGATGCCATGCTCTTTTCACTAATTTTATTTTTAGTTGTATCTACAAAGAAGAATGAAAAATAAAGGTCTTAAAGTGGCTGGCCATGTGTTTCAACTCTGATTGTCCTGCTAGTCCTGCTAATTTAATTCCACGAGCAGACCTCTAATTGAGGGCTTCTTCTCTGCCTAAATTGGTGCAGAACAGAGGGCTGCAAGAGCATCTGCAGTACTTGGTTGCCCGTGGCATTAATTTCTCTTAGTATTTGGTGGTAGTTTAGATATAGCAGCTTGTGGGGGCTGTGTATTACATGGTTACAAACTCATCTGCTCTTTCTTTAAATACCATACCCACCCCAGGTCACCAAAAGATCTTTAACAGGAGTTTACTTCCCACCTGAGCAGATCGTGGATGTAGTCAATTCAATTTGGCATTCAGGAATTTAAAATACCAGATTTACTGGCTTTCAAATATGTTCCTTTTTTCAGGCAGATGTAGCTTTTCAGTTTCCTTCTGGTGTACAATAGCTACTCATTAAATATAAAACTTGAAGTTTTTAAGTAATTTTGTTTTTGCCATTTCTTTTGGAACATGGCACCATCCACATGTTTATTAAGAAAGTTTATTGCCATTGGTCCAAAAACAAGTTCTTCAATTATAGTTGGAATCTAAGTTGTAACTGGCTCCCTCTAGCTCAGTGACAATTCATCCTTCTGTCCATAATCACTGATAAAGTCGTCATGTTTCTGAGAAGACTAGGAAAATAACAATTCAGAGCCTAAGTTCAGCTGTTCATAACCATAATGAAGAGGAACTGGAAGCTGAGAATTAAAAAGAGAAGAAAGGAAAGGAAGCTACTTAGCAATCAGAAGAAACACAGTGTTTATGAGATCATTAGAAACCCATTTGAAGTGCTTTTTCCTAACTAGCTTTAGCAAAAAGGAAGTTGTCAACTTAAGTCAATGAATACAACCCTATATCCACATGACTGTGAAGCAATTAATGCACCTTAATACCATAATGAAATGGTTAGAAATTATGAAAAAGCCTCTTCCAAATTTGGGGCTGTTTTTCCATGTGGGGGCTTTGATGTCTGTGCTGTCAGACAAAGCTGGCTCTTATGTCAACAGAAAGATGATGTGCTTGGCAACAGATCCACAGGCATAATGCAAATATACCTGCCCTCCTTCTCAATGACCTCTGAAATAACTACTGTATTTGGCTGAAAAAATAGGAAATTAGAATATTTTCTTATTTAGCTTCGGTAGAGCCTTGGCTATAGCAATCTCTGAAGCACCATGAAAAATGTATGGTACTTCCCATTGTGTTTTTAGACATGCAACACATAAATACAGAGATAGCAATGAAAAAGGTCTCCATGCTGATGTGGCTTAATTCAGGCTATTTTCCTCTCACTGTTAGCTTGCTATACCTGATTTGAGGGTACAGTATTAACATACTATCATCCTGAGGTGGTTTAATTCAGGCTTATTTTCCTTCTCCATCCCAGCTTTCTATACCTGACATGTGGGTATGGTATTAACATATCATCCACATAATGAGGGCTTGCCTGGACAGAATAAGAACCTTAAAGGTAGATCCCCCGTGTGCTTTTCAGACCTTGGACTTTTGCATACCAGCCTAGAGAATAGAATTAGATTCTATTCAGTATTTACATTAGTCATTTTCTCCTCCTGGAATTCATTTCAAAACAATCGCTTCTTCAGGTTTTCCTTCTATCCTGCTGTTTTGTTTAGTGTTATTATTTCACTTCCTCTCCATACTGCAAGCCATAGGTATAAGACAGCCCATCCATCTATTAACAATTAATTATTATCATTATAAATGTTATTTCCCTTGGTTTCTTATTCTTTAGTCAGGCTTGAATTTAAGGTGATCAGGGCACAAAGGGAGGCTTAAGCAGGAGCTGCAGACATCTCCACATAGCACGGTGGATGAGATTTCCTTACAGGCAGGGAGGCAGGCTTATCCTGGAAGACCGGGAACTCACCTGAACCATCCAGGGGATTATGACCACCGGGTTCACTGTGGCAGCCTGGAGGACTGACAAGTTAACCCAACACACTCCGATGGCTTCACAATTGCCCAGAAGTGGAGATTGGGAGATAACAACAGACTTAGCCACCCTAACCACTTACTTTATAACTCAGCATATTACAGATGGAGGTATTCTTCCTGACACTCCAGGAGTTCCTGCAATAAGCTGGGGAAGCTGTGTAAGCAACTGCAGTATCCCAGAACTGTCCCAGAGAGGCCTCCACAGTTGGCCCTTCGCAGACTTTGGAGAGCTGTATCTGTACACTCC
This sequence comes from Homo sapiens, assembly GCF_000001405.40. Lineage (NCBI taxonomy): Eukaryota > Metazoa > Chordata > Mammalia > Primates > Hominidae > Homo > Homo sapiens. Next base: position 82,600,957 of record NC_000009.12, read on the forward strand.
ACTGCCTGCAGCCAGGTTTACTCAGTAGAAGCCCCACTATCCAAACAGAGTGGGTTTCTAGTCAGAAATGAGCATCATCACAAGCTGGTAAACACAAACAAAGCCCCCCACATGGCCCCTTTCTTTGAAGGGTAGTACAAATCCAAGGGTCAGCGAGCAGGAGAATATCACCAAACAAAAGGAAGCTGTGTTTGCTCACCATGAAACACGAGCAGCGCATGTCTTGGGGAGGATTTACTGTAGCATGTCCAAAATAAACGGACATGGGTGAGTGGGTGAGGGTGGGGTGGTATTCCTGCTTCAAAGTCTCCTCCACGCTGCTCCTGGAGCAAGAGACCCCTTCAGGATTTCTCCCCACAGGAAAGCACTTATGAGCTTGCCATTTGTAGATTCACTGTTTTTATCTGTTTCAAACTGGAAGAGATGACAGCCCTTCTGTTTGCTTTCTGTTGATGTTAAACAGATGCACCGGTCTATTACAGCCACATGGGCCTAGTTCAAGATGAGGCAGCAATAGGAATGTAGTTGCTCCTGGGCCAATGTGGAGAGAATGAATTTGCCTATTATTTTGTATATACATTCAATATTTTTATTTTAAGGTTCCAGTATTCCCAGTGGGTCAAACTATACCTACTCTTAGCTCTTTTCAGAAGCCAAGAGTTCTCCTCAACAGACCATGAGATAGACTCCAGGAATTCTCTATGACTTCAAAATCAGCTATTATTACTTCAGGAGATAAGATCGAGTCTGCAAGTATTTATTTTCTCAAACCATGATTTGGCTGTGAAAGGCAATGAAACAGGAGAAGAAAGAGTTGGGGGAAGTAAGAATGGAAAAAAGCAGATGTTGGGTTGGTCTTTAATTATTTATATATTTTTAAAGTTTGAACTTCATTTGAACCAGTTTGAATTCTTTGGGCTTTCTGATGGCTGGACATCATAGTGAACGAAGCTGCCACCCACACTGGAAAATCCTCACGTTTTCTAAAAAGGATTTAAATTTAGATATTTTACAGCTCTGCTTCTGGAGTAAGATGCAATAAAAACTGAATTGAAGATATTTTAGGTTGCAGAATTTTTACACTTTTTTCCTGTGTAAAATAAGATTTTTGTAGGCATTAGAAGTCTCAGATCATTTTTGGAAGTGGGTAGGGGTTTAAAATATAAACAGATTAAATTAGTAATATGATGACAACCTGGATTCAAAAGTTTCTATGAAGTTTGAATTATAGATAACATTACCTCAGAATTTTTCCCTTAGAGGAAAACAGTTCTGAGATGGAAATGAAACTGTGGCAGACATATTCCATCAGGTGAAGGACAACTGGCTCCTGGCTTATAAATACCCAGGTGGAAAGTCATTTGGAGAAACCCAACTCTAGAGACTTGAATATGCCTGAAGTTTCCAGGAATAGATGTCAAAATAGGACAAGCTTCCGGAGACAAGGAAACTCAGACTGGCCCTTTATGCCACTGCCCTCCCACTGCACTGAGTAGGATAGTCCATCTTAAAGAGCATCGAGAGTTACAATATTCTGCAAGTTATTTCTTTGAACTCCCCCGCTTGCCAGATGGTATTTTCTTCCCCATGGTGATTCAACTATATGATGACCAGGTACCCAGAGTTTACTATGGAGGTCTGTACACAATTGAGAACAACCTTATGTAGAAGCAATATGTGTCCCAAAAGATAATGTCAGCTTCTTATGACAAAGAAAGCTTTTGTTCTGAAAATTTTCACTTAACACCATGCATTAATGTTCATTTGCTTGTTTGTTTGCTTTGCGCATTTTTGAAGACTTGGGATTATAATCGCCCGTTTTCCACCAATAAATACTATAGCGATGGATACACAATGAAAACCAATCATTCTACAAAATTAAGTGTGTTAAATTGAACATCTACAGACAATTGTTGTTTTCTATTTGACAGATCCTATAATGAAATGGCTAAACTTTAAAAATCTTTTCTTTCTGTAATTAGATATGTGTCCAAAAGGAAAAATATACATGTATTAGATTCGGAGCCTGTTTAGCCCATTTTCACACTACTGATAAAGACATACCCGAGACTGGGTAATTTATAAAGAAAATGAGGTTTAATGGAGTCACAGTTCCACGTCGCTGGGAAGGCCTCCCAATCATGGTGGAAGGTGAAAGGTATGTCTTACATGGCAGCAGGCAAGACAGAATGAGAACCAAATGCGAGGGGCTTCCCAAGATGAGATTCGGGTGGGGACACAGCCAAACCATATCAGAGCCTATATGTATATTTATATACAGATTCCAAATCTAATTTTGAAATAAAGATATAAACAATTGTTAGCTTTTTAAAAAATGAAGCTAAAATATGATTTTTATGAACAAATTATCTTTGGATTATCAAATAAAATGTTGCATGTCTTTAATGAGAGCAGTGAACTAATATATGAGTAAAACTACACATTTTAAAGCTGTGATCATCTAAGGCTTTGCTAAGGGAATTCCAGTTGATAACATGATTCCTCCTCTTAATTAATAGCCACTTGGGATGTACTAATGAAAGACTAACATGTATTAATTCATTCAATACACATGAGAGTCCAGTTATACATCAGGTGCTGTAAAGGAGCTTGTAAAGGAGTTTAGTGGAGAAAGTGGGCATGTAAACAATAATTATATGTAGGGTGAACAGTTCAATAGAAGAGGCCTGTATGAGGTATTATAAGCAGGAAGAGATAATCAGGGACTGCCTCACAGAGGAGGTGTTCTCTGAGCTCAAGTTTAAGGTCCAAGTAAATCTTAACCCCTACCCCAAAAATGTAGAAAATGCCAACCCCATTAGCAGGTGCACTGTAGGGGCTCCATGATCGTAAGTTCTCTTATTCCCTCTCCTGATATTCTTTTAAGCTATGGGTTGTTATTTTTAAAACGTCTCTAGATTTCCCAAACTTCAACCTTGGCAGTCACATTCAATAATTAAAATTTTCCCATAACTGACACAAAGACACAATTATATTAAACATTAAATATTAACTTGGTTGCCTTCAAAAAACTATACAGTCTACAAAGATGATCCTAACCTCTCCATTGTATACTTTATATATACTTCATGTACAGTATTCTATTCTGGTTATCAGATTATCATGGAGACATGAGTAAACATAAGTCTGTACAGGGGTTAATGACAAGACAATGAAGGAATTTCAAGCTTTGCAAATAGAGTCAGTTGAAAGAACTATGTATGTTTAGCCTAAATAAAAAGGAAAACATTGCTTTTTATAATTTAAAATCTATCATGTGGTAGACACATTTGACTTATCCTGAATGTCTCCAAGTAATATATTCAAGACTAGGTAATAGAAGTCATAGGGTGATAAAATGTGGCTCAATTTAGGGAAGAACTTTCTAATGCTCAAATACTCCTCATCAAGCTTAGAGCAAACAATCTGATAGGCCTTACTGAGATATATTCAACATCACCTAATTGGCTGGATGGATGCATAGAAAAGTCCATTGCAGCACTGATATTCTGCGATTCTATGATATCTAATAGAAGCTAGATTTGGGGTATTTTTTGTTTTGTTTTTATTTTGTCTAACAAAATAAAATCTATTTTTCAGTCTAACAAATGATTCATGGAAAATATCAAGTAAGTCATTCTGTGAAATTTTTGCACCTCAAATTGTGTATGTAATATCCCATTATTCATATACATATAGAAACATGTTGGTGACTAATATTCACTTCTCAATATTTGTATGATAAATGAAGTCCAAAAATACTCTTGATATTAATTGACAGCCTTTGTAAATACCCCCATCAGTTTGGAATAGAAGCAGGACCCTTGCAAAGATCAGAAGGCAATGTCCTACAGTGAGAAAATTGATACCATGAAACAGCAATTCTCTTTGAAGCTCAGAGAAGAGGTCCACAGAGGAAATTTAAACACACAAAAGCCAAGATTTGCCAACTATGGGGAAAAATGTCAGCATCTGAAACTATTTCAAGCAGCAGTCTAATTTCTAGCAGTGGTAAATTGTCAAGACTGGACTGAAGAGGACCAGTGAAGTGGTGCTTTCCTCCCCTAAATCTCGTGTCTTAAACAACTCTCATAGCAACTGGTTAGTAGGGTCAGAGGACCCAAGAAGCCAAAGGGCATTTGTCTCAGCATCTGTGGAGTTCACAGCACATGTTATCCTTGGACATTACCCAGTGGCCTGGTGTGGACAGAATCCACTGGGCTTAGTTTCATAGAGATAAGCAAACACTAACAGCAACTGAAAGTAAACTTCAGAAACACATTTTTATAAAGGAGCCTGTGAGTCTGAGATTACACTTATAAAATCATCTGTACAAACACTCCTGGGACCACTCCTCCCTCCAGCCAAGTCATATGTATATGTATACACACAAGCCTCTTGAATTTTTATTTACATAACATAAAATTAATCATTTTAAAGCGAACAATTCAGTGGCATTTAATACACACACAATGTTGAACAACCACTGCATTTATTTAGCTACAAAAGAATTTCATCACACCAAAAGGAAACCTCATACACGTAAGCATTCACTCCTCTCCCTGCCTTCCCCAACCTGTAACAACCACCAATCTGCTTTCTGTCTGTAGGGATTTTCCTATTCTTGATATTTTATATAAATGAAATACAATTGGAGAAGTGGTCTTTTTCCACTTAGACAATTTTTTTTAAAGATTAAAAAACAGTTTATATATTTTTTACTATACTTTATTTTGGGGTCCAAATTTCCTTATTTGGGATGTTAAAAACTACACTGTCTGTTTGTACAGCTCTCCACAAAGTACCTTTACTCCCTTCTTGTACTTTGATCATTACAGCTATTTTACAAAGCAGGCAGGGACAACCTTATTATCACCATTTTACAGGTGAGAATATTGAGGCAAAGTGATGTGCTCCAGCAGCCCCACAGCAAAGTTACACAATGGTCTCTGGTCCCCTCATTCCACTGTCTTTTCTGCAGCACCACACAGGTTCCTATCTGAGCTCTTACTAATGCATCTAGCCAAGCCTTCTCACACTCAGAAGATACACTCAGAAGATATTCTAATATAGCCTAGGTTCTGTATTTTATTTTTAATTTCAAGAGCATATTTTAAATGAACAAACTAAATGGAAATAGCTTTTGGATGTATCATTACAATTTGCACTTAATAGAGAGCTGTTTTGACACATAACAGTTACATATGACTGGAAGTAAACTGTGCACACAAGACCAAGTGCACACTATTCCAAGTCCAAATCTCCTCTTGGAGTCAGTTGGAAGTCTGCTCAGCTGCCAAGTCTTCAGGTCTTGCGTGGTGTCTGGAGCTTGGCTTTTCTATCTGTACAGTAAAAAGTTGGACAGAAATGACCCTTAAGGTCTCTTCCAGATCAAGATTTTACAATGTTTAGCTAAGCACCAGCTCAAACTCAACACTGAACTCATGTGCTTCATCCACACAAGGTGAATACAACTATTTGAAAGATGAGTCAGTCAAAAGGTTTCTTTCATTATCAATGCCAACAGCCATTCCATTTTGCTGAAAATTTTCAGGACATCGTGAATGTTCTTTATGAAACTCACTATCCCATCTAGATTTTATTGACTAAATATTTTGTATGTAAATAGACAATGCATAAAAAGGCCCTAGTAATTTGGTGATGGCCACATTCTTGCCTTTCTGGTATTAGGCAACATTTCAGACGAGGAGCTCATTCCATGGTAGAGCTGTTCATATTCATCGCTCTTGAATTGTATGCAGTCAAATTAGAAGGACTGCCAAACAGCATTTTTAGCATGTTCATAGACATGTGTTTCCAACCTGGTGCTTAAGCCCAATCATTAACTTGCCATCAACCAAAAATTAATATCTGAATCTTGTTATGCCCCCTCTATAGATTTTCCTGGGTTAGGTTTTATTTTTAGCGGTAGCTTCTGCAATTCACCCAGGATAGGGGAGTAGTCAGATTTAGCAGGGCTAGACTGCCATCTAGAGACCAGAATTTGAGTTCCAACGTCTTGCTCCTCAGTGAGCTTGCTCTTTAACAAAAGCAGCAAACTGCCAAATGAAGCTTGAGTTTGCTTGGGCAAGGTGGGAGATGCACCCCGAATCTAGAGATCATCAAGAGCAAGGAGCTTGTGGTGGCCCAGCTCTGAAAGCCTTCCAGTCACTGAAGGTTAGGTGGGACCTTAATGACAATGAGTAGATAGAACCCTGCCCCCTGGCTCAGGAGTGAGCTCTTAAACTTTGTCTTATAAGCAGAACCCCATTTGCTGGAAGTGGAAACTGCACTCCATGGCAGTTAGAATTTTTACCCAGAAAGGAAGGAGTTCTTCTCTAGAGCTGAGAAGGCTAAAAATGTCTTTCATTTTATGTGAGAATCCAGTATCCATATTTCTCATGAAACTCGAATCTGCCTTTCATTTTTCTGCTTGAGCCTAACTTAAGTTTATATATCCTGGCCACATTTAATACCATCTTCTGCTTTTTGTGACTGCAGTTTAAAAGGACCAGTGGTCTCTAAGTATTTGAAATTTGGATGGGAAGATACTGTTTCTAGTGTTTCCATTGAAGGTGCATAGTTTGGAAATCCCTCTCCTTGTCTTTTTTCCCAAAACTGTCCTTCAGGGCCTCATGCTAAGCCCATCTGTTCCATCAGACAGTCCTTTGATGGATGTGAAAAGGCTGACTGGAGAGGTGCAGAGCTGAGACTGAAGTGGCTGAGATTTATTAATTCATGTCCATTTGGTAACTGTGTCCATAAGTTCTGCCATGGGAATGGTTTAGAAATCAAAAATAGCAACTATTATTGTTAACCTCAAAATCGTAGGCCACAAGAGATCCCAATTTGCTGATAATTAAATAGTCGACTCTGTCCAGCAGAATGTCATCCAAGAGTTTTTCAGCTAACGATGAAAGTAACCAAGAAAAAAAAAAAAGAGAGAGAGAGAAAACAAAAGGTGGACTATCTTGAAAGACTTTTATAAATAGAGGCTAAAGTGCACCATATGCATCCAAGATTCCAGTGATATCATATCCAGCTAAATCTCACATCTTGGGAACTTTTAAATCCAAGAATTGCTTTTGACACAGGTATTAAATGATTTTTGGAAAACAGACAGTTCTGTATAGTATGGTAGAAGAAGCTTGAGTTTTAGAATTCAAGCAACTGAGCTTTGGGTATCTGGTCTCTCACTCACAAGAAAGCCTGGGTAAGCTTCAATTTCCTCATCTATAAAAGTTGGGGAAAATGACATGAAGTCAATGTGAGGATTAAACAGAATAACCTCATTGAAAGTGCCCCACACATAGCTGGTGCTTAACAAATGCTTACATCATTTCTTTCCTTTAAGGTCTGGCATCTGCCTTCCTTACCTGAGCAGTGTTCTGCAGCTAGAAACAAGGATGTCAATAATATTTGTTCTGATAATTTTGCTTCATCCCTAGAATGCTAAATCTTCTAGAGCAATGCTTCTCAAGCTTGAATGTGCATATGGATCACCAGAGGATCTTGTTAAAATGCAGATCTAGTAGGTCTGAGATGTGTCCTGGAATTCTGCATCTCCAACAAGCTTCCAAAGGATGCTGTTGGTTTGGGAACTACATTTTGACTAGCAAGGCTCTAAATCGGGGGTTGGCAAACTACGACCCGATGGTGAACCTCCTGTGTCTGTAAATAAAGTTTTATTGGAATGCAGCCACACCCGTTCATTTACATATTACTTCTAGCTATTTTCCTGCTATAACAGTAGGATTTATGATCTGGTTCCTACCCCTTCTTGACCCCTGCTGGAAACCATTCTCTTTTTTGGTCCTGATGTGTAAACTAAGTTAATCATCTGCAGGAGCACTTGGAGGGCTGAGAGAGGAAAGAGAGGAGTAGATTAAGAGGGAAGGGTTGCTACCTGTATTAGTTTCCTATTGCTACTGTTCTAAATTGTTACAAACTTAGTGGCTTAAAACAACACATATTTACTACAATATAGCCCTATATATCAAGCCATCAGCAATGCTGCATTTCTTCAGGAGGTTCTAGGGGAAAATCCATTTCCTTGCCTTTTCCAACTCCTAGAGGCTGCCCACATTGCTTGGCTCATGGTCTTTTCCTCCATCTTCAAAGTCAGCATGGTAACATCTCTCTGACTCTTCATCTGTTGTCATATCTCTCTCTGACCACATCTGTGAAAACTACCTTTAAGGGCTCGTGATTAAATTAGACCCAGCTAGATAATCCAGGGAAATCTCCTCATCTCAAGATTCTTAGCTTAATCACTTTTTCCATGTAAGATAACATATTCACAGGTGCTGAGGATTAAGGTGTGGATATCTTTGGGGATTCTGCCTACCACACTACCTCAAAGCATATTCTTCAAAACAACAATTTTCCAATCATTTCTCTTTTGTAATATGTTGACACAGCAGTCTTGATGATGAAAAGATGTTAGATGAAGTCATATGATGGAAAGACCATGAAACATGTAGAGAAGGTAGTCAAAGGTTGACCTTTCTGTATTTCCCTGACTAAACAAGGGAAGTATAAGATGTACAAGGATACCTTGTACATCCGTGCAAGTAGACACCGCATAACTCTAGGAATGCCTTGAAGCCGCTCAGGGCACAAACTTTAAAACCATAGATGGAAGCTCTGTCCTTTCCATCCCAGCTGCCTGATCCTGGGATCAGAATTTGTCTACCCCTCTAGCTATTGATCATGATTAAATTGAATTCTTTAGAAATATTCTCATTAGCTCACACTGTATATAAAGTAATTTGCTCACTTTCATCATGCTGCAAAAAAAAAAAAAAAAAAAAATCAACCTGAAAAAAAAAAGTAGGGAAACATATATTACTAGGCATGGAATGAGACTACTTGAGTAGCAAGAAGCTTAAAAACACTCCAGTCACCCAACCTTGGGCTGGTACACAGTGTCCTTACCACAATAAGATCAAGCAACCCAGAAACCAAGACTCCAAGAGGGAGAGAAAATGTCTACCTTTGGCCCTGGGGCAAGAAAGCAGGAATAGGAATAAAGAGAAGAGGAAGGTGCCTTCACAGAAATACTTCTCAGTTGCACCTGTAGCCTCACAAGAAAGGTTTCAAATATGAATCCCTGGCAACTGCCTTCTAGGCTGTTAAGTTTAATCCTTCACATTTTGAGTATGTCATGGTACTCCGTAAAAAAAGCTTATTGCATAAGCCGTTGTGACTCTCCTGAGCTCATTCTCTTCAACAATGGCAGCAATATAGTAACAGATAAGTGACCAAGAAAGTATATGTGACCCAGCCATTGTATAAGATTTCATTTTGCTAAAGGTCAAGATAAATTATCATGAAATCCTTGGATATACTGTTACATGGTTCCTGGGGACAAAAGGTTTCCTTTCAGAAGAGCTTCTCAGAAGCAAAGTGTGCTGTGTTTCAATCCTCAGCTAACTTTTAGTTAATGACTCTTGCCTTTTCTCCTACCAGCTCTGCTTATTAAAAGGAGAATGCAATCTGGAGTGTGTGCTGTCAGAATGAACAGCAGGGTCAGTCACTAATCCCAAATTGTATGTCCCAGGATGCCTGCTACAGAATAGGGAAATGCTTACATTTGATTAACCTTCCAGGTAGAGAAATGGAGGCAGCTAGGGGTCTGCAGCTACATGACATGGTATAATAGTCATTTTAAAATATGGCATTCCTGGGGAGATGCAAGAAAAGTCACAGCATGAGGTGCTGACTTAGTATAGCGAATGAAGATTGTGTCTACACAATAGTGAGCAAGCCTTTGGGGGAAGAACATCACCAACCTGGGCATTCATTTTCTTCGAAATATTTGTAACAATATGATAATCCCTTACATCTATATGGTGCTTTATGGAGAGCATAATGCTTCAAGGGCATCACCCCATTTGATCTTCACCACTGTCTTTTGTGTCAAAGAGTTAGAATCCAGGAGTGCATTCCCCATTAAAAAAAAAAAATCATGCTTAACTGTCGATGCACTTTTTTTTTTTCCAAGGCCTTTTCTTTAACAATTTCTTTAGGTATAAACAATGAAGAGGGAAGAAACATCATTGGATGGGGAGCGGGGAAGTTGGAGTAGTTCGAGAGTAGACAAAATCATACAAGGTTTGGAAAGACATCTCCTGAAAACGTTTCTCTCAGGCAGGAATGCTCACGGGTCAAAGAAAGCACAAGGTCACTTTTATTTCTGAGGCACCAGGAACAATAAGAACAAAAGAGTCTACATGTTGTCTTTCCTAGTAGACAATGAGTTCCAGGTGGGCAAAGGTGCAGTAAAACACCTAGCACTTTTGTAGATACTCAAATAATGTTTGCCGACCAAATGGATGAATAGAATTAAAAAAGTAAGAAGATCAAATTATCAAAACACAGTGATGCACTGCCAGGTTTGATCAAATACATGTGAGAAAACTTGTGAAATACAGATTCACAGTGGCATCTTTTAAAAACAATTGTTCTGATTCTCTAACCTGAGTTGTTATCATTAGTTTGATGCCATAATTTTACCACAAACCTGCTGTGGATAACTCAAGTAATGCATATTTTAATAATGGTTTACTTCAGCCAGCTGTGGATAACTCAAGTAATGCATATTTTAATAATTGTTTACTTCAGCCAGCTGTGCCCAGTTTATAGCCTAGAATGTCTTCATTCTGACAAAAATCTGATGACAGAAATAGGAGCTTAAAAGTCTACAGTTTCGGCCAGGCGCGGTGGCTCACGCCTGTTATCCCAGCACTTTGGGAGGCCGAGGCGGGTGGATCACAAGGTCAGGAGTTTGAGACCATCCTGGCCTAGCATGGTGAAACCCCGTCTCTACTAAAAATACAAAAAAAAATTAGCCGGGCGTGGTGGCGGGTGCCTGAAGTCCCAGCTACTGGGGAGGCTGAGGCAGGAGAATGGCGTGAACCTGGGAGGCGGAGCCTGCAGTGAGCCGAGATCGGGCCACTGCTCTCCAGCCTGGGCGACAGAGCAAGACTCCGTCTAAAAAAAAAAAAAAAACAGTCTGCAGTTTCCTCTCCTGCCTCATATTTTTGTTATTAAGCACATATCCTAATAATTCCTTTTCTACTTTAGAGTCAAAGAGCATCTTGGGTCTTCTTCCACCACTGGGCCTATTCCACCAACAAGCCTCTGAATTCTCACTTACTTACCAGTAGCCTCTTAAACTTGTGACAACAGATGAAAATCCACTCTTTTGCACCTTGTTTACTCAGATCAAGGCACACACAGTTATAAAGCCACCTTTGGTTGGAGAAAGAATTAAGAATCTGCCTTGTCGGTACTAGATTCAATTTTCCAAAGCTAATTTTTAAAAAGGCTGTTATTACAAACCAAACCTTCATGCAAAACCCCACCAAGAATCAGCCTTTTTTTAAGGAGTTTCAAATTCCTTTGTGTGACAACCATGGTTTAATAAGTATGCCAAAATAGATATTGTTCTAGAGAGAAAGCAATAGAGATAAGAAATAACAGTAGGCACTTTTGCTTGAGTCGAGGCTGTAATTTCAAATAGAAGTACAGCATAAATTCTTTGGAAAGGAAAACTTGCTGGAATGTTAACTTTTTAGTCATCAAAAGATGCTTGTGCACATTCGTCTTTAATCTCCAATTTTCTGTACAGCTATTTGTTAGCCTGATAACAGTGTGTTTTATGTTGTTCTCCATTAGCCAGTGCTATAGTTTTATAAGGCATGTAGAGAAAGTGGAGGAAGATATCAGCCTCCTTAGGAGTGGTATTATATTTTGTTGTTGTTGATTTTCGAAGGAATTTGGACAACCAGCTTTGTTCAGGGGAGAGGGGAAGAGAAATGTTTTATTACTGGCCAACTCCAAAATGTAGCAGCTGGCGGGATAAAAACCATTTCTTAAGTTTGAAAGAGATGATAAAAAGCAGTCTTAGCTATCTAAATAACTATGAAATCTTCATGACTTCTTTGTCAAAAGAAGGAAAAGGGAAAAAATAAGCACGTGGAGGAGTATTGTTCCTTTCCTTTTTTACAAAAGAGCCTTGAAATATGTTTAAAAATATTTTATGAGGTCACACTAAAAAAAAAAAGAGTAATTGGAAGAAAAATTCTGCTTGTCTAAGCGAAGAGCACATTTGTAGCGGTAGGGTAAATGTTTTATCGATTGAGAAGCTGGGAAACTCAAGTCATTACTCACCATGGGCTAAAGAATAATTGCTAATGCTCTGGCGGAAAGATTAAAAACAGTTTCTGGAAGTATTTCTTACAATGATCAATGGTGTATCATCCCAGGCCATTGGATCTTCAATAACATTTTTCCCTTTTGGGATACAATCAATTTTTATAATATGATTCATTTGCCAGTGGGCATGCTTTCTTCATACGATGAAAAGGCACTTATGCATCTTATATTGTTGAAAAGTAATCTTATACAGCCAAAGATCAGGCTGTGGTATAGAAACTCACCTGAATTCATCTCTATTTCAAATGGGTTTGGGAAATCACCTAGGGTGGAGGTTGTTTGGGTGAGGGGGAAAGGCGGTGGGCAGTTGCTAGCTTCTTTGTTACTGCTTTGTAACTCTTTAAGAATACTTTTAGCACACTCTGAAAACAGTTATGATCATCGTAACACAAAGATAGTGATGGAAGATGCTATATTAGATTTGAGCATATGCCTCTGTAAGCTTGACTCATTTACAACACTAATTACCATGGCAGAGCTCTCAGGTCAAGGGTTGCCTTACAGCTGTCTACTGGCTGCCCACATCTGACAAGGTCTTCAGCATCCTGCGGCAGAGCTCAACTTCGGTCCACTGCTGCTGAATCCATCAATGCATCTCTGCTTTAATAAATAACAGCTTCAGTCATGAGAGGATGTGCTCATTCCAAAGTTTCTCCCAGGAGAAAAAGCACTGAAAGCTTGGGCACAGTCACTTTTAGGCTCCAGCTTGCCATTGGACTTGTGGTGAGAGAACAGGATGGCACCATGTCCAGGATCTGCCAAATGAACAGGGAAAAAAGAATAGGAGGAAGGAGAAAAAGAGCAATACAGCCAAACCCAGGAAGTGATATAATATTCTTTTGATGGGTGACATGCACTCCAACCTGGAATTTTGTTTGCCTCTCAGAACAATAACGTTTATGAGATTACAGAATGGTTAATTCACTTTCTCCCTATTCCAAATTCTCCTCAATCAACACTCTGGCCCTGTACCCATGGCACTGAACATCCAAATTAAAATAAAAGAAAATAAAAGAATTCTTGAAAATATGGCTTAGATTCCTTATATTTCAAATATCTCCTTGTTTGATAGTGATATTATGCCCAGCCTACCACAGCCCCACAAGTGTTTCCATTTGAATGTTTACCGTGGTCTAGACACAGTCACTCATTACTTTTCAGTTTTGCCTGTTTCTAGTCTATTTATTTGGTGAACCAGGTCATTAGATTCATATTTCTTTTTTAAAAATTTCAGAAGGAAAAGTATTTAATCTTAAAAATATAAAAATTAAAATATATTATTAACATGTCTACAATGATTTACAGATTTTACTAAATAAAAAAGCTCTTATGTTTCTTCATAAAGTTATTGCAATTTTAGTCTTCCCAAAAGGAAATTTTAAATCATTCTTATCATCATAAAAAGAAATGGTGATTTTTTGAGTACTTGCTTAAGCCCAGCACGAAGTAAAAGCCAAATACTCATAAGATACATCTTATAAATATTCAGCTTTTTATTTGTTTTTACAACAACCCTACAAAAGTAGGGTTTTTGCTTTTTCTTTTTTACAAATTAGGAAATTGAGATGTAAAGAGGTTAAGTAACGCTACTAAGCATGGCCACAAAGCTAGGTTCTGGCAGAGCTCAGGATGGAATCAGCTCTGTCTACTCTGAAGGCAGGGTTCTTAGCTACCTCACTATGTTTCACACGCCATCAGTTTTACTGGCTCCCAATTTGCTAAGAATATGGATATAATCATGTAGGTTAACTTCTGAACCCAGAATTCAAGACCTTCCCTAATCTGTTCCTCGTGAACCACCCTACCAGTGTTATCTTTGGTAACTGATACTCTAAATCTTACATGCCTGACAAAAATTTCTTTTTGCTATTTCGTCTACTTGTGCCTTATATCTTTCTTCCTTTCCAATGTTACTTCTGCTGCTGCAAGTATCACATCCCAAATTTACCCTGCTAGAAGTTCTTTCTCAGCACTCGGAATTTCTACTTCACTTTGTTTCTTACTACTTTGAAAGTATTTTGTATTTCCTTATATTATAGTCATCTAAATATGTCATATATTTTATTTCTGTATTTGCATCAGTCTTGGTGCCTAGCACCATGCAAGATTCACAATAAGGTCTGAATTAATATTTGCTGAATAAATGAATAAAAGGTAGACATAACAATGTCAGTCCATCAGGAATAACAGATACTCTATTGAGAATGCCTTTTTTAAAATTTTTATTTTTTAATTTTTAAAAATTTTTTGAGACAGAGTCTTTCTGTGTCGCCCAGGCTGCAATGCAGTGGCGCAATCTTGGCTCACTGCAACCTCTGCCTCCCGGGTTCAAGTGATTATCCTGCCTCTGGATAATCACTAGTAGCTGGGACTACAGGCGTGCACCACCATGCCTGGCTAATTTTTTGCATTTTTAGTAGAGACAGGGTTTCACCGTGTTGGCCAGGCTGGTATCAATCTGCTGACCTCAGGTGACCTGCCTGCCTTGGCCTCCCAAAGTGCTGGGATTACAGACATGAGCCACTATGCCCATCTGAAAATGCCATTTTAAAACAATTCTAGATGTGCAAGTCATTCCCATAACAAAATTTTAGATTTTTAACCTAGCCAAGAATTAATTAGATCTTGGTCTTTGGATGGTGTGTTAATTTGCTGAGGGTGCCATAACAAAATAGCACAGACTGAATGGTTTAAATAGCAGAAATTTATTCTCTCACAGTTTTTGGAGGCTAAAAGTCCAAGATCAAGGTATCAGTAGGGTTGGTTTCTCTCTCCTTGCCTAGCAGATTTGTGTCTTCCCACTGTGTCCTCACATGGCCTGTCCTCTGTGCTTGTCATCCCTGGTGTCTCTTCCTCTTATAAGGGACACCGATTAGATTGGATTAGGGCCCACCCTAATGGCCTCATTTTAATTTAATAACCTCTTCAAGGACCTATTTCCAAATACATTTTGAGGTACTGGAGTTTAGGGCTCCAACATATAAATTTTGGAAAAATGCAACTTAGCCCATAATAGGGAGGTTTTGGGAAAAGATAGAAGGTGCTGTATTAGGATGAAAATATTAACAAGTAAAATGATTAGTTTGCAAATAACCATTTAGAGTCCCTGGTGCTATAATGCAGCCTTAGTTTTATTTGAAGAGTGGGCCACTTTGTTTAATGGTGAATCTGTCAGCAAACCCGAAAATACCTGAATTATACAATTTATAGTAATCGTAGTGAAAACCCAAGGCAATTTCAATTACAGAGCAATTCATCAAGTATGAGCTAGGACGGGAAGAGTCTGAAAACACAGATTGAGTTAGAGTGAGAGATGTTGTGTATGCAAAATTTCTTCTTCAATACAGACGTGGGGGGCGGGGGTCTCTCCAGAATGATATAGCAAAGGATGATTCTTCCAAAAATTGTGTTTGCTCCAACTCTTGGAAGATACTTTTGATGCTCCAACGAAGTAGAAAAGAGCTCATAGATTTTCAAGGCTGCAACTCAAGCCAGAGGTATGCTGTTAATGGTTCAAGACAGGGGAAAATTGTAATATATGGCCTCCAAATTTACACTCTTCCTGACCCGGGTAATGAAACATGAACCACACATTCAGCTTTTGATAAAGTAGTGCTCAGTTGTGCAGTGAGGGACTGCAGGTAAGTATTTATTTCTCTGGCTGCAATCCGAACTTGTCCTTGACTGGCAAGGCTTTTGCATTAACCCTTTTTGCAGAGGATTCTGAGGAGTTTGGCCCCAGTGATGAAGTTTTACTACATTTACCACCCATCCTTCAGGTTTTCATTTTCTTGGAATTATTTTAGTTCTGCGTGCTATTGCTGCTTCAGCTCTGCATGCTATTGCTGCTGTTACAACAACAGCACCATGTTGAATGATTACAAATTACAGTTGAAGAAAAGGAGATAATTTCTGTGCAACATTTAGTCAGCCTTTAATAAGAAAAAAAAAAAAAAGGTATGTTAGTCCCTTCGCATTGCTATGAAGAAATATCCGAGACTGGGTAATTTCTAAAGAAAAGAGCTTTGTTTGGCTCATGCTTCTGCAGGCTGTGCAAGAAGCATGACACCAGCATCTGCTTCTGGCGAGGGCCTCAGAAAGCTTATAATTATGGTGGAAGGCAAAAGGGAGCCAGCATGTCACATGGCGAGAGAGGAAGCAAGACAGAGAGGTGGAGGTGACAGGCTCCTTTTTTAAATAACCAGCTCTCGTGTGAACTCACAGAAGAGGTCACTCATTACCATGAGGAGGACAGCAAGTGACTCATGGGGGATCGGCCTTCATAACCCAAATGCCTTCTACTAGGTCCACTTCCAACATTGAAGGTCACATTTCAACATGAGATTTGAGGGGAACAAAACATTCAAAACATATCAGCAGGCTGTCAGAACTTCCCATCTCAGAGATGCACCATCCTTGGGCAATTTTGTCATTTTGGAAACATCATAGAGTGTACTTACAGAAACCTAGCTGGGATAGCATACTATGCACCTAGCTATAGGGTACAGTTTATTATTTCTAGGCTACAAAACTGTGCAGGATGTTACTGTATTAAATACTGTAGGCAACTGTAACACAATGGTAAGTGTTTGTGTATCTAAACATAGAAAAAGATAGTAAAAATATATCTTATGAGACCACTGTCATATATGTGGTCCGTCAATGACCAACATGTCTTTATGTAGAATGTGACTGTATTCCTGTAGTGAGAGCTTCAAAGTGAAACATAAGGCTTGGCGTCAAGGAAGGAGGAAGGGGTGTTTGTGTGTGCATGTGTGTGTATGTGTATGCTTGCATGCAGGTATTCTAAGTGGAATGAAGAAGACCATGATTTTGGGGAAGAAAATGGAATCAGTCTTTGAAGGAGAGAGCTAAAAGAATGGGCTCCAGGCTGGGCAGCTTATGAAAGAATAACAAAGAAGGCCTGACACTCACCACTTCATGGAAAGGGCACTGGAACAGAAACAAAAATAATGAAGACCAGTAACAGTCCAAAAAATGGAGGAGCAGTTTAATCCCATGGGAGAAGAAAGGTTGTAGCTTTGAGCTGAGTATGTGTCTCAGCTTCTTGGGAGGTGGCTTGCACAGGGACTTGGAGTGCACCCTCAAGAAAATGGCACGTGGGGGCCCACAACCCTTACTGGGGTGGCACAGAGGCAGCAAAGCTAGGACTTCAGCTGGGCATTACTTCAGCAACCTGGGAGAGCAAAAGACCGTGGAAGATTGTGGCAAATTCCAGGCTCACTCTCTACTGCCTACTAAAAAAGCCATGGGAGCAGCCAGGGGCTCCCAGAAAATGAACAGAGGGTCTTTGGTATGTAGAATGGGCTTTTTCACTATCTGTGCACCCTGACTATACACTCAGAGGAAAAACATATTAGAATCCACTCAACACAGGGTTGTTTAAGAGATCCAAAGCCTTTAAGAAAAATCAGTGGCATCACATAAAATTTATTGAATATGGGAGTACAAATATGGTTTCATTCAGTGACTAACCAGCTATGTGGGTTTAGGACAGTTGTGTAATTTCTACGCGCTTCAGGTTATTCATGTACAAATGGGAATAATTGCCTCATAGAGGTAATGAAATATAAGTGAAAGCATAATGTAAATATTTATTGAGCACCTATTTTGTACCTATAACTAAGTATGAACAGCAGTTTCAGCAGTTGAATAAGGAAGGCAAAACTTTGGCCCTCATAGGGTATAGAAGCTTACATTGGAGTCAGGGCATATGACACTTAGGGATCACCAACACTTATCTGCTTAGTTCCCCTCAAAATTAGGCTGGAGCTATCAGACTTGATTCTAAAAACTAGATATAGGTGAATGTGGTATGAAAAAAATGGGGTCAGGCTATGGGATGTAGATGGATGTGATATAAGGGGACTGGGGTCTGGACATGAGATTTAGAGATTCAGGTGGATGTGGTGTGAGGGGACTTTGATCTGGCAATGGGATGTGGGTGGATGTGGTGTGAGGGCCTGGAGTCTAGCAAAGGGATGTAGGTAGATGTGGTATGAGGCCCCTGTAGTCTTGGCCCTCAGAAAACATTTCGCATGATCATCCCGCTGTCCCTCCCCTTCTGTGGCGACTATAATGGCCACATATTCCACATGCTGCAGCTACAGATGTGTAAATGCTACACAACCTACATCTGACAGTGGTAGGAGTCAACAACAGATTGCATTTCAGAATTGATCTGCTACCACGCATAGCCTCTCTCTAGCAAACCTGAGGCATGCCAACATGGCCTGCCATGGGAGTGAATGAGCTTGGAAGCATATCCTCCTCCAGTTGAATCTTGAGATTGCTGTAGCCCTGACACCTTAGTTGTACCCTGTTGAGAGAACTTGAGCCAGAGGCATTAAGCTAAACTGCACTCAGATTCCTGACCCACAGAAACTATAAGGCTGTAAATGTTTTGTTGTTTTAAGCTTCTACGTTTTGGGATCATTTGTTACACAATAGATAATCAATACAAACCCACATGTTCATCCATACGTGAATGGATGAACAAACTGTGGTGCATCCATACAATAGAGTCCTCCTCAGCAATAAAAAAGAATGAATGGTTGATACACACTACAACATGGATGAGGCTCAAAATAGTTATGTTGAATGATGGAGACCAAAAAAAAGAGTACCTACTATGAGATTCCATTGATATAAAATATAGAAAATGAAAACTAAACTACAGTGGAAGAAAGCAGATGAGTGACTGCCTAGGAATGGGGGAGGGACCAAGAAAGGTTGGGGGCAAAGGATTACAAAGGGGCGTGAGGAAACTTTAGGAGGTGATGGGTATGCTCACTGTCTTGATTGTAGTGATGGTTTCACAGATATAAACATACCAAAACTTATCAAAATGTACCCTGTAAATATACGCACTTTATTAGCTCAGTAAATGAACTGTAATTCAATAAAGCTTTTAAAAATGTCTTTGTCTATACAACTCTGAAATCACCCTTTTTATTGAAAGAAGTTATTTTTTTTTCCAGCACTTTGTAAATCCAGTGGCATCCTCTGCATCCTAGTCTTGCATTTGATAAATTTGCACTTTCCTATTCTATGTCTATGAATCTACCCACTTAGGGTCCTCTGTTAAAAGAATACCATCAATTACAACACCCACATCCTTTCAAAATAATGAGCTATTAAAAGTCATTGTCTCCCCACTCATCTAGTTTGTAGATAGTTCATTTACTCTTCTGGCACTGACCTTCGTCTTCAGACGACACCCCCTTGAGACAAAACCCTGGACTCCTGGATTTGTGCATTCCCAACCCAGGCACAATCTAAGGAAGCTTGTCAGATGAGTGTTTGTTCAAACAAGTTTATTGGCAGTATAAAGAGGGATCAAGGATACATTCTATACTTTGTAGGTTTACAGGGAAAAAAACAAGACTAAACAACAACAATAACAAAAAACCCTCTTGAAGCCTCAGCTTTCAAGGTTTTAATTGAGGCAGAGGGTTAGAGGGTTGAAGCCAATCCTCATCTTTTCAGACCTCTTTACCGTAATTTGATGGGGTTTTGCTTCCTCATGTGAACTGCCACATTTATTGCTAGTCTTCACTCACTCATCTCTTTAACTTCCCCACTGCTTTGGCAGCTATCTGAAGAGTCACCAGTCTACCAAACTTGGACATGAAGTGCGAAATCTAGATAAAATTCTGATATGACCTTAACACCTTCCAGATTACGTATTCAAACTGTTGAAACCTTTTTATGGCTGAATAAGTGTCCAGAAGCCATAACTTAGAAGATACTTAATAGATTCTATAATGAATGAATTAATGGATCATTTAACTTCTGCAGAGCTGAATACTGGTCAGTGGTTTTAATTATTTCCTGATTGGATGAATTACATTTATTATTTCTAGGATTTGCTAAGGAAATGTTTCCAAATAACATTTTAGTTAATGGACATATACAAATAAATATATGTTACAGGCATAGCCATTTACAAAGTCATAATTTAATTGTATACTTTTTATGATGAGGGTTATATTACAAAGTTATCAACAAACTCTGTTATATCTCACTCCTAAGAAAAGAATTGCTAGGAGTCTCTTGAATATTTTGAGTAACAATATGCCTGTCTGATCCTGTAAAATTTCTTTCTGCAATGTGAGTGTCAAAGAGAACTGTAGACAGAGTGTACACAACCCATCAATGGCTTCCCCTGACATCTAATTCTCTTCTCATGCCTGCTTTATTTGTTTACTCTTTCCATTCTCTTGTCATCTAACACCACAACAACTCTCTTAGCTCTGCAGAGCAGGTGATGTTTGTTTATAACAAAGCTGTGTCAGGGCTGAGGCAGGCCAGAGGTGAAATGTACAACCCCATGCTTTCTTCTAGTATCATAGTCTCACTTGAAAACCAGAGAATTAATTTAAAGTCAGCGCCATATGGGAGCTGAGGGATAAGGATAGGATGAATCAGAAGGCAAACATCTACTAGAATAGTGTATGTGAATAGGAGGTGGGGCTCTGGAGTTTGAATCAAAGATGATGAAAAGAGAGTATGACATCAGTTCCAAGGAAGGAAAAACTAAAGGGCTGCTCCTCCATGCTGGGTAAATTATGGAGAGAAGTAAATGAAGTCTGAATTACAGCTCCATTACTAAAAGCTATGTGACCTTACTGTCTCAATGTCCTCATCTATAAAATGGAGATAGTAATACTTAATCTACTCATGCCCCAAATCCAACATGTGGTAAATAATATAAAATGTGTAAATCTTTTAGAATATTTCCAAACACAAAATAACTTCTTAGAAAATGATGCAGTATTTCTGAAATATATTCCAAAGTGTACTAAGAGGAAATTTTATTTTATGGCTTGTTACTGTGCATTACATAAAAAACAGTTCTGTGGTAAAATTAATTACAATATATGAAGTTAAATAATTTTAAGTTGCTTTAAAAAATGTTGGAACTCTGAAAGCCTTTAATATACTAATATTTATGGGAGAAATACTGTATCCAGTATTTCCCAAATTTATTGGACCAAAGAGCCATTTGGCTACATTCTATGGAACACCCATTGACAGTGGTCAATTACCTGATAGAAAACCAATAATTCACTTAGGGTACTAAGAATGAGAAAGGTTAGCTCCAATGAATTTGTTCACTTCTAGAAAAAAGCTAGCTTTAGTTTACATGTATTTTATATTTTAAAGTCAAATATTACTTTATTATGTAGTTATTACATAATAAATGTGAAATAAGTATCAGAAGCACCAAAATCTTCTCAATATTCATGGCTTCTAAAGGCCCTAATTCAGCCCAGCTCTTGGAGAAAAACTAGTTTATTATGGCTTGACTCCACCCACATAGAATTAATAAATAAGAGGACCTAGCAGATAAGAGTACTCAATATCACTCAGGAATTAGAGAACTCGGAGCATTAATGGATTTTTCTAATGATAAAGGGTCTATTTACCAAGAAAATGAAACAATTTAAAATATGTATACACCCTAAAATTAGAAGGCAGAGGGACAACCCTGGTGGGCCTGGCAGGCAGAGTCACCAGTCTAGTGGGCCCAGAGGACAAAACATTGAACCAAAGAGACTATTCCCAAGCATTACAAAACTTTGCTCTACTAGACTTCATACTTGCTTGAGACCTGTGACTTCTTTTTTCTGTTGAATTTCTTCCTTTTGGAATGGGAATATCTATTCTATTTGTGCCTCACCATTGTATTTTGGAAGCAGATAATGTGTTGTCTTACGGTTTCCTTAGGTTCACAACTAGAGAGAAATTTTACCTCAGGACAAATCATACTTTGAGTCTCACCTATACCTGATTTAGATAATATTTAAATGAGATTTTGGACTTAGAGTTGATACTGGAGTGGATTAAGACTTTGGGGGGGAAGAGGCTATTGGGATGGGGTACATGTATTTTGCATGTGAGAAGTACATGAATTTAGGGGGACCAGAGGAGGGAGTGTTATGGGTTAATTTGCATTCCCCCCATATTCGTAGTTTGAAACCTTATTGTCCAGCACCTTGAAATGTGAATGTATTTGGAGATAAGTTATTTAAATACATAATTAAAGTTAAATGAGGTCATTGGGCTGGAACTTATTTCAGTATGGCTGATGTCTATGTAAGAGTAGTTTGGGATGTAGACATACATAAAGGAAAGAACATGTGAAGATAGAAAAAGAAGATGACCATCTGTAAGTCAAGGAGAGAAGCCTCCGAAGAAACAACCCTGCCAATACCTTGGTCTTGGACTTTAAGCATCCAAAACTGAGAAAATCAATTCCTTCTGTTTAAGCCACCCAGTCTGTGGTACTTTGCTATGGCAGTCCTAGAAAACTAATACAAATCCAAAATACATGAAATAAACCTGACAGAATGAAAAAGAGAAACAGGCAAATCCATAATTACAGTCACAGATGTCAACACTTCTTTTTTAATAATACATATAACTAATTAGTAGAAAAACAGTAATGATATAGAAGAACTGAACAGTATTATCAGCCACCTAGCTGTAATTGACATTTATATTATAATTTGTGATTGTGATTGTTTTGTAACTGAATTGACATTTATATAATACCACCAAACAATAGCAAAACACATATTCTTTTTAAGTGCATATATTCACCAAGATAGAACATATCTTGGGTCCCAAAAGAAATATTAATAAATTTCAAAGAATTGAAAATCGTAAAATGTATGTTTTCTAATAACAGTAAAATTAAACTAGAAATCAGTGACAGAAAGACAACAAGAAAGTCTCCAAACTAGCAGTTTAACAATATGCTTCTAAACAATCTATGGGTCAAAGAAGCAGCAAGAAAATTTTAAAATATGTTGAAATGAATGAAAATAAATTTACAATGTATCAAAATTTGTAAAATGCAGCCAAATCAGTGCTTAGAAGGTTTTTCGAACATTAAATACTTATATTGGAAAAGAATAAAGTTCTCAAATCAACAATCTAAGCTTCCACCTTAAAATCAACAAATTTTAAAACAACCATAACGGATAGAAATTAATAAAACTAAAACCTTAGTTTAAAAAAATCCAACTAAAATCTTGCTTTTAAAAATCTTGTCTTTTAAAACTGATGAACTTTTAACAATACAGTCAAAGATAAAAGAGAGATGACACAAATTACTAGTAACAGGAATGATAGACGGGATATTACTCTCGATGATGCCTTTATAAGGATAATAAGGGAACACTACAAACAACTCTATACACGTACTTCAACAATTTAGATGAAATGAACCAGTTCCTCAAAAACACATAAAAGCAAAACTCTCCAAAGTTGAAATAGATTAACTGAAGGGTCCTTAACTATTTAATAATTTGAATTTACAGTTGAAAATCTCTAAAAAGAAATCTACAGACCTAGATCATTTTACTAATAATTCCACTAAATGTTTAAGAGGAATTAACAATGATTCTAAATGTATCTTTCAGGAAGCAGAAGAATCAGAAAACACTTACTAACAATCTTTCTTAGGCCAGCATTATCCTAACACCAAAATAAGACAAAACACTTCAAGAGCTCTATAGACCAGTAGCCCTCATGAACATAGATACAAAAATGTTCTCAAGAAATACCAGCAAATTGGATTCAGTAATATACAAAATGAATAATAATTATATACAACCAAGTAGAATTTATCCCAAGGCTGGTTAAATATTTGAAAATTGCTCAAGGTAATCCACCAAATGAACATTCTGAAGAAGAAAACCCAGATGACTCTATCAATAAATGCAGAAAAAAGTTTGACATAATTCAAAATTCATTCAGTATAAAAACTTTCAGTAAACCAGGAATAGAAAAGAACTTCTACAACCTGGTAAAAGGCATCTACAAAAATCTTACAGCCTAAAACACACTTAAAGGTGAAAGATTACTTCCCTCAAGACAAGCAAAGAGGTAAGAGAATTCTTTCTCAATACCCCTTGATATCATACTGGAAGGCATTGTCATTTTAAAAGGCAATAAAAATAATTAAAAGGTACACATATAAGAAAGGAAAAATTTAAACTGTTCCTATTTATAGATAACATAATTATGTAGAAAATCTCAAAGATTATACAAAAAACTTTCTGTAATGAAAATATGGGTTTAACAAAGTGACAGGAGCCACAGTCAATACAGCCACAAAATTTCTTTTCAGATTTCTATATACTAACAATATATCATTGGAAATGGAAATTTTATAGATAGTTATCTCAATATCTCCCCAAATGAAATACATAAGTAATTTTTGAAAAACGCTTTCAGGATCTATATGCTAAAATATATAAAGTGTGTGTGAAAGATATCAAAAATACAAATAAATAGAGAACATACATGTTCCTGGAGTGAAAGACTCAAAATAGTAAAGATCTTCATTTTATCCATATTGATTTATATTATTAATGAACAAATTTTATTAAAAATCCCATTAAGATATTTTTGTAGATACAGAGAAACTGATTCTAAGATGTGACCCTAATCTAAACAGAAAATTAATTTTGTTATATATACACCTTATACATGTACCCCAAAGATAATTGTATACAATATTTTAAATAATTATGTGCATGAAACGGAGTTCACAACCAACCAAAAGCAAAGGTGTCACTGTCTCAGATGCCCATGTGGACAATCTGTGGTTGCTTGACAATTACCATCATTCCTGACTCTGAATTTATATGCTACAGATAAGCAATCATTTTATTACATTTATTCACACATAAGTACTTAACAGTAAAAAAGATAACATGCCATTAATACTATGAACAAATCGTGTGTTCAGGATAACTAAGCAACAAAGTAGCATCACCCACCAGAATACCTGTATCCGATGTTAAACAACAGCAACACCAAACAATGGCTGCAGTCTTCACCTACAATGCTGTACAGATGAGTGTACATTGTATTCTATATTTTTAGTCGCAAAGTAACATCAGAAGCAACTGAGAGCCTGGGAAGTGAGCCTCTAGGGTTGAGGAGTCATTCTGAATAGACTGTGTGTGTTTTATATGCCTGCATTTTGACTGTGACCTGTGACATGAGATCAGGAGAGGAATTTTTCACTAATAGTGTGTTATGTTAACACTCAAAAAGTTTTGGATTTTCGAGTATTTCATATTTTGAATTTTCAGATTAGGGAAGCTCAACCTACATATACTTATGATACGATCCAGCAATCTTACTCCCGGGTATTTACCCTAGAGGTAAAAAAATTTATGTTCACCCAAAACCCTATAAATGGATGTTTACAATAGCTTTATTCTTAATAACCAGAAGTTGGAAATAAGTGTCCTTTAGTGAATGACTCGATAAACAAGCTATTGTATATTCATAAATAGAATATTATCTATCAATAAAAAATAAACAGATTATTGACATCCATGAAGGCATTATACTGAGTGACAAAGGCCATTCACTACAAGTCAAAACTGTATGATTCTATTTATACGACATCATGGAAAAAAACAAAACTATAGTAGAGAACAGATCTGTGTTTTCTAGGAGTTAACGGTGGAAGAAAAGTAGGACTTCAAAATCCTTCATCTAGTTTGAGGATAGGATTTGTTTTTTACTTATCATTTATTCTGTTTATTTATTTTTAATGTACATGAAATGTTTCTATTCTGGGGGCCTAGAATTTTGGAATGTGAAAAGAAAACAAAAATTCATTATTATTATTTTTTTATTTCCTGCCATGTTTTTTCTTCCCTAAGGCAGTCACCATAGATGGCTGAGCTAATTAAATAGGAAGGACCAAAGACAGGAGGAGATAACAGCAGTGACATTCAACATTCGTTTACTGATGAGTAAATTCACCCAAGGTCACATAGGGCATAAGTGACTAAAGGGCATTGAAAATTGAGTCATAAGAACTTTTGTTGTGGTGAAAAAAGCAGGAGGGCCACATTATAATTTCATGGGCCCCAGGCACTTTTACCTTTATGGACTTTTTTTTCCTTGAGAATAGTAATATTAAGTATTATCTTTGATATAATTTTAAATACTTCAACATTTTTTAAATTTTAAGCAAAATTTAATAGATTTTCAAGGGCTCTAAAATTTTCATTTTCTTTACATTTTCATTTGAAGAAAATTAAAGTTTTTTTCCAACCATAAAAGTTCATCTTTTCTCCTTATTTTAAAAGAAACTTCTCTGTATAGTAAGTATAATGTGGATACACATCATTATACCTTTGTTTAAACTCATAAAATGTATGACACCAAGAGTGAACCCTAATGTAAACTATGGACTGTGGGGGATAATGATGTGTTAATGTAGGTTCATCATTTGTAACAAATGTATCACTCTGGTGGGGAATATTTTTAGTGAGGGAGGCTCTGCATGTTTGGGGGTAGAGGGTATATGGGAATTCCCTGTACCTTCCTCTCAGTTTTGCTGTGAACTGCTCTAAGAAATAAAGTCTCTTAAGAAGAAACAACAACAACAACATTGTTTTGGCCTCCTAAATGTATTAGGGGCCCCCAACAATGTGCCTGCTATGTCTAGTGGATAAGCTGTGCTGTACCTGCAAAGTAGTCACTAATCTAAAAGTTGGAAAAGTTCTTTAAATGTCTTAAAGGAAAGGCATGATAGCAGTATTACAAAAATGATACTTCTGACTCCAGGATGTCTAAAGCAGACTTCAGGGAAAGAGTTGACACACAGTTGTCACACTGGTAGGAAAATTCATTTGAATCTATGGGTCTTCAAATTTTCTTTATAATAACTCAGACTCTTTCATCCACACCTGAATACTATATATTGTCATGGTGGTGGTGAAGAGAAAACAAATAATGAAGGGATCAGATCCCAGGTTTTTGGAAGACTGTCAATCAATTATATAGCTTTCTTTCTCCATAGTTGCAGGTACCACACCAATTGAGCTCCCTGAACAAGCCGCGATGGGCAGTGGCTGGGTAGACAGATAATTACTTGCAACCACTACGAGGCAGAATGAAATGGGCTTTTTCCACCTGTAGGCTCCCTGTTCTTTATCAAGAAGCCCTGTATTTCCCCCTGCCCTCTAATTGGGAAATGTCACCGGGAATCACCCTTTGGTCAACCTCTCAAATATCATTGAATTTATTTAACCTGCATCTCTCCTTAGTCATTTCTTCTGTTGCCCATGTTAGTGCCTTACTCATGTGTTTGCTCTGCCTCAAGTACTCTTTTTCCTTTTTTCCTTTTTCATTTATCAGCCTCCCGGTGAACTTTTGAGACCTAGCTTCCAAAGCCACCTATTCCATGGCTGCTCTTAGAATTAATATCGCTTTTCCTTCCATGGAAATTCTAGTTATCTCTATTTTTACCATAAAACACGTGTTGTAGTTCACTGTAATATGCCCTTTCCCAGCTCCAAGAAGAGAGCACTTCTTTTGTTTTTCTGTCTTCCATTCTGCCTGAGCAGTATTCAAAAGCAATTGTTGGATCTGGAGATTGAGTTGAAGTTCATTCTTTAGGTTCATCATTACTGTAATTCTTTCCATTTACTCTCCCAGCTACATTGATTTACAAGATGTGAAATATGCAAGCATTAGGCGTTTGAGCTGATGCATGTTGCCAAGCACTTCAGTCAATCCTCAATTTCTCTGAAATGTTGTACTTCAAAGAACCTGTTAAGGATTCAGGAAGCAGCCACTGAGTTAAGTCTCTGTATTAGATCAAGTAGTTTGTTAGAAACCACCAGTGACGCCTATAAGCAAGATCCCCAATTACCTTTGATCACAAAGTCTTTAGTAGCTGCTAGTGTACTCAGGAGGAGACGCCTTACACTTCCCCAAGTCCAAGTTCTCAATGGGAGTGTCTGTACTGATCCTGCTTCCCTGTACTTCACTCCAACTTTGTCAGGATTTTCTACAATAACATATACAATTGTAATAGCTAATATTTCCCAAGTGTTTACTCTGTTTCAGGACACTATTTGCTCCTTTTATATGTTTTGTCACTTTCACTTCAAAAATTCCACAGGTAAGTAACACTATTACCATTTAAATAATGATGAAATACATTTTAATTGGATCAAAATGATTAGACATATTTTTGCACAACCCTATTGGTTGTAAGATTACATCTTCTAGCCAGTCTGCAGGATAAAGGGAAAAGTAGAGATGAAGGTGATGATAGGGAGTTGTGTCTCCTCAAAGTTGTTAACGTGGCCTAACCTTGCGTTACATTACATATCTCACAAGTACTTTGTACAGTGCAGGTTCCCATGAAATGTTGGCACTGCTTCATATTTATATAAACTCTTGATTACCTAAAAATACAAGGACAAGGAAAAGTAGTGCTTTTAATTCTGCAAGAAGAGGTTTGAAGTTTGGAGGAAAGAAATACTGGAAATCAAAGATAATGCATTCAGAAGTTCATGCCTAAAACACCAGCTTTTATACTTCAGCACACTTGGAGGAGGCCCTACATACCTGAATGTTCCTGCTGGGCATATTTCCTGCCCTTTCTTTCTAATGAGATAGAAGAAGAAGAAAGAGGAGAAACAACACAAACTTCACAAATAAATACTTGAAGTTATTGAGGTATACGAAGAGAAGATAACAAAACATATGTTTTTAATGGTACTCTTCTTGCATTTAGGTCGTACTCCCTTCCAGAATATCTGTATCTAAGAGTGAATGGGCGGGTAATGGGGAGGACTCAACCATATCATATCAAGAAAATCATATCAAGAGAATGCAACAAAATAGAGAATGTCCTTTCTGTTTTCAAGATTTGAGAGCTACAGAGTCTCAATGCATTTTATAAACCTTCCCCCCAGTACCCACTGTGGTGTAGGAATAAGTGAGCATTAGAATTACCATATGGTAGAAAGTTTCTGTGGCTCTAGGTTTGGCCTTTAAGGACTGTGTAGAGCTTCCCTAGCACATGCATGTGTTCATCCCACTAGCCTAGGAAAGATCTCTTAAAACTAAGATTTTATATAATAAAAAAGGAGCATCAATGGATTATCAGATGTTGGAATTAAGATCTGATAGTGCTGCTTATAGCATGTGTATACATTTGGTGGAGTCACATAAGAAAACAAATTCCATTTTCTCATCTGTGGAGATAATACATGACAGAGCAGGAGCACCATCATTTCAGACAAACACCGCCACTTTAAGTTCCAGCTCCCTTTCTAGCCTCATGCATTTCAAGGAAATCACTTCTCTTCTAACTACAAGAAGCCAGAAAGAGCAGACACTAAAACACAGATAAGACAGCTGGGGCACAGAGTGGGTAGGGGGAAAGTCTCTTGGGTAACTGCCAAACTTCACCCTCATACAATAGGCCCCAGTAAAACAGTGGGCCTTAATAAGCACATTCCTTTCCCTTCAGGTGCACGAAGATAGGGAAGCTAAAAGCAGACTCAGGTATGCCTGCAACTGCAGAAAGATGTATGGGAACAGACCCACAACTCTCCCTCCCAGATAAGGACAACAAAGAGACACAGAAGCAGTCCAAGTCTCTGATAAGCTCTCCCACCCTGAATTCTTAAAAACTCTTAGTCTGTAAGAGAGTGCACCTTCTGACCTAACTCGGTCAGAAGTCCCTCCCAGGTTTGAAATAAACCTGTTGACTGTTGAGCCACATTTTGTGTTTCTCTCCTTTTTCTTTAATTCTTACAGTACCACGTATAATACTGATAACCAACCTAACAACACTGTTGTGGAGATTCAGTGGGAGAATATATGAAACTTGATTTGTAGCCTGTGGAAGAGCTATTCAATATTTACTTCTTATTCATGATTCTTTTTGAAGTTGAAATTTTAAAAACTAGGACAATGGTAATAAAATAGCTCACAAAAAGGAATAAGCTTAGCATTCACTTGGGGATTTGATATAAAACCATCCTTTTAAAATGTGCTTTTATTCTATGTGGACATTAACTTATCATAAATTATTTATTATGTCTTTGAGGATTGTTTAATCAAACAAAGACAATCAGAAAATGTGTAAGTCTCAGTGACTTCAGATACGCTCACAGGATTTGTTGTCTAAGACAAAACTTCTGTCATAGGACTGGGAGTACTGGATCAGCAAGATTTTGACTTTCCTTCCTCTTCTTTCCTCCATTAGCCCCCTCCCCCGGGAAGTCTAGGAATATCATTTTCTCACAGTATTCTGTTATTTTTCTGGGCCTCAATAGGGCCTACATGGTTCCTCCTTCATTAAACTTCAAAGCCAAGAGTAAAGAAGAGTTTCATGCATCTTTGCAAACATTAGGAAAAAGTCATAGATTCTATCAAATTTAGATTCAAAATTAATTTTTTTGTAAGCAAACCATGATCAATTTAAAGCAGCCAACTGAGATGGACAAGACAAATTTTCTCAATGCTATTTAAGAAAGTCCCTGTTAATGGTCTTGGGTAAGAACATTTGTAAACAGGACAGAAAGACTCTAGAATAAGAAAAATAATTCAAAGCAATGTGAAGAAAATCCAATTTTTCTAAATTTTTTATTATTTATTATGGCCCCTGATTCCTCCCTCCTATTGGCTAAGGGAGTCCCATAACGTGTAAAACAATGACAAGTTTAGAGAGAGGGTGCTTTCTAGTAAACTTGAAAGTCATGAAAGATAGTAAACAGATAGTAAACCATCTGTTCTTTTGGAGGACTTAATGGAAATATAATGAAAGACAAGAAATTGATTTCCACTGGAAATAGGAATTTTGCCAGGTGACAATACCATGATCAACCTCCTTACTTATGTTCCTGTTCTGCTTACTAGGAAGCACTTAGATAATTTGGCCAAGCTCATTATTTCAAGTTTGTTTCATGCTGACAGAAATAAAAATGATGCTCACATATTTGACATTCTAAAAACTGCTTTCAAAGTGTCATTACTGTGATTAACATTTTAGAATAACTTTTTCCTGTCATAGCTCATATGCAGTATCTTTTTGTCCATACATCCTTTTAAATAATACATCAAATTAAGCCCAGAAATACTCTCACTGGGTATCACTTTGATTCGTGTATGGATGTGGCACCACGTACCTAAGCCCAGTGCATGGGAGAGGGTTTCCATTTTTCAGCATTCTGAAATTCCAAAAGTAAGCCTAGCTTTGTATTTTTGCCAAATTTAAGCTTATGAGAACACTTTAGAGAGAGATTTTGCTTGTAAAATTGTGCTAGGGAAACAAGTTTCTTGACCGGTTACAAGGGAAAATGTAACCGAATGAGATACCTAATTAAAAAAAAAAGTAAGTAGCAGCAGTGATGAAGACTATCAGAAGTTTAGCAAGTAAAACTAAACATGGAATGTAAGTGCACATATTCGTATTTCAAACTTATTGGTGAAAACCTAGAGTCCATAGCCCCGATGGTCAAATACATTCATTGATTCCCAGAGTTCTCAGTTCCACTGGTCTCCATAGAGCAAGAATAGGACTGGTTTCATTTTCTTCCTTGGCTGATTGGTTTTGGAGATGCTGTTAATTGCTCCCTTCCCCAAGAAGTTGACCCAGTGTCCTCATGTATGTGTCTGTCATCATAAGAAATTGGAGGAAATACCATTCTGGACATATTGGTTACAACTGAAGCTCTTTAGAGGCCAGTAAATATTAATCCGGATACATGCGTGTCCACATTTATAATCTTTGCCTTGGCAGATTTCATGATGAAGTCTCCAGAAACAATTGCAGTAAAAACAAAAACAGACAACAGGGACCTAATTAAACTAAAGAGCTTCTGCACAGCAAAATAAACTATCAACAGAGTAAACAGAAAATGTACAGAATGGAAGAAAATATTTGCAAACTATGCATCCAACTAATGTCTAATCTCCAGAATCTATAAGGAACTTAAGCAAATCAACAAACAAAAAACAAACAACCCCATTAAAAATGGGCAAAGGACATGAACAGACACGTCTCAAAATAAGACCTGCAAGCAACCAACAAGCTTATGAAAAAATATTCCACATCAGTCATCATCAGGAAAATGAAAATTAAAACCACAATGAGATATCATCTCACACTGATCAGAATGGGTATTATTAAAAAGTGAGAAAATAGCAGATGTTGATGAGGTTGTAGAGAAAAGGGAATACTTATACACTGCTGGTAAGAATGTAAGTTAGTTCAGCCACTGTAAAAAGCAGTTTGGAGATTTCTCAAAGAACTTAGAACTACCATTCGACCTAACAGTCCCATTACTAGGTATATATCCAGAGGAATATAAATCATTCTACCTAAAAGACATATGCACTTGTATGTTTATTGCAGCACTATTTACAATAGCAAAGACATAGAATCAATCTAGATGCCTATAAATAGTGGACTGGATAAAGAAAATGTGGTACATATACACATGGAACAGTACACAACCATAAAAAGTATGAAATCCTGTCCTTTGTAGCAATATGGATGCAGCTGGAGGCCATTATCCTAAGTGAATTAACACAGGAATAGAGAACCAAATACTGTAGCTCTCACTTATTGGTGGGAGCTAAACATTGAGTACACATGGACACAAAGAGGGAAACAATAGACACTGGGGCCTACTTGAGCGTGGAGGATAGGAGAAGGGTGAGAGTGGAAAAACTACCTATCAGGTACTATGCTGGGTGATAAAATTGTTTGTACACCAAATCTCAGTGACATGCAATTTATCCATGTAACAATTCTGCACAAATATTCCTTGAACCTAAAACAAAGTTGAAAAAGAAAAAAAAAATTAGGTACAATAATGAATATGTATTAAGAAAGAAAAAATAAATCATGATAAACTACAAAAAAACAAGTTGGGACACCAAGCGTTTACATTTGCATGGCAAGATAGAAACATAGACACAACTTTTTGCCATTGGTGGTAAGTTCCAAGTGGAAATTCTTAAACTCCTTGCCAAATTTAATCTTGAATGGGGTATGTAACCTGAGGTATGGGGCATAGGGCAGTCATTCTTTACATGAGCGTTCTGAGCATATTGGCTACAACTCAGGCTCTTTAGGGGCCAGTAAAAATATTAATCAGGATTTATGTGTGTCCACATGTGTAATATATCATTTGAAAATCTACAGCCCAGTTTTACTTTTCTATTCCTTCTTAACAATGCCTATTACAAAGGGCTATACAAATTTCTCAGGAAAAACAAACTAAAAAGCTAATCTATTAATGCACCACTCTGATTTTCCCTATGTTGTATTATTTAGGCTGGTTAGAATCAAGATGCGTAAGATGTCAAGATGCCTATAAGATTGACTTAATATCTTTGACTTAAAGTTGTGGCACAAGACTTGAACCATATGACTTCTAGCTCCCACTGCTTAAGCCCTACCAGCTTTTTCCATGGCCAGATAGAAGGAGATGAAGGGAGGAGTTGACTTAAGCCTGAGGGTGTGGAGAATTTCTCCAAGGCTGTGGAAGTTAGGGAGCATAGAACCCTTGGGTTTATGGATACACCACATATAAGATCTCTTCAAGGAAAAAGGTTGACAACCGGAATGAAATGCTCAGTGGAACCCTCTACCTAACTTTCCAGTTGTGTTTCTTATTTATACCCTGGTTTAAAAATTGCAAATGGTTTGATGTGGTGTTTTCTTTTTTGTTTGTTTTTTTGTTTTTGCTATGGGCAAAATATAAGAATGCTAGCCACTATACCAGAGCCACCGGACAACTATACCATTACTCTGTTATGTTCAAAAACTAGGGCAAAAGAAGCCAAGGAAAGAAGCTTTCTCCCTGCTGTACTGAGGAGAAGATGAGGAGGTGTTCTCCCAAGTCCAAAAGAAAGAAGTAGTTCTGAGTGAAGAGTGTCCTCACAAACTTTGACTCTCAACCTTCAGTCATATGTCCTACGAACTTGTTGATAAAGTCCATTCTTTGGCTAGTATTCTTTCTTTCATTTGTAATCATAGGATGGTTAGTATCTTCCCATATTAGAGAGTGAGGATATCACCTACTTGTGTCCCAGCAATTAATAATAGTCCAGATGGCATCAGGTGGGGGAAGAATAGGGAATAGAGGGAAAGCAGCTTACCACATGCAGGATTTCTTCATTAGAAAAGTGATGAAATTTTAAAATTGTTCTAATTATTAATTTATATTAATAGACGTTATTTTTAGGGCAGTTTTAGGTTCACAGAAAAATTCAGCCAAGTACAGAAAGTTTCTACACCCTCTTTATCCACCCAGTTTCCTCTATGATTGATGTCTTTCATTAGTGTGATATATTTGTTACAATAAATGAACCAATATGGATACATTATTATTAACTGATATAGTTTGAATATTTGTCCCTGCCCAAATCTCATGTTGAATTATAATCCCCTATATTAGAGGTGGGACTTGGTGGGAGGTGTTTGGATCATGGGAGTCAATTCCACATGGTTTGGTGCTGTCTTCGTGATAGTGAGTTCTCACAAGATATGGCAATTTAAAAGTGTCTATGTGTGTGTGGCGGCGGGGGGGGGGGGCGGTGCCACACACACTTTCTCTCTTGCTCCAGCTTCACCTTCCACAATGAGTAAAAGCTCCCTGAAGCCTCCCCAGAAGCAGACGCTTCTATGCTTTCTGTAGAGCCTGCAGAATCATGAGCCAATTAAACCTTTTTTTAAAATTAATTACTTGGCCTCAGGTATCTCTTTATAGCAATGCAAGAACAGCCTAATATTTTAATTAAAGCCCATAGTCCACCACTGATCTTTTTATTGTCTCCATACTTTTACCTTTTCCAGAATGTCACACCTTTTCCAGAAATGTAGCCTTTTCTCATTGGCTGTTATTCAGGGAACAAAATACACTCCGGTTTCCTGCATGATTTTTTGTGATTTGATAGCTCATTTCTTCTGAGCACTGAATAATATTCCATTGTCTGGCTATATCACAGTTTGTTTATGTATTCACCTACTGAAGAATATGTTGGTTGCATTCGTGTTTTGGCAATTATGAATAAAGCTGCTCTAAACATTTGTATGCAGGTTCATGTGTGGACATAAGTTTTCAAATAATTTGGGTAAATACCAAGAAGCATGATTGCTGGATTTTATAGTAAGTGCATGGTTACCTTTGTAAGAAACTACCAGGCTTTCTTCCAAAGTTACTGTATCCTGTTGCATTCCCACCAGCAATAAATAAAAGCTCTTGTGCTCAACATACTCACTAGCATTTGATATCGTCAGAGTTTTGGATTTTAGCCATTCTAATACATATGTAGTAGTATCTCATTGTCATTTTAATTTGCAATCCCCTAATGACATATGATGTTGAACATTTTTTCTTGTGCTTATTTGCAATTCAATATTCTTTTTAGGGAGATGTCTGTTCATATCTTTTCTTCACTTTTAGTTGGATTTTTTAAATTGTTGAGTTTTAAGAGTTTTTATGTATTTTGGGTATAATTCCTTTATTAGATATGTATTTTATGAATATCTTCTCTAGTGTAGCTTCTTTTTAAAATTCTCTCTGCAATAGTCTTTTTTAGAGCAGAAGTTTTTAATTTTGATGAAGTTCCACTTATCAATTTTTTTTCTCTTATGAATCGTACTTTTGGCCTCATAGCTAAACTTTCAGAAGGGCTTCAAGATGGCTGTCTAGAAGCATTTCATGCCCATCTCCTCCACTTAGAACGAAAATAATGCATAGAAAGTCACACTTCAAATACATTATCCAAAGAGAATGTTAGAGTTCAACAGAGAAGTGAAGGAAACACCAAAAACAGGGAAGGAGAAGGAAGAGAGGCAGCCTACCTGGCCAAGATCAGCTGGCAGCTGGCAGTGACTTCCCAACATGGGGAAAAGGTGAGTGAGTGACTTGTGGACAGTGGCCTACATCCTCACCATTGGATCCTGAAATCCTGGCCATGGGAGAACACTTTGATCCTGCTAACCCCTGAAACTAACATAGGAAGCTGCCATGGGACAGAAGTGCTCCAGGGATGGGGCTTGCACTGGGTCCCACACCCTTTCTAAGACCCAAGTGTCTACAGCAAGTCACCATTTTCAAACCTAGCCTTTGGCAGACTGCATGCTGTCCTGGGTCCCAGTAGTGCCGAAACAAAGGCATTACAGAAACCTGGGCAGTTGCTACTGAGACTGAAGAGAGAGCTGGAAGTGCTCCCACAGCCTGGGCTAAGAAGCAAGTGAGATGTGGGCTGTAGCAGTCAGTGCCAGGAAGCAAGTATCACTGGGACTGAGACAGGAATGTAAGCAGAGTGTGAGTTGCCACTGGAATGTAACTGGGAGCTAGGTGGGGAATCCTGCAGCCAGGATGAGGGTTTGAGCTAGGCATGGACTACTGCCACCAGGGATGGAAGATGAGCCTCACTGGGACAGGGAATAAGAGGGATATGCATTCCCCACTAGCTGCCCAAGCTGTGGCCACCGAGGATGGCCCCACTCTCTCCAGTGGGAGGGCCTCAGCATGACTGCTACTGCTCCTCGCCTGAGCACTCTGCCTGAGGCCTGAGGATTATACTGCCACTGCCCACCCTGGCTTGTGCCTGCTTTCATCACTGGGAGGCCTGAACACAAGCCCACCCAACCCAGCTTTGTGCCCTGAGACAGAGCACAAGCTCAGGATCCCGGGGATTGCTCAACCCAATCTGCCACTGTGGGCACCTGAGCACTCCTTTTAAGGGGCTGAGGCTGAGCCTAAACTCCTGGCTGCTATCACCTCAGCTGGCAGCTACCTGCAATCACCACCTATGGGCCTAGAGAGTGGCCCACCCAGCCCATCACAGCCACAGCCAACATTAATGAGCATAGCTTTGGACACAGAGAATCATCCTGCTATTGCTACTGCCGTTTCCCATACCACATTGACTGCCCAGGGGCCCAGGAACCTTCCCACCTGCCTGGTCCACTGATGTCACTACCAGCATCTGAGAAAACCACCTGAAGGCCCAAGAATCAATTTGCCCATAACTGCCAACACAGGTGCCAGCATACATTGCCTTGGGGCACAAAGATAGGCATGCTCAGCCCATTGCTGCCACCACTGAGGCCTGAACACTAATCCACCTGGCACCCAAGTCCCTGAAACAACTTCACTACAGCCTCCACTAATAACCACATCAAAACCCACTAAGAAAATCACAGTCACCACTAATGCTGTTTATAGCAAAAGAAATCATACAGAGACTACCCTACTACTGCACATACCCAGAATCAAAGCCAAAGTACCTTACACAACAGACACCATATATATATCTTCAGGAAAGAGTCCTCTCCTATGAAAACAAATTAAAAAATAGGAAAAAACAAGTGTTACATCAGATACACAGTTATCAATGTAAGGACACAGGAAATGTGTAAAAGCAAGGAAATATGACACCTCCCAAAAGAACATAATAATTGCCAGCAATAGATCTTAATCAAAAATAATTTTTCAAAATCCTAGAAAAAGAATTAAAATATTTATTTTAAAGAAGCTCATAAAGATATAAGAGAATTCAGAAAACAATACAGAGAAATTAGAAAAATAATTCAAAATATGAATGAGATTTTTACTAAAGAGATATATATTTTTTAGAAGGAACCAAATAGAAATTCTGGAGCTGAATAATTCATTAAAGGAAATACAAAGTACATACAATAGCTTCAGCAAAATCTAGAGCAGGCAGAAGAAAGAATCTCAGAATGTGAAGACAAGTCTTTTGAAATAATCTAGTTAGACTAAAATAAGGGAAAAAGAATGACAAGGACTTTGCAAGACTTGAGACAACATAAAGCAAGAAAATATTCAGATTATTGGTATCCCTGAGGGTAATGAGACTAAAAATGATTAGAAAACCAATTTAATGAAATGATAGAAGAAAACTTTCCAAGTCTAGCAAAATATTTAGACATTCAGATAAATGAGCCTCAGTAATGCTCAAGAAGATACAATGCAAAAAGATCTTCTCCACAGAACATTGTAATCAGATTGTTTCAAGTCAAAAATAAAGAGCAATAAAGTGGACTTAGAGATTCAATAATTAAGTAATATTTTTTTAAAAAGACAAAAAAAAATAAAGAGCAAATCCTAAAAACAGGATGAGAACTTCATCTAGTCACCTATAAAGGAAACCCCAAAACTAAAAATGGATTTTTCAGCAGCAACATTACAGGCCAGAAGAGAACTTGTTAAAATATTCAAAGTGCTGAAAGAAAATAACTGTCATCCGTGCATACTATCCCTGGAAAACTTACCCTTTGTAAATGAAGGAGAAATAAAATCTTTCTCAGACTAGTGAATGCTGAGGTAATTTGTTGCCACTAGACCAGTCCTGCAAGAAAGGCTAGAGGGAGTCCTAAATCTGGAAGTGAAAAGATGACATTTACCACTGTGAAAATATATGAAAGTATAAAACTCATTGGTAAAGCAATAACACAAATCAGAAAGAGAAACAACTGAAATGGTATCACTAGAGAAATCCACCAAACTGCAAAGACAATCAATAAAAGAAAAATAAAGGAACAAAGATTATAGCCAACAACCAGATAACAATCAACAATATGACATGGCAAAGCCTCATATATCAATAATAACTTTGAATGTAAATGGCTTAAATTCTCCATGTAAAAGATATAGAATGACTTAATAGATTTAAAAAAACCATGATTAAGCTATATGCTGCTTTCAAGAAACTCACCTTACCAGTAAAAACGCATATAGACTGAAAGTGAAGGGATAGAAAAAGATGTTCCATGCAAATGGAAACCCAAATGAGCAAATGTAGCTACACAACACAGACTTTAAGTCAAGGACAGTAAAAAAGACAAAGAAGGTCATTATGTAATAATAAAGGCATCAATCCAGCAAGAAGATATAACAATTTGAAACATATATGCATTGAACACTAGAGCACCCACATTCATAAATAAAATATTTCTAAATCTAAGGAGAAAGAGATAAATTGCAAACAATAACAGTGGAAGACTTCAACACTCTACTCTCAGCATTAAGCAGATAATCTAGACAGAAAATCAAAAAAGAAATATTGGATTTATACTGAAATTTAGACCAAATGGACTTGACAGATGTTTACAGAATATTCTACAGAGAAACTGCAGAATATAGATTTTTTTAATCAGCAGATGGAATTATATCCAGGATTGACCATATATTAGGCCACAAAAGAAATTTTAACAATTTTTTAAAAACTGAAATCATATAAGCATCTTCTCAGACCACAATGGAATAAAACTAGAAATCAATACCAACTGAAACTTTGGAAACTATACAAATAAATGGAAATGACATGTTTCTGAATGACCATGGAGTCAATGAAGAAAATTAAGATGGAAATAAAAAAATTCCTTGAAACAACATACCAAAACACAACATACCAAAACCTGTGAAATACAGCAAAAGCAGTGCTAAGAGGGAAGTTTATAGCAATAAATGCCTACATACAATAAGTAGAAAAAGTAAACAAATGAACAATCTAATAATGCACTGCAAGGAACTAGAAACACAAGAAAACAACAAACCCAAAATTTACAGAATCAAAGAGATAATAAAGATAAA
This sequence comes from Homo sapiens, assembly GCF_000001405.40. Lineage (NCBI taxonomy): Eukaryota > Metazoa > Chordata > Mammalia > Primates > Hominidae > Homo > Homo sapiens. The sequence continues at coordinate 82,640,631 of NC_000009.12, forward strand.
AGCCAAACTAAATGAAATTGAGACTAAACAAAGATACAAAAGATACAAAATTAAAATCTCATTCTTCAACAAGATGAAGAAAATTAATAACTTGCTAGCTAGACTAACCAAGAGGAGAGGAGACCCAAATAAAGAAAACCATTAATGAAAAAGAAGACATTACAACTGATACCACAGAAATATAAAAGATCATCAGAGATTTTTATGAACAACTATATGCTGAAAAACTTGAAAACCTAGAGGAAATGGATACATTCCTGAAAAAATACAACCTGCCAGGATTGGATCAGGAAGAAATAAAACATCTGAACAGACCAATAAAGAGTACTAGTAACAAAAAGCCCCCCAATAAAGAAATGCCCAGGACCAGATGGATTCAAAACTAAATTCTTTGAAATGTACAAAGAAGAACTAATACCAATCCTCCTGAACTATCCAAAAAACTTAAAAAGGATTAAATTCTCCTTAACTAATTCTATGAAGCCAGCATCACCCTGATACCAAAACCAGATAAGGATGCAACAGCAGCAACAACAACAAAACTACAGACCAATATCCTTGATGAACATAATGTAAAACTCTCCAACAAAATAGCAACAAGTCTAATACAACTGCACATGAAAAAGATAATACACCACAGTCAAGTGGGATTTATACCAAGGATGCAAGGATGTTTCAACATATGCAAATCAATAAATGCAGTACATCACATCAACAGAATGAAGGACAAACACCATACAATCATCTCAATAGACACAGAAAAAGCATTTGATAAAATTCAACATTCCTTTATGATAAAAAAAATTGCAATAAAATGGCATAGAAAGAACATATCTGAAAATAATGTAGGTGATTTACAAGAAAACACACAGTTAACATCATATGGTCTGGGGAAAAGCTGACAGCCTTTTCTCTAAGATCTGGAGCAAGACAAGGATGCCCTCTTTTTACCACTGTCATTCAACATGGTACTGGAAGTCTGAGCTAGAGCAATCAGGCAAGAGATAAAAATAAAAGCCATCCAAATTGGAAAAGAGGAAGCCAAATTTTTTCTCTGTGCTCATAATATGATCTTATATTTAGAAAAACTTAAAAGACTCTACCAAAAAACTCTTAGCTTTGATAAATGAATTTGGTAAAGTTACAAGATACAAAATCAATGTACAAAAATCAGTGGCATTTCCACAAACCAATAATGATCTAACTGAGAAAGAAATGTATGGAATTGCCTTCTTGATTTTGTAGCTATTAATTTTGTAGCTATTGCTATAAAAATAAATAAATAAAGTGTCTAGAGGAATAAATTTAACCAAGGAGGTGAAAGCTCTCTGCATGGAAAGCTATAAAATGCTGATGGAAAATTAAAGATGACACAAATAAGTGGAAAAATGGCCCATATTCACAGATCAAAAGAATTAATATAATTAAAATGACTATATGTGCAAATCAATGTCTAGATTCAGTACAATTCACATCAAAATACCCATGCCATTCTTCACAGAATTACCAGTAAATAAATAAATGAATACAAAAATCCCTGGCCTGGCATGATGTCTCAAGCCTATAATCTCAGCACTTTGGAAGGCCCAGGCAAGATGATCACTTGAAGTCAGGCCAGGAGTTTGAGGCCAGCCTCGTGAACACAGTGAGACCCCATCTGTACCAAAAGTTTTTTTTTAATTAGCTAGGTGTGGTGGTGAGCACCTGTAGTCCCAGAGACTCAGGAAACTGAGGCAGGAAGACCATTTGAGCCCAGGAGTTTGAGGTTACAGTGAGCTGTGATTATGCCATTGCACCCCAGCCTGGGTGACAAAATGAGACCCTGTCTCAAAATTTTAAAAAAAGAAAAAAAAAAAGAAAAACCCTAAAATTCATTTGTAGCCAAATAGGAGTCCAAATAGCCAAAGCAATACTGAGCAAAAGGCATAAAGCTGGAGGCTGGAGGCATCACACTACCTAACTTCAAAATATATTGTAAAGGTATAGTAATTAAAACAGCATAATATTGGTATAAAAATAGACCAATGGAACAATTTAGAATTCATCAATAAAGCTACATATTTTCAGCCAACTGATCTTCAACAAACTGACAGTAACTTGCACTGGGTGGGGAAAAGACACCCTCTTCAATAAATGATCCTGGGAAAAGTGGCTATGCAGAAAATAAAACTGAACCCTACATCTCTCCACTATATACAAAAATAAACTCAAAGTGGATTAAAGACTTAAACATAAATACCCAAAACTATAACAATACTAAAAAAAAATGCTAGAGAAAACTCTTCTGGATATGGGTCTAGGCAAAAAATTTGTGACAAAAACCTCAAAAGCACAGACAACAAAACAAAAAAATGGACAAATGAAAATATATTAAACTAAAAAGCTTCTGTGTAGCAGCAAAGGGAATAATTTTCAGAGTGAAGAGACAACCTGTTGAAAGAGAGAAAATATTAGCAAACTAATCATATGATACGAAACTAATATCCAGAATGTAGAAGGAATTCAAACAAGTGAAAATGAATAAAATAAATAATCCCATTAAAAACTGGACTAATAGACATTTCTCAAAGGAAGACAAATTGCCAACAGGTATATGAAAAAATGCACAACACAACTAATCATTAGAGAAATGTAAATCAAAACTATAGCTAAATGCCATCTTACCCTAGTCAGAATGGCTACCATTAAAAAGACAAAAAATAACGGATGTTTGCAAGGATGTGGAGTAAAGGGAACTCTTATACACTGTTAGTAAGAATGTAAACTAGTACAGCCTCTATGGAAAACAGTATAGATATTTATCAAAAAACTAAAAATAGAATCACCCACTTGATTCAGCAATCCCACTACTGTGTATCTACCCAAAGGAAAATAAATCAATATATCAAAGGGATATCAGCACTCTTATGTTTATTGCAGAACTATTCACGATAGTGAATGGAATACATATGCAATCAACCAACCAAATTTTTCATCAATAGATGAATGGATAAAGAAAATGTGGCATATATATACAATGGAATACTATTTAGTCATAAAAAGAATGAAATCATGCCATTTGAAGCAACATGGATGAAACTGGAAGTCATTATCTTAAGTGAAGTAAACTAGGCACAAAAAGACAAACATCACACGTTCACTTACATGTGAGAGCTAAAAAAATTTGACCACATAGAGGAAGAGCGTAAAAAGATAGATAACAAAGACTGGGAAGGGTGAGTTGAGGGGAGAGGAGAGATAAAGAGACGTAGGTTAAAGGGTACAAGCATACAGCAAGATAGAAGGAAGAAATGTAATATTTGACAGCAGAGTAGGATGACTATGCTTAACAAAAAGGTATTGTATTTGGCTGATGGACACCCTAAATACCCTGACTTGATCCCTATGCCTTATATACATGTAATGAAATTTCTCATATATCTCATACATTTGTACAAATAAAAAAAAATTGTCATTGCCAAGGTTACCTAGAGTTTTTCCTATGCTGTCTTCTAGAAGTTTCATAGTTTTATGTTTTACACCTAGACCTGTGATCCAATTTGAGAAATTTTTGTGAAAGATGTAAGGTCTGCCTGTAGTTTATTATTATTATTATTATTATTATTATTATTATTATTATTATTGTTTGACTTTGGGCATCCAGTTGTTTCGGAACATTTGTTAAAAAGACTATCATTTCTCCATTGGATTGCACTTGCTCCTTTGTCAAAGATCAACTTGCAATATTTGTATGGTCCATTTTTGGACCCTATTCCATTGAGGTATTTATTCATTCTTTTGCCAGTACCACACTGTTTTGATTACTGTAGCTTTATAGCACATCTTGAAGTTGGATAGTGTCAGTTCTCCAGCTTTCTTCTTCTTTAATATTTTGTTGGCCGTTCTGAGTTTTTTGCCTTTCCATATAAACTTGCCTATGAGTTTTTATGTAAATTCAAGATACAATCTAGAGAGTCTAAAGATTACTAGTCAACATGAAAACATCTATTTCCACTTTTACATTTAAAAGAGCAATATAATTATTTTGAAAATAAAGATGATGTATTTGCCAGAAACTCAACTTACCTTTTCCATAGCTTCTGTCGTCTGCTAGAAAAAGATAAGTTTCTCTTTTTTTGCCACTGGAAAGTCCCTTTTCTCAGGGCTGAGCAAAGAAGAAAAGAAGTAATATCCAGCCCTCATGCTGTAGAATGTATTAAATGGTGGAGTATTTTATGTTTCCTGTATTTTTCTTGAATAATATGGAAAATGATATATTCCAAAGGTAATATGGGTAATACAGTTAGGACTTTATTTTTCCAAATGGGTAATAAAGTTAGGACTTTGTTTTTCCTACAGATTAGGCATAAGGGAATTTGAGATATATTTTTCTCCAGAGTTCAAAGTCTTTTATGCCTTCTTCATATATTTTAGGTGAAAACTCAAGATCAACCTCTGTAAAGTCATGATAATTTGGACAATATTGGAGAATGAATATATTATGTGGACTGTCTGTGCTGGGACTAAAACTGGTTTCAAATTCTTTAATGAATTATTACATATAGTGGACCAAATCATTCAGTGTTTATTCTCCAAAATCTTCCATCAATTCTTAGAGCCTTCTCTACTACCACACTGCTTTGCCTCAGGTAACTTCCCATTTCTTCTCTCAGAGGAAGATTTCATCACTAGAAATCTTATCTTGTTCTAAAAACATTTTGTGAGCAGTTTTTCATTAACAGATGTGTTCCACATTTATTTAGCTGCTTCTCTTACTTCATGCATGTGTTCAGTGTTGACTCTGTTAAACTCTGTAGTACAAGGATGAGTGTATTAACTTGATCCCACATAATAGGACATTAAAAGGAATCTTTGGAAAAGAAGCAGTGTAATAGTCATTAACAGGGACGAGCACAAGTCTTCGATGAAGACCACCATATTTGGCCATGCTGTTGGAATTTGATATTGTCACATGATGGTGTTAGTATTAGACCTTCAAGTATGGTCATTTGAAAGGAATCAAAAGACCTTTACACCTACACATACACACATGTACACACAGAGTGAAAAGTCAGGTCTTCCTTCCGCATGATCCTAGCAGGAAACATCCTTTGTTGTCTATTCTTCCTCTCACTTTCTGAGAAATGTGAGTCCCACTCACTAGAAGCTCTGTTTTGGAGTGACTCATCTCCTTCAGTAACATTACCAGCCTTTCCACTTTGTTCCAGCTACAAGATGCAGTCACCAGAATAATTTAATGCCCTCCTGCTAATTGCCAGGGCTAATAGAAAAACTGCTACAACTCTTCAAATGCTTTTCGTTTACATGTTGATTTCTTGCTTCCCACTTGGGAAAGGTGTGTTTGGCTTCTAACTGCTTTTGATCTAATGGTTCTGTAGACTGACCTACTTTCATTTTTTGTACTGCTGACATTTATTTTATTTTCTTTATTTAAGGGCAGAAAATAACAGAAAGGTAATCAGCATGCATTTAGGTCATTGTAAGTGTCCTAGTTACATTTGCATTTTTCTGTTAAAAGTCTAATGCTGCCTTTGAATGATTTAAGATATTTGGACAAGAGGAAAAATAACCCTTCCTTCCCATAAATCCAGAGTGAAAACAAAGAGAATGCATAATCCACCTGCCTTGATTCAGGACCATGTAAATTACATCAGCTGCAGTCATAGATTTTGTCAGCCTCCAAGAAATCATCCCCATAGGACCAAAATCCAGGTAAGGAAGAGGGCCTCTTTTTTCCCCATAGCACTAGAAGCTTTGAAGGACCCAGAGGACAGAATCCTACCTTTTTGATTACTGGGTTTCAAGGCAGAGTGTGATCTTTGTCCCAAACAGGGGAGGTGACATCCAACTGAGCTCCATCTCACTCTCTCAATGTGGGGAATAGCACAGAATTATGCTTCGAGGGTCTTTTACATATTTCAAGAACCAGAATGAGGTTTGCACAAACCTGCAAAACGATTAAGTAGCAATGAGGACACTGCATGTAAGAAGGCAAAATTGTGCCAGACTCTTCTAGTATTTGGGACAGATACAGGAGACAGACAGGAACTACCGTGATGAGTTTAGCAATTAAAGGGAGAGTAGTAGGAGTTCATCTGTGACACCAGTTGGAGAGCCTTACATCAATTTCTCAGTTGTGGTTTTCTTTTACTCTTCAAGGGTTCAGAGCACAGCATTTCTCAAATTGCATTCTATTTTGTGAAAGATTCTCATAAGGCTAATACCTGTTTCTGTGGACAAATAAGTTTGGAAAATACTGATTTACAGAAAGTTTGTTTACATTTTGTTATGTTTTTATTTTACAATTTCTCTGAGTTTTTAATATGACAATATATATTGTGACTCTCCAAAATGGAGGAAAAATAATAAGTACATTCCAAACTAATTGCCCACAGAGGCTCTTTGTGGAATGACACTATTTTGTAGTTTTTTTAAATCAAAATAACATGCATATGGTCCTAAAATCAGATATTGCTAATGAAATGGTAATGAAAAAACAATCTCTGACTCCCATTTCTGGCCACTTCTATTCCTACTCCAATAAGAAACTTCCTTTAATCAAGTCTGTTTTAAGATTTTCTGGTGGTTACCCAAATGATACACTTATAACATTATTTGTTGAGTTGTCAACATTGACATGGATTTTTTATGATATCCATTGACTGGCGAGATTTAGGTTCGCTTACATCATGTGTCCACTTTTCCTCCCCCTCTTCTTAAAATAGCTATATAATTACTTTTAGTTACCCCAATCATTACCTTTGTAGCTTTAAATGAATAGACACAAAATTATTTCTTGTGCCATTCACCTTTTTGTCTCTTTTTATGTAGATTTATAGAAGAGTTGCAAAAATAGAAATGAGAGCTTCCATATACCCTTCGCTCAGCTTCTTCTGATGTTAACATTTTATATAACCATGTTGTATTTGTCAAAATTAAGAAACTAACATTGGTACAATAATATTAACTAAATGAGAGACTTTATTTAGATTTCTCCACTTTTTCTCTTGGCATCCTTTTTCTGTTTCAGGATCCAGGCCTGGATATCACATTGTATTTAGTCAACTTGTCTCCTCATTTTCCTCCAGTTGATGAGGGTTTCTTAGTCTTCCTTATCTTTCATAACTTCAAAACTTTTAGCAAGTAGTGGTCAGTTTTTATCTGATGCTTTATTATGATTGTACTAAAGTTATAAATTTGAGGGAAGAATATCACAGAGGTATCCTGTGTAATATCGTATCAGGGGCATATGATACCAACGTGAGTGATGAAGTCAACCTTGTTCACTTAGATAAGGGAGAATCTGCCAGGTTTCCCACTGTAAATTATCATTTTCCTCTTCCCATGCTGTTTGTTCATTAGGAGTGAGTCACTAAGTGTAGCTGTACTCAAGCATAGAAGCATTAAGCTCCAACTCCTGTAGCTGTAAGTAGCAAAAAATTTGCAGATGGATGCTAAAACTACCACAATAATGAACTTAGTCTGGGGGAAGATATGTTAAGGTACAAATATTGCCTTAAACATTATCCCACTAATTTAGAATTAATCAGTGGATCTTGCCTGCATTTATTATTACTGTGGTATTCTAATGGTGATTTTCCATTTATCTTATTTCCTCTACATTTATACATTAGAAGTATTCTATTTTTTAAAATGTCCTTTTCCTCTAATTTAGTTGTGGGGTGTGTGTGTGTGTGTCTGTGTGTCTGTGTGTGTAGAGAGAGAGGGAGGAACTATTTATATCAGTGTGGGTTCATGAATATTTATTTTATTATTTGGGTTATAATTCAATACTATTGTTATTTATTTTCTGGCTTAAATTTCAAACTTTAGCCATTGGCAGCTCTTTCAGATTGACTCTTAGGTCCTTTTGACATGCCCATCTGTTTTTAGGACTTCTTTACTGGAATTACAAAATATTCCAGACTCTTGTATTTTTTTCTGTCCAAGCCCTAGAATCAACTATCTCTCCAACGTTGCTTTGCTTTATTTTACTGAAGAATGGTATTTAGAAACCAGCATCTGAGCATCAGGTATACTTTATATGAATAGGGTATCACTGCTTCCAGTGATACCCTATCCATTACAGTAGACAGAACTAGAAAATAATGTATGCATACTAATCCATTTGTACACACATAACTACATTTATTTCTGTACCTATCTGTGTGTATGTATATGTATGTAAACATGAGTTCATACTGATATCTCAGCTTCTAATCTAGCATCATAGGATTCATCCTAGCATTTCCAACTTGATTATTTGTAACTTCTTTTTCTGACAGTGAAAGTGACTGGGATCTCATGATCCACTATATATTTACTTATTTGTTCAACCTAGTATACAAATACAGTAGTTTTAGGATGCTAATTCATATCTAGGCTTAATGTTTTAAAAAATTATTTAGTTTCTCTCCTCCCCAACCCCTTCATTGAGCTTATGGCATACATTTGTAACACAGTCAGTGCAGAGCACTATAGGTTTTGGTGAAGCCGTATATACACCACCACTGTCCCCTACAGAAGAGTTATATTGCTACATTGCCCTGCAAATTGCCTTGTCTGACCCATTTGTTGTTCATCCCTCCCCCATTCCCAACTCCCAGAAACTACTTATCTGTTTTCTATTCCTACAGTTTTGCCTTTTCCACAATGTTTTATAAATTGAATTATACATTACATAAGCCTATGGGTCTGGGTAGTAAAATGCACTTTTAATTCATCCATATTGTTTAGAGAATCAGTAGTTTGTTTCTTTTTATTGCTGAGTAATACTCCATGGTAGGGATGTACCACAGTCTGATTACTCATTCACCCACTGAAGGACATATGAGTTGTTTCTAGGTTTTGCCAATTATAAATAAATCTACTATAAACATTCACATATAGGTTTCTGTGTGAACATAAAATTATAATTCAATTGGGTAATATTTGGGAATGGAACTGCTGGATCATATAGTAAGTTTGTGTTTATAATAAATTGCCAAACTTTCCCAAAATGGCTATACCATTTTGCATTTCCATCAACATTGAATGAGAGTTTCTGTTGTTCCTTATTGTCTCTAGCACTTGATACTGTCAGGTTTTTGTTTGTTTTAATTTTAGCTATTATAAGAGTGTATAGTTGTATTTTATTATAATTTTAATTTGTATTTTCCTAAGTATTAATGGTGTGAGTATTTTTTCATATGTTTACTTGCCATTTACATATTTGTTCTGGTAGACTGTTTAATTCTTTTGTCGGTTGGTCTCTTGGGTTGTTTGTTGCATTTTAAGTGTTCTTTACATATTCTGGGTATAATTTCCTTATGGAATATGTTATTTGCAAATATTTTATCCTATTCTGTAGCTTATCTGTCATTTTTAACTGAGTCTTTTGCAGAACAAAAATGTTGTTTTAGTGAAGCCCAATTTATCACTTTTTTAACAAAAATGTATAATGTTTTTGGTGTTGTATCAAAAAAATCATCAGCATACCCAAGGTCACACAGATTTTTACCTATGTTTTCTTTTCAGAGTTTTATACCTTTACATTTCACAATTAAGTCTGTGATTAGGTTAATTTTTCTAAAATATGTAAGATGTATGTTGCTGCCACATTTACATTTTTATATAGTATGTTTTTTAAATTATTGTAGCTATTATTATTTTCAATAGTTTTGTCTTTTAACCTCACATTAAAGACATAAGTAATTTACATGTCATCATTATAACATTAGAATATTCTGATTTTGACTATGTACTTACATTTCTCAGTGAGTTTTATACTTACAGATGTTTTTATATTAATCATTAGCATTTTTTTCTTTCAGTTTAAAAAACTCGCTTTAGCATATTTTGTAAGACCGGTCTGATGGTGATGAAATCTCCCAGATTTTGTTTGTAAAAGAAAGTATTCTCCTTCGTTTCTGAAGAATAGCTTTGTTGGGTACAATATTCTTGGTTGGCATTTTTTTTTCCTTTGGCACTTTGAATATATCATTCCATTGTCTCCCAGTCTGTAAGCTTTATCCTGAGTAGTTTTCTGCTAGCTCTGTTGGAACTCCCTTATATATTTTTTGCTTCCTCTCTCTTTCTGCTTTCAGAACCTTCTCTTTGTGTATGATATTTGAAAGTTCAATTATAATATGTTGTGGGGTAGTCTTATTTAGATGAAATCTGATTGGAATCCTTTTGCCTTCTTATACCTACATATTTACATCTCACTCCAGGTTTGGAGAGTTTTCTGTTACTATTTTTTAAAATAAGGTTTCTACCCATTTATCTTTCTCTTCCCCTTCATGAGCTCTATGACATAAATTTGTTCTTTTGAAACTGCTCCATAAATCATGTATGTGTTCTTCATTCCTTTTCATTCTTTTTTCTTCTCTGACTGTGTATTTTCGAATAACTTGTCCTCAAGTTCACAGATTCTTTTTCTGCTTAATTGCACTGTTGATTCTTCTATTGTATTTTTCATTTTGTTTTTGTTTGGCCTCCAAGATTTCTATTTGTTTTTTTAAAATTATTTCAATCACTGTATTAAATTTTTCATTCTGATCACTTAATGTTTACCTCATTCTATTGAATCGTTTCTCTGCATTTTCATGAAGTTCACTGAGCTTCCTTAAAACAGTTATTTTGAATTATTTGTCAGGCATTTTATATATCTCCACTTCTTTACAATCAGTTACTGGTATTTTATTTTGTTCATTGGGTGAGGTTGTAGTCTACTAATGGTTCTTGATGCATATGGTCCTGCATCACTGTCTGCACATCTGAAGAAGTAGGTACTTTTTCCAGTATTCACAGGCTGCTTTGTTTGGGAAAGTCCTGCAACAAGTGCCATGCTGGTATGGGTCAGGATCCTGGGGCAGCTGCATCCGCTGTGGCACTGCCAAAAGCCTGAGGTCCCCTATGGCATCAGCAGTATTCAGGTAGGCCAGAAGCCTGGGACAGCCACAGTTGGCATAACACTGGTTTGGGCCAGAAACCAGGGGCTGCTAAGGCCAGCCTGCTGTGGAGGGCTGTCTGGATCTTGGGGCTGCTGATGTCAGCCCAGCATTGATGTGGAGATCAACTTTGCTACACCTGGGGCTATGTGATTCTCTTTGTCACTGAAGTAGGTCTAGCCTGACACCTGGGGCTATGTGATTCTATTTGACACTGAAGTAGGTCTAGAGACTCAGTTCATGGGTACCAACCTGAAATATGGGGCCACAGGAACCTACCTGATGCTGGATTTTACTGTCGTGGGCCCAGCATTGAGGTTCAAGACAAACTCCTGTGCTCACTTTCCTCTCTATCTGTCAAGCAGACAGTGTCTTTCCCCAAGCTGGGCTGCCTGAGGTTGAGGGATGGGTGATGCAAATAATGTAAAACTATCCTGCATACCTTCTTCAATGCATCTTTTCTTATTTTTGTGCTACAATCAGATATTCTGATCTCTTATCTGGTTTCCTAAGTTATTGTGAAGATATTTTCATGTCTAGATAGTTATTCAAATTGATGTTTATGCAGGGGGACAATAGCTAGAGAGTTTTACTCTGCCATCTTACGCTGTTACTCTCAAGGAATTGTTATTTAAATACTAGTAAAGATATTTCATTTGATAAGCTCATGTGGTAGGGCAGAAGGAGCTGCTTGTCAAGTATAATTACCACCATTCTCATAAGATGAAGCAGAGGCTTCTTTAAAAAGGAACAAAATATTCTTTGAATATAGAATTTAGGGAACTTACTAAACTGGGTGGAGTGTCTTTAAGGCTAAATGTGTAGGGCAAAAACTTGAAGCTGATGTAAGATGAAGTATAAATTTGTTTGAAATGGAAAGAGAAAAACAACAGTAACAATTTTTGAAAATACATTGGCAAATGAACACAATGAGTAATGCTGAACTTTGATGTTTTATATTTTACATGTAAAGAAAATGTTTAAAAGAACATGACACATTTCCAAATACAGCAAAATATGTTTAAGTGGGGGTGTATATAGTCCTAAACTGGTTTTTAAATGTAGTGATAGAGCTTTAACAGAGTTCTCAAGATGGGACTATATCACTCATTGCTTTTGATCATCTTAATATACCCCTATCTGTAACATATCCACAATTCTATTAACTTTTATTATAAAACTCAATATATTTAAAGAGGTATGACTTGATTTATGGAACATTGCTCTGAAGAAAACTGTAATAAAGAAAAACAAGTAAAGCTGGAAATATAAAATAATACTTTCCAAAGCTCCATTTTTTTATTTACTTATGTATCTAGGTTCTTATTTTTTAATACTTCAGAGAAATTTTAAGGCATATAAAAGTAAAAAATATAATTTTAAAATTACCCCTATCATTACTACTTTAATTTTATATATATTGACATCATGTCTTATTTTCTTAGATATTTTTAAATAAATAAATAAATTATTATGGGAAAAATAAAATTCATTTGTACTTCGCTCCCGATTCCATTCAGTTTCTTCCCTCCACAAGGGCTTTAGCCATCCTAAATTTAATGTCTACCTTTCCTCTTCATTTTTTGCTTGCTATTTTATCATTATTTTTTAGCTTTTCTGTATTCATATGTGAAAGTAAATAATAAATACAAATATGTTTTTTAAAAGACATCCATACTGCATATATTTCTGCATATTTTTCATGCATCATTTTGAGAACTATTGATGTCTACACATATAAACTTATTCAGTTAGTTTAATTGCTGTATAATTGTCAACATCCAACTGTATCATATTTATCCTATTTGATTCGCTCATTCTTTTTTTTTTTATTTGCTCATTCTTTTACCATTGCTATGTGCAACTTTGTGGATCCAGCATTGTCCATAGGTGAATGAATGTCTCTTCCATATTCACTTAGATAGAAATTTACCAGGCCACATTATGCACATTTTCAATTTTTCTAGAAACTGCCAAAGTTTTCTCTAAAGTGGTTTAATTAATGCACATATCCTCAATCAAAATATGAGAATTTCAAATTGAACATGTTCTCTACAATCCTCGATATTGTGAAGCTCTTTAAATTTTTGCCAAGCTAACTAGTGTGAAATATAATCCTATGGTTGTTTTAACTCATTATTCCTTGCTTTTTACTGGAATTAAATATACTTTCCCCTTTTATTTACCGTGTATTTCTTCTGTGATTACCATTTCATGCTTATCCTTTTCTGATTGATTTGTAAACCTTAAAAATTATTTTCTGGATACTAATCTATTCGCCCATTATCTATACTAGACTGTAATTCTTTTGCTTTGAGTCTGGTTTTTATTCCTGTGTAAGTTTTTAATTTTCACACAATCATATCTGTCAATTTTGTCTTTAAGTTAATAGCTTATATTTGTTGCTTAAGAAATTATTTCTTATCTTTTTGTCATAAGATAGTCTTCCAAATTTTACTACCAATAATTTAATTTTTCCAATTTAGAGCTCTATTTCACCAAAATTAATTTTTATGTGTTATGTGATATAGGTGTCTGGCTTTTTCTCTATATAGAAAACAACGTGTCCTAATTCCATCTATGCAACAATGCTTCCTTTCTCATTGATTTGAAACGTCACTTTTAAAATCTAAGAATTTCCAAATATCCATGCGTCTTCATGGGCTCTTGGGATCTATTTGTTCAGTTCTTTGCCATCTTCACACTATCTTAAAACTATTACTGTATTATAACTCTTGAAATTGAATAGGACAATTCCTTTTATTCTTTTTTATTTTTTAAATCTTAGCTATTCTTGGGCTTAGACATTTCTACGTAAACTTTGGCTTGTTTTTTTTAACTTTGACAAAACAATCCTGTTGGGATTTAAATGTGATTAAAATTTATAGATTATTTTGGGTTCTTCTCATATTTTAAATCTGCCTTAAATATTTCCACATTAAATAGCATAGACATTCAGAAAAGTACTAGAGGTTAACCAACCCATTTATATATTGTAATTAAATTATAAAAGTAAACTTATTTTAGCTGTGATATGTTGAAAAGGAAGAGAGAATTGGAAACTTTCTGTATATAGAGACTTGTTTTTGCATTTATTTTAAAAATCTGGCTAAATTAAACATCAGATCTCAAATGTTCCCATCATCTTAGATCTGTCACTGAACAGTAAACAAAGTTAGAATAAGTTTATAATAATTTAGAAGAAAATAATGTTTAAATTATATATGCTTTTTTTTTTTTTTTTTTTTTTTTTTTTGAGACGGAGTCTCGCTGTGTCTCCCAGGTTGGAGTGCAGTGGCGAGATCTCGGCTCACTGCAAGCTCCGCCTCCCAGGTTCATGCCATTCTCCTGCCTCAGCCTCCCAAGTAGCTGGGACTACAGGCGCCCGCCAACACGCCCGGCTAATTTTTTGTATTTTTAGTAGAAACGCGGTTTCACCGTGTTAGCCAAGATGGTCTCGATCTCCTGACCTCGTGATCCGCCCGTCTCGGCCTCCCAAAGTGCTAGGATTACAGGCGTGAGCCACCGCGCCCGGCCATATATGCTTATTATAAAACTACTTTATTCTCAGTCCTGAGCCCAATTCTGCAATACACAAAAAGTAATTTCAGAATTGCTAGCCTATACCACTGTGAAAAACCAAATCTACTGGAGTGAAATACATTTTTACAGTTCTTTTTTCCCTGTGGGCTAGAGATATAAAGTCAAAGCATTTTGTTCTGTGTCTTGCTTATTTCACCTATCATAAAGACTTCTAGTTCCATCCATGTTGCTGCAAATTACAGGATTTTATTCCCTTTTATGGATGAATAATATTCCATTGTGTGTGCGTGTATGTGTGTGTGTAGTGTGTGTGTGTGTATATATATATATACACACATTATATATATATATACACACACACACACTACACACACACACACACACACCACACACATTTTCTTTATCTAGTCATCTACTGATGGACACTTAGGTTGATTCCATGCCTTCGCTATTGGAAATAGTGCTGCAAGAAACATGGGAGCGTATGTGTATTGTACATACTATTTTTATCTTCAATATACTGAGTTCCTTTCTTTTGGATATGTATCCAGTAGGGAGTAGTTCTATTTTTAGTTTTTTGAAGCATCTCTATACTGTTTTCTATAATGGCTGTACTATTTTACATTCTGACCAACAGTAAACAAGCATTCCCCTTTCTCCACATCCTCACCAGTATTTGTTATTTTTTTTGGTCTTTTTTTATGATAGCCATTCCAACTGGAGTGAGATAATATCCCATTTGGTTTCGATTTGCATTTCCCTGATGATTAATAATTTTGAACATTTTTTATATACCTGTTGGCTATTTGTCTCCTTTTGAGAAATGTCCATTCTGATCTTTTGCCCATTTTTAATTGAATTATTTGGGGTATTTTGCTATTGAGTTGTTTGAGATTTTTATATATTTTGGTTATTAATCTCTTGTCAGATGATCGTTTGAAAATATTTTCTCCCATGCTCTCAGTCATATGTGGGAGCTAAAAATGTACCTCTCATGGAGGTAGAAAGTAGAATAGTGATTGTCAGAGGCTGGGAAGGGAAGAAGGAAGGGGAAGGATAAAGAGTAAAATGGTTAATGTGTAAAAAAATCCCTTTAGATAGCAGAAATAAGTTCAAGTATTTGATTGTACAGTATGGAAATTACAGTTAACAAAAATGTATTGTATATTTCAAAATAACTGGAAGAGAATGTTCCCAACATAAAGAAAAGACAAATGTTGGAGGTGATGGATATCCCAGTTACCCCAATCTGATCACTATACATTGTGTATATGTATCAAATTATCACATGTCCCTTCAAAATATAAACAACTATGATACATCAGTTAAAAAATACAAAAAGTCATCTTTCCAGACAATAGGCATTTTGGACTTCTCTATTTCTTGAGCTATATTTTATTTTCTGTAATTTTAGCTGTCGATCTTACTCAAATGCCTATTTCTAGTGAGGAAACTTCATCATAAATTATTATTGTCAACCTCACTCCCCGAAAAGTACTAACCAATTCTGATTATCCCCAGAAATCATTTAGTATCATGTAATAAAATTATGTATCTGAAAACAAGCCAAAGCGTTGCACTTAACAATTCTTTGAGTTCAATGTTAACAACTGCATGTTGCAAGGAGGTGGTGACAGATTGTCTGGAGAGGGAAACAGCAGCAGGTCACCATTGCCTTCTGGGCTTTGCCAAGAAGTTTGTATTCTGTTATTCTTTTTTTATGACACAATTATAATTATACATATCTATGGGGCATAATTTGATGTTTCAATGCATCTACACATTGTATAATGATCAAATAAGGGCATTTAGTGAACCCATCACCTCTTACATTCATCATTTCTCTTTTTGCAGAAAGCCTCTCTTCTGGCTATTTTGTAATATATTATACCTTACTGTTAACTACTGTTACCTTATCATGCAATAGAACACCAGCACTTATTCTATCTAATTCTGACTTTGTACCCATTGACCAACCTCTCTTTATCCTTCTCTCTCACTCCCCTCCCCAGTCTCATAACCACTGTCCTACTCTCTACTTTTATATCAATGTGTTTTTTTAAATCCATGTATGAATGAGATCACATGGTGTTTATCCTTCTATGCCTGACTTAGAAGGTTCATCTCTGTTGTTGCAAATGATGGGATTTCATTATCTTTATGGCTGAATAGTATTTCATCATGTGTATACCACATTTTCTTTATAATTCTATCTAAGGACAATGAGGGCCCATTAAAGAGGTGTAAAAATGAGAGAGACAAGCTAGACTGATGATTTAGAAAGATGACAGTGTATAGAGGATGCATTGCAGAGGGGCAAGATTGGGACTAGGAATACCAGAAAGACAGAGAAGGGGAGAGCAATCAGTTTACAAAAGCATAATTTCTAACACTCTTACCAATGACTACCAAAAATTCTTAGGTTAATTATGAGTAAATTGGTTGAAATCAGAAGTCTTTCTAAACCAGGATAAGGGACACCATGCGGAGGAGGAGGGATCAGAGTGGTTTACTGGTGCTTCCTTCACAGACATGCAAAATTCTATGTTAATGCCCTATTTCTATGAAGGGTATTCTAGCAAAATGGAAGAAGAGAATATGTTTTGATTCAAATATAGGGTTATTTAAAAATATTATTTCTATCACCAAAGAATTGGGAATTATAGAATCTAATGGAAAAAAGAAAAATCAAAAAAGAAAAATCTCAGAATCAAATGTAAGTTCATTAAAAAAACTTCCAAAAGACAACCACTTTATAGCAATGTGTATTTAAACCTGTCATATAGCATGAATTTTTTTTTTAATTGAGTTGGAGTCTTACTCTGTTGCCCAGGCTGGAGTGCAGTGGCGTGATCTTGGCTCACTGCAACCTCCACTGCCTGCGTTCAAGCAATTCTCTTGCCTCAGCCTCCTGAGTACCTGGGACTACAGCTCTGTGCCACTACACGCGGCTAATTTTTTTGTATTTTAGTAGAGATGGGGTTTCACCATGTTGGCCAAGCTGGTCTTGAACTCCTGACCTCAGGTGATCTGCCTGCCTTGGCCTCCCAAAGTGCTAGGATTACAGGTGTGAGTCACTGCACCCAGCCTGAATTTTTAATTAAGGCCAAATCTATATCCTCAAGAAAAGCGGAGAACATTAGAAATCTTCTGTTTATTTGAGGCAAACTATCTTCTTTTCTTGAAAACATCAAGTTAATCATGGCAAAAAAAAAATTGGGTTTATTACTTGCATTACCTGATAATTGCCTCACTTTCCTCTTTCACTTAGTATCTGAAGATATGGCTTCAGAGCCCTTCATAAAGCTCAGAAGTTAATAACATCAAATAATTTTCTTGGAATCCCATGACTGCTGCTTTATAAGCATAGCCAACTCACCAGTTCTGAGAGAAAAGAAGGAAGGTGGGGGGAAAGCCTACTGTCCTCAGAAGCTTACTGATACTTTTAGTGTCTCCAGGGGCAGTCTGATGGAAAAACAAAAACAAAACAAAACAAAAACACCTTTCAAATCCTCTTCATTCTAAGTAATGTAGATAATTAATAGTTTCTATTTTCCAAATAGTCAACCATCGATAGCCCTTTTACATTTTAATTTGCTGCCGTGTAACGTAAATGGCCAGTATATGCCAAGCCCATAACATTTAGCAGAATTGCTTCTCAAACACATTTTTATTGATTGATTGGGACAGGGTCTGGCTCTGTCACTCAGGCTGGAGGGCACGATCCTGGCTCACTGCAGCTTCCGCCTCCCAGGCCCAAGAGATCCTCCCACCTCCCACCTCCCACCTCCCATGGTGTGCGCCACTATGCCCGGCTAATACTTGTATTTTTTGTAAAGACGGGGTTTCACCATTTTGCCCAGGCTGGTCTCAAACTCCTGATCTCAAGTAATCCACCCACCTTGGGTTCCCAGTGTGTTGGGATTACAGTGGTAGCCACCGTGCCCAGCCTCAGTCACATTTACAAAGGGAGAATCATGACTATTAATGGTTTGGGGAAGCTGGCTATCCCCTTCCTTATATAAAGTCTAATCTTTCTAAAATCCAATAAAGAATTGTTTTTTAAAAAATATAAATGAGTCTGCACTTATTACAGTAATGAGGTAACAAAGACTAAATCTGTAATATGCTAAGAAAGTTGGAGGCCAGGAATTCTTGTCTAGTATTTTCTAAAGTAAAAGCAATACGTTAATATGCTTAACATCTAGTCTTATGGATTACATATTAGTTGGACTGAAATGTTAAAATTGCATCTCTAACTCTAAAAGCTATCAGTGCACGGAGCATTTTGACTGTTTCAGGTATCTTTCTTCTCCAGGAGTTTCTGGGAATTTAGAGGTGTGTTGGAGTAGGGTACAGGGAAGTTGGAATAAGTTCCTTGTATTTTAAAGCCCTGTATAGGTGATACCTCTGAATTTATCGTATTGGCAGAGTCAGTGGTTTGAATACTGCCTACAAACAATGATTTTTCAGTCATTTGTGCAATTGACAAGCATGTGCTCATTTTTTCCTAATTTTTTTTAATTGGTCAATTGACTGATACTAAGGTGGTTTGAATCAGTGGCAACTGATGGTCTGGCTGTCATTAGTACTTGGGTTGCAACAAGAAAAGAATATATACATTCATTTTTAGTAGAGACAGGGTTTCACCGTGTTAGCCAGGATGGTCTCAATCTCCTGACCTCATGATCCACCCGCCTCGGCCTCCCAAGTAGCTGGGATTACAGGCGTGAGCCACTGTGGTGGCAGGTGCCTGTAGTCCCAGCTACTCGGGAGGCTGAGGCAGGAGAATGGCATGAACCCAGGAGGCGGAGCTTGCAGTGAGCCAAGATCACGCCACTGCACTCCAGCCTGGGTGACAGTGCAAGACTCCATCTCAAAAAAAAAAAAAAAAAGAAAGAAAAGAAAATATATGTTCATCAGTAAATTCCCAGTTAAATGTTTTATGACTTCACATGTAACTGAATCCTGTTTGAAGGTTGCAATTAAATTGGTCAATATCCACTAAACCTTTAACAACAAATGTAATATCAAATATCCATGTGATTCTCTACATTTCCCAGCTTCCCATGCAGTTGGATTGGGTCAGGGTGATTGAGCTGAAGCCAATGGGTATGAGTAGAAGTGATGAAAGCTACTTCCAGGCCTGGAATTTTAAAAACATTCCACTCATTTCTCCTCTCCTTTTGCCTTGGTGTATTAGTTATCATTGTGGTGCAAAAAATTACTACAGAATTTAGTGGCTTAAACAATCTCGCAATTTCCATGGATCAGGAATTTGAGTATAATTTAGCTGAGTGCCTCTGGCTCAAAGCCTCCCAGAAGATTATCTTCAAGGTCTAAGCACGGGTCTCAAGGCTCCACTGGGGGAGGGTCCACATTCAAGTTCATGCGTATGGCTATTGGTAGGACTCAGAGCATCACTGAACCTTAGCTGAATACATCAATTCATTGTTACATAGGTCTCTCCATGGTGCTGCCCACATCATGTCAGCTTTCTTCTCCCACAGCAAAAACAGGTGAGGGAGGTAGAGAGAGAGAGAGAGAAGGGAAGGGGGAGGGAAGGGGGAGAGGAAGAGGAAGAGGGAGAGAGAAGGAGGAGGAGGAGGAGGAAGGAGGGGGGAGAAGACAGGATGAGTAAAACAGAAGTTAGTCTTTTTGTAACCTGATCTCAAAATTGGCATCCTATCACTTTTGCCACCTTCTATTCATTAGAAATGAGTATTTAGATCCAGCCCACATTCAAAGAAAGTGGCTATCACAAGGGCATGAATATCACAAGAAAGGGATCGTTGGGATCAATTCTAGGAGCTGTCGACCACACATGGTAATCTTTAAGGTCACGTTTTCCAGATGGTGCAACTACAAGATGGAAGCAGCCTGGATTCTTGATACTCTGCTAATTGGAAAAATGTGAAGGACATTTCCCCAGTACACATGAGATTGTGATATGAGCAAGAAATAAACCCCTATTGCATTAAGCCCCTGAAATTTTAGAATTATTTATCACAGCAGCATTATATAAGGTTAGCCTAATGCCAGTTGGTTTTTATTCCCTGGCTCCCTAAATATATACATTTCTTCATGGTTTTACACAACTTTTTTTCAAGTACCAGTGTCCATTTTGATCATTGTCATAATGATTAACAAACTTGTGTTATAATCATGGTCTATGTACATGTTAAGGGTTAAAAGGAGTAACAGGCTCTATTTCTTCTACTAGATTGGAAAACTCTTCATGACATGGGCTGAGATGTATTTATGCACTTATTCATTCAAAAATATTAACTTCAATTGCATTTTCATGTACTCTACATTTATCTTTATAAACCTTACAGCAGTAGTTATAACAGCTACAAACACTATGAGTGTTTACTCATAGTAGGTGGGAAAATTAACTTTATAGAATGAATGAACTTAGAATCCAAGTGCATATTTGTTATCTTTGTCTGTATTTTCTCCCCTTTATCTGTTTTATATAATTATCTTCTTCTCACCCTTAAGGCCTTAGCTTAGATAGCGTTTTTTCAAGAAAGCCTTCTGAAAACCTCAAAAACTGAGCTGGGTGCCCTTTAAATTCTCCCAAGGCACACTGAGCTGTGTCCCATTGTAGGCCATATCACACTCTATGGGCATGGCTGGTCTGCTGGCATGACTTCTTTTCTAAAGCACAAATTGGTGACTTGAAAGCATTCTTGTTTTCCCAGCACTTAGTACGTACTACATAGTAGAGATGCAGTCATTTTTAGAAGAAGGATAAATGAATGAATATCACGAATAGTACAGGCACTGTAGCTTTCCAAGAATGTCTTTGTAAGTATCTCAAAGATGAGGACATTGAAGCACCTTTAATCTGACCAATTGATAACTTATTTGACCAGGCTACTGAGACATAATTTTTCTGATCACTGAAGGTGACTAAAGGTGGTTCATGTTTCTATAATTTAAGCAATGGAAGAGGCAGGTAGAATGAGAGAAGAGAGGCAGATATGAGCTATTAGGTGGTATTGATTCAAAGGATGAAAGCCAAACCAATACAACATGGACCACTGTGCTCTGAAAGACAGAGTAGATATGCATACAGAGATCTCAACTTATAATGAAAAAAAGCTGTGTATGTACAGGTCACAGGTGTGGGCATTTACATGAAATGTCCACAATAGGCAAATACATAGAGACAGAAAATTTTAGTGGTTGAAAGGGGATGAGGAAAATGAATGGGAAGTGACTGCTAACAAGTATGAGGTTTTTTTGTTTTTTGTTTGTGTGTGTGTGTGTGTTTTGTTTTTGTTTTTGTTTTTTTGCAGAGGAAGTGTGATGAATATTCTGGAAGAAGATAGTCATGATGGTTACACAACTTGTGAATATAAGCATAAATACCACTGAATTGTATATTTACAAGTTGAATTTTGCATGAATTATATCTCAATTAAAAAAAGAATTGAAGTAGAGAGTGATAGGTGGTAAATAAACAATCCAAGTTTTTAATAGCACTCCAAAGTATTTTATAGTTTTTACATTGAAAGAAGAAAAATATTTATGTTAATAGCAGAAACTAAAATATTCTCTGGCAACCACTCTAATAGTTAAACAAGGTTTAGCAGGCTCTGGTTTATTTGCTATAATATTATAATCTATTTTCAGGCCTGGACTTTTGAATTATATCTGGTCTACAGAAATGGATACTTGAAGGAAATGTGCACGTAATAGCTTATTGTAATTGGTTCTTTTTCACAGATAGAAGTTAGTTGGTTCTCCTTCTTTCTAAGCTTTTTCTCTCATCCTGCCTTTCAAGCATTGAGAATTGCCTTTTTGAAAAGAAAAGTATTTTGTGGCATCTTCCTTCATTTTCTCTTCTCTTTGGAATATTAAGTTTTAAAAAATGGGTTTTTGCTACACAATATTGAGCAAAATCATTTCTGCTATGTTTCAAGGCTGTATGAAATCTCCAATCGCTCACCAAAATGAGAGGCCCCTGTCTGTGACCCTCTGATTAAGCATCCTTTCTATCATTTGGGAAAACTTCGTTCTTCTTGTCCTTTAAAGTAACGCCTTTGGAACTTGAAGTCACAAATAGGAATTCTATTAAAAATACATTGTACAAATAATTTATCTATCATAAAATAGCATCAAATTTAAAATATACTTTAAAAGGAAGATGATAGTGTAGTTTGTGAAATTCACCAAATGTTCCCATTAAGAGAGACAGAGGAACTAGGATGGTAAAACAAAAACTCACTGACTCCATCTAAACAAAACTAGGTGATAAAGTATCCCCATGAGCCCCTAAATATGAGCATGTAGGGGAAAAAAGCATCCAAAGACCTTTATAGTGTTAGCATTTGTGTGGGAGGAAGCCCATAAAGTCATATGAAATGCTAACAAACCCCAGCGTAGAAGAGCCCCAATATCTCTGGCCAGTATACCTAGCCATTTAAGACCAGCAGTTGAAAATTAGAGGTCTTTTTTGGTACATTTCACAGTATATGTAAGATCAAAACAACAACAACAACAACAAAAACCCTGTAAGTATTGAACTGGAATTGGAAAAATAAGCATATATTAATGATGCATTTTATCTTAGAATAACCTATAGCCAAGATCTGCTTCCTGCAAAGGCCTAAAAATACTGAACAACTCAGTAGCAATAAACAGCCTCAAATTTTTTACTTCAAAAAACATTTTTCACTAAAAGGAAGTAATTTACATAAGACAAATGTCTGATTCCAGGTTCTGGAGCAGAAAATGTACAAAATAAACCCAGAGCATGTTGTCATAATGATAACAAGGAAGTGATCAAAGACTACTGTGTCAAAAGGACTTGGCAACCAATCAGAGGAAGCTTCCACTGAAAAAAATGGGGCAATTTGAGCATCAATAAAGACAATAACTGCAATTAAATGAAACAAATATGTTTCAATCAGTGAATTCATAGTGAGATACTACTAAAAAGAAAGAAGGAAGGTGGGAAGGATGGTAGGAAGAAAAGGAGGAAGGAGAGAGAGAAAGAAAAAAGAAATGAAAAGAGAAAGAAAGTAAGAAAAAAAAGAAAGAAAAGAAAGAAAGGGAGGGAGGGAGAAACGAAGGAAGGAAGGAAGAGAAAGAAAGGAAGAAAGAAAGAAAATATAACCTGCTACATACAACTGCTGTATACAACTGAAAATACAACTGCTAGTGAATCTACTTATTATTTGACAACTGGTAAATAAAGGGGAAAAAATTCAAGCATATTTTCTGTCTTTCCTAAATGAACTGTTCCACTGGGTAAACAAATAGATAAGAGCAAACTTCTTTTTATAGAAGTATTCCAGCTAACAGATGAAGAAGTTATAAAAAATTAGAGTATCTTCATTTCAAAAACCCAGATTAATTAATGGATCTAGGTATTAATCATCTCCAGCTGCTAAAATCATGCAATAATATCCAACAACTTTCTTGAGGAAGTACTCAACACTACCTGTGAAGTAGTCTTGCCAGAAAAATCAAACCTCACCCTGATTAAGCCTCTAGATCTAGTGACCAGTTCACAGGAAACTCAGAGGACAGAAGAACATGCTAAATGATGCCACGAACATGCAATCAGCAAAATATAGAATATAAGAAACTACAGAACAGGCAAACAAATTTACTTAATAGATTCATTACAAGAGGGCAGAAAAGAGACAGAGGGGTTATCAAGTTATTGAAAGAGACTTAGGAAGAAATATAACACCATAGAAATAAGTGGATGTTAATTCAAATTAACTTAAAATTATATTTTTGAAGGGAGTGGAAATTGGAACACTGTATATTTAATGGAACTACAATTTTTAAAAAAATTTACTGTGATCATAATGGTATTGTGATCATGTGTGTATGTGCATATCTAACAAAGTCATTATGTTTTGAAGATACATATGGAACTATGAGAGATGAAATAGCAACTGAGATTTGCTTTAAATAATATGGAAGAGAAAACTGAAGGGTGGTAGAAAGATGAAAAAAGATTGGTTGTAATTTGAAAGAATTATTAATTCAGGGTAGTGATACATGGGAGTTTATTATTGTATTTGTCTATTTATGTTTATGTTTGAAGTTTCCCATAATAAAAGAGTTAAAATACAATATAATAGAAAATATACTAAAGATGGAATATGAATGATAAGTTCATAAATATCAGGGTATTTATCAATGCTGTGATGAAACTGTTTATGTACATTGCTATTGAAAATACTCAGTAGCTAAAGTCATTAAAGTGAGCAGTTGAAACATTCAACCACGAATCAAATACCCATTTCCTTCTTCAAACACTGCTGGAAATGGTTTCGTGTCTGGAAAACTGAGTCTGTTATCTCCGCCTGAATATTTGTATAAACACAAACAAACTACCTACTGCTCTTTGCTGTGCAAACAATTGGAGGGCTTACTAATGCAATAAACCAAGCTCTAGTTAAATAAACAGTCATATTTTCACTCCATCCCACTAGAAAACTGGAGGAAAAATAAAAATAGAGTTAACAATCAGTGATATGGTTTGGCTGTATCCCCACCCAAATCTCATCTTGAATTGTAGCTCCCCAAATTCCCTCATGTTGTGGGAGGGACCCAGTGGGAGATAATTGAATCATGGGGGCAGTTTTTCCCATACTGTTCTCTTGGTAGTGAATAAGTCTCAGTAGATTACATGGTTTTATAAGGGGAAACCTCTTTTGCTTGGCTGTCATTCTCTTCTCTTGTGGGCCGCCATGTGAGACATGCCTTTTACCTTTCACCATGATTTCGAAGCCTCCCCAGCCACGTGAAACTGTGAGTCCATTAAACCTTTTTTGTTTTGTTAGTTTGTTGAGTCTCAGATATGTCTTTATCCGTGGTGTGAAAACACACTAATAAAATCAATAAACTGCACATTTCATAAAAGTAAGGATTGTAACAATTTTATTCATTGCCATATTCACAATTCTTATAACAATGCCTGGTACATAATAGATACCCTAAAAGCTGTGAATGAGTGAAAGGATGGACAGGTGGATACATAGATGGATGGATGGATGAATGAATTTCATATAAGTGAATTTCATGTAAATGTAAGTAAATCCCAATACAGTCAGACTATGAATATTTATATCTAAGTTTCAATTATTTTTAGGCTACAGTTGCATTTCTGTACTGGATAAAATAGTGCTTCTCAAAGTTTAGCATACATAAGAATCACCTGGAAGCCCGTTAATAGATTTCCAAACCCCACTGCAAATTCTTGAATTTGCCTTTCAAACAAACTCCCAGGTGATGCTAATGCTGCTGATTTGTGGAACATACTTTGAGTAGCATTAATTAAGCCAGATTTTCTCACCATCTTCATCAGAATTATTGGGAAACTTTTAAAATATTCAAATTCCTAGGACTCCCCTGTCACCTACTGAATCATAATTTCTGAGAGTGAGTCTGAGAAAAGTGAATTTTAAGGAGTCATTCCTACATACACTCAAGTTTCACAGTGGCCTAGATGATGCTGCCCACTAGAACTCTCTGCAGTGATGAATGTGTTCTACATGTGCACTGTCTAGCACAGTAGCAATTAGCCACATGTGGCTATGGAGAATTGAAATGTGGCCACCGTGACTGAGGAACTGAATTTTTAATTTTAGTTTAATTTAATTAATTTAAACCTGCACTTAAATTGACACTTGGAACTAGTGGCTGCCTTATGAGATAGACAAGGTCTAGATTTCAAACTTTCCTTCTTGAATCTAGAGGTAACTTTAGTGGTGACAGAAGGGGGGACCCACAGTATAGGGTTCCTAGGATCCTACTGTTTCAACCAGAGCAACTCCTCCTTAGTCACCTTGGGATGTCATTTGATATTCTGGCTTCTTTACCAATTGGAGTCCATGCCCATACTGGACATCCCTAAAGCGCCTATGAAAGAGGAATCAAAGTGTTCTGACACATTTTCAAATGAATTGCACATAGTTAACTTGATGAAGTCATTATTTATCTGCCAAACAATTAGGTTTTGAGTCAATTTTAATGCTGGCTTCTCAAGAGATTCCCAATGCAGTCACCAACTTACTATTTCATTATCCTCATAATGACTTTGTGAGTAGAAAAAAGGAATCAAGCTATTATCCCCATTTCACATGCAGAAAAACTGACTCTTAAAGAAAATGATGGGCTTGCTGAAGCCTCCCTCAGCAACTCTCTGACGAGTTGTTATTTTTCCAAGTACTTCTCATTCTCTTTGAATAAGTAATTAAGGTCTCTACATTCAAGGACACTTCAGCAGTACTTTAGAAAGCAATTTGCTTTCTGGGGCAACTACCTATCCATGAGGATGGAACTTAGGCCTTTGATGAAGTGGAACAAACCCAAATTGGACTCAGACATCTTAGAATTAAAGGGCAGGTTATATTATACTATAGTATAAGTATATTATACTACAACTATAGTATAAGTATATTATACTACAACTATAGTATAAGTATATTATACTACAACTATAGTATATTATACTACAACTATAGTATATTATACTATACTTATAGTGTAAGTATATTATACTATAACTATAGTGCAAGTATATTATACTATACTTATAATGTAAGTATATTATACTATAACTATAGTGTAAGTATATTATACTATAACTATAGTGTAAGTATATTATACTATAACTATAGTGTAAGTATATTATACTATAACTATAGTGTAAGTATATTATACTATAACTATACTGTAAGTATATTATACCGTAAGTATAGTGTAAGTATATTATACTATAACTATAGTGTAAGTATATTATAACGTAAGTATAGTGTAAGTATATTATACCGTAAGTATAGTGTAAGTATATTATACTATATTTATAGTATGGTATATTATACTATAATATATTTATAGTTTAGTATATTGTACTATATTATACTATGTATTATACTATAGGCTGCAAAATAAATTAAAAAGGAAAGATGTCCACATAGGCGTAGCAACACACATTAATTACATTTTTCTTTCTAAAAGTCACAATAGGGATAGAAGGAATATTTCGGGTGGAGTAAGAGACAGGAGATTGCTGATGGAATAATAAGAATCCTTCTCCAAATGACAAATTTCAGGTCATCCCCAGGTGATTTAGTTTTATAGCAGGATTCACTCCTGAGGCACATCCTCAACTAGATAGATTGAGACAAGACCATAGGCCATCATGAAGTCAAAGGCATAAAACTGTAATTAGCTACAAGTAGCCCAAGGAGACTTGAGAATGCTGTCAAAGTCCAAAATTTGCAAAGCCAGCTGTAGCTTCACTTTGCTTTACACAATGTAATTTGAGTTACCTACAAAGCCTAAAGGAAAGGAAAGCAAACATCTCAGAGATGAGTTCGCCCCGCTTGGAGGAAAGAAAACCCACTCTGGCCCCTTGCTTTCTTTAAACCAGAGTTTCCTCTCAATAAGAAGTAGGTGGGGAGATTCTGGTGGTTGTTAGTGGGTGGAGAAGGGAGAAGTTAAAGGGAAATTGGGATAGCATCCCCTGTGTTTAAAATAGAGAACACCTCCAAGAAGAGAGGACCTGGGTAGACTTTATTCACTTAATAGACTTTAAGTGCCTGAGGACACAGTACAAACTTGTATCACATTATCAGACAGGCCCCCTCACGGCATCAGTGTCGGCAGAGACTCATGAATATGTAAATACTATATGTATCTTGGAAACATGCTTGACAAGAGAATAGCTAAAATGAACTGATTCTAGTTATAAGCCCATCAGCCTGCCATTCTTTATGTTTGAACAGGCAGGCTATTGCTAGGTGACAGATCATTAAGGCTATCTACTCAGTCAGTGGAAATGAAGAAATAATTTGTTCCTAATAACCTTCAGATGACCTCCCAGGCAAAAGGGAGTCTTTAAAGTGCTGTCTCTGCTGATACATCTCAGGCGGGAGGGTGGGGTTCTTCTGGCCCTGCAGTCAGAGCAGGGTGGCTGGTGAAACAGATTAATAAACACCTACTGACAGGGACATAGCAGGAAAAGATCTCATCACCTGCCATTATCAGGCTGATGAATAATTCAGAGCTCTCCATCAGAGCCGAGAATTTCAGGCTACGCTGTGCTCTACACTTGCAGGGAGGGGGAAGCATGAAGGTGCTCATTGCTGGGATTAAATGGGGGCCCAGGAAATTCACTTCTGCTCCAGACTGTGTGGGCATCATAACGGGTGGGGGAAGCAGGCATGAAAGAAGATTTGCCTCTTTGGAAGGTGGCCAGGCAGGTTCAGGGGCCAAGAGCCAGCAGGAACCTCCTCAAAGATTCCTGACTGTTATGAAATTTTGGTGGCCAGTGCAGACCCCCTGGCACTTATGTGTCCACCACTGTAGTCAGAAAAAGAGGCCGCAGCTCTTGTTTCCTTGCCTGCTGGTGGGTTCCAGAAGAGCAAGTAGGTCAGTCTCCTGGATATGCTCCTCACTCGTTGAGCACTTCATCATACCCCCATTTCTGCTCTCTCCCTGTGTATGAGAAAATATTTGCACTGTGATCCTCGTGTAACAGATTTAGGGTCAGCTGGCTTCTATGGGGAATCTCAAGACAGTGTCTAACTACCAGCTGTGTGATTCTGACCACATTCTAGTCTTTCTGGGACTCAGTTGCCTGGTCTATAAAATGGGCTGAATCATATCTGACTCAGACAATTATTGTAAGGATTAAAAAGAAGTACACATAGAAAGGCCTAGCAGAGTACCTGGAACCAAGCACATCCCACTTCATGCCGGAGACAAATGTCTCCCCCTAATAATTGTTTTTTTACTTGGAACAAGGCAGGAACCAGACTAGACATGCAAATTTGGTAATTCAAGGACTTAAATAAAAGAGGAGTTTCTATAGGTGATAGCATGACTTAGCAAACCAGCAAGGGATAGGAACATGCCCTAGGACTAATAACCGCAGGGATCACTTAGCCCTGTTAGGCCTCAAGGGGCAGAAGGACAAGGAAAATTTGCTGCTTGACAGAAGCCTTTCATAAAAGGTCACAGCCAACCATGGTGACCTGGCAGGGAGGGAGCACAGGACAAATACCCCACTGTACTTTCCTCCTGCCCCAATCTTCTGCCTGGGCTTCCTTTTGGCTGAACTCAACTGGTCCCCAGGCAAGAGGCCTGTTGATGGGTTGATAAGCCTCCTGGGCACAGAGCAAGGTAACAAAGGGTGGGAATTGAATCTGGAGGGATAAGAGGAAGAGCTGCAATTTACTATCTGAGCGATGCGACTATTGGCACTTCTCCATCTGTTGTAACTTTTAATGTGTGTTGGATGAATTAAAAACATAGCAAGAGAAAGGACAGGGTCCATGCACTTTAGTAGCCTTTAAACTAGTTGAGGGTAGAGGGGGAAGGAGAATAGGAGAGAGAAAGAGACAGAGGAAGGGAAGAAAGAATGGAAGAATTTGAATAGTTGTAATAAAAAAGTACTGATTTTAGAGACAAAAAATTTTAGATCATCACTTAAATCATTGCTTATCTTTTATTTACTAAGACACTTCTCCACCTTTCTGGTTCCATCGTGTATAAAATGGAAACTTTGGAGGACCTGATATCACAGGTCTTTCCTAGCTTGGAATTCATGACTTCAAGTGTGGTCATAGGGTAGTTCCACCAATACTTTTCCTTCCTCAGCACCTGAGGCAAGCATGGCCTGAAAGACAAAGATTGTCATTCCTCAGAACTCAGAGTTACACTTCTCTTCCTAAATTTGAAATTGATTGAGAGCTCAGCATGCCTTTGGTGAACTGTGTACGTCATGCAAAGACTAACAATCTCATGTATTCAAGCAAGGTTGAGCTTTGCTGGGCTGGAGCTTATTTGTATTGGTCAAGTGTGGGAGAAAAAAATGTGATACCCCATTCCTAAGAGATAAGCTGAGAAAAGCCTCTGGCCAAAAGCTAGAAAAACTGTGGATCTAGTTGAGAGTCAATCATCTCTTATGAAGCACCATTTTAAAGAGTATTGTTAAGTGGCTTAGAGATAAAGTGCCTTTTCAGAAACATTTGGTTTCAAGAGAGAAAGTGAAAATTGGGAGGCATTAGGTAATTGGAGGGCTGAAAGGAGGCAAAAAATGAAAGCAGAGCAGGTAGAGAAATGAGCAGAACTGGAAAGGAGGAGGCAGAGCTGTGTTAGAGATAGACCACGCACAGCAGGAGAGGACCCTAAATAGGATGCAACAGAAAGTCTGAGTCATCCACATTTTCATCCATTTGGATCATTCTCATTCCTAATTTTGAGTACAATCAGTCCTACTTTTGTATTGCACCCTAAACTATGAGGAATATAGCATGCTAGAGAAAGACTAGCAACAGCTTTCAGCTAGCCTTAAAGAATGGGCTATTTAGTTATTTGATTCAGGAACAGCATGCAATTCATTCACTCATTACTTTATATTTTCAAGATATATTTATTGAGTCCCTATTAGGATCCTTAAAATCTTCTGGAAATATATTCATGACCTACATAGATACCATGGTCAAGGGAAGTCTCTGAGTATTAAATGATAAAGAAGAGCCAGCCATAAGAGGATCAGCAGAAGGAGCATCCCAGGCAAAAGGAGAAACACATGCAAAGCCCTGGAAGCCTGGCCAAGCTTTGCCTGTCATGGTCACTAATTATACTGATGAGCGTGTATTTGAAAAAAGTTACTGCCACAGGGTAGAGCCCAGAGGCAAGATTTACTAAAAACAAACAAACAAACAAACAACAACAACAACAAAAAACAGTTACCTTCAGATAATAAGCAACATGGAGAAGGTTGCATAGCCCAAACAGAAATAGCACCTCACCTGCACACATAGCCCTTCTTTTCTTTTCTACATGGATTATTTCTGTATGTGGATTGGAACTTGGAGAGAACACCAGAATGTTTTCTGGGCCTTTGACATTTTTTCTCAAGAGTTTGTTTCCAATACTTTCAAAAACATTGTCTCTCTTCTGAATACAGAAAAGAGGAAGGCATGCTTCTTTAGGGACGTTTCTGGGTACGGATGAGTGTGTGTATTTCTGGAGAAGTTCCACTGATCATTTCCATTTCTGTTTGGGCTATCCAACCTTCTCCATGTTGCTTATTATCTAAAGGTACCTTACCTGTTTGTTTGTTTGTTTGTTTATAGTAAATCTTGCCTCTGGGCTCTATCACGTAGCAGTAACTTTTTACAAATATAGTGTCATCAGTATAATCAGGAGCCATGACTCCTTTAAACAAGACAGTTATTTGAGGTAAATAATTATACTTGAATGTGATGAAGAAGTTTAGCCAAAGAAAGCAAGGAGGGAAAAGAATAAAGGTGAAGATGAATTTATAAAGAACGTCACAAGGGAAAGCAGTGTTTTGTTTTGTTTTTCCTTCTTTCCTTCCCTAGTGACAAAGCTATGTCATTTGAGAGAAAGATGAAGAGCCTATTACACCAATGGCGTTCAGATGTCTGTTATGAAGGAAAGTGATCCCAGGCAGAGTCAGGGAAAGTAGATCCCAAATGGGGTGACCATTTGTTCTGGTTTGCTGGGAAAGTCCTAGTTTCCACCTGTTGTCCTGGTGTACTTGCTAACAATGTTCTCCCTTTGCTTTCAAAAGTGTGCTTTTTGGATGATAAATAATATGGTCTCTCTCACTTAAACCTGCCTCTTCCACTAAGCAGGTACCTGTCTCTGGGTAAATCTGTAAGTCTCTGAAGTCTCTGGACCTCAGTTTCTCAAGAGTTTGTATGACATTGTGACTAACATGTTCTTTAGCCTAATATTCTATGGTTCCACTAAGGCCAAGAGAAGAAAAGTTAGAGTTTGTGGAAGGGGATGTGGAATGTATTTGATTTGAATTAAAGAATATCAGTGATTTCTGAGGGATATATTTGCCTCCTTATTTAGTACAACTGCCTCTGGCTTACCCTGTGATCTTGACCCCGTGTAGGCCTAGACTCATGTGTGTGTTTTTGTCTAAGTTTTTAACAAAATAGTTTAAGAAGTTAAAAAAAACAGTAATAACAAATTTTAAAAATAGAAAGAAGCTTATACAGTAAGGACATAAAGAAAAACTATATTTTGGTAAAGCTATGCATTTTATTTATGTTTTAAGCTAAGTGTTATTACAAGAGTCAAAAAGTTAAAATTGAAAAGATTATAAATTTAAAAATTACAGTAAGCTAAGGTAAATTTATTATTGAAGAAGGAAAATATTTTTAATACATTCAGTGTAATCTAAATGTACAGTGTATATGAAGTCTACAGTAGTGTACAGTAATGTCCTAAGCCTTCACATTCACTCACCACTCACTCATTGACTCACCCAGAGCAATTTCTAGCTTGCAAGCTCCATTCATGGCAAGTGCTCTAACAGGTATACCATTTTTTATCTATTACACCATACTTTTACTGTACCTTTTCTATGTTTAGATATGTTTGGATACACAAATGCCATTGTGTTACAAGTGTCTACAGTGTTCAGCGCAGTCACATGCTATACAGGTTTATGATCTAGGAGCAACCTAGTTAGATTATAGACCTAGGCCCATAATCTGGGCCATACCATCGAGCCTAGGTGTGTAGTAGGCTATACCACCTAGGCTTATGTAAATACACTCTATGACAGAATCATCTACGGATGCATTTCCCAGAACATAATGAACATATCATTAAACAACACGACTGTACTTCTAAGCGAAATTTCATAGAATTAAGTGTACATGTTGATACATTTCTTCAGTGCTTCATTAGGCTCTTTGTTAGCCATAGACTTACTAGCTTATCCCTGCTGAAAATGATTTCTTTCTTTCCAAATAAGCAGGTAGAATGACATGGGTGTAAAATACTCCTAATCCAGTCGTGTCCCTCCTCTTTCTCAGAAAGTTCTTGCTGTATGTACTGTACAACCAGAAGATGACAGTTCAGTAAAGGAAAAGGTGTGTTTACCTCAGGAGAGAGTGTCTTTATGACACTGATCTGCTCTGATGAATCCACTAATGTGAAATTTCTGACCCAATAGGCAGTGATTGCACAGCTCTGAGACTCTTCTCATTATTCATGAAATATGTGCTGCATGGCGTCAGTGCTCTCCCTGCAGACTTGCTGCCAAGCAATTACTCATTTCCATCACTTAGCTTTTTTATTATTATTATTTTTCAGTGGGTGTCTATATATTCAGCACACTTCAAGAAGCAAAGCACAGTCCCGGAATGAAAATGATGCTTGTCTTGTTTGATTTTAAATAGAAAAGCACTTTCAAGTCCTTAAAAGTTGATGTTGTTTTAAACTTACAACAAGCAGTAAGGGAAACCAGTAGCTGCAGAAATAAATGGAAAGCAATCCGGAGTATTTCCACTGTTATACATATTGGCTACCAAGAGATGCTGGGAGGACTACCTTATAGTTCCTAATGTATTTCCCTGACTTCCCCTAGGAACCCTGAAGAGGAACAATGAACCAGGAATGGCGACAGAGCTCTTATTGTGCTCCTTTGCCAAAGGCAGAGTATCCCTGTGCAGTGCAATGGTCCATGCTTGAAAAAGGGACAGGCTCCAGGAACTGTGTCCGTTTCATATCAAAATGTTTGCATGTTAAGTTCTTGCAGAGACAAAATCTAATGTGAAAGAGTGGCCGTCTTTTGCTGCTATGTGATATAATCTGTGCAGAGCACTTGCCTCCCTGTCGTCATCACCATGGAGGAATATTCCAACCCTAGAAGTTGTCCCAGAAGATTTTTTTTTTTGGAACCGACAAAACTTTATTAAACATGAGATCCTCAGTTGTAGACTCCAGTCCAGTCCTCCTGGGTGTGGTAAAATCTTCTCATATTCAATGGTTAATTACAGTGATGGCCCCAGCTCTTCACAGTCCCTGTATCCAGCCTTTCCCACGTGAATGTGTAGTTACTCACTGAAAAGGCAGAGTCTTTCTCTCCATCTCTCCAATGTGAACTGGTCTTATGACTTGCTTGGCCAATAGAATGTGCAAAGGAGATGGTGGGCAATTTTTAAGCCTACACCTCCAAAGGTCTTGCATGTTGCCACTTGACCTATCTTGGACCCTTGCTGTTGCCATGGGAGCATGCCCAGGCCAGCTTGCTAGAAGACAAGAAACATGGATCAGCTCATCTGCCCTAGTTGCCCCAACCAAGGCCAGAGAGAACAGCTGACCACCAGCTGACCCCCTAAATACACGAGTTAGTCCAGTCTAGGTTAGCAGCGCCACCTAGCCTGCTAGTCACCCCAGCTGACCCCAGATATGTAAAGCATTTCTATTATAAATAGCAATTATAAAGTTTTATAACTAGAAGCTGTCACATAAATAACAGACTCATATCCCACCAACAAATTATTACTTTCCTTTTTTCACCTCTCCCACCACGCCTCACCGTGGTAGATTTTGTTTGCTTTGGTTTTTCATTTTTCTTCAGTTTCTTTTATTTAGTCCACTTACTATTAAGTACATATCACTGTACTAGACAACATGGTTAATACAGAGACTGGTGAATCAAAGAACTTTCTCTCAAAGAGTTCTCATTCTAACACAGTAATTCTCAATATTTTTTATCTTGACACTTAATGGATGGCATTAATATGTGCAACACATTCTCAAGAGCAAACGCAGAGTTATGAACAATTTCTGATGCATTTGCTTTTTCTATATCCATGTCTCCTGTGCCTAAGAAATTGCACTTGAGTGCTAGTGAATGAAAGCAGCATTAAGGAGTTTGAAACATATCATAGCTGTCACCCTGAATCATTTGTATGTTGTTATTTTACCTACTATTAGTTATAAATTGCTTACAACCCACTTCACTGCTGATTACTACATCCTGGGTTTTGATGTCTCAGATGAGAACAACTGGCCTAGTGAAAGGAGAATGCTGACATCCGAGGCATTACCTGCAATCCAAAGCAGAGTGATAGAAGGGTTTAGCAGAAATACTCAGAGGGGACACAAAAAGGAATAATAACACATGCTGACTTGGGCATATAAGGTGGCTTCCCAGAAGACTTGACATCCATCCGACCTAAACCCAGGGTTTCAACAGAGACTAAATCACTTCATTAGTAAAAGAGCACTCTTTATCCCATCTCCTCCAAACCCAGATGTTCCCCAGTTCTTTGACTGAACTCAGTGGAGGCTGACATTTCAATTAGAGCAAAGAAATTCCATGTGATTGCTACACCTTCCTGAGATAGGTGACAGGAAGGTAACTCTTCAGAATTCAGCTTCCATGACTCTGTCACTGTGTCTCCCCAAAAAGGATATTCAAAGAGTCAGCCTCCCTCTCTTGCATTTCTGGACAAAAGACTAAGTCAGGCCAGATTCACCAGTTCTCTATCATCTGTCAAATGGCAGACCTGGGACAAACATGGTTTTCTAGTCCCTGGCCTAATGTTCTTTCAACTTTATTGAATGTGTGATGATCTTTAGAGGTCCCTTTTAACCCTGGCTTCTGAATCATGTTTTCTTTTGAGGTCTTGCCTGCCAGTCTAAAGGAAGGATTTATAGACACCATCCCTCCCATCTCTGCTTCTGAGTCAAAGCTGTTCATTTCAGAGGACTTACAGATTCCAGAAGACTCTATTTTAAGAAAAGCTCTTTCCCTGTTTCCTCCTCTCCTGTCTATTCTAGCAAAGTGTGATCACTGGGTTTCATTCTACTGCACAGTTTTCCCAAGTGGCTTTTCCATTCTGTGATAGCAGAGGAGTAGGAAACAGCTCCCCACTGGAAGTAGGTGCCACAGTGAGAGCAATAAAGTTCTACAGAACAGTATTGCATAAAGAAGATGGCTTGGAAAGGTGTGTTCTTTCATGTAGGTTGAAAAAAGGGAGCTTCACTGCCAGATAGGGAAGTTGTGTGGAGCCTTTGCTCCTGTCTACGAAAATCACAGTGAAGACTTTTAAGGTTTAGAAGTAAAGCTAGGCCATCCTCTGCAGTTAACTATTCTTTTGAGAAAGAGCTGCTGGCTTGCTACTCAGCCCTAATAGGGACTAAATGCTTGATTACAGGCTGTAATCTGCAGATTTACAGAATACTTTGTTACCATTATGGCATTGCACACAGCAGTGCTTTTGACCAGGGAACTCATGAGCAGAGTGCAGTCTGACACTCCAGTATATAGTTGGAGAGGCATCCTATCATCAAGTGGGAATGATGTATGTGAAACTCTTCATCAGCACATGACTCAGATTATTACAGTTCCTACTCTTGCTACATTCCCTCTTTTCTCTTAACCCACCCCTATGGCTTTATTACAAGTTCACTATGACCAGCTGATAACGAAAGAAGGAAAAAATCCCAGGCCTGGTTTACAGATGGTTCTGCAGGATAAGCTGGAAGAATGTAAAATTAGATGGCTGTTACACTACAGTCTCACTTAGGGGGGTCCTGAAGGCAGTGGTAAGGGGATGTTCTGCCAACAGGCAGAACTTCCAAACAATGCACTGATTATTCATTTTTGCCTGGAATAAGATAGAACAAGGTATAGAACCAAACTGATGAAAGGTAAGTGACTAATGGTCTGGTTGGAATGCCAGGGACTTGAAGGAATACCACTTAAAAATTGGTAACAAGAAGGTCTGAAGAGATGTATGTGATAGATCTCTCATATTAGGCACGATGTGAAAACATGTTTGTATCTCACAAAAGAGGAACCTCAGCAGAAAGGAAATTTAATAATCAGATGGGCCAGATGACCTATTCTTGCAGGTCTTAGATGACCCATGTGTTGGTAGATATCTGTCAGCCTCTTTTCTGAGCCACCCTGTCCTTGTCCAGTGGGCCAAAAAACATAGCGGTCATATCAGCAGACATAGAGGTTATGCATGGACTCAACAATGGACTTCCACCGACCAAGGCTACAGCCCTCGCTCCAGGCCCTCTCCCCATTGCTGGCTGTGCACCACGGAGGCAGTCACCATGCAGGGACAACAGCTCTCCATACAAGTTTCTGGAGCTCCCTTCAGTGTCCCACTGGGATGGTAGGATGTGTGGGCTTCTTGTATTTCTCTCTAAGCTCTGACTTCAGGAGCTTGCCAGTGTGCATCACATATATTAGCAATCTGATCCTTCAACTTTCATTTCCAGATCTTCGCTTCCCCAGCAGGGGCCACGTTTGTATAATGTCTAATTCCTAAAATGAATCTCCTATTCCCCTAATACTAATGGGGGCTTTGTTTCCCTGACTGAATCCTGGCTGACAAAAGAGAAGTAGGAAGTGAAAGTAACATGCATTTCATCCAACTGAGGTCAGTTACAATTGCTAGCTTTTCAATTTGCAACCTGTTTGTGTAGTTTGTCCACAGTCTTGAAAGCGAGGAGTAGGATGGAATGGGATTCCTATGCATAGAATGAAAAATAAACACTGGAAGGAAATGCCTCAAATCCAAAATAATGATAATAATGACTTTCTTTTGGTGGTGAGATTGTGCATAATTTATGTTTTCCTTTTACTCTTCTGCTACAGAATTTCCAAACTTTTATAATAAATGTACTTTATTAGTGGAAAAAATAAACTTCATTTTGAAAAAAAATTTTAAATGTACAGGTTACTTGATGACATATACATACACTAGATCATAACACAACATCTATTTGTTGAATAGGGTTTAATTAATAGCTTTGCATCTAGTGTATACTTATAACAAGGGTACCAGTTCAAAAAAAATTTAGTTTTCAGTATCTTAAGCAATAAATAAAACTAAATGGCTAATGAGGCTCCTTCAGCTACAAGAAGAGGCTTTCTAAGTCTCAAAGTATGGTGATTTATTGTAAGGACACATATTACATTAAGATTGCCGGAATTTTTAATTGCCCCAAGTTTAATGGAGGTGCAGAGTACACAGGGGCCTCTTAGAGCCTGGGTCTGACAACATCTCTTGGGAACTTGAGAGAAAGTTATGGGTCTTCACTCAAATAGTGTACTAATTAATAGATGATTTGGCTTTTCTCATGTATTTCTGTGTGTGTGTGTGTGTGTGTGTGTGTGTGTGGTTGCTTATAAGGAAAATTAGATCATTTCTTAAAATACCTTAATCCTTTGCATATTGCCAGTACTTTATCTCATAGACAATGGGAAGCTATGGTGGAGTTTGAAGCAGAAAAGTTAACTATTCAAGTCTGAGATCGGGATTAATTATTAAAAACTCGGGTAGCAGTGTAAGAAGAGAAAAACTCCATAGGCATAAAGGCCAACTAAGATGTTATTGTGACAATCTAGGCAAGGGAATAATAGCTAACTGACTCAAGGAACCTGCAAGAAAAACTAAGAATTATGTTGAAGAAACTAATGAAAGTGTCATGTTAGCATAGTTAAAATCTATTTGTTTGACTTTAATAAAAGGCTACATTGTTCTAGAGAAGAGCAAAGAAAGATTTGCCTTGCTTTTAGCCAGGCTAAGAACAGATTTCTTCTTACCTATCTGACAAAGCAACCTGATGATACATGATAATATGATTATTACCCCTGCATGAGGGTAAAACATTGATTGGCTGAATGCATTAATCATCCTGGACTGGGTTGTGCTGCAGTAGCAAATAACCACCACATCAAGGCTGAAAACCACAAGGCTAATTTCTCTCTCAGATTATAGTCCATCATGGGTCAGCTGGGGGCACTGCTCTTCGGCAGCCTTGTGCTCCAGGATCAGAGCAGCTACCATCTGCCATCATTTGCTTTTCACTATGCTAGTTGGAAAGAGAGAGCGACCAGTCACATACCAGTTTTTAAAGCATCTGCCTGGAGTGGAATACACCACTTCCACTCACATTCCATTGGCCAAAGTAAATTATATGGCCATACCCCACTTCAAGGAGCAGAGCAGTGCAGTACTGTATGCCCAGTTAGAACCAGAAATCTTTCTGTGAATGGATACTAATGTCTATTCCCATTGCATATGGCTTCATCATTAGTGGTATTATATTGGCTGCCTTGAATCTCTTCAACTACCCAGAGATAAGGAAAAATATTTTAAAGTAAGACCCTACCCACAGCAGCAGGCAGACTTAGTGAGGCAGTCTCACTAAGCACAAACTTAGTGAGGAAGCCCCAAGGTCTCAACTATTTATAGTTGCAAACCCCCAAGACATTTCCTGATAGATTATGGATATACCGTACACTAATAGCCTTAGTAGAATTTCCGTTCTGGCTTCTGTCTTGTCAGAAATCTTCCCTGCGGTCTACCTAGGGCCTCCCAAGCCATACCGAGGGCTTGTTCTTTACCTTCTGCCCTGCTGTGCACAACGAGTGTTAAACAGCTGTCCTCTCCCACCTCAGGGAGGGCTGTGCATCCACAAGGCACTGTTAGTGCGGCAGCATATGCTAGTGGAGCACTTGGGATGCAGGCTGGATGGAAAACAGGGGCTTAATTGAATTAGACGCACAAACTCCGGATATTTTTGTCTGCAATCTTTATAGCCCCCTGTCTGTTTGCCAGGGAAAATCTGTCTACTTTCACGTGATCTGCTAGCATTTGGGATTTGTTCCCCGCACCTTCTACTAAATCCAATAGCCATGTCTCATTCCCTTGCATTCTCACATTCTATAAACCCAAGCAAAGAAAGCCTTTAAAAATAGTTCTGCACTCCTCATCAGAAATAGACATAAGTAGCAGTGCTGAGTATGAAAAAGGGCCTGAGGGCATCCTGCTTGCTGCGTTCCACCTTGCTTTGCACCTGCCAGCCTGGTAAGCAAACAGTCTCACTTTCCTGGTGATAGGAGCAGTCACGGTGTCATTTAAAATACAGATCACCCAGGCTATCCTGGGGAAAATATAAATCAGAAGGTCTCGATAGGGTCCAGAAGTTTATAAACACTTGAAATGAGTCTTACTGTTGAGTGAAGTTAAGGAACAATGGCCAGTGTTTCTGCCTTCCTCTTAAAACACTTGGAAGTCTTTCAACTTCAAAGCTTCAAAACTGGAGAATGATACCACAAAACTACTTAAATAACCTCAACCCAATATACTTTCTCCTGTTATAAAACTTCTTCAGCCTCTATGCATATCTGGTGTACTTTCATATAATTTTATATTGTACAATATGGAGCTATTGTCTCCAGCTGTTTCACTGTGTATGTTTAGTTTCTCCCTAAAAGGGCAAATTCCCTAAGGTCACGCCTGGGGCCTCTTCTTGATTTGTCTTCCTTTTCCCTCCTCCCACATCTACTTGCATATCTATCTTATCCATCTATCTATATCTACATGTATATTTGTATCTACATCTAGAACTACGGCTATATCCATCTTCCTTTTAGAATGTAAATTCCATGAAATCACAAGTCTTGCCTTGTAGGTCCAATTAGAAATAAAGTTTTGAACACGTCTGAGACATATCAATGTCTGTTGAATTACCTTAAAAGATGTAATTGTTGCTGCCTTCTTTCATTGTGCTTTACCAACATGATTATTCCCTGTTTCCTTCTTTTCATCCTCTTTCCAATCCCTGCTCTCTGGCCCTTGTCTAGACTCCCCTAAAGAGCATTTATCTAGTCCAATGGGTAGAAAACAGAAGCTAAGAGCTTATGACAAATAGTGTGCAGTTTTTATTTTTGGCTGTCCACATCTATTCCTCCAAATTTTGTTAACAGCAACAAAGAACCATCTTAGCATCTGTATGGAGGTGAGACTCACCCAGACTTGACCGATGAGCATATTCCTTTGCCTCAAGGATCTTTTTCAGGACTGAGGATACAACCCTGATTAGAATCAGGGTTTGGGATTTTTGCCGGGACTTTGGGAAAAACTGGCTTTTGTATTGCTGAGGTTGCTAGCTGGAGAATATGAGAGTAGGCTAGAGTTTCTGGGAGCTCTCATGTGGAGACAGCCTGCCTGATAATAACAGAAACACAGAGAAGAACAGGGCAATGTGCTGGCCAGAGATGCAGGCAGGTATGGAGAGTCAGGGCAACATTGCTGAACAGGGCCATGTGATGCATGTTCTTTTTTATCCAAATATTGACTGTGGACAAGGCTCAACTGTGGCAGTCATAGCAGACTGAGTTTAAAAATCAAAGTGGCAGGGGTAGTTTTCTCTGCAGGAAATATGCTGCCCTGGTGTTCCCCACACACATGGCCAGGTAACCTCTTGCTTCCCTTTATTGATATCACTCAGAGACTTTCCTAAATGCCATCCCATTCTCTTTTTATACACTGCACTCATGTTACTATGCTGTCTGCAATAGACTTGTGTTCCCCTATAGTCTGTGAGCTCCTTGAGAGCCAAGGTCAGATTTTCCGTGTCTTGTACCCCCTATAACTAACACCATACCCGGAGGTGTTCAATGCTCAATACACAAGGGCTGCATGAGGAAGTGAATGCATATAGTAGATTAGAGAGTTCAACTCAAGGTTTCTTGACCTGCAAATCCAAGGCACATGTCTCCAATAAAACTTAGAGCTACTAAGACAAAAATGCTTCTTGCTTTCTTGACATTGCTCATGCAGGGGAGAGCCTAATATGAACTGAAGTTGTTGGCCCTACTCCCTCTCCACTCAGATGGCAGCCTCTGGCCAATTTGTGAGAAGACTTGCCGCTGCGAGGTAGACAGCAGCTTTCAAGCTGCTGCCAGCTGGGCCATTTCTCCCC
This sequence comes from Homo sapiens, assembly GCF_000001405.40. Lineage (NCBI taxonomy): Eukaryota > Metazoa > Chordata > Mammalia > Primates > Hominidae > Homo > Homo sapiens. The sequence goes on from NC_000009.12 coordinate 82,682,666, forward strand.
AGGTGTCTAAGAGGCTGGGAGAGATGGGGCATGATATTGAGCCAGGCCCACTGCTCTGCTTATTGGAGGATACTGAAGGCAGCTCCAATGCCCCACTGCACCCTGTGGGAGGCAGAAGGAGAGCATTTTTGTCCCCAAAGGGAGAGGACAAAGGGATGAGGGAAACAGAAAGCAAAGAAGTCTTTTGTTTTTATTTTATTTTTAGCATCTACCCCCAAGGAAACTGGCAGCAGCCATCCATCTGCAAGTATATGGAACCACTGGTTGGAAATGCAGGCTGCGGCACCAGTACCTGGCTTCTTTCTTTTTGTTTTCTTCTTTTTTTCCTCATGTAATAATGTTTCCCTCCAATTCCTAGAAAAAGAAGTTGATAAAATAACTGTTTTCATTTGAGAAATATTTTGACAAAAACCATCAAAAGGCCAGTTTCCCCCAGTAACCAATTTCTATTACAAAGTAAGATTTCCACAAGGTTTTTCTTCCCAAGGGGTGAGGCTGACCTTACATTACTTCACAGAAACCCAATTGACTCCTGTGAAGTCACCATATTATCTCGTATCTTCTTTTTACCTAGGCTACCTTTCATCTTTCAACTTATGTTGAAATTGCATCCAAAGTATATATAACCTGTTGCAAACAGGATTGTGGTCATGAAACAAATGTTGTACCTAAAAGTAAATGCCAGTGAACACAATTCAGACAAGTGGATGCAAGTTTCTTTCCTTTCAGCAAAGATTTTGATGAATAAGACCTCTTCTTAGGTAAATATCACTCACTTTCCCCGTGTCAACTTCTCAGCTGTACTAGGCTTACTCCCTTTTACTGCCTGCCTTGAGGGAAAAGTCTAATAAAAGTTTATATGTAGCAAATCAAAATGGAAAAAGTTCATAGGATATGGAGAAAGCCCAACTCCACAGCACTAAAGAAAGAGGTAACACTTGTGCAAATACAGTGCGTGATTGGCTCCTCTGATCCAGCTCTTGAGGAAGAGAAGATAAATAGGATTCCTATCAGGTGTGCCCAATTGTTAAAGATCTAGCATCTCATTCTATTCTCTGGAAAGTATGCTTACAAAATACAAGCTAATCTCCAAGGGGTACTTGCACGCACTTCATGAATATTAACAATTTTCTAATCACTACTATGATGTTCATATAATGGCTTCCATTAACAAAACAACGAATTTTGCAACAGTGCCCTACAATTGTTTGATGCCTCTTGGTATTTCCATCTCATGACAGTAATGAAAAAGGATTGCATATATTACTTGATATTTTGAGGTAATTATATTCAGTTGCTATAATACACAGAGTTGGCTTTAATGGAAATTCCATTAATAGTGATAACAATTTGTATCATTTGATCTCAGAAAAAAGAATGCTGCTTTATATGTCTATGTTAATGCAAAATTTGCAAAGTGGCATTGACATTTGCTAAGATGTGCATTTCAGAGACATGTGGAATTAAGCTAGGTGAGACCCTGAAACAAATGGCCAGTTTAGATAATACACTCAAGTCTCACAACTTGAGTGGAAAACAAATGGAAGGTGTTGCTATTGCTGATCATGTGTATCTTCCTTTCCTTCCCCTACAGAAAATATTCCTCAAATGGGTAAGTCGTAGCATTGGCTAAAATTTATACTTCACAATCCAACCAATACAAATATCAATGGTAAACTGTACATTTATCTCATTTTTGCCATTTTTTAATTTTTAACTTTCCATGTTATTGATGATAATAATAACAAGTTTTAGGCACTTATGTAGCAAAATATTAATACTCATGACACATGATTAAGTAGGTATCATCATATCAATATAATGAATGAGGGTATAGAAAAAAAAGGATTAGAAAGAAGGCACAGACAGAGATATATTGTCTGATTCACACCAGCCTGCAAGAGTGAATTTTGTATATCCCTCTCAACTTTGCGTTCAGTGAAATCACATTGGTAGTTTGAAACAGGCCACTGTGAAAGTATTTACAGCATAAAAATTGTCAAGTCCTTTAAATCAGCACATCCCCTGTATTATTCCACTCTCGTACTGCTATGAAGAACTGCCTGAGACTGGGTAATTTATAGAGCAAAGAGGTTTAATTGACTCACAGTTCTGCATGGCTGGGGAGGCCTCAGGAAACTTACAATCATGGCAGAAGGGGAAGAAAACATGTCCTTCATCCCATGGTGGCGGGAGAGAGAAGTTCAGAGCAAAGTGGGGAAAAGCCCCTTATAAACCCATCAGAACTCATGAGGACTCACTATCACAAAAACAGCATGGGGGAACCACCCCCCATAATCTATTCACCTCCCACGAGGTCCCTCCCATGACACGTGGGGATTACGGGAACTAGAATTCAAGATGAGATTTGGGTGGGGGCAGAGCAATACCATATCATTCTATCCCTGGCTCCTCCCAAATCTCATGGCCTCACATTTCTAGAATCTTCTGATCCGTAGTCAGATGCGTTATCCATTGCGCCACTGGCCCCGAGTTGGCCTCACATTTCTAAACACAATCATGCCTTCCCAACAGTCCCCCAGAGTCTTAACTCATTCCAACATTAACTTAAAAGTCCATGTCCAAAGTCACATCTGAGACAAGGCAAGTCCCTTCTGCCTATGAACCTGTAAAATCAAAAGCATATTAGTTACTTCCTAGATAAAATGGGGGTGCAGGCATTGGGTAAGTACACCTGTTCCAAATGGGAGAAACTGGCCAAAACAAAGGGGCTACAGGCTCCATGCGTGTCGAAATCCAATAGGCCAGTCATTAAACCTTAAAGTTCCAAAATGATCTTTGACTCCATGTCTCATAGCCAGGTCATGCTGAAGCAAGAGGTGGGCCCCCATGGCCTTGAGCAAGTCTGCCCCTCTGGTTTTGCAGGGTGTAGTGCCCCTCCCAGCTGCTTTCACAGGTTGGCATTGTCTGTGGCTTTTCCAGGCATATGGTGCAAGCTGTCAGTGGATCTACCATTCTGGGGTCTAGAGGAGGAGGACAGTGACCCTCTTCTCACAGCTCCACTAGGCAGTGCCCCAGTGGGGACTTTGTCAGGGCTTCAATCCCACATTTCCATTCCACACTGCGCTAGCAGAGGCACTCCGTGAGGGTTCCACCCGTGAAGCAAACTTCCACCTGGATATCCATGTGTTTCCATACAGCCTCTGAAATCTAGGCAGAGGTTTACCAACCTCAGTTCTTGACTTCTGTGCACCCACAGGCCCAACACCATGTGGAAGCTGCCACAGCTTGGGGCTTGCACCCTTTGAAGCAATGGCTCAAGCTATATCTTGGCCCCTTTTAGCCATAGCCAGACTTGAAGCAGCTGAGATGCAGGGCACCATGTCTCAAGGCTGCATAGAGCAGAGGGACCCTGGGCCTGGCCCACAAAGTCATTTTTCCCTCCTGGGCTTCTGGGCCTGTGACGGGAGGGTCTGCTCTGAAGTTCTCTGGCATGCCCTGGAGACATTTTCACCATTGTCTTGGTGATTAACATTTGACTCTTTGTTACTTAAGCAAATTTCTGTAGCCAACCGAAATTTCTCCCCAGAAAATGGGTTTCTCTTTTCTACCACATCATCAAGCTGTAAATTTTCCAAACTTCTGTGCTCTGCTTCCTCTTGAAAGCTTTGCTGCTTAGAAATTTCTTCTGCCAAGTACCCTCAATCATCTGTCTCAAGTTCAAAGTTCCACAGATCCCTAGAGCAGGGGCACAATGCCACCAGTCTGTTTGCTAAAGCAAAGTGAGAGTGACCTTTGCTCCAGTTCCTAAGAAGTTCCTCATCTCCATCTGAGACCACCTCAGCCTGGACTTCATAGTCCATATCACTATCAGCATTTGGTCAAAGCCATTCAACAAGTCTCTAGGAAGTTCCAAACTTTCCCATTTTCCTGTCTTCTTCTGAAACCTCCAAACTGTTCCAACATCTGCCTGTTATCCAGTTCCAAAGTTGCTTCCACATTTTCAGGTATCTTTACAGCAGCACCCACTACTCCCAGTACCAATTTACTGTATTAGTCCATTCTCATGTTACTATGAAGAAATACCCAAGACTGTGAAATTTATAGAGAAAAGAGGTTTAATTGACTCACAGTGCTGCATGGCTGGGGAGGCCTCAGGAAACGTATAATTATGGTGGAAAGGGAAGCAAGCATATCCTTTTGCACATGGTGGCAGGAGAGAGAAGTGCAGAGCGAAGTGGGGAAAAGCCCCTTATAAACCTATCAGGTCCCATGAGAACTCACTCACTATCCCAAGAACAGCATGGGGGAACCACCTCCACAATCTATTCACCTCCCAAGAGGTCCCTTCCACAACATTTGGATATTACGAGAACTAGAATTCAAGATGAGATTTGGGTGGGGGCACAGCCAAACCATATCATACTCCCTACCCCCAAAAGCTGATTGTTAAACATTTATCAGTGTACCACTGCTGACAAAACTAGTGAGTGGCTGAATTGAGATTTAAACTCCATTCTGTCTGACCCCAAGATGGGTGAAAACCACTGGCCAAAAAGCCAGTTGGTTTTTTTCTACTTCTGGCTTTATTATGGAGTTTTATGTCCTTAGGCATATCCCTCCATGTATCTGCCGTGCATTTCATCATCTACATCATGAAGCTCTTAAATCTCTAAATAATGAATAAAAGCTCAAAAATTTAAAGGTGCATTATCAATGTATTATTATTATTTGGTAAGAGCAAGAGTTTTGAGCTTTGATGATTACCCCTTTCCCCATGTTCATTTAGAATTGAAAAGAGAGCATCTCTCTTTCCCATCTTTCCTTCTCTAATCCTCCTTCTCATGGTCCCTTTGGTAAGATTCTCCCAGAGACAGACTGAGACAAGGATTGACATGCAATTGATTTATTAGGAAAGTACTACCCAGAAATCATGGGAAGCAGGATAAGAATGAGGAAGAAGCCAAGAAAGGATGTGATTTCAGGAGAATCCCAAAGGAGCTCAGGAGCATACATAACATCACAGAGTTTGTCTTGTCTAGCCTCAAATCGAGGAAGTTGGACTTTTGTGCTCCCCACTACACAGCCATCAGCTATAGGGGAAGAGGGTTAACAAACTCCCAGGCACTACTTTGCTTTCTCTGCTGATAAAGGTGGGCTCCAGTGCCCACCTCTGAAAGTCACAGGTGTCAGCCATTGGCAGCAAAGCCTTGAGAAGAGGAGATATGGGTGCACAGAGCTAGAAAAAAACAATGGGCCAATAGAGCCCACTGTACTTCCACAAATTATGTTTAACTGAAGACCCTGCTTCATCCAGGCTGGCCAACAGTATATGTCTCTTCTCAGAAAACCTGATTTGCCTATTCTCCTCTGGTCTAATGAGAATATATTAGGAAACTAGACTTCTCTGGAAATGTAGAAAGGAAGAAAATAGTTTTTCAGGATAGAGGCACCCAATTCTATTTCGGGGAGAGAGAGAGGAGGCAAGTGGGGGATACCATAGCCTGTGCTCTGTATAGCCTGTGCTCTGTGCTGAACTGGCCCCAAAGGAAGAGGAAGATTATCTTGCTGGGGAGACACCAGACGTTACCCCTCCTCAGTGAGCCTATAAATATGGACCTTTCTCTGTTATGGCATGTCACATTAGGTGGTAATTTCCTTTACCCACTCTTTCCACAGCCCAAGTGTGAAAGAAAAGTACATGGCCAGTATAAGATAGGCCATGTACATGAATATGAGATGTTTATACCACTCTTGGTTTGTTCAGTAGATTGTGCCAGGTTTCCGGATGAGTATTGAGGCCAAGTATAATGCAACACTATCTATATAATCACATAAATCACTGGTGCCATGGGAAACCATGACACATTGAGAAATTTCTTTATAATTCAGCATTATTTCCATGAAATCTTAATGTGCTGCAGAACTCTAAATGTTTCCCCTTCTGCAAAATGTCCACATATAATGTAGGAATTATTACCTCATTATGTCTACTGGGAAATGGAGGCATCAATTAAGTGACAGGTCCATTAGTAGTCACTATATCACCTCTTGCTTTAAAATAATACCTCGTTGCATGGAGACAAGGGTTGGTTACAAGCAGCTTGAAATGTTACTTTGTGTCGTATCCAAAGAACCACACCCCACACACCACTCACCAGGTTTTGAGTTTTGCGGTTTTTATCTCCTATATCATGCAGGCCTATATTTTTTAAAAATCATTTTTCTATTTGCTCCTTATATTTTAAAATGTATCCTAGTTATCTTAAGGAACAGGTGGCCGGGGGCAGTTGCTTACGCCTGTAAACCCAGCACTTTGGGAGGCCGAGGCAGGTGGATCACCTGAGGTCGGGAGTTCAAGACCAGCCTGACCAACATGGAGAAACCCCATCTCTACTAAAAAGACAAAATTAGCTGGGCATGGTGGTGCATGCCTGTAGTCCTAGCTACACGGGAGGCTGAGGCAGGACAATCACTTGAACCCGGGAGGCAGAGGTTGCAGTGAGTCGAGATCGCACCATTGCACTCCAGCCTGCGCAACAAGAGTGAAACTCTGTCTCAAAAAAAAAAAAAGGGGGGGGGGGAACAGGAAATCCTAGTGTGAAATAGTTTATAGCAGTTTTAATAACCATTACTCATAAAATCCCAACTGGCTTTGATGGGTAACTGGTCATCATTAGAGAGTTGCATTTATCAGACAAATAATTTTGCTTAATTAGGTGACTAACTGGCAGGGCCTTTCTTACTGGAAAACCATTAAAATCGTCAAGAAAATTCTCAGGAAGATCTTGATTGGACCATTTTGTCATTGTTTTACCGGGTATCATTAAATTCCCACTTGCAAACCCTAGAAGTTAATTCAAGTTCCAAGACCTTATACAAAGGTATAACCAGCTAGCCAATGTAAACTGAGGGAGACTTGACTAAAAGGAATAGAGCAAATCTATATCCCAGGCATTGTTTTACATAGGGGAATTCCATGTTTTTAGTGTAATGCTTCTTTAAATATGGTCAGCTCCTCATTTCCGTAAGTCTCAATCTTACGACAAGTATGGTCTAATAACATAAGAATTCCCATCTAATAAATGTACTCCAAGTCATCCCTAGATAGAGAAGAGGCCTCAGAGATTATAACTGAATTTTTAATTGAAAGAATACCCACTGTTCTTTCATGCAGAAACTAATAAGCTACAATTCAGTAGTATGTTCATGTTTTCATGTTATATTAAAAGCAAAAAGAATGTAGCATCCTTAGTCTCAAAGTTTTAAAAAATGAATGAGTCATCCAAAATATTTACAAGGGGATTAGCCCTAGAGTAAATGAGCAAGGTAAATGATTGGTTTAGTGAAAAATGCTAGGGCAGAAATCTGGAATGCAATATCTTACTCCACAAATACTAGGGGTCCTGACATTTTAACAGGCAGTTCAAGCCTTTCTCTTCTGGTAATGTCCTTTTACCTTATGCCTGGATAGGAAGCTGAATTCCAGTCTCTGAATTCAAATATTACCCAAGAATTCTGTGGAGGCTGCCCATAGTTCATAGGTCTAACAACTCTATCAGGGAGGAAGAAACAGTAATAATTGGCTCCCATGAGCCTCTACTTGCAAGAGTCAAGGAATGGGAGATAAACTGATCGAGCTGCGTGGCCAGGCAACCAGATTTGGGAACACAATTTGGCAGAAAACAACCAAAGAAAAAAGAAAGAGAGTCAGCCTCAGAGACTTCCTAACACATGGCTATGAGTATGTGTGCACACACACAATACGGCATGGAAAAATTTCAGGTAGAGAACTTTCAACACACTAATGCTTGCTTACAATGAAGAAAGATGTTATAACTCACACTTTAGACAGAGTTTTTCTTAAGGCCTGCAGCCTGCTGAAGTCACAAACCCTGCTGGCCTGTCCTCATATCACACTATTTTACACAAGCTACCTTGTCTTCTACATAGATGAATTTTTCTAATGTTGTTATTTCCCTCACCAGCCCCTCCTCTAATAAATAAATGAAGTTGACTAGAATCTTGCAGTGTCAAATTCTAAAGCTTATCTTTATGTGCAAAAGCAACATGATCCTGGAAGAATGGGAGATTTTCAAGGATTTTACCAAATCATAATAACCTGATTTATTTTTCAATGGCAGGTAGATTAACAAGATACGCTTTGGCACATCATAATCTTATTTAAAAAAAGAAATCGTGAAACTTATGGATCTCGATCCAAAATACTCTCTGTGTCTTATTAGTTATATGTTGACAGATCCAAAGAGAATGGGCTAAGAGTCCTAGTCTCTCATTCAAACTTCCACCAACTTATTGTGTATTTGGGCACATTGGAAGTATTCTGATCTTCAGGTTTCTTAATTTATAAAATGTGGGGATTGGAATACAAAGGAGTTCATTCTGCTGCAACTTCTATTTTTTATTGGCCATAGTTTGTAATAGATTGAAAAGTCCCCTATAGTTGGAGGTGATTTTGTTTAAGTATAAACTTAAAAAGATAAATTTGGTAGGCATGTTAAATACCAACCACAGAAGAATGGGGTTACGAAGTGTGATTCAGATAAATAATCATCATAAGGGCCAACTACTGAGCACTTCCCATCATGGGCTTCCATGAGCTTTATTGTATAATAGAGCAATGGACTATCATTTAAAAAGCATACTGACTTCACCACTGTGCTTTCTCAGATGGGTGGCTTCATTCATATCATGAGGTGGTTAATCTATCTATTGTGGCTCTCCTCTTTGAGACACTGGTAAAGGAAAGGACACGAGAAGGTTGACATTTCAGTCTCTTCCAGGGCCACAAAAGTGAGACTAGTTTAGAAGTATTAGTGGATTGTTAGGTAAGTATTTTTTATATTTGCCTTTTTCTTAACTGATACATAATATGTGTACGTATTTATGGAGTACATTTGAAATTTTGTTACATGCATAGAATATACAATGATAAAGTCGGAGTATTTGAGGTATATGTCACTGAGTGTGTATTTATGTATTTATTTAAATTTGTTTGTTTTTTTAGAGGCACAGTCTCACTCGGTCACCCAGGCTGCAGTGCAGTAGTGTGATCAGAGCTCACTGTGACCTCAGACTCCTAGGCTCAAATGATCCTCCTGCCTTTGCCTCCTGAGTAGCTAGGACTACAGGTACACAACGCACCTTGCTTATTTAAAAAAAAAAAAAAATTTGTAGAGACAGGGCTCACTCTGCTGCCCAGACTGTTCTTGAACTCCTGGCCTCAAACAATCCCCCCACTTCGGCCACACAAAGCACTGGGATTTTAAGCATGAGCCACCATGCCTGGCCAAGTACTTACCATTTCTATGTGTTGGAAACACTTCAAGTCCTCTTCTAGCTATTTTGAAAATATAATACATTGTTACCCTACATTGCTATGAAATGTTAGATAATATTCCTTCTATTTAGCTATATGTTTGTATCCATTAACCAACCTCATTTCATCCTCCTCATTCCCACATCCTTCCCAGCCTCTGGTATCTGCCATTCTACTCTCTTACCTCTATGAGATCAACTTTCTTAGCTCCCATATATGAGTGAAAATGTGATATTTGTCTTTCTGTGCCTGGCTTATTTCATTTAATATAATGACCACTAGGTCTATCCATGTTGCTGAAAATGACATGATTTCATTCTATTTTTAATGGCTGAATAGTACTCTTTTGTATATATATATACCACATTTTCTTTATCCATTTGTTCATCAGTGAACACTTAGGTTGATTCTGTATCTTGGCTATTGTGAATAGTGCTGCAATGAACATGGGGATTTGGGTATCTTTTTAAATGCTAATTTATTTTCCTGTGGATAAATGCCCCATAGTGGGATTGCTGGGTCATATGATAATTCTATTTTTAGGTTTCTGAGAAATCTCCATACTGTTTTCCACAGTGGCTAGTTAACATTCCCATCAACAGTGTATAAGAGTTCCCTTTTCTCTGCATACTCTCCAGCATCTGTTATTTTTTGTCTTTTTAATAATAGCCCTCTAGGCTATTATTTTTGATGACAGACTGATTTTGTCTGTCATCAAAAATATAACTTTTTGTTTCTTTTATCCTTTGTAATTTTTTTTAGTTTCTATTTAGTTCTATTGTACCCTTCATTATTTTTTTCTACTAATTTGGGGTTTTGTTTGTTCTTGCTTTTCTAGTTCTTTGAGGCCTATTATTATATTGTTTATTTGAAATCTTTCTACTTTTTTCATAATCTGTGATTTTGTTTTTAATTATCTTGTCTCATGATCACACATAATTTTTAAATTTGTGTATATCTCTTCTACGTTAATCCTTTCAAGTTGGCTAAAGCACCATTCCCAGTCGCAAATACACAGCACTTCTACAGTTTTGTTTCTGAATGGCTGTTTAAAGACAATCCTAAATTATATCTCAGTCTGACTTAGAGAGTAAATAATTCAAGAATGAAGTTTAACTTGCTACTGTTTAAAAGCGTCTGACCTCATCTATAAAATGTGAGAAGTGCTAAATAATCTTTATGAAATCTTTCTACTTTTTTGATGTGGGTGTTAATTACTATACAATTCCCTCTTAGCACTGCTTTTGAATCATCTCATAGGTTTTGGTATGTTTTATTTGATTTTTTTGGGTCATTTCAACAATGTTAATTCTTCTAATCGATAAGTATGCCATGTCTTTCCATTTGTTTGTATCCTCTCCAGTTTCTTTTATTAGCTTTGTAGCTTTCCTTTCAATGGTCTTTCACCCCCTTGATTGAATTTTTCCTAGGTCTTTTATTTTGATAGCTATTATAATTGAGATTTTTTTAAAATTACTTTCTCAACTAGTTTGTTATTGGGGTATGAAAACACTATTGATTTTTATATTTTGCATTCTGCAACTTTACTAAGTTTATTTATTAGTTCTAAGAGCTTTTTGTCAGAGTATAGGTTTCTCTAGAGGTAAAATCATGTGATCTGCAAAGAGGAACAATTTTACTTCTTCTTTTCCAAATTGGATGCCTTTTATGTCTTTCTCTTGCCTGATTGCTCTAGCTAGGACTTCCACTACTATATTGAATAGGAATGGTGAAAGTGCACATCCTTGTCTTGTTCCATCTCTTAGAGGTAATTATTTTAGATCTACTCCATTCAGTCTGAAGTTAGCTGTGGGTTTGTCATATATGGCTTATATTATGTTGAGGCATGTTCCTTCTATGACTATTTTGTTGTGTTTTCCTCATGAAGAGGTGTTGAATTTTATCAAATGCTTTTTCTGCATATATTGAGATGGCCTTTCCCCTTTATTCTGTTGAACTGATATATCACATTCATTGATTTGGATATGTTGAACTATCCTTGCATCCCTGAAATAAACCCCACTTGATTATGGTGTAGGAACCCTCTTAGTGTTTCTTGTATGGTTGGTCTAGTAGTGATTAATACCCTCAGCTTTTACTTGTCTGGGAAAAACTTTATTTCTCTTTTATTTATAAGGGATAACTCTGCTAGGTATGGTATCCTTACCTGGCACGTTTTTTCTTGTAGCTCTTTGAATGTGTCATTTCATGCTCCCTGGCCTGTAAGGTTTCTGCTGAGAAATCCTTTTCGTTTAATGAGAGTTCCTTTATAAGTAACTAGGCACTTTTCTCTTGCTTTTTGAAGAATGTGTTGTTTGTCTTTGACTTTTGATAGTTTAGAGAAGACCTTTTGGAATTGTATCATTTGGGGATCCCTGAGCCTCTTGTATCTGGAAGTCTACATTCTTTATTAGAGTTCTAATATTTTCTTTTATTATTTTGTTAAATAGGTTTTCTATTCCTTTGTTTTATTTTTCTCTTTGCCTTCTGGATCAGCAAAAATTTTAATATTTGATTCTGAAATTCTATTTTCTGCTAGATCTAGTTTACTGCTGAAGCTTTTGAATGATTTTGTATTTCATTCAATTAACTCTTCAGTTCTGAAATTTCTGTTTGGTTCCTCTTTTAAAATAAGATCTATTATCTCTTTGGTAAATTTCTCATTCTTATTCTGAATTGTTTTTATAATTTCTTTGTATTGTTTATCTGAATTCTCTTGTATCTCACTAAGCTTCAGTATTATTAGTTTGAATTCTTTTTCCAAGATTTCATAAATTTCCTTTTCACTGGAGTCTGCTGCTGGAGAATTACTGTGTTCCTTTGGATGTGTCATATTTCCTTGTTGTTTTTTTTTTATGTTTTCCATGCCTTTACATTGGTATCTGCCCATGTGGTGTAACAGCTTTTTAGAATTTGCTTTCATAGGAGAGAACTTCTTCTTGAAGATGTGTCTATGGTGTGGATTGGGTAGCACACTTTGGCTTTGCTTCTGGGTGTGTTTCTGAATTATTTATTTGACAATAAACAGCACCAATAGTTTTTGTGATATCCTCAGTGGCTCAGAGTGTGGTGGAGGCTGTGGTGAAGTTTTGTGGGGACAAAGACATCAGGTGGGCCAGTCCTCAATATCCAGTGGTGGCAGTGGTGAGTCAAGCATTCCTGTCTTTGGACCTTAGGGTGGTATACACTGGTCTTAGTGTTAATGAGTCCAGGCAGGTCAATTTTTGGGCCTCCAGGCAGCTTGTTTCAGTGCTGGCTGTGGCAGCAATGGGCCAGTTAGGTGGGCAGATTCTCAGGCCCAGGGCAGTGAATGCCATGTGGATGATGGCAGTAGCATTGGTGTGACAATTTTCTGGCTCCCAAGTGGTTTGCACTGATGGTGACTATGACAAGTTAAGCAGGCCAGACCCCAGGCCTGCAGGCAGTGCATGTAGGTGGCCAGACCCCAGGCCTGCAGGCAGTGCATGTAGGTGAATGCCAGCTGTGGTGGTAGTGACAGCTTGTGTGGGCCTGACCTCATGCTTCCCAAGAGGAGTGTTCAGATGCCAATGGTGGTGGATGGGACAGGGCAACTACCAGGTCCCTGGATGGTGTACTTGGGCACCTGGGGGTGGGTGAAGCCAGGCCAGGTGGGCATGTCCTCAGGCCCCCCCAGTGGTGCGTGAGGGCATTGGCTGTGGTAGGTAGAGGCAAGGTGAGCCTCAAGCCCCTAGCAGAATGCTCAGGTAGGGGTGTCAGCAGCTACACTAACTACATAGCCCTGCTGCTAGGTAGGGTGGAGTTGCTTTCAGTAGCAGCAGCTATAAACAAGAAGCTGGGGAGTCCACCCTTTAGCCTCAAGTGACAGCTGCAATCACAGTTGTCTTTTTTCAGTGTGCTTGTAAACGCATGGTTGCCTTGCCACTAGGGGTAGTGAGGCCACTGCCAACGGTTCATACTTCGACCCTGGTGGCAGCATCCAGCAGTGGCACCTGACTGCAGGTAGGGATGTCAATGGGGTACCAGGAATGTGGAAATGAATAAGCTGTTGGACCACATGGCAGGATGCAGTCTAGTGGGGACTGGGCTCTCAAAATGGCACCTTGCTGCAGCTGCTTAGGATTCAGGGAGGGTATAGAGCCTAGGGCAAATTCTCTCTCAGGAGTAGTGCTGTCATGCAGTCTCCAGGAAGCTCTATACAAGTCTCAGGGCCCACATAGGTTGAGGAGCTCTTCCATGGTAGGATTACAGGAGCCCTCACTGGGAATATGGACCACTGGAAGTCCCTCACGTACCCTTTCCCCACACTGGGAAGACTCTCCAGGATTCCAGCTGATCCCAGCTGAATAGGCTGTCTTGTTTCTTTCTCCTTCATTGCCCTAGGTGTATTTCCTGTCACTTTTCTATTGAATTCCAGCATTCTCTTTTACGGGATCTATTAAAAGTATGATTATCTACTCATTATTTTGGTTCATCGTCGTGGAGGAGGTGAGTACCAGATGCCTCTAGTCAGCCATTCTGAAGGCTTTCAAACCTGTTAGGTAAATTTTTGATAGGCCTTTAGTCTAATGGAGAGAAACAGAATAAGCTAAGCTAAGGTGTTTTCCCAGAGGAATCAAGCTTGAGGGCTCAGATAACTTAAGTGAGAGGGTGACGTAAGGGATCATATAAAGCTCGAGTTTACAAAGCTACCCAGATATGTAAAACCCCCTCATCTTCTCAACTGTTTAATGGAGTTTGCTACATATAAATGTCTTGTGCGAGCACAAGGGCTCACATTCTGCAAGTCAGAATGGAGTCAGTATAGAGGGCAGACACCAGACATGAGAAATAACTAGAATTCAACAGACAGTGAATTCCAGACACAGAATTGATGTATATCATAGCACCCCATGGAATTCACAAGATTCCTGAGGAAGCCTTTGACTTTCACATACAACAAGGAATTGAAAAATAGCCATTGTGTAAATCTAAAAGTACAAGAAGTCTTCAAACAACCTCAAGATATTTTATTCCCAAATCCTACAGCAATCCTGTAAAGTCCATATCATAATTCCCATTTTATATCTTTCTATTACACAATGGTTCAAATAAGAGGCTAACACTGTGGTTTAGGAAGGAAAGCAAAGAGCATTTGGAACTTTTAATTCTTTTTCATGATATCAACCAAAAATCCACAGTCTTGGCATCTAGGATTATCATTTTGGGAGATAGGTGACATGATCATGGTGCCCACCATTGATTTCTCAAGTTGAAGGACATTAATAGAAGCAGATAAGATGCTCTGTCTTTACCTAAGTGGGAGCTAGGGAGCTGGATTTCAAATTACCATTTTTTATGCTGTTTTTCACTCCTATGACCTTTTTTTTTTCTGACTTCTTTTTTTTTAAATTATACTTTAAGTTCTAAAAAAAAAAATCACTCCTATGACTTTGTGACCTGAGAAGCACAATTCTACTTGTGGTTGCAGTGTGCAGAGTATTGGTGGTATATCTTTTGATCATACCAGGGCTCCCACAAACATCTGGAGAGCGGAGTTTTGTGGTTGATTATAAAACAAAAACAATATTCCAAAAAATAACTTTCAGGCCAGGAGCAGTGGCTCACGTCTGTAATCCTATCACTTTAGGAAGCTGAGGTGGGAGCTCTGCTTGAGGCCAGGAGTTTGAGACCAGCCTGGGCAACATAGCAAGACCTCTGTCCCCACAAAAAAATGTTAAAATTTAGCCAGGCTTGGTGGCTGACACCTGTAGTCCCATCTACTCAGGAGGTTGAGTTGAGAGTATTGCTTGTGTATTGAAGTTGAGGCTGCAATGAACTACGATCGCACTGCTGTACTCCAGCCTGGGCAACAGAGTGAGACCCTGTCTCTTGAAAAAAAAAATTAAAAAAAAATCACAAAAAGTTCTTCTCCAAATTTTTTAGGATTTTGTTTACTTACTCTGCTCTTACACCAAATAAAAAATAAGCGATTTTGTCCTTTCATAGGATTCATGAAATTCTCCCTCCAACAGTGTCAGTACTAAATGTCACCCTGATAACTTTAAATTTATTGTATTTCATATGGAGAATGAAAGCAAACCTTCAAATTAGTTCCTTACAGTGGTTCTGCATAGTGTCAATTCTAACATTGAGGTGTGTGTTTATTAAACTCCTTACCATATACAAGGATAAAACTGCTCAGAAAAGGAAAAAATTTGTGTCGATCCACCCACATTTTTGCTTTTTCCCCTTCTGACTACTTGGTCAGAATTCAGGATGAATTCTGTGTCCTTGGGATGAAATAAAACTAAACAACACATTATGAACTCAAAGCTGCCATTTAGCATTAATGATTTTTACCCACTCAGTTATCTGCTTTCTAAGACCTAAGAACATCTGATGAAGCAGAGTTGATGAATAAAAACTACATACTCTCGTGAAAAGAAATATGCGAAATGAAGCCAGTTTCATTTATCTTAGACTCCTAGGGTGATAGATGAAATTAAGAGGTTTTTCTAACCATAAAAATATTAGAAGCTCACCACAGAAAATTTGAGAAGTTTTTAATAATTTAAAACCACCTATTATACAATAACATTTGACATGTTTTTCTATGTGTTAAATCGTATCTGAGGTCACGATTTATGAGCAGTTGAATATACTGTTTTTTAACATATAATTTAAGAGTCGCATTATGGTGGTTGCCAGGGGCTACAGGCTTGGGGAAATGGGGAGAGGTTGATCAAATGCTACAAAGTTTTAGATATGTAGGATGAATAAGTTCTGGAGATCTAATTATAGCAAGCAAACTATAGTTAATAATACTGTATTGCATACTTAGATTTACTAAGAGAGTAGATCTTAAAAGTTCTCATCACAAAAAACTGAAAATGATAACTATGTGAGGTGAAGGATATGTTAATTAGCTTGATTGTGGTAATCATTTCACCTTGTATACATATGCCAAAACATCATGCTGTATGTCATAAACACATAAAATTTTTATTTGTCAATTAGTAAATCCAGAAAGAATAATTTTTAAAAATGGAGTCATGTTAGAAGCTCTCCATAAAGATAATTTTAAGTGACAAAATCAATTCTTTATTGTGAAGGTAAACCATGATTTATGAATGGCCTACATAGAATATTTAAGCAATTTTAATTATTTTTTGCTAAGTAATACTGTGATAATGTGGGTGATATTTAATAGTGTCAATTGTGAAATCTGGTGTTTCTTTTAACGTAATGATAAAAATTACTTAATGTAGTTATATTGCACTTTTCACAGAAATATTGGGGGAGAAAAGCAGACAGAAATGGCACTGCTTTCGAGGCGTGGCAATCAAATCTTTTGAATATGTATGTCTGCACTTTGCATTTGACCCTCGTTGGAGCAAATAAAACAAAAACCGTGTCTCTTGTGCTATAAACAATAAAGGTGACCCAGAGGTGAGAAGAAGATCCAGTTCTGAAAACACACTGCTACTACTGGCCTCTGAGCTCATAAATAGTCTCTTTTTCTGCTGTGTTCTTCTAACTTTTACTGTTTCCAACTGTATTCTAGTATAGTTATTACAGCTATTGCCCAGATTTTTGTATTTCTTTTGGCCTGCCCAGTTCTTGTTGAAAGATCATCCATCGCACTTTGATTTTTTTGAGAAGACACTTCAAGCAACTTCCTACTTTGGCAGCTATGGAAGTTGGTAGTTGATTTTATTTTTCTTATACGCTACAAAATCGTTTCTTATGTTTCATTTTTCCTTTGTCTCTTTGTTTTTTTTCCATGCAACTCTCCGGTTGAGGGTTCATTTCCCATCCAAACCTCCCGTGTTGTTTCAATGCTCCATTTTCTTCTTTTCAGATCCTTTTATCAATATTTTAATGGATTCACTATGAAAGAAGGCCTTTGCATTGCTGCTGACTCCATCAGAATCTCAGAAGTCTTCCTGGATCAGAAGGGGACCCAATTAGAACCTGGAAGGCCCGCTACTCATAGGCAGGAGGCCAGAAGACTTGCCCTAGTGCCGAAATGTTGTTCTGTTAATGTGTATCTCATGCCCAGTATTTCTTATTAATAAGGCACTAAATAAGGGACAATCCAGCGTTTCCATTGCCAAAAGAACACATCTCCCTTTTAATTAATCAATGTAAATGGCCTTTTACTGGAAAATAGAAGTAAAGTATTCCTAGAACATAGGATATAATGTTACATTGGGGAATATCATGCCCTCTTTTTATTTTAAAGTGGAGATTTTTTTTTTTAATGTAGAGACACTAGGTCTGGACCACCTGAGAGAGAGTTCATTCACAAATTATTGCTGAACATTTGCTACTTGGGTAAACTCAGGACTTTTGTTTCCCAGTTCATTTTTGCTACAACTCATTTGCATTCAATCCAGTGGGAGTTCAGATCAGGAAAATTATCTGGATGGAGCAATTTATAAAATAAAAAATAACTTATATTCAAAATCCACTTCTTCCCATTTCTATGTATCTTTCCCTCAAGGACCAGTGCAATTAATGTTCAGCCAGGGACTGACATAAATATTGATCAGAACAGAAGCACCACAAGATTACTGCTTGACTTGGCTTCACTTCAACTTACTTCTCCTTAGTGTCTTTGCTGATGCAAAGGTTAACTCTTCTTTCATTTGTCAGTTTCTTTTTGCTTCAGTTTTTCTCTGAAGACAACCTAGCTTAAAATTCATCCAATTGGATTGATCCAAAGCCACCTAATTTTCCCTCCAATGTCACATAATCTATTATTTAATGTAGACATTTATATACTATTATACACTATGTAAACCAAAGGACACGACTTAATTAAGGAAAATCAGGAGAAGCTGGTATTTCAAAATGTCAGCATTTGTCTCCTTTTTCCCCCTAAACTCATAGTAGCAACCCTAAGAGTGAAAGGAGCCAGAATAAAGAAGTCAGCAGATATGAAAGCAAAGGAATTCTTCAAGAATGGGATCTCCAGAAATGTAAATCAGATTGCCATCAGATTTTTTTTAAAATCAGAATCAGTATACACTAAAAAGTGATTCTATGCCTCAAATTTTGGAGGTAAAAATAATTTAGAACCTAAAATTCTAAACCTGGCCAATTTTTAAATTGATTGTGAGGGCAAAATGAAGTTCTTTTCAGAAAGACAACATCTTAAAATGTTGCTGCTCTGGAACCCTTTTTGAAGAAGATACTTAGAGTTGTTGAACTCCAGGAAAATAAATATGAGCACCAAAAATAAGAAATGAGACCAAGAAGCAAATGAGATAACCCACAAGCCCCATGAAGAGAAATCCCAAGAAAGTGGGCTGAAAGTTGAAACAGACAAAATCACCAGAGGGATAATTTGCTGAACAACTGAGAATTTCTTTGAAGCTTTTAATGTGCTCCATCCACTGACTCTTTACTTGACTGGGTGTGATTTCCCTTAAATACAATTCACTGGGGTGTTTTTGCTGACTTACATTCTTCCCCTCTGATGCCTTGGTCTGAAATGGGCAGGACATAAGTTCACACAAATAGAAAGGCCAGTAAATAGTGTTAATGAAAAAGCCCATTTATTTATTCATTTATAAAATGTTAAGAGTGAAAGCAAGGGCAAGATGGGCAAGACAAGAACAAATATTAATTTCATGTGTGTCCGTGTGAAGAGACCACCAAACAGGCTTTGTGTGAGCAATAAAGCTGTTTATTTCACCTGGGTGCAGGTGGGCTGAGTCCGAAAAGAGAGTCAGCATAGGGAGATAAGGGTGGGGCCGTTTTATAGGATTTGGGAAGGTAATGGAAAATTACAGTCAAAGGGGGTTGTTCTCTGGTGGGCAGGGGTGGATCTCACAAAGTACATTCTCAAGGATGGGGAGAATTACAAAGAAACTTCTTAAGGGTGGGGGAGATTACAAAGTACATTGATCAGTTAGGGTAGGGCAGGAACAAATCACAATGGTGGAATGTCATCAGTTAAGGCTGTTTTTACTTCTTTTGCGGATCTTCAGTTACTTTAGGCCATCTGGATGTATACGTGCAAGTCACAGGGGATGCGAAGGCCTGGCCTGGGCTCAGAGGCCTGACATTCCTGCCTTCTTATATTAGTAAGACAAATAAAACAAAATAGTGTTGAAGTGTTGGGGTGGCGAAAATTTTTTGGGGGTGGTATGGAGAGAGAGTGGGCGATGTTTCTCAGGGCTGCTTCAAGCGGGAACCTAGAGGGGGACAGATTAAGCTGAAGGGAGGTCTTGTGGTGAGGGGTGATATTGTGGGGATGTTAGAAGAAACATTTGTAGTATAGAATAATTGGTGATGGCCTGGATACGGTTTTGGATGAATTGAGCGAGCTTGATGTGTAGGGAAGGGAGGGGGCCTGAATAATCCCTGAGGAGTAGTAGAATAGCAGATGGAACACTGAGAAGTTATTTCCTTGAGGATAGATTTCCATGATGGAAAGGAAATGAGAGGTTCTAAGAGGCGGGCTAGTGGCTTGTGCTATAGCATAGGCTGCCTTTGCTGGTGTGTGGCGATTAGGCCTGGTGGGCCTGCCATCAATAAATCAAGCGTGATCAGGGTGAGGAACAGGAAAGAAGGAAATATGGGGAAATGGGGTGAATGTCAGATGGATCAGAGAGATACAGTCATGGGGGTCAGGTGTGGTATCAGGAATAATGTGGGAGGCCAGATTGAAGTCCAGGCCAGGAACAATGGTAATTGTGGGACTTAACAAAGAGTGAGTACAGCTGAAGGAGCCGGGGAGCAGAAAGTGTATGCATCAGGTATAAGGGAGAAAATAGATTTCGGAAGTTATAAGAAATGTAGAGAGTGAGTTGAGCATAGTTTGTGATTTTTAGGGCCTCTAAAAGTATTAAAGCAGCGGCAGCCGCTGCACGCAGACATGAGGGCTAGGCTAAAACAGTAAGGTCAAATTGTTTGGACAGAAAGGCTACAGGGTGTGGTCCTGGCTGTTGTGTAAGAATTCTGACCATGCTAACCATGCCTAGGAAGGAAAGGAGTTGTTGTTTTGTAAGGGATTGAGGTTTGAGAGATTAATCGGACACGATCAGCAGGGAGAGCACGTGTGTTTTTATGAGAATTATGCCAAGATAGGTAACAGATGAGGATGAAATTTGGGCTTGACTGAAGTAATGGGGGCTGTCTGTGAAGCCTTGCGGCAGTACAGCCCAGGTAATTTGCTGAGCCTAATGGGTGTCAGGGTCAGTCTAAGTGAAGGCAAAGAGAGGCTGGGATCAAGGTTGCAAAGGAATAGTAAAGAAAGCATGTTTGAGATCCAGAACAGAATAATGGGTAGTAGAGGGAGGTACTGAAGATAGGAGAGTATATGGGTTTGGCACCACGGGGTGGATAGGCAAAACAATTTGGTAGATAAGGCGCAGATTCTGAACTAACTTGTAAGCCTTGTCTGGTTTTAGGACAGGTAAAATGGGGGAATGGTAAGGAGAGTTTATAGGTTTTAGAAGCCCATGCTGTAGCAGGCGAGTGATAACAGGCTTTAATCCTTTTAAAGCATGCTGTGGGATGGGATATTGGCATTGAGCGGGGTAAGGGTGATTAGATTTTAACGGGATGGTAATGGGCATGTGATCGGTTGCCAGGGAAGGAGTAGAGATGTCCCATACTTGTGGGTTAAGGTGGGGAGATATGAGAGGAAGACACGAAGGAGGCTTTGGGCTGGGGAGAAGGGTGGCAATGAGATGCAGCTGTAGTCCAGGAATAGTCAGGGAAGCAGATAATTTGGTTAAAACATCTCGGCCTAATAAGGGAACTGGGCAGGTGGGGATAACTACAAAAGAGTGCATAAAAGAGTGTTCTCCAAGTTGGCACCAGAGTTGGGGAGTTTTCAGGGGTTTTGAAGCCTGGCCGTCAATACCCACAACAGTTATGGAGGCAAGGGAAACAGGCCCCTGAAAAGAAGGTAATGTGGAGTCGTAGCTTCCATATTGATTAAGAAGGGGACGGACTTACCTTCCACTGTGAGAGTTACCCAAAGCTCGGCGTCCGTGATGGTCTACTGGGCTTCCGAGGCGATTGGGCAGCATCAGTCTTCAGCCGCTAAGCCGAGAAGGAGTCAGTCAGAGGAGCCTTGGGCCAGAGTTCCAGGGGCTCCGGGAGTGGCTGCCAGGTGAGTTGAACAGTCCGATTTCCAGTGGGGTCCCGCACAAATGGGACATGGCTTAGGAGGAATCCTGGGCTGCAGGCATTCCTTGGCCTGGTGGTCAGATTTCTGGCACTTGTAGCAAGCTCCTAGGGGAGGAGGTTCTGGAGGAACGCCTGGCCGCTGCGGTTCAGGCGTTTGGAAGTTCTTGTGTGCTGGAGATGTAGCTGGGGTTTGTCTCACAGTGGAGGCAAGGAATTGCAACTTTTTTCTATTATTGTACACCTTGAAGGCGAGGTTAATTAAATCCTGTTGTGGGGTTTGAGGGCCGGAATTTAATTTTTGGAGTTTTATTTAATGTCGGGAGCAGATTGGGTAATAAAATGTATATTGAGAATAAGACGGCCTTTTGACCTTTTAGGGTCTAGGGCTGTAAAGCGTCTCAGGGTTGCTGCCGAACGAGCCATGAACTGGGCTGGGTTTTTATATTTGATGAAAAAGAGCCTAAAGTCTTCTGATTTGGGATAAAGAAAAAGGAGCATTAAACTTGACTATGCCTTTGGCTCCAGCCACCTTTTTAA
The DNA here is from genome assembly GCF_000001405.40 of Homo sapiens. Taxonomy (NCBI): domain Eukaryota; kingdom Metazoa; phylum Chordata; class Mammalia; order Primates; family Hominidae; genus Homo; species Homo sapiens. The sequence goes on from NC_000009.12 coordinate 82,704,615, forward strand.
GAGTAAATTGCTGGGCGGGTTGGGGAGGGCTAGTCACAGAACGAAACTGTAAGCCGGACCAGGTGTGAGGAGGGGAGGCGATAAAAAGATTACAGGGTGGAGGAGCAGAGGCTGAGGAAGAATTGGGACCTAGCTCGGCCTGGCGAGGAGGGGAGAGGTCAGATGGGTCTGTAGAAAAGGAAGATTAGAAAGACTCAGCGACGCTTGGGGTTGGGACTAAGGGGACAGGCGGGAGGGAAAGAAGGAAGATTTGGGACGAGTTGCACTGGGCACAGAGACTAGGAAGGGACTGATGTGTAAAAGAATGCCTGGACGTCAGGCACCTCAGACCATTTGCCCCTTTTACGACAAGAATTATTTAGATCTTGTAGGATGGAAAAATTCAAAGTGCCATTTTCTGGCTATTTGGAACTACTGTCGAGTTTGTACTGGGGCCAAGCGGTGTTGCAGAAGAAAATAAGGCGTTTAGGTTTTAGATCAGGTGTAAGTTGAAGAGGTTTTAAGTTCTTGAGCCCACAGGCTAAGGGAGAAGAAGGAGGAATGGAGGGTGGAAGGTTGCCCATAGTGAAGGAAGCAAACCCAGAGAAGAGAGCGTAGAGACACGGAGGGAAGGGGTTTGGGGGTTCTTGCCCCCTAGAAAAGCGGGACTTGCCGCTAAGGGTGAAGGAGAAGGGGTTGAGGGGTACTTGCCCCTGCCCCAGGAAAGTGGGACTTCCCGCTAAGGGTGAAGGGGAAGGGGCTGAGGGGTACTTGCCCCTGCCCCAGGAAAGTGGGACTTGCCGCTAAGGGTGAAGGACCAAGGCAGGCGTCCCTGCGTGGTCTGACACCCTTGAAACATGGCTGTATAATCAGAGAGGTGTCCCTGCAATGATTAAACACCAAGGGAAAGCTGCCTTCCCAGTCCATGACCAGCGCCGGAGTTTTGGGTCCACGGATAAAACGTGTCTCTTTTGTCTCTACCAGAAAATGAAAGGAATTGAAATTAAAAGAAGGGAGAGATTGAAGTGCATCGCCAAGATTGAAAGGAGAAAGAGGTTGAGGGATAGTGAGGGAAGTTGGAGAAGGGAGTAAAAAGAGGCCGCTTACCGGATTTGAAATCGGTGAGATGTTTCTTGGGCTGGTCGGTCTGAGGACCTGAGGTCGTAGGTGGATCTTTCTCACGGAGCAAAGAGCAGGAGGACAGGGGATTGATCTCCCAAGGGAGGTCCCCTGATCCGAGTCACGGCACCAAATTTCATGTGCATCCATGTGAAGAGACCACCAAACAGGCTTTGTGTGAGCAATAAAGCTGTTTATTTCACCTGGGTGCAGGTGGGCTGAGTCCGAAAAGAGAGTCAGCATAGGGAGATAAGGGTGGGGCGGTTTTATAGGATTTGGGAAGGTAATGGAAAATTACAGTCAAAGGGGGTTGTTCTCTGGTGGGCAGGGGTGGATCTCACAAAGTACATTCTCAAGGGTGGGGAGAATTACAAAGAAACTTCTTAAGGGTGGGGGAGATTACAAAGTACATTGATCAGTTAGGGTGGGGCAGGAACAAATCACAATGGTGGAATGTCATCAGTTAAGGCTGTTTTTACTTCTTTTGTGGATCTTCAGTTACTTTAGGCCATCTGGATGTATACATGCAAGTCACAGAGATGCGAAGGCCTGGCCTGGGCTCAGAGGCCTGACAATTAAGCCTTCAGAAAAGGAACAAAATTCCCTGAATATTGGCTATTCAATAATTTGAATATTTGGCAAGTTGACCAGGGCATTAGATCAGTAAGTCAGTAGGCTGCAACTAAAATATCTTCAGGAAGAAGAAAAGGATTTTACAAAAATACAAAATAAACCAGAAATTGCATTATTAGGAATAAGATGGGAAAAGTCTATGTTTTATCTCATGAGTGGAAAGGCAAAGCAATCAGAAACTCCAGGGGAGGAAAATTCTGTAGAAGTAAACTATGAATCTGATGATTATGAAGCTAAAATTCAGCATGGTTTTAACCATCTGAACGGTTTTTCTTTAAAAACGAAAATCCATTTGATCTTCACATAAGGAATAGTCTTGATTGAGTGGCATAAAGTGAGGAATGGGGCAGCACTGGGACCATCAGGGAAGGAAATTATATCATAGCACACAGTTGAAAATGCAGAAAGCGGGGGAGTGAGCTTCAAGTATGATCAGGACATGACTCCACGTTTCTGTAATTCCTGCTGCTTTTCCTTCTTCTGCCAGCTGAGCTTTAAGGCTGGCTTCCTTCTCAACTCAAAGATGGCTGCCTGTAGCAATGTAGCCTCATGTTCCTTGTTCCTAATTGGGAGAGAGAGCGAGTTGCTTCCCACAAGCAGTGAGCTTAATGTACATTGAATCATTCCTGAATCAGTCCTCATGACCAGGGTGCTATGTCCTGATTGGCTTACGGATGGATGATGTGAGAAAAAGAATGTTACTTGGGTGAGGGCAATTCTACCCAAGCCACGGGCTGCTATGCAACGAGGGAGGTTTATGGAGAGGCAAACACAACATGCAACATGTCCTACTAATTTCATGGCTTTTTAAAACTTTGTGAAGAAATTTGCCCTCCTTTCAATTTACCTTCAGGGTTTAGAACTGCACTATGCAATACAATAGCCACTAACCATGCATGTCTATTCATATGTAAATTTTAATTAATTACAATAAAACTTTGGTTTCCCAGTTGCATTAGCCACATTTCAAGTGCTCAATAGCAATGCATGGTTAGTGGCTACCATATAGGACAACACAGATTATATAAATGTTCATCATCACAGAAAGTTCTATTGGACAGAGCGCTAGGCTAGAGCATAAAATGCTTTGATTTGAGGATACCTATGTTAGATGAAGCATCCTTCTTCTTGGATGTACTTTAACCATGGCAACAATGCCTGTCTTCTCCTGAAAGCTTGCAGTATAAATAACAGAAACAGAGGATTTTTATCTTATGTTAATATTTCTTCTTTTCATACTTACTTCAAGGGAAAGCTTCCATGGATGACTAAACAAAGATTATGACACAAACTAACTTTTTAGCCCCTTAGCATCCTTTCTGCTTTTCCCTTTATCCAGATCTTTCCTTGCATGCTCCTCATCCTAGGTTGTGCTTTATTTCATATTTCCCCCACTCAAGCAGTAGCTGAAGCTTCGTGTGGCAGTTATCATATCACTTGGTTTTTAGGGTGCCTATTCTCATTATATTGACATTGGTCTTAATGTGCTGGGGTGTGTAGTAAGGGAGGGCTAGCATAAGCAGGGATGCAAAACTCAGCTGTTAGCAAAGAAATAATTGAACAGTAATTGAGTTGGCTAAATATAGTAACTGATTGCTAACATAATGTTTTTTCCTGATTAGGCACAAATTATCTTGGGGTGTTAGAAAAATCTCATCCTTACGGAATACACAAGAGGGAGTTAAAGATGGTGTGGAGTAAACTGAGTTCTTCATTGTTTCTGTTTCTACAGGCATAAAGAAAAAGCTTTAAAATAGTGAGTAGTGGGGGTGGAATATTAAAGGTTTACCAGCATTAACAAATCAGCTAAGAGTTAATAAGATAACATGACTAGCATTTACTGAGCACTTAATATACGCCAGACACTGTTTTAACTGTAATGTTCCATTTATTATTCCCAACAGCTCTGTGAGATAACTACTACTGTTACCCCCCATTTCACTGATAAGGAAATTGAAGGGCCGAGAGGTCAATAACTTACTCTAGGTTCACAAGGCCATTAAGTGATCCTATATCAGAGAGCCAGAGTTGTGATTCAAACCAAGGCAGACAATCTCTATGGTTTAATCATGACGCACTGGCTTGAGGAAGACACCAACAATTTGCAGCACCGGCAGTGGGATTGCATCCTACTATAGGCTTTGAATCTTTGCCATACCTGTTCATCAGGAAGCAAACACAGACAGGAGCTCTATGGTTTGTTGGTTAGTTTTATGACTTCCCCAAAGCTGAAAAGATTCTAAATAGTAGGGAGTAGGAAATCGAAGTCAAGTTAAGCAGCAATACAGTGAAATTTAGTGGTAAAATGTATTCAGCATTTATTTAGATGCCTTCATTCTTTTAAATCTTGCCCTATATTGACTTAAATTTATTTTATGTCAATAATTAGAGATTGTTAATTATTTTCAAATAGTCCTAACTTTCTAAGAGCAAAAAAATTGACTGGATCATATGCTTGTCTTGGTGCCTGCTAACACAGTGATTCTCAATCTTGGCTGCCTGGCAGAATCACCTGAAAGAGCTTTAAAACATCCACTTGTCTCTCTCTCTCTCTCTCTCTCTCTCTCTCTCTCTCTGAAGGACTTGGGAATCAGTATTGCTAAAGTTCCTCAGGTGATTCCAATATATAGCTGCATAACTAAGTTAACTATGGTTCTAACAAAAGCCACTCTTCACCTAGAATAGTTAAGAGAATGGCAGGTACAGGTTCCAGAAACAAGTAACAAGAATTCATAGAGTTTTAAATCTTTTAAAATTGTGGTACATATTTGGATACTAAATATTTAGGCAGCACACTTGAAGTAAAGTGGAATAGTTACAGTGCTGTTCATTTGCTTTTTCCTTTGATGTTGTCTCACAGTTTGAGTCAGTTTACTTCTATAATCTCATATACATAGAAGACAAAATATGTATTTCATTAGGCATGTCATTTTGAACATACCATTTAAACAAGTTGTATTCTGCACTGTAACTTTTCTCATGACTAACTCAGCTTAACATCTACCTAAGAGAGAATGCCATTCATGTCTTTCTTGGAGTGTGATGTGAACTGACTTCAGCCCATTTAGTCATTCACAATTATCAGGTGCTTTTGGTAAACTCTGGTTGTATTTACTCATTAGAGGTAGATGGAGACTATCTGCAGACTATCCATTTCTTTCCCAAACCTTGTTACCAGAATTCTTACTCCAAATTCTGCCAAACATACTGATTTTGTTAGCAAATATATGAATATAGTTATACAATCTATGTTTTAAGCTAAGAAAAGTCTCCCTCTCAGTTTCGGCAAGATTCTTTACAGACGGTTCCACTCCTATGCAGACTCAGAATCAGAGTCAACACTCTACAGTTTATAGAAAGTCATAGAATCTCCACACATGAACCTATAATCATAAATGGCTCTAAACCTAGAAGGCTGAAGATTGAACTGGCAAGCTTCTTGGACTGTGCATCACAACCATTATGTGGATTTCTTGTATGCTGATATGCACACCTCAGGGTGCAGATTTTGATAAAAAAAAATTTGAAATGCTTAATTAGATAGTTCTGGGGTGGCTTCCTGAATGGAGAACTTCAATCTCTGTCACTAAGACATAGATTAAAATTAATTCACATGTACAAACAGAAGACAAGTGATAATATGTGTATTTGTATCATCATGAGTAGCAACATTAAATTTTACAAATTGACACAATTTTGGAAATGCAGGTTAGAAGAGATTCTTTGTATCCCAGTTTGGCATGGCACACTCATTAAGAGCCATACTGCTGAAAATGAAAATTAATCTTAAGTCTCTTCACTCACAGCAAAATTGTGTGTGTGTGTGTGTGTGTGTGTGTCTGTGTGTCTGTGTGTGCATGTATGTATTCCCCCCAAACCCAACTTGGTGAACATTATGGATTTTATTCTCTCTGACCCAATAGACATTAACTGATTATATTAACTACTCAAATTCAGCTGTAGTCCCACTGAATATTCCTCATCTAAAGACTGAACTTTAAATTTAACCTCCAGCAGCTTGTATATAAAACTGTAAGAGAGAAAATTGTTACTATATGCAATGAAGACATACATATAACCAGCAAAAATAAAATACGCAAGTCTATTATAGTACTCATTTCTATAATTGACCACAAGATCATAAATGATATCAATTGCTTCCTACTTCCACTAATTACTCTCCAATTCTTTACCCTCAGCCAGAGCCTCAGCTTGTCAGAGTTCTTTACTGATGTGGAATTTCATTTATAGAGAGTTTGAGTCCTCAACCACCCTTTTTTTTGCATTGTATTTTTTGCATTAACATTCACTATTGAGCATCAAATACAGAGGCACATCAGAAAATTCACTGGGTTAGAGATATAGTCCAGGGGCAAACCAGTTTCTTTTTATCAATCAATATCAAATCAAGATCAATCTCTCTAGCTAATAGAGTAATTGTCTTATTTTGTGGGAGGGCAGGGGCTGTTGGTTAGGCAGCATCAAGAGCCCAAGGTAACCAGGTGACTGTCTTGTCTTCCCATGCGGTAGAAACATTTTTATATCTTTGGGTGGAAGCATTTCCCCCGTGGGAACTAAGACTTCTAAACCAGCAGAGTTCAAAGTTGCCAGGACAAAAAGCAAAAATTTTGTGAGTAGGTTATGCGGTGTAACAGTGGGATTTGTCCCTCTCCCTCCATATCTCAATTCCTGGAGCCATACAAAGTGGCCTCTGATTTAAACCATGTACTATATCCTGTAAATCCCATTCTTTTAGGGCATTTTTACTCAAGTGGCACCATAACTGAGTCTTCAGTAAGTCTTATATTTTGGCAAGCCCTTCACCTTTTAATTAGGTGAGCTGCTTCCAGGTGATGGGATAAGTTAATTTCATAGATGTAAGTATATGGCTTCTCTTACTTTGCAAATAAATTATTTTATCATATGCTATGCTGTACAGAATGCCATGATGGTAGAGAAGGCATTGTTTGAATCAATAGGTAGTAGTTCTGAAAAAAGCATTATGGCAAGGGAAGGCATTCCACTGAGGACCAATCTCTTTTCCCCTCACAATGAAATAGATCTACTATACTCATCATTGTGCCACAGGGGCTGACTGGGGCCTCTGGGGTTTGTGCTATGTCTGTGGATTAATGTTGGTCACTGCTTTTGGCTGAGTTCCAATTAATCAGGTCAGCCTTGGTGAAGGTAAGTCCATGCATGGCTTCCATCCCTGTCATGATGGCCACTTTGTTCATGGACCCTTGTGGAAGCACTGGGTGGCTATTACAAGAGGCTGACTGATATTTACCAGCATGTCATTTTATCCACTCGGTTATTAAAAGCTTCCTCTGCATTGACTGTCATTTGGTAGACATTCTTATGGAGTACAAATACAGACCACAGTCTGTAAAAACTGTATTTTGTAATCCATTTTGTAAAATCATAACTGTTTATTGGAGCAACTCAAGTCAGGTTTTTGACAACCAGAGCTAGAATTTGTCCTGCTAAATGGATTCAGCAATACTCTAGTAGGCTGCCCATCTAGTTTCTCAATTATCCACTGCCAAATATGGCTAAGAAAGCCTGATTGCTGATGTGTTCCTGCTGTCCCTATGATAGATGTGCCACCTTGTCTTTGGTGATTAAGTACTGCTGCTTGGCCTCTGCTACTGTGGGTTCCCCTCAGCCCCACTGAAATCAAGGAGCCCATAGTGACAGTCATACTTACCCTACAAAAGATAGCAGCGAGAGAACTTTTCAAGGATACAATTGCTCCCCCTACTAAGACATTTTTAAATTCTGAAGGGAAGGGCATACTTTCTGGGCTCTCTCATGAAACACAGTTGGGGAGTAAATGTGCAGGCCACACATAACAAATCCAGTCCATCAATTCAATTATCTCCGCAGTCTTTTGAGTTCTCTTCTCCACAACATTTCAGGGAAGCTCTGGAATCTCAATCTTATTAAATGTAGCCTACCATTGCATTGGAGTTTCGGTTAATCTGTTAAAGCTACCCACAACCGCAGAAGCTAAAACATAAATCTAAAGTCTCTAGTAAGCGCATCATATCAAAGAAATTCAGCCAAATTTAGTGTTATATTTTGTCATCTTTGTTCTAAGACCCTTAGCCATGTTCCCACACATTTTCTACAGATTTTTGCTGATATGTATTAGAAAAGTCCTGCAATCCCTTCATAATGTAAGCTATCCTTTCCTGGGCTGTTGTGTGTTCACTGTCTCCTATAGCTTGGTGTTATCTCACCATAGCCATAGGTCTAGTAGCAACAGGAGGTGGTTGTAGTACGTCTTGAGAAGGTTATGGTGTCTTCCCCCGGTGAGGTTATCACAGGCTTTTCATGCAGAGGAAGGCTAGTTTCCTCAAATCTTGGAGAGCAAGCTACTTCCACTGATAAGAGAAGCACAGAATGACTATGTGGCCCAAATTACCACTTCTTGTTGTTGTTGTTGTTGTTGGTGTTGTTGTTGTTGTTTTTCTGAGCTCAGCCATATGTCCAAATTCCAAGATTCAGGATCTCATTATTTTCCAATCAGTATTCTAACGTTCACATGAGAAACCTGACAAGACTGTGAATTCAACTGTTACTGTAATTCAGCAACCTGTAAACTAAGTTTCATGTTTGGTTTTTAGCAATATTAGCTCTGAGGCTACAGAAAATTAGACAAATTTTAGGGCCATTATGGAAGCTCTATAGTTCTCAAACTGTGAGTTAAGCTGAGTGCCAAGGCATCTAAAATTATCTTTTTCCTTCCTTAGGTACTCAGGTACAATCAAAATTAGCCACATCACACCACAGTCTTTGAAGTTGTCATTATTATCATCATTGTCAACTGGACTCAAGCCACTTGAGCTCCCAAGGCACTCACTACAGTTCACATTTCATGGCAATCTACCACTGGTTATAATTTGATTGATTCTGATATCCCTGTATGCCATGAATTACCAGCATCCCATTTTCTATTGGCAAAGAGCTCAGCTTTGTGCTCAAGTCCAAGGGCAAAACCAAACCAATTTCAAAACCCCATCTGTGCATGTCTATAACCTGGGACCACTCTCCATCTTGATACCAATTCTGTATCAGTCAGGGTGGCCAAACAAAAGGCTGAAATTGCAATTTGAAATTGCAGTTGTAATTTAACAGGGAAAGTTTAATATAAACAATTATTATCTATAGCAGGTGAGTAACTATACAGGACTAAAGAAAACTAAGGAATATCCTAGGCTGAGGGAGAGTACCCACGAGAAGAACAAATTTGGAAGGAGGGCCCCACTCCAAGTCTAGAGTTCAGATCTTGTTGGAGTAGATATGGTTGCAGCTGACTGGATGTTGAAGAATTTCATTGGTGTTCCTGGGCCAGAACTGGTTCACAATCACAGGGCAAGCAGGAAATGCTCTTCCAGGATACAGGTTGGCCAAGACTGGTGGGTAGTATGTAGATGGAGTTAGAGCATAGGGAGCTCACTTACCTGCAGGATGGTGTGAAACCTGCGGTACAGTACACATTGTCTGTCTCATGAGGGCCATGAGAAACAATTTCCTGGAGTGTAGGTGGGCTGAGGAAGGGGAGCATTGGGTGTATCAGGAGCTCACTTATTGGCTGGGTAGCATGAAGCCTAGAGAACACGTGTTCACCTTGGAAAGGTCTTAGAAAGCAGACTACCAGGCTAGGGCTGATATTTCAAACTCACCTCAGGCACACAATTGGGCAGAGCACTCCTGGCTATCTCCATCAAACATGCTACTGCCTGCCACGCAGTGAGAAAAAAACACAAATGGAGCCAAAAAGAGGAGGAGTCCCATCCTTCTTCAGTGTCCCTCCACTGCCCTCTCCTGACAAAGCTTAACACCATGCTCATGGCAAAAGTAAAATGCTTAAAGGGTAAAGCTCCATTATTGCAAAGCAGGTAACAAAGGATGAATTTGGAGCTGAAAAGTAATAAATTAATGAATGGCACAGTTAGTCATATACTGTTGTACTGAAAATAAGAAAAATAATTATAATTGTTTAGTTCAAGAGAATACCTAAAAACCTAGCACAAAAACATTAAACCCAGAATCCTCTCAAATTTTCAAACTAAGCTATTTGCAAAACTCTGCTTGTAAAAAAATCAGCTGATGAAATAGACAGTCAGGCAAATTTCCTTTCTTCTTTGTTTGTTAGGGGAAAATTGTCTACATTTCAAAATACTTGTAAAAGCCTTCTAATAACGTGTAGTGTTTTTTGCTTGTTTTTGTTTTGGGGTGTGACTGTATAAATCTGTGCATTTCATACACAGAAGAAAGAAGACTTGATCACTGACAAAGAAACCTTTGATTACATGCTAATTACCTGATTACCAGTGTGGTCTGCTCACTTGCTGACCTCTGTCACCCCAGGACACACATATCAATATAGCAATTGCCTTTCAAATTTGCGTTTATAATGATATACATTTCACAAACTGGTGGGAAATGGTAGTTCTATGACTAGCTGGTGAAGGAGATATTTTGGGGAAAGGAGAAAGCTTTCTCCCCTTCAGTCGACTCCTCTATTTTACTAATGGATAAGATGAAGTTGAGAGTCATATGGAATTGGGCTCTGACACAGGCTGGGGAGGGTGACTAGGCTGAGAGACCAATGCAGCTATTCCAGTTTTGTTCAAGACATTTCCCTTAGGAAATACACCATGATGCACATTTGGTCTTTATCAAATGCTTCTTAAACACTTTAAATGACTACAATTTTAAGAAATTTTTAGAAATAAGAAAAATATTATTGTGAAAAATAAGTTTATCACAGATGCAAAAATGAATACCAACATATCAGTTATAAGTGCTATCACCTATATTGTATCCTTTAGTCCTGAACACCCCCCATTAATAGGAGTGTTATTATTCCTATTTTAGACATGAGAAAACTGAGGTCCAGGCAGGTTAAATGACTTACTCAAGTTAGTAGGTGTAGAACTCAGTCAAAAAGCCAGGTTTACTTCCTTTGAGGCTAATATATTTTTTTGTTTTTTTTTCTTTTTTTGCCTCTTTTTGTTGTATTTTTGTTGGTGGTGGTGGTGGGGGGTGGGGATTCCTTTTTATTTCCAACTTTTATTTTAAGTTCTGGAGTACCATGTGCAGGATGTGCAGGTTTGTTATGTACATAAACATGTGCCATGGTGGTTTGCTGCACGGATCATCCCATCACCTAGTTTTTTTTTCCTCTTAATAACAATAAATCTTATTAAAATTTCATCAACTTAATAAAATCTTTTCAGAGTCTACACAGGGAAACTAAATCAATGATGGAGGATACTGGAACAAATAAGACCTATGGTTGGAGAGGGGGTTATAGTTATTTAGGTAATTAATTGTTTGCCTATTTTACCCAACTTACTGTAACAACTCTGTTTCTTTCTCTCTTTTTTTGGCTGGAAAAATCTAAGTACATAATGCCCAAAAATACAATTTCTCTCACAATATTTATGGCCTCTTTCCTTCTGTGTAGTTTTACAGTTGTAACAGGGTCAGCTTCAATTTGCCATATGGAAACTTAATTGAAAATGAGTGGATAATTCAGTCCACTAAAAGGTCAATCCTGTAAGGAGAGAAAAATAGGTCAACTTAATAATTTAGCAGCATATAAGATTTATTGCCTTTCTTATTTTCAACACATTTATACTAGGCTTTCATGAGTACTGGCTGTGACTTTGAGAACTGCAAAAATCTTGCTTTTCAACTATTCTACAGAGTAAACTGCTGAAGAGCTCTGAGGCTATCTGCTTTTCTTCTAGGAAAATGTTAATTAAATTGATGGTATCATTAAGAATAATATTAGTTGAAAAAGGCATTATTATGCATGACCCTAATATATTTAAGAAGTATTAATGAAGACTAGTGTTTTTGTGAGTTTCCTCCCTACTTTGGTTGTATAATATTGATTTAGAAAAAATCTTACACATTATCAACACCTGTGATTTACAACTTTTAAAGAAATGTTTTTCCAGCAATAGATACCTTAAAAGCAAAAATTGGAGGCCTGGTGCCTTGAATGCCCCCTCCATACCCTCTTCAGCCCCTCAAACAATCGCTAAGGAGTTCTTACACACACACACCACACGCATACCTCCAAACAGTCCCCAGGCTTCAAGAAACAGCTCTAAAATCATGAAGTGGTTCAGACGAGGAAAAGTACAGGGATGTGAAAGCCTGAAAATCAGTTTTATTGACTGGCAGAAAGGAGCACGGGGCATAGATTGAACGCCTAAACTGCCATTCCTTGGACTACACTGCACTGACTCCATCAAAGTGTACTATTTAGGGCCACGAAGTTACTTTAATATTTTCAAAAGTATCTCACTTTAAGAAAACATTGCAGAATCACCTTGCCTGAAGAATGAAACATGTTAATTAGATGCCCATCTGCTCAGGGCCAGAAAATAGCTATCAGCTCTTCAAAACTTTCTTCCTCCCCTGTGTCAACAACCTTCTCCATCTCACCTGCTTTTATGTAGATGCAATTTAGATGAGGCTTCAAAGTAATTCTTCACTGAAGAATCTTATTATTTTGATTGGGAGATGGGTCAACCAGACTTATAACTCATTTTTAACAGTCAACTTATTAAAGATAATGTGCTGACAATAAGTCACATTCATTTAAGGTAGAAGACTTGATGAGTTGTGACGGTTTAAACCACCACCATTGTCATGAGGCAGAGCACTTCTATCATCCCCAAAAGACTCCTGGGGCTTCTTTGTACTTCATTCTTCCATTTGTTCACAGTCCCAGACAATCCTTGGTCTGCTCTTTGTCACTACAGATCAGTTTGCGTGTTCTAGAATTTCATACACTCTGAAGTCTTTTATGTCTAGTTTTTTTTTTTTTTAATCCATGTTGACAGTTGTTAGTTCTGCTTTTCCCACAGAGAAGTATTTCATTGTTGTATGGATATACCACATCTGGTTTATCAATTCAATTGTTAATGGGCATTTGGCTTGCTTATAGTTTGGGGTCATTACTAATAAAGCTGCCTAAACATTCATGTACAAGTGTTTGTCTGAACAAGTGTTTCATTACTCTCCTGTAAATATCTAGGAATAGAATGACTGGGTTGTATGGTAGATGTATGCTTATCACATTTAAAAAAAACTCTCAAATGTTTTCTATGTTTGTATTCTCATCAATGGTATATGAGCATCCTAAATTTTTGCCAGAGCTTGGAAGTGGTATATGAGCATTGTAAATTTTTGCCAGAGCTTGGTATTGTCAGTCTTTTTAATTTTAACAAGCCTAACGTGTATCAGTTTCTTTGATGGTTTTAGTCATAATTTCCTCAATTACTAATGATGTTAAGCATCTTCATGCATTTGCTGGTTATTTATACCTCTTGTTTTTTGGTGTGTCTGTTCAATCTTTAATTGAGTCGGATGTCTTCTTATCAGGTTGTAAGAGTCCTTTATAAACTTATGAAACAACTTCCTATTTTAGGTATATATTTTGTGAATCTTTTCTCTCTCAGAGTCCTCGCCATTTACACCATGGAACCACTGATGGTTCTTATAACACATTTTGGAGAGAGACTATGTTGATGGCAAAGTAAAAAAAGTTAACAGTACATTATTCCAAAATTAAATTTCAAAAGATGCATTATTCATTTATTAGGAGTGATTGTCTTCTCCTCAGCCCAGGCTGTAAACCATGTACTTCACAGCCTTATTCTTTTTATCTGAAAAGCAGTACATTAAAGTTAATGTACTGGGCTTTTCTTGACATGAATATCCCTGCTGTTTTAGTATCTAGTTTAACACACACACTTATGTACATACACACACACACGCACACACACATACACACACAATGCAATTAAATGAACCCAAAGCCATAATTGCTTGTTAAGTATTTGTCTTCTTCTATAAATCGATCTTTTTTCAGATGTGGAAATACCTGCTTAATAATAGTCATGTCATTAGCCCACAAAACAGCCCTGAACATTTATTAGAAAAACAAAGTAGAGTCAGCTCATCCCCAGCTTGAGATGCTGAGCATCCAGTTGAACCCAGAAGAGATTTTACAACCAACCTGATACAGCCCTGAAAATGCAGTTTTCCACTGGTAATGCTGAGAAACCGTTGAGTATAGAACCAGGCACTGCGGTGATAAACATCTGACATTTTCATTTGCAAGTATTCATGTTTCATCTTAGATAATGTTCCCTCTATTTACTTCTTCAGCAGCAATGCATCAAATATCCTACAGTGTAATCCTTCTCTCAGCACTTATCAATGAACTATGAAATAGTATTAAATAGAATTAATTAGAAGTTTTAATGAATCATGTCTGTCCTCATTTATTATACAATGTAATTTTCAAGGAGTGATTAATTACAAGTTACAGATGAGTGAATGGTTAATGTAGTTTGTTAACCTTACTAAGAAGCGACTGTACACAGCAAGCTGCTTCTCCTCTGTTTATTAGCACGTGGTTATGTACCACCATCAGTTTAAGTGAATGAAAAGGTTTTAGTAACTTTCCAATTAATGTGCACTGTAAGCTAATAATTTACTCCCTGATTTTCTTTCCTGTGCATCATGTGAACACTGTTGGGATTCAAAGGTAGAATTTCGCCATTTTCATTTTGGTGTGTTTCTATATAGCTATTATTTTGCAGCTATGATGTCCACCTGCGCTGCAGTTATTTTAAGTAGATCCCATTTAATACAAGGTGGCTTGTTTGAAATGAATCTCCCTGCATATTTCCTTGAAGAATATACCAATTTACCATATCATTACTGTCATTATCTAAAAAGTGGCAGCTGGCTGCCCTTCATTTTCAGTTTTCTTACATGTACCTTTCAGAAGCCAAATAATGCCCATGCTGACAAAATCTAGTGGCCAAATGCAAAATAATTCTGTGGACAGAAAGTTGAGATGGGAGTATGGGAGTTCCAAAAGCATTTTTGCCTCACCAACAGACACACAAAAGACCATGGAATCCTTGGGGATGAGTCGCCATCTTAGAATATCTTAGTCTCTGCTGCCGCCATATACAACCAATTACTATCGTTCTTGGAGGTGCACATTTTTGCTGTTCAAAGCAGAAACTAAGTTTTCTGAAGCTAGGGGAGTTAGATAGCTCTTTGGAGGTCCAGCTAACCTTAGAAAAAATAACCATACTTATATTGTATGATACATAGCAATTTTTAAGTTTTTACAGTTATTATCTCACTAAATCTGTTTAAAACTCCTGTGAGTGAAGGAACTATTATTATAAGATGGTATCTGACTTATTCAGGCTCCACTGGCAGTGAATGGATAGACAAGCAAAATATCCATTAATTCAACAAATATTTATTGGGTACAGCTGCGGTCTGACTGTTTGTGTTCCCCTACCCCAAATTCATGTTAAAACTTAATCAAGGTGATGATATTAAAAAAATTGGGGCCTTTGGGAGGTGATTAGGCCATAAAGGCGGAGGGAGAAATTTGTGCTTTTATTTAAAAAACCCCAGAGAACCAGCCAGTCCTTTCAACTATTTGAGGACACAGTGAGAAGGTGCCATCTGTGAAGCAGAAAGAGATCTCTCACCAACAGTGAATATGCTGTTGCTTTGATCTTGGACTTCCCAACCTCCAGAAGGGTAAGAAATATATTTCCATTGTCTATAAGTTACCCAGTCTAAGGTATTTTGTTATAGCAGTTCAAATGAACTAAGACAAGCAGCTAATATGAGGCATCTGCTATTTTGCAGGGAAGTGAGGTTATAGTCTGGATATATTAGTCCATTTTTATGTTGCTGATACCTGAGACTGGGCAGTTTATTGCCCAGAAAGAGGTTTATTGGACTCACAGTTCCATGTGCCTGGGGAGACCTCACAATCACAGTGGAAAGTGAAAGGCATGTCTTACATGGCAGCATACAAGAAAAGAGAGCTTGTGCAGGGAAACTTCTCTTTTTAAAACCATCAGATCTTGTGAGACTTATTCACTATCATGAGAACAACATGGGAAAGACTCACCCCCATGATTCAATTACCTCCCACTAGGTCCCTCCCACAACACGTGGGAATTCAAGATGAGATTTTGGGTGGGGACACAGCCAAACCACATCACCGGATGAGACAAAGTCCTTTCCATCATGACCCTTAGATACCAGTAGGGGAAATAATAAATAAATAGAGACAGCGATAAGTCCTGTAAAGACAATAAAAAAGAAAGAGCCTAGAGAGAAACTGGAGATGAGGGAAGTTATTTTAGACAAGATGGTCAGAGAAAGCATCTTTGCTGTTTTTGACAAAGAGAAAGAGAAGAGATGTCATATTGTATCAACTGACTGATGAAAAGCAGTCAGTTATGTAAAGAGGACATTCTAGGCAGAGAGCACAGCAAAAAATGCAAAGGTCATAGCCTTTGGTGTGTTTGAGGAAGTGCAAGAGACTGTTATAGCTGGAGAGAAATGAAGTTGAAGAGATAGCCAAGGACGAGATTGTGTAGTTCCTTCAGAGGTCCTGGAAAAGGCTTTTAATTTAAATTCAAGAGATAATGGATGCTGACAGGGCTTTTCCAATCCAATTCTACCCAGAACTTTTAGGACATGAGAAGTAGAAGATAATGTGCTAGAATATCAAGTAGTATTTTAGTTCTCATTTCTCATTATAAGGAAGAAAAGCAAAAAAAAAAAAAAAAGTTTCCCCTAGAGCCTAGAATTTGAAGCTATTAATATAAAAGTATACTTATAATGTCCTGTCTTCCTTAGGGGACTCATCTTTCAGACAAGCAATGCTCTTTGAAGTCAAGGGCTATGTCTTATGTACTTTTTGTTCTGTACTGCACACAAATCAATGTCTTAGGTTTCCAATCAGTGCTTTGTGAAGTGAACTGAATAGCCTGATATCTACTGCTCTGTCCAACTCAAGTCTGCAAAATCCTGATAGGAGATGTCATGGTATTTGAAATTGCTGTAACAGAACAGAAGGACCCAGAAAGAAGCCCTCACAAGCACTTGGCTTGACAGTGCATGTGCTATAGATCCAGGCATCCAATTTGTCCGTAGTGGGGTATTGCTAATCCCTGAAGCAAGTGTGTAATAATGCAGTTATTTTGCATGCATTCTCTTTGTTTAAATCTACATTTTCCCTCCTGCTTCTCCAAGTAAAACTATAAGGGGTCAGTTATGTTAATCCTCTAAGGAATGCTAAAGAAAATCCTTTTCTACTTCTCTAATCAGACTCTGAGAGGTGACAAACTCAGATTAGTAAGCAACATCATTTTTTGATACAGGAGTTGAATTTTACCCAGGAATCTCAACTATAAGCTCCTAAGAGAGAAACTTTTTTTATTAAGGATTTTTTTAATGATCCATGTCAAAGTGCATGCCTGTGTAATCATAAAAGCAAATTTGCTCTAGAATGCTGCATGAAGTAATGGTGTCATCTGAAATGCTAATGAATCTTTGCTGACTCCACCATGGCCCGATTTGACAGGAAGGTGGGAGTCCCAGTGAATGAGTCACTGCAAATACAGAAGCACAAATGGTAACAGTTATTTATTGTTCATATGACTTAGCACATTAAAAAATTTTGTAAATCCTTGTTATATATATCACTTGTAAATTCATAGACTGAGAAGAGAAAAAGAAAATTGTCCACAAGATGTTAGAGCTGGGATAATTTTTCTGTTTTTCAGTCTTTATAATATGTTAGTCTGTATGTCCAGTATGACCGTCCTAACCATATGTAGCTAATGTCCATTTTGTGTTGCTATAAAGGAATACCTGAGGCTGGGTAATATATTTTAAAAAGAGGCTTATTTGGATCACAGGTCTGCAGGCTGTACAAGCATGGTGCCAGTATCTGCTGGGCTTCTGTTTAGGGCCTCATGAAGCTTTTACTGGTGGCAGAAGGAACGAAGAGCCAGCTTGTCACATGGTGAGAGGGGGAGTGAGAAAGGGGAGGAGGTGCCAAGCTCTTTTTAGCAATCAGTTCTCTCAGAAACAATAGAGTGAGAATTCACACATTACTGTGGGAGGGTACAAAACCATTCATGAGAAATCCACCCCCATGACCCAAACACCTCCCATTAGGCCTCACCACCAACATTGGGGATCACATTTCAACATGAGATTTGGAGGGACAAGTATCCAACCCATATCAGCTAATGAGCACTTGACTGTGGCTAGTCGAATGGAGAAATGGAATTTTAATTGTATTTAATTTCATTAATTTAAATATAACAACAAATGCCCAGTTTCATGATTGTAAAACTGTAGGTATGTTTGGAACAGCTTGGTTATGTGAATCTACTTTTTTCCACCATTCAATGGACACTTATTGAGACCTATTTTGTGTCTGACTACTAAGCCTTCCAGTTACTAATTCAAGCAAGATTTAATCTCTGCCTTGGAATTGCTTAAAGCCTAGGAGGAAGACAGAGAGATAAACAAATAATTACACATAGATTAAGCGCGGTTTATGAACACAGGCTATGAAACAAGATTCTGGACTTGGCTTTGAGGAGTTTACACAGTAGATGACAAGACTTAAAGAAAGAATCTTCAAAATCAAAACATATTATGCAAACTCTAGACCATATGCTGCATTATCAAACATTATTAAGTTTCTCAGAAGTTATAATGTTACAATGGAAGTTTGAGGAGAAAATTCACTGGTCAGTTCATAATTTAATTTTTTAATAGACCTTATATTTTAGAACAGTTTTTAGGTTCACAGCAAAATTGAGTAGAAAGTACAAGAATTCACCCTCTGCCTCCACTCCCCTGTGGTGGAATGGTACATTTGTTACAACTGATGAGCCTACACTGACATATCAATCAAAGTTCATGGTTTACATTAATGTTCATTCTTGCTGTTGAACATTCTATGGGTTTGGACAAATGTATAATGACACATATTCACCATTACAGTATCATGGTATAGTTAAATACATAGAATCATTTCTCTGCCCTAAAATCCTCTGGGCTTTGCCTATTCATCCCTCTGTTCCCCCAATCTTTGGTCTTTTTACTTTCTCCATATGAATCTACTTTTTCAACTGTATCTTTTATGAAATCTAAAAACAGTTTAAGTAGTTATGATGAACATTAGCATTCAGTTTGCTATTTGTTCTAAGTGTAATATACAGATTAGATTTTGAAGACAGTATGGAGAAATGTAAAATGTCTCAATAATTTTTCACATTGATTATATGCTGAAATGATAACAGTTTGGCTATATTAAGTGAGATAAAACATGCTCTTAAAATTAATTTCATCTATTTATTTTTACTTTTTTAACATGGCTACAAAAATTTTAAATTATATATGTGGTTTACATTATAGTATTGGACAGTGTTGCTTTAGAGTTATGATTACTAAACTCCAGAAATATCATTAACAGAAAGATCAATCATTTTCCAGACATTATGAATAAACTGTCTTCCACTCTATTGCATTAATATTAGATAGAATTTAAGAAATTTGCCTGAGTAAATACAATTAACCATTGACTAACATTAAATCATCATGGATTGATGTGTGCAGTCAGTGAAGCAATATAGGGAAATTCAGTATTTTAAGCAGAAACCTATATCATGGGTTGCTATTTTTAAGTGATATCCATGGACCTTATAATCACATGACCCCATTTTGCCCATAAACATCACCCCTCCTACTGTCCCCAGCACTTTGGTGTTCATCTTCCTCCATGTGGGTCCTCAATCTAATATGAATGCCGCAATTTCCCCCCAAAATGAAAGTAGGCAGACATGAACTAGTTTATTTTTATCCTGAGCTGAAGGCATTTTGTCTTCTTTCTACCTTGCCAAATATTAAATATGAAATCAGAAGGGAGGAGGGAGGAGAAGACACTGTAAAGGGTTTTTGGAGAGTGAACAAGTGGAGGGTTATACACCTGCACTCTCTCCCTTCCTCAGTTCTTAGATTCGCTGATGCTTCAAGGGAGAAATAACACTTAAAAGTGTTGTATTGGTACTCACGCTCAATCCATAACTCTCCTCTCTCGTCTGTGCTTCTACAGTGCTTGGGGCTGGAGGGAGAGGCGGTAATGGAGACTTTAAAAGTGATCTTTTCATGCTTACTCAGCTCTCTCCCAGTTCCTGTATCCTGCATGTGATGTGCAGAAGGACATGAGGAAGCTTTGACTGAATTCTGAACAGCACATTATTATTCTGCTCCAACACACGCTCTTAGGCCAGCTTTGTTTTGGCCCCCAAGTCAGATGATTTTCATTAGATATTTGAAGTAATCCACAATAAAATAGTAAACCATTGTGTAAGTGGGTACAAATGGTTTGTCTGCCCACAAAAGGAGAGTTAGGTCATGTACCCATAGTATCTGTAAGTGCTGAGAGGGATATCTGACATGTATCATTTAACATCATTTATCTACCACCTCTTTTCCTTTCTAAGTGGAAAGATGGCATGATTTCCTTTAACTTGCAAGTCCTATTTTTAAGAAATAACTGAAGAATTGAAGAGTTGTGAAGAACACTTGAAGAATGAAGTAAACGTAGCTCTGATTGTAAAGTTCCGTTAAGATGCGGGGGTCAATTTCTGATCTTCCAATGCACCATGCTAGTTCTTACTTTATGATGGCTCCTTGTCTGGGATACTCTTCCCATCTCATGCTTACAACTCCTCATCTAACTCCTCTTCATCCTTCAAGTCTAAGTCTAAATGCCATTTTCTAAGGCGGGTTAAATATAGTATAATATAAAGTCAAAATTAAAATAATGATTGAAATTCTCATTTCTTAAAACCAGTGAAAGCAGTAAGATGTTGAGAGAAAGTGATAAAGGGTTGAGTCATCTATAAGTACCCTAATCTTCAGAGTAACTGGAGGTGCCCTTCTAGTGTACCTGAAGACACATTTGCAGATTTGCCTATGCTTCTTCATAGCACACAGCACAATTATAATTAACTGTTCAACACCCGTCTCACTGGGCAGACTACAGATAAAAAAAATAAAGAGGCTTTCAGCTCAGAACAAAAATAGGCTCCGTGAGGGACTATATTGATCAGGACTACTATTCCCAATGCCTAGCATAGTACCTAGGTATTGAATAAAGATTTATTGAGTAAATGAATAAATAAATGCAAGAATGAAGAAATTACATGTCATGTTCATCAGTATTGCTTTACTGAAAAGGAGATTTTGGGAAACAGGCCACATACCATGTATATATGGAATGATAGACATCAATAAATAGGGTATCTCATTCACTTTTCAATATAAAGCACTTCAATATAAAAACTCTGAACTTGTTATTTAACCAACTGTTAGATATGGTATTTTAAGTGAGCTTTGTCATTATCTATATAGCAGGAAGTAATTTTAAAATTCCGAAGTTAATAAATCAATCATCTGTATGTGTGTGTAAGCAGGATGTACAATTATCACTAGGAAAAAAGAAGCAGACCAGGCGCGGTGGCTCACGCCTGTAATCTTAGCACTCTGGGAGGCCGAGGCGGGTGGATCTCTTTAGGCCAGGAGTTGAAGACCAGCCTGGCCAATATGGCAAAACCCCATCTCTACTAAAAATACAAAAAATTAGGCGTGGTGGCACATGCCTGTAGTCCCACCTCCTCATGAGGCTGAGGCAGGAGAATTGCTTGAATCTGGGAGGCAGAGGTTGCAGTGAGCCAAGGTTGTGCCATTGCACTCCAGGCTGGGTGACAGAGCTAGACCCTGTCTCAAAAAAAAAAAAAATAAATAAGGAAAGAAAGCAGAAGTGATTATTAAAAGCAACTGACTCTGGAGAGTGGATCTTGGGGTGCTTCAAATGTCTTTTGCTTCGTTTGTAAGTCCTTCTGTATTATTTGGGTTTTTAGAAATCATGTGAGTATTTCTTTCATTAAAAAACAAAACTTTTTCCTTTTCCATTTGCTAATGACTAAACCTCAGTGGTCATTCACTCATTTCCCACTTCACATCCTCTGCTTTATTATGCTACATGTCTTTTTCAAAGTAATTTCAAGTTTCCCAACACTACATCCACGTCACATACAACTTTATACTCCTGGTGATGTATAGTGCAACATGTTCTACGTAGTATATATTATCTGTTGACTGATTAATATGGGTTGAAGATTATTACTATTAACGGAAATTGTTACCACAAAGGGGTCCCGATCCAGACCCTAAGAGTTGGTTCTTGGAGCTCATGCAAGAAAGAATCTGGGGTCAGTCCACAGAGCAAAGTGAAAGCAAGTTTATTAGAGAACCAAAGAAACAAAAGAGTGGCTACTCCACAGTATACTCATGGTTGCCTCTTGATTATATGCTACACGAGGGGTAGATTATTCATGAGTTTTCCAGGAAAGGGATGGGGATTTCCTAGAACTGAAGGTTCCTCTCCATTTAAGATTACTTAAGGTAACTTCCAGATGATGCCATGCCCTTTGTAAACTGTCATGGCACTGATGGGAGTGTTTTTTTTGCATTCTAATGCATTATAATTAGCACATTATGAGCAGTGAGGACTACCAGTGGTCGCTTTAATTGCCACTTTGGTTTTGGTGGGTTTTGGCTGACTTCTTTACCACATCTCATTTTATCAACGGGGATTTTGTGACCTGCATCTTGTGAAACCAGTAATGCTGACTTCCTGTCTCATCCTGTGACTAAAAATGCCTAGCCCCCTGGGAATGTAGCCCAGCAAATCTCAGCTTCATTTTCATCAGCCCCTACTCAAGATGGAGTTGCTCTGGTTCGATCACCTCTGACAAAATGAGCCTTATTTCTAATTTAATTTTCATTTATCTTTCACACTCTCTAATTCTCTAAAGAGCCCATTATTGTAAACAACCTCACAGCTTTGGATATTGTCCTATTTTCTAATTAAGTGAATATCTTAAGAACATATCATGAAGATACAAGAGTTAACTAATAATCCTCCATATAGAAACAGCCTTAAGGATATGGTGTTTCACCCCAACACCATGACTATGATTCCCTTTGAACATCCAAGGAGCCTACATGATAACCCAATGCAATAATAATAATAATAATAATGTTATAGAAATTTTGAGGCTATCTCAATGTTTATCCATAAAATGCCATACTGTATAATACTATAAAGTCAAAAAATAATGATTGAAGTTCTTTTCATTTTTTAAAACTAATGAGAACAGGAAGAGGCTGGGAGAAAGTAATAAAGGTTTAATTATCTATAAATTCAATAGTCTGAGTGATCAGACTATTTGTTGTCTATTAGAATCATAGTATCATATATAATCCTAGAGTTGAAGAAAACAGAAATGAGTCATTTTTTCCAATTTCTCATCCAGTGCTTCTTTTTGCTAAAACATACCAATAAATAACCATCCTGCCTGGGTTAAACACTCTTTCCCAATGAGATTCATGGTGACTCTAAAATGTCCTAACTTTCAGAAAATTTTCCCTTGTATTGAGACAAAACTATGTGTAAGTTTCATGGGTTGGTATGACCCATTAGGACTACCCAGAATGAATTCAATACTCATTTCCTATTGGATACTTTCTAACATTTGAAGAGTGTTTTTGTCCTTCTGAGTCTTCTCCTTCCTCTTTACTCAATAGGGTTGTGGATATCCTCCAGTGAGGAAATCTGCGTCTAGAAACCACATCCACCTATTCATATTCTCATAAGTACTGTGGCATTTATGTCTTCAGGAATGCCTATTACGTTGGGTTAAGTTTTAAAAATATGGGAAGAGCTGGAATGTCAGACATAGAGATCCTTGTCATTGAAGGAAGCCTAAGAATCCTAAGAAAAAAAATCCAAACATTTGTGCTTGGAAGGAAGTCCCTATGAGAGATGATGGCTTCTAAGGTAAGAGTTTGGAACAAATCCAAGGAAACTTGCCCTTTGTCTACCTACATGAATTTGTCTGGAGAAGGAAGTTAATTTTTAAGTCTCACTGCATAGAAGCTCTGAATTACCTTCTAGAACTATGAATATGGAACCTAAGCAGCAGAAGACAGAGCAGACAGAATTTGTGCATACTTTTTACAAAATCTTTGTCATTTAGTAGCTTAATTTTTGTTTCCCTTATTGCATGACTTAGTTCTCAGGCACCACTTAGTCTTGCTCATTTTTATTCTACATGGATTCAATTGTTGACCTTCCATGACTGTTTCCCCAGGCTTTGAATGGCAATGACCCTGTTAGCGACGTCACCTTTACCACCTGTCTGACTGACACCTTTGCATATCCACTGGGCCAGGGGTCTTATTAATACGTTCTCCTCCCATTATTTCATTAATATCTTGCCTTCATTAAACTACTCTCCTCATTTCAAGATAAAGTGGTTTCTCATTGGGAAAAGAACAATATTTTGAGTGCTCATAGAAAACTTAGTTTTAAAATTCCATGCAAATTACATTTTTTTTTTACTCAGCTCATATCATTATTTTTACCCTGAAGGTAATCAGTGTGAAAACTGTCAAAAATCTTTGCTTTTCCAACTTCTAATCTTCAGAAACAATGGTCTTCCAGTGAGGGCATTTTAAAGCAAAGGATTCAAATTTAGAGTCTTTGTCATTTCAAAGAATGCAGAGGATTGTATGGAAAAGTCAGTTATTCCTTGGACTTCTATTTCTTATTTTGTTTAAAGCATTTCCGATGTCTTCTCAGAACTGAAAGGATACAGGGACTATTCAAATGTAAGAAAAAATTCATGAGCACTCACAGAAACCTTGGGCTGAACCAAAAGTGGGACTCAAATTGAAAAATGACATTGATATCTTTCTTGAAGTGACTAAATTAAGCTCTAAAATTTTATTATTCCCAAGTCATCATCTATGTTCACATCCATTTTATTACAGCCATATTCTAGGTAATTGTCAAATTCCAATTTGTTTTAATTTTTAAGCTGGAGGGGGGCTAATATAAAATTTCAATCTAACAGAAAGTAGTTGGGAAAAGCAGAGCTATCTTTGTCTAGATTGTATTGTCTATTGATAAAGAGAAAAGTATGGAGCTTAAAAAACTTCTACACAAGTCATGTGATTGTCGGCAGTGCTGACATCATCAATAAAGACATCACAACTCTTAAGTCTCAGAATGTGGCCCAAATCACCTGCACCTGTCTCTCTGGGGAAGCTTGTTAAAAATCCAGATTCCGACTGGGCGCGGTGGCTCACCCCTGTAATCCCAGCACTTTGGGAGGCCAAGGCGGGTGGATCACCTGAGGTTGGGAGTTCGAGACCAGCCTGACCAACATGGAGAAACCCCATCTCTACTAAAAATACAAAATTAGATGGACATGGTGGCGCATGCCTGTAATCCCAGCTACTCGGGAGGCTGAGGCAGGAGAATCGCTTGAACCCAGGAGGCAGAGGCTACTGTGAGCCGAGATTGTGCCATTGCTCTCCAGCCTGGGCAACAAGAGCTAAACTCCATCTCAAAAAAAAAAAAAATCCAGATTCCTAGGTCCACCTCAACTACATCTGAGAAGGAATCCATTCAAAACAAAACCAAAAACTTTCAGATGTGTGCAAAATTCACCATGCAAAATTTCCCCATGAAATCCCAGTCTTACAATTCCCTTTATGAGTTGGTCATTTACTAAATCTTTCTCTTTTTACACTTTATTTCCAATATTTCAGGAAATGGTCTATCCGCACTCCCCTCACAAATGTCTCAAAGTCCCCCCACAGGTTGCTCTGCAGATGATAATGCAGATGTCAGTGACTTCCCTTAAAAGATCTCAGAATGCATTTTATCAAAAGGCATATGTCCTGGGTTTTAGAAAGGGTGTTTCATTTCAGGCAGTGGGAAATCATACACTATAATTTCTGACTCAGATTAGCATCACAAAGTCCAGGATCTATTTCTTCCTACTCTCATCTTTGGCACGTTCAAGTGTTTTCCACTTATTTTGCAGTCTGCAATCTACCCCCTCTCCATTGCATCTTATTGTTTGCTTCTTGCTGTTTCTTGAAAATGAAAAGAACAATTGTTGATTGAAGTAATAAAGCTCCCATAAACTGGGGACTTACTGACTGGTTCTCTCCATTAGCATTATAATTCTGACTTGTGATTCAACACTACTGCTTAAGAGTCACTTCTGTCAGTTTCTAGGATAGCACAATTCAGCATTTGAGTTCTCAGGAATTCATAAATTACCCAGAAGAACTTAACATCTATAGATCTGAACAGTGTCTGAAATTGTGCTTTTGCAGACTGATCAAAAAAGCTAAGTCCTATGACTTCCCCAAGCCTGGGTCATCCTACTTTGCAACTCAAAGTCTGCCTGGCATATAAGCAGTGAAGTCAGGATTTGAAAGCTATCCATTTGCTCAAAAATGTCCTTTTTTTTTTTTTTTTTTTTTTTTAAGCAAGCCTGCCGATAACCCTGCCATCAACTTGGAATTAGGACATTAGCGCAATTTATTCAGGCTCCTATTACACAGCAAGTAAAAACACAAGATGGCACAGAAAACTCCATGCATTAGCATGTTATCACATTAGCTTGTTGTCACCCTGGGATAAAGCGGACGAGAGGCAGAGGCCTTGGCAATTTTAACAAGGTACCAAGGTGAAGAACATCAGTTTATAAACTCCTTGAGGAAGTGAACATTTAGCTTTGTAATTTTCAACATAGCTGGCATATCATTCGTATTTAATGAGTATTTGTTGAACCATACTTGGTGCAGAGAGCACCAAGAGGCAAACAAATTATTTGATGTGCTTACTTCTTACCTTGGCTTCTGCCGCTAGAACTCAGTTACCTTGACCTACACTTATTGCTTGTTTGTTTTATTATCCTGACGTTTCTTCCTCTGTGTGTGAGTTTAGATTTCCAAAAGTTTTGTTTCTGACCATCTTATCCTGGAGATAAGGAATAAAGGAACAGACACTAGTCTTTGTGTGTTTGTGACAGTGTAGGGTAGGGGAATTCTAGAAATAATATTTATGATTATCTCCCTTTGAAAAAAAAGGAAAAATCGTTCATAATATGCTGAGATTTAGATTGAGTATGTTGTGATTTAGCATGTATGGTACTTCACAGCGGCAGCAGCAGTAAAGCCTGGGCTTTTAGTGTAATGGCCACCCAAATAATGTACATTGTACCCATTAAGTAATTTTTCATTCCTTACCCCCCTCCCAGTCTCCTACCCTTCAGAGTCCTCAGTGTCTATTATTCCACACTCTATATTGATGTGTACACATTATTTAGCTCTCACTTACAAGTGAGAACATGTGGTATTCGACTTTCCGTTTCTGGATTTTTATACTTAAGACAATGGCCTCCAGTTCCAACCATGTGGCTGCAAAAGACATGATTTCATTCTTTTTTATGGCAGAATGCTATTCCATTATATTGGCTAAAGAAAATGTAGTGTGTACACACAAACACATATATATGGCAGAATGTATATATATAATAGCAGAATAATATGTTATATATATTATCCATATATAAATACATATTATATATGGAATATATACCATATATATAGAATATATAGAAGTGTTATATATATATGGAATGTATGGTATATTATTCTGCCATCATATATAATTTTATATATATATATACATATATATATTCTGCCACACACACACACAGACACACACACACAAACACTACATTTTGTTTATCCAATTATTTGTTGATGGACAGTTAGACTGATTCCATATTTTTGCTATTGTGCTGTGATAAACATATGAGTGCAGGTATCTTTTTGATACAATAATTTTTCTTCCTTTGGGTACACACCCAGAAGTGGGATTGCTGGATCGAATGGTGGTTCCATTTTTAGTTTCTTTGGAAGTCTCCATACTGTTTTCCATAGAGGTTGCACTAATTTACATTCCCACCAACAGTGTATATGTGCTCCCTTTTCTCCACATCATTGTTAACATTTGTTATATTTTGACTTTTTAATAATAGCCATTCTGAGTGGTGTAAGGTGATATTTTGTTGTGCTCTTAGTTTGCACTTCTCTGATGATTAGTGATGCTGAGCATTTCTTATATGCTTTTTGGCCACTTGTATATCTTCTTTTGAACAATGTCTATTCATGTTTTGGGGGAGGGGGGTTTTAAGAATAAATAAACCAATACAAATGAAGCTCCATTTCCAGTGTAGGTGTGGGGAGCTGACAGTGTTTTGGTCAGGAGGAGTGGGGAGCGGGTGTAAAGGGAGAGGAGGAACAGACATGACTTACCATAACAGGAGAATGATGTCCTGCCTGGGGTCCCATAGAGGGAACTGCTGCAGGCAGCATGGCTTTCTCAGAGAATGTGCTGAGTCCTCTATCCCCCATTTGTGTTTGAATGAATAGAGGTGTGGGATTGGATCAGCCTAGCCAAGAAATGGCCCAAGGGATATCCCCCTACAGTAGTCCTCCTGTTAGCTACACTTTTCTAGGGGCGAGAATGAATGTCAGGTGTCTGCAATTATATTGGCCTTGGTTAGACAGTGAGAGAACATACACTCTCAAAGCTGCAAAGAAGGACTGGAAAGGGAATAGCAAAATACTAATCCAGCTATTTTCAACAGAAAAAAATTTAATACCAGGATTTAGGTGCTTACGAAATTGTGGTTATGCTGGAGGAAGTGGGCTTCAGACTGGGTGTTCTAGTAAATTAGACAGTGAGAGAACAGGGTGAAGAGAATAGGGCAGCATACTGATCCTTCTGCCCCAAAATGGTCCCCTACTTGTCTCCCTGGCAATTCCATTTAACTCGACCCAAAATGTTGATTTTTATTTGCTGATTCTGAGTCAGGTCTTTGCAGCTTTGTTGTTGTGCTATGGTTGTTTTGTTCTCTAGCCAATATCTCCCCTCTTCTTGGCTCCCCTTCCTTTGACCCCAGCCTGCTCCAGAAAATGACTTAACAATGTTGCTTTTCTCCACACGGGAAGTGCAGGGCCATACTTCTTGGCTCTCAATTCCATATTGAGGTTTTAATCTACCCCGCTCAATTTGCTTGTAAGCCCAAATGTTCAGCTCCTCAATGTGAGGTACCCTGCTCTTTACAAATGATTTCAAATGTGATTCAAATGACCTCAGACACCTGTTGAGTCCCAGTGAATAACTGTTCCAAGTGAGGGCTTCTGGGTCTACTGTATTGGAAAAAAACTTTCCCTCTTTCCCTGGTGTCAAATGGCTTCACCCACTACAAGCCTTTCACAGAAGAATACCCCAAGAATACAAACCGGAAAGACAGCCCAAGAACACACACTCAATAACAAATAGATCTTGAAAACTGGCACACATAAAACCTTGAAATAGCCACAGAAACAGAGCCCCAGCTTTCACATATTACAATGTACTTTAAACAATAAACCAAAGACCTGTGCTTCTGTCTTATATCTTACTCCTCTCCTTTCCTTTTTTTCGTTCAATTGCTATTTTTAGATTTTTCCTAAAAAAAAAAAAAAAAAACCTTTTTAAAACAGAGACAGGGTCTCACTACATTGGCCAGCTTGGTCTTGAACTCCTGGGCTCAAGCAATCCTCCTACCTTGGCCTCCCAAAGTGCTGGGATTACAAATGTGAGCCACCATGCTTAGCCATTTTTCCTCTTCCTAAGAGAGGAATTTTACCCTCTTATGCTAAGATCACATTTTCAACATGCTAGCAAGTTACATGACCAGGTCTTGAGCTCTTTGAGAATGAGAACTGTCTTAGCCACCTATCTCTCTTTTTCGTTGAGACAGAGTCTCGCTCAGTTGCTCAGGCTGGAACCTCCACCTCCTGGGTTCAATCGATTCTCCTGCCTCAGCCTCCCCAGTAGCTGGGATTACAGGCATGCACCACCACACCCAGCTAATTTTTGTATTTTTAGTAGAGTCGGGGTTTCACCATGTTGGCCAGGTTGGTCTTGAACACCTGATTTCAAGTGACCCACCCTCCTCAACCTTCCAAAGTGCTGGGATTACAGACGTCAGTCAATTGCACCCGGCCTGTTTTACCCATGTCTCTATTCTCAGTACCTAGCATTGGGCCTGGCCCACAGTTACCAT
Organism: Homo sapiens; assembly: GCF_000001405.40. Classification (NCBI taxonomy): domain Eukaryota; kingdom Metazoa; phylum Chordata; class Mammalia; order Primates; family Hominidae; genus Homo; species Homo sapiens. The sequence continues at coordinate 82,734,293 of NC_000009.12, forward strand.
ATACACTTCAGCAGCAATTCTCTGATACCAAATGGGTGTCCTGTAATTCAATTCCATTCTAACTAACCTCCCAGAGTTAGCACAGTCCCCACAGGGTAAGAGGCTTAGTCTCATAAGACTGCCTCCTTTTCAGATGCCAACTACAAGTCTCAGGTGTCCCCAAGCTTCTTTTACTTCTGCCCAGCCAGCTACAAGTTTGGGGATTCTCACAACTTCCTTCAGATTTGATAATTCACTAGAATGATTCATATAGTGCTAAGTGAAAGCACTATACTTACAATTACTGTTTGTTATAAAAGATATAACTCAGTAATAGCCATATGGAAGATATAACAGGCTAAAGTCTGGGGAAAGAAGGGTGCAAAGGTTCCATGCCTATGGAGTCAGGGTATGCCACCCTCTGATATATTGATATGTTCACCAACCTGGAAACTCTCTGAGCCTCATGTTTCATTACATAGGTTTCACTACATAGGCATGACTGATTAACTCACTGGCAGGGTGTTTGAATTCACTCTCTGCCTTCCTCCAATCCCTGAAGATCGGGGGTGGGGCTGAAAATTCCAACCCTCTAATCACCTGCTTGGTCTTTATGGCATGACCGGACCCTCCCTTGAAACTATCTAAGGACCCACCATGAGTCATCTCATTAGCATAAATTTATGGTAGAAAGGAGCTCATTATGTATAACAGAAGACACTCCTATCAGGAAAATTCCAAGGGTATTTGAAGCTCTGTGCCAGCAGCCGGGGACAAAGACCAGATATATTCTTTATTATATCACACCATCTGAGACACATTTGCCAAAATGAGTTGAGTTGGCTACCTCCAGGTTCCCATTAGTCACTTTATAAAAATTAAATTAAAGGATCTTCTGCAATTCTAGCATATCAAAGTGCTCCCACTGGAAGTAATGTTCTTTAAGCCCTTCCTTGAATATTCATTTAAAACACAGCTTAAATAACCCCCGAGTTGAAAGCCAGAATTTAAGTCCCTTTTTAACTACATGTGATAGGAAATGAATCTCACCACCCCAGATGGGCATTGAAGGCTTGAGTGTATTTACTACTAACGTTTTTATATCACCTTTGAAGTTGCTGTTGTAGGGATATCAGATACCATTATGGCCCAGACTCTGGGTGAATATACTGCCCTGCCAGCTAGAGTAAATATTGAGCACTTTAAGTTTTATCAAGGTAAGCACACAGTAGAATAAAACACTTCTTTGTGCATCTGACTAGTGTTGTTTTTTACTATGAAAACTGAAAAAGAGAATAGAGATGTACAGATACTATGCTTCAGTGCTTTTATCACCTTGCTTAAGAGAAGAAAACATGCCAGGAAAAGGTTTGCCTTTGCATGAAAGGAAAATTTTAAATAGATAGATAGATACAGATATTTACATATATGTATACATATGTACACATAAGAATATGTGTACATATATGTGTGTGTGTATATATATATGCATGTATTTTAATATACAGAGAGTCAGAAAGCTTTTCTCTGGAAAGGAATAAATAGCAAACATTTTAGGCATCGGGGTCTCTATTGCAATTAATCAACTCTGCTATTGTAGTGCAAAAACATCCATAGACATATAAAGGAATGGCCATGACTGTGTCCTAATACAACTTTATTTATGAACACCAAAATTTGAACTTTAATTATTTTTATGTGTCACAAGATATTCTTTTGATTTTTTTTAACTATTTAAAAATGTAAAAACCATTCTTCACTGAACTCATATGAAGAAAGGCAGCAGCCATAGTTTGCTGACCCTTGTTATAGACCAGTAAGGTTAATCTAGTGATGATGTCTCTGCTTAGGTCACGTAATCTGAATGAACCTGAATTCGCTGGGGATTCCAACAAGTAATTTATCTGAACTCCATTGGTTGTAAAAAGAAATCCTTATAAATAGTATCCTTCCGTCTCTCAGCCCACTCTCACCTTTCTCTCTTTTCCCTCCTCTGTCTCTATCTCATTCCTGATAGACAAGAAGGATTTAATGGAAAATGTGCTCCAGCTACTTCCAACATTGACTGCTTATGCTATTAATATCAAGGTAACATGGCTGGTGACAGCTTCTTTCATTGATTCATAATTCATGTCCCCGTTACAAGGTATCTGATCCTATGAGTTATACATATTTCACTCTGAATATGCTAATCTTGTCAGTTTAAATAAAAATAAGACCACAGTTTATTTCTTCTCTAATTGGAGAACTAAGGGAGAAAATGGCTCTGTTGGTGGGGGGCGGGGAATCCCAAGACCTGGAAAATACCTCTGACTCTGAAAGATCAAATCCTATTCAAACCACAGTCGAAGCACCTCTTAGAGATTCTGCCCAATTCAATGGTGTGCGTCCTATGGCAGCATGGCAGTGTTTCAGATGTACTAGCTTTATAGAGTTTCTAGAGATAGCTATTCTTGGCAAATATATTTCAAGATGTAATCGTATTTTTTTAAAGTGTTTTTTAAAAGTCTCTTTTTAAGTGAATAGGTCCATCAATCAGAAAACCCAGAGGCAGGTGGGGGGGAAAAAAAAGGGCAATGATTTTTTTATTGTTATTAAAGGAGAAATTATATCTGAGGCCTGAAGCTCAATTTGTGAAGAGCATGATCCACAGGACTCCTGTTAAAGTTAGGCTGCTGCTGAGACACTTCAAAAGATCATCTTTATTGCAGAACAATTGCCTGACCCAGTTTCCTGGTCAGCAACATACTTTTGTAGAAACTTCAGGAGCTGATGAAAAAGCTCAGCAAAGTTAGCAAGGGTACTTTCATCTGTGGCTCTCGGGAGGGGAAATATGAAAAGGTTTCTAGGTCTCTTGGATTTAGCACTGCCAGGTCTACTGGCATAGAAGCAAAGAATGAAACAAAAGATACGAACATGTTATAAAAGGCAGTGTCTAACTTCTTGGCAAATGTGCTTGCTATTATTGGTTTGTAGAACACAGAGGTCTTTCTGTATTCATAGTCTTTTGCCTGTCAAAATATTTTGATATTGTAATAAAACCCTACTGTAAAATACATCTTGCCCATTGAGTAAGGATTCACTGCTTCGGTATAAAATGATATTCTCTGCCCATTCTTAGGTCTCCTTGAGAAATAACTCTTGGTGCCCAAGCATCTAAACAATATTTAATTTGGAATTCTGACATGCATCATAAAACTAGCATAAAGAGCAACAATGTATGTTTTAATGATTTCAAAGGGGAAAACACATTTGGGAAAACACATTTCCGCAAATGGCTCTAAGTTCCCTTCATTGCTTGCTGGAAAATATGACATCTTTAAGCAAAGCGCTTTTCAGCTTTTTATTTTAAGCATCTGTGCACTTATATTTATCAATAAAAATCTTTCAAAATAACTATTCAGTTTTATAATTTCCTCTTCCAGTTTGATTTTTTTCTTTAGATTTAATTTTTAGAATGTCTTCTTAATTCATTTTTAAACTTACTGCTTGTATTAGTTTCCTAGGACTATTGTAACAATCTACTAAAACCTAGGTGGCTTAAAACAACAGGAATCTATAGTCTCCAGTCCTGGAGGCTAGACCTCTGAAATCAAGGTGTTGTCGGGCCATGCTCTCTCTGAGGGCTCTAGAGGAAACCCTTTCTTGCCTCTTGCTAGCATCTGGTGTTTGCCAGCAAAATCCTCGGCATTTCTGGACTTGTAGATGGATCACTACAGTCACAGCCATCTTCTCCCTGTGGGCCTTCATGTCGTCTTCCCTCTATGTGCCTGTCTGTGTCCAGATTTCCTGTTTTTATAAGGATATCAGTCATATCAGATCAGGGCCCACTCGAATGATCTAATCTTAACTTCATTACTTTCGTAAACACCTTATTTTGAAATAAGGTCACATTCTGAGCTACTGGGGGTTAGGATTTTAACATATCTGTTTTAGGGAGACACAATTAAACCCGTAATATTTGCACTGTTAAGCATTTAATAGAATAAAAATGGTATTATTTATAGAGTAAGTAAATAATGCCATTGGCTAAGAACATTCAACAGCACCAAAGAAGGTAGTATGATCGCCGGGGCGCAGTGGCTCACGCCTGTAATCCCAACACTTTGGGAGGACGAGGCACGTGGATCACCTGAGGTTGGGAGTTCGAGACCAGCCTGATCAACATGGAGAAACCCCGTCTCTACTAAAAATACAAAATTAGCTGGGGGTGGTGGCGCATGCCTGTAATCCCAGCTACTCGGGAGGCTGAGGCAGGAGAATCGCTTGAACCTGGGAGGTGGAGGTTGGGGTGAGCCAAGATCATGCCACTGCACTCCAGCCTGGGCAATAAGAGTGACACTTGGTCTCAAAAAAAAAAAAAAAGAAAAAAAAAAAAAGAAGGTAGTTTGATCCTAAAGTTATTTCCAGGCATCTTAGGCCTTCACAACTGGGGGTGTTTTCCCACTCATTCCAGCTTGATCTCGCCTATGCCAGTGTAACTGCAGGTGGGAGACAGGTCTGAATCTCCTTCTGGCAGGCCTTTTCCTGAAGGTTCCTAATAAATGTCTGGGCACTATTTCTGACCCTCTGTTAGTATTCACTTCAAGAACCTCCAGGTGCCACCAGCCACGGTTTCTTTACAAATGAGGCAGCACCAAGGCAGTAGAGAAGCCCCAGCTGCAATCACTGTGCAACTCTTCTGATGTAACATCACTCCTGGCTGGTGTGACGGCATCGGGCAACATCATGGCTCTAAGACCTCTCAAGTCCTTCGCATTTGTGTGCTGGGAACAAGGGCTACAAACAGAGATAAATTTTAGAGCCTAGAGCAGTGGTTCTCAATTTGAATCACCACAGAGATCTAAAAAAAAATCCTGGCTCCTGGTGCTTAACCCCGTGGTTGTGACTGAGTGGAGTTTGCCGTGCAGCCAAGAGCACCAGCATTTTTAAAGCTCCCCAAACGTTACTAATGTGCAGGCAAAGGTAAGAACAGCTGATCTAGCTCGGAGCTCCTCAAACATTAATGTGGATAGGAATCACCCAGGGAGCTTGATAAAACACAGATTCTGATTCTGCAGGTCTGGGGTGGGGCCTGAGATTCTGCATTTCTGACAAGCTCCCAGGGATGGCTACGCTGTTGATCACTAACCGTGCTTTGAGTAGCCAGGAACTTCTCAAACTTTGCTGCACCATGGAATAATCAACAGAGCTATTAAAAATACTGATGCCAACCCCAGGCAACAGAGCAAGACCATATCTCTACAAAACAAAAGTTTTTTAATAAGCCAGGTGTGGTGGTGAGTGCCTGTAGTCCTAGCTACTTGGGAGGCAGAAGCAAAGGGATTGCTTGAGCCCAGAAGTTGGAGGCTGCAGTGAGCTATTATCACACCACTACACTCTAGCCTGGGGGACAGAGCAAGACCCTATCTCAAAAAACAAAAACAAAAAAAATTTAAACAAATACTGATGCCTAGATCTCACCTCCAGTGGTTTTAATTGGCCAGGAGTGTTATTTGAGTGTCAGGATTTTTGAAAGCTCTCCACGTGACCACATGATCTAAAGTACAGCCCAGGTTGAGAGTCACTGTTATTAAGAAAAGGCAAAAAGTCTTCAGTGGTTCAGACAATCCTACAATATGGGCACTGGGTATTATCTTTCATGATGGCATCAGCAACCAGCCACACATCTGCTCATGCTATAAACACAGGTGTACCCACATGCAACAAGGAAAGGTTGCACCAGAGAGTCATTTGGAGTACTAAAAGAGGTGCCTCATATACTCCTGATGTTCTAGCTTTAGGTGTCTAGCCAATATTCATTCTGCTGTTGCCATTGCTGTGTGATCAGCGATACACTGAGAAGCATCCTAGTGATGTCAAACCTTCCTCTTGAGTCATTCCCAGGATCTAAAAATGATTGCCTTTCTTGTCCATGTGTCAGTTGCCCCCATAGAAAGAAGCCTGGCTGGTTTTGCAGGTTCTCTGCAAGACAAGAAAGACTGGACTAAATGTCCAATGGGGTTGCTACTCAAGAAAGTTCAGCCGGGCGTGGTGGCTCACTCCTGTAATCCCAGCACTTTGGGAGGTTGAGGCAGGCAGATCACCTGAGGTCAGGGGTTTTAGACCAGCCTGGCCAACATGGCAAAACCCTGTCTCTACTAAAAATACAAAAATTAGCCAGGCGTGGTGGCGGGCACCTGTAATCCCAGCTATGTGCGAGGGAAGCTGAGGCAGGAGAATTGCTTGAACCTGGGAGGTGGAGGTTGCAGTGATCAGAGATCGCACCATTGCACTCCAGCCTGGGCAACAAGAGTGAAGCTCTGTCTCAAAAAAAAAAAAAAAAAGAGAGAAAGAATGTTCACCTGATATCTGAATATAGGAAGATGTCAAAGTACAAGAGGTAGAAACAGTATGAAATGAGGAAAAGAATTATTTATTGTGATTTTGAAAACTAGATTATGTTCATTGGTGGTGAGTAAGGAGAACATTCTCATTCTCCATGAAAAATTGTTAACAGAATCCATAGAGCTCACTAATGTTACTAAGTATTCATGGTAAATGCAAAGTGCTACTGAGTCTGACTTCAAGGTTTGTGCAGCATAAACACAAAGGCTGTGCAAGAGACCGGGTCTACATGCAAGCTTTTGAGGAGAGGTGAGAGGGGATCACCTGGCAGAAGGGAGAAAGCAGATAAGGGGTGATATTCAAGGAGGTTAATTAAATCCTTTTTCACTTTGGTCAGCCGCGGCCTTCCTGAGTCGGCCTGAGAACTAAAACAAGCTTTTATAACAGTGGTCGAAACAGTTGGAATAGACCTGCATCCCCAGTGAAGGAGGCTGGATACACCCCTATCACCAGCACCACCACATGGTATGGACATATATTCAGCCCTAGTTTACACTGGTTATCCTAGCATCTGAAGTGGTTCGACATTTTAGTACTCTTACTATGCCTGGGTTCAGACAAAAAATGGTCACTCTAGTCAAATATAACCTGTCTATTAGGGACTGAATTGTGTCCCTCTCAAAATCCATGTTGAAGCCCTAATTTCCACATCTCAGAATGTGACTGTGTTTGGAGATAAGTTCTTTAAGGAAGTGACTAAATTAAAATGAAGTTCTTAAGTTGGGCCCTAATTCAATCTGACTGGTGTCCTTATAAGAAGAGGAAATTTGGACAGAGAGACACCAGGGATGTGTGTGCACAGAGGAGAGACTGTGAGCACACAGGAGGAGGTGGCCATCTGCAAGCCAAGAAGAGAGGCCTCAGGAGAACTAACCCTGCCAACACCTTGACCTTGGACGTCTAGCCTCAAGAACTGTGAGAAAATAAATTTCCGTTGTTTAAGCCACCCCATCTGTGGTATGTTGCTATATATCGTGCATTGGGGAAGTGGTAATTGGAGTTTCATTAAGGATGTAAATTTCCTCTGGGTTGGATAGGAGCACAATTCTATGTGTATTTATTCATCAGTTCTCACTACATAACAACCACAAAATCCCAGCAGCACAGAAAAATAAGCATCATCTCCTGCTCATCAGCAGACTAGCTGGGATACTGTTAATTTTGCCTGAATGCCATTTGACTTTTCTCCAGGTTGCAAGTCAGGTCCAGGTGCCACTTGTTCTGGTACTAGCATTTCCATGAGGCGTGTTCTCTTCATGATGATGGCAGAAGAGGGCAAGACCAACCATGCTAGCACATTTCAAGTCTCTGCTTGAGTTGCATCTGCTAATATCCCATTAACCACAAGGTCAAACCCAAAGTCAAGGATGGGCAAATACACTCCACCCACCACAAGGCTGTGGTAATGGCATGGATATACTTATAATGCGATTGAAAAGGCGTGAGATTAATTATATGATCTACCACACCTAGGTTCCATTAGTATATCTGTAGGGGTTGAGTGGCTATGGACTTGGTCTTAATAAATGTACTTTAGGGCCTTACCATCCAGACAATTATCTAGAACAATTTTCTCCAACAACTTTCTGGGTAACCGTCATTTCTCATTGCTGAGACTCAGCTTCCTTTAAAAAGAAAACAAAACAAAAAAGGCATATTAACTAGACTGGCAATTTTAACACACAACCACTTGGTGCTTTTGTTTGTTTAATCGCTTGCAAATATTTAAAAGGGTTTCACATGAAAATCCAGTTTCTCTTAATACAAATTGGAGACACTGACAGCACTGAGCATCAAGGCAACACTCATCAGAAGTGGATTTGCCTCTGTCCCTTTATATGTCTGCGCTCTGCTGATGCCATGGTCCCCTCCAGGTGACTTCTCTCATCTAGGTTCTGTGCTTGCCTCCTACTGACATTTGAGTTTGGGCCTCCAAACTAGACTATCAAGCTGTAACATTCTGAGGTTCTTTAGAGACAGAGTATACTTCCAATATAAACTAATTCCCAATATTGTTCTTCGAACAGTCTCTGTGTTTGACAATGTTTAAGTCTGGGGAGAATTTCTAACAGCAACTATTTTCTTGCACATGGAGATTTATTCCTCATACTCTTTATTCACAATTAGAAGAGAATACCTTCTGAGGCACAAATGCTCTAGGTGTTCCTGTAGAGATATTCTCTTAAGGGCACTGTGATGCTGTATTAGTCAGGGTTTTCTAGAGAATCAGAACCAATAGCTATATAGAGATACAGTATAAGGCAGTGTATTATAAGGCATTGGCTCACCCTGATTATGAAGGCTGAGAAGTTCTACAATCTTCCATCTGCAATCTGGAGAACTAGGAAAGTCAGTGTTGCAATTCAGTACAAGTCTGAAAGTCTGAGGGCCAGAGGAACTGAAGTCGTAAGTCCAAAGGCCCAAGCTCCAATATCTAAGGGAGGAGAAGATGGATGTCCCAGCTCAAGAAGAAAGAGAAGAAACAAAAAGAGAAAGAGAAAGATAGAATTCTCCCTTCTTCTGCCATTTTGGTCCACTCACATTGGTGAGAGTGGATCCTTTTGACTCAGCCCACGATTGAAATGCTAATCTGTTCCAGGAACACCCTTGAAGACACACCCAGAAATAATGTTTTACCAGCTATCTTAGCATCCCTCATGGCAGCAAAGTTGACACATAAAATTAATCATCACAGGTGCTAAAGGCATCCTGCACTGAGATTAGTTGGAAGTTCATCCTGAACAGAAACACAGAGAGAGCTTTTTAGAGCTCTTCCCTGCCTCCTGAATCCATTGGCAGTCTTGTCAAAAGATTCATGTCCAGAAGCCACCCTAAATGAAAGCAGCTTGCTTTGGGGACCAGCTACAGCCATGAGTGGGCTCTCAGGCCTACTCTGCTACCCCGCACTTCCTCACAGTGAATGCAATTCTAGGAGGTGTGTCTCTCACAGAGGAGAACCAGAAAGAAAAAAAATGTTGGAAGCTAGAAATAGCATAGCAGACAGGAACAAGAGCGATTTAAAAACAAATGATTTTTTTGTTGTTATTGTTGTTTGTTGGTTCAGGTTGGGCAGCTGCCCTAGGTAACACAAAGGAGAGGAAGTAGAGGGTCCCAGGAGCGATAAATGAGAAAGGCATGAGAACTAGAGAAAGTCAGAGAAACCTAGTCAAGCCAGAGATACCATGAAAAGCAGATTAAAAACGATTCCATCCTTCTTTCCTAGTTTAACTCATTCAAACACTGATTGGCCTTATGTGAGAGCATGATTCTCAGAACTAGAAATAACATTTGCTAACATTTGCAAAGCCTTTTGTAGGTAAATGTAGTCACAGATTTTTTGTCTCATTTAGTCTTTTTTTTTTGAAGTCTGATCTTATTTGTTACTCTTAGAACATCTTATTTTCGACTGGACTCAGAAACCCTCAGAGAAGACAGCCCCCATCTCTTGGCAATCCGTTCCTATTGTTTTGTTTTTCTTTGGCCTTCTCTGGTGTCTTGGGCAAAAGTTTATCATATTCTGCTGCCTAGTCCTTATTTTTTTCAAGTATGTTGTTTGTTTAGAACAATGTGCTTACATCTGTATTGCAGGACATGCTGAGTAACAAGACACTGAATCTCTAGCAATTTGGTCCTGAGTTTCTTACTGTCTTTATTCAGGGGCTTTCTCTTAGCAAACTGGTGGACATCATCTTCTTTAGAGAGTTGGAAAATTTGCAGACACCGCTAGCTCTCTCAGGCCCCAGGTGACGAGGCACAGTAGTAAGGCAGTCCAAGAATATCTTCCTCCTTAAAAAAAAAAAAAATAACCAAAGTGAGAACACACAGATTGGCGTCCACAATAAACCCAGAACAGATTAGCACCTCCTTTCCCAAGTCCTCCTTGGTCTATTACAGGAATGCCCCTGCTCAGCAGCAGGCAGACATGGCCATGGTCAAGGTACCCTGCTTCATGAGGAAAACTTGTTTGTTTTTTCCCACTACTGATTTTGTACACATAACCCTTCTATTCTTCACTCAGAGTGTCAGCAGCAATTTCTGTGGCCATACGCTTCTCACAAAGGTATGAGGTTTGCTGTCATTATCTACTTCAATGAACTTCTGGCAGCCAGTAGCTGGGAAGGAAATGTGCAGCTTCCTTCTGAAACAGCTGATCACCCCCAAGGTGCCACGAAAAAGAGCTTGCCTCATTAATCTTTACCACAATTCTCTGTGCATTATTTTCCAAATTTTATATATGAGGAAACAGAAACAGAAGGATAGTGAGATTTTTCTCAAAATTGTTCATTCCATTAACAGTAGAGGCAAGATCTGAATCTATGTCTCCAATGTCCCAGACCATTCTATAACTCCACAAGGAAACTGCTACCTTTAGATAAATAGATCGGGTTGAAACTAAGGCTCAAAACTGTTAAAATGCCCCCAAATTCACATAGCTACTGAAAAACAAAGCCAGGATGTGAAGGCCAGTCTTTCTGATTCCAGGTCCTAAAATCCTAAGCTCTTTGATGCCTCAGATTTCTAACTCCTTCCAAACAGGTAATATTAAGTATATTATGGGGAGGTTATTATATACATTTATAACTACTGAGAGAAAATGGAGGAAGAATTGTTTTTCTTCTTTTTTTTTTTTTTTTTTTTTTTTTAGATGGAGTCTTGCTCTGTCACCCAGGCTGGAGTGCAGTGGCGCGATCTCAGCTCACTGCAAGCTCTGCCTCCCGGGTTCATGCCATTCTCCTGCCTCAGCCTCCCAAGTAGCTGGGACTACAGGCACCCACCACCATGCCCGGCTAATTTTTTGTATTTTTTAGTAGAGACGAGGTTTCACCATGTTAGCCAGGATGCTCTCGATCTCCTGACCTCGTGATCCATCCGCCTCAGCCTCCCAAAGTGCTGGGATTACAGGCGTGAGCCACCGCGCCCGGCCTGACCTTCTTAACTAAAATAAATCCTCCTGGCATTCAGGGCCCCTGGTGTGCACGGTACAAATTACAAAAGAGTCCAGACCCTCTGGGATCACTACAGCCCTGTGTGTATTGGTGGGCTGGGTGGAGCGCAGATGCTCTGATGGGGACAGGAATGCTGACATCAGGAGACACATCTGGCTCCAATACCTGATGGATGAACACAGGCAGGTCATCCCAGTGCAGTGCAGTACAGGGTTGGGTCCAGGAAGATCAGAAACCAAGAACTGGGTTAAAAATAAGGCAGAAGTTATGGCAATAACCAAAGTGGGGGGGAATACTCTATATACCTTTATATACTATGGAGTAAAGATCACAGCCTCTAGTTTATGGATGAAGAAACTAGAGTTGAGAGAATTCAGGCACCTTATCCAATGCCATAGAATCAGGATGTGAGAGCCAAGGTTCAAACCCCAAAATGCCTGAGTCCTACAGTAGTAAGATGAGCTTCCATGCATGGGAGGGTTCAGGTCTGTCTAGGCTATTTGGAAATATACTAAAGTTCAGTGAAGGCCAGTTGCCTTTAGCATGGCCTGAAAGAGGAAATGAGACAGTAAAGGGAAGAAACTTGATCCTGGCAGAGACACAACTAGCAAAAATCCCAGTGAGCTTCACACGTCCCGACATAGTCCCTACCCTACCTTCCTGCCTCCCTTGACAAACTGACCCAAATCACAAAGCAGAAAGTGGGGTCCCCTCCTAACTTAGTGGAGCAGGTCAAATCTCTAACCATAAAAGGTAAAACCAACCGCTGATGTCCTTGAGTGACGTCTTCCCAGGCGATTGAAGCGAGACTCTGGCATGACCCAACATGGAACTGACCAGATCCAGCTGCCTGGCAACAAGAGGCACTCCAGCGCAGACTTTCGCCAACTTTTTCCTCATTATAATGTCATCGTAATACTAAAATCACCACCCAAGGAGGTGCTTATCTGCCCCCTTCTGTACATGGGATGCATGTTAGGACACAACACCTCACTGCACAGGCGCAGAGAAGACCCCATCCAAACATGCTTATGCGTCACTCCTTTTTCCTGCCTTAACTTCCTTAAAATGACAGGAGCTGAGCCCCTCAGGAGCAAGCACCAGGATCCCCTTCCTGCATGCAGCTCCCTGGTGCTGCTCCATCCACAAGCCTATTAAACCTTGCCTGAGAAGACTTCTGCTTGGCCTGATGTTAGTTTACTACTTACAGGAGAGTCAAAGAACTTGGGACTCAGGTTATGGTAACAGAAGTACTCAACACCCAGCATCCAGCAGTCATATTCTGGGAGAGAAGAGACTATTAACTTTTTTTTTTTTTTTGAGTTGGAGTCTCACTCTGTTGCCTGAAGTGCAGTGGCGCAATCTCGGCTCACTGTGGCCTCTGCCTCCTGGATTCAAGCAAATGTCCTGCCTCAGCCTCCCGAGTAGCTGGGACTACAGGTGCATGAATTTTTGTATTTTTTTTATTAGAGACGGGCTTTCACCATGTTGGCCAGGATAGTCTTGATCTCCTGACCTCGTGATCTGCCCGCCTTGGCCTCCCAAAGTGCTGGGATTACAGGCGTGAGCAACTGTGCCCCAGCTGAGATCATTTACTTTTAAATGAACCCATTTAGCTTTCATGATGTGAAGAAAGGGAAAACAAAACAGTAAATTAAAAGCTTTAATATCTGAGGGAAATGCTTAAATAAAGAGTTGCAGGCAAAAAAAAAAAAAAAATAAGCAAATGAAAGGTAGAAGGGGAGGGTGAAAGGGAGGGAGAAATGGGAAAAAAATAAATAAAAAAAGAAAAAGATGAAGGGAGAGAGAAAAGAAGGGAAGGAGGAAGAATGGAATGAAAGAAAAGAAGTTTAAAGCACATGTGATCCACCACAAATTAGATCCCGCAGCAGTGAAGTCATAGGCAGCTGTGACTAAAGATTATTTTCGGATAATGAAATTAAATGCACCCAATCTTCTGCGCCCCTGTGGATCATGGGTTTTGGGAGACCATGGTCTATAGTGTATGTAATTTTGATAATTGTCCAAAAAACTTAGAACAATACTGTGCATACAGTGGGTGTTGCATAAATAAAAGGTTGACATTGATTGATAGTCCCTTCCCTAAAGGAAATTGATCTCCAATTCAAATCTCTAACATAACACTGAGTAAGGTTAATCTTCGTATCCCCACAGATGGAGACTAATGGGATGGGTCTAAGCAGGCAGAAGTGCATCAGGAAACCAAATTGGAAAATGATAGCTATTGTCACCCAGAGAATTGCCAAAGGTGGATGTCACTTATGGCTCCCAAGGCCAATGGCTGACCTTTTTATCCCCCCAGAGTTATCAATAGACTAGTGAAAGAAGACTGATAAAAATGAAAAATGCATGTAAATAAGTTTTTAATAAGTTATTTTAAAATGGTCATGAACAACCCTTAATTACTTGCTTTCAAAAAATAATAGCTGCCAACATGCTTAAGGTAGGGGAAGGACAGTTACTTCTCTGTGTCCTCAGACCAAGCCTCAGGCAAAATGCTGCCACATATGCAGACATGCCTTAAACAAACATGCCCTAGCAAAATGGCCCAGGTACTTAGTAACCAAACATCCATTAGCAAGCTGACACTAAGAAGTTATACAACCTGTTGTGTAAAACTGAAGAAGTCCCAGCTCTCCGGCCTTTGAGGTGCTCCTGAATATTTTAGCCAGCCCATATCTCTTAAATACCATTAATTTTACCAATGACAGCTCATTTCGAATGCTGATTATACTGAATAGAAGTCGTCAGTTTTGGCCGGGCGTAGTGGCTCATGCCTGTAATCCCAACACTTTGGGAGGCCAAGGTCAGCGGATCACGAGGTCAGGAGATTGAGACCATTCTGGCTAACACGGTGAAACCCTGTCTCTACTAAAAAATACAAAAAATTAGCCAGGCGTGGTGGCGGGCCCCTGTAGTCCCAGCTACTAGGGAGGCTGAGGCAGGAGAATGGCGTGAATCTGGGAGGCGGAGCTTGCAGTGAGCCGAGATCATCGCGCCACTGCACTCCAGCCTGGGGGACAGAGCCAGACTCAGTCTCAAAAAAAAAAAAAAAAAAAAAGAAGTTATCAGTTTCTACAATAAAAATCTATTTCTATTATTCATTATGCTGATTAACAAAACTACCGATGTAAATAAGAGATACAGATAAAAAACATGCCTTCAATAGTTACCTCTGAAGAGTGATCTTTCTCATACAATGCTAGGTAACTACTCCTGAAGTGTGAATTTCTAAGTATTACAACTTCCTGCTGCTTAGTAGTAAAACCAGCACATGCATTTATCTCATACTAGTTATATGTGGGTATTATAAAGTATATAACAAGCATCATAACGTGAATGATGAACCATATTTAAATACTTTTTTAAAATAATGATTTTAATAGTTGACAAATAAAATGCATTTCTTTATATAGATAAAATACATTCAATAGCCTCTTTTTACTGAATGTGAGAGAATATAAAAGACATAGTTGCGGCGGGGCGTGGTGGCTCACGCCTGTAATCCCAGAACTTTGGGACAGTTCTGGGCAGATCACGAGATCAGGAGATCAAGATCATTCTGGCTTACACGGTGAAACCCCGTCTCTACTAAAAATATTAAAAAAGTTAGCCAGGCATGGTGGCGGCATCTGTAGTCCCAGCTACTTGGGAGGCTGAGGCAGGAGAATGGTGTGAACCCAGGAGGCAGAGTTGCAGTGAACCGAGATCGCACCACTGCACTCCAGCCTGGGCAACAGAGTGAGACTCCGTCTCAAAACAAACAAAAAAAAGGCATAGTTGCTGATTTTTTCATATAAACATAAGAAAAACCAGCCACTCTGAGATAATTTCATATGCTGCAATATGATTGGTGTACTATTTTGAGCTGCAACTATGATGCTTGTCTTTTCAGTCAAGGGAACACAGCAGCTGGTCACCCTGCTCTCTAATTTCTAGGTGTCTGGCTCAAACTCCAATTCCTTTAAGTCTTTTCTTCTCCAGATGAGTGCTAGCAAGTCCCAGAAGGCCTAAGAGTCACATGTCCACTCAGGTAGAAGGCACATGAAGCTCTAATCCTGGGCTCATCGTACTGCAGTTTATGGTCTTACCCTCCCATGGGCCCAAACCTTTTTCTCATCTCCTTAACCCCAACCTGGAATTTATTTCCTTTCACTGATTTTTCAAAACTTGCACACACACTCACTCACTCACCCATTAACTCATTTACTCACTCATTCAAGGTGTGGCAAACTGAGCACTTTATATTTCCAGATACAAAAATACAAAGACCTAAAATTTATCAGAAAATGACCTATTTTGTCCATTCTGCCTCAAAGGCAGTGGTCCTCCTGGCTGCTTGATCATCATCTGCTCCATTGGAGTTATTGGCTTCTTGACATATTAGTCACATTACTTTGTAGAGCGCATTAGTTACTTTCCTTCATCATCCCTTCTTCCTTGTCCCCAGTGCTTTCAAAAATTGCACAACTGGATGATTTCGTTTTTTCCAGCTACACAGGCATTTCAGAATTGGGAGGAACAACAAATGGCAAAGATAATAAATATACTAACCACTTTAAAGCCATATTATGTGAAAGAAAGAAAGAGCAGAAGCACTCAGATCCCAGCACCATTAGCTAAAAATTTCTAACACTCCTTTTCCAACTTTTGATTTCTGAGTCATTAACATATAAGAACTATTATCAGCAAGTCATTTCTCCATTCTTCCCTTCTAATGGAACAGTATATTATTATTTGTCCTACATCTAGTTTTGTGATATATGACCTTTCTTCAGTTTTCTAGAGAAGAAAACATGGTTTTATTTCCTCTCTGATGGAGATCTTATTCTCCCAGAGACAACTTTTCTCATTCTATTTGACTCTTTGAAGATGAAAAACTGACCCTTTGAGATTATAAAAATAATCCATGGATATGTTTATATTCCCCCTGAGGTCTGAAATGTAAGGTGCCAGAGAAAAAGGCTACCCATGTTTGTTCCCTTTATTATTATAACAAAGATAAATCTGGAGTCCATTTTGCCCATGCAAATGCAAATTAAGGAAATGTGGGCCTCAGAGTCTCCCGATGCCTTACTACTGCAGAAACCAGAGAGCTTTAACCAAAGTGGTCACGTATATTCGCTTTCAGAGCAGTCCTGCCCGAGTGACGTGAGGAGTTTGGGGAGTGTGGATTGTCAAGAGTTGAATTTTTGACCATGTAAGTATGTATAAGGTATGCGAAGGACAAGAAGCAGTGATATAGCAAATCCATACCTTAATGCGTAAAAGAATTGCCTAGTGTTTTATTAAAATACTGTTTCTAATTCAACACATCTGGGATAGGACTGAGATTCTTTGTTTCCCACAAGTTCCCAGTTGATGTGAATGCTGCTGGTGCAAGATGAGTAGCAAGACATTAGAGACAAGTGGAGGTTATTGTATGGATTCTAGAGGACATTTCAAATACAAAATATTTTGAATTTTAGATTCAATGTTACTTAGGACCTCTAAATTATATGTTTTTAGAGTGCTGAATAAAGTCATGTTGTTTTAAATTTCTTTTTGTTGAAGTATATAGTACACGTGAAAACTGAGTAAATCATGCTTCATAGATTTTTCACAAAGCCATTTAGCCACCTAAGAAAGTAGACTAAGAAATAGAATATTACCAGCATCACAGAAGCCCCCTCACGCCCGGTCTAAATTACTATGCTTTTCTGTCACTTTCTTCTTTTTTTTCTTGAGACAGAGTCTCACTCTGTCACCCAGGTTGGAGTGCAGTGGCCCTATCTCAGCTCACTGCAAGCTCCACCTCCCAGGTTCAAGCCATTCTCCTGCCTCAGCCTCCTGATTAGCTAGACTACAGGCATCCGCCACCACGCCGGGCTAATTTTTTTGTATTTTTAGTAGAGATGGGATTTCACCATGTTAGCCAGGATGGTCTCGATCTCCTGACCTCGTGATCCGCCCGCCTCGGCCTCCCAAAGTGCTAGGATTACAGGCGTGAGTCACCGCGCCCAGCCCTCTGTCACTTTTTTTTTTTTTTTCACTAAGTATAATGTCATTTATTTATCTTCGGTGGCTCTATAATGCCTTATACTTCAGCTATGAATTCAGGACCATGCACATCTTAAACCTATCCCCCATCTGGCCTATGTCATTCCAACCTTATCTTTCACCAATCTCCTAGAAAAGCCTTTCTTTTTATTTATTTATTTATTTAGTTAGTTAGTTATTTTATTATTATTATACTTTAAGTTTTAGGGTACATGTGCACATTGTGCAGGTTACTTACATACATATACATGTGCCATGCTGGTGTGCTGCACCCACTAACTCGTCATCTAGCATTAGGTATATCTCCCACTGCTATCCCTCCCTCCTCCCCCCACCTCACAACAGTCCCCAGAGTGTGATGTTCCCCTTCCTGTGTCCATGTGATCTCATTGTTCAATTCCCACCTATGAGTGAGAATATGCGGTGTTTGGTTTTTTGTTCTTGCGATAGTTTACTGAGAATGATGATTTCCAATTTCATCCATGTCCCCACAAAGGACATGAACTCATCCTTTCTTATGGCTGCATAGTATTCCATGGTGTATATGTGCCACATTTTCTTAATCCAGTCTATCATTGTTGGACATTTTGGTTGGTTCCAAGTCTTTGCTATTGTGAATAATGCTGCAATAAACATACGTGTGCATGTGTCCTTATAGCAGCATGATTTATAGTCCTTTGGGTATATACCCAGTAATGGGATGGCTGGGTCAAATGGTATTTCTAGTTCTAGATCCCTGAGGAATTGCCACACTGACTTCCACAATGGTTGGACTAGTTTACAGTCCCACCAACAGTGTAAAAGTGTTCCTATTTCTCCACATCCTCTCCAGCACCTGTTGTTTCCTGACTTTTTAATGATTGCCATTCTAACTGGTGTGAGATGGTATCTCATTGTGGTTTTGATTTGCATTTCTCTGATGGCCAGTGATGGTGAGCATTTTTTAATGTGTTTTTTGGCTGCATAAATGTCTTCTTTTGAGAAGTGTCTGTTCATGTCCTTGGCCCACTTTTTGATGGGGTTGTTTGTTTTTTTTCTTGTAAATTTGTTTGAGTTCATTGTAGATTCTGGATATTAGCCCTTTGTCAGATGAGTAGGTTGTGAAAATTTTCTCCCATTTTGTAGGTTGCCTGTTCACTCTGATGGTAGTTTCTTTTGCTGTGCAGAAGCTCTTTAGTTTAATTAGATCCCATTTGTCAATTTTGTCTTTTGTTGCCATTGCTTTTGGTGTTTTAGACATGAAGTCCTTGCCCATGCCTATGTCCTGAATGGTACTGCCTAGGTTTTCTTCTAGGGTTTTTATGGTTTTAGGTCTAACGTTTAAGTCTTTAATCCATCTTGAATTGATTTTTGTATAAGGTGTAAGGAAGGGGATCCAGTTTCAGCTTTCTACGTATGGCTAGCCAGTTTTCCCAGCACCGTTTATTAAATAGGGAATCCTTTCCCCATTGTTTGTTTTTCTCAGGTTTGTCAAAGATCAGATAGTTGTAGATATGCGGCGTTATTTCTGAGGGCTCTGGTCTGTTCCATTGATCTATATCTCTGTTTTGGTACCAGTACCATGCTGTTTTGGTTACTGTAGCCTTGTAGTATAGTTTGAAGTCAGGTAGCATGATGCCTCCAGCTTTGTTCTTTTGGCTTAGGATTGACTTGGCGATGCGGGCTCTTTTTTGGTTCCATATGAACTTTAAAGTAGTTTTTTCCAATTCTGTGAAGAAAGGCATTGGTAGCTTGATGGGGATGGCATTGAATCTGTAAATTACCTTGGGCAGTATGGCCATTTTCACGATAATGATTCTTCCTACCCATGAGCATGGAATGTTCTTCCATTTGTTTGTATCCTCTTTTATTTCCTTGAGCAGAGGTTTGTAGTTCTCCTTGAAGAGGTCCTTCCCATCCCTTGTAAGTTGGATTCCTAGGTATTTTATTCTCTTTGAAGCAATTGTGAATGGGAGTTCACTCATGATTTGGCTCTCTGTCTGTTGTTGGTGTATAAGAATGCTTGTGATTTTTGTACATTGATTTTGTATCCTGAGACTTTGCTGAAGTTGCTTATCAGCTTAAGGAGATTTTGGGCTGAGACAATGGGGTTTTCTAGATATACAATCATGTCATCTGCAAACAGGGACAATTTGACTTCCTCTTTTCCTAATTGAATACCCTTTATTTCCTTCTCCTGCCTAATTGCCCTGGCCAGAACTTCCAACACTATGTTGAATAGGAGTGGTGAGAGAGGGCATCCCTGTCTTGTGCCAGTTTTCAAAGGGAATGCTTCCAGTTTTTGCCCATTCAGTATGATATTGGCTGTGGGTTTGTCATAGATAGCTGTTATTATTTTGAAATATGTCCCATCAATACCTAATTTATTGAGAGTTTTTAGCATGAAGGGTTGTTGAATTTTGTCAAAGGCCTTTTCTGCATCTATTGAGATAATCATGTGGTTTTTGTCTTTGGCTCTGTTTATATGCTGGATTACATTTATTGATTTGCATATATTGAACCAGACTTGCATCCCAGGGATGAAGCCCACTTGATCATGATGGATAAGCTTTTTGATGTGCTGCTGGATTCAAGTTGCCAGTATTTTATTGAGGATTTTTGCATCAATGTTCATCAAGGATATTGGTCTAAAATTCTCTTTTTTGGTTGTGTCTCTGCCCGGCTTTGGTATCAGAATGATGGTGGCCTCATAAAATGTGTTAGGGAGGATTCCCTCTTTTTCTATTGATTGGAATAGTTTCAGAAGGAATGGTACCAGTTCTTCCTTGTACCTCTGGTAGAATTCGGCTGTGAATCCATCTGGTCCTGGACTCTTTTTGGTTGGTAAGCTATTGATTATTGCCACAATTTCAGATCCTGTTATTGGTCTATTCAGAGATTCAACTTCTTCCTGGTTTAGTCTTCGGAGAGTGTATGTGTCGAGGAATTTATCCATTTCTGCTAGATTTTCTAGTTTATTTGCTTAGAGGTGTTTGTAGTATTCTCTGATGGTAGCTTGTATTTCTGTGGGATCGGTGGTGATATCCCCTTTATCATTTTTTATTGCATCTATTTGATTCTTCTCTCTTTTTTTCTTTATTAGTCTTGCTAGTGGTCTATCAATTTTGTTGATCTTTTCAAAAAACCAGCTCCTGGATTCATTAATTTTTTCAAGGGTTTTTTGTGTCTCTATTTCCTTCAGTTCTGCTCTGATTTTAGTTATTTCTTGCCTTCTGCTAGCTTTTGAATGTGTTTGCTCTTGCTTTTCTAGTTCTTTTAATTGTGATGTTAGGATGTCAATTTTGGATCTTTTCTGCTTTCTCTTGTGGGCATTTAGTGCTATAAATTTCCCTCTACACACTGCTTTGAATGTGTCCCAGAGATTCTGGTATGTTGTGTCTTTGTTCTCGTTGGTTTCAAAGAACATCTTTATTTCTGCCTTCATTTCGTTATGTACCCAGTAATCATTCAGGAGCAGGTTGTTCAGTTTCCATGTAGTTGAGCGGTTTTGAGTGAGATTCTTAATCCTGAGTTCTAGTTTGATTGCACTGTGGTCTGAGAGATAGTTTGTTATAATTTCTGTTCTTTTACATTTGCTGAGGAGAACTTTACTTTCAAGTATGTGGTCAATTTTGGAATAGTTGTGGTGTGGTGCTGAAAAAAATGTATATTCTGTTGATTTGGGGTGGAGAGTTCTGTAGATGTCTATTAGGTCCTCTTGGTGCAGAGCTGAGTTCAATTCCTGGGTATCCTTGTTGACTTTCTGTCTCGTTGATCTGTCTAATGTTGACAGTGGGGTGTTAAACTCTCCCGTTATTGATGTGTGGGAGTCTAAGTCTCTTTGTAGGTCACTCAGGACTTCCTTTATGAATCTGGGTGCTCCTGTATTGGGTGCATATATATTTAGGATAGTTAGCTCTTCTTGTTGAATTGATCCCTTTACCATTATATAATGGCCTTCTTTGTCTCTTTTGATCTTTGTTGGTTTAAAGTCTGTTTTATCAGAGACTAGGATTGCAACCCCTGCCTTTTTTTGTTTTCCATTTGCTTGGTAGATCTTCCTCCATCCTTTTATTTTGAGCCTATGTGTGTCTCTGCACGTGAGATGGGTTTCCTGAATACAGCACACTGATGGGTCTTGACTCTTTATCCAATTTGCCAGTCTGTGTCTTTTAATTGGAGCATTTAGTCCATTTACACTTAAAGTTAATATTGTTATGTGTGAATTTGATCCTGTCATTATGATGTTAGCTGGTTATTTTGCTCGTTACTTGATGCAGTTTCTTCCTAGTCTCGATGGTCTTTACATTTTGGCATGATTTTGCAGTGGCTGGTACCGGTTGTTCCTTTCCATGTTTAGCACTTCCTTCAGGAGCTCTTTTAGGGCAGGCCTGGTGGTGACAAAATCTCTCAGCATTTGCTTGTCTGTAAAGTATTTTATTTCTCCTTCACTTATGAAGCTTAGTTTGGCTGGATATGAAATTCTGGGTGGAAAATTCTTTCCTTTAAGAATGTTGAATATTGGCCCCCACTCTCTTCTGGCTTGTAGGGTTTCTGCCGAGAGATCCGCTGTTAGTCTGATGGGCTTCCCTTTGAGGGTAACTCGACCTTTCTCTCTGGCTGCCCTTAACATTATTTCCTTCATTTCAACTTGGATGAATCTGACAATTATGTGTCTTGGAGTTGCTCTTCTCAAGGAGTATCTTTGTGGCGTTCTCTGTATTTCCTGAATCTGAACATTGGCCTGCCTTGCTAGATTGGGGAAGTTCTCCTGGATAATATCCTTCAGAGTGTTTTCCAACTTGGTTCCATTCTCCCCATCACTTTCAGGTACACCAATCAGACGTAGATTTGGTCTTTTCACATAGTCCCATATTTCTTGGAGGCTTTGCTCATTTCTTTTTATTCTTTTTTCTCTATACTTTCCTTCTCACTTCATTTCATTCATTTCATCTTCCATCGCTGATACCCTTTCTTCCAGTTGATCGCATCGGCTCCTGAGGCTTCTGCATTCTTCACATAGTTCTCGAGCCTTGGTTTTCAGCTCCATCAGCTCCTTTAAGCACTTCTCTGTATTGGTTATTCTAGTTATACATTCTTCTAAATTTTTTTCAAAGTTTTCAACTTCTTTGCCTTTGGTTTGAATGTCCTCCCATAGCTCAGAGTAATTTGATTGTCTGAAGCCTTCTCTCAGCTCGTCAAAGTCATTCTCCATCCAGCTTTGTTCCGTTGCTGGTGAGGAGCTGCGTTCCTTTGGAGGAGGAGAGGCGCTCTGATTTTTAGAGTTCCCAGTTTTTCTGTTCTGTTTTTTCCCCATCTTTGTGGTTTTATCTACTTTTGGTCTTTGATGATGGTGATGTACAGATGGGTTTTTGGTGTGGATGTCCTTTCTGTTTGTTAGTTTTCCTTCTAACAGACAGGACCCTCAGCTGCAGGTCTGTTGGAGTACCCTGCAGTGTGAGGTGTCAGTGTGCCCCTGCTGGAGGGTGCCTCCCAGTTAGGCTGCTTGGGGGTCAGGGGTCAGGGACCCACTTGAGGAGGCAGTCTGCCCCTTCTCAGATCTCCAGCTGCGTACTGGGAGAACCACTGCTCTCTTCAAAGCTGTCAGACAGGGACATTTAAGTCTGCAGAGGTTACTGCTGTCTTTTTGTTTGTCTGTGCCCTGCCCCCAGAGGTGGAGCCTACAGAGGCATGCAGGCCTCCTTGAGCTGTGGTGGGCTCCACCCAGTTCGAGCTTCCTGGCTGCTTTGTTTACCTAAGCAAGCCTAGGCAATGGTGGGCGCCCCTCCCCCAGCCTCGCTGCCGCCTTGCAGTTTGATCTCAGACTGCTGTGCTAGCAATCAGCAAGACTCCGTGGGGTAGGACCCTCCGAGCCAGGTGCGGGATGTAATCTCGTGGTGTGCCGTTTTTTAAGCCCGTCGGAAAAGCGCAGTATTCGGGTGGGAGTGACCCGATTTTCCAGGTGCCATCGGTCACCCCTTTCTTTGATTAGGATAGAGAACTCCCTGACCCCTTGCGCTTCCCGAGTGAGGCATTGCCTCACCTTGCTTTGGCTCGCACACGGTGCGTGCACCCACTGACCTGCGTCCACTGGCTGGCACTCCCTAGTGAGATGAACCGGGTACCTCAGATTGAAATGCAGAAATCACCCGTCTTCTGCGTCGCTCAGGCTGGGAGCTGTAGACGGGAGCTGTTCCTATTCGGCCATCTTGGCTCCTCCCTCCTCTGTTGCTTTCTTAAAGGCAACCACTATGCAGACTCATGTAAGCAGATATTAGTTTTTCCCTGTTAAAAATTGGCATTTGTTTTGTTTCTGGTTTCCTTTATTGTTATGTTTTCTGATATCGAACTACATTATTGTGGGTACCAGTCACTTGTTTTTTACTCCTCCATAGCAAAAGTTGCCAAACTTTTTCTTTAAAGAGCTAGATAGTAAATATTTCCAGCTTTGGATGCCATAAGGACTCTGTGGCAACTACTCAACTCAGCTCACATAGTTGAAAGCAGTCACAGACAATACATAAATGAATAGTCATGGCTCTGTTCCAATAAATCTTTATTTACAAAAGCAAGTGTAGGTCAAAGTTGACCTGTGAGCCATAGTTTGCTGACCTCTTTTCCATAGTAGTGCA
The DNA here is from genome assembly GCF_000001405.40 of Homo sapiens. Classification (NCBI taxonomy): domain Eukaryota; kingdom Metazoa; phylum Chordata; class Mammalia; order Primates; family Hominidae; genus Homo; species Homo sapiens. Next base: position 82,758,276 of record NC_000009.12, read on the forward strand.
TTATAAAGATGTATCATAATTTACTTATCCATTTTACTTTTAATAATCATATTTGTTTTCTATTACTGCCATAACAAATTACTACAAATTTAATAGCTACAAACAACACAAATTTATTACCTCACAGCTCTGTAGGCCAGAAATCTGGGTGGGCTCACTAGTTTCTCTACTCTGGGACTCACAAGGCTGAAATCAGTGTCAGCTGTCCCAGGATTTTATCCAGAGGCTTTGGGAAAGAAATTGCTTCCTAGCTCATTCTGGTAACTGGCAGAAGTTAATTCCTCGTGGTTGTGGGACTGAATACTCTATTTCTTTGCTGGCTGTCAACTGGAGGCTGCCTTTAGCTCACAGAGGTCTCTCTTGGTTCTTACATATGGTTCCTTCCATCTCAGAGCCAGCAAGGGCACATCAAATCCTTCTCACACTTGGAATCTGTCTTCTAGAAGTGTCATTGTTTTACATTTAAATATACAGTCCTCCTTAAGTGATTTAGGGTACGGTTGGAGGGAAGGATGAAACATTATTCTTTTTTTTCTTTTTTTTTTTTTTTTGAGATAGAGTCTCACTCTGTTGCCTAGGGTGGGGTGCAATGGTGCGATCTTGGCTCACTGAAAACTTTGCCTCCCAGGTTCAAGCGATTCTCCCACCTCAGCCACCGAGTAGCTGGGATTACAGGCACCCACCATCATGCCCGGCTAATTTTTGTATTTTTAGTAGAGACGGGGTTTCACCATGTTGGCCATGCTGGTCTCGAACTCCCGACCTCAGGTAATCCACCTGCCTCGGCCTCCCAAAGTGCTGGGATTACAGGTGTGAGCCACCGTGCCTGGCCCATTCTTTTTCCATGCAAATATTCAATTGATCCAGCACTGTTCATTAAGGTCAGTTTTTCTGTACTATGCAGTGTCACATTGTCACCAATCAGTGTGAGATATATATGTGTGTACACACACACACACATACACGAGTTTATGTTTGGACTCTACTTATTCCATTGGCCTAGTTCTCTATTTTTACATATTTTACTAATAATGACTACAGTTCTATTATAAGCCATCTGATAGTGTAAGGCTTTGAATTTTCCTCTTTAAGATTGTGAGTCTGGCAGAGTTTGACCTGAGATCGATTTTGAATGTGATGTGTCACCTGGTAGGGAGGTTACAAGAACGGAAAATATAGCTTCCATCTGCCTCTAACTACTGAAACTACCAATGCTCTTTTTAAAAAAAAAAACAAATCCAGTGCTCACTAAATGACTCAATTGGCTAAGGTCAGTTTGCTACGCATTACTAAATAATTTTCAACTTTATCCTGAAGGGAAGTAGGAGACGTTGAAACAATTTAAGCAAGCAACTAAATTTTTGTAACCCTTTTCAATAAAGAAACCCGGTGGAAACAACATAAACAAGTTTTATGGTTAAGTCTTGTTTTAAACCAACATATCACAATCATGAAGAAATGGGTTGTGTATCTGGAGTTTATTGAGGTGGTCAAGGCTAGAGATGGCAGTGCCTTGAGATAGACCTGTGATGATGGAGTTGTAGAGCAGGCAGTAAATTTGAGAAAGATTTAATGGACACTACTTGAAGATTAATTATACCTGGAGTGTTGACTACAAAGATGAGTGGCTTAATATCTAGCATTGCTACTGATGAAGAATTCAGGAGGAGTTAAGTGTAAAGATGATGAGTTCAATATTGAGATTAAGGTGCCTGCAACCTATCTAATTGGAAATGTTTATCAGAAAGAGGTAGAGACTGGTGCTCAGCAGAGGAATCAGTGGTATTGATAGATCTGGAGGAGTTTTCTGTATATAGATAATGGGAGCTATGACTGGGTCTTTTCATTCAGGGAATGTGTGCAAAGCAAGAATAAAAGAGTACTAGTGATAGAATCTTGGTGAATTTCATCAAGATATGCTGAGAGAGAAAAAGAGAGAGAGAGAGAAAGAGAATGACTTGTTGTAGCAATAGGAAAGGAACCAGGGACAAACAATAATCTCTCTTAGATCTACCTCAGGTTATAATTTACTCTGCAATAATATAATTATCACTATCCCCAAATAGCACTTGCTCTACTTAAAATATATAATGTTGCACAGAAAAAAATATTGACCTTGTCTTTGTCCTTTTCTATAAGAATCCATAAAATTGTCTTTTCTATAATTGAAGCATTACTTATAATGATATTCAAATGATATGGCCACACCAGAGACTAAAGTAATAAGAAAGGCCTTCATAAATGATAATTTTCATGATGCAATGAGGTAGCCTCATTTTATTTTAATTGAAAACAGATAAAGACAGAGAAGAGGAAAGGAGAACATCTCAGCTAGAATCACGTGCTCAGGATTACAAAGAATAAAGGGAACTTTCCTTGCAGCATGGAGATGGTTACGGTGAGGTGGTTAGACTGAGAGGAAACTGGTGTATCTCCATCTTTAATCCAGGATTCCCATTTGTGTGTGTTTGTAGTTGTTGAATATTACCAGCTTCTGATTTCAAGGTTGGGAATTCCTAGTGATCTTTCTGCAATTTTCTAGCAGGGTCCATACAGTGAAATGCCTTCAATGTGGATAAAAGTGAAAAGCAAGGCACACTGGGACAGAAAAGCTTGGATCCACTGTCAGCCCAGCTGTCCTTATCCTGTGAAGAGCCTGTTGCCCTCTAGGCTCTTGAACACAACAACCAAAAGCCATCCGTTCACGGCTTCCATGTTCATTTCATCCAGTAAAAGAGTTGCTTCATCCACAGGGCAGCAAAACAATATAAAATTAGAGGCGGGAATCAAATCAATAGCCAGTCCAGCAGGAGACAGTGTGTGTTCTCCTTTGAGCTGTTAGCAGGTGCACTGGGTGAATACAGATAAGTTGATAAATGGCTGATTCAATAGACTGGTAGCAAACACATGCTTTGCCAGAGATGACTTTTTAAGTCACCATACATCAAACAGACAGTGTCAGCCTTTGAGGATAAACCTGTGAAGCCTTGTTGTGCTCTTTGAACTACCTCTGAGACCCAGAGACTGAAAAGGGGCCTGAGTGTTCCTCTGAATCCATTGGGAGGACTGAAAGCTTCAAAGAGGAGTGCTATCATATCCAAGGGGAAATACATTGATTGAAGGAACCAGTGTGAAATAGTCTTTATTACCAGAAAGCTGGAATCGACTGGTGTTTTGCTGAGCTATATTTTATCTTTATTGGATTAACTGTGACACAGTAGGTTATGTCAAAGGGAATCTGCATGAATATTAAAAGTAAATGTGGTGTGAATAATAGATAACTTACATTAGATGCACCAGCATGCAGTAATTTTTATTCACCTACATAATTAGATTAAAACAAATCTGCTGAATAAAATGCATTGTCTTACTATAATCTGGTTTGAAAACACCCAAAAGTTATGGCCATAAGGGTGTTTGCTGATGCTTTACATATAAATACATAATTCAGCCTAAGAAATGTTTTCCAATAGGTTTCTGGTAGTTACAAGAGAGGATGATTATGAATATTAACAGCCCACAGCCAGTAGGAAATAGCCTTAAGGTCAAATAAGACCCTACAATGTTGATACCATCAACATGTAACTTTTATGTTCAACTCATGGAAATTATGAGGGACAGTAAATGACCTAGGGAAAACTTACACACAACCTGAAAGCACACTGTAATTCTTTTCATGTGTCTATTTTCTTTTGTCTATTTCAGTTCTGTAAAATAAACTCACTTTTAAGATAAGCTATATTGCTCTTTTAGGCTGGGAAGATCTCAAAGCCTCTCTGTCTTTAAACTAGTATCTTCCCACCTCCCACCATCACCTCCCCAGCTGCTGCTGTTTCCCATTGCTGAAGAAATTCAGCTAGAATCTGTTATAACAGGAGGTGGGTTCCAACAGTCTAATTTCATCCAAGTGTGGATGCTGGGGACTCCCCCATCCATATGTCTCTCTCCTCCTGGAGGCTTCTGAATGTCCTGGGCTGTTGACAGAATGGCCATGTGGGGAAATTTGAATGTGGCTCAGCAAAGTCTACGGGACGAGCGGCCACCATGGCTGCTGGAAGATGCACCAGCAATATGCTGGCAGATACAGGTGGAAGGCTCTCCCCAGAGGGCTACATGGCTCATCAGGCAGGTGACAAGTGGGGTTAACTCTAGTGTTGATGGATGCCCTGCTGGTCCTTTGTGGTCTCCCACAGCCCTCTGGTGCTGGCAAGAGATGGTGCTGGGCTCTTTCTATTGATCCTGCTTTCCTCCAAGTCGTGCTCCAGATTTCATTCCTCCCCCCCATCCAGCTCCTGTTCCCTTTTCCCAGCCCAGTGCACCTTGACTAGATGGCCACATGTCCTAATTTGCGCAGGTCAGTCCTATTCTGCCTGTTTGGACCCAGTAAAATGATGTATAATGGCCGCTTTTACTCTCAACAGTGACCCATTTGGACCTTAGGTTATGTGGTCACCCTAATCTTGTCCATTCTTGGCAGGAAGGGCATTGTCTGAATCTCTCAGTCTTCTTTTGTAATCTGTTGCTACAGCACACACTTGCCACATTCTCTCCTAGAGGGCTTTATGCTTGGATTCGTAAGAGCACTCCCCTTTTTTTCTCCTCGAAGTCACTCTTGCAAATGAAAAGTTTTGGCTATCAAAGCCGGTTTGCTAGTTTCTGAGGCTGGCATCCCAAGCTTATTTTAAAAGCCCAAGATGGAACATTAGCTGCTTTGCTCTCTCACCTTGTGTCCCTGCCTCTCCTCAAGGCAGTGTAGATGACTGAACTATGGAAGGTGTCCTGTAGAGCGATGTCTAGAAAGTAACCCCAATGATTTGTATTCAATGCTATCTCCTCACCATGCTCTCACTTTCAAACCCCCATTTGCAACTTGCAAATCTCAAGGCATTGTCTTCACATTTTCTGTGCCTAGTGTAAGTTTTGTAGAAAAAAAAAATGATTGCTATTGTTATTATTTAGTGGCACACAGGTTATCTCCTATACCCCTCATTCTCCCCAGTTAGCAGATATGGTATATACACACACACACACACACACACACACACATGTATATACATATATATATATACACACACATATATATATATAGCTAGATGCATAGAGAAGTTAACTCACCTGTGCAAGATTACAAAAAGTGCCTGAGCCAAAATTTGACTCCAGAGTTCATGTACGTAAAACAAAAAGAGCTCCTAAAGACACAAAGCTTGCAGATCTGTAATTTGGCAGAATAATCAAAATGCAGTAGAAATTTTGTTCCTGAGAGAGTGGAGGGTATGGTAAATCCAATCAGAAATGCTTTATCATTTTTGTAGTTTTCTTCGAATGACTCCAGATCTTCCCAAAAGCAGCTTCCAAAGCACCTTTGCATCTCTCCCACTGACAGGATGGGCCTAAAGCCTCCTCTCAAGAATAGCTCTGTCTTCATACTTATTCACATCTGCATGAGTTTCAACTCTGAGGCAAGTTCTTTGCATAGAAAGGATCACCTAAAAGCAGCCCCACATCCTTCTAAACGGCAGAGTGTGAAGTGGTACCTGAGCTCCACCTACCGTGCTCCTTGAGGTTGTTTTAAATCAGGGAGCCCAGCTGGCCCAGAACCCAGATGGCTTTCCACTCCCCATGTGGCAGCCATCAGCTCTAAGACCCCAGCTCAGTGACCAGGCCATCAAAGAGGCTGCCAAGATCAGACAGGCTGTATTCTCTCACAGCTTTTTACAGGAAGCAAAGGAGCTAAAGGGAATAATGACAGAGGTAGCCTGCAAACGTAACCAGAGGTATGTATTTTAAAGGATGAATAAAAACAAATGACTATGTTGTAGAAATCTATTTCAGCATGTATGTGCATCAGAGTAGAAATCATTTATTTTCCTGGTCTCTCATGAGAGTTGATATTACAGTGCCTACATAGAATAACTAGCCATTATAAATGTAGAGTGCTTTAGGACTGTCAAAGCAATCACACCGAAATTACCCCAGTGATATCTAATCTCCATCATGCACTCAATATGTGCATGGACCTATACTGATAAGATGGAATTAATATCTCAAAGGCAAGAATTTTTTTTTTCCCTGATAGAGTCAGGTGTTTTGCAGTGATGGATGAGGTCAAACAGAATTTGTCAGAATTAACACAGCTGTTTCCGCATGTGGTGTTTGGGTTGCAATTCTCATTTGTGGCTTTTATTGTTCCCTTCTCCACATTTCAGCGCAATGGCAGATGTTTCCTAAGTGTATACCCCTCGTGTTACTTTACATCCCCTTGCAGGATGATACTGGGCCACAGCCTCCCATGGGGTTACAGCTAGAGAATCTTGTATAAAATATTTTTCCTTGATCAACGTAATATATGCATGTAGCAGAAAATCAAATAGAATAGACTGGCTTATAAAATAAAGTGAGAGTCTGTCACCTCCCCACTTTCTACTCTCCAAGGGCAATCATGTTTAACTATTTCTGTGTCTAGTTTTTTTGAGTGTTAGATACGGATCTGAGTGATCTATTTTTAGGACTAATTCTTGATGTATAGGCTTTAGCTATTCTCAGTTTAATGTCTTACTGATTGAAAAGAATACTTTTTAATATCTTCTTCCTCTCTTCTCAATTTTTGATGGCTATATCACTATTTTTTTGCCTCAAATTGTTACTTTTGTAACTAAAAATGAAATCCATAAGCCCTCATTTTGTGTTCCATACATTTTTGAAAATATAGACTGAATTCCCAACTTGTAAAACAAGAATTTAAAACACATCTATCCTTCCATTTCCCTCCCATCTTCCAATCTATTTTAAACATTTAAGTATAGCTCTTGTTTTAACTACATGTTGATTATAAAAATTGACAGGCACTAAATATCTTAGCAGGATTATAACTATATAAATATTGCTCATTGGAAAGTCAAAGACTATGTCATAGTCACATTTCATTGTCTGCGGTTCCCACCACCCTTCCTTCTGTCCTTGAAATCACAGTGTTCCTAGTATCAGTTACTGTCTCTAGTAAAAATTACAGTCCCTGATGAAATCTGTTTTTTCTTTCCCTGTACATGCATTAAAATCATTCCATATTTTGGTTTGGTTTGTATTTGGGCCATGATTGTGTATTTATTTCCTGGAATTTCTTACTTTCTTTTCTTACAGTTGAAAGAGTTATAACCTATCATGGTGTGCCTAATTCATCTGCAGGCTCTTCTGATTCTCCTTTGCTTAATAAACATCTCCATCTTTTGAAGATATTTACTCGCATCCCACTAACCCCACATTCTAATTTGGGCTCGCTGTTTTGTGAGCCTGCTGCTTAGCTGCTGTCTCGGGATTTCATCTTATTGGATTCATAATTTCCACGTTTCCCCCTTTTAGTGATGGACTATATGCTTGAGTAATATCCTCAGAAAAAGTGAATAAGAAGTAAGCTTCCCAAATTTTGTTTGATTTTGGTTTGCTCAAAATATGACTCTGTGTGCGTGTATGTGTTCATGGGTGTGTGTGTGTGTTTCTTAAATTCATCCTTTGTTGTAATTTTTATTTATTTATTTATTTATTTATTTATTTATTTATTTATTTATTTGACAGTTTTGCTCTTGTTGCCCAGGCTGGAGTGCAATGGCGAGATCTTGGCTCACTGCAACCTCCGCCTCCCAGGTTCAAGCGATTCTCCTGCCTCAGCCTCCTGAGGCATGTGCCACCACGCCCAGCTAATTTTGTATTTTTAGTAGAGACATGGTTTCAACATGCTGGCCAGGCTGGTTTCAAACTCCTGATCTCAGGTAATCCACCCATCTCGCCCTCCCAAAGTGTTGGAATTACAGGAGTGAGCCACTGCTCCCGGCATTGGGGTTTCGATCCTGTTATTTATTTCTCTAATAGTTTCCTCCTCTACATTCTCTCTGCTTGCTCTCTCTCTGGACTAATCTTCTATATTTTTTCATTTTTTGTCCTGGTATTTTCTTTCCCTTTCTTTTTGCTCCACATTCTGAAATTTATCAAACCTTTAAATATTGTTATAGCAATCATGTTTTCATATTCTAAGAATATTTGTGTCTTGTCTGTTCATTTCTTAACAATCTGTTCTTGTTTTATAGGTGACGTACCCTTTTGGCTTTCTGATAATCCCAATCACATTTTTTTCAATAACTTTAAAAATTAAAATGTTTCGGGCCCACGCGGTGGCTCACGCCTGTAATCCCAGCACTTTGGGAGGCCGAGGTGGGCAGATCACCAGGTCAGGAGATCAAGACCATCCTGGCTAACATGGTGAAACCCCGTCTCTACTAAAAAATACAAAAAATTAGCCAGGCTTGGTGGCGGGCACCTGTAGTCCCAGCTACTCGGGAGGCTGAGGCAGGAGAATGGCATGAATCCAGGAGGCGGAGCTTGCAGTGAGCCGAGATCATGCCACTGCACTCCAGCCTGGGTGAGAGAGCGAGACTCCGTCTCAAAAAAAAAAAAAAAAAAAAAAAATTAAAATGTTTCAAAATAATTTGGATTCGTCTGCAATAGTAAGAAATGACACACAGAGATCCCGAGGACACTTCATCCAGTTTCCCCCCAAAATATTTGCAAAACTATAGTTTAATATCACAACCAGGACACTGACAATTCACTCATTCTTATTTTCTCAGTTTTAAGTGAACGTGTGCACGTATCTTTAGTGTGCCTTTAGTTCTGTGCAATTTTATCACGTGTGGGTTTGTGTATCCACTACTACAGTCGTGACACTGAATCACCACAAGGATCCCTCATGGTGCCTTTTTACAATCTCCTGCCTTCATCCAAATCTCTTCCATCTCTACCTGACAACCACTAATCTGCTCTCCTTTTTTTACAATTTTGCCATTTTGAAATGTTATATGAACGAAAACTGTTCATTGGTACATTATGTTACATTTTTGGATTTGTTGTTTTTTCCTACTCAGTATACATTTTGTGGGAATTTATTCAAATTGTTATATACATTAATATTTTGTTCCTTTTTATTGTCAAGTGGTATACTATGGTATGTATGTAACAGTGCATTCCTTTTTATTGTTGAGTACTATTCCACAATCTATATGTAGCACAGTTTATTTAACTATTCACCAGCTGAAGAACATCTAGGCTATTTCCCATTTTTATTATTGTGAGTAAAGCTGGTATGAAGATTCATGTACAGGTTTTGTGTGAGCATGTTTATTTCTCGAACAGACACCCAAAAGTGCAATTGCTGGGTCATGTGCTAATTGCATGTTTAGTTCTATAAGAAACTGCCGAACTATTATGAGTGATCTGGTTTCTTCACATCCTCATCAGCATTCTGTGTTGTTACTTTTTTTTTTTATAGATGTGTAGTAATATCTCATTGTACTTTTTTTTTTTTTTTTGATATGGAGTCTCACTCTCTTGCCCAGGCTGGAGTGCAGTGACGCTATCTTGGCTCACTGCAAGCTCCACCTCCTGGGTTCACGCCATTCTCCTGCCTCAGCCTCCCGAGTAGCTGGGACTACAGGCGCCCACCACCACACCCAGCTAATTTTTTTTGTATTTTTAGTAGAGACAGGGTTTCACCGTGTCAGCCGGGATGGTCTCGATCTCCTGACCTGGTGATCCGCCTGCCTCGGCCTCCCAGAGTTTTGGGATTACAGGCGTGAGCCGCTGCACCCAGCCCATTATACTTTTAATTTGCATTTCTGTCATGGCTAAAATGATGCTGAACATCTTTTCCTGTGCATATTTGTCATCTGCATATCCTCTTTGGCAAAATGTCTCTACATGACTTGTGCTCATTTTCTAATTGGATTGTTGGTTTTTTACTGCTGAGTTTGAGAGTTCTTTAGATTTTCTAGATGTTAGTCTTTTATTGGATAGGTGGTTTGCAAATATTTTCTCCCAGTTGGCAGCTTTCCTTTTAGCCTCTTTATAGGGGCTTTAGAGAGCAAAAGTTTAAATACTGATAAAGTCCAAATTATTAATTTTTTTCTTTTTTCCTTTTAATTCATGGTTTTGGTGTCAAGCCTAAGAAATTATTGCTAGCCCTAGGTCTGGAAGATTTTCTCCTATGTTTTTATTTTCTAAAAGTTGTATATGTCTACATTTTACATTTAAATCCACCATCCATTTCGAGTTAATTTTTGTTTAATGTGTGAGGTTTCAGTTGAGGCTTTTTTTTTTTTTTTTTTTTTTTTTTGCCTATGAATGTCCAGTTGCTCCAGTACCAATTGTGGGAAAGACCATACTTCTTTTAGTGCATTGCTTTTGGACCTTTGCCAAAGTCCATTGGACATATTTGTGTGGGCCTATTTCTGGATACTCTATTCTGTCTCACTCATCTATGGGTTTCTCCCTCTGCCAATGTAATACTGTCTTGATTACTGTAGCTATACAGTAAGCCTTAATATGTGATACAGTGACTCCTCCTACTTTATTCTTCTTTGTCAAGGTTGTTTTAATTATTCTACGGCTTGTACCTTTCCATATAAATTTTAGAATAAGCTCATCTATGTCCATAGAAACCCTTGCTTGGATTTTGCTAGGAATTACATTAAACGTATAGATCACTACAGGGCAGAACTGACATCTTTACTATATCTAGTCTACCAATTCATGCACACCACATATATCTCCATTTATCTAGGTCTTCCTTGATTTCTTTTAACAGCATTTTGTAATTGTCAGCATACATACGCCATATATGTTTTGTTAAGTGTATTTCATTTTCTTTGGAGTGACTGTAAATGGTATTGTACTCTCCATTTTGATTCCCGCATGTTCATTGTTAGAATATAGAAATACATTTGGTTTTTTTTTGTTTCTTTTGTATGCTATGACCTTACTGAACTTATTAGTTCTAGGTATTCTTTTGTGGATTCCTTGGAATTTTATACATAGACAATCATGTCATCTGCAAATAGAGACAATTTTACCGCTTCCTTTCCAATCTGTATGTTTTTTACTTCATTTTCTTGATTCATTTCAGTATCTAGAACTGTCAACACTATTTTGAATAAGAGTGGTGGAAATGAACATTCTCACCTTACACATGATCTTGGGGTAAAGCATTTAGTCTCTTGCCATTAAGTCTGTTGCTAGTTGTAGGATTTTGGTAGATGTTATTTTTCTTTTTCTTTTTTTTTTTATTATACTTTAAGTTTTAGGGTAAATGTGCACATTGTGCAGGTTAGTTACATATGTATACATGTGACAAGCTGGTGCGCTGCACCCACTAACTCGTCATCTAGCATTAGGCATATCTCCCGATGCTATCCCTCCCCCCTCCCCCCACCCCACAACAGTCCCCAGATTGTGATATTCCCCTTCCTGTGTCCATGTGATCTCATTGTTCAATTCCCACCTATGAGTGACAATATGCGGTGTTTGGTTTTTTGTTCTTGCGATAGTTTACTGAGAATGATGATTTCCAACTTCATCCATGTCCCTACAAAGGACATGAACTCATCATTTTTTATGGCTGCATAGTATTCCACGGTGTGTATGTGCCACATTTTCTTAATCCAGTCTATCATTGTTGGACATTTTGGTTGGTTCCAAGTCTTTGCTATTGTGAATAATGCCACAATAAACATACGTGTGCATGTGTCTTTATAGCAGCATGATTTAGTCCTTTGGGTATATACCCAGTAATGGGATGGCTGGGTCAAATGGTATTTCCAGTTCTAGATCCCTGAGGAATCGCCACACTGACTTCCACAATGGTTGAACTAGTTTACAGTCCCACCAACAGTGTAAAAGTGTTCCTATTTCTCCACATCCTCTTCAGCACCTGTTGTTTTCTGACTTTTTAATGATTGCCATTCTAACTGGTGTGAGATGGTATCTCATTGTGGTTTTGATTTGCATTTCTCTGATGGCCAGTGATGATGAGCATTTTTTCATGTGTTTTTTGGCTGCATAAATGTCTTCTTTTGAGAAGTGTCTGTTCATGTCCTTTGCCCACTTTTTGATGGGGTTGTTTGTTTTTTTTCTTGTAAATTTGTTTGAGTTCATTGTAGATTCTGGATATTAGCCCTTTGTCAGATGAGTAGGTTGTGAAAATTTTCTCCCATTTTGTAGGTTGCCTGTTCACTCTGATGGTAATTTCTTTTGCTGTGCAGAAGCTCTTTAGTTTAATTAGATCCCATTTGTCAATTTTGTCTTTTGTTGCCATTGCTTTTGGTGTTTTAGACATGAAGTCCTTGCCCATGCCTATGTCCTGAATGGTAATGCCTAGGTTTTCTTCTAGGGTTTTTATGGTTTTAGGTCGAACGTTTAAGTCTTTAATCCATCTTGAATTGATTTTTGTATAAGGTGTAAGGAAGGGATCCAGTTTCAGCTTTCTATATATGGCTAGCCAGTTTTCCCAGCACCATTTATTAAATAGGGAATCCTTTCCCCATTGCTTGTTTTTCTCAGGTTTGTCAAAGATCAGATAGTTGTAGATATGCGGCGTTATTTCTGAGGGCTCTGGTCTGTTCCATTGATCTATATCTCTGTTTTGGTACCAGTACCATGCTATTTTGGTTACTGTAGCCTTGTAGTATAGTTTGAAGTCAGGTAGCGTGACGCCTCCAGCTTTGTTCTTTTGGCTTAGGATTGACTTGGCAATGCAGGCTCTTTTTTGGTTCCATATGAACTTTAAAGTAGTTTTTTCCAATTCTGTGAAGAAAGGCATTGGTAGCTTGATGGGGATGGCATTGAATCTGTAAATTACCTTGGGCAGTATGGCCATTTTCACGATATTGATTCTTCCTACCCATGAGCATGGAATGTTCTTCCATTTGTTTGTATCCTCTTTTATTTCCTTGAGCAGTGGTTTGTAGTTCTCCTTGAAGAGGTCCTTCCCATCCCTTGTAAGTTGGATTCCTAGGTATTTTATTCTCTTTGAAGCAATTGTGAATGGGAGTTCACTCATGATTTGGCTCTCTGTCTGTCATTGGTGTATAAGAATGCTTGTGATTTTTGTACATTGATTTTGTATCCTGAGACTTTGCTGAAGTTGCTTATCAGCTTAAGGAGATTTTGGGCTGAGACAATGGGGTTTTCTAGATATACAATCATGTCATCTGCAAACAGGGACAATTTGACTTCCTCTTTTCCTAATTGAATACCCTTTATTTCCTTCTCCTGCCTAATTGCCCTGGCCAGAACTTCCAACACTATGTTGAATAGGAGTGGTGAGAGAGGGCATCCCTGTCTTGTGCCAGTTTTCAAAGGGAATGCTTCCAGTTTTTGCCCATTCAGTATGATATTGGCTGTGGGTTTGTCATAGATAGCTGTTATTATTTTGAAATACGTCCCATCAATACCTAATTTATTGAGAGTTTTTAGCATGAAGGGTTGTTGAATTTTGTCAAAGGCCTTTTCTGCATCTATTGAGATAATCATGTGGTTTTTGTCTTTGGCTCTGTTTATATGCTGGATTACATTTATTGATTTGCGTATATTGAACAAGCCTTGCATCCCAGGGATGAAGCCCACTTGATCATGATGGATAAGCTTTTTGATGTGCTGCTGGATTTGGTTTGCCAGTATTTTATTGAGAATTTTTGCATCAATGTTCATCAAGGATATTGGTCTAAAATTCTCTTTTTTGGTTGTGTCTCTGCCTGGCTTTGGTATCAGAATGATGCTGGCCTCATAAAATGAGTTAGGGAGGATTCCCTCTTTTTCTATTGATTGGAATAGTTTCAGAAGGAATGGTACCAGTTCCTCCTTGTACCTCTGGTAGAATTCGGCTGTGAATCCATCAGGTCCTGGACTCTTTTTGGTTGGTAAGCTATTGATTATTGCCACAATTTCAGCTCCTGTTATTGGTCTATTCAGAGATTCAACTTCTTCCTGGTTTAGTCTTGGGAGAGTGTATGTGTTGAGGAATTTATCCATTTCTTCTAGATTTTCTAGTTTATTTGCTTAGAGTTGTTTGTAGTATTCTCTGATGGTAGTTTGTATTTCTGTGGGATCGGTGGTGACATCCCCTTTATCATTTTTTATTGCATCTATTTGATTCTTCTCTTTTTTTCTTTATTAGTCTTGCTAGTGGTCTATCAATTTTGTTGATCCTTTCAAAAAACCAGCTCCTGGATTCATTAATTTTTTTCAAGGGTTTTTTGTGTCTCTATTTCCTTCAGTTCTGCTCTGATTTTAGTTATTTCTTGCCTTCTGCTAGCTTTTGAATGTGTTTGCTCTTGCTTTTCTAGTTCTTTTAATTGTGATGTTAGGGTGTCAATTTTGGATCTTTCCTGCTTTCTCTTGTGGGCATTTAGTGCTATAAATTTCCCTCTACACACTGCTTTGAATGTGTCCCAGAGATTCTGGTATGTTGTGTCTTTGTTCTCGTTGGTTTCAAAGAACATCTTTATTTCTGCCTTCATTTCGTTATGTACCCAGTAATCATTCAGGAGCAGGTTGTTCAGTTTCCATGTAGTTGAGCGGTTTTGAGTGAGATTCTTAATCCTGAGTTCTAGTTTGATTGCACTGTGGTCTGAGAGATAGTTTGTTATAATCTCTGTTCTTTTACATTTGCTGAGGAGAGCTTTACTTCCAAGTATGTGGTCAATTTTGGAATGGGTGTGGTGTGCTGAAAAGAATGTATATTCTGTTGATTTGGGGTGGAGAGTTCTGTAGATGTCTATTAGGTCCTCTTGGTGCAGAGCTGAGTTCAATTCCTGGGTATCCTTGTTGACTTTCTGTCTCGTTGATCTGTCTAATGTTGACAGTGGGGTGTTAAAGTCTCCCATTATTAATGTGTGGGAGTCTAAGTCTCTTTGTAGGTCACTCAGGACTTGCTTTATGAATCTGGGTGCTCCTGTATTGGGTGCATATATATTTAGGATAGTTAGCTCTTCTTGTTGAATTGATCCCTTTACCATTATGTAATGGCCTTCTTTGTCTCTTTTGATCTTTGTTGGTTTATCAGAGACTAGGATTGCAACCCCTGCCTTTTTTTGTTTTCCATTTGCTTGGTAGATCTTCCTCCATCCTTTTATTTTGAGCCTATGTGTGTCTCTGCACGTGAGATGGGTTTCCTGAATACAGCACACTGATGGGTCTTGACTCTTTATCCAATTTGCCAGTCTGTGTCTTTTAATTGGAGCATTTAGTCCATTTACATTTAAAGTTAATATTGTTATGTGTGAATCTGATCCTGTCATGATGTTAGCTGGTGATTTTGCTCGTTAGTTGATACAGTTTCTTCCTAGTCTTGATGGTCTTTACATTTTGGCATGATTTTGCAGTGGCTGGTACTGGTTGTTCCTTTCCATGTTTAGTGCTTCCTTCAGGAGCTCTTGTAAGGCAGGCCTGGTGGTGACAAAAATCTCTCAGCATTTGCTTGTCTGTATTTTATTTCTCCTTCACTTATGAAGCTTAGTTTGGCTGGATATGAAATTCTGGGTTGAAAATTCTTGTCTTTAAGAATGTTGAATATTGGCCCCCACTCTCTTCTGGCTTGTAGGGTTTCTGCCGAGAGATCCGCTGTTAGTCTGATGGGCTTCCCTTTGAGGGTAACCCGACCTTTCTCTCTGGCTGCCGTTAACATTTTTTCCTTCATTTCAACTTTGGTGAATCTGACAATTATGTGTCTTGGAGTTGCTCTTCTCGAGGAGTATCTTTGTGGCGTTCTCTGTATTTCCTGAATCTGAACATTGGCCTGCCTTGCTAGATTGGGGAAGTTCTCCTGGATAATATCCTTCAGAGTGTTTTCCAACTTGGTTCCATTCTCCCCATCACTTTCAGGTACACCAATCAGATGTAGATTTGGTCTTTTCACATAGTCCCATATTTCTTGGAGGCTTTGCTCATTTCTTTTTATTCTTTTTTCTCTAAACTTCCCTTCTCGCTTCATTTCATTCATTTCATCTTCCATTGCTGATACCCTTTCTTCCAGTTGATCGCATCAGCTCCTGAGGCTTCTGCATTCTTCACATAGTTCTCGAGCCTTGGTTTTCAGCTCCATCAGCTCCTTTAAGCACTTCTCTGTATTGGTTATCCTAGTTATACATTCTTCTAAATTTTTTTCAAAGTTTTCAACTTCTTTGCCTTTGGTTTGAATGTCCTCCCGTAGCTCAGAGTAATTTGATCGTCTGAAGCCTTCTTCTCTCAGCTCGTCAAAGTCATTCTCCATCCAGCTTTGTTCCGTTGCTGGTGAGGAACTGTGTTCCTCTGGAGGAGGAGAGGTGCTCTGCTTTTTAGAGTTTCCAGTTTTTCTGTTCTGTTTTTTCCCCATCTTTGTGGTTTTATCTACTTTTGGTCTTTGATGATGGTGATGTACAGATGGGTTTTTGGTGTGGATGTCCTTTCTGTTTGTTAGTTTTCCTTCTAACAGACAGGACCCTCAGCTGCAGGTCTGTTGGAGTACCCTGCAGTGTGAGGTGTCAGTGTGCCCCTGCTGGGGGGGTGCCTCCCAGTTAGGCTGCTTGGGGGTTAGGGGTCAGGGACCCACTTGAGGAGGCAGTCTGCCCCTTCTCAGATCTCCAGCTGCGTGCTGGGAGAACCACTGCTCTCTTCAAAGCTGTCAGACAGGGACATTTAAGTCTGCAGAGGTTACTGCTGTCTTTTTGTTTGTCTGTGCCCTGCCCCCAGAGGTGGAGCCTACAGAGGCAGGCAGGCCTCCTTGAGCTGTTGTGGGCTCCACCCAGTTCCAGCTTCCAGGCTGCTTTGTTTACCTAAGCAAGCCTGGGCAATGGTGGGCGCCCCTCCCCCAGCCTCGCTGCCGCCTTGCAGTTTGATCTCAGACTGCTGTGCTAGCAATCAGCAAGACTCCGTGGGCATACGACCCTCCCAGCCAGGTGCCAGATATAATCTCGTGGTTCGCCGTTTTTTAAGCCCGTCGGAAAAGCGCAGTATTCGGGTGGGAGTGACCCGATTTTCCAGGTGCCTGTCCGTCACCCCTTTCTTTGACTCTGAAAGAGAACTCCCTGACCCCTTGCGCTTCCCAAGTGAGGCATTGCCTCGCCCTGCTTCGGCTTGCACACGGTGCACGCACCCACTGACCTGCGCCCACTGTCTGGCACTCCCTAGTGAGATGAACCCGGTACCTCAGATGGAAATGCAGAAATCACCCGTCTTCTGCGTCGCTCAAGCTGGGAGCTGTAGACAGGAGCTGTTCCTATTCGGCCATCTTGGCTCCTCTCGATGTTATTTTTCAAGATGAGGAAATTCCCCTCTGCTCTTACCTTACTGAATTTTTTTTATATCATTACTCTGTGTAGGATTTTGTCTAATAATTTTCTGCCTCAATTGGTATGATCATATGCCTTTTCTTATGTAGCTTATCGATATGGTAGATTACACTGATTAATTTTTGAATGTTGAACAAGCTATGCATACCTTCAATTAAAGGTATTAGAATAAATACAATATTCAATTGAATAAGTTCATGTTGGTCGTGGTGTACAATTCTTATTATATATATTGTTGGATTCAGTTTGTTAAGTTTTTCTCTTCACAGAGAAATTAAGAAGCATCTTCCTTCTTTTTAAAAATGTATTATTATTATTATTATTTAAATAGAGATGAGTTCTTACCATGTTGCCCAGGCTAGTCTCAAACTTCTGCAGTCAAGTAGTCCTCCCACCTTGGCTTCCCAAAGTACTGGGATTACCAAAGTACTGGGATTACAAGTGTGAGCTACTGCTCTCAGCCTTCCTTCTTTTTAAAGCACTAATTAGTAAACTCTTCTACTACTTCATTTATAAACAACATGGCACTTAAAACTTTACCTTTATCTCTGATATTAAGGTCTTCCTTTCCACCCTCACCCATGTGAATCTAGTGCCATGAGCCTGTGTACTGGCTGTGATGGACAGCTAAGTCAATCCAAGCCTCAGCCAAAGGTGGAATGAGACTCAAATGAGGAATGTGATAAAACTTGAGAAGGGCCAGCAGCAAGGTTTTCAAATGCCAAAAACCTCATCTATCAGATAGGCTCACAGGGCAGGCAGGACACAAAGAAACAATGCCATTTTCTTTTTCATATCAAAAGGCTCTCTATAGCCAGGCAAGTACCTACTGTGTAAATCTCAGGAAGGAATCTACTTTGTATAATCGATTGTCAGGTCAAATTCCCTTGAAGCACACCCCACGACAGGGTTTTAAATGCACATGATGAATTGAGGGAGTGTTCTTAAGGAAAAGTCCTGTAAAGTGGACATGAAGCAGATGAAAAAGGGGCAATAACTGAGCACGGATGTGGTCTCACATCCACAAGGGCTCTGGGGCATAAATTGTACAACACAGCCATATTGCCTTATGGCAAGGGCTGACCTTGTGTGTGTACTCTCATGTCACTCAGCCATTGGTTCTGACCTTCTTTGGGATACAGGATGATACTTGAGACCTTGTCAAATAAAATCCATTTCCATAGAGTAGAAGGCCATCTGTGAGTTGTTACAGCTGACCTTCACAGCAGCCTGCTGAAGGACACTGGGTGGGGCACTAAACAATGTCTAACATAGTCCATTCCTTGTACTGCTCAGATCCACTTGTTTCCTGCATTCCATTCTTTCCAGCCAGCATCCATGCACAACTCTACCAGGATTCTGTGTTCACAATTCCTAGGGAAATTTACAATAGGGGGG
Organism: Homo sapiens; assembly: GCF_000001405.40. NCBI lineage: Eukaryota > Metazoa > Chordata > Mammalia > Primates > Hominidae > Homo > Homo sapiens. The sequence goes on from NC_000009.12 coordinate 82,776,821, forward strand.
TTTGTGGGATAAACTACAGGATCTGGTAGTCCTAACAGGCCCTGAATAAACTACTGGGACCCAAGACCCAAAACCATAGTTGGACCCAAGACCATGGTGGATATTATTATTTCCATTCCCTATCACCTATTCTAGGTTTCTCTCTCAGCTCAGGGTTCGGCTGTTCTAGCTCACCTTTTTTGGTGGGATGATCCAGATGCTCATCACTGAGGGGGTCTCAGGCCCTTAAAGGCCATGGTTTCTGCACTTGACCATTTACAGTTAAAAGTGCGCATAGCAGTACCAAGAGATGGCCTAGTAGACTATTTTAATGCCAAACATATTCTTCTCTGCCCCATTATTTAGCAGCATTTCTACTACTTATGCTAATCAGAGACAATAATCCCTGCCTGTGTGGTAACTCTTTTCTGTGCCTCCTAGCACCATGAGCTCACAGTGAACAAGCAGCAGACTTCATTTTAAATTGAGTTAGACTCTGATTGTGTCCTCTGGTAGAAGTGTCTCCCCATCTGGGAACTGGCACAATCAGACTGTAAGTTCTGAGAATGAGAAGCACAAATTCCCCCCAAAAAGGTCTCTTGAAATCATAAAGAGCAGGACAACTTCTACTTCCACTCTTTGGTTCATGAACTCGCATAATCTATCTACTTGGGACTCAGATCCACATAGGAGCCCCCTCCATCTGTGCCTTGATATTCTGAGAGGCAATGGAACGCAAATGCAGTGCTGGGGAAATTGGGAGTGAGTGCCTTGGGCTGGTCCCTGAGATAAGGATCTGAATGTAAGAGGCTTATGTGGGTGGTGATTACAGGAAGCTCTCCTAGAGGAGTGGGGAGATGAAACAGGGAAGAAGAGGAAACTAATACACAGGCATTAATGAACAGGTTCGTGCTGTGGGCAACTTTCAACAAATCCCAATAAGGACCTATGGAGAAAGTGTGGATATACCTTGGAGTTTGCCACCTGAGGGGCCAGTAAACTGGAGTATTTAGTGCCCAATTCCCACCCAAAATTGGTTGAGGGCTATTCTTTAGCATTCCATTTTGCCCCGCATGAAGGTGAGAGAGAGAAAGCCCTCCGGTAGAGTTGTAGAAGTTGGCCGTGAGACACTGTTGGTATATGTGGGAATGGTGAATGCCAAGGGGATATGGTGGACGCACTTACAGCACCTACTGTAGGTAGGTACTCTAAATACAACGAAATTATGTTTCTATCACCCTATGCAACAGGAGCTTGTAAGATATTTTGCTTGAGTTATTTAAGGAGAAAGAAAGTTATATTTCTTATATACTGAATTTTGTGAATGGATATTTATATACCTTACAATTGCATTCATAGTTCACTTCCCATTTTCATTTGGGAAAATCAGTTCAGAATGTTGCTATGTACACCACTAGAGCCATGCAGAGAACTGGCCTGGCGTCGAAGAGCCACAATACAGCTCCCAGTGGGCCTTGTTTTCCTTCTTGGTAAAAAGGCAAATACCTAATTCCAAGTTCAGTTTCTGTAAAAAGCATTAAAGTTCTAGGGTAAGAGGAACTACAAAATGACACCATAAAAGTTGACAGATCTCAGTTTACCGGTAAAGAAGGACAAATGGCACATATCAGAACAGTATTAGCCAAGATCATGTAATTACAGATATCTAATAAATTAATTTAATGATCAATAATTTGAAATGTTAAAAGCACATGTGAGGATCAAATAAAATGGAATAAATTCAAAGAGTGTTTTAGACTTTTAAGGAAATTATGGGCAAATGATTTCTGCAGCAACCATACAGCAAACAAAACAACCCCAGACTTCATAAACACTCTGAACTGAGTATGAAACTCTAAGGCAAACCAGACACAGCATATTCCATGTTTAAGGGCACAATAGTAATTTTAGTTTACTTATTTTAGAGGAATAAGCACAAAGAGCTTCAACAAAGACAATGATATGGTATAGTGGACTGAATATAATACTTAGAAGATCTGGGTTTTTGGTCCTATCTTCACCACTTACATAGCTAGGAAAACTTGAGGAGGTTTCTAAATCACTGAACCTATTTCCTGGAAATAACAATGATACCTTTCTACATACACGTGTTAGTCCATTCTGCCATTGTTATAAAGAAATACCCAAGCCTGGTGCAGTGGGTGGTTCATGCCTGTAATCCCAGCATTTTGGGAGGCAGAGGTGGACAGATCACTAGAGGTCAGGAGTTCAAGATCAGCCTGGCCAACACAGTGAGACCCCCCTCTCTACAAAAAAAATAACAATTAGCTGAACGTGGTGATGGGCACCTGTAGTCTCAGCTACTCGGGAGGCTGAAGCAGGAGAATTGCTTGAGCCTAGGAGATGGAGGTTGCGGAGATTGCACCACTGCACTTCAGCCTGGGCAACAGAGCAAGATTCCATCTCAAAGAAAAAAAGAGGTTTAATCGGCTCATGGGTCTGTAGGCTTTGCAAGAAGTATAGCAGCATCTGGTCCTGGGGGGCCCCAGGAAGTTTACAATCATGGCAGAAGATGAACAGGGATCAGGCACATCACATGGAGAAAGCAAGAGCGAGAGAACAAGGGGGGAGGTGCTACATACTTTTAAAGACCAGATCTCATGAGAACTCACTCATTATCATGAGGATGGTACCAAGTGGGATGGTGCTAGACCATTCATGAGAAACCCACCTCCATAATCCAATCATGTCCCACCAGGCCCCACCTCCAATATTGGGGATTACATTTCAATACGAGATTTGGGCTGGGACACACATCCAAACTGTATCAATGCATTATTACAAAGTTATATAAACTGAGATAATATATGTAATAGTACTTCGTAAACCATGTATGTTCAACATGATTAAAGCCTCTGTTTATGTTTCAATGATAAAATTGTGGAGACAATTCACCAGAAACAACAAATAAAATTTTATACCATGCAATTAGAAAGAAAGATGGGTTCTAAGTAGTAAAGGTAATCTTGTGTAGACTATTAATAAAAGGAAGTTTTGTCTGAATCACTGTGGTAGAGACTTCCAGTGCTTACATTTATCCTGTCTCTTCTTCTTCTAGACACGTGGGAAGATTACCTTTCTCTGATGTCTTGGGATTGAACTGAGCTATGTGGCTAGTTACAGGCCAATAGGCTGTTAGCAGATGTGACATCTAACACAACTAGGCTGCAGTTTGAAATAAATACCAGTGCACAGCCTCCAGAATTCCTCCCCTGCTAAGGTGACTGAGAAGACCTCAGCTGAGATGGTGGGAAAAAAAAATATTCAAGCAGCTTGGATAACGAAGTTCCTAAATGGAAGAACATTGTCCCAGAGAGTCACTTGAACCCAGAATAGATTTACGTGATCAGACAATAAACCTCTATGACACCCTGAGTTTATTTTGTTTTTTGATTTTGTTACTGCAGCATAACTCAACATACCCTGACTGGTATAGTCATGGAGATTATCATCAGGATCTCCTATGCTCCTGCATATGACACAGCCAGAGTTCTGCAGACATTTAACTTTGGGCATCTAAATATCATAAATGCTGCTAATCAACATGACTTTTTTTGTATTATTCCATTCAATCAATTCACTAACCTGTCTTTAGGCTACGTCTTCACAATGCTAGAAAAATCATTGGTTTAGTCAATTCATCATTAAACAAGAAAAAAAGTTACTTTTCTTCACTCCCTCATGTGCTTTCACAGATGCATTCACAGTCACCACCAAATGTTTCCACTTTCCAAAACTTAAATTATTTATTAAATATGTATGCGGTAAAATGCACCTGGCTAAATTGCAGTGTGGTTTTCCAAGACAAGAAGATGGCAATGACTTTGTCATTATTTATTTATGATCCCATGTTCTTCCAAAAGAATTTGGAACACAAATGATTAATTATTCTCCAATTTCCTTAGCTGGTCTTATTCCACAGGAAACCACATTGCTATGAAACCATCACAAAAATACTGGAGTTAAGTAAAATACATTGGATCAGTCCTTTTATAAATATTATAAAATAATGAATTATATGTCAGTGAAATAAGCATCCAGAAAGATATCTCTACCATTATCACAAAATAGCCACGACTTTGGGCAGATTATTTATAGTCCATGAACATTTCTGTATCTTTATCATTGGGAATGTGTTGGTCATTTCACACATACTATATTGGGAAAGACAGGTAGCACTGGGAAAGGGGAATTTATATAGGGAATAAGAAACCCCAAAGGGCATTAAGCTCATTAGAAAAAAGAAAATAGAGACTTGCAAAATAAAATAAAGAATATATCATTTTTAAATTGCACTGGTGCATCAAAAATCTACATTTGATTTTTAATGTATTACCTTTTTAAAGAACCGACTCAGAAAGAATAACCACCATATGGAGAGAGTTCACCTGGTCGGTTTCTGAAGGGGACACTGTTTCTTGTGTGGCTTTGGATCCCCTCTTTTAAATAAAAAGCACTGTCACTAACTTTTGAGACACAGTTCTGTGGTTTGGAGTTTTGTTTTTGATCCCTGTTCACAGTAAAGACTAAGGGAGTTGTTGTCAAAATGTGGTACCCATACCACCAGCAGCAGCATCACCTGGGAACGTTTTAGAAACATAAACTCAGCCCTATCCAGCCTATTGAATCAGAAACTCGGGGTGGAGCAAGGCACAAGGCCATCTGTTACAACAAGCCCTGCCTGCTGTCCTAACACATGCTAAAGTTTGAGAAATACTAGACAAACACTCTTGCCTTAGAAATCTGCAAAAAAAAAAAAAAAAAAAAAAAAAAAAAAAAAAAAAAAAAAAACCACACACACCTTGATCCATTAAAATGTAAACTTAACATTCAAAGATCGGATATAAACAGAACACTTGTAAGACCTTTCCTAACATTGAAAATCTATATTTTCTGACTCTCTTAGATCGAGATATGATACCCTAAGTTTCAAAATGGAGCCAGTTTTTATATTCAAGTAATAAACTCTTGAAAATATGCAATTTGTATTGAAAGTGCTGGCACAATCTTAAGGATAGCATTGCAAATGGCGATGCTATAATTAAGCTTCGATCTCCTTTGGAAAAAAAGGGAGAGAGAACGTGAAGAAGGAGGTTACTGTTCAATGAACTGCTCTGTCATTTGCCGCGGTGATTCTTAATCGTGTCTCATTACAGCAAGATGATCATTACTCTACTTGTCTGTCTGATTTAGAGACCACTAAAAGTGTCTTGTAACACAGCCGTCTCCCTTGCAACAGTCCTTTGGCTCTCACCCTCATTACTCAGAATCTGTCCAATTATTTGTCATTAAAGTAATAAAAAGGACTGCAGCAGAAAATGTGGGAGGTAACTGTTGGAGGTCTGCCCAGAGAGGAAAAAAAAATACAAACTGTTTTCAAGGCACTGGGAAGGTGACATCGTTAATTAAGTGTTAGGGAATATGCAAATCAGTCCCACTCTCAAGAGACTGTAATAAAACTGAGAAAACATTATTATCAGTGCAAGTAAGAGAAGGCCGCATTACCCCATCTGGAAGACTGTGTCATTTTCTGGTGGTGACTTCAGCAAGGAGGGGAGGGAGCTGGAAAAGAGATAAAGAAGTTGGAGTTTTTCAGGGCCATCGAGTGTGCTCAGGCTGTTAAGAGTTCAGAATTAAGGTGTCAACTTGGAGGGCCAAGGGATTACAACTTTTAATGAGGGATGTTTGTCTAATCTCAGGATTTGCACACCCAATTTCCTCTGCAAAATGACTTACAACTCATCAGTAGGCAGTGTTTTTGTAGGTTAAAGGAAGGGGAGAGGAAGTAAGGGGGAGGCTAGCAGCTGGCGTAGTAGGCATCTTGGGTGTTGTTTTAAAGGCGGTAATGAAGCAAAGCACTTAGAGGGATGTGGACACTTGTTTATTGATTACAAATATCCCAAGCACAAACAGAGACCTCTAGGTCTTTGCTCAAGCTGAAACTTCTGCATGGAATGCTTTTCCCCAGTCCTTCTCCATCTTGTTAACCTAACCAACTCATTTCTCATCTTTTGAAGTTTATAGTGTCAATTCCTCATTAAAAGTATCCCCGATTCCCACCCCAGACAAGTATATCAGAACAAAAACAGTGTGCTTTCTATACAAACTCAACTTCAAAGCAAGTTCTCGTGCTTTCTTATTCCATCTAGGTTGCAGTTATTTATACATAACCTTCCTACATAAAAATAGTGAAGCTATACCCAACCTTGAAGTTTCTCAGACAGACTTTCTTTTGATCACAAGAAAATTAGTCTTCCTCAATAACTGGCAGAAAAAGTCATCTTGCATACTGCATCGGCTAACAATTGGTGCTAAACAAACCTCCCAGGAGTTAGATCCTTAAAATAATATGGATTTATTATTACCCTGGAGTCTATTTGTTCACTGGGCTTGCCTATGAACTTTGGTCACCTGGAGGTTAGCTTAGGTAACTCTGCTATTGGGTAGGCTGGGCTTGGGCACATATCTGGGTTTCTACTGGCTCAAATTTGGCCTGGGAAGGCCTTGGTTTGTACATCTAGGCTTTCCTTCATGGGGTCTTAAGTTCTCCAGTAGGCTAGCATAGGCTTGTGCACAGGCTGGTGACAGAGTTCTAAGAGAGAATGGAAGCATGTAAATCCTCTTAAGACAACTTTTACAACCAGGATATGCTGAGAATTTTCCAAACCATTGAGTGCTGGTTGCTTTTTGCTTAAGTTTCTTCCTCAATTCTTTTCCCTCTTGTAATTTACTATAAGAAGCAAGAAGAAACCAGGCTACATTTTAGCACTTTGCTTGGAAACCTCTTCAGCTAAGTATCCAAATTCATCGCTTAAAAGTTCTATATTTCACACAACTATAGAACATAATTCAGCCATGTTTTCTGTTACTATGTAACAAGCATTTCCTTTCTTCCAGTTTCCAATAACACATTTCTCATTTCCCTCTGAGACCTCACTAGCAGAGTCTTAACATCCAGATTTCTACCAACAGTCTATTCAAGACAATCTAGGCATTTTCTATCATGCATCTCAAAATTTTTCCATCTTCTACCATGATCCAATTCCAGAGTCACTTTTGCGCTTTTTGGTATTTGCTATAGCAGCACCCCACTTCCAGTACCAAAATCTGTATTAGTTTCCTGAGGCTGCTGTAACAAATCAGCACAAACTCCATGGCTTAAAAGAACAGAAGTTTATTCTCTCACCGTTCTGGAGGTGAGAAGTTCAAAATCTAGCAGGGCCGTGCTCCCTCTGTCGCTTTTTGGGAAGAATTCATTCTTTGTGTCTTCGAGCTTCTGGTGGCTCCATGCATTTCTTAGCTTGCCGTCACATCACTCCAATCTCTGCCTCCATGGTCACAATGCCTCCTCTTCTGTGGCTTCTAAGGACACTTGTCATTGGATTTAGGGCCGACCCAGATAATCCAGGATGAAATCCTCATCTCCAGATCTTAGCTTAATTACATTTGCCAAGACTTTTTTTTTTTTTTTTTTTTTTCCAAATAAGATGACATTCATGAGTTCTGGGAATTAGGATATGGAAATATCTTTTTTAGGGCCATCATTTAGCCCAGAACAGTCGCCATCACCTCATGGTTGTAGCTGACTCAGCTGTGATGCTAGTAATAGCTCTAATCCTCCCATTATGCAGATGGAAAAGCATAAGCCTGGGAAAATGATAAATGGCAGGACTCCAAACCAGGACTGCAAAGCATAGCAGCTTGGTTGTTCATTTCATGTTCTCTTCCATTCCTGCCCTACTTCAGTCAATGGCTTGAACTGGGAAAGTGTATAAGGAAACTGCACTTTACTGCAGTGTTCTGAGAACTCAAAAAACATTGGCAGTGAGTGACTTTGAAATCATTAAATCTTGTCCCACATGGCCCAGCCCACACTAATTCATGTAACTTCCTTTTTAGTTATCTTTTGTTACATAACAAAGCAACCCAGAACTTAATGTTTTAAACAACAATTTATTATTTCCCATAAATTGTTGACTAAGCATTCTTCTATTTCACTTGGTATCAGTAGGCTGGCGGTTGACACTGGGTGTTCTCTGGGAGCTCAACTAGGGCTATGGCTGGTGGCCATGGTTCTTCATTTTGTGGGCCTCTTCTTGTAGCTTCCTTACAGTAGAGTGACTTGGTTGCAAGAAAGAGCATCTCAAGAGGAAGAAAGCAGAAGCTGATGATTCTATTAAGGCCTGGCTTAGACACATTAGACTATTAGTTCACAGCATTCTACAGGTCAAAATAGTCAGAAGACCAACCCAGATTTAAAGGGAGGAGAAGTAAACTCCAATTCTCAGTAGAAGAACAATATGAATATTCAGAGATTGGAAGAATTGTTGACAGGTATCTTTGAAGGCCATTTACCACAGGCTTCTTATCTCTACTCTACCAGTAGAGCTACCGTTATGGCTGTACAAGGATATACGGCTGGTTGAAATCCAGCTCATGCTCCACTTACAAGCCATTTGTTTGGCTGGGGCAGGACTGGTTCCATTCATGGAAAGAAATGCCTTTTCCACATTTTCCCTGTGGAGTCATCGTAGCTCTGTCTACCAGTAGACCCGTAAGTTGGCACTGTAGCGTCCACTATTATCATTCAACAAAACCGAGATTGCTAGCACAAGGAATTTGTAAAAGGGATGCTGGCCTTGAGTTCAGAACTCCTTTGTTTCAGACCTTCATGTACTACTTAATAGCCAAGGAGATCTGGGTAACTCACTTAACTCTTTGCAATGGAATTTATTCAACTATAGAATAGAGAATAATTCTTGCTCTTTATCACTCCCACAGTGTGGTGAGAGTCAAATTAAATACATGTAAGACTACTGTGTAAGATATAGGGTACCATAGAAATGTGAGTCTTTATCTATAAAATATGCTCACTCCCACCTTCTTTTGCTGATGCCAGCTCCTATCTTCACTTGGGAACTGAAGCACAGATCAAGGCCCATGACACATTGGCCCAAATAAATCTCCCTACCAGGAACTACTCTACTAGAGGAAATTAGTAAGAATAAGTCATCTTTTTGTGATGACAAGAACTTCAAGTTGAAATAAAGATCATAAGATACTATTTCTTCTGTAACACATTTACTGGGTCCTCTTAACTATCAAACATGAGGAGTTAAGAATCTGTTCTTGTTCCTACACTATTCTATATTTATTTTCCAAAGCTCTCCAGGAGGAAGAATATCACCTGCCCACTCCAAATGAGTGCAATGCATGTTGAAAACACAAGGCACAGGGTAAATGACAGATAATTACCAAGTGCACATTAACATTCTGGCATATTTTGGTGCCACTCTCTGGCATCTTTTTTGTGCTACAGTCCATTGAACTGCATCACTCTGATGACCAAATAATGAATTACAGTCCATTTATGAAAGCATCGTGTGTTTAATGCTAACCTCCTACATCTCCTCAACACCCTGACGATGACAACATATGCAAGCACAAGGTGGGGCTGAATAAATACAATTTCCCATTTTTATAGCTAATAAATATGCTTTGTAGAATGATGCCTCCAAGAATAGTTTTATATTTTTTTCCATGAAAAAGAATTCATCCGCAGAGTGGCCTTGTCATGCATTTGTGTGGTAGAGAATGAACATAGATGCCAAAAGAGAGCTACATTTACCCTTGTGGAATAGGGATAGAATCTATTGTTCAGCAACACATTAATGCAACATGATAGGATCTGAAATACTGCAGTATTGTACTTACTGTCTTTTTTATTAATAATAAGGTGCTACTTACTATTTGCCAAAATCTGTGACAAGTGCCCTCTATTTATTTATTTATTTATTTATTTAATCCTCACCTTAGCCCCTACAAGGTAGTTATTTCTATACCTGTTTTATAGATGAGAAATTTAAGGCTAGAGAGGACACCTAGCCTGTCTAATGTGACTCAGAAAATAAGTGCTAGAACTGGGGTTCAAATCCAAGTCAAACTATCTCCAAATCACGTGTTCTTATATAGCTCATTATATAGTTTTGGCTTCTGGAAAAATAATGTCAGTTGTTCCAGTAAGCTTTTTTATAGAATTCCAAACTCCATGCTCTTTGGGCCAAAGGAAGTAACAAATCCCATCAGTCCTATCACTCTGCACTCCATCTCCAGAGGAGTTCTGGCTTTTATCTCTCATCTGAATTTCAGTAAGTAAGCACCTGTGACTTAGACTTTCCAATCTCAAAAGTGCAGAAATTAGAAGTAGCAAATGTCTAAAATGTGCCAGCCCATTGGAGTTGTCTTTTAGACCACTCAAGCCGACTTTCAAGCCAGATTCTGTAGTATGTAATATACCAGAATATACCAGAACAAGCAAATCCAACTCCAAAAGTATAAGCGAGTTGATGCTAATTTTACTAATTTTTATGGTGATGGAAAATTCACATCACACACCAGATGGCAATAACACAAAAAATTATTAGACATCTTTGTTTCCTCCTTATCATCCAATTTATGCCTACCTGCTCTTTTCTCCTCTATAATCTCTTCAAATGCTCTTTATCAAGTTGATTCTTCTCACAGTTTGAATACCCAGCTCAGTAAAATAAGACTTCATTAGAAAGGAGAGCCAGCTAATAAATAATAATTTTGATTTGTTCTCTCTCATATAAGTTAGTGACAGTCCCAAAGAATTCCAGAAGGCACATTCACATTTATTGAGTGCTATATGTGTAGATGCTTTTGTATAAATCAACAACTAAAAACTAAGACACAAGATCAATACTGTATTACTATCCTCATTTTTACATGGGATGAAATTGAGTCTCAGAGAAGTTAATTTGTCCGTGTTCACACAGTTAATCAGTTGAAAAACCAGACTACGCTCCATCAACATACATTTTTGGCTTAGCACAGAGCCCCCTATAGATAATCAAAATATTTATTGACTAAACTTATACTTGGTACAAATGAACTTAAACCTGTGCTAGAGTATTGCAATCAAGACCATCATTTCAGTAACTAGGTGAGTACTTAAGGATAATAAGAAAAACTACAGTCGGGCTGAGTGCAGTGGTTCATGCCTGTAATCTCAGCACTTTGGGAGGCCGAGGCAGGCAGATCACCTGAAGTCAGGAGTTCTAGACCAGCCTGGCCAACATAGCAAAACCTTGTCTCTACTAAAAAAAAAAAAAAAAAAAAAATTAACCAGGCGTGGTGGCACACGCCTGTAATCCCAGTTACTCAGGAGGCTGAGACATGAGAATTGCTTGAACCCAGGAGGCAGAAGTTACAGTGAGCCGAGATTGCACCACTGCACTCCAGCCTGGGTGACAGAGCAAGACTCTGTCTCAATAAATACATACATACATACATACATAAACACATAAACAAACAAAAACTGCAATTGTAAGGGATAAATTGTATAATATTTGGTAAATGCAAACTCCTTTAAAAGAATTTGGAGGCCAAAATTTCAAAGGGAAAGAAATAGAGCAAGTTTTACATGTGCAGAATAAAGTAAAAAACATAGCCCTAGTTTTGAACACTTGGAGTCACAGTAGTTATCTTTGGCCTTTCCTCATCACTGACAAAAGGGACAAGTTCTGTTTTCCTTCTGACGGCACTGCTATGAAGAACTGCCTGGGCCTGGCGCGGTGGCTCACACCTGTAATCCCAGCACTTTGGGAGGCCTAGGTGGGCAGATCATGAGGTCAAGAGATTGAGAACATCCTGGCCATCATGGTGAAACCCCATCTCTACTAAAAATACAAAACTTAGCCAGGTGTGGTGGCACATGCCTGTAGTCCCAGCTACTGGGAGGCTGAGGCAGGAGAATCGCTTGAACCCAGAAGGTGGAGCTTGCAGTGAGCCAAGATCGCACCACTACACTCCAGCCTGGCAACACAGCGAGACTCTGTCTCAAAAAAAAAAAAAAAAAAAAAGAACTGCCTGAGACTGGGTAATTTACAAAGAAAAGAGCTTTAATTGACTCACAGTTCTGCATGGCTGGGAAGGCCTCAGGAAACTTTCAATCATGGAGAATGTGAAGCAGGAGGCACATCTTACATGGTGGCAAGTGAGAGAGAAAGAGTGCATGAAGAAGGAATATCTCCACACTTATCAAACCATCAGATCTCACGAGAATTCACTCACTATCAGGAGACAACATGGGGGAACCACCCCTATGATCCAATCCCCTCCCACCAGGTCCCCTGACACATGAGGATTATGGGGATTACAATTTGACATGAGATGTGGGTGGGGAAACAGAGCCAAACCATATCCCTCCGCCATCCCTGTTTCCTTTTCTTTACAGCTGTACAAGTAGGCAGTAGTTCTAAGACTCTCACATGATTGGGAGAGGGCAGCAGTGATACCTCCCACTTCTAGGTCTGCCCCATTAACATCTCTTATACAGTCCTTCGTACCTTCTCACCACACTCGCACCTTCTCATGGAGGATTTAGAGGACAGAAAAGTGGTAAGACGGAGTGAACCTGTATCCCTGGATATCTTAGCTTGGGTTCCCTGAAAGCAGAGCCTCTGAAAGGGACTTTGGTACAGGTTGTTTGAGCAGTGATTTATTTCAGCAAGCAGAATGAGGAAGCAGAGATGGTTAGCACGTAGATGAAGGAAGCTACTATTAGGGTGCGTTATTCAGGTTGCTGCTGTGAGCAAGGAAAGCATAGTCCCTGAAATCCCCTGAGAGGCATGCTGAATACCCTGGGAGGGTCTTCCTAAAGATGGAAAAGGTCTGAGCATCTGTGCATCAGCTGTCATCAGCAAAGGGCTGCCTTCAAGGGTGTTAATCCTCCTGTCCTTCTAAGCTGCACAAGCACTAGGATTGCATGGGCACCACCCATGCCTCCCAGAGGGACTGTGGAGTCCAAGGTGACCCAGGGAGAGAACAAGGAAGAGGAGCATTGTGTGGCAGAAGGTGAGATGCTGCCAGCAAGAATTGTTTGTACCTGCCGTAGTTGGAAATCAGAGGCCAGGTCCAAAGGATGTAGATTGGGACCTACAATGTGTCTGCTGAAAAACAATGTGAGCAGAGCTCTCCACTCACCACCCACTCACAAACCGAACCCACAATGGACCATGACATGAGTGAAAAACAAGCTTTTATAGCAGCAAGTCAGAATTTTAGGGCTTTTGTTTTGTCTTGCTATTGAAATGTCTAAGTTAGCCTGATTAATGTTAATGAAAGAGTGGACAACCCAGAACCTATACAGTTTTTTGTTTTTGTCTTAACCATGATAGATGTTTAATGATCATTATTAGTTGGATATTAGCTATTCAGAACCTTAGAGGTAAACTATGATAAAGTAAAAATTATTTTTCTAAACTCATTGGCAAATTGTAAATACAGTATAAATTTCAATGATGCTGAAATTTTTATTTTTCAAATAATCAAGATTTTTAAAGACTAATAATATTCACGATACTGAAAGAAGGGTGATAAAGTAGTTGTATACAACAAATGTTATGGGAAGGATAAATTGGTAAACTTTTCTATAAATTAACTTGGAGACATATGTCAAAAAATTCTAAAAAATCATATTGATATTCTTAGATTCTGAAGATACTTAATCTATTTAAGTCTTGCATTACCCAGGAAAGTATTCAAAATTACTCCTTTGAGCCTTTCAGTAAGCATTTCCTAAGGAAATAGTCATAAATTCAGACAAAGATTAAGGCATAAGGAAATAATACACCATTATTTATAATAGTATACAATTGGAAATGAACTAAATGTTCCACAATTGGAGATTCATTAAATTATAGCACATCCATATAATGGACTATTATGGGCTCATCATAATTTCTGACTTCAAAAATACTTAATGTCCTTGGGAAGTGTTCATGCATAATGTTAAATGAAAAAAGATACAAATTTGCATATGAAATACAGTATGTAATGCAAAATATATATACACAAATTAACAATTGGAGAAAAATGTATTAAAACATTAACTCTATATCAACATTGTAACAATATACCTGCTAGCAATAGAATTGAAGCTAATTTTAATTTTATTAGTTTATTTTCTAAATTTGCTATTGTTTGTTAGTATATATTTCCATTACTATTATAAAATTATTAAAATGTTTTAAATTGCATTTCCTAAGTATATTTTATATGTAATGATGGATCTACTTTGGGTACAAGTTAGGTGTGTTAAAAGAGTTTCCCTGAGACACCTGGAGCTTTTTGCTAGCAAAGCTTGCCACTGGGGGACAAGGTTGTTTAGGCCTCCTCTCCAGCCACAGTGATTCTCTGGTGGTTTTATGCACACATAGCACTACCTCCGTGCCTTCAGACCACTGTTTCCTGTACTTAGAGGGGAACAGGAGTGACTGAGCAGGAAGCATGAGAGAAAGGAGGAAGAAAAGCAAGCATGTGGGTGCATCATCATTGTTACTGTCCTGAGCCAAGACACTTGGTATGTGGGGACCTCCTCAGAAGCCTGCAGGAGGTCCCCCCAGATTTCTCTACCCAAAGGACAAGAGTGAAGAGCATTTAGCCTTCATTCTCCATCTTCTATTGGTTAAGGACTGCTCCAGGAGTCATAACTGTCTTGCATGTCTAAAGTGCATACCCACTGGAGCTGCCTCCCCTCCCTCTGAATCCCCTGAACTTATTCCTGTTTACCACTCAGGATTCACCTCATAGTTTCTTTGGGAAGACTCCCCTGATCATTCTTCACACCACTCTCCAAACACTCTCTTAGGTACCCCTATTACAAACACCCTTAGCATAATGTTCTCCTATAATAAAAATAGCATTGATCACTCATCCTGTAAGTACTGGTTTCCCAAGCTTTCTCTCCCACTATCAGCAATGCAAAGGAAGGGAATAGGTCTTTGGTGTTTGTTCATTTGTTTGTTTGTTCTTTTCATTTCTGTATTCATGACTGTATTCTGTATCCACATAGGACCTGGCAATGATAGGCACTTAATAGATAAATATCAGTTGAATGAATGCAGCAGGCAATGATATTCTTTTAACTAAACATAAACATTATGTCAATATCCCTTACATTGTCTTCAGATGGCTGACTGAGTCACTGCTGTCCTCCTCAGCCACGTCTTTACAACCTCTACTCCTACACAACATCTCACTGAAGTGTCAGATAAGCTGCAGAAAGCAGAACTATATGAAAGCCTGTGCCATCTGTTATTTGTATGCCAAGGTGGACCAAACCCTAAAGAGAACTTAAGCAGTAGAGCATGTAATTATTATAAATTCGTTCCAAATCTGCCCCTCTTCTTAGCTTTACAAGTGTACATATATGTGTATATATATACATATATATATAGATGTGTATATATATATATATATATATATATATATAAAATCCTTCTTTCTACCAGCCTAAATTTGCTATCTCAGTGAGTCCTGCTCTCTGACCTCATCAGTAATAATCCTTTTGGATTGGAGGAGTTAGGACTCCTCAATTCTGATTTGTAAAAGCTACTTTTTTCTTTTTTTGACCTGCTGGCCCTCCCTAAAAACCCCTACTCAAAACAGTCTAAGATTCACTTTAACTTTCTCAATATGCTTTACATATTTTATTTATTAAAAATCCAAAAAGGTATTTTTCAATGTCATATCCATTTTTATTTGTAAAATGACAGAAAGACAATAGTATACTTGATGTTCTTGATTTTTACCCACAGTTATTTCAGTCATATTCTTAGCAAAATTTATTAAGTATCTGCCAAGAATTCTTAACAGGGTCCTCCTATTCTCCTCCTCCACTACATAGCACTCAATCTCTCTGCACAAAACATGTTGAAAACATAGTTAAAGAATATTAATTTGAAAAGACAACAAATTCTTAGCTTTTTCAGAATACCCACAGTTGTAGGTCTGACTGAGCACTTAGCTATACTATGTTTCAGTTATGACTTCAGGTAGGTTATACTTCCTCTACATAGACAGAGGCATGACCCACTATCCTTGCAATCTCAGACACCTTATAGGTAGCCATTTATGACTTACAGAGGGACAATTGGGAGTATCCAATGACCAGATCTTGGAGAAAATCAGACCAATATTGGAACCATTGAACGCTAATGATTTTCTTAATCCATTAAACATTCTTTGCTTATAAACACACTGCTACAAATGACATTCTGCAGTCTAGACCAGGGGTCAGCAAAGTTTTTCTGTAAAGGGTCAGATAGTAAATATTTCAGGCTTTGTGGGCCATTTAGTCTGTTGTAACTACTCAACTTCACTGTTGTAGTGCAAAAGCTACCACAACAAACGAAACGGGCTATGTTTCAATAAAACTTTATCTATTAAAACAGATGGCGGGCTGGATTTGGCCCATAGGCTGCAGTTTGCCAATCCCTAGTCTATACAAATAGCTATTATTCTCAAAAAATCTAAAAGTTCAAAGCAAGACTGTACTGTTTTCAATAATTAAACTTATTTACAAGGATGACATTAGCATGGCTATTTCTTTCATCAAAGCCGCTACATAGAATTAACTTGACCTCCTGCTCTAATATAGAGTGGCCATCAAAATGCAGCAATCAGGCTACTTGGCTCTTTTGCAGTTTTACTGATAGAGCTCCAGGGGTTTTGTGTGTGTGTGTGTGTGTGTGTGTGTGTGTGTGTGTGTGTGTGTGTTTTCCAGCAATACCCAGCAACCCATAGCAAAATTTATGCTAAGTAAGGAAATCTAATTATCTCCAAATAATCAGAATCTGTATATTTTGATTAAAAGTAACAGGAAAAACTAATTTGATTTCCTAATGTGATACACAAAGACAAACTTCCTGTGTCAGGGACTCCCTAGTAATCCTGCTGAAAGGCTGCGCCACTCCAAGTTGGCATCTGCTTAAAGTAGAAGGAAATTATCCTTCTGGAAAAATACAGCCGGCAGATTGTATAAGTATCTGCCCACCTCTACCTTCTCTTGTTCAGGTCATTTCTTGCTGAAACTGGATTTGTACTGATTAGAGGATTATAGGATTATATGTTATAGTTTTCAGAGAAATCAGGATAGAGGCTACTATGCAACCTTACAATGAAAAAGCTATTTCCTATTCAGGGTTTAGTTTCACTCGAAGAAAAGAAAACTAACTATGACTCAGAGGAACTTGAGTGCATGAAAAAATTAGACCAAAGGATGGTAGACCTGGGGTAACAGAGTGTTTGAAGACTTAGTTACTCAGAAGTCAACCCCAATCATGACAGGTGGGCTCCTCTATGCCAGGTTCTTTCACTTGTCAAAATTCATTGGAATCAGTCCTATTTACAATCTTTTCCAAACAGTGGTAAGGAAGAATTAATCTTTTATATCAACTCACACTGATAACCAGTTTGCAAGCATAGTTTACTTTAAACAGAAGTAATGCGTCTGATTCTATTAGGATAATTCAATTTTGGATTTGCATTCTAAGCTAGAGGTTTTTAACCTTATTAGTAGTCTGATGATGACTCTGGATCCTTATCAGAGTAAGGTTTTTAAATTCATAAAGTAAAATACATTAAAAAATACGTGTGAATACAAAGGGAACAAAATTTACTGAAATTCTATTGTCAAAGTGTGTTAGCATCTTTTGTCCACCCCGCTATCTCCACTTCTTCATCTCTACTTTTTCACCTCTTTGTCACTCATTGTTCTCTAATTAAATAGAGATTGGATAACGAAAAATAATCTTTTAAAGAAACCAAGAGCCTCTGCCTTTCTATGATTCCAAGTAGCTTTGAAGTAAAACTGCCAGTAACAGAAGAATGCTAATGAGGTGAGTCTATGTTTTACCTAGAACTAGATTAGGTGAAAGACATTTAGCATTTTCTCACCTCACGTTCTTGGCATAGAATGCATCTCGCTAGTGTAGACTGTAGACATTGGTTTCTGATTCTTCCAACCAACACACCGTACCTGAGGACCCCTGCCCACAATTTGCATCCCAGCTCAGATAATTCAAAACTTCTTCTGGGAACCATCACTGGCTCCCAGGATTTTGGGCAAGATTGCCATCTTCTGTATGCCAATTGTACATTGAACATTAGAGAACTCTTCAAGCTTTATAATAATTCCCTATTTACATGTAAACCTGTCTATCCCCATACATGGTTTTCTCCCAATTCCTTAACATGTGCCAAAACCTTGAACAAATAAAACTATTTGTTGAAAAAAAATTCTAAAAAGGCAGCCCCCAGCCACTGCCACCTCTTCATTATCATTCCTTGCTATTATATCATTCCCCAAAAAACTCTACAAAGTGGGTGGTGTAAGATGTCTTTTTTTAGGATAAGAAAGAACTCAGATTAATGACAAAAATTACTACTTGAAGCCCCAAGATTTTCTTTTATAGTATCTTATTATAACCAGTTCTTGGCCTTATACTAAAGCTGGAGTATAAGATAGATTTCAAACACCCAATAATTTGTGACTCCATGAATATTCATGTCAGCAGAACTCATAATACCTCCAAACTAGACACTACCTAAATGTCCAGTGAAGGCAGAATGTGTGAATAGATTATAATGCATTCATTTAGCAGAATACTAGAGAGTCATGAGAATAAAGAAATTACTTGCAAAGATATGGATGAATCTCACAATAAAATTTGAGTGTAAAAAGCCAGCAAAATATATACATACTAGATGAGTTAATTAAAAATAAGTTAAGTGGGAAAGAATAGCTTTTCCAACAAATGGTGCTCAGATTACTGGATATCTACATGCAAAAATGTAAAATAAAATAAATTTGGATTCCTGCCATACACCATATGCAAAAATTACAATGAAATGAACCAGAGATCAAAATATAGGTGTAAATATTTATGACCTTGGATTAGGCGATTTTTTATGTGATACCAAAAACACACACACACAAATAGATCAGCTGGACATTATCAAAAGTTTTTCAAAGAAAACCATCAAAAAAGTGAAAAGACAATCCAAAGAATGGAAAAATGGTTTTCCAAATTATATATCTGATAAAAGACTTGCATCTAGAACACATGACAAATTATTGCAATTCAATAATAAAATGGCAAATAATCCAAATTAGAAGTGGATAAAGTATCTGAATAGAGGGGTTTCCAAAGAAGATATACAAATGGCCAACAAGCACATGAAAATATGTTCAACATCTTTTCATTAGCCATCAGGGAAATGCAAATAAAAACCACAATGAGGTACCACTTCACACCCACTATGATGGCTATAATTAAAAAGACAGACAATAATAAGCATGGGCAAGGATGTGGAGAAATCTAAATTTTTATACACTGCTGGTTGAAATATAAAATGGTGCCATTGCTTTGGAAAACATTTTGGCAGTTCTTCAAACATTTACACACACAGTTACTATATGGTCAGCAATTCTACTCCTAGGAATATGCCCAAGAGAAATGAAGACAATGAGAAAACACATGTCTACAAAATTTATTAATGGATATTTATAGCAGCACTATTCATAAAATTCAAAATGTGAGAAGAGCCCAAATATTCATTTATAGATGAATGCATAAATAAAAATGTGACATCCTCATACAATGGAATATTATTCAGCAACAAAAAGAACTGAAGCATGCTATGACATGAATGAGCCTTGAAAATATTATGCTAAGTAAAAGAAGCCAGTCATAAACAGCACGTATTTTATTATCTTACTTATATGAATTGTCATAGGCAACTATGATATAGAATAGGTAACTCTATAGAAAATGGAGAATAGATAAGTGGTAACTTAGGGCTGAGGGTAGGGTGGAAGAAGGGGTTGAAGAGTAATGGCTAAGGGGTATGCGGTTTTTGTGGGGATAACAAAAATGTAAAATTGATTTCATTGATGATTGCATAACTCTTTGAATGTACTAAAAGCCATTGGATGGTACACTTTAAATCGGTAAATTGCATACTATGCGAATTATATATCAATAAAGCTGTTTCTTTAAATGGTTGAAACTAATCCACATGTTAAAAGTCAAGAGAGTGGTTACCCTTTGAGGAGGCCAGTGGTAACTTGAAGGAAGCTCAAGAGAGATTTCTGGGATGACAGTGATGTTCTGTTTCTTGATCTGAGTTTAAAAGTACATGAGTATGTTCACTTTGTGAAAATCCATTGATCTGTACCCTTACCACTTGTGTGCCTTTTCGTGTTTGTGTTTTCACTCAACATTGTTTTAACCTGAAAAAATCTATCCAGATGTGGCAGCCAGGAAGATAGTCCCCCAAACTGTCCACATCCTAATCTCAGGAACATGTGACTCTGTTATCTTATATGGCAAAGAAAAATTAAGGTTGTTGTGGAGTTAAGGTTGTTAATGAGCTGATATTAAAATAGAAAAAAGATCCTGGATTATTTGTGTGATTCCTATGTAATCACAAGATTCGTGAAACTAAAAGAGGGAATCAAAAGAGAGATGAGAGTGACGTGATGTGATGTGAGAAGTACTAAACCTACCACTGCTGGCTTTGAGAAAGGAGGAAGGTGCCACAAGAGAGGAATACAGCAGCCTCCGGAAGCTGGAAAGGCAAGGAAACAATCCTCTCCAGAGCCTACAGAAAGGAACGCATCCCTGCCAACACCTGACACCTTGATTGTAGCCCAAAGAGACCCATGTTAGAGTTCTGGCCTGCAGAACTGTAAGTGAATAAATTTGTGTTGTTAAAGCCACCAAGTTTCTGGTAACGTGTGAGGACAGCCATGTATGCACTGGTAGACATCAATTTCTGAATACTTATTAAACCAGAATGGGGTAGAACTAAAAACACAAGAAAAAAGATAGACTTTAAGCAATATAGAAGAATTGCAGACAAAAATCATATCTCTTAACTATGCAGAATAAACATGCAAATGGGCACAGACCCAGCACTAATGCAGAACTCTCATGTGTCCCATCCATGATCAGTGACAGCAGATCCCACTAAAGCAGAGAGGCAATGGCTAATGTGTCCCCAGATGACCCAAACCTTGGCAGGTGGCCAGCTTAACGAGGTGTTAAGGAGTAGGCAGATAAATCTGGAGAGCTATAAAAAGAAGGAATGGCAGTGAGAAAGGCAAATGAATGCAAAACTCTTGAAAGTTCTTGAACTCACAGCTTATGACAACGGGTTGCGTGTGTTCTCTAACTTTGTTCAAAATTTCAAAGCTGAAATCCCTGGCATGATCTTTAAGCAATAGCCAGACTCTGGTCCACAACACAAAAGGAAAATTGGAGGTACGATTCTTTGGGTATAAGTATATTGAAACCTTGACCCTATTTCCACTTTACATATGCGAAGAAAGTGACTTCAATACAAAATGAGCCTGAAAACATGGTAAGAAAAGATAGTAAAGGACAGTTATGAAAAATGAAAATGATTCAGTGACCACAATTTTAAGTGTATTCAAACAGTGCTCCTAAAATCCGAAGATTTAGAAATATCCTAAGACACTTCTGCATCATTTTCCTTTCTCTTTAAATAGGAAATATTCAAGTTACCCAATAAAGTAGAACTCCTCTCATTCTCTCTCACTCACAAAACTCAAAAAGGAAATGTGTGAGTGCATTCATGGGCACAGTCTCCTCCTTGATTTTAATGTCTAACATTATACCTAGAAATTAAATATGATCTCTTATCATATACTTACTATTAGGAGTAACATTACTGTTTCTCTCCTCCTCAAATTAGAATACTCCTCTTCACATTATGAAAGTGCTCTTCTGTTTCAGAACATGATATTCCATGGTAAAATGAATTTCTAGATCCAGGGTATAAAGTTGATTCTTATCACTACCACTCTATGATTCCACAAGAGAACAATTCAGTTCCATCTTGAGACTTTTGGTGGAGACCAGAGCAAAGCCCTGGAAGCATAAACTTTCCATCAGGGTCAAAACACAAAACTACAAGAGATTTGTAAAAACTACAGGGAAGAAAGGCCTCTGTGTTTTTTTCTGAAGCATGTTAAGAGTCTCTTCTTGGTTGGAGATATAAGTTACCTCCCTCTGTGCACTCTTTAATTTTCTATCCTCATATATTCAGCATGAGGAGAGACCTGAGAAGGTTAACTGAAGAAGGTTAACCCACACACAATATGCATTACCCATTGCCCTTTTCTGATTTCAAATTAAGTATATAATTAGTAAAAAAGGAAATCCATGCCTTCTGGTGATGAAAAATTAGGAAATCAATAGGTGCTTGCCTCAGTGGAGACTCCAGGGAATTTTGGGTCGTCATTTGGGGCTGCCAGTTATAATATCTAAAATGGCAACATGGGCATCTTCTTCAGGCCTCAAAGCACTGAACACATGCCCCAGTTCTAGGCTGGCTGGCTCTGAAGATTTGCAAAGAGAAATGCAGATGACATTGATCTGTTAAAATGTTAGTAACGATGCAGAAGCAATAAAATTGCCTTTTTTTTTACTGCCAGAAAGCTTGGAAAACAAAAGATTTTTATGCATTTTTTAAAGATTCAAATTAAAAGAACTTTTTTTTCTCTGATTTTTTTCTCCAACCACTACAGATGATGCACTTCTACCATTGTCTCCACTTCATACCTCACAAGGCATGTCTAGGAAGTTGCTATGTGGCTGCCCTCTTAGGTGTTGGAGGATGTATGGCAGTTTTTACCCTTAATTGTGTGTTGCATTGATTTTACGGCCTGCTTGCACAACCCAGCATTCTTTTAGTGCTGTTTGGGGGATGGATGCATTTATTGATGTGCAGAGATTTCTGTGTTCATAAACTCCTACATATGGGGACTTGAATCAACCTTTTTGTGTAAATTTCTTCAGTGACGCTATCCTTTTCTAAACACTAGAAACCCACAGCCAACTGAAGAAATAAACAGTTGGGTTCGCATGTTTGTATTCAGTGTATCCCCTGTGTTGTAGGTTCTGTGCAGCATACGGTTTCAGTGCTGCATAAATAAACCATTGTTGTATTCATTCTCTTAAGTTTATGAACAGCAGAATACCAGAATTGTTTTGTTTCAATCCAAGCCTCAATTACTGCTTTTAGAGAAATACACTGTTTAATTAGCACCACTGGATTTCCTCCCCAAGATAGATGTAATGTCTTATGTAGCAATTAGTATTTTGGAATTGTGTTATAATTTGTGCTATACAAAATTAACCTAGATTGAGATCACAGGTGTTCTTTTGAGGTATTTTTAACCTGATTTTTTAAAAGTTAAACATAACTGCTATTCCTTTCAAAAAGCCTACCAAGAAAGTCTCCTCCTTCAGCTCTAGCTGAGCATTTAAAAGCAGGAGCTTTGGAGGAAGCAGGGCTTGGATTCTACTCACGGTTCACTCTGTATGACTCTCTGAGAGTCAATTTCACCATGTATAAAAGAGGATTATTTATTCCTACATTTTAGGGTAGTTGTGAGGATTAAATATAATACCCTTTGCCAGTAGACTGACTTATACTATCCCTCACATGTCAGATTTATCTAGAAGCCTTTCGTGGCCTTCTCCATCGGCAAAGTCCCAACCTATGTGCTCTCATTAGACATTCTGTTTCCTTCATCATACTGCTCTGTTTTGTTTATATGCATGTCTGAATCTATTGTCCACCACTTTCCCTTCCCTTCCCCTCACCCCTCCACACACTACTGACTGTAAACTTTCTGAGAACAGAATGAGATCTAGATCTGGTTTGTGATAGTCATTCATGCAAGTGAACAAATATGTCCATTTATTCACCCTTCTGAGCTCATGGTGGAATTACACTTCCTGACACCTTATGTGTGGAGTGGACCATGTGGCCATTGGACTAATGAATTGTCAACAGAAATAATAGGTGATGCTTTGAGGGCAGAGTATGTGGTTGCTGGTTTGATATATTACAAGGTCTTTTTCCCTCCATGACTGGAAACTCTCAAGATGGCAACCACTCAGCCTGAAAGATGACAATGAGCAGAGCCCTCCATGGTGTCCCTGATAAATACATAAAATGAATGAGAAATACACCTATGTTGATTGAGCTACCTCAATTTTAAGATTGCTTATTATTGTAGCATACATATCTCAGCCCATCTTGCCAGATATACAGATGTATATCCAGTCTTTAACATAGTGACTAGCCATGGTAGATTCCTCATAAGCTATTAGTACACATTATTCCTCATTAAACATGGTGCTACTAAGCAGGGTGTACACTCATTAGCAGGGTTCATGATACAACACCCTTGCTTTCTTTGTATTGCAAGTTCTCTGGGATTTAGGAGATTTTTATAGCTGCAAGAATGAAAGGCCCATCCTCCATTATTTAGGATATGGCCAGTCCTCCAGTAATCATAGTCTATAGAAAATGTCTTGTGTGTCCTGCCTTTAACCTTGCAGCAACAAATCAAATTAGGCAAAAAGTGGTGCTAAGAACAGCTATGAGATGAATCTCTAACTGCCTCTTGGAAAATAAACTGATATTGCCTAAACTTTATGCAGCAAAAGGGAAAACCCTGGCAAAAGTTAAGAAACAAATTCACTAATGTCACCACCAAAATCCAAATAATGCATTTTCTTCAAAAAGCCAACCTACCAGCCAGGCATGGTGGCTCACAACCGTAATCTCAGCACTTTGGGAGGCAGAGGCAGAGGCAGGCGGATTGCTTGAGGCCAAGAGTTTGAGACCAGCTTGGACAACATAGTGAGGCCCTATCTCTACCAAAAAAAAAAAAAAAAAAAAAAATAATAATAATAATAATAAATTTGCCAGGCCTGATGGTACATGCCTGTAGTTTCAGCTACTTGGGAGTCTTAGACAAGAAGATCTTTTGAGCTCTGGAAGTTTAGGTTGCAGTGAGCCATGATTGCACCACTGTACTCCATCCTGGGTGACAGAGCTAGACTCTGTCTCAAAACAAAACAAAACAAACAAAAAAACTAACCCCTCATGATGGGTATAAAAGTTTTTTTTTTTCCTCGATTGCCTGTTGTTTTGAGGAGCTTCATGGGCCTTTAAGCTGTTTGAACACTTGACATACTCAAGTATATTATTGCTAATGATAGAGACTTTAATTAACAATAGTGATTTTTCTTCATCTTATTTAAAAGGTTTTATAAACCAATAGACATACAGATAGATGGAGCACTAAATCCACACAAGAGGCCTTGGGACTGGGGTCCTGTTGATCCTGTATAAATGACCGAAGGAAAAAAGTTCAGGACGACGAAAAGAGAGAAAGAAAAAGAAAATAATATTATATAAGAAAAAATAATGGCTTTGGGAAACCAAAGCAGAAAACAGAAAATCTGGTGATGAAATTATTAAACAAGTGAGCAATGAGATGGAGCAGGAAATGAGCCACATCCCTTGGATCCTTAAAGTGAACTCTGTTGAAGGTATCAGTTCGTGGTGGTCAAGTAGGTCAGGCGAGTACAGAAAAGAAAGCTGTACAACTGAAGGCCAAAACTCAATGATAAAGTAAAAAATAAAAAGAAGGTAAGTATTACATCCCAGTTAGAATGCTAATTAAGGCAAGAGAGGAGAGATTTTTGCATGAGTTTGTATTGAGAATTTTCTTAATTATTTGGTTTTACCCACGTAAACCTATCCCAGGATATGCTTATACCCTCCTCTCTCTCTCCCCCAACACCCACAGTCATGGAATTATATTAATGTAACTCTGTTATCTTCTACTGGGGACATGTTCTTTGCCTGTGAGCTTGGACTTCTGAAGCTCAATGCTTGCTGACAGACTCAAACTCTAACTCAGTTAAAGAATCAATTGAGAAAAAAAGAGGAAAAAAATGGCAGGATACAAGGAGGACCACATGCCTTTTTGGCTGCAAGATCTTGCTTCCCACTTCCTCCCCTTTTTAAGATCCACAGGCAGTTTTAGAAAAACAAACTGCCAGGATATTTTGGAAATTCCCAGACTCATGAAGTTCACCAGGAAATTGAGGTAGAAGAAGAGAAACAAGACAAGCCAAGGATGCTATCAGTTATGTAGGTTTCCCATGAGGTGCTCCAGGAGTGAATGCTGTTTGGCTGTGAAACAAAGACAGTTCATCTTTATGCATGACTTCTCCTGAACGGAGCAGAGTGTTTTTCAAAATCTTTTGAAAAGCTTCAAAAAAGGAAAGAAAAGTTGTTAGAAAACTCAGTCACATTGAATCAGAAAATATATGAGACTGAGATAGAACCAAAAAAGGCTTTGATACCACAAAAAAAGGTGTTGAGAATAAAGTACTAAGCAGAGCCAACAGTCTCAGACCCTAAATGGTAGAAGATTAGGTTGGCTCAACCATCCCCATATTTTGGTACTTTAACAAGAAATTAAGACTAAATCCAGTTCTGTTTTTTTTTTTCATAATAGTGTGTGTGTGTGTGTGTGTGTATAAAATAAGCAAAGTTTAGTACCCAGTAGGTGCACGATAATCATTTGTTGAGTAAATAATTGGACTGCAAGTTTATGAAGTGTGGGAGTGGTTACAGTTATTAGCTGCATATGCAGTGAAGGACTTAAGTGTCTTCGGAAGTCTTTATTTGCTATTTTCATGATCTTCTATTAAAAAACCATTGTCATAATGTCCAGATTAAAAAGAAAAAAGTGAAGAAACAGGTAGAAGAGAAAAAGTCACCAGTTCAAAATTCTCTAGTAGTGATAAAACCCAGAGGTGTGTGATATTTGGATATTTGTCCCTGCCCAAATCTCATGTTGAATTGTAATCCCCAGTGCTGGAGGTAGGGCCTGGTGGAAGGTGTTTGGATTATAGGGGCAGATCCCTCGTGGCTTGGTGCTGTCTTCATGATAGTGAGTTCTCGTGAGATATGGTTATTTAAAGGTGTGTGGCACCTCCCCCTCCACTCTCTCTCTTGCTCCTGCTTTCGCCATGTTCCATACCTGCTCCCCCTTCACCTTCTGCTATGACTGTAAGCTTCCTGAGGCTTCCCTAGAAGCCGAGCAGATGCCAACACCATGCCTCCTGTAAAGCCTGCAGAACCATGAGCCAATTGAACCTCTTTTCTTATAAATTACCCAGTCTTGGGTATTTCTTTATAGCCATGTAAGAATGGCCTATACAGAGTAATTTCTGATCCCTGTAAGTATATTCTTTGTTCTGTTCTTCTCCTGATTCTTGTTTGGCGCAAGAGCAGCTTGTAACCTCACTGATCTTGACTTCTTATCTGCAAAGTAAAATTGGTGACTCCTCTTCACTTTCACCCCAGTCACCTGATAGAAATGTCAGCAGAGGGAATTAGAGGGATTGGAGCTCATAATGCAGGGATTGAGCAAGCTGACTCTACACCATTTCCTCCAACCAAAACCTGCTAACTGAATCTCCAACAGGCTGTCAATTGTTACAGCGTCCCATCACATACTAGATATTGAGAAGTAGGCATAAACTCATGGAGGAAGCAAAAGAAGGACCTCACAGAAATACCAAAAGGGAACTCCTTATTCCACCCTTTTGGGTGAAAAGCAGAGTATTTCTGCTTTAAAGGAACAAATCAATGGGTCTAGTATAATCTCTGCAATAAAATGATAAGGGGACATCAGACATATCTGTGAATAAAAAATTGGGGCTAGTTTGTGCCCAAGAATCAATGACAATGTGTCCCTGTATTCTTGTTAGAGAGAGCTCACAAACAGGAGGATGGGCAGGGAAAAATGAGAACAAGAATCAGGGGATCTGGGATCCATCCTGTACTTTGAAAGGGAGCCAGGCTTCTAAGATGCAGATAGGGGCTAAGGATGATATTCCAGATGGAACAGGCAGAGTAAGAAAAGGCAATAAAGTGTGGGATGCCTCTGTCATGTGTCAAAAGCGGCACTTGAATTATCCACCCGGTTGGAACTTGCAGAACTTCTGAGAATGGAGTAGGCAGATACAAGGCTAGAAAAGCAGGGTCTTATAGTGATGATATCAATGCTAAGGTGATTAATTTATTTTTAATAGGCAGAGAGAAAGTCAAGTCATGGAAAGTTCTCACAGACAAACTCCTAGTCCTTATGCCAATAACTAGACTGAGAGTAATATACACAGGATCCAGCTAAATTAGTTTTACCTATATCATTACGTTGAACTACTCTCACCTAAAAGTGTGAAATTTGGAATTAACCAAAGATAATGTATGATGGCTTGATCCTGAGCGATGAAAGTAAATCCATGGACTTTAATACACATATGCACAGTTTCTTAAATGGATTAATTTTCATTGCAAGTTCACATGTGTCATAGTACTACCACTCATCAAAATTCTACAAGTCATTTTAATATAACAGAAACTAATTGACCCTAGTGGACTGTACAGGTAGAAATGGTTACAGGGAGTGGCAATGTCACAGGTGTGTCATCTTCTCTTCCCCCTTGGAAGAAGGTATCATTTACACTGCTAAAAGAATGATAGGAAAGAATGAATGGCTTCTCCAGGAAGATAAACCAAATGTTAATTTTATATAGTCTAAGATCTATGAGGCTCGTAAAGTGTTTTCGTTTTCTCAAAATAGAGCTCTTAAAGTCGAACCCAGGGAAGGTGAAATCTAAAGCTGCTTAGAGCGCTGATGCCCTCATGTGGGAAAAAAAAACACAGTTAACACAAATCTCAACCTCTAAGAAGTATGTGACACCAGGGGAAATTCTACATGCTAACACTAGAGAAATAAAGGGATAGTTTATGAAACGATGATCAAATGTACATCTGGAATTTTCTTTTTTCATTAATGTTCTGTAAGCATCTTTGTTGAGCAGTAAAGACTGCTAGAAATTATCTGGAATTACATGGAGTGGTGATACATCCTTCTTCTTATAATCATATGTATAAGAACATTTCAGCTAATTTCCAGTTAACAAAAAGTATAACATATTAAAGCTTTTGAAAAACAGTACTAAATTAGTACCGTGTGGTATGCTATTCATTATATCTGTCTAATAATATCAGTTCCAAAATGCTAATGTATTGATGCAGGACTGTATGTAAGCTCAAAAGCTTTGAAAACCTCAAGCTATGTCACAGCCTAAAGTTTCTGAAGCCTAATGCCATGAAAGAAAACCCATCTATAATTATGGAAATTCACCCTAAAATTCAGCCTGTTCTCTTCACTGTGCAAAAATACTATCCCAATTTGTTTCATTGGTGAATACTCACGTTTAGGGAGCCTGGAAAAAAATGGGGCAGCAAGGGAGCCAAAAAAGGGGAGGTTGGAGGAGTAGAAGGAAACCCAGGCTATTTCTAGTAATCCTGTTTAGTTATAGATACTCCCACCTAGTACTACGCCCCAGTGTGGAAAGACCCAGAATATCATACTGATGTTGCAGGCAGACACTACCTTCCCTAGGCCTGCCCTCACAGATGCAGACAAGACTTTGGAAGTGTCATCAGAGAGGGAGTACAGCAACTGGATGTTCTCCATCTAAAGCCCAGGGCAGCCTCTGCCAGGAATGCATCTTTGTTTCGATCATAGGATTGTTCTAAAACCACACATTGAATTGTCATATATCAGTGCTGTCAGTTTTCCTGTCTTGAATCATTTTCCTAGCTTCATCATCTCCCTTTCTAGCCTCTTTCAGTTACGTACACCCCTCACCATGTAAAACATACTATCCATCAATGATAAACTAGTGTAAAGACAGCAGAGGGCTTTATTTCATAGTGCAACCACTAGTCAAGTAGGAACAGATGTCAGTGGTCCTGTGTCAAGAAGGATTCTGAGGTTGCTTCCAGGCAACTGGAACTGAATAATAATGCCTCTTATGAATATACTTGTGTGTGGATGTGTAGGGTAGGCCAGGGTAGGGCCTGCGGCACTGATGCAGTTCAGATTTTGTTCCTCTCTGATATACGTGCAAAGCTACACCATTCTCTGATGTTGCCTTAGTCTTTCTGTTTTCTAGTAACTTCTATTCCCTTCTTTAACTGATTTTACACCCTTCAAGACTCAGCCCAAATGCCCCTGCCTCAGTTATTCCTTCCTCTTTGTTCTCATAATATACTCTTTATATAAGTCTACTTTTGCTCTAAATTATAACTTTTGACATATTTGTACTTATATGTCTTATTAAAGTGTGCCTTATTAAAGGTTTTTATCTCTGCAGCTTAAAACAGTGTCTATTGAATAATAGGCACCAAATCTTCTAGGAAGAAAGGAATAGAAAGAACGAAGAAGATAGAAGGGTTCTCTCTCCCAGGAGTATGTGCTACTTTGCTTGGTATCTGAGGAACTAAACTTTTATTTCCCATGAAAGGGATTCCAAACATCAGAGAAGGTGGGGTAGTTCAAGAAAGAAGCACTTTCTTACCATGGGGTATAACATTCAAGTCCCTTGATCAAAGCGATGTGGGCTGGCTCTGTGTTTCCAACAAAAATCTCATCTTAAATTGCAATCTAAACTGTAATACCCACAAGTTGGGGGACGGACCTCGTGCGAGGGGATTAGATCATGGGGTGGTTCCCCCATGCTGTTCTCATGATAGTGAGTGTGTTCTCATGAGATCTGATGGTTTTATAAGGGGCTTTCCCCCACTTCGCTCTGCACTTCTCTCTCCTGCCACCACATGAAGAAGGACGTGTTTGCTTCTCCTTCTGCCACGATTGTAAATTTCCTGAGGCCTCCCCAGCCATGCTGAGCTATGAGTCAAACCTCTTTCCTTTATAAATTACCCAGTCTAGGGTATGTCTTTATAGCAGTGTGAAAACAAACTAATTCACAAAGCAAGACTGTCTTTCGTTTTTAATTTTTCTCAAAATTTTGGCGATCCTGTGTTTACATGAAATCATTGATATATGTCATATTTCCCTCTTTACCCTCAGATCATTCACTGCTTTCCCTTACTCTGGTCGGAACTCCAGAGAGCTGCCACCTATAAAATCGTATTTTCAGTAGGTTTTCAGCCAGTGAGAGACATTAGCAGGAGATCAAAGAAAGAGGAAAGAAAATGCCAGATGCTATGGTCTGAATGTTTATGTCTCCCCAAAATTCACATGCTGAAATCCGAACCAAGGTGTTGGTGTTGAGAGGTGATTAGTTCATGAGGGTGGAGCCCTCATGAATGGGATTTGTACCCTTAGGAAAGCAGCCAGAAGGAGCTCATTCAACCCCTTCACCATGTCAGGATACAACAAGAAGGCACCATTCTATCAACCAGGAAATGGGACATTAGCAGATGCTGAATCTGTGTTTATCTTGATCTTAGACTTCTCAGGCTTCAGAACTGTGAGAAATAATTTTTCTGTTGCTTATAAGCTACCCAATTTAAGGAATTTTGTTATAGCAGCCTAAATGGACTCAGACACCAGCATATTTCTCTCTCTCCCTTTCTCTCTGCCTTGGACACTGTATCAAGTAGTGGCTGTGGCTCCGCATGGTCCCTACTGACTCTGAGCAATGCCCACTGTGTATCTACCTCTCCACAAATGGGCTTTTCCTGCCTACTGGACTCTAATCATCCCACTTTGAGGGTACTGTCCAGAGACCAAAGAAACAAAAAATGAAAAGACGTAATTTTGATAAGATTAAGGAGTAAGACACAAGGAAAATATGGTACTGTAAACACATATTTATAAAAATTTTCCTATGCTCTGTAGGACAACAATTTGGGAGAATGGGACAGAGAGAAAGGGCAGAAAAAAAAAAAAAACTTTATTTCTGTAAAAATTTCTCAAGACCCCATCCTTCTGCTACTTTTGAGAAGATTGACTTTTTACAACCCAAAATGGATCAAATAGGAGAAACCCCAGAAGCATCACAGACCTTTCTCACTTCATTGCACAGCTCTCTGGTGCACAGATCAAATTCCAGAAGGAAGTCCTTGATGTGTCTCAAGTTTGCCTGCTTGCCTCCAGATCTCTGGGCAGAGAGTCCCTTGGTTGGGAATGGGACGGAGACGGAACCTCTTGTTGTGTAGAAGTTGCATAAGGAGTGGGGGAAAACCAACTTAGAGTTTCTGCCAGCCCCCCAAAACTGACACTTAAGACAGGGAAGGAGAGAAACCCTGCAGCAGACAGCCTGAGCCCTATTTGATTGCTCACACTGGGTTTCTAGCTGAAGGGGCAGGGTCTGGGAACAAATGTAATTTGCAGCTGCATACCAGAGGTGACTGAAAGGCTCATGCACAAAATGAAAAGCTCAAAAGCTTTGGGACCTTATTCTAACTGAAATTATCATCAAAATTGCCAACCAATTCAGGAGCAGTGCAACCATGCAAAATCAGAATAACAGAATTTTCTTTTCTTTTGAATAAAATCTCAACATCCCATTCCACAGTTTTTATTTTTCCTATATAATAGTATTATTATTTCTAACATAGCTGTAAGCACGCTTATCTGAAGATTCATTCTTTCATCTTTAAAGCAACATTTTTTTCTCTCTTTTTTTTTTAATTTTTTTGGGAGGGGAGTTCCTTCATTGATCCTCTTTTTCTTTTGCAGACACAGCCAGTATACATATTTTGGTTTTCTGTACTGTTTGTTATAGTCTATAATTTCCTCCAAAATTTCTTATATTTCTTTATTCTCTTCTGGCTTTTTTCTAATTCTCTTAAGCCTGTCATCCACTTTGTTGATTTAAGTTTTTTTTGCCATATAGCTTCCTTACTCTTCTAATTCATTTCTAAGTTCTGTCAAGCAACTATTTTCTCTTTTTTTTCCCCTTCTCTTTCGGTTTCCTTTATGTCTCATTCTGCTGTATTTTTGCTGTAGGAAGTTTTATATGGTCTCTTTGTTATTTTCTGATTAGCCACTTTGAAGGAATTATATTTTTCTGGACCTGCTATCTGCTATCAAAAACTTTAAGAAAATGGGAAAATGAGAATATTTATTTAAGGTGGTATACCTCAACCAGGGCCCATTAACAGCAAAAATAAGGGAAGAATGTTTGTTATCACCATTATTGTTTTACCTTTTTTTAACAATTACTAATTAAGAAAGATAAAATATTTAATTTAAAAAAGACAAGGCAAGTATTGTGTTATTTTTAAATTACTTTATTATATGCCTATAAAATCCCAAAATAATCATCTGAAAAAGTAATACAAATAGAATTTGATAAGATGTCCAATGTCAAAGAGATTATGGAATCACTATATATAGCTTCCCAGTATGTTGAAAATACACAACTAACACATTTAAGGAATTATGAGAAGAATGTTCATTATTTCAATCACATTTATTTAGTAGTAGTACATGAAAAAAAAACAACCGTAAACAATAAAGTGAATTTGTTGACTTATATACCCAAAATGTTCAGGAGTAGAGCAGCCTTCAAGTGATGTCCAATATAGTGGCATAGTGTTAATAATTATCCTGTTTCTATCTGTTGGTTTCCTTTTTCTTTTATGCCACACAGGAAAGATAATCTCTCCTTCACCCACTAAACAAAAGTTCTGGGCTCTCTGTAATTGCTCACCTTGGGTCACAAACTTATCAACAAATCATAGTGACTGAGGGCATTGCATGTTTTAATTGGCTTTGACTTGGATTATGTGCCCATCCTGAACCTGTCATCGTAGCCATTGGGTAGAATTATCCTCCTTTGGAGTCAGGGAGTAAACCCAACCCACTCCTTCATGATGGGATAAGGTGGAAGGGATATTAAGGAGGCAACTGCAATTGAGGATGGTGATGGTAGTAATGACGATTCTGATGGTCATGATAATAATGATAATATGATGATCATGATGTTGATGTTAATAGTAACAATAGCAATGACACTGAAGCTGTCTTGAGTACATAACATAAACTGTTGTGCTAACTACATTTTTATCAGATTTAAATTCACTAATTTCATTTGGTTCTTGTGTAAACTAAATAATATTATCCACGTAAGGTGCTTTCTACCTAATAATAATAATGATAATAATAATAATAAAATAATGATTATGATCATTCAATATTAATAAGATAGTAGTCATAATAGGAAAAGGAATAATAGTGGCAATAATATTAGCAGCAGCAATAGTGATAGTATTGGGTATATGGGTACTTTTCTCCAAATTTTATAAATGGAGGAACTGAGAATTAAAGAGGTTACATAACTTTTTTGAGGTAAGTAGAGGTTACATTAGTTTAAGACAAATAGAAGAGCTAAAATTCTAATACTGGTCTTCCTAGCTCAAAAGTCAGCTCCAAAAGAAATATACAGAATTTAGATTTAGAAAAATCAATAAACATGGCTTAGAAACAAAGGAATGCTGGAATAAATGGGAAGTTATACCTTGTACTTGAACAGGAAAACTCTATATTTAAAAGGTTAAACAATCCTAAGCAAAAAGAACAAAGCTGAAGGTATCACATTACCAGACTTCAAACTATACTGCAAGGCTACAGCAACCAAAATGTCAGAGGCATGTGAACCAGAACAACTCCATCTTGATTAGGAGCTGGGTAAAATGAGGCTGGAACCTGTTGGGCTGCATTCCCAGACAATTAAGGCATTCTAAGTCACAGCATGAAACAGGATGTCAGCACAAGGTATGAGTCATAGAGACCATGCTGATGAAACAGGTTGCAGTAGAGAAGCCGGCTCTAACCAACCAAAAACCAAGATGGCCACAAGAGTGACCTCTGGCCATCCTCACTACTACACTCCCATCAGTGCCATGACAGTTTACAAATGCCATGGCAATGTCAGGAAGTTACCCTATATGCTCTAAAAAGGGGAAGCATGAATAATCCACCCCTTATTTAGCATGTCATTAAGAAATAACCATAAAAATGGGCAACCGGCAGCACTCAGGGCTGCTCTGTCTATGGAGTAGCCATTCTTTTGTTCCTTTACTTTTTTAATAGACTTGCTTTCACTTTGCTCTGCAGACTCTCCCTGAATTCTTTCTTGCGTGAAATCCAAGAACCCTCTCTTGGGTTCTGGATCGGGACCTCTTTCCTGTAACATATTTATCTGTCCTGTAACAAAAACAGCATAGTATTGGTACAAAAGCAGACATCTGAACCAACAGAACAGAATAGAGAGCCCAGAAATAAAGTTGAATACCTCTAACTATCTGATCTTCAATAAATTTGATGAAAAAAAGCAATGGGGAAAGGACTTTCTATTCAACAAACGGTGATGGGATAACTGGTTAGCCATATGCAGAAGATTGAATGCCCTGCTTACACCATATACAAAAATCAACTCAAGATTAATGGAAGATTTACATGTAAAACCTAAAACTATAAAAACCCTGGAAGATAACCTAGGAAATACCATTCTGGACATAGGTCCTGGCAAAGATTTCATGACAAAGACACCAAAAGTAATTGCAACAACAAACAAAAATTGACAAGTAGAACCTAATTAAACTAAAGAGCTTCTGCACAGCAAAAGAAACTATCAACAGAGTAAACAGATAACCTACAGATGGGAGAAAATATTTGCAAACTATGCATCTGACAAAGGTCTAATATCCAGAATCTATAAGGAACTTAAAGTAACAAGCAAAAAACAAACAACCTCATTTAAAAGTGGGCAAAGGACGTGAACAGACACTACTCAAAAGAAGACATACATGTGGCCAGCAGCGTATGAAAAAATATACAACATCACTAATCACCAGAGAAATGCAAATTAAAACTACAATGAGATAATACCTCACACCAGCCAAAATGGCTATTATTAAAAGTCAAAAATAACAGATTCTGGTGAGGCTGTGGAGAAAAGGAAATGCTTATACACTGCTGGTGGGAGTGTAAATTCATCCACTGTGGAAAGCAGTTTGGAGATTTCTCAAAGAATTTAAAACAGAACTACCATTCAACCTAGCAATCCCATTACTGGGTATATACCCAAATGAATGTAAATCATTCTACCATAAAGACACATGCACACGTTATGTTCATTGCAGCATTATTCACAATAGCAAAGACATGGAATTAACCTACATGCCCAATGATAGACTGAAAAAAGAAAAAGTAGTACATATACACCATGGAATACTACACAGCCATACAAAAGAAAAAGATCATATCCTTTGCAAAGCATGAATGGAGCTGGAGGTCATTATCTTAAGCAAACTAATGCAGGAATAGAAAACCAAATACTGCATGTTCTCACCTATAAGTGGGAGCCAAACATTGAGTACACATGGCCACAAAGAAAGGAACAACAGACACTGGGGCCTACTTGTGGATGGAAGCTGGGAGGGGAGGGTGAGGACCAAAAACCTATTTATCGGGTACTATGCTTATTACCTAGGTTATGAAATAATTTGCACACCAAATCCCTGTGACCTGAAAATTACCTGTGTAACAAATCTGGACACGTTCCCCTGAACCTAAAGTTAAAGTTTAAAAAAAAAACCACAGTATCTTAAGATAAAAATTTTAAAACTTATGATGGCCATAAAGAGGAATGAAGTATTAAGTTATGCTACAACTTGGTTGAACCCTGAAGACATTATGCTAAGTAAAAGAACCTTAAACACATTATGCTAAGTAAAGTCCACATATATGATTTTATTTATATAAAATGTCCAGTACAGGAAAATCTAGAGACAAAGTAGGCAACTGATTACTTAGCTCTGGAGGATAGGGTGGGGAAAATAGGAGGGTAACAGCTTAAGGGTATAAGATTTCTTTCTGAGGTGATAAAAATATTCTAAAATTGACTCTGATGTTGGCTTCATGTACATGTGAGTATATTAAAAAAAAATTGTATCGTTCACTTGGAATACACAAATTGTAAGGTATGTGAATTACATCTTAATATATTTTTATTTAAAAATAAAAAACTTCAAAAAAGATTAAATATGATTTTGCTAAAATCACAATGAAATTCCCAGTGGGAGTGTGCGTGCACGTGTACATGTGTGTTTGGTGTTTTGTTCTGGGAGTCTAGGAGGAAATAATAAAACTCCTCAAAAACACCGTTTACTCCTCTCCACTCCCAGCTCCCCCGAGGTGAGGTATGACTAGGTGACAAGTTCCAGACCTATGCTCTCCCATAAGGTAGCCACTAGCCACATGTGGTTATTTATTTTGAAAATTAAATTAATATTTTCCCCAAATTCAAAATTCAATTCATCAGTCACATTAGCCACGTTCCAAGCATTCAATAGCCACACAAAACAAATGGCTACTGCACTGTAGAGTGCAGATTCTAGTACATTTCCATTATGGTAGACAATACATGTGTCTCTTTAACCCACACACAGTTCTCCAGCTGCTCTCCCACTGTTCTGGTGACTAGGGCACTGAGAAGGTGGCATTTTCTAGGTGGTGGCGCTATAAAGTGTTGAAGCCTAGGTCAGCCTGCTGAGTAATTCTGTGGAGAAATCCTCTCTCCTGCCCCACTCATACCCACCCATATGGGGCATAGACTCTGAGAAAAACATTAAATTCTGTTGTGTTAACCTGCTTAGATTTGGGAGTTGTTTGCTATCACAGTTTATCCCACCCATTCATGCCTAAGACAGGCAGCCAATGGTCAGATAGATATTATAAAGAGGTCAGGATACTTGACAAAGTGATTCAAAAACGCAAGTATAAGCATAAGAAATAATTCAGTAAAATTCTGAAAAAGAAGAATAAATAGCAAGACTCTGATATTTTAGATATTAAAATACACTGTAAAGTTACAATAGGAAAGAATGCAGGAAGAGGCAGACAGATCAATGAAAGAGAAGGGATGTGAGAATAAATGAAAATTTAGTGTGACATAAAGGTGTCATGTCTAAGTACCTGTGTTCCTATATGCTAACCAGAGTCTTAGAGTGTGAGATGGAAGCACTTTCTCTATTCTCTCCCAGAAGACTTGCCCTGATAGAGCCATCTAGGAACTGGGTCCACCAACACAAGGCACCTTTATAATTTTGTAATCCCTTGGTCCCCTGCTCAATGAAGTCTGTCTCCACCCTGTTTTCTCCTTAATTGTAATTGCCCCAGGCATTCTATTAACTTATTGTCTGTTATCATTTTAATTCCTCAGAGCCCTACCCACAAGGCCAATCCTATCTCATCAGCCTCACAGTTGATACTTTTTGAATGAAGCTGGAACTTAATGCCTCACTTAGCACACGCTTAACTTGTATTTTATCCTCTTAAACCTAGATCTTCCTGTCTATGGTTGCTCGCTTCTCTATACTGCTGAAATAGTTACCATAGTCCATAGATAACATGCTCTATAGTTTATTAATCTCGTTAACAATTTGTAAAATCTAAATTTGATCTATTCTTTCCGGCTATTTCTCATGATCACACACATCTAATAATAAATATTATATACTAATAAAGTCTCCATTACCAGGTAAAATTATGTTCACAATCCCAGTAATTATGTGGGTCTCCAGTTTCCTCAGGCATAGTCTACTCAAATCTGGCATCATCTACTAGTTTAATGACATTTTTCAGTGCAAATAACACCTAATGTGCACAAGTCTGCTTTTCCAGTGTTCTTTGGAGATAAAACAACTAGAATTTGGGTGAAAATTTTTGAATTTTCACATTATTCAGTACACCCAAACAAGTACTAGATATATTAATTTGAATGTTAGAAAATAATAACACGAGTTATTAGAAGAATAAATGAGATAATATTTTTATAATCTAGAGAAAGATCTTCCTGTCACACTGACACTAAAAACAGTCAAGGAAAATATTAATAAATTTGATTGTGTACATTTAAAATATGAAGGACACCAGCAAAAACAATACAAAAAACTCCATAAAGACGTAATATGTTTTAGTATACAAAAATTAAATAATCACGAATAAAAATGAGAAAAAACAATTTAAATACATACAATTAAGGTTAGATATTTTGTAAAAACAAAATAAAAACTCAAAAAAAGATGATCATTTCAGTAGATGTCTGGACAAAGGACATAAATAGCCAAGACGCAAAAGAAGACTTATAAATGACAAATATAGATAGATAGATAGATAGATAGATAGATAGATAGATAGATGATAGATAGATAGATAGATAGATACTCAAATACCCAATTAAGGAAATGCAAATTTTAAAAATGATGAGGCATTTTTTTTCACCTTTCCACAGAACGCTATAGAATGTTAAATGGATGGGACTAAGACCCAAGGTTGAGGAGGGTTTGGTAAAAAGGACGGTCACACTGGTAATAGGAGTGTAAAATATCACAACTTTGAAAAGGTCAGTTTTTAAAATATGTTTGAAAGTTTAAAAGAGCCTCTGAATTAATAGGATAATAATAATAGTTGAAATTTACCCCAAGGAGATAATCCCAGAAGTGTGTAGCAATATTGTTTACACTGGCAGGAATTTGGACCCATTCTATCTATACGTCAGAAGGGGACTGAAACATTAGTGCTAAAAACTTACAATGCACTATTTTTTCCATCACCTAACATGGTGATACATATCTATTTTCATTCACATGGAAAAATGCCCAGAACATATTATTGAGAGAAAAAATGTTAGTTATGCATCCGCATGTATATACAAACCTCTTTATGTAAAATTATATATTGAAAGCTATGTGTGTATGTGTGCATAAGAAGATGAATAAAGGAATGTTAGATGAACTTGTAATTATTATCTCTAGATGGTGGAAGTTCAGATGAACTTTACATTCTCCTTTCTACTTTTCTGTACTGTTTTTAAAACTCTGCAATGTATCTGTATCTGCTATAACAAAAATAATTTCACAGAAATAAAAAATTTAAATGACAATGACAAATATTACTAATGTATAGCAAACTGGGAAAATATTTATAATAATTTATGAGAAAAAAATCACAAAATTATTACATCTACACTATGCTTGCATCTCCAAAATAGGTAGGTTTACTGGCAAGGAATAAAAAAGAACAAAAATACAAGGAAATAGCTGATATGCTGTTGAATTTACACAGTTGATTTTTCTTTTCTTATAAAAGTGTCAGTTATTGTTCTGTCACTTGCTCAATAAACATATTTTAATAAAATGTAAGTATCTTAATAGGATAGTGTTAGAGACCAAAATGTGTCACCCTAAAATATGCCACTTTGGTATCTTGATTGTCTTAAGCCAAAGGCACTTCAAAAACAGCAAATGCAGGAAAAGGCTTTCTCTGGACTTCTCTATCTGCCTAGAGACAGATCCTTCAAAGGAAATCAACTCCTCAAGAGTTTCATCAACCGAGGAAAATTAACTCATATTACAGGAGAGGAGACTAGAAGTTGACACCACACCCAGACTTTGTCACAAACCATTATATCTCCCATTTATTCTTCTAAGGGTCCATTTCTCTTTCCTAAAAATCATTTATTCTCCCCTAAGTGCCCTGCTTTCCTTTTCCCTTCACTAATTAAAATGCTCTATAAGCTCTAAAAACTTATTATTTTTGGGGGAAGTGCTCGTTTTTCACCTGTGATGTCCCTCTAAAAGTACTATTAAAAATTAATAAGTTCTAATACATTTCCTCCTGTTAATCTGCCTATTGTCAGTTCACTCTATGGACCCAGATATCAAATCTAGGAGAGTAGAAGGAAAACGATTTCCTAAAACAGGTAGAACCAATAAAGGAAGAAAAGCAGACAAAGAACATTTTGGTGATTTGGTTGTTGAAAGGAAAAGCTATCAGAAGAGAGTTGCAAACTTCCAGAAATTTGGAAGAAAGATGTGGCATGGTTACAAACTATAAAGCTCCCACTACACCCCCAAATCAGTCTACAGGAAAATTTCATCCTGGGAATATTTTGAATACCATTGATATAGAGCAGAAATGGTAAAAGAAAATCCAAGTTTGTAACCTTTATCTCAGGCTCTTAGTAGAAAATATTCCCAGTAATGGGTCGGGCATATGGCTCACGCCCGTAATCCCAGCACTTTGGGAGGCTGAGATAGGTAGATCACTTGAGGTCAGGAGTTCGAGACCAACCTGGGCAACATGGTGAAACCCTGTCTCTACTAAAAAAAAATACAAAAATTAGCTGGGCGTGGTGACACATGCCTGTAATCCCAGCTACTCAGGAGGCTGAGGCAGGAGAATCGCTTGAACCCGGGAGGCGGAGGTTGTAGTGAGCCAAGATGGCGCCACAGCACTTCAGCCTGGGTGACAGAGTGAGACTCAGTCTCAAAAAAAAAAAAAAAAAAAAAACATTCCTAATAATGATAAGATGCCTGAACGCAGAATAAACACTGCATGTACTCCTTTAAGTTTAGGTCAACATGAAGCTCTTCAACAAAGCCTTGATCTCGCAGTTTCCTACAAATTACTTAAAACTCACTATGGATTTTTCCAGTCAAATTAAACAAGCCCTGCCAGGCTAGCCCCCTCTATGTTCACACTGGGTAACTTTGTTAAGGAATTATCCACAGAATGTCCTTACATTATCTAGTGGTGTTATGAATTCCTTATGCTCAAAGGCCCCTTGGGATGGGAGGAAGAGCTTTCAGGTTCTCACTGAAAAGATTATCTTGAAGTTTTACAGGCATAGCCTTCAGAAAAGCGTTTGTTTCCTAGCATAATAATTTCTACATATTTTAATCTTAAGAGCCTGGGAAGGTCTCTGAGGATGCATCAGAAAGAATTCCAGTTTCCTAACCCAGAAAGATGCTCCTAGTGTCATGGGAACCCAGTGAATTGGTGCAGTGAAATGCTAGCAAAATGCATTCATCTCTGATAGCTTTGTCTTTTGCCTCCAAATGTGAGAACCAGAAAACTGCAGAATGTTAGCTGTGGAAGCAAGGAAAGATCATAGAGCCAGTACAGCCCCAGGAGCTACCTCAAGGGCAGCTGTGGGGGAGGTTTTTTGGAATTTTTTGATGGGTCATTGAAGCAAATTGACAGGAGCTCTCTGCCCTCCCACTGCTGCCATCAAAGCAGTCACACTTTACTTGTTTCATACATTGAACTTCCTGTGGGACTTGGTATGAGGTGTGAAGGAAAATTGTGAAAGACTGAATTAGACCAAAAGATTACTGAATATCTCCAATGGGAAACAAGGCATTGTTTAAAATACCCTCTGAGTTATCTGATTCTGTGGGGATTCTGGGCCTTTTCTTATCTTTGAGCTATTTTCCAATTTTGTAGCTTGCAATGCAAATGACGTTTGTACACAGAGATGCAAATTCTGTCCAGTGGAGGGACAATTGAACAGATCTTCCCCGCAAAGAAAAATCCATTTCTGCATTCCTGATTCAACTATACAAATGTGATAATTTCAATTATTTGAACTAGTTGTAACATCTTACTGGTTTTCTCATAATTTAATGAGTTAAATAAAATCTTTGACAAATATTCATTTTATACTTGTATGGGAGTCATGATTTTACACTTAAAAAATCCTTTGAAAGAAAAAATCAATATATTGAAACTGAGTCTCACCCAAATCCCCTAATTTGACAGATGAGAGAACTGAGGCCCAGAGGGGTGAAGTGATGAACCAAGATACCAACTAAACCTTTCTCACAAAAAATATACTCCCTGTTAAATGAACATGAGAGCTGTGTACTCACTCATGCTGTCAAGGGGTAAATTGATCACACCAGTCCATATTTTATGATGTATTTATACTATACCAACATTGAGGTTTACATACTAGTGAAAGATTCTGAACTCACTTGGACTGAGTTTAATTCCCAACTCTCCTATTTCCAAGCATATGATTTAGGCAAGTTACCTTTTCTTTGTCTGATTTTCATTACTTGGAAAATGGAAACAATAATAGTCTCCATTTTATACTCTTAGGATGAGTGTAGCATTAAATTGCATAATACTTATTCAGCTTTATGAGAGTGGCTGGCACATAGAAGTGTCTACAAACATTATATACGTTAAAAGATAAACTTAGGCACATTAAAATTTTGAAGAGTTTATTTGAGCAGACAATGATTCATGAATTGGGCAGCACCAGACTGCAAGTGGTTCAGCGCTACACTGGGGGAAGAGGCAAGAGAGAAATTTTTATAAGATGTTCATGGAAGCAAGATAAAGAAAATATATTTGATTGGTTAATGTGGAAAGTTCCTAGTTAGAGATGAGTTGGTGATTTCTGATTGGTTAAACTTAAGTTTCATTTTAC
Source organism: Homo sapiens (assembly GCF_000001405.40). Lineage (NCBI taxonomy): Eukaryota > Metazoa > Chordata > Mammalia > Primates > Hominidae > Homo > Homo sapiens. The sequence continues at coordinate 82,819,648 of NC_000009.12, forward strand.
TGTTTACATTGGGCTTTGGTTTGATTAGGCAGGAACCCAAGGCACTATACTTGACCCAGCCTAATGACCTCCATTAGGCCATTAAATTAACTAATTTCAAAAGATATATATTCTATTACCATATTGCAGCTTTATTATCTATGATAATCTAAGGCACAGTTTGCTTATACAGAAGTTATATCTTGAAATGTACTAATATAAAATGCAATGTTTCTAAGAATGTCTACATATGGTTAATATTATGGATTATGTGACCACATAGACAGATTCTAGTGTAATTTCATAACAATTTAGTGAAATCTAGAATATTTCATTAATTTTCATCATAAAAATTTATTTAATAAATAAAGAATAATATACCCTCACCTTTCACATATGACTGTGATATTTAATCACTATATATTTTACTCCATATTTCACTCTTTAGCATTCCCTTCCAGCATCCACCAGTGTTAGCACAGAGTAGGTGTTCAATAAATGTTGTTAAATAACCTAGAAACTGTACATGGCATTTTAATACCTACTGATAACCATATGCAACTGTGACCTTAAAATGAAAACAGGAGCTGAGCATTTGTTCTTCATGTGCACAGAGATGTCTAGTGTTCACTTTTAGTTCTTTCATTATTGTTCCTCTTCCCTAAACTCTCTTTGACTCTGCAATTCTAGGATGTTCTATAATTAGAAGCCAGCAAGGCATCAACTACTTCCTCTGGGCAAGTTTGTGCCTTAACACCTCTCAGTGACCTTCTGTGCTAATTAAACTACGTGTGAGAATAAAGAACATTGGTACTTAACTGAAATAAAAAGCAATTAAGTGGGAACATTTGGAGATGATTGTATGTTAATAAGAAATCTTAATCAATGTGTATACCTATGAGACTAACTGAAGCACCTTTAAAGAATTCACATTTTCTAATCAAACAAAATACAAACTTCCTTATTTCCTAAGATGTGCACAAGCTCACAAAAGTCTTTGATTGTTTCACAGACAGAAGGGAAAATTACTGTCTTCCGTTGTTCTCTTTGTAGCTTTCTGGAAATCAGCAAGACATCCCTGAAGCAATTTATTTTCTCTAACATATAAATTGAGAATACTCCAGATTTTATCCAACAAATCTAGGCTTGGTTTATGATCTTTCTAAATCTTCAAAGCACATTAATAATTTGTATATGTGAAGAAATAAAATACATTAAACACAGAAAGTTTAGATGAGGTGCAATCACAAGCCAAATTTGACACTACCTCTTTCAGTACAGCCCAAGAGCTAGGAATGTTTTTCACACTTTTAAAGTACTGTTTTTAAAATAAACTTAGAAAAAAAAAAACAGAAAAATATGTTATAGGGACTATATGCAGCCCAAAAAGCCTAAACTATTTACCATATAGCTCTTTTTAGAAAAAGTATGCTAATCTCTCATTTAATTGATAGTTCAATCTGATAATATTAGTACTAACCAGGTGGGCACGGTGGCTCATGCCTGTAATCCCAGCACTTTGGGAGGCCAAGGCAGGCAGATCACGAGGTCAGGAGTTTGAGACCAGCCCTGGCCAACATAGTGAAACCCCGTCTCTACTAAAAATACAAAAAAATTAGCCGGGCGTGGTGAAGGGGGCCTGTAATCCCAGCTACTTGGGAGGCTGAGGCAAGGAAAATCGCTTGAACCTGGGAAGTGGAGGTTGCAGTGAGCCGAGATTATACCACTGCACTCCAGCTTGGGTGACAGTGCGAGACTCCATCTCAAAAAAAAAAAAAAAAGAAATTGTACTATCCAAGTTCATAAAACCATCCTAATTCCAAAAAAAAAAAAAAGTTAAATAAAAATGAAGTTAACTAAAGAAGTTAAAATTTAATTTAATTTACTCATTAAATAATGAATAAATTCAATTACTTATTTCATTCCAATCATGTGCCAAGGAATGTTCACACAGTTGAGTCATTTACTTCTTACAAATGCCTTAAAAGGTACTCCTTATCCCTATTTTTATATGAGACAACTACAACCAAGACTAGTTAAGTAAGTTGCCCTATGTCACCCCATGCTTGTGTTACCAGATGGAAAGTCTTGACTGTGAATTGTCCAGGTTCACGGTGCATTGAAGAAATAATTGAACAAAATGCACAAAGCAACAAAAGAACGAAGCAATGAAATTACAAATTTACTAAAGCAAAAGTACACTTCACAGAGTGAGAGCAGGCTCAAGCAAGCGGCCCAAGACCCCCAGTTGTAGTGTTCTTTAGGGTTTTTATCAAACTAAAATAATTTGGTAACACCCATAGGTACACTTTAGAGGCTGCCAATTGGTAACACTCTAAGCAAATGAAGGCTTGGTTCGTGAGCAATCAGAGGCTGAAGTGGAAGCATGGCCCCTGATGAATAAGAGGCATTTCTCGTTTGTGATGTAGGGGAGAGGGGGTTTTGTAGAGGGAGGAGCCTCTGGCCTCTTGTCACTTGGGCATGCAGAGGTGGGGTTTTCCTTTCAGCCCAGTTCGAAGAAGAAAGCCATGGGTTGGCCTTAGGCTCCTTGTCTCCAGACCCTATTCTCCTGCCTCAGCTGAAGCTGATGTGTCTCTGATTCCAAAGCCTGAAAAATTTTCGTTATATTATACCAGCTTTGTTACTGAAAAGAACATTCAGGAATGTAGTTAATAACCACTGGTGTTCAAGGACCTGTTTTAATTAATAAAAATGATTTACATTAAACATTAAATTTTAATTTAAAATAAATGCATTTGAGGCATTGAAAATAATTTGTTTTCTAAATATGACATTCCCACAAGTTTTATACATTATGAATTGCCTTTAAATATTCTCCCTCTTCTAGTCCTTAGACACTGAGGAGTATATGTCAACCCATTTGACAAGGTTCAAATTAATGCATTTCCTGAATTATCCAATCTAAATTAATGAGGTTGTTCATATGGACCACAATAATTTCAGCAATTTCTTCTATTTTTTTTAATCTGTGCTGTGGTTTAAATCTTTTCTCTTGACCTGTCTTTTAATTCACTATCCCTATTTTCTGGTGTGTTTAATCTGCTGTTAAATCCATTTATTGAGTTCTTAATTGTGGATATTGTATTTTTCAAGCCAATAACTGCCATTTGATTATTCCATATAGATTTCAGCTCTCCAGTAAAATAATTTATCTTCTGCTCTATTTTCTTCAACATAGTAATCACAGCTATTCTAAAGTCATTGTCTAATAATTCTAATACCTAGTTCTCCAGTGAGATTGTTTACATTATCTTTTTTATTTTTGGTCTTGGGTTTTGGTTGTATAGTCCTATCATATCACAAGACAAGTCACTTTTGATTGGATAATGGACATTGTTTACAACAATTGTAAAAGCTTTGGATGATGTTATCATTTTCATCGAAGTTCATTCTTTTCTTTGCTAGACAAAGTGAGAGCAAATCCTCTTAACTCAAGGATTGAACCAAGTCAAGGCTGGATGACTTTTAGCTAATGCTCAGTCCATTTCTAGCTTGCTATTTTACCTATGGTTTTGTGCCCCAGGACTTTCAGCTGAGAACATAATTTGTTCACCATGACCCCAAACCCTTGAAGGTCCTGAAATCTACCTTCTGTGTTCTGTGAAGCTGAAAAATTCTGATCTGCATTTCAGATGTTTTCAGATATTATTTATGGTCTTCTGCACAGTGAAATTTTCAAATGTGGAAAATGTCTTGGGAAGAAAAATGATGTGGTTTTGAAAATCCTCAAGAATCTGGTTTTGTCTCTTCGGCCAGCTTAGACTGACAAATGGTATGATGCCTTTGTCCTCCAGAAAGGCCCTTATCCTGGGCAAAGCTTACCTGTTCTCAGCCCCTTGTCTGTGCCCAGAACAAGCAAGTTCTGGGAACACTGGTTACAGGTTGTCATCTGCTGACCTCTCTATTGCTAGATCCTCTCTGGAATCTTAGACCCTGTATCCTGATTTCTTCAGTAGCTCACCGATGCCTTTAAATTTAGAAGTTTTACATTTTGTCTGGATTTTTTTGTTATGTAAAAGATCATTAGCCTACAGAAAACTACTCCATCTTATCCAGGTCCAGAAGTCTCACATCTGTGGGCTCCTAAACAAGAGATTGATAGAATAAAATTTCTATTTGCCAGATGGATAAAAGAAAAGAAACTGGGCAAGATGCAACAGACCTTAACCATGTTGGCAGAGGCAGGAATTAACAGAAACATAGAACTCTGATAATGTTATTTTCAATCTTTATAACACCTCCAAGGTAGATATTCTTGGCCTCCCTTTACAAATTAATTTACAAGATGTACATTATTGTATTTACTATCCCCAAAGCCTAGGTATCTTCTGTGTGGTATAGTGGAGCTTTGTCCAAAGTAGCTCTGACATCACTAAGCCTCAATTACTCGGTCTGTCAAATGAGAATAATAATATTTGTTTCATAATTCTGACCATTGAAATAAATACATATGAAAGCAACTCATTAATTACAAAGAGATATATATTTTAAGGGCAACTGGGATACATAAAAATGAATGTTATAAAGGGAGGCATTTTGTTGTTTTTCTTTTTCTTTTAAAAAAGAGATAGGGTCTCACTGTGTTAACTAGGCTGGTCTTGAACTCCTGACCTCAAGCCATCTTCTTGGCTCGGCCTCCCAAAGCACTGGGATTATAGGGGGAAGAAGGGTCTTTAAAAAAAAAGTTCACAGATCCCTGGAAACAAGAGGCACACCACACCACACAGGGCTACCCAGGGAACTACCAGCATCAGTCAGGAGACGAGGGAGCAAGGGGAAAATGTAGCTAACAGTCTTTATTGTGATTTCCCAGGGAAGGAACAAGCAATGCAGGGTTAACAGATTTAGAATTGGCAAGTTTGGATAATTTTGGCAGGCACTAGGGGCATTGGGCCCTTTCCTAGTTGTCAGGAACCTGGCCTTCAGATGATTAGGGCAGCAGGATAGTGGGTCAGAGTGTGAGAGCCTAATAAACTAGGTGGTTAGGGGTATGGACTCTGGGTGGTTTGGTTTACAAATGACAGATGCATTGCCTGGAAAATTGTTTGCCATCTTTAGGAATAGGCTAACCCTAAAGGAGGTAGTCCCTCCAGGGTCAACTAGCCTCCAAGATGCCCAAGCATCCAAACACAGCAAAAAAAGACATGATTAAGACAGTATAGAAATATAAGTGGCAGTTATCTTTCTTAAGTACCAATATTCTACTAATTCTGAGCTCATGGAAAATGGTAAAAGATTCTAAAATGTTTAAACCCTGACTTGGTTGCTTATGATGAGATATGTAGATAGACCCTTAGCTCTTTATAGAGACACCCATAGCTCAGGGGTGAAAGAAAGACATCTTTGTGTCTCCTTGCGTAAACATTGTATGTATAATAGTATCAGTGACATTTCATCCACTAATTCAATGCTGCTTATAAAATCTCTAGAATGTGATGTTAAAGGCAATGGTATTTCAATTAATAATTTAAAAATTCCAAATTTAGATATTTCTAAGCAGCTGTTGCTTATTATATGAGTAATTATTTTCAGAGAAAAAAGTCTTACCAGAAGCATATTTTTAAAATATACCACATTGTACAGATTATCTCCATTGTTTTTCATTGAATTCTCTACCCAAACTATAAATGCATTTGTCATTTGGGCAATACTTAATAGTGTTCAGAACTAGCACATTAACTTCCTTCTCAAATATGGGTGCTTGTGAGGGCAGGAGTTTTGGCAGTGTGGGAATCTGTTAGTTCCAGATCTCTTAAGAGAAGGAAAGTCCTCATGCTGTACAATCTACTTTTCCTAAAAGGTGGGTAATTAAACTAAACAATTTCAGAAATGTATAATTAATTCATGCAAAACCAAAGTATATCATAACATAAGGAATTCTATTCGAATTATTGGATTCATTTTTGCAAAGATCACAAGATATTTCCATAGTGAATTAAGTTATTCTTGCATTGCTATAAAGAATTACCTAAGGCTGGGTATTTTATGAAGAAAAGAGGTTTATTTGGCTCACGGTTCTACAGGCTTTACAGGCAAGGTGCTGGCATCTGCTTGGTTTCTGGGGAGGCCTCAGGGAGCTTATACTTGTGGCAGGAGCAGGCAAGTCACACGACAGGAACAGGAGCAAAAGAGAGAGTGAGGGTGAGGTGCCACACACTTTTAAACAACCAGATATCACAAGAACTCACTCACTATCACAAAGACAGCACCAAGCTATGGGGGATATGCCCCATGACCCGAACACCTCACACCAGGCCCCACCTTCAGCATTGGGGATTACATCTCAACATGAGATATGGAGGGGACATTCAAATTATATCACATGATACACAAATGTATCCTTCTGGCAGGAGTAGAGGATGAGCACCGATTAATATCTGTTATTTCCCAAATACTCCTTTTAAATCTTGTACTGAGGGGAAATATTTCTTCTACATCTTCTCTGTTTCTTTCATGTAAAGAGAGGTCACTTAGAACTCCTGGCTTCCCTCTGCACCTTTCCTTATTCTACCCTCTGGGGATGTTGAGGGTGGCTACACTGATGAGTAAATTTGGAAATAATACTTGGGTATTATAACTTAGTGCTGCTCTTTCTCCTACTTGGTCCTTTAGCTTCTGGCAGACAGCCCAGTTTTGCCCTCCTCCATACCAAGAGTGTCACCTGGGCCAGCCCCTCCACCAGGGAGACTTGCAACTGGGCGCACAGACTGCAGGTTCTGGTTTATTTATCAAGCTAGCCTGGTCATGGCTGGTAATAACGATGGATCCTCAAATTTATTCATTATTTCTCAAATTCTTTGGAGCTGGACAGGGAAGCGGGGCACTACTCACTTGGAGACTCTGTATTACACAATCCGCTATAATATGGTTTGTCTGTGTCCCCATCCAAATCCCATCTTGAATTGTAGCTCCCATAATCTCCATGTGTCATGGGAGGGACCTGGTGGGAGGTAATTGAATCATGGGGGCAGGTTTTTCCCATACTGTTATTGTGATAGTGAGTAAATCTCATGAGATCTGATGGTTTTATAAAGGGCAGTTCCCCTGCGCATGCTCTCTCCTGCCACCATGTAAGATATGCCTTTCCTCCTCCTTCACCTTCTGCCGTGATTGTAAGGCCTCCCAGCCATGTGAGTCCATTAAACCTCTTTTTCTTTATAAATTACCCAGTCTTGGGTATTTCTTCATAGCAGTATGAAAATGGACGAATACACATTACCTCTCCCTTGCCCTTGCATTATACGATGCACATACTTTTCCATGGTCCAGGTTTCTTTTGTGCTCTGGAATTTAAATATAAACAAACAAAACCAGTTTATTCCATTTTCTTTCCATGGACTATTTGTTAGCGTGAATAATAAACTAAGAATGTGTATTTATAGCAGTAGTTTCCTATCAGGGGGTCTTCAAAGGCCTCGGGTCCTCCAGAGTTTTCAGATATACTTTAGAGACTGTGCTGAGTCAAGTGTGGGGTGGGGTGGAGGGGGTGGGAGTATGAGAGTAGGTAAAGTGAGAAGATCAAGACTCCAGGAACCCCATCTCAGTTTCCAAAATAACACTTCAACTTTCGTTTGTTTATTATGCTGGGCTGCCATAAAAGCATACATTTAAAGAAAGGATTTCCACTATTTAAAACTGGCATAATAAACTAATAATAAAACTGGCAGGTTTAAAAATTACTATTTCCTATCATCTCTCCTGATTAGGTAAATATTTAGCAAGTTTATTATTGTACAAATTATTTTATTCGTGACAAAAAGCTGTTTTCTCTAGAGAATTTTCTTTCTTCCTAGCATGAAAGCCATAATCTAAAAAACACGACTCAGGGTTATAAGAAGTCAAGTTTGGAACTAGCATCTTGGGGCTAGAGAACTTCTCCACATAGATGCTCAGTTTAGAAATTCTACCATCCCTTTTAGTGCCCATTCCTTTGGTTATTTTAGAACTTCTAAAGTCTGTTTATGAGACAACATGGGAGTGAGTCTCCTTTTCCTGAATTGTAATGCATAAGATTTCTAAAGACTTAAATAGGATCCAATGATGTCTAAATAATTATGGACGAAATGCTAAGTGAAAATCTGGATGATAAAAGAAGTCTTCTATTAGCAGGAAAATGTTTACTCTAGCTGATCCTTCTCAGAAGTTGCTTTCACCAGCTTCAGAAACAATCAACCCCAGCTGCCCATCTGCTGACTACAACCCGTAGTGCCTATCTTGTACTCTCCTATAGGTCATTATGTCTTAAATTCTACTTTCCTGCACCACTCACAGCAAACAATCACCCTTTTGGCTTCTTACTGGAAGCCCAAATTGTAATGTCTACAAGTTTACTGTCTTGTAGAACCAATGAGGCAGTTGAAAAAGAAGAAATAAAGTTCCTGGCAAAAAAAGCTAGTTAAAAGAAATGGTACTTACTAAGAGATTTTGTCTTAATAACAAGGAAAGGCTAAATTTCAGTTGATAAACATAGCTTCTTCCTGGAATCCACTTGTATCACATGAAACCAATTTCTAAGAATTTAGCAGTATTTTTGTTTTAATATTCTGTCAGGAGCAGTACTCAACAAAAATAAAGCCCTAGCATAGTAAACCTCAAGGCTGGCTATGTAATTTGCAGGGGGTAGTGCAAGATGAAAATAAGGGGCCCCTTGTTCAAAATTATTTAAAATTCCAAGAACGTGACAGCAGAACATTAAACCAAGCATGGGCCCTTCTTCTAAGTGTGACTGCACAGGCTGAACACTGCGAATATAGTCCTTCCTATGCTTGCACCTATGCCGAAAATATCAGAGGCCACTGTCAATCTGCACAGACCCGATAGAGCTTTCCCGATCATCTTCTTACTTCCGTATCTGCCGTTTGGTGAACTCGTTCACTTTCTCCATCTCAGCCTCTGCCAAAGTAGAAGTTTTATCCTTTATTTGTCCAAAAATTTCTATTTTGTATATAAGAAAAGCGTTTTTGTTGGTCTTGTCATGCTGGTCATGAGAACTAGGTCAGTTTACTTTTCAGGGCCCACCACAAAAGCAGGTGGGTGGAAGTTTCATTCTTCTCCTGGACACCTTGGTGGGTTTGGGGAAGCGGGACTGAGGGCTAAATTGGGGGTGAGCACAACTGCTCTGTGTAAAAAGGGAGAAGAATTTGACATCTGAGGGATGACCTAGGAAGGACAGATCATGGACAAGACAAGGGGGAGAAGAAGCAGGGAACAAGCTCTGTGATGTGCATGTGATACTTTTCCTTAACCCCCAGAATTACTGGTAAAATCTGTGTGACTGGATGTTTTGAGAAACTTGGAGTACCACCCTGGGTCTCTGGCCCAGAACAGCAACTTCAAATGCAAAAGGAATGGAAGGAGGCAGAGGGAGGCAGAGGAGGCAGATGGAACCTCAGAAATTAGAATCTTAGATGGCAGAGTGGAGACCTTGAACTTCACAGGCCATGGAATTGGAGAACCAAAGTCATACTTCCTAGTTCTGGAGGCAAGGGGTGTTCTTAACTCCCAAGCGATTCTTACATTAAGAATAATGAAAGTCTTACCACAGGCCAACTACTGTGGTCACTATTCCCCACATATCAGCTCATCTGATTGTCCCGGTAACACTATAAAATAGGTATTGTTTTGCAGATACTCAAAATAAGATACTAAAAGGTTACAGGATTTTCCCAGGCTCCTATCTACTAAGGTACTGGAGCTGGAACTTGAAATTAGAAAGTTTCCAAGACCAGTGATCTTGAGCACTCCAAATTCTATCTTCCTAGATTATCTCATGTAACCCTGTGGTCTAGGAAAAGTAAATGCTGTTATTCAGGCTTTACAGTGAGAGAACTGAAGGTCAGAAACGTTAAGCAGTTGATACAAGGGAAACTAGTAAGTGGCAGAACAAGGATCCAAACAGAATAGAACCAATTCCACACCTTTGCTTTACCTCTAACCCTTATTGCCTCCTCTGAAAATGGAGCTAGATTCAGATTCTAGCTCTGCCCTCCACTATCTATATTACCCAAGCAAATCACTTAACCTGCTGGCTTCTTCATTTCCTCATCCACAATATTGCAATTATAACTACTTTGAAGCGTGGTTCTAATGAAATATGAGATAACACACAGGTGAGCTGGAATGCATTATGCAAATATAAGGTATATTTACTGCTGTTATTTTGGAATACAAAGACTGTACTTCCCATGATGCTTTTCACTCTCCTATTTCTTAATATTCACCAAGGAGAGAAGGAAGAGATGTATCTTTGGAACAATGTTAATTTCATCCTACGGCTTTTGATTATTCATCCCTCTGAGTGATCCAGTCTCATTACATTCAGTCATTCGCTCTAAATGCTTGGCAGGCATCCAAACAGTTATTTGTTCAACTCAATAATCTAAGTTTATTGTCTTAAATAAATCACACCTGACAAATAACCCGTGCTTCAAAACGATCTTTAAAAGTGGGTGCTAAAGTGACACTGTCAATTCCAAAAATCATGGGTGATGTTAAGGCTTTTAACAAAACAACTTAAAAGTTTGACATTTTAATTTATTGCTGTACTGCTTTTTGTAACTGTACTTTGATTGGTTTCCACTCCTTCCTAAGCAGTAATTTTTTTCATGTGAAATATAATTTATACTTTGAAAGTGATCAACTATGAGCAGTGCATATATGAGCAATATAAATATAAAACTGTTCTTGAAGGACCAATGCTTTGCTTCATTAAATTTTCACATTTTAAAATGTTAATATCAGTGGCCACAAACATATAAAAATCTGGATGTACTTAATTTCCATAAATTGGAAATTCATTTGTATAATTTTGGAAGCACATTAAGGAATGTAAAAAATAAATTTCTCATATGTTATAAAAATGAAAGAAAAGCAGATGAATAATATGATCCCAATTATCATCAAGTTCTGGACTTCAGAAACTATACTGGGAGGATATAAAATAATAAAATAACTTGAATAATGGAAGATTAAAATCAGTCAATAAGTATTCAGGAGATGTTTATCACTTCAATCAAGTCAAAGTTATATGTTTTAATGGAAAAAGTATTAGCATGAGTAACCAAAAAGAGTATATTATCAAAACAATTTATATTAAACTTATTAATATACACATGAACTTACATTTAAGTTTTAAATTTAATTAAGACTAGGGATTTCTGGGAGCAATTAAATTTTGTATATATATTATATTACAACTAAAGAATGAATATGTGCTAAAAATGTCCAGTTAAGGAGAACTTGTAAAACTGAAGCAATTTCCCATTTTATTTCCCAGCTCACTGCTCAGCTTCCTCTATAATAGGACAGACAGCAGGGTATGGTTAAGCCAAAGTACTAGCCTAAGACAAGCCTTACTTCTCCCCTAGATTTCATGTTAACCGCCTCCTTACCTGATTAGAAGAGGTCAATATAAAGCTCGGTAAGTTAGTTTAAAAGGTTCTTCCTTTGATCTTTCCTCAAATGATCGTGACCTTCATGCCTGGAAAAGACAGAAATAAAGCAGATTTAGTAGCAATGTAAAGACATTGAAAATAAGATATGCTGTAGCTTATGTACCAACAGATAATTGGGAACAGAATGTATTGTAATCAAACATAACACATCCCATATAAAGCGTTATGTTTCAGTAATCATATTTTTGGAATACACCAACTTGATGCAAAATGGTAGTCATTAAATTCCTTAGACAGCAACCTACTAACAATATTGAACTTTTCTGTTAGGCTTCAGATAGTGATAAATTGACTTATACTTTATGTCATATTAAAAATCAAATATTAACAAAAAAGATTTTTCAATACTTTTCCCATCAACATTTAACTCAATACTTAAGTGTTCTTATAATAAAAATAATTCATTGTTATTTTAATATCTCATATATATCCACTATTTGGTTGTTCATATGCAATCACCAACAGGAAAGTCTGTATTCCCCTCAAAGGCGTAAATGCACTTCTGCCACTCAGGGATATTTCAGGTCACCCTTAAAAAGTCAGATTTCAGCAGATGACATAGTTACCTGGTACTTTGGGGACTATCTACCCAGAAAATTGAGGTAACTTAGACAAAGACTGGATTTCTTCTTTATTTTTTAAATTTTTTTAGCCTAAAATTATCAGGTCAGCTAAGTGCAAGGTTCTAAAGGCATCAGCTAATTAAGCAATGTTCTGCTTCCCTGGGGCTGTCTAGAGATTGCATTTAAAAAGTAACCCATGGATCAAATCACACACACACACAAATGCACACGCACACACACATGTTCACATTCGGGTAAATGAGTACATGTAAAGAGGAGTGAAAATGCGTAAGATCTAGAGCCTAGTTAACAGTATTTTATTAATGTCAGTTTCATCATTTTGATATTATACTGCAGTTATATAAGACGTCACCATTTGGGAGAAGGTGGTTTAAGGGCACATGGGACTCTATGTACTATTTTTGTGACTCCCTGTTGGTCCATAATTATTTCAAAATAAAAAGATTTTTTTTTTTAAAAAAAGGAACCCCATAGACAATTATGCCTCAAGGAACTGATGCACTGCTCTGTAAAATGCTGAATCAGTACCACAGAAGAAAGTTCAAAATAGACATTATTTTAAAATAATGAGGCATTAATTTGTTGTAATTTCCACCATAATTTGATCCAAAAACATAAAACAAAATATAAGTTTAGGTTAGGGTAAGGCTTATAAATAGTGGTGTACTGGTAAACATTTCACAATCAGCTCTTGAGTATGGAGCTCTGATTGTAGCATTGGCTACTTTGCATACTGTAAATCTTCCCACTGTGGCAAATTTCAAACTGTAAATGTAACATTGACATCTCAGTAAATTCCTGAAAATTTGGCAACCAGTTTTCACATGGAATCCATATCATGAAGAAAGTGAACGGACTCTGAGTGGGTATACTTACTTGTATGGCCCACCCCATAAGGAGGGACCCAGCAGGACAAGGCCCAGAGTTGGGTCTCTAGGGTTTAGGTCCCCTCTTGCCTGGCTCTAAATCCTCATCCCACATGTCAGCCTCATCTACCTAGCCCTCTTTCATCCATTCACTTTCTATTTGAGCCATGATTCAGCCAAGATCAGAAGGAGCTGGAGAGGACAGGCTTATTAAGCATTTATTTTGGGGATAGTTCTCATTTCAGCAGTTTTCCCTCCACATCATATACCCAAATCATGCCATAATGTACCAACTTGTTTACCACTGATTTTAGAGCAGCAAAATGTCTTCTTTTATTAGCACACAGTATATTCCAATAATGACTCCCGCAAATGGATGATGGGAGTTTATTTGGAGAGTTTGTGCTCTTAACTAAAAATCCCTTTCTCTTCTCTCAGACAGGATCATGCTCTTTGATAAAACATGTATCTTTTTGGGGTGGAACAGCAATGGAGAGTGGAAGAGAATAAGGATGCTTAACTGGGGAACCTGATTCTTGTTCATGTTGATAAATGGTGATTGGTGCCATCTTATAACCCAGTCACAGCTGACTGGTCCAGTATATTATGTTCAATACAAAATAGAATAATGTAGCTTAAAATATAATACAGTTCACAATGATTAACGTGATAGCACATTTTAAACAATGACTTTGAATTAAAGATAGCAAATTTTAGGATAACTGAGAAAGATGACATTAATTTATCTGGACACATGATTTGCTTGCAGTCATTCCAAACAATATACATTAGACAAACTATGAGTGGCCTTATTCTTAAGAAGGAGATCCCATTTGATATAGTTGGGATATTTGTCTCCTCCAGGTTACATGTTGAAATTTGAACCCCACTGTTGGAGGTGGGGCCTGGTGGGAGGTGTTTGGGTCATGGGGGTGGATCCCTCACTGATGACTTGCTGCCATCCTCACGGTAATGAATGAGTTTGCGCTCTATTAGTTCCCATAAGAACTTACTGTTAAAAAGATCATGGCACCTCCCTTCTCTCTTTCTTCCTCTCTTGCCATGTGACGCCTGTTTCCCTTTGCATTGCATCATAAGTGGAAGCTTCCTGAGGCCTCACCAGAAGCAGATGTTGGCATCATGCTTCTTGTATAGCCTGCAGAACCATAAGCAAAATAAACCGCTTTTCTTTATAAAGTACCAGCCTCAGGTATTTCTTTTTTTCTTTTTTTTTTTTTTTTTTTTTTTTGAGACGGAGTCTCCTTGTATTGCTCAGGCTGGAGCAATCTTGGCTCACTGCAATCTCCACCTCCTGGGTTCAAGCAATTCTCTGCCTGGGCCTTCCAAGTAACTGAGATTACAGGTGCCCACCACCATGCCTGGCTAATTTTTTTGTATTTTTAGTAGAGATGGGGTTTCACCATCTTGGCCAGGCTGGTCTTGAACTCCTGACCTTGTGATCCACCTGCCTCGACCTCCCAAATTGCTGGGATTACAGGCATGAGCCACTGCACCCCACCAGGTATTTCTTCAAAACAACACAAGTAGATTCAGACAGCATGCCCATCCATAACCTGCCTAATTATTTTGGAATTACCCTAATCAAGCTCCCCAACAGTGTATGAACTTTGCTTAAATCACTATGGTGGTTTCATATCACTCATTATTGATTCAATTCAAGTTTCCTATGGTTTCTGGTTAGAATGAAATAAAATTTAAAGCCATTTTCATGATAAGATCACATTCTTTCGTTCAGACTCTGGATAAAATTAATTTACTGAATTACAACTGACATTGCATTTTAGAATGGAGTGGAATGGAATTGAAGAGAATAAAAAATATTAGAGTGTCCATTTATTAATACTAAGTATTGTATAGGAAGCTGTCACTCAGAGTTGCAATCTAAAAGGTTTTTTTTTACTACTATTAATAGTTAAAAAAAAATTAAGTTCCACCGCCCTAATGGCCCTACCCTCCTCTCTGCCCTCATCACTTTCAATGCTCTCCCTCACTCATGAAGGTCTGCCACATTTGCTTCTGCTTCTTAAGTATGTCAGGCTCACTTTGGTCTCAGGATCTTTGCCCTTACAACTTTGTATTTCTGGAGAGCTCTAGGTGCAGAGGTATCTCATCCCATTTTAGTTTGATTTTCCTTGATAGTGAATGATATTGGGCACTTTTTCATGTTATGCTTGTTGCTTATTTGGATATCCTCTGCAGATAAGTGCCCCTGCAAGTCTTTTGCCCATTTTGTTTTTGAGCTGTTTTTCATCTCTAATGAATTTGTGGGAACTCTATACATTTTGTATATGAATCCTTTGTTGTATATGAATCCTTCATTTATTTACTTTGGTTTGTACATTAGCATCTTCTTTCAGAAATTTTCATCTACCTAAAGTTATGGTAATTTTAACCTTGTTTTCTTTCAAAAGCCTTATTGTTTGCCTTTTAATTTTAGCTCAACAATGCACTTCAAATTGATTTTTATATGAAGTTTGAGGTAAGGGTCAAGTAACATTTTGTTTTTTCCCCACAAGGATATTCCACTGCTCCATTCTTTCCTTTCTTAGCAGTGGCATCTCTGTCTGACCCAAAGTGTCTGTATATGTGTGGGTCTATTTCTGGGCACTTTATTCTGTTCCATTGGTGTACTTTTCTGTCACTTTCTTAAATATTGTATCTTTATAGTCATTCTTAACAATATCATTTTTCAGTAATAAAAAGAAATGAACTATTAATGTATTCAACAACTTGGATGGATCTCAAGAAAATTATGCTGAGTGAAAAAAAGTCAATCCCAAAAGATTGCATACTGTATAATTCCATTAATATAACATTCTTGAAATGACAAAATTATAGTCAGGAAGAATGAATTCAATCACTGTAAGTTAGTGATTGCCAGAGGTTAGAGATGGGGGAGGAGGTGCAGGAGGTAGATGTTGTTAGAAAAAGGCAGACAAATATACGGGATCCTTGTGGAAATGAAACTACTCTGTATCCTTACTATGGTGATGATTACATAAATCTCTACTTGTTAAAATCACATCGAATTAAATACATATACAGACATACACATACACGTACACACATGCACGAGTACACTTAAAACAGGGGAAATGTGAATAAGATTAATTCTATAAAGTCAATGTCCTGATTGTGATATTGTACTAGATTCATATGAGATACTACAATTGGGGGAAACTGGTTGAACACTATGTGGAGTATCTATAGTATTTCTTACAAATGCATGTGAATGAACTCAAATGAAAAAATGTTGATCTTCCAAATGAACATAGGATAGCACCCCATTTAGTTAGATCTTTAAAACTTTCTCTCAGACATATTTTATAGTTTTCAATGTAGAAATGTTGCACATTTTTGTTAGATTTCTAGGGATTTGAAGTTTTTGATGTTACTGTAAAGAATACCATTTTAAAATTTTATTTTCCAATTGTTCATTGCAAGTATATGAAATACAACTGATTTTGTATATTGGTTTTTATATCCAGTAATCATGCTACATTCACTTAAGTATAATAGTTCATTTTTACATTTTTTTAGATTTTTAACATAATCACATCTATCATCTATGAATAATGACAATTTTATTTTTTCTTTCCAAAGCTTATCAGCTTTTATTTTGTTTTCTGATTTATTGAACTAGCTAAGATCTTAAGTACAATATTGATTAGAATTGGTAACAGTGGATATCTTTGTCTTGCTCACAAACTCATGGGAACATGTTCAATATTTCAAAATTGAAAAAATACTTGCTATAAGTTTTATCAAATGTTTTTATCTATCTCTTTAGATGATTATATTATTTTTCTCATTTATTTTATTAGTGGAGAGTGTTGCAAAAGTCTCTTGTACAGTCATGTTCCACACAACAGCATTTTGGGCAACAACAAACCACATATACAATGGTGATTCCATGATATTATAATGGCGCATATATAGAAACCTGATCTAAGACACGTGATATTGGCATTTCAGATGAAGTAGGGGAAATGATTAATATTGGGTCATGGTAATGGGGCATTTGGTTTTTCCATATGAACTGTATTGTGTGAATATGCTGTATGATTTTCACCCTACGATGAAATCATCTAACAATGCATTGCTCAGAACACATCCTGGTTGTTAAGTGACATGACCGTATTTTGTTCTGCTCTTTCCATTCTTTTATTGTCGGTGTAATTTAGTTTGGATATTTCCTGTTGACTAGTTTTTGAGTTTGCTCAACCTATTTTCTGTTATGTCTAGTATGCTCTTAATTAATCTAATAAGTTCTTAATTTCACAATTAAGATTTTCCAATTGTTGATATGCATTTGATTCCTTTTTAAGCAGATTCCAATTCGCTTCCAAGGTTCTCCAAATTTTCATTCATTTTATTCAAGTTTTTCTCTATTTTAATATACACTTAATAGTTATATTGAAATACTTATCCCCTAACTCCAAGATTTCAATTATCTTCTATTGATTGTTTTTTTCTTTTATCAGTCATATTATCCTCCCTTTTTATGTACCTGGTAATTTTTTATTGTACACTAGAAACTGTGAATGAAAGAGTCATGGAAATTGAAGGTGATGTTATTTTCCCAAAGGAAGGGTTCACTCTTCTCTCTGCTGGGCAGATTGAGTGAGGAGCTACATTACCTTAATCTAGCAAGGAGTTGAGCTGAATAAGAAGGGGGCTAAAGCTTCAGGTGGACTTCCTCCACTTCTGGTCTCATGTGTCTTCAGCATGTATTGAACCTCTATTCTGGGTCTCTCTATCTAGTGGACTGGAGACTGTGAGATAGTTGATGATGCCTTTCAAACCTCTATCCATCACCCCACCATGCTTTAAAACTAAACAAATTTTTCACAGAAAAAAATCAGCCAAATGCTTAGGAATCCTGTCTAGTTCATAATGTCAGTCAACACAAAAATCTCTGCTGGTCTTACTTTCTCCTGTTGGGGTCTCTATTTTTATGGCAATGTCAATCCTCAGCCTGTGCTCAGACCTGCAAATGCCTCCAGGTATGCAAGTCCCAGCTTATCAAAGGAGGGCTCTTCAAACAACTGGATTAAATGGGCAAAGGACTTCAATAGACATTTCTGCAAGTAAGATACACAAAAGCCAACAAGCTCATGAAAAGATGCCCAATATCATTAATCATTAGAGAAATGCAAATCAAATCTACAGTGTGGTACTACTTCACACAATTAGGATGGCTGTAACTTAGAAAAAGGAATATAACAAGTGGCAAAGATGTTAAGAATTTAGAACCCCCTTCCATTGCTGGTGAGAATGTAAAATGGTTTAGCCACCCCAAAAGGAATTAAATGTGGATACTTAAACAAATATATGTGTGTGTGTGTGTGTGTGTGTGTGTGTGTGTGTGTGTGTGTGTATGTACACAGCAGCACTACTCACCATAGCCAAAATATGGAAACAGCTTAAATGTCTATCAGGTGATGAAAGGATGAACAAATTGTGATATATGCATACAGTGGAATATTATTCAGCCTTAAATAGCAAGGAATATTTACATGCTATAATGAAGATGAACCTCAAAACATTATGTTAAGTGAAGGAAGACAAATAAGGACAAATTGTTCTATTTATATAAAATATCCAGAATAGGTAAATTCATAGAGACAGAACACAGATTGGTGGTTTCCAAGGGCTGGAAAAATAAAGGGATGGAGAACAATTGCTTAACGAGTATGAGGTTTTCTTTTGGAGTGATAAAAATGTTTTGGAACTAGGTAGAGGTGGTGGTTGCAAAACATTGTGAATATAATAAACACCATTGAATTGTTCACTTTTAAAAGGTTAATTTTTGTTTGGTGAATGTTACCTCACTTAAAAAAGAAAGGAATTTTTAACCCAGGAATGTTTTGCTTATATACCCTTCTGTGTTTCCGTAACTCTACAATGTCTTAAATGATTTTAAAATTTATCCACTTCTTTCTCGTTGTTGCAGTGAAAATAGTGGCCTACCCAGAAGTAAGCTTCTGCACATTACATTTTTGAATATTTTAAATCATATATTACTCTCTAAAATTATATTGTTGATTTAACTCATTTCTTTCTTTGTTGTCTATCTATGGTGATTCTAAGCCTATGCTCAGATTCTGCTATGGAATCTGCTATAAAATGCTCTGAAGAGCAGGGACTTTGTCTTTCTTCCTCACTGCTATATCCACAACATCTAGCACTGGCCCAATTCACAGCAGGCTCTCAACAAATACTTCCTGAATATATGAAATGAAATGTTTTTAGGAGAAGCAGTGCACTTGTTCTCTTTTAATATTAGTTCATGGAAAACTCCTATCTTTGTCCTTCAGTTTATTGATAAGTCTGTGGTTGCTGAGGGTTTATTCCTTTATTGTCTCTTAAGTAACAACCAAGGGCAGGGAAGGAGAATAATTTTTCAAGTCTCGGACACACAATGGGTCATAAAGGGAAATTCATTAACACCAAATATTCACACACAAACCAAGTATGCTAAATAGCTAACAAATGCAGCTGTGGCAAAGGTAATTTGCTATTGTGATCCTAAAGTATCAGAAGATCTTTGAAGCTTGTGAATCCTTATTTCAAAAAAAAAAATATTGCTCTGTTGACTAAACCTCAGCATAAATTAAAGAAGTCCGATCATGTGGCATCTTTACCAAACAGTTCTTGACATCAGAGGGTGATAGGCAACATTTATTTACCTGCTTTCAACAGACTGACCAAGGTCTGAAGTACCAAAAAAAAAAGACCATTTCAGCCAATGAATCTGCTCTAAGCAGTGTATTTCAAGGACTTCCCAGCTCTCCTTTAGATCAAACTTCAAAATGAAAACAGCACCAATGATATTCACCCAGCTCTCCTGCATTAAATGTTATCACCAAATTTAGATCGCACTTCAAGTGTGTGGCCTCTTAGGTTTCCAACAAACCTTGATAATGTTAGAATTTACATAACAAAGTTTCATTGACTTGGTGGGAAATAGTACTTAATATTTTAAAATAAGTAAGACTTAGCGGGCAAGAAAATGGCTAAGGAGTCTTCTCAGAACTCAAATTGCTCTTTTAAAAAATGAAAACAGCTTGCATGAATTTAAGTCACCCTTGAAAAAGTGACTGTAATATAAAATCTTGGTCTTTTCCCAAATCAAGATTCAAGTTTCTGATCTTTATTCATTTTTCTATCTTATGCAGTCAATGAAAGCTTAACCAAGAAGCAAAGACTTTGAAATCGTCTCCTATCTTCCAAGATTTGATTTCTATGTAGCTCACACTAAATACATTTTTCTTTATTTTCTCATGCTTTTAGGAATATATTTTACCATTCCCTATGCCAGATTCACTCGTTCCAGGTCTTTTATACCACAAATATCCAGCAACACAAATATATGTGCCTTCAGAACAGTATAAATAGATTTCACATGGTTATTTCAATATATATCAGTAACTATTCTTTTAGAAGGTATGTTGCTTTACATGTAATATTTTATACATGAAATACTTACAGTAGGTTAAACAAAAATGTATATTAAGCATGGCAATAATGTATTTACCTTACCATTTTAATATCACTCATTTCTTCATAGAGTTTTTATTAATTTTGATAAGGCTAGGATTATGGCACATTGATAACAGGCATAAAAATTATATCTGTTTTAATAGACTAAGTTCTATTTCTTCACAGGCTAAGGACCTGACATTCAATAAACCCTTGGAATCCAAAAATAATGATAATCATAGAAAATAGTAAAATGTTTTAGCTTGTTTCTTTCCTTTTCTTAAGAGAGACACATCTAATTGCTTCCCAAATGACCCCAGTGTCTTGGAATCAATATATCTGATTTATAGGTCATCTCAAAACCATATCCTTCAAAATACAAAAGTACTTTCCTAACACTGGTGCAATTATTTTCTCTTTAACTCCCATGTTTTCCCAGTTATCTTCACTGCGTTAGAAAAAGAGGTATTGATCTTATCTATAGCTTCAAAAAGAAGTACTTGTAGAGTCCCTCAGTTTAACCCCTTTTGGCATACATTTCTCATTTTAATTTCTGAATGGCCTCTGTATGTGTATATGCATTGGAAGAAACTAGTCACAAACTTTGATTATTCCTGGTGGCACCATATCCTGGTGGAAACAGATAACATATAAAATATTATAAAAATTATTTATAAAATGTCTATTTTATAAATAATATAAAATAGATAACAACATTATTCCTTTTATTCTTTACAGAACGGTAAGTCCAGGACCAAGGGTCTACAAAGTTCCAGTTTATAGCTCAGATTGAAATCAGCTCCCAGTGAATTTTGTGGGGGCAGAAGACTTCCTCAGATGTCTAGGGGCTTTGCAGAACAATGATCAAGAGGAGTATTTTTCACTTCAGGGTGTCCTTAGGTGGGCAGATACTGCAGGACAGGAGTTAGCGAATACACCATCCACCCAGAGGGCCACCGAGGAGCCACTGAGAGAGAAGGAACAACCGTTTCTGCAAAACAGCATGGCTTGGGTGGGAGGGCTTCACTAATTTAACGCACTAATTTTCTCTGTTGAACCTGGTAGTCTGTAAAAGACACTGTGTCCCCTCTAGTAAACAGCAAACTTGCTTCTCACGCACAGGGGCAGTGGGTGCTGAAAATCATGGAATGCAGTCCCTGAGCCCATCAGTCATGAGCCTTTTAATGTCATAAGCTGCTGGAAATTGTCCCCTTTTAAACACATGTCGATTTTCTTTGTACCTTTATTTCATCCATGGAGACAGCTTCCTCCTCTGTTTGCTTATTTTTTTCTTAATGG
Source organism: Homo sapiens (assembly GCF_000001405.40). Lineage (NCBI taxonomy): Eukaryota > Metazoa > Chordata > Mammalia > Primates > Hominidae > Homo > Homo sapiens. The sequence goes on from NC_000009.12 coordinate 82,841,356, forward strand.
GTTGATCCAGGAAAACGTTTGCTCCTCCTCCGGAGTTTAAATATTTATTCTAATTTCTCTTCCAGAATCTCTTTTTCTCATTTCTAATTATCTATTTCTTGTGACTCTTCTGTTCTTTCAGTGCAGAAATAGCAGTATGTTTGATAATAGGGGACTTCCCCAGACTTCCCTAGAGGTGCCAGGTAATATATGTTTTATTACCTTTCTAAAATTGGAAAAATTATTAATTCCAAGAACTTAGGATTTGTGGAGCCTTCTGCTGGTCTGTTTTAGCCTTTTGCCTGAGCAATAAGAAAACCTTTATTGTGTTCACGTAGATTTACGGGTTGTTCCCAACCTAACAGATGTGTTTCCCAATCCAAAATCTTAATTTGTCAAAAACACTTGGTTTTTTCACACATTATTAATTCATATCAACTAAATGGCATGTGCTAACTTTGTTGAACAGGCTAAGTTTAAAACTATTTGTTGCTCTTATTAAATATTAAATAAACTTTAAAATGAATTATTTAAAATACACTGATCCAAAATACTTTTAATTAAAACGGTCTAATTTAAAAGGGGATTTACACATTGTGTATTACTGGGAAAGGAGTTGAAAGGTGAGTTGATGGTCCCAAATGTTCCTTGCAACCTTGGTAGTCTAGATGCTGCTCTTTGAAGAATGCCCTGGGTAAAGGCTGCCCTTAGCTGCCACAAGTGGACCTTAATCTAAGAAGTTTGTAAAAGGAGGCCAGCCGGGAGCTCCAAGCATCAGTTTTGTTGCATTCTATTAATTCACACTTCAGTGATCTGCCAGTGTTATACAATAATTCTTAAGAAAATTACTACCTGCCTTAGCTGATAGCACACAGGAAATTTAGTGGTGGAAGGATTCAAAGAGGATTCTCTATGTAGAAATGTCACTGCTGGTATAAGAAGTATTTATTAAGAAACATCATTGTTCAAATTTAACTACTTCCTTTTAAAAGTGATTATCCTGAATTAAGGTTCCAGCCTCAAACTGTTTGATCAATGAGACAAGGTAGGTGGAAAGATTTTTTTGCAGAAACAGAGTAACTGTGAGATCAAAGGGGTGTTTCAATGCTCAGGTATATTGGCCCACTGGTTTCCTTTCCCCTGAAATCCTGACTACTGAGTTATGTCAAGTTCACAAGTGTTGAGTCAGCTCCTACTACTTGCCCAGCCCTACGGTAGTTGTTTTGAGAACTGCCAAAAAATATTTGGAAGGCGAATTTTAATTAGATAGCAATAATCAAAAAATATTCATAACTATACAATTTTATGGCTAGGACATTTATTCAAAATAAGCATAGATGTGTGCAAAGAATTTTCTATCAAAATTTTATTCACAGTCTTGTTTTCTTTTTAATAACAGCAGTGAAAAAAATAGTATAACTTAAATATCCAAGAATAAGAAATTGCTTAAATTAATTTTCAAATAAAGCAAATAGAGTCAATGATAACAGTTAAATGCAAGGCTTTGGGGCAAAATTTAGTAGGACTGGAGTTGCAACTCTGCTATTGACTAGTTTTGCAATCCTGGGCAAGATACTTAAATTCTCTAACAATTGTTTCCTCATCTGTAAAACAGAGATAATACCTACTTCAAATGATGACAATTTGAAAAAAAAAAATCAAACTCTGTAATTTAGGTATACTATGTAGCACAGAATCTGGCATACAATAAGTATTCATCATATAATGAATGGTTATCATGGTAACAATAAAACTATACACAAATATTACATTTATGTTGCAGAATATTTTGTTATGAGTAAATGCTCACGATTTATTGTTAAATCAGAAAAAGTAGTAATGAAGTAGAAAATAGTGAATAATCTTAATTTTTTTTAAAAAAGTTATGTAGGTGCCTGTCGAGGGGTCAGGGGGAGGGAGAGCAACAGGATAAATAGATAATGCACGCAGGGCTTAATCCCTAGGTGATGGGTTGATAGGTGCAGCAAACTACCATGACACATGTTTACCTGTGTAACAAACCTGCACGTCCTCTGCATGTATCCTGGAACTTAAAATAGAATAAAATTAAACTTTAAAAATAAAAATAAAGAGCAAAGATCTCTCTAAAAAAATTAATTACAGGAAAGATAGAACAAACTTTAGTAGTATATACTTCTGGTGACAGAATTATGAGTAATAACTGGTTTTTTCTTCATGCTTTGCTTCATTGATTATATTATATATTGAAAACTGAATATTCATATTTTGCAAACATGTAAAAAGGTGACTGCTGCCATAAAAATAAAAACAAAATAATTTGCTCTAAAAGGCAGGAGAGAGCTGAGCACTGTGGCTCATGCCTGTAGTACCAGCTCTTTGAGAGGCTGAAGCAGGAGGATCACTTGAGGCCAGGAGTTCATGACCAACCTGGGCAAACTGGTGAGACCCTATCTCTGCAAAAGATGTTTTTGTAGTTAGCTGGGCATGGTGGCATGCACCTGTAGTCCTAGCTACTTGAGAGGCTGAAGTAGGAGGACAATCTGAGACCAAGATTGGAGGTTATAGTGACTTTGATTGCACCACTGCACTCCAGCCTGGGCAACAGTGCAAGACCCTGTGTAAAAAAATCAAACAAAAAATAAGCAGGAGATATTCCTTCCAGCTGGGTGGATTAGAGAAATCTGCATAGAAGATATCGCACATGAAATGAACCCCAAAATACATGCAAGATTTGGCCACACAGGGATAAGAAGGGCAATTCTGAGGAAAAGGATAGAGCAAAATGCAAAGATATAAATGTTTGAAACTTGTTTAGGGAACAACACATAGAAGTTCAGTTTCCCTGAAATGCAAGGAAGGATTTTCTGCATCCAGATCAGAGACAATATGAAGGCCAAGGTTAAACATCTGGACATTGTTCTAAGCCCTACAGCATGTTAATAAAGCTCCAGGAATAAAATTTTTTTAAAGGATTTATAGTCAAATAAAAAAAATTTCATGTTTTACCCCCTTCAGAGATTCTCCATGTGATTTAGTATATTTAAAGCTTTGTGAAATTGTGCTTTTAAAAATATTTTTTAAATTTTATTATGTTTTATTTTTTAATTGACATAATTATATACATTTATGGGGTACATAGTGATATTTTGATACATAATGTATAGTAATCAGATCAGGGTAATTAGCATATTTATCATTACAAACATTTATCATTTGTTTTTGTTGGAAAAATTCAATATCCTCTTTCTAGCTCCTTGAAACTATATAATATACTATTGTTAACTATAGCTATCCTATAGTTATATAACATATACTGTTATAGAACATTACAATTTATTCCTCCTATCCAGATGTTCTTTTTAAATCCCTTAACAGATTGTACTTTCAAAGACAGAAAAACAAACCATATTTAACATTGGTTAACCTGGTATTTTTATATAGATCAAAACATTGTATCTCTGTGCTACCTTAAGAATAGCACAAAGGACAGATGAACTTTATTATTTATTTATTTATTTTTAACTTATATTTTAAGTTCAGGGGTACATGTGCAGGATGTGCAGGTTTGCTACATAGGTAAACGTGTGTCATGGGGGTTTGTTGTACAGATTATTTTGTCGCTCAGGTATTAAGCCTAGTACCCATTAGTTATTTTTCCTGATCCTTTCTCTCCTCCCACCCACGACCCTTCAGTAGGCCCCAGTGTGCTGTTCCCCTCCATGTGTCCAGGTGTTCTCAGATGAACTATGATAGAGAGAAGGGAAGGGGAGGAGATTCAGAGTATGGGAATCCTGTCCCTGGAGGAAAATCGTGACTGAAACATTTCGCGAAGATGTTGGGAACCCAAGAAGCAGAAGGTGGAAAGGAACATGCCAATGAATGGAAGGGAGAGTGCAAGACCCACTTTTCCTCCTTCTCAATGCTACCTGGGCTGATCTTGTCTGCAATACCATAACCCAGAGACTCAGTGGTGAGGAACCAAGTGGGAAACCTTCATGGAATAAGGTACAATGGGAGGCTTCAAGGCAGTGAGTCTAGGACGAGGCTGCACACATTCTGTCCCCATCTCAGCCCTCATTTATAGTCACTCACTAAAGACAATGAAGGAAAGCAAGGTCAACAGCCCTTCCACTGCTGAGCAAGTGCTAAGGAGGAGCTGTGGCTGCTGCAACCCAGAGAGCTCTTGGTGCCCCTTTCCCATTGGGCCCTCTTTATACTATTACCTTTATTTGCATGGCAGTTTTCACACATGTTAATTCATTTAATAAACATAACTCCATTGAGCCAGGTAGAGCAGATATCCCCAGTTTACAAATGAAGTTTATTGAAGTTATAACTATAATGAACATAGTCCTAAGGAGACCTCTATCATGTATGACCACAAGGCCCCAATGTAGATCATGAAATACTAGAAGCATTTACTAATTATAATTAATAAATACTAGCAAGCATAAACATCCAACATGAAAATACAAACTTAAATGCTAGAAAGTATAAATATTACTTTAAAAAGTGACTATGTTTAAGATGAGAATGCTGGGTTTACATATATAAAATGTTTAGAAATAGAGTATAGAAAGTATGGAAAACTTTGGCACACATTAGGAGTAATCAGAAAAACGTGTGCATTGATCACATCAAAATCAAATGATTTCAAAAATATGCCTAGCTGTATCTTAAATTAAAAAACATAGTAAAAATGACTATTCTATAATTACTTCAAATTATAGAAACACCTGATGCATTTTAGCTTATTGAATTATAGCAACTACCGATGTTCTAACAAATCTTCCTGGTTTATTTCTCATTGCATGATTCAACAAGGTCAAAATCTATTTTAGAGACAAAAGAGAGACCTGAGAAACCTAACAGTCTTTTATCGCATGCGCTATCCTTCTCTAGAGATAAAAAGCAACTTATCAGTTTAGTATGTAAATTATAAAATTGTATAAGTATTCAAAGATTCTTTGTTGAACTTTTTTGTGGAAAGAAGCTAAGATAATATCTTGACTAAGACATAGGGGAAAGGAGAATATAGAATTTGAATTTCGACTTGTTAAATTATTAGAGAATTGCTCATTGTTCCACAGAAGTTATGAACTTGAATTGCAGCCAATTAAAAACTAAATTTTGCCAAATTCATTTCTAAAACATTATACATGCTAATCCAGGGCAAGTGACTATAAACTAGAAACACTTTAGTAATGCTTAAAGATATGGAAACCAAATTTATTAGGCCTCATCATAAGCACATTTTGTAATAACTTTTTTAAAGAGCCCACTACAGTTTAATGGGCACTTTAGGATCAGATTAATTATCTAACTTCAGGTATCTGCGACAAAGAAAATGGAAAGCCCTCCACAGCTAAAAATGAAATTCAGATTTCTAGACTTTATTCTCTGGATGCATGTGTGTGCATGCATGCATGCATGTGTGCATTAAAAGAGAGACCGACAGTAAGAGAGAGATGGAAAGGGAGAAGAAAAGAGAAATGAAAATTGAACATTTGGTGGGAACAATAAAGATGACATAGTTCTCTTCTTCAAGACACTATCAAAAATCAGTTCAGAAATATATTTAACAGGTCATTTATTACTTCTAAATTTACTCCATCAGTACTTGAAAATAATTCCTTAAGCCCGAATATTACAGTATCCATTTTTGTCAGAGTTCATAGAATCTCAGGAGGTTTTAAAAACTCATTAGCTAATAGAGTTGCACTAAATCAGGAGGCTCACTAATAAAATAAAATTCTCTAGTGTTTAACTAGCAAATTGTATTTGATAATTGGTTCTTTGTAAATTGCTCTTTCATGGCCCTTGTCCATAGCTTATTTGATGGAGGGGGAAAATACGTGTATGTGTGAGTGTGTGTGTGTGTGTGTGTGTGTGTGTATAAATTAAAAATCCAGTATCTATAACTTATACCATGAAGTTGCTAAAATACTGTGTCTTCTAGACATGGCAACATTTTAAGTAAAATAGAACTATACAGCACTCAAGTTTGCCTACACAAAAGTGTGTCTTTTAAATATTGTTATGCCAAGTATTTCTTCTCTTAATTTGTATTTTGCACAATTTACATCTCTACTACTTTGGTAAGGACAAAGGCCTGGATCATCTTGAGTGAAGTGGACCTGATTTGATTCTCCTCAGTGTACCTCCAATTCCCTCATGAAATCAAGAGATGATTCCTAGATGTGTAAAAACTTTCATTGACTTAGAAGAAATAAAGCTACCCTTTTGCTACTCAAGAAAATTTGATGTGGTCAAAACACAGTCCCCACCCACCTAGCAAGTCTGACTCTTCAACCTTGACTGCTTGAGAGATAAACATGCCATTTCTGTTTTTTTACTTTCTCACAATGCATTCTATTTTAACGTGACTAATTTATACGAATTTATCACTGAAAATTCTTGTTAATTTTTTAATGAAGAATAGATTCTTCTCATCATAAAAAGGGAGAGAGTGTTCCTCCAGATCAACATTTAACAAACTTTATTTTCATAATTTCCAAGTGATTCAAGGGAATCCATATGTAGAGAACCATTTAAATCACAAGAACATCCTATACCTAGGAAAATCTGACAGGATGGTTTTACCTCAGATATTGATATGTGTCAATATTTATACTTTAATAGTTATATCTACGCACATACATAAAAATACATACATAGATATATTATATGTGTACATGCATGTTTACATTTATGTACATATGTACATACAATAGTCACATGCTCACTCACTGATTAGCAATAAGATATGTTTATTTTTAAAGCTAGAAACTGAAAACCTTTTTCAGAGAAAATGGCCAGCCAACAGTGACATTTGTTTTTTGCTTTTTATTTCCTGTATGCAGGCAGGAGTAGCAGGGACAGACTGGGAAAGGGAAGCTGAGGAGATATAGGTATTTGATATGCATATTGAATTCCACTCAACAAGTATTTATTAAATGCCACCCACAACCAATGTAGCAATAAGCTTTGTTGTTGCAGAATATATGAAGGAGGTAATATAAATATTGTTTATGCAAAAATACTTAGGAGAGTATATCATTCTTGACATTTAAGATGACTATGGTTTTACCTATTTAAGCCCTCAAATACATTAGCTTTGATCTTTTCCTTTTTAAAATGCAAACAAAGTTTAGGATTTTGGCCATTATAAACATACTATCTTGTAATTAAAGTGATGTTTTAGGATTTATTGATACATTCAAGAACCATCTGGTGGCCAGGCACAGTGGCTCACACCTGTAATCCCAGCACTTTGGGAGGCTGAGGCGGGTGGATCACGAGGTCAGGAGATCGAGACCATCCTGGCTAACGTGGTGAAACCCCGTCTCTACTAAAAATACAAAAAATTAGCCGAGCGTGGTGGCAGGTGCCTGTAGTCCCAGCTACTCAGGAGGCTGAGGCAGGAGAATGGCGTGAACCCAGGAGGCGGAGCTTGCAGTGAGCTGAGATCACGCCACTGCACTCCAGCCTGGGCGACAGAGCAAGACTCTGTCTCAAAAAAAAAAAAACAACAACAAACAAAAAAACACCATCTGGCCTTAAATTAAATAGTCCAGGACCTCTAAAATATTTGTGCATGTGTGTACGTGTGTGCACTTCTTATAGTTTTTCTGTCTCCCTTCTCACTTTCAGCCTGTTAATTATCATCTTTTACTGTTGTGAGTATGCTTGCCTGTAGCAGTCTTTTTCCTGCCTTTTACTTTACTTCTTTTAACCTAAGTGGCTTTGGAGACCAGGTAATAAGAGTTGCTAAAGATGTTTCTAAAATAAAAGTAAACAGGCTCAAAAGAAGTACCCAAGGATCTGTTTTGTGACTAGTGTGTGAGCGTTAGTTTATGGGCTTTGAATCATCTATTTTGATTGGTCATCACATCTTTTTCACCTACTTCATGGCTCTTAACTATGTTCTAGAAAAGCAAGATTGCTAATGGGTTGAGCAAGACTGCCAATGGGTTGAGTTCTATTCCCGGTGAAAACAAGTCCCAAAGTCTTACTGCAGTTTTAGGCTTTCATAATTTAAGAATGATAGATACTGCAATCTTACTTTAAAATTATTTAAATGTTTAATTATTTATTTTCTTTTATATTTTTGGGGTTCTGAGAATTTTGAAAAATATACTTTTTTAGATTTCAATCATTTGCCATCTTCCATCAGAGGGATTAAAACTAAAATACAAATATAAATATATTATTATAAATGCCCAAAATTAGAGTGTAAAATAATTTAAATAAACAATTTTAAAAATGATTTTTGAAGGATATAGGAGTTATACTTCTAAACTTATTAAAGTTTAAGTCTGACTAAAACTTTTGGGGCACTTTATTATTACTTACCACAATAACATTGACTTAGAGAAAATTATAGTCTTTACTTTTTTCTGGTGGGAGATGTGTTTCAGAGGACATTTTAATCAAATCCATCTACTGGAATGTTTTAGAAAAGGGAGAGACCTAATGAGTAGGAGAAAAGTTACTGTTTTGAATGCTTGCTTTGGTAGCTTGATTACAAAAATGACCCAAATTCTCTACCCCATTGCACTTTCTACATACAACAAAATCTCATATATACGTAAGTGTGGATCATTTAGTCTGCTCCTATTTCTCTGTCCTTGCACCAATATCATGTTGGGTTATTTACTATAGTTTTATACTAATGTCTCAACATTTGATAGAGCAGGTCTCATCTCATTCTTCTTATTCAAAATGATCCTATATGCCAGGCATAGTGGCTCACACCTGTAATCCCAGCACTTTTGGAGGTCAAGGAGGAGGGTGGCTTGAGGCCAGGAGTTCAAGACCAGCCTGAGGAACATAGTGAGACCCTGTCTCAAAAGGAAAGAGAAAGAAAGAAAGAGAGAAAGAAAGAAAGAAAGAAAGAAAGAAAGAAAGAAAGAAAGAAAGAAAGAAGGAAAGAAGGAAAGAAGGAAAGAAGGAAAGAAGGAAAGAAGGAAAGAAAGAAAGAAAGAAGGAAAGAAGGAAAGAAGGAAAGAAGGAAAGAAGGAAAGAAAGATCCAAAGGATGAAAAACAGGAGAATTGTATAATTCTCCTATTAGACATTAAGGTATTGAGGTAAAAGCTTAGTCTTGAATCTCCCAATTCACAGAGTGTCTCCCACACTTCTATTTTAAGTAAATAAATGTTTAGTGTGTTTAATAAAGTAATAGATTGTGGAAAACATAGATTAGATTCAACTGGAATATAATTTAGAAGAACCTCAAGGATTCCATCTAGTTTTGTAGCAAAAACAAACAACAACAAACAAACAAACAAAAAGAAACAAGTTGCTGCAAACTAAAAATCCCATTAGCACCATACAGAATATATTACTATGGGTGCTCTAAAAGAGAAAAGGTAACAATAACACCCAGTTACAAAAACAGATTGTTCAGTAAAATTAAACTTTAAATAGCATTTATTATTTATGGGCTAAAAAACTGAATGCAATTAATTACATTTTCTTCTAATCAGCAGCAAAGCAAGTGCCTCTATGGACTGTAGACTGAGCATCACCAATATCCCTACAGTAACTCTTAAAATGGTGCTAAATCCTTTATGAATGTATTGATGATTTTCTTTATCTCAAATTTAAAAGGCCTTGCTACCCAGCTGGCCTCCAAATGTTGTTGTAGAAAAACATTGCAGAGAGAAAGATGACTCTTAGCCACAAAGTCAAAATCTTCATCATTTGCTCATAGATCTACCAGAAAAACAAAAACAATAACGAAAATGTTTTGCGTTACTTTTCTTGTATCCTATTTTATTCAATTTAAGACTTTTAATTATGGGCAATTAAAATTATGGCTTGGGACTTTATTTCTCCAAGTATAGCCTCCCTTCTCTGGAACAAGCTCACATATGCTTTGCTTACTAAGCCACTTCAATTGGTTGAGTATGTAAGTCATTTTATGTTGCTGGAACGTTTCTACTTCAATAAATTGAAATGAATGTGGGCTAACAACAAATAGATAAAAATATAGTACCACTTCCAGACATGAATGAAAGTTTGTATTGTTCTAGTCCTCTGACTATTGTGAAAGAAAACAAATCTTGGGACCCCAACATCACTAAGCCAAGGTAAAAGTCAAGCTGGGAACTACCATCAGGCAACCTGCTTCCCATTTTATTCCTAAATAAGATAGCTACAAATATTTAAAAAAAAAAAAAAAAAACACTACTTACCTCCACAATTTGCACACAAGGAAATTCCTTGTCAACATCAAGATCTTTACCCTAAAGCAGTTCTGCTGAATTTCACCCTGGCAATGCAAACTGATAGCTTATCTTCACAGGTTTGAGACAGAAAGTCATCCTTCTGCTCACCTGAGACAAATACATATCTGATTGTTTCCTCTGCCCTATTGTTTATGTAAAAACACAGATTCATTGAGCCAGTCTAAATTGTATTTTCAGTGCAAGGCTGATCAGATACTCAAAAGAATGCAACCTTTTATCTCTACCTATGACCTGGAAACTCCCCTGCCTCCCCTGCCTCTCCTGCCTCCCCGCCCTCACCACCTTTCCCACTTTGAGTTGTCTCACCTTTCCAGAAGGAACCAATGTACATCTTACACATATTGACTGATGTCTCACATCTCCCTAAACATATAAAAGCAAGCTGCACCCTGATCACCTTGGGCACACATCAGGACCTCCTGAGGCTGTGTCTTGGGCACATCCTTAACCTTGGCAAAATAAGCTTGCTAAATTGATTGAGACCGCTTTTAGATACTTTGGGATGACACTATAAACAACTAAAAAACTGGATAAAATATGAAGCAGCTATTTTCTGTTGTTTGATGATAGGCAGTAAAGGACTTAAATTCTTGAGAAAAGGTAAACTAACAAGGTGATCCCCAAGGTCTCCCAATTCTCCGCCCGAGAACAATTTCCTAACCATAGTATGAAGCTCTGTAGCTAAAGTAGAGCATAATGATTCCACGTAACTGAAAAGCCAGAGAACAGGATCTAGGGGTACTGAAGTGTCTATTATCTACTGAACAGGGCCCTGAAGAGAAAGAGCTGTGTGGGAAAGGGAAATTCAGGCTTCCGAGTAAGGTTTTCAAATGAGTCCATGAGTGAGGACTGAGCTGGCATGTAGAGGGCATGAACATACCTACTGGACTTACCTGAGATCTGTCACCGTGAGACCTAGAATAGAACACTGATACTAAAGGCCAATCAGTGCCAGGAGATACTGGAGTTCTAGTACAGCCAGAGTAGATAGATCTCATTAACACCTTCAGCATCCAACTAAGACACCTGGAAGGCTATTCCTTAGAAATAAAACTGTAACTGCCTGTAAGGTCTACCCTATACCTGCCCTAAAAAATCTTATAACCAATTTCAACATAATCCACATAGGAGACAGAATTAGGAGGTTGAGACCCACCAAGGTAGAACAACTTGAGAAGTATCTTGAACTTTATGCAGATCCATTATAATAAAATATAAAAGTACACCTTAACTTCACAGTTATAACACAGCAATTTAACTGGCTACCAGAACAAACACACTTCAAAAAGAAAAAACAAAACACAATCCAGTGTACACATAAAAAAATCACTAAGTAGGCAAAGAAATAGAAAATAAACAAGCAAAAAAAATTAGCTAAAAGATACCAACACCAAACAATTAGATTTAGTAAATAAAGACTATGAAGAACATGTTATAAATGCAATCTAGAACTTAAAATTAAATATGGCATTAATGAATTAATAGCAGACAAATAGAAAAAGATGGATTACATAAAGGGAATAATATCAATTATACTTGACTTTCTATCAAAATAGAGGCATACCTTGGAGATACTGTGGGTGTAGTCCCCACCACTGCAATAAAGTAAATATCACAATAAGGCAAATCACATAAATATTTTTGTTTGCCACTACAATTAGAAGTTATGTTTGTAGTATACTGTAGTCTATTAAGTATGCAAAAGCATTACGTCTTTAAAAAGTACATACTTTAAAAATAATCTATTGCTTAAGAAAGTGCTAACAATCATCTGAGCCCTCAGAAACTTGTAATCTTTTTGCTGATGGAGGTTCTTGCCTTGATGTTGATAGCTGCTGACTGATCACCATGGTGGTTGCTGAAGATAGAAGTGATTGTAGCAATTTCTTTTTTTCTTCTTTTTTTTAAGGTAAAAGTAAGTTTACTAGAGAAGTAAAGAAACAAAAGAATGACTACTCTATAGGCAGAGCATCCCAGCTGTGGCAATTTCTTAAAATAAGACAACAAAAAAGTTTGCCACATTGAATAAAGCTTCCATTCATAAAAGCTTTCTCTGTAGCACACGATGCTGTTTGATAGCATTTTATCCATAGTAGAACTTCTTTCAAAATTGGAGTCAATCCTCTCAAAACCTGCTGCTGCTTTGTCAACTAAGAGTATGTAATATTCTAAATTTTTGGTTGTCATTTCAGCAACGTTCACAGCGTCTTCAACAGGAATAGATTCCATCTGAAGGAACCACTTTCTTAGCTCATCCATAAGAAGCAACTCCTCACCCATTCAAGTTTTATCACAAGATGACAGCAATTCAGTCACATCTTCAGTCTTCACTCCTAATTCTAATTTCTTGCTGGCATCTGCAGTCACTTCCTCTACTAAAGTGTTTAGTTATTCATGAGGTTGGAATCAAATTCTTCCAAACTCCTATTCATGTTGATATTTTGACCTCAGTCTATGATTTAGAAATGTTTTTAATGGCATCTAGAATGCAGAATTCTTTCCAGAAAGTTTTCAACTTGCTTTGCCTAAATCCAACATGTATTTATCAACTAATAAGACTTCAAAGTTTAAATTACTTCTTAATTCATAGGCTGGATTTATTAGCAGGTATAAAAGCAGTATTAATCTCCTTGTATACCTCCATCAGCTCTCTTGGGTGACCAGGTGCATTGCCAATGAGCAATAATATTTTCAAAGGAATATTTTCTTTCCTGAGCAGTAAGTCTCAACAGTGGGCTTAAAATATTCAGTAAGCCATGCTGAAAACAGATACGCTCTCATCTAGGCTTTGTTATTCCATTTATAGAGCACAGGCAGAGTAGATTTAGCATGATTCTTAAGTGATTTAGGATTATTGGAATAATAAATGAGCATTGATTTCAACTTAGTCATCAACTGCATTAGCCCCTAACAGAGAGTCAGCCTTTCCCTTGAAGCTTTGAAGCCAGGCATTGACTTCTCCTCCCTAGCTGTGAACGTCCTAGATGGCATCTTCCAACAGAAGGCTGTTTTACCTACGGTGAAAATCTGTTGTTTAGTGTAGCCACTTTAATCAATGATCTTCGCTAGATCTTCTGGATAACTTGTTGGAGCTTCTACATCAGCACTTGCTGCTTCATCTTGCACTTTTACGTTATGGAGATAGCTTCTTTTCCTTAAACCTCATGGTCCAACCTGTGCTAGTTTCAAACTCTTCTTCTTCAGCTTCTTCACCTCCCTCAGCCTTCGTAGAATCAAAAGAGTTAGGGCCTTGCTCTGGATTACATTTGACTTAAGGGAATGTTGTAGCTGGTTTGATTTTCTATCCAGATCACTTAAACTTTCTCCATATCAGCAAGGCTGTTTTGCTTTCTCATCCTTTGTGTGTTCACTGGAGTAGCACTTTAAATTTCCTTCAAGAACTTTTTCTTTGCATTCACAACTTGGCTGAATGTTTGGCACAAGAGGCCTGCTTTTTGGCTTATTTCAGCTTTCAACATGCCTTCCTTACTATGTTTAATCATTTCTAGCTTTTGATTTAAAGTCAGAGATGCGCAACTCTCCTTTTCACTTGAACACTTAGAGACCATTAATTGGTCTAATTGCAATATTGTGTCTCACAGAATAGGGAAGCCCAAAGAAAGGGGAAAGGCAGAGGAGTGGCCAGTCAGTGGAGTAAGCAGAACACACATACGTTTGTCAATTAAAGTTGCCATCCTATATGGGCAAGATTGTGGTGCCTCAAAACAATAGTAACGTCAAAGATCACTGATCACAGATACATAACAGATACAATACAATAACAATGAAAAAGTTTGAAATGGTGCATGAATTACCAAAGTGTGACACAGAGACACAAAATGAGCACATGCTTTTGGGAAAATGGCATTGATAGACTTCTTCAACACAGGGTGGTCACAAACCTTCAATTTGGAAGGAGCAAAATATCTATAAAGAACAATAAAACGAGCTATGCCTGTACATCAAGGGACAGAAGACAATGAAGCAACTTCTTTAAAATTCTGAAAGAAAAAAGTTTCAGTCCAGAATACTATATAGAGGTAAAATATTATTTATTTGTTACCAGCCCATCTACACTGCAAAAAAAAAAAAAAAAAAAAAAAATGCTAAAAGAGATTCTTCCAGCTGAAGAAAATAAATTCCAGATGAAACGTGAACATATGGGAAGTAATAAAGAATAAAAGAAATGCTAAATAAATGAGTGAATTAAAAAGAACAGTGTGTTTTTTATTTTTGAAATTTCCTTAAAAGGTTGTTTAAAGCAAAAGTAATACTATTTTAAGTTGTAATTGATAATACACATAGAAATATAAGACATAGCAACAAGAGCACAAAAGAGGAAGCAAGTAAATAGAATTATGCTATGGTTGAGATAGTACAGCATGAATTTGGAAGTAAAAGTGGAAACTGAAAGGCCTGAAATATAAAATGATACAATATGAACACTCACTAGGCTTTGATAGGTGAAGGATGTGTGTTGTTAGTACTAGCTCAACCAGTAAAGAAAATAAACAGTTATACCTATGAAGCCAATAGAGAACATAAATGTACATATAAAAAAATTGATAAATGCAAAGATGACAAGAAAACATGACCATAGAAACAAAAACAAAATGGGTAAATGGAAAACAAATAGTATGATGGTACATTTAAACACGATTATGTAAAAAATTACATCAAATATATATATATAAGAAACATCCCTATTGAGACAGAGATTGTCAAACTGAATGCAAACCAAGAGCCAACTACTTACACATGACTATGTCAAAAATTATATTAGATGAATATATAAGAAACATCCCTATTGAGATAGATTGTCAAACTGAATAGCAAACCAAGACCCAACTACATGCTTCCTACAAAAAAAAATAATAATTAAACATAAAGACACAGATAGAGTGAAAGTAAAAGATGAGAAAAGATGTAGCATGAAACCAATAGATATAAGAAAGCTGGTGCAGCTATATTTGTATAGGATGGATTAGACTTCAAAATCAATAGTATTACTAGAATTCAAGAAGAATATTTCATAGTGAGGAAAAGTGAAATTTATCAGTAAGAAATAACAGTTCTAAATGTGTATACAACTAAAAAATTGGGTTCAAAATACAGGAAACAAAACCTGACAGAACTAAAAGGAAACATCAAAATATTCAAAAGCATACCTGCAGATACTTGAAACCCTTCTTTTAGTAATTAATAGAACAATTAAACAGCAACTCAGTAATAATGTAGACAATCTGAACAGTATTAACTTCACCTAACTGACATTTATAGAATACAGCATTCACCACCTGCAAAACACACATTTCTCTCAAGTGCACATAAAATGTTCATCAAGATAGACCATATGATAGCCCATAAAATATGTCTCAATAAATTTCAATGATGGAAATTTTTCAGAGTATGTTCTGTAACTGCAATGGAATTAAATTCAAAATCAATAACAAGGTATATATAGTAATTCCCAAAATATTTTGAAATTAAATAGCAGATCCATAAATGGGAAATCATTACAAAAATGAGAAGATATTTTATACAAAATATTAATAAGAATATGACATATCAAAATGTAAAGGATACAGCTAAAACATTGTATAAGAGGATGTTTATAGTCTTACGAGAGTATATTAGAAAGGAAAAGTTGAAAGTAAGTGACTTACATTTACACATTAGAAAACAAAAAGCAAGTTAAAAATAATTAGAAAGATCACATAATAAATATTGGAAGAGATATCAGAATCAACAATATACTAGCAATAGGGGAAATAACAAAGGCAAAGTGGATTCTTTTAAAATGTTAAGAAAATTGATAAAACCTTTAAAATACTCATCAAGTAAAAAGGGAAGCCACAAGTTTTCAAAATTGGTATGAGAGATGTTATATCACTATAGATCCTAAAGATACTAAAAGTATAACAAATGAATAAAATAAAGAATGTTATACCAATAAACTTGATAACTTAAATGAAATTCACAAATCTCTTGAAAACATTTAGTAAAACTAACTGAAGAAAAAGTAAAATGGCAAATAGTCACATATTTATTAAGGATAATAAAGAGAAATTCTTCTGACAGATACAACTTGAGGGTTAGATGGTTTTTCTAGTGAATTTTATCAAACATTTAAGGAAATAATACTAATTTTACAAAAAATCTTTTAAGTACTAGAGAAGATAATACTTTTCAATTCTTTTTATGAGGACAACATAACCCTGATAACAAAACCAAAGATATTACAAGAAAATAAAACTACAGATCATCGTTCATCATGAATATATATGCAAAAATCCTCAACAAAACATTAGCAAATAGAAGTCAGCAATATATATCAAAGACAAGACTTCATGATGCAGTGGGATTTATCCCAGAAATGCAAGGTTATTTAAACATTCAGAAATCAATAATGTGTTTCACCATATTAGCAGAACAAAGGAGAACAACCAAATGAACATCTTGGTACTTCCTGAAAAACCACTGTATAAATATCAAGCACTTACATATATGAACTCAGGAAACTAGAGATAGAAGGGAATTTTTTCTAACTTGATAATGGACATACATTAAAAAATAACTTAATCATACTTAATGATCAGAAACTGAACACTAAGAGCAAGAATCAGGCAAGAACAACCACTCTTGTGAATTCTATTTTATATTGTACTGGAGATCTGGTCTGGCCAGTACAATGAGCCAAGAAATAAAAATCATAAATATTGAAAAGAAGTAACACTGTTGGTATTCTTAGACAACATGCTTACCTTGTTGAAAATATCAAGGAATCAAAAAAAATTATAATTAGTAAGTGAACTCAACAAGATCACAGAATATAAGATAAAGTATGATAATCACTGGTAAATTGGATATCATCACAATTTAAAACTTATCTTCAAGAATAATTATTAAGAAAATGAAAAGTCATGCCATACCTATGGCAATAAAATATTCTGAAATCATATATGTATATAAGACAAACAACCAAATTAAATACAGACAAGAGACTTCTACAGATACTTCAGAAAAAAAGATATGACTAATAAGAATATGAATTGAAATAGTATTTCAATTTTGGTTCTAATGTGCATTTTCAAGATGAAACATTGTTTCATCAATTCTGGTTCTAGTGTGCCAAAATTATGCGGTTCTAATGTGGTTCAATAAAACATTGTTTCATTCGATTTTAGTCCCTTTTTTATATAGTGGTAAACAGCTTTCATTTTTAGTATCTTTTTTTAGAATACTTTAAGTTCTGAGATATATGTGCAGAATGTGCAGGTTTGTTACATAGATACACATGTGCCATGGTGGTTTGCTTCACCCATCAACCCATCATCTACATTAGGTATTGGTTTTAATGTGCATTTTCATCATAAAAATGTTTCATTATGTTTCATGATGAAATTTCACATTGGAACAAAAATTGAAATAACATTTAACATCCACTAGAGTAACAAAAATTGAAAGCATAACAATTCTAAGTTTTGACAAAGATGTCCAGCAAATTGAGCTCTCATGAAATTCTAGTGGGCTTACAAAATTGTGCAACTACTTTGGAAAGGAATTTGGCAGTTAAGATAAACATATACTTATCACATGATTTGGCAGTTCCACTCCTAAGTATTTACCCAAGAGAAATGAAAATATATGTCTACCAAATAATTCAAGTATGTTCATAACACCTTTATTTATACTAGCACCAAGCTGGAAATAAACTAAGTGTATATCAACAGGGAAATGAATTTTTAAAAACTACAGAATGACCATAAAGTGGCATCGTAGTCAACAACAAAAAGAAACAAAATAACTGCTATAAACAGCAATGTGGATGACTTTTTAAAATATATGTTAATCAAAATAAGTCAGACAAGTTCTAGGATAGGAAAACAAGTTCTAGAGCAAGAAAGTCCATGGTCTTTTGGTGCCAAGAGGGAGGTGGAGTCATAGATTGCAAAGGAACACAAGGGAAACTTCTGGAACAATAGAAATGTGTGTTTTGAGTGATGTAATGGTAATCTAGGGGCATGCATTTGTCAAAACTCATTCAACTATACACTTAAATGTATATATTTGTATAAAAATTGTAGCTTAGCAAAGTTTATTTAAAAAGAAAGAATCATTCTAGCAGGTTTGTTGAAAATAAATAATCAGAGGGCAAGGGTAGAAAGAAACATGTCACGAGGCACACAATAATGAGATGGAACTTAGTTTACATCTTTTGTGGGGGACAGGAGAAAAATGTTTCTGTTACTGGAATTCTCCATTCCCAGATATCAACTAATAAGAATGAAAGACCCCTTCTAAGACCTCAGTCTAGCCTTTGGTAGAACAGCCATTGTTAAGTTTCTCATTAGAAACAGGAAGCTGACATGGATAGGGTAAAAAGTTCCCACACTTTTATTCTAGTAGGCACTCAAGTGGAAGCAGGGAAGAAGCAAATATTATTTAGAACATTAATATGGCCCACTGGGCTCATGAGAAGTAGAACACTATTTCCTGCCTAAGTTATGAGGCCGTATGGATGTATTTCCTTTTTCTTTCTATCTTTTCTTTTTTTTTTCTGACAGGTCGAAAAAAAGAGGAAGACAGTCAGGGTCTCCCTCTGTCACCCAGACTGGAGTGCAGTGTTGCAGTCATGGCTCGCTTCAGCCTCAGACTCCTGGGCTCAAGCAATCCTCCCACCTCCACTTCTCAGAGTAACTGGGACCACAAGCACAAGGTGCTGTGCATGCTGGTCATGAGCACTTAGCCTCAGCTATCTTTGCAAAGTGCTAGGATTACAGGCATGAGCCACTGTGCCCAGCCTCTTATATTTCCTTTTTCAATATGAGTTTAGATTAAGTTGTTCTGGAGAATGGGAAAGCTACAAACTTAACGTGTTTAATGTTAAAGAAACAGGTATTCTTGCATCTCAAGATGGAGGAGCACTGCAGAATTGAGACTACTAACCTGGAGACCCCAGTAGTCCTGCAGAACCCCTAACCTGGGGGACTCCATCAGCCCTGCATCAGAGTTTTCCCCACTCCCATTCATCCTTCTTCTACGGGTAGTAAGACTGTATAGTCACCAGTGACCCTGTCTCCCAAAGTCCAGACCAAATTGCCTAGATTTGTACATTTAGTGTGGAAATGGGAATATTTCCAAGTATTTAATTTCCTCTGAGCTTTGACATGAGGATTCTAGGGAAGTGGGTTAAGATTTGTCAGGAGATGAGAAGAGAATTCTTTAAAGAACCCTGATGCTCGGATCAGGGTTAACAAATGACCTGATACCTTGGGGAGCTCACTTTGGACTCCAGGGTAAGGCATATTTAGCAAGAACTTTAAGTGTATCCTCCTGCCCTACAATTCCCATTGCAAACCACTGCAAATCTTCAGTGCATAACTATGTAAAGTCCTGCAAAGTTTGTTGGGTGATCTTGGGGAAGCTGAAGGCACAAACTCATAAAGAAGTCTACCCCTTCTGAACTTCACGTGGCCTCTGATAGGGGACTAGAGTAGATCTAATAGGGTGTCTTGGATTACATGAGTATCATAGCTAACTCAGCAAACCTGAAAGGAAAAAGGATTAAAGAGAGAGAAGTAGAAAGCATGAAAGAGAAGTAGAAAGCATGAAAGCAAAGTGACAGAATGTAAAGAACAAAAAGAGGGAAGAAACATATTCCCAGGCAATAAAAACCAAGGGTGATGAATATATATTGTGCACTACAATGCGCCTGTACTGTTCCAAGGCCTCAGGGCATAAGGGTCATTTTAGTTTTCACAATTCCCTTAGAAATAGGTATTATCATTCTACTGATAAGGAAACTGACATTCAGAGGGTTCTAATAAATTGCCAGAGGCTATATAACTTGTAAGTGGTTACATGGAGTCAGAACTAAAATTCAAGCTTGAATGACTCTGAAATAATAATTAAAACAAAAAAAGAAAGAAGGTTACAGAATTGGAAGGGGAAATGAACTGAAACTCACAAAGCAGAAGAGAGGGGACAATTTCTGTGATATTAGCTCAGTAGTACAATGAAACTTCAGAGAAGGGCAGCTGCTCACTCGTCGTTGACATTGTATTTAGCTAGCTCTTCTACATTATCCTGATTTGATCATTACACAATGTGTACATGGATCAAAATACTACATTGTCCCCCATAAACAGGTAGAATTATTATGTTTCAATTAAAAATAAAAATTTTTTAAAAAAGATCCTTCACTCTTAAATCTTCGACTAGCTAAAGCATTTAAAAAATATATATCTAGGTTCTCAAAGTATGGTGCCAGATCGACAGCATAGGCATCATCTTCACCTGGGAATTTGTTAGAAATGGACATTCTTAGGTCCAATCCCAGATCAACTAAATCAGAAACTTTGGAAGTGGGATTCAACCGGTATGTTTTTTTGTTTTACTTAGTTTTGTTTTGGCATAAAACAACACAGACTGCTTATCTTGCAGTTCTGTAGGTTAGAAGTCTGACATGAGTCTCACTTGGCTAAAATCAAGGTGTCCACAGGGCTGCATTCCTTTCTAGAGGCTCTAGGCAATCATGTGTTTTCCTGTTTTTCTATGTCTAAAGGCCGGCCTGCTCTCCTTGTCTCATGGCCCTTCCCTCCATCTTCAGTGCCCGCACGGCAGGCCAAATCCTTTCCATATCTTATCATTTTGACCAATGCCTTCCTCTTCCACTTTTGAGAAACCTTGAGATTACACTGGGCCCACTCAGCTAATCCAGAATAATCTCCCTATTTTAAGGTCAGCTGATTAGCAGGCTTCCATCTGCAACTTCAATACCCCTGTCATAAAAGATAACATATCCTCTGGTTCTTCGTGTTGGGGTATGGCAGCTTCAGCAACTGTGACTTCACAAGCCCTGCAGGTGCTGCTGGCGGCTCTAAAGTTTGAGAGCAAATGCAGTAGGCCACAGCATTTGCCATCGGTTTGGACTCCCGGTTTCCCCACATCCCACACATTATTAAAATACCAGGTCCCAGGATCTGAAAGAAATTAGACCACTGCTAACAGCGCTGTGTACAAATGACAATTTTATTAGGGTAAAATCTCAACCAACAGAGACTGCAATGAACTTTTCCAAGCTATTGAAGCTTGTCACCTTCAGAAATATCATCATTAAGAACCTGGATGGTATTCAAGAGCTAATATAATTTACTAAGAACCTATTAAACAAGGCAGGCCTGTGGAGTTGCTCTGCCACATGAGCATTTTTTACTGTAATGATTAAGCTGAGAAAGAAAAGGAACCAGCTCTCCTATCTGAATAGTTTAGCTGAGAGAGGTCTTTTCTCAGATACTTCTATATCCATGACAAAAAGCTTACGCCTACAATAATGGACCTTGGTTCTTGGGTCCCTGAATGTTCCTTTATTCTTCTAATCTTAGAAATAACAGAATTTGGATATAGGAGTAGTAGATTGAATTCACTGATGATACTCTATCTCGGTGGAAATATTTTGCCAAAGATGCTGCGCACACATTTTCAACAATGAGATTTTCCTGATATATTCTTTTATACTTTCTTTCCTTTTTCCCCCAAAACTTGCATCTGACCTTACATTCACCTTGATATTTAGTTGATGCTGACTGGCTTTCTTCTTCTTTCCTTTCCTCCTTTTTTAATATACAGTGTTCATAAGAACGTGTCTTAAGAGTTACACATGAGCAAAAAGGTTAGTAGAGCCAAATTAAACTAAATTACAAGTAACAAAAGAGGAAATAAAATATTTCATTACAATGATACATTCTTATTATGTATGATCATGTATTTAACCTACGACTCACTATACATCAGAAGTGTGTTATTGCTATTCGTATTTGGGGTAGGAGAATAATGAAAATAATATTTCATTCTGTAAAAGTAAAGTGGTTTTATGAAAAAATTTGAATGGAAAACAGTAAAATCGAAAAGCAAACCTGATAATCTCTAAAATAATGTTAGGCTGTGAGGGTTGAGGGGTGGTGATGCTTGAAAGAGATTAAGGAAAGAAATAGATATGAGCAAGAAAAAATAAATTCCCATTTTCTGGCAATAGGTCTGAGTTTGTGGGGGATCAAGTCAGCCAGGGGCTTCATGTTATAGCAAAACAGGGTTTACTACAGTGGGGGAAGAAACAAACAATAGAACACCTATAGTCAACACATTCACCATTGTGGAAGAAGGCAGCTACAGATAGAAAATGTGTTAAAATAAAGCAAGAAGGGAGGGATGACAGTCTTAAGGGGATTCAGAAGCATGGTAGCCAGAAGCTGCAGACCAAATGAAGGCGCCACACTGAACTCACCCCAAACAAAGCAAAGGTGTCTTGACTAAGCCCATTGCTCCTTCTCAAATCCTGCGGGCTTCCTTTTCTCTGTGCACATTGGAATGTCCTGGAAAGTCTGTATTTCCTTAGTGTGCCTGCAGATTTCTTTTTACTCATAAATTGGAGCAAAAAGAGCACACACAAAATAGTTAAAGTAACCATAATACAACCATATTAAAGGTGTTTAGGGGTTATGGGATGTGTGCAAGACACATAAACACACACAATGTCCACACACCTTGACTAAAATCGAGCACTGTATGAATCACACCAAGCATGTTAAGCACAGGTAAGGTATATTGCCTTCATTTGTTCACTTTAAATGACTAGAGTATAATTCACTCCGAAGTTGCTATGAAGAAGAAATGAGGATAGATTAACCTTTCAGTGCCACACCTGGTCTCCGGATTTCCCAACGTGTTAATGAATTTCCTGAGATGGGAGTGTCAGAGCTGCTGGCAGTACGTTAATCTGGGGAAGCACGAAGCAATACATCCTCCAAACTCAAAGGTGGGTGAACCAATTTAGAAAATGTTAAATCAAATCCAAGCCATTCCCTAAAGACAGTTCCAACCTGTAAAGCCCAAAGACATCTGGAAAAGTCACTCTGGCACAGCTCACTCGAAGTCACTGCCGAGTTTCTAACTTCATGTCTTTATCTGTGTCCAGGAAATAAGGTCGATGCCCCTGTACCTCCTGAAATATCTTCTGGAGTAAAGACACTTGTCAGTAGACCTATAAAAATAACAACAAGCCATCTCTCAAATGCACCCACCCATAGCTCAACACCACCTATTCTCTTCCGTGTTTCTGCCCAGATACATATGTTTGAAATGAAAGGACTGACAATAGAGAAGAATCTTTTTTTGAGAGGAATATTTTTAAAGGAGATATTTTGTCGTTAGAAGTAACATACTGAGGGTGAAAATCCACTGGGAAGTAAGCATATAAAATAATTTTAAGAGATCATTTTAGTGGTGGAGTTAACAAAATGTTTTAAAACCAGGTTGGTAAAAATGATGAGTAGATGAGAAGAACAGTAGGGATATACAGAGGACTTTCATTCTAAAAATGTTTCCTGGATTCTTAGGAGTGACATTGGCAAGACAGCCAACTAGAGTTGAATGACACTTGTCCCCCAAACAAAAGGAATCAGAACAAAAACTAAACAACTATAATTTGACTGCAGTAACTGAGGAAGTATGCTGAAGAGCACTGGGGAGTGGTGAAGTTCCCGTAGAGCACGAAAACATAATAAAATGAGGAATATCCAGTGCCGTAACAGTGCTACTATGTAAATCTCTCAGTCCTCTAGTATGAAGGTTAAATGTTTCAAAAATAGTCAAAACAACAACAGCTACAGTTAGTGGCTAAGGAACAGATAATTGATAAAGATGTAAATTAAGTAATAAAAATATAAATTGTGGGCTATAGGGGAAAAGTCTAGGGTAGTATTTTTATGTAACCAAAGTTAAGTTGTAATCAGCTTAAAATAGTCTATAGTACTACAAAACTCTTTTTGCTAGCTCCTGGTAACCACAAAGCAAGAAATTACAACACATACACAACCAAGAAAGAGAAAGGAAACAAAGCTTAGAACCACAGAAAATCACCAAACCCAACAGTAAACAACAAGAAAGAAGGGAACAAAGGATCTATAAAACAATCGGAAAACAATTAACAAAATGTCAGGAGTACATTTGTACCTATCAACAATGTTCATTGTAAATTGATTAATTTTTTCAATTAAAAGATAGAGAGTGGTTGACTGGATAAAAGAAAAAAAGAAGCAAGCCCACCTCTGTGCCACCTATAAGAGACTTACGTCATCACTAAAGATAAACATAGACTGAAAGTAAAAGGATGAAAAAGGATATTCCATGCAACAAAAACCAAAAGCAAGCAGAAGTAGTCATACTTAGATAAACTGGACTTTAAGTCAAAAACTGTAAAAAGAAACAAACAGGGTCATCATATAAGGACAAAAGAATCAATTTAACAAGAAGATATAACAATTGTAACTATATATGCACTCAACACCAGAGCACCCAAATATATAAAAGAAATATTATTATATCTAAAGGAAGACATAGACTATAATACAATACAGTCTATTTGTAGTAGGATACTTCAACGCCCCCACTTTCAACAATGGACAAATCATCTCAACAGAAAATCAACAAAGAAACGTTGGGCTTTAACTGCTCCATAGACCAAATGGACTTAACCTTCATTCCAACAGCTGCAGAATACACATCCTTCTTAACTACACATGAAACATTCTCTACGATGAATTATATGTTAGGCCACAAAACAAGCCTCAACTAATTTAAGAAGACAGAGATCATATCAAGTATCTTTTCTAACCACAATGGTATAAAACTGGATATTAACAATAATAAAACTTCAGAAACTTTACAAATACATGAAACCTAAGGAACATGCTCCTAAATAACCAAAGCTTCAGTGAACAAGCTAAAAGGATAATTAACAGTTTTTTGAGACAAACAAGAATGGAAATATATAATGTTATAACTTATGAGACCCAGCAAAAGCAGTTATAAGGGGGAATTTTATAGCAATAAGCAGGTACATCAAAAAAAGAAGAAAAATCTCTAATAAGCAACCTAATGTATGCCTCAAAGAACTAGAAAAACAAGAACTAAACCTAAAATTGATAGAAGAAAGCTCAGAGCAGAAATAAAAGACAGAGACTAGAAAAACAGCTCAAAAGATCAATGAAATGGAGAGTTGGTTTTCAGAAAGATAAATTCACAAACCTTTAGCTAGATTAAGAAAAAAATGAGAAGATGCAAATAAAGAAAATGAGAGATGAAAAAACATATTACAGCTGACAGAAATACAAAGATCATGAGAAATTATTATGAAGAACCATATACTAACAAATATGATAACCTAGAAAAAATAAATAAATTCCTGCACAGAAACAACCTACCTGGGTTAAATTATACATAAACAGAAAACCTGAACAGACCAATAATGAGGAACAAAATTGCATCTATAATAAAAAGTCTTCCAACAACAACAACAACAAAAAGCCAAGGACTTGATGTTTTCACTACTGAATTTTACCAAACCTTTAAAGAAGAAATAATACCAATTTTCCTCAAATTATTCCAGAAAATTGAAGAGGATGGAATAGTTCCATACTCATTTTACCAGGCCAGCATTATCCTGATACCAAAACCAGACAAGAAAATAAAGAAAACTACAAGCTAGTATCCTTGATGAACATACATGCAAAAATCCTCAACGAAATACTGGCAAATTGAATTCATCATCAGCTTTAAAAGGTCATTCACTATTATCAGTAGGATTCATACCAGAGAAGCAAGGATGGTTCAATATATGCAAATTAATAAATGTGATACCCCATGTTAACATAAAAAAGATTTTTAAAATACATAATAATTTGAATAGATGCAAAAATGCATTTGAAAAAATCCAACATCCCTTCATGAAAAAACTCTCAACATATTAGGGATAGAATGTACGTACCTCAACACAACAAAGGCAATATGTGGCAGACTCACAGCTAACATCAAACTGAATGAGGAAAAGCTGAAAGCTTTTCCTTTAAAATCAGAAACAAGACAAGCATGCCCATTTTCACCACTTTTATTCAACATAATACTGTAAGTCCTGGCCAGAGCAGTAAGACAAGAGAAAGAAATGAAAGGTATCCAAATTGGATAGGAAGAAGTCAAATTGTCCCTTTTTGCAGATTACATAATTTTACATATAGAAAACCCTAAAGGTTTTTTTTAAAAAAAAACTGTTAAAACTAGTAAATGAGTTTAGTAAAGTTGCAAGATACAAAATCAACATACAAAAATCAGTAGTGTTTCTATACTAGCTAATAGTGAACTTATCTATAAAGAAAATCAAGAAAACAATTCCACTTACAGCTGCTACAAAAGAAAATAAGATACCGAGGAATAAACTAACCAAGAAGATAAAAGATCTCTCAACACTGAAAACTGTAAAACACTGATGAAAGAAATTGAAGAGAACACAAATAAATTGAAAGACATTTCATGTTTATGAATTGGGAGAACTGATAGTGTTTAAAGCTATGTTACCTAAAGCAATCTACAGATTCAATGCAACTCCTATCAAAATACTAATGGCATTCTTCACAAAAATAGAAAAAAAAAATCCTAAATTTATATGGAACCACCAAAGACCCGGAAGAGCCAAAGCCATTCTGAGCAAAAACAACAAAACTGGAGAAATCACATTACTCTGACTTCAAATTATATCGCAAGCTTATAGTAACTAAAACAATATGGTAGTGGCCTAAAAACAGACACATAAACCAATGAAACAAAATAGAGAGTGCAGAAATAAATTCACACACCTAAAGCCAACTGATTTTCAACAAAGGTGCCAAAAACACACATTGGGGACAGTCTCCAATACATGGTACTGGGAAAACTGTTAGCCACATACAGAGGAATAAAATTAGACCCCCATTTCTCACCATATAAAAAAGCTACCTCAAAACATATTAAAGAATGTAATGTCAGATTCAAAATTATGACTCCACTAAAAGAAAACATAGGGAATGCTTTATGACATTGGGCTGGGCAAGGATTTTTTAGAAAAGACCTCAAAAACACAGACAGCAAAAACAAAAAGAAACAAATGGAATTACAAGAAACTAAAAAGCTTTTGCACAGCAAAGTAAACAATTAAAAAAAAAAACAAAGTAAAAGAGTGCAGAGACAACCTAGAAAATGGGAGTAAATATTTGTAAACTATACATCTGACAAGGGATTATTATCTAGAATATATAAGGAACTTAAAAATTCCAACAGTAAGAAAAAAAGAAACCCCCCCAAAAATAATAATTCAATTACAAAATGAGCAAAAACTTTAATAGACATTTCTCAAAAAAAGACATACAAATGGCCAACAGGGATATTTGAAAAATGCTCAACATCACTAATCATCAGAACAATGCAAATCAAAAGCACTGTGAGATATACCTTATTCTAGTTACAATGACTATTATCAAAAAGACAAAAAAAATGTTGTCAAAGATGTGTAGAAAAGGGAATTCTTGCACTCTGTTGCTTGGGAATATAAATTAGTATAACCATTATAAAGACGGTATGGAGGTTCCATAAAAAATGAAAAAAGGAAATATAATGTGGTCCAATAATGCCACTGCTGGGTATATATTCAAAGAAAAGGGGCCGCGTGTGGTGGCTCACGCCTGTAATCCCAGCACTTTGGGAGGCCAAGGCGGGCAGATCATGAGGTCAGGAGATCGAGACCATCCTGGCTAACATGGTGAAACCTCATCTCTACTAAAAATACAAAAAATTAGCCAGGCATGGTGGCAGGCACCTGTAGTCCCAGCTACTCAGGAGGCTGAGCCAGGAGAATGGCATGAACCTGGGAGGTAGAGCTTGCAGTGAGCCGAGATCACACCACTGCACTCCAGCCTGGGTGACAGAGCGAGACTCTGTCTCAAAAAAAAAAAAAAGAAAAGGAAGTCAGTATATGGAAAAGATATCTGTACTCCCATGGAGATTACAGCAGTATGCACAATAGCCAAGATATGGAATCAACCTAGTGTCCACTGATGGATGAACAGATAAAGACAACATGGTATATATACACAATGGAATACTATTTAGTCATAAGAAAATAAAATCCTGTTATTTGCAACAATATAAATGACATTAGAGGACATTATGTTAAGTGGAATAAGCCAGACTCATGTGTGGAATCTACAAAACTTTGATTTCAAAGAAGTAGAGAGTAGGAGAGTGGTTACTAGAGACTGGAAATGGGATGAGGGAAGGATGGGGAGAAGCTGGTCAATGAGTACAGAGTTATAATTACCTAGGAGGAATGAGTCTCTATTACTATAATTTTACCATATCCAGAATGTTTTTCAAATGGAATTACATATTACTGATAGAGGCAAGAGGCAGAGACATTCTAGGCAGACAGGGGCAGGTCCTGACGAAACCCCACATTCAGGCAAAAGAAGCCTGAAACCCAGGGCCCAAAGTGACAACTTCTCTCCCTGTTTGCTTCACTCTCTCCCG
Organism: Homo sapiens; assembly: GCF_000001405.40. Classification (NCBI taxonomy): domain Eukaryota; kingdom Metazoa; phylum Chordata; class Mammalia; order Primates; family Hominidae; genus Homo; species Homo sapiens. Next base: position 82,869,965 of record NC_000009.12, read on the forward strand.
ATTAGTTCTTTCTGAATAATGTCTTTTTACCAATCAAACGTTGCCTTTTCCAAAACTACCTAAGGCCTGCCTCATCCCCCATCCTGTGACTGTAAAGACCCCAGACTCAACAGGTAGAGACAGAGAAGCAGCTTGACTGGAGAGAGACAACTTGACTTCAGAGGGACAGCTGGACTTCGGAGGAGAGACAGCTTAACATCAGAGAGACAGCTTGACAACAGAGAGATGGCCGGACTTCAGAGGAAGATTACCTCCTGTCCCATTCCCTCTCCAGCTCCCCTCTCCACTAAGAGCCATTTCCTATCGCTTAATAAATTCTCTGCCTTCACCATCCTTCAAGTGTCCAGGCAACTCTTTCTTCTTGGATGCCAGACAAGAGCTAGGGACCCGCCGAGTGCAGGTACCCACACTGACCCTTTGCTCTTGCTGGTGGGAGGCAGCCACCCCATGTGACGGGGCAAGGGGCCCACTGGGCTGATATCACACCACTGTCCATGGACGGTAGAGCTAAGAAAGCATTATAACATGCCCTCTGGGCTTCGGGGGTCACAGGCACCCCAACCTGGGTGCCGCTGCAGGCCCACACAGCGCCTGCTCTTGCTCGCATTCAAAGCAGCTGGCCACATACCGCACTTACTCACTCATGTGCTCCCTCCAGCAAGGGGTTGAGCGCCACAGGCCAAGTAAATGGGGCACTCCAGTCACAAGTCTGATGAAGGGGTCGAGAAAAATGTTGCATCAATATGTACCCTTTTGTGATTGGCTTTTTTCACTCAGCACAATTCTCTCTTATTCTGTTCTGTGGCTGAGTAGTATTTCCATAGTATGATGGTACCACAAATTGTTGAATTTATTCACTTATTTAAAGACATCTGGAATTTTTCCAGTTTGGGGCTACTACAACATACAACTACAATGTGATATAGTAATTGCACTCCTAGTCATTTATCCCCCCAAATGAAGGCTTATTGTTCACATAAAACTTATTGTGCACATACAAAACTGTTTATGGAAGTTCTATTTGTAGTACCCCAAACTGGAAACAAACCTGATGTCCTTCAAGAGGTGAATTTTACTTCCAATTATTTCTTTATTCTTGTAATATCTTTTTTATCAATGCTCTGCTCTGCAAGCTTTTTTTTTATTACTCATGATTAAATGAGTTGGAATTTTATGGACCAATATTTGCAAAGAATTTCCATAGGTGGGGAGGAACAAGTGTAGTGCTCCAGGCTAGCTGGGTTTTGCATTGTAGAGATTCTCTTTTCTTCAGCTGCCACAAAGCAAGACAGTTTTTCCAAATAATATGGGTCTGTGTGATTTTGTATGTGGCAGAGTCTTTTCTGCTTCTGTGAATCTAATTGCTTCTCTCAGGTGTTTTCTCTCTCTCTCCCTCTCCCACTCCCCCTGCCCTGCTACCCCTACCCCAAATCCCCTGGCTTCTCTTGCCTTACTCCTAATGTTTCTTGCATGAAATTAAACTTGCTTTTGCATGTAAAATTATTTTACATTCTCTTTTCTAGTTCTCAGAAGATGGAGTTTGTGTTTTTGTTTTCCCATCTCTTCGTTGCTTGCTTTTGCTTGGTTTCTTGGAGAAGATGGGGATTAATAAATTCGTGGAGTCATCATCCTGGAAGTTCTCCACTAGAAATTATGCATCTTCCTGTTAAAAGAGACCATATCGATTGTATAAGACAGCCACTCAATTGATGCTTGAATCCAGCACTGTTTTATTCATTTCCATAACGTGGGCACTGCAGAAATGTGACAGCCTAGGGTAAGATTAAGCTGGGTGCCACTGAAAAAGCTCTGGGCCAAGGAAATGACAGACCTGGTTTTTAGTCTTAGCTCTACTACTGTATGAAGAAGAGCAAGACAGTTATCTGTGTGAGCCTTCAATTCTCCAACTGAATTGGTTGAGATGATCACTACCAGTCCCCCTCTTTGGAAAGGCCAGCAGTTTTTGTAAATATTATGACAGATTTGAAGCACAACAGACTTCAGGAAATATCAACCTAGCTTGTACAGATTACACTATATGTAAAAATAAATAATTTATGCTAAGCCAAACTTCTGAAGGAGTCCTCAATCATTACCCTTTATGCCCTTCATTATATATCTTGTTAGGCTCAAATTTTTAATTAGGGTTTTTCAACAAACATAATTTGAAGCCGTGGGGAAATGTTTTCCTTTTTGCCTATACTTGGCATTTTAATTATTAAATGCTTTTTTAAGTTAAATTTTGAGTGCACAAGTCATGCCACTGTCTAATAATTTAATTTGGAAAACAAATTATATGTAATTTCCTTGACAATCTGAAATCTGTAAACCACTAAAAGGGGGCCAACTCATTGAACAGCACAATTATTAACGCTTATAAAAAATAATTATATTTTCCATTGGAAATGTCTAAAACTCCAAGATGATTCTTCATCTCTCTTTCTGCTTACTGACATTAGGAAGATAGGGCAAATTTGCTTCACTTGAAAAAAAAAAAACTGAAAATTTTTCTAGTGATTAAATCCCATTGAAAAACTGACGGTTCTAAGATCAAATCTATAAAAAGAATTGTCTTTTTTTTTATTATACTTTAAGTTCTGGGATTCATGCGCAGGTTTGTTACATAGGTATACATGTGCCATGGTGGTTTGCTGCACCCATAAGCCTGTCATCTACATTAGGTATTTCTCCTAATGCTAACCCTCCCCTAGCTTCTCACTCCTTGACAGGCCCCAGTGTGTGATGTTCCATTCCCTGTGTCCATGTGTTCTCATTGTTCAGCTCCCACTTATGAGTAAGAACATTTGGTGTTTGGTTTTCTCTTCTTGTGTTAGTTTGCTGAGAATGATGGTTTCCAGCTTCATCCATGTCCCTGCAAAGGACATGAACTCGTCCTTTTTATGGCTGCATAGTATTCCATGGTATATATGTGCCACATTTTCTTTATCCAGTCTATCATTGATGGGAATTTGGATTGGTTCCGAGTCTTTGCTGTTGTGAAGAGTGCTGCAATAAACATACGTATGCATGTGTCTTTATAGTAGAATTATTTATAATCCTTTGGATATATACCCAGTAATGGGATTGCTGGGTCAAATGGTATTTCTGGTTCTAGATCCTTGAGGAATTGCCACATTGTCTTCCTCAATGGTGGAACTAATTTACACTCCCACAAACAGTGTAAAAGCATTCCTATTTCTCCACATCCTCTCCAGCATCTGTTGTTTCCTGACTTCTTAATGATCGCCATTCTAACTGGCGTGAGATGGTATCCACTGTAGTTTTGATTTGCATTTCTCTAATGACAAGTGATGATGAGCTTTTTTCATATGTTTGTTGGCCACATAAATGTCTTATTTTGAGAAGTATCTGTTCATATCCTTTGCCCACTTTTTGATGGGGTCATTAGATTTTTCTTGTAAATTTGTTTAAGTTCTTTGTAGATTCTGGATGTCAGCCCTTTGTCAGATGGCTAGATTGCAAAAATTTTCTCCCATTCTGTAGGTTGCCTGCTCATTCTGATGATAGTTTCTTTTGCTGTGCAGAAGCTCTTTAGTTTAATTAGATCCTATTTGTCAATTTTGGCTTCTGTTGCCATTGCTTTTGGTGTTTTAATCATGAAGTATTTGCCCAATTGTCCTTAATAAAACTGCTAAAGTTAAGACATACAGTTGTAAATGTTCTGGATAAAAATGTGACTCTCCTAATGTAACATAGGTTTGGGGAAGTGGTAAGCTTAGTTACTAGGGACAACTAAATTTTAGTATATATAACCAGAACATTAGTTACTAAATCCTATTAGTATCTAGTTTATATTTGGTTATCAGCTTATTGGCATCAAATATGACTTGTTATGAAATAAAAGACTGTTTGCTTTCATTTTACTTCTGATAAATAAAATGCTATGTCACATTCTCTTTGCAAATAAAAGGCTTCATACAAAATTTTAAAATGGAAGTATACTTGGTAAATATTCTTATCATGATGAGTAAGTTAGCCTAAAACAAAAAAAAATGTAAAATTTAGCAGCCTGCTAATCTGATTGTTCATTTTAAAAATTCAACTCTGATTTATCTGTTTGACCAGTTTGCTTGACAAAATAGGTATGTAGCATAAACTACTGGGTAAGTGTTCCCCAATTTTGTTTCTGCTACTTGCAACAACCTTCCAAAATAGATATATTACAGGTTGAACATCCTTAATCCAGAAGTCTAAAATCCTGAATGCTCTATAATCCAAAACTTTCTGAGCACCAACATGATGCCACAAGTGGAAAGTCCCAGATCTGATCTCATGTAACTAGTCAAAATAAAAATGCAGACACACAATAGACAGCTTATTTGGCATCCCCAAGGGAAAAAGACACTCCCAGCCTTGTTTAGCTATGATATATCTTTTCTGAGCATGCCCAGATTCCCTCACACAAGCACACCACAAAGAGTGATAAAATGGCACATGTGCAGGCTGGACACACCAAGATCAGGGTCCTCACAATGCCTTGCATGGAGCCAAAACCTACATGCATTACTTACTGGGGTTTTTTTTGTGTGTGCATATTATCTGCCCTGTGCTGTAAAGATAGCATCGAAAATATCTAAAACGCCTGCAGATGCTGCAATAGGTAACAGTGATAAGAAAAAGAGAATTATTTATATTTCTCTACTGCACAGAAAGTCAAGCTGTTGGAGAAACTGGATAGTAGTATAAGTGTGAAACATCTTGCAGAAGACTATGGTGTTGGAATTACCACCATATATGACCTGAAGAAATAGAAGGATAAACTTTCGAAGTTCTATGCTGAAAATGATAAACAGAAGTTAATGAAAAATAGAAAATCACTGCATAAAGCTGAAAATGAAGACCTTAATCATGTATTGAAAGGGCGGCTCCATCAACTTCTCAGTGAACACATACCACTTAATGGTATGCTGATCATGAAACATGCAAAGATCAATCATGATGAACTAAAATCGAAGGGAACTGTGAATATTCAACAGGCAGGTTGCAGAAATTTAAGAAAAGACAAGGTATTAGATTTTAAAATATTTGTTATGATAAAGCTGATCACAATAATTTGCTGATCACAAAGCAGCAGAGAAATTCATTGACAAGTAAGCCAAGGACATTACTGATGAAAATCTGATGCCAGAACAAGTCTATAACGCTGATAAAACATCACTGTTTCGGTGTTATTGCCCTGGAGCAACACTGACTACAGCTGAAGAGACAAGAATTAATTAAGCCCTACAAGAATTAAGGATGCCAAGGACAGAATAACTGTGCTGGGATGTGCTAATGCAGCAGGCACGCATAGGTGTCAACTTGCTGTGATAGGCAAAAGCTTGTGTCTTCACAGTTTTCAAGGAGTGAATTTCTTACCAATCCATTACTATGCTACCAAGAAGGCATGGATCACCAGGGACATTTCTTTTGAGAGCCTTCACAAACATTTTGAACCAGTGGCTCATGCTTACTGCAGGGAAATGGGACTAAACAATGACTGCAAAATTTTGTTATTCTTTGACAACTGCTCTGCTCATCCTCCAGCTGAAATTCTCATAAAAAATAATGTTTGTGCCATGTATTAATACTTTCCCCCAAATGCAACTTTGTTCATTCAACCATGTGACTAAGATATTCCAAGGTCAGTAAAAAGTAAATATAAAAGCACTGCCTTGAGCAGTGTGCTACCAGCGGTGAACAATGTCGGTGTGGAAGGTTTTCAAAAGAAGTTTAGCATGAAAGACGCCATATATGAGGTTGCCAACACTTGGAATATAGTGACTGAAGACACAGTTGTGTACACCTGGCACAACCTCTATAATCTGTTACTATGTTCAATGACGATGAACAAGGTGGTGACTTTGAAGGATTCCATATGTCAAGTGAGAAAAAGTGACGTTTGACTTGCTTACATATGCAAAAAATATATCTTCAGAGTTCATTGGTAAGCTGGAAGAAATGAATATCAAAGAAGTTTTTACCATTGATAATGAGGCTCCAGTTGTTCATTCTTTGACCAATAGTAAAATAGCCAAAATGGTTCTGAATCAAGGTGATCATGATAATAGTTATGATGAAGATGGCATTGTTAACACTGAAGAAAAGGTGCCTGTAGACAATGGGGTGGAAATGTGTAATGGGCTTATTGGAGGACTAGAGCATCACACATTTATAATAGAACAAGAAATTATGTCAGTTTATCAAAGAGAGACTTACAAGATAAAAACTGTTTTTCGTTTTGTTTTGTTTTGTTTTTTGAGACAGGATCTTCCTTGTCACTCAGGCTGAAGTGCAGTGGTGTGATCATGGCTCATTGCAGCCTTGACCTCCCAAGTTTAAACAATTGTCCCACCCACACTCCACTATGCCCAGCTAATTTTTGTTTTTGTTTGTTTGTAGAGACAGGGCCTCCCTTTGTAGCCCAAGCTTTTCTTGCACTCCTGGGCTCAAGCAATCCTCCCACCTTGGCCTCCTAAAGTGCTGGGATTACAGGCATGAGCCACCACATATAACCCCTGCATAAAATGTTGTTAATGAGGCAGATGACTCTGGAGGAAACATTTTTTAAGGCCATCCAGCAGAATGCCTCCTCAAACCTGGAGGACTCACTTCCTGGTCACTCAAGGCTTCTGATGTGTTTCTTAGCCAAAAAAATAAAATTTACTATACAGTAACTTTTTAATCAGAACACAGCATTGTAGATAGAGACTAGGGGCCTGCTGTTGCTTGTTGTTGCTGTTGTTTAACAACTGATGCAGGTATTCTGGTGACTCCACTGTGCTGCTTAGTTACCTTGAACACACTAGTTCTTCACTGTATTTATGGCATGGTCTGTTTTTCACTGTTAAGTATTTGTGTGTCAAAAAGTGCAAGAAAATGATTGCCTATCAATAGCATATATATTCAGAGTCAGGAATGATAGTGATGCCAAACAAGCACAGATTGTCCACATGGGTGGACACTTTGGTTTTCTGGTGGTTCAATGTAAATAAGCTTGGTTTCATGCAAAAAAACCAATATTTAAAATGTTTTATATAATTACCTTCTGGCTATGTTTTAAGGTATATAAAAACTGTAAATGAATTTTCTGTTTAGACTTGGGCCCCATTACCTTATTATGTATATGCAAATATTCCAAAATCTGAAAAAATATGAAATTCAAAATACTTCTGGTCCCGAGCATTTTGGATAAAATGAAACAGACACTCCACCAAGGAAGATATAAGGGTTTTTCAACCTATATCCCATGTATAGATGTGGTATTCAAAAGTCAAAGAGAAAGGACAGGAGCTAGAAGTAGTGGAGCTCAGATTTTAATCTAGAGCTGTCTGACTTACTCCGAGTCGCAGATCTTTCGGCATTTCCCTAAGAGATCTTGGAAATGCCATTTCCCAAAGCACAATTCTACAATTGGAATTCCATAATTAAACACACAATTGGAAAGGAAACCTAGGTAGGTTTTAAAAGTTTCTGGCCGGGCTCAGTGGCTCATGCCTGTAATCCCAGCACTTTGGGAGGCCGGGACGGGCAGATCACCTGAGGTCAGGAGATTGAGACCATCCTGGCCAACATGTGAAACCCCTCTCTAATAAAATACAAAAAATTAGCTGGGCATGGTGGCAGGCGCCTGTAGTCCCAGCTACTCAGGAGGCTGAGGCAGGAGAATCGCTTGAACCCAGGAGGCAGAGGTTGCAGTGAGCCGAGACCATGCCATTGCACTCAGGCCTGGCAACAGAGGAAGACTTCGTCTCCAAAAAAAAAAAAAAAAAAGTTTATGTCAGAAGTGACAGATGCCACTTCCTCGCATGTGTCATTCACCAAAGCAAGTCACATGACCACACCTAACTGCCAGGTGTTCAGAAAAAGGAGGGATGGAAAGAGGTGGCTGGCAACACTAATGCTTGGGGTGTTTAGTCTGGAAGTTGTGTCTGTGGGTTATGAGGCTCCTGAAGCCAGTTTGTACTTAATGTTGAAGGACTCTGAACTCCATGCTCTAGGACATCAGGAATCATTGAAGGTTTTGAGTCAGAATATACCATAATTAGTTGAGCCACAGTCTGAACTCACTAAACAGACACAGACTGCTAGACTCCCAGACTTATTCCTTGATCAGTGTTGCAAACCAACACCATTCATGCTTTTTCTCACTTCCCAAAGCAGAACCTGCTGCACGCTTCCTCAAGCCAGCTTCTCACTCCTAAGAACTCAGGCAGAAGGATATGCTTTTTTAAGACTAAAAAGAGAAACTATTATCTGGCACTGGGTGAAGAGTCCTGCTGACACCACTTCAGGTGAATTGTAGTTGTATCTAGCAGGAAGGAGATCGAAGGCTCTCCAGAGGAGAGCAGCCTGCCCCAGGGAACAGCTACAATCACACAACTGTGTAATTGAACTTGTTCCTTTTATTTAGTGGCAAAACTTTAGAAGCGCCCTGTCTAAAAAAGAAAATACATACAGACACACATAGAGACAAACAAAAAAAAAATGGAAGTCTTTACTACAACTTAACTAGTTATTTTCAGGGCAAACTCCAAGATTTATGTTTATCACTGCAAAATGCAGTTGTGTCCATTTCCTTGAGTAGCCACGTGGCTGCCACTTTATGTACTTGACAGGAACATTATTTAGAAACTGGCTGTACACACAGTTCTTATATAATGTCTAAACACCATGTCAAATGAGACGCTTAAGACTATGAGACTATATATATACATATATACGCATATATATCTTCCAAAGGATTTGTATGTAGAATATAGAGTCTTACAAGAAAAAAAAATTAATACAATAAAAACGGAAAAAACGAAACTGAAACAGACACTCCACCAAGGAAGATATATGAATAGCCAATAAGCATATATACATATATATATTTATATATATATAAATATTTATATATTTTTATATATACATATATATTTATATATTTTTTTTTTGAGACAGAGTCTTGCTCTTGTTGCCCAGACTGGAGTGCAATGGCACGATCTCAGGTCACTGCAACCCCTGCCTCCTGGGTTCAAGTGATTCCCCTGCCTCAGCCTCCAGAGTAGCTGGGATTACAAGTACCCACCACCACACCTGGCTAATTTTTGTATTTTTAGTAGAGACGGGGTTTCACCCTGTTGATCAGGCTGGCTCAAACTCCTCACCTCGTGATCCGCCCACCTCGGTCTCCCAAAGTGCTGAGATTACAGGTGTGAGCCACCGTGCCTGGTCACCAATAAGTATATTTTTAAAATGCTCAATATCACTAGTAATCAGGGAAATGTAAATTAAAACTACAATGATATTCAGGCATACCCTGAATATCATTATTATATGATATTCATATAGAATAGATTATAAGAGTGGCAGTGTCAATTGTTGTCAAGGATGTGTAGCAACTAGAATTCTCATCCACTGCTGGTGGGAGTACATAATTGTACAATTGCTCTGGAACTTTTGGCAGTTTTTTATAAATTTATATACAGCCACCCTATCATCAAGATATTCCATTCTTAAGTAAGTACACTAGACAAAACAAATATCTGTAAAAAGACATACACAAGAATGTTCTACTGGAATCATTCAAAATAGCCCCAACTGGAAACAACCCAAATGTCCATGTATTAGTCAGTTTCCACGCTGCTAATAAAGTCATACCTGAGACTGGGAAATTTACAAAAGAAAGAGGTCTATTGGACTTACGATTCCACATGGCTGGGGAGGCCTCACAATCATGGTGGAAGGCAAGGAGAAGCAAGTCACATCTTACGTGGATGGCAGCAGGCAAAGAGAGAGCTTGCGCAGTGAACTCCCGCTTTTAAAACCATCAGATCTCGTAAGACCCGATCACTATCACGTAGAACAGCACGGAAAAGACCCGCCCCCAAGATTCAGACATCTCCCACCAGGTCCCTCCCACAACACGTGGGAATTATGGGAACTACAATATGAGATTTGGGTGGGACACAGAGCCAAATCATATTAGTCCATCAAGAGGTGAATGAATAAACAAATAATGGTATATTTAAACAATGGAAAACTACTCAGCAAAGTAAAAGAACAAACGGTGGCTTTTCTCAACAGCCTGGATGAATCTGAACTCAGAAACTTTCATACTGTATGATTCTATTTACACAAAGCCCTAAAGAAGGCAGAGTTACTCTCTGTTGATAGAACTCCGAATGCTTACCTACAGAGGAGATGAGTTCATATTGACTGGAGGCAGTATAAGTGAATTTTCTGGGGTAATGGAAAGGTTCAATATCTTAATCAGTAAGTCAGTTACACAGGAAATATGCATATGCAAAATTCATTGCACTCTACACTTAATAATATGTACATGTCACTGTATAAATGTTCTTCAAAATATTAAAAATAGATGTTTAATAAAGGTGTCTGAATAATGACAGCTGGGATTTCTAAGAAAAGCAGAAACCTTGATACAACTGCTGTACTTAGACTTGGTTATTTTGGAAATTTCCAACACACAATGTGGTATAGTGCAGGAATCACAAATTCGAAAACTGCAGTAGCCAATAAGCTAATATAAATCAGTGAAATGGCCTGGATACATGACAGGAAGGAGTGGCAGGGCCTCTGGTGAACTGCAGAGGAATGCCACATCTTGTAAAAGCCGTCAGATATTGCTCCAGTGATTTTTGCTTCCTGGAGAAGCTGACCCGAAATAGCCAGATTTCCTGGTTTTTAAAAATAAATCAGAAATTTATATATGCATGTAAAATACTTGATATTTATATTTTAACAATTAATTTTTCTACTGTAAATGCTGAGCCAGCCAAGTAGTGTTATATAATTTTAAGATAACTTAAAGTGACACTGGTTTCCTTAGCCCTACCTAGACTGCAGCTATCTCACTGTGCATTGCTTTCCAAGAGCAAGGGGTACGTGGGGAAATAATCATCAATCAGAAACTAAATGGCAGGGCACATTGTCAGGCACGTTTCCTTAACCCAGTTAATCCTAGGCCCTTTCTGGTTGGGAGGGAGGGAGAATATCAGTACAAAAACAATGCCTGGATCTCATTTCCAACTTTTATTATTCAACATTTTTTCTTCATCTTGCTAATTGTTCCTGCCACCTCCCCATGTCAGGCCAAGAAGGCACTGGTTTCCATTGAAATCTCCAGCCATGTTTTCTCTCTCTCTCTCTCTCTCTCTCATGCACACACACACACACACACACACACACACACACACACACAGCTGAGGCCAGTCTGAAATCCTTGAACCGGGCCTCACTAAAGAATGTGAAGAAAAAAGCATATACGGAAGGACAATCTCGTGCTTGAGATTCAGTTAACTGAATCTATTCCATTATCTTTGGCTTATGATGTCCTACAGACCACTGCATCTTTGACTAGATCTTACACTCTCTCCCCAGGTGAAAAGTAGGATGACCTGATATCCAGGTTTTCTTGGGATAGTCCTAGTGTATGCCAGATTTCTTGGCATAATTATTAATGGCTTCACCTTTCACTCTCATAATTGCCCTAGTTTGAAAGAAAAATTTTATGGTCACCCTAGTCAAAGGTATCCTTTTGCTTAAAGCATGGAATTACTATCAAATCGAGACTGGAAGCCTGTAACTAAGAGTGAAGCAAAATCTTTTCTCTACTGTCCAAGGCTCATCTTTTAAGTCCCACTTTACTATCCAAAAAATTTTCAGAAAACAATTCCACTTCGTTTCCGAAATGATTTAAAAATTCATAATAAAGTAGTGTCGAAAGTCAATGGACATGTGCTTTTTCAAAGCTAGGCAAAGCTTGAGTGCCCAAATCCTTGATTTTAATATGAATAAAGTATGTACAATCAATACTATAAATAATAAATTTGGGAAGAAGACTTGATATTGTAAAAGCAAGTTTTCTGACACAAAATGAAATGGAGTTGATAAAATGAAGGAGAAGGGCCGGGGAGATGAAAGCATTGTGGTGTTTTTGAGAAAAGACATCATGTTCCACTTACAAAGTCACAGTCCTGGGTGAAGTTTGTCTAAGGTTAATCTATGTAAACATTACATAGGTTTAGGGAAATACCAGATCAGAAAGTGCCAGTGCCTCATATCTCAGGGGATAGCCACTGGAGAGCTACAGGCCTCAGAGAGAAACTTTGTATATCCACTATTGTAACAGAGCTGTGGAGTATCAAAGGCTAAGTGAGGGTCCAGGTAGGCTGGTGTGGGCAAACTTCAAAGTCTGAGGCAACCCAGGTAAAGTGCATAGAACATCAGCAAACCTCCAGGACCCCACAAGAGAGGCTCACATATGGCTGAGAGATGGCTAGTGAACCAGCAACACCTCATGAGTGACTCAAAGAAGAAACAGATGGTCTGACATGACCAGAGGCCATGGCTATGGAGTCATCATGGTGGATATCAGTCATAGACAGAGGACAATGAGTAAATGACCAGCCAAGATGAGACATTCCTCTGTGGATACCAGCAGGGCACAGAGGACAATCATGAGCCAGGTGCCCTCTTTTCTCAACACTGTGAGGCACTAAAGTCCCAGGAGCTTAGCCGCTATGCTGGGGAATAGGAGTGGGAGTGTAAGAACCCTGATTTTGAGCATCTTTCTCTGAAAAAGTATGCAAAATAAAGTTCACAGTTTGTCTTAAATCAGCAAAACCAAGTTTTCTGCTTTCAGCCAAAAAGGGGTATGAAATAGATGCTAAATTTCATTTTTTTTCACATCTGAGTCTGTGGCCTGTGAAATTTGTACCCACTACATTTTATTTCCCGAGATGTTCTAAAGGCTGTTTGCTGTTGCTTTCTGTCTAATAACATAAAAAGCACAAAGATCTTAAAGAAAAGCAGGTTAGCAACTAGATTTCGCTGAAAAAAAAAGCATTTCAATTCCACAGAACACCTAAAGAAGCCATAAATCTGGGCTATGTGTAGCATTTCAAGTAGCTGACTCATTACCAATAACAATGCTCCCACTACCAGGAAATCGAATTTTTGGCATTTTTTTCTAACTCTGCCCCCACCAAAACTTTAACCTGAACTACCAAGAATAACAAAATTGACAGATTTGTGATTCAATCCTCCATTTCCCTTTCCTGTTTGTTTGATGGATGTGCAGATTAGCAGTGAAATGGCCCAAGACTAGCAAGAAAATAGGGGAAAAAATCTGGTTGTAGTCTCATAACAGAACTTTGACACTATACCTTGCCAGCCTCCTCCATCTTTATCTTTGCTTTAAACACACATTTGCACAGGCACACACACATACACACACACATGCCCACCCTCTATAGAAAGAATCTGTCATGCTATCTAACATTTTTAAAACAATTCCACTTCAAAATAGGAATAAATGATTTGTAGTTTTAATTTTATTTACATCCATCCACTTGTTGTCTTTTTTTTTTTTCATCTCAGGAAGATTCATCTAAAAAAGAATTGTCTTTGGCCTCCAAAACTCTTTTGACCCTGTGTCCACACTGTTCTCTTAAAGGCAACATACAGAATCACTTATGAGCCCTTTACCTTCATGCAACAACTTCGCTAACCCTGTATACATCTTCCACCAAATCAGTCATTTTTTTTCTTTCCAAGCACCCACATCAAGTAATAGCCTCACACCTTTGCCATTGCCCTTTGCATGTCATGGTGGATCCAGGAATGCAAAGGCCTCCCATGGCTCAATTCTAATCCATTTTCACAGATCAGATGCTCACATAACCAGACCTTGGTCACCATACCCCATGGACACTGCTCCCTACAAGGCCTCCACTATTGGACACTCCTTTTCTCTGACTGTCAGGCCTCTGAGCCCAAGCCAAGCCATCGCATCCCCTGTGACTTGCACGTATATGCCCAGATGGCCTGAAGTAACTGAAGAATCACAAAAGAAGTGAATATGCCCTGCCCCGCCTTAACTGGTGATATTCCACCACAAAAGAAGTGTAAATGGCCGGTCCTTGCCTTAAGTGATGACATTACCTTGTGAAAGTCCTTTTCCTGGCTCATCCTGGCTCAAAAAGCTCCCCCACTGAGCACCTTGTGACCCCCACTCCTGCCTGCCAGAGAACAAACCCCCTTTGACTGTAATTTTCCTTTACCTAACCAAATCCTATAAAACGGCCCCACCCCAATTTCCCTTTGCTGACTCTCTTTTCAGACTCAGCCCACCTGCCCCCAGGTGAAATAAACTGCCATGTTGCTCACACAAAGCATGGTTCGTGGTCTCCTCACACAGACGCACATGAAATTTGGTGCCGTGACTCGGATCGGGGGACCTCCCTTGGGAGATCAATCCCCTGTCCTCTTGTTCTTTGCTTCATGAGAAAGATCCACCTACAACCTCAGGTCCTCAGACCGACCAGCCCAAGAAACATCTCACCAATTTCAAATCTGTTAAGTGGCCTCTTTTTACTCTCTTCTCCAGCCTCCCTCACTATCCCTCAATGTCTTTCTCCTTTCAATCTTGGTGCTACACTTCAATCTCTCCCTTCTCTTAATTTCAATTCCTTTCATTTTCTGGTAGAGACAAAAGAGACGCGTTTTATCTGTGGACCCAAAACTCCGGCGCCGGTCACAGACTGGGAAGGCAGCCTTCCCTTCGTGTTTAATCATTGCAGGGAGACCTGTCTGATTATACACCCACGTTTCAAGGGTGTCAGACCACGCAGGGACACCTGCCTTGGTCCTTCACCCTTAGTGGCAAGTCCCGCTTTTCTGGGGAAGGGGCAAGTACCCCAACCCCTTCTGTCCTTGTCTCTACCCCTTCTCTGCTTTTCCGGGGACAGGGCAAGTACCCCAACCCCTTCTCTCCTTGTCTCTACCCCTTCTCTGCTTTTCTGGGAGAGGGGCAAGTACCCCTCAACCCCTTCTCCTTCACCCTTAGCAGCAAGTCCCACTTTTCTACGGGGCAAGAACCCCCAATCCCTTATTTCTGTGTCCCAACCTCTTATCTCTGTGCCCCAATCCCTTATTTCTGTGCCCTGACCTCTTATCTGTGCCCCAACCCCTTTTCCCACTTTTCTGGAAAGTAAGAACCCCCGAACCCCTTCCCTCCGTTTCTCTACTCTCTCTTTTCTCTAGGCTTGCTTCCTTCACTATGGGAACCTTCCACCCTCCATTCCTCCTTCTACTCCCTTGGCCTGTGTTCTCAAAAACTTAAAACCTCTTCAACTCTCACCTGACCTAAAACCTAAGTGCCTTATTTTCTTCTGCAATGCCTCTTGACCCCAATACAAACTCGACAGTAGTTCCAAATAGCCAGAAAATGGCACTTTGAATTTTTCCATCCTGCAAGATCTAAATAATTCTTGCCATAAAATAGGCAAACGGTCTGAGGTGCCTGATGTCCAGGCATTCTTTTACACATCAGTTCCTTTGCCCAGTGCAACTCGTCCCAAATCTTCCTTCTTTCCCTCCCGCCTGTCCCCTCAGTCCCAACCCCAAGCGTCGCTAAGTCTTTCTAATCTTCCTTTTCTACAGACCCATCTGACTTCTCCCCTCCTTGCCAGCCCAAGCTAGGTCCCAATTCTTCCTCAGCCTCCGCTTCTCCACTCTGTAATCTTTTTATCGCCTCCCCTCCTCACACCTGGTCTGGCTTACAGATTCCTTCTGTGACTAGCCCTCCCCAACCTGCCCAGCAATTTACTCTTAAAAAGGTGGCTGGAGCAAAAGGCATAGTCAAGGTTAATGCTCCTTTTTCTTTATCCCAAGTCAGATAGCGTTTAGGCTCTTTTTCATCAAATATAAAAACCCAGCCCAGTTCATGGCTTGTTTGGCAGCAACCCTGAGAGGCTTTACAGCCCTAGACCCTAAAAGGTCAAAAGGCCATCTTATTCTCAATATACATTTTATTACCCAATCTGCTCCCGACATTAAATAAAACTCCAAAAATTAAATTCCGGCCCTCAAACCCCACAACAGGATTTAATTAACCTCGCCTTCAAGGTGTACAATAACAGAAAAAAGTTGCAATTCTTTGCCTCCACTGTGAGACAAACCCCAGCCACATCTCCAGCACACAAGAACTTCCAAACGCCTGAACTGCAGCAGCCAGGCGTTCCTCCAGAACCTCCTCCCCCAGGAGCTTGCTACAAGTGCCAGAAATCTGACCACCAGGCCAAGGAATGCCTGCAGCCCAGGATTCCTCCTAAGCCATGTCCCATCTGTGTGACCCCACTGGAAATTGGACCGTTCAACTCACCTGGCAGCCACTCCCAGAGCCCCTGGAACTCTGGCCCAAGGCTCTCTGACTGACTCCTTCTTGGCTTAGCGGCTGAAGACTGACGCTGCCCAATCGCCTTGGAAGCCCCGTAGACCATCATGGACGCTGAGCTTTGGGTAACTCTCACAGTGGAAGGTAAGTCCGTCCCCTTCTTAATCAATATGGAGGCTACCCACTCCACATTACCTTCTTTTCAAGGGCCTGTTTCCCTTGCCTCCATAACTGTTGTGGGTATTGACAGCCAGGCTTCTAAACCTCTTAAAACTCCCCAACTCTGCTGCCAACTTAGACAATACTCTTTTAAGCATTCCTTTTTAATTATCCCCACCTGCCCAGTTCCCTTATGAGGCTGAGACACTTTAACTAAATTGTCTGCTTCCCTGACTATTCCTGGAGTACAGCTATATCTCATTGCCACCCTTCTTCCCAATCCAAAGCCTCCTTTGCATCCTCCTCTTGTATCCCCCCACCTTAACCCACAAGTATAAGATACCTCTACTCCCTCCTTGGTGACCGATCATGCACCCCTTACCATCTCATTAAAACCTAATCACCCTTACCCCACTCAACGCCAATATCCCATCCCGCAGCACGCTTTAAAAAGATTAAAGCCTGTTATCACTCGCCTGCTACAGCATGGCCTTTTAAAGCCTATAAACTCTCCTTACAGTTCCCCCATTTTACCTGTCCTAAAACCAGACAAGCCTTACAAGTTAGTTCAGGATCTGCGCCTTATCAACCAAATTGTTTTGCCTATCCACCCCGTGGTGCCAAACCCATATACTCTCCTATCCTCAGTACCTGCCTCTACAACCCATTATTCTGTTCTGGATCTCAAACATGCTTTCTTTACTATTCCTTTGCACCTTTAATCCCAGCCTCTCTTCGCTTTCACTTGGACTGACCCTGACACCCATCAAGCTCAGCAAATTACCTAGGCTGTACTGCCGCAAAGCTTCACAGACAGCCCCCATTACTTCAATCAAGCCCAAATTTCTTCCTCATCTGTTACCTATCTCGGCATAATTCTCATAAAAACACACGTGCTCTCCCTGCCAATCGTGTCCGACTGATCTCTCAAACCCCAGCACCTTCTACAAAACAACAACTCCTTTCCTTCCTAGGCATGGTTAGTGTGGTCAGAATTCTTACACAAGAGCCAGGACCATAGCCCGTAGCGTTTCTGTCCAAACAACTTGACCTTACTGTTTTAGCCTAGCCCTCATGTCTGTGTGCAGCGGCTGCCACTGCTTTAATACTTTTAGAGGCCCTCAAAATCACAAACTATGCTCAACTCACTCTCTACAGTTCTCATAACTTCCAAAATCTATTTTCTTCCTCATACCTGACGCATATGCTTTCTGCTTCCCGGCTCCTTCAGCTATACTCACTGTTTGTTGAGTCTCCCACAATTACCGTTGTTCCTGGCCCAGACTTCAATCCGGCCTCCCACATTATTCCTGATACCGCACCTGACCCCCTGACTATATCTCTCTTATCCACCTGACATTCACCCCATTTCCCCAAATTTCCTTCTTTCCTGTTCCTCACCCTGCTCACGCTTGATTTATTGATGGTGGTTCCACCAGGCCTAATCGCCACACACCAGCAAAGGCAGGTTATGCTATAGTACAAGCCACT
This sequence comes from Homo sapiens, assembly GCF_000001405.40. Classification (NCBI taxonomy): domain Eukaryota; kingdom Metazoa; phylum Chordata; class Mammalia; order Primates; family Hominidae; genus Homo; species Homo sapiens. The sequence goes on from NC_000009.12 coordinate 82,887,801, forward strand.
AGCCCGCCTCTTAGAACCTCTCATTTCCTTTCCATCGTGGAAATCTATCCTCAAGGAAATAACTTCTCTGTGTTCCATTTGCTATTCTACTACTCCTCAGGGATTATTCAGGCCCCCTCCCTTCCCTACACATCAAGCTCGAGGATTTGCCCCACCCAGGAATGGCAAATTAGCTTTACTCAACATGCTCTGAGTCAGATAACTAAAATACCTCTAAGTCTAGATACTTTCACTGGATAGGTAGAGGCCTTTCCTACAGGGTCTGAGAAGGCCACTGCAGTCATTTCTTCCGTTCTGTCAGACATAATTCCTCAGTTTAGCCTTCCCACCTCAATACAGTCTGATAACAGATGAGCCTTTATTAGTCAAATCAGCCAAGCAGTTTTTCAGGCTCTTAGTATTCAGTGAAACCTTTATATCCCTTACGGTCCTCCGCCTTCAAGAAAAGTAGAATGGACTAAAGGTCTTTTAAAAATACACCTCACCAAGCTCAGCCACCAACCTAAAAAGGACTGGACAATACTTTTACCACTTGCCCTTCTCAGAATTCAGGCCTGTCTTCGGAATGCTACAGGGTACAGCCCATTTAAGCTCCTGTATAGACGCTCCTTTTTATTAAGCCCCAGTCTCATTCCAGACACCAGACCAACTTAGACTGTGCCCCAAAAAACTTGTCATCCCTACTACCTTCTGTCTAGTCATACTCCTATTCACCGTTCTCAACTACTCATACATGCCCTGCTCTTGTTTACACTGCCGGTTTACACTGTTTTTCCAAGCTATCACAGCTGATATCTCCAGGTGCTATCCCCAAACTGCCACTCTTAACTCTTGAAGTAAATAAATAATCTTTGTTGGCAGGACTATGCTGAATCTTCTTAGGCACTCTCTAATCAGATATCCTGAGTCGTCCCAATTCTTAGACCTTTTATACCTGTTTTTCTCCTTCTGTTACCATTTAGTTTCTCAATTCATCCAAAACCGTATCCAGGCCATCACCAATCATTCTATACAACAAATGTTTCTTCTAACATCCCCACAATATCACCCCTTACCACAAGACCTCCCTTCAGCTTAATCTCTCCCACTCTAGGTTCCCACGCCGCCCCTAATCCCGCTTGAAGCAGCCCTGAGAAACATCGCTCATTCTCTCTCCATACCACCCCCCAAAAATTTTCGCCACCCCAACACTTCAACACTATTTTGTTTTATTTTTCTTATTAATATAAGAAGTCAGGAATGTCAGGCCTCTGAGCCCAAGCCAAGCCATCGCATCCCCTGTGACTTGCACGTATATGCCCAGATGGCCTGAAGTAACTGAAGAATCACAAAAGAAGTGAATATGCCCTGCCCCGCCTTAACTGGTGATATTCCACCACAAAAGAAGTGTAAATGGCCAGTCCTTGCCTTAAGTGATGACATTACCTTGTGAAAGTCCTTTTCCTGGCTCATCCTGGCTCAAAAAGCTCCCCCACTGAGCACCTTGTGACCCCCACTCCTGCCTGCCAGAGAACAAACCCCCTTTGACTGTAATTTTCCTTTACCTAACCAAATCCTATAAAACGGCCCCACCCCAATTTCCCTTTGCTGACTCTTTTCGGACTCAGCCCGCCTGCACCCAGGTGAAATAAACAGCCATGTTGCTCGCACAAAGCCTGTTTGGTGGTCTCTTCACACGGACGCGCATGAAACTGACCATAGCTCCTTCCCTTCTATTTTGCTAATTCCTGCACTTCCAATAAAGGATGCTGTTTTTTGTGATCATCATGACCTCTAGGTCTTTGAACTCTGCCATCTCTCCTAGGGGCCATCCTCTGGACTCACTTGACTCTCTGATTGACCTCGAACCAAAGGCCAGTCATTTTTCCAATCCAATCATCACTATAATAAAATAATCCCTTCCTCTTCTGATATTCTATTGCCTTACCTTCAAAGACACCCCAATATTTTGCTTCCCCTCAAGATACAGCCTCACTACCTGCTGACAAGCATTTTATGAAATGCACTTCTACAAATGGAACTTGATTAACCTGAAGTGAGTTCTCAAAGCTGCCTGAAGATCCCTTTGTCCACTGTTGGATATTTCACATACTCCTTGGGCAGGGATTTTAAAATTTCTTTATTCTCCTAAACACACACATCCAACCCCATCAGAGACCCCTCAATTTCACCTTACCAAGATTAATTCAATCGAATAGGAGCTTCTTCAACATCCCTTTACTTGGTCTCAAAGTATTTCTCTATTATGCTGCTTAATTCCATCCCCTCCTGTTTTTCTCAAGAACTTTTTTCCCTCTCTGTATCTCATTTTCAACCTCTCTCCCAAAGCTCTTTGACATAGTTTAGTATTATGCTCAATTTTTCCACATCCTAAAACACTTTTCTCCACTCCAGTCAGACTAAGATTATCGTTTCTTGTCTTGATTTTTACTTTCTCTTTAATTTCACCTTCTTTTTTTAACCCTTTCTTCTCTTTCTCTTTACCTTCTCTTTTTAATTATACACAGTGTGAACCCAGAAAATCTGAGACAGGTCTCAATTAATTTAGAAAGTTTATTTTGCCAAGGTTGAGGATGCACCCATAACACAGCCTCAGGAAGTCCTGGCCACATGTGCCCAAGATGGTCGGGGCACAGCTTGGTTTTGCACATTTTAGGGAGACATGAGACATCAATCAATACATGTAAGACATACATTGGTTGGGTCTGGAAAGGCAGGACAACTTGAAGCAAAGGCCGGAAGACTGGAAGCCAGAGGGAGCTTCCAGGTCACACATGGGTGAGACACAAACAGTTGCATTCTTTTGAGTCTCTGATTAGTCTTTCTGAAGGAAGCAATCAGATATGCATCTATCTCAGTGAGCAGAGGCGTGACTTCTGATAGAATGGGAGGCAGGTTTCGCTTTAAGCAGTTTCCAGCTTGAGTTTTCCTTAGTGATTTTGGGGGGCCCAAGATAGTTTCCTTTCACAATAAATTATTGAACAAGTATTTTAGTTGCTGCCCTGCCTTCCCACTCACTCCTGAACTCTTACAATCTGGCATCAGCCTTCTCTTTCAATGAGCTAATCTCACCTCATGCCATCTATCCCTTCTCTGTAGTGTCTGACATTGTTGACCCCAGCCTCATTGAAACCTCTCTTTTCACCACTGAAACTGGCTCTCCTCCTACCTTTCTGCTCAATCTCTGTCCCATTTTTAAGTTTACTTTCTCCTTCTGCACCCTCAAGTGCAGGCAGCTTCATGACTCTGTTCTCACCTCAGGACTTCCCTCTTTACAGCCTTTTCCTGTGTGATTGCATCACTCCTAACAGTCTCAATAACCTCCTAGACATCTTCATTTGAACATTCCATTTACACCTCAAAATCAGTAGTTGCAAAGTTGAACACATTTGCTTTGCTCCATACATCCTCTTTCCCAGATTTTTCCATTTTGTTAATATCTTTACCACCTTCCAAGCTAAGCAAAGATAAACCTCAAAGGAGTTGTCAAGCCATATATCATCCTTTGCTTCCAGGTCCAGGCTTCATCTAACAGCCAGTGTCTTCCAAATTCTATGGCTCTGTCTGAAGTGACACTTGCCATCACTCCTTTCCATTTTAGTTCAAACTTACTCTCTATCTCTTGGAATTGCTATATTGCCCCCCCTCTCATTTCATCCTTCACCAAGTCATCCCAGATACTTTTGTTGGATGACTCATGCTAAAGCATAGTTCTAACAATGCAACTTCTCCTACTCAAAACATTCAGTGGTATCCCAATGTCTACCTCATTACATGCAAACTCTCCCTTCAGCACTCAAGGACTCCTAAAATACGGCCCAGCCTGTTGTCCAGCCATCTGCTCTACTTATCCCCATGCTCTAGTCATCTAAAGAAACTGGAAGGAAAAAAGTGAGATGAGTTAAAACTGAAAAATACCTTTCTCTCTTTCTGTATTCCTCTTTTATAAAGGTTACTTTGCCACTTAAAGTTACCTACATAAAATGTCTATCTACTCTAACAGATTGTTTTATATTTCAATCTCCTCTTCTGTGGGAGGAGGACACATAAACACATTTCTCAAGAAGTCAATACACTCAGTTCCTAAATAGTATTAGAGCAAAATTGTGTTACAAAAAAAACTTAATTGCATTAAAATTAACTGTGTTAAAATTATAAGACAACACCAGCTCTAAATAAATGGTAATTATTATTATGGCTATTATTTAATCTAACCTTTTTGTCCTCAAGGAGTCCCATGCTTTGCCTTTTAGTGGGTTACCATCTTGTTGGGGTTCAAAGACTGGCACATGAATTAATTACAACCAGTTGTATTTTTCTTTTTTTTTTTGTAGACCCTATATATTTTATAACTGAAAGAATTTCCCTCCTTGCTTTGTCTACTAGGAAACGCAGCCAAATTTATGGCTCAACTCAGTAACTGTATAAGACCCCATGTATTATATATTTGTTTTTATCTATATATTTATCACTTTCTTGGCCTTATTTTTTTTACTTGATTCTTTCAATAATTTATTTAATCCTCTTATTTTATAAGTTGCTTCTAATTCTTTGGATGTAAGTATTACTAAATACTAGTAAACCAATCTATGAATAATCAAATTATAGTAGAGAGTTTGGCATTAAAGAACAGTATCAGATAAAACAAATTCAGACTCAGGTAAGTAGAGATTTCATTTAAAAAGACTATTGCAATGGGAAGAGGGAAACTATTATGATGAAGTGGTGGAGGCAATATTACAATAAGGAGAATGCTTCTATAGGAAGATGGGCAAGCAACTCAAAGGTTACAAGGAAAAGCCTTTCCTTATATTGGGAGGAATGAACAGGCTGGAAAGAATCAGGTGTGGGGGACTGAGCTGAGCAGGTGGCATTATCAGCTAGTTGATAAGAGAGTATTTTTTTCCTGAGGACAATAGGAAGTAATAGCTCTGGAGAGCTGTTAAGGAGAGGTGGTTCTGTGTCCCATGCTCAGGAATAAAGCAAAGTTGAGGGTCCCAGGACAAAGAATGGCACCTACTCAAAGTTTGGTCAAGTCATATTAGCATTTTGTCCAGATTGGTCAATGGGGACAAACAGTTCAGCTAATCATTTATGAGACAAAGAACAGGAATTTTAAGAGCCTGTATGGCCTTGTCATGAGTAGACAAGGGGCTCATCTGCAAGTATTATCCAAGTCATATGGGGAAGGGTGGTTCTTTGCAGTAAGTTATTTCCTGGAACACAAAAGATTAGGGAAATCTTTTAACCACTGCTATTTTCCAAGAGCACAGGGCTCAGGTAAAGTTCAGCACTGTCAACAGATTGAAAGTAAAATAGGAATGCAGAAAAAAGGGAGACTGGTGATGGAATCTTGGAAGAAATATTATCAGGGGCTTTTGCTTAAAGGGCTATTATGATTTCAGTGGTTGAAACTATAGCTTAAGAAAACTCAGGCTAGAGGGAGCACAGGCTAAAGCACAGAGAAAATGAACATGTGTGTAGAGAGGTAGGCACTTCAGGACAGAGTGACAAAAGCAGAGGTCTGCTTGAGGAGGACAGGGTAGATTTCACTTAGCAAGTGGATTCAGCATCAGGATTCCTGAGAGCGTACAGTGGTGTAGCTGCATGAGGTGTGTCCCATTATTTCCAAATTTAAGAATCATAACTATATTAATCAAAGCATAACTGGATATCCTTTCAATGGAATGTCAGAATACTCCAGGGATTATCTAAACATACAGGGTAATGTGCCTTTGTTTTTGACTAGGCTCTTCATAGTTCTGTTGAGATTAAGTTTAACTTTTAGAAACTAATAACAATGCAAACAATTCTTATCTATAGACATGCAAATTAATTTAAATCTCCTCACTTCAGTTTTAAATGAATTTGCAAATTCATTTCAATATTCCTGGTCTATAAATGCATCTGTTCTCTGGATTTTCCTTTGAACTAGTCTTAACATCTTATTAGTTCCCTCATTTGATTAATGACTTAAAATCTTTGAGATGTGTTCATCTTTTATAGGAATGCTTTTTCCTCTCTTTTGAAAAGCATTCTTTTGTTAAAAGAATGTAATTTCAATACTCATACCACAACTACCACCAAAGAAAAAAGGTTTCAAATCTGCCTGCCACCAACAGAGAACATTGGCAGTCACTCTGAAATTATAGAGATAAAGCCTACCGTCACTACTTAGCCTTCTGGACCCCATCACGTTTGCAAGTAAAGGAGCTCCTGCACTCCCCTCTTTCCTTGGGAGTTATGGTAGGGTTACATCAAGTTACCCTGGGAGTAAATACAATATTTAGGAGGGACTCTAGCAATACCCAAAGGCTATATCAATGTCCCAGGAATTGGCACACGGTGTTCCTGAAGCCTCCAAAATGTGTGAAAGGAATGACTTATACTCTGGGAAGAATCTGGCTCAATGTAAGGAAAGATTTTACAGATAAGGAGGACTGAATTGCAAAAATAAAAATAGTGATTCTTGCCAACACTAAAAAGCAAGTCAGTGTGAGAAATGAAGTGGTATAGGTTTGTGGCTAGGGAGGCCCAGCAAGAGGTGTGCAGGCCACGTGCTCCACCTGAGCCATCCCATAGTCTTACTGAAGCTAGCAAAGATCAGAAACACTCACATGGGGAATCCACCGGTCTTTCCAAAAACAGAAATCTGTTGGGAAGAGCTTCTGCTGCAGCTGAGCAAAAAAAATAAGAAATACTGTTCCACCAAGCCTGAGCAAAGGCTGATCTAGATGTAAGTGCTTCCCATTCACCAGTCAATCCATTATCACTTCCATCCCTACCCGCAGAAGCTGGGGGACAGGAAGCATGTCTGCATTTGTCCCCTGTATGTCTCCAGCATTTTCTAAACATTTGGCCACAAATAGGATGAAGAGAGTGCTGTGCACTGGCCACTTAAGTGCCTTAATCTTTACCCTATCAGGATGACAGTGCTCTGGGTACAGCTCACACACATGCCCTCTTCTAGACTGGAAAGCTGCTATTAGGATGCTGTCAGCAAGTCCAATATTAGAAGTTACCCCAGAATGATAAAATTCTACTCTTCTTTCATTGCATGTCTCTCAGTCACTTAATTTCCCCCTTTTCCTATTAATTCACATTATAAAAACATTGTTTTAGTTTAGGTGGAATTTTTTTTCTGCTTCATTACACTTGCCTTTTTTTTTTTTCTTGGACTTCCCTCCCTGATATCTGCAATGAGTACACACCACCTCCCTTGCAGCCTCTCTGCTTTTAGCAATAATTTGCACATAATGGAACAGCCAGAGGGGGTTTGATCAATGACCTCTGTCTCAGAGATGCTGTTCCTAGGGAAACACATCTGCCAACATAAAGTATTGGAGCAATCACAGCTCAGTGAACGCTGTAATAAGCAACTGTTACTCTGGTGCCATCAGTCATGTTCAGTTACAGACCTGAAAGGAAATGGCACCTCAGGGAGCAATGTCCTTCCATAAATTTGGGCAACAATGAAGAATGATTTGCAATCAAGTAATAAAAGGCCCAAAAAAGGTCCACCATGCATACTAACATCCAGTACAGCTGACAAAGGAAATAAAAAACCTTGGCATTGTTTGCTCGTTATGTAAACTACACAGCTGTCCAAGCAATTAAGATATGATTTTGGGAATTCTCTCATAAAAATTTGCTAACAGTGCTTCCACTTGTGAAAGTGACATTCTTCTTTATCAGTAAAGTGCATTTCATTAAGGTAATGCAATTTCATCAAGCTTAATAGTAGAAATTGCTTAACCTTATGGCAAGAGTATATAAACAATATAAAATTAATGTCGCTCCTCGTGTGGGAGATAGATTTGCATTAGTGACAGTGCTGATCAAGTAATAAAGAAAGCCTATATAGATTGTTCAGGTCCAGGGGCAAATAGCTGCTCTCCAACTTACATGTTGGGAAGCTGTGCTGGCAATAAAACAGTTAAACATTAACCTCCATGAAAAGCATTGGGCTATAAGGAAAAAGACAGATCTAATTACTGAAGATATGTTAGAAAAGTGCTTGACTTTAGGACAAAACAAGGCACCTCCCTTACTGAGAAGGAGCATGGGCTTGCTTAGCAAGCAAAAGAAAAGGAAAGTTAACTCTTAACCCATGCTCAAAACTGCACTGGCCCAAGACAAGGGGCCCCATTAACTACTCAACACCCCATAACCATTATCTTTTATACCCGAGATCTCTGGAAATAGGGTTGTGCCTGGCAGAAGGAAGTGCTCTCTAAGCAGAATTTCATTTGACCTCTTTTTCTTTCCACCATTTCAAGCCAAGCCAAATTTTTCCTCACTAAAGCAAATGCTATTGTGGAGTTCTCATAGAAGAGTTAGTGTTTGAAAGCCACTGTCAGTGGAAGAAAGAACACTTCAACTTCTATCTCGACTCCAAAAACATCGTTTATCCTTGAAAAGTTTTAGCCTTCTCAATATATGCTTTCATCAGAATTGTTCATGATAAATACAATTGGTCTATTTCAAATGCCCTCCTCTAATCTTGCATCTATAGCAAAGGAGTGGGTCAGGACAGCAAAACCACATAGTTTAGATTATCCCAGATTGAATTATTAACCTCCAAACAATAGCATATTCATCTTGCAAGCAAGCCCATTCATCAGTTGAGCACACAATCATTGCGGACTGATTCTGCAATGTTGGACTCTCTTTCTGAGTAAGATGGAAGCCCTGCCCTCAGGGAGCAACAGGCTGATAAAGAAGACAAGCATGCAAATAAGAGGAGAGAAAGTAAAGTGAAATAAGCAATGGTTCAGCATTTAATCTGATATCAAGAGCAGTGAGGAAGGCGAGTTTAATTTTGACCTTAAGGTGGGGTCATGAGTCTATGTGAACAAGGCAGCATGTGTTGTCCTTGAATGGTGAGAAGGACCATGAGAGATCCTTTCAGAATATTTCTCCATCATGAGGTCCTCTGAAGAGAGGGTGGAGATTGTGAATGAGATTCACTGACAGATGTGGCTAGATTAAGAGTATAGAACCATGTCATGGAGAGTCTTGAATGACACAGGGGCCTTAGAGAGCCAGGTAACACATTCAAATGAAATAGTCAAGGGAAGTTTAATAAAGAAATATTTTACAAAGTTGTGGGCAGGATTAAGGGAAATTAACAAGGGATAGAGTACTGTAGGGCTAGCAACAACAGGGAACTTTATTATCCTGAAGATTGGGGATGGAGAGGCTCAGAAACCTTGAGAAAAAATGGTAGCTATGGCTTTAGGATTGGGCCACCAATATGAGATGTGGCCTTAGGTGGAGGGATACAGTCTATACCAAGAAGGATAGAGCCTAGCAAGGAGGGAGGCAAAGGAAAAAATGCTTTGATATCTCCTTCCCAAAGAGCAAACCTACCAGAAGGCAAGGGAACTCCTTGATCCAGTAGTACATGTCAGCCCCAAGGGCACAAAACTGGGGAGAGTGGGGAGGGGTAGAGGAGAGAATGGATGTCAAGGAGCAAACAGAAAATATCCAGCAAGGCTAAATCACCATGATAAGACGTTTAGACACGAGTTAACTTCTTTGGTTATAAACCTGGTAATAATTCTACAGAGTAGGACTGTAAGATTCCCCATTTAGATTATGAACAACTTGAAAGCAAGGACTGGGTCTTCATCATTCTATTGTGCCTTACCTATGCTACATATATCCCTTGTATCTAGCATAGATGAGGCAAAGTAGCAACGTGAGAATTTAAGGGTCTAGCAGTTAAACAAGGTTGATGTAGTTAAGCCTCAAATGTCATAAAAAAGTTTAGATTACGGTCTTTGGAAACCTACAACTGTCCCTTCAACAAGAATATCAGGAGATGGATGTCAAAGTGCATGATATGCTAGTCTTGAGATCAATACAATTTTAGGTCAGCCCTGAGTATATGGACCAAATCTTGAATGAGGGTAGAGTTTCGCCACAGCCATAAGGCATCTAATTGCAAAAAGAAACCTCAAAATGTGTCACTGGGGCTCAAGGGCCACTGAAATTTTAAAATCTATTCTGTGGTGTGCTGGGCGTAGGTTGTGTTCACCAAGAAAGGATAAAGCACACCATGCTGGCTTCCTCAGCCTGTAGACAGCTGGATACTGGAGCAGATTTTTCAGGGGCACTTTACCCTGGGGATGAAAAGGAAAGAATTAGGGTGGCAGCTGTGTAAGAAAACAAGCCTTGGGCTTGGCATGTGCAGACCTGGGTTTGAGGCCCTGACACACTACACATGGCCGCTGTGACTGGCGACAAGTCTGTGAACCTCAGTGAGCCTGAGCTGTCCATGGGCTGGGGGGAGAGAATGTTTACACCTCAGGATTATCATAGGTGTAAATGAAATACTGTATGAAGAAGTGGCTTATAAACGGCAACACATACAAACATAAGGTGTTATTCTGGCTGCTACTTCCTGGCATTCAACAATTCTTCAGCCCGCAAGCACACAGTAGCCTCTTCGAAAGTGAGCCCTGTACAATTCTCCTTTCCCTATAAGAAATAAAAGGGTAAATTTGAGCAGTTTGAGGGATGAACAAGTTATTTTATGACACATTTTTCATGAATTTTACAGCGCATAGGGAAGAGTAACCAACTTTTTGAAAGTAAATTTAATTTTTAAATCTATAGTAAAGCCAGGAAGAGCTTTTATTTGTTTATTTGCTTATTGTTTGCTTTATTCAAGTTACTATGTCAGCTTTGCAAAAATTTTTTCATCAAATGCACACCATCACTGAATAATCATCTCCTTTTAGTTGTCATGTATCTCTACAGAATGTGTGACATTAACATCCTATACTAGCCTTCTCAGAATGTTGGAGGTAGGCCATAAAGATTTAGCGGTGGGAGATAATTACACTGTAGAAATTTCATCAGGTATGCTGAATGATGAGGTGCACTAGAATGTTAAAGCTTTGGTAGTTCTTTGTCAGGAGTCTTCAATCAACTGTTTTAAATTCTCTCCCCTTCATAAACTTCTATCTCCACCATGGTGATAGCAGTCAACCTTTGATAATGGCCAGATCCATTGGACTCTCTTTCTTCTTGGCATCTGTCTATGAGAGGCAGCATAATGTAGTTTTAATAACATGCTCCCTGGACAAGGATGGCCTAGGTTCAAATCCTAGCTCTGCCATTACAAGCGATATAACCTAAGGGAAAAGTTACTTTACTTCTTTATGCTGTGGCTTTCTGAGGTGTAAAATGGAATAATGAGTACCAACTTCATAGGGTGTTACAATGCCAGGCACATGACTTTATACTTTTTTTAATTAAAAAATTAATGGTGATTTCAGAAAATAAACAAGCCTTCTCTTTAACAGTGTTCTTGACCTCTATGAACAATTCCTTTTTTTCCAAATAAGAACTTGGAAACCATGCCTTTTCTTTTTAAATCAGCGGTTTAATGCATAGTTCTCTAGATAATGTTGCTTTCAAGATCTAAGATTGCTTCTAAATCTGTCTGCAGATTTTAATAATTATCATAAAAGATTATTTCACCAAACCTACAAACTACTCTATCAAAAGATCTAGACTTGAGTGCCAAGATGTCTGTAACGGGAAATTGGGCCACTAGCCATTTGGAATATATGAGAAATTCGCTTAGCTTCCTTACGTTTGAATGTCCCTAATGGAACCGCAAGAGGACATGCTGGGATTTGGGAACACAACTCCAGTGTTTTAAGGGATTAGGACATGCATAAATGTGTCCAGGGAAGCCAATGGGATTGTGGAATTCCTTCATACACATTCAAGAAGACATTCCTGCATTGCCTAAACCTGCTAGGTAGAATCAGTAGTTCAGCCTTATGCCAAGGAACTCAAAAAGGAGTGAATAACAGAGAGCTAAGAAAATGGCCTGAAGAGCAATTTTATTTCATGGTCCTCAGATTCTCAGCAAGCAATGAGAAATTATTCACTATGAAATAAATATCATGACATCCCTCTCTGGAGATCCCTACACATTAAAAGGATGGAGAAGATCCCAAGAACACTGTAACTGCTTTCAATGATGAAAGCACTAATGTGGAAGGATGCACATGCCCAAAGCTGAGAATTAACAAACAGATAGATATCTTCAGCTTTGAGCTTTAGCATCTATCCACATTAGCACTTAAGACACCTCTCACCATAGACTCTTCTTTCTGGGCAGCTCCAGTCCACTTAACAAGCAATCATGATTTAAGAGAAAGGACACTGGGCCAAGACTCAGAAGACCTGGATTAGAGGCCAGTTTCGTAAATTCACATAGTGGAAAAAGTATTTGTTAGAAAATTGAACTGTAAAGAGTATGAATAGATAGACTCAGATGTGAAGGTTATGCAGCTGCTTATCTCACAAATATGCCTGAGGATCTGTGATCCTTGCTGGCTCAGTTTATTCAGAGGAATCCGTGGTATTACTAGCCCCACTCTTAATAAAAAATGAGAGAAGGAGACACAGAGGTGGGACAAACTACAAGCTCCCTATCACTGAAACCGTGGCAGAGAGGTAAGAGACACTCATGGACTTCTTGTGGCAAGTGGGATTCAGGCTTCCTTGGTTTTAAGGAGGCTTTGTGAATAAATGTTTTGCATCAAATAGGCCCTCCCTCTGGACAGAGGACTTAGATCTGTGCCTGCAGGTAGATTAGACGTCTTGAAGTTGCCCACACAGTGGATACCCAGTTGTGTTAGTTTCCTATTGCTGCTGTAACCAACTACAATGAACACATTAATTTAAAACAAAACAAGTGCACTCTCTAAGTTCTGGAGGTCAGAAGTCTAGGATCAAGGTGCTGGCAGGGCTGTGCTCCTTTTGGAGGCTTCACACAAGGAAGCAAGGCCTTGCCTGTTCCAAGAGGCTTCCTGCCTGCCTTGACTCATAGTCTCTTCTTCCATCTTCCAAGCACTTCACTCCAACTACTAGCCTCACCACCCATCACATTTCCTTTCTGACTTAAACCCTCTTGCCTTTCTCTTACAGAGATCTTTGTGATTACACTGAGCATACCTGGATAAACCAGGATAACTTAGCAATCTCAAGAGCCTTAATTTAATCACATTTGTAAATGTCCCTTTGCCATGGAAGTTATCATATTCTCATGTTCTGAGGATTAGGATGTGAACACCCTTGGGGGACCATTATTCTATCATACCCATGGTGCTTTAGGGAGAAGGGGTCTCTCTCACAGAAAGTGTAAGAGCATCCCCAGTGGGGTTCTCTCTGCAAGTTAGGCTACCAGCAGGAAATGACTCTCCTGCACAGAGATCCACCAAGTGGCTCTCACATTCCCAGTCAGGACTCCCAGAACCCTACTCCTGGCAAGGAATCCCAATAATTCCTAACAGAAGGATTCAGAGAGATCAATATCCTGAAGGTGATAAATCAGGCCACTAGCCTTACGGGCACATATTGAGTTAGGTCCATAGAAACTGATTAACTTAAATGATACCTCCTAGGAAATGACACTAAACAAGATAATTGAGGAAGATAATCTAGTCCATAATGGACTAGATTAAAGACTATTCCCTTGGCCTTGTGGTGTCATTGTTAACACCTGTTTTCTTATTCAACAGAAACTATCAAGTGATATCAAATCAATGATATCCTGTAGGGTCAACACAGAACAAGAACTCAATACCCAGCATTTAATAGATTTTCAACAAGCATGCAAAAGATGCTGAGTCAATGAATGAATGAATGAATGAATGGTGTTCTAGAACCTTTTCTCTCATAATTACCCAAACAATGATAATATTTTATTTTATATAATATTTTTAAACTTCCAAAAGTGGAAACTTGATTTAAAATGGAGATCAGTGGTCATCTGATAAAATATATGCTATATACCAATGAAGTTATATGTTCACATCATGGGATAATGTATACATTTATGTGGGATGTGTGTGTGTATACACTTTTGGTATTTTATGGTATTATTATCAGGAACTGGGGAATGCCTAATTTCTGCTCTGCTCTATAATAAGTGACAACTACATCTGCATATAGACCAGGAGTTTAAAATCACACACCTACAGAAGGCAGACAAGCAACAAATGCAGGAATCAGGTAAAATGGAAAGTCAAATTGCAAAGTGGTAATTTCACAACCAGGACCAAGCTGGTCTCAATACTACTCACTTCACAGGCTTGTGGAAAGGACATGCAACCATTTAAAATGCTCTGGTAGCCAACTAAAATAGCCAATAGAACATTTCTATGGACTCTATCATAAACAACATTGCACTGTTTCCTTTATCCAGGTCAGGAGAGAGTTGATGTCTGGATCACATTCTGTGATTCTAAAAAGTAAAGAATTCTCTCCATGTGGAAGCCAGCAGAGTTACAAGAGAAGCTATAAGACAGGTGATTAATTCTTTTAAAAGCAGTACACCGACAAATCTAGGAGAAAACAATCCAATCTGTATTGCCTAATGGCCCAAAGCTAAAATGGTAGTGATCTATTATATGGGAGTGGAAGTGGAAAATAATGAAACTTGTTTTAATTATGACAATACAATTTCTACAAGGTAATAAAGACCATCGGATAAAACAATTATCAAGGCATGTGTGCACACACATTCAGTGTCATTAATTTATATAATGATGCAACCCTAAGAATTATACATTTTTTGAGGACAGAGATTTTGTTTTTTTTCCTATACTTTTGCAGTTCAGGATATTTACAATCTAGGTTCTGAGGTTAAGGTTTTAAATCATGATCAATGCTACTGTAAATATTTCTAGGCCATATAAATCATAAAGTCATATATTGAGTAGTTTTGTAAAATATGCAACTAGAGACCAAAATGTCCCAGGTCTGTGTGTCTAAATGAAGGAAGATAGCTAAAGGGCGGTGGAGGAAGGATTACTGAAAATTTGCCCTCAAATTATTCATTCACTGACACTTAATTTTGAGCTCCTACTCTGCTTAAAGTATTGAATTTAACCAAAAGGTTGAAAGACTTTCTCCCCACAGTATGACCAATTTTCCTACACTATGTCTTTTTATTAGAGACAAATTAGACTATAGAAAAAGAGAATCCACTTTTACTTAAATATTTGATTCTTCAACAATGCAGATGAGTTTCTAGAAGCCTCTCCTTTGGGTACAATGCAGCATTTTCAACCAACTGGGCATCGTCGTAAATTGTGAGACTGTTGGCTGTTTTCCCTGTGACAAAATAGCAAAACTTGAAATAGGAAAGTTCTTTTGCTAAGACCCCATTTCAAATTGTAGTGCCCACCACTCCAAGGCCTTGTCCTATGAGTTCCTCTCCTCCAAACTCAAAGCTATAGTCAAAGTACAGCATTTTTAAAATGTTTTAAATTGTTATTTATATGTTCTTCACCAATAACCACTTATGACCTGCCTTACCCATAAGAAAGGGCTTATCCTGAAAGTAAACAAAAGCAAAAATTAAAACAAAATAAAAAAAAAAGAGTGGTGTGTTAGAAGAGGCAGTTTCAAACACAAATCTTAAACACACACACACACACACACACACACACACACAAGAAAACAATTAATACATCAGAGAATTCTGCCAGGCTTTTGTAGCATTACAGGGCTTCTCAGCTATAAAGAAACATATTGAATGTTTAGAGCACAGCCCCTTCCTCGCTGCTTCAGTTGTTTCCTTTTGTTTACAAGTCCCTGCCATCTTTCTTTGTGAATTGAATGCTAAACTATCTCTGGAGAGATGTTATATTGCTTACAGAATGCTTCAGCAGATGGTGTTTCCTGTTGGAACAGAAGGCTGTGATTATACCTGAACTCTTCAAGAACTCTAACACTGAAAAACAAGATAAATGAAAGTCTTCAAAAGTTTTATTTCTTCCCTTACCAGCCATCTAGATGCTCAGCCACCCACTGGCCCCGCTCTGTCACTACAGCCAATAGAGGTGGATCTCCCCACTCTATCCTATCTCCTCCCCACCAAGGACATTTTTTTTAATGGCTTACGCATCCCATCAGCAGAGTTTGTTTAAGAATTATTGAGAGTATTGCTCATTCGGATGCCTGGTCACTGTGCATTCAGATATTCGAAAGCCCCATTATAAACAATAAAGAAAAGAGAATATATCTTCATCAGGAAGTGTCTATAAAAACAAATTGAAATACAGAGCAGGCCACCTGGTGCCAAAAGTTCAGGGTTATAGAGAAATTTATCTCCACACATTTTGAGATAAATTGTCCTTCTCAAAAGACCCTCCCACACAGCACTGCGGTCATATTTGAAGCTGAACAGCACTTCCTGGAGAGTGTCAAGCACTTGCCACTTTATCCTTGGAGCTCTTTTCTATTTTTCGCTTCCTAAATGTCTTTCCTGCATTTCCTGCCATGATCTGTTTAGTTCACTGTCCAAAGCAAAGGGTAATTCCTCGTTTGTCTTATTTTCTCTCTGCCTACCAGGGAAACATATCATGGTATAACAGAAGAGAGGCCACAAAAAAAAAAAAAAAAAAGAAACACATACATACATAGTTACTTCATAAATATAAATGGGAAAATAGGCAAGGTTCCTCTTTACAGACCCACCATCACACATGGCATCATGAAGCTTTAAACCCTTACTTTCTGTGATCCCCAAATCTGGCCCTCCAATATCCCAGTGATTATGCAGAGAGCCAAGACCTCTGCCCTGTTTTAATACTCTCATCATATAACTATATAACGTATAATACTCTCAGTCCTCTCATCATATAACAATGGGTGATAAAGCCTCAAGCAGTTAGTAGCCAAAGTGATATATGACTCTCAACCCTCTGATGAAATCCACAGCAGGGAATTTCAGAACCAGACTATTCAAACAACCCTCTAGTTCAGGTCCCTCATTTTTCTAGATAAAACTAAACTCAAAACTGTCCTTGATCTGCTTAAAACCATTGAGCCAAGAGAGCCCTAGAACTTAAGTCTAGTCGTTAAACATATTATCAGCTCTGTTGTTAAATATGCAAATCTTAATAAGTAAAACACTAAAAACTTCATTTAGTCTCTGGATTTGATCTCGTTTGGTTGCATCATGATGTCTAGCCACAATATAGCACACAGGTGCTTAGAAAATCAACCAACGGCAGGTATTTACTAAGTGCTTTACAACCTGCCCTGCATCCATGGTCACCGTCAAGTTTAGGCACAGGGGATACAGTGATAATCAATTTAGATACTTCCATTGTCCTCATGTGGCTTATATTCTAGTAGGAGAAAGAGAAAATAAACTAGCAAGCAAGCAAGGTAATTTCTCATAATTGTAAATGCACCAAAAAATGAAATTGTGAAAGAGAGTGACTGACAAGTGGGCAGCATTGAGCTGGGGTTATATAGGGAAGTTTCTATGAAGAGATGACCTTGAGCAGAGAAAAGAATGACAAGATAGAGCCTCCCACACAAAGATCCAGAAATGAAACAGGCCAAAGAGTCGCTCAGACCATTATTAGATTGCACTTTTCTTTTTAAACCCACGAGAAACTGTGTGTGTCATTTAAGAGGAGCAAAAATGAAATTACTCCGTCATCCTTCCTCCAGAGAAATCAATTCCTGCATCGAACATGCAAACCAGCCCACCCAAACCCTCAGCTCTTTCTTAACATTTTATCTCTATAAATAACATTTTCTATATTTATATATGCATAAATAACAGTATATATAGAACATATATATAGATATAAACCATGTGATAGATGTCAACTTTCAACTTTCAGAACTATCTCCACCAGCATTGCTCAAGAGAAAGAAAATGTGAGCTATACATGTAATTTAAAATATTTGAGTAGCCACATTAAAAACTCAGAGAAATCAGGTGAAGCTAATATTAATACTATATTTTATTTCATCCAATATATCCAGAATATTAATATTTCAACATGTAACAATATGAAAAATAATTGAGATATTTTACCTTTTCTTAACTAAACCTTCAAAATCTAGTGTGTTTTTTTTAACAGAAAATCTCAGTTCAAAGTAGCTATCTTTCAAGGACGAAATAGTCGCATTTGACTAGTGACTACTGCGTTGGACAGTTCAGGTCTATAGTTTGAATAGCATATTGCCTAAAAGTTACAGCGTTTCCTTATAATACGTTTCTTAGTTAACAACAAAATAGCCAAATATTTTTCTCATGCCTTTTCTTTTTTCTTTGCTTCTCTCAATATGTCCTGGCCTTATTCCACTTCATGTTTTAATACGATATTGAGAATATTTGGAAATTAAATCATTTATTATTTCTTGATACAAAAATGTTGCCCCCTCCTTATCATTTTTATCATCTCAATAAAGTGAAAGGCTTTACATTTCTAATACTATGCATTTGACACCTTCTATCCCCTACAAATATAGAGGCCAAGTGTGCCTGTGTTGTCTAGCAGATTCTGTGCCATTACAGACAGAGCCAATAAAAAGGAAGTTTATTAAGAACAAAAGGCAACATGGTAGGTAGATAGTAGAGTCTGGGTTCATCCAACTTGGAAACTAAAAACCACAAGGAATGTCCTATGGGGCATATTGGAAAAATGTCTCCAAACTATACAAGCGGACTTCCTTCTGTTCCGTGGTCCACCTGTGCTGCTGACTGGATGAAAAAACTCTAGAGTTGTGCATTAGTGAGGAAGAGTTAAGCTAAACCATCTGCACTCATCCAAACTGCAGCATTCTAGAACAAGATGCTGGTAAGTATTTGTGTAGTGGAGAGGGAGCAAGGGGGGTGAAAAATACAACAAAGAGAAAGGGGGTGAGTAGGAGAAAAAGAAGGAGAAGGGGAGAGAAAAAGAGGAAAGAAAAGAAAAAGAAGAGATACAGAAGGAATTATGAGTCACAAAGCAGACACAACTCTAACTTAACCTAGAAAAAAAATTCTCTTTCTAGTACTGCCACCAGTCAAGCGGGGGGCTTGCCCTAAGCCCTGATGTTTAGAGGCCCTGATCTGTCACTTCTCCAAGCATGACATCCCTACAGGGTAAAAAGTCTGAGGGTCCAAAAGGGCAGCCCACCCCACATGAAGCCTGTGCCCTCTTTTCCCCTACAGAGCATGCTATGGATACTTGGGACTCTAGAATTAATTCTCTGCCATTAGGATGCTCGCTGGCCTGCTAGGCTTGTGAGGACCTCTTTTCCTGTCCATACTTATGATAATATGCTGAGCCACCTGAAGAGTGTCCAAAGAGCAGCTGACTGGAGTGGGGGAATGTAAAGGGAGGTTGGCAATTGCAGGCTGTCATGTCCATCAGCATGCATGCAATGCCCCTCAAGCTTTGGGAGAAAGTCAAAAGTGGGAAAAGAAGGGGGATTGGACAGAGAGCCTCCTTGCACCTTCTTGTTCTGGGCTCCACAAATGTTAGGGTCTAGTGGACTTTCTCATGGAAGGCAGTCAGTTCAGTCACAATGACTATTCTACAGTTGACAATGGGCACCAACATGTCGGATTAGGACACCTGGTAACATCCTCCATGGAAGGGTCATTCTGTCATTATGGCACTTTATAATTAGTGGTTGCCTAATTCATTGGGATTGCTAGTTTTAACTTCAATACACCATAGGAATAGTGGGCACCAACTTCCCTGCTTCTCTAGTCATTGTTAGTGCTAGAGTTTATGCAGAAAGCGGGAGCTGAGCCAGGAAGCATTTCTGGCTTCAGAACCTGAAATCATAATCAAAGAGCTACCTGAAGTCCAGACGAGTCCAATCACAGTAGTCAACACACCACAAGCCTCCTACAGAATGGAGCTGGAGGGGAGTGAAAGTCAGAAGTCTGTGAGGCGAATCTGGAGAAATCACTTAAGAGATTCAAAAACACTATAGGAATTAGACTGAGAAAACTTAAAGACCCTTTTCACTTGGTGAGTTACTTTGACTTTTGGATACAAAGGTAATCAGAAAAAGAAGAAGCCTTGGTGTTTTAAGCATAGGAAGTCCTGAGACATATATCCATTTTAGGTTTCTTTTTTTCCCTGTATTTTTTTGGAAAATGTATCCTAGCAATTGCTTGCTTGATGGAGGCATGAATTATGCTTGCTGAATACTGATGAGTACATTTAAAAGGGTTCAGGGCTGAATGCATGAATACTCAGACAGTCGGCTGCTTCTTCCTAACTCATAATTCCAGCTTTCCCAAACATTAAAATCAAATGAGTAGGCTTGAAAGAATAGGAATGCATAAAACAGAGTCAAGACTTCATTCCAATTTGGGTTAGGCCAGGTATTCTCAGAGTAGCATCATAAAACAAAAGATCAAGGCAAAAGAGAATCTCAAAACTATCTCAGGTTAACCAAGTTAAGATCACTGGTTAATTTTTTTTAATAGGGCTGTTAATCCCTAAGAAATAGCAGAAAATTTCATCTACAAACTACTTTGTATGAAACAACTAAAACTGTTCTGTGACATTTTCACTCAGTTACTTTTTTTTCTCCTCTAAGTTTCATATGAATTAAAGAAAAACAGAGGTCAAAGGGAGTGAGAGATATCAATCTCTTTAAATGCCAACTTGAGCTTTTTAATCCAATTGACATTCAGTCCAAATTGTCCTTATCTACAAAAGAAAATGAGTTTATCCCTTATTGGCAGTGTAAGAAAGAAGACAAAATTTTGAATACCATTTGTTGTCTGTCTCCTTTATTTTCTGGCAACATATGCTTGTGTGTGTGTGCGCGCGTGTGTGCGTGCATGTGTTTTGTACATGTAACTCTCCAACCACTTTTGTGTTTCCTTAAAGTCTCCAAGAAGGCAGGTATGCATCACTGCAATCAGACAGCATTATAAATTCTACTTTTTTTAAAATTTTTAGTAGAGATGGGGTTTCACCATATTGGCCAGGCTGGTTTTGAACTCCTGACCTTAAGTGATCCACCTGCCTCGGCCTCCCAAAGTGCTAGGATTACAGATGTGAGCCACCACGGCTGGCCAAATTCTACTTCTTATCTTTAGACTAATATAAAGGTTTTTTCCGTTAATTACTAAGTGCCCCAACAACCTAACTGAAATCAAGTTCCATCTATACTAACTCCAGGCAACTAAATGTGGACAAATGGGTATTATTGTATGTGCTTAATGACTGACTCAGGTCAGACAGGAAAGAGAAGTACTTGATTTAGAGAATAGGGACAGAATTAAGTAGGCATTACACACTTCATGGAGTTTATTTGGTTTCATTATACATATCTACAGTTAGTCACCCAGGGAGAAAGGAATAAAAGAGGAGCGTGAGTTAGGTGTTTAAATTTGTTCAAGTATTACAGTAATGAGTTCCACAATTTACCCAAAAAAAGTACAGTAAGGCACTGCTCTAATAGCACAGCAAGCCCCATTAGTCACTGTGAGGAAAGCAAAGTGTTTTAATTCCTTCCCAACTGTCAAGAAGACAGGGAAGAATGCAGCGGTTGAAAGTGCCTTTGTCAAGGGTGTGATTTTTAATCCACCTAGTAATAAATGTGGCATTGGCTGGAGGGACATGAAAAGAGAATCTTTTCTTTTGTACATCATATCACCACCCCCGACGCAGGCAAACTTTGGGACATTATCCAGAAAGTCCTCACTTACCATCATCCATAGGTTATTAGAAGCTGCAAATTTAAGCAAAACATATATGGCAGGTCCCCCAAATCCTTTGTTGTTTAGATATAACATTGATGAGAAAGAGAAATGGTTTTGTTATACATTGTTTTGGTTGAAGTTGTAGTTTCCAGGAACCCATCCATGATGTTAAGTGAGGACTTACTATATTAGTTTGCTACTGCTGCTGTGACAAAGTAGCACAAGCCTTAAAACCACACACTTTTATTTTCTTACAGTTCTGAGGCCAGAAATGTGTAATGGGTCTTACAGGGCTAAAACCAAGTTGTTCCGAGGGCTCCCTTCAGAGACTCCAGGGAAGCATTCATTCCTTTCCCCTTGCACCTTGTAGGCACTGCAGGTTTTCCGTGGGTGGCCACCTCACTCCCATCTCTGCCCCCTTTTCTCTTCTCTGTCAGTGAGTGTGTGTGTACATGCATGTGTGTGTGTGTGTGTGTGTGTGTAACAAATCTCCCTCTAACTCTGTCTTATATGCACTTGTGTGATTGCATTTGTGTAACAAATCTCCCTCTAACTCTGTCTTATATGCACTTGTGTGATTGCATTTAGGGCCTACCTGGACAATACAGGATAATCTCCAATCTTAAGATCCTTAACTGAATCATATCTGCAAAGACCCTTTATTTACCACATAATGTTTGATTCATAGGATCCAGAGGTTAGAATGTGGATATCCTTTTTCCGGGGGCGCGGGGAGGGTGTATTTTCAGCCTACGCAGACATGATTACAATGCATCAAAAATATCTCCTTTTAAAGACTAGTTTATATCAATCATCATCAAAGTATTAAAGATAAATGGAAAACAATTACTTATCACTGAACCACAATAATCTTACTGAAAGGATGACACAGGAAAGGACAAAAACCCAAGTCCTTGCTCACTCTGTCCTACCCTGCTTGGCCCAATGTGGTATCAACCCCGTCTAGAACTGTCTCATGTTGCCCTATAGGGTTTCGAACAAGTTCAGATTTTCCTCAACTTATAAAACCACCTCTTGGCAATGATGCTCCTTCATACCACCATCTTATTTCAATCCTCATTTTCAGGGTCTGTGTTTTGCCATCACCCACACCTCCTGATTCTCTAAGCATGTCTCCCCCTTGCCTTCATCCCAGTACTGAATGGTTCCTTCTGTGCCTATGTCCATGAAGAGTGGCAGCTCTTCTCCTTCTCCTCTTTGCACAGCCCTGGCCCCTCTTCATTTCCGAATGCCGCTCTTCCCTTTTCCCACACTCCTCTCTGGCTCACCTCTCCAGTGTGAGTTGAGATCTCAAAATTCTTTTGTGCTACTGTTTTCCCTCTGACAACTCGACATTTTGTGGCTCTTGAATTGACATCTCTGACTGCTGTCTCTAAAGTTCTTACCCAGCAGTTTTTAAATGGTGACCCACAGCTAGGCGTGGTGGTTGGTACCTGTAATCCCAGCTACCCAGGGGGCTGAGGCTGGAGTATCACTTGAGCCCAGGAGTTCAAGGCTGCTGTGACCCTATCTCTGAAAACAAAACAAAACAAATAGTGACCCATGAGTATCAACTGGAAAGCACATTAAAATGCAGATTCCTAGGTCTCTCTTGGAATTTCTGGCTCAAGTGATTCTGATGCATGTGGTTCCAGAAATGCCGCTCTGGAACCATGTTACCAGTTGTCTCATGAAGCTGTTGAGATGTTTCACCACCACCAAAAACTAAACTTGCACAAATTCAAACACAGCCTTGCCAGACTTGGACTTTTCCATTTCCCTTGATGGCATTACCATACTTCCAGATATCTATGAGGACTCTTTGATGCCTCCTACCCCACTGTGTCCAGGTTCCAATCCACATCTAAATTATCTCATTGAACACCCTCTAGGACAACTCTTGTGAACCAAAGAGTGAGGATTCTGGAGAAGAAAAAAATCTAAGACGGAATCTAGCCCATAACCAGTCCTTTCAATTCTTAAAAAAATTGAAGACCTAGATACTTCTGGGAGCTGTTGGGAGGAGGTTGGTGAGAGGTTCCTAAAACGGATTACAGTTCAACGGTTCCAGACAAGCAGGGACTATGGAGCCAGACTCCTTGGGTTTAAATCCTTCACTCTGCCACCATAAGGCTGTATGACCTTAGAAAAGTAAACTAACCTTTCTGTGCCACCATTGTAAAATAAGTATAATAGTAGTTTCTACTTCCAGACAATGGTTTGTAATAAAAATTAAGGAGTCAACATATGGAAAATGCATAGTAATACTATTTAAGTGTTGACTCTAGTAGTAATAATAATAATAATATAAAAGCCACCAGGAGTATCCCCTAGATTCAAGCATGACTTCTGTCCCTGATAGCCATTTGCTAAGTCACATGTATACTGTCTTTAGCTCTAAAGGATATCATTTGACTCCAAAAGTCTCCAGATTCCCAGACATCACAAGTTTTATAGAAATGAAAAGCCACAGGTGTCAAAAACTGGGATGTATTTCCACCATTTGCCTGAAAATAAAGTTTATCTATGACACATACTAGATAGCTGGCATGCAGCTATTATTATAAAATATTTATTGGCCACTACAAAGTGCTGTAGGCATTGCACAAAATATAGAAGAACAGTCTCTCCAGGCCCTAATTGATTACGGGTCATATATTTTTAAGGGAAGATGCTACTGAGTTACTTAACACAGAATGAAAGATTCCAGGCTTTTAGGCAAGGAAAAAAATTATATAGTTTTAAGGGACGGTAATGATTTATGATGTGTTTAGGGTTTCTGTCTGTGTTTCTTCTTCAGCAGTGCCACATCTGAATTTTTCACAGCATTTATACAAAGCACATGTGGTGCTGGTCTTTATGCTGACCCAAGCATATCTTCCAATAGGAGGATTATTGCATAAAGATCTCTCTTATTTGAGAGCAGTCACAGACGTATGAGATGATGTTGTATGTTATAAATATCAGACCACAGTCATGGGGATCATAAAAGTTTCAATTATGTTAGCACGATATGGATTGGAGAAGAAGAAAATTTGCAGTGGAAAGGAAATGAAGTGTTTGAAAAGAGCTATCATTTTTGGAATTTTAAAAGTCAAATAGTTTTACACATTGCATCATTAATATCAGGTATAATGGAATAACTCCCTTTCTTTACTCCAAACAGGGGAAATGCCCTTAGGATGAAATTTTGTTTAAAGAACACAATAAGACTCAGGGCAAGACATTCAAGGCTTAATTTTTAAAAGATAAAATCTTACATCTATTAGACTTCCGAACACATGCAAAGAGAGCTTCTTTTAGCTATCCTGAAATGATAGTAATCCCCCAAATGACAGAAAAATTCTTATTTGGACAACACAGTCATTCAATAATGCATATACATGCTGTGTTCTATAATCTTAAAATAGCTGATACAAAAAGAAAATAAATGAGGGGAGAAATGCTCAATATAAAACGGTGTCAGCAGATTAAAATATTCTCACCTTTCTTCTCTCTTCCTTTTTTATTCTTTCATTCAGTAGAAGTTCACACAGTGACACCTAGTGCAGCTGGCAAGGCTATGACAACCTGGAAGAGTGAGTGAGATCAGCTGCCTGGCAAATTCCAGTTTTAATTTCAGTTAAAATAAGCCAATTCAGTAAAGCTGAAAGGCTCACATTTTGTCTCAGACCCCAATGTGTATGCATAACCTAATTATCATTTGAATCTATTTAAAAATGTATAATGCTTATCAACCATAATTCCAGCTCAGTTCATTTCCTAACAGTTAGAAATACTGGATCATTAATATCCTTAATGAAGTAGAACTGCAATTAAGAGACTCAGTGAAATATCTACCCCCCTCCTTGCCAAGAGGCTTCCAGGATGGGTTCAGCAGTCTTGGAGCTATCCTTTCTAAACATTTCTCTGATGTTTCTACCTCTAATGTGACATCTAAAAGACTTCCTCTAGATTTTGTTACAAGAAACCTCCAGAGACTTGCAGAAACTGCACATTACTTTCTATAAAGCATCCTTCTTAAGATATTCTAGTCAAATGATCTCCAACTCACATGACTTCCTATTACAAAATGGTTCAGAAATTCCTTCAGCTAGATTAGATGCTCTTTAAGAACCAAGCGCTTGCTTCCTAACCTTGGTGCTTCCCAAATAGCCATATACAGTTCCTCACACAGAGCAACTGCTCAATAAGTTTTGTTGAGTGAATTTTGTTTTGTTCTTTTTCTGTTAAGAGCTGCCTCTTTAACTTTTAATGTCTCCCTTTCCCATATGTCAATCTCATCCACAGTTTTCTGAAAATACTGCTTGGAGACTTGATAAGAACTAAGAGAGAATCCAGTGGTGAAGGTGTAGCCCCTTCAGAGACATATGTTCACACCTGCATGCTGAAATTCTGTTGTTAGGCAGGAGCATTATTCAAGGTTGCAACATTCCTATGGGTCCAAGATGAGGCAGTCTTTCCGATTCCTACTTGGAGTTTAGCAGGGAATACGGATTGGCTGAGGAAGATTTATTTTAAAAATATCACCACCCACAGCTCACCAGCACCAGTCTCACAAGAGTTAGCCTGCTCTGGAAGATGAAAAGAGCCAAGCTTTGGAAGTTGGAGTATTAAAATCCAGTGGGAGTCATTCAGCCTTAAAAAACCAAAAAACAGGACTGTTCTAGAAAGGGAAAGCCATGGGAAAACTGAGGACACTGACCAAGATGTCACTAAGAGCCAACACCTCAGCAAGAAAGGAGAGTAAATGGAAAACAGCAATGGAACTAAAACCAGTTCACGTTTACATTTCCCAAAACTAAGATGCTTCTGTAAACCAGTGACATTTATGAAAAACTTCCAAAGATATTGAAAATACTTATATTTATCAAAGCATAAAATATTAAGTGAAAAAGAATATATTATATAGATAGATGGATAGACAGATGATAGAAAGATAGACAAGGGAGGAAATATACAATGTCAACCAAAGTTGTCTCCAAGTAGTGGAATTCCTGGTGATTTTATTTTCTTCTCTATAATTCTCTGATGTCTATACATTTAAGGCAAGAATATATAACTCCTGAAATTAAAACAATATGCTGTTTTTAAAAGATCAAAAAGCAAATAAAATAAATGCCAAGCTATGTTCTAATTTTAAAAATATAAACATCAGCCCCTCTTCCTCAACCCACTTGCAAACTGGTCCCACTCAGGATGATGACTGACAAGCAGATGGCAACACCCCTGAAGAACCTCTCATCCTCTGTCTCTCTGCTTAAAACATCAGAAAAATAAAATTCTCACAGGGACTGCCCTTCTATCACTCAATGATATGCATTAAATTAAATGTTAAAAATAATAATAGCATCAGAGGAAAATTTCTTAAGCTTATATTGCATTTTATTAATCATGTTTTGTTAATAATGCAGCCAGTCCTGTGAGGGAGGAAGGAATTAGATAGCAGGCCATTTGGGAAAGGCGTCCTTTGAATAAGATGTTTCAAACCAATGTGTTCCAAAGACACATTCTCCCTGTGTTTCTGAGAAAGCTTGGGGACCTTGAATCCCTCAATCCTAGACACAACAGAGGCAGAACAGCACAGTGGTTAGTACAGACACAGCTCTGGAGTCAGTTCAGCCTGGGTTCTAATTCAAGCTGTTACATCCTGGTTGTGTAACTTGAGGTCAATTGCCTAATGTCTCTGTGCCTCAGTTTCTCCATCTATAAGATGGAACTAATAATGATGCTGTCTGCTCAGATTTGTCCTGTGGTTGAAATGAGTTAACATGTTCTTGGAAGAGTGTCTGACACTGAGTCATCGCTACAAATGATCTTCATGGGACTAATTGAACCAAGGACTCCTGATTAATAAAAGACAGTGTATTAGTCTGTTCTCATACTGCTAATAAAGACGTACCCAAGACTGGATAATTTATAAAGGAAAGAGGTTTAATTGACTCACAGTTCCACATGGCTGGGGAGGTCTCACAATCATGGCGGAAAGTGAATGAGAAGCAAAGTCATGTCTTACATGGCAGCAGGCAAAAGAGTATATGTAGGGGAACTCCCCTTTCTAAAACCACCAGATCTCAGGAGACTTATTCACTATCATGAGAACAGAACAGGAAAAATCCTGATCCCATGATTCAATTACCTCCCATTGTGTGGGACCCATGCACAACAAGTAGGAATTATGGGAGCTACAATTCAAGATGAGATTTCGGTAAGGACACAACCAAACCATATCATTCTGCCCCTGGCCCCTCCAGAATCTCATGCCCTCACATTTCAAAACATGATCATGCCTTCCCAACAGTCCCCCAAAGTCTTAACTCATTCCAGAACTAACCCAGAAGTCCAAGTCCAAAGTCTCATCTGAGACTAGGAAAATCCCTTCCACCTATGAACTGGTAAAATCAAAAACAAGTTAGTTACTTCCTAGATACAATGAGGGTACAGGCATTGGGTAAATACACACGTTCCAAATGCAACAAATTGGCCAAAACAAAGGGGCTACAGGCCCCGTGCAAGTCCAAAATCCAGTAAGGCAGTCATTAAACCATAAAATTCCAATATGATCTCCTTTGACCCAATGTCTCCCATCCAGGGCATGCTGAGGCAAGAGGTAGGTTTGCATGGTCTTGGGCAGCTCCACCCCTGTGGCTTTGTAGGGTACAGCCCCCATCCCGGCTGCTTTCACAGGCTGGCGTTGAGTATCTGCACTTTTTCCAGGCACACGGTGCAAGCTGTCAGCACATCTACCATTCTGGGGTCTGGAGGACAGTGGCCCTCCTCTCATTGCTCCATGAGGCAGCGCCCCAGTGGGGACTCTGTATGGGCACTTGCACCCACATTTCCCTTCACACATTGCACTAGTAGAGGTTCTCCATGAGGGCTTTACTCCTACAGCATACCTCTGCCTGGACATACAGACACTTCCATACATCCTCTGAAATCTAGGCAGAGGTTCTCAAACCTCAATTCTCGACTTCTGTGCACCCACAGGCTCAACACCATGTGGAAGCTGCCAAGGCTTGGGGCTTGCACCCTGTGAAGCAAAGGCCTGAGCTGTACCTTGGTCCCTTTTGGCCATGGCTGGAGCAGCTGGGATGCAGGGCACCAAGTCCCTAGGCCACACACAGCAAGTAGGTCCTGGACCTGGCCCATGAAACCATTTTTTCCTCCTAGCCCTCCAGGCCTGTGATGGGCAGGGCTGCTGTGATGACCTCTGACATGCCCCAGAGACATTTTACCCATTTTCTTGGTGATTAACATTTGGCTCCTCATTACTTATGCAACTTTCTGCAGCCAGCTTGAATTTCTCCTCAGAAAAGTGTTTTTCTTTTCCACCACATCATCAGGCTGCAAATTTTCTGAACTTTGATGCTCTGCTTCCCTTTTAAACATAAGTTCTCTTTCTAAACCATATCTTTGTGAATACATAAAGCTGAATGTTTTTAACAACACCCAAGTAACCTCTTGAATGCTTTGCTGCTTAGAAATTTCTTCCACCAGATGCTTTATATCATGTCTCTCAAGTTCAAACTTCCACAAATCTCTAGGGCAGGGGCAAAATGCCACCAGTCTCTTTGCTAAAGCATAGCAAGAATCACCTTTGCTTCAGTTCCCAATAGGTTCCTCATCTCCATCCAAGACCACCTCAGCCTGGACTTTATTGTCCAGATCACTATCAGCATTTTGGTCAAAACCATTCAACAAATCTCTAGGAAGTTCCAATCTTCCCCACATTTTCCTGTCTTCTGAGCCCTCCAAACTGTTCCAGCCTCTGCCTGTTACCCAGTTCAAAAGTTCTCAGGTGTCTTTACAGGAGCACCCCACTCTACCAGTATCAATTTACTGTATTAGTCCATTCTTGTGTCACTAATAAAGACATACCCATGACTGGTGGAAAATGTGCAGCACCACATTTTCAGGTGTCTTTACAGGAGCACCCCACTCTACCAGTATCAATTTACTGTATTAGTCCGTTCTCATGCTGCTAATAAAGACATACCCAAGACTGGGTAATTTATAAAGAAAAGAAGTTTAATTGACTCACAGTTCTACATGGCTGGGGAGGACTCACACTCATGGTGGAAGACAAAGGAAGAGCAAAGGGACATCTTACATGGTGGCAGGCAAGAGAGCATCTGTAGGGGAACTGCCCTTTATAAAACCATCAGCTCTTGTGAGACTTATTCACTATCATGAGAATAGCACAGGAAAAACCTGCCCCCATGATTCAATTACCTCCCACCAGGTCCCTCCCATGACAAGTGGGAATTATGGGAGCTACAATTCAAGATGAGATTTGAGTGGGGACACAGCCAAACCATATCAGACAGTTTCCCTTTATTTAGGCATGTATCATTCAAATAATGAACTTTCCCAGTTATTCTCTGTTATTCACTTTAGGGAAGTTCAGTGACTTTAGCACATTTATCAGAGAGAAGAAATTCAGAAGTCATGGGTTCTAGTGCCATACAGTGATTACTGTCATTGTCATACAAGTGACAGAGTCACCACTTAACTGTGCCTCAGTTTCCTCATCTCAAAAGAGTGAAGAGAATATAGTCACATGCCCCCACCCAGTCTCATAAGGTTGTCAACAGTAGCAAATGAGAAACGCTTTGAAAAAGTACAAAGCACTATATGATACAAATAATTTGAAGTAGACCAGTAATTATGAGGATAAAACTCAAATTTTTCCTTCCTACTCTTGGGAAATAACCCTACAAAGCGTTAAACTCTAAATTGTATCTGGATTTCATTACTCCATGCTCTCCTAGGCCACTTTTGCTATTGATAACTCCAAGATGAATACACCTGCTTCAATGAAAGAAAGATATGAGATATAAAATGTCTCATTAAAAAGTTTTATATAGGCTCCATGTTGATTTTTTATGTTGATTGCATTTTGAATTGATTACATGTTGGATATATTGAGTTAAGTCAAATATATGTTTTAAATTAATTTGATGTGTTTCTTTTTACTTAAGGAATTATTAATTTTATATGCTTCTTTTTTAACAAAACTAATAGAAAATTTCAGATTATATGCTTCAATGCCTTAGACCTGTGCTGTCCAGTATGGTAGCCACTAGAAACACGTGGCCACTGAGCATTTGAAATATGACCAGTCCAAATTGAGTTGTGCTGTATGTGTAAAACACACACCAGACTTTGAAAACAGTATGAATGAAAGATATTGTCTCATTAAAAAGTTTTATATAGGCTACGTGTTGGTTTTTTTATGTTGATTGCATGTTGTATTGATTATATGTTGGAAATATTGGGTTAAATCAAATTTATGATTTAAATTAATTTGATGTGCTTCTTTTTACTTAAGTACCTATTAACTTGATGTTTCTTTCTTAACATGTTAATAGAAAATTTTAAATTACATATTTGTCTCACAGTATATATCAGGCATTGCTGCTTTAGACCATAATAAATCCACTTTTAAGAAGGACTTGGAAACACCATCTCTCTAAATGAAGTACCTGGAGGTATGTGAGATGGGAAACAGTAGGTTCCTTGCACTTATATTTTTCTACATGTTCCCTATATTACAAGTCGCCTCAGCCAACATTAAAGCAGACCAGTAAGGTAAATAAAAATTCTGGATGGCCAAAAAGAAACATTACATTATATGACCTTTTTATACAAAGAGTTGCTGGGAAAGAACCACAACTGGAAAAATGAGAGTATACTTGTGGTTCTAGTTTACTTTCAGTGGGAGCCTAAATAAGACAACAAAAAGCCTCCAGATGAGTCCAATTTTTGCCTCAACTGCTGAAAAGCCTGCTTGAACAAACACAGGCGATTATTTGAACCAGACATTAATGGGCTACAAAAATCACCAGCCCCTGTGGCACCTTTCATAGACAGCATTGCCTGAGAGATGTCTGCTTCACACAATAGAATAAGAAAAATACATGCCATGTTTCAGTACTAAAAGAATACTTTGGAAAGAGGAGATAGAGAGTGGCAGGAGAGTCCTTTTCTTACCTTACTCTCTACCTGCACCATCATTTCTGAGGTTTCAAACCACAAGTAAACAGAAAATAAAAATAAATTGGCATTAGTCAACCAAGATCCTATAGCCAAATAGCCAGCCATTTCTCAATTTACGGTTACAGTTTGTGTTTTGTGCTGGGCCACCTGAGTTCAAGGCATGGCCAATAAATAAACTGGGGAGGCCTTGGCTGTTTGCAGTGGATGCATTTGATGCCATCTGCATGATACATTGATGAGAAGAACAGAAAATGTTTCATTACAATATGAACCTGTTTTATAGTATTTAATGTTCTGTTGGTTTCCATAAAAGCAGCAGGGGGAACTAGAATTAGTAATGAATGTTGATTTTTGAACATTGGAGGTTCGAAGGGAAGAATTTAACAATTAAATGAGAAGGAAATATCACTTTTTACTCCAGCATAGACCTAGTCTGAACAGAAAAAATAATGCACACAGAGCAATTATAAATATAAATTCAGTATATTTGAATTTCAGTGTGTTTTAAATGTTCACTCTTGACAGCCACTTTTTAAATATTTATCAAGGCAACATCTTTCTTGCTCATAATGAAACAGGCAATAAAATTTGAATAGAATTTAATTATACCTTCAAATATTTAGAATGCAAACAAAAATAAGTGACTGTTGAGAAATATATCTGGCCTCAAAACACTGAGGAAAAAAGTTTTAAGAATATCTTTAGAAGAAAATCCAAATGAAGTTTCTTTCAATACTCTTCTACTTTAAATTCTTAGGTTTCCATGAAAAGCAGATGAAAATAAATTGCAAATACTACAGTACACAGGATGCCAATGTGTAGAACTGGTGAGGAGATCATTAAGAAGGGAAAAAGGCTATGGGAAAATTATTTGAATTTGATAAGCTCTTCAGCAAGTTGAGCCAGTCTGTTTGTGAGTTTGCCACAATTTTTCTGAGAGTTTGCCTGCTCATGATGCGTGCAGGAACAGTAAATAGATTTCTTCACAGAGGCTGTCTAAAGCTCTGTGTTGAGAAGGACTCTGAGGTCATGTCTGAGCTCAGGCTCAGCAGGGAGGTGCCATTGACTAGTGATGTCTGCCTGCGAGTGGGAATGGCTATCATTGTGCATGTCTTTGCTCTTCCCATGATGGAAAGTGTAGCTGTGGAAACACTCTTTCCTATCATTCTGCTCAGGGGTCAGTTCATTCAAATGATGTCATCTCACAAGTTATCAATTGCAGTCAGACTGCTGTACTCAGAATAGTGTAGCAGATGTTACTTCCTGGGCTCACCCTTCTCTATACCTCGAACCATCTCTTCTTCACATTTGGGGTACTTGTAATTGCTCTTTATTACCCTTTTTTAAGGGCATATTAACCCCTTCCTTCCACCTCCAACACAAAGGTTTCCTTCTCCAACATGTGAAAATTTCTCTGCTGTGCCTAAACTATGAATGACAGAAATTCTGCTAAAGCAAAGATCTTCTGCATAAAAAAACAAAAAGTCTCATTTACCAGGAAAAGGAGCCCTATAATGTTCTCTCCTCAAATTATTCAGGATTAATTTTTTTGGACTTAATTAATGCCAACCCTGCCCTTTAGCTCACTGCCATCTGCCACAAGTCATCTCCCAGGCAGAAAGGTCATGATGCTGAGCTTCATGAAGGCACCAGGGAACAAGTTAAACCCAGGATTCCCTCCTTGATGTCGTTCACCTCTCTTGCACCAGCACCAGCCAGCATCAACTATCGCTGTCAATGTCAGACAGTCGCATATCATCAATTAGAGATGGCAAAAGCTCAACAACTTCTGAGCTTGGCTTACAAAGAAAAGCATCCAGATGCTTGTGCCCATTTGGCAAAAACTTCCTAAAATCTCTATGAAGGAAAGCACATGTTTTTGCAATTAAAATGGTATCTGTTAGTGTAGAGAGCAAAATAATAAGTTGAAAGATCATTAATTATCAGCAATTCCATATGGTTTGAACTACCAGAGTTTAGACGTTCATCTGCACCAAAACTGATATTTTCTTAACTAGGACATGAACTATGAGTTTGAAACCTGAGACATGTGTACCAAGATAACTGAATATCTCAGAAACATTTCAAACTCAATTTCCTTATGAAAGGAAATATATGTGTAAATCATATATTTCTATTCTTGTATTGACTTTTGGTATCCATTTATTGAATACCTATATCAAAGTCTGCCATGGGAGTTCCATGTAACCCATATTCTGGTAAAACATACAGACTTGCAATGAGGGCTATAAGAGACGGAAACTGGGTTCATGGGTAACAACATATCAGAGGTCCGCCCAGCTAGACTGGAGGGGTTCAGGAAGACTTTTGGATGAGATGGCATCTTGGATGTGTAGAGACAACCAGACAGAAGTTCAAGGGTCTGTGGAATGAGGGGAGAGCGTGGTGAAGACAGAATCAACTTCTAGGTAGTCCTGGTTCCAAAAATGTTTGGCATAAAAAATTTCCATGTGCACCATCCCTGGCATGTTCCTGCTATTCTGATTTATTGTAACGCTGTCTTCTTCAACATTAACTAAGGCCAGTGGTTGCAATGAATAATTTGCAATATTCAAATACCATCGGGAAAGATTCATCATTTTTAGCTTCTAATTGAGGAGGGAAAACATCTTAAAGCTTCATAGATGTTTCTATTTAGTCTTGGGACAAATGTCATATTAATTGATTAAATACATCTTGAGGGGCTCAATCTTAACTCCTTATAGTTTCAAGCACATTTTCCCCAATCTCTGGTGACTTAGAACAGTATAAAACAGATCTAAAATCCACCTTAAGAAAGAAAAAGATATGCAAGTAATGAGGTTCAATCCTGCAATAGCCTTCTTGTTGGGGAGATTGCCATTTAAGATTGCCCAAGGTGGCATTTGATTCTCACGGCATGCAAGGTCCACTCTCTTGCTAATTTAGGTGCAGGCTCAGCCCTCATTCTGCCTTACAACAGCATTAAGGGAGTTGTCTTCTCTGACTGAGAAAGACCACTGGAGTCTGAGTAAGAAAAGCCAAGGGTGTCCTCCTCGGAGAACACACCAAATGCTTAGATCTTTCATGTTGAATTACACTTGTTGCCCTGAGATGTGTGTTGCTGACATTAACCACCTAACCTGCAGCTGTAAAAGCCTCCCCACTCAGAATCCACAGTGAGCACTGACCTGCTGCAACCCAGGAAGAACATCAAATACTTTTTCTACATCTCATTATCAGAGCAAAAGCTAAACAGTAACTGCCCAATTCAGCTTATATATTCAATTCAGTAAGCTATATTCCATGATTTTTTTTAAAAAAAATGCACACATACATACAAAGAAGGGTGCAAATTGTAAGTGCACAGTGAACTAGTCCTGTGGAACGAGCAGCTAGAACCAGAAACAGAACATTACCCTAGAATGTTCTGTCGTGGCTCCTAACGCCAGGGATTTGTTTTAACTCAAATTAGGATACCTTTAAAAGTCCCAGTCGTTACGCTGGGAAAACACGCCTACAGCAAAACTTTGTGGCAAACCCAGATCTATGCTACCCTACATATTAGTCACTTTCATCTGTTTCCCAAGACACTTCACGCTAACCCCCATTCCGACACTTACCACGTTCTGCATAGTTGTTAAATTTGCAACAAACTGCCTGCTACTAGAGGTCAGTGTCAAGTCTGAGTCTTCATGCTTTTCTCCCAGTAATGTAGGGTAACTGTCTTAGGCTGCCAGGGGCTAGATGAAGGATCCAATGATCCTATTGGCCAACATTTATGTTTGCGAATTTCACGTCCCTCATTTTCAGGCTGGGCAGAGAGTGCACCCCCTAGTCTCTATCCTAGCTTGATGATGAGATTCTCTGGAGGAAGTTTTTGCCTAAGGAAAGTCTCCCAGCAGCCAAGAGTCTGTGCGGCCCCTTCCCACAGTCAAATCATCACATGACCTGCAGCTTTCAGCCAGTCCTGCTAGTTCTCATGCACGTTTCCCCCACCCTCCTGGTTCTGTGCAGGGAGGGAGGCACATGTGCATACATGTATGTTTTATTCTGCTTCATTTTGCTGCCAATGGTCTGTGTTAAAACAAAAGTATTCCTTCCCACCCCCACCCCCTCCATTCCTTGTACCCACCATTTGACCCGCAGGCAAATGAAGCCATTCAAATATTTATTCATCATATCATCTGTTCCCATCTGACCTTGCAATTCCTGTCATGCCCCGCGTGTCAGTTTAAAGCATAACGTCATTAATACCTCCAGTGCACTAATGGATGCTTCACCCATGAACGCATTAATGAAATGTGTTATTGTTTTCCCTCACAGGACATTAACAATCTACCTCACGCTGTGTCTCCGAAGCCCCGCGGAGCTGCTGAAAACCACTAGCTATCAAATGAACCCTCAGTTCCGCCTCAGTAACTTTAAGTTCAAGTTTATCACTGAAGCGTCACTCATGTGAGAAGAAGATACAAGCCTCTGAGGGCTTTGGGGCCCAGCTTCAATTACCATAAAGAGTAACAGGAGGCAAGAGCTGCAGGAAGGGGGAGAGGGAGAGTGCAACATAGAAACAAAACCCTGTCAAGATGAAATAGGAAAGATCTGGGTGTCACCAGGATGATTTGTTTCTTGTTTCTCCCTTTGTCTATGGGCTGATGGTTTGAATAATGAAGACGGTATTGGTTTTCTTCTCGAGTACACCAGCACAGGAGGTCTGCTTGTCTGATGGCACAGCTGACATATTAAGAGGGACTTAAGTTTCTGTACACAGGCAATGTTTAAATTACCTTCCTTAAGCCCCAAAGAAATCTTTCCAGCTGATTTGCAAAATGAACCCTGGCATGGCCTTGCAGCCACCCTGCACAGGTTGCCTAAACAGAGCCGTGGTTCTCTGTTTGGCCAGCTGTTTTGCAAAATCAGAAAAAAAGGGAAAGGTAATTCCTTTTCAACGTTGCCTCAGCCAGTATTTCGTCTGTAATTAAAATTGAAAGCTTTCCCCAACAGGTTCTCAGAGGCTCTCCCGGAGAAACAGATTTCTCCTTTCCTGAGTAATTAAGCACAAATTGTAAGGTGCTTGGCTTTACAGCAGAGGAGCAATGAATGGTCAAAGGTGTTCCATCCAAGGCCTGGGGAGGCTTTTGTGTTTGGTTAGCTGTTAGGAAATGCTAATTGCTTTTTCTCTTGCCATTAGGCACTAATCCCCACTGCGATGAAAATTTTTCACAGGTTGGGGCCAGAAAGGTGAAGGGAGATGTACAACAGAAATGCCGCAACAAAATCACCTGTACCAGTGAATTGTAGCATGGCCAGAAAGGTGATTGTTTGCTCAGCATTTGTGCCAAGAATACACCCCACAATTCCTTTTATTCATGTCTTGGACAGCAGGCTTACAAGTAGCTACTAATGTGTTCCTGAATGTTTCAGGTCACTAAGCCTATACCCTAAACATAAGCTTCCAATCACAGTTAAGCATCTAATCAAAAACTCCTGGCTTGGGGACAAAAGTCAGAGCTTAACTCTATCCTTGGCTGCTGATGGCAAGAAGACCTTTGCTGCCTGCCTGTAGAAGCCATGGGCCCCAAATCTGCTCCTCTAAAGAGGACAAAACCCATTGCAATTTCCCCAACCTCTGTGACACAGCCTTCCTAAACAGCTCATTGAGGCTGCTCCTTAAACGGTGGCATTACACTTCTCACAAACACAAGGAAACCAAATGGGGCTGGAGATACATTGCCCTTGAACCCCTCTGCCTGGGCAAGCTTCATCCCAGAAATGTCCCTTACTTTGGAAAAAAACAGGTGGCTGGAATTGTAACCACAAATGATAATTATTCTTCCATTTTCTTTTTGCCCTGTGGCAGAGAAACCCTAGGGTGGCCCAGTGATTCTTGCCCCACTGGTGTTCACAGCCTGTATAATCCTCCCCTCCCTTGGGGTGTGATAGGACCTATGACTTTTTCTAAACAATCAAGCATGGCAAAGGTGAAGGGGTTTTGCAGGTGTAAGTCCCAAAGCAGTTGATTTTGAGTAAATCCAAATGGAGATCATACTGGATGGCCCTGGCTTAGTCAAGTGAGAGCCCTGAAAAGAAGGACTGAGCCCTGTATGGTCAGAGATTCTCCCGGCTGACTGCATGAGGAGCAGCCATGTGGAAAAGGCCACGGGGCGAGGAGCTGAGGTGGCCTCCGACTGACAGCCAGCAGAAAGCTGGGGCCCTTGGTCATGCAGAGGCAAAGAAATGAATCCGCCAACAACCTGAATGAACTTGGAAGCAGATTCTTCCCCAGCTCAGTGTCCTGATGAAAATGCTGTCTGCTGACTTGTTTATTGGAGCCTGGTGAGACCCTGAGTAGGGGACCCGGTTAAGCCATCCCTGGACTCCTGAACCGTGGCACCTGTGCGATAACAACAACCTGGGTTGTTGTATGCCACTATGTCTGCAATAATTTGTTACACAGCAGTAAGTTATACAATCCCTAAGCATTCAGGTCCTCTATTTTGAAGCTAATGGTGATTCAGTTATGTTGCAGCCATGATCCTCACCAATGATATCTTTGAATCATCAACCAAATGAATCTGGCCCATCAGTGCATTGCCCTTGGAGTCCATGGTGAACATTTTTCTAGACAACTGGCCGAGATGTTCTGTCAACCATTTTATGTTTCTTCTCAACCTTGTCTTTTTTGTCACTGTGGCAGCCCTTGTAACAAAGAAAGATGTTAAAGTGACTAGAAAGCTACACTAAACAGCTGTAAGTTCTATGCTCAACATTCATGTTAGAAAGGTATATTCTTTTTTCATCGTGCTAAGTGTTGCTTAAAAATGCATGTAAAGCTAGGCAAGATGGCTCACGCCTGTAATCCCAGGACCTTGGGAGGCCACAGCGGGTGGATCATCAGAGGTCAGGTGTTCGAGACCAGCCTGGCCAACATGGTGAAACTCTGTCTCTACTATAAATACAAACATTAGTTGGGCAGGGTGGTGCACGTATGTAGTCCCAGCTACTTGGCAGGCTGAGACAGGAGAATCACTTAAACCCAGGAGGCGGATGTTGCAGTGAGCCGAGATTACGCCATTGCACTCCAGCCTGGGTGACAGACAAGACTCTGTCTTTAAAAAAAAAAAATGCATGCAGAAATAAAGAGAAAATAGTATTTCATTCCTGTTTGTCTCAAGCTTCAGTCTCATGCAGTCTTCAGGTTAGAAACTTCCAGAAAACTTTCAAAGTTCTCAAGAAATATGTCTTGCATTTCAGCTCCTTTTAGAAAGCAACTGCCATACACCAACAGGATTTTGGAGGTTTTGTTTTTCCCCCACTGAATTTGACAAACTGCATCTAAAATGTTTATGGAAGAGCAGGCCAAGAAAGGCCAGGATACTTTTGAAGACTTCAAACAGCAAATATCAAGAATTGTTATAAAGTTACACTAATTCAGACAGTGTGATATTAGCACACTGATTAAAAAAATAGTAAACCAACAGAATAAAAAGGGATGCCCAACGCAGGCCCACTCCTATACTGAAATATGCTATACAGAAGGCGTGACATTACACATCAGAGGAAAACCATGTTCTTTGCATTAAATGGTGCCCCACAAGAGCTTCCCAGTGTGTTTTCTTGGGAAGGGTCAGGTAATTAAATTCCCAAATGAAGCTTTCTTTAGTTTTATTTAACTAAAAACGAAAGAAGAGAAAAACAGAGGTAAATATAGATATAAGCCAGTATTCTTAAATTATAATAAAATAAATAGTTACATAAATCGTGTGACTTGATTGTATTTTGCAATTTTTTTTTTTTTTTTTTGAGACAGAGTCTCTCACTGTCGCCCAGGCTGGAGTGCAGTGATGCGATCTCAGCTCACTCTAAGCTCCACCTCCCGGGTTCAAGCCATTCTCCTGCCTCAGCCTCCCGGAGAGCTGAGACTACAGGTGCCCACCACCACGCCCAGCTAATTTTTTTGTATTTTTAGTAGAGATGGGGTTTCACCGTGTTAGCCAGGATGGTCTCGATCTCCTGACCTTGTGATCCGCTGCCTCGGCCTCCCAAAGTGCTGGGATTACAGGCATGAGCCACCGTGCCCAGCTCTGCAATCATTTATTTGTCATTTTTAAATATAGCCAAATAGGGCTGACTGATTTTTTTAAAAAACATATTAAATACTGCCAATGATTTAGCTCTTGTACATCTATTCTTAATTTGTGATTGAGAGAGGTCGTTCATTACAAAATTATTTTAACAAGCTTTTAAATAACAAAAGCCAAATGTAAGAAGTTATGGTGTTTGGGATGTATTTCAAAGTAATAAGAGTGGAGAGATTGAATTGAGGTATGAAGGACACACAATTGATCACGAATTGACAAGTGTTGAATCAAGATAATAGATATTTAGGGGGTTATTATACCATTCTCTCTGCTTTGGTATTTGTTTGAAACTTACCATAATAAATTAGCCGGGCATGGTTGCACCTGTAATCCCAGCTACTCTGGAGGCTGAGGCAGGAGAATTAGGAGAATTGCTCGAACCCGGGAGGAGGAGGTTGCAGTGAGCTGAGATCGCGCCATTGCACTTCAGCCTGGGTGACAAGAGTGAAACACCATCTCAAAAAAAAAAAAGTTTGTTTTTTCTTTTCAAGGAAAATATAGCTAAGCTTTTGATAAACTACAATGTTTGGTTCAAATGTCTCTTCAAGCATCTCAAGTAAGAAAGCAGTTATACAAAACTCGCATGCTATTATTTTCAAAAAACATACATACATGCATGCATATATATTTATGCATACATTATATAGGTATGCACTTTATATATGCATATATAAAAAACATATTTACAGCAGACAAATCTGTACCCCCACACCTTCATGTTATAGCTGGGGAGTCTGATTTCTCATTGATAGTTATCCTGTTTCTCTCTCCTGGCCCACTCTCCATCCCTCTGGTGACCTGCATGGATGTAGTCTACTGTGGTCTGGACAATAGAGAGCACCAGAGAGGAGATTTAAAGGAGAAAAGAGGAGAGTGGGGTCATGACATTTGTTTTCTGGTTCTCTCTCTGCAACACAGCCTCAACAAGGGCCTGCCATGTCCCTCCACTAGAAAGCCACTGTGCCTCTCACGGAGGCCAATTTTATAAGACATTCTTCTTCCAGGTTTCAGAAATTGCTCTGTTTCCCTTCAGACACAGAAGTTGTGTCAGCTCAGCTGCTACTATCCCCAGATTCCTATACAATCCCTTGTGTGGAGGCTGTACTCACACCTTTGTAAATAGTTTTGAGCGCCATCTACTTTCTGTTAGGATTCTAATTCACCACCCTCTTCATTAAACAATAAATGACACATAGTTATTAGAAATAGCTATAAGGAGATTATTATACTGTCTCTGTACATATAAATACTTCTGATGCTGCAGTTCCATCTGAGGTGAATTCTATACTTAACATAGCATATATAGGCGGAAAAGACAAGAGAGATATGGAATTGGGGTTATCAGTTGGCTAGTGGTCCACAAACCAGCTCCCCTTTACTAATAGACATGGAGGAAGCTTAGAGAACAGTACTTTCTCTGAAAGGCCTAAATTTTGAGAGTAGCTCAGTTCTGCACATCCAAAGCTAGACTCAGTGCTATATCACTATTATATAGCATATCAAACATTGCATTACAATTACCTGAGTACATGTACTTGTCTCTTCCTCCAGGCTATGAGCAATTCAAGAAAAGAGCTCTGTTTTATTCAACCTTATATCTCTACTGTC
Organism: Homo sapiens; assembly: GCF_000001405.40. NCBI lineage: Eukaryota > Metazoa > Chordata > Mammalia > Primates > Hominidae > Homo > Homo sapiens. Next base: position 82,929,030 of record NC_000009.12, read on the forward strand.
TAGCGTATGGGTTGTCACATACCAGTGACACAAGAAATGCAGTTGAATTAATAAATGCCTGCTTGAATAAGCAAATGCCAGTGGGTCCAGTATGTTCTATAGCAGGGGCTCTAAACCGAGAGCCTATCACCTTCAAGTTACCATCTGGCTTCCAAAAGCAGCGCTGAATCCAAATATGACCTCGGTACCCTAGAAAAAGAGTCTTTCTCATCTGAATCACTCCCATCTGCCTGGCTACAACCAACATAAGGTCTTGAAGCTGAGACACACCTTCATTTGTTAAGGGGGGAATGGGGGAGCAGATGGTAAATTAAGGTACTAATGCTCATTAATTCCTAATGGAGGCTTCCTCATGGATGTAATTAGAATGAAAAGAAGGAAGAGCCAAAGGAGGAGTGTTTGGGAAATAAAGTAGGCAGCTGGAAGAGGTTTATGGAAGGTATAAACCCTCAGGGAGCTTTCCATTAGAGGATAATAACATCTGCACTTCACAATTGCATCTTTCTTTACAATCAGCAAAACATTTCTACACACAGTATTCCAGTGGAGCCTCAGAAAATAATTGTGATATGTGGAGGAGAGGTCTTTTTTTTTTTTCATTTTTGCAATGATATAATCACTACATGACTGTAGTTGGAGAGGGTGACCTTCAGACCAGTTGTAAAAATCAAGTGCCAGTCCACCTGGGTGAACTATCCCACACCACATTGTCCTTTCTGCTATTCCCGTTACAAATCACTTAAAGTCCCTCCCAATGGCCTTCTATTCCTGATTGGCAAGTGGGGCATAGAGGTTCTTATGAGACTAGGGTTTTTATTTCCTTATGTCCTCATGGAAAAAGTGTGAGCTGGAAAGAAGGGAACTCTTCCCATAAGGCCTGGTTAATGTCATTCTATTTCTTTCCACTGTTCTCAACACAAAATAAATGTATTCACATATATAGTTCCATAGAAATTGAGAATTAAGTACTATACTTTGATCTTCTAAGAAGTGTGCAGCATAAATCTGAGATATCAGCATTAAATGTGGAGACTTCATTATTAAGGACTTGCTAGTAAGCCTGGGTATTCATATGCAATGTCGGTCTATCCAAAAAGAAGTAAATTACTTGAAAAGTGACTGCATTAAAGTAAACTTACTCCTTGAAGCCTTCCTCCTCTCTCAAAGGCATATAGCTGACCTAGTTCAGAAGTGAGTGGAAAAAGAATAAAGAGGATGTTCTGTTTAACCAGCATCAATTGCTTGTAGCTATCTACTTCTCAATAGCTTTTTCCCCCCAAAGGAAGCATTCAGCTAACATTTTTATTGGACTGATGCCCAGATGTGCTCCATTAATTCATGCAACTACCTCTGTTGGAATGCTCCAGGCATTATCATCCATGAATCCATAGAGCACAAATATATTTCTAGAAATATTGTCATTTGCATTATATATGATCCTAAAGTACCTTCATAAATAATACCTTCAAAGTGAACCAGAGAGTATTGGATGTCTCTTGCTATTTTAGTCCTCTTAATTTCACCATATGCATTGTCTTTTATTTACATAGGTAATGTGACAAAATTGATCGTAGCAAACTGAGTTTTTCGGTTTCATCAACATCATCATAGGACATTTTTGATGATGTGTGATCTTTAAATCTGTATTGAGTGTCTTTCCAATCTGTGAGTTTCATTGTTTCAAATTTGTCTTCCAACTGTGCCTTCTGAGATGTATTATGGCTATGATGGAGGCTTTTGGACTGCAGTTTGTTTCTGGTAAGAGCAAAAAAAAAAAAAAAAAAAAACTAATTCTAAATGTAGCATGAAATCTGTTCATTTTTAGATGTTTGGTATAGAAATATAGACTACTTAATTATCAAATTAGTTACCTTTTCCTTAAAAAATTATCAGTACCCCAGCATGATAAGAAGAAAATTATTTCTTAAAATATTATTTGATTTCAAACCAATTATAAAGTGAGCACTGTTTTCTACACAAAGTTTCCAGGAAGTCTTTTAGTAGAAATACATGTTTCAGAGGAGGCGTTTGAATGAATGAAGAATTATTCATAGAAAGAAAAGAAATACTTTGATCTACTGCACTATTTTCGAAAGGAAAATAGAACCATAATGCATATATTATGATATCCTGGACTGAAGATGGTCTGGGACACAGAAAATCACTATTATCTGTGAAACCATGAGCAAGACTCCTTTCTCTGTTGCCTGCAGACAGAAAGCAACAATGTTATTCAACTATTAATATTTACTTATGGCCCAGATACTGGAACTGATTCCTGCTTTCTGTGAAGGAAAGGTGATCCATGAATAAATATCACTCTGGTCATTATCATCGGCACACACAGATATCAGGTGGCTTCCAATGAAATAGTGTAAGAAGCAATATGGATCTGTAGAAAGAAAATTTGTCTTAAAGCAAGATTAGGGGTAGAAGATTTACCATGGATAAATATTCTTGTAGCGTTGAAAAAATTGCTCAGTCGTAAGATGAGGAAAACTCTTGCAAATAAATATGAAGCTTTCCATGAGACTTCTAGAACCTTCAAACCTCAGAATGTATTTGGGCCATCCTCTTCTCTTCAAAGGTTAGACTGACACAGTCTTGGAAACAGAAGCATGAAGCCTACTCTTAGAGATTTTCAGAGAAGAGGAATTTCAGCTTCCTAGGTTAATCATGTTACTTCTATCTAATTTATTTTGCATGGCCACATTTATCATGCTGAAAATTCAGCCCATGTCCACCTGTTTTTTCTTTTAGCAACAGTGCATTTATTCATTCAATAATTATTTATTCAGTGCCTCTTATACGCCAGGCACTGGCTTGGGAGCTGGGATTTAACAAAGAACAAGAGGCAAAAATTCCTCCACTCATGGTGGAGAAATTCTAGCAACAAACTGTTTATTATTATTCTAGCAATAAACTGTTCAATTCTTAGTAACATCCTTATTTCTCATAAAAAATGGGTCACTTATTTGATCAAAGCTGGTTTTGTTTAAATTTACTTCCTTTTACAAAAAAAAAAAAAATCAGCTACATGAAAATCAATGTTAGGTTTATTCTCACAATTTGGCAGCATTATTGGCCAGTTCTTTTATACCATTTTTCATTCCCATGTTCCCTGGAAATGTGCCTTAAACTGAGGAAAAGTTTTTCTCCATCCTGAGAGGATACCCTGTTCAACCGCATATGCATCCTTGGAGGGGCACACCTGGAGTATGGAGGAAGAAGGGGACCTAGCTAGCCATATTGCCCAATCAACCCTGGAAAACAACAGAATTGTCCTTACATCATGTTTCCTAGGAAGGAAGTAGAGATCAGTCCTGCTAATTTGTTGTGGTTGTTGTTGAGATGGAGTCTCCCTCCGTTGCTCAGGCTGGAGTGCAGTGGCACGATCTCGGCTCACTGCAACCTCCACCTCCCGGGTTCAAGCATTTCTCCTGCCACAGCTCCCAAGTAGCTGGGATTACAGGCATGCACCACCATGGCCGGCTAGTTTTTTATTTTTAGTAGAGATGGGGTTTCTCCGTGTTGGCCAGGCTGGTCTCGAACTCCTGACCTCAGGTGATCCACCCGCCTCAGCCTCCCAAAGTGCCAAGATTACAGGCGTGAACCACCACGCCCGGCCAGTCCTGCTAATTTTTAACCACTGCCACCACCACCACTGTGCTTTGGCTTCATAGTCTTTAGACCATTTAGTCTTCACAGCAGTCCCGTGGGGAACAGATGAGTAAGCTGAAGCTGAAAAGGAGTAAGAGGCTTGTCTACACTAACAGCTCTAGCAAATGGTGATGCAGGAATTCACATTTGGGTCTGATTCCAGCTGTCATCTTCTTACGAAAAACATATAATCTTATTTATCTAATGAAATCATAGAAAGGAATTATTAAACATAAGCCTCATTATTTCATATACCACAGAATGGCATAATCTAAGATGAAGAGCATATAGATTTTGAATATCACCTGGGCATTTTTGGTTCCTTCTCTGAGTCTTACCTTTTGTAATAAAAGCATTGCTTTTGTCCTCAAATATACACTCCTGTAAGAGGCAGACCTTCCCATTCATGCCTGTATTAATTAAAAGTTAAAAGAAAGAAATATTCAGTGCAAGTATCTAGTTACACACTTTGCAGAAAGGAGCTTCAGCTGCTTCCACTTCTGAAGACAGAGAAATAGCAAAGAAAGAAGTTCACTTCAGTTTGTTCTAGGAAGAACAAAGACTCATATCTCTTGAGAGTGAAGAAAGAATCAGACCTTTTCAGTATATTTAATTTTAATTAACTATGAAAGTGTGTTCGCAATGCAACGATGTAAAACTAGCTAGTAGTAACTGAGCTAAAGAAGGTCAAAACAATGATTACAATCAAGATATGACTGTTATTGCACATATTTTTGGTTTGTGGGAGCGATTTTTTTCTTCATGTTCTTTTTCTTATTAAATTTAGAATTTGATGATTCTTCAGTGTAAGTTTGGTAAAAGAACAGGTAAATTTAACATTATTTGGATAATAAAGCATATTCTTTGTAAAAATGTAAATTCCTGGAGCCTTAGTCTTCCAATTTCCCTTCGCCCATCCTAGTACAAAGCTGCCTCTGTCTAGTACTGATCCCTAGAAATACTGCCTTGCTCCATAGAACAAAATGAAGCACAAATCATCTAGTGGCAGCAATTTGAATGAGGACCTTGACTAGGGGACAAAAAAATACCATTTAAAAATTTTTTTATATATATTTTTTATTATACTTTAAGCTCTAGGGTACACGTGCACAATGTGCAGGTTTGTTACATATGTATACATGTGTCATGTTGGTGTGCTTCACCCTTAACTTGTCATTTACATTAGGTATATCTCCTAATGCTATCCCTCCCCCCTCTTCCCACCCCACAACAGGCCCTGGTGTGTGATGTTCCCCTTCCTGGGTCCAAGTGTTCTCATTGTTCAATTCGCACCTCTGAGTGAGAACATGCAGTGTTTGGTTTTTTGTCCTTGCATTACTGGGTTTATACCCAAAGGACTATAAATCATGCTGCTATAAAGACACATGCACACATAGGTTTATTGTGGCACTATTCACAATAGCAAAGACTTGGAACCAACCCAAATGTCCATCAATGATAGACTGGATTAAGAAAATGTGGCACATATACACCATGGAATACTATGCAGCCATAAAAAATGATGAGTTCATGACCTTTGTAGGGACATGGATGAGGCTGGAAACCATCATTCTCAGCAAAAAAAATACCGTTTAACCCCAAAATGATAGGACCTCATGCTCTAAACCACTCATTCAATACCATCAATCCCTGAGTAATATTGTCTTTTCATATAAAGTTCCATAAAAACTTCCTGAACATTTCCATGTGCAAAGCACTTGTACTAGATATTGAAGAACAAGAAAGTGAATAGATAACCAGGATTTCTTCTCTGTAATCTGTCACAAAAGAAAAAAATACATGCAAATAATCCTGACATAAAGTAGTAAATTCTGGGATAGAGAGAAAAATAGTACACTGTGAAGAGTAATCCTAACTGGATATTATTATCTTTTATACTTTCTGCTTTTCATTGTAAACTCTTGGAAACCAGATATTTATCTATTATCCAGAATCTTTGCATGTAATGAGTGTTGTAGTCAGTCATCTTTTTTTAGCAAGGGGCAGAAATTCAACTTCCATTAGGTTAAAAAATATTGTCTTGTATATTCTTAAGCCTAGGAGTAGCCTGATATCAGCTTCAGGCAAGTTGAATCAGGTTCTCTAAGGAAGACAGAAGAATTTCTCTCTCCATCCCCTGTCTCTGGTTTTCTCTGTATTCTCCCAAGGTTCTCTTACAGCAGGATTAAAGGTGGCCCCAGAAATATTACACTTGGATAGTAACACCAGCAGATAAGGAGCTCGTCTTCTCCATAATGTTAGCAAAACATCATGAATTTATTCTTAATGGCCTATCATAGGTTGTGTGATCAGCTGATTTACTATATCCGGTCCACTGGAAAATGAGTCACTGGGGCCAGAAGAAGAATGGGACACAATGACTGGCTGGTCTAATTCATGTGCCCACCAGTGGAGCAGATGGGGACCAACTTATCTTTTGTTGAAATAAGTAAACAAAAAGGAGCTGCTCTGGATTGTCTGCAAGGTTTGCGAAGAATTAGCTGAGTCAGTGATCAGTAAACAATGCCAGGAGCTTGCTCTGGTAAGGTCTGCATTCTTTAAAAATGGTGTCATAGATATCAGAAAGTGAACATGGTTAACCATTTGTAATCATCAGAAAACAAGAAAGGAAAATAAATAAAATAAAATAGAAATTGTAAAAATCAGCACTTGAATCACAACACTTACAGTTATGAAAACTAGACTAATAACACATATCAATCAGAAATTCTTGTATTACAGTTTTAAGAACTTCCCTGAAAAGCCACAGGGAAAAGGCAACTCTTATTTGAACTGTGGAATGATCTTTATTGCCAACAATATATGTATCCTTCAAATGAAAATAAATTACTCCTATGAAAACAATGTCTATGAAAACATGCTTAAACTTCATACATTATACGTTAATACATTATATTTTCAAGGTGTAGGAACCTATAAAAATGTGCAATATGGTTTTTCTCAAGTGCCATAATTTACATTACCTTATTTATTTAAGCAATTTTAATCAACTCCTTAAAAGCTTTGAGTGGTTCTTACTTCACCAAACCAGAGGACAAGCATAAGTTTCAAGAAGCCAGCAACTGACAAGCCTCCAGGAAGAGCTGCACCACAACATCACAGGTGGCTGTCCTCACATGTCTATCTTGGCATCTCACAATTCACATCACTTGCCCAACTCTTGGCAAAAGTCTATTTTTACATGGAAATGAATCTCTATTTGCTCCTGATCACAGGATTAAATAAGCTGGTCATTCCGAAATAATTCTCAAAATGTTTCCTCAAAAAGGTTATGCTTTCCTAATTTTTACTCTTAGGAATTTCCTAATTGTACCAAAAGCAAAGATGGTGTTTTCTATTTTAAAAAGTTGCTACAGACCAATCATTTTCAGCTGAGTTACTATATCCAGTACGAAACTAGGGAAACTACTTTTTGCCATAACATTGCCAGAACCTAAACATTTTTCCCACTATGATGAGCGATAGCACTGAAATGAACGTCATCATGAACAAACACAAAAAGATTGAATGGGAACAGTTTGTATAAAAGCATACACTGGACATTTCCAATCTAGTCATATAGATTAAGAGGATGTCCATCGATGTAAATAAATTCAAAGGTTGAATCTGACTTTCTCCTCCCTTGAAGAACGATTTGCAGATATTGGCTGGCCTTTTTTTTTTAGTTTGACTATTACTTCACATTGTACTTGTAATTTGTCTTATGAAACACTAAAACATATTTCTTTTCCATTCAGGTTTATTGAGGTATAATTTATAGCCAGTAAAATTCACCCTTTCTAGTGTGCCGTCCTAGAAGTTTTCACAATTAGATACAGTCATGCAGCCACCACCAAAATCAAGATTAAGAATGGTTTCATCACACTGAAAAGTTTCCCAGGCTCCTTCAAAGTCAACCACTGGCCCCTGGCAACCATGAATACATTTTCTGTCCTGATAGTTTTACTTTGTCCAGAAAGTCATATAAACATAATTAGAGAGTATGTAACATTTTGAGTTTGGCATCTTTCACTTTAAGATTCATCTATGTCGGCCGGGCGCTGGCCGGGCGCAGTGGCTCACACCTGTAATCTCAGCACTTTGGGAGGCCAAGGTGTTTTGGATTGCTTGAGGTCAAGAGTTCAAGACCAGCCTGGTCAACATGGTGAAACCCCATCTCTACTAAAAATACAAAATTAGTCGGGTGTGGTGAGAGGCGCCTCCTGCAATCCCAGCTACTTGGGAGGCTGAGGCAGGAGAACTGCTTGAACCCGGGAGGCAGAGATTGCAGTGAGCCAAGACCATGCCACTGCACTCCAGCCGGGGCAACAAAGTGAGACTCCTCCCCACCCCCCACCCCCTCACCCCCCAAAAAAAGATTTATCTATGTCCTCATATTATCAGTCATTCAAGAAGTGTGGATTAAGATATTTTCCTTTAGAGTCTCCCTTGTTTCCTAAAGCCAAAGTCAATATGAAAAACCTGAATCTGGCCATTTATAGTGTTACCTATAGTTATGAATAAAAGGATGTAAGTATGGCTAGTTTCCCTGGCATGCCAGGGTAAGTAAGGATAAACACTCTTAGGGCGTAATCATAATCTGTGATTATCGCAGGCACTAAATCTTCTGCTCATAAGATCTAAGCCTTGGTTAGACAAATGATTAGGCACTAAAATTAATCAGGAGACACCAGACAGAGGTTGAGTATGGTTTCCATTACTTTTTCTTTATTGTGATGATACTGTCATATACATTGATAACTTCAGAGTATAACACGTTAGATTTCTTATCTGACCTGTCTTTCACAAAATGAATTACTGTTGAAGCAAAGGAATCAGCAGACAGACCTCTTAACAGGAGTAGGAGAAAATGGATAGAGGCCCCTGTTTCCCAAACTTGAGTCATTCAAGTGCCACCTTCATGATTTGGGTTCTACCCACATATCAAATCAAATGACCATTATTTAGCATTTTATATTATACATTTCACAGTTTTACTATAATAAATGTCTTTTTAGAAGGACTTTTCCTCCTACTATGGTTAATAGAAAGCCATTGTCAAATATATAAGGTAACTATGAAAAATACAACAATTTAAGAGCTCTACCTATGTGAGTCCATGTATCACCCCATATGCAGCTGAGTTCTTGAGTATGAGTAGGGGAGTGCATACATACACAGAGATATGGTTTTAGAAACACTGCAATTACAATAGATGATTTTGGCTAAGCAAGGCAAAGGCCAGTGAGATTCAGCAACATTCTCCCTCCATTAGCTTATAGTTGGCATGTGGTCCGTAGCTCCTTACCTTAGACTAAAACATGAAATAAAACTATGGCCCCAAAAGACTTAAAGGATTTATTCACCAAAGGACATATTCATATTTCATGCTAGTATAATCTTCTTATATATCTGAGAGTTATTATAGAAATCTGTGCAGAGAAGCATCATCTTTTCTAAGAAAATGCATCATTGGAATCTCTTCTGATGCGTGGTCACTGTGCCCTTTGACAACTAACCTTCACAATGTTAATCATCTCACCTGTTTGAAAGGGACTAAAATGCTTGTTCCATTTACTGTTTAATAATGCTATCAAAAGGATTAATGACAGAAAACCTCTAGAATACTTTAAACTCTCCAAAAAGGCAGCAGTAAAACAGCAGGTGTCTCTTGTGAACACACATTTGTCTTCTTCCCATAAACTCATCCTGAAGGACATCAGGCTTCCAGCTTATATTTAATTGGCTGATTATGTTGTCACTCTTGAAGCTCCTTGCCAAGTTACAGGGAAGAGTTTTCTTGGAAACCGTAGTTTCCAAACTTTCTCCAGCTATGCAGTTTAATTACATCAAGCAAAATGACAACAGAACTCATAATTAGCCTGGAGATTAATTACAGCTGAATCAGTCCAAACATCACAGCTACCAAATTCAACACAGGTGCTTAGGCAAACAGAAAAGAGTTTCTCAATACCCAGCAGAAGATGGACATGGAAGATGTGCTTTATGACTCTCTTCCCATGAGCCTAAACACACAACCTGTGCAAAATGCCTTGTGTCTTCATAGCCAGGATGTCCCTAAGTATTTTAAAAAGAACCAGATCCAAAAACATTCCAAACAGTGATACCATCAATAATGTAATGTACAATGACTGAAACAAATCTTTTTTTCTATGTGAATTTCTGAAACCTAGAGCTCTCTTTCCCCTTCTCATTTCTTATCTGATTATTGAAGAGTCTAAAAATCCTACATCATTCTTCTACTCCTTTCAGAATTACAAATGAAAGAGCAATAGGGAGATGTGGTTCAATTGGCATAAAGTTTCAGTATGCAAGATGAGTAAGTTCTAGCGATCTGCTATACAACATAGTGCCTGTAGTTAACAATACTAAATTGTGCATGTTACAATTTAAGAGGGTGGATCTCATGTCAAATGTTCTTACCACTAAAAAAAAGGACACAAGGAAATTTTTGGAAGTGATGAACGTATCTGTTACTTTGATGGTGGCAATGGTTTCATGGGTGTATGCATATGTCCAAATTCATCAAACTGTGTACATTAAATATATGCAAGTTTTTTTTTTTGAGACAGAGTCTCAGGCTGGAGTGCAGTGGCACGATCTCGACTCACTGCAACCTCCACCTACCGGGTTCAAGCGATTCTCCTTCCTCAGCCCCCCAAGTAGCTGGGATTACAGGTGCATGACAAAATGCCCAGCTATTTTTTAATATTTTTTTAGTAGAGATGGGGTTTCACTATGTTGGCCAGGCTGGTCTCAAACTCCTGACCTCGTGATCCCCCCACCTTGGCCTCCCAAAGGCAGTTTTTTAATATATCAATCATACCTCCATACAGCTGTTTAAAAAAATTAAGAGAAAAGCAAGTGAAAAACCTGTACCTTGTGTTCATCCTGTGACTCCTGAAAGTGACTAAGCCCTAGAGTGTCACCATGCTCCCACACAGAGTGTTGAAGCAATGCCAGATCAAACACTCTCAAGCCAACAACCACCGACCTGGAACCTCCTATTACCTCTCTGAGAACTACTGCAAGAGGAAAAGGTTGAGTTAGGAAGATAGAAAAAAGGAAGCTGGTCTTATTTACAAATGCTGTCCTTTCTTATTTCCTTTTACCTTCAAGTCATTTGAGATACCTTTAAATATATGCAAATCTAGGATCCAACAAAGACAAATTATATCCCCTAGTGATTTTAAGGTGCAACTAGAGTTGATAACTACTGGTCTGGAGGAGTCTCAAAGAGATTGGCCACATTATATAATTGCATTCGATTCAGGGGAACCGGCAGCTACACAGTAGAGAAGTAGGGAGGAAGAACAAGGTCAGAACATAGGAAACAGAGAGAATGAAGAGACACAAATCAGGATTCCAGAAGTTTGTACACAAAAGAAATTAAAGGTGTGTAGTAATACACAAATACATGATTCTTAAACCATGTAAGAAACAAGAAAACTTGTCTCTGAATCAGAAGCTGATGAGGATTGCAAAGAAGCATTTTTAATGGGTTTATTGGATACATGGGTTTGTTGGTTTGATTTTCTGTTTGCTTATTTATTTGTGCATTCGGAGGAGTGGGGATTTCTTTGTAATTTTTAAAAAACAAATATTAACTAAAAAGAATAAACTGTGTTCAGACATCCCAAAGGGAAACCCATGGAAAGAAAAGAGGAAATGAAATTTGGAGCAGGCCTTGTGGAATGATTTAAATAAATGAAATGTCTGCAAATGCATAGGTAGGCCTAATGCTTGTATCCTAGCCTACTCCGAGACATGAGGGAAGCTGCTGCAAAGCCATTTGCTTTCACAAGACTGGAGGAGAGAGTACATGGCTGCCAGGAGAGGAATGTTGTCAGAGCGACTTCAAATGAGCACAGCCAAACTCTTCAGCGCTGAGAGGCCGACCACTGTGCAACCAGCCACACTGCCATCTGCCCAGGCTGCCTTCTCGGTGCTGGGCAAAGCCAAGAGCGGCTCCCCCACCCCACTTTGGAGGATCCAGGGCACGTAATGCTCTAGAACACAATTCTGCTAAAGGAGAGCAGGGGTGGGAGGCCCCAGTGAAAAAGACCTCCTGCGATATCCCTGGTGTGTGTACAGGCACACATCCCCACATCCATGTGTGTCCTTGCTATGTTAGGGAACAGTGCTCAGTTAGGGTGTTCCTCCTGTCCCCTTCATACTCAGATCTCTGGATCTCCAGGTAGGATGGCTCAGGTCAGCTTGGTGTAGCAGTGATGTGAAATCTGAAGCTGTGCATTCAAAACTCAACTCTACATCTTACTTACTGGCTGATCATTGGTAAATCATTTCATTTTTATGAGACCCAGTTTCCTCACTTGTAGATTATTAGAGGCTTCCTTGCCTGTCCATTTTACAGCTAAAGAAATTGAGAACCTCACAGCAAAAGAAACTACCATCAGAGTGAACAGGCAACCTACAGAATGGGAGAAAATTTTTGCAATCTACTCATCTGACAAAGGGCTAATATCCAGAATCTACAAAGAACTCAAACAAATTTACAAGAAAAAAAAAAACCCATCAACAAGTGGGCAAAGGATATGAACAGACACTTCTCAAAAGAAGGCATTTATGCAGCCAACAGACACATGAAAAAATGTTCATCGTCACTGGCCATCAGAGAAATGCAAATCAAAACCACAGTGAGATACAATCTCATACCAGTTAGAATGGCGATCATTAAAAAGTTAGGAAACCACAGGTGCTGGAGAGGATGTGGAGAAATAGGAACACTTTTACACTGTTGGTGGGACTGTAAACTAGTTCAACCATTGTGGAAGACAGTGTGGCGATTCCTCAAGGATCTAGAACTAGAAATACCATTTGACCCAGCCATCCCATTACTGGGTATATACCCAAAAGATTACAAATCATGCTGCTATAAAGACACATGAACACGTATGTTTATTGCGGCACTATTCACAATAGCAAAGACTTGGAACCAACCCAAATGTCCATCAATGATAGACTGGATTAAGAAAATGTGGCACATATACACCATGGAATACTATGCAGCCATAAAAAGGATGAGTTCATGTCCTTTGCAGGGACATGGTTGAAGATGGAAACCATCATTCTCAGCAAACTATTGCAAGGACAAAAAACCAAATACTGTGTGTTCTCACTCATAGGTGGGAATTGAACAATGAGAACACTTGGACACAGGAAGGGGAACATCACACACCGGAGCCTGTTGTGGGGTGGGTGGAGGGGGAACAGATAGCGTTAGGAGAAATACCTAATGTAAATGACAAGTTAATGGGTGAAGCACACCAACATGGCACATGTATACATACGTAACAAACCTGCACGTTGTGCATATGTACCCTAGAACTTAAAGTATAATAAAAAATATATATATATAAAATAAAAAAATCACTGTAAAAAAAATTAGATGAAGAATAAAAAAAAAAGAAAGAAATTGAGAACCAGAGAATACAAAGTGAATTCCCAACTTCACCCAGCTAACTGACTGCTATGCAGAATCAACACCCAAATTTCCTGTCTTGAGTCATTTTCTTCCCCAGCTGTACTCCTCTGCTCGAATATCTCTTCCAACTCCTTTTTAAGAGATGATCTTAGGAGATAGTGAGAGCTTATGGTTCAAGATAGTGGACTGACTACACACATCATCTCCACTGCCTCCCAAAAGCCTATGGGATTCATGGAAAATATTTTTTAAGAGGAGAAAGAGGATGGGAAGGGGGGAAAAGTCACCAGCTATAAACCATAAAGTTTGAACAAAATGTGAAAGGTAGAAGGAACATTCAGATTGGATTGATGGAGAAAAATTTTCAAAAGCAAAAAAATAAAAAAATTGGTTTAAGTTAAAAGGGGTACCCTCATTAATAAGAACTTTATTGAGTATATATTGTATATAGATTACGCATTAAATAAGGTATATAATATTACATTTTAATATTAAATGTATTAAATACATATAATTTGTACATAATATGTAATATTACATATATTACAGTTTATAGATATGATAGACTACTGTGAAGCCTTTGTAATACATAGTGGTGAAAATCTTTATATACCGGCATGAAGGGATGTCAATATAATGTCAAAAGGAGAAACTCAACATTAAAACCGTGTGAATAGCCGGGCGCAGTGGCTCACCCCTGTAATCCCAGCACTTTGGGAGGCCGAGATGGGCAGATCACGAGGTCAGGAGATCGAGACCATCCTGGCTAACACGGTGAAACCCCGTCCCTACTAAAAATACAGAAAATTAGCCAGGTGTTCTGGCACCCGCCTGTGGTCCCAGCTACTCAGGAAGCTGAGGCAGGAGAATTGCTTGAACCCGGGAGGCAGAGGTTGCAGTGAGCCGAGATCGCGTCACTGCATTCCAGCCTGGGCGACAGAGCGAGACTCTGTCTCAAAAAAAAAAAAAAGGTGTGAATTACACAAATCTACTTGATGTGTGCATGTAATACACATTTGTGTAGTAAAAATGCAAGCACTTACACAGTGCTTGCTATGTAAATGCCTACAACACTGCCATTAGCACCATTATAAACAGAAGGAAACTGAGACACAGAGAGGTTAAGCAATTTGTCCAAGGTCACAGAGCTACAATAAATAAGTGGAAGGTCTAGGGCACAAATCAAGGCCATCTGCTCCTGAGTCAGTGTCTCACAGCTGATGCTCAGCTTGTCAGCAGAACACAGAGAGCTCTGAAAGAGTACCCACCCAAGTCTGACTTCCCAGAGAGGTGATGGATGAAGCATTTCCATTTTACTTTTATATTTCCCTATTGTTTAATAGCCTTCAATAAGAATGCATTTTTTTCATTTTGTTTTTAAAATTATTATACCATGAAACTGGCTTTTTTTCGATGCACGGCTCTATGAATTATTACACATGTATGGATTTATGTGACCACCAGCACAATCAGGATACAAGATGGATTCACTTTGCCCAAAAAACTCCCTCTTGCTCTCCTTTGTAGTCACACACTCCCCTCATCCTGAACCCCTGGCAAACACATGACTTCTTGAGAAGATTATGCCGTATGTAGTCTTTTGAGATTGGCTTCTTTCACTCAGCATAATGCCTTTTACTTGAAAATTTCACCAAGTAGTTACATGAACTCATCATTTGTTTCTTTTTATTACTCAGTAGTATTCCATCGTATGGATGTACCAGTTTGTTTATCCATTCACCAGCTGAAGGACATCTGGGCCGTTTCTAGTTTTGAGTGATTATGAATAGAGCTACTATAAGCATTGGTGTACAGGTTTTTGTAGGAACACATATTTTCATTTCTCTTGGGTAAATACCTAAGAATGTGCTTGCAAGGTGTTATGATAAGTGAATATTTAACTTTATGCAAAACTGCCAAACTGTTTTCCAGAGTTACTGTAGCATTTTGCATATCCACCAGCAATGGATGAGAGTTCCAGTTGTCCTACATCTTCATCAGCCCTTGGGATCTTCAGCGTTTTTTTCATTATAGTCATTCATGTAGGTGTGTAGGAAGAATGTATGCCTTATTGTTTTTTGTTTTTTGGGTTTTTTTTGAGACGGAGTCTCACTTTGTCGCCCAGGCTGGAGTGCAGTGCTGCGATCTTGGCTCACTGCAAGCTCCGCCTCCCGGGTTCACGCCATTCTCCTGCCTCAGCCTCCCGAGTAGCTGGGACAACAGGCGCCCGCCACCACGCCCGGCTAATTTTTTTGGATTTTTAGTAGAGACGGGGTTTCACCGTGTTAGCCAGGATGGTCTCCATCTCCTGACCTCGTGATCCGCCTGCCTCGGCCTCCCAAAGTTCTGGGATTACAGGCGTGAACCACTGTGCCCAGCCCTGAATGTATGCCTTTTTAAATTAAAAAGAAATGTAAAAGAATTGTACACCATTGGCAAATGTAAGGCAAATAGTTTATATCCTAAGCCGCTAGTAGATGAAAATATAAATAAGAATTATATTAAATATTTCATTAGTTTATTAAATATTTTAAGCATCTAATATGTACCTGCTGTGCTCCTCATATGCATTAATTTCAAAGCCTTAGGGATGTTCATGTGCTTTATAATTTTTCTTTTTATTTTGTCATTCCTATTTTCTATGTATTTACAATGTTCTCAGTTTGTTTTTGTAATCCAACACTAAAATGTAATAAAAAAGAATAGAGAACAGAAAACGTAATATATTTAATTCTAAATAATTATTATTTATGCTAATAATTTGTTATTCAGGAAAACATTTTCCTCTATGGATATACAAGTCAAGATAAGAAGAAGCTCACATAGAGCATACTTAGTTATAGAATTTCAGCTATTTGCTCCACCTTGAACCCTTCTTTGTTTTGTCATATATCAAAAGCATTGTAACAGGCAGAAGAGTTAGTTTACTTCCTACAAATGTATTGTGAATGCTTGACAATGAGAAATTAATTAGAAAAGATATAAAGGCCAATTGATTTTCTGGCTGCCAGTTGTCCACTTCGCAGATTACTTATGGAGCCAGAAAGAAAATAGAAAAAAAGGTAAAGAAGTGTGCCTGGGCTAGAAGACAGCAAAGGGGCTACCCAGGAAATCAATTACAGTCATCCCTGATGGTTCAGGATTTCCACTGAGTCTTTGCCATGTCCTCCTTGCCAAACCTGAGCCACATACGCGAAGCGACTATAAGTGGAATGCATCAGCATCAAGGACCTCTTTCTCCTGATTTTGTGTAGATTTCCAAGAACATCTTCAATGATATAGAGAGCAGAAGCAGGAAATCACCTTTGCAAATCAAAACCCATATTACAAACAGGCTAACCAACATGGCCCCAGTCTGAAGAAAAACAGGAATTACTCTCAGAAATTACATTCAATTAAGGAAAGTACTATATTCAAGGAAAGACTTGCACTTCTACCCTAGGGCAGTCTCATGATGGTTCCTGACCCCAGTTCTTCTAAACCATTTGAAATTAAACTAACTAGTTAGAAATGCTTTTCATAATTCTTTTGTGCAGGGTCCTAATTGTTAAGGAGTAGAATTTTAAGTTTGGTTGGATATATGATTTTATATTTTAGTCTAGATTTCACAGATAAGATACTGAGGCCTAAGGAAGGGAAATGGACTTGCTTTAAGACAAAACAATGTCAGAGAAGAATCATGATAAGACAGAAAAGCTTTCACATAACCAGTCCACTGCATGGATCAAATTTATTTATTTTGCATATTTATTATGCTTCCTGAAGGAAAGCTATTAAAATGCATTGCTTTGGGAGATTACTGTCATCATCTATGACAAATTGCATTTATTAATGACGTTTCCTTGCAGAAATACCACTCAAGAAAGAAAAAGTGAGAAGAAGAGGGCAAGGAGGAGATCAAGGAGGAGGAAGAAAAGGAGGAACAAGAGGAGATAGAGGAAGAAAATCCTCAAAATACACATTAAAAAGTACTGCAAAGTGATTGGGTCAAACCACTTTTTGATTAAAGTTGTTTTTAAGAATAAGCTCTCATTCTTAATGAGTTCCAGCTGATCCTAAAAGTTTTACTGTTTCACCATATCTTAATTGTATTCTAGTATACTTGTCATATGAAACAAGATGCATTATACAACTTCAAATTAATTTCAATTCCTCAATCAAATTTTAAAGAATGAAATTCAGCCACTCTGCTTTAGCTATTACTATTTATCCAGGAACAACTACTGTGGACTTGGCCTTCAAAGTGAGTGAGAATAAAAAAGGATCCAA
Source organism: Homo sapiens (assembly GCF_000001405.40). NCBI lineage: Eukaryota > Metazoa > Chordata > Mammalia > Primates > Hominidae > Homo > Homo sapiens. The sequence goes on from NC_000009.12 coordinate 82,946,425, forward strand.
GAAAATGGCTGAGATTTCTGGAAGCAAAGATAAGTGATGGATTTTCTATTTCCAAAGAATTCATTTCTTGGCTCTATGAAAATATATTTAAGTTCATTTATAACTACCCAAATCCTATCTAAGACCCGTAGTTAAGGTATCCCTAAAAATAATACATCCTTATGTGATCTGTCCTCTCTGGGTAACAGCAGAGTGACCTCAAACGCTGGTTAAATTGTCCTGGTTTAGCTACCTCTCCTTAAAATATCTAAATGGATACTTTTAGTTTAGGATTTCATAAATAATAATCATAACTAGTATTACTAAGCCTTAACTTTGTGTCATGCACTCTTTTAAGTGAATAATGTGTGCTAGTTTATTTGATCCTTGAACCCTATAAGGTAAGTACTACTGTTAACCCCATTTTACAGCTAAAGAAACTGAAGCAAAGGAGGCTAAGATACAGATGGTAAAAGTCTCCCAGCATATACAAGTGGAGCAGGCAAATGAGCCTGTGCTTGTGAAGAAAAAAAACCCATTTATGGGTGAATTATGTAGAGTTTATTAAAGAGTTAATTTAAAGACATACATGAATAGATAAGGATTTTCAGTAAATTACAAAGTGTTAGCATGGCTAAGCATAGTCTGGGTTTATTGTTAACTTCACCTCACTGGGCTTTTGTTAGAGCTATTAGCAAAAAGTGATTAGAAGCAGATCTTTATCCTGGGTGACACTCCTGTCTTCTTGCCTGGTGCTAATTCTATCTCTCCTGCTTCTAGTAACTCAACATCTGATACTCATTCATGTCACCATTGTTTGGACAACTCTTTCATAACCAGTATATCTATTGTGAAGCATTTTAACTCCTTTCTATTATTGCACAAATTTCACCTTTTAAAAGAGAGAGCTTTGTTGTCTTAAATCTAAAAATTTCATGTGAATTTCTATTGCACTAGCTATAGGTTGGTGCAAAAGTTATTGCGTTTTTTGCCATTTACTTTCAATTTGCACTAACCTAATACATACCTCTGTCTTCACCAGCATTACATGTATAATTCCTTTAACTGCCATGCCCTCTGCAAATGCTTGCTGAGAAACTGTGAATTTCTTCTGGGTTTTATGGGTCTCCCTGGCTTTGGATACTCCCTGAGTATCACTTAGTTTAAGGGCCTTACATATACCAGAGCCTCTTAAACTCTGGCATTTCTATATCTCACCTGTGGATTTCATTGAACTGCAGATTCTGGACCCTGGGATTCTGAATTTCTAACAAGCTCCCATGGGAAGCTTATGCTACTTCACAGACCATACTTTGAATGGCAATGACCTAAGAGATTTTTCATTCCTTCCTTACCAATTTCTTGTATCCTCCTCCCATTTCCTGCCCCAGCAGAAATACCCAGGTTATATTATTTTCACATGCAACCAATGTTTTCTCACCAGGTTTTTGGAGTTTTTTTCCTCCATTTCTATGGTCACTAACATGTATGTTTCTATGTTCTCCTGAGGACCAGATAATCTAGAAATTTTCTCAAGGTAGTAATTCAGGGTAAGGTATAAGAATAAAAAACCCACCTCTGTTGCCCTTAGAAATATTTAATCCATAAATAGACAGGCTGTGAAGTTGCTCTCACCTTGTTTTGTATTTATCCTCCTCTAGCAGCTGAAAGTAGAACTCAGAGGAAATGGAAAATAGATGAGGGGAGGGCTTTGCCTGAGACAGCTTTCATCAGTAAAGTACCAAAGTAATTACTGCACCTGACAAATTTCTACTCCTTGTTTTAGCCTAGTTTTAATAAAAGAAAGATTCAACAATGGTTTATATTACCTGGCATTGCCTTTAATTTTATCAAGCTCCAGTATGAAGACTCACCACATTTACACTAAAACTGCTTTTTCTCCTGAAGTTCATTTGTGAAGGCAGCCACTGGGGCTTTAATCATCTTTTCTTCCATCTTTCATTTCTAACACACTGTGATTGATAATGGCTCTCCCAGGACCCCCTGTGAACCAGGCAAATTCTCCATCATGTCAGACCCAGGTAGTCAGTGGTAGAGAAAGCATTCACTAATTAAGAACAGAAAGGCCATTTCAAATACTCTGGCTATAAAGAGTTAGCATTTCACATTCACGGTGGGCTGCATTCAAAGGTAAAGTCCTCTGACCCGATGGACCTGGCTATATTTCACTAAGCTTGGGAACAGTAGGCAAACCCTTGGCATTTCAAAAGTTCTGTTGAAATCTAAGGTAATGAAATGCTGCTCGTGTCTGAGAGCTCAAAGCCCTTAGAATAACCTTGTCAGTATTAAGCAGATCACAGGAGTTCAAATCTCAATCACTAAGGTGCCATTGTCTCAAGGAGCACTTAGGAAAACCTTGAAAATGTTTTATGCCTCCAGGATAACTCTTTTAGCATTGATGCTACTTAAAAAGTTCATTTCCTATTCTTTTCTCTAAAAACTTATGGCTTATCATTTTTTGGATGATTTTAAAGGAGTCTGGAAACTCAGTCTAATTTGTGGGCAAGATGTTTCAAAATCTATATTGCAGAAGTATGAGTCAGTCATTGAATTGTATTTGAAATGTGACTTCTAGGATGTATATGGCATAAAAATACTCAAATGCACCTCATTACAAAATGCTAGGACATAGTAGAACTGTACCTAATATGTTCTTATAGTGCTGCTTTAAGAATTGTGGCTGATGGCTGATGTAAGTCTTCTAAACCAGGAACTGGCCAGATCCTAAGGCAATGCCTCAGACCTCTGCTCTAAAAGTATTGGGTTCAGAACTTTGCACACTAAGGATAGAAATGACCCCCACTAAATGCTCACCTCCAACCAGGCAAAAAATAATCTCCCTATTCCTGAGGTCTGATAACAAGTGTTTTAGTGAAATACCAAAGAATGAGATAGGAGCTAGACACGTCATCTCTAAAAATCCTGCCCAGCAAGAACAGCATGAGCGTGGGATGGCCACAAACTGGAGAATCACCAGAACAAAGAACTGTAAGGATGTTAAGACAGAAGAGGCAACAAGGAGTTGCTTTCATGGGACTGATGACCATCCTTTAAACACTCATTGGAGAACTATTTGGATAAGGCCAAGAAACTCAACAGTTGGTATTCAACATATATACCTGACCAAATACATCTGTCAATTTATGAGTGCCTTGAATTGCCTTTGGTTTCTGCTTGTGAGCATAAATAAAAACATATTGGTAAGCAAAAATTTGCTGATTTATTATAGCTCTGTCTTTTTGGAGCACTTTAGTCTCTCTATCTATACACACACTAAATCTTCCCAGTACTTTCTTGGAACCCTCAGAGATGTCTTGCCTGGGTTTCAAACACAGGTTTCATTTGTTCTTCCACTTTGGCAGCCCCTGGAATATCAGGTGTCAGCAAAGCTGTCTGAGGATGACTCTGCAACCCGAAAGCTGCTATTGTGCCCTCCTTGAAGAGAGCCACCTCCACTAGCTCTTAGTCTTCCAGGAAACCAAGAGTGGTTCATGCCCTGAAGATGACAGGACAGTCCTGCATACCCTTTACTCTTGTTTGAGCCATGTTCCATGCAGAAATGCAGAGGTTCTCTCTCTTTCCTTAGGACACAAAGCTAGTGTCAGGGGCTGAGCTGAGGAGCCAAACCTTCTTGCCACCTCCACCTCTGCATCTCTGCATCCAGGTATTTGAAGCAAAATCATTCCAGAATCCAAGTGCATTTGTGAAATGCATATATGTAGTGTTGAGCTTGAGATTAAGAAAGTGGATTAAAATTGTCTTCTTAGAGCTTAAATTTTGGGAGAGATTACCAGAATGGAAACTCATATAGAGATCAATGGACATGTTTTCAAGGTTAGTGGACAGTCTAACATAAAAAAAACTAGTCTTCAGACAATGTAAAAATAAAATAAATTGAGTGCCATGGAACAAGGAGTACAGTAAGGCTTATCAGGGCCACATGTACAACAAACAAGAACATATATGCTTTTGAATCTTATTTTCTTTCTTTTATAATAATGTAGAAAAATTTGCAAAAGAATGTAAATTTTGAAGTGTTCCTTGAGGCAAATGTACTGTACATTTTCATATTTGAATATTAAATGTATTCTATACTTAAATTCTATCCTAGGTAACTGAACACAAGTCCATACCCATGCAAAATGACAGCTGAGAGTAGCTCTCCCAAGACAGACACTAACTCTGGAGAGTGCCAGCACCCAGCCTTCACCTGGGATTGCCGTGTACTGACTGGCAGGATATTTAGGAGTGAGCAGATAGTGAAGGATGCTGAGGAAGGAGGTGAGAGTTCTCCCTACTGCCCATGACAGAGAGTGCTCATCAATATGTGGGCTTTTCTACAACAAAAACACCTACCTATTTTCTAAAAGGTACTTAGTGACTGAGACAAAACCTAAACATTTCTTCTGACCTAATTACACATATTCATAAACAAATCCCCAAGAAAAAACAGGACCCTCTGTAAAGCAAATTCTCTCTCCCCTCTCCCCCAGCAAATTTTCTCATCTTCACTTGAAGTGAATGTGGTATTAACAGTTGTATTTTTGTATTGAGAATCTGAGCATAAAGAGACCACAAAAATAAACAAAGTATAGTCCATTAATTCTCAAGAATGGACACCATAAGACTATTGGCCTCTTGGCAGCTTGAATCATTATTTGCAATTATTATACATAATATAATTCTATGTATCCATGCCTTTTGCCATGTGACTTAGAATTCTTGCCCTGCTGCAGTTGTGTTGAGCTTGGCCATGCAATTTGCCAATGGGTTGTGGGTGAGAGATAGTGAGAGAGTTCAGGGCTGAGGCCTCTGGTGGTGCTATTTGTTTCCATTTGCTCTCTTGCACTCCTGCCATTTGTCATATGAAGGGTAGGCTCTGGAGAGTTGCTGGTCCAAGGAGGATGAGAAACTCATGGAGCTGACCCAAACCCAACATGTGCCACAGCCTGGGGCCTGGAGCCTGGATCCCAAAGTCTAGCCTCACCCAGTCAAAGTGCACAAGACCCATAGACATGTGAGCAAATTTTAAGGTTGCTCAAAATGCAACACTGTTGCAGAAATAGCTGAGCAATACATTCCACACGCCTGCTCCTGGTATGGACGTATGTATATACACAAGGTTCTTCACTACAAGTGGTTGAGTTCATAGAGTATAACTGCAATCTATTGATGATCTACCTAAAACAGTCTAGAAGCATCTTTCTAAATTTATGCAGCAGTGGGCAACATCTATCTTCTTTAATTCTATAGCACAAACTTGCAAAGTAGTACAGAAATTTCCCACATAATTGTCTGTTTCCCCTTTGTGCCAGGATACAAATTTTCTTCATCTCTCTCTTACTAGCTGATCATGAGATTACATGATCACTTAGCACTTCAATTCTTCAAAGGGAGCAATTTCAATTACATGGAAGCCTCCCAACATTGTCATTAAGAAGGAAACGTAGTAGGCGGCAAAATCCCAGGCTAGACACGCATATGGGAGAACTAATGATTACCTTCAAAGTCCACATTTCCTTAATTATAGCATCATGTTCAGTAAAGTTAAGGCTTTGTCAGTCGTTTGCTAGAATCTCTGCGCTTGAAAGGTTTATGCATTTATGGGGGATGGGAATCTGTATTATTTGAAATTGATATGTTGTACAAGGGGAGGTTACCATCAAAATAGAATGAAATAGATTACACTGCAGTCTTCTTTTTTCAAATAACACATTCTTTTGAAAGAGAGAAAATAAATAGAAGAGCAAATCATCTCTTTCATTACACATTTCTAAATCCTGCACTCTTATGGAACCCAAGCGGAATTCACTCTACAAAGTGTACATTCAAACATGAAGCAGCTTGATTGCTAACCCTGACAATTGCATAGATTAGTAACAACTCTCCACCAAAAAAAAAAAAAAAAAAAATGATCAAACTCAATGATGTTCCAAAACAATGTCTAATTTTTTTCAGGGCCCAGATAAGATAAAATAGATAATTTCAGCAAGTGTTTCTTGAGCTAGATGTGACAAGCTATGCCCTTAAATGGAAAGACAGACACTTCTGTGATTATTTTTTTTTCTCTGAAGGATAAAATAAATATAATCTAATCTTTTACAAACTACTGTATTAAGCTGGGTTCAGTAGCTCTATAACAGAAAGGACTGATGCCTGGGACTGAGGGATGGGAGGAGAGTAGGGGTGAAAAAAGAGAGGAAATACATCCTACCGAGAATGAGGACATGAAAAAATTATTCAGTCTTTTTGTTGGTTCCAGGTGACCCTGTCACTCAAATGGTCTATATTTTCCTTCTGTGTTTGTGAACAGAGTAGGAAATGGGAGTAATATTTGCCAGGGAAACGATTCTAGCTAAAGCAATATTGGACAGTGCAGTTCAATGGAAAAGGATATCAGACTGGGGCAGAGACATCTTGGTTCTCATCCTAGTTTCACCCTTAATTTTCCCTGGAGCTTTGGATATGTCAGAACTTTTAGAGTGACCGAGGTTATTAGAATGACCGAGGTTCAAACCAGCTTCTGGGTCTCCATTTTATCACCTGTGAAATGAATAACACCTAAACTACCTACTTCCACTGGGTATAGATAACCAGTACTAAAAAGACATGTAAGACAATGCTATGTAAACAATATTATTCTTTCCACATCTCTATTTGTATTTATGATTTGATCATATATTTTATTAATATGGCAGGTAATACTGGCCACAAGGTGAATGAGTTACTCTAAATGGCTCTAACTAATGCTTACCAGAAACCATTTTTCAAAAACAGATGCCAAACGAGTTTTACAATCTGCCTCAATTTAGCTTTCTGGAGTCATTCTCCCAAACCATGGTAACAAATGGTTGTCATACCTCAACTATTTACTTTCTATATTGATTCATGCTAGTTTCCCTGCCTAAATCCCTTCCCCATCATAGTCCCTGACAAAAGGTCTTTGGAGGGTATCCTTTCTCATGACACACACTTCTTGAATGCTTCCTTATGTTTTATGTTCCCGTTGCTCCCCAAATCCTCTCTCAGCTTCTCCTGCAGTGTCCTCTTTAAGTCTTCCCTATGAATGTCACCAACTGTCTATCAGGACACACCAAACTAACCCCCACCCTGCCACCCACCCACCCACAGAATGACAGAGGTTCAGACCAGCTCATTCCATGTCCCCTATACACGAGTGCCTTTGGCTTCACCTGGTACCAACGGAGGCTTCTATAGACTCAGTCTGGGGAGAAAGAGTGGATTCTACTTGGGAGGAAGAGTGCGATTTAATTCCACTCACCTCCCTCCAACAGCTTTACTGGAAGGGGTGAAGGGGTGGGTGCAGGTGGTGGCAGTTCTTTCTAAGAAACCCAGAGGCAAACATAGCTGGTCTCCATCCTAAGTCATCTTCTGGAGACCACTTGGCCTGGTGTATCTGAGGACTGGTCTCCCTACCCACACCCAATCCAGGGAGCAATTCACAGGACTGATCTTGTAAACCCAACTTCAACCCAACACCCGATGATAACTCCTCCTGACCATATTATTCTGAAGGTTCTCTTGCTGTCTTTCTGGGTCAGCTTTTATTTGACAGGAATCAGTATAAAATCCTGGAGACAGCTAAGATGATGACTGGTGCAAAGTTTATGCCATCTCTCTGATTACCAGGTTTCTGGCCTGGTTGAGGGAGTGGGGGATTCATTTCATCCCACCAACAAGGAATCATTTTACTGCAAAGGGGTGTGTTTCATAGGAAGCACAAGACCACAATGAATTGCACATATAAATAAAGTTTCCCAAAGAAAGAGGAAAGAAAGAGGAAAAATACCTGCTTGTGAATTCTAACAAGAGCACTTGATGAATTGAGAGTCCCAGTAGGTTCATCAAGGGTGTGAGTGTCTCAGAAGAGTCTGGATAATGTGATTCACCTTATCTGACTCTTTCCCATCGAATTAATGGAGGATTTAATTTACATTGTGAATATGTAATCGAAATATTCTTATTCACAGAATGATCCAATAAAAATAAATTCATTGCTACATCATTCAAATCTGAGATAGACAACTCTAAACCTTTTTATAGACCTTGTGCCCATCATCATAGGAACAAAGAAGGCAAAAAGAGTATTTCTGTATCTTTCTCAGAGAATGGAAACAGATGGTTTACGCACAGGCATTCCATAAGTACTACCGTCATCTCAGATATGTAAATGTAGGCTCAATGGTGAAGGGGTTAATTATCTCTTTACTATCCCTGTTACATACTTACTTTGCCTTTCTAACTTTGTCATTTTGTCTTTCTTTTTTTTCTACTACAAAAATTCAATCTTTGGATTCCCAAAATACAAGAATCTGTGAGGCACCGGCAAGTGTCCTGGACTTTCAGGACTTGTTTTTAATGCTTTAGAATATAATCCATCTGAGATAAAACTCTCCAATCCGGACTTGATTGTTAACCACTTCCAACATGTGACCCTGGGCACATCACTTACCCTCTTGCTGCTGTGTTTCTTCATCTGGAAAATGAAGGCACCATAATAAGGGCTCCCTGCCTCGTAGGGCTGTAAGGAAAGGTCATGATTAATTCATTTCTCAGATGCAAAACCAGAATTATACAGCACAGTAATAAAATAGAAGCAATGAAAACATAGATATTTTAGGATTCTTAAACTACTGAGATTTATTTATTTATTTAGCTTTCAAATGCAATGGAAGACATATTTCAAAACTTGGGTATTACTAAACTTTAAACTGGAAGGCAGATACTCATGGAGAGAGCGTAGGGTTCAGCATCCTATAAGTCTTGACCTCACTATTGCCTTCTCCTCACCAGTTGACTGCATGAGCTTGGGAAAGACATTAACCCCGCCAGTCTTTCATTTTCCCCATGCTCAAAATGATGAGTTGGATTTGCTGTCTCCAAGTTCCCTGCCATGCCAGCAGCTCACAAATTTCTATTGTGGTGAAATGTCTTCTCCTTTCTTCCATAAACATCAGTAGACATTGCTTCATTTTACCTTATAGCTTATATTTCAGTGGCCATGTATGCAATGATAGACCAGAATTATTTCTATGTTTACCAACTTGGGACCCTTTTTGAAATAAAATATTTTGTTTTTCACATTATACAATAAACTCCAAAATAAAATTATATGAAAATATTTTTAGAAAGGGGGCAGTAACCCATTATTTTACTTCTTTTTTGACAAAAATTTGGTAGTTTCCTTCACAGTTTTATGAGAATGCAAATTAATATATATTATTTTACCAATGCAATGTGAAATGAGCACATCATGGGGAATGGGGCCTTCATCCCCTCAAGCATTTATCCTTTGGGTTACAAACAATCCGATTACAGTATATATACTGTATTAGTCTGTTCTCATGCTCCTAATAAAGATATACTTGAGACTGGATAATTTATAAAGGAAAGAGGTTTAATTGACTCACAGTTCCACATTGCTGCAGAGGCCTCACATTCACGGTGGAAGGCGAAAGAGGAGCAAAGTCACATCTTACATGGTGACAGGCAAGACAGCATGTGCTGGGGAACTGCCCTTTATAAAACTATCCGATCTTGTGAGACCCATTAGCCATCACGAGAACACCACAGGCAAGAAACGCCTCCATGATTCAATCACCTCCCACTGGCATCCCTCCCACAACATATGGAAATCATGGGAGCTACAATTCAAGATGAGATTTGGGTGGGGACACAGCTAAAGCATATCACATACCTATTATGAGACTGTCTTTGTTTTTAGAAATCCTTCTTAGCCAGCAAGCACAGATCTATTTTATTCATTTTTAGCAGCTGTATTATATTCCACTATGAGCCTCTACCAAAATATGGGCATCCTTTTGATACATTTTTGTGTCTAATTTTTCTCAATCAAAAATGTTCTGTTCAGGGCCAGGTGCAGTGGCTAACGCCTGTAATCCCAGCACTTTGGGAGGCCGAGGCGGGTGGATCACCTGAGGTCAGGAGTTTGAGACTAGCCTGACCAACATGGTGAAACCCCATCTCTACTAAAAATACAAAAATTAGCCTGGCGTATTGGTGCATGCCTGTAGTCCCAGCTACTCAGGAGGCTGAGGCAGGAGAATCACTTGAACCCAGGAGGCAGAGGTTACAGTGAGCCGAGATCGCACCACTGCATTCCAGCCTGGGTGACAGAGCGACACTCTGTCTCAAAAAAAAAAAAAAAAAAAAAAAAGTTTCATTTAGATCATGGACATAGAGGGTAGAAGGGTGGTTACCAGAGGCTGGGAAGGGTAGTGGGGATCTGGAGAGGAGGTGGGGATGGCTAATGGATACAATAAAATAGTTAGAAAGAATGAATAAGACCTACTATTTGATCACATAACAGGGTGACTATAGTCAATAATAACTTAATTATACATTTTGAAATAAAGAGTGTAATCGGATTGTATGTAACCCAAAGGATAAATGCTTGAGGGGATGAAGGCCCCATTCCCCATGATGTGCTCATTTCATATTGCATGTCTCATGCAATGTATGCCATAAATTATCTCATGTACCCCATAAATATATACACCTACTAAGTACGCACAAATTTTTTTTAATTAAAAAATCATTAGAAAAAATTATTGGCTGGGCACAGTGGCTCACACCTGTAATCTCAGCACTTTGGGAGCCCGAGGCAGATGGATCACGAGGTCAGGAGATCGAGACCATCCTGGCTAACACAGTGAAACCCCATCTCTACTAAAAAAATACAAAAATTAGCTGGGCCTGGTGACAGGTGCCTGTAGTCCCAGCTACTTGGGAGGCTGAAGCAGGAGAATCGCTTGAACCCAGGAGGCAGAGCTTGCCAAGATCGCGCCACTGCAGTCCAGCCTGGGTGACAGAAGCGAGACTCCGTCTCACAAAGAAAAAAAAAAATTATATCTGTTTAGAATATGCTTATACCTACATCTTTACACATGTAAATGACCATTGCAGAATAATTAACTCAAAATAGTAGCTTGAAATCATATTTTGGGATGTGTTTCAGTTTTTAATAAGCCTACATGTCAGTATACACAACTTATTCAAATATGGCCCAACACCCCATCCTATAAGGCAAATGAAGAATGTACAAAACATAAGTTATTGTAGATGATAAAAACTTAATTAGCAATTTGCCTCAAAAAGATTATATCTTTTTAAAAATGTCTGCCTCCATTGTTTGCTATAAATATTCATTCAAATACATAAAATATACTAAGCAGCATTTTGTCTGCATCCCATCAAGCAAATTCATTGAGGCGTAAGGGCTATATAAGCAGTGGAGCGGAAGACCATGCTATTACATGGATAAATGCTCCAGAGTTACTGAAGCAAGACAGAAACAATTGCAGGAACATGGGGTTCAGAATACACTGAGGCAACCATGTTTGTGGGCAGGGGAAAAGGAAGGGGATTGCTCATAAATAGGAAAACCAGGGATCCCGTGATATTCCATAAAATTAAGTTCAAGTGTTTAGTTTGATTCAGATAAATCATTCCTGTTATGCCATCTGCCTATCAGATATTTTATATTCATCAGGAAGCCATGACCATTTAACAGACGTATATAATGGAAAGCTTTATAGGATGATTTTCTTTTAATCACCCAAAGGTCTAATAGGGTGGTTGGCCTGCTTCCCTAATAAAATTTAAATAGCTTTTGCCTCAGGTCAAAGTGAAGTCGTCTGTCCTAAGAGGAGTTCATCTGTGACATGCATAATAGCTGCCCAGTCTCAAGAGGCCATTTGAGATTACTGCTTCTGTCGGGAAAATAAATAATCACAACACCACCACCCCCCCCACACACACACACCCCACAGGCATTGCAAGCAGCAGTTCACTAACCAAAACAAATTGCAGCCTGTAGTCTTGTCTTTGCCCTACTAAGGCTCCAGAGAGCAATACAACCTCCTTGTATGTCCCCCTGGCTTGGCACACCTGATTCTTCCGTTTCCCACTACAGAGGCAGACTTGCCCTGTGGATGAGACCCCAGCCAGACTCCAGCATCTCAGGGACTCTGCAGGCTCCGTTCTTAGCTCTCAAGCCCTCAGGCTGTGGCCTTAAATCTCTAGTGTGGTTCTGTGGCTTCCCTCCCATTTTCTACCACTCTGCAGCTTCATCCAATCTTCTGTTGTATTTTCTGTTTGGCTTTTAGTGGTGGCTTCGACCTTAAATTCTGACTTGGGAATCACCCCTCAGGCCCATTCTCCAATGCTGAGCCCAGATCCCAGGTCCCAAGGCCCTTATCTGGAAGGAAATTGGGCCTACCAGGTGATGAGCATCTAACTGGCTAATCACATAATAGAAGTGTGTATACACACATACACACAAGTTAATACATGTTTCCAACTATTTATGGTTGAGCCTCCCCAGTTACTTTTACAAGTAAAGCTCAAAAGATTTCCCCTGGACTTGCCTCCTCTGCCTCCACATCTTGGATCCATTTTCTCATCGTGAGTATCTTTCTATCCTTGTGGCATTAAAGTTTAATGGCTAAGGCTACTCTAGTATGTTTGAGTTCAAGTCCGGCATGAAAAAGTCTCTGTGTCTGTTCCTAAATTCCAAGGAACACATTTGATTGTATTTTACTGTCTTTAAATCTATCTCATGACATAATCTGAACCAATAGTTGTGGGCAGAAAATTTTTAAACATTGATACCTCCAAATTTCACCTGAAGCACATAGATTTTAAGGATTGGAGAGAATCTCCAAGGAAACCCTAGATGTGTTGCTGGAAGAAGAGAGAATAACTGATAAATTGCTTTATATTTTTGTGCCAGTTATTTAGATTAAGAAGTAGTTTCGATCCAACAGTTCCTAAACCCTCACAAAATCAGATAGTGAGCCTTAGCAATCATCTAGCTCCTGGCTATTCAAAATGTTCCTCATGGACTAGCCACAATATCATCACCAGGAAGCTTGTTAGAACTGCAGCATCTCAGAAACCCTGGACCTATTGAATCAGAATCTGCATTTTACCAAGGTATCCAATTTATACAGTAAAGTTGAAAGTTAATGATCCAGACTTAAATCTCAACATACAGCTCTGGAAACTGGGGTGAAGCTAATGAACAGTCTTGCTCAAAGTCATACAACTATTAAGTGGTAGAACTGGCACCAGAAATAGAATCCAGGTCTCTTGTCCTTTAGAGGTGGTTTCACTTCAAGTTGACATTACTTTGCATGGTGAACTCTTTTTCTTTCAATTATAATGTTTTTAATTATGTTTTTGTTATCAAGACATGCAAATCAGGGTATAAATCATTATGCATTTTGCATAGTGGTTCAGAAATACAATCAAAGAGGCCTGAATTTGGGTCTCAGCTCTAGCATTTGCTACCTCACAAATGTGGGAATGTTATTTGACCTCTGAAAATACAGTTCCCTCATGCACCTGCCTCAAAGATTACTCTAAGAATTGAAAGAGACAAGGCATCTATGCATATTACATATGTTTGAAACTTCATTAGCATCGGAGCCCATAAAGCTCAAAAACATTATTGTTATTATTTTCCATAGGATAACATTTTTCATCATTTCATTTTTCTTCATCCATATCTTTTTAGGGGTCAGCAATACAAAATAGGTAAAACTGATTACCTCCCATCAAGGAGAGTATACTCTGTCAGAGGAGATAGAGGAGCTACAAATTGAGCTGTGACAAACCCAAAGCCAACAGCATGAACATAGCACCTCCAAAGCACAGAGAGGAAGCAATTAATTTTGTCTAGAAAAGGAGAATAAGACTTCACAGGAAAAATTACAAGAGCCTGCCCCTTGATGTGAGCCTGGGAGTTCTTCAAGGTATTCCATTAAATTTAGTTTTTGAGAAATTAACAAGCCATTTGGTATTAACAGTTGGGAGCATTAAAAAGTTAATAAGATTGTCTCTCCATCAGGATCATAGAATCCTAAAATGTGGAGCTGAAAGTGATTTATGATGGAGGCTGAGATGTCTGCCTAATATTTCCCCACTCCCTTGCAGTGAAGTGGGGAACTGTCAGTAGTTGTCACTGATGAGCTGGGGGCAGAAGTGATGTGTGTGGATTCCAGAACAAAGTCCAGAAGAGAAGGCCAAGAACCCTTATTCCAGGTGGTGCACTTCAGTGACAGTGTGAAGCAGAGTCACCCATGGCCCAAGTCAGACAGGCTGTACAAATGAGAAATACATTTTGGTGGTGTTAAGTCATCAGATTTGGGGCTCACTTGTTGCCATAGCATGATGCAGATAATCCTGACTTAACATCTGATGTTAATGTTCATGGAAAGTGACTCTTCATTGTACAGTAGAGGGAAGGATGGCTTAGAAGAAGGGGCGGGGAAAGGGACTGGCCTCAGATGAGGTGGAGGACCCGGGTTGTTGCTAAACTTATCTAGATTTTTACTAAGCAGCAACTTATAATAATATTTTACCTGCTTACAAGACAATATTTTTAGAATGTAATCTTGAAATCCTCATAAGGACATGTTGTGGGAGGGATGCCGGTGGGAGGTGATTGAATCATGGAGGCCTTTCTTGCCTGTGGTGTTCTCGCGATGGCAAATGGGTCTCACGAGATCGGATAGTTTTATAAAGGGCAGTTCCCCAGCATATGCTGTCTTGCCTGTCACCATGTAAGATGTGGTTTTGCTCCTCCTTCGCCTTCCACCGTGAATGTGAGGCCTCCGCAGCAATGTGGAACTGTGAGTCAATTAAACCTCTTTCCTTTATAAATTATCCAGTCTCAAGTATATCTTTATTAGGAGCATGAGAACAGACTAATACAGTATATATACTGTAATCGGATTGTTTGTAATCCAAAGGATAAATGCTTGAGGGGATGAAGGCCCCATTCCCCAAGTTTATGTGGCCCATAAAACCTCAGCATGTCATTGGGTCATAATGCATTTCAGTATTACAAAAACAGTTATGAATTGCCTTAAGCAAAACAGACCCATCTGTGTGTCTTTGCATGCTACTTCAAAGCCACCCAACCATCTAAAACCAAATTTCTCAGGAATAAATCGGCAACAAGGTTGAGTCCCAGAGATTGTCATTTTTAACCTCCAGCAAATTTTTGCAGCTGAGTGGTAAACTCCTCCCAAACATTTCTAATGGGAGGCTGACAGACTTCTAACAAAAGAACAAAAGCAGTTCCAATGCGCCACTATAATAACCTACTTCTTTTGATTGCATTTATTTTTAATGATTATTTTCCCTGTATGCCAATCCAACCTGTGCTGCCAACCCAGAGAGAGGGGGAGGGGAGGAAGACAAGGATCCAGTACGTTGTCTTGGGCTGCACTGCCACCTAGAGGTACTAGGATAACCAACCTGCTGCTGTCAGGGCAACGGCAGCTGTGGAGATAATAGGGGACCCTTTCTTCCACTGCATGGGGCTGGGCAAAAGAACCTACATTGTTCCCCCAGTTTCATTTAAACAAAGCCGATTATGAAATCAAAAAGCATGACCATGGGTATGTTTGTGAAAATTATTATTGGCCTGAAAGTGGGAGGTCCTTTAAGGAATGGTTCTGAGGGACAATTGGAAAACGGTTTTCTCTGCAGTTCTTTTCATTACAGAGGTTAGATTTGATTTGCAGCTTGAACTGAATTGGCCGAAAATCATTTGGAAATGGAATGTTACAAAAGTCTGAATAGGTCCATATGGTCAGAACTGCAATTCGATTGCAAAAATGGAATTTATTGGAAAGTTACTAGGATCAATTCAGAGGACAAGAAGTATTGTGGGGACAGAAAAATGGACAAAGCCAATGACAACTTGTTGCATACTTAAGTTCTGCAAATGACAGAATTGGACAGATATATTCCTGGTAACTGTCACTATCTTGAGGGCAAATTCAAAAGCCTTCTTGTTGATAAGGTCTTTATTTGGCTTTCTCCTCAGGCGATGTCAATTTGTGCACGAATGCAAACCATTTTAAATAAACATGAGAAATTTGTATTTCATGAAGAAATTATTTCAACAGTATTCATACAAACACAAGTTCAGGGAAAAGATAATTTCGGCAGGCTTTTGCAAAGATAATGATTTAGTCAACATTATTAATGATACTTGCAATAGGAAACAGGTAAAAAATTGAAACAAATCATTCCTGACCCCAGGGATTTTCAGCTGCAACCTCTTCATGACATTTTAAGCCAGTAATAATGGCTCCTCCTTGAACTTAAGGAGCACATGTACATCAGTAACGCATTTCAGGGACTACAGACCATGTGGCTGCCTTTGTTTGCATAAATTCTGTGAGAGCAAAAAATGATGTGGAAAGGACAACAAAGCAAATCCACAGAATAGGAAAAAAAGTATTTGGCAGTGCAAAAATTTCAAAGCACAAAATTCAAAACTAGGCAAATTAACAATCCCACTCCTTGGAAGACATGGTCATTTTCAGAAGGGCAAAACTTGCCACAGTTAACTGTATTTTTGAGGACTCACTAGGGTTCTGGTGCCAGCTCAGTTCTTTACTCATTTTGTCCTGAAACAAGCACATATGATGAGTCCTATCATATTTCCATCTTACAGATGAGGATTGGGAGGCACAGAGAGGCTAAGCAAACTTGGAGGTAAAGCCTGGATCCAGACCCAGGTAGGTAGTGTGTCTCCAGAGTCCTTATTTGTTTGTTTGTTTTGTTATAGAGAAAGGTCTTGCTTTGTCAGCCAGGCTGGAGTGCATTGGCATGATTATAGCTCATTGCAGCCTCAAACTCCTGTTTGGCTCAAGTGATCCTCCCACCTCAGCCTCCTAAATTGCTAGGATTACAGATGGATGCCACTATGCCTGGCTATTTTTTTTTTAATGTTTTGTTGAGATGAAGTCTCACTATATTGCCTAGGCTGGTCTCCAACTCCTGGCCTCAAGAAATCCTCCCACCTTGGAGTCTCAAAATGCTGATATTACAAGTGTGACCACCAAGCCCAGCCTCAAGTCTGTACTCTGAAATACTAAATTTAACACTGTCTCCTTGAAAAATATTTTCTATAGGACAAGTCAAGAGACTGTAATGCTTTTTTCTGTGCAGTCGTTCAAGATGGTGTCTCAGAAAGGTGATTTTGTGAAGGTCATTGCTTGTATCTGCTGCCACTCTAAAGACTTTCTTTACTTCTTGGATTCCAGTTCAGGTCAGATCATCTAGCTGGTAACAAGGGCCATAAACCCTTATCATTGTTCTTAGACCCAATGTTTGTTTCTCCTGGATCCTTCTCTGCTTGGACCTGAACTAACCTATTTTTCAGTCAACCCATAAGGAATTTCCTTTTTCCACCCAGCATTCCTGTATACTTCCTCCTCCTAGTCTTGGGCAAAGGTGACTTTTCTGAGGTCAATTAGGGTACCAGGTCTGAGGTAGGTGTTCGATAAATATTTGAATAGAATCAATGGAGGCGTTTCCAAAGCTTAATCAGGCCAGAGGCATTTTTCAATATTGATGGGGTCCCTGGCAGTACTTCTAACCTCATCCTGGGTCCCAGGTGGTTGAAGACAGAAAGTGGTCAATTGGCCAAAGGCATTCATTGTTCCTCCCAAGGTGCCCTCTGAGAGAATTGAAACCCTGAAAATACTCAATAATAAGAATTACTGATTCAAAAAAAAATCAGCCAAGGGAAATAAGGCTCATCTGCAAATGTCATTAAACTGAATGCCTCTTTGTTGTACCTTGTAGATCCTTCTAGCTAGTGAGGGTGAAAGGGAGGTCCTATCAATCCTCACAGCTGCCACTGTTCATACAACATATTGAGTTGGCAATAGCTTTAATTATTGTCTCATGCTATCAGGATATATTAAAATCTAAATTATCCATTGGGTTGGAGAAAAGGAAAATGGAGGAATATGAAATTTGGAGGTATACTCTTAATACTAATCCCTTGGGACTGTAGCTTGTGTTCCTCTCATTCAGAAGTATTGACTGAATGACTGAAAAAAGAACCAACAGATCAACCAATGAGGAAACAAGTAAATGAAGAAACCAAGATGTCCCCGACCAATCAAAGGTAAAATGTTGCCATAGGCAGCTCTGCTTGTACCTCTATGCAATGGACAAACAAGGAGACCATTTTCTCCTTGTACATAGGCAGTGTCTGGAGCCAGGATGTATATGCTAACTAGTGACCTAGCTGGCCTGATCAGGAGTGGGCAGCTCCAGCAAGCCTAACTCCACAGAGCCAGAGAGCATTCATAACCTCGTGTCCAGGAGAGAGTGCCAGCCGATAGAAGCCAGAAGTGTGCTTCTGCAATGAATCATCAGGATAAAGGAGGTTGGTGGTAGGTATTGGAAATCAAGAGAAAGAGCCAAGGTGAAGATCCAAGAGGTTAGAGAGCCACAGAAGGTTAGCCAAGCAGATTAGAGTAGGTGGGCAGGAGGACAGCCTGTGCCAGCACCGGAGACCACAAGTATTTTGCATGGCTGGGCTTTCTTTTGGCTTTGTGTTTATTTTTTTAAATGGGTAATACATATACATGGAGCCAATCTCAGAAGGTTCCAAAAGGGATACCAAGCAGTAGTCGCATTCTCACTCTTGTCTTCCAATTCCCCAGTTCTCCTCTCCTGAATTTCTTCTGTATCCTTCCATAGATAGCCCATGCATAAGTAAGCATATGTGTATCCACAACCTTTATACCACAAACCATATCATAGTATACATATCAGTCTGTAGCTTTCTTTTTCACTTGACAATACATCTTAGACATGGTTCCAGAGCAGTATATGTAAAGCTGGTTCATTCTTCCCTGAGGCCTTATAATACTCCATTGTATAGGTGTACCATAATATATTTAACTAATTTTTAAATGAATATGTAGGTTGTGTTCCAATAACGCTGCAATGATAAGGCATTTTGGATATGTGTAGACATATCTGTGAAAGTGAAGCTGCTGGGTTACAGAATATGTGCACCTTAAATTGTGATAGATATTGCCAAGTCACCCCCTGAATGGGTGATATCAGTTAATACTCCAAACTATGCATGTGCCTGTTTCTCCCAAATACTTCCCAACAAAATTTACTATCAAACTTTTTGCAATTGCCAAGTTAATCAGTAGGAAAAGTGATATATCATTATGGTTTTAATATGCATTTTTCTTATAATGTATGATATTGACAAACTTCTTATGATAAAAATTGACACAGATGTAAATTTATTAGGACCCATTTGAGAGGCCTCCAATCAAAGGGGCCAATCAATATTCTGGGAACCAACCAAGAGACCTGGGTTTGAAGTTTGAGATACGGTCTCACTGATGAAGCACCTACAATGTGCAGATATATTTGCTCCTCAGGTAGAATTTTGCTGTTCCACAATGCTGTTATTTATCAGAAACAACCCTGATTAAATGATTTTTCTAAAGCTACCTTTCTGATAAGGGGAAGAGCTATATCCATGTCCCAGTCAACTGGACTCCACACCCTGTGCTTTTTCCGAGTCCTAGTTTTACTAACTGCTACCTTGGAACCAAAAGCCCAGTAGATCTGGGATCAGAAAACCTGGGTATGTACATCAGTCTGCTACTCACAGGCCATGTGACCTTGAGTAAATAACTTAACCTCTTTGGTGGGGTCTCAGTTTTCTCAACTAATTTATCAAAAAAACTGTAGTTGTTACCTCAAAGTCCTTTCAGGTCTCAGACTTTTAAGACTTTGTAATATGGCAAAAATTCTGATGTCTAATGGGTAAAAGAAAAGCAAGCGTCCTGGATTATCCAAATGCATCATCTCCCCATCTCCTAAAAATTGAGAGCTGATATATTTAAACACCTCATTTAGAAAATGACTGCCACCTTAAGCTCCTTCCTAGACACCACCAGCACTGTGAAGGAGGCACTTTTCTGCTTTTGTTCATCTCTTTAGAACTGTTCCTCAATCACTCTTTTTTCTTTTCTCTTTTTTTGCTTTTTCCCATTACCCATGTACAGAGTCACCTTAGGCTAAGGAAACACAACTGAAGAGAAACTAATTTTCTTCTAGACTACGGTTCATCTGAGTGTCGTTTCTTTGTTTTTAACATTTTGAAGCGGTCTGCAGCCTCCTCTCCAAAGTAAGGACAGGCTGGTGAGAGGAAGCGGAGACAGAGCTTCCCAATGGCCCAAGGATCCCAGGTGAGCAAATCCCTTTAGAGAATAAAGTTGTCATGCTCTTTAATGGTGAGATTCTTTAAGAAGAAAAAACAAATCTCTGCAAATTGTTGCTCACATTTGTATCACTCCTTGACCTAAGTAGCACATACTTCACTTCATTTGGTGTTCATTTAGTGTTCTATGCAGAGAATGGGGAAAACAGCCTGGCAAATAACTAGAAAGAACATCCACTCTGATCATCGGCCAGGTGTCAAGCAATGTGCAAAGCACTTAACTTTCTTTACTTTTTAATCTAAATAGTCTTTAATATAGATAAGATAGATATGGAAACTAAAACTCAAGATATGTTTGTAAGTTGCCCAGGGTCACAGAATTAGGAAGTGGCAGAAGTGGAATTCAAGGCCAGGTCTGTTAGATTCCTAAGCCCATCTGTATACAATATTGGGTACAATGACCTCTGTTCCAACTCAGCAATTCCTAGGTCTTAAAAGTCATCTAGACATGAATTCTCAAGGGGGGGTGATATTGTCCCCAAGAGGGGAGAATTGTTTCTCGGGGGGGAGGGTGAGAGGAACCTTACTTTTTAAATGTATAAAACACAGCTATGTGCACAGTTCATAAACATATATGTAATATATCTGTGGCATTAACATTTCCTGGGCAGAGGACAATTAGGAAAATATGCCTAAAAAGACTTTTTTGTGGGAAAAAGTTTTAAAACTTGAGAAACACTGATCTAGACATATCCCTGATGCAGCTCTTGGGTGCCTCATGCTGTGTCATGTTGCCTCCTGTTTGTCTACTTGTCTCTTTCCATCAGACATATAAACCTCTTCAGAATTGAGGACTGCTAAATTTGACATTACCAATCGGTGGGCAGCTACTTTTAAAATTGCAGCCACTCCTAGTTATTTTACAAAGAAGAGGTTGGAAAGCATTCAGATTGGGCTCTATCAAGGTGTGAGCCCACCTCCAAGTGTCCACTAGGCTGAAGCGGGCTGGCCACCACCATCTGATTGGGTTCCAACCATCTCCTCATCCTGCTCTTGCTGCTCCTTGCTCTTCCGCTCTCCCCAGACTTCCACTCTCCTTACTCCATCTTCTTTTTCATCTCCTCTAAAGTTCATAAAGGAAATGGTCTGACCTTGAATTTAGAGGATGAGATCCACCTGAGTACGTTCACTGGCACAAAAGGTGAGGCCACTGTGGTTCCCCACCTCCCTTCACCAGCTCAGCTCTCCTGTGTAAAATAAGATCTGGGGAAATGACTACACCTTAATTCAGCCCAACCTGAATATGTAAAGTACACGAAAGAAGCCGGGAAGTGTGGATGCTGAAGAAATAGCGTATGATCCAGGGCTCTAAGGAGCTTATGCTCTCTGCACCCCGTTTTTCCCTAAACGTACGTTCAGACAGAACTTTCTTACCTTTTCCTGATTTCTTCAGTTTTCTTCATCTCGGTTAAGGATCCCAAAGCAACTCAGAACAGAACCCTAAATATTTTCGTAATTCCTTAAATAATTAAAAAAGTGGCCTTCAGTTCTCCGATGCCAATCTCAATTTCTACCTACTGGAAACTGTAAAGATTTTTAACATTTCCTTTCCTTGCAGTTTTTCCTGCAATCAGTTTCCTCATTGAAAGTGTAACAGGTGTATATAGCCATGGAGGCCACCTGCCCTTGACTGCTGTTCTGAAAGTGGAGACACCTGTGGGTAAAGTGGAGCGATCACAAAAGCTCTTAATGTTACTGCTAGACTGTGAGATCCTAGAGGGCAGCAGCTGTGTCTTGTTCATCTGTTTGGTCCTCTCCTCCCTACTACACACACACACACACACACACACACACACACACACACACACACACACACACACACACACACACTTGAAGCAACAGAAATTGATCCTCTCCCAGTTCTGTAAATCAGAAGTTTAAAATCAAGGTGTTGGCAGGGCCAGGCTTCCCTGAAGGCTCCAGGGGAGAATCCGTTCGATCCCTTTCTCTTGGCTGTTGGTGTTACTGGCAGCCCTTGGCATTCCTTGTCTTGAAGACACATCACTCCAGTCTGTCACATGGTGTCCTCCCTGTGTGTGCCTCTACATGTTTTTCCCTCTTTATGTATGGACACCAGTCACATAGTGTTAGGGCCCACCCTAGTCAAATATGACCTCATTGTATTTTGAGGACATCTTCAAAACCCTTGCTTCCAAATTAGGTCGTATTCACTGCTACTGGAATTTAGGTTTTGGCATATATTTTAGGAAATATAATTCAATTTGCAACAGTGCCTTAATGAAAAAATGAGTAAATAAGTACATACTTCACAGAAGAAAGGAGAAAAACAGGGAAGGAGGGAGGGAAGGAGGGAAAGAAGGAAGAAAGGAAGGAAGAAGGGAGGGAGGGAGGGAAGGAAGGAAGGCAATTTTTCATAATATTTAAAATATTCTATAAAGAAAAAAATAACCATCTCAGCTAAGTTTCCTGAGTTGATGTTCTGATGAGTCATTATGTGATTTGTATTCCTTTGTAAAACTGTCTCACATGAACAAGTCTTTCCCCCTAAGTCTAGTGATTAATTTCCTATCTTTATGCGTATTAGGGTTCTTTTTAAAAAGAAAATTACCTGATAGTCAGTGCTGTGCATTAATGCCATTAGGAGCTTAGGTTAGGATCTTGTTTACTTGTTTGTTAATGAGGGAAATAATTTTATTTCTATGCTTAAGAGAATCACTAGTAATCAAGTCATATGCATCTAGTTCTTCTTCCCTTTCTGACTTGAAGCTTAGCCCCACGTCCCTCTGTACCCACCAAAAAGAAAGAAAAAAATACAAAGAAGGAAGGATGGAAGAATGGAAGGAAGGAAAAAGAGAGAAAAAACAAAACAAAAAAAGAAAGAGTGGAGGAAAGCAACCCCACACTGTCGGTTCTTGTTGCTGCAAAGCAAGAGGAAGTGTGGCGTCTTGAACTATCAGTCTGAAGACAGGAGGCCTGGGTCCTGGGTCCAGTTCTGAAACCACAATGACAACCACAGGCTACCCCTGATTACCAGCTACTTCACCAATTAAAACAAGTGTGTGCGTAATCTCCAAACTCATTCTCAGCACTAGTGCTTGATAACTGCTCATGGACTGAATCTATGGAGATGACAAAGTTTCTCCCCGTCTCTGCTCCCACCACTGCCCACTAAATTAGGAAATCAAGAATTAGTTCTTAGAACTGCAGAGCTTCCAATAGCCAAGACTAATGGGGAAAAAGACCCTATAGAAACTATAGTCTTTCTAAAACAAGAACGGCAAGAGTCCTGATCCAGCCCAAGGAAAAGACCATTGAGACGGTCACCTTGAATTTGAAACATAACATTAGCCACCTTACAGTGTCATCCCCTCCTTCCAAGCGCTTCAGCCTGGTGAGTTCAGACAGTAGAAAGGGAGGATGTTTCCTGGGTTTTTTTTAAAAACACACATTATAATCATTAAGTCATGAGGTATTTTCTTCTCCAAGAGCATTATGACTTAAAAGTCTGGGTGATCTATTTTTTGTTTATCTTTTATTTTTATTTATTTATTTTTTAAATTTTATTTTAAGTTCCGGGATACTGTGCAGGATATGCAAGTTTGTTACATAGGTAACTGTGTGCCATGGTGGTTTGCTGCAACTATCAACCCATCACCTAGGTATTAAGCACTGCATGCATTAGCTATTTGTCCTAATGCTCTCCCCACAACTCCACCACCTCCCGACAGGCCTGGTCGTGTGTTTTTTCCCTCCCTGTGTCCATGTGTTCTCATTGTTCAGCTCCCACTTATGACAGAGAGCATGCAGTGTTTGGTTTTCTGTTCTTGTGTTAGTTTGCTGAGGATGATGGCTTCCAGCTTCATCCATGGCCCTGCAAAGGACATGATCTCATTCTTTTTCATGGCTGGGTGATCTTTAAGACATGCATTGGCTGAGGCAGGGTACTGTAGTGCAAAGATTCTACCAGACCTAGGTTTGAGTCCCAGCTCTGTCATGTTAGCCCTTAATTAACTTTGCTAAGCCACTCGACCCGGCTAAGCCTGTTTCTTTATCTGTTAAAACAGGAGTTATTGCAAGCATAACATGAGAAAACATGTCAAAAGCTTATAGGACACAGTCAACACTTAGGAAATACTAGCTTTCCTGTCTACAATAAGAAATGGATATCTTATTTGTGCCTTCCAGAATATGAGCTAAGCACAAGTCTGATTGATACTCTATGGGTGGATTTCTAGCATCATTTACGATAGACCATCAGCACACAGTCAGTTGTATTATGCCTCCATGTATGTTAATAATTCCTCTGTGTGCTTGATCAGTACTCCCATTGACATTTCATTGAGTCTCAAATCTCAGGAATTATAAACTTCTCCAAAGGCCGTATATGTTTATAGCCATTTGAACACTTCTAAAACAATAAGAAGTACGAAGACAAACCAGTGTCTGGTGGGGAAATCCTGTGGGAACCCACATTCTCCTGCTGCTAAACAGCTGGAATTTACTACTGCTTCCATTTTCTCCAGTTGATGAGAAGATAGCCTTTTCTATGATCTTGTGAACTAACCAATATGTTCTTCAAGAATAAGAAGTATACCTTCTTTGTTTTATTTTCTCTCCAGCAGTTCAAAGACTTCTCTTCCTAATCATTGCTGTATAAATGTTTAGTTGGCCAAGTCAAGTTGTGGTCATTTACATAAATTTAATGTTTGAAATGACAAGTTGCTCACTTACTGCTCTCAAAGGACATTTAGGAATTTTTAAAAATCACCAACACACCTCATTAGAAGGTTAAAAAGAAAAATATTAAAGAATAAAACTTTCTTCCTTTAAAAAATTTATGTCACCTAGTAACATGAAAATTGTGAAAATAAAAAGATAATCATATATAATTATTACAGATGTTGCAATAAACAGAATAATGGATCCCCATAGTACAAGTCCACAGAAACTCTGAATATGTTACCTTACTGTCAAAAAGGATGTTGCAAATGTAATTTAGGATCTTGAGATGGAAAGACTCTCCTGGATTATTCAGGTAATCTCAATTCAGTCACAAGGTCCTTGTAAGGGAAAGAAGGAGGCAGTAGTGTCAGAGTCTGAAGAGATGTGAGGACAGAAGCTGAAACTGGAATGATGCCATGGCTGGAAGGGGCCATAAGCCAAGGATAGCAGGTGGCCTCTAGCAGCTGGAAAAGACAAGGAAGGGATTCTCCCCTAGAGCCTCTAGAAGGAAGGCCATTCTGCTGACACCTTGATTTTAGCTCATAAGAACCATTTTTGTATTTCTGGCCTTAAGAACTTTCATTGTTTTAGGTCATGAAGTTTGTAAGGACTCATTAGAGCAACAATAGGAAAGTAATACAGATCAAGTAGAAAAACAAGACCTATATAACAGACAAATTTTTTAGCTTTTTGATAAATTAATGGATGAATTGTATATATATATATACATACACACACACATACTATATATATATACTATATACTATATATACTATAGTATATACTATATACAATATATATACTATATATACTATATACAATATATATACTATATACTATATATATAGTATATAGTATATATATATACACACACACACACACACACACTATATATATATATATATATATATATATATATATACACACTATATATATATTTTGAAGCCAGAGTCTCACTCTGTCACCCAGGCTGGAGTGCTGTGGTATGATCTGGGCTCACTGCAACCTCTGCCTCCCTGGTTCAAGAGATTCTCTCACCTCAGCCTCCCAAGTAGCTGGAATTGCAGGTGTCCACCACCATGTCTGGCTAATTTTTGTATTTTTTGTAGAGACGAGGTTTCACCATGTTGGCCAGGCTGGTCTCGAACTTCTAACCTCAGGTGATCCGCCCACCTCGGCCTCCCAAAGTGCTGAGATTACAGGCGTGAGCCACCACGCTCAGCCTATATCTTTGAACCTTAGCAAAACGGTCTCATCCAAAGGCCATTGGGTAACTCACAGAATTGATAGGAAGCCTTGACAGAACCCCCTGAAGATTACAGACAATAAGCTTCAGAATCCCAGGGAGTATAGCTAACACCACGCCCCAGAGAGTCTAGAGTCCAGTCAGGATGTTCCCTGTGCTGGCCTGCCATTACAGCACCGTGATTTGAGTGATTCAATACCTGCCCTTCAAGTTTGCATTGCTCCTTTAGAGCTGGGTGCTGGGCTCAAGCATGGTCTGTGCTAAGTCTAGGTTACACACCTAAACCCCAGGTTCAGGAGATAGGGAGAGGCAGTGTTCTTTCCTTTCAGCTTCTCTAGTGATATGTAGAGTTCTGCTTCCCACTAATATTCACAGAGTGAGAGACTCCCCTTAAAGAAAAGGGTGACCAGATGCCAGTTTAAAAAAAAAAAAAAAAGAAGTGGCAAATGTCTACCACAGGGTCTGATCATCTGAGTCATCTAATTTCTTGATTATTAATCAATAAATTTAAAATATGGTGAAGACTCATTTGCTTGTAGTTATTAAAAACACAGGCAAGTGACGTAAAAGTGTTTTAATAAAATGCAAATATATGTTAGAGAAAGTTTTCTTTTTTTGTTTGTTTTTGAGACAGAGTCTCACTCTGTCACCCAGTCTGAAGTGCAGTGGTGTGATCTTGACTCACTGCAAGGTTCCACTCACTGCAAGCTTCAAGCAATTTTCCTGCCTCAGCCTCCCAAGTAGCTGTTTACAAGCATCCACCACCACGCCTGGCTAATTTTTTGTATTTTTCGTAGAGACAAGGTTTCACCATGTTGGCCAGGCTGGTCTTGAACTCCTGACCTCAGGTGATCCACCTGCCTCTGCCTCCCAAAGTGCTGGGATTACAGGTGTGAGCCACCACGCCCGGCCGAGAAAGTTTACAAATTGCATTCCATAGAACATTAGTCTTCCTCTTCCCTCACTCCCTTCTTTTCTTCTTTCCTTCTTTCACTCTTTTCCTCATTTTTTCCTTTATTTATTGAGAACAAGCTTGATTTTAGCTGCCTAAGAGTTTGTAAGAGACCCTCTGGGTGTATCAGTTGAAAATTGATGGGTTCGTTTTTGGAAACAGGGGGCACCAGAGATGGGCAACCTGGGAAGATGAGTGTGAGCTGAGGACTGGACATCCAGCAGCAACATAGGCAGGGAGAGTTTGCCACTTTGTGATTCTTTTATTCCTTTCTTTTCTTTCCCTTCTTCTCCTCCTCCCTTCCCTTCTTCCTCCCTCCCTTCCCTCCTTTGCTCCTTTCCCTCTTCCTTCTTTCCCTTCCAATTCTCCTTTCTCTTTCTTTCTCTTCATGGCCAAACACTTTCTCTTGGGACAGATAAAACCAGAATGCAGCATCATGTAAAAAAGATTGCATTAGCATACTTAAATTCCCAGGACCCTCGGTTCTTTAGGGATGCCTAATGGCTGGTATCACTGCTTACCAAAGTCTTGAACTTGATGGAACTTATGTTGAGAACTAAAGTTTATATTTTTAATTTTTATCTTTCAATTCTATTTTTCCACAAACTTTTTTTTTTTTGAGATGGAGTTTCGCTCTTTGTTGCCCAGGCTGGAGAGCAGTGGCGTGATCTCAGCTCACTGCAACCTCCGCCTCCCGGGTTCAAGCAATTCTCCTGTCTCAGCCTCCCAAGGAGCTGGGGTTACAGGCACCCGCTATCATGCCTGGCTAATGTTTGTATTTTTAGTAGAGACGCGGTTTCACCATATTGGTCAGGTTGGTCTCGAACTCCTGACCTCAGGTGATCCGCCCACTTTGGTCTCCCAAAGTTCTGGGATTACAGGTGTGAGCCACTGCGCCTGGCCTCCACAAACTTTTTGAAGTCCTCTCATACAGTGTAGGAGAGATCAGGTTTTTTGAGACTTTAAATATCTTGAAAATGTCATTATTATTCACATTTTATTAATATTTTGGCCGGGTGTAGAATTACAGGTTAGAAACAATTTTCCTTCAGAAATTGGAAGGCATTGCTTCACTGTCTTCTTGCTTTCTGTGTTTCTGTTGAGATCTATACAACCGTTCTAATTCCTGTTTTCCAATTTGTTTTCTTTTTTTTCTGGAAACTTGGAGAGTATTTTTCTCCAGACGTAGGGCTCTACTGACAGTATACTCTATTTCCATCCATTCTCCTGGGTTCTAGGTAGGCTGTTTCAATGTAACAACTCACACTCTTTAGTTCTGGATATTTTGTCTTGAATAATTTATGATTATGCCATCCTATTTTCTCCATTTTATCCTTCTGGAACAACTGTTTTTGGACATTGGACATCCTTCCTCTCCTGTCTTCTCTTTGTGCTCTTCTTTCTGCAAGGCACCCCAAATTTATCTTCCAAAGTTTATTTAGTTGTTGTTGTTGTAACTTCTCTCATGTTTTTAATTTCTAAAAGCTTATTTTTGTTCTATGAATGTCCTTATTGATAATACCTTGTTCTTGTTTCCTGGCTGCAATAGTTACATCTATCTCTCTGAATACATTGATATATTTTTTTTTCCTCTCTGCATACGTTCTGTTTCCCTGTGCTGATATTTTTCTGTTTTGTTTGTTTGTTTTGGTCTGCATTTTCCATGTTAAGAGGCTTTCCACAAATACCCAGTGATCCTTGGATTGCTCAGGGGAGCTAAAAACCTGATTTAAAGTTCTGAATGTGGGGAAGAACTTGTCAACTTTGAACCTTACTGTAGGGTGATCAGGGGAGCCATTTGTTGTAAACATACCTGATGTCAATATCTTTAGGGCTTTCCTCTTGTTAGGTCAGCCCTTCGGAGAAAAGTCTCTCAATCTCTGGAGGATAAAGGATCAGTGTTACGAAAGCTGAGTGAGGAGTATTAGCATTTAGCATTCGGCACTCAGAATAGATGATGTCATCAGTTCCGCCAAATTTTGAACAGCACCAACACGTGTGACTGCACCCAGTGGCATTCCTCACTCTAGAAGCCCTCTGTTTTTCTCACTCAAGAAAACACATCACCAGACTCCGCACAGGGTAATAATGGTGTAGCATGGGAGAATGGTGTAGCATGGGAGAAGCAGCAGGACAGAGCTGCTTCTCAGACTGCATTCACACCACTTTGCCTCACAGCACCATTTGAGGTACCAACTTGTATCACTTCCTGAGTCTTCTGAGAAATCCAGGATGTATATCTGAATTGTTCACAACTCTCCCCCAGGACTGACCTAGGATTCAGCTTTCTTAGGTGTGTTAACTTGGAACTCAATTATATCAATATTCCATTATCCATCTGCTTTCCAGCTTCACAATTTTGATGGTATTGTCTTCTGTTCTTGTGGATAGATTTAAAAGTCCCTTTGACTCTATTATTAATGGGATTTTAGGAAGGAGAGAAATGATATGCTATGTCACCCTAGAAAGCATTCAATATTTCTCATTCTTAACCAAATTAACCTCAATCTTATGCACAGTTTGCTAATCTGTGGATGTTTTGCTGTTGGATTTGTATGTTTTAGTTTTGCTTTTACCTTTTCTTGCTTCCTCAGTGTCTATGGCTCTAAAAGTGCTAATTAAATGAGAGTGGTTTCGAGGCAATAACAAGGCAGGAGGTGGGCTGAAACATATTCCTGCAAGGGCCATATTTTACTTGACCTTCAATACTCCTGGCAGGCAAGAGTTTTGGCCACATGCATTCTTTTTCTTCTGCGACATTTATCTCCCATGGTGTTAGCACCATACTCCCCTTGCTTGGAGCCTCAAGGGGAGTGTATCAGTAAACAGAGATGGGGTGGAGTGAGGAAGACAAAGCAGGAGGGCCCAGCCTCCCTTCCCACAGCGAGCTTCCAGGCTGAAGCAGACCCGAGCTGGAGGAGGGAGAAGACTTGGCACCACCAAGTTGGGCTTGGCATTTTGATTACTACATGGGAATTCTCATCTGAATATATGTTTGCAACTTAAACATAGTATATGTTTTTAACCCAGAGCAAGGATCCTGACCATGAACCAGCTCATTGGGTCTGTAGATAGAAATCCCTATTTCAATCTTGAATAATACAAAAAAAATTACATGTTTATTTTCAGTAAACTCTAACTTAAACTTAACATTTCATTTAATATGAAAGGCTGGCAACTAAACCTTGGTAGTATTATCAGCACCTGTGAGTGTCACCAAGAGAAATCACAGATATTTATAGCTCACCGAAGTCTTGCAGATGTCTTGAAATACTGTTTACCTTCATCCCTAAGTCAAAATCATGGTGGTTTTAAGACCTATCACCAGATCTTGTAGTTTCATGTGCCATTAAAGCAGCAGTAATCCTGCTAGTATCACAAATTTCAAAAAGTATTTTGGAAACAGTTTTTCAATATCATTGGTTTTCTTTAAAATACTTATTTTATTCATTCAAAAACATGATTCTGAGAGGTTCCTGGGCTTCAAAGAGGTCCGTGGCACAGTAATCTTAAAACCCTGATCTAGAGGAATCAGAAAAGTCATGAGCCTGCTGAAGTGTGCATCCATGGAGGAGAAAGTTTACCCCCCACTCAATAAAGTGTAAAAGGAGGCTGGAATCACTGGACATGCCAGGCACACAAGGGAAGTGATCATGACAACCCAGTCTAATAAAGTGCTGTGATGGGCACTGGGGCAGATATGCATGGAGGAGAGGATCTGGCTCAGACTTTGGGGTTGGACACAGCTGCTGGAAGTGATCTCTGATTTGAGGTGTGCAGGATGTACAGAAGTTGGGTAGGGAAACTCGAGTGGACAATGGTATTCCAAGCAGAAAGCAAAGCCTAAGTAAACAGCTGGAGGTGAGCGAGCATGGAGTGTATAAGGAACAGTTTCCTGTGCCCCAGTGTAGACTTCAGGATGGAGAAATGTGGGAGGAGGCAGAATGTGGAACTTCCTTTTGTTTACGAGTTTGATGTCGACCCCCAACAGAATGTAATCTCTTTGAGAGTCTGTCTTATCCACTGTGTATCCCCACTGTCTAGAATAGTACTCAGGACACAGTGGGGCTCAGTAAATATTGACTGACTTGGTGAGTGAACAGGCAGGAACCAGATCACAGAGAGCCTTCGACATCATGTTAAGAAGATTTTAGATTTTATCTAAAGGGTAAAACATCCATTTCTAAAATGAGCAAGAAGAGATTTGTGGCAAATTAAATAACATAAATTTTACCCCTAAAATCAAACAGGAACTACTCATAAGACTCTCTTTGAAAAGGTAATTATCCAGCTCTCAAGTTCTACTCCATTGCCCAGCAATGGGAAAACGTGCAGGAAAACTTGGACTTAAAGATATTCAGAAAGCCAACATCCCAAGGACAATGAGGAACTCTGTAAATCTTAAGTCAAATGCTGTGAAATGTGGCTCATGAACTACCAGCCAGACAGATCACAAGTTAAAGGGCCTTACAACTAAATTCCCACCTCTACAAAAAATTAGTATAAACTCACAAATAAATCTTACATGTGGATGCAAAAAAAAATTGCAGAGAAAAATAAAGAAAATGGTTATTCCTAGAATTTTGCATTTGAAAATTTATCTTACTCTGTAATATCAAGTTGAAGTATTTTTATCTTTTTCTCCATTTTCAGCTATGGAAACATATTTTAATGCTGGTCTCTGGAAAGAAAAGTTGTTCTTTTTATTTTAAATCTTGCAAAATGATATGCTTTCCTGGGGATTCATTCCCATCGTGTGGATTTGGGGATGTATCTATGGGCAATCTTTCTTTTTCAACAAGCTATTAGTCATATTATAAAGTTTGGTTTCCATTTAGTTAGAGAATTCCATTATCCCACTACCACTTTTGCTATCATTTAGATTCAAAATCCCAGTCAGACTCTAATATATTCCTCATTCCTTCCACTACTTGATCCTAGCAGCCATTAGTAAATGGAGATCCTACCCTAATCATGATTCCATTCACACTTTTCCATTCTAACTTTCAGACCCTTATTTCTCTCTCAGTTGTTTCCTCCTCTGTTAATCCACCCTACACAATAACCTATCCTATATGATACCCCAACTTTGTGTCCATTGAAACACCAAGAAAGTACGTGAAAGGTAGTCAATGAACTTAAGTCAAAGAGAATCCTCTAAAATGTTCTATCCCCCATGTGACCTGGCACACTTTTGGAGTTCTGTTATTCATTGGTGGCCGTACCCAGGGTTTTGAACAAGACTGATGCAGCCAATGGTGCTGCAAAAATGTTTTGTTTTTTTAATTGAGGGCAATCAAAGTGTCAGGCATGATTCAAGACCTTTACATACATTAACTCATTTAGTTCTCAGAACAACTCCACAAGAAAGGTACTGTTACCATTCTTATTTTACAAATAAAGAAGCTGGGATACACAGAGGTTAAGTCCCTTGTTCATAGTTACCCTACTACATCTGAGGCCAGGTTCAAACCAGGCAGGCTGGCCTCAGAGCTCATACCCATTGATATTATACTGCCTCGTACTTATATTGTCCACCATCATCATGTATGTGTGTCTGTGTGTGTGTGTTGGTGGTGGTGGGTGTTGGCAGACACTCTTTGCAAAGCCTACCTTATTTAACCAGTTAATTCCTTGACCATCCATTCAACAATTAGGACAATTAAAGTATCAAGCACTGCATACAACAGAAGGGAGGCGGCAGTAGACAAAAGTGGCTAAGGACATGGGGCATCTGTCTATGTAATAAGTAAAAGGACAAGAAGGATGTTGACACATTTTAAAAGGTACAACAGGAGTGAGGGCAGGTAGCCTCAGCCTATTGGGGTGCATGGGAATGTGGGGGTAGAAAGAAAGGGGTGAGAATCAGAGAAAAGGTCTAACTCCTCAGAGGATGTGCGGATGGCCAGAACACTGACATTCTTCTACAGAGGCCTCACTATTCCTGGCTGTCCTGTCCCAAGCTGGTCTACCTGCTGCCCTGTTGGCCAGGATGACTTGTCTGTGCCACAGCACTGAATACCAGGCGTGCATTCTTCTCTCCCAACACTCGGCTTGCCATGGCCAGAAAAGACAAGTGTTTTAGAGGTATGGTTTCAGGCAGACACATCCTAGAATTAAAATTACTTCAGGGATATCTGCAGTAAAGCTGAAGGAAACACTCAAAAGGCCAAAGGAAGCAAGCTTTATTGAATTTACAACGTAGAAAATATTTGTAGTTCCTTAGACATTTGCATTGCTATAAAAATTACACTTTATGGTATAATTATTAAGGTTTGAAGAGAAATAAACAGTATAAACGAAATATGGCCCACACAATGAAAATGTAAACCATATAAATCAAAATCATAAAACAATTATTCAATACTCAGAGGCCTACTTAATATATACATATGAAATTTCTTACACACACACAATAAATGCCCACAAAAACCATCACTGAAGCCGATCACTGTACAAATATGAAAATAAATCTTTATCTTTAACCTCAATTTTATCTTCAGCAGGAGGGTTGTGCAACTTGGGTTTATGCAGATCACATCAAGTGTTAAATAATCAAATGTCACATATGTCATATAAAGCAGCAAGTGAAAAAAATAAATTATGAAAATGCATGGGCTAAAAGTTAACAGTGAAAAATATCTCCTTATCCAACATTATTTTCCACAATGAAATTAAAATATTTTACAATGTATCAGGATACATTTAAAAAAGGACTGTAGTATAACTATGATTTTAAAATATCTTAAAGAAAAACAGGGACAAGGTGAATAACTTCCATAGTAATATGCAAATGTATCAAGTCTAAGATAAAAACATTAAATATTTTTGTTCTTACTGAAAATGTGCTTTAAATTTGAGAACACCTTCATGAAATCAAAACGTTGGTAATAATCATGAATCTCCCAGCATACAGAGCTTTAAGAAGCTTCTCTTTAAACATGATTGCTAACCAGAGCTCTAAGTCTCTAATTTGGATTATGTTACCAAAATATTTATCAGGGCTCAAATACTTAAAGATGATTGGTTGACCATCAAAGGCACTGGTGTAATCTCATCAACGTGGCTATACTGACAGGACAATCCAGAGGTAAAGACTATGAAAATACTTCTGTATTATGGTATACTCTTTCACAGATTGTAAAACAAATATAAAGAGACACTTTGGAGAGAATAAATAAAGGCAACACAGTAACATATAAACTAACACAGTTTTGTGCAACTGCACCAAAACCTAAACATGTGTCCCATATATCAGCATCTACATATATCTGATCCAATGTCATCAAAAGATGCCACTAAGACAAACAGCCATGGCAAAAGTTTTCCCATGCCACATAAATAATACCCCCCTTATTTTGAAAAATTTCCCATATGCAAGACATTCTTTATGATCAGAAATGTAATCTTTTCTTTTTCTGGAACCAGGAAACAGGAATTCATGGCAGAGTTACTGAGGATAGATCCAACTTTCCAGCAAAAATATCAGATGTCTTCAATAGAGAGAAGGCATGTTTATAAAAGTTAAATGATGTTGTAGCTATTTATAATCTTTGCCTGTAACTATCCGGTCAATTCCCATTTTTTCAAAAAACTGATGCTTGCGGAATTTAAGGTTCTATCACAAACACCGTGAACAGAAAAAAGATTGCTACATGGAATTGTTTCGATTCAACAAAAATAAATGTTTTTAGCTTATACAATACAATAAATAACAGCTACTTTTTAAGTTCCTTCAGCAAGCTACTTGGGGCCTGGACCTAGATGAAGCAAGGTAAATTAGAATCTTTTGTTGTAGCCCACCCTAGGCTCAAGTGTTGACTCCTTTGGCTCTTAGAGGCATCTCAGTGGGGAGGTCTGGGAAGCAATGCAGGTTCTGGAAGGAGAGTAGGCCCAACCAGGTCACTGGTGATGATGAGCCACTAGTCACATTAAACAAAGGACCCTGACTCACCTTTCCTAATGGTGATTCCTCTTTCAAGGATATTATTTCAAAACCATGCATAGAATTTCTTTCATTGATTATTACTTAAGGAAGTTAATGTTAGCAACCAGGGAGTTAGGGGACTTGCATTACATTACAGGTTATGCTTCTAAACCATGGGAAGGTTTGAAATCAGCAGGGATACGAAAATGAAAATTTTGCAAAATGTTACATCACTCTAAGTACTAGCATTTTTTTTAGTGAGATAATTCACAACCATAAAATTCACCCTTTCAAAGTATACAATTCAGTGGTTCCTAGTACATTCAAACAGTTATACAACTATCACCACTATTCCAATTCCAGAACATTCTCATCATCGCCCAAAGAAACCACATACCTATTAGCAGTCACTCCCCATCCTCCCTTTCTCAGCCCCTGGCAACCACTCCCTTAAGTGAAGAGTGACAACTTTCCTGGGCATTGTGCTTTCAGTAGTATGTGGCTTTACATGTTTCCATTAGAATTTTTAACACCAAATTCAAGCAGTGAGCTTTGTAACTATTCTGAGATTATGAAATATCCTTTTATATACAACTATTTTTGTCTCAAACATGTTTCTTTATACATAAAAAATAGATATTTCTGTTTCCATTTTTTAATCAAATTCTGTCCTTATTTCAGAAGTGAGAAAAATCAATACTCCAATATTAAAAAGCAGGAATAACCATAGTTCTATTATTAACTGTGGGCCACCACACTCTCTGTCCTACTGCTTCCCACAGAATCTGAGGTGCCAAGGGCTGCAAGGCCTTTGAGGGCAAGCTGCACATTTTACAGATGAAGAAACAGATCCGACATGGGCTTGTGACATGTCCAAGGTCACAAGGCCAGTTAACAGCAAAGCTAGGATGAGAATCCCTTCTTACTAGAACTTTAGTATCAAATATTTAAATGCTGACTTTGTGGGTAACCTAATTCAGCTACCACATGAATCTAATTATGTCAGTTTCCTCTACAGCTTTGATCTGAGCATGTGATTTCTTTTCTTTTCTTTTTTTTTACCATTTTAAAAACATTTACATGTTATCTTTTAAGACCTGTAAGGACATGACTAGTCTATTTAGCCAGAGGGCCCAAATCACTCACTGAGACAAAACAAAGAAGAGCCAAAGTTCCAGAGGGACCTGAGAGCTGGGTTCAGGTTTCCTGCACTGTAACTCTCCATAGGACAGTGTCAGTAGGATGTGCCACTCTGTTAAGAGCCAAATAAGTCACACAAATTCAGTATTCTGGAAATGAAGACTTCACAGGCCAAGGATGTTTGGGATTTAGCCATTGCAACAATTCTTCATCTGTGGTGACTTTTTGGAATTGGTCCCGGTTAGATTGGTAATGGATCTGCTGTCATCCTTGTCAGTTCTCTTTTTCACTTCTCTGAGACAGAGATAGAGAGAGACAGAGAGAGAGAGAGAGAGAGAGAGAGAGGATTACTGAGGTATAAAAACTAAGCCACAGATGGTTCTGTAGAAATAAAAATAGCCATGCTGAGTGTCTGCACGGCCTTATAGACATTGTTTTAATGCTTTATAGGTCTTGACTTAATCTTCATAAGAACCATATAAATTTGCTGTGCCCCATTTTGTATGTGAGGAAATGAGGGCAAAAAGAGGTTAAGACAGTTCCCTTAGGTCACATGACTACAGAAGTGGGATTAAAACCACACAGGCTGGCTCCAGCACCTGTTTTCTGAGTACCAGGCCACACACACACACACACACACACACACACACACACACACACACACACACCCTTCTCCCCTCACTCTCTCCTGAGGTTTCAGGATGCTGCAGAACCTGCGATACACACAGCTTGCTCCTTAACACTCTGGAACCAGGTTTCCAGCTTCATGTAATGGTTGCTGAGCTTAACAAAAGCAATGGTGATTTTATAACCGTTCTTTAATTATACATGATCATGGAGGTAACAATGGATTTACCACCATCCCTTTCTGTCATCGTAAGCTTCTTCCAGTATTAACTGCTAGAGGCAAGACTCACGAAAAAATGTCTTACTCTCCAAGATCTTATGAAAACCCCCTAAGGAAGTATCCTTCCAGGTGTAGCCACTGGGGATGCTTGTGAAATATGAAGACCAGAAGTCTCACCTTAGACAAGCTGAACGGCT
Source organism: Homo sapiens (assembly GCF_000001405.40). Taxonomy (NCBI): domain Eukaryota; kingdom Metazoa; phylum Chordata; class Mammalia; order Primates; family Hominidae; genus Homo; species Homo sapiens. The sequence continues at coordinate 82,983,533 of NC_000009.12, forward strand.
ATCTCTGCCAGCGAGATGAGTGCCTCCCTAAGATGGCCCCAAATAATTCTGCCCTTCCTTGTCAGTGCCTGATGCCTCTCCCATCAAGAGGTGAAGGTTTGATCCCCTACCCTCTTGGTCAGAGCTGGTTCTCCACCTGCTTTGACCAATAGAATATGGAGGAAATGGTATTCTGTGGCTTCTAAACCCAAGTGTTTATAATGCGGGGCTGCAGCAATCTCTACCCCCTTTGAAGTCCAGGGTTCAAGGAGTCCAGGGTTCCTCAATGGAGAGAGGCCACCAGAGTGGCCCTGGGGACTGAGATGCCACGTGGAGTGAAGCCACGAGAAGCACCCTGGTGGCTGACATCCAGCCCGAGCCACAGCCCCGGTGGCCATCTGACTGCAAACATAGGAGATACTCATGCAAAAGCAGTCAAGAAACTTTCCGGCTGACATCCAGCCACCTCTGCCAACTGTGAGAAATAAAAATTGGTTGTTGTTTTGGGCAACCAAGTTTTGGGATGGTTTATGATGAAGCACTTAACTGAAACTAGCGGGAATCTGTGTCTCTCCAGCAGAGCCACACTGCTCAACAGAAATACAATGGGATCCATATATGTCAGTTTGAATTATTTAGTAGCCAGATTTTTAAAAGGTAAAAAGAAATAGGTAAAATTAATTTTATTAATATATTTTATTTAGCCCAGTATAGCAAAAATATTGTCATTTCGGCATGTGGTCAATAAAAACACTATTAATGAGATAATGTGTAGAAGGCCTTCAAAATCCAGTCTATATTGAATGCATACAGCACATCTGAACTGGATTAGCCACATTGTGAGTGGCTAGTGGCTACCAAACTGGCCAGCTTAGCTGCAGAAGGTGCTGATAAATCCTACCTTTCGAAATCCACTGCACTGTGAATTGGAAAGAAGACATCTCAGCAGGGAAAAAAATAAACTGATTCTAGCTATAGGACAGCTGGTAAATGCAATATACATGTTTTTCATATTTGATATATACCCCAGACACACACACCCGACAGGAGATGGGTGAGTAGTACTATCCTCACCTCACAGATGAGGCAACAGAGACTCAGGAGAAGAAAGAGGAGACACAATTCAAACCCTAACACCCGGGAAGACTCATTTCAGGTTTCTGACCTCCAAAATTGTCAGATAATAAATTTGCATTATTTAAGCCTCTACATCTGTGGGAGTTCATTACAAGGACAACGGAAGAGTAACACAACTTCCAAATGCAAAATCTTGGTCGTTCTGTCATTGAATAAATGCCCAACTTATGCCAGGCTCTGGGACCTTCAGCTACTGAGCTTTAAGGGAGAGTCAGATGTCTAAATAAATAATTTCATGGTCCTGAGACAGCAGCTACCACAGATGCACTCTGTGCCCACAGATGTGTTGTGGGCTTCACGGAAATGGGGCTTCATAGAGACTTTTGACATTGGAGAGACCTTTTGAAAGAACAGAAAAGGAGATTCCAGATGCAGGGAACAGCATGCAGAAAGGCAGAGGCATAAGAGCTTGGCCTGATTGGATGAAGTTTGCTGTGTCTACAGATTATCATTCATTTGGGAAAAAGAGATAGAAATTCAACCAGAAAGGTCAGGCTGTGTATTAGTTCGTTTTCACGCTGCTGATAAAAACACTCAAAAGTGGGAACGAAAAGAGGTTTAATTGGACTTAGAGTTCCACGTAGCTGGGGAGGCCTCAGAATCATGGGGGGAGGCAAAAGACACTTCTTACATGGTGGCAGCAAGAGAAAAACGAGAGAGAAGCAAAAGTGGAAACCGCTGATAATCCCATCAGATCTCGTGAGACTTATTCACTATCACGAGAATAGCAGAGGAAAGATCGGCCCCCATGACTCAATTACCTCCCCCGGGGTCCTTCCCACAACACATGGGAATTCTGAGAGATACAATTCAAGTTGAGATTTGGGTGGGGACACAGCCAAACCATATCAGGCTGTGATGGGCTATCAGCCACATGCTAAGGAGCTGGGACTCTGTGTTTTCAGTAAGACACCAATGTGGGGTTGGACGCAAGAAAGTAAATATTAACTGGATCTTTATTTATAAAGATTACCTGATTCCACAGTAGAGGATGAACTGATATTGGAGAAACCCTGAGGCAGAAATTCTTGCACTAGCCCAGGTAGGGAATTTTGAGGCCTGAACCAAAGCAGAAAAAGGGAGAAAGCGAGAAAAATGCATGGATTCAAAAGAGACTGAAAGATGACCTTCAGAAGCCACTGGAGGCAAGGGGTGAAGCAAGAGAGAAAAGGAATCAAGACTGACTCCAGGTGACTATTGTTTAATTATAATTTTGGTAGATTCCAGAGAAAGGGAATACAGACTGAGGAACAAGCTTAAAGCCACATGAACACACCAGGATTTGGATATGCAGAGTCACCATGGCTATGGCGTTTCCGGTGGGGGTTCACTCTATGCTTATGGAATTTTAAAAAGACGTGAGGGGTTAAAAATACAAAAACTGGAAGTTACCAGGTAGAGATGGTTCCAGAAGCTGTGTGGATGGAAGACATTAGACAGACAGAGAGTGAAAAGAAAGAGAGGACAGTCAGAGACCCTGAGATTACCAACATTTAAACAGCAAGCCAGTGATCCAGGTTGGTGGTGAAGAGTCCTCACATTGCCACTTACTAGCTGTGTCACTGAGCAAGCAGATTAAGTATTCTAATTTCCAATTTCCTCTTCTGTAAAATGGGTACAATAACCATAGCATCTTCACTGAACAATTCACATCTCTCTCTTCTTGTAGATCCAATGGCCTCTATCAGCTACGTACCATATGGCTGCCTGGTCATATATTGTCATGTTCTTTTCTGTAATGTTAAATTACAAGGCCAGTCTTTAAATCCCTTGATGTCTCTATTGAACATAGCATGGGGCTATGCACGTGTTAAGTGCCAATAATGCAGACATTATTGAACCTGAAAGCAAATATTAAGGGGGAAAGTATATACCCACATTTTCATCTGGCCTTCAGCCAAAAATGCAGGCATGCTCCACTTTAAGGAAATTATAAAGATACAATTCCAAACATCTAAAACAGATTTAAGGCTGGGAAAATTAGGGCTCACCAAAATCTACCATACGCTTAACAACTGCAGTTTAATTGACTCAGTCTTATGGACAGATTTACACCCAATGGGCTCAGCTCTGATGCTGAACTGATACATCAGCCTAAGTTTTTTGTGTTTTTCTCCAATTTCAGGCAGTTGATAATTAAATGCCTCTTGAACTTGAATCTACTGCAAAATGTTTAAAGCCTGTGGTTCTGGTGATGGAAAATTTACTTACTAATGGGACAATGGTTATGAACGATGACCTATCAGCACTATATAGAAATTGCATTCCTAGGAGAAACTCTTCCTGGGATTGAAAGATTTTCTAAGAAAATGCAGAGTAGTTCAGGTTGTTAACCAAATATTTATGGCCTCCCTTTAAAAATAAATTGTTTGAGACAGTGCAAACCCATACCTTCTCCTAGTTTTATGACATTATATGATCTCACCCTATGAAATCTAAATTGAGAACATATATGTTTTGCATTATACATAAATTTCCCAAGGTTGTAAAACTTCAACAAATGGTAATTTTACCTGTGGAGACTATAACATTTCCATTTAAGGGTTGAGTACTTTGAAAAGCCAATCCGAAGGCTAAGTATAAAGCAATTAAGGTCTTCATATGTTTGCTTTATTTATAATTTTTATATTTAACACATCACTAACATCACTAGAAGCCCAAAGCCAGGCCATAATGCAATAACAATAAAACAAAAACCTCTATGATAAATGATTCGCAAGAAGCTTATCTTATTTCTTTACTTGTCTAAAGCTTTTTAAAATAACTATAACCTATCCATTATGCAGCTGAAATAACCTAGTTATCAAAATTCTTTTGCAAACCAGGTGTTTTAAGTAAACACACACAAGCTAGTGTCGAAGCTTCATTGTAAGCAGGGCCAACACGTGGCTGACCCAACATGCCACACAGGAGCAGATGGGGAGAAAGGCACAGGAAACTTACAGCCTCTCCCATCTTTATGACATAATAAAGAGAATCGACTCTTCACCGGGGCACTTTGGAGCCATATAACTTTAATATGACCCCATAAGACAACTGAGCATTAAACAATGATTAAGATATTCAGTGGAGTACAGACTGTCATATACAGAGTCACAGGCTCTTAGAATTAGAAAGGACCTTTGAGATCATTTCCTTTAGGCCCCTCCCTCATTTTACAGATTAGAGTTGCCAAAAGAAATACAGGGACTTGTTCAAGACCTCATAGCTATTTAGAAACAGATTTAAGAATGGACTTTGAGCCTCCTGACACCATAATCCTCCAATATGCTGGGGAGCAGCTAGTAACCACATGCAAGGCTTGATCTGCTGCATCTGTTACTGCTGCATGGGAGCAGCAATGCAGTGTTCCGCTGACCAAGGCTAAGGCATACCAGGGATGCTCCAAAGACCTGCAGATCCTTCCCCACTGCCATCTGTGCCAGCAACTATATCACTTCCATCCAGCTGTTCCCAGCAACTTATGAATGAAACACCAACACAACCATTTGAAAAGTAAAAACCTGACAATCCAACAGTTATTTGATCTTTAGTGAAGTCAAATTCTGCATTTTACTGAACTCTCCCCTCTTTACTGAATGTAGCTTGTTGAGCCAAAATAGCTGGTGTTCCCTGTGCACCCATAAGTGCGTGGAATCTGTTATTCAACCCGACAGATAAAAGTTTTACTCTGACTCTTTTTGCACAAATGTGATATTAGTCCATGATTCTCCTACTATTCACAGCCAAAAACAAACAAACATACAAAAAAACACACAAAATAACCCATCTAATTTAGTTGAATGTATATGTGTTCAAATATTCACTTTTTTTTTCTTTTAAAAGATGAAATGGTTTGGATGTTTGTCCCCTCCAAATCTCATGTGGAAATCTGACCTTCGGTGTTAGAGGTGGGGCCTCGTGGGAGGTATTGAATCAAGCGGGTGGCTCTCTCATGAATGGCATAGCTCCATCCCTTGGTGATGAGTGAGTTCTCGCTCTGAGTTCACAGGAGATCTGGTTGTTTAAAAGAGAGTAGCCCCTCCCCTCTCCTTGCTCCCTCGTCATGTGACACGCTGGCTCCCCGTCACCTTCCACCAGGAGTAAACGCTCCCTGAGATCTCACCAGAGGCCAAGCAGATGCCAGTGCTAAGTTTCCTGTAAAGACTGCAGAACCATGAGCCAATTGAACCTATTTTCTTTATAAATTGCAGTCTCGGGTATTCCTTTATAGAGATGCACAAAACAGCCTAATGCAAAAGGAAAAAATGTGCTAGGTCACATTCAAGGTTAGCACTGTTTTTGCTTTAAACAAAAATGATTTCCAGTGTTGTAGGGGGAGGTGACTCTCTCTCCTGGACTGATGTCAAAGAGGGAAATGTTCGAAGACTCTTGAGTGTGAATACAGGGCATCTGCCAACCCTGCCACAAACTAATGCCAAGCAGGACTCCCAAAGTCCATTTCCTGATTCTCTTAAGTGAGGGCAACAGTTTATCCTGTAGCCCTAGTCCAAACATTCTATTAATAGAACTCTAATTTATTAAGCACTATAAATGCCAAGTCATTAATGTATATATGTATATGTATGTGTGCATGTGTGCGTGTGTGTGTGTGTGTATATCTTTTTTTAAATAGATACAAGGTCTCACTATGTTGCCCAGGCTAGTTTCAAACTCCTGGGTTCAAGTGATCCTCCAGCCTTGCCTCTCATAAAAATGATAAAAATAATCACTCAGGAATTAATGTCCATCAAGAATCTGTTTCCTCTTGGCCAGCAACTAACACATCCTCCTTCCTGCTAACTTTTCCTTCCTGGATCCAGCAGCCTCCATGTTGCTGAAACCAATGGGATCTGCTGGAATTAAAGGTGTGGGCCACTGCACCCGGCCCTAAGTCATTAATTGAAAAACAGCATTAAAGATATTGCAAAGTATTTTAACTATCAATATTTACTAGCAGAAAAGGCCAATTATCATACTAAAATTAAGATTCTTATAAAACCTTACAAATAATCAGAAAAAGAATGACATGCCTAAAGTTATATTTTAACTTTGTCTGCAATTAAAGATGATTGCTCTGAAATTTGTATTGCACATTTTGATTTTTTTCCTTTTTGTGATATTTAATCCCTCTAGGCCAGTAAAGAATAATCTTTTCATTTATAGCAGAAAACCAGGTAGGAGGGAAAAATCTAATGTAGAATGTTATTTCCTAAGAATTACTTCAAGGATTAAAACACATACATTTATATCCAAGTTCTTTAATGATGCCATTTTCATTCTATTGTACATCCAAAATGTTATTTATTATTAACACTATTGCCTTAGCTTAATAATTACCTGGGTAATAATTCTGACAAAGTGTTTCTAACTGGCATAACATACAAATTGCTTTGTTTCTTTTTCCCCTTTTGCCCGGGAAAATATCATAATAGACAGTTGTATTCATAATAGTCCCTTGTGTATAAAATCTGCTTCCTGGAAATGATTCATACACGTCAACTATTAGCTTTGTGGTGACATTTTTCAGAAATGTCAATGACACCTCAGATGCACCTCTTTTGTTTGGTAGTAAAGATATTTTGCCAGTGTTGACAGCAACGTTGCCAGTTTTTATAATATCCACATATTTATTTCTCCCACCATGACTGACAGATAAGAGAGTGTTTTCCCGCATATATTCTATCTGCACATTATGGACAAGAAATGTGTCATATGCAACAAGCGAAAATTCAATCCTACATCCATTTTCCCAAACTTTACCGAGCAAGGTGCAGAACAGCCTCCACTATGTTAGAACCATCTTTGGCACTTGTTTCACAGAATAATGCCCCATACGTCTGTAAAAAAGAAATACACACAATTAAATGAAGCCCTTCATTGAGTTTCCTGAAATTTTAGCTTTTAAAATCAGTAAAATAAAAATATGTTCCTACTGAGCATGCTAAGAGTAACTAATAGCTAAGAAACTGAATTCAGAGTTCCAGTACTTACAAAGAAAATGGTTTAAGCATAGTTACTCCAGGAAAAGTTCCTAGTTGGAGGACTTTTACTTTACATTAAAAAAATAGAATATTTCATGTTTGAAGGTTTTTATTTCCAACAGTCAAAACACATGCTACCAAATGTTCTTTATCAAATATTCCGAGACAGATAAAAATGAGTTCAAGGTAACCACTCAGGAATTAAATGTCCATCAAGAGTCTGTTTCCCTTTGGCCAGCAGCTAACACACCCTCCTTCCCGCTAACTTTTCCCTTCTGGATCCAGCAGCCTCCACGTTTGCTGAAACCAATGGACACGTTCTAGTTCTCTATTATTCAACCTCCCAGCCATAGTGCATATGATATCATGTCACTCTCCTGCTTCAAACCTTTCAATGCCTCCTGTTTGTCTTTAGGTAATGTGAAAATGCTTTTCCATGGCCAATGAGGCCCAGCTTCACGTGGCCCCAGGCAAGCTCTGAGCTTCACCTCCCACCTCACTCATCCCCCACTCACTCACAGAGCTGCAGTTTCCCTGGCCTTCCTCTAATTCTCCAGTGTCCGCAAAGCCTTCCCACCTTGGGACCTTTGCACCTACTCTTCTCATCACCTAGGTTCCCTCCACCCTCCACCAGTCTGACACCTACCTACTTTTGGGATTTTTAGGTAATCCTTCCTTGCAGTTAAGATTCAGTCATTCCTAACCCTGAAAAGTTTGTATTAGGACTTCCCATCATAAACTTTCATAGCACTCTGCGATCCTCATGCACAGCAATTGCCACAATTATAATTGCTCAAGTTATTTTTGTGTGCCTGTCTGACTAGCTGGAGACATTTTCTCTTAATAAAGGAGAACTAAGTGTTGTGGGCCTAGGTGTGGGTTAAACAGTCCTGTGTGGGACAAGGGAAGGAGGTGACACTTGCTCTAGAACAGGGAGAATGAGAAAAGCCAGGAAATGGGGAAAAATGCCACAATGGGACCTTTACTCGTAAGCCCACAAATCCATAGAAAATCTGCAAACACCACAAAGTAAATGCATTTCTGGTAGAAACCATCAGTGCTGGTGTTGACTTCTACATCCAGGATGATATGGGGTGAAACAGAGACTGCCTTTGAGGATGCAGGACTGTGGAGGTCAAGAGATGCATAAGGAAGCAAACTTTGGGAACTCTGCGAAATCATGGAGAGGGAATAAAGCTGGCAGGCAGCCAAGAATAACTAGATTTCAAAGTATCTGTGTGAGACCATGTCTAGCATGTGGATTTCATGAGTTTAACATCTGTCTCCCTCAGACAGTAAACAATACGAGGGCAAGGACTGTTTGCTTTGTTCTCTGCTCTTGGCCCAGCACACAATGAAGTGTTTGTTACATGGTGGATACCAATAAATATGGGTTGAGTGAATCTCTTCTGCATTTCATTGCCTAGTTTTGACATTTATCACATTTGGTTTGCAGTTCTAAATTTTAAAACAAGAACGATTATTCCAGCTTAAAATATTAAAACTGAAACTTCTTTTTGAAGTTCACATACGTATGCTACAGAGTAGTCCTTTCCTGGTGCTGACGACAGACAACACTATCAACATCAAATCAGACTGCTGCAATATTAATTTATTTGACCCAAAGTGCATCTGACTACTTGTATGGGTAAGACAGGTCATAACAGAGCTAGGTAGCATTCTGACATGATGACAGATGACACTGATGGGAGAATAAACACTGCCCATGACAACAATCTGAATAGGAATGAGTTTATTCCTATATACAAATGCATACCCCAAAATGCATATGCATTTGTATATGGGAATGATTTTTTATATCAACTAAACACAAATCTTAGAGAAGAAAAGAAGTCATCCAATTCCCTTCCACACAGGTGAGACACTGTACCTTCTTCTGCCTTTGGCATTATAACCCTCTGAAACCAAAGCCATCTTTTCAAAATAGGACACTATTTTCTTCCTTTACTTGGATTCCAGGACTAGAGAAGGTTTCTAGGAACTAGGTGAGAGGGAGGAGGAAGATGATGGGATTATTTGGGTTCCTTTCTGTCAATGATACTCAATGGGAGAAAATGATTATGTGATTGTTTTATTTTCCCAAGGGACTTAATCCTTGGCATAAAAGAGGTGGGAGTCATGGCAGTTTTGCCTGTGTTAAGGACAGATGCCTCAGACGGGGGAGGTTTGTCAAAGGACCTCTCAAGCAAAGGTAGACAAAAGTGAAAGGCCACCGACTTCAAAGCCATTAAACCCCATGTTCTCTTCTAATTCTGAGGCATCCTCACTCTTACCATGGCCAGTTTCTCTCCAAAGTGCCCTGGGACACATTTTTGTCCCTCTGTAGCAGCAGTGTCACGAATGTCAGCCTTGTTTCCTACCAGCATAATGGGAACAGTCTCATGGGCTGCATCCTACCAGGAAGAAAAAAAAAATGGGGCACACATCAAACACTGGACACATTACGATGACCACAGAACAACAGCAACAGCAATTACCATTTTCCCTTTGCCTCCTTTGTGCCAAATCCTATATAGAGGATATCTTTAAACCTCAAAGTATCTCTAAAAACAGCCATACATTTTCCCATTCACAGAAGAGAAAACTGAAATTCAGAGAGGTTAAATAAGAAGGTATAAGGGTCAGGGCCTGGATCCAAACTAACTCCATAACGCTTGCCTCTATATAATGCCCCATCCTTAGGTTAATGAAAAGACTAAAAGGCACTGGGATTAATCAGTTTTATGGCAAAGGAAACACATATCTGTTAATTTCTTATCTCCAGCACACAGAGCACTACAAGCCAATATAAACTCAAAAGGCATGACCACAGAATCATATTTGGCTGTGCTGCCCACATAATTTTCTACAACTGTTATTTTAAACAATAGTGATCACAAGCCAAGTTCATTATTACAGTTATAAAACACACAGTAATTTTTCAACTATAATGAAACAAAAAGGGAGTTTGGAAGTTCCACACTCACTGCTCTCTGGTTTACAACAAAAGCAAAATATAAAAGTCCTGAAGGTCAACATTTTTCTAAGAAAGAGTCAAGTACCAATCTTTCAAAGTAATGGATTCTAAGATAAGCCTCCCATGTCAGCCTATGCAATTGTCACAGGGTCCCACAGTCACAGTGAAGCTCACAGAATGTGAGATGAGTGTGGCAGAGGCAAGTCTGAGACCCAGCCCTCCACCAGCTGGACCCACTGGCTGTGTGAGGTCAGGCAAGTCTCTGCAGCTTTCCGCTCCAGTCTCCTTGTCTGTAAAATGAAGGACTGAATGAAGGCATTTCCCACCTCAGCAGGCTATGATGAGAATACAAGAAGACAACCTGACTAGCACAGAAACACAAGTTTCTGGTTCCTAAATAAGAGAAGTGGCAGCCCTGATGAAAACATGTGGAAATTACTCTTTGCAGTGACTAAAGATACCTGCGTACTCATTGGGTTTGGGGCTATTCCTGATACAGGATCAAAAAACGTGCCTCAACATGAAATCATCATTGACTTCCTTTCTCTTCAGGCAACTTTCCTTGGACTGAAGGCTCCAGAGTGTAATAAAATCAAAGGAAAGGGAATGAATGGCCCTCTCCAAAATTAGCTGTTTCGCTCATTAATGCGCTCGTTAATTGTGTTCTTTGATGACCTCAGGATGCAAGGGGCATCACTTGAAAGTTATTAGTCAAATATTCATTTCAGTAAGCCCAAGAATCCAGGCATCTAAATGACTTCTCAAAGCCACAGAGGTAAAGGGCACCTCCTTCAAGTCTTGACTTAAATATGTCCTTCCCAGTGAGGCTACCTTGAAGAAAACCACAGCCCACTTCCTTATCGTCAGGCCTTTTAACCTGCTCTCGTTTTGTTTGTATAACATTATCACCTTCTACCATATCATTTCATTTATTGATCTATGTTTGCTGCTTTTCATCTGTCTCCCCCACTGGAACACAAGCTCCATAAGGACAGGGCTCTGTTTTCTTAACAGATATATCCCGAGAACCTAGACTACTACACAGGAACCGGGCAGATCCTCAAAAAATAGTTTTGAATGTGTTAAAACTGGGAAGAGATATTACATCTCAAGTATCTCCATTCAGCTTTTACCCAAATATTCGATCAATAAAATATTCATGACAGATAAACAAATGGCTATAATTTTACTTTATCCATAATTCTATTACAAGATTTTTTAACTCAGCAGTTTTCCATTGAAGTATATCAATTATTAATTCAGAGGGTCTGTTCACCGCTGACAGTCTACAGCTTCTCAATCCTCTGGCTTACCCCAATGATCACACCATTCATTTCCGCCCATATTTACAGTGGCCATATAAACTGTCCCTGTAGGAGTTCCTCAAATTAGAAACAGTAAGCCATGGAGAAACTTCACTGTGCTCATTCTTTTTCTAAGGTGAAAGTCAAATGCCATTAGTAGTATGTAATTTTTCATCCATAACAAACTTAAGAATTCATCTCTTCTATAGTTTTCTTCCTTTTCAGACCATAGGAAAACGTGATACCAATGGCGGAAAAGATGACAACGTGTGAAGTTGCTTTGCAAATTATGGCAGTGGGCCACTCTACATAAGGGTTATTTCACTGTGGCTGATCTTGCCTTTTGTGCCTCCTTTTCTTGAGCATAACCCAAAGATTTTAAATAAAGACTAATCCAAAATGTCAACAATAAAACAGTTTTGCTGTGGATTTTAAACACTAGTATGGATGAGTTAGGGTTATCTGTTATTCTCTGGACTTATTGCTCCATCCCAGGGATCTCCATTTGTTCACTTGAGTAGCCATTGCTCCTCTATGCACTAATTATACCTTGGGATTCCTTTTTATTTGAGATGGGGGTCTCGCTCTGTCACTCAGGCTGGAGTGCAGTAGCACAATCACGGCTTACTTCAGCCTCGACCTCCTAGGGCTCAGGTGATCCTCCCACCTCAGCCTCCCAAGCAGCTGGGACTAGAGGTCCATACTAACATGCCTGGGTAATTTTTGTATTTTTTGTACAGATGGGGTCTCACTATGTTGCCCAGACTGATCTCAAACTCCTCGGCTCAAACCATCTGCCTGCCTTGACTACCCAAAGTGCTGGAATTATAGTCCTTGGGATTCCTTCTTGATATCAGAGGCTTCTTCAAGTAATCTTCTGCTCACACTGGTGCTATATCAAAACAGCAACCACTGTTCAATCAGGAGGTTCGGTTTGAGCCCCTATTCTATTCCTAACCACTAAATAACTCTAAGCAAGAGCTACCTATGCTTTCTATGCCTCAAGTTTCTCATAAAAACTTAGGATAATATGTTTTCTTATTTCATTTCTCAGATGCTAGAGAGATGACTATAACATGGGAAATTTTGTGAAGTAAAAATGTTACATAAATGTAAACACACTTTCACTGTGTTTACAATCATTTTAAGCCATGATAAGTTGGTAGAACAGAGTGCATATTTATTTATCACTGTCAAAGTCTTACTGCCAATTGCAATCAGTCATTTCTCACACTACTTCTTTAGTTAGAAAGAGAACAATAATGCCAGAAGCTAAATTGAGATCAGACAGCAACCAGTCCTCTGTTCAGCCACTACTGCAATTTAATGCCTTCTTAAATTACAGGTAATATACTTAGTTGAAAAGTTGTATTAATATACTTAGTTGAAAAGTTTATTTTTCAAGAGAGCATGCTGAACCATAGCTGGAACTGTAGTGTTATGTTAGTAACTGTTGGCAGCATGCTAAATGGGGTCAAAATCATTTACTTTTAAAAATTATTTACCATGAAACCAGAGGACAGGAATGTTCCTTAGGTGAAAGACATCATCTTATTTAACCACAGAAAGCACAGAAGCTATGCCCATGTTTAAAATATCAACTGGTATTTCGGTAGTACCTTGAGACATCTAAAGATCCCAAATCACTACCAGAATAAGGTTGAGAAGAGAAGAGAGCTCCCATACAATTTGAAACTTGACGCACGCTCATATCCAGGTGGTGTTTCACCTGTACTTCCCATGCCCGTGGATGCCCCCACATGCCCCCAACTACACTACACAACCAACCACACCATCTCCTTGTTTGTAATAACTTCTTCCTAGGCTACCTGGATTTTTACTTGCTTACGATGGGATTCTGATTTTATCTATAAGAAAACCTAGAAGTTTTATTCCCCAAAGCTCCCTTCATTAGTGTCCTTGGCTTCAGGGAAATGTGCCCAAATCCTGAGGAAGAGATGAATGCTGCCAGTTCTGCCTGTAGCATCCAATTCTTCCTGATGGCTTGGATCAATGGTTCCTAATCAAGTTCATTCTGACAAAGAAGAGAGACAGCATTTTCCAAGATGGCCTAAAACTTCCTCGTGTAATTTTCTGTTTCTCCATTATGATTTCTTACCTCAATCATATCTACCCATTCTCGTATGTTAAGAAAGCTTTTCTCACATGTAACATCATACAGCAGCAAAACACCATCTGCCTTTCTGAAGTAAGACTTGGCAATACTTCTGAATCTGAGAAAGAGAAAACCACATCATCAGTCAGTTTGTGTTGCCTCATTCTTCTTCTCTTTTATGCTCATTTTTTTCTCCTCTTCTAAAATCAACACCAGTTGAGAAGACTCTAACTGCAATATATGACTGAGACATAGGCATTTCAAAGGTCTCGAATGACCCAATGAAAGGTAACATGATGAGAATCTGGGTGACCGACTTAGAAAATCCAATCCTTCTCTCTACCAAACAACCCCAAGAATGTCTACAATCCCCAGAGCACAACCAGGGAAAGGTTGAGAGCACAGTTTCCAAAAATTTCAACCTCAGCAACAAGCTACCAGAACCCACATGTGGGACACAGAGGAGGCTGGAAGGAGATACGAACTAGAGAATACTTATTTTTGGTGGTGGTGGTGGTTAGGGAGTATTGTGGGTGGATGGAGGAACTACCAGTGTGGAACGCTGTAACATACCAGGACTTTACATACATGGGGGTCAGGAGATTCACCTTGGGAAGAGAACACCTCAACACACATGCCCTAACTTGAAACCCAGTGCAATATTTTATAAGTATTTTAAATACAGTCATGTCAACCACAAATATTTTTTATATGTTGAAATTCCCAATCTGCTAGAGAATATGAGCACCATGGGGGCAGGTATTTGTGCCTGTCTGTTCACCACTGAATCTCAGCATGCTGAATAATGCCTGGTACAGAGGCAGGCACCCCATACTTACGGGTTGAACAATTGAATGGATTTTGTTCCGAAGGAGTTAAACAAGATTAAAATCTGTGCTTAATGCTCTGCTTATCGGTAATGAATGCAAGGTAAAGTGCCATCACCAAATGCAAGTCTGCTATGCGGTTTGTGCCTCTGCCCTTAATCAAGGGGAGCTGACTGGTTCTCTTCTCCATCATTTATTGTTCTATAGCCAGGGAGTTCCTCAGGCTGTCACTGCACTCAAAAATGCTGCCTCTCATGTTAGCAAAGGGCACTCTCTGTCTCAACTGAACATCAGCTCAAAAGAAGCTTAAAGATCCTCTTCTCACAGGAGTCATAGGTAAATGAAGGAGATGTGCGAGAATATAAGCATTTTAAAGTTATAATACATTTTATAATTATACATGTAATTATGCATATAATTATAAAGTATGTTATAATTATAGAATTTTGAGTATGAAGAACATCAAGTGGCCTGCAAGGCTTGTTAATGCAAACCCAGGATATCCCATAGCGCTGCGGAATGCACTTGCCTCTCCTGACCAGCTGTATCCCAGAGCTGCAGAACTGTTCGTTCTCCATCCACAATGAGGGTTTTCATTTGGAAATCAACTCCTGAAAAGGAATGTGAGAGTGGAGAGCACGATGTAAATAATTCCATTGGCTTTTTACTTTCAAGCCTTCTTTAGATGAAGCAAAAGCCAATAATACACAGCTCAGCCAGGGAGGGAGGAATGAACATGACCTTTAAGGAGAGTGACCTTCAAATAGGAATGACAAGTCAGACCACACGTGTGTGCAGAGGCACCATCTGCAGGTTGGCTGACTTGGGGAATGATTTAATTTATGAGCCAAGGGAAAAATCTGTTTTATTTTCCCTGATGACTGGATGAACTCAGTCATATTTGTGTGTGTGTGTGTGTGGGTGTGTGTACATGTGTGTATGAGTGGGCATGCATGAATGTGCAGGTGTATACGTGTGTGTATGTATGTGTGTAGGTGCAGATACGTGTTTTGTGTATATGCATGTATGTATATGTATATGTAGGTATATATGTATAAATGTATGTATATCTAAACATGTATACATATGCGTGTGTATATATACACACGTTAGTGCACACACACATTTACATGCATCATGGTCTCTGACAACTGAACCAAATACTGTATGTAGTCTTTTTATGAATCAAATTGAAGTAAACTTTCAGCTTTGTTAATGTTGAAGAGTGTATCAGAGAACCATAAATTTACAAAGACACTCATGTGAAGAGGACAATCAGTCTGTTCTAACATTTCGGGTGATCAAAATAAGAACTCTTTAGACGAAGAAGAAAAATAAATGATAATTTGCATATCTTCAACTCCTTTTACTATTATGCAAATTTGGGAAATCAGGATACTACTTGTTCTATTGTTCTGTTGTGAAGGTGGGTAACGGATCATATATCTGGCTATGATTTTGACCATAATGACAAAGTGGCAATCCATATTGTCACTTTGTCAACATCAAATACTTCAGCAGAAAGGGTTTTCCTGGCCACCCTGCGTAAAACCGCACCTCTCCCTAAACTTCTTTTTTGTACCTTTTCCCTCCACTGGGATGTAAGTGCAGTGCAGGCTGGGATTGTCAGCCTTCTTCATGGTGTATCGTTTGTACCTACAACAGCATCTTGTTTTTAGTGGGACTCAGGAAATACATGCTGAATAAATGAATCTGATATCTCAGGATCTAAATTTGATTCAATTCATCTGATTGGCTAAGCAGATATCTCTCTTTTTTTTTTTTTGTGGCAGGGTCTCACTCTATCACCCAGGCTGAAGTGCAGTGGTGTGATCTCGGCTCACTGCAACCTCCGCCTCCCAGGTTCAAGCGACTCTCCAGCCTCAGCCTCCCGAGTTGCTGGGACAACCAGCACCCACCAGCATGCCCAACTAATTTTTGTATTTTTGGTAGAGATGGGGTTTCGCCATGTTGGCCAGGCTGGTCTTGAACTCCTGACCTCAAGTGATCTGCCTGGCTCGGCCTCCCAAAGTGCTGGGATTACAGGCATGAACCACCGCACCCAGCCAGATATCTCTGTCATTTTAATCTTCCTTTCCTAAAAGCAGGCCTTGGCCAAAACAAGAAAGACCTTTCCATAGACTAGGAGACACACACACACACACACACACACACACACACACACACACACACACACACACATTTATATATGTGTGCATACACAGAGAAAGAGAAAACTGTTAACTGAGCATCTGTGTATGTAATCCCTGAAGAAGAGAAAATCAAGCTAAGGAAGGTCATTTTCCCATTATCAACCGAAATACGAGCCATACCCAGGGTGGCGCTTATATTTTCTCGAAATTCATTCTTGCAAAGTCTCATGAGGAAACTAGACTTCCCCACTGCAGCGTCCCCAGCAAGTACAATCTTGTAAGCCTTCTGTGAGCTAAAAGATTTAGCGTTGTCATCTACCAGGTCTGTCTGGGGGGAAAAGCCACAGTGAATGATAACGGTATTGCCAGTTTTCATCCTAATAAGTAACACTGCACAGAAAATAAGCAGTGTTCATGAATAGGAGTGTCTCGGAGACCACCTACCTGGGGCGAGAGTGCTGAGATGGGCTTTCTTGATGAACTAACAATGCTGCCTTCACTAACAGACCCTTGGGGCTTCCAGTCTAAGACGGAAGCCACATCTTCTAAACCAAATGTCTCTTCATCCCTTATGTCAGGAACCTATTTTTTTTAAAATGTCAGCAGTTAAATTAAAAAATGTCAGCAGTTAAAATACAAAGTCTAAAATGTATACATTATGGATTAAAAAGAAGAAAACTATGCAGCTAAATCAACAGTCAATGCTATTAATATTAGGGAATAGAGTGACACTGAATGGCAATCTATGAGAATTTCTCCCTAACTCTGTGGAGGAAAAAGCATTTTACTAACTATGCTTTACATCTATGACCTTTAAAACAGATTTCCATGACAGATAGAAGGCAAATAAGGTGACAGATTTCAATCACGTAGAAGGCCTAGGAGAGCAGTGGTTTCTGGGGCTTACATCTGTGTCTGAAGCATCACCTCCAAAGCTCTCCTGCACCCCGTGTGACCTCTGAAATCCCCTCTGGTGCTTGTATTCCACTTCTGAGTCATACTCATTGGGATCTCTCAAGGTAGACAAGCCGCTGTCGAAGCAGCTTTCAGGCAGGCTGTCAACTTCACAATTTGTCCTCTGCAGAGGATCACAGAGGGCCAGGGAGTCACAGTCCTCATCCACATAGGAAGAGCGGGATGACCTGGTAATAAAGGGGAAGACCAATTTACCTGAGGGCTGGAAATGCTCAAGAACATACAGGCAATAGACCACATGCCATTAGATGGAATCAAGTAGGCCGACTGTGGCTAAGAGCCGCAGTGTTATTTCATGATTAGGCATTAGGGGAAATAAAATGCTCAAAGCACCATCAGTTCATTCTATGCAGCAATCAGTTAAGATAAAGAACCTTACATCAAACACTTAACAAACAAAGCCATTAAAAAAATAATGTTCTTTATTTCCTGATACAAAAAGAATTAGAGTACCTAAGACATAAACACAATCGCAAGTTGTATTCATAAAAATGTATGCAGAATATATGAGCTTTTTTACTCTAAGGTGGTCAGACCATATTCTGAACATTGTGTCCATTTCTGGATAACATCTCTACTTAAAAGGGCTGCTGAGAGCCCAAACAGAAAAGGCAACCACAATGTCAGACTCAAGACCCTCAGAGCTGAAAAATAAGATTCAGTGTACTCAACTTAACTCTTAATGGTTTCTCTCTTCAAATACTTGAAGAGCTGATACATGAAGAAGACCACATCCTCTCAGGTTGCACAAGACAAAATAAGATAAGCTTTTCTGGGTGTCATATTTCTAATCAACATGGCAAAAAATGATAGGCAATTAGAAACATCTGATAAAAATAAGCAATTAGAAACATGACTGGAATGTATGATTTGACACGTAAGTTTTCTGCCACTAAATGTTGACACACCGTCTGGAAACACCCCTCTGGGAGACGTTTCATAGGGAGGGAGGTGCCTCAGATAAAGGCTGGAACTCCTGACTTCTATAGATCTTACCATTAGTGAAACTCTGAAGATTTTATAAGTGAGGGAGAAATTCACATCAAATAAGAGAATCATAAGAAACTGTATACATTCCTGTTTACTTTAGCTTTTCCATTTGATTTCCATAAGAATCTAAGTTTACCAATTATGGTTATGACTTATTTACCACCCACTACACCCTGGGCACCACCCTACCAATTTGCTTACACGAATCATTGGAAAGGGAGAATGGGCACGATACATAGGTCTTCAGATATGAGAAACAAGAAGTGGATATGCTTAGATGAGAGAAGGTAAGCTTAATATAATTAAGTGTGAGCCATGTAAATCTGAGAAGTCAAAAGTATTTTTATGCCATTAGCAAATGTTTAAAATTAATTAAAAAGATGATGTAACTAACTTTCTCTCTCTCAATACTGCTCAATTACAAAGTCTTTATTCTGAGCCAAGAATTTTATATCATAACTCAATCTATATAGCTAGCTACGTGTGTGCATGTGTGCGTGTGTGTGTTAATATACTGTTAATAACAATAACAATAAAATATATTGTTAATATATTTTAATATTTATTTATTGTTAATATATACTATTAATAACAATAACAATGAAAATATATTGCCAATATATTATTGCATTATTTATAAAACTCTCCTTCTGAAACTGATTTTAGGTCCATCTATAAAGCACATAAGAAAACCATTCTAATTATAATATACTACAAACTACTTCAGTTCCATGTCTTCATTACTGGTTATGATTTATTTTAAGCCTACTTGTATTTTGACAAGGAGCAAAGAAAACATCAAGTTCTGAATTAAGAATTCACCTGAATAAACATCTAGACTCTAAATTGAAAATATAGGCACACTCAGCATTATGCAATATACTCATGTAACAAATCTGTGCATGTACCCCCTGAATCTTAAATAAAAGTTGAAAATTTTTAAAAGTAAAAATAAAAACATAGGTACAGGTCAAACTTTCTCAAACTCAATTGAACTGCATATCCTTTTCAAAGTCAACCATCTTGCCAACACTCAATAATTTCATTATAATTAACTATGTAAAAGTACAAAACAAATTAAATCTTTGTTAGAGTTCTTGCGAAGAACAAAGCCAAAATAAATTTTAAAGTTAAAACCAAATAAAGCTATAAAAACAATACAATTTTATTGTACATCTAATCTGATGTACAACATGCTTTTATTACATTTTTATATTAGCATCAAAAAGAAAATAAAATGTTATCTTCTTATGTCAAAATAATCACCCCCCCACACACACCCAGAAGGGGCATGGTGTTGAGGCTACGGTGGCCTCTCATTACAGCTCAAGGAGGTAGGCACATGAGTGCTACGTCACTCAAACATGCTGGGGACGTGATGACTTTGTCCCCTAGAATCTTTCGTTGATGAGCTCTACTCCAGTTCTTATGAGGCTTTCATGGTGTCTAATCTTTCCAAAATGAATCATGGTGAAATTTCTGAAATACTTTTCAGTTGTATACCTTTCCCCCCAATTTGCTTAGAATCAGTTTTAAATATTAGTCAAAAATGACATCACACCTACACATTTTTAAAAATCGATTATTTCTCAATAACAGAATAGTCAGCCATCTATAAATCAAGCCATTAAATTTTTTTATTGAGCTAATCAGTGAACAGTAGAAACCACTTAAACCTGATACAATTTTCTTAGAAATGATCACCAATAAGCCTTCGTAACAGGTCTTCCTAAATGGCAACCTGACCATTTCTAACACCAGGATGTTAAGTACATTATTCTTTTTATCAAAAGTACCCAAATGAAAAGGGGATGAACGTGAATCTGAAAGTCACAAAGAAATAGAGAGTCGGAAACTTTTTGTTTATGCTTTCACTTCTAATTTCAAATTTTTGACATATTACTAAATTAACTAGCAACACTGGACATATGTGTATAAACATACACATACACTCATGTAATCTCTAAGTGATTACTAGGTCTCAAGTAATAAAAGGCCTAATATTTCAGTTCATTTGATTAAACACAAGGCTAAATTCTAACTTTTGGCAAGCCTCTGTGACTCCTTCAATACAGTAGCTATTTTACAAGGATCTACTAGTGATATTTATATTTGCTTTGAGAGTTTCCCTTTTCTGCAACATAGCTCATATAATATTATGCTGAGCTATTAAATATTTACAGATCATGCCAATAGTTTCAACATTATATACCAGAAACACTGCAGCATCATATACTATAATTCTGCTGGTTTCCCTGAAACATCTCTTATTGAGTCTGCTTCTAAGAAACAAGACATGATTAGAGATGAGGTAATGATGAGCATATATAAAACTAACTCATAACATCTTCAGGAAATAACTTTGCCCTCTCTGAAACACTTTTAATTTTTACATGATTCATGTTTCAGAACTTTTAACATCATAGAAAATATAAATTAGTGACCAAAGTATATTCTATTATTTTAATCCACCTCCAAGGAAATTTACTTTCCTTTTAACTGTGATTCTGAACTTGAACAGAAAGTTAAGACGAGTTAACATACCTGTCATAGCCTAGAGGTTGAGGGGAATGACCAATGAATTTGGGACTGCTTCTAGAAATTGTATTCCCTGGTGAGATATTATTTATATGCTGTAATATAGAAGTAATCATTTGTTAGTTCATGTAATTTTCATGTAAACATTTTATATACACATAGGTACACACAAACCCATTTTTTAAAACTGTAGCACACTACTCAAACTTCTAATGTAACTAAAAGTTTGTTACACTACCTGAGCAAATGTGAGCAAAAAATCAAGGGAAACATTGCAACGAAGATGACTGCCATAGTACGCTCTCCTCCTCATCCTATCTTACGTCCAAACCCTACTGCATATTCCATAAAGGAGTACTATGGTTCCCCACTTTGCCAGGATCCTGCAACTCAACTTCCTTGAATGTGTCTCTTCTTGAACCATAATTTGGCTTAGTGACTGACTCCTCCATATCCCAATACGACCCTGGAATCTTACACATGAAGCTGACTTCCAAAAGTGGGATAAGAGGTCTTATGACAAATGCAGTCTGGGAGAGGTCCTTAAAGTTCCAAATGAGCTAAGCTGATTTCTGTAGGAGGGTTTGAAATCCAAGGCTCCCATTCTGAGCATCTCACTGGCATAAAGAATACTCACAAGTCTAAACTCTTTCAGGCCAAAGATCCCATCTTACACACCTATCTCTAGATTCCTAGAACATCTATAAAAAGAGTTGGTTAACATTGAGACACTTATTTCTTCAGAGGAGTAGCATATTTTTTAATTTGGAAAAATGCTGCCTCGTTTTATTTTATGGAAAGATCTTCTCATTATTATAAGGACTTACTTGAGGCTCTCCTTTAAGAAATTACATTATTTTCATCAACACCAAAATACTCCACCACTAGAAAGAATGAAATACATGGTAAAACTATGTGGCATACCAAAGATCTGTTGAACTTGCTATAACTGTTTTCAAGGGCACTTCTAAGGCCATCATTACTGTCATGTAGCTTCCGGTTAGCTGTTCTGCAGGGTAAAGAAACAAGCAGAAAGAGAGACAAGGAAAGTATCATTGGGGGTCACTGTCATCACTTTCTTTTCTAGCTGTAACATTCAGAATGTGGAATAGCTTATCATCTTCTGCAACTTTCCACCACTTCCCTTCAAACCTCAAAAACTGAGATAATTCATTACTTAAAGTACAAGAACTAAATTGATTACTCCTCTCTCTTTAAAGGTCTCAGGGCCTTGCAGGAATCAACTGTCTATGCTGTGGAACTCACTCTTCCTTAAGGTAGCCCCGCTGATTGAACAGATTTCATGCAGGTCTTTCAAAGCTCCCTAAATGCCTGAACCTGGCCAGCCAGTTACCACATTTCAGAGGTCAGGGATGAACGCAGTGTGTTATATCAGGCTTCATGCTCCTGGCAGCTCCTGCATTCTATGCACAGCCTGGCACTGTTCCACCAGGTACCGTCGTGTAGCAGGTAAACACTTGGGTGATGATCTCAGTCAGGTCTGGGTTCAAATCCTAACTCTTATTTCCATATGACTTAACAGAAGTCATTCAAGCTGTCAGAGCTTCAGCGCCCTCTTGTACAGCAAAGCTATGATTCCACAGCTCCTACACCACAGAGTGGCTAACCTTCCCCAGCTTAAGGCTGGTTCACCCTTCGCATCTTAGCTCAATCCTCACTTCCTCCAGAACACTTCCTTGACCTTCTTTGATAGGCCAATGCTCCCCTTAGGGGACATGTACCTTTCTTTTGCTGCATCTCTCTTGTTTGGCCTTTTATATTTATTTCTATGATTATTGATCCATTTCTGTCTTCTTCCCCTAAACTAGCCCCATAAGGGGAAAGAGATTTTTCACCCACTTCCCACTCTATCCTTTGCTCCTGGCATACCTGGCCTGTAAGAGGTGCTGACAAATCTGTTGAATGAATGAATAAATAAAATAACTTGAAGGATTACTGAAATACATGAACTCTACAACTGCCACAGGTGAGACTTAATAAGCATTCAAAAATGGTGAAAAAAAAAAAGGTCAAACCTGACCTGACTTCATTGAGGGGAACTGAAACCAGAAGACAATGCAGCATGGGTAGAAAAGAAAGGGGAAGGAGAGGGGTAGGTTTTGTGGGGAAGACCTTCAGAGGATGGAACTGCTATAACCTAGTCATAAAGCTGACAGAGTGGGTATATTTCTACTTGGGGAGAGGGAAAAAAACCTAAGAAAAATATACTTCTAAGTAAACAAAACAAACTGAGAAAGAATTGTGGAGGCAGAACCCTGTGGCCCCACTAACAAGAGAAGCCTCAAAAACTCAGGGTACGGGCCGGGCGTGGTGGCTCATGCCTGTCATCCCAGCACTTTGGGAGGCCGAGGCGGGAGGATCACAAAGTCAGGAGATCGAGACCATCCTGGCTAACAAGGTAAAATGCCGTCTCTACTAAAAAAATACAAAAATTAGCTGGGCCTGGTGGCGGGTGCCTGTAGTCCCAGCTACTCAGGAGGCTGAGGCAGAAGAATGGCATGAACCCAGGAAGCAGAGCTTGCAGTGAGCCGAGATTGCACCACTGCACTTCAGCCTGGGTGACAGGGCAAGACTCTGTCTCAAAAAAAAAAAAAAAAACTCACGGTACAGAACTCAGAGAAAGCTGAGTGCTCAGGGCCATTTTTCTTTATAGAGGCATAATAAAGACACACTGGACATATCCCCTGACTTCCCAAGATGTTTAGAGATTTATACTCTATTCCCACATCTGAATAATTTATTTAGGATTATAAGCATCAGAAAGCTAAGAGGAGATGCCAAGTGCACACCCTGAGAAGAAACACCCACTGACCTGCAAACCCAGTGTTCAGAACATGGCAACTCACGTTCTATGTGTTATGTCTTTTATTAACTAAAAAACAAGTGAAATGTAAATGTAATGAGCATTTGATCTGCGGACTTACTGGAGTATTTCAATTTGCCTCTCAAGACTATTTCGATCTTCTGTGTATGCTCGGATTATTTCCAGATCCCTGTAAAATTGTATTTTATGTTTGAGTGAGAATTAGGTGTCAAGTCCTGCCTCACGTATACCTACCCTCCCAGACCCTTTCCCACCTTTTTCAAAGACGAGTGTCCTTGGCCACAGTTTTCTATCTTTCCCGTGCTCCTGCTCTGGGCCTCTGTGGCCTCAGCAGCCTCCTCTCCTTCTGCGACTCCACAAACACACTCACATCCTGTGCTTTCTCCTGTGAGTCTCTGCCCCGCCTCCGACATCACAAGCCTAGAGCTTCTCCTCCTCAGCCCATCTCAGCAACCACCAGCTCTTCCATCCCCATGCTCGCTGACCCAGCTCTGTTCTCCACGAGGGCTGAACCTCCTGAGTCTCTTCTAAGGGTGTCTCAGAAACTGTGCCTTCAATCCTCTGAACCTTCCCTGCTCATCTAAAGCCTTATATAATCCCAACTCCATCTATTTTCTCCTTTCCTGTGATTCCTTCCTCTTTCCATCTCACACTACTCCTGCTCTCCCTCCTCTCCTTACCTAAACCACAGAGATCCCCAAAGAACCAGGCTTGCTAAGCTCGTGAGACACTCATTCTGTGGCAATCCCTCTGTTGCTTTATGATGGAAGCTCTGGCTTCTTCCCCAAACTGCTCAGAACACTGGCCCTCTCCTCCAGCCCCTATTCCCCTGAGCATACAAACCTCATCACTAGCTTCCCAAAATGCCCAGGCTATCAAGTTTGGTTCACAATAACCTGTCCATCTGCTCCCTGGATGATAAAAGTACACATTTCCTAATTGTCTATAGGAATTTAAGTTCCTTAAACCAAAATTCGGGGGCCTTCTATGATAACCTTAAACTAGCTTTTAAACTTTTTAATTTTTTTTTTAAACTTTTGCTTTTCTATTCAAAATGTCTCTTTCTGCCCTGTGGTCTGACCACCTTTCCCCAAGCCGTATCCTTCCCTATGTTCTGGTCCCTGCTTTGGTTACTGCCTTACCTGGAACATCTCTGAGACTCTCTTTTCCCATCTGTAAAATGGACATAATGAAGGTCCCTGTCTCACCAGATGTTCTGTGGACTGGATCAGTTAATGCTTGCGAAGGACCAGGACAGTGCCTGGCAGGCAGCAGTGCCACCAGCTCTGAGTTGCTGATGTTGCCATCCTGGCTGCCTCTCTCCCCTTTCCCAGCACAGAGCTATCTTTCTACCTAGGCTCACCTCCAGCATCACCTCTTCAATACAGTTCTTCACCTCTTCTGAACTAAAACAAAACCTTTTCTGTGATCACACAGCAATTAACCCAAACCATGACTACGTTAGTGGCACTACTTCTGATATTTTTTAGCTCTTCTGTTGTTAAACCCTATAATCTTTTTGCTTTTTTTCCCAACTAAATTTGAAGTTCTCATCATATATATATATATATATATATATATATATATATATATATATATGACGTGGGCTCTGTGTTTTGAGATTATAAATATATATATACTCTCCACTCATAACTCCTTATCTAGTTCAGAGACTTGTATGTAGTAAACGATAATATTTCACTGTTTTCTCTTGTAAGACCTTAATTCTGATTAAAGTTTGCAAACAAACCCAAAAAAAGATATTTTTCCCAAGTGTACATGTCCTAGGGGATACACACATATACACATATCTATGCATTTTATATTTACCATCCATATAAAAATATACATGTCTATGTTCCTTATATATAAATACGTGTCTGTGAATGTATGTATGTGTATTAGGTTTTATGGTATTAACACCATACTGCAAAACTAACACACACGAAAATAGACTTGCCTACTTTTCCCTTTCTTATGTTTTATGGCCAGGATTCCTGACTTCAAAACACTTTAATAAGTACTAACCCTTGACACTGTGGTATATTCTTTTAGCTCCCAGTTAATTCAAACATTTATTAAGCCCTGCACTAGCCAAAACAGACAATAATTATTCTATTTGCTTAAAAAATTAAAAACATAAAAAACACTAGGAAACCTGATACTGAAAATAAAATCATTAGAAAGTAAAGAAGATATTAGCAAAGTTACTAACTCTTCATTATTCCATAGCTGAGCTTCTTTTGCCTGGATGATCATCTCAATATTCTACTCAAACTAACAAATAAAATGCAAAGTTCATACCTTTCAGTATTCAGACTCTGATCAGCATAATCACTTTTCAAAGCATCTAACTCACTCTGAAGAAAGGCTATGTTTGTCTGTGCTTCTAAAAGGTCTTTCTTAACTTTCTGGTTTTCCTGGATAAAATGAAAAGTGGGGGTCATTAGATTCAGATTTTCCTCTGCCTGGGAGAAATGAAGTAAAGTGTCCTGTCACCCTCCCACACCACTCTCACCCTTCCACAACTCTTCAAAATCTCAGTGTTCAAACAACTATTTGTCAATTCAAGGTAATTTGAAATCAATATAAATTAATAAAGTGTCAAAAATCAAAACCCTCAAAGTCATTCTTCATTTTTTTATGCTTGATATTTGACACCAAACTACAACAGTCAAGGGTTTATCATGATGTATTTCAACACATTATTGGCAAATTAACTGACACCAACCATTCGAATGCTTGCTTTATTTAATGAGCGCTTTAAAATTATTGATAAACATTTTGTGGAATCAACAGTACCTATTACCAGGTACACTGGCTACTTTTTACAAATAAATTCCATCACTTAATATTTTAAGTTTTACACTTAAAAATAAACCAGTGTGATTTGAAAATTTCTGTATTTTCTTAAAATAATATTGGAGACATTCGTTCAAGATGGTGGATGGAGCACATGAATTTGTCTTTTTCCCCTTCCAAAACCTCACTAAAATGAAATGCCAAAGGAAATGAACCAATAACAGTTAAAAGAATGGAAGAGCAGCCCAGAGCATTCAAGTGACTTAAATGCACTTCTAGAAAGTGGAAACTGATGGAAATGTGTTGCCAAAGGGAACAGAGTGGGGAAATGGAAGATTAGAGGAAGTGTGTTTAAGGTTTTGACACAGAATCCAGAAGGAGACAAGTGACCGGGCCGAACCCCAGAAAGACAGAACCAGATATGGGGTTGGAAAGAGAGATTAAAACTGTATAGTAAGCCACCCTTCCCACCAAGCCCATTCCCTATCTTACCCTAGCAAGTAACAGCAGAGAGCCAGAGTGGATTCTGAAGACAAGGCAGAGATTATCTTTTTAAAACTAAGTGGCTCCTGTAAAAAAAGCTAAGGCTTCTCTCTGAATATCCCTGCCCCACTCACACCGGTAACTGGGGTCCCCTGCCAGCTTCACACACAGAGCTCCTTGGAAGACACTCTCTCGGGAGAAAGGCCTTCAGGTGAGCATATCTGTTCACACCGTCCCACAGGATCCTACACCAGCTACCTTAAGTGACCAAGCTAGTCCTTCATTTTAAAATATGAACAGATCACCAACAACTGCCAGGTAGTTGAAAAAAAATGGTACCTAGAAATAATTAAATTAATAAATCACAGAGGAGTCCCAAAAAAGCCTATTTATCTAAACAAACTTAATAAATTGTGAGGGGGAATGTAGACATTCTCAAATATTCAAAAACAGAAAATTTCTCTCTCACATGTTCTTTCTGAAGAAGTTTCTTGAGGATGTGCTATGCCGAAATGAGGATGAAACCCTCTCCTCCCAAAAAATTGTAATATGCAAAATGCTGCAATTCAGTGAAAGGCCTAGTGAAAAGAAATTGCAGAACATATGGGTGGCAAGTTTAAAAAACAATCAGTCCAATAAGAACTGAAATTTTGCCAGGTGCGGTGGCTCACGCCTATAATCCCAGCACTTTGGGAGGCCAAAGCGGGTGATCATGAGGTCAAGAGATTGAGACCACCCTGGCCAACACGGTGAAACCCTGTCTCTATTAAAACTCAAAAATTTAGCGGGGCGTGGTGGTGCGCATCTATAGTTCCAGCTACTTGGGAGGCTGAGGCAGGAGAATCACTTGAACCCAGGAGATGGAGGTTGCAGTGAGCCAAGATCGTGCCACTGTAGTCCAGCCTGGTGACAGAGCAAGACTCCATCTCAAAAAAAAAAAAAAAAAAAAAAAAAACTGAAATTTTATAGACTCCAAAATTAATATTTTCAAGGAGAAAAACTAAACAAATTTCATGCATTGGAAAGACTAAATAAGTCTTAAGGTATCAGTGATATCATGAAAATGGTAGTGCTTTTTGCAAGAAGAAACCAAAAAAATCAACCAGAAAATCCAAGAAAAACAAATAACTCTACAAGAATGTCATTATCCAAATACAAAGCCTACTAAGATGTGGAAAAATCTGGAACTAGGAATTCATTTGACCATGAAGCTGGGAACCTTCTAAGTGGATCAGAGATAATAAATGGAGAGAAAGAAATGCAAGCCTCACTCATTTCTTAGCTCTGCAGTGAAAATATTTAGAATCATAAGAAAGAAAATGCTCTTTATCTGCTTTCAAATTTGAGAGTTAATCTAAAACCAAACTAAATAAAACTCATAACAGAAGATATGTAAATGTTACCAATTTTGTTAGTACTAAAAGTAGATGTGGCTGGCGTAAGATGGAAAAGCGACAGAAAAAAAAAAAACTTGGAGGAAGGGGCAAGGCACTAATATCCTCATCACTAAGCCAGGAATACAGACCAGAGCTGATGTTGGAAGAACACAGGGTTAACTGTGTTACATAAAATGTAAGCACTAGGTCTTTATTACTTTGTATGAAAAATAAGTAAAAGCTTTCACAATAAGTGGCATATTATTGAGGGAAAAGCCTGCATAAATAGTATCTTTGATCAAAGTTATTTTAAGGACTTTTTCTAACTACAGTATTAACTTCCCTTTAAGCTGCTCTTCCTGGAACACTGAAATAAGAGCATGAGGATGTGGTCTAACAGGAAGTGCATTTCTGTAAGTGAAAAGGTAATTCTTACCATTGATAAATCATAAATTTGTTTTTTCAATGCAGCCACATCTTCCTTTTGACTTACGCGTTTTGATTGTTCTTCGAGCTGAAAGACCAAATAAAAGTTGTGTGCTTACAAACTCACTTTGAATTGCTTTGGTTAAGTTTAGGACTATCCTTGAATATACATATGAGAATTCTAGAAGTCACCAATTTTCAACATTATGCAACTTCATAAATCATTAAACTACATAAAATCCATAAGGATTTGAAATTTTGTTCTAAATAATTTAAACATTTGAAAAAGGGGTTTTGTTGTGAAATGAACTTTTTTGGAAACAGCTGAAAAGCCTTTTTTGGAAATCATTCAACTATTAAGCAATCCAGTTCTTGCTTTTTTCAGTTATGCTACATTAGAATCTGGATCTTTTTATTCTCCTTCGTATTATCTGCATTTAACACTTTCCATTCTGTATTACAATTATTTAGAAATGTCTTACCTTCCCTGCTACAGAGCAAGATTTTTTAAGAGCAGAATTAGTGTCAGATTCACCTATGTTTTCTTCATGGTGAGTTTAAGAAATGCTTATTAAATAACTAAAATCAATAAAATCTGAGTATAACAGGAAGCTAGAGACACAAACACACTTGATTATATATACCTACATTTAAGCTTTGCTTGATGATTAACTCATTTCTACATGAGCTTTGCTTGCTGGTTGACTCATTTCTATTGCAACTACAAACTCGTTACAATTACCAGACTAAATTGGTTCCACACATTTATAACCTGGAGAACAACAACAACAACAACAACAACAAAATGCCTTTCCTACAAACAGCTTACATCCTCTGGGAATGGTAGGGATCTGTTGGTATTCATTATTGGAATGTTTATGCACTGATCAAAATGGATCCCACATTTCACGAAGTCTAAGTGCTTTGATTCTGGACCTTCTTCACCTTGCCAGATGCTATAAAGGGATAGTGTTTACATAACAACGTCATGACTGCCACGAGGCTGACTCTGACTGAGAAAAGCCATCGATTTAAACACGCATTTTGACTTCAGAGAAGAAAAACCATCGGGAAAAAATGAGTTTCTCAGAATCAAGGACACAGTTAGTGGCAATTGTAACAAATTTGTAAACTATAGCCCTTAATGCACTCTCAAATAAACATCTTGCTGTTTTGCATAACAACCACATCAGGCATGCAGGAAGTCTGGAATAAGTGAGAAAGCACAAACTGTGTAGTAAGATGGCTTCATCAGTTATTAGCTGTGTGACTCTGAACAAGTTAGTTAACCTCCCTGGAACTCAGTCCTCATCTCTAAAAGTAGGATATTTATACCTTCCTCAGAGAAAGTTTAAGAATTTGATTTTTTAAATCATGAAAAAGAGCTTAGTGAACTGCAAAGTCAATAAAATGTCAGTCATTATGGTTAGGAAAGACAGTTTTTTAATAATTGCATTTTATAGATCAGAAACTAAAAATCAGAAAGATGATGTGAACTATCCGAGGTGCTTCAGGGAAAAATGGGTACAGTTTTGACAAGGATTCAGGTCTCCTGACACATGGGCTTTCTTACTGTTCAGACCACTTGGGCCTCATCAGTCGCTGCATCTCTTCTTGTAGACATTCCTTTAAAGATTTGGGAAGCCACAGAAATAAGTCAGGGCAGTGACTCAGTGAATTTGTGGCTCTAGCATAAACAGAAGATTCGTCTGTTCAATTCTGTAATGTAAGCATAGTATGCATGGCCTAATAACTTTTGAAAATTAGATATAAGGTTCAAATTGATATTCATTTTCTAAGGAGGCTACTGGGGAGAATTCTTAATCATCCCAGAGGTTTAAATTGCAATAGTGTATAAAATACAAAATATAGCTAATTGCCACTTAGTCTCATCACCACTTTCAGAGATGATTTTTTATTTTTTTTTAAGATACTGACATAATCATGGCTCACTGCAGCCTTCCTCTCCCAGCTTCAAGTGATCCTTCCACCCCAGCCTCCTGAGTCACTGGGACTACAGGCATGTGCTACCACATGCAGTTAATTTTTAAAATTTATTTATTTATTTATTTTTGCAGTGGTGGGATCTCAACTATGTCACCCAGGCTGGTCTTGACCTCCTGAGCACAAGCAATCCTCCTGCCTCAGCTTTCCAAAGTATTAGGTTTACAGACATGAGCCACCATGCCCAGCAAGGATGATCCTTTTTTAATTATCCATTTTCATTTTAGCTAACACATCCCCATTAGTTATGGGAAAAACAAAAACAGATCCAAGAAGTGTGTCTAGTACAGTGCCGGAGCCAGCCTGTACCAGCAGGTGAGAGTCTGCTTTAAGCATCTCTTCTCAACCTTAAATTCAGTAACATCAACTTGGTAGCATGAAATCAGTAATGACAGGAGTATTTATACCATGGAAATCAACAAATGATACACATCCCTCCCTTCCCCTCCACCCACTATAGAGCCACCTGTTAAACAACTGCCAGAGTATTACTGAGTAAAACAACCTGCTCATTAGAAACCAAATAGAGGAAAAGCCAAAAACCAACCACATTAAACAAACAAACAAACAAACTAATCACATCTTTGCTCACACTTCAACAAGTTCTGCTCTTCTTCAAAAACTAGTGACTCTTGGTGATCAGGGTACCCTAGATCTGGAATTTTCTACTTAGAAGAGCAATATTCATTTCATTTAATAAATATTCCCTGAATACTTACCATGCACTTTGCAATAAGCTAGGGGTAGGGACACGGGGATATTTGACATGACCAAGAAAAACAGTCATGAAGCATGCAGTCTACCAGACACAAGGGACTTGAGAGTACTAAGCTGGTGAAGACCAAGGAAAGCAAACTGAAGTTTTATGGACAATGGTTGAAGGGATCAGAAAATAATTATTAAATCTATGCAAAAGACAGGTGGCCCCTGGAAACAGAAGAGGAACTCAGGGGCCCTTAAAAGGTCTTTCAGGCTGGGCACAGTGGCT
The DNA here is from genome assembly GCF_000001405.40 of Homo sapiens. NCBI lineage: Eukaryota > Metazoa > Chordata > Mammalia > Primates > Hominidae > Homo > Homo sapiens. The sequence goes on from NC_000009.12 coordinate 83,015,416, forward strand.
CACGCCTGTAATCCCAACACTTTGGGAGGCTGAAGTGGGTGGATCACCTGAGGTCAGGAGTTTGAGACCAGCCTGGCCGACATGGTGAAACCCGCCTCTACTAAAAACACAAAAATTAGCTGGGCATGGTGGTGCATGCCTATAATCCCAGCTACTCAGGAGGCTGAGACAGGAGAATCATTTGAATCCAGGAGGCGGAGGTTGCAGTGAGCCAAGATCTTGCCACTGCACTCCAGCCTGGGTGACAGAGCAAGACTCAGTCTCAAAACAAATCTGAAATCTGATCTATCCGCCACTTCAATAGGATTCCAAATGTTTTTGGTTGTTAATGGCTTAGATACCCTGAGATGCTGAGGCTGTTCCTACAAGTCCAGCTGCCACATGCCTACCTTTCTTAGCTTTTTAATGGTCACCTGCAGATCTCCTACTTCAGTTTCATACTGACGTCTGAGGTCACTGAGGGCTTCCTCAGCTTTGCGTTTTTCCTAAAAGAAAAAAAAATATGTTGTTCATTTAAATAAGTTCACCCTCTTAACCTTCAAAACCCCACAGGTGAGAAACATTTTGTGTCAAATTAAGGCTGACTTCAGTTCTCCTACACAGGGAAGGTGAGAAAGGATATCAGAAGGAAACCAATTGACTTCAGATGTACCACAATTTTGGAACTGAAACCTACAAAACTGAAAGAAGAGCAGGATCCCACAACCTACATACACACCTCACCCGGGAGTGACACCTCTAAGACTATTACTCACATTGTGATAGAGACCATAGCACATCAATCAATTAAGTAATTATTGCTATAATTAGTTAAAAGACATGGCACAGTGACCGGAATCCTATCATGTCATCAGGACTCAAGAAGGCATCCTGGGTGAACCCTTTTCCCTAGAGATGATGTCTTATCTAAATCCCAATTACATCACTGCAAATTTCTATGCAAAGTGCCTCCCTGTGGCCTGGTACTTCTCGGGGGTGTCCCTTCAAGTTCTTCTGGAGCAGAGAATGGCAGTAAGGCACCCCAGGTCAGGGGATTGCCATTCAGAAGCTCCCACTGGCTGAAACATCTCTAAATTTACTTTTCTTTTAATAAATGATACAATTTTATATTTTACCTTCAGTATTCAAATAGTTTTATGTTGACAGCCAGTAAAATTCAGTGTACAAATATTCGCTTATCACCTACCAATGGTTCTAAGGGACTGGGGACATGGGGACAGAGAGGGGGATAATAAAACTGATGTTCTCAGGCATTCTAGCAGAGAAGACAGAAAAAGGCAATTTCAGGAAATAATACAAAAAAAGAAAAAACAGGGAGATGTGACAGGAAGTCAGTCTGCTAGAGAGTAAGGTAGGGCCTCTCTGCAGCATGCTCCCACATCTGAATACCTGCCAGAGGTAGCGTGTCTTACTGCCCACTCATTGGCTGTGGAGCTGGGCAAGTTGCTAAACTTATCCATGCCTCCATTTTCTTTTTAACTACTGTGAGGATTAAATTAATTAATCCATATAAATTAAATAATCCATGTGAAATGCTTGGCAGAAAAGCAACATCTTCCCTAAAGGTAACGTTTTTAAAAGGGGCTATCTTGACTTCATCCAGCTTTACAGGTGAGGCAACAATTTCTGCCTGCCTCACATGTGGATGAAGACACAGAGGCCTCACAATGAGGTGCTAATGAGGCAGCCTTCCTGGCCTCAAAATGGACTTGACTGCAAGTCCCTTCATTAGATCCACAGCCACAAAACCAAACATAAACATTTTAGGGTTTAGAAATACTTTATCCAGGCCAGGCATGGTGGCTCATGACTGTAATCCCAACACTCTGGGAGGCCGAGGCGGGTGGATCACGAGGTCAGGAGACTGAGACCATCCTGGCTAACACGGTGAAACCTCGTCTCTACTAAAAAAAAAAAAAAAAAAAAAGAAAGAAATTAGCCGGGTGTGGTGGCAGGCGCCTGTTGTCCCAGCTACTCGGGAGGCTGAGGCAGGAGAATGGCGTGAACCCGGGAGGTGGAGCCTGCAGTGAGCCGAGATCGCGCCACAGCACTCCAGCCTGGGCGACAGAGCGAGACTCTGTCTCAAAAAAAAAAAGAAGTACTTTATCCAGAGTTCAATAAAGGAAATGATCACTAGCCTATTTCATTCCCAACCTGCGACAGGTAGATGCTGAGAGATCAGATAAGAGATTGTTACAGTAATGCAGGTGAGAAATGGTAGTGGTTCAGATCAACTCTTCACAAACTTCCAGTAAACTGGAATGGAGGGAATACGTCCCAACTCATTCTAGGAGACCAGAATTTGCCTGACGCCAAAATAAGACAAAAGCATTAAAAGTACAAACCAATATCTCTTCCACATATGAATGCAAAAATATTAAGTAAAATTTAGCAAACTGAATTCAACAATCTATAGAAAGGATAATACATCATAACTAATTAGGGCCTAGCTCAAGTGCAAGTTTGTTTTAATATTCAAAAATCAATCAATGTAATTTGCCACATTAACATTCTAAAAAAGAAAAAAACATGATCATGAGACAGAAAAAGTATTTGAGAAAATCCAACATCCATTCCTGACTAAAACAACAGCAACAACAATAATACTCAGCCAACTAGGAACAGAAGGGACTCTACTGCATTTATAAAGGCATCTGTGAACACTACACTACTAACATCACATTCAATGTTCTCATCTCCTTTATTCTTCTTACCAGTGCAATAAGGCAAGAAAAATAAAAAGCTTCATTCAAATTGGAAAGAAAAATAAAATGTTTTTATTAATATATTTCATAATCATCCTAGAAAATGACAAAATCTACCAACAAAAAGGCACTGCATATAAACAATGTAAGCAATGCTACAGAATACGAGACCAATCTCAAAAATCAAATGTATTTCTATACATTCACAATGAACAATCAGAAATTGAAATTTTTAGAAATACTATTTACAGTATCATCAAACTATGACATACTGAGTATATCTAAGATGTACAAGATCTGTACAGTGAATAACACAAAACATTGCTGAAAGAAGACATAGAGAGAGAAATCATATTTTCAATACTGTTGTCAATTCTCTCCAAATTGATCTATAGACGCAATGAAGTTCAGTCAAACTCCCTGCAGACTTTTAGTTTTTGTTTGCTTTTTTTTTTAAAAGAAATTGAAAGGCTGATTCTTTGAAAACTAAAGCAATTAAAATAGGCAAAACAACTTTTAAAAAAGCACAAAGTTGAAGAAGAACTAATACTAGTTGATTTCAAGACTTATTATAAACCAATAGGTATGAAGACATACTATAAACCAATAGGTATCAAGACTTATAAACCAACAGGTATCAAGACATTATAAACCAATAGGTATCAAGACAATGTAATATTGGCATAACAATAGACAAATCAATCAATGGAACAGAACAGAGAGCCCAGAAATAAACCTACACAAATAGAATAAACTGATTTTGGATAAAGTGCAGAGGCAATTCAGTGGAAAATGGTTAGTCTTGTTTAATAAAGGTGTGGGAACAATTGGATATCTACATAAAAAAAATATGAACATTGATCCATATCTTGGCACCAAATACAAAATGGATCCTGAATTTAACCTAAAACAATAAAGCTTATAGAAGAAAACACAGGGGAAAATCTTGAGTTAAAGATTTTTAAAGATCACATGAAAAGTATGGTCCATGAAAAAAAGTATGGTCCATAAAAAATTAAAAATTTATACTCTTACTGTTAGGAGAATGAAAAGACAGGTCACGGTGTGGGTGAAAATATTTATAGATCAGGTATCTGATAAAAGACTTGCATTCAGAATATAAAAGAACTCTCAAAACATAGTAATTTTTTAAAAAAAACTGTATTTGTAATGAGCCAAAGATTTTTAATAAGATACTTCAGCAAAAAATATATATATATACACATGGCAGATAAACCCACGAAAAGATCCTCCACACAACTAGTCATTAGAGAGATGCAAGTTAAAACCACAGTGAGATTCCTCTACACACCGATTAGAATGCTGAAAGAATGGGACTCTCATACACTGCTGATTGAATCATACAACTGTACAACCACTCTGGAAATCAGGTTTGCAGTATCTTACAAAAATCCACATTCATCTACATAGATGATCAACCCATTCCACTCCAGGAATTTACTCAAGAGGAATAAAAGTATATGCCTCTATAAAGACTTGTACATGCATATTCATGGCACCTTAATTTGCAATAGCCAACAACTGGAAATAACTCAAATGTCCTTCTACAGATGAATGGCTAAACACTGTGGTACCCCTACGTAATAGAATACTACTTGGCAATGAAAAAGAACAAACTATTAATTACACGGATAAGTCTCAAAACAATTATGTTGAGTGGAAAACGCCAGAGAAGAAATAGCATATATTGCATGATTCCACTTCTATACAGTTCTGAAAACTTCAAACTAATCTACAGCGACAGAAAATAGAACAATGATTATCTGGCAAAAAGGGGCAAAGAAAGGAGGAAGGAAGGCTTGTTATGCCTTCAAGGGGCATGAAGAAACTTCGAGGGTGGATAGTTATGCCCATGATCTTGCCTGTGGGAATGGTTTCATGGTGCATACATATGTCCAAACTTCACATATACTGTACTTTATATGCAGTTTATTGCCTGCCAGTTATACCTTCATAAAGCTGTTACAGTTAAAAAAAAATACTAACTGAAGTAATGCAATATATGCTATATATGCCATAGGAGTCAAGGACAGGAAGAGGTGAATGTGGCTACAGGAGCAGGGCAGGGCATCAAGAAGAAAGTGAGGGTTCCTCTGAGCTTTGCAGAATTTGGGAAGAAGGAAAGGAGTGAAGAGATAATCATCAAGACAAAGAAAACAGCTGGAGCCAAAGCAGGGTCAGGCACAGTGAGGCCACTGGGCCAGGGCTGGGGGCGAAGAACCCTGGGGAGCCGAGGGGAGCCATGTGGAATGGAAGGAAATGAGGGAAAAATCTTAGACTGGCCTGGGCACATTATTCCAGAGAGGCTGTGTTTAGAAAGGTGTGAGGCGGACACTAGGATGGACAGGCAAACAAGTTTCCTCGCAGTGCCAAAGCTGCTCAGCTGGCAGTGACGTCCTGGACTGGCGTGCTGAGGTGTGGAGACCACATGTATGTGGTGACTGACAGGCCACATGTGTCATTGCTGTGGAATAGAGAAATGATGCTGTGGATGCATGGGTTTGCCACTACCGGACTGAAGCCAAGGAAACTAAAGAAGATCCTGTAATTAACAAAACATGAAATTCTAAAAGGTGGGGGCCATGGTAATATCCCCATTACCAGCAACAAATTTGGGAGGCATTTATCTGGAAGAAGCAATGAGATATGATGACAGAATAACACGTGCTTGATAAGTGTTTGATGAATGAATTTGTGCACAGATTAAACACAGCAGATGGAGAGAAAAAAAGGCAGAAAAATGATTTCACTCTTTCCTTTTTACCAAAAGGAAAGTGCTAGCTGAAGAAGGGGTTATCCATTGCTCTGAAGCTGGACCATGAACCTTAAACCATTTATGTGGTTGAAAATGACGTCCAGCTTCTTATTAAACTTTTTATAAGAAGATAGGACAACAAAGACACCCCAGGGCATATATGTGGTAAAGCCATTTAAGGTGAAGAATCTAAAAGGAATCAGGAATACACAGAGCCACAGGAAAAAGCAGGACAGTAACAACCAGGGTGCAGCCACTACATTGCAGGCACCGTGCTAGGCACTTTATATAGATCATCATGTCTAACCCCTGTGAAGGCAGGTAGGTTGCATTATCCCATTTTAGAGATGGAATAACAAAGGCTCAGAGGTTGGGTTATTTTCCCAATGCCACCTAGATACAATCTGGGCCAGGATGCAAACTAAGGTCTCCCAGATGCCAATGTTCAGGCCACTTGTACATTATTTTGCTGCCACTCAGTGTTAACAGGGCAAATTAATAAACAAAAGTGGAAGTTTTAACCTAGCATTGTCTATTTTCTGTTTTCAATAAACATTAATCACCCAAAAATATTTTATAAAAAAATTATTTCTTCAATGGAAATCACTGAAGGTAACATATCACTTTCAACTTTAAATGGTTCCTATAATGCTGAATAAAGGCATACAATCAGCCCTTCATATCCACAAGTTCTGCATCTGCGAATTCAACCACTAAAGACCGAAAATATTTTAAGCAGTAAAAGTGATGCAGATAAAAATACAGTGTAACAGCTCTTTACAAAGCATTTACATTGTGTTAAATATTAGGTATTATAAGTAATCCAGAGATGATTTAAAGTATACTAGAGGATATACATAGGTTGTATGTAAATATACACCATTTATATAAAAACTTGAGCATGCAGATTTTGGTATGCGGGGTTGCAGGGGAGTCCTGGAACCAATCCCCTTGGGTACCAAGTGATGACTGTATTCCATTATAAAACACCAAAGTTTGAAGACAGAATTTTAATTTCACTCTAATCTAGATTTAAAGTGGGCAGCAGGTGTGGGCAGACACAGGTATGGAAAGTCAAGCCACCTTCTCTATGAAGGCTGCCTCTGCCTTCTCCTAAGGCCTCATCTCTGATGTTACCCCTTCAAAGAGGCCTCTTACCCCCAACCTAAGCAGCCTCCTCCCCCAGTCACTATGGCACATGTTATTTCTTTACTGCACTTGTCACTATCTGAACTTATTTGCTTTGCTTATTTATTATTTCTACTTCTTCTTACCCCATCCCCAAAAACCACCACCAGTAAAAATTCCTTTGCTGGGAGACTCTGCAGAAACCTGGACTTGCTGTACCCCTGCATGACACCCAGAAGAGTGCCTGGGCCCTCTCCGTAGAAACCACCTCATAAAGATCTGCTGAATGAATGGCCAACCCAGAAACTCACGTCTTTCCGTGTCTTATGTTCTGCAGCCTGAATCCTCTGATCCATTTCCTCTTCCAACTCACTCAACTGCATAGCTGCCTTGTCCTGGGCTCTGAAATTCAAAAGGATGCACACCTTTTCATTATACTCTTGAACTTGAAACATGAAGAGAAACTTCAGATTCATCTACGTTAAGCCCTATATATTACAGATGAAGAGAAACACCCCATTCAAAATGATTTCCCATTCCTTCTACATAATAAAATGAGATTGGCAATTCGACCATTTTGGTGTAAAATGATTTTAAAACTAGATACAGTTATGCATTCCTTAACAACTAGTATACATTATGAGAAATGTGTCTTTAGGAGATTTTTGTCATTGTGTAAGCATCATAAAGAGTATTTACACCAACCCAGCTGGTAAAGCCTACTTCACACCTAGGCTATATGGAATAGCATATTGCTCCTAGGCTGGAAACCTGAACAGCATGGGACTGTACTGAATACTGGAAGTAACTGTAACACAATGGTATTTATGTATCTAAACACAGAATAGATACAGTAAAAGTATAGGATTATATTCTTATGGGACCACTGTCATTTAGGTAATCCTTTATTGACCAAAACATTGTGATGTGGTACCTGACTATATTAAATAAATTAATAAATTGGATAAAATGATATTAAACTAGATTGTGGCAAACAGTAAAGATATCAAAGTGCTGGGAGGCTCTCAATAAATTCTGAATTTTTTTTTGCTCTCATGACTGAGTTACAACCCTGGATTAAAAAAAGAACTCTGTGGCAAAGTGATGGTTATATATAATTTTGAAATTTCACTATATAAAACTCACAATGTTATATGTTAAAGTGAGAAGGGAAAAAAAGATCTCAATCATTATTCTTATTTGTCCCCTAAAGTTCTAGAATGTAGATAAGGTTACCTTTTAGAAAAATTATGTTTCTGTTAGGAGTGCAATTATAAATCACATCTCTATGGAGACAGAGCACATTGATTTGCATCTAAACCATGAGCTTTAGAGGTGATTCATTCGGACAAATGACATGCTATTAATAAATGACAGGGCTTAAATATAAGATTTTCTGTCTTCTAGTTTGATGGGTCTCTGCTATAGCAACTTACCTGCTTTTGACTTATTTACTCCCTCACACAACACAATTTATTCATGCATTGGTTCAACTTCCACATAAAACTCCAAGGAAGTATTATGGGAGGAAAAAGACCCCAAAGTAAAATTTTCAGTAACATTATTATCTTCTGTTCCTATTTACTTCTTCCTCATCTTATAGCCTGTCCGAGGTTATGTTAACCAAGCTTGGGAAGTCAGTTCATTTCTGCTTATAAATACCTGCTATTTGAAGTCTAGAAACTGTGTATCTCCATAGCAATGTCTGGCGGTTTTTTGGTCAACTCTGGGACTGTAAATGGCTAAGGCACATATCCTTTCTCCCTCTGTTATGATAATTTCCCACCTACTTCTTCTAGCTATCCAATCCCAAGCATCTGGGACTGCTCCGTAATGGACTCTCTCTGCCCTTTTCACTTCTGAGCAACATTTTTCTTCTTTTGTAAATCAGGGTGATGCATAATCACAGAGTGCTTGCCCCAGCAATTTCCAATTTCTGGTGAAATGTCTGCCCACTGTGACCTAGTCCGGGGCTCCCTCCAGGACACTGGGAACCCCTTCTTCAGGTGCAGTGCAGAACAAAATGGCCAAAACCCTCCCCCAATTAAAAATAGCAGTGAGGATGGATGGCTAAGCATGCAAGGAATGGTTTACAAGTAGCCATTTAAACACTTCCTGAGGTCTTTGGTAGCTAAGAAAGGAGGCTTTAGGAGACTTCAGCTCAGCATAGAGGCTGGCTCTGGATCCCTCCAGCAGCACAGAAGGGAGTGGATGGGGACACCAACACAGCTCAAATTAATATGATGTACTCACTCCACCATGAAAAAGCAGCCTAGCTGGTAATGAGAACATCAAGCATGCCAGTCTGTTTTTTTCCTCATAGGTTTACATGGTATTATCTTTAGATGGGGGGCATGTGTATGCATGTGTACCCACATATCTCTGTGTGGGTCTGTGTATGTGTACCTATGTGTGTACCTATGAGTTTGTCTGTTTTAATACTTATTGGATGCTCTGAAGAATCAATGTGTGTGTCTGCCTGTCCCATCTCAAAGGAGACCAACTCTGGGACTCTGACCCACACTCCAGAATGCTCTACAGACTCTGGAGTTCTGAGGACCACCCTTTATCCTCCTGGAAGGCCCCTAGAAGGCTAATTTGAGAGAAAAATGGTCAGTCAAGTACTAAAAATGTTCATAAGAAATCCCTTGTGAATAGATCAACCTTGGCTTGACTCCAGGACGATAAGAAAGGTCCTATTTCATACCAAGAATTTAAAATATTTTCTTTTCTACATCGTAATGAACCAAAGGTTCAACTAGACAGTTTCAGCATCATGTGGATGGGAAGGATAAAGAGACAGCAGAATTGAAGACAAGTCACCCGCCCCTATGTAGACAGGGCAGCCTCCTATTAAAAGGGCTGCATCTATAAGCTCCAGGCAGAAACCAGCAGGGTGCACAGCGTCTTGGGAGCTCTTGGTGGAGCACACGACAGCAAGGAGCATCCGTGTGGCACAACACACAAGAACTGTGACAAGCACAATGCCCTCTCTTTCCCAATACATGCTAAAGGAATGCAGTTTTTCCAGGGGGCAAAGAGGCTGACGTTTGGACTGCAACACATATAAATTGTTTTTTTTGCATGACATAGCTGTTAACACCAAAAAGATATCCTATGTAAGCTAGCTATGGCTTAAATGGACTGTATTAGAGTAAGAGTTTAATAGTTCTTTGGCTTTCAGTTCAAAGGGGGAGGGCCAAGTGAGGAGGGCTAGAGAGTAGAGAGAGTCAAAGCAGCACTGCTGAGCACCCACCATGTGGTGGGCAGTGTGCAGGGCTCACCCATGACATCATCCACTAAGTCTTAACACCTGGAGGACGTGAAGATATTCATCCTCATTTTGCAGTTGCAGGAATTGAGACTCAGGGAAATTAAGTAACCTGCTCACAAAGTCTCATACATGTAGGTAACAAGGCCAGGCTTCAAATAGTGTTCCATCTACTTCTCTAGATAAAAGTTTCCTGTGTGTTTTAAGCAGCTGGATGTAAGATAAATCTCTTAATTGTTCTGTATCAAGTCATCATTGATCCTGAAGAGTTTATATAATAGGATCATGATGATCTACTGATTGATTGGTAGCTGACCTACTTCTCCATTGCTGGCTTAATTTTGAAAGCTCTAGACTCCTCAGGCTCAGGAAGTCCACCTATATCATAGTGTGACAATGCAGTTCAGTCCATTTGCCACCCAGGTCAGAGAGCAAGTTAAAGCACCCACAGGCCACTTATAAAGGAAGGACTTCAATACCTCTTCACCGCAATGGCCAAATTTTCCATTTCTGTGCTTTGAAGTCTGATCTCACGGATGAAGTTCTTTATAACATGTTCATATGGCTGAATTAATCTTGGCTCCACAAGGTTGATGTTTTGGTACAAGGTACTAACTTGCTCTTCTCTGCCAAATAAATAAATAAAAATTAAACCAATTATAAAATTTTAAAGGCAACTCTGCAGGGGGCTTTTAAGAAAGAGAAACATAAATGAAGAACTAAGGAAAGAAAAACCAGCAATCACAGAATGAACGGAAGGAAGGGAAGACAGCAGTCAGGAGATATGGTTGGATTTTTCCCCACAATAGGAGATGGGGCCTGCGAGGACAGTGAAAATGCACAGCAAGGGACTAATAAGGAAGGATTTTGTTGTTGTTCCTGCTGTGTATTTTTTAATTTTAATAGAAAGATATATAAATTTACAGAAAAATTAGGTAACATTAAATCAGTTACTTAATTCCATGTTTCATCCACCCCTGATAAGACATGTTTCAGCCTTTATCGTCATAACAGTGGGTGTATTAGTCCATTTTCACACTGCTATAAAGAAATACCCAAGACTGGGTAATTTATACATAAAAGAGCTTTTAACTGACTCACAGTTCCACATGACTGGGAGGCCTCAGGAAACTTACAAACATGGCAGAAGGGGAAGCAAGGATCTTCTTCACATGGTGACAGGAGAGAGAAGAGTGAGGAGTGAAGGAGGAAGAGCTCCTCCTTAAACCATCAGATCTCCTGAGAACTCTTTCACTATCACGAGAACAGTACGGGGGAAACCGCCCACATGATCCAAGCACCTCCCAACAGCTCTCTCCCTAGACACATGGGGATTATGGGGATAACCATTCAAGATGAGATCTGAGTGGGGACACAGCCAAACCACAGCAATGAATATACCTATTATGTTACGGTCAGCTAAAAGTAACTTCATATAAATTCACATTTTTATATATATTTGCATTGATGTCAGTCACAATTCTCTTGACACCAAATGTGTGGATTTTTTCCTCATACCAACCAATTCTCCAACATTTCAGATACCAACTGAGTGTCCAACAATCCAATTTCATTCTGACACTACCCAGAGTCAGCACAGACCCCACAGGTTAAGAGATCAGTCCCACAAGACTGCTCCCCACTTAGATACCAGTCACAAGTTCCAGGTTGCCACGTACACTTCTGACCAATCACCTATAAATCAGGGGTTCCCGTGACCCCCTCTTCAGTTCCATACTTTGCTTAAATGGCTCACAGAACTCAGGAAAACACTTGACTTAGGTTTACCAGTTTATCATAAAGAATATAACTCAGGATGGCCAAATGGAAGAGATGCTTTGGGCAAGGTATGGAAGCAGAGTGTGGGTGCACAGAACAACACCCTCCCAGCTCCTCAGTATGTTCATCAACCCAGCAGTTCTCCAAACACTATTGTTTTGGGGGTTTTATGGTGATTGCACTGCACAGACATGAGAGATTACATCACTGGCCAATGGTGATTACCTCAATCTTCAGCTTCTCTCTCCTCCCCAGAGGTCAGGGATGGGGCTGAAAGTTCCAACCTTCTAATCACGTCAGTCTTTCTTAATCTTAATCATGTTCAGCCCCCATCCTGAAGGTCTAGGGGTCCCCAGCTACCAGCCTTCTCACTACCATACAAAAGACACTCATCATTCTGGAGATTCCAAAGGTTTTAGGAGCTGTATTCCAGGAAGATGGGACAAAGACCAACTACATATTTCTTATTGTATCACACTATTTATTTGTGACAGTCCTCATAGTTATTATTTAAAATCTTTTACTAAAAGATAAACATTTTCAGAGGTATTTCAAAAGAAAAATTAACCAGATTCAGTAGCTGATCTGAAAGAGGATAAAGGAACTAGTTGGTGAGGGTGGTGGTGTCCGTGACTCACAGTTTAAGAGCTGATTCACCGACAGGAATGTAGCATGATGTATGAATAATATACCCTTTGTGTCTAGTTAATGAAGCCTGTGTAACTCATCTGCTATGGATGGATGCTATAGCCAGGTGTAGACTTAATAAGCCCACTATTCCCCAGCGTATCCATGCTTCTCCGGATTGATGGGCTGCATATTGGCCTCCTTGGACAGCTTATATCAGAGACTGCAATCTGGCCTTCTTCTTCTGATCCTAGTGGATCCCTGCTTGCTAGTATTTAACAAAGGCTGTGACCGGGTTGTGACAGTAGCAACACTTTTTAAAGCAAAGAACATTTATACCAGTTGAAACAAGAAATACCAAAAATTTTGAGAACAGTCAATTCTTTGGGCATGAGATGATAACTTACCATAATACCAGCATCAAATAATTCTATCAATTCTCATTAAGTCCAGAAATGTTGGGGATAGCTAATAATTGCAGGAAAGCCAATCACTTTGACACACTGCCTGATTTAAAAATCACCTCCAACGTTTGGATAATTCTTATGTTTGGTGATCTGGTTCTGTGATTTTACAGTTTCTCCCCTGACAATGCACAACAACTTCTGTCTCCTGCCCCTGACATGGAGAGATTACTCTTCTCCAGGTGCTCGTCTAGTTTTTGGGCAGGCCACTCCAGGAACCAAGAAGTCTGAGAGCATTTCACAGCCATCTATGGTGTGACACCAAAGCAACAGCCACAGAAGACCACTCAGAAATCCTGAGCACAAAATTCATACCCACCCACTTGATCAACATTCCTTGGGCTTTTGCCCTATTACTCTGTTGAAGGCAGCATTTTAAGATGCTATGAGGGCGCAAGAAAGATGACAATAATCCTAGGCCTCAGTAACTGAAAAGCCATGCAGACAGCCATCTCACAATTGGAAAAGAAGACAGTCAGATAGAATACAATTTATAATTGTAATAAAAATAGTTATACGTAGCGAGTAGTCACCATATTCCTGGTAATGTGTAAGGAAATGTATATGCATCCTCTCTTCAAATGCTCACCACAACATCATGAAGTACCTTTATTATCCCAGTACTTCAGAATGTGACTATATTTGGAAATGGGTCTTTAAAGAGGTAAATAAGTTAAAATGCGGTCATTAGAATAGCTCCTAATCCAATCTTACTGGTCACCTTATAAAAAGAGATAGGAACCCAGACATACACACAGAGAAGATCATGTAAAGACACAGGAAAAGACAGCCATCTGCAAGTCAAGGAGACAGGCCCCAGAAGAAACCAACCCTGCTGATACAGTCATATCAGACTTCTAGCCTCCAGAACTGTGAGAAAATAAACTTGTGTTGTTTAAGCCACCCAGTTTGTGATGCTTGTTACCACAAATACCTAGGCAGCCCTAGCAAACAAATACCATATAGGGCCCATGGTAACATGGTGGTTAAGTGGCAGAATAAGGATTCAAACTCAGTCTCAAGCTGTGGGCCACCTGATCAACCATAAAATCATACTGCTTCCCTATGTGTTAAATAGCTAAACTCTGGCAGAAGAAATGGGATTCAAAATCAATCCACAGACCAAGGAAACACTGAAAAACGTAAGGTACACATTAACTCTGAAGCTTAGTTAAGCCTGGCCCCAAGGTGTGTCCATGTGGCTGTAAACTCTCCCAGACTTGCCTTCTTTTTTTTTTTTTTTTTGAAACTGAGTCTCGCTCTGTCACCCAGGCTGGAGTGCAGTGGCGCAATCTTGGCTCACTGCAACCTCCGCCTCCCAGGTTCAAGCGATTCTCCTACCTCAGCCTCCTGAGTAGCTGAGATTACAGGAGCCCACCACCACACCAAACTAATTTTTTTTTTTTTTTTTTGTATTTTTAGTAGGGACGGGGTTTCACCATGTCTCTGAGACCATGCTGGTCTCAAACTCCTGACCTCAGGTGATCCACCCACCTCGCCCTCCCAAAGTGCTGGGATTACAGGCGTGTGCCAACACGCCTGGCCCCAGGCTTGTTCTTATAAACAAACTGCTTGATCTGTACAGAGGCCAATCATGATTCAAAAGAATTGCTCAAGGAAAATATTATTAATAAACCTGCAGTAGTAAGTCTCTTTATTTGGTGGTATAAGACACAGAAAACTGCCATTATCTTTCCCATCAGAGCTGAGTACAAATTCTGGTTGCAATAGTAAGCCATATTTATTACGGGGCAGTGAAAGAAAAATCTCTACTCTTAGATTGTCTGACATAATTTCAATGGATCATTAACTTCTTTGCCTTTGTCATTTACTGACTACCAGGAAGGTAAAAAGCATAAAAACCTGCTCTTTAATAGAACCCTGCCTGTCAGGGTGTCATTAAGATACTGTCACCGAGTGGGGGGATGTGGTGGCTCACGCCTGTAATCCCAGCACTTTGGTGGGTAGATCACCTGAGGTCAGGAGTTCGAGACCAGCCTGACCAATATGGTGAAACCCTATCTCTACTAAAAATACAGAAATTAGCCAGGCGTGGTGGTGGGCGCCTGTAGTCCCAGCTACTCGGGAGGCTGAGACAGGAGAATTGCTTGAACCCAGGAGGCAGAGATTGCGGTGAGCCAAGATCATGTTACTGCACTCCAGCCTGGGTGACAGAGTGAGACTCCGTCACAAAAAAAAAAAAAAGATACTGTCACCTAGAGTCCTTGTTTGCTGGCTATCTGTACAACATCAAAATGTTCAGAAGTACACATCTCAGTAGATTCCCTCACTTTTTGCAAATTTCTAAAATGAGAAAGAAACATAATGATTTGTAAATTCTTGGGTCATGTGTTGGTTCTGGAATTCATTACAGAGAATTTCAAAAATAGTTTACAGTGAAGCATACAAATAGAATAATTACAGGAAATGTCTGCCACTAACAGAAAATATGTCACATGGTTAACTGTTGTGCCAGGACTCCACCACGGAAACTCAACTATCTTGCTTTGCATTACAGGGCACACAGGGAGATCTGATTCCCCAGAACCCTTGGCTGGTAGGTTGGAGTCATGTGACTAGTTCTAGAAAACGGAGTGGGTACAGAAATGGTATGTGTTTGCCACCTCTAGGCTTGACCTCTAAAATCGCTTACAAAATCTTCAGCACATTTTCTTTCTTTTTTCTTTCTTTCTCACTTTCTCAATTTCTCTCTCTCTCCTTTCCACCTTCTCCTTCTTTCTCCCTTTTCCACCTTTCTCCCTCTTTTCACTCTCTCCCACTTTCTCCCTCATCCTCATCACCGAAGTGAAAAACTCCAATATGGCTAAGCCTCGTGATAGAATGTGCTTGGATCCCTGAATCACCACATGGTGGAAAACTGCTCAGGAGAGCTACCTGACCACCTTGATCTGTCAGATACGTAAGAAAAAAATGTTTGCATTGCATGAAGCCAGTAAGACTTGTTCTTTGTTACAAAGCCAGTTCTTTGTTACAGTCAGCTTAAGCTTAGAAAGTTGGCATTATGGTTTCCTATTTGGGTATTTTATCATCTTCTTCCCTATTAACATACTTCCTTACCTCCTTACTTGATAGCTTCACATATTAAGTATGTAATAAAACATTTATGAGCGGGTAAGTCTTAACAATCACTACCCACTCTTTTTTAGAAGGGAACAAAAGGCTATCTTGAAGCATTCAGATACCAAAGTAGATATTTATTGATCACCTTATATATGTAGTCCAGGTGCTGATTTAAGCCTTTACATATATTATTCATTTAATTCTCATGACAACTCTATGAAGATGTTATCACTAGTATCCTATTTACTGAGGAGGAGACTTAGGCAAGTACGTCCCTTTAGCAGAGCTAGGATTCCCACTCAATCCACCTGGCTCCAGAGTTGGGCTCTCTAGGGAAGAACTAGCTCTTCACACCAAAAGTAAGTGCTAAGCCAGTTTTCAGGGGTCTTAAGTACATACCTCCATTTAGGAAAATGTAATATAACAAGATTTTTAAAAAATTACTTTGGAAGAGGACATGTTTTATTGCTACAAGGATTACCCACGTTACAAGAGGACTCCTTAAAAGAATGAAAGCATGAATAAGATAAAAATGAGATAACCTTCTACAATTTAGTTTACTTAAAGCTATCTGGGGGAAGGACTATTACATGCAGTGGGCACAGTCCCACCTTCCATCCCTGCCCCCATCTGCCTGTGTGCTTCGCTTGGTCTATACTGTGGAAATGATGCACCTTCTGGGGTATGCCAAGAGACTGTAACATAACACTCTTGGCAATTCTCACACCTGATAGGAAAAGGAAAAACACAACAAAACAAAAAATACTTCATCATAGCAAAAGATAGTACCTGGTCCCTCTACGTAAGATTTATATTCTGTGCCTCTCCTGGGCAGCTAAATACCTGTGGATTTCTCAACTCAATAAACTTGGCACCATTACTTGGTGCCAAGATAATTTTTGTTCCCTCACAAGAGTGTAGTAGTTACTGGCCTCTTCCCGTGTCCTACCTTCTGACGTCAAAGGTTAAACAAGCAGAAACGATACAATGGCCACACACACAACTCTGTTTTCTTCTGGGCCTGACCCAGTTGGCACAAGTGAGTGCTGAGAAGGGTGACAAGTAGTGACAAGGCTTGAAAGCATTTTGAATTCATCAAGGACCCAGGGCCTCATCTAAAGCAATTACACTTGCACTCTCAAATACCATGCAGATCTGTTTACAGGTGTACTTGGCAAACACTAGGGAAAGAAAGATTAAGGATCAAGTCATAAGCATTAGTCAGTCAAGACAAAAGAAGTCTCTGCATCTGTGCTGAGAGAGCAACCAACACTAATATACCTAATTTGTGTCTGAAGATATCAAGTGAAATGCAATTAGAGAAAAATGTACCTTGAATTATCAATGTTTTAGATGTCATTTATCTTCTTGTTCAATAAATTATATGATGATTTGTATGAACGACAGTAGCAATGGCTAATTACTGATGAAAACTTCACAACTTAAAATTTTTAAATGATCCCTGGGAAATAAGAACCTTAAATAGCAAATATTCCCATTGAAGCTGAGAGGGAAATTATACGTACTTGAAGAGAAAACAGGTATACCTAAGATGTATAAAACTTTTTAAAGGTCACGCACCCATTTTCATAAGATTAACATTTTACTCAGAAGATTACATATATATTTATGTTTATATATCTGGAATGCAGTAGGGCTGGTATGTAGAATGCTTGGACACCACTGATCTCAGGACATCTCTGGGAACCAGTTAAGTACAGACAACTTCACTCCACATTAAGAAACACAGTGATCCAGTAGGGTGCTTAGGAAAACTGGCCTTTAGATCCCAAGTCATGCTGATTTAAGCATTAAAATAGGGAGCTAAATTACTCAAACCGTATGTTTTATGCATCTAGAACCCAGTTTTTGTAAACGAAAGCACACAGTAATAAATGCCAATGTCTTCATCATTCTATACTAAGGAATGCCACAAGAACACTGATGCTAAGATCCTAGCATCTGAACATGAGACATGAAAACATGCATGCAATCCAAGGGGCGCCATGAGAGATCTTGAAAATGCTAGGAAGCCAACCAAATTCCTTCCTGCATAAAGCTCACAGGACTGACTATGACTGAAAAGTTCTGTGAGGAATAAGTACAAGATGCACTGACAGCATAGAACAGGTGAACATGACCAGTCCTTGGGGTATTCCCTGAAGTATGCATAGATGTCAACTAGGCAGAAAGGGGGTGCAATAGGGGGTGGTCTCTTACAGGCATCAATAGCCACAGGCTGTGCACAGCGTCAGGCAGGAGAGCTGGAGCTGGAGAAGTTAGCAGGAGCCCGATGAGCACATCCTCAAGGACCGAAAGCGCACTGAAGGGGGTCGGCGGGGATGTCCCGAAAGGATGGGAAGCCATGGCAAGATTTAAAGCAAGAGATGACATGATCGAGTTTGCATTTTCACAGTTTTGGCTGAAGCAAGGAATTAAACAAAAGATTTTGAAATAAATGTGCAGAGATAAAAATAAATCTAAGACCATTATCATTTAATCCAGAAATGTAGAACTTCAGGAGTTGTCACCAGCTTTTACTCTAGAATAGGTAAATTATAGACAACTAAAATCTGGTAGTATAATTATTTCTCTTTTTGGGTAAGAACAAGGATTATGTTCTTACTAATGTAATACCAGTTAGCCTACTTCGTTCGATGCCCTGAACGAATCACACTTGTCTAGTCAGTAAGTGCAAAGGTTTATCCTTTTTCTCCCATATGAGTTAAATAAAAAGTACTCTTCTAAAAACGTATTTTTATTACATAGTATGCATGCTTCCAGAATAAACCCCAAATTAACTAGAAAATAAATTCTAAGGGCCAAATCCAGCTATGCTACTAGAACAGAAAAATATTAATTCCCTTTCTAAAGTTTAAGTCTTGCTTTCTAGACAGGATGACCTCTTCCCACTAATAGAGTTGCTTACGACTGGCTGTGGTCTCAGTCTGCATACAGAATGGCTATCCAGCTCTCCAATCTAGAGAAAACAAACAATGGTCTCCTCAACTTGGCCACAGCAACCAGCAGACTTGGAAAGACAACCTGGTCCAGGGGCTGAGGCTTCTCTGGCTTCAGTTTTGCTGTTGTCTGATCAGAGGAGTTTCTAATCTACATTTTAAACCAGAAATGCCTCACCCAGGGCCCCTTAACCACACACATCTCCTGCAGGTAAAATTCTTTCTGGGTTTGTGTCATCTTGAGAAATATTACTTACCTAAGTATCTATTTTTATAACATTCCCCAAAAGATATTAAAACGGAAATTCCCTGGAAGATGAGAGAGTTAACTAGATCCATTCAATGTCTAGGAACAATCCAGATTACAAATTGCTTCCTATTTTCAATCACTGATATTTAGTTACTGGGAGTTCACCAATGGAGGCAGGAGGATAGAAACAGCAGGAAGCATCATGCTGACGCTTTACTGCAGGCACAGCCTCAAAACAACTGGGGCTTCTGCAGTCATAAATGAATACAGCACAGGATAAGTGGAATGACCTGGGTAGATTTAAATGCTTCCTCCACCACATCTGCTTTATGACTCAGAGCCAAACACTTCACCTCTCCAGCTTCAGCTTCTTCAACCATAAAGTGGGTATAACCTACCACCTAAGGGTAGCAAAGGGTAGCTGTGAGGTACAGTGCATGGTACAATGTTGGTAAT
Source organism: Homo sapiens (assembly GCF_000001405.40). NCBI lineage: Eukaryota > Metazoa > Chordata > Mammalia > Primates > Hominidae > Homo > Homo sapiens. The sequence goes on from NC_000009.12 coordinate 83,034,913, forward strand.
CAGTAAGTGCCAGCCACTGTTTCCATCCATTATTATTCTTAACTCCACTCCCCAACTGGGTTAAAAAGAAGTAGATGGTTGTCTCCTGTCCATGTCTGGGTGGTGTTTCAAAAAGGGTCAAAGGAAGAAAATCTTGTAGTATGGGAGCTCCATGGACAGAAATGTCTTACGCGTGGCAGTACTCTGGGAACTGAAAAGGGACAATTAAATTAGGTCATGTTCAAGGTCAGTCTGCAAAAGTTATAGTCCCTGGGTACATAATATCTTTTCTGTGAAGCACCAGGTAGAAAATACTTTTGGCTTTGCAGGACATACTATCTCTGCTGCAACTATTTAGCCCTATCACTGCAGTGTGAAAGCAGCCTAGACAATGCATAAATGAATAAGTTTGGCTGTGTTTCAATAAAATTTTATTTACACTAACAGGCAGAGGGATAGATGAGCCTTGCTGTGCTGACCCGTTACCATCTATTAACATAAGGCCCTGAGCATAGCAATGTGCATGGGGCAATGCAGACCTCACCCTTCCACACTCAGATGAACAGGCTTTTATTCACATCGTGCCCCAGGTCCAGATCAAACTTTTTCATATACAGAAGTTCATTCTGTTGACATTACAGTATGTATGTGCTATACGTGTGTACATGTATATGTAAGAATATGCAGCTCTTTATTTAAGAGCACTTGCCTTGCAGTGCACATTTGCTCTCCCCGTATTTCTCTTCTATCAACTTAACCTGAGTGAAGTTAAATGTAGGCATAATCTAGTAGTGTTAGCGCAAGTAGGTATATTATAGTTATTTTTCATGGAAAAAAATATTTCTACTTTGGCAAAAAAAAAGGAGCTGAGAAGCAAAAAAGGAATACAATATCAATTTTTATGTAAAATTTCTCTTTAGGTGACATCTGTCACCTTCCCAGATTTAGGACAGTCCCAGTTTATGTTCGTTGTCCTGTATCCTGTCCACATGAAGCATCTAACTAGAATTTCCCTTTCATTTTAATCAACAAGTTGCATTAACATGTATTACCTATTATTAAACTGTGTACCAACTGTACATTTAAGCTTATTAACAGTTGCATTAAAACAATCCAGGGTGAATTTGTTGTATCTCCACTTTCACCTGTTAGTGTGTGAGACATCCATGCAGTGAAAAGATAGAATAATATGTGGCTAAATCAGAAGATAATCAGGAATAAACCCATCTCTCCTTTCCTGACCTTTTCCAGACACAATGTAACTAAAACTTTCCTTTCAGGGGCAGGAAGCAGAACACTCACATTCACTGATAAAACAAATTAAGCTTGGACAAGAGAAGCTGCAGACAGAAAACTCCTTCAGGACTCAGATGGTGGTGGAGAAAGATTGGAAGCAGCTGCCTCGGCCAACCACCTGGAAAGTCAGCCAGTTGTGCTCCTATCTGCAAGATGTGCAAAATGCTGCCAGGCAGCCGTGTGGTCAAGTCAGTGGGAAATTGGAAAATTACAAGCATAGTGCACATGAAATATGTACAGAAAACAGAAGTTGGATAGGCCTGCCTCAGAGCAATGGAGAGTACCTCGGATGCTCTTGCTACAGTGAGTTGACCTTTTTTATATGGTTTAAGTGTATATCTAGTTATTTTATTGGATGGCAATGCTTTTACATTTCGCAGTAAACTCTTCTGGCAGCAACAACCTCGAAAGTAGATAAATGCATAACTGCTCCAAATGGTTAACTGTCATAGCCAAAAGGAGCATAAGGAGACATGACAACAAAATGGAACGTGGTGTCCTAAATGGATGCTGGAACAACAACAAAAAAGGGACTTTAGGGAAAAACTGAGGAAATCCGAATATGGACTTTAGTTAATAATAGTGAATCAATAATCAGTTCATTAATTGTAACAATTGTACTACACCAAAGCAAGATATTAATAAATAAGGAAAAGTGAGTACAGGTTACACGGGAACACTATACCATCTTCGTTTTTTTGTTTTTGTTTTTTTTTAAAAAAAGCTTCTCAGTATTATCCTCCACCATGGTGCACCATGGTGCCCTAAAGTGATACCATGGTGCCCTACATACAGTGGTATCATTAGCCACATGAAAACCAGAAAATATAAATCTCCTGAAGAGCAACAGGAACTATGTCTTTTAAGACAACCATATTCTTCAGAGTCTACAATTTTACTCATGCAGCTGCAGAAGGCTTACTTACATACCACCTGTGAAACATGACTTTTTTCTTAGGTCAAGAGACTTGTTCCAAATTAATTCTGCACAAATTTTTATTACAGATTATCTTGTACAAATGCAAAGAGTGAAATGAGAGCTGTGTATATTGCCTGCACTAGCAGAAGAAGAACTTCAAAAAGGTAAATGAGGCTAGTTTTATATCAATGCAATGAGATGCTTCAAAAAAAAAAATAAACAGTTGCATCAATTCCAGCACTGGTTTGTTTTTTTCCCCATCCACTGAATGGAATCAACGTTCAGGAAGTTCATTCTGTCAAAGATAGAACATACAATCTTATTACGAACGCTATTACAAATTCCATGAAAAATAAAAGAATAAAGCATTGTAGTAAAAATTATATTTTTACCAAATTAAGAAATCTGTGAAGTAGAAACACACTGGAATTGGTGGCACATATAACTGAATCCAAATACACTTTAATATTCTGTAGACTGAAATGTTGTCAAAATTTCAAATATATTGACACACATAATTACATTATCTCAACATTTTTGCAATAGTCATTTTCTCTCATTGTGGCTTATCACCATTCAGATTTTGGAAATCTTTGAGCCTTTGAAGAACTACTTAGCAAATCATTGTAAATGTCCTATTTTTTTTTTTTTTTTTTGTAAACTAGTCTTCTAAGCTTTCATTACATTTTGTTCAAAATCAGTTGGAAAACTTTAATCAAATCACTCAACATTAGGAACCATATAAAAGCTACCATCTATTTTTGAAGCTTTTTGCAGACTGAAATTAATTGAAAAGTAAGCCTGAAAACAGGAAGACACTAAGGAATTAAACAAATTCAATGATAAGAGTTCAAATGTACAAATGAAATTCTGTAATTATTATTTGGAATATCTGAACTCATGAGAAAGATCTTTTGAGGGTCTTCCTATCTTGATTAAATTTATATTCTGTAACAATAGGATGGAATTGAGAAGTCCTATAATTTTGATGTATCTAAGTATTGGAAAACATTTAAAGAATCATAAACGAACACAACTTGGTAAGTCTTGTCTTATAAATGTTAATAAATTTGTCAAAGTATTTGTTAAAGAAAGTATTTTGAAAGGAGGTAAAGACATAGAACCTGTGACAATCGTGGACTGAATTATTCACATATGTTAACATTTACATGTCAATACCAAGACAAAAAAGAATTTACGATATCCTCCACTTAGAATTTACTCTACAATTATAGTTCAACACTTGAGAGTGTCTTCTTAATTAAAAAATTATGATCTACACAGAAGAGTCAACTGCTGATGTCAACAATTTCAAATTTAATAGTCAAAAAATGAAACCATAACTCTAAAGATTACAAGCAATATTATAGAAAAAATTAAGAATACGACCACATTGAACGAAGATGTATTCTTCAGAAAAGTACCACTAATTCTGGCATTAGAGATAGATATAGAATTAACATTAAAATACGTGAATATATTCCAGTACTATTTTGCACATGCACTTTTTAATATTCACATAAGTGATAAGAATTTTTGCTTCAATGTACGTAAACCTTTTATATATTTTACAAATAACTTTATTTTTAAAATTTTTGACTAGAACTAGTACATAGGACCACTATATAATAAAAACAATTTGTCAGATAATAAAATAGTGTTTTGATAAAATTATATAATTTAAAGTATATTAGTTATCCTCATTTTATTCTCAAACAAGTCCTGGTTTAGGGAATCAATTCTATGGCCACTCTAGTTTTCTGTCTCATTTTCTTCACTCTTTTTCCATCCTTAGGTGCTCAGTGTCCTCAAGTATTTTGTAGAAGGCTCAATACAAAATATGTAACTTTTCAACAAGGAGACAAAGTTCAGATGAAGCATGTTTTCTTGACTGATTTCACATCACTGTTCTGGTTTTTTTGTTTTGTTTTTTCAATTTTTGAGATTGCAAAAGTTGAGAAACAAATTCTTCCCTCCCTTTTCAAAGTATATTTTAATCTCAGTCTTTGATCAGAATCTAAGCCTTTCATATATGCTATCTAGAAGCCAAATGCTACAAATCAGTCAAGGCTTTCCCAAAAGTCACCTCTGAAAGTCGGCCCTGAATACTCCAGTCACAGGGAAATCCCTCCCCTCCTATCCCCTGCCACTCTTTATCTGAGTTCTGTGTATTGAGTTTTCTGTGGCTGTTTTACCTTCCCAGTTACCCTATCAGTCTCATATCCCCTGTAGCACCCGGCACCTACAGGTTTGACCTGCAGCAGCTTCTCCATTAATGAATGAAGGAAGGAGGCAGGAGGTCTGGAGAAGAAGGGCTCAACGTGAACTGATGTGGAGAAGGTGGAGTTTTATACTGGATCTGCGACAGGCTCAGAACTCTGACTCAGAGAGGACAAAGAAGGCAACAGTGTGAAGGAGTGAGCAGCTAAGCCTTGCCTGCACAGGGTTAGGGAGAGGACTAACTATGGGAAATATGATTGCCAAGATAAAAAGGGTCTCTCCTGCTGAACACAGTGAGAAAGTAGGAGATTCTAGAAAGCACAGCAGATTCCATCTGAACTTTACACGCACCAGCATGCACCAGTCTTCAGCGTGCTGCTGCCTTCTTCACTATTTTTTCCCTTTCTCCTTTCACATTGTTTTCAATGGGGATGCGCCCACTATTTACCATATAACAGATGCTAAGAAAGCTGAAAATAAGTCCAACTCAAGAAACTGTCTGTCTTGCTGGTATCTGGAACTATTTCTGACATGCAAAGGCCCCTTTATCTTGTTCCATGATATGGTTTGGCTCTGTCCCCAGCCAAATCTCATCTTAACTGTAGCTCCCATAATTCCCATGTGTCATGGGAGGTACCTGATGGAAGGTAACTGAATCACGGGGGCAGGTTTTTTGGTGCTGTTCTAGTGATAGTGAATAAGTCTCATGAGATCTGATGGTTTTATAAAGGGCCGTTCCCCTACACACACTCTCTTGCCTTCAGCCATGTAAGATGTGCCTTTGCTCCTCCCTCGCCTCCCAGCCATGTGGAACTGTGAGTCCCTTAAACCTCTTTTTCTTTATAAATTACCCAGTCTCAGGTATTTCTTCAAAGCAGTACAAAAATGGATGAATACACTCCACCTCAGGTTTGTGTTTTTGTGGGCTGAGGTTGCTGCAATCTCAACATCAGCTGAATGGCTAAACCAATGTATCAAATCTTGAATATATTTTGAATATACTTCAATAATAAATGTGGGGGCATTTTTAACAAAATATTATTTATATTTGTTAATAACATATATGTGAGTTCCAAAAATAAATTAAATTACATGATTCTATGGCGATCAACAAAGACAACATATTGCATACATAGATAACTCACCATAGCTTCTACAAAAGATAAGGATTTGCTTGTCATTCTAAAATCTCCAAATGATTTATTAATATACTACAGAATCATGAATACCAGTAAAGAACAATTTCTCTTTCGAAATCAGTACATTCTGGAATATATAAGTGCATTCTACTTGTTCATTCAATAGCAAATATATTTCCTGAATTAGCACTGATTATATATTGAATACCTACCACTGATTATTAAATAGTTGGCATTTAATTCTGAATTATTATTGGTATCATGGAAAGATAACTGTTTGGTTCCTCATCACGTTTTGTTTACAGTTAAATAAACCTTATGCTCAAATATACATAACACTGGCAAGAAAATTTGTTAGAATTCTACACAACCTGCTTTGGCCTTTTTATTTTATTTTATATATATATTTTTTGAGACAGAGTTTCACTCTTGTCGCCCAGGCTGGAGTGCAATGGCACGATCTCGGCTCACTGCAACCTCTGCCTCCTGGGTTCAAACGATTCTCCCGCCTCAGCCTCCCAAGTGGCTGGGATTACAGGCACGCGCCACCATGCCTGGCTAATTTTTTTGTATTTAGTAGAGATAGAGTTTCAACATGTTATTCAGGCTGGTCTTGAACTCCTGACCTCAGGTGATCCACCCGCCTGGGCCTCCCAAAGTGCTGGGATTACAGGCATGCGCCACCGTGCCCGGTGCTCTGGCCTTTTTAAAAGCCTATTTCAAAGGTTACATTAGTTTTCTATGACAGTTAATGTAATTAAGCATGAAATTATTGTCTATGACATCTTTGAATTATGTTAAAACTATTTATATATGTGATATTATTTGTTTAGTGTCCCAAAAGACATGTCACCGAGTTTTATAATCTACTTTTAATTTTAAGAATCACTGATTTTTACCTACCTACCTTGCTACCCAACCATCAAACACAAAGATAAATCAATAACAGTGTCCCAGTCTGTTTTATGAAAACATACAAAAATAGATCAAAAGTATCAAACCAAGTAAAATTAGTTGTAGAGATTTTCTTATGAATTTCTTAAACACATTTCCCCTTTGAAATAAAATGTTGCTGACATCTCTAATTTGACATTTCAACAGTGAAGTAAGACCCTTTGAGAGGCTCCCGGTCTCACTCCATGGTGCTTGGGGTACATTCTCCACAAAGCAGAAGCCTCCTGAGACAGACCCCACTGCCCATCATCTGTCCACTCCACTGCTTTCCCAGCAACCTGCTGGAAAGTTTAATTATTTTTTCATTTGATTTTCTGCAGAACGGAAGGGTGATTTTCTGAAGTGTGTTTTTAAAAAAAGGTAGCCAAAAATCTCATTAAAATCCGACTTTGGCACATTATTCAAGGATCAGTTGTCCTGCCACTGGTCCACTTTTGTGTTCCCAAAGCCACAGTTCACTAAAAGAGCAAACAGCCTTCAGATCTGCAAACACCATCTGCCAACAGAGGCTGACCTCAACCCCCAAGAAAAGTCAAGAAAAGAAAAACCAGTCTTCCCTTAATTGAGTCATCATCTTAACTCACTGGTTCATCAGATAAGGAAAAGCAATTTCAGTAAGCTGTATATTTACATTTATCTCAGTTTATATTTTTTTATCCCAAACCTTTAACATTCCCTTGGTTTCCAGTTCTGTGGTCTGAGCTGCACTCCTCTCTCACCTGCTTGGATAATAACATACCCTCTGGGCAGCAAAATGAATACAAAAGCTACTAAAGAAAATAGGAATAAATGCCTAATTGTTGCTTTAAATGCAAGAACTATATAGAAAGTTGTCATAAAGTTATTACAATAATTTGCTTGAGTGGACAAGGAGAATCCACAAAGCAGTAGTATTTGTTTATCTTGGTGTGTAGTTTTTTAAGCATTCCCCTAAGACTCAAAAGAGAAAGGATTAAAAATAATTTCAGTGACCAACATATGAAGTGACTGACAGACTCCAGTGGATTCATTCAGCATGAACCATGCCCACTCCTGGCTGGGCACCTACTTCTTATTTGTATTCAAAATAATATAACTCCATGTTTTGTGCTTATCTCTCTAAGTGGCTGAATTTCTAAAAAGATAATTTAGAACTACAGCATCTACTTGAGGAATCTCCAAAATAAACAAAATTGAAAAAGGAGTTAATGTATGAATAAAAATGGAACAGGAGTAAAACTACAAATAATATTATAATTTCAAAATGATGGCAGCACTCCAGCTATCTGAAACTCAGGTATCTGACTAAGAAGAATCCAAAAGGAGGTTGGAAAGTCAGAAAAAAAAAGAAAAACAGCCTCTGAGACACCCCTGCTTGGTTTAGAAATAATCTACATTCAAACAGTGCTTTTAAAACACAATTCTAATGTATCTGATAATTTGTTTTCCAAAACTTCAACAGACAAAAGACCCAGGAAGGAAGGAAGTACTGAGAATAGTAAAATGTCATTTGGCAGCCTGACGGCAAGGACAAACACTCCACACGGTAACTTAAAATGCTAAGCTGAACCACCATCTCCACAAATCCCTGGGGATATCATTCTACTACCTCCCGGGATAAAGCTAGACTTCATATGATGACCCTGAGTTAGCACGGAAAGCTTCAGTGATTTTGCAAACAATTTTTCTGACCAATGTGTTGCCCATGTCCATATGCTTACCAAAAGACTTGTGACAGATGATCACTGCAGTACTATGTGTGACATCCATGACACAGAAATTATCCAAATGGACATTTTTAGTAAACTGGATAAATCAATTGCGGTATTTTCACACTGTGGAATAGACTACATCAGTGAAAATAAAAGTTTTAAACTACAAGCTCACAAACATCATGGTGACTGAAAGAAGCCAAATGCATTGTATGAACCTATGTATGTAACATCAAAACAGAAGCAAAGGACAATAACTTCTCTGGAAAGAGGGGTCTGCAGTGATTGGGGGGGGGGACCCTGGGCTTCTGCAATGTAGTAAAATGTTCTGTTTCTTCACCTGCATTCTGATTTATTCAAGCATTCCATCTGAAAACTCAGCAAGCTGTACACTTAACGTTCTGTGTGCTTTTTTTGCATGTGGTTTTGTCTTTGAAGAATACATTCACAAAATATACAGAATACTTGATGGAGCATAAATGACTGTATCCTCAAGGTAAACTCAGTCATGAACATCTCAAAATTCAGATATCAAATAACCAGAAGCACCCCCAGGCAAAATTTTGAAGTCAGCGAAGTTTATCTCTTCTACCTCAGTTCAGCATTTTTTTTTCTGGGTCTTTTCTGCCTCTTTGAAAGCATCTGCCCAGCAGATGTGGCCACATCCCACACTCTCGCTTCTCATTTTCTCAGCAAAGTTTATTACACACACAAACTATTCAGGGATTCTGTTAAAATGCAGATGCTTCAGTGAGTCTGCGGTGGGACCTAAGAGTTTGCACTTCTAGAAACGCCCTTGACTAGCAGAGAGAAGACGTGATTTAACACCAGTGCCCGCTGAGCTGCTGGGAACGGAATAATGAATCTAGCAGCTCTCTTGTGGCTGCTTTAGGACCTATACCTGATGGAATACTTCTGGCTTCCCTGTGCTCTCTATTACATCCCTGTTAGTAACTTCCAACTCGGGGACAAAAACTAGTAGTTGGGCATAGCAGATAGAACCCATTCCTACTGGAAAAAATTTCTTCCTGTTCCTCATTAAAATGTCAGCCTTTGGACTTCTTGGCACAATGTCTTCCTTTCACAGAGCATCTGCAGAAAGGAGGGAAGGAAGGAGTGAGAAGGAAGGAGAAGAAGAAGGGAAGCCAGAAAGCAGTGAATTTGCCCAGGAAAGTCCAGCAAAGCAAAATGTTTGTGTGGCTTGCTGGACGGCTATGGCTGCCCAAATCCAAGATGTATCTTCTGTGAGGTGCTCAGTTTGAAGTTATGAGTATTTTGATGAAGAGTGGGATTGTAGGGTGAAGACAGAGGGGTAGGAACAAGGCTGAATAATAAGACCTCCCAGAGGGGCATCTCAGAGCCATAAGCAGATGTAGGGCAAGCCTTTTCTTGGGAAATAAAAAAAAAATTAATAACTTTAAAGTTGACATAGAAATTTGGTACTTTGTTGTGGAGTGTTTAGGCATTTGGAAGGTGGGGGAATATAATATATGTATAGGAATTTTTCCTGATTCAAATAGTTTGAATTTTCTGTTACTTACAAGCTAGAAGCATTCAAAAACGCTCTGTGATCTCAAAACTGAGAATATTTGAAAAACTTTCTTAGTGGCTATGATGGTGAATTTTATTTATGTCAACTTGTCTAGGCCACGGTAGCCAGATATTTGCTTAAACATGTGAGTATGTTGCTGTGAAGGTACTCTGTACATGAGATTAACACTTAAATCAGTAGACTTCGAGTAAAGCAGTTTACCCTCCATAATGTGGGTAGGTGAGTCTCATCCATTCAGTAAAGACCTTAACAGAACAAAGACTGATCTCCCAGGAGGAAGAGGGAATTCTGCTAGCAGATGACCTTTTCACCGGGACTGCAACTTCAACCCCTCCCTGGGTCTCCAGCCTGCCATCCTGCCCTGCAGAGTTTGGACTTACCAGCCTCCACAGTCACACGAGTCAATTCCCTAAAATTAATATATCTCAATCTCTCTCTTTCTAAATAATATGTAAAGAGATATGTGTGTACATATGGTATATATATAACACATACATTTTATATGTGTGTCTGTGTGTATGTACATGTATGTACACATACACACATCTTATTGGTTCTGTTTCTCTGGAGAACTCTAACTAATACAAGTGTCTTAAATCACTGCACTTTCATTGGGGCTAATCAATGTAGACCAATGTACCAGCTTCACAGTGAATGTATGCTAGGACTGATGAAAAGAGCTGAATAAGAACTTTAATTGTTACTGATAAGAACCTTAATTTTAAATATCATTCAACAGGGCAGGTCACTTCCCAAGGCTCCAAGTGCTCAGCTATCCCATCATATTTTCATTTTAGCCAGGGTCATTAGGACTCTAACAACCTAATGGATTTCTGAACTTTTGTGGACTAAAGCACTTTTATTATCCTGAAGACAGCTCATTTGCTATAATCTCTTAGGAGAGAGGTGATGCATTATCCTTTTAGACCAACACAAAACCTTGAATCTGTGTTCACAGAATCAATCTGACATTCATTTCTGTCTTTGTGCCTTGCTGGAGCTTCCCATGAGTTCTGGACTCAAGATGTTTTTTTAGGACTTCTCTGCCATAATGCAGGTACCTGCACCATCAGTTAGCTCACTCCCTAGGTCAGTAAATGAAGTATGCTAAAGCAGAAATGACTTTTCCCAGTGTGCCCCCAAGTAACAGCCACTGAAATGCAAGTCCATTAACAGCTGCACACAGCAGGCTACAGAGGAATGCAGTGTGGACCTGATGCTGTTTCGCACTGTGGTTGTACTGTTAGCACAGACTGTCCACCTGTGTTGTCTGGGTTCTCTCAGATCCTTGTGCATTTTGTCCTTGCTCCACTAACTAAGCAGCCACAACCCTACACCTCCATTAAGCTTCCTTCACCTTCGGAAAAAAAAAAAAAACCCTGCAAAATCCTATATTTTCATGTTTAAACACTTTTTCAGATTATTTTTTAACTCTTATTTTAAGCTCAGGGGTACATGTGCAGGTTTGTTACATAGGTAAACTCGTGTCATGAGGCTCTGTTATACAGATTATTTCATCATCACCCAGGTACTAAGCCTAGTACCCAATAGTTATCATTTTTAAGATACCCACAGGTATTCTGAACTACTGTATTTCTATGTCTATTAAGAATCTCGCATGACTTTTTTTACTGTGCTAGTATTTTATTAGGATTATTACTGCTTATTTGAGTATTCTCATTATAGAAGTATAGATATCGAGTTGTCTGCACCATTCCTACTTTTTTTTCCATATGCCTTGTGTATGTTTGCAGAACACTAGGCTTTTCTGGAATGTATACACTGTGTTCAAGCAGAAATGCCTACACTGTAATTCATTCATTAGCATCCCCAAGCAAACCATATCTGCCAGTTTGAAGTACATGCGATACCAAGAGATCCCCAAGGAGGAAAAGAAAAAGTATTTTGCACTACAAACACTAACACTAGTTTACAGCATTCCCATCAGAAAACATGACACAGGAGTATCCTAAAATGGATTTTCTAAACAAATGTGGGTTGGCTCTTCATGAATTCTTCCACCTCAGCTCAGAGCAGACTGTAATTCTGTTTGATAGAAGCAAGAATTATGAGACGACTGTGTCATCCCAGGGGATGAAATGGCAGAGATCACCATGCTAGGCAGATGGGCAACAAATCAGGAAATGCTGCCTAAACCTCCCATAAACCCTTCATCCTTGCACCAGGTAGATACAGGGAGCTAACAATAGGTGATACTTTCACCACTGCATTCGGATTTCAGAATAAATAACTCCTTTCATACTTTTTTGCTTTCTATCTAGACATTTAAAATACATAATTGATCAAAGATACTATTATGATGAAATGGCCATCTGAGCATGTGCCATACTTTTACAGTTGTAAATGATCACAGAGGGCATCAAGGCTGAACATTCCCAGAAGACACCCCAAAACAAAATTTTAAAAATTGAAATTGAAGATAGTGGCTGCTCTTGGTGTGCACGTGATGGGAAGGGGCTCTCAGAACATGCCATTACCTTGGGTGTTTCTGCCTGGTCACTTAAAAATGGAAGACAAGGACAGATACATGTGAGAACATTTAAGGAACAAAGCTTGACTGAACCTGTTATGAGACTACTCCAAAACAAAACAAAAAAAGAAAAAACGAAAAAGAAAAAGAGGAAAAGTAACCCAGACACACAGCTTTCGTGGCTGTTCAAATTTCTTAGCCCTAAAATACAACTTTTGCCTAAGGGACAAAGAATTCCAACAATGAAAGAAAACAATACTACAATACCAGAAAATATGACCTCTTATAACTAAATTCCCTTATTTTTTATTACAAATCATTTCATTCCAATTGACTTTTCACACATCTTAAAAACTGTGACAGCCAAGTACTTCCAGCTTCAGATGAAGAGAAAGAAAAATATCGGAGTGATAGGTATCCTGGACATCCCAATGCATTCACAGCTTAGCCCTCCTCCCCTAGGACATACCCATTAGGGCAGCATAACCTGGAAGTAGAAAATATTATACAACAACATCTGTTGAGCCTGAGTGAGATAACTCTGTAAAGTACAATAACATCTAAGAGCAAACAAGAAAGTAAAGATAAACTGTCATTGGGTCAAAAGGGTATCCCACAAACTTAGAAGGGAAATAAGTAACACCATTAAAGTTCTAAGTTAGGATGTCATGGAACAACATGCTCGAATCAACAGGGATCTTCAAAATGAGATCAAACCTAACATTTGAATTAACCAGGGCACATTCACAGGTTGCACACTGGAAATACTGTCTCTTTAGCTATGCAAAATTGGAAATTTGCACTTAAAACCCAGCATCACTGTCAACATTTGGACCTGCATCGTGCATGGCAGCTGCTGTCCAGAGCTGAAAAGTGGCTGAGCTGAGAAGTGGCTTTCCTCCCAGCATATAAAGCAGAGGCTCTTACTGGCCGTAGACTCCACATCACTGGGTCAGCATTACCTGCCTGGCTCTGGAGGCCTCCACGTTTGTAAACCCTCCTCCATCAATCACAGCCCACAGTGTAGTAAGAGCGGAAGGAGCTTGGAGGTCATCTGACAGGGACCGGCAGTCCTATTGATGCTGGACTACAAAAGAAAGTTTTGGCACAATTCAACCTTGCAAAAGAAGGCATGAAGGCGTCACTTCTCTGTGGTAGAGGGGTGGAAACTCCCTGAGTGTAGCTGGTCTGTTTGATTTCTGACCACCACTGAGATCTGGACCCAGGCCATCTACCTCGTGATTCTTGCTACTTTATATCCTCACTGATGTCATCACCTTCTGAATAGAGGGAAACCAGCCAAGCAACTTGGACTTTTGGCAGGAGACTATTTCTAAGTACTCAGTGCCTCGTGCAGTCCTGGGCATACAGTGGATACAAAAAAAAAAGTTTAAGTGAAGGAATGAATGAGTAAATGAATGAATGAATGAATGAATGAAAAATAGGAAAAAGGGCGAGAAGAGTTTCTTCTGTGGGAAAATAACACAGACGTTCCTTGTTTAGGATTGGGAGATTTAACATTTACTTTTTCCATAGTGTTATGCCCTCAATTTAAATGACAGAGGAGATAAATACACATTGAGAAATGAAACACTTATGTTTTCCGTCCTATATAGTTCTTGAGGATTTCAAGTCCCATTAGAATATTTCTCATACTTGATTAACATGTAGACCTTATTAAAGACTCCTGTGAGGCTGTGTGCAGTGGCTCACGCCTGTCATCCCAACACTTTGGGAGGCCGAGGAAGGCGGATCACCTGAGTCCAGGAGTTCGAGACCAGCATGGCCAACACAGTACTATCTGTACTAAAAATACAAAAATTAGCCGGGTGTGGTAGTGCATGTCTGTAATCCCAGCTACTCGGGAGGCTGAGGCAGGAGAATTGCTTGAACCCGGGAGGCAAAGGTTGCAGTGAGCTGAGATCACACCACTGCACTCCAGCCAGGGTGACAGAGTGAGACTCCGTCTCCAAAAAAAAAAAAAAAAAGAATCCTGTGAATTCCAGAGTTGACTTAAACATTGCTTATAACATATTACACTTAACTATGAACAAACATAAATCAGATATAAACTTCCTTGTACCAACAGCATCAGTACATTTCTAAAATCGACACACATTTACAAAATCAATGACATCAGAATTAGCAATAGTCAGCTAACCTGACGGGGATGCAGTTTTCCAAGCTACATCTCCACAGTCAATGTCCGTGCGGGACTGGCTCATACATGGCTATCTTGAACACATTTCTATGATCAAAAGCCCATTCTCCCATCACTTTTCTATTTAGACCACAGAAAATCCAGCACTCTGTTGTCAGTCACCTTCAGATTATGTGAACACATGGCTCAATGCACAGCCCACCTTTCTGCCTTCCTTTTTTTTTTTTTTTTTTTTTTTATTATACTCTAAGTTTTAGGGTACATGTGCACATTGTGCAGGTTAGTTACATATGTATACATGTGCCATGCTGGTGCGCTGCACGCACTAACGTGTCATCTACCATTAGGTATATCTCCCAATGCTATCCCTTCCCCCCTCCCCCGACCCCACCACAGTCCCCAGAGTGTGATATTCCCCTTCCTGTGTCCATGTGATCTCATTGTTCAATTCCCACCTATGAGTGAGAATATGCGGTGTTTGGTTTTTTGTTCTTGCGATAGTTTACTGAGAATGATGGTTTCCAATTTCATCCATGTCCCTACAAAGGACATGAACTCATCATTTTTTATGGCTGCATAGTATTCCATGGTGTATATGTGCCACATTTTCTTAATCCAGTCTATCATTGTTGGACATTTGGGTTGGTTCCAAGTCTTTGCTATTGTGAATAGTGCCGCAATAAACATACGTGTGCATGTGTCTTTATAGCAGCATGATTTATAGTCCTTTGGGTATATACCCAGTAATGGGATGGCTGGGTCAAATGGTATTTCTAGTTCTAGATCCCTGAGGAATCGCCACACTGACTTCCACAATGGTTGAACTAGTTTACAGTCCCACCAACAGTGTAAAAGTGTTCCTATTTCTCCACATCCTCTCCAGCACCTGTTGTTTCCTGACTTTTTAATGATTGCCATTCTAACTGGTGTGAGATGATATCTCATAGTGGTTTTGATTTGCATTTCTCTGATGGCCAGTGATGATGAGCATTTCTTCATGTGTTTTTTGGCTGCATAAATGTCTTCTTTTGAGAAGTGTCTGTTCATGTCCTTCTCCCACTTTTTGATGGGGTTGTTTGTTTTTTTCTTGTAAATTTGTTTGAGTTCATTGTAGATTCTGGATATTAGCCCTTTGTCAGATGAGTAGGTTGCGAAAATTTTCTCCCATGTTGTAGGTTGCCTGTTCACTCTGATGGTAGTTTCTTTTGCTGTGCAGAAGCTCTTGAGTTTAATTAGATCCCATTTGTCAATTTTGGCTTTTGTTGCCATTGCTTTTGGTGTTTTGGACATGAAGTCCTTGCCCACGCCTATGTCCTGAATGGTAATGCCTAGGTTTTCTTCTAGGGTTTTTATGGTTTTAGGTCTAACGTTTAAATCTTTAATCCATCTTGAATTGATTTTTGTATAAGGTGTAAGGAAGGGATCCAGTTTCAGCTTTCTACATATGGCTAGCCAGTTTTCCCAGCACCATTTGTTAAATAGGGAATCCTTTCCCCATTGCTTGTTTTTCTCAGGTTTGTCAAAGATCAGATAGTTGTAGATATGCGGCATTATTTCTGAGGG
This sequence comes from Homo sapiens, assembly GCF_000001405.40. Classification (NCBI taxonomy): domain Eukaryota; kingdom Metazoa; phylum Chordata; class Mammalia; order Primates; family Hominidae; genus Homo; species Homo sapiens. Next base: position 83,050,878 of record NC_000009.12, read on the forward strand.
CTCTGTTCTGTTCCATTGATCTATATCTCTGTTTTGGTACCAGTACCATGCTGTTTTGGTTACTGTAGCCTCGTAGTATAGTTTGAAGTCAGGTAGTGTGATGCCTCCAGCTTTGTTCTTTTGGCTTAGGATTGACTTGGCGATGCGGGCTCTTTTTTGGTTCCATATGAACTTTAAAGTAGTTTTTTCCAATTCTGTGAAGAAAGTCATTGGTAGCTTGATGGGGATGGCATTGAATCTGTAAATTACCTTGGGCAGTATGGCCATTTTCACGATATTGATTCTTCCTACCCATGAGCATGGAATGTTCTTCCATTTGTTTGTGTCCTCTTTTATTTCCTTGAGCAGTGGTTTGTAGTTCTCCTTGAAGAGGTCCTTCACATCCCTTGTAAGTTGGATTCCTAGGTATTTTATTCTCTTTGAAGCAATTGTGAATGGGAGTTCACTCATGATTTGGCTCTCTGTTTGTCTGTTATTGGTGTATAAGAATGCTTGTGATTTTTGTACATTGATTTTGTATCCTGAGACTTTGCTGAAGTTGCTTATCAGCTTAAGGAGATTTTGGGCTGAGACAATGGGGTTTTCTAGATAAACAATCATGTCGTCTGCAAACAGGGACAATTTGACTTCCTCTTTTCCTAATTGAATACCCTTTATTTCCTTCTCCTGCCTGATTGCCCTGGCCAGAACTTCCAACACTATGTTGAATAGGAGTGGTGAGAGAGGGCATCCCTGTCTTGTGCCAGTTTTCAAAGGGAATGCTTCCAGTTTTTGCCCATTCAGTATGATATTGGCTGTGGGTTTGTCATAGATAGCTCTTATTATTTTGAAATACGTCCCATCAATACCTAATTTATTGAGAGTTTTTAGCATGAAGGGTTGTTGAATTTTGTCAAAGGCTTTTTCTGCATCTGTTGAGATAATCATGTGGTTTTTGTCTTTGGCTCTGTTTATATGCTGGATTACATTTATTGATTTGCGTATATTGAACCAGCCTTGCATCCCAGGGATGAAGCCCACTTGATCATGGTGGATAAGCTTTTTGATGTGCTGCTGGATTCGGTTTGCCAGTATTTTATTGAGGATTTTTGCATCAATGTTCATCAAGGATATTGGTCTAAAATTCTCTTTTTTGGTTGTGTCTCTGCCCGGCTTTGGTATCAGAATGATGCTGGCCTCATAAAATGAGTTAGGGAGGATTCCCTCTTTTTCTAATGATTGGAATAGTTTCAGAAGGAATGGTACCAGTTCCTCCTTGTACCTCTGGTAGAATTCGGCTGTGAATCCATCTGGTCCTGGACTCTTTTTGGTTGGTAAACTATTGATTATTGCCACAATTTCAGAGCCTGTTATTGGTCTATTCAGAGATTCAACTTCTTCGTGGTTTAGTCTTGGGAGGGTGTATGTGTCGAGGAATGTATCCATTTCTTCTAGATTTTCTAGTTTATTTGCGTAGAGGTGTTTGTAGTATTCTCTGATGGTAGTTTGTATTTCTGTGGGATCGGTGGTGATATCCCCTTTATCATTTTTTATTGTGTCTATTTGATTCTTCTCTCTTTTTTCTTTATTAGTCTTGCTAGCGGTCTATCAATTTTGTTGATCCTTTCAAAAAACCAGCTCCTGGATTCATTGATTTTTTGAAGGGTTTTTTGTGTCTCTATTTCCTTCAGTTCTGCTCTGATTTTAGTTATTTCTTGCCTTCTGCTAGCTTTTGAATGTGTTTGCTCTTGCTTTTCTAGTTCTTTTAATTGTGATGTTAGGGTGTCAATTTTGGATCTTTCCTGCTTTCTCTTGTAGGCATTTAGTGCTATAAATTTCCCTCTACACACTGCTTTGAATGTGTCCCAGAGATTCTGGTATGTGGTGTCTTTGTTCTCGTTGGTTTCAAAGAACATCTTTATTTCTGCCTTCATTTCGTTATGTACCCAGTAGTCATTCAGGAGCAGGTTGTTCAGTTTCCATGTAGTTGAGCGGCTTTGAGTGAGATTCTTAATCCTGAGTTCTAGTTTGATTGCACTGTGGTCAAAGAGATAGTTTGTTATAATTTCTGTTCTTTTACATTTGCTGAGGAGAGCTTTACTTCCAAGTATGTGGTCAATTTTGGAATAGGTGTGGTGTGGTGCTGAAAAAAATGTATATTCTGTTGATTTGGGGTGGAGAGTTCTGTAGATGTCTATTAGGTCTGCTTGGTGCAGAGCTGAGTTCAATTCCTGGGTATCCTTGTTGACTTTCTGTCTCGTTGATCTGTCTAATGTTGACAGTGGGGTGTTAAAGTCTCCCATTATTAATGTGTGGGAGTCTAAGTCTCTTTGTAGGTCACTCAGGACTTGCTTTATGAATCTGGGTGCCCCTGTATTGGGTGCATAAATATTTAGGATAGTTAGCTCCTCTTGTTGAATTGATCCCTTTACCATTATGTAATGGCCTTCTTTGTATCTTTTGATCTTTGTTGGTTTAAAGTCTGTTTTATCAGAGACTAGGATTGCAACCCCTGCCTTTTTTTGTTTTCCATTTGCTTGGTAGATCTTCCTCCATCCTTTTATTTTGAGCCTATGTGTGTCTCTGCACGTGAGATGGGTTTCCTGAATACAGCACACTGATGGGTCCTGACTCTTTATCCAATTTGCCAGTCTGTGTCTTTTAATTGCAGAATTTAGTCCATTTATATTTAAAGTTAATATTGTTATGTGTGAATTTGATCCTGTCATTATGATGTTAGCTGGTGATTTTGCTCATTAGTTGATGCAGTTTCTTCCTAGTCTCGATGGTCTTTACATTTTGGCATGATTTTGCAGCGGCTGGTACCGGTTGATCCTTTCCATGTTTAGCACTTCCTTCAGGAGCTCTTTTAGGGCAGGCCTGGTGGTGACAAAATCTCTCAGCATTTGCTCGTCTATAAAGTATTTTATTTCTCCTTCACTTATGAAGCTTAGTTTGGCTGGATATGAAATTCTGGGTTGAAAATTCTTTTCTTTAAGAATGTTGAATATTGGCCCCCACTCTCTTCTGGCTTGTAGGGTTTCTGCCGAGAGATCCGCTGTTAGTCTGATGGGCTTCCCTTTGAGGGTAACCCGACCTTTCTCTCTGGCTGCCCTTAACATTTTTTCCTTCATTTCAACTTTGGTGAATCTGACAATTATGTGTCTTGGAGTTGCTCTTCTCGAGGAGTATCTTTGTGGCGTTCTCTGTATTTCCTGAATCTGAACGTTGGCCTGCCTTGCTAGATTGGGGAAGTTCTCCTGGATAATATCCTGCAGAGTGTTTTCCAACTTGGTTCCATTCTCCACATCACTTTCAGGTACACCAATCAGACGTAGATTTGGTCTTTTCACATAGTCCCATATTTCTTGGAGGCTTTGCTCATTTCTTTTTATTCTTTTTTCTCTAAACTTCCCTTCTCGCTTCATTTCATTCATTTCATCTTCCATTGCTGATACCCTTTCTTCCAGTTGATCGCATCGGCTCCTGAGGCTTCTGCATTCTTCACGTAGTTCTCGAGCCTTGGTTTTCAGCTCCATCAGCTCCTTTAAGCACTTCTCTGTATTGGTTATTCTAGTTATACATTCTTCTAAATTTTTTTCAAAGTTTTCAACTTCTTTGCCTTTGGTTTGAATGTCCTCCCGTAGCTCAGAGTAATTTGATCGTCTGAAGCCTTCTTCTCTCAGCTCGTCAAAATCATTTTCCATCCAGCTTTGTTCTGTTGCTGGTGAGGAACTGCGTTCCTTTGGAGGAGGAGAGGTGCTCTGCTTTTTAGAGTTTCCAGTTTTTCTGTTCTGTTTTTTCCCCATCTTTGTGGTTTTATCTACTTTTGGTCTTTGATGATGGTGATGTACAGATGGGTTTTCGGTGTAGATGTCCTTTCTGGTTGTTAGTTTTCCTTCTAACAGACAGGACCCTCAGCTGCAGGTCTGTTGGAATACCCTGCCGTGTGAGGTGTCAGTGTGCCCCTGTTGGGGGGTGCCTCCCAGTTAGGCTGCTTGGGGGTCAGGGGTCAGGGACCCACTTGAGGAGGCAGTCTGCCCGTTCTCAGATCTCCATCTGCGTGCTGGGAGAACCACTGCTCTCTTCAAAGCTGTCAGACAGGGACACTTAAGTCTGCAGAGGTTACTGCTGTCTTTTTGTTTGTCTGTGCCCTGCCCCCAGAGGTGGAGCCTACAGAGGCAGGCAGGCCTCCTTGAGCTGTGGTGGGCTCCACCCAGTTCGAGCTTCCAGGCTGCTTTGTTTACCTAAGCAAGCCTGGGCAATGGCGGGCGCCCCTCCCCCAGCCTCGTTGCCGCCTTGCAGTTTGATCTCAGACTGCTGTGCTAGCAATCAGCGAGATTCCGTGGGCGTAGGACCCTCTGAGCCAGGTGTGGGATATAGTCTTGTGGTGCGCCGTTTCTTAAGCCGGTCTGAAAAGCGCAATATTCGGGTGGGAGTGACCCGATTTTCCAGGTGCGTCCGTCACCCCTTTCTTTGACTCGGAAAGGGAACTCCCTGACCCCTTGCGCTTCCCAGGTGAGGCAATGCCTCGCCCTGCTTCGGCTCGCGCACGGTGCGCGCACACACTGGCCTGCGCCCACTGTCTCGCACTCCGTAGTGAGATGAACCCGGTACCTCAGATGGAAATGCAGAAATCACCCGTCTTCTGCGTCGCTCACGCTGGGAGCTGTAGACCGGAGCTGTTCCTATTCGGCCATCTTGGCTCCTCCCTCCTCGATTGTCCAAAGTGTTTCTCTGCCTTCCTTTTTAGCCCATGACAATGCACACAGTGTTATGAGATGCCTCACGAACACAAATGCAGGTTTTGAAATTGTGTAGCCAAATCTGTAATACAAAAGTCATCCAAATCTGTAATGCAGGTGATTTGGAATGAGCTCACATCAATTTATTTTACATTATTGCCAAAATGAAAATAAGAATATTTGGTCTCCTAAAACTCCCAAAGATATATGTAAGGACCCCGAAGGGTCTATGGCTCCCAATTTGAGAAACATTCGATGTGAAACATCCATAGTCCAGAATGAGTGGTGTTTTGGTGAGCCAGGAGGAATTTTCCCATTCATTATTCCACATCCCAGGTCCTTCAGGTGTTAGAAACTCCTGAGTATTTAAGAAGGTGAGAAACAAGGTCAGGGTCAGGTGTATATATATAGTGCCTAGTGAGATGTCAAGGGCAATGTCAATATTGGGTGAACTAGAGAAAGAATCAAAGAAACATTTGCACTACTGGAGCTGTATATCCTGTTTTTATAAGACATATAGACTAAGGCCTTAAGGGTTAAAATTCACTCTTCTTATAATTACTCTGACAAAAGCAGTTATCGTTTGGAAGACCCTGAATATTTACAAGTTGAAGCAATGAACTTGTTTGTTTGACAAAATAATTCTAAAGAAATCCTATGTGTCATAGATAAATTCCACCATTAGAACTTCCCTCTGGGAGACAGACAAGTGTTTACTTTCCATTTTACAACCTCATATGAGACTAATACAGTCAGGTGAGGCAGCCCTGAACACTCAGAATAAATATTCTCTTCCCATTTCCCTCTTCTGACTACATACTGCACTCAAGTGCTACCTAAATTGTAATAAGTGATACATGAAGCAAGAAGGCATACTGTGTATACCCTCTTAGGAGAGAAAAAGGATTCAAAACACACTTGGAATCACCATGGCACACTAACCTTTCCCCATATGATACGGCTACTTTCATTGTACAAATGAAAAAAGATTGGATAACCTGGGCAGAAAATAAGAAACAGATGAAGATTTGTACACGCTTAAAGAGATAGGGGTAGTGTAACTGAATTTAACAGTAGTTTTGGAGAAGAATAAATCACAAGTTCAGGTTTGAGGAAAAGCTAGAGAAGAGTCTGTAGTTCTGGGAGTACAGTCTCCCTGGTAACACTAAGTTTTAAGACTTTTTCTTTTTAAGCCTTTTTCTTTTTGCACAAACCAGAAGGACAGAATAAATCATCTTTCTTCAAATTCTGAGAGCAAAGCTCTGAGCAATCAGTGAATTCTGAGGGTCACAGCAGGCCACTGCTCAGATGGCTAACACTGAGAGCCTTCTAAGGACTAGAAGTCCAAAATACCTTTCCAAAATCTGAAAGCCAAAAAGAAATTACTACCTTGAGATTAAATTCAAATATCAGAACCAGAAGTGGCCACCACCCAGCAAGTAGAGCTCATAAAACCTAAGGCATGCACAGATTCACAAAAGGCCCAGGAGGAAGGATCAAAGGTTCATTCCCCCTACAATCTGGAGCAAGGCAAGGATGCCCGCTCTCACCACTCCTTCTCAATATAGTACTGGAAGTCCTAGCCAGAGCAATCAGGCAAGAGAAAGAAATAAACCCATCCAAATTGGAAAACAGGAAGTCAAATTATCTCTGTTGGCTGACAATATAATCTTATATCTAGAAAACCCTAAAGACTCCTATAAAAGACTCCTAAGCTTTGATAAACGAATTCAGTTAATTCTCAGGATACAAAAATCAATGTAGAAAAATCAGTAGCATTTGTATACACCAATAATGAGCTGTAGTTATCAAGAGACAGGTTTCTCCCACTCAGCAGAGTAATGATACACATAATTGTGACAGAGGACACATTAAAGAGAAAAAGCAAAAAGCTACAGAATAGCAACAGTTAGAAAACAAGGAGATACAGATACAGACATAAACAGAGACACAGATGTTAGGATCCCGGTTCAGAATCCAGAAAAGGTAAAGAAACTTCCATAAAACCTATGCCAAGCACAATGATAGATCCCAAATCTGGTACTCAAGGTAAATACCCAATACAGTCAAAAGCACCCTTGAACCTCATCTAGGACTTGGGTGTAGCCCACCACCATGTTGCAAAGCTAGAACACATCTTCTCTTCTTGGATGAGAACCAGACATTACTGGCCATGAGCATGAAAAAATACATACATATATATATCCATATATACATATTCATATATACATATATTCATATATACATATATATATATATATATATATATATTCGTCTTTAAATACCACAAACACATCCCAAAGCACCAAGATGCTCACATGTGGAAGATACTCAAGAGCTGAGATCAAAGAGAAAAGAGCTGATTTACCTCTCTCATCTCAAGGTGACTCAGGGCCACCTTTCTACTAAGTGGAAAGAGGAGAAACTGAGGCAAGATGGAATCCATCAGTCTCTCTTCCTTTCCCCTCCATCTGAGCTCTGTGTTTCACTCCCTCTCAACATGTCCCCCTCTGCCACTCTATCTCTGGCCTTCTCTCTTGCTCTCCGGCTCACTCCTGATGTATTTATGTCTTTTTTTTTTTTTTTTTTTTTTTTTTTTGAGAAGGAGTCTCGCTCTGTCGCCCAGGCTGGAGTGCAGTGGCGCGATCTCGGCTCACTGCAAGCTCCGCCTCCCGGGTTCACACCATTCTCCTGCCTCAGCCTCCCGAGTAGCTGGGACTACAGGTGCCCGCTACCACGCCCGGCTAATTTTTTGTATTTTTAGTAGAGACGGGGTTTCACCGTGTTAGCCAGGATGGTCTCCATCTCCTGACCTCGTGATCCGCCCGCCTCGGCCTCCCAAAGTGCTGGGATTACAGGCGTGAGCCACCGCGCCCGGCCGTATTTATGTCTTTCTTTGCCTCTGTCTCTCCTCTCCCTTTTCTATCTTGTCAAGCACCGTTTCATGTAAATTAAGGGAGCTGTGAAGCAACTACACTATTACAAAACAAGGCAATCATTCTGAAAAGGGCTAAACTAGAACCCAAGAAAGGGAAATGGAGAAGCAACCCTCACCAATACTGAAACTTCGCCTCTGCCTACTGGCAGCTACTTGTTTTTAAAAATTTCCCAATTAAATGGGATTGCTGTCCAATGGGTGAGCCTTTCCTCTTGAGTTTAATAAGGTAAGCCGTTTTGCCAATCTCTATACAATTCACATATGGAAAGTTTTGGTTCCTCTCAATTAAATTTGTTTTTAAATTACCAAATAAAAGAATCCCCTTCGACATCGTGCATGTAGAAACATCGCAAACCATGTGAAACAGCTAACGGTGCTGATTTTGACGTCTCAACAAATCCTAGCCTAGCACTGCCTGGCAGGTCACCCATCACTATACCTGCCACACCCTCAGGTACCTGACCTGAGGCTGTCCCTCCTTTGGATACTTTTGGGATACCTGTGCCCACTCACAGACCCTCAGTGGTTCCAGTGCCAGCTGCACCCTCACATTCCTGTTTGTGAGAATGTGGGGTTTTCTAAGTTAATTTATCAGCATGAATCAATTCACAGATAACACTCAAAATTGCTGCAAATGGGAGTTGAGAAAAAACTGAAAAGTTTCAGCTCTGACTAGAGGTCAGAGAAGAGGCCTTCATCCCTGCTCTCAGCCATCCATCAAATGCTCAATACACACACACACACACACACACACACACACACACAGCCTATTTCCTTCTCTTGGCAATCTTTGAACACCAAGACTGGCTCACAACAGTAACTGAAAAAAAAAAAAAAAAGTGAGAGAACCTGCAAAAGAAGTGGAGAAAATGCTCACAGCATGAACTACACTCTCTCTCAAAATGCAGATATATGAAACAAGAATCAAAGAATACTGATTTATTCTATTCATTTGGCAAACATTTACTGAGTATCTCCTGAGTATGAAACTCCCTTTCACCAAGACAATGACCCAGGCATCAGAAACTGGCAAGGCTACATTATAAGTTGGCTCTCTGCCCTGCCCCTCCACCCTCAACACCCACACATTTTCTTCCTACTTCCAGGACTTTTCTTGGCCTGGTAGCACCTGTCCTCCCAAATTCTCTTATGTAACTAAATCACACTGTCCTGCTGCCTTCACCTGTTGGCTGACCTTATCAAACTGACCAGGAAGTGGTCAAGGCCCATCCTGACCTTGCAGACCCTTCATATCTGCCAGGCTCAGCTTACCCGGTCACACAACTCCTTGGACACTCCTTCCTCAGCCTTCAAAACAAAAAGTCCCTCAATTTTCTAAGAGAAAATGAACTCAACAATGACACATATCCCAAAAGCTACTTTCATCCCTTCATGATGCAATATTATCTTCCCTCTAACATCACGATTACTGATGACTGGCGAGTTTAACCCAAAATTGCTTAATATTTTGCTTGAAAGATTCTTTAAATGAAAATCAACAGTGTCATGCTTTGCCTTTATAGGAACCAAACATTTTCCTATTTAATATCCGTTCCTCTCAAACTGGATGTGAACACTCCCCAGGATAGCCCTGGGGCAGACTGTCCCCAGGGATAAGATTGAGTGCCAGGTGGGAAACAAAGCCACAAGTTGGAATGGCACACCTTCCTAGAAAGACAATTCTCCCTTCAGAAGAAACTCTATTTTATATGAAAACAAGTCCCAAAATATTGTGTACAAAGATGAACAACTTAATCACTTTTTAAAGAAAAGCTCAAGACTTCAAAGAAAATTCTTGCTTGCAGCCGTCTGTTGGGCTATGTCCACAATACAGGGAGTTTCCTACAAATGTTCTTTGCCTTTAAATGTTCTTCGATGAAGTTGCTGGAAAAATGTTTCATCCACACCATGAGCATCTTGAGGGCATGAACTACATACTATCCTTCTCTTTGTCCCCAGCAACCTAGGACAGTACCTAAGCCAGTATTTGGCATATGGCAGGCAATTGGTAATGCTTATGGAATACATTTGGCTGAAATAATGCCGACAGCATTATCAATAACAAAAAAGTGTTTAAATCACATTTGGATGGAAGGAAGAAAAGGTCAACAGCTGTATGAGGAAGTGAAGTAGAATTAATCCAATTTACCAAAACAGCGGATGGCTGCCATGGTAACAATCTGATGCAGCAACTCAGTTTAGATCTCTTCCACTTGAACATGAGAGGAAGACAAATATTGTACTTGTTAATCTCACATCAGGAGGTGAGGCTTAGGACACAAGTCTACCAGGTGACACCGGTGCCCATTAAATGTAGTAATCTCTGAAGAATTTGGAAAGGCAACATGATAATAATAATTCCACCAATAATATTAATTCCTGGTTTGTACACTGACCCAGGTCATTTCAATCATTTAAGGTTGTGTGTGAAATATTTGTTGCTGAGACTAGACAACTGTGAAAAACAGATCCACATGTATGCATACATCATATCCAATATGATGTGGACTCACCCTGCCTCATTCCTAAAATTCTTACTTTTTTTAACTAGCTGCACCCAAACTAAGTTACAGATGAAAGATGACTCAAATAAAGAGTATAGGTTGTAGCAGTGTTTAAATTTTGCTACTTCCCTGGTTGGGGAGTAACTCATTTGTAAATAACAGAAAAGATCGTTACACACCCACTTTCTCTACACAACCCTTCTATGGCAGTGAGTCACTCTCCATGCCCAATATTCCCCTTACTTTCCAAGCTGGAGGGAGAAGTTGGGAGGAGAAGGAAGTGAGGGCTTCCAATGAACAAGCACACTGACAACCTTCCAGGGATACTTCCTTTTCAATGTTCTGTCTCAGATGTGCAAACTGCCAACCAAAATGATGCCTTTCAGAGCGTCTTAATAACGACAGCCAGAGCTCAGCAAAATTTCAGCTAAAATCCAAACATAAAGCAGAAAAACACTTAACAGCACTGAAATGTGTGTATCGCTGGGGCATGAAGTGAAAAATAGCAGCTGGAGACACCCACCACACCAAGGCATGGACAAATGCAAACGAAACTCAAAAAGAAAATCTGAGCCTCTCTCCCTCCAGGCCCTGAAATCCCACCTGCAGGCATCCCCTTACCTCCTGATAATTAAGTCCGTGACTTGACACGTTATTTCTGTCAGAGCAGTAAGAGCAGAGAATATACTGTGTCATTTTATCATTTTATTCCGTCACATAAAAAGTGAGTTTTTCAGTTCACAAAATTTGGGTCAAATCTCTGCTGTTTAACTGGGCAAGTCCCTTAACGTCTGTCTAATTTCTAGGTCTAAGTTCAGAAATAAGCTAGCCTACCTTCTAGGGATGTTATGAAAATTAAATGCGTGAACTCTGTAAAATGCCTAGCAGGTACATCAATCAATATTTGTGTCCAGCAATGTAAAAGCCCAACAAAGTTTCCTTTTCTATAGTCTTAGGAAAACGACAAATCAGAAAACTATTACAGAGGACGCCAAATTGGCAAACAGCCCGGGCCCCAGCCCTGGGGTGAGAGCCTAAGGCCTGGGGTAGAAGGTGACGTAACCAGGACGCGGTGAGATGTGGCGCGCGCGCCTAAACTCGCGCGGGGCGCCAGCAGCTGCAGATTTCAGGAGAGCTCCTGTAATGAACACGCCGCCCTTTGCAGGCTCAGGATTCAGCACGTAAAACTTTCTCCCCAAACGCTGACTCTCTGACTCCTTTTTCTTAACTCTAGCGGATCTTGGAAAAGTCAAAGCGAGTAGGTGAAGGAAGACAAGCAACTCACAGAGAAGACTAGGGGGGGGGGCCATTGGGTCTGCACACCTGCAAGTAAGTGGGAAGAAGCAAGCAGGAAGCGCCAGAATAACCTCCCGCCCCCAGCTCACACTCGCACCTGGGAATGAACTTGGCTTCGTCCCCAAGTCGCGCCTGGAAATCCTGCCAAGCCCGGCCGGGACTCGCCGGGCCGCACGAGGTGGCCAGCGCCGCCGCCGCGTCCTCGTCGCCTTCGTCCTCCTCGCTGTCGTGTGTCTCCGGCCCCGCCTCAGACACGGCGGGCGCGGGATCCAGAGGACCCCAGTCCCGGCGCCGCCCCCCGCGGAGGGACCCGAGGAAGCCACGCGCGAACTCCTGGAAGGTGATGGCGCCGTCACGGTCGGCGTCCAGCCGCTGGAATACTGCCTCGGCGTCGGCCGGCCGCACCCGCAGCTCCGTGCACAGTGCCCGGAACTCCTCGCGCTCCAGGCGCCCCGAGCGGTTCGCGTCGCAGGCGGCGAAGACTGAGCGCAGCCGGGCCAGCTCCTCTCCGTCCCCATCCGCCTCCATCCCGCCTGGCGGGGGCGGCCGAGAGGGCTCCGGAGCGCCGCGGGGCGCAGGGCCCTCCCTGGAAGGACGGGGCCACCTGCTGCCGCCGGGAGGCCCGGCGAGTTTGGCTCGTCCGGCTGGTTCGGCCACTTGAGGGAACGTCGGGCGGGGCGAGGAACGTCGGGGGTGGCCGAGCGGCTCCCTTCGACGACGGTTCGGGCCAGCCCCCAACAGGTCCCGGGAGCGGTGGGGTGCGCCCGGGCTCCAGGCACCGCCAAGGAGCGCCTCCTGCGACTGAGCGCCCAAGCGCCGAGGTGGCTCTCGCCACTTTCCCGGCGGGTGCAGCTCCGCCCAGCCAGGGAGGAGGAGCGCGCGCCACCGCTTCTCCAGTTCCCACGCCCCGGAGTCCACCGCTGCTTGCCGCGCAGGTGGGGGAGACCTGGCTGGCCGGAACTGGGATTCGGGGGGAGCATTGCCCTTCGGCGTAAGCGCTGCTCAGGTAGAGCCCAGCGCTCCGCTTCTCCACAGAACGTGCTGGCGCGCGCGTCAGAAGCTAACCGCACAGAGGTAAGGTAGGTAGGGGTAGGATTCCGAATGGGTTAAGTGCATTTTATTATCTTACTCCCGAAACTTGATAAACTTCTTTATATAGAAGTTTCTTACAAACCAAAGTACAAGATTTACCAGAAGACCCCATTCTCAATTTTACTGGCTTTCGTTAACGCATTTTTGTGCGTCTAACGTTAAGGTCCCACTGCTTAAACACAGATCTTCCAGATCTCCAATTCCACATTTTTTCTCAATCCTTGTCTCCAAAACCTGAGAAAAAATTTGATAAACAAAATCGTTTGGCAGACAGCATTGTTTAAACAAAGACTGAGGTCGTTTTGTAGGTTTTTTTACTTAAACAAACTTTATGGAAATTACATATCCAAAGGTAGGTTACCCTTTGGTTTTAAACACTTTTTTCGACAATACTATTGTTTCTTTAACACTGCTTAATGGATATGAGATCTTTAAAATCCACCCATTTTGATCCTTTTAAACACTTTTTCCATCCTTTTCCAGGAGACCCTCAGTCTGTCATACGGCTTATGTAACCGTGCCTTTAGGCGATTCTCATAGCCTGTGAAGATATATTTGGCTCATTTTTACTTTATTTACATTATCCATTTCCTCCACATTTTAGACTTTCTGACTCTGTATTTTTCTTTTATCTCATTCTGGATTCTCTTTATCGTTTATTACTTTGATTTTTTAAAAATGTGATCATTAAGTAAGGGATATTACTGACACGTTCCTACTAGGCTAGTGTTCTTAAACATAAAGCTAAGTGCTAAACATCTGGGGAACTATTTCCTCTTGAATTGTACAATAAACATGGTCAACACTAACAGCTTCTATTAAACTGTAACTACTACTGATAACCCCCATCTGAAAATTTAACTGGTAAATTATGAGAGGCATTCCATTAGAAGTCCTGGTCTTAGCAACCTAATTGCTAAGTGAATATAGTTGTATACAGTTGGACAGCTAATACAATGAATCTTATCATTAGTGCAATGTAAGTTGTTATTGATTTTGAGCTTATGTGCTTTCCTGTTTATTCTAAAGATTGATTTTTCCATATGAATTTAAAAGTAGCTGGCTTGGTAATGCCTTTAAAGCTTTACAAATATACTTATTAAACTAAATCTTTGAACTATTATTATATTTATACTGTTAGCAACTAATGGATATCTATGTCTTTAAAAATAGATGCTTTCATGTTTTTAACTGCTTAGGAAGAAGTGCTTTTTTGAAGATTGCTTGCACAACTTTATTCCTGAATTTTTACTCTGACCTTTGTGCTCATTTTTTCTGAATTCTTATGTTCTGTGACCTGCTTTGCCCTTTCCCTAAGCCCCTTCATTGAAGAGTCATCAAGAAACACGAATTGGCCTGGCACAGTGGCTCATGCCTGTAATCCCAGCACTTTGGGAGGCTGAGGTGGGTGGATCACTTGAAGTCAGGAGTTCGAGACCAGCCTGACCAACATGGTGAAAGCCTGTCTCTACTAAAAATACAAAAAATTAGCTGGGCGTGGTGGCGGGCACCTTTAGTCCCAGCTACTTGGATAGCTGAGGCAGGAGAATCACTCGAACCTGAGAGGCAGAGGTTGCAGTGAGCCGAGATCGCGCCACTGCACTCCAGCCTGGGCAACAGAGCAAGACTATGTCTCAAAACAAAAAACACAAAACAAAAACAAAAAACACACAAATTATTCCAAATGTCTTGTGCATGCATTTTTCTTATTCTTATTTCTACCAATATTAATATACTTCAGACCTCCGATATCAGTTATTTATCACTGCATAACAACAGTAGTGATCTAAAAGTGCTACCATTTTATTTGTTCATAATTCCATTATCATCAATTTGGGCAGGGCTCAGCTAGGTGGTTTGTCTGCTGGCTTGCCTGGGATCTCTCAGGTGGTTTTCTTGTTGACTCAACTGGGGCTGGATGGTTATAGAGTCTCACTCATTTTTCTGGAAGCTGGTGCTGGCTGTTGGCTGGGCCATGTGTCTTCAGGAAGCTAGCATGAGTTTTGTCACATGGTGGCAATGTTCCAAGCGAGTAAGCCCCAGTGTACAAGTGCTCTTCAAGCTTTAGCTTATGTCATATTTGCTGATATTCCATTGACAAGTCACATTGGCAAGTCACATGGCCAAGCCCTAAGTCAGTGTGGGAAGGGACTACAAAAAAAACAGGGATACAGAGAAATGTACTTCATTGGAGGCTCTTACTGTTACAATATACCATACCTAAGGTAAAGAGACAGCCTCTAATATATTCTCCCAGGCTCTTGTCCTAACATCCTGTTTATTCTGCACAACCACAGCTGGACAGTCCTTCTCAAACACCAATTATTCTATCATTCTCTACTCTTTAATTCTCAATCAGTCAACAATTTTGTTTCGCAGGGGACATTTGGCAGTGTCTGATGACATTTTTGGCTGTCTTAATTTGATAAGGGGTAGATGCTCCTGGCCTCTAGTAGGTAGCTGCAGGGATGCTACGGAATATCCTGTAATGCACAGGCCAGAGCCTCCCCTCCTTCCCATTACAAAGAATTATCTGGCCAAAAATGTCAATTGTGCTGAGGTTGAGGAAGCCTGTACCCTAACTCATAAACCCCCAGTGGTGCTCCAATAAAAAGAGAACTAAAGGTAAACTCTTAATCCGAGCATCCACAGCCCTCTGTAATTTGCTCTGACTACATAGATCAAATATTTCACCCTTTAGTCTCTATCATGGCTTTTATTGTCCCCCAAATAAGCCACACTTCATCACATGATTACGTTAGTAGCTCCTTACTATCAGGACAAAATGTAAATATCAAGCAGATCTTTTAGCTTTTCTCTCTTCTGTCTAACCAAACCATTTCCCAGCTTAAGTAAAAGAATTGGATCCTGCTTTTTCTACAAACGTTTACACAATTGCATTGTGACCTGCCACTCATAAATACATCACTTAGTGTGTATGTCAGTTCAGGTATCAGGCAGCAGGAATGTTTTTGAATAACCCCAGCAATATACTCAGGGGAAAGCCACGGTCATATAATCTGTCTCTAATTATTTTCAACAAACAGCAAAGAGAAAAGAAAGAAATAGGAGGTGCTTCTTTTTATTTTAGCATCCAGAAACAGCTAGCCAGGAACTGGAGATAACAGAGCAGGCTTTGAGAGCCAATGAATTAGTAGGTAAGGAGAGCTTGCCCATGATTGTCAGCATGACTTTTCGAAAGATCAGCTTCCTCTCTGGCTGCTCAAAGATTTTAAAAATCAGAGATAATCTTGTTAGAGCATGTTTCTCAAAGCAGTGAAAAGACATCTTTGGAAAGAAATAATTTTGTGATCAGATACATTTGTAAAACACAAATAAATTTTAGAAAGAATCCTATTATATTCCTTTGAGATAAAGCTGTTTGATCGAATATTTCCTAAATGTATTTGACTATGGTAACTTTGAGTTTGGGGTTTTGGTTTGGTTTGGTTTCAATTTCCGTGAGCTTTCCACAGACTTAGTGCTCTCAAAACATACTTGAGGAGACCTCGTGTTAGACAGTGACTAGGGTGGTGAGTCATGAGAAGTGATCCTTTGCTCCTACATCATAAATTGGCCCAACTTCCCATAACGGGAATGAGCAATACCACTTTAACCTGCTTTTCATTGGTAAGTAGGGAAAGCTTTTAGTGGAAACCTATTGTAATCCACCCTGTAAGATTTCCTTCAGGTACGAGAGTGCTTCTCAGAGCATGACTTAACACTGCAGTTACTTTGCCCCAGAAAGATCCGAAATGCCATTGAAAATGGAACTAGATACCTTAGTAATGGCATACCACTGAGGCACCCACTAGTAGGTTCAGGAACACTCTGAAACATACATACCCCTGTAAGAGCTGAGTCTTAGTTTTCTCATGAATATATACTCAGAGCTTACTATTCCTAAGGAAGCTACAGGAAAAAGGTAGATTTTGCGAAAAGGAATGTGTCAGCGTATATCATAGTGATCCACTGACCCTTTATGTAAAGCATGAAAAAGAGAAAATAATAACACTTATATACTGCTATCCATAATTAGCAAATGTGAACATCCTATCCTATTTGCCTCAGATCTATTTTTTAAAATGAAGCATTAGAGACCCAGCTGAACTTCCCCTTTGACTGCATATTGTTTCTATAATTAATGTATAGCATTGTTGTGTATGTGTTGTGTTGGCAGTTATCAGACTTTGGAAAATCTTTCATTTAAAAAAATTAAGTATCTGTAATGTTTCAAACAATATCAAATACCATTACATGTCTTGAACCAGAGCAGAGTTGGCGTTCATTATTAGAACTGAGCAAGAAGTATTGTATTTCAAACTTCTGATTCCATTTTGTGATGACTAAGCAAAACTCATGTCATTTTCCCACATTAGCAAACTGTATGTCTCATCCATCTTGCTCCTCTCAGTTAAGACAAAAGTTTGTGTTTTTTATTTATTATTTATGTATTTATTTTTTGTGACAGGGTGTCACTTTCTCGTAGGCTGGAGTGCAGTGGTGTGATCATGGCTCACTGCAGCCTCAACCTCCCTGGACTTAGGTGATCCTCCCGTCTCAGTCGCTGGAGTCACTGGGACTACAGGCACGCACCACTACTCCCAGTTAATTTTTTTTGTATTTTTTGTAGAGTTTCTCTACGTTGCCCAGACTGGTCTCAAACACTTTGGCTGGAGATCCGCCTGACTCGGCCTTCTGAAGTGCTAAGATTACAGGCGTGAGCCGCCATACCTGGTCGCTGTTTCATATTATATATGCAAGAAGTAGAGAAATCAAATCTAATAAAAATAAATGGACCTCAGTTCACTTTTGGACAGCAGAAAAAGCAAACTGTGGAAAGCAGAATTCTACAATGGCACGCTGGTTCCCACCCCTTGGTGTACATGCTCTGCATGAAGTGAGCAGGACCTGTGAATATAATGGGATAATCACTCCTGTGATTACATTATGTTATATGATTCCATTCCCCTCCTGGCTTTGAAGAAGTGAGCTGCCATGTCATGAGAACACCAGGTGGCTAGGACCTGAAGATAGCCTCTAAGGAGCTGAGGATGTCACCCTGCTGACAGCCAGCAAGGAAATGGGTACCTCAGTCCTATAGCTGCAAGGAATTGAAACCTGCCAACAACCTGAATGAACTTGGCAGAGGACTCTGAGCTTGTGATGAGAACACATCCCCAGCTTGAAATCAAATCGACATATTGATTTTAGCACTGTGAGATACTGAGCTGAGAACACAGTTCAGCTGTTCCTGGACTTCAGAACCACAGAACTGAGATGATAAATGAGTGGTGTTTCAAGTTGCTAAGTTTGTGGTCATTTGCTTACAGTAATTGTAAACTAATACACAAGTGTAAGTTTGTTTTCTTAAAGAAGAAAAAAACGGGGAAGGAGGTAAGTGTTAAAGGATCAAAACTCTGACAAAAGGCTGGTTGCAGAACATGACAGGTTGTTGCACTGGAAACTATTTGTCATGCAAGTTTATGTTAAAATAAGTAGCTTTTGAGGACTTTCATTTTTGGTCTTGTAAACATGCCATTTAATATTGTCCAACTGATAATACTTTTTGCAAACAGAAACTGTTAAAACCTTTAAAGCAAATATTACTGTAGAGAAGAAGTAATGTGTTATGAAACTGTGAGGATACTAAGAAGGATCCTACTTAAGTTTCTTCAGCATAAATAAACTTGAGCGTTTCGACCACTGTTACTGAGAATGAAATTATTTCTTAATCACTTTTAATGAGGTAAAATTTACATACGATAAAATGCACCAATTTTAAAGTATAGTTTAATGAGCTTGCACAGATGTAAATATCTGTTTAACTTCTACTTAATCAAGATATAGAATATTTCCACAATGCCAAAATTGCCATTGACCCCCTTCCCCTTCTTTCACCCAACTGCAGACCCCAGGTCACCACCAACCTACTCTTGCTCAATATAGATTTAATGTGATGTGTCTTTTCTAGAGTTTTATGTCAATAGAATTGTACACTATGCACTCTTCCATGCCTGGCTTTCTTTGCTCAGCAGAAGGTGTTTAGATTAATTCAGTAGTTCATTTCTTTCTAGTAATGAATAGGATCACATTATACATTATACCACAGAGTGTGCATCCATTACTTTGTTGATTGATATTTGGGTCATTTCCAGGTTTTGGCTATTGTGAATAAAACTGCCTTGACTATTCCTGTACAAGTCTTTGTATTAAGGAACATACGTTTTATTTTCTCTTGAGGAAGTTCCTAGCAATAAGATTGCTGGGTCATATGGTAGGTATATATTTAGCTTTAAAAGCAACTAAGTGCTTTCCAAAGTGACTGTACAATTTAACATTCCTACCTGAAATGTAAGAGAATTCCAGTTGCTCCACATTCTTGTCAACCCTTGGTAGCATCAGTCTCTTTAAGAATTCTAATGGATATGTAATATGGACTATAGGTTTAATTTGCATTTCTCTGTTGACTAATGATGTTGCACAACTTTTCATATGTCTATCAACCATTCTTGCATCTTCTTTTATGAAATGTCTGTTCAAATCATTTGTCCACTTTTTATTGTGTCATTTTATTCAGTTGTAAGAGTTCTTTACATATTCTGGAAACAAGTCCTCTGTCACATATATAGGTACTTTGAAAATCTGTGCTTTGCCTTTACATTTTTTTAATGGTAACTTTTTAAGAGTAGATAGTTTTGGTTTTGATGAAATTCAACTTATCAGTTTTTCAGTTATAGTATGTATTTTTATGACCCATCTAAGAAGCATCTGTCTACCCAGAGTTGCAAAGATATCCCTTTTCTTACTAGAAATATTATAGTTTTATTTACCATTGCTTCTATGATACATTTTAAGTTAATTTTTGTGTATTAAATGAATAAAAAGTTGAAGTTCACTTTTCTCTGTATGGATATTCAGTTCTTCCAGTGTTATTTTTTTAAAAACACTATCCTCTCCCTGTTGAATCACCTTTGTTAGAAATCAAATGACTACATATGTGTGGGTTTCTTTCTGGGCTCTACATTACATTCCTTTCTATTGACTTTTCATCTATTCTTTCACCAACACCATATGGTCTTGATTACATTGCCTGATAATAAATTGAATATAAGTCTCAAAATCAAGTAGTATCAGTCTTCCAAATTTGTTATTATTTTTCAAAGTTGTTTTGGATATTCCTGGTCCTAGGTATTACCATAGAAATTTTAAGATCAGTTTGTCAATTTACACAAAAATACATTCTGTAGATATCATGATTGTGTTGAATCTTACAGCTCAATCTTGGGAGAACTGATATCTTAATAATATTGAATCTGCCCATCAATGAGATTATATCTCTCTGTTTAATTTTCTTTATTTTCTCTCAACAATGTTGAGTAGGTTATGATTTATAGGTCTTTCACATATTTTGTTAAATTTATCCCTAAGTATATTCTGATTTTATGCTATTGTAGAAGACATAACACTTTAATTTCAATCTCCAATTGTTACCAGTGTATAAAAATTCAGTTGATTTTTATAATGATGAACTTGTATTCTGAGGCCTTGCTAAACTCACTTTTTAGTTGTGGTGGCTGTTTTATAGAATTCTTAGAATTTTCTCCATACACAATTATGTCATCTATGGGGAAGAAAAGATGGTTTTGCTTCTTCATTTTCAATCTGTATGTCTTTTATTTCTTTTTCTTGCTTTGTTGCACTGATTTGGACTTCTAATACAAGGTAGAATTGCAATAGTAAGAACAGATAGTCTTGCTTTATTCCTAGTCACAGGGGATGGGGAGGAATCATTTAATCTTTTACCATTGCGATGGTGACTAGAGGGTCTATTTGTAGATGCCCTTTATTGGGTTTGGAAATTCTCTATTCATACATGGCTGAGAATATTTATCATGAGTGGATTTTGTATTTTGTTAGATGCTTCTGGCATCTACTTAAATGATCGTGTTGTTTTTGCTCTTTCATTCTGTTTCTGTTTTTTTGTTTTTTGAGACAGGGTCTGGCTCTGTCACCCAGGCATGAGTGCAGTGGCACCATCTCAGCTCATGGCAACCTCTGCCTCCAGGTCTCAAGCCATCCTCCCACCTCAGCCTCTTGAGTAGCTGGAACCACAGGCGCACACCACCACACCTAGCTAATTTTTTATATTTTTGTAGAGATGGGGGGTTTCATCATTGCCCAGGCTGGTTTTGAACTCCTGATCTCAAGCAGTCTGCCCATCTTGGCCTCCTGAAGTGCTGGGATTACAGGTGTGAGCCACTGCACACGGCTTCCTTCATTTTGTTAACAGTGGTGAATTATACTGATGGATTTCATTCTAATCCAACCCTCACTTTCCATGTGGCCTCAGGGCTGCTTCACATGGTATCTCCATCTGGTAAGTGGGTGTCTTATTGCCTCAGGGTTTTAAGGATGAATATTCAATGAGTCTTCTTCTAAAGCTGCAAGACTTCTTATACAATCTAGCCTTGGAAGTCCCAGGACATTAGTTCTGCTACCTTCTATTGGTGTGGCACCTTCTATTCATCACTAAGGCCAACCCAGACTCAAGGGGAAGGTCATTAGTCTCCACCTCTCGATGCAGGAGGAGGAGTTAAAAATTTGAGACCATCTTTAATCTTTTTCTTAAATTATTTTCGACATTTCTGTATGTTTGAAGTAGGATGATGTATTTCCCACATCAGCTCAGTCCACCCTATTGACCAGGTATTCTCCTCCCCTACTTTAGTCCTTAACTTAGTATCATTTGCCTGACCTTCCATACAGAGATTAGGCTTCCCTTCTAAGTATCCCACAGGACCCCAACACCATCCTCATACCTTCTGCCCATGTACCCTGCCCTCCAGCAATACTGTTTCCAAAATATGCACTATTTTTAAGACTCCATACTTCCTGCACGCTGTTTCCTCTGTCCAGTATCCTTTCCCCACTTTGCCACTTTGCTACTGCATTAGTCAGGGTTCTCTAGAGGGACAGAACTAATAGGACAGATGTATATATGAAAGGGAGTTTATTAAGGAGTATTGACTCACACGATCACAAGGTGAAGTCCCACAATAGGCCATCTGCAAGCTGAGGAGCAAGGAAGCCAGTCTGAGTCCCAAAACCTCAAAAGCAGTGAAGCCAACAGTGCAGCCTTCAGTATGTGGCCAAAGGCCCAAGAGCCCCTGGCAAACCACTAGTGTAAGTCCAAGATTCCAAAAGCTGAAGAACTTGGGGTCTTATGTTTGAAGGTAGGAAGCATCTAGCTTGGGAAATAGATGACTCAGCAAGTCTGCTCATTCCACTTTCTTCTGCCTGCTTTTATCCCAGCCACACTGGCAGCTGATTAGATGGTGCCCACCCAGATTGAGGGTGGGTCTGCCTCTCCCAGTCCACTGACTCAAATGTTAATCTCCTTTGGTGATACCCTCACAGACACATACAGGAACAATACTTTGCATCCTTCAATCAAGTTGGCACTCAACCATCACAGCTATGTTATTTACTCTTTTAAGCATCTTTCATAAAGTAGGTTTCTCAGTTTTAGAGAGGAAAACACTAAGCATCAGGTTGAGTGATATAAGTAAAATCACACAGCTAGTAGAAGTAGGGTTCAAGCCCAGATCACCCAGTTCAAATTTGTGGCACGTTTCTCTCCATCACGCATGTAGCAGATGCTGTTTTGCTCAGCCCCATCCCCATAAGTCCCCCATGCACTTCCACAAACCAGCCCCTGCATCACTTCTTGGAGGAGTACCCTCCTGCTGGTAGGGTTTGCTTTACCTGTATATTCAGAGAGCCATAGGTGCCTGGAAATTTATATCCCCTCTGGAAGAAGCCCATAAACAATGCATGGTAGAATAAATACCCCAACTCACTTGCCCTCTACACAGAATACCTTTAAGGTTGATCTCCATAATCTTCAGCAATGATACTGAGACAAAGTCACCACCCCCACCACCCCACCTTCTACCCCACCCCTCCATGGTGCTTATTGTTAATGTTGCACTACTGCTTATCTTTCTTACTTCCCTCAACCTTCCACACTGATATGAATCCTCCTCTTAATGGTAACCCAGTGAAGGCAGTGTACAACCACTTCCTTGGCATGCAATATTTTCTAGAGATTCATGTCTAAGGGTGCAGTTGAGAAAGAACCCTATGTGATGTGTGGGCTATCTGGAAGCCACTGCAATATCCTGGCACAAGGCCTGCAGAAATCAATACCATATTTGCTGTAGTGTACATATAAAGCCACTGTGCATACAATTAAATACTAAAGAGTAAAATATTCCTTCTAGAGCTATCTGACTTACTCTTCTCTCATGATATGTTGAGTGGCTAAAGGAAAGTAGATTACAATATGCCAATTAGTAGTAATCTTAGTCAAGAGTTAAAACCATTACAAACCAATAATGTAAACAAGCAAGAAAATACCAATATTTAAAGTTTAGTACTTTTTAACTTTATCATTATTTGGAGGAGGTGGTGTTTGGCATAGAAAAATGCATTATTTGGTATGATGCTGAAGCTTCACATACAATTATTTCTTGATTATTTCCGAACTGAAAAATAATGTATACCTCACTTTAATGGTGAAAACTCCTGGGCATATTTATGTATATTTTCAATATCTTTGTTGGCAGAAACTCTATTTTCCTGAAAATGTTAGCAGGTAAGGGCAGATATGTCATGAAATACTTTGACACTTCTGTAAGCTCCTTTTATTTTGCTCAGGTCAGAAGTGATGGTGCAGCCACAGAGATGGAGAATCTTCAATCTAACAACAACAAAAAAGAAGATGAAAACAAAGGATCACAGATTATCTGGAGTGGATACAGCTGAGCCTGGATTCTAAGCATGATAAATGCATGAAAAATCTTTCAAATAACCTTGACTATGACTAGTACTTACTGTTTCTCAAAGGAGAAAGGTAGCATCAAACTTGAGAATTACAAGTCTGTTGTTAGAATTTGTCACCTGTCTGTGTTTAGTGAGGGGATGTTGAGAATACCTAAGTTAAAAACCAGCCATATTCCAAAGGAAAGGATGTTGGCCCTTTGAGAGATATCAGATGTCAGTATATCCAGCCCATGACCCACTATTGTAGGGCCCATTCACTGAAATGGTTTTTATGTTTAAAAAAAATCAAAAGAAACATATTTTAGGACATGTGAAAGTTATATGAAATTCAAATTTCAGTGTCCATAAAGCTTTACTGTAACATGGTCTCACTCATTAGCTTTCACACTGCAAGAAAATGGCTGAGTAGCTGTGACACACATATGGCCTGCAAAGCCTGAAATAGTTCCCCTCTGGCCCTTTACAGAAAGTTTGTCAACCCTGCACTGTAGGAAAAAGGGAAGGATGAACACATTTCATGTATTCTCATAGCACAAGTTAAATTTATGCATTGCTAAGGAACCTTCTTATTTTCAAACCAGTCTTTTACCTCCGGCACCTCTAAAATTTTTTAAAACAACATAGTAATCAACCTGTAGGGAAAGAAGTGAAGTCATCACAAGGAAATGGTAGAATGCAGGAAGACTGGAAATTATATTAACTTACTTAAAATTTTAAAAATAAGAAAATACCAACTGACCATCATCTGCATAACCTTATGCAATTTTGTCTTCTTAATATTACAGAAGGATCCTATGATCAATTCTCCTTCAAGAGTATTAATTTTGCCTTTGTGAAGTATTGGTAGGCCTCTTTTTAGATGGCAGAAAGAATCATGATGTTTATTTTGTTCCCCATGTTGCCTTACCTTCCAGCAAATTCCAACTTACAGTCTGAATTGAGTCTGTATAGACTTCCATTGTTAAACTGCAGTTCTCAGCTTAACCCCAATTCTATTTATATTCTTTCTGTAATTGGTTTCCAATCAACTTTTTCTTAATATAATTTTGAATTGCTCAGTTGTATGTGTGTGCGTGTATATGTTTTTACTTATAAAAAGCCTCAAAGTCTTTTTGAAAGTAGACAGGGTTTATACATTATAAATAATTATAAACAATTCTTAGGCAGTTATGCTCATTTTAATGTTAGAACTATCAGAATGATAGGCATGTCAACATTTCCTATTTTACTATTTTACAGCTGCTTAGGACACACCTTTTTCCCAAGCTAATATTCTAACTAAAGACAAATTATGTTCTGAAGACCACAGTAGATTTCTTCCTACGGAAGCCTATGAATTTGATCTCAAAACACTCAAAAATTTATTTTAGCTCTAGGGGATGTAATAAGTACATTGTTAGGTCATAGATACATTCATAGTCCTCCAAAATAATGGAGAAATATACATTTTCTGTGTGACATGAAAGTAGTTACCAATGCTATAACATGAAGAGATGTTAAAATATTCATCTATATTTAGAAAAAAAAAAGATTAAAGCTCCTGTTCCCAGAAGTACAAAATAAGACAAACTAGATAAGTCAGAAAGAGATCTAAAAAATTCTAAAGCCGGCAGGGCACGGTGGCTCACACCTGTAATCCCAGCACTTTGGGAGGACAAGGTGGGCAGATCACAAGGTCAGGAGATTGAGACCAGCCTGGCCACCACAGTGAAACCCCGCCTCTACTAAAAATACAAAAATTACCTGGGCGTGGTGGCACGTGCCTGTAATCCCAGCTACTCTGGAGGCTGAGGCAGGAGAACTGCTTGAACCAGGGAGTCGAAAGTTGCAGTGAGCCGAGATGGCGCCACTGTACTACAGCCTGGTGACAGAGCGAGACTGTCTCAGAAAAAAAAAAAAAAATCTAAAGCCACTCCTATTCCTCTGGAAAGCATTATATGATTCAGTATTTAAAAGATAAGATATTCAAATAAATCTCTCTTTACCAATACTTTTGAGTCTTAGATTAACAATGAACCAGGACACTAATTTTCACTAATGTAGTAATTAGAAATACAGAATCAAGATTCCTAATGATATTACATGAATTCCTTGATTTTGCAAGTCTTTAATATCATAGAAGATATGTGGATAAAGTGAAGGTCTAGTTAAGAAAAAAAAAAAGGTCACATTTGCCACAAAATGAGGTAGAAGACAGATTCTTTCCCCACCAACATATTTGTTGAGAATGCCATGCCTTTACAGAAGATTTTTAAAGATAAGGTAGATTTTATTATGTCCTTTCAGCTCTCAATGTTTTCCAGCAATAAACAAATTATTTATTTTTCTAGGTGATATTTACTATTGGCAAACCAAATTTTCTCAAATTGTTCTATTATTTTGTTTGCTTTGAAATCTAAAAAGGCCCAGAGTGCCCTATAGAAGTGTTTGCTCAATGGATTCCCCAATTTTATGAAAAATTCATTACAAAAACCTCAGCTTTTACTCAAAAAGCTTGGATTTCACAGAGCAAAGTAGGACTACTCACATAATTCTTGAAATATGGGACACCTGAAATGCTAACTTCAAGTCTGACAAGTCCTGATTTTTTTTCCCATTAGCTTATTATATAATTCTGATAAACAGTATTCCAAAATCAGAAGTCACTCATGACTGAAAAATTTTTAGTTTTAATTTTTTCCAAATATTTTTCACTTTGGAATTTTTATATGAATTCCAAAGTACAAAGAAACTAATGTATTTTCTGCTATTGGAAAGGTCATGAAAACTTGGTTTATCTTTAAATGAAATTACCAGAAGCTATTTTCTGGGAAATACTTAATGATTGCTACAATTCTGTGTTAATACAATGGAAACAATGAGGGCTTATGAAGAAACACAAGCCAGTACACAGCCAATGTCAGGCTTCCTCTTCACTTTATGATGACAAATAAGACTAAAAGAGACATGAGTGGGCATAATCAACATTCTCTTATCATCTACAATTTTTGCAAAGTTTTTCAGCTGCATCCAGGGTGACATTCTTACAGAAACTGAATTTTACACATGCCAAATTAATATGACAATAATTAGCCACTGAACAACCCCTGGATAGGAACAAGAGGATGAAAAAGTTATTAGAATCGGTCATTAAATATACTTTTTACGAATAGTTTCTTGAATTTGACCCTCAAACTTACCTTAGCCCTGACATATCCACAAACTCTCCCCTCCCCTATCAGAGTGAAAATGCAAATTGAACTTCTTAAGTACACATTTTGAAGACATTTGATATAATGTCCAGACTGCAAAAAATGAAAACATTGGGGAAAAAAAACAAGCAAAAAAGAGGGAAAGATCTAAAGACACCTGAGTTTCATTTTGAGATTATTAGAGAAATAATCCAGAGAATTATTACCGTGTTATCATCATCATGTGTATTTAATAACGAGGTGAAAATAATCATTATCTTAACCTCTAGCACCAGAATTACTCATGGGAGGGAACCATCTGTTTTGGATAATACCATGACACGTTAATTTTGCTCACAAATGAACTAGAAGAGCCTGAATTAACATTAACCAGGTAGGAGGGAACAGCAGCCCAGGAAACAAGGGAAGACGGTGGGGAGAAGGAGACATGAGAACTAAGTCCACTCCAGAATTTGTTAAAATCATGGACAATTTTGATCCCCTTAAGCAAATGTTTACCTTTATCTCAGAGTCAAAAAGGCTTCTTCTGGGATAAGGGATCTCTGTATAACCTCAATCACTAGTTCTCAAAGGATAGTTCCTGGGGCAGCAGCATCATCACCACCTGGGAAATTGTTAGAAACTTTGAGGTGTCACCCTCAACCCACTGAATCAGTAACTCGGGTGTGGCTCACCGTGTGTGTTTAACAAGTCCCCCAGGTGATTCTGATGCAGATAAAACTTGAGAATCACTGACCTCATACAATGGTTTGCAGCTGTCAAAGTAAATTAAAATGGAGGCCAGGCCTGAAGAACCCCTGAGCAGACAAAGCCAGTTAGGCTTCATAAGTGACCTCAGCCTGCCTTGATTTGTAAATATAAGCAAAACTTACCTTGAGCTGTTTCTTGTAAACACCTCTATTAAACAGAAATGAGGCTGGGCACAGTGGCTCAAGCCCATAATCCCAGCACTTTGGGAGGCCGAGGCGGGTGGATCACCTGAGCTCAGGAGTTCAAGACCAGCCTGGCCAAAATAGTGAAACCTGTCTCTAAAAGATATAAAAATTGGTCGGGCGTGGTGGCGTGCATCTTTAGTCCCAGCTACCTGGGAAGCTGAGGTGGGAGAATCATTTAAACCCAGGAAATGGAGGTTGCAGTAAGCCAAGATTGCACCACTGCACTTCAGCCTGGGCAACAGAACTAGACCCTGTCTAAAGAAAAAAAAAAAGAGAGAGAGAGAGAAATGACACTTCAGGCTAACCAATCAGAAGCTGCCAATTAACTTATAGCTATAGTACTAGGAGTTTCCCAGCAGGATAAGGTAACTATATTTGTATTTCTCTAATGATCATTGATATTCAGCTTCTTTTAATATGCTTGTTGGCCACATATATGTCTTCTTTTGAGAAATGTCTGTTCATATCCTTTGCCCACTTTTTAATGCAGTTGTTTGTTTTTCTCTTGTAAATTTGATAAGTTCCTTATAGATGCCAGATATTAGACCTTTGTCAGACGTATAGTTTGCAAATATTTTCTCCCATTCTGTAGGTTTCCTCTGTTGTTTCCTCTGTTGTTAGTTTCTTTTGCTGTGCAGCTCTTAAGTTTAATTAGATCCTATTTGTCAATTTTTGCTTTTGTCGCGATTGCTTTTGGTGTCTTTGTCATGAAATCTTTGCCCATTCCTAGGTCCAGAATGGTTTGCCTAGGTTGTCTTTCAGGGTTCCTATAGTTTTAGGTTTTACATTTAAGTCTTTAATCCATCTTGAGTTGATTTTTGTATAGAGTGTAAGGAAGAGGTCCAGCTTTAATCTTCTGCATATGACTAGCCAGTTAGCCCAGCAAAATTTATTGAATAGGGAGTCTTTTCCCCATTGCTTGTTTTTGTCAGCTTTGTCAAAGATCATAGATGTGGGGCCTTATTTCTGGGCTCTCTATTCTGTTCCATTGGTCTATGTGCCTGTTTTTGTACCAGTACCATGACGTTTTGGTCACTGTAGCCTTGTAGTATAGTTTGAAGTCGGGTGATACCACACACTTAACCAGAACTCTAAGAACTCACCCACTATCAAGAAGACAGCACTAAACTATTTGTGAGGAATCCGCCTCCATGACCCAAACGCCTCCCACCAGGTCCCACCTCCATCATTGGAGATTACAATTCAATATGAGATTTGGGCATGGACAAATAGCTAAACTATGTTAACAGCCTTGCGATATGATGATTAAAAAAATACTCATGTCAGAGAATCATCCTCAAAGATCCCATCAACCTTAACAAATTGTATGTCTAAACAACAAATTATATGTCTAAACAACAAATTGTATGTCTAAACAACAAATTGTTTAAAATAAGTGTATAGGTAGAAAGTGTATAGGTAGAAATATTACAATTCAATATGAGATTTGGGCATGGACAAATAGCTAAACTATGTTAACAGCCTTGCGATATGATGATTAAAAAAATACTCAGAGAATCATCCTCAAAGATCCCACCAACCTTAACAAATTATATGTCTAAACAACAAATTGTTTAAAATAAGTGTATAGGTAGAAATGTTAAAAATCTCATTAAGCAATATTTTTAATTTACCACTGGTTGGATTTCCTAAAAATAATTCGGAATAAACAAAATCCCTATTCAGTACCACATTTGTGCCCTCCAAAAGCATGAATTCCTCTGTCTATCTAAAACTCTTCTGTTAGGCTAGTTACCAGGTTTCAATGCAAAAATTATGGAACTGTAGGAGGACAGGTGAGAGTGGAGAACAGGAGGAAAGTGATAGAAATGAGGGGAAGTAGATTTGTAGCAAACATATTTCCACTTCCCAGACCTGTTACATAAAGGAGACAGTCATGCATCACAGATGGTAAGAATGGAAATGTAAGAGAGTTCCATACAGATATGGCTGTGCCAACATCAAAGGCAAAGGAACTTTCCTGGTTAAATCCTAAGTATGATGGTCTTTGCCCCACCCCAGGTGATAGAGCCAGATAGTATATGTGGCCCGCACACACTATCAAAGATGGCCTGGGTTAGATTTTGAACATTTCACATAACATACTAAGGAGGGTACTTCATAAAGCTAACAAGAGCATGGAAAACTTCCAAGGACTTTCCCTAAAAGAATTATTCAGGTGTCAGTAACAGAACACATGTATCTAGTAAGAAATCTATGCCTCTCAATGTTAAAAAAATTATACATACACAAAACATTTCTTTCCCCATCTTTAAAATGGACATTAACTTCTGTTAATAACAGAAAAATTTCATGGTACTATCCATAAGTACTGAAATTCTGGTATCTCATTAGGTTCCAGTGAGTCATTAGATTGGTGCAATCTAGGAAATAAATCTTCCCTGCAATCATTATGAAAATACAAAATTCTTCATAATGAGTTTACTTCAACTGAGTAATACTAAGTAGTTTTTGTTTTTTAAAAAATGTTAGTAAGAGAAGGGATAACCACCTTTTCTTAAGTTAGCAATATGAGTTTATGTACAATAAATAAAGCATATTCTTTGAAATAAAGGAAAACTCAATAGCATTAGGAAAATACTAATGCCTAACAGAGTGCTCTCTGTGTTCCAAGCCCCTAAGACCTTTCCTGTATTAGCTCACTTCATGCCCACGATGATCCTCAGGCAGGTGCTATCATCCTCATGTTACTGATGAGGAAACTAAGGCACAGAGAGGCTTGATTAACCTATCCAAGGTCACACCGACAATTAAAGAGCTGGGACCTGGACCAGGGACTCTGCCTCCAAAGTCCACATTCCAAAGCAATTCTTCTTTTCAAAGTAAATGAAACAGATGATTTGGACTTGTGCAAGCATGAAATCAGTCTTTTTCTGAATATTTTAGTTAGAAAACATATTGTTTCGTACAGAAAAATAGTAATCTGCCTCTCATTCTTGATAGTCTGTTAGTAAATGAGTAGACATGACTCTGGTTTTTGTTTTGTTTTGTTTTATAATTGTTCCTGTTCATTTCTGGCCTGAAAAATAGTATAAAAACCTCGTGATGGCACCACCAGATGGAGACACTGGTTTCTATTGAGCATTTTCATGAACACAAGAATGATGTTCCACATTTTCTTCCAAGGAAACAAATTCCCTCATCTGAGGAAGACCACATAAGGAAAGGTTTTATATATCTTGTAATACATTTCTCTCAAATGATTCAACCACCGTTGGAAGTTCCCATCACTTTTAGAATAGAACATTCTTTTCTTCATAACAGAGTAAATCCTGCTAAACTAGGCCAGCCGGGTTCAGGAGGTACCATTGCTCCGAGAGTTTTAGTAAAACAAGGAGATACCAGCATCTCCAAGTACCTGTCATGTATTTACCAACATGATCACCTCTCCATAAATAAGACTCCTGAAGTACAGGCTTGGGTACAATAAACAGTGCAATGTAACTGGTTTTGAATTCACATTTCAGTCAATTAAATGTTTTATTTAAGACATGGAAGTAAAATATAAATGGAAAATACTGAGCAGGCATAAATCAGATAATCCTATAAAAGAGTCCCAGGAGAGCCAACAAAAATGGGGATGTTGCCATAGTTACCAGGAAATGTAGCCTAGACACCCAGCGTCAGTAAGAGATTGAAAATGTGGCAAAATAAGCTCTTAAGGCTGGGGTCATTCTCTTCTCTGTACTTTAATTAGTATGATCTTGGCCCTTGGAACCAGGCCAGGACGGAAAAAACGATCCTCGTTCTGCTGGTTGCCAATAATCCGTACTTAGGAAGTTTTCTCTCTGCAACCTCTACTTCACATCAACGTAATTAGAGAAACAGCCTCCTTCTAAAATGAAGATAATTTCCTAATTAGAGAATGAACCTGACCTATCTATCACTCATGGAAGCCCACTACCATTGGTATCCCAGGGAGAATGATGGTTCTAGCTGAATAACAACGCTTGATTAGCCCTACATCACCCATGGGAGCTCCTTTTATCTCAGCAGATGAAATCAGTAGTACAAATCTAACTGGTTTTATCGTTTGCACCAGCACACCCTATACCACTTTTTTCTTCATTATATTTCAGTCAGATTTAAAAGTGAAATTCAAACATTTGTAGGAGACTGATCAAAGGGCTTACAACAACAATTTTTTATCCAGATAGTCCAACATGCAAGACAAAAAGGAACAAAGGCAGAAAGAAAGAGAGAGAAACAGAAAGGCAAACTTCAAACTGTAACAGGGTTTAAACACAGACAACAAGTTAGGCCTAAATTAAAATAAGACTTCAAGGCTACAATGGAGTAAATATATTATGTCTCCCTTTCTATTTGTTTTGACAGTTTTTCTCATATAAAAGTTTATTGGACTCTGACAAGTTTACTTTCTCTACCAACTGTTACATAAATTATGAAGGAGGTAACGGATGGAACTATTATTAGAAAGAGGGATGACACTGGTGAAGTAGAAAACAAAGGTAGAAGGTTGTCAGTCTGATAAATCTAATATAAGATCATGCGCCCAGTGATCTGTAAGTATAGAGACACATATCTGTAGCAAACATACCTGTAGTAAACGAGCAAAAAATACATGGGTAGTTCGAATTCATACCTATCCAATATGGCCCTATTTTTTCCATTCAGATCCATTTCTGCATCCTCTATCTAATATATATGTAGTACCACAGCTAGGAACCAGGAACAATTGTTATATTTTTTCTAGAACGTCAGTTGGTTACACATTACAATTCTGCCCCAGAGCAGATGAATTCCATAAAGGGGTTTGTCTGTGACTCTCCCAAATTGGTAAATGGTCTATGGCCATACTACCATGAACACACCTGATCTCATCCAAACTGGTAAATGATTGTCTTATATATTATCTTTAAGAAGAGATTTTTCAGGTTTAAGAATGTATGTATCACTATAACACATTTTGAAACGCATATATTTTGTACACATTCGACCATATTCTATCATAAAATGTACTCAATATATCAAGAAAACACGAGAATCAAGTGAAAAACTTTACATAAAATGATATACTTGAACAAATATCTACAAAATATTTCAAAAACCAAGCATCACTATCATCATATGTATAGACTACTTATGAATCTGTGAAACAAGATGTACATTTCAACAACAAAAGAGGCAAAAAACCCACATATAGACACACACAAAATACAAAAGAAATTAAAAATGTAAAATGCCATTAAGAATACTAGAATTTTTTAATGTCAAGAATCATCAGCAAAACCATAAAATAAGACACCCCCTATGTAATGCTGGCTACATATTTAAGGGAACCCTGGATTTTCTTCTGGTGTAACAAGATAGGCACTTTCATACACTACTATTAGAATAATAAACTGGTACAGCCTTTCTTAAAAAAGCTTAGCAATATTTATTGCAATCCTTAAAAATGGTAAGTTCATAACTTTTGAACTAGTAATTCTATTTCTAGGGCTTTATACCAATGAAACAATCAAAGATGCAAATACCTGTGTACAAGGATATTTATTAGCATGTTATTTTTACTAACTAGAATTCAAAGAATCTATAGGTTCAACAACAGGATAATACATAAATAATTTATTTTATATTCATATAATGGAATATTACGCAAGCATCAATATATTTTTGAAAAAATGATGGATAACAAGAACGTGGTATAAGTTTAGATGTAAAAGACACAGAGATAAAATTGTACTTACAGAATGATCCATACTTAAGTCTACTGTAATAGTGCCATATCTTTTTATCTTATTTCATTATGATAAAATATTTATTTTACTACAATAAGTTTAAAATGTTTTATTTGAAACATTATGAAGATCCTAAATTAGTAATCAGCACACTTTCTTACAGGTAGTAAATATTTTAGTCTTTGCAGGGTTTAATTTATATTTAATCATAGGCCAAGAGGCACAATCAAAAATGTTATATAGCTTCTTATATAATTATTTAAAATATCACCACTTCAAGTTGTAAAAAGCAGGCAGCTGGCTACCATTTGCCAACTCATGTCTTACATGAATTAACCTGGAAAGGTCTCAAGTAGTTTTCTGACTCAAAATGTCCTATTTGTTAGGTGGGAATAATCATACCTGCACTAAGCACTTCAAAGGATTGTGGGGGCGACTTGATGCATAGGGAAGCTATTGGCAACCATAAACTGTTAAAAAATATATCACAATGTGGGACAATTTGCTCTCATCTGGAGTTCCTTTTCCTTTTTCCCACCCGTCTGTATCCTACTGGTCCTTCAAGACTATCTGAGGTTAAACTCTTTTCCAGGAAGACACCCCCACTCTTAAAGCTACATCCATTTCTTTCATCTTCACGTATGTATGACATTTAGATTTTGCATGCATATATGATTTTTTTCTCTCAAATTAAAGGATCATTATCTTGAGGGAAGAACTTGTCTTGGATATTTTTGTCTTGGATATTTTTTCTATCCCTCACTGCAAACATCTCATCATAATTGTTTTGAACTTATTATATATTTAAAATATGCTCATTTAATTAAATGACAGGAGCTGCATTGCTACACCTAGTTCAGGAATACTCGGCTTTGTGATTCCAGGAAATGAAAACTTAACCACAAAGCGGTCCTTTATTTATTTGAAATTTTAAAAAGATATATCCCAGTAAGAACAAGTAGGTACAAGAACATCATTCAATGTTCTCAGGAAAACAAAATTGCTTCCAGTAAGCCACAGCTATCACCATACCCAACCACTTTACTTCAAACTAAAAATAGTAATAGTAATAATACCTAGAAGCCAGGAGGCCATCAACTTCTTATAATCAGTCAGACATTAATTCTGTATAAATTCAGTTATTCTAAACCATTATCATTTTATAGACATAAAATCTCAATGTCCATGACATGAAATCATTCAAGCATTATAAAAAAGATGTTGCTGGTGGGACACAGTGGCTCACGCCTGTAATCCCAGCACTTTGGGAGGCCAAGGCAGGTGGATTGCTTGGGCTCAGGAGTTCAAGACCAGCCTAGGCAACATGGCAAAACCCTATCTCTACCAAAAATACAAAAATTAGCCAGGCATGGTGGCTGCACACTGGTAGTCCCAGCTGCTTAGGAGGCTGAGATGGGAGGATCACTTGAACCTGAAGATTGATGCTGCAGTGGGCCCTGATTATGTGACTGCCCTCCAGCTTAAGTGACAGAATGACACCCTGTCTCAAAACTATATGGCCGGGCGCAGTGGCTCACACCTATAATCCCAGCACTTTGGGAGGCCGAGGCGGTGAATCACCTGAGGTCAGGAGTTCAAGACCAGCCTGACCAATATAGTGAAATCCCATCTGTACTAAAAATACAAATATTAGCGAGGCGTGGTGGCATGCACCTGTAGTCCCAGCTACTCGGTGGGCTAAGACAGAAGAATCGCTGGAATCCGAGAAGTGGAGGTTGCAGTGAGCTGAGATTGCGCCACTACACTCTAGCCTGGGTGACAGAGCAAGACTCCATCTCCAAAAAAAATAAAAAATAAAAATAAAAAAAGTTACAAATCTTCAAACAGTAACTAATGACGTGTATGTGACCCTTCACACTGCACACATTCCAAACTGAGACCTCCTGTGTGTTCTTCATTTCATTATTTTTATCTTTAAAAAAACTTTCAGGTGGCTTTGGCAAAGAAGATGCTTTAAGCAATCAATTAAGAATTATCACCTAGTGGTGTACAAAATGTGCTAGGTGTTATGCGTATGTGAAGAGGTAGAATTAATATCTTAAAATCAGAGACCATGTATTTAGAAGCTTCAACTATTTGGAAGAGATCCAAGAATAAGATAACAAGAAGAAAAATAAAGATCGTAGATTCATTTTTTTTATAAGGAAGCAACTCAGAGCTCAAGAACATATTTGTTAAAATAAATATCCATAAAGGGGCTGGATTTGATAAATGGGCTCAAGCAGAAACTGTCTGGAGGTCATCAATGTCCTATTCAGCAAGCCAGAATATTTATACTGAACAGTTCTCAATGTATATTAGTAGTTATCTGATGCATAACAAGTTACCCCCAAACCTTACAGCTTAAAACCATAACTATGTTTTATACCAATTTATCTAGATCAGCAGTTTGGGTTCAGCTTAACTGGGTGTCTCTGGCTCAAGGTGCTTCACGAGGTTGAGGTCAAGTTGCTGTGGGGGCTGCAGTCTTATCTAAAGGCTCGACTGAGGGAGTTTGTTTCCAAGCTCCCTCACAGCGTTGGCAGCAAGCAAGCCTCAGTTCCTCACTGGCTGTTGGCTGGAGAACTCAGTTCCTCAACATTTGGGCCTCTTTATAGGCTGCCTGAGTGTCCTCATGAGAAGACTGCTGGCTTCTCCCAGAGGAAGTGATGAGAGAGAGAGAAAGAAGAGAACAAGAAAGGGAGAGATAAATCAAGCAGCCCAGGATGGAGCTATCTATCACCTAATCTCAGAAGTGAGATACCTTCACTTCTGCTGTATTCTTTGGTCTCACAGACCAACGCTAACACAATGTTGGAAGGAACTACATAAAGGTGTGAATCCCAGGAGTTGGGGATCATTGGGGCCATCTTGGAAGTTGGCTGCGAAAAAGGATAACTGTGATAGAATATACAGAGCCACTTAAAACAAGTACTTTATCACATTTTCTGATTTCCTTGGGACTTGAATACCCAATAAGAAAGAAGTAGATGTGTCTGACTATTAAAGGGTGGGGATTGCAATAGAAGCTAGATTATAGGGAGGAATGGTAGGGACATTGAAGACAAAATTGTTAAAGTTACCTTGCTGTGGACGGAATTGTGTCCCCCAAATTTGTATGTTGAATCCCTAACCCCCAGTGTGATGGTATTTGGAGTTGGAGCCTCTGGGAGGCACTTGGATTTAGTGAGGTCATGACAGTGGGAGCCTTCATGATGGGAGTAGTGCCTTTATCAGAAGAGACACCAGAGAATTTGCTCATACAAATGTTCTCATTCATTCTCTCTCTCTCTCTCTCTCTCTCTCTCTCTCTCTGTCTCTCCCCTACTGCCATGTGAGAACACAGCTTGAAGGTGGCTTCCAGCTTTAGGCAATTTTGGTAGTTGATGTTTTTCTAGGAATGTTTCCATTTCATATAGGTTATCTAATTTCTTGGCATGTGATTGTTTACAGTTTTTTTTAATCCATTGTATTTCTGTAGGGTGGGTAATGTCCTTTCTTTCATTCCTGATTTTATTGAGTCTTGTCTATTTTTCTCTTGGCCAGTCTAGATTAAAGATTTGTCAATTTTGTTAATCTTTTCAAATAACCAACTTTTGGTTTTATTCATTTTTTCTATTGTGTTTCTATTCTCTGTTTCATTTACTTCCACACTAATATTATTTCCTTCCTCTGCTAGCTGTGGGTTTAGTTTGCTCTTCTTTTTCTATATTTTCAAAAGTAAGGTTAGGGGACTGATTTGAGTTATTTAATATATAGAATAAATTCTCTTCTGCACACTGCTTTCACTGCATACCATAAGGTTTGGTAAGTTGTATTTTTATTTTCATTGATCTCAAGTTATTTTCTGATTTCCATTGTGATTTCTCCTTTGACCCATTGGTTATTTAGGAATGTGTTATTTAATTTCCACATATTTGTGAATTTCCCTTATTTTAGTTTCTAATTTCAACCCATTGTGGTCAGAAAACATACTTTGTGTGATGAATTCTTTTATATTTATTGAGATTTGTTTTATGTCCTAGTATCTGGTATTTCCTGCAGAATGTTCCATATCCATTTGAGAAGAATGTGTATTCTGACATTGTTGGGTGAAGTGTTTTCTCTATATATTTATATCGATGTAGATATCTATATATCTCTATATATAAATATAGACATAGGTATCTCTCTCTATATTTATATATCTAGAGTTAGATATATCTATATCTCTTATCTATCTATATACACAGAGATATAGATAGATGGATAGATAGATAGATAGATAGATAGATAGATAGATAGATACACAGATAATATGTGAACTATCTTGGCTAATAGTGTTGTTCAAATCTTCTGTTACCTTGCTGATCTTCTCTTTAGTTGTTCTACCCATTATTGATAGTGAGGTATTGAAGTCTCCAATCAATATTGCTGAATGGCCTATTTCTCCCATAAATTCTGTCAAATAAGCTTCATGTATTTTGGGCCTCTGTTGTTAGATGCAAATATGTTTTTAAGTGCTGAATATTTTTGATAGATTGACTCATATTATAAAATGTCTTTGTCTCTAGCAAAACATTTTGTCTTAAAGTCTATTTTGTGTATATTACTAGCTACTAATTACAGTTACTCCTACTCTCTTTTGGTTAGTGTTTGCATGGTATATCTTTTTTCATCCTTTTATTTTTAATTCATTTATTGTCTTTGAATCACAAGTGAATCTCTTATAGATACCATAGAGTTGTATCATTTTTATCCATTATGCCAATGTCAGCCTTTTAAGTAGAGATTTTAATCCATTTACATTTAAGTTAATTACTGATAGATAGATGTTACATGTGCCATTTTGCTATTTGTTTCCTATGCCAAGTGATTTTTGTTCTATTCCTTCATTACAGTCATCTTCTGTGCTAGATATTTTCTAGTCTACCATTTTAATCCCTTGTAATTTATTTTACTATTTTTTATTTTCTAAGCAATTGCTCTAGAAATTGCAAGTAATGCCTGAGCGTTAAATAATCAAGTTCAAATTAATACCAATTTAATATTAATAGTATACAAAAAAATTGCCACTAAAAAGCTTTGTTCTCTTGCTACTACATGCTTTATTGTCACAAATTACATCTTTATAGATTTTGTTCCCTTGACATATATTAATAATTATTGTTTTACATAGAGTTTTAAAAATAAGATAGAAATAAAAATGAGCTATAAACAAAAAAAATTTATACTGTCTTTTATATTTACCTATGTAGTTACCTGTTCTAGTGCTCTTTATTTATTTATGTTGATTCACATTACTATCTAATATCCTTTAATTTCACCCTAAAAAGCCCTTTTAGTGTTTTTGTAGGGAAGATCTGCTAGTAAAAAACTCTCTTGGCTATTGTTTATCTGTGAATGTTTCAATTTCTCTTTCATTTTTAAAGGAGAGCTTTACCAGATAGAGAAGTCTGTCGATCTTTTTCTATCAACACTTTGAATATGTCACCTTACTGTCTTCTGGCCTCCATATTTTGATAAGAAATCATTTGTTAATCTTATTGAGGATCCTTTGTAGGTGATTTGTTGTTTGTCTTGTTGGTTTCAAGATTCTTTGTCTTTGAGTATCAAGAGTTGATTGCAATTTCTCTATGTGTGAATCTGAGTGTACCCTACTCGAAGTTTATTGAGCTTCTTGTATGTGCAGATTAGTTTTTCATCAAATTTGGGACATTTCGGCCACTATTTCTCCAAATACTGTTCCTGATCTTTCTCCTGTCCTTCTGGGACTTTATAGATAGATGATAGATAGATAGATAGATAGATAGATAGAT
Organism: Homo sapiens; assembly: GCF_000001405.40. NCBI lineage: Eukaryota > Metazoa > Chordata > Mammalia > Primates > Hominidae > Homo > Homo sapiens. Next base: position 83,089,924 of record NC_000009.12, read on the forward strand.
AGATAGATAGATAGATAGATAGATATAGATATATAGATATAGATAGATGCATATGTTGGTCTGCTTAATGGTGTCCCACAGATGACTGAGGATTTGTTCATTTTTCTTCATTCTTTTTTCTTTGTCTTCCTCAAACTTGATAATCTCAGTTAACTTATCTTCGGGTTCATCAACTCATTCTTCTGCATGCTCAAATATGCTGTTGAGCCCCTCTAGTGAATCTTGCATTTCAATTGTTATACTTTTCAATTCCAGAATTTCTATTTTTTTAAATAATTTTCTTTATTGACATTCTCTATTTCATGAGACATTATTATCAGATTTTTCTTTAGTTTTTTAGGCATGGCTTTATTTAGGTCTTTTAACATATTTAAAATAGCTGATTTAAAGTCTTTATCCAATGAACCCAATGTCTGGGATTCCTCCAGGATAGTTTTATTGTTTTATTGACTGCTTTCTTTCCCCTGTGTGTGTATGAGCCATACTTTTTTTTTTTTTGAGACAGAGTCTTGCTCTGTTGCCCAGGCTGGAGTGCAGTGGTACAGTCTTGGCTCACAGCAACCTCCACCTCCCAGGTTCAAGTGATTCTCCTGCCTCAGAGTCCTGAGTAGCTGGGATTACAGGCATATGCCACCACACCTGGCTAATTTTTGTATTTTTAGTAGAGATGGGGTTTCGCCATGTTGGCCAGGCTGGTCTTGAACTCTTAACCTCAGGTGATCCGCCTCAGCCTCCCAAAGTGCTGGGATTACAGGTGTGTCACTGCACCTGGCCCATACTTTCTTGTCTCTTTGTATACCTTGTAATTTGGGGTTAAAAATTGGACATTTAAAAGTATATAATATGGAAACTCTGGAAATCAAATTATCTTCCCTCCCCAGAGTTTTTGTTGTTGCTGCTTTTAGTTTTTACTGTGTTCCTTATTTAGTAACTTCTCTGGAATAATAATAATTATTATTATGATCTTATTATTATTATTCCAGAGAATAATAATAAAGTCTATATTATCTCTCACGTATGACCACTGAAGTCTCTGCTCAGTTAGCTTATGGTTAGCTACTAATTGGACAGAATGTGCCTAAAATATCTAGAACCATTAAATCTCCTAATATTTACTGACAGGCTCTGTGTATGTATTGTGACATGCTTTCAACATTCATCCAGCCAGGTGGTTTTTAACTCTGCTTTAACTTCACTTTCTACTTGCAAAGAGTCTCAAGATCAACCAGTCATGAGTGTTTGGTTTTTTCTCAGGTATTTGCTGTGCATGCACACAGCCCTATACCTGCACACGACCTTCCATATTTTTAGGGATATACTGGAGCTTTTAAAGTCCTTATGGACATCTAGCCAGGTGCAGTGGCTCACCCCTGTGATCCCAGCACTTTGGAAGGCAGAGGCAGGTGGATCACTTGAGATTAGGAGTTTGAGACCAGCCTGTCCAACATGGTGAAACCCCATCTCTACTAAAAATACAAAAAATTAGCCAGGCATGGTGGTGCGCACATGTAGTCCCAGCTATTCAGGAAGCTGAGGCAGGAGCAACACTGGGACCTGGGAGGCAGAGATTGCAGTGAGCCAAGATTGCACCACTGCACTCCAGTCTGGATGACAGAGGGAGACACTGACTGAAAAAAATAAAAATAAAAATAATTTTTTAAAAAATGAACTCCTTATGGACATCTAACTACTCAGCCTTTTCTTTTGAGCTTTTTGGTCAGTGTATTGTTTGCCGCAGCTGTTATCCATTTCCTCAAGTAGCTGTGACATTAAAACATTCAACAAACAATCCCTGGGAAGAGGATTTTAGCTCTACTCAGTTTGAGTGAGGTAAAATAATGACTAGTCTTTTGAGTGGGGTCTTCCAGGGAATTACCAGACAGTCAAACAATGGCAATTCTTTGGGAATGAATTGTTTACTGCTTCCATCAGTACCAAAATTTTGAGATGTTATTTTTAAGTGGCCACTGAGCTGGGGAGGGAGATGGGACTAGAGTAAGTTAAAACAATAACTACAAAGCTCACTGTTCTTACTAAGATCCAGCTATGTTACATTTTTATATTCTTTTTCTTTTATTTCTTTTTTTTTTTTTTTTTTTTTTTTTTTTGCTATTTATCTTGTTTTTTGCATAAATGCCCCAAGGAGTGCTGGAAGTCAGAGTTCTGAAAAAAGTTGATTCTGGCTATTTTTTCCAGTTTTTTAATTGCTATGATGGAGAGGGATATTTTTGAAGGTCCTTACTCTGTCATTTTCACTGACCAATCTTGCAAAGCTTCAGTTAACATGAAAATCTTCAAACGTGAACCAATTATGTCCCTCCAAATTCCAGATAAAAATGTGCTGTAGTATTGTGTCTGGAACTGGTGGGTTCTTGGTCTCACTGACTTCAAGAATGAAGCCACGGACCCTCGCGGTGAGTGTTACAGCTCTTAAGGTGGCGCATCTGGAGTTTGTTCCTTCTGATGTTCGGATATGTTCAGAGTTTCTTCCTTCTGGTGGGTTCGTGGTCTTGCTGGCTCAGGAGTGAAGCTGCAGACCTTTGCTGTGAGTGTTACAGCTCTTAGGGCGGCGCGTCTGGAGTTGTTCGTTCCTCCCGGTGGGCTTGTGGTCTCGCTGGCTTCAGGAGTGAAGCTGCAGACTTTCACAGTGAGTGTCACAGCTCTTAAAAGCAGTGTGGACCCAAAGAGTGAGCAGTAGCGAGATTTATTGCAAAGAGCGAAAGAACAAAGCTTCCACTGTGTGGAAGGGGACCCGAGCGGGTTGCCACTGCTGGCTTGGGCACCCTGCTTTTATTTTCTTATCTGGCCCCACCCACGTCCTGCTGATTGGTAGAGCCCAGTGGTCTGCTTTGACCGGGTGCTGATTGGTGCGTTTACAATCCCTGAGCTAGACACAAAGGTTCTCCACCTCCCCATCAGATTAGTTAGATACAGAGTAAGGACACAAAGGTTCTCCAAGGCCCCACCAGAGTAGCTAGATACAAAGTGTCAATTGGTGCACTCACAAACCCTGAGCTAGACACAGGGTGCTGATTGGTGTGTTTACAAACCTTGAGCTAGATACAAAGTGCCGATTGGTGTATTTACAATCCCTGAGCTATATATAAAGGTTCTCCAAGGCCCCACCTGAGTAGCTAGATACAGAGTGTCGATTGGTGCGCTCACAAACCCTGAGCTAGACACAGGGTGCTGATTGGTGTGTTTACAAACCTTGAGCTAGATACAGAGTGCCGATTGGTGTATTTACAATCCTTGAGCTAGACATAAAGGTTCTCCACCTCCCCACCAGACTCAGGAGGCCAGCTGGCTTCACCCGGTGGATCCCGCACCAGGCTGCAGGTGGAGCTGCCTGCCAGTCCCTCGCCGTGTGCTCACACTGCTCAGCCCTTGGGTGGTGATGGGACTGGGCCCCGCGGAGCAGGGGGTGGCACTTGTCGGGGAGGCTCGGGCAGCACAGAAGCCCATGGAGGGGGTGGGAGGCTCAGGCATGGCGGGCTGCAGGTCCCAAGCCCTGCCCCGCGGGAAGGCAGCTAAGGCCTGGTGAGAAATCAAGCGCAGCCCCGGTGGGCTGGCACTGCTGGGGGACCCAGTACACCCTCCGCAGCTGCTGGTCCGGGTGCTAAGCCCCTCATTGCCCAGGGCCAGCAGGGCTGGCCGAGCCGGTCGGCTGCTCCGAGTGTGGGGCCCGCCAAGCCCATGCCCACCCGGAACTCCAGCTGGCCCGCAAGGGCCGCACGCAGCCCCGGTTCCCGCTCGCGCCTCTCCCTCCACACCTCCCTGCAAGCTGAGGGATCTGGCTCTGGCCTTGGCCAGCCCAGAAAGGGGCTCCCACAGTGCAGCGGTGGGCTGAAGGGCTCCTCAAGTGCCGCCAAAGTGGGAGCCCAGGCAGAGGAGGCGCCGAGAGCGAGCGAGGGGTGTGAGGACTGCCAGCACGCTGTCACCTCTCAGTATGAGATAGCATTTTAAATGTATATTCTACAGAATGATAGCTTCATAAATGTTAGTTGAAAGTCCCATAATCAAGTAAGTTATAAAACATTGGGTTGAAAAATGTTTAACAGACTTCTTTATTGCAAGACTTCTCGGTGATTTTGATATATGGGTCATCTATTATAAATCTCTATTCAGAAGATAATGTGCAACATTTCTCAAATTTACTTAACCATGAAACTATTTGCTTTGTGGAACTGGTTTTCCAGTGATTAAAATGGAAACATACTATCATGAGATGCCATTCCTGTTCCACAAGATCCTATAGTTTATACTTGCACTGTCTAATATCATAGCCATTAGCCATATGTGGATCTTGATCACTTGAAATATGTCCACCTGAATTTAGATGTGCTATAAATATGAAATACCCACAACATTGTGAACACTTAGTACAAAAAAAGCTTATAAAAGGTCTAATTAATATTGTTTATGTTGATTATATGTTAAAATGATAATATTTCAAATATATTAGGTTAAAATAAAATATATTATTAAAATTATTTTCATGCTTTTTTAATGTAGCTACTAGAAAATTTTAAATTATACATGTGGATTGATTTATATTTCTATTGAAAATACATTTCTAGAGACTTCCTGGGAATTTCTTCTCATTGTCTGAAACCAGTTCAAAACCTGTATTTTATTTATCAACTCTAGGAATTTACAGATTTGTTTCTATGTCTTTTAAAAGCCAGGCGTACATAATATCAAAGAGAGAACTCATTAGATTTCCTTAATGTTAAGTTTTCTTTTAAAAAAAATTCTGATAATCAGCACATGACCAAAATACAATGAGGGTATTTAAAAAGAAGAGTCTGGATAGTGTACAACTCCTGCTCTTGGGTTGGCACTTCCAGTTATTAAATGGGACAATGATACCTAATTACATATTGGTGTTTTAACAAGGGACCTGGCTAATTAACATTACTTACAGGAATGACATACACCCTGGTAGTGATTCTTAGGCTACTTGTTTCTCTTGTTTCTACTTTACTCAATAATAATTAAGGTAGCCTCACGTCCAAGCATACGTGGGAATCTCCCTCAGACTGGTGAATGTAGGGTCCCTGGAAATTACTGCAGTAATCTCCATTGGAAGAGAGGCCTATTAGTTCCAATATCCCGGGAAAGGGCAATTAGGACCCTTATGGTTTGAGAATTTAAAAGGAGATGCTACCTGGGGAGGAAGAAAGATGGCAGTTCTGGAACCACTAGTTGACAAGTGCCAGACCAGTTGTAATCAGTCAACTAATATCCTAGAAGGTAGCTGTATAAGGGAATTAAGGAATAAAACACCAGTAGTTACAGTCTTGATACCTCAGTCTTGGGGCGCACTGCTTGGAACTGAGATAGTGAGATGAATCTCAACAAACCCAGTTGGCTCAAGTGAAGCATCACTGAAGCAGGGGACTCTGGAATCTGGTGAATCATGAATTTTTACCGTCACCCCTATGGCAGCAGGAAGCAATGGCAGTAGTGGACTACTGAGATTTCAGTCTCTTCACTTGGGTGAAGCTGGATAGGCCCTTCCCACCTTAGACTGTGTTGCCCCAAGGGATCTAGTATGATTTAGTGAGAAGGTAAACCAGAGAGGAAGAAAATGGATTTCCTATAAATGAAGCAGAAATTGCTTAAGTAAACAATTAATTATGAAAGTAAAGAAATATGACCATATTTTAATTCGAAGTTTATAGAGCAGTTCATACCAGACTATACAAAATACCTAATTTGTATATATTCCCCTTACAAAATAACCCTCTTTACGGCTGAGTGAATAAATCTCCTTCCTTCATACTTGCATTTATCACGTATTTTCTCTGTTTAGGAATCTATAGATGTTCCTTTGGCCTATCTTATCATAGTCTACACTATAGACTCACAGGTGCCCATAAAATGATAAAATGAAATGAATAACTAATTCATGATCCCTTTTCTTAGAGCAACCAGATTTTTTAAAAATATATAATCTGTAAGTTTCCTACCCTCTTTTGCTTATCCCTGTAGAGCTCAGGTCCAGATACTTGAGCTGGTGACAGCTCCATGCCAGCACATGGATTCCTGCATTGGTAATCTGTCAGCAACCACTCACATTGAGATACCTAGAGTGTAAGTAAAAAGGACTTAATAGAGGCTTTTCACAAGTGGTCACACTTAGCTTCCCTTCTCCTATCTGTAGAACAAGAATTGGACAACTAGCTGAGAGGATGCCTCAGTGGAGTTTGCTGTTATAAAGATGAAACATACCAGTGCAATTCCAGTCACATTGTGCCTTGTCCCAAGTCTCCCTTTTCTAAGCAAGAAAAGAATTCTGTTTTCTATCCTCCCCACATTTGCTTGGTCAAACACCATGAGCTCTAAATATCTAGAGAAGTTTAGCCTTCCCTAGATTTTCACAGAGTTTTATGATCCTAACAGTGATCTAAGATTACAAGAATGATCTAAAAAAAGACATTAAGGATAATATAAACAAGACTTCTATGGGCAGATTTCAAATAAAACTGAACAGACCCACCTTTGCTGGGGTCTGGTTAAGATGCTTACGCATGAAAAAGCACCTGAGGGCTCGCAGATTAGTGCTGATTTCCACCAAGCTCATGACTGTTACTTGAGGACAGGAGCTGAGGACCAGGTTGTCCAGTTAAGGACACTGTGTCACAGTGAGATGGGTGAGCTGATCCCTCACCTACAGGGGGAAACAAGGACTTGTTTTCTTTTTTTTTTTCTTTTATTATACTTTAAGTTTTAGGGTACATGTGCAAAACGTGCAGGTTTGTTACATATGTATACATGTGCCATGTTGGTATGCTGCACCCATTAACTCATCATTTAACATTAGGCATATCTCCTCATGCTATCCCTCCCCCCTCCACCCACCCCACAACAGGCCCCGGTGTGTGATATTCCCCCTTCCTGTGTCCATGTGTTCTTATTGTTCAATTCCCACCTATGAGTGAGAACATGCAGTGTTTGGTTTTTTGTCCTTGCGATAGTTTGCTGAGAATGATGGTTTCCAGCTTCATCCATGTCCCTACAAAGGACATGAACTCATCATTTTTTATGGCTGCATAGTATTCCATGGTGTATATGTGCCACATTTTCTTAATCCAGTCTATCATTGTTGGACATTTGGGTTGGTTCCAAGTCTTTGCTATTGTGAATAGTGCCGCAATAAACATACGTGTGCATGTGTCTTTATAGCAGCATGGCTTATAATCCTTTGGGTATATACCCAGTAATGGGATGGCTGGGTCAAATGGTATTTCTAGTTCTAGATCCCTGAGGAATCGCCACACTGTCTTCCACAATGGTTGAACTAGTTTACAGTCCCACCAACAGTGTAAAAATGTTCCTATTTCTCCACATCCTCTCCAGCACCTGTTGTTTCCTGACTTTTTAATGATCGCCATTCTAACTGGTGTGGCATGGGCAAGGACTTCATGTCTAAAACACCAAAAGCAATGGCAACAGCAGCCAAAATTGACAAATGGGATCTAATTAAACTAAAGAGCTTCTGCACAGCAAAAGAAACTACCATCAGAGTGAACAGGCAACCTACAGAATGGGAGAAAATTTTTGCAATCTACTCATCTGACAAAGGGCTAATATCCAGAATTTACAATTAACTCAAACAAATTTACAAGAAAATAAAACAACCCCATCAACAAGTGGGCGAAGGACATGAACAGACACTTCTCAAAAGAAGACATTTATGCAGCCAAAAGACACATGAAAAAATGCTCATCATCACTGGCCATCAGAGAAATGCAAATCAAAACCACAATGAGATACCATCTCACACCAGTTAGAATGGACTTGTTTTCAAGTTCAGGTCTTTCTGCACACAGAGGACAGGGCAATAAATCAAGTGTGCTAGAGGCATGATATGAATTTGTTCAGATGAATTAGCATCGTCATCATCATCATTGTCATCGTCGTCATCGTCATATTTATAGTTCCCAGTTGAGAAGTGCCTAAGTATGCCAGATTCCTAGGTAGGCCTTTTATAGGCACTAGTTCTAGTGCTTACAACAGTCCTATAAAATAGATGTTATTTCTTATTTCTTACAAATAAGAAAATTGTGAGTCTGGGAGTTAAATATCTCATTGAGGTTATCCCTAAGTAAACGACAAAGCTACAGTCAAATCTAGGGCTGATAGCTCCAGAGTCCACACTGAATGAACTTTCAGTTGAGAACTAAACTAATAAGAGTCAGTCATCTTATGCAAGCAACCAGGTTCTCTATTAATACAATCAGCAACTAAGAGAGACTTGATAATACTAGCCAAGTCCATTTTATATGGAGTTGGCTGTAAGATTCTAAGATTAAAAACAAGTTTAGGTCTAATAGGTTTCATTTACAATTACTATCAGAATAAAATGAGTTATAAAACACTAAGAAATTGAAGTGTTATTAAAAGAACAAAATATACCAAACTGGAAGATTATAAACATAGGAAAAATCAAATCTAACCTATGATTAATCCCACGATTTTATGTGATTTTTCTGCTTAGTTTAACTACTGTTTACTATGTTTATAATTTTAACCCTCATGATTATGACTACTTTCTACTCTGTTGACAGAAAGATTTTATTTATCTCCCTAATATCATTATAATCATAAAATTATTAAGTGCCTAATTGCAACTAAGATGATGTATTAGTCCATTCTCACACTGCTGATAAAGGCATACCCAAGACTGAGTAATTTAAAAAAGAAACAGGTTTAATTGACTCACAGTGTCACATGGCTGGGGAGGCTTTACAATCATGGTGGAAGGCAAGGAGGAGCAAAGTCACATCTTACATGGCAGCAGGCAAAGAGGGAGCTTGTGCAGGGAATTCTCATTTATAAAACTATCAGATCTTGTGAGTCTTATTTGCTACCGTGAAAACAGGAAGGGAGAAAACCCCCCATGATTCCATTATCTCCATCTGGCCCCACCCTTAACACATGGGGATTATTACAATTCAAGGTGAGATTCAGGTGGCGACACAGAGCCAAACCATATCAGATGGTTCTAGGAACTGAACACAGACCCAGATTTTTCCTCTCATAATTTATAATAGAGCAGGATCTGAGAATAGTGGCTTATTGTAGATGTACACACCCACAGAGAAAGGATAATCAAATCCTCTATATCCTTCATCCACCCTGACATCTATCTCTGTCTTTCCATATATCTATATTTATTATATGTTCTATCTATCCATATATCTATGATGTCTCATTATTATGCTGTAATATTCCCTGTACCTGTTATAGTCTGATTTAAGTGCACATATATATACTTATGCTCTCTACATAAGTGACTACAAAAGCCCACTTTTAAAACCTTAAACTCCAAAGCTGAAAAAATCTCAAGGGCAAAGTTAGCATGTTTTTCTTCCATGATGACTCTTTTAAGAACTTATTGAAAAGCTTGGCATTCAGAGAACATCACAGAAAGGGTCTGATGTTCCAGGGCATAAAAAGATGGAAAATCATAGGCGAGATCCTGTTCACCATACCGTGTTACGCTAAGTTATTTTCTCATATACTCAGGTGATCCACCCTTTAAGGTAATTTTATGTAAGAGAAAGTCAAACTTATATAGCAGGTAAATCAAGAAGTAGCTATTCATTTTACAAATAATTTGAGGCATAGTTCCAAAATATAGCAAGCCCTTACTCAGTAGTTAAAATGAGACTTGATTCACAAAATTTCAATTTATACATAATTTGCCATGAGATGGTCTTGATGACCTGGTCTCAGTCTAGTCCTCAGCACACATTTATGAAGCACTGACCTTGTCCCAGGAACTGCGCTTTGCTTGGTGAGCAGCACCTGGAGCACGCACAAAGATATTTTGGGGGCAGCCTCTAAATTTGTGAGCTTGCATACATTAGTGCCAGAATCTGCAGAATCCCCATTGGAAAATAAAAATCAAGAGAGTCATGGAAGTGCTTATCCCATATTATGCTTAAAGTAACTAAGTGACCTCAAATATTATGGTGATACAGCACTTATGAAATCAGATGCAAATAATTTAAGCAATAGCACAGCATCCATCATCTTATTTAAGATATCAAGCAATCCAACATTATGTACATATTGTTAATTTAAGAGTTTTTCGTGCATTAAAAGTGAATGTCTAGAAATTGAGTAAGATTAAGCTACTGTTGCTGTGTGTTTGCAGTTTTGAGTGAAAACAGACTAAGAATGAGACTTTATTTCTTCCCAGAACTTTGAGCTTGTGAAAGACTTTCCCAAATATATCTAAATACATTATCTAGCAAGCTGAGAACAGACTTTCAACTTTTAATGAATAACTTCTTTCAAGTATATGACATTTCTATTAAAAAGAAAAAGAAATATAGTATTGTTCTCTCATTGCTTCTTCAGAGAGCATTCAAGGCAAGAACAGCTCAGAGCCCAAGATGAAGCTAGTAAAAGATAAAACTGAACTCATAAAATTTTTCATTCAGCTGCTTACATCAGAACATCTTTTCACTGGCTTTCAACCAACCAGTATCACAAAGCTTACAAAAGTTACATGGTGATCATCTGTTCTCAGCCAGAAATACTCTCCACTCTAAATTCACAGAATATTATGTGAATCAATATTCAGTTTATGAAAATCAGCCCATCTCATTGTCATATCATTTTTAACTAATCATATTTGGAAGGAGAAGTATACCCCCTCTCCTTCCATACAGAAGGAAGTCAATGGGATTTCATGATAACAAATCAGAAAGCCTGGTTCCATGCTTGCTAGCTTTGTGACCTGTACCATACCTCTTGCAACTCCTAGAACCTCAATCATTCTGCCTGCAAATTGGAGATGCTGCTACTTCTGACACAGGGAAGAGAGGAAGTTAATGAAATAATATTATAACAAGTGCCCTGTACAGTTCCTGGAACATAGAATGGGCTCAATAAATGATAACTATTATCATTGTTATTATCTCTTATGTTTTTCATAGTTTTATTGATTCCTGTAAATGTTAGTTCAGTTACACAAATGGCAAAAGATTCAGTTGATTGGTCAACTATTAGGTATATTACCTACTAAATAGCAATGTTTCCTTAGGAGAATTACATTTGCTCCTCCAGTTTCAAATATTTCTTTTTTTGAGTAGTCATAATCCAATGTGCAAACCCTTCTTATCACACAGATACTAGGAGATTCTGTCCCCCTTTAAATGTGCATTTCAGTTCATTACTTCACGATGACATGAGGAAGCTACAAAAGCATTACTAGCCTTATATTCTGGCAATATAGAAACATGGAGACCACTGAAAAAGTCATTCTGAGTCCAGAAACTCTCACCATTTTGAAGACAGCAACATTAAGCACAGTTACCTCTTATAAATTTTCCAGGTTCCTGACTAGGCAGGCCTCAGAAACCTTGGGGACACTCCTGATATTCGGGGTCTGCAGGTGCGGACATTGCAGGGCCAAGGACCCTACACTCCTGGTGGTAAGCACAAGGCAGCCAAATACTTCTATTTTGTGAAGACTGATAAAGAAAACAAATTGTGAAATATCGTACTGGGCACCCTGATCCACTATGCATGAGCAGGTCACTAAAGTTACTTGAACAATATTTTTATTTTTCCATGGTGGAAAGCCTGCATTATAAAGTCACATTTGAGAAGTTAATATATAGTGCCGATAAGGTGAAAAGAGTGTGTAAATGATTCAATGAATGGATAAAATTCTCTAGGCATGTTATCTTCAGCACATACACACCACGTTGATTCTCGTTATTCACTGTAGTTAACCTTCCATAACGTTGCTGTAAACACTGAATTAGTGAATACTGAACCATAGCTCTTATGGGAAAAACAGTTAAGTTCTTGCTACATTTTCATCTCTGGTCACAACACTTTCATCAATCAATCAATATATAACCTTGTTTTATGTGTGTTTCTGTTTAGTGACCATTTATTCAACATATCTTGTTGATTCACTACCACTGAACTCATGGCCAACGGCACTATAGCTCACGCCTGAGGGAAGCTTCTCTAACACATATATTTTCTCTGTAAGGCGCATCACAGCCTTCTTGCACTCAGAAACACCTAGTACTTCAGTACTATGTTTTGGGACTATTTTAAACAGTGAAATCACAAACAAAAAGCACAAAATGTGAAAAAAAAAAGATGGCACAAAGGTGAAAGAGACATTTGTTTTTGATAGAGTTTCACTCTTGTTGCCCAGGCTGGAGTGCATTGGCATGATCTCAGCTCACTGCAACCTGCGCCTGTGGGTTCAAGAGATTCTCCTGCCTCAGCCTCCCAGGTATCTGGGATTATAGGCGCCCGCCACCACGCCCAGCTAATTTTTTGTATTTTTAGTAGAGACAGGCTTTCACCATATTGGCCAGACTGGTCTCAAATTCCTGACCTCAGGTGATCCACCCACTTCGGCCTCCCAGAGGACATTTCTTTACTGTATAAGAGCAGAAACAAAAAGGCAAAACCTCATCTTGCTGGACCTTAGCTGCCAATACACACCTTAAGCGATTCAGCTTTGTTGCTGCCGTACACATGTCTGCAAATGGCCACAAAAGGACCTTGTGTATTGATATGGGGGTTACAAATATGTTTTAGAAAGCAGTCAAATTTGCAGGTGTGGAAAAGAGAGTTTCTTATACTCATAGCTCCTAAGAGGAGAGGGCATGCTACATCACCCAGGGCTACACACGAGTTCAGGCAGGAGACAGAGGGAACGAGGGAAAAACGTGGGCAAGAGCCTTCAATGTGGTTCCCACTGGAAGACAGACATGGGAGAGGCAGGGTAAGCAGGCTTAAGCTTGGCTAGTTTGAGTAATTTTGCCAGGCTCTGGGGCACAGGGGCCACCCCTTATTGTCTGGTACCCTGCCCTGGGGTGATGAGGACAGACGGGTAGTAGCTTGGAAAGGTAAGAGCTAGATAAAGGAGGTAGTTGGGGGGTACAAGCCTTGGATTGGTTGGGAAAGCACATTTGCAGCCGAGTCCTTTGCTGTCTCTAGGAATTGGCTAGCCCTGGGAGGGACAGTCTCTTCAGAGTCAGCATGACCCCAAACATCAAAACATCAGAATAAAAAGCCATGCTTAGTGTACATCTACACGGGCCACTTCCCTCTGGCCCTCCTCCTCCTTCAGTGGGTCCCCAGTAATCACACAACCAAAAGAAGGGATCCTCTGCTCTGAGCATTTGAAGTCAAATACCCAAGGCAGCAGCCTTTTGCTTGATATGGTCACACACACTGCAGAGTGTAAAGCTGAGTGAAGTGTTTGTAGGAGGCCCAGGCTTGAAACCCATTGTCATCATTCAGTAGTCCCTGAGAATATCATTTAGCCACTTAGAACCTCTGAGGTTCTTTTAAACAATCGGCTTATTAGTGATGATAATATCTACCAAATTTTTATGATAATAATGAGATAAGGCACTATAAGACTATAAAGGAGTAGGTGTTAGTATTTATAGTTATTTTAACAGTGTAAAACAGATTGACAGAGGTGAAAACTGAAGTGTTTATGAGTGAAATAATATATTTGGGATTTGCTTTAAATTATTCCAGCAAATGGACAAAAAAGTGAAAGGGACTGACTTTTCAATATTTGAAAAAAATATTGGTTATTATTAAAGGTGTATGATGAGTATAGGGCAATTAATTCTAAAATTCTCCTTTTGAGTATTCATGAATGTTTGCATAATAAAAATTTCTTAATGCAGGGTGAAAGACACAGAAAAAAAGAGGTATTAGATATTAGCAATCATTGGAGAATTACTATTATATAAAAACCCAAACACTATTGTATAAGACTTATTTTTATGATTGTGAATCAAAAGCCCATCCTCTTCCTTAGACCCCTGGATTGCTAAGATGCCTTGATCTTTTCACTAGTTCCAAATATCTATAGGCTAATATTGACTTAGGTTAATCAAATTCTTGTTATAATACATTTGTATTAAGCAATAGAATTCCTAATGGTAAAACTATAATCAACATGTTATGACTGCTTCATGATGAGAAGTCCCATTCAATTAGGGAATTTCCCCAATCAAAGGCCCTTCACTCCCAAGAGAGCTTCACTGAATAGCAAGTGGAGGCTGCTTAATTAGTGAGGTTAAAACATCTTTCAGAAACAAGGTCAAGATGACATTTCTATCGGTGCCAAGCGATGAAAGAATCCTCCAAACACAGCCTCAGAAATCTTGGTGTGAAAATTTCTGTAAGACTTATTGACAGAAGATAAAGGAAAATATATTGATCTTAATATCAATGAATTTTTCTTTAGATATATACTAGATTTTGGCTTTACGTAAGAATTTCCTTAAGCTTTCCATAAAATGACCAGCTTTTTGCTTGAGAAAACTTTTTCTCTGAATTCATTATTCTTGTTTGAACAAATAAGAATCCTTAAAAAAAATCCATGAACCATAATTGTAAGTCAATCAACAGAGAAAATTTAAAAATCAGCAATTCTCTGAGATTTACCTCTTCATAATGTCTTCATGGTTAAGAAACTGAGAGAGCTTGCGAGAAACATTGAGTCAGTCCATGCAATAAAGAGATGGACAATATAAGAGCCCCTTCAATCAAAATGTTGTATGCAACCACAGAGCACTCAATAACCAATGTGTCTGCCACAGAAAAGGACAGGAGATGAATCTACATAAATATACGTGGTGGTATCCGTCCATCTGAACTACAAAGAATGATTTCCTTTTTCTTCCCATAAAAAGAAAATCTCAGTGACAAATCCTGAAAAATCTTTGCCTCATCTGACCCAATTATTCTGCATTTCCCAAGTCATTACATTCTTGGTAGGATGTATCAACTTTCAAACCCCTCATTTAACTTTGTGTACTTCAATATAGCCTACAATTATGTTAAAACATTATTAGTTCTCTAAAAACATTTAACTGCTGAAACTGCTGGATAACTTATAGAATATCCAAAAGTGTGAAATACGGGTCACATTATTTAGCACTTGCCCAATACCAGGGCCAGTGTGCTTTAAACAAAAGACCATTTTACATCCCTTCTACACTTCCAAACCTCACTTTGGTGACAAGAATAAAGAAATATAGATGAGCTAGGAGGAGGAAAGCAAAGCTTCATATTTATTGAGTGTCCATATTGATGGTACAAGCTAAATAAGTATTCATAATTTTCATTGTTAACTGGGAGGAAAATGAGGTTTAGGAGTTGCTATGTAGCCTACTCAAGCCTGGGCATCTACAAGAGGCTAAATTTCAACAATTCATGCTCTTTCCACCTCCTTTTGCTGCTTCTGAAGCCAAACTGAGGCTTACATTAGCAGTGAAATGTTTGAAATATCTGCTACCTCTTCCTACCTCAAAGAGTCACAAAGTCAAATGAGATAGTATAGAATCCTATACTGAGCAGCACTATGTTAAAAGTGAAAAAAATAACGAATGAATAAATAAAAAGATAGACAGCAGCCATTATCAAGTCTAGAAAATGACAGGAAGTCCTACTTGATAAGATTAGTTTCAACTACACTCATTTGGGGTCACTGAGAATCGACACAATGTACCTTGCCTGTCACTCCCCAAGTTTATTTATCAAATCTAAATTCCTCTCAGTGTATTTGTGTTTTCACTTGACAAACCAATTAATCTAACAGAAGTGATTAACTGAAAATAAAATTTTCTTTTCTTGACCTGAATTTTCCCAGAATAGCAAATACACTAAGACAAAATTGTTGCATTTATAAAAGGAAAACGCATGGTATAATATGGGATCATGTGCTTGAAAATACATTGCAAACTGTTCTAAAGCCTGTAAACGCTACGAAAATGTGTGCTTGCATTATTACAAATCCAAGCCAACTAATGCCAAGTGGGCATAATGCTAAGACATAAAAGCTGAAAATAATCATAGCCAGGAATTTTGGTTATAAGACTCAATAATAATAGGACTTTTACACCATCCCATGTGCCGGCTGCAGGACTGCAGCCTAGAAGAACACCACCCAAGGCCAAGTGGCTACAGAAATAGCAGCTGCTGAGATCATCATCATCTAAGCCCAAAGTCATCTAAACATGAGGCCCAGTGACCACTCCCCTCAAAGAGATTAACTGCAAACAACCATGTGTTTTCATCAGGAATACCCAAAATATAAGTCTCTGGCCAGTTATTGTTTCCTCCACCTTCATCTCTCTTACCTGGTACTTTTGGGCCCTAGATCCAGCCTATTCCTCCCCCACCCATCTAAATCCTTGGGCTAGCTCTCCGGAAATGCTGCTCCATACACTAATTTTCTATGAATGTATCTGTTTCTTTGCTTAATCCCTCCACCTTGTTTTAAGAGAGATCCCTGATGCAAATACTTGCCCGTATCTCTCTGTTTATTCTTTCACTGTCAAAAGAACACTGTTTATTCTTTCACTGTCAAAGTAGCTGAAAATCAGGAGGTGGAGTTTTTGTCCTCTGTGCTTCCCATCACCCCTTGCCAGCAATGATCATCTACCCCTATGTCATGTGTGACAGTTGCCATCTGCCATCCTTCCAGTGACTCATCACTTTCCTTTTCCCTCAGTCACCACCATTCCTGGGAGACTTCAGCACATGCTCATACCCTTCCTCTCCACCTCAAGTCCTCCCACCATCCTGGGTGACTTCAATAACCAAGTGGATGACCCATGTAACAGCTTGACCCTGGGCTCTTGACGTCCTTATCACTCATGACCTGATCTTCTCCTTTGTGTCCCATCAGCCACCTGCTCCACTAGGATGGCTTTAGACTTTGTCATACCCTGAAATTACTAACCGGGACATCTGACATTTAGACCCTGTCTCCTTTTCCTTCCTACTTATAAACCATTTTATTAAATATTCCCATTGTGACCATCCTTCTTTTCAGGGCCTCCAAATAATTATCTGCTTTACTGTCACTTCTACCATCAGCCTTCTAATTTCTTCATTTTCATTCTCTTCCTGCTTAAATTCCAGATCCACAATTTCAGCGATAATCTGGCCAGTATCCCAAGGTCCTGTCACACGTGTCTGGCATAATCAGAATCCACATGAACATTATCCATGTTCTCTGGCCTTGCACTGCAGCAAGTCACACAACATACTGACATTTTAAACAAATGAGCAGCAACTTGTTACACTCATCTGGTCAACATACTGCCCTCTCTAGAATGTCTACTCCAAATCTATGGCATCTCTCCCTAGACATGTCCATAGAGTGCCAGCTTCCTCTTTCCTCAAAGCCAATGACCTCCTACTTCATGGAGAATGTTAAAGCCCTCCATACCTACCACCACATTCTTCTGTGCAATTTTTCATCTTTCTCCACTTCTCTTACATTGGTTGAACAATTCTCTTCCTTTCCAGAGCCAGTTCCTAATCCTTGGATCCCATCTATTCTAGCATTTTCCAGAAACATACACTACTATCATCTATTTTTCTTATCCAATTGTTCCATCTCAAATGAATCTATGAATCTTTCCCACTGGAATTAGAGCATGTTCAAGTCTCATCAATTAGAAATCAAAAGGCTCCTTCGACTTCACATTTCTATGCAGTCATCACCTCCTCTCTCATTTTTGCCCTCTGGACAAAACCTCTGTTTTCTATTTCCATTTTCTTATTTCCCATTTTCATCAATTCATGCCAAGCCGGTTTTTGACCTATCGCTCTCCTAAAACAACTCTCATGAAGATCACTAATTATTGATAGAAGCTAAATCAACAGACATATTTAACGCTTTGTTTTATATACTTTAGGCAGTCCTGGACACTGTTACTGTTGTTCATTTCTTAAACCATTCTCCTCTTTGTATTTAAACTCACATGTTTAAATGTGTGTTTATGGTTTAACTCCATGTAGTGGGAGGGTGGAGAAAGAAATATTCCTGCCTCTTCTTGTGGCCCCTAGTCTAGCACTCCAAACACCAAAAGGACCAATAAACTCTTGTTGTTTAAACGAGCAGTGTCTTTGGAAACAACAATATGAGTGACCCAGGAAAACCTGTTTTAAAAATCTATCTGTTGAAAAATACAGATGAATCTCAAAAACATGTTGAGTGAAAAAAGCCAGACATAAAAAGTACACACTGGTCTATAATCCCATTTAAATCAAGTTCAAGGAAAGGCAAAATTAAGTCATGGTGATATAAAAGAGAAAAGTGGTTACTTCCAGGGGTGGAGGGCAGATTACAACTGGAGAGGAACATGAGGGAGCTCTCTGGGGTGATGGAAATGTTCTATACCTTGATCTGGGTAGTGTTTACATGGGTGTATGTATGTGTAAAAAATTGTCAAGTACAAGCAGATGTGTTCATTTTACCCCTTGTGAATTATACCTCAATAAGAAAGAAACAACAAAATTAAATAAATATGCCTCATGTCAGATACAATCTATATAAAAGGGAAAACTTGGATGTACTTACTTGAGCACTTAAGCCAGAAGTCAGAGAACTATGGCCCCCTGGACAACCCTGTTTTTGTAAATAAAGTTGTATTGGAATACAGCCACACTCATTTGTTGACAGAAACTGTATCTTCTTCAAAGCCTCCAATATTTACTATCTGGCTCTTTTCAGAAAAAGTTCACCTACTCCTGACCTAAGCCAGTGGTTCAGAATTTTTTTGTGGGGGTTCATGGATCTCTGAGAGAATCCAATGAAGGCTAAGAGATTATCTCCCCAAGAAAACACAGCTTCTTAAGTAAAAAATGTGATATAATTTTAGGAAGTTCATGTACTCTCTGAAGCACAGTCATCGAACTTCAACTTAAGACCTTCTGTTCACAGTTTTTGTCACTAATTACTAAATTACTCTACTGAGAACCATCCACAGGTGGGCTCTCTTTTCTTTGAACTACATCTGATTGAACTTCTATTTCACACCCTTGCTTGCTCCACAGAACTACTCATGGTGACAGCCAATAACAGTTATCCTGATCACAATATCTCATCCTGTATCTATCAATCCATTTGTTCTCCCTCAAGGGAACAATCTACACACAACCCAACTCTGAGAAGCCTTTCTGAAAATGTATGTAGTCTAGTACCAAGATAAACCAAGAGCACCAGAAGTGAGGAACTGGCAGTCTCTAGCATCAATATTGAAAAAACCATAAGGCAATAGCTTACAGACAAAGGAGTTCATTAGCAGTGTTGCATGCTGGAAGAATATTGGCACATCTATTCAATTCCTCAGTCTCAATATAGAAGAAGTAAAAACATGTGTACCAAACAATGGAGTGTATGTGGACATTGTAAGCACTTTTACAGCAGGGCTATGCCTATGCATCTATTTAGCCCCCGTGGTGCCTTGCACATTGTAGGAACCTAATGAGTAATAAAGAAATGGATGAATTAAGCCAGTTTATAAAAACAAAAGTCATTATTTTATAAATGGTTTAGGCTTCCTGGGAGCAACGTGATAGTTTATGTTCCACTCCAGAAAAAGACAATTATTTGTAGAGAATACTCCCTGTGTTTCTGTAACTCTGATTTCATATTAATGTGCTCACAAAACATATATCAAAGGTCTACTTGGTGGGAGGCCTGCCAACTTATTAGCACCATTTATTGTCCTGAAAGAAAGCACTCGCAGACGTCATTTAATGAGGACATGGCATGTTTTGACCAATTCCTGAATAATAAGAAAAACCTATCTTCACACAAAATGAGAATACTCCAGTCAGCATGATCACTGATCTAATGCTAATTTTACAGTTCTTCATTACTGCCTTCATAGCTGCTGTATGAACAGTGGGTGGCATCTACAAAAGCTGATTAATGCTGGGATTTAAATTGCTGAAAATTGAAGGAATGTGCCCCATGCTGACAATTTGTTAATCAAAAATTGTCATTTTTACCACTGTGCAAGCTTTAGCCCATTTTATAAAAGCCATGTACATTTCCTCCCAGACGCGTTATAAATTCCCCCCTCAATAAGACTGAATTATTTTTCCTAACAGTTGAAAGGTTTTATGGATTCATAAGAGGCTGAATCTCTCTAACTCCAATGAATCAACTTCTGAAGTGGAAGAAACATATCACTTCAGTTCCCATTTTCCAATTTTTGTATCAATTTGTGTGCTAAGAATGTACAGATCCATGCTGATACTCAACTCTTATAAGTTTATCAAAAAAACATTTTATTACTTAAACAATCATATTTTTGAAGAAAATTAAATGACCAAAACTCCTGTTGTATTCATTTTTAGTAGGTAGCATTATTAAAGCCTCAGAGCAATTAGCATGCTTCAGCCTATGCAAAGCGGCCCTTTCAAATGAAAAGATGATGACCAGCAAAGCGACCATATTTTGGAACCAAAGAAACTCAAAAGAATATGAGGCAGACATTAGTTCCTGTCGTCCCTAAACCACAGGGGACATGGAACAAACTTTCCTAGTGGTTCTTATCACCCCTTCCCAATTGGCTTGAGGTCAAGCAGGCACTTCCCTCTCCCTTCAGAGTATACCAATAATTTATTTTTTAAAAAACCCCTTCTCCCAATTCTTCAACCTCCACATCCTGTCATATGGGCTGAGAATAGATGTTTGCCAAGAGCTGGCAAACCTAATATTATAATCTCTTGGCATGGCCTATTTGGATGGTCTAGCACCTTAACTTAGAATGAAAAGGTGGGGACTTGTTTCAAACTTTATATTTGAAGGGCACCACAGAAGACAAGCTATGAGGCCCAGAGTGTGCACAAAGAGGAGAGTCAGAAGAGATAGAGCCAAGGCCTTAAACAGATTCTTCAGCGAAAGAATAAACCATGTTCACCCCAAAAAGGGAGGCAGAGTAGAAATTGCCTGTCTTCCCTGACCTGATTACTCACAATCAGTAGCTGGCTCTCATGCTGTTGGTGGCCTAAATTTATACCACCTGTTTGTTCTGAAAAGCCCCAAGAATTTCTTTCACAGTAATTCTGGGTTAGTTGTGTTCCAGGAATCAGGAAAAAGAAAAAACCAATCCCCACTAGAGAAATGTACATTCACCCAGTTCTCCAGGCATTCCCAAAAGAAACATCAAACATGAATTTACATGAAAAAAAAATCACAAACCACATGACACCATAAGCAAGAACTGTGAGAAACAACCAGCAGCAGATTCAGATGCATAAAGCCTGCAGATGCTGGAATTTTTAGATGCAGAATATAAGATAAGAATGCACAATGTCACTAAAGAAATAACAGTATTGAAGTACGAGCAAATAATAAGAAACAATCAAACTTGGTTAGGCAGATTTAGGGGGCAAAAAGAAAACTTCTAAGAAAACAGTGTAATAACATTTAAAACTCAATTGATAGATTAAACGGCAAATTGCATGCAATGAAATACTTAATGAAACAAAAATAAATCTGAAGACAATGTGCAGGATTCAGATGCTGACAAGACATCAATTCTTCCAAAAATAAATACAAGAGAGTAGAAGGGTGGTTACCAGGGTTTGAGAGAGTGGAAAAAATGGAAAGATGTTCTTCAAAGGGTATAAACTTTCAGTTTTAGGTGAGTAAGTTTCGGAGGCCTAAAATATAGCATGGTACTATAGTTTAATAATAATATACTGTACACCTGAAATTTTCTAAGAAAGTAGATTTTCAGTATTCTCATCACAAAAAAACAAGTAACTGTGAGGCGATGAACATGTTTATGAGCTTGATTGTGGTAATTATTTCATAATATATTCATATATCAAAACATAACATTGTTCACCTTAAATATATACAATTTTTATTTGTCAATTATACCTCAATAAAGTTAGGAAAAAAGAATACATACAATTGTCATTTTTTTTTGTGCATTTCTGGTTTCCGAATATAATATCTTAAGAGTTAGTTGAGAAAATAACATTGAAAAACAGAAAAAAATGGATGAATATGTAAATAATTTTAGGGTATCAAAGCCTTTTAAACTAAAAACAATGGAAGAAAGCATAAAGGAGATTAATAAATAACAAATTTTGTAATTCTGAACATAAATTTCTTAACTATAAATGACAAAATTAAATAATACTTGTAATAGCTGTAATAGAGGCTAATATTCTCTATACTAAGAGCTCTTAAATAAAACAGATATTTAAATATGAAAAGAATATGAACATGTATTTGAAGAGTAGAGGCAAATAATCGAACTTATGATAAATAAATGTATTAATAAATGTTCAACTTTGCTATTAAAGAGCAGCAGCAAAGCAAACATAATATATAATTAAATCTATCAAATAAGCAGATTCTTATTTAAAATTATATATAATAATGTAATAATGCTAGCAAATGAGATCATATTGACACTTTCACATTCTGGTGAAGTAAATGTTTTACTACTTTCTAGAAAGCTATTTTACAATATATATGTTCATGTCTGTTAATCCAGTAATTATACCTCTAAGACTCTATCTTAAGATTTTTCATCCTATTACATATAAAAGTAAACATTTAGAAACCATACAAATATCCGTTAGTGAATTGGCACATTCATTTCATGTAACCTTTAAAAAGCATGTTTTAAGGGCTGAGCGCGGCGGCTCACGCCTGTAATCCCAGCACTTTGGGAGGCCGAGGCGGGTGAATCACCTGAGGTTGGGAGTTCGAGACCAGCCTGACCAACATGGAGAAACCCCGTCTCTACTAAAAATACAAAAAAATTAGCTGGGCATGGTGGCTCATGCCTGTAATCTCAGCTACTTGGGAGCCTGAGGGAGGAGAATCACTTGAACCCAGGAGGTGGAGGTTGTGGTGAGCCAAGATCGCACCATTGCACTCCAGCCTGGGCAACAAGAGTGAAACTCGGTCTCAAAAAAAAAAAAAGTATGTTTTAAAAGGATATTTAGCTGAGAATAAATCAGAAGTGATCAATTGTGAATATGCTGTCAATGCAGTTAATGAAAAAAAAGATACAAAACTCTATACTTGGGATGCTAATTTTGGGTTTTTTTGTTTTTTGTTTTTTTAATTTCCACACATAGAGAAAAGACAATGGAGATACAAAGATGTAAACTGTGTTTATCACTAGGTGGTAGAATTATGGGCAATTTAAAACCTTTTTTCTGTAATTCTGTAGATTCTAATTTAAAAAATTGTTTTTATAGTTTAAAAAACACTGTATTTAAAATTTCTATTGTTTTAAAAGTCAATTTTCAACACACATATAAGAAATAAAATAAGATAAAATATTGATATCATAACCTGTGTTGCAGGAAGTCAGGGACCCTGAACGGAGGGACCGACTGGAGCCGAGGCAGAAGAACATAAATTGTGACCATTTCATGGACAGTTATCAGTTCCCAAAATTAATACTTTTATAATTTCTTATGCCTGTCTTTACTGCAATCTCTGAACATAAATTGTGAAGATTTCATGGACATTTATCACTTCCCTAATAATACTCTTATAATTTCTTATGCCTGTCTTTACTTTAATCTCTTAATCACGTTATCTTCATAAGGTGAGAATGTACGTCACCTCAGGACCACTATTGCACAAATTGATTGTAAAACATGTGTGTTTGAACAATATGAAATCAGTGCACCTTAAAAAAGAACAGAATAACAGTGATTTTCAGGGAACAAGGGAAGATAACCATAAGGTCTGACTGTCTGCGGGGTCTGGCAGAATAGAGCCATACTTTTCTTCTTGCAGAAAGCTTATAAATGGATGTGTGAGTAGCAGAGATATTGCTGAATTCTTTTCCCAGCAAGGAATAACCCTGGGGAAGGAATGCATTCCTTGGGGGAGGTCTATAGATGGCCGCGCTGGGAGTGTCTGTCTTATGCGGTTGAGATAAGGACTGAAATACACCCTGGTCTCCTGCAGTAGCCTCAGGCTTACTAGGATTGGGAAATTCAAACCTGGTAAATTCTAGTCAGACCGGTTCTCTGCTCTTGAACCCTGTTTCCTGTTAAGATGTTTATCAAGACAATACGTGCACAGTGGGACACAGACCCTCATCAGTAATTCTAACTTTGCCTTCACCTTGTGATCTTTATTGCCCTTTGAAGCATGTGATCCTTGTTACCTACTCCCTGTTTGTACACCCCCTCTCCTTTTAAAATCCCTAATAAAAACTTGCTGGTTTTGTGGCTCAGGGTCATCATCACAGTCCTACCAATACATGACATCACCCCTAGAGACCCAGCTGTAAAATTTCTCTCTTTGTACTCTTTATTTCTTAGACCGGCCAACACTTAGGGTGTTGTGGGAAGTCAAGGACCCCGAATGGAGGGACCAGCTGAAGCCATGGCAGAAGAACATAAATTGTGAAGATTTCGTGGACATTTATTAGTTCCCCAAATTAATACTTTTATAATTTCTTACGCCTGTCTTTACTGCAATCTCTGAACATAAATTGTGAAGATTTCATGGACACTTATCACTTCCCCAATCAATACCCTTGTGATTTCCTATGCCTGTCTTTGCTCTAATCTTAATCCCGTCAACTTCGTAAGCAGAGGAGGATGTATGTCACCTCAGGACCCTGTGATGATTGCATTAACTGCACAAGTGTTTGTGGAGCATGTGTGTTTGAACAATATGAAATCTGGGCACCTTGAAAAAAGAACAGGATAACAGCAATGTTCAGGGAACAAGAGAGAGAACCTTAAACTCTGACTGCTGGTGAGCTGGGCGGAACAGAGCCATATTTCTCTTCTTTCAAAAGCAACTGGGAAAAATATCGCTGACTTCTTTTTCTCAACAAGGAACATCCCTGAGAAACAGAATGCATCCCTGAGGGTAGGCCTCTGAAATGGCCACTTTGGGGGTGGCTGTCTTTTATGGTCACAGCGGTGGGATGAAATAAGCCCCGGTCTCCTGTAGCACTCCCAGGCTTATTAGGACAAAGAAATTCCCGCCTAATAAATTTTGGTCAGACCGGTTGTCTGTTCTCAAACCCTGCCTCCTAATAAGATGTTATCAGTGACAATGTGTGCCTGAAACTTCATTAGCAATTTAAATTTCACCACGGTCCTGTGGTCCTGTGATCTCACCCTGCCTCCATTTACCTTGTGATATCTTATTACCTTGTGAAGAATGTGATCTCTGTGACCCACATCCTATTCATACACTCCCTCCCCTTTTGAAAATCACTAATAAAAACTTGCTGGTTTTACGGCTTGGGGGACATCACGGAACCTGCCGACATGTGATGTCTCCCCCAGACACCCAGCTTTAAAATTTCTCTCTTTGTACTCTGTCCTTTTATTTCTCAAACCGGCCAACACTTAGGGAAAATAGAAAAGAGCCTACGTGAAATATCGGGGGTGAATTTCACCCGATATCTAGCTGAATTTCCCCTGATATTAGGAAAAATAGAAAAGAACCTATGTTGAAATATTGGGGGTTGGTTCCCCCAATAAACCTGATATCTAGATAGTAAAGAATGTTATCCTAAAGTTAATGAATAAAATTTGTTACAAAAACCAATATATCTTCAAGGGAACTTGAACACAAAATTTACTTGAAAAAATACAAAAGCTAACATATGGATAAATATAAAACCAAGTAATCAAAGATAAGAGTATCAAAGCAATCATGCAACAACACAACATTTTTTCCTACTCAAATCATTGAAGTTCACTTTGTCTCCACTGGTCAATTTCCCATCCAACAACAGAAGAGCAGCCACTGGCAAGGGTGTGATAAATGGGCATTTTCTTCTCTTCCATTCATGATGAAATACAAATTAATTCAGTCTTTGAGAACACTTGAATATGTGAATCAAGATTTTAATTTGCCCCCTCTTCCCCACCAACCACTCCCCATTAGAACTAGAAATCTACTTTGGAAATCTAGCCTAAATACATAGTCATAAAAAGGGAGATGCAAATCTCTGTGCAAAAACAAACAAACAAGCAAAAAGTATTACTGAGACAGCATTTACTTTAAAATATTGGAAATAACTAAATGTTCAAAATTTAAGAACTAGCTATAAATACTGCTAATATTAAAATTATGCTGAGTTTTCAATAATGAGGAAAATATTTGCTAAATTGCTAAAAAAAAAAGCTACAACTATTTTTTAAAACCTATGCATTAAAAATAATTAAAACCATGTCTATCTAAATAGTAACAGTTTTAACAAAGAAATAGAAAAAGTATACCATGCCTTTTTTGAACCAAAGCATTGGCATTAGTATTCCAAAGTTAATGTAGTGGAGATTTGAAACCATGGCTACAGGGATTCTTGGAACTCCCTGCCAAGGCTTCATTTCCAGTTTTATCATTCCATTTAATGTTGACTTATGTCAAAATTCTTCAAGAACCAGGATTCAAAAGATTCAAGATAATTTGGAGAAACCACAACTTGGTTGCCAATTTATTTAAGAAATGTTGGCTTTCTTCATTTACTTGTATACTTTGCCAGTCAGAATTCAATTTGATGAGGTCTTTATTGGCCAGCTGCATCGTTTTTATGACATGGGCCACACTCCTTGGTGATTTTTTTTCTACCAAATAAGCTATTATGCAATTCACAGGCTATTCACTTTGGGAGGATTCATGGTGTTTCCCCAAATTATTTCTTGCATTGTGCCAAATCCTGCAAACATATAAGGTATTCTTGCTTTATACCTTGGTTTAGGAGACAGGGTTATCTTTATAGAAATACTGGGAATGAACAGTATGAGCTACAGGGATTCAGAGAAGGGTATAATCAAAGTAGGCTGTAAGAAAACAAAGTAGTATTTATCGAGCACATGCTCAGTACTAGTCACTAGAGGTTTTATATACATTCTCTCTTTGAATTTTCACAACAGCTCTCCCTGACCATCATGGCCCACACTTTATAAATAAGTTATCTGAGGCTCAGAAAATACACAAATTTCTCAAATTCAAATAATGAACAGGTTTATGTGATTCCCACTTTTTTTTCTGTAACTCAAACATGGCTTCAAAGATAAGGATTTGGGGGAAAAATCATTAATATGTCATAATAGGTAAAGAATAGGCATTCTGTAAGCAAATTATAATCTATTCAACACCTCTTCCTTGTAACAAGTTGACCAATTACTTTCGTTCATCTAGCAGAATATTTTTCTTCTTATAAAGTAGAAAGTCTAAGGCATCAAACTAACCAGTCTTAAGCAAGTATCTAGGGTATCCCAAGCTACTCCTCAGCAACACAGTATCAACTTACTTCTATGCCTTATGACATAAAAATTATAAGGAAGAGAGTCGATTGAAGTAAGGACAATTCAAACTAATTCTTGAGAATAAACCAACTTTCAACTCATGTTGGGGCCATCATTTGCTTTGTTTTTAAAGTATCATCACAAGTAGTATATTATTCAATTAGATTTTCCCAGACTGATAGCCTTGGGGAAATGTATTTTAAAACAAACAAAAAGTGGAAGAGAAGATGGCAGCCTCTCTCTACAGGGAGTTAGTTATAGAGGTACAATGGGGACAAAGTTCTGTTTGTCCAGGTGTTGTTTATGCATAGAGCCTATACGTTGGTCTCCACCATGGCCAAAATGACTCCTTTTGGATTGTCCACAAATTAGAAGCTGACTCAAATTAGATGAATGAAAATCTTTCAACCTCAGGATCATTCCACCTCAGAAATACAAAAGAAGCCCACATTGCTTTCCATTAAGGTTCTTTCTAGATGTTTCCTGCTGAGCGTGGGAACAATAGCTGCTGCTCTGGCACCAGACATGGGTCTCTAATGCCACCTTATCTGAAGATTTCTTAAACCCCAGCCTGATAAGCCTTCAGGTTAAGAAGTCAAATCTCATCAGTCTTTTGTGAATCCTGTATGTGTAGAGTGACTTCATGAAGGTGCCATCTGCTAGTGATCATCCTACCTTAGTGGGTGAATACATTTTTCCCCAAAATGTGGGAGAATGATAACTCCTGAAGATACAGTCATTTAATGATCTTTCCATAATGGTGCAGTAAATGCATGGTATTAACTTTTTCAGCCCAAGACAGTGGAAATCAAATCATGTTGGGGAAAGTCTGCAGTTATTTGTGATTTGCTTTTCTCTATGATAAATGTGCTGCAGAACTGGAGGAGGTGGCAGAAATGTTTTCAACATGTTTGCTTCAAGTTTGGCTATTCTTGAAACTGGAAGGTCTAACTTCTGTAATTTTCTGCTTGTTAGTAGATCACTTAATGTCTCTGGGCCTCAGTTTACTCAACTGACAAATGTGGATGATGCCTACTCCAAAGGGTGCTTAATAAAATACCAAATAATGTAATACAAATAAGATATAAGAATCCATTCTATAGGCTGATAGGTGATGCATAAATGTAAAGTAACATGTAAATGAGAAGTTTAACATTATTACCTGGTTCCGTGCTTTTTAACTAAAGCTTTAATGGCTTTGTCTATAGTCTGGCATCCATTAATGGAGAGTCCTTGAAGGCTGAAAGTTTAAAAAAAAAAAGTTATATCACAGTAATATTTTCCTTTAAAAAGAAGGACTTTATACCCAAAACTTGCAGTTCATTAGTTATTCAAATAGCCTCAAAAATAATTAAAGAGGGATTTTGTTTTGGTAAATAATCCAGTTTAATTTTGGTTTATGGATCAACTTTCGGATGAAGGGGTCAATAAGTCAGGCATAAATACATATTTTTTATTTCTCGTATTTCTTTCCTGTTGCTTTGATTTTTTTTGCTTGCATAGAAAACATATTTTCATTTCAAATTATTTTATCAGGTTTTAGTTGTATCCATATGGTTGTGTCCATATGAGATATGCAGGGATATGGCTGCATGAAGGATATGGAATATTCCTGGGTGTGGTCATTTAAAGTATAGTTTCCATCATCACCACCAAGTTACTAAGCCATATAGTTTCTTATGGGAGATAAAATAAGAAAAGCATACAATGACATTAGGATCATTATAGAGATTACCTTTGCTTATCACTAAGCCAAGCTCCAGCTAAAACTTGACAAATGAAATATGAGTTTTACCTAACATTTGATTTTAGATTTATCACCAAATATAATAGGACATAAAAGCCACAGTGCTTTTGCTATGACACATTGGGTCCCATTGGATGCACAAAATCAGAAAAGCTGAAATAGCATCCTACGTCTTACAAAATTATATCAGCAGTAAAAAATCTTTGTAAAAAGAAGACACTCAATTTTTTCTTTTTCTTTTCTTTTTTTTTTTTTTTTAAAGATGGAGTCTTGCTCTGTTACCCAATCTGGAGTGTGGTGGTGTGATCTCGGCCCACTGCAATCTCCACCTCCCAGGTTCAAGTGATTCTCGTGCCTCAGCCTCCTGAGTAGCTGGGATTACAGGCACATGCCACCATGCGGGCTATTTTTTTTTTTTTTTTTTGTATTTTTGGTAGAGACGGGGTTTCAGCATGTTGGCCAGGCTGGTCTCAAACTCCTGACCCCAAGTGATCCACTTGCCTCGGCCTCCCAAAATGCTGGGATTACAGGCATGAGCCACCACACCTGGCCCAAGAAAGCTCAATTTTAAAAGGCTGAAACTTTACTAAAAATTGGATTTGTTTCAATACAAAGTCCTTGCTTTAAAACATCCTATAAGGAAACTTTTCACATTGAAAAGCTTTATCAGAGGACCCTTAATAAAGTAATGTGCTTTACCAATGGTTATCCTACATGATGGCTTGGTGCAGGGGAAGAAAGCTGAAGCAACAGCTCTGGTCTGAAGACTTCCCCTCCACATCAAGTACACCACTGGCAATTTTGAAGCAAGCCATGGAGGAGTTGGCAGCTGCACCACTCTCTTTACACAGACAACAGGACAAAATTATTGATATCTCTCAGTGCAGCCATGATATGGTTTGGCTCTGTGTCCCCACCCAAATCTCACTTTGTAGCTCCCATAATTCCCAAGTGCTATGGGAGGGACCCAGTGGGAGATGATTGAATCATGGGGACAAATCTTTCCCGTGCTGTTCTTATGATAGTGAATGGGTCTCATGAGATCTGATAGTAGCTATTTCCTGGTTTTCATCTGTTTTGTAGATGTAGACACCTTCAAAGACAAACTTCACCTTTTAAAAATGTGATTAAAACCATTGAATATTCAAAACAATATTAAATGTATTTCCTACACAGTTCTTATGGACCCTGTGGACAAAGTTCTTTTGAAAGAAGAACGCGTGCTTGTAATATTTCACAACACATCTGATTTTGCTGCTTTGAAGGGAAAATCCACAGTGACTCATTGTTTTCTGCATTTGACATATATTGACATTTAAGATTCTGTTAACAAATCTGAAAGAAGCCTTGCCAACTGCTGGAGGAATTATCTGTCATCAACTTCATCAGACCTAGGGGTTGGGCAGTCAGAGAGGAAGATGGAAAACTAAAACTGCTTTGGCCACAATCCTACTCCAGGAAAAAGTGACTAGGGAAGGTCAATTGTGATATTGAGAGTGCTGTTCCACAAATGTTTGGTTTTTCTCTCTCTTTCTAAAAATGTGGTGGGATTGTAACTCCTCATCCCATGGAGCTCATTGCTTTGGCCAAGAAATATAGTCAGTTGCTTTGTGATCTAGTGCCTGCCTCACCACATTCTATTTCCCTTCTTCCAAGACAGGTGTCAGTCATGGAATTTGCCTAGCCCTAGAATTTGCCAGCCATGGACCTGGGAGTAAGCTTAACAATGCTGTGGAATGAAGCCTCTAACCCATCCAAATGGACATGAGCAAGAAATAAACCTTTGTTCTTTCAGGCTACTAAGAATTGGAGGTTGTTCATTATCACAACATAATCCAGCTTTTCCTGACTGACACAAAGATGATGCCAAATTTTCCTTACTAGAGGAAGTGTTTCTTCAAGTAGAAGTCTGAAGATAATCAGAAGTCTTTCAACTCAGATGACCCTTAAAATAAAAATGTAGATTGGTAATCACTTTGTTGATGCCATGGACAGTAACAGTGATAAAGACCCTGCCAGGATGACCTCATTCTTTTAAGAACAAAGGAAGGTGATACAGCATTAATTCAATGTAAGAGCCTTTGAGAAACCCGGAATTCCTTGATACATATCAACCACCATCTGATACGCAGACCTACTAGATTTCTGATTCCATTTATGCACCTCTATAGGCCAGGGCTCAGCTCTCAGGTTTTGTTACCATTAGAACAAAATGGTCACAACCATTAAGTAGTTAAAGATGATGTTTGCATTCAAAATCTGCCTTCATATTACAGTTGCTTTGGAGCAGATTTAATTTTTGCTTTCTATTTTAATTATATAATTTGTAGTTATTTCAGTTTGTCAAGGAGTGCAATTAAATCTTGTATGAAAACTACAAGATAAATTATTTGTAAAGATTGGTTTATATTCTGTTTTTTCTGAAGAAAAAAATGTTCAAGGCAATATATCAACATATGTAAATATTTCACATTAATAATACACACGTAAGTATATCAGTTGACATATATAGATGGTGTGCATATATATAATATATATCTAGATATGTTTCTATGTATTGATATCTATGACACAGATATCAATATGAAAGGTTTTAGGTATATGTTTAGTTGGCTCATTATAGGGAGGGAATCTATTGCTTTCATCTGATTCTCAAAAACATTGCTGCTCATTACATTTTAAGAAGCACTTCTCTAGACCAGGGGTTAGCAAACCATGGCCCTTGAGATATGCAGCCTTCCATCTGATTCAAAAATTCACTAAAACGTAATTATGTTTCTTTATTTACATATTGTCTATGGCTGCTACAAAGGCAGAGTTGAGTAGTTATGACAGACTGTGTGGCCCCTGCAGCCTGAATTATTCCCCTGGCCCTTTACTGATAAAACACTCTGATCCCTGCTCTGGCTCATGCTCCATTTAGAAACCTGGCACTCTTGGTTGTGAACTGAGACTAAGAGAGCTGACGCTACAAAAACGATGACTCTATTAGAGCCAAACATCAAGTCAAAAAGAAAAGACCTCACTATTTTGTTTCTGCAGGAAACAGAACTAATGCAGAGAGCAATGACTCTGAAATCCCATTATCTAGGTTCCCACAAGTTATCCCACTTACCATAGGTACGAAGTTAAGCAGGTCACTTGACATTACTGTGCCCAAGTTTTCTCATTGTAAAATGAGGAAAATAATAAGAATACACACTTACATTGTAGAGTTGTTCTGGGGGTTAAAATAATTAATGCAGATACAGTATTTAGGAAGTGCCATGTACATAATAAGAAGTGTTATTATTTTTAAAAACTTATTATCAATTATTGAATTGGGGGAAGGGAAGGGCAAATTTTGGTGAGGTGCCTTGTGGCTCCTTGTACAAGAGCCAGCACACCCACATCCGTGGCCCTGGACCAGCTCACGTCCACTACTGACAGTCAGCTGCAAAGGGCCCCAGCATGGAACAGGACCTTGTCCCCCATGAGCCCAGGACCCCTGCAGCTTTTCACGTTCAACTCCTGTGTGGTTAAAACCAAGCGAGCATTCATTAAAACTCTTTCAGGATCTCTTTGATCAGGGCATAATCAAAAGGCGATTTAGTAACTAATAACATAATGGGTGAGGCAGTGAGAGAAATCACCATAGAAGCCAACAGCTGAGGTGTAAGCAGCTCAGCCAAAGGAGGAGGGAGAAAATGACTGGAGCAATTAAAGCTAGTATATTTCTCTGTAGGCCAGCCAGTCTCCCTCCACGCCTGTGCACTGGCTCCCCCACTCCTTGTGAGGGCCTCAGATTGCGTGAGAGAGCGGGAGGTACCTCAAGAGCCATTATGGTGCTATAGGAGCTTGTCCAGACAGCCAGCCATTATGTAGCCATTAAAAATTATATTTATAAAGAGCTTTTAATTAATTGAGAAAACAAGTAAAAATAATGACTACAAAATGTTTTATGTATTTTATCATCTCCATTATGTTTCTTAAACGTTATTTTAAAGAGCTCTTTAATAAATATGTATTAATTTTATAGCCTAAATAATGTTATTCACCAACAACACAAAACCAATTTATAGTGCACAAACACAGCAGTGATTTCTTCTGGGGGACTGAGTGCGAAGAGATGAGTGGCAGCTATCTAGGTAGTGGCAATATTCTCTATCTGAATGGGGTGAGGTATATGCACTTGTCAAAACTCAACAAAGGGGCTGGGCGCAGTGGCTCACGCCTGTAATCCCAACACTTTGGCAGGCCGAGGCAGGTGAATCACCTGAGTCAGGAGTTCGAGATCAGCCTGGCCAACATGGTGAAACCTCATCTCTACTAAAAATACAAAAAATTAGCTGGGTGTGGTGGCGTATGCCTGTAATTGCAGCTACTCGGGAGGCTGAGGCAGGAGAATCACTTGAATCCGGGAGGCAGAGGTTGCAGTGGGCCCAGATTGTGCCTCTGCACTCTGGCCTGGGCTACAGAGCGAGACTCCATCAAAAAAAAAAAAAAAAAAAAGCAGCCAAGAGACCATAACAGGAATAGCATTCTCCCTCCCAAGGTCATGCCTATCTATAAGCTGTCCTAAAGACTCCCTCTGTAGGTGACTACTGCTTTCTTACCAGTGATGTCCCAGACCCACTTTGCTGTTCCCTTCTAACGCTGGGGAGACCTGCCTTGCTGTTCCCATCTAACACTGGGGATACATACCCAGGAGTTGAATTGCCCATGCCTCATATAGCACCCTTCCCTGGTTAATCCTCACTTCTCCTAATCTCACTTCAGAAACAGCAAAAGATACAGAATTGATCCTGCTTCCTCAGCCCATCCTCAGAATCATTCGCAAGGAGCCCAAACCCTCCAACAGATGCTTCCCTCCTCCTTCCCACTGAGCCGTGCTCTTCGAGTCTTCTGGAGCGCCCTCACCCCACCCTCTGCTATTTCAGGTCAATAAATCTGACTTCCTCAGACTACAGGCTGGATCCTGGTCCTCTTTAACTGATCAGGCTTCCACACTATTAACGTAACAGCAAGAACAGAGTCCTTTTTTGTTTATTGCAGTAACATGTATGTAACATAGAATTTATCATTTTTACTATTTTTAAGTGTACAGTTCGGTGGCATTAAGTGCAATCACACTGTTGTGCAGCTATCACCACCATCCATCTCCAGAAGTTTTCATAATTCCAAACTGAAACTCTGTACCCATGAAACACTAACTCTCCCTTAGCCTTGGCAAACACCTTTCTACTTTTTGTCTTATGAATTTGACTACTCTAGGTACCTCATGTCAGTGGGATCATACAGTATTTGTCCTTTTGTGACTGGCTTATTTCATTTGCATAATGTCTTCAAGGTTCATTCATGTTGTAGCATGTGTTCGAATTTCCGTACTTTTTAAGGCTGCATAATATTCCATTGTAGGTATATACCACATTTCATTTCTCCATTCATCTGTTGATGGACCCTTAAGTTGCTTCTATCTTTTGGCTATTGTGAATAATGCTGCTATGAACATGGGTGTATGAATATCTGTTCAAGTTCCTGCCTTCAATTCTTTGGGGTATTACACCCAGAAGTAGAAATGCTGGATCATATGGTAATTCTGTTTAAATTTTTTAGGAGAATTCAGTCATTTGACCAAATTTAATACTATTCTGTGTCATATTAAATGGGCCAAACCTTCCTCTGAGATGTTACCTCAATATAAATGAGAATATCTGTGAAGGCTATAGCTGTTCTATAAATTAGTCAGAAATGCTTACTGGTGAGATTTCAGGGTTAAGATGGTAAATAAAGCTGCCGCAGTTTCTCCCTCCTTGAAGATACAATACTATGTACAAACTGAAGATTCTGGCTCAGAGAGGAGCAACTTGGTATCTGGGGACTCCAAACTACCCTCTCCCTCCTCAAGCCCTATTGTGAGTCAGTAAAATCCTGAAACTTATCAGTTGTTACGCAAAACTGGAGAGAAACAAACTCAATGATTATCTTTTTCTTTTCTCTGGTCAGCTTTGGAAAACATAGATGGGGAAAAGTGGAAGAGAGAAAGGGAACAACAGATCTAACAGTCTCAGACAAAAAGCAAAGGTGGCAGAGATCCATGCTGAACTCTAGGATGCATTCCAAACCCAGGGGTAGTTAGAAAAAACCCCACAACAGGCCATTAGCAAAACCTGGAACCAAAAGCCAAGCCGAGGTGTTATGAAAAGATTACAAACAGTCGTGTGATAGCATCGCCAATTGCTTCTCTTCCTTGCTGCCTGCTCAATGATGTCACACTAGGAGTGTGAAATCAGCAAGGATAGAAGTATTTACACTTCAGCAAATTGGCAAATTCTACAAATAAGGTGTTTTGTTTTGTTGGATTTTTGTTTTGCTTTTTTGATGGAGGGGCAGGGCAGTGGTGGAGAGAGCCAGTTTCCTGGTATACTGGTATACCAGATTGTGCACTACTTCAGCTGGGCTCTCCTCCGCACATCACCAGCCAGGTTACAGAAACAGTGGACAAGGAACATCTCACCCACAGAGGCAGGACTGTCTAGAAGCTGGACAAGGCATGAAAACAGATTCTCCTCTAGTGCTTCCAGAAAGATCACAGCCCTGTCAGCACCTTGATTTTAGCCCACTGACATGGATTTTGGACTTAGAGCTCCAGAACCTTAATATAATAAATTTGTGTTGTTTTAAGCCATTCGGAATATGGCAATTAGTTATAGCACCAGTAAGAAACTGATATCACTGGCTTCCCACATCTAATAACTGCACAGGGATCTCACAATTTGCTAATTTTTTCTGAATTTATTTTATCACTCTTCTCAATTTTCTTCCTTAAAATTCTTATTTTGTCATATATCATTCTGAAATCCACCACTCCCCTTTTGCAACAGTGTGGGGAATAGGTAAGCAAACATTGTTAATGAAGTCGTTTTTTATTCTTTAGCCCCTTATAAGAAAGACTAACAGTAGGACCCCAGGCTCTATAAACAGATGGTCCAGGAGCAGTAGCTGCACACACAGATAAGGTTTGGAAAAGTTGCAGACGGTACATTTTCCACTAGAGAGTCACTGTGTCCGTTGACATATTAAAGTCTCTGAGAAGTCCTGTGGTAAAAGAAAACATTTAGTTTTGCTCAACCCAAAGTTTCTCAAGGTTCTGTGACCTCTGATTTAATTTTTCACATAGCATGTGTTGAGATCCATGAACCAGTGCTATGAAGGCATAGCTCAGAAATGCTGGTTTAGCAGGGAGGAAGCTGGAATCTGGATGCCTGTGGAACTGGATTTATCCTGGGCCTCCCACTGAAGAGCTATGTGGCCTAGGCACATTACTTAGCATTCATATCCCTTGTTTCCTTACATATAAAAGGAGAATAATATGTAACCTATTGCTATGGAGTAAAAGTTTCTGTACCCCAAAATTCTTATGTTGAACCCTAACCCCAATGTGATGGTACTAGGAGGTAGAGTTTTTCGGAGGTAATTAGGTCATGAAGAGGTGAAGTCCTTATGATAGGATTAGTGCTCCTGTAAGAAGAGATACCAGAGCTCTCTCTATCTTTATCATGTGAGAATGCAGCAAGAAGGTGGCTGTTTGCAAGCCCAAAAGAGAGCCCTCATCTGGAACCCTATCAGCTTTCACTTTGATCTTGGACTTCCCAGCCTCCAGAATTATTAGAAATAAGTTTTTGCTTTTCAAGCTACCTAGTCTACAGTATTTTATTACAGTAGCCCAAGCAGACTCAGAAATCTACCTTACAGGTTTTCCCTTGAAGGTGATTATTAAGAGGACAGACAATTGTGAGTATAGCTTCCCATGCCTCAGATATAGATCTTGATTTTCATTCCTATTACTGCTTCAGGCAGTAAAGATTAAAGTTGGTGCATTATCTACAGCTTTCCACTTTCCCTGGGAGGACTCTCAGTAGCTACCTACTGCCCTGGATGGCAGCTTGCAACCTTCTGGAATTCAAATAACCAACATTGTCAGACATTCTCTTTTGACTATCAGCACCAAAGCATCATGTGCGATATATTTTAATTAAACATAATTTTATTAAAAACACAATTTTATTATCAAAAACATAATTTTCTTTTAACATATCATATTACTTTTTTTAAGTTACTAGGGCTATTATGGGCCAGAAAGACACAGAAACAGACAATGGATTCCCAGCGCTGCTTGTTTTGCAGAAAAGTTTTAGATCTTTTTATGCTCTGGACTGCTTTAGCAGATTGGTAATGCCTATGGACCTATATCAGAATAATATTTGTAAGTGAATAAAATATAATACATAAATTGTAAAGAAAACCAACTATCTTCATCTACCATTACCAAAAGTTGAAAAAATAATCTGTGATATAGTAATATATGGGCATCTTTAATGCAGTAAAAAATATGAGCTAGCCACTAATCCAGTGACCACCATAGTTTTGAAGTACTGATAAGCATAAATTTCATTTTGAGACTCTGCAACAACTATAATGTCAAATTAAAATAACTATGATTTCTATTGGTGACCAAGTCACAAGTTTTGCTAATACAAGATGATTGGTTGCCTATAGTCATAGTAGAAGGAGATGCTTTTTTCTGTAGGACAGAAGTAAAAATAAATGTGTTTTTTTCCTATCCATGTTTGCAGATCTCTTGAATTTTATTTAGGGTCCCCAGGAGCCCATAGTTGAAACTTTAGCTACCCTTCTGTTAGGATAAGCTGGGAAAGGAAAGTTGAAGAGAGAGAAAAAAAGAAAAGGGCTCAAAGAGAGAGAATGAGATTGAGAAACTGAGATCCCAAGTAGAAAAATTCCAGTAATGCAAATGAAAGTGTCATGTAGGCGCTGCCAGTAAGAGTTGAAAAAGAAATGGCGGGAACAAAAACAAAACAAGAGACTGGGAGCAAGAAAGAGAGTTTTATTTCCAAAGCGCCACAGATGGGGTTAGTTACAACCCTAGTCCTGGGTCCTTGGGTGGGACAGGCAATCCTTTGTCTGCTAGGAGCTCTGAAACAGGATATTAACCACAAGGATATGGGAAACCTGGCAAGTCTACCAAGATGCATACC
Source organism: Homo sapiens (assembly GCF_000001405.40). NCBI lineage: Eukaryota > Metazoa > Chordata > Mammalia > Primates > Hominidae > Homo > Homo sapiens. The sequence continues at coordinate 83,127,802 of NC_000009.12, forward strand.
CCAGAACCTGCAGTAGCCATTGATGCCAAAACAAATTAGGGATGATTTTCCTAATTCTTCATGCATTTCAACAACAATCAAACCTGCTAGTGATGGACAATATTTCCCGTGATATTTCTTAGATGAGATGATATTTGTTCCTATTCTTTGATCTAAAGCTCAAGAAATAGAGCCAGGAAACACCTGCTACTATAAAGGGCTTTTTCTTTTTTATTTTTCTTTTCTTTTTTTTTTTTTTTGTTTTGCAAAAGCTATTTGAATGATATCCAACTTCCACTTCTACTCTATAACTTATGGGAGGACATACTGCTTGAATTATGAAGCATCTTAGCAATTCTTAGCAACTCTTCTTTAAAAATAATAATGATGGCTTCAATATTATAGTTTTTATTCCATGTTACTTTGTTCCTTGAACCACATAGTGACAACGGCAGGAGGCAGTCAAACGCCTAGGCAGATGGGGCAGATCCCTGGTGAAACCCGATCTTCAAGCTGAAGACAGTCCTGGGTAAATCCTCAGACTGGATTGAGAACTCTCTTCCCATTTGGTGGCTTTCCTCTGATTGGTCCCCACCCTTCACCTATTTCATATATATCTACCCTTTCCTAACTGGATTTCTACACTGTCGTGCCCAATTTTGAGTGGTACCTTTGTTTTAGCCTTTTTTTTTTTTTTTTGCATACTCACAAACCAATCGGCATGCAGTCCCCAATTCTGAGCCCATAAAAACCCTGGACCCAGACACACTGGGAAATAAACCACCCAGTTTTGGGTGGGGGGGCCACCCCTGTGTCCCCTCTCCACTGAGAACTGTTCCATCACTCAGTAAAATTCTTCTCTGTCCTCTTCACCCTTCAATTGTCAGCATATCCTCATTCTTCTTGGACACAGGACAAGAACTCAGGAACCACCAAACGTGGGTATGAGCTATAACACAAGTGGGCTGGGGCACAACCAGCCCAGCCACCAGCTGAGCCAGTGCACAAGTCAGGCACAGCCCAGGCAGGCTGAGTGGGTGGGCCACCTCCTGTAGCAGGTAGCATGGCCGAGTGAGGCCCAGGCAGAGACATAGTCAGTGGAGGTTTCCAGCTGACAAAGTGATCAAGAAAAATTCTGCATTAATACACTAGTAATTTGTTAATCAATATTTCACCAAAGAGCATGATGCATATAGATATTCAGAGAAAAGTGTTCAAATCAATTAATTTTATCCCCATATAGGTCAGTTATCTTTAAACAAAAACAAAGATTAAAAATTCCATTTATCTTCTGACATAAACTATATACTCCTTTGTCAGATGACTTTCAAATAGTGCCTTTGGGGCCAAAATGGTTCCACAATAAAAGTCCATCACTAACTTTGGGAGGCTGAGGTGGGCGGATCACAGGGTCAGGAGATCGAGATCATCCTGTCTAACATGGTGAAACCCTGTCTCTACTAAAAATACAAAAAAATTATCTGGGCATGGTGGCGGGCACCTGTGGTCCCAGCCACTTGGGAGGCTGAGGCAGGAGAATGGCATGAGCCCGGGAGGCGGAGCTTGCAGTGAGCTGAGATTGCACCACTGCACTCCAGCATGGGTGACAGAACAAGACTCCACCTCAAAAAAAAAAAAAAAAGTCCATCACTAGTGTGAGAAAGAATCTAAGTAGCTTTATTTAAAGTCAATTAAAATTAACCAATTACTGCTTTAAGTTTTTGTTATAAATAGAGAGTATTTATTTCTAACAGAATTGCACTCTTCCTGTTTCAGCCAAAACTTTATACAGGAGTGTGATATTAAATAGAAGCTTCATCATTAGTTTTAGAATGTGTCTCCTCCTTAAGCTAGGCTTAACCTGAAAATAAGCATTTATGGAGAACATAAGGGATGAGGAAAAATATCCAGGTAGCCACGGAAGTCACTGAAAAATTCTACCCAGTTCAATACCTTCCTCCTCAAATCCTGGATATTTGCTCACACTCTGAACTCTCCAAGTAGGGTTGCAGATGAGAGCCAAAGGCTACAGCACTGGTTTTAATTTCTGAGTTAAGTACCATACAACCAACAAAACACGTTGACTTAAAAGAAATATGCAACACAAGGAAACAATACATCCTAAGGTACATAATAGATTTTATTTTGTTATAGGAATGACTGGAAACTCTGCAGTATATGTCTGCTGTATCCATGAGATTCCAAGGCATGGTGTGACCAAATGCTTTAATGTCACCAAATGCCTTGGTATATTTTGGCTCAGAAAAGTCAGTTGCCTCAGTAGTACAAAGTGAAGAAAAGCAATATGAGTTCCATGCTCAGAGATGACATTCTTTAGAGCTCACATTCTTGAAGTCAGTCTTTCTATTTTCCATTTTACCCCTGAATCTCAGATACCTAAATGGCTTTTCTGGATAATCTCATCTTTTAAAATACTTTGTAATCTATCCTTGTGTAATTTTTTTAAGACTTTATCTTTTTAGAGCTGTTTTAGTTTCACAGCAAAATTGAGTGGGTGGAAGGTCTAGAGACTTTACATAAACCTTTAGCCCCCACATGTTCATAGCCTCCCCAATTATCAACATCCCATATCAGAACTGCACATATGTTAAAAGCAATGAACCTACATGGACACATCATTATCATCAAAGTCCATAGTTCACATTAAGGTTCACTCTTGGTGCTGTACATTCTATGGGTTTGGACAAATCTTGTGTAATTTTCTATTCAGCAGAATAAACCACATTTTCTCCTGAGAATCAATTGTTAAATACCACACTGACACAGTATTGAAACCATCTGACTCACATGGGAGCAACACACTAGCTTTTATTCATTCATTCAATCAATCATTTGTTCAATACTTATTGAGTACCTGCTGCGTGTTAAGCACTGAGCCAAGCAGTCAGCATACAAGGAAACAAGTATAATGTTCTTGTCTTCAGTGACTCACAGCCTCATGAAAGGAAACCAATACCCAACCCAGACAGCTTACAAACACACAGGGTGATGAGCAATGTGTATAAGTGCTACAAAACACTGACAAAGGAGCAAATACCCAGGTTGTCCTAGTTCCTCCAAAGCTGGCAGGACAATTCGAGAATAAAAGGGACTAAATTATCTTGTCACCTAATATTTGTTGAAGGCTTACCATGTGCAAGGCACTGAACAAGTGTCCTGGACTGGCATCCTTAGCTTCAGGTTCTGGTTTTAGCTCTAACACTAGCTAGCAGTGTGATGTTTCTGTAACACTCTACTTCTAGCTCCTAGTTCCTCATGTGAAAAAAAAGTGAAACAGTCAGACAACGTGATCTCCTGGGTCCTTTCTAACTCTGACCCTAGGGCGTTTCTTCAAACAACAGGATTTGTTCACAAATGACAGGATCATCTATGTATAAAATATTTTCAATGAACAAAACAGTCATGTGGCCAATAAGCAATTATAGAAAAGTTACAGGAAACAAATATTGTACATGGCATTACATAAATGCCAATAACAGAGAAAATAAATTATTTTGCATCTGAGGGCAAAAAAATTATGAGATAGGTTGTTAGAGAAGAGGAGGGGTATTGTTGGATTGAAAGGAAACAATTTATCCAAAAGGCAGACTTGAGGACAGTGTCACCCAGCAGGAGGTATCCTCTAACAACTGTATACTGGATTTTCAACATATGAAAGCTAGAGGGTTAGAAGACAGCTCATCACACTGAAACATAATCTCAAAAATAGAAAGCTTATTGATAAGTGTCTCAAAATGTGGCTATACTACCAAGAAGCCATTCAATTTGATAAGGACTGATCTCGCTCGGCAAAGATTTTCCAGGGCCATTCTGGATTGCAGTGGATCACTTCTAAATCTCTTAAATCTCTTCCAGTCTAGCTATATAAATGCCAAGACTCCACACAGTCATTGGCACTGATGTAGGAGTTACAGCATTAACTCTCTCTGATCCATGAAAACTAAACATCTAAATGGGTATACTCTAAGCTATATAAGATTTAAAATAATGGTACCTTTTAATATAGTCAGCCCAAATCATCCCTTTGTGGCTTGCATATATATAGGATGTCTACAGAATTTGTAAAGACAAATCTTTTTTGATCAGTTCATCTTTCTACCTGGAGACAACTCTGGTAATAATGGTCTAAAACAACATTCCCAAAGTATGTTTCATAGAACCAATATTAAATTAAAAAAGAGGGTTTGGTGATAGAACACATTTTCCAAAGATGGTATTAATAACAACACTATTTCCCATCCTACATGTTCTTCTAGAACTTTACTACTTCCTCAACAAGATGTAGAATTGAATTCCCCTGTTCTTAAACCTGGGTGGGCTTGTGACCACTTGTAATAAAAAAAATACAATGAAAGCAGCACTGCATAACTTCCAAGATTATGTCATAAGAGTCATGGCATCTTCTACTTGGTGAGTTGCCATACTGGCATCAGAACTCGGAGCTACCATGTAATAGTCTTACCTGGAGAAAGCCATGCTGTGAGGAAACCCAATCTAGCCTACATAGAGAAGCCACAAGGAAAAGCTCTAACATGGCAGGAAGACAGATGACCAGCAAGTCTCCAGTGGTTTTTGCCACTTGTTATTTTGGACAGCCACCTCCTAATCTCCTAACTACAATGCTTGAAACATCCTAAGCCAGAAGAAGCACCCAGGTGAATCCTTCCCAGATTCCTGACCCATGGACACTCTAGGTGATATTAAGTGATTATTGTCTTATGCCTCTAAGTTTTAGGGCAATTAGTTTCACAGCAATACTAAGAGGTCTCATAACAAAATTTGGGCAAAACTAGGTTAAACCAAACTCTATAGATTTTTGCTTTCCCCTTCAGGATTTTTTCAGAGGCTTTCATATGCTAATGAGCATGTTCATCTTCAAGACTGACATTAGTATGCAGTATTTCCCAATTTATTTCCCCAAGCAACTATTTCTATAGCTATTATCAAGGGATAACTTTGGAAAATGCTGGGCTAAATTAATGCTCTCTTCTCATTTGTAGATTTCTCTCTTTCCAGTGATCTGAGCTAAAGATAATGAAGATTTTACTTTACCATGGTAATAAATTGAAGAACAAACAGCTATTGCCCAGCCCAGAAAGAGCCACCTCTTGGTAACTCCTGTGTGTGACATAAACTCATACCAGCAGTATCACAGAGCAAACAGCATAAACTCTGAATGCCACTCACTATTTGCTTTGCCAATAATAGTTCCAGGATGTACTGTTCTTCCAATGGGCTTAACAAACATTTCGATGCACTGAAATTTCATAATCCTCTGGCTCTTCTGACTATCTTACTTTCAAACTGAAAAGCTCTAAGAAAAAAAGAAAGAGAGAGAGATTTTGTTCCTAACCTCTTTGAGAGGAATGAAAGAATTATGCAGCAAACTCCACTCCAGTGTAGCATCAGTTCCTTACTTGGCTTTAAAATAGAGTACTTCTCCTGTCCAGAAACTCCTGGAAGACCAAGGAAAAGGACTCCAACACTAGTGATTAGGAAAATTTTGCTCACTTTTTAATTGTTTAAAAACAAGAGACAACATTGAAAAATTTAGAAATAGTTCATTTTTAAAATCAAATATGTGAAATGGTAATTAAGCTAAAGGAGTCAAACCTTAGTAAATATATAACAAGGGATTATCACTTACTGATTTGATAAAAGAACAGGAGTGAGGAGTTACTCATCTGATTCCCAATTAGTCACTATATGAATACGTCGAATGATCTAACCTATGACTCAGTTTCTCCACAAATAAAATGCCACTCTGTTTTCTAGCCCCTTTACCTAAAGTCTAGTCAAAGTTAGAGCTAGGACTGGGATGAAGACAATGAGGCACTCTCCATCAGTGCAAAATTTAAAAGGACACCAAAAATCTCAGTAACCAAGTTAAATAATATTTAGTGCAATTGTTTTTAAAAATCAAAATAATGCAAACAAAATCTATGATTAACAAAAGGTCAAAACTTTCAATAAAAATTTATCAATAATACTGATTTTCCCCTTTCCCTGAGGTTCCAATATGGCTCAGAATGGTGCTCTTACTGAGCTCTAAAACTCACACAAATTGAGTTCCACCAATTCATCATATACACAGTAATTAAGGCAAATAAGAAACCAATGCTTATTTTAGTTCCCCCATGCAATTCACAGGTATTCTCTTACATAGAGATCACACTTATCTACTTATCGAAGCAAATCACTTCAGGATTCTGCACTAGTCCAAATTATGATAGTCAACATTAACAATATAGGTATGGGTATACACATAGACATACATGTAGATATCTGTACAGATATCAATACTAACATACATAGGTATACACCAAATGTACCGAAGTGGAATTTTCCCACTTACATCCAGACTTTCTGATCCCTCTTCTCTCCCTCCCTACTCTCAGCCACCTGACTAGCAGAGGTGGTTTTACTGTACTTTCACAGAGAAGTGTAACAGAGAATACATGGGATAGAAACTCATGTCTTGTCCAGAAAATCCTGTGAAGAACACTTAGTCCACACCTTTTACCAAAGAGCTTTCTCATTTGATCACACTGATTGCGAACAGATTCTTTCCCCCAACAAAGAATTTGTTCCTCTTTGATCACAATAGCGCACACACACACACACACACACACACACACACACACACACATATATATATATCAGATAAGATAGGGCCTTTGTTCAGTTTAAATACAAAGTTGGTACCAAATGAAATAAAACCTCATTACACCAGGCTTGTTACCCACAGATTGGAGCTCATAGATTTTAAAAAATTACTTCTTTCTAATTATTAATATATGTCCATTACAGAAGAATAAGTAAACAAAAGAAGAAAGTAAGAGCTACCTACAATGGGGTCATAAACTAGTGCCAGCTGCTTTAGAAAACAGTCTAGCAGTTCCTCAAAATATTAAACACGGAGTTATCATATGACCCAACAATTCCACTTCTAAGGGTACACCCAAGAGAATTGAAAATAAACACATGTCTACACAAAAACTTGTACATAAATGCTCGTAGCAGTATTTTCACAACAGCCAAAATGTAGAAACACCCAAATGTCCATCCACCAGTGGTATCTCTATATCATGAAAATATTCAGCCATAAAAAGGAATGAAGTACTGATGCATGCTACAGTATGGATGAACTTTGAAAACCTTATGCTAAGTGAAAGAAGACAGACACAGAAGGCCACATACTGTATGATTTCACTTACATGAAACATCCTGATTAAGGAAATTCATACAGACAGAAAGTAGATTGATGATTGTTAGGAACTGGGGAGAGGGGTAATGGGGAGTAACTGCTAGGGGGTACAGGATTTCTTTGGGGTAGTGAAAATATTCTAAAATTAGATAGTGGTGATGGTTGCACAACTCTATGAATATACTAAAAATGCATGGATGAAGCTGGAAACCATCATTCTGAGCAAACTATCTCAAAGACAAAAAACCAAACACTGCATGTTCTCACCCATAGGTGTGAATTGAACAATGAGAACACTTGGACACAGGAAGGGGAACAGCACACACCGGGGCCTGTCGTGGGGTGGGGGGAAGAGGGAGGGATAGCATTAGGAGATATACCTAATGTAAATGAGTTAATGGGTGCAGCAAACCAACATGGCACATGTATACATATGTAACAAACCTGCACGTTGCGCACATGTACCCTAGAACTTAAAGTATAATTTAAAAAATAAATAAATAAATAAAAATGCTGAATTGCACACTTTAAAAGGGTGAGTTTTATAGTATGTAATTTATATCTCAATAAACCAGCTATTTTTAAAGCCACCCATAAATCCAAGACATAAAAATAAGTACAGTTAATATTTTCAATGTTGAAAATTGTCTACTGATGGATAATCACCAGTCAATCCATTTGAAAATGGTCCCATCTGTTGTTGATGCAAACACAACCTGAATGTCTCTAAGCCCCATGCTCTGTATGCAGGGAACCAATACCTGCTTTGTGCTTCACAAGTATGTTAGAGGAGAATAGGCTTCAAAATAATTTCTTCCAAGGATTTCTTCAAAAGAATTGCTCCCCTTAACCCTTAGTTAAAACTGCCTTCCCATTCTCTTGTAAATATTCAGTAGCAAGTATATCAATGCTGTTAGTGAAAATCTAGTAGTCAATAAGTAATTATTACGGTTTCCCTGGGAGAACAACTGCTTTACTAGGCTTATGAGAATGTAAATAAAATTTGCATATATGTGTATATGTATATACATATATATGATATATAGTAGCGGGACTGCTTTGTATATTTTAATTAAAGCTATAATATTAAAAATATATAAAAACAATAACAGTAAGACCATAAGTCTACCACCCTCATAAACCTGCTTTTATTTCTGCATGTATGCATATTGTCTTCTATGAACTTATAGAATTCTTTATAGTTACAATCATATAATAATTTGCATTCTGCTTTTACTTAAGAAACAGTCTTCACACATCTTTAGAATTTATTTTATTTGCATGGTTTCATAGCATACCTTTGCGCAAAGTGAAAATGCATATAACCATTCCCCTAATAGTACTGCAAATAAAGTTAGATTGAACACCTTTAATGTAGAAATAGATATTGAATATGCAAATGTTAAATATTTATACCATTTAATGTGTACATATGACCTATTTAACCTTGACTACTTCATTAAGATAAATTTATGCATGGGGGATTATTAGCTCTTATTACAAATTACCATATTACCTTCCAAAAAGTACAAACCAATTTAAAGACCCACTGCAAGAAATATGTACCAATTCTACTACGACCTCACTGGTATTGTATGGTATAAATTAACAATGATTTCATTTGGCATATTTGAGCTGTCCAGAGTTTATTTCACATATTTATTCTTGCAATGACAAGTTTTTAAAAGTGTGCTTTCTATTTGTTCCCCCTTACTCATTTAATCATTTGTATTACATATCTATTATGTATGAAATACAAGAAAATGTTTTTTCCTTGCATAGTTTACACTTTATTTATCCTTTAAATTTTAGGTGTCCTCTTTATGGGTATAACATTTACAAAATATTAACTATGTCAGTGCCTTGGGTTTTTTAATTATATGAACTGTTTAAACATGTCTATTTTTGAAGCTGTCAATCATCCTTTAACAATTTTTTTTACTTCTTCAAAAATGAAAAAGTTATTCTTCTTCCACATATTGAGCAAACATTCTATCCTTTGTCAGTTTTTATTATAATTGGGTGAGATTTTTATATGTACTTCTTTATTTCATATAGATTAATTATAAAACATGATAAAGTAGGAATTCACCTTGGTTGTTTTACTGAAATGTTATCCAATGTCTGTAATAGCCTATATTAAACAATTCTTCCTTCTTTCATCTCTTTAAACACATACAGTTTTGCCTACATATAATTGCCTTATATTGGTATTCTCCAGTCTGTGGTATTAATTAGTATTCCTACTTTTATGTAGCAAAATACTCTTTGGGGATTGTTGGTTTATGGACTGAACCTGATAGTAGATATTAAAAAAGAACATAGTCACTGGGTGCAAAATGAATAAGATAGTAAGTATGTAATAAAAAGATAATAATCATAACAACTGGTTAATTTGGAGAAGAGAGTTAGAAGTTGTGAAATATCTGTATTAAAAGTTAATCTTGAAAAACATGGGACATCATTTAGCATACAGAAAGCAGGACAATGGTAAATGCTGACAAAGAAAGAGAAAGAGCTAAAGGCAGCAAGACAATAATAGATGGGTTCATGCTGGGAATAAGAAAAATAGAGTGCTAGAAATAATTATCAAAAGGTGTGCTGAACGAAGTCAGAAGCTAGGTCAGCTGGGGCAGGGAGCCACTGAAAGTCTTTTTATCAGAATTATATGGAAACGCATGAAAAGGTTATTTAGGCAGAGTCTGGGATTAGGCAGAGATGGGAGACTGGACATGCAGTAGGTAGTGGTAGATCAGCCACAAGGGATTTTTATACATGAAGTGATTGAAAAAAAAAAATGAATAGAAAGCAGTAAATGCTCAGAGGCAGGAGGGAGGTAAAAGGAAGGGAGAGATGGATGTGGGTTAAGCTCTCAACAAATTATGTTTCTTAAAGAGAAAGATAAAAGGTTCTTAAAGGATTGACTTCCTTGGTAGAGGATATACAAACTTGAACTTTACCCTCAGAAGGAGCTAATCTATTTTAAGATATAGATACAATTTAATTTTTAGATCCTTTACAAATACTAGATACTAAGAGAAATTAAATAACAACAGCAATGATTTGTCCAAGTCTACAGAATTGACATTAGTGGTACTTCACGTTAATCTGCTTTTCCAAGCATCTAAGGTCTAAAACGTCCTTGGTATGTTGCTTTTCTGCCTGAATCTGTTGTCCAAATAATCCCAGCAGGCTAGTTTCAGATGGCACTGTTACTGAAAATACCACTATTATCTTTCTTTTACATGAGGTCCCAAGTTTACTTTTTAGATATTTCCAACTAAATGCTTTGCAATTCTTAGCCACAACATAACCCATAAACTGAAATTGTCAACAATGAAAACAGTTCTCTAAAGAAAGTATTAGAATAAGGAAGTAATCATGCTGTCAAGCAGACAAGAGGATAAAAGCAATCTTATTCTGAAAATTAATTCTGATTTAAACTTGACACCATAAAAATGCCCTAATTTGCAAACAAAGAATTATAATGGAATCTATTTTGAGGCGTAGAAAACACAGCATATCTTGCAAATCAATAGGAGCATTTTTATTGAATGCGAAAGCATCAAGTCAGCTGTTCTAGAGCAGAGCCACTTCCTTAAAAGCAGATCACTCACTGTCTTTGCCCATAGCTCCAAACACACAATTGGCTATTTTCCTATTTGAAAGACAGCTGTATTTGTTTCATAAATCCCCTCGTAGAGCTTTGAGACCTCTTGCTCTAACCAAGGCCTCAAAGGACTGTCTGTGAATTTTTAAGATGTCACCTGCTATAAACAAACCCCACTTCAAACCCTTAGAAGCTTTATAAAAAATAAAAACTTATGATTAGTGTCATGAAAATGATAAGACTTATCTGTGGTTGCCACCTCCTTACTCTAACAGTCTCCTCCCAGATTAAAAAAAAACAGCCACGAGTATTTGAACATGAAATGACACACAATTATTGACAGAGCAACCATTTGGTTACAGTTTCTGCTTTGGGAGCAGGGGTCACAAAACATCAGGCTCTCTGTAAGTCTGGAAATGGCAGCATTGCAGAATTTTCCCAGTTTGTGTCTTCCTGAATGGCAATCAGAACAAGAATGACTGGACACAGCACCCCAGATCTTCTGCCACCTTCCTTATCATAAGAGTAGGGAGCTTGTTAGACAAGCAGGATATGCCTCTTAACAGGATCCCAGAGGATGCATGTGCACATTCATGTTTGAGAAGCACTGTACATAAAAATTTGAGATTCACTGTTCTAGCACACATTCTTCCAAAATATCACTCTCTATACATTTGACCCTTGAACAACATGGGGGCTTGGGCTCCAACCCTGGTCCCAGCATAGTCACAAATCCACATATAACTTTTAACTCCCTAAAAACTTAACTATTAATAGCCTACTATTGAGCAGAAGCCTTACTGATAACATAAACAGTTGATTAACACATATTTTGTATGTTATAGGTATTATCTACTGTATTCTTACAATAAACTGAGGAAAAATGTTATTAATAAAATCATAAGGAAGAGAAAATATATTTACTATTCATTAAGTAGAAGTGAGCCATTAAAAAGGTCTTCACACTTGTCATCTTCACAATGAGTAGGCTGAGGAGGAGGAGGAACAGGAGGGGTTAGTCTTGCTGTCTCAGGGGTGGCAGAGGCGGAAGAAAATCCATATATAAGTGGACTCACACAGTTCAAATCTGTGTTGTCCAAGGGTCAACTGTATAAACTAGAGCAGAAAATGTATTTTTCTGAAATTTATGCTAAAAATCTTAAGGGTCATGGAAAACAACTTCTCTCTGAATATGAAAGTATCTCATCAGTTTAATCAGTATTTGGATATTTTTAGTATTTTAGCAAATACTAAATTGGTTAGCAAATACTATATTGGTTACTAATTTCTCCTCCCACTTTAAAATATCAACATGGAGGAAAAATCACAATAGCGGTGGAAACTAAGGCTATAAATCAATGATGTTCTTAATGACTGGGGGGAATTAGTACTAACTGTAATGTAGATGGACTATACTAAGTAATGTCTTCAGTGAGCTCATATATGGTTCTCTGAAAGAGAGCAACACAGCCAGGAAGACTTACCATGATGATGCTAGAGACCTATTTCCTTGAAGGGGACCTTCTTTTCTGAAGGAATTCTCCCCAGGAATTCCTCAGTGCTTCATTACTAGACTGATGTTGAAGCCTATAATACCGAGTCATTAAACTTGGTCATCCTGTGAGTGTACTGTATGCTGTGAGGTCAAGCCATATACAGGTGGGGACAGAAACAGGAAGCAATCCACTTTAGAGACTGAAGTTCCCCACATTTTACCTCTAATGCAGCAAGACCTCTAATGCTGATTCAAAGTCTTTAGTCATAACTACACTGGCTCATAGATAGAAAACTAGGTAATGGGAAGAAAAGTAGTCCTGCCTCTTTGGAGTAGCATTGAATGGGATAAAAGTCTTCCAGACATGAACAACTTAAGCTAGGGGCTTGGGTATCTGCTTGACTTCCAGCTTATATTTTGAAAAACGAACTCTGATGGTACCTTAGTGGACAGTGAGAGAATCCAAATAGAATATATGGGTCCTATCAGCTGGCAAACACCAGAACAGAGTCACACTTTATTCAAGGTTGTGTAATCAGGAAAATTATATAAATACAACATTTGAACATCAAAGAAAGAAATTATTGCTTTAAAGATGCAGAGAAAAATTATTCTTGTAAATACTAAGGAATCAGAAAAATAATTTAGAAAGCACTTTTATTTTCAAAAGCATAGAAGAAAATAACTTTACAAAATTAAGAAAAAATTGATGGAAATAGAAATAACTGAGGTGCAAGGCTGTTATAAAAAGGTAGATAGGGGCTCATGGCTGTAGTCCCAGCACTTTGGGAGACCAAGGCCGACAGATAACCTTAGGTCAGGAGTTCGAGACCAGCCTTGCCAACATGGTGAAACCCTGTCTCTATTAAAAATACAAAACTTAGCTGGGTGTGGTGGTGCACACCTGTAATTCCAGCTACTTGGGAGGCTGAGGCAAGAGAATCGCTTGAACCTGGGAGGCGGAGGCTGCAGTGAGCCGATATCACACCATTGCACTTCAGTCTGGGCAATAAGAGCAAAATTCCATCTCAAAAAAAAAAAAAAAAGGTAATTATCCAGGACAAAACACAAGTGTAAAGAACTAAACAAGTGTAAAGAAACTAATACTGCAATAGCTAATGAAAATCCTCCTCCAAGACAGTGCAGGACAGAAGATGCCTCCCAGAAAGCAGAATTGGTGAGATCAGAGACCAACTAGAAAAGCTCCATGAGAAAACAGATGAAGATTACAAGATAAAAAGAGATAGCAACAGACTACAGAGCACAAAGATCTCATCAGTTGTCATTGACATCCTTGAGAAAAAAGAATAAAAAATTAAGGAAGAAAAGATCTAACATACATGAAAAGGCGAGACTTCTGGCTATGGCTGAGTGAGGTCTGCAAAGCCCCTTCCCGAAAACAGCTGTAAACAAGAATCTTGAAGGATTTACGCTTTAAAAGCAGCTGAACTTCAAGTAAAAACTATGGGAGTCTGAGGCGTTCTTGTCCGGGGCTGCTCCAGTTCTTTCCCCAGGCTCCTCCAGCTCGGTACTCACCAAGGTCTGCCCAGGCAGGGGACAGATATTTGTGAAGATATTTGATTTGGAGTGGTAGAGATACACGTGCCCAATGGCATTGGTGAAGGTGATGGTCTTGGTGATTAGGGAGAGGGAGGGTCAATAATTAGACTTGCCCAAGGTTGAGGTCACGACTGGAAAAAGTACATTCCTGGCTTGGGCTTGCATAGAGCTAGGGGTTGGGAGTAGGGAATAACTTTAAATAAGCACAAAGGAACTTTTTGGGATGATGGAAAATTTCTGAAATCAAAAATCATTGAAGTGTACACTTACCATGGGTACATTTTATATGACATTTATATGCCAATACAACTGTTTTTATAAAACTATGTACAAAAGGAAAAACTTTCTAGTATGAAAGAGAGTTGGAGTCTACAGCTCTAATGAGCTCACCATGTCCCTGGCAAAAACTAATGCTGCTCAGTCTTAAACCTGTCTTGGCAACAGTTTTATTTTTGTGATAAAAATTTTATAAGTGATATGATCTTATTCATGCAGGAAAAGAAAGCCATACAAACAGATTACTTGCAAAGAAAAAACAATCACACTGAAATCAAGCTTCCTCTGTGGAAAAATAAATGTTATGCTCATCAAAGGAAGAAATTTTTGGAGAATTTTAACAGAACAAGTTGAGCTTTCAGAATTATATGCCACGTTAAGTTGCAGCTCTTGTCAAAGCAATAGAAATATAAGCAGGTGTGCTTATTTGATGTACAAGAGTTTACAGTTGATTCCTCTGAATAACAAACTACATGCATTTTAGATAGTTTGATTTGTAAACAATATTTTTCCCATAATACTTCAAAGAAATACATCTATTGCAAAAGTTAGAGCCTGAAGTTTAACTATCTTCAGTGACAGGCAAGTAACATCAATGAAGTGAGAAGGCCAGGTGCACAACCATGATATGCCAGAGTCAGCATTTCTGGGTTTGAGTGCTGCTCTTGATATTCAGCTTTTGCAACAGAGAAACTATAGGGAGTGGTGAGGACTGCAGCAAACCAGAGAGGATTCCAGGAGCTTAACACCTTTCAAGGATGGGAACCTGTGTTGGTGGATCCTTTCATTTTTTAAGAGAAATCAGGTATCTCTATTTTTACATTTAAAAAACTTCAGCTTACTCATCTAAAAATAAAGGAGTTTATCAAGAATCAGTGGCTTTCATGCTGTTTTAGGGTATAGAAGTCTTTCTTCAAATAGAATTCTCCATAGAACACAAAAATTATAAAACAGAACAAGATTATCTTTTACATCTCTCAGAGTTCTCTATGATGTTATGGGATCCCGAGTGAAAGTTGGTGAAGTAATTAATGGTCTGTTATCTAGCTGGTCAGTATCTTTAATTTATGCTGATTAAACTCATCAGTTTAGTTCAATTTAACAGGTATTAAGTGACTGTTATGGACTAGATTCTGGGCTGAAGTCATGATCTGTCCTTGAAGGATTCATGATCCCACAGTTGACAGTCAAAGATATTTATTCAGGCAGGAGTGAAGAGCAGCACAGAGGCTGAAGCAAACCCTGCTTGCACAATTGCAACAAAAACAAAAATTGACAAGTGGTACCTAATTAAACTGAAGAGCTTCTGCACAGCAGAAGAAATTATCAACAGTAAACAGACAACCTACAGAATGGCAGAAAATATTTGTAAACTATGCATCCGACAAAGGTCTAATATCCAGAATCTATAAGGAACTTAAAGCAACAAGGAAAAACAAATAACCCCATTAAAAAACAGGAAAAGGTCATGAATAGACACGTCTCAAAAGAAGACATAAAACAGCCAACAAACACATGAAAAAATGCTCGTCATCACTAACAATGTGGGAAATACAAATTAAGACCACAATTTAATAATAATAATATTTAACTTATTGCTAATATTGTTAATATTATTGTTAAGTAATAATGTTTAACAATAGCCATTTTGTGAGATATCATCCCACACCAATCAGAATGGCTGTTATTAAAAAGTCAAAAAAACAACAGATGCTGGCAAGGCTGTGGAAAAAAGGGAACCCTTAGACACTGTTGATAAGAATGTAAATTAGTTAAGCCACTGTGGAAAGCAGTTTGAAGATTTCTCAAATAATTTAAAACAGAGCTACCATTCGGCCTAGCAATCCCATTACTGGGTATATAACCAAAGGAAAGTAGATCATTATACTGAAAAGATACATATGCTCATATGTTCATAGCCATATTCACCATAGCAAAGACATAGAATTGACCCAGGTGCCCATCAATGGTAGACTGGATAAAGAAAATGGTACATACACACCATGGAATAGTACGCAACCATAAAAAAGAATGAAATCCTGTCCTTTGCAGCAACATGGTTGGAGGTGGAGGCCATTATCCTAAGCAAATTAACTCAGGAACAGAAAAGCAAATACCACATGTTCTCACTTACAAGTGGGAGCTAAACACTAAGCATACATGGACATAAACATGGCAACAATAGACACTGTGGATTACTAGAAGGGAGAAAGGGGAGTAAGGATGGGGACAGGGGAAGGGAGGCACGGGGTTGTAGCTTGAAAAATTATCTATTGGGTACCACTCTCACTGCCTGGTGCAATATACCCATGTAACAAATCTGCACATATATCCCCTATATCTAAAATGAAAGCTGACACTAAAAGAAAGAAAGAAGGAAAGAAAGAAAGAAAGAAAGAAAGAAAGAAAGAAAGAAAGAAAGAAAGAAAGAAAGAAAGAAAGGAAAGAAAGAAAGAAAGAAAGAAAGAAAAGAAAAGAAAGAAAGGAAAAGAAAAAAGAAAAGAAAAGAGAAGAGAAAAGAAAAGAAGAGAAAAGAAAAGAAAATCCTGCTTGAGGAGGAACAAGGGGAAGATTTCAGGCAAGGTTACATTTCCACTGTGCTTTAAAGGATGGGTTGGATTTTTCCAAGCAGAGATAGGACTGGTGGTGGGTATCTGGAACAAATGTGTAGGTTGAAAAACCACACACAGGTGTGAAAGAGCACAGTACATCCAGGCAAAATTAGACAGCTGGTGCACAAAAGGAAACAGCACCCAGAAATTAAACATTCACTTGCTTACTGGTAACTGAGTTACACTAACAGTCACTCCCTACAGTATTCAGCATGGAAGAAGAGATAAACCAGGGCTCAGAGTGGCATGAACTAAAATGTTGGCTTACAACTATAAAACACTTAATCAGTTATACATTTTAAATCAGAATGACAAGGATAATCTGTTACTTTAATAAGCCAAATACTGTAAAATAGTGCAAATAGCCAAAACAAATTTGTATAGATTTTTACACAAAATATTAATATCATGGATTTTTATTCTCATAAACATCTCTAGTCTTAATTCTGAATGTTTCTAGGATTAGTCCATTAACTTGTTTAAAAAGTTTTTTAATTATCACAAACAATTTTGAAGCTACCTTTTCAAGGAATCTTTGGAGGTGCCTCTTCAATTTGCTACACAAAAAATTTCTTAACAAGATAATTATTAGTTTGAATGCAGACTGAATTCTTGTTTAAAATACAGACAGGACAGAACCCTATTTATAACTATAACAAGGACTATAAAACATATAGAAGAAGATAATCAAACGTCCATGTCTCTGGAGTGGAGTTGTACCATGACAGAATTTCCAAGTCAGATTTGAGCCCAGATCCCCCATCCAGGGTTACTATACCACTTAAGAGAATTTTGAATTAATTTCAGTCTTATATTTTTAAGGAATATCGTATTTTAATAGGTATTAAATATTATATTTTCCCATTTAGCTCAAGAGACCTTAGAGCTGAAAATAACCCTGAGTTCGTTTAGGGCCCAGTAGGGCCCTAAAATTTATTTCAATACTAAAAAGACAGCTATGTAGATTCTCTATCATTTTAACCTGTCTTACCACAACTTCTAAGGTTGGTCTATTGACAGAGCCTAGCATGTTTTGGTGTTAAATAAATAATAGTTCCAAGGAAGATTGTTAAGCTTAATATTAAAAAGGATCTCATATAACTTTAAAATACCTACAATTCAGTAAGATAAAAATAAAGAAGAGAGAAAATAGAAATAAAGAGGGGAAAATGGGTAAAAAAATAAAATAAGGCCACAAGTTAGGTTAGTTTACCAAATAAAAATTATAACATCTTATGTGCTATTAAGATGTTTAATTTCACAAATTTGGGTCTGGATTCCCTAGTGGCCAAGGCAAAGAAAAAAGTAGAATCCTACTTTCCATTAAGTAATATCAAACAAGTAACTCAGAAGAATAACAAATATCCCTAGGTCTGAGTTTTCTGAGAAATTTATTTTATGGGTCCTCATAAACAAGATAATTTAAAATGTAGTTATAAAGAAGTTTCTGCCTTAAAGTTTCATAATCTGTGATATTTGAAGCAAACAAATGAAGTGCTAAAGAAGCCAAAAATAGAGTTCTTATGGGGATACTCCTTGGAGACCCATCTAGTTGCCCACGAGGTAAGTCCTCAAAAGACATCCATATAAAAAAGCAAGAAGTTTGTTTTTCGTAAGATGTCTCAAAACAGGGCAACGATAAAAACAATCACCAGCAATTCAGTTAACCTCTGTGGGCCTCAGTATCATCACTTGAAAAAGGGAAATATAAACAGGTGGAATAGGCTAGATCATCCCTAAGGGTCCTTCTAGAACTAAAAAAGTGTGATTCTTAATTAAACTTTTACTAATCCCCTACTATGTGCTATGTTTCTCCGAATAAAAAAGATTTCTAAACCCATACATACACACATATGTCCCTTTGAGTGTTTCATAATTTCGCTATTTTGTAGAGTAGAATTGCTGCTACTTGCTTGTTATTACAGCAAGAAAGAATCCAATATTTGCACACCAATTGATCCATGAATGTCAACAGAGAGCACACAGCCTCTGCCCTCCTAAATTGTTCATCTGTGAACTTGGGTGAAAGTTGAAAACTCTTATCGAATATTCAAATCTCTTTTTGACAGCTTCTGTCTGACCGAAATTTTCAAACTAAATTGTATGGGTGCATATGCTAAACAAGGAACTTAACACCCTTCTGTTTTAAACAGTCATTGTATCTAAAATCTCAGGAACATTTCCCACCATTACAAATCCTTAACTGAAGGCACAAGTATTATGTTGGGCTTCTGAAACCTCAGGAACAAAATTAGGCAGAGCAGACAGAGCCCCCAGCAACTGGATGAGAGTGATGGACGTGAAGCTAACAAAAATTAACCATCTTAGTATAAATTATAAAAGGTGATAGTAGAATCTTCAGAGCACTTTACAATATGACTATGCTCTGTACCTCCCAGGAGCCACAAACATGTAACATATACCAAATGTATGTGTGTGCGTGTGTATATGTGTGTGTGTGTGTGTGTATATATATATGTATATATATATATATATATAAATATGTACATCTCATAATATTTTTGGAGAAAATATTGGTAAACCCGGATTAGAACATTTTGCAATCACATTCTTTCCACCTCAGAAAGAACAATTATGTAACAGAAAGCATTTTCAGATCATTTTTACAGTAGCAGGAGCCTGATATTTTTAGAGTGCTTTAGGTAAGTTCTCTTGGTGACAAAAATACTATGCACAGTGCTGCTAATGACATGACTCTCTAAAGACACAAACAACTCTTGGTAAATTTCCAAACAAACGAAAGCACATCATTTCTGCAATAAATCTTGTGGCTACATTTCTGAGAAGGTCGGCGCATATTAAAATTGTGCAAAAATTACTTTGAATCTATATGTAAAATAGTGTTGAAATAGGAGAGTTCCCTGACCCCCTTACAGAACATGCTACAGGGGTGTGGTGCATATGTTCAGCTGTCAGGCACTCAAACCCCTTATGGGAGGGGCAGCATGCAGATGGGATGGTATACAAGCCAGGGTAAGCACTTTTGGGCTCTGGCCCCATGGTAGTGTCTAGGGGTGGGTGCCTGCGACTCCTAAAGCCCTGGTAAGCATGTGTTACAGTGCTCCTTTAGCTCTGCCATCTACAGACAGCTTAAATGTTAACCAGCTCAGTGCCCTTTTGGTACCCAGGTCCTTGTCTGGCATCCAGGAAGAATCAGGTTACACACAGACTTGAAGGACGGTTAATTCAGGAGGTTTTATTGAGTGGTGGAGGTGGCTCTCAGCAGGATGGAGGGGGAGCTGGAAAGGGGATGGAGTGGGAAGATGATCTTCCCCTGGAGTTTGGTCATCCCGCTGCCGAACTCCTCTCCGACCATCCCCAGCCAAATTCCTCTCAACACTCAGACACTCCTTCTCTGCTGTGCTGCTCTTCTGTTCCTCCGCTCTTCTGCTCATCTGCTTGTGGAGCCTGGGGTTTGAGGTGTATGTGGGTAGAGGATAGGAGGCTATGGCAGGCCAAAAGCTAACAATTGGGTGTGAAAAGAGGAATGCCCGTTCCCATCTAGGTCTGAGGGTTTCCAGTCTTGAGGGTAATGCCTTTGCTGGGGAAGTGCCCTCTTCTACCCAGTATTTCCTTGCCTCCTATCTGTATCAGTGTTACTTTCTATGTTCAGAAAATCATAAAGTGTTTTTTACCTGCATAAATGTCTAATCAGATATTAAAATATCATGTGAGATATGTGTTATGGGCTGAACTGTGATCCCCCAAATTCATATTTTGAAGTTCTAATTCCCAGTGCCCCAGCATGTAAGATGGGAGAATGTTAGAGTAGGGTGAGCCCTCAATCCAATATAACTGGTATCCTTATACAAAGGGAAAATTTGGATACAGGAACACTCACAGGGAGAACACCATGTGAAGATGAAGGCAGAGTCTGAGGTGATGCTTTACAAGCCAAGAAAAGCCAGAGATTGCTAACAAACCACAGGATGGGAGAGAGGCATGGAACAGATTCCCTCTCACAGCCCTCAGAAGGAACCAACCCTGCCAGGACCTTGATCTCAGATTTAGCCCCTGGAATTGTGTGACAATACATCTCTGATATTTATGCCACTCAGTTTGTGGTCTTTGTTACAACAGCCCTTGGAAACTGATACGATGTGGATTAGAGTGAGACTTCTCAAAGGATATCTTTTTATATCGTGTTAATTTTTTAAGCCAAGTGAATGTAGTACCCATTCAACATAGCATATTTTTTATACAATCCCATGCTAATGAGATACTGTCTCATGGGGAGCTGGGGAGAAGACAGCGAGAAAACCATTCAAATCCAGTCCACATGATTCCTCTGGCAGGGATCTACCATTCTATAAAGTGGTAATGCTGAGTGCCTGAAGAACATCCCTGCATTGCTAGAAAAGCCTCTTCAGCCCACGCTCTGTCACAGCTTGGCTGGCCCCACGGCAGCAATGCAGAGTGAGAGAGCGGGGCTGATGACAAGCCACAGCAACCACCCCATCATCTTCCAAGACAAGGCAGTCGGTGATAGGGATCTGCCACCCTAGAGACTGGAAAAACAAAAACACAAGGACCTTAAAGAGCTCCCTTTGTCATCTCCTCCAGGAAAGAGCCTGCTCCCAGGTGTCCTCTTATTGGCCACAAAGATTATGGCACACCAGTGGGACAGACATTGAAGTCCCAGTGGAAATGTCACCATACAGATATTGTGCCTGTCCTCAGGCTACTTAGAATCTAGCTGTAGAAGACTTTCAGCAATCAAATGGTCCCATGTTTAGTGGCCCTTGATTAATGCTAAAGAAATACAGCATGTGGGGAGATCATAGGGAGGCTACATTAGGGAGCTGGAGAAGGCTTTCCCCAGGAAGAGACATTACACTGAAGTAGGAAGGAGGTTGGATATTACAGGATAAAGGGGAGCATGGCACCCATGGAGACTGCCCCAGGCAAAGGAAATGGTGTGTAAGAAGGCATTGAGGCAGGAAGGCATGGCTTAGAGAGTGAGGGAGGAGTGACCCAAGATGAGGCAGCAGGGTAGGCAGGGGCAGACTGTGCATGGCCTGAGAGGCCACAATGAGGGCTTGAACCCAGTGGCTTTGAGTAAGGATCAGACCCGAGCTTTAAAAAATCTCAACTCTGGCCACCCCATGAAGCTGCAACACTGCACCATGGTACTCGACAACCACGTCAGGTACTCAACAGCCAACCGCAGCAGATTGTTTTTAACACCCCCTCTTCTACAGGGCAGTGAGCTGTTTTTACTCACAGCACTTCTAACACCAAATGTTAGGGATGGGGGATTCTATACCAATGACCAATTCCTGAATTATTTAACACCAACAAGTCATCTAGAATTCAATTCAATTCTAACACTAACTACCAGGACGTCACTTCAGACTGCATAGGTTTAAGGGCTATCCCACAAGAATACCCTTATTTCAGACACGATTAGTGAGTACCAAGTCCCCAGGTTACCCACACTTCTGTCCAACTTGGCTACAAATGGGGAGTTCCCACATCCCTTCCCCCAACCTTGACAACTTGCTACAACTCACAGAAGTTGTGCAGCACTGTACTCACTATTCCAGCTTTATTATAAAGGACATAGCTCGGGAGCAGCCAAATGGAAGAGATGCACAGGACAAGGTGTGAAGAGGGAGTGTGGAGCTGCCTTGCTCTCCAGGTGCCACCCTCCAAATCCAGAAGTTCTGAAACCCATCATTTAGGGGTTTTTATGATGGTTTCATCATGTAGGTGAGATTGATTACCTGGAGGTTGAAGTGTGGTACTGAAAGTTTCAGACTTCTAATCAAAGTTTGGTCTTTCTGACAACCACCCCCATAATTAAGCTATCTATGGGCCCACGAAGACTCATCTCATTAGAACAAAGGACACTTCTATCACTCAGGGAATTCCAAGGGATTTCAGGAGCAGCTCTGTGTCAGGAACAGGAGACAAAGACCAGATATATATTTCTTATTATACCACAAGGGCAAATTATTTTCAGTAATAATCATTATTCTCTTGAATTATTTGGTTTTAAAATAATAATTTTAAAAACAATACTCTGAACTTTAAAAGCATTATTTAACTTTAGTAAATCACTTCATGTATGAACTAAAATGAGCACACACCAAAGATATTAAACCTCATAGTTTCACCATAATAAATGTTAAACATATAAAGTCTCTGTGGTTATGTGAAATAAATTTAAGTTCTGTTTATTCATCTTTATAGTCACTGTATTCTCATTGTTTATTTTGGATCTACTGATGAAATGCTAGATTGTGTAGTTCCAGAAGAATTGAAGACAAAAACTGCAACCAAAGTGAGCTCCTCTGATCCCAAAATCATCATGAACTTAACTCTCCGTATGAATGTATATATCCAAATTCACACATGTCAGCCACTATGTAACTGGGAGCTCTCTGAGTTAATTTCCATGTAGAATACCACGTGTATTAAAAGGTAAGTATTAAAAATGAACTAATTTGAAGCTGGTATATTATTAATACTCAATAGCAACTGCAGTAATTATATAGAACTTAGACAATCAAAAGTTGTTTTTTTTTTTCAGGGATTAGTATTTTACTGCTGAAATTGTTGAGAATTGCCAGCGCATAATGATAATAAAAACAGACTGACTTTTAATAGGTTTTATTATTGCTTTTAAATTATTTACAGTAAATGTACCCCTTCCTGGCTATATCCTGGACAGACCTCTCTTCCAACCCAGCCCTTGGGACACCACTGATGTGGAGAATGAATTGAAAGAGAGCAAGGAATTTCCAAGAGGCCTGTTAGGGAATTTAGGTGGTGGGACTTGGTGACTGATTGAATATGCAGGTGGGACCAGAAACGGGCTGTGTTAGCCCCCAGCTTTCTAGATGGGCCAGCAGGTAGGATGTAGACTTCTTAGTATGTAGGTAAGGACTGAAGCCAGAGGAATGGATGCCATTGCCTGGGGAAACAGTGTTATATAATAGTTCTAAATCTTAATGAACTCCAACATTGAAAAGAGGATACATTGGCAAATATTATCTCCATTTTGCAACTGGAAAACCAAGAGACTGAGTAGTTAAGTCACTTTCCCAAAGCAAGTTAGCAGAAGAGCCAGGATTAATTTTTGGCCTCATTCTGGGCACCCAGTTATTTAATTTAAATGCATTTTAAGAAGACATCATCCTTCCTAAAACCTCTGGAGATACTGAAAAGTAACACAAAGGCTTATGGCTCTGCTGTGCCAGGGAAAAACTTCCTACAGACGTCAGTCTCTGACAGCTGGAATTCAGACCTGAAAAGCAGGTGGTGTGAAGGAACAATAGAGACTTTTTTTTCCTCTAGATATAGATTATTTTTTTCCAGGAAGTCCCAGAAGGCTGCCAGAGATGTAAGAGAAAGCCCCAAAACACGGCGTCGCAAAACCAAGAGGGGAAGATACTTCAAGGACCAGAGGCTGTTTGTGCTGGTGTTTGTCAGTATCTCCCCAGACAGTTATCTTCCCTCCCCCAGTAAGACTATGATCTCCTTGAGAACAGGACTGAATTTTATGCCTTCTGACATTCCCAGTGCCTAACAACAGAGTGTCACTCATGGTAGGTGCCCAGTAATTGTAAGAGGATAAAATCAGATGGGACACTAGGCTTGGAATCAATTACCTAAATCTTGACCCTACTCTAGGAAAAACTAAATGTGTGGCCTTAATCAAATAGTTTAACTATTCTGAGGTTGGTCCAAATGGCTTCTTTTAGTTCTAAAATTTTACAGAAAGGATGACCAATTCCTGAATAATTAGTATTTTGCTCTTCATTCATGACAATGAATCACAGATTCAAAGATAAAGAGCTGGAAGGGCCCTTATACACCATCTCTCTTCCTCTAGCCCCTCATTCTAAGGAACCCCAAGTTGAGAAAGAGACCACATCTTGGTGAAGGTGAGTTAGGATTTGATACACATCTTCTCCCTCCCAAGCCTCTGCTTAAGCCTAAAAATCCATTGCCTTAATCCACTGCCTTTCTTCATGCATGGAACTAAAATGAAAATGTTGTATGGGGGTTTTCCAGGCTTCTCTCTTTAAAAATACCAAGTGGTTCCTTCCTTGGAATTTCACATTATGTTCTAACATACTGAAAATGATCAATGAAGGCTACTTGATTCTCTGAATATATATGCGCATGTGCGCACAGACACACATACACACACACACACACACACACACTCAGGAAACTATAACTGAAACCCAACTCATAACCTACTTATTTATTTTCCATTGGTCTTCAGTATTGATAGTGCCAACTGTAACCGAGAGATAACTAGGAAAACTTTAGGCACTGTTGACAAGACTAATCCTTGCTAGCCACAGACACCCCTTCTATGGCAGTTAGTGACTGCACTCAGACCAAAATAAAGCATATCATTGGAGAACTTTGTATGGCAATGTCTTCTACTCTGCCTTAATAAAATACTCTGTGCTGCTTAATTTTGCCATGAAGGACCACTTCGGAAAACTTGTTTTTGCATATATTTCTATATAATATAAAATATAGTAGGAATTAGAAATGTTTGATAAATTTCAACTCAGCCATAATGATTTTAGTTAAGACATAGTTTAGCTGGTCCCATCGATTCTTTCTCTTAAAAGATACATTATTAACATCACCACTTCCCTTATACACCATGTATATTCATATTTTCTCTTTCTCTCTCTTGTTCTCACTCTCAGTTTCACTCTCCCTCTCTTAGTTTAGGACATATTGCTCTCTCCACAAGGCACTTATTAAATGGTATATATCTGATTAAACACACTTTTTCATTTTAATATGTTACTGCTTATATGAAATTTCTTGTTCCTTGCACATTCAAAGGAGCCCACCATTTATATTGCCCAAAACCCTAAAAAATTGTCGCTGAGTTTAAGAAGACCTTCTCTAATGCTATCAAAACTTCAGAAAAGATCTACATCAATAGAAAGTTATCTGAGCCCCTTTTCCTTTGTTTCTCCATCATGGCGACCCTGAGCTGCCTTCTTTCCTTCCTGGAAGTTACAGCATTTCTTCTCCAACCCAGTAATTCAGCTACTTGTCAAAGACTTACAAATGCCACCCCCTGCCAGTAGAGTTCTCATACCAGACCTGTTGCACAAGGCTGTTTAACGCCTCTCTTCTTTGGATGTTCTTTTCTAGTCCTCAGTACCAAGGGAGCCTTAAGAAGGGAAACAAAAAGATAAAACTCCACAAGCTTCGCCTAGCCATATAGTGAGGACTGTGTGGCACGTTCCCTGGCAGCCCATATGATAGGCTCAAGTGTGTCACCTACTGCCATGGAATGTCATCTCACTGAGGTCAGGATATTTCTCCCAGCCATGCTGAGTACCTGACAGTTGTCAAACAACATTTCCACCACCCACTTGACAGGCTGCATGGAATAGTGGAGAATGCATAGCGTATAGCGTCTCAACATCTGGTTGAGCCCTGGTTCTGCTACTAACTGCTGTGTGACCTTTCAGAAGTTGCTTAACTTGTCTGGGCGTTGGCAAATACAGACTCCAGATAGCTGGAAAGTAAAGAGTAAATTAAGATAGCAGACCCAAGTTCTAGTGTACATTCTGCCACTTACCAGGTCTTTGCATCAATGGGGTTCAGATTCCTTAGTTTAAAAATGAGGACAATACCTGCCTGGTTTGTATAGTGTCACTGTCAGGAGGAAAGGACAGAAGCGATGTGGAAAGCCCTGTGAACTACACAGTCTTCTGCAAATTGACTGGCTGGCACCCTCCTTTGGCCTCTTTGCTTTATCTATTTGACCGTAAGGTCTCATTTGAAAGTTCAAACCTTTCTAGAACCCTTTCTTCCCAGCACTGAAAGTACCATCCACAGTCCTTATTTTCAGTCATGTAATTTCAGACAGGCCAGTCACTTCTGAATACTAGATTTCTCTCTGCATGAGTCACAGTGAGAAAACTCACAGCTGGGCAAGAAGCTAGTCTCCTCCCCTTCTCTGCCCTGACCCTGTGTTCCCACTTCCTGAGTGCACCTGATGGCCTTTGAAACACTCAAAAGTCAGGAACTTCTAAAGCACAAAGAGTCAGAGCATGATTTCCACAAGTTCTCTACCTAGGTTGGCCATCTCTCTTTCTACCCCATGGTGATATCCTTGCTCACAATCCAATTTTTCTAAAGCCTGCCTTTTTCTGTCTTTGCATTGGCATACTATTTTCTTCCTGCTTGCTTTTAAAATAAGAATCCTTGCCTCATTGCATTAATAAAGTGTTCTCATGTAGGTGAAATAACTAACACTTTACTGTGGGTTCACAACTATCTAAGGAAATAATGGAGGAAGGTATTTTCACTCCTACTTTAGAATGAAAAAAGGAGGCCCAGAAATTCTGTGTGGCTTGCCCCAAGATCACACCGAAAGGAGGTAGCAAAGTCTAGCCTCATCTACCAGCCTGCTGAGTCAGAGCTAACCTTCTTCCCACCACCTCTTGTGGGTTAGTAAGAAAAACAAGAGGCACAGCCAAGGGAGAACACTTATGTCACCCAGTACAAACAGGCAGCCTGAATCCAGAGGTAAACCAGAAAGGAATAAAAGGCAAAGGCAGCTGAGTCCAAGAACAATGGGCAGCATTTTGGAGCCGTTCAATTCCCAAGTCAGGTTACAGGGCCATAAATACATTTTAAGGCCTTTAGAATACCTGGATGCTCTGTGACCCTTCTTCTATCTGTGTTTGGGTGTATTAGTCCATTTTCATGCTGCTGATGAAGACATACCCAAGACTGGGTAATCTATAAAGAAAAAGAGGTTTAATGGACTCACAGTTCCATGAGGCCAGGGAGGCCTCACAATCATGGCAGAAGGTGAAAGGCATGCCTTACATGGCAGCAGACAAGAGAGAATGAGAACCAAGCAAAATGGATTTCCCCCTATAAAACCATCAGATGTTGTGAGATGTATTCACTACCATGAGAACAGTATGGGGGAAACCGCCCCCATGATTAAATTATCTCCCACCGGGTCCCTCCCACAACACATGGGAATTATGAGAGCTACAGTTCAAGATGAGATTTGGGTGAGGACACAGCCAAACCATATCATTGGGTTCCCTACACTTCCTTCAGACTTCAAAGACAAGGGACTTCTGGTGAAAAATACACAAAGCTTCCTCATTTTCCATTTAGAGCTTGAATGGGTTGAGGTGGAACTATAAAAGTACTAATGAGAATATTCTGGAACAAACAAAACATAATTTTCTCCATTTTATCTGTTCACTGCAACAGTCATACAAGACAGAGCCAAAGTGGTGCTTAGATTCAGCAGTCAACTGCCAGCATGATTTGGTTTCAGAAATTCCAGGACAGCAGTTTGGTGCAATAAAAAGAACACCAGCTCTCAGTCAGCAGACTCAAGTTTCCATCCCAGGATCTGTCACTTAATAGTTATATGGCCCTGGGATTCCTTTACCCTGACTGAAAACATAAGAATAATATCTCTTTTGAAGACTTTATAGACAGCAGATGTCACAAACTTATGGCCCATGCATCATATCTGGTCCAAAGAGATAATTTCCTTGTCTCACACAATTACAAAAATTATTCTAAAAAATTTCTTTAGAAGAGGCCTGCCTTCTTCCATCTGGCACACACATACTCTTCTCTCTGATCTTATATTGACCTGCATCTGGAGTTTGTGTTCCCTCCTCAAGCCCATGGTCATTTAATTTCAACCTCTTCTTCAGGAATTCCACAAAAATGTGAAAGCTCCTAGCAGATAACAAGCACTCAATGAATATTCTGGTTCTCTGAAGTATGAGCACTGTTTGCTACCTGATAAAGGGACACTCTGTAATTGGAGTTCCAGTTCCAGCTTTCAGTCTCTGTTGCTGGTTCCTCATGTTCTTTACCCTACCAGTGGTGGAATGCCCAGGGCATAGATCTTCAACCCCTCTTCTTTCCTAATTACACTCACTCCCTTTAGTGGCCCCATCCAATCTTATGATTTTAAATATGATCAACTTACTGATGACTCCAAAATTTGTAGATCTGGAACAGGCACCTCCCAGGGATTCCACACTCATTTATATAACTGCCTCTTTGACTACCTTCACTTAACTAACAGTGGGATAATCATCCATCCCAGTTTATCCAGAACCTTCCTGGCTTGCACAGAACAATTCTGGGTTGTGCCTATGGTCTCAGCAGCAACCCATCTGATAGTCCTGGATTGCTCATCTTTAATAAAGCATTGTCATTTTTAGTTTAATTATGCTAAGTTGGGATGGGTTAGTGAGACCTCCACTTTGTACTTCATGGTTCTGTCATGATTTTGTCTAGTAATGTGTAAGATGCATGGTGATAAACAGTTTTCACTGTAACACATGGATACATTTTAAATAATTCATCTCTCTTTCCCCAACACTTTCCAGATGAAATATAACTAGTGCTTCTTTCTCAAGGACAGCATGGAGGATACTTGCTAGTTTATTTTTTAAAGTCCTAGATACAGGAGATGGCTAACTCTTTCTGGTGAGAGCTAATTCTAGGAAAACTACTGGAAGCTACTTCTACAGTCAGCCAGTTGTACTGTGTAATGCCAAAATGGCCCGCAAGACACACAAAGATGCAGGTAGCCAAAACTAAGATCTGTGGGAAACGTAAGTGATAGGTTAGTGTGCGTGAAAGTATGCATAAAATAGGGACTTAGCAGTTCTACAAGTAGTAATCTACTGTCTACATATTCTTGTGACAGAGTACTATGGTTTGAATGTGTCCCCTCAAAATCCATGTGTTGGAAACTTAATCCCTCTGCTCTAGGGCTCTGCCTTCATGAATGAAATAATGCCACTATCACAGGAGTTGGTTTGTTACTGTAGGGATGACTTTATTATAAGAGTAAGCTCTTTCTGTCTCTCTTGTTCTTGCCTTCTTGCCAGGTGATGCCCTTTGTCATGTTATAACACACTGAGAAGGGCCTCAACTAGATGTCACCACCACACTTTTGGACTTCCCAGCCTCTAGAACTGTGAGCTAAATAAACTTCTTTCCTTTATTAATTACCTAGTCTGTAGTATTATGTTATCACAACAGAAGACAGACTAAGATAAAGAAGTTTTCTCATTTTGCTGCATAATATAAATCTACAATTATTTTATTATTTGATAATATAGTTTTAATTTCTGCAATAAATCTTTTCAACTACAATGAGCTAACAAATGAAAGCACATATTTGATAAAAACTTGGGCACTGCATTTACCAATCTAAAAAATATTTGATAATCAAAGTGTAACTTTTACAAAATGTTGACATTTACTATCCACCATGGAGCTGCAATAACAGTGACTACTTGAAAACCAGAAGATGCAAATCTGCTGAAGAAATATCAGCACTTAATTCATTTAATATAATAGTTATTGCAAGAACACTATACCTAGAGATGAATCAACACATGGAACTACAAAAGGTAGATTTAAATATCATCTGGAAAGCATGAATTTTCATCTAAACTAAATCACTGCTCTTAAAAATTAATTTAGTTCATTTTTGAGTCCACGTTTTTCTGTACATGTAAGAAAACCAACATGATAATAGTTAAATGATGCCAGTTTTATCTCAACATGGTCAAACACTAAAAATGGACAATCATGCAAGGTTATTTCAATAAGGATTATTTTCTTCATCCAATTAATTGAATTAAAGTAAAGCTTTTAGAAGACTATTCTCCTAAAATTGAAACATCTGGCATTATTGTGAATGCACTGTTAATTAATTTAAAAGGATAATATTGAAGAAAAAATTATTTCTGAAATAATAGTACAAATACAAATTTTGGCAAAGTAAACTGTCATAGTAAAAATTCAGTTTTCTTACTAAATTAAGAATTTTATGAGGGAGAAATGTACTAGAAATTGGTTGTAGTACAAACATAGTGTATATTTAGAACCAGATAAGCTGTGACATCTGCTAATCAGAATAGACATTCACATTGTCAAGCTTTCCACACACACACATACACACACACATATATACATATATGTATATATGTTTATATGTATATATGTCCAAATATATACATATATGTATATATGTACATATGTATATATGTATATATGTCCAAATATATACATATATGTATATATTTATGTACATATACATATATGTATATATTTATGTACATATACATATATGTATATATTTATGTACATATACATATATGCATATATGTATATATACACACATATGAATATATATACACACATATGCATATAAATATATATATACACACACACAGACATACACACACACACACTCACCTGGGGTAGGTAAATAAATTACAAAGTTATGCTTGAAGCTGATGTTGAAATTTATATGTGAGGGCACAGTGGCTCACGCCTGTAATCCCAGCACTTTGGGAGGCCGAGGCGGGTAGATCACAAGGTCAGGAGATCGAGACCATCCTGGCTAACATGGTGAAAGCCAGTCTCTACTAAAAACACAAAAAATTAGCCAGGCGTGGTGGCAGGTGCCTGTAGTCCCAGCTACTTGGGAGGCTGAAGCAGGAGAATGGTGTAAACCCAGGAGGCGGAGCTTGCAGTGAGCCAAGATCACGCCACTGCACTCCAGCCTGGGCGACAGAGCGAGACTCCGTCTCAAAAAAAAAAAAAAAAAAGAAATTTATATGCAAGGCAGAATATACTTGCTCTATTTGATACATCCAATTAATCAAATTTTAGGAAAGCTTGAGCCTTTAACAGCTACTTTGTAAATTAACCTTAAATGTTCTACATGGACACTGAAAATTTTACGAACAAGTCCCCTAAGTTTTGGTTTGTTCAGCATCATTTGAAATATTTTAGTCAAGTATGCAATGAATGAAGTATTAAAAACTTCAGCTTTTATGATTTGCTTTGAAAAGCTCCAATTATAAAAACAAGGCTTATGAATTTCCTTTAAAAGCAAGGGAGAACCTTAAAAAATTAAATGATCAGAATTCTCAAGGTAAACAATATTTAGCTTTGAAATTTTCTAATTGTGTTTGAAATGTCAACTTATTGTAAGACATTTTATGGAGCTCCTATCTTTTAATTGCATAATTTTATATTCTATGTTGAAATGAAATACAGTTGAGAAAACCTACAAATTTGCACCATTTATATTTGAAAAAATTTTCAAAATAATCACAATTTATTATATGAGTTTTGTCTTGTAAAAATATTTGCTGAATGGCACTGATACGGTTTAGCTGTGTCCTCACCCAAATCTCATCTTGAATTGTAACTCCCTCGTTCCCATGTATTGTGGGAGAAACCCAGTGGGAGGTGATTGAATTATGGAGGCAAGTCTTTCATGCACTGTTCTCGTGATAGTGAGTCTTACAAGGTCTGATGGTTGTAAAAACAGGAGTTTCCCTGCACAAGCTCTCTTCTCTTGTTTGCTGCCAAGTGAGATGTGCCTTTCACCTTCTGCCGTGATTGTGAGGCCTCCCCAGCCACGTGGAACTGTAAGTCCAATAAACCTCTTTCTTTTGTAAATTTCCCAGTCTTGGATATGTCTTTATCAGTAGCTTGAGAACAAACTAATACAATAAATTGGTAACAGTAGGGTGGGGCACTGCTGAAAAGATATCCCAAAATGTGGAAGAGACTTTGGAACTGGGTAAGAGGCTGAGGTTGGAACAGTTTGGTGGGCTCAGAAGACAGAAAAATGGGGGAAAGTTTGGAACTCCCTAGAGACTTGTTGAATGACTTTGACCAAAATCCTTATAATGATATGGACAGTGAAATCCAGGCTGAGATGGTCTCAGATGGAGATAAGCAACTTGTTGGGAACTGGAGAAAAGGTGACTCTAGTTATGTTTTAGCAGAGAGACTGGTAGCATTTTGCCCCTGCCCTAGAGATCTGTGGAACTTTGAACTTGAGAGAGATGATTTAGGGTTGGTGGAAAAAATTTCTAAGCACCAAAGCATTCAAGAGGTGGCTTGGGCACCGATAAAGGCATTCAAGTTTTGTAAGAGAGGCAGAACGTAAAAGTTTGGAAAATTTGCAGCCTGACAATGCAATGGAAAAGAAAATCTCATGTTCTGAGGAAAAATTCAAGATGGCTGCAGAAATTTGCAAAAGTAATGAGGAGCCAAATGTTAGTCCCCAAGATAATGGGGAAAATGTCTCCAGGGTATGTCAGAGGTCTTCACAGCAGCCCCTACCACCACAGGCCCAGAGGCCTAGGAAAAAATTGTTTCATGAGCCAGGCCCAGGGTCCCTGTGCTGTGTGCAGCCTAGAGATTTGGTGCCCTGTGTCCCAGCTGCTCCAGCTGTGACTCGAAGGGGCCCACATAGAGCTTGGGTCGTGGCTTCACAGGGTGCAAGCCCCAAGCCTTGGCATCCTCCATGGGGTGTTGAGCCTGTAGGTGCACAGAAGTCAAGAACTGAGGTTTCAGAACCTCCACCTAGATTTCGGAAGATATATGGACTTGCCTGAATGCACAGGCAGAAGTTTGCTGTAGCGGTGGGGCCCTCATAGAGAACCTCTGTCAGGGGAGTGCAGAAGGGAAATGTGGGGTCTGAGCCCCCCCCACAGAGTCCCTACTGGGGCACCACCTAGTGGAACTGTGAGAAGAGGGCTACTGTCCTCCAGACCCCAGAATGGTAGATCCACTGACAATTTGCACTAATTTTCTGGAAAAGCTACAGATGCTGAATGCCAGCCCATGAAAGCAGCCTGGAGTGGGGGCTGTACCCTGCAAATCCACAGGGGCAAAGCTGCCTGAGACCATGGGAACCCACCTCTCGGATCAGCATGATCTGGATGTGAGACATGGAATCAAAGGAGATCATTTTGGAGCTTTAATTGCCCTGCTGGGTTTCAGACTTGCATGGGGCCTGTAGCCCCTTTCCCCCTTTCTTTGGGCATATTTCTCCCATTTGGAATGGCTGCATTTACCTAATGCCTGTACCTGCATTGTATCTAGGAAATAACTAACTTGCTTTTTATTTTACATGCTCATAGGTGGAAGGGACTTTCCTTGTCTCCAATGAGACGTTGGACTGTGGACTTTTGAGTTAATGCTGAAATGAGTTAAGAATTTGGGGGACTGTTGGGAAGGCATGACTGGTTTTGAAATGTGAGGACATGAGATTTGGGAGGGGACAGGGGCCAAATGATAGTTTGGCTGTGTCCCCACCCAAATCTCATGTTAAACTATAACTCTGACAATTCCCACGTGTTGTGAGAGGAATCCAGTGGGAGGTGATTGAATTATGGGGGCGGGTCTTTCCTATCCTGTTCTCATGATAGTGAGTCTTAGGAGATCTGATAGTTTTAAAAACAGGAGTTTCTCTGCACAAGCTCTCCTCTCTTGTCTGCCACCAAGTGAGATGTGACTTCACCTTCCACCATGATTGTGAGGCCTCCCCAGCCACATGGAACTGTAAGTCCAATAAACCTCTTTCTTCTGTAAATTTCCCAGTCTCAGGTATGTCTTTATCAACAGCATGGAAATGGACTAATACAGGCACAAAATTTGTGAAAATATTATGGCTGCTATACATACAAATTTTAATACAGAAAAAAAATAGATTGAGATTATCTTTCCTTTAGCAGAATTTACTCTGGATTTACTAGGTATCTAGGCACTAGGTCTCCAGGTTTAGAGAACATAGTATAATATATTCAATAAAAATATGATTTACAAAGGAAAATCAATTAAACGTGTCAATAATTTTCAATTTTGTAGCCATAAAATGAAGCTTTGAAGAAGATAACAGAAACTTTTATTTAAAAAGAAGTTCACATAAAAAAATTACATTCTTCAGAAAACTGCTGGAGATGGTATTACAGAAAGACACAAAATAATTAAAGAATGTGACTGTGTAGGCAAGACTATAATTTTTGTCCTTTATTTGGTAAATACAGATATAAATTAGTATTTACCAAAAATCTTGTTGGGAAATCGTTTTTGAATGAAAATATTTTGCAGGTCTACAAATATAAAAATTAATTTGTAGCTATAGGACTTCTGGCTTCCAGTCCAGTATGTAGAAAGTTTGAAAGTCACTACTCCATCCAAACAATAAGTAGAAAGCTGAAAGACTGAAAAACCAACAATTCTTCTTAGGTCTGTATGAGAGGTGAGGACACAGGGAACACTGCTGCCCCAAAGACTGAAGAGAGAGGCAAGTATAGAGAGTCCCAGCTTCTTCCAGTAGACACTCATGAGCAGAAACCACAGCAGGAACCACTGCCAGGCAGGAAAATCTGAACTGTAATTGGCAAATTGCTGGCAGCTCAGTGTAGACAAGGCTGAGGATTAAAAATAACTCCAGGGGACCCAGTCAAAGGGGAGCCCCCACACATGGTTGAACTTTACCTCCAGGAACTTGACAAGGTTCTCACAGTAAATATCAAAGAAAAATACCCTTGTGCTTCAATTAGAAGAAGGGGAAATGTAACCATTTTGAAATATGCCAGTGTACTCTGTTCTTAGCAAGGTCTGCCCACAGGAGAAACTATTTAACCAGAACCTAAACTAATATTGTTTTACCAGAGCCTAAGTGACCTGGGAGAAAAGAAATACCCAACTCCAGCCCACTGTTTCCATCCTATTCCACCTAAGGAGAAGGAAAAATACTTATGAACACTTGTACAATCCACAGTCCATAGGCATGGCCTCATAAAAGACTGAAACCTAATAGTAGGACAATAAAGCACTTATCCCCCAACACACATACACCTAATCACCACATGACTAAAGGCATGTCTACAGTAGTTCCTTTTACCCAGTAACTCATGTCCAGGTATCAAGAAAAAACGACAAGACTTACAAAAAGACATCACACATAGTTTGAAGAGACAGAACTAGACTCAGAAATGGCAGGGATGTAGGAATTATCAGATTGGTAATATAAAACAACAATGATTAATATGATAAGGGCTCTACTGGATAAAGTAGACAGCATGCAAGAACCAATGGGCAACATAAACAAGAAGATGAAAATTCTAAGACAACCAAAGAGAAATGCTAGAGATCAAAAACACTGAAACAGAAATGAAGAATGCCTTTGATGGGTATGAATAGACTGGAAACTGCTGAAGGGAAAATCTCTGAGAATATCTCAATCAATGCTTCCAAAACTGAACATCAAAGAGAAAACATACCAAAAACAAAGACAACAGAGTATTCAAGAACTGTGGAACAACTACAAAGTGTGGAATGTCTTGTAAAGGGAATACCAGAAGGAGAAGAAAAAGAGAAAGGAGTAGAAGAAATATTTTAAACAATAATGACTGAGAATTTCCCCAAAGTAATGTCATAACAAATTACAGATTCAGGAGGCTCAGAGAACACCAAGAAAATAAATGCTGAAAAAATTACACCTAGATATATCATTTTTAAACTACAGAGAATCAAAGAAAAAGAAAACACTATTTTAAAAAAACAGAGAAAACAAATCTTACTTGAGAGGAAAAAAAAAAAACCCTACCAACCTAGAATTCTGTAACCTACAAAACTATCCTTCAAAAATGAAGGAGAAATAAAGACTTTCTCAGACAAACAAAAATTGAGTGGATTTGTTTTCAGTAGAGCTGCCTTTTAAGAAATGTAAAAGAAGTCACGTAGAATAGAGAGAAGGAAAATTGTATATGTCAGAAACCTATATCTATCTACATAAAGAAAGGATGAGCATCAGAGGAGGAAAAAATGAAGATAAAATAAAATTTTATTTTTCTTATTCTTAATTGACCTAACAGATAATAGTCCGTTCAAAAAAATAATAGCGACAACGTATTCAAATATATATATTTGTATATGTGTGTATATATATATATATATATATATATATGTGTGTGTGTGTGAAATTAATGACAGCAATGATATAAGGGATGGGAGGGAGAAATTAGTATCATTTTATTATAAGGTACTCACACTACTTGTAAGGTTTATAGTGTTTTTTGAAGGTGGACATGGATTAGTTGTAAATGTATATTGCAATGTCTAGAGCAACTAATTTTAAAAGTTAAAGAAATGAAGCATAATTGGTTTACTAAGACAGGAGAAAAAATCAAATTAGAACCACCAAGGAAAAAAAAAAAGAAGGCAAAACAGGAACAAACAAAAATGGTAACAGACAATGGTAACACATATGGGAAATACAGTAATATCAGTAACTTTAAACATCAATGATCTAAATGTACCAATTAAAAGAGATTGTCAGAAATATCAAGAAACATACTTTAAATATAAAGATGCAAATTGATTAAAACTAAACAAATGGAGAAAAATATACCATGTTCATACTAATCAAAGGAAGTTGGAGTAGCTATATTAATTTTGGACAGAGTAGATGACAGAGCAATAAAAGTTATCATGAATATAAAAGGACATTGCATAATGATAAAGGGGTCGATAACAGGAAGACATAACAATCTTTAATGTATATGTGCCTAACATCAGAGAATCAAAATACATAAGGCAAAAACTGACAGAACTACGAGGAAAAAAAATAAATGAATCCATTATTATAGTTGGAGACTTCAACACCCCTATATTACTATTTAACAGATCCATCAAATGGAAAATCAGTATGGACATAAACTCAACAACACCACCATCAATTGACTGGATATAATGGACATTTGTTAACTACTTCACTTAACAACAGCAGAATACACATTCTTCTCAAGCACATGTGGGACATTCACCAAAAACAGATCATATTCTGGGCCATAGAACATACCTTAATACATTTAAGAGAATAGAAATCATACAATGTTTGCTCTCAGGCCACAAAGGAATTAAACCAGAAATTAATAACAGAAAGACAGCCAGGAAATCCCAAGTCTCAGAGATTGCATAACACATTTATAAATATCCACTGGTCTAAGAAGAAATCTCAAGAGATGCTCTAAAATATTTGAAACGGAATGAAAATGAAAAGACAACTTATCAAATTTTGTTAGCCACAAAGCAGTAGAAGGAAATTTATATTAATAGCATTGTAGGCTTATATTAGAAATGAAGAAATCTAAAATCAATTATCTAAGCTCCCATCTTAGGAAACCAGACAAAGAGGAGGAAATTAAAGCCAAAGTAAGGAAAACACACGAAATCATAAAAATTAGAGCAAGAATCAATGAAATTAACAATGGGAAATCAATACAGAGAATCAATGAAACCAAAAGCTGGTTCTGTGAAAACTTCAGTACAATAGATAAGCCTCTACCCAAAATAACTAAGAAAAAAGTGAGATGACACACAATACTAATATCAGAAATGAAATGAAAGAGGGGACATCACTACAGGTTGCATAGACATTAAAAGGATAATCAATAAATACATTTTTTTAAAAACCCTATGGCCACAAATTTGATAACCTAGATGAAATGGGCCAATTCCTTGAAAGACACAATCTGTCAAAACTCACACAGGAAAAATTGGGTAATCTGAATAGTCTTATACTTATTAAAGAAATATAATCAATAGTTTATAATCTTCTGAAAGAGAAAACTTCAGGTCAAGATGGGTTTATCTGTGAATTCTACCAAACATTGAACAGAGAAAATATACAAATCCTCTATAATCTGTTTCAGAAGATAGAAGCAGAGGAAATTCTTTTTAATTCATTCTATAAGGCCAGCATTGTCCTAATAACAAAACTAGACAAAGACATTACAAGAAATGAAAACTACAGACCAATAGTTCTAATGAACATAGCTGCGAAAGTCCCCGACAAAATATCACCAAACTGGATACAGCAATGTATTTAAAAAATTATACACTACAACCAAGTGGAATTTTTCTAGGTATGCAAGGCTGGGAAATCCAGGTACAGACACACTAGGAGAAAGAAGCCTGTGTCTCCTGGCAAGAACTCTTAATTACACTTGACACACAGGGTTGTCAATAGAGACTGAAAGTCACAAGAAAAGCACTATTACACCTTTAAGTCTTCTCTGAACAACCAACCAGAAAGACAAGTCCAGGGACTAGCTGAGGACTCACTCCCACGCTGACGTAGAACCCAGACAGCCGGGGTGTAAAATAACATGTGGCGGTACGGTTTCATTGGACAGAATACATACAACCTCTGAGTATATAGCAACTGTGCAGCTCCTTCTCCTTACCACCTACTGCACCCCCACCCCAGCCTGGTCACCTGACAGACTGACAGAGGAATGATTTATTTAGCTAGTGCAAAGCAAACACTTCTCCTGGCTGAGCTCTTAGGCAGAGAACTCACTCAGTGACCACCATTCACATTCGGCTGTAGTGCAGAGGAACCCAAGGCCACTGGCACACTCAGGTAGACCCCCAGTATCAAACCTCAGCACCACTAAACAGAGCAGATCTCTTTATCTTGTTTTACAGTGGAAACTGAGATCTAAGATATGAGACTTAAAGAAAGGGAATCTCTCTTTAAGGGTATGGGTTTAAAAGCAATAGGGCCTGGTTCCAGACTCTTTGAGGTGCAAATCCTAGGTTTGCCGTTTGCTAGCTATGTGATCTGGGAAAATTAATCTCCCTACTTCCATTTTCTCATCTGCAAGTGGGATCAAAGTAGCACTTTTTTTTTCAGAGCTTTTGTAAGGATTTAATTAGTTAATATACTTGAAAGGCTTAGAACAGTGCCTGACACAAAATCAGACTTTTGAGTCTCAAAATCAGGCAATTTAGGCAAAGTAAATAAGGAATGAGTAGATAACCTCAGAAAAAAAAAAATCTGGTATATTAGAAAGAAGACCAGGCTTGACCTGAGTGGGTGGAGACTGGCATTTCCTGCCTCTACCACAAGTTAGCCAATGTCTTGAGTAAATCACCTGAAGTCTTTAGGCCTTTTTTTTTTTTTTCAACTTGATCTAGCAATAGCAATCTCTACAGGAGTGCTATAAAAGCCCATGAGATGGAGACACCAGCACGTTGTAAACTAGTGTTCTACAGAGGTTGACTCTAAGCCTTCTTATTTCTTTTCTTTTGTAACAGTTTTATTGACATATAACTCACACACATATAACTCACTCATTAAATGCATACAATCAGAGGTTTTTGGTATTTTCACAGAGTTGTGCAACCATTACCATATCAATTTTGGAACATTTTTATCATCCTCCAGAAGAAACCCCATATTCTTCAGCAGTAATCCCATTCCTCACATTCCCCTGAGAATCCGGTAGCCATTCATCTACTTTCTGTCTATACAAATTTGCCTATTCTGGACATTTCATATAGATGGAATCATACAATGCATGATCTTTTGTGACTGGGCTCTCTGACAGCATAATGTTTTCAAGATTCATCATGTATCAGTACTTACCGCTTTTACTGCTGAAAGATATTCCATTATATGGAGTCATATACCACATTTTATTATGCACCCACCAGTTGATGATATTTGAATCACTTCTACTTTTTGGCTAACAAGAATAATGCCTCAATGGACATTCATGTACAAGTTTTTGTGTGGCATATGTTTTCAGTTCTCTTGAGTGTATACCTAGAAGTGGAACTGCTGGGTTGGTCAGATGGTTAATTCTGTTTAAAGTTGAGGAACTGCCAAAATATTTTTGAAAGAAGGGGCACCAGAATTCCTACTAGCAGTGAATGAGGGTCCCAATTTCTGCACATCCCTATCAACACTTGTTATGATTTATTTTTTATTGTAGCCAGCATAGTGGGTATGAAATGGTATTTCACTATGGTTTTGATTTACATTACTTTGATGTTTAATGATATGAGCATCTTTTCCTGTGCTTATTGGCCATTTGTGTGTCTTCTGTGGAGCAATGTCTATCCAGGTTATTTGACTACTTTAAATTGAGTTATTTGTGGTTTTTTTATTTTTATGGATACAGAATAATTGTAAATATTTATGAGGTACATGTGATATTGTGATACAACCATACAATGTGTAATGATCAAAACTGAGTAATTGGGATATCCATCACCTCATTTATCATTCGGCACAGCAAAGGAAACAATCAACAAAGTGAAGAGACAACCTATGGAATAAAAGGAAATATTTGCAAATCATCCATCTGATGAGGGATTAATAACCAGAATATATAAGGAACTCTAACAACTCAATAGCAAAAAAGCAAATACTCCAATTTAAAAATGGGCAGAAGATCTGAATAGATATTTCTCAAGAGAAGGCATACACATGCTATCAGGTATATGAAAAAATGCTTAACATCATTAATCATCAGGGAAATGCAAATCAAAATCACAATGAGATATCACCTCACCCCAGTTAAAATGGCTATTATTAAAGACAAAAGTGACAAACATTTGTCATTTATTTGTACTGGGGACATTTCAAGCCTTATCTTCTAGCTATTTTGAAATATGCAATAAATTATTGTTAACTATAGTCACCTTACTTTCCTAGTGAACACTGGATTTTATTCCTTCTATCTGCCTGTTTTCTTGTGCTCATTAACCAGCCCCTTTTTGTCTCATCCCTCCCTGCTGCCCTTCCTAGCCTCTGGCAACCACCATTCTATTTGCTACCTCCAAGAGATCATTTTTTTTTTAGCTCCTATGTGAGTGAGAGATCATTTTTTTAGCTCCTATGTGAGTGAGAACAAGCAATATTTGTCTTTCACTTAACATAATGTCCTCCAGTTCAATCCATGCTGCTGCAAATGACAGGGCTTCATTTTTTTATGGCTGAAAAATTTTCCATTGTGCGTATAAACCAAATTTTCTTTATCCATTCATTCACTGATAGACACTTAGGTTGATTTTATATCTTGACTATTGTGAATAGCACTGCAATAAACATGACAGTGCAAATAATATCTCTGATATACTGATTTCCATACACACACACACACACACACACACACACACACACACACACACACAGGAGTGGGATTGTTTGATCTTATACAGTAGCTCTATTTTTAGCTTTTTTAGGAACTTCCATACTGTTTTCCATAGTGGCTGTGCTAATTTACATTGCCACCAACGGTGTAGTGTATGAGCATTTCCTTTTCTCCATATCCTCGACAGCATTTGGGTTTTTGTTTGGTTGGTTTTTTTGTTTGTTTTGTTTGTTTGTTTGTTTTGTTTTTTGTTTTGTTTTTGGCTTTTGAATAATAGCCATTTTAACTCTGGGAAGATGATATCTCACTGTGGTTTTGATTTGCATCTCCTTAATGATTAGTGATGTTGAGCATTTTTTCATATACCTAATGGTCATTTGTATGTCTTCTTTTGGGAAATATCTATTCAGATCCTTTGCTCATTTTTAATTAGATTATTTATCATTTTGCTATTGAGTTGTTTGAGTTTCTTATATATTCTGGTTACTAGTCCATTGTCAGATTTCTTTTTATTTGTAGATTGTATCTTCACTTTGTTGATTGTTTCCTTTGTTGGGCATAAGCTTTTTAGCTTGATATAATCCCATTTGTCATTTTTTTCTTTTGTTGCCTGTGCTTCTAAGGTCTAACTCAAGAAATCTTTGCCCAGACCAATGTCCTGAAATGGTTCCCCAATATTTTCTTCAAGTAGTTTCCTAGCTTCAGGTCTTACATTTAAGTCTTTAATTTATTTTGATTTGATTTTTGGTTGTGGTGAGAGATAGAGGTCTAGTTTCATTCTTCTGAACATGGCTATCAGTTTTCACAGCACCTATTATTGAAGAGACTGTGCTTTCCCCAATGTATGTTATTGGCACCTTTGTCAAAATGAGTTGGCTATACATGTAAGGATTTATTTCTGGGATTTCTATTCTGTTGCATTGGTCTATGTGTCTGATTCTGTGCCAGTGCCATGCTGTTTTGGTTACTACAGCTTTGTAGTATATTTGAGGCAGGTAATGTGATGCCTCCAGCTTTGTTTTTATATTCAAGATTGCTTTGACCATTTGGGTCTTTTGAAGTTAAATACAAACTTCAGATTTAAAAATATATATATATTTATGTATGTCATTGGTATTTTGGAAAAGATTTCATTGAATCTATATATCTCTTTGTGTAGTATGGATGCTAAAAATATTAATTCTTCCACTCCATGAACCTGGCATATTTTTTCTTTTTTGTGTCCTCTTCAATTTCTTTCATCAGTGTTTTATAGCTTTCATTATAGAGATTTTTTATTTA
The DNA here is from genome assembly GCF_000001405.40 of Homo sapiens. Lineage (NCBI taxonomy): Eukaryota > Metazoa > Chordata > Mammalia > Primates > Hominidae > Homo > Homo sapiens. The sequence goes on from NC_000009.12 coordinate 83,170,637, forward strand.
TTTGGTTAAGTTTATTCCTGGGTAATTTTTGGTAGCTATTGTACAATAAACAAGATTGCTTTCTTGATTTCTTTTTCGGATAGTTCACTATTAGCTAGTATAGAAACACTACTGATATCTGTACGTTAATTTTGTAGCCTCCAACTTTACTGGATTCCTTTACCAATTCTAACAGGTTTTTTTGGTGAAGTCTTTAGGATTTTTCTAAATATTAGATCATATTACCTGCAAACAATAATAATTTGACTTTTTCCTTTCCAATTTGGTTGCCTTTTCTGTCTTTCTTTTGTTTGATTGCTCTGGCTATGACTTCTGGTACTATGCTCAATAGGAGTAGTGAAAGTGAGCATCTTTGTCTTGTTCCAGATCTTAGATGAAAAGCTTTCAATTTTTCCCCATTCAGTGTGGTGCTAGATGTGAGTTTGTCATATGTGACCTTTATTGTTTTGAATATGTTCCTTCCATACCTAGTTTTTATCATGAAGAGATATTATCATGAAGAGATATTAAATTTCATTGAGTGATTTATGGTATTTATTGAAATGATTTAAATATATTTTGCCCTTGATTCTATTAATGTGATGTACCACATTTGTTGATTTGTGTATGTTGACCTATCCTTGCATTCCTGGGATGAACCCCACTTGATAATAATGAATAATCTTTTTAATGTGTGGTTGAATTCAATTTGCTGGTATTTTATTGAAGATTTTTGCAACTATGTTCATCAATGATATTGGCCTGTAGTTTTCTTTTCTGTTGTTGTTGTGTCTTTGTCTGGTTTTGGTATCAGAATGATGCTCACCTCACAAAAATGAGTTTGGAAGTATTTCTTCTTCCTCATTTTTCTGAGTTCCAGTAGAATTGGCATTAGTTCTTCTTGAAATGTTTAGTAGAATTCTAGCAGTGAAGGCATCAGGTCCTGGACTTTTCTATGATGGGAAAATTTTTATTACTGTTTCTTTTTATTCGTTACTGGTATGTTCAAGTGTTCTGTTTCTTCATATTTTAATCTTGGTAAGTTGTATGTGTCTAGGAACATATCCATGTCTTTTAGGTTTTGAAATGTATTGGCATATAGTTGCTCATAATAATCTCTAATGATACTTTGAATTTCTCCTTTATAGTATTTCCTTTGTTGTCTCTGGTTTTATTTAATTTGGGTCTTCTTTTTTCTTTGTTAGTCTAGTTAGTGGTTTATCAATTTTGTATGTTTTCAAAATGCCAACTTTTTGTTTCATTGAATCCTTTGTCCTTTTCTTAGTTTCTATTTTGTTTAGTTCTGCTCTGATCTGTATTCTTTTCTTCTACTAATTTTGGATTTGGTGTGTTCCTGATTTTCTAGTTTCTTGAGGTGTATCGTTAGGTTGTTTATTTGAAGTCTTTCTACTTTTTTGATGTAGGCATTTATTGCTATAAACTTGCCTGTTAGCACTGCTTTGTGTCATCCTATAGGTATGGTATGTTGTGTTTCCATTTTCACTTGTTTTAAGATATTTTTATTTCTTTTTTAATTTCTTCATGACCCGTTACTCATTCAGGAGCATGTTACTTTCTAGTTGTTTGTACAGTTTCTAAGGTTCATCTTCTTATCAATTTCTAGTTTTATTCCCTTCTTGTCAGAAAAGATGCTTGATACAGTTTCTATTTCTTTGAACTTGTTGAAATTGTTTTGTGGCCTTAAGAATTGGACTACTCTACATCTTTTAATTGGATAATTTAGTCCATTTCCATTTAACATTATTATTGATGGTAAGGACTTACTACTGTCATTTTGTTATTTTTTTTCTGGTTGTTTTGTATGTCTTCTCTTCCTTTCTTCCTTTCCTACTGTCTTCTTTTGTGGACAAGTGATTTTCACTGGTGGTATGTTTTCTTTTTCTTTCAGTATATCTATTAATGGGTTTTTGCTTTGTGCTTACCATGAAGCTTATAAAAACACATTATAGCTATAGCAAATTATTTTAACTGATGACACAATGAAAAGAAACAAATAATGAAAAAAACTTTAAAAATGTACACTAACTTCATTCCCCCATTTTCTGACTTTTTGTGTTTTATATCTTTTTATATTGTCTATCTCTTAAGAAATTGTAGTTATTATTTTTGATAGATTTCTCTTTTAGTTTTCATGCTAAAGATAGCAGTAGTTGATACATCACTATTGTGGCATTACAGTTTTATGAATTTGTCTGCAGATTGACTTTTACTAGTCACTTTTATCCCTTAAGATGATTTATTGTTGCACATTAGCATCCTTTTCTTCCAGATTGAAGAGCTCTCTTTAGCATTTCTTGTAAGATAAATTCCCTTAGCTTTTGTTTGTCTGGGAAAGTCTTTATCTCTCCTGCATGTTTGAAGTAGAGCTTTGCTGGATATAGTATACTTGGTTGAATGTTTTATTTCCTTCAGCGTTTTGAATCTGTCATCCTAATTTCTTCTGGCCTGTAAGGTTTCCACTGAGAAGTCTGCTGCCAGGTATATCAAAGCCCCTTTATATGTTATTTGCTTCTTTTCAATTGCTGTTTTTAGAGTCCTGCCATTTTCCTTAACCTTTGAGAGTTTGATTATTTTATGTCTCAGAGTAGTTTTATTTGGGTTGGATCTGATTGGTGTCTTGTTGCACCTGGATATTTATACCTTTCTCTGGGTTTGGAAAGTTGGTATTTCTTTGAAAAAAACTTTCTATCCCAACTTCTTTTTCTCACTACATCCTCTTTATGGCCACCGACTCAAGATTTTTCCCTTTTGAGGCTATTTTCTAGATTTTGTAAATGTACTTTATTCTTTTTCATTGTTTTTTCTCCTCTGACTGTGTATTTTCAAATAGTCTATCTTTCAGCTCACTAATTCCTTTCTTCTGCTTGATCAGTTTTGCTGCTGAGACATTCTGCTGCATTTTTCTGTTTTTCAATTTGATTTTTCAGCTCCAGGATATCTGTTTGATTTCCTTATTATTGTTTCAATCTCTTTGTTAAATTTCTTTGATAGCATTCTGAATTCCTTCTCTGTGTTATCTTGAAGTTCACTGAGCTTCCTCAAGGTAGCAATTTTGAATTCCCTGAGAGGTCACATGTCTCTGTCACTGCAGGATTTGTTACTGGTGCCTTATTTAGTCTGTTTGGTGATGTCATATTTTCCTGAAAGTTCTTGATGCTTGTGGACTTTTGTCCATTTCTGGCATAGAAAAGTTAGGTATTTATTTTAGTCTTCACAGCCTAGCCTTGTTTGTACCAATTCTTTAGAGGGCTGATTTTTCGTTCTTGATACGGTGTTTATTTATGTAGATAGTTGTTCAATTTGATGTTCCTGCAGGAAGTTTGCTTGCAGGAAGGTTCTATTTGGCCATCCTGTTCTGCCTCTCTCCCATCTTGAAATTATTAAGTGGTATGGGTTCTTTTTATATTCTATACACAAATCCAATACTAGATACATAATTTGAAAATATTTTCTGTCATTCAGTAGATTGTCTTATCACTTCCTTAATGGTGTCCTTGGAAGCACAAAAATTTTTAAATTTGATTAAGTCCAATTAATCTATTTTTCCTTTTGTTGCTTATGCTTTTAGTGACATATCTTAGTAATCTTTGTTTAGTACAAGGTCATGAAGATTTGTCACTGTTTTATTCTGAGAGTTTTAGTTCTTATGTTCATATTTTCAGTCCATTTTGAGTTAATTTTGAGTTAATCATATATGATATGATGGAGCCCAACTTCATTATTTTGCCGGTGGATAGCCAGTTGTCATAGTGTCATTTATTTAAAAGACTATTCTTTCTTCATTGAATTAATACTCTTGTAAAGCATCAACTAATATAAATATAATGGCTTATTTCTGGTCTCTCTGTTCTACTCCATTGATCTATATGTCTATCTTTAAGTCCGTATCACACTGTCTTGTTTATTATAGCTTTGTAGTAAGTTTTTAAACTGAGAAGTGTGAGTTCTCCAACTTTGTTATTCTTTTTGAACATTGTTTTGACTATTTGGGTCCCTTAACTTTCTGTGTGAATTTAAGTATCAGCTTGTCAATTTCAATAAAGAAGCCAAATGGCATTTTGTTGAGCATTGAGTCCACTTGCCATCTTAACAATGTTAACTCTTCCGATTTATGAACATGAGATGTCTTTCCACTTATTTAGATCTTCTTTAATTTCTTTCAGCAATGTTTTCTGGTTGTAACAGTCTACTTTGCATTTATTTTGTTAACTTTATTTCTAAGTATTTTATTATTTAGATGCTTTTAAAAATATAATTGTTTTCTTAATTTCATTTTTAGGTTGTTCAATGCAAGTTTATAGAAATACAACTAAATTTTATATTGATCTTGTATCCTATCACCTTGGAAAACTCATTTATTAGTTCTACTGGGGTGTTTAATAGTAAATTCCTTAGAATTTCTACCAAAAAAACAGAGCATGTGATCCATGAATAGAGATAGTTTTAATTCTTCCTTTTCAATCTGAATGCCTATTATTTCTTTCTTTCTGTCCTAATTGTTCTAGCTATTATAACAGAAACAGTGAGATCAGACATCCTTGTCTTGCTTCTTTCCTAGGGGAAACACTTCAGTCTAACACTTTTGACTACTATAATAATTATGAACTTTTCATAGACATCTTTATGCAAGCTGAGGAGGTTCTCTTCTATTCCCAGTTTGTTTAATATTTTTATCATAAATGTCATTGGACTTTATCAGTTGTTTTTCTGCATCTATAGAGATGATCATTTGCCTTTTGTCTTTATTCTATTGATACAGCATATGACTTTAACTAATTTTTTTTCTGATGTTAACCAACCTTGCATTCCTGTGATAAACCCTAGTAGTAGTAGTGTATAATCCTTTATATATGATGCTGGATTTGTTTTACTAGTATTTTGTTGCAGATATTTTGTGTATATTAATTTCATTTCATTGTGGCTAAAACATCCTTAGTATTATTTCAATCCTTTTTTTTTTTTAAGATGGAGTCTCACTCTGTTGCCCAGGCTGGAGTGCAGTGGTGTGATCTTGGCTCACTGCAAGCTCCACCTTCTGGGTTCACGCCATTCTCCTGCCTCAGCCTCCTGAGTAGCCGGGACTACAGGCGCACACTGCCATGCCCGGCTAATTTTTTGTATTTTTAGTAGAGATGGGGTTTCACTGTGTTAGCCAGGATGGTCTTGATCTCCTGACCTTGTGATCCGCCTGCCTCAGCCTCCCAAAGTGCTGGGATACAGGCGTGAGCCACCACACCCGGCCTATTTCAAATGTACTGAAGCTTGTGCAGCTTGGTTTATACCCTAATATATGGTGTATCCTGGAAATTTTTACATCTGCACTTGAGAAGAATGTGTATTCTGCTTTTGTTATGCTAGGCAGAATGTTCTATAGATGTACGTTAGGTCTAGTTTGTGTATTGTTCAATTATTCCATTTCCTTGTTGATATTCTGCCTAGTCATTCTACCCATTTTTGAAAGTGGAGTTTTTAAGTCTTGAACTATTGTGAAATTGTTTACTTCTCACTTCAGATCTGCTGGATTCTCCTTTATGCATTTGGGGCTCTGCTGTGCATATATGTTTATAATTGTTACATCTTCCTCATAGATTGGCCCATTTATCATTATGAAATCTTGCTGTCTACTAATGTTTCTGTTTTAATATCTGTTTGTCTCATATTAGTCTAGCCACTCTAGCTTTCTTGTGATTATAGTTTACATGAAATAACTTTTTCACCTTTTTATTTCAATCTATGTTTCTTTATGTATAGTGTGTTTCCTATAGATAGCATATAGTTGAGTCTCTTTTTCTATCCTATCTGAAAATCTCTGCATTTTGATAGGATTATTTAATTTATCCACATTTTGTTTTCTATATATCTCATTTCTCTTTTGTTCCTCTATTACTACTTTATTGCTTTTTTCAGCATTAAGTGAATATTTATTTTCTAAAGTAACATTTTAATTCCTTCAATGACTTTTTCACAATATTTAATTCCTTCCATTATTTTCTCACTATATTTTAAAGTTATTTTTGGTGGTTATTTTAGTGTTTGCCATATAAATCTTAACTTATCAAAATCGACTTAAGATTTATACTAAATTAATTCAAGTGAGACCTATAAATGTTACTCCTTTATAGCTCTATCACCCTTTTCCCTTTTTTGTGCTATTATCATTATACATATTAACCTATTAATCTATATATGGTACAAACCCAACATCAAATTGTAATATTTATTACTTTATATACTTGTATGTCTTGTAAAGAAGCCAAGAGAAGAGCACAAAGCAAGTACGTATTCATAGTATTTATTATAGTAACCTTCTTATTATTTCTGGTTCTCTTCATTTATTCTTACTGATTTGTATTACCATCTCTTGTCATTTTCTTACTCCAATATGGCTTTATTCCCATCACCTTCTCTGTGCTTTTATTAGTAAACATTGTATTTCTATATGTCATAGATTCCACAATACAAGTATATACATATTGTTTTGTAAAGTTGCTTTTTAAATCAGTTAATAAAAGGGGAATAAATGTGCATTCCCATTGTCTTTTATAATTACATAATTACCTTTACCAGTGTTCTTTATTTGTGCATGTGTGAATGGGTTCAAATTACTAGGTTGGTACAAAAGTAACTGTGGTTTTTCGCAATTAAAAGGAACAGAAAAAAATGCAATTACTCTTGTACCAACCTAAAACTATCTAGAGTCACTTACCCGAAGAATTCCCTTTAGTATTTCTTATAAGGTGGATTTGCTATGCTAGCAACAAATTCTTCATTTTTGTTTATCTGAGAGTGTCTGTATATCGTCTTCATTTTTGGAAGATTGTCTCCTGGATATAAGGTTCTTGGTTGACAGGTGTTGTTTGTTTTCATTTTTAGAACTCCAAATATGTAATTCCATTGTCTTCTGGCCTCCATTGTTTCTGCTAAAAAGTTTCTGGTAAGATGCTAATCTTATTGGATTATGTGATGTGTCATTTAGTTGTTTTTTTTTTTATTTGTATGTGATGTGTCATTTAGTTTTCTCTTGCTGATTTTAAGATTTTCTGTTTATCTTTGGCTTTCAGCAATTTTACTATGATGTGTCTGTGTGTGGGTCTTTTCGTATTTATCCCATTAGAGTTTGTTGAGCTTCTTGGATATGAGATGAACATTTTCTCATGAAATTTGGGAAGTTATTATTTCTTCTAGCCATTATTTCTTCTAATATTTTTTCTAGTCTTTTTTCTAGTTCTTTCTCTCCTCTTCTTCTAGCACTCCCATTACATGGTTGCTGGCATGCTTACCGATTTTCTTCATTCTTTCCTTTTTCTCTGCTCTTTGGATTGCATAATCTCCATCAATATTTATTCAAGCTTACTAATTCTTTCTTTTGCCAGTAAAAATTTACTGTTAGGCACCTATACTGATAATTTCTAAAGACTTTAAATGGTTGTTTTTTGTTGGTTTGTTTTGTTTTTTATCATTCTCACCGGCAATTATTTTTCAATAGGGAGTGAGTTCTTCGAGTTGTTCATGCTGTCATTTTAGAAGTGGACTTCCCTTCTCTGCTTTTTATTGTTTACCTCTTCAGGGGTAAAATCTCTTCTCTTCTTTAGCCCATTTGACTAGCAAAAACACCACATATCTTACCCCAAGGTACTATGCAGACACCTGCTAATTGACAAATCTTGTAGATAGTTCTTGCTTCTCTCTTCTGGCACTATGGCTCACATTCATTAATATTTGAAATTCTCCCTTCCCATAGTTTCACTATTCCAGCCACTCCCAGCCATAAAATGGCTGTCTTTCTTTCTACCTACTCTTAAGTACTGGTGCACTCAGAAAAAGGCCCTTTCACTGTCTCTCTTCTCTTGGTACTCAAGATGCCCTGGAAGCCTCATCCACATCCATTGCTTCCACTGCTATGTGTGTCTTCTAACTACCAGTGCATATCTCCAAAGCTCCCCTTAAGCTCCAGCACCACGAATCCAACTGCATACTAGACATTTCTGTTGAAGTGCTCACAGACACCTTGAATTTAATAAATACATCTAAGATTGAATTCCTTTTATTCTCCAAAGTTCATTAGTTTCTCTTACATTTCATATTCTGGTTGATTACATCCAAGTGTCCAGCCACCTAAACTAGGAATTGAGGAGCTTTCCTTAGGTCTGCCTCCCTTCTCAACTCACATTATATTGTTTTTAGAAATGGGTTTCCTTCCACAATGCCCCTGCCTAGTTGAAGCTTCTACTGTTTGCCAACCAGGCTAGCATAACCTTCCATATTCCGCTACTGCCAATCCAGTCTCACCAGGGCAAACAAAGTGATCTTTCTAAACCACAATCTGATTATTTTACCCCTCTCCAAAACTATTGCATTAGCACCAGCATTGTCTACAACTATGTTCCCCAACTGCAGTCATTTGATTACTACCCTCATGACTTTTGACATAACAACCATGATCATGTTTATTTTCACAGTACTTATACCATTATTTACATACTTAGATTTATAACAAAAGGATATGTGATCTTTGAATTTGAAAAATCAGTGTCAGTTGTCATAGGAAAAGCATAAAAATAAATTCATAGCTATTAAAACAAAAAATGTTTATCTGTATACCACTAAAAGCTTCTTGCATCACAGCATTAGTACACCTACCATACTTGAGAACACACAGGCCCAGAGAAAAGTCATAGGAATTATATATAAAGCAAGGACTCTCAAACTTTATCTCCCACTGCATACACCCTACCCTCTAGTCCCACTAAAGTACATTTTATGGTTCAAGCATCAGGCTGTTTCCTTCCTGAGTACCCTTTTACACACTATTTATTTATATCAAGGAATGAGTATCGTCATTTATTTCTTTTTAAAAAGGAAAGCCTTTAGTATCTATAGCATCAAACAAGTCCAATGGGAAAGGATAACTGACAGAGATCAAACTGCATCAAGGCAAGGACCATGTGTCTTTCATTCACCACCACATATCCTATCGACCACAGTGCCTATAGTGTATTAGGTGCATAATATTTGCTGAATAAATGTGTCTAAAAAGAAGATATACTGTAATTGCAAATAAGCTTCTCTGATAAATATTTTATATTTAAAAGTACCCAGATATTTTGCTAAATAAAAAAGCAAGGCCTAGTGTGTATAATATGCCACCATTTGTGTAAAACACACACACATACACACACACACGTACAGTGACTACCTAAAAATACAGAGTAAAAGTGAAGACTACCTAAAAATGACAGTAAAAGAGGGCTTAATACTTACAACGAGACAAAAAGTGTAAACAGGAGCCGTCCCAGGGCAAACCAACACGTAAGCTCTCCTGGCCAAAATACTACTTGAATGTATCAGAAAATGAAGCAGATAAATTCTGAGCAACAGAACTGCACATACACCCTTAGAGAGTGCATTCATTCTAGAGAGGATGAAAATCCCTTTTCACTATATGCCTGTTTATATAACTTAAATTTCTATAATGCATATGTTAATATACCATATGCAGTTGTATTACTTTAAGAAAATGGTTTAAGCCAAGTACAAAATTTAGGAGTCCATAACTGAGAGGAAATAATTCTGTTTTTAAAAGGTCACATAACCTGTACCTGCATATTAGGATAGTTAAAAATAATATTACCCTGCATCTTGGAATCAAACAAAAAATTAAAGGCAAGTATGTCTAAGGAGGAAATTTCAGGCTGTGAGAAGCAAGCATATGGTAAAAGAGTAACCAACTATTTTAAATTCAACCAGGTCTCTAGGTTCAGAAAAATCACAGCAGTTTTATTCAAGTCAGTATCTTGCCATAGTAAATGGGGAAGCTCCTAGAGAACTAGAAATGCGTAAACATTACTTTTTTTTTTTTCAAAACATGACAAAAGGGGAAATCTTTCATAAATATTTAGTCAACAAGTATGGCATGAATCACAGAAAAATTTCTAGAGCACATTAATAAGTGCACTAATCATTAAAGCTAAGAAAAGGAAAGGAGCTAGCATTTATTGTATTACTGTGCCAGGCACTGTGGTGGAGGTTTAATGTTCTGTTCAATTTTAAACAGTCATTGTAAGGTAAGGGGAAATGTTGCTTTGATTGGCCACACCTGGGTCATGTATCCACCCTTGGAAATCAGGGTATACTCAACTGAGGGAGAAATGCTTCTCCAAAGAAAAATTGGGATGCAGTTACCAAATTGGAAATGAGACTAGACATGTAAGAGGAACACTCACCTACAACATTTAGCTTTAGCTACGTTAAAAAAAATTAAAGTATGCAGATCTCAGAAAGTAAGAGTATATGTGCAGTTCTGCTGGTCAGAATTTGTCTGCCTCATTTTCTGACACATTCAAGTGATATTTTGGCCAGGAGAGCTTATGCATTGGTTTGCCCTGGGATGGTTCCTGTTTATACTTTTTGTCTCATTTTAATTATTAGGCACCCCTTTTACTCTCAAATGTGTTCTAATTTTGAGAAGTAAATTATAAGGCAATACTAGATCTTGGCAAACAAGAGAACATCAGGAGGTATATGTCCAGAATGGGGAAAGCCTGATCTTAAAAAAAAAAAAAATTTGCTGGGAAAACTAGGGATGTTTATCCAAGAGAAAGCTAACGTGAGGCTTGAGAGGCATAAGAGTCACTTAAAGAGAAGGGCGGGGATAGAATTGTTTTGTGTGATTTCAGGAGATAAACCAGTATCATGGGTAGAGTTACAAGGAGCAGATTTCATCTCTATATGGGAATGAAATTTATCAGCATCAGCTGGACTTGTTCAATCATATTGAGGAAGGACCAAAATGGAAGAGATCTTTGGATTTTGAAAGGTTTTGCTAAGAGTCATGGGATGCGATTCCCATTAGACAGATCTTCAAGAGTAGGCAGGGTGGACCTAAAGCGGGGATTAGGATAAAGCAGTAGGAAATCAAGAAACAGATTTTTAAAAGAAGATTCATCATTCTCACCTCTTTTTCCAGGCCCAAGAAAATTCAGTCAATTGTGAAGCAACTCTACAGTTATTAAAGGATAAAAAGAGCAGGCATTTCTATGTGTTTATTTCCCCTTTGCCTTTATCTTTCTATCTCACTCTTACTTTCCTTTTGTCCTGATATCATAATCTTATAAAATAAGATTTCTTTGATTTGTATGTATTTATAAACACCTCAAATTGGTTTAGGAAAAAGTAGGGAGTAAATAAGTAGAAAGTAACATAATAAAAATGGTTTTAAGTGTTTATAAACCTACTTTCTTACACACTTTGGTAAACAAAATGAAAATTCTATGGTAATATCCCCTGCAGACTGCTTTTCTGCATTGATCCACTTTTGGAAACAGGAAAGCACAAGTTCCCTCTTTCCAGCATCCCCTGCTCAGAACACTCCCTGGAGTCAGAGTCCCTTCTTATTTGTGGCTACTTGAATTGCATTTCAGATGAAGGAGTCTCTGGGGTGGTGCAAAGATGACCACACATTCTCCTTGACCATCCTGTAACCATGCGGTAGCTCTAAACATTTGGCCTCATCTGCAGGATGCAAGCACAGGAGTCCCTCTCACTATAAAAAATGCCATGCCCAGTGTCTCAAACACTGCTGCATCGGGTCTGAGACACAAGTGTGCTGCTTCCAGCCATTCAGTCTTGTTAACCCAGGGAGTTAATTATTAGCTTCAAATTCCACCCTGACACTGTCACAAAAACTGGAATCTTTGACAAGTATCAGGTGAAGTTCAGACCAATCCACCGACATTGGCACCACATCAGAAGTGTTTTGTTTATGGTCATAAATCTTCCTTTGACTAGATCATCAAAATTGGTAGTTTCCCACACACATATCACCACTGTCATTCAACAACCAAAAATTACACTGTAAATCAGAGGAAATCTGTGATTAATTAACAAAATTGCGATTTAAGTATAATTTCATTAAAACATCTTCAATAAGGCTATTTAATTCAAAAGTAATTATCTAGTAAAGAATTACATCATCAGAATTAGTGTAAACACTTAGACAAATATATCCAAATTTTGGTTTCAATTAATCAACTACATTATCATTAGCAAAATGGTCAAACAGACTAGTAAAATAGAATATAAAAATCTAGTAAAAAATAAATATGTGCAAGTATTTGGGTGATTTACGTTTGGTGAAAAAAGTTAGATTCTCTAACTTTGGAAAGAAACTTAAATTTTTATTTTTGGATAAACAAAACATGATATATCCATATCATGGAATGTGCCATACCTTAGCAATGAAAAGGAATGAACTACTAATATATGCAATATATGCAACAAAAGGATGAATGTCAAAATCATCACGCCAAGCGAAAGAAGACAGACACAAAAGAGTACACATAGCTGTTACTCCATTTTTATTGCCTAAGACCGGGGTGAAGGGTGGGATAGACTGCAAAGGTAAACAAGGAAACTTGGGACAGTAACAGAAATGTTCTATATTTTAATTGTGACGGCAGTTCCATGAGTGTAGCTATCAAAGCTAATCAAATTATATTCTATATCCAATGGATCCTTTAAACAGATGCATTTTTCTTTTGTTAATTGTACTTCAATAAAGTTTAAAAAGAAAAAAACATAAAAGGAATATAAACTGGATCTCACAGATACACAGATTTGTGTGTGTGTATATATATATATATATATATATACAAATTTGTGTTTTTGTGGAAAACAAAATTCCTACATACTCTGTATATGGCCAAGCAGTTACAATTTTACTAGAAAATAAGCAATATATTTCACATCTTTGAACAATGTAGTATTTTTAGATAAGAGTTCCTTGTAATTTTTCCAATTCTTCCTATAAGAAAGTATATGAACTAGACATGGAGTAAGCAAGGCACTGGAATACTTTTGGTATGAATATACTATAAATGAACATGAGTTTTAGAAAAACGAAATTAATCAGCAGGGTTTTTCTTCCCACTGTTAGATAGCTTGACTTCCATTAAATCATTATTATTATCCAATTTGTTACAGTAGTCCAAAGCATTCATTATCTATGTTTGAATTATAATCATTTTAAAAAGCGGTCAGGGCATTTGTACTACTAAGAAAGTCAGTGAAATGTTAAACTTATGGAGAAAACATTCTCATTTTATTTTTAAAGCAAACTGCTGAGGAAATTAAAACTGTTCGTCTCGTAAGAAATGCAAAATCTCAGCTCTTAAAATGGACTGTTAGCAATTAGAGAACAGAAAGCAGTCCCTCTGGGAGGGCTTTGGTGGCCATTTGCCAATAATTAGCTTTCCTCATATAGCAGCATGTATTAGAATCACCTGGAGGGTTTGTTAAAACTCAGATGGCCAGGCCCCATGCCCAGAGTTTTCCATTCAGGTCTGGGGTGGGGTGTATTTGCACTTCAACAAGTTCCCAGGAAAGCCAATACTGCTGGTCTACGGACCACACTTGGAGAACAGGAGTTGCCACAGAGGAAGAGCAAAGAAGAAACTAGAATTGACAGAGGATGAGTAAAGCTTGGCCACAAGTCAATGGGGGAAGGAATGACGTTCTTGTCAATGCAAGCTATTGGCCAATCACTAAGGTAGGGCTTGGGAGGGACAAGGAAGCATTTTTACTAAGTGGTGGGTAGCATTTGAGCTGTACCTTATGAGACTGGTAAAGATAGGGGAAACGTGTACATTGGTGAAGGAGACACCGGGGGCAAAGGAACAGCCTTGGGAAGTATAGAATGTTGTCAGGGAATAACGGAGGATCTGATCAAAGGGAAAGCAGGGGTAAATGAGATGGGAGGGCGGTGTTAGCTTGTGGGGAATGCCCCTCTCCACGGCTGTGGAGGGCGTGCTGCTCTGTGGAGTGAGAAGTTCCATCTTCTGCATCACACACCCCTACGTGGTTTTATGGGGGCTTTTTCTTTCCATTGCTGGACCATTGCCCATGCTAGTCCTCTAATGAAAAGGACCTTCTCACCATCCTTCACTCTGTCACTCAAACTCAATCTTCACTTCAAAGACAAGTTCAAGCCCTATTTCATCCTGTGTTTCTCTCTAAAGACCAAATTCACTTTGAACTGTCCCACCCCGATCTACACCTTGCTAGGCATTGCCCTTTTCTCTAAGTTACATGTATTTGACATCTCTGCAACCTATCAGAAAATTATCTTAGGATAAGGACCATGTCACCCTGTAATGTCCAGTTTGGTGCCAGCTGCATAATAAGAATTGAAAAAAAAAATTCTTCACTGGTTGATTGGCAGGTTACTAATATATAATCAGCAACTGTTGTTGAGGTTTTATTTATTAGAGTGGCACACAGGCAGTTCCGGAACGTGCAGCATCAGCATCCCCTGGGAATGTGTTAGAAAGGCCCAGACCCAGGCTCTGCCCCAGACCCAGGGAATCCCAAACTGTGGGGTGGGGCCAGAAATCTGTTTTAAAACAAGCCTCTCAGGTGATTCTGGTACGTGGTCAAGCTTACAAACCACTGCTTTCTACAAAGCCTGAATCCCAAAACAAGTTCACACAGCTTATAAGGGTCTGTAGATAGCACAGTGATCATTTTTATCATTATTTTTAATGATAAAAATAATTTAAATAGGAATAAAAAATGCTTCGAAGACAAAGCAAGAATAGGAAAACTTAATAGAGCCAACACTGTGCCTAGTGCAAAATAAATACCTCCAAAATCCTTTATACATGTCAGAGGTGGACCATTAAAGGGCCCCTGTGCTTTCTTTTTCTTTCTTTCTTTCTTTCTTTTTTTTTTTTTAATTTTTTTGTGGAGACCCTACGGTGCTCAGGCTGGTCTCAAACTCCTGGGCTCAAGTGATCCTCCTGCCTTAGCCTTCCAAAGTCCTGGGATTGGACTCTGTGCTCTCTAAAGAAGCACAGTCAATTATCAATTCTGTGCCTTCAGAAGAAAAGTCACTTTGAAGCACGATTTCTGGTAGTGAGACTTCCTGGAGCAACCTCATAGAGAGATGGCTGTGTAACCTGCAGTCTGATGTTCCCAACAACAAAACACACATGAATGTTCCCCAAAACACAATGAGTCTCCCAAGGCTGTTTCTCAATATAAGCTGATGATTGATGCAGGCCAGATGCAATGCCTCTGAGGGGACTCTCTAAGGCAGGGAGATAAGCAGCTCCTGAAGATCTGAACTCAATCCAGGGACATAATCTCAGGTGCCCAGAGGAACAGATGAACTGCAAAGCCTCAACCACTCCTCCATAAGCACACTTTCTCTCAGCTGAACTTCTGACACAAAACTGCAGCAACCCCGAGATTCCACCCAGTTAAATGCTGGGGTGCAGCCACCACGGGAGATTGCCCAGCACAGTCACGTAGCCACATGCATTGAGGAATGGGTGGCGGGGGGGGCAAGGGGGGTGTTAATTCCTGATTTATCCCTGCGTCGTTTTCCCTTTCAACTGAGTTGAGTGTGAAGCTACAGTGATAAGTATAGGGGCTGCCTGAGCAACCATTTGCATAAGAAAGATCTGCTGAAACTAACGGGAGTGGCTGTGTTTCTGTAAAATTTTATTTACAAAAACAAGTAGCTTCTAAATTTGGCTCATGATCTAAGTTTAAGAACCCCTGGTTTGAGGAGTCCTGTAATTTTCCTGCTGCCTAGGGGAAAAGCTTACAACAAACACCCAGGAGTAAGCTATTTAAAAAAGCAAAGTAATCTAAATTAGGAAACTCCTTCACTCATCACCCAGTCCCTTGTTAGAAATGCGTCCCTACATTTCATGTTGCTTCCAGATTGATCTTTCCAAACAGCCACTCCCTGCTCAAAATCCTTTAAATGCTCTCTGTTATTTAAATATTCCCTGTTCTGCGTTATCTAAAATCTGAGCTTCTTAGTATGACATTTAAGGGACTCCCTCCACAGCAAGCCCCCAGCCTCCTCCTGCACGCTGTTCCTGCACTACTTTGCACACACAGCATGCTCACTCCTCCAAGTACTCCTTCTGCCTGCTGCAAACACTGCTGTGCCCAGTATCCTGCTCCTCTTCTTCCTAACAGAATCCCCATAATGTTGGGGAAGACAATAGACTCACACACAAAAAAGCCAGTATTTCCTAGCCTACCTTGTAAATAGTGGTGGCCAGTGGGATATAGAAAGTCATTGGATGGGAAATGACTTATTTTTTAAAGAAAATTTTTTCTCTAAAATTTAAGGAAAAACAATCTTTAAATAGAATATATGTATATATTTTTATTTTCAATATATTATGATGTTTTGACATCTTAAAAAAAAATTTCTAGCTGGGAAGAGACTGCCTCCCACCAACACCTTGGCCAATTCTTAGAGATAGCAAAGGGTTCAGCCCCAGCATGCCCACGATCTGCAAACTAACCAACCCAGAGCCTCGCCTGCTCCATCTGGCCTGTACACCCCAGGAGAAGATATTCCTCTGCCTAAATCATCCCAGGGCCAGGCACCAGGTAACTAGAGACCATGCCCATAGCTTAGAGCCCCTCAGATTACTCAAACTAGCAAACCCTAAACTGTTCACCCAGTTTTGCCTTGCTCTTCCTATGTAAACCCCAATAAAGGCTCTGGTCTAAGCCTTCTCTCTCCTGTCTTCTGCTTCCTGACTATCTGGTATCTTTCCCATGTAGTCCTGTCTGGCGTGCCCCACCTCTTGTCTCTAAGGGCAAGTGAGTATACTATACTTTTATTTTCCTGTCTTCTCTTTTGGCCACTTCTGTCTGCCATCACATAAAAAAAATTAAAAATATGGGGTTTACTCAGATGGTAGTTGCCCTTTTGCTCTTCCCTGCTTTTTTCTTTCTTTTGTTTTTTAAATCTTCTTTCTGGAACTATGACATGATGGTTGGGGCTACTGGGGCCACCTTGTAGCTTTACAGTGACCTTGATGATAAAAGTCATGACCTAAGGATGGCAAAACAAAAACAAAGAAGAAACTGGCTCCATGATGATATTAAGTCAATTAAATCAGTCCTGGACAATCTACATCTGAATTTCATGTCATGTGAGAGAAAAATAAAATCCTTCCTAGTTTAATTCACTGTTATTTCAGGTCTCTGTAACCAGTTAGCCAAATGTAATCTCCAGCTGATACAATGGCCCTGTGTTTTCCTCATGCTATTCAATCTCTTGAGGGTGCCCTTCTTCCCTCTACCTTCCATTTCTCCTCTTTTCAAAATGCTACTCAGTCTTCAAAATGTGGCACCAATGCCACCTCCTCCTGAATTATTTCCTCCTTCCACAGCTACTCGATACTTTGCTTTTCCCCTGTGTAACAGCAACACGAGAGCTCTACAATCCACCAGCCGTGAGACTGTAAGCACATCATTAACTTCTCCAAGGCTGACTTCCTTCATCTGCAAGACGGGGGTGGAGAAAGTTCTGATTCATATTATTATTGAGATAAATAAATGAGATATAGTACATGAAAGAGTGTAATGCCTGACACATAACTAAGTACTCAATAAATGCCCCTAATGGTTATTAATATTATTATTATTGCCATTATACTTGTGCCTCCATTCATTGATTTTAGGTCTGTCTCCCTGATAGCATAAAAGTACATGACAATGACTCATCCTCCTCATATTCCCCTAGCATCTAATTTACAGGTTAGGTGGATTGATGAACAAATGAATAAATAGCAAGATTGTATTAACTAATATAATAATGGCCAGGAAGGTGTAATGGACTTGCCCAAGGACTTTCTTTAGACAAAAGAAAAATTAGAAGGCAAACTTGACAACAATATATGAACATATTCCCAGTAATAGTTCATTCATTTCAAATATTGTTTTGTCTGCTTACAGAGGCTTTTGTCACTTGCAAGTTGGTGGAAGTGATAACACACTTGTGCAACCTGAGCAAGCTCCTTGCGCAACAGAAGGGAAAATATGCAAATCCATATTTCATCAGGCAGTAGTAGCCACTGTGAGAAATCGGCATCTCTATTGTGTGCTTGGAATGGAACAAGAGACAATGTACCATTAAAAGGCTAGTGCAGCAGGGAAAGATCACACATCTCCAAAAGAAAAGAAATGAAATGCACTGCATTTGCACAAAACACACATACCGGACAGAGACCAGGATCTCTTTTCCTCCCTTCCACCTACCGCAGCCCAGCTCACCCACAACACAGAGTCCACATCCCAGCGTTTGGAAACCAAAATGAAAAACATCAATAGAGAAGCCTAACTTAAGATTTTTAAACCCCTTGAGTTCACTACTCTGTGCCATCTTATTGGTATTAGTCAACCACAGCTCAAGGTCTTCCATATCTGTCTGTGGTGTGGTACTGTCCACAAATATTACTATGTCTGGCAAGGAGAGACCCCAGCCACAGTTCTGTGGCTCCCTGTTTGACTATGTCCCCCAGCCATAGCCCAGCCCACATGAGGGGAGGCAGCCTCAGCTACTGGTGCTGGACAAGACCTTTGAATTGGTCAAAGCATCTTTGTCACCAGCTGATACGGGTTGGCTGCGTCCCCAACCAAATCTCATCTTGAATTGTAGTTCCCATAATCCCCACATGTCGTGGGAGGGGCCCAGTGGCAGGTAATTGAATCATGGGGGCAGTTACCCCCATGCTGTTCTCATGACAGTGAGTGAGTTCTAATGACATCTGAGGGTTTTATAAGGGGCTTTCCCCACTTTTGCTCGGCACTTCTTGCTGCTGCCATGTGAAGAAGGATGTATTTGCTTCCACTTCTGCAATGATTCTAAGTTTCCTGAGGTCTCCCCAGCCATGCTGCACTGTGAGTCAATTAAACCTCTTTCCTGTATAAATTACCCAGTCTTGGGTATGTCTTTATTAGCAGTATAAGAACAGACTAATACACCAGCTTTCTTGCCCCTCCCAGATCAGACATCAGGAAGTTTTTCAGACTTTCTCATTTTAGAGATCTCTCATAATATCACACAGAACTGGGTCTCCACTGGGGACATCTAGCTCTAAACCATGTATTCTTTGAAAAGCTGTAATCCCAATTCAACATGGTGCCCTTCTGGGTTTCAGAGTAACTAACAAAAATTGATTATATTTCATGTTTTATTGTTGGCCAGTCTATAATCTTATATATTACATAAATAAGGCAGATGTGATAAACCTGTGCTCTTGTCTCAATTCTGGAATAAATCTGAAATGCTCACGTCCAATCCAGGATCCTGTATGTTAATGTAGCAAAAATGTAATTACATCTTTTCTACAGCCTGTCCCTTTGTTTCTCATTTAAACAAACATCAATTCAACCATCAAAAATAAGAGGCAATTCAAATATTTAGTGGAGTCTTTCAAAAAATATCAAAGGGAACCCAATTCCAATACAACGTTTAAAACTTCTGCTTTGCTGTTTCTGCCTCTTTCTTCTCTCACTCTGGAGTGGCCTAGGCTCTTGCTGTTCTCTCTAAGCTGCCCCAAATGTTCTGCTCGCCCACTTCGCTTCCCTCCCCCTGCAGTCCGGATTAATTATTTCCTTGTACTAGCTTTATTCCTTTCTAGTATAAAATCTCAGTGGCCTATACTTTCTTGAATTCTGCAGCACTTTCCCCACAATACTGTAATTAGCGACACAAATTTCTAGGATTCAAGAAGCCAGAAACGCTGTATGTACTCCTGTATTTAAAATTTGTTATCCCTGTTACACGAAGCATCTAAACTATATGTACAATATAAGCCGGATGGAAAACATGCTCTTTAAAATAGCAGGGAAAGTACACTATATGATTTTTTTTTAAACTAAACCATTTTAAAATATATTTGTAAATCATAAAAGAGACCTATGAGTTATCTATTTCGTTCTAGTGGATCAATGGGCATTTGTAACACACACAGAGACAAACAAGAAAACATCTGTTCTTTGATGAGCTTGCCTCTCATTTATGTGCTATCTCGAGTCTTTGAGGATTCAGGTTTACACCTTAGCTTTTTATTTTACTTATGATTATGGATTTCACAACACTCAATATTTTTACTTTATGAAAGCTGTGCTTTTTATCTTGTGCTTAATGATGCCAACATTGCATATTAGAATTTTTTAAAGGGTATCTAAATAAGAGCAGGAACACCTGGAAAAGGCATGGCTGTTTGCCAAGGTTCCCACCTGCATTAAATCACTTGTTAATATACATAATTGCCGATGATGTACTTTAAAATCATTTTCAATCCAATTGCCATGACTCTGCTGAAGCAATGACTGGTGAAGAAAAACTCTAAAATCCTCACCTGGTTTTGGAAAAAAAGACACAATTCATAGACTCAGCCTCTCCCATCTACCATGTCCCATGCCCAGGAAATTACCAAGTGACTTTCCTTCTCAAGCAAGGTCTTTCCCTTTTGGAAACGCTAGGATTATTCAAAATTAAATAATAATGATATCAGGATGTTGATTATTCACTTAGTGCATGGCCTGGGTACCTTATTTTCTGTCTCCACATCTTTAGAGACATTCTTACAAAGGAATTTTTCAACAGATCCTAGAAGAAGAAAAGAAATTTAGCACTTAAGGCCAAACAGAGGAAACCAAACAGTGATATATCCCTGTAGTCTAATGAGAGACTATCCCTGCTACCTCAAAGAAGCTGTAAGTAACCACATTCAATTCAAAGAAAGGAAAACCTATCCTGGGAAGCTGTGACAAGTCTGCAGATTTCAAACTTTCAATCACTGAGAAAACCAATTTGCTAACAAAGACTCCAGAAAAGATCATGGCCTTTCAGCAAACAGAAGACATCTTAGTTGGATTATGTTTTCCTATTACAGAGTGATGAACTGGCAGCCACCAATTACAATGCCCTAAGGAACAGCCTCTTCCACTTCATAGCTACCCCTTTATTACTTCTTGACAGACTAAGAATAAAAGAATACCAGGCAATGAAAAGGAGAAAGCCACTGGATGGATTCTGTCATTTCATCTGACAATTGTAAGGTATATCTTGGTCAGAATATTCAGGCATCATTTTTTAAACATTTAGAGTCTATGGAAAAGATCCACATGGTCTGTGATTAGTTATATCAAAGCTACAAGCCCCTTCCACACCAACCCTTGGAGAAAATGGAAGCTCATGATGTTTAAAAGCCTTTACCTTGACCATTTTTTTGGTTTGAGGGATTACCAACTTCAAAGTATCAAACTGCTGTTCACTTCCTCTCACCTCCCTCACCCCTGTCAAAAAATGTTTTGTTTACAGTGACTTGAATGAAAACATTATTTGGAGATATTAACGTTAGGGAAAGTTGGATGAATGGTATACAGGAACTTTCTGTAGTATTTTTGCAACTTTTCTGTAAATATAAAATTATTTCACAATAGTTTTTTAAAAGCTAGATATGTGGCCAAGAAGCATATTTTAAAAAGCTCAGTAGAGAGCTTTAGATGATCATTAGAGAAATGCAAATCGAAACCACAATGAGATACCATCTCACACCAGTCAGAATGGCCATTATTGAAAAGTCAAAAAATAACAGATGCTGGCGAGATTGTGGAGAAAAGGGGATGCTTATACACTGTTGGTGGGAGTGTAAATTAGTTCAGTCATTGTGGAAAGCAGTGTTGTGGTTCCTCAAAGACCTAAAAACAGAACTACTGTTCAACCCAGCAATCCCACCACTGGGCATATACCCAAAGGGATATAAATCATTCTATCACAAAGACACATGCATGTGTATATTCACTGCAGCACTATTCACAATAGCAAAGATATGGAATCAATCTAAATGCCCATCAATGGTAGACTGGATAAAGAAAACATGGTACATATACACCATGGAATACTATGTAGCCGTAAAAAGGAATAAGACTATGCCCTTTGCAAGAACATGGATGCAGCCATAGGCCATTATCCTTAGCAAATTAACGCAGTAACAGAAAATCAAATACCACATGTTCTCACTTACAAGTGGAAGCTAAATGATGAGAGCATGTGGACACAGAAAGGTGTACAACAGACACTGTGGCCTACCAGACAGTGAAGGGTGGAAGGAGAGAGGGGAGCAGAAAAAATAACTATTGATAACTAGGCTTAGTACCTGGGTGATAAAATAATCTGTACGACAAACCCCCATGACACAAGTTTACCTGTATAACAAACCTGCACAGGTACCCCTGAACCTAAAATAATAGTAAAAAAAAAAAAATTCCATTAAAATGCTACCTTCACCAGAAAAAAAAAAAAAAGATAATGACAACAGTGATAAAGATTGCTCACTACATCACAAGCGAGGAAAGCTAATTGCTCTAGATTGACTGAAACAGTGAAGAGAGCAATTTCATGCTAATATGCAAACTGATGTTTTACTACTATTTCTTACAAAAATGACTTTACTGTTGAAAAACCATGAGAATGTGTGTTGGCCAATGTGCCCAGGATTCTAGTGAGAAACAGGTTACAAGCTCCAGCAGTTAAATGAATACATCCACTTCTATGCTAGACCTCTTAGAGGTGTGAAGTATAGAATGGATATGTTTGCATGCAGAATTGTTGGGATACTTTGCCTCTGCGAATGAAGCGCAACAAGACTAGTGGCCAACAACAGAAAATGGGATAGAGCACCATCAGACTGAGCTCCCACACGCCTTCCTGGCAGGCAGCTGTAGTGCCAGGTCCCTGCCCCACCTTTCCCAATATACCTTAACCATCACACTCCTCACATAGACCTACACTAGGGCAATAAAGAAATCCTTCCCTGCAGTGAAAGATGAGAAAAATGAAGAGTGGGTTCACATCTTTGTCTAAAGTATAACTACCTACAGCTATGTAGAATCAGAGAAAGAAGAAAATTTAAGTACTGTGGACACTCACCCTATGAGTATCTTTTCCCCAGTATCACTACGACAAATGGAATTTTATGCAGAAAATTAGAATGCCAGTAACTCTGAGTACTTCAACAAGTTTTAGAGAGAAAATCCATTACTGGAGTAAGCAGAATTCAAATCCTCTCCATAATCTGGATCAAATGGAACAGTGCCTAGCACAGTTCTTGGTACACAACAGGCATCTAATAAATGGTAGTTTTCTTCCTCTAAGTGGCCTCATAAATATGGAGATACATATTAATATCTAAATACATGCTTGTTTGTGGTATTGAATGTGGTAACTGAGACTAGGAGAATCATATATATCTTTGAAAGTAAGGACAGAGAATGTAAATCAGGCAATAAATGACTGAAGACAAATGGGCAGGGACCGAGGGATATAGCATGTGCATATACAGGTGAAACATCCAGAATAAAGCCTGATGAAATCAAAGGCATTTTTATATTAGATCTATTCAGCCACATTCAATAAAGCTCCCCCAAGGATCAAGGAGTCAGCCTATGAAGTTCGAGGGTAAATGAGCTTAGGTGGACTGCAAGTGAAAGAGCTTACTAATTCTTCTCTTTTTGTAATAAACTTTTTCTTACAGAATAATTTGGATGTACAGGAAAGCAGAAAAGGTAATACAGAGAGTTCCTATATACCCCTCCCTTTGTTTTTCCTGTTACCATCTTACACTACCATGGGATATTTGTCACGACTAAGAAACCAGCATTGGCAAATTACTATTGAATAAACTCCATACTGTATTCAGATTTTATTAGTGTCTTTCCTAATGTCCTTTTCCTGTTTTAGGATTCCATCCAAGATATAACATTACCTTTAGTCTTCATGTCTTCTTAGGCTCCTCTCATCAGGGACAGCCTCTCATGCTTTTCTTGTTTTTCATGACCTTGACACTTTGAGGAGTAATAATCAGGTATTCTGTAGACTGCTCCTCAATTTGGGTTTGTCTAATGCTTTCTGCATGGTTACACTAGGGTCAGGTGTGGGAGGGAGAACACTACACAGGTGCTGCACCCTTCCCTACATGAGGGGTAGAAGCTTTCAACATGACTCGTCACAGATGATGTTAGCCTTGACCACCTGGCCGCCATAGTGTTTGCTAGGCTTCTTCCCTGGAAAATCACTTTTTCCCCCTTATATACTCCAATAAGACACTAACTATAGACCACACTCAAATCAGAAAGAAGGACTAAGTTCTACCTCTTTATTGCATACATTAACAATTCATACATAAAATATTTGGGATTCTTCTGTAGGAAAGATTTATCTCTTCTCCCCCGTTTATTTAATCACTCATTCAGTCATTTGTATCAGCATGGCCTCAGGGACATTTATTTTATACTTTCAGTTATAACCTAGCACTACATTATTTATTTTGCTGCTCAAATTGCTCCAACTTTGATCAGCTCTTTTCAGGATTACTCCTGTGCCCCTTTGATATGCCCCATTCTTTTGCTCTTTGAGCAATTACTTATTTTCTGATACTACAGAAGGTTATAGGTCATTTCGCATATTCCTTGCCCCAGCCCTAGAATGGCCATCTCTCCAAGGAGACCTGGTTTCTTTATCAGAGAATAGTATTAGAAAACAAGACCTGTGCACTGAGTACTGCCCCTCACTTTCTGCGCTCAGAGATCACACTACAACTGTCTGTGACAGGCTTGGCCTTCCTCTGGAGCATGCCCTTGGGCTGCCCGCATCTTCTTTCTGAATTGAGATCGTCATATGTCACAGGCAACCTTTATGCCTCTGGCTTCATGCAGCTATGTGGCGGGATTTCAGTTTGTGTAATTTTCGTGCCCTCTCTCATACCCATCACTCACCCATGGGAGGTAGTGTGAATTACCTGCTTGGGGATTTTGAAAGAGGAAACTGAGTTTGCCCAAATCCTCCAGAGTTCTCTCTCTCCAATATGCCTGACAGAAGAGCAGGGGCAATGATTAGTTGTCTGACAGTCCAAAGGGTCTGGGGTATCTAATAAGCTGACAATCGGGTGGGAAAGTCAATCTCATTTATGGGTGGAGACCTAGGAGGCCCACTGTGGCCATGCTGCTAAGTCAACCCATCATTCACTCATTTGCGTGTTCCTTATTCAACAAATGCTTATTTACCTCCTACACATGCCAGGCACTATTCCAGGCACTAGCGATACAGCAGTGGAAAAACAGACAAGAAAGAAACAGATTTTCTGCCCTCATGGAGCTTACATACCAGCAGGGAATACAGATAATAAAGAAACATAGATATGTAAGTGATACATATCTATTTTCGTGTATATATGAGTGATATAAAGAGGCAGGGCAGGTTGGCTCGGGAGAGTGCCTGGGAGGACAGAGGTGGTAAGGGCTGAATTCTGACAGCTACTGACTCTGAGGGACACTGGAAGCCATTAGATGACTTTTAACAGAGGAATAATATATTTCTTCTCCTTTCTTGCTTTTTAGGAATCACTTTGATTGTCAGGCATGTTCAAAACAGCCTACTGATAGGAGTAGTGGGAAGTGGGACAGCAAAAAACAAGGGTGCAAGCAGAAGCCCAGCTGGGCGGCTCCTGGGATAATCTAGGCCAGAGAGAATGGCAACTTGGACCCGGGGGTGGCAGTGGACACGGCACACGAAAGAGAAGAAACCTCAGATTACTTCAAGGTGTTTCGCCTGAGTGACTGGCAGGTGGAGTTGGACTTCACCAAGATGGGAGAACTACAAGAGGGGCAGGTTGAAGTGGAAAGGATCAATTGGATCAAGTGGAATTGAACATATTCAATTTGAAACATGTTAAGTGAGCAATGGAGAGGAAACGGTTAATGTCAGGGCTGCGAAAACCTGGTCTCCCTGGAAATGTTTCTTAAGAAACAGCAGAGTTAAGATAAATGGGGAATGTCTCTTCCACCCTTTGTTGAGTGGCTCTGCACCTGGGATGGGGGAGCTGTGGGCTGTCATGTAGGTCTTAGAACTGCAAAGGACTTGAATAATATAAAACATTTATAAGAAAAAGGAACTATGACTTCTCTGTGTCAAGGTGACCCCATAAACCCTGACTCTCATCCACAGCAGCCTTGTACACCCCAAGTGGGAGACAGGGCAAAAAGGTCTCGTATGTGGGTCACTACCGGGCCCCTTGATAAGATGAAGATGCTGTGCTTGCTGAATCTCCTGCTGTGTGTCTTGCTATAAAGCCATCTAAACATAATATTAAAACCTATTTGTGTCCTATGAGTCTGATGCTGACTTGAACCCATAACCACAGCTGTGCTGCTGCATAATAAAGCAGCTATTTTAATCTCTCCTTGTCTGACTGTCTGACTCCTTTAATTCTAAAACTGGGGAGGGAAGAGGATGGTATTAATTATTGACTCCCTAAATTTCCCCATCTTGGTAGGAGTTTCCTTCAGGCTGTGATTTGTGCAAATTAATCTTTATAGTAACTCAGAAGGCAAGAAGCTAACTGCAGACATGAAAATCCAACACTGTCAGAACCATTAAATCTTTACCCAACACTTGGAACCACAAAATGTCTCTAGTGCTGCTCCTTTAATGACGAACATATGGTTCCCTAAACAGAAAGAAAGAGCTCTTCTTCTGTACTGGTGGCCACCAAAAACACTGAACAAAACAGCCCATGGCAAAGGCCAAGACAGACCATGCAGACAATGGTCCCACCCTCTCCTTGGAAGGCTATGCTCTCACCAGGAGCAGAACAGTCCTTGATCACAGGAGTCAATTCACCACTGTGTGAATCACCTCTATTATCACATCAGCACAGGCCATGGAAACCACGGAAAGACTGATCTGCAGAGAGATTTTGCAGAGGTTATTATGGGCATGTTGATCCCTCATCACACAGAGCTTTTAGAGTTGAGCCAGACACTCCCTCCTTCCTCAAGTGTCAGTAAGAAGAAGAGGAGTAAGAGGATATTATAATGCTCTTACTTCAGGGAACAACAACGTAGGCTATGACTTAACTAATTCAGGTACCAAGCTCACTGAGGCCCTGCTATGAGTTGACATTGCTTTAGACCCTGGGGATACAGCAGTGAACACAACAGACAAAATCACCTCTTCCTTGATGGAGCTTACATTCCAGTGGAGTGAGACAAAAAAGATGATGATTTTTTAAAAAAATTTATTTTGAATGGCTGGTGCCATTCAACCATGGTTCTGTAATAAGAAATCTTGGAAGTCAAGTTTTAAAAATTCCTCCTGAGACCACAGATGCCACGAGTACTCTTCCAAGAGTGATGCTAACATTTGGGCACTTGGAGAATCATGGCTCTCAGCTCCACTTCTTCACTCCTCCTTATCAGCTCCTCCTGGATTTTACATTTTAATTGGGGCTGGCACATGCAACTGTTCCCTTTTTGCTTCCGTTAGTCTGACAGATTAGGCCAGTTGGTTTATTAACGACTTGGCCACCTACCAACAGCATAAGCACCGGGATAAATCCCAGTGGAGGGTCTCTCCTCTGCTTCCGCTGAGCTTGGTCTTGAAATGCTTTGATATCTACAGCAGTAAAAGCACAAGGAAACTAATTGCTCAATGGTAGCACGGCTTTGCACTTACTTATCAGAGAGAATCATCTTTTGGAAATTAATGTGTACATCTCCTCGATGCCATGACAAACTCACAAAATCTCATCACTCTGGTCTGAGAAATATGCCTAGAACAAAATAACTTACTGGATGATTTTATTCACTTCAGTTAAGAGACCGCAGCTCATTAGTCCTTTAATACAGATCTACAATATCAGGACTCCCCAAATAATGTTTTCCTTGCAAAATTACCCCAAAACATATAATTTAGAAATAAGAAGGCACCTGAAAACTATGACTACATAACATTTATACCAGTTTATGCTCAAAGGAAACAGACAACCTACCATACAATTTAGGTAAAGACTACTCAATAGAATTTACCCCTTTCTCTTTCTCTTTACTGTCTAAAAACTGCAATGGCAACAGTATTGTCCCCTTTAACATGCATAAGGAAACCTCTTTCCTTATACATAATTCAGTGCCTTTCACCTCCACTCTCTGCATGTCCTTACACATGGATAGACTGCCTGGCCAGCTGTCTGGATGGCAGACCCCAGGGAGCGGCCCCATTTTGTTAACTCACTGGACTGACTAAGGCAGCACCACAGGGAGATACAGAAGCCAATCAATGAGAGGACAAACAAACTCAGGTTTCCTCCTAGCACTTAACACAGGCTGTTCTTCTCAGCCCTGCAACATTTCAGGCAGTCTGACTCCTGCTTCATGAGCCTGAAAAACAGAACTTGTTTCGCTCTCAGCGACCACTCCACAGAGCAGACTGCAGTCCCTGAGCAAGCAGAGATGCAGGAGACAAAGCCCAAAGAGATGAGAAAAGGCAGAAGGAGCAGCTTTCTGTTCCCAGGCAATTTTGAAAGTTATAAATAGAATGGGGGGGAGGGATAAATGTAGGGGAGGGATAAATGTAGAGAAAACATTTACTATAGAAAGAAATACAAATCTTAAATATTTAGACAATGAAAGAAACAAAAAGAACTGCCACAAAAGCCACTCTGCATACAGGCTCATACGAGACATGACAACTGTCAAATAACTATGCAAAGCAATGAAATGTCTTCATCCCCAATTACTTTTGCTATTAATTGCAATTTCACAAAGGTTTCCAAGACCTTCCACAAGAGAAAAAAGATGCAATGCTTTTTCAAAGTTTGGCATGAGTTTTATGTCAGGAAACAAACTGGTTTGCACATTCGGAAGTTGGAAGTTAAGAAGGTTACATTTTTTCTCACATATTTTGGAGGCATCTGGACAGCCCTAATTTAAAAAAAAAAAAAAAAAAAAAAAAAAAAAAGCACCTGACCTTTGAAAAGCTCATAAGACAAAGTCAGCTTTATTTTCTGTTAGAGATCTGCTATAAAGAGTTAAGTATTTTTTACAAAAGAATGTGCATCTGTAGCTATGGAGTTGCTCGCACCATCGCAGCCTGTCTGTAGCAGGGATTGCTAACTAACACGGCCAGCCTGCATGTTGAGACAGCATCATCCACTAGAGGCCAGAATGAGACTGTCATGTACAGGCAAATCAAATATAGACTCAGGAAGCACCAGAGCATCAGGGAGTGACACCAATATTGCAGGTGACACGCCAACAAAATGCACTTCTAAATCCTCTTACGCAGTTTCTTTCCACATCCAAATCAGTGGGTAAATGAGGCACTAAAGGACAACATCTGTCAGCAAGAGGCTGACACTGTATTGAAGACTCAGAAACTAGAACAAAAATGGACCATTCTTTCCTGAACTGAAGTTGAGAAGGAAGGAAAAGAGGAGGCAGGGCATGGGTGCTGGTGAGACAGAGGCCAAGGACACAAATGCGTATCTGATATAGGAGGCAGGAGAGGAGAGCAGAGAAATGGGCAGGGAAAATGCCTCTGGAGTTCCTGGACCTGGAACTGGACTAGGAGCTAGTTGCAGCCTTGTGCATCAGTCAGGAACTGGTTAAAAACACACAGCACAGGCACACCATGGAGCATGATGCCGCCACCTAGCAACTGAGGTAGGCCTGTCTGTTGGTATGGAAAGACCTCTAAGACATGCTTAAGTAAGAAAGTGGTAGACACTATGCTCTGTAACGATGACATGTGTGAATTTGTTAAGGATGCATATGCACACACATATACATAAAATCCTTCTAAAGGCCGGGCGCGGTGGCTCACGTCTGTAATCCCAGCACTTTGGGAGGCCAAGGCTGGTGTGTTTTTAACCAGTTCCCCTCCTGAGGTCAGGAGTTTGAGGCCAGGCTGACTAACATGGTAAAACCCCATCTCTACTAAAAACACAAAAATTAGCCAGGTGTAGTGGCGGTTGCCTGTAATCCCAGCTACTTGGGAGGCTGAGGCAGGAGAATTGCTTGAACCCAGGGGGCGGAGGGTGCAGTGAGCCAAGATCATGCCATTGCACTCCAGCCTGGGCAACAGAGCAAGATTCCGTCTCAAAAAACAAAAAAATCCTTCTAAAAAGATGCACAAACAAATACAAGAAGCCTCCCAATTAGAAGCCTTGCACTTGTTGCTGGCCTGTTCAGAAAGGTCCTTTCCCAGATCAACTCCCACTGAGTTTTTTATTCGTTTACCATCTCAGCGAGACACTCCGGCCACTGTATTTAAAAATCAGTCCTTCCAATGCTATTGTCTCCCTTTGCTGCCTTATTTTCCTCAAAACACCTGTCATCATCATTTTTGTCTCACTCCACTGGAATGTAAGCTCCAGGAAGGAAGAGGTGATTTTGTCTGTTGTGTTCACTGCTGTATCCCCAGGTTCTAAAGCAATGTCAGCTCATAGCAGGGCCTCAGTGAGCTTGCTACATGAATTAGTTAAGTCATAGCCTATGTTGTGGTTCCCTGAAGTGAGAAAAGAGCTGGGATTTACTCAGATTACCAAGGAAACAATGCTGCATTGAGGCTGCCAGTCTGGACATGACCTCCAGCTGACTTTGCTCCAAAGATGAGTCCAAGCACTCCAGAGCATCTCCCTTCTCTTAAAGGGTCATAGACCCATAGACCAGGATTTTGTACATAAAGACTTTCAATATCTGGAGTGAGTTTGATCAAAGGATCTAACAGAGAAATGCAGCTAATGTAGACTTGTGAAGGCAAGAGGGCTTTCCTCTTCCTAGAAAGGCCATCCACCCCACCCAATGATATAGGTTTGGGAGAATCCTGGAGAAGCTGTGGAAGAAGGACACCTGCCTAGCAAGTCAGACCAGGCTGCTGTACCCTGGCTGTTGATGGCAGAACAGAAGTCACAGCCAGACTGTCCATGTGTCCCTGTCTGGAACACAGTTCTCCTCCACACAGCCCACTGCATTCGGCCTTCAACCAAAAAGGTGCTGGAGAATGACAAGCAAAAGCCCATCCAGGGTTCTTAGCAGTGGGGAAAGCATATTCCTATCATCATGTTTTGCTGAAATAATTTTGAATTATGCCTTGGACGTAGAGGATGCCAGAGTTCGGATATTCTCTTGGAAGAGGCCTTGGTAATGGAGGAGACACTCCCAAATAGTAAGTGGATTCTGGAGGCAACTACTTAACCAATCTAGTGCTATTTCAGAATTTTTAAAAAATATAATTGTAAGAAATGTTTTTGGAGTGAAACATGTATTATCACGTGGACCAATATAGCAGTTGGACTCAATGTAAATATTAATGGGACTTTTTTCTATTTCTCTACTCCTCACTACAAATTAGTTACTTGCCTGGGATCTAATTTTACTTAATATGTAGGTAAGGAATAGTGCTTGGCATGATTTCATGCTTGGAATATGTAAGTAAGGAAAAATGCTCAGCAGGATTTCATGCTTGGTTTGTTGTCTCTTCAGTTCTATTCTCAAGTAGTTTAGCATTTTGTTTTAAATGTTTTAGCTCCTAAGGGCATGAATATATACAATAATATCTCCCTTCCCAGATTATCAGACTCCTAAGTCTGACTCCTTCAAGCACCGAGAAGCCAGATCAGGACACAGATGAAAATGCTAACATAACACTGCATCATGCAGATGATTTGAAAACATGGTGACTGAGAAGTGGCTCATCCCAGATGGCTATGGGGTCAAATACATCTCCAGTTATGGCCCTCTGGACAAGTGGCAGGCCCTGCACTCATGAGGGCTCCCCATGTGCTGCTCCCTCCTAATGCCCACCAATAAATCCTACTTCCTGTCCAAAAAAAAAAGAAAAACCACCCATCATAGCAACATGCACTTTGCTCCTTAAGTTCTCATTCAAAGCCTTATTAACTATTATTTAACACATAAGCTTAAGTATGTTTAATTAATTTCTATATCTATGCAGCTTAAAAGGAAAATTGGCTAAAAGACATGAGTCAAGCAGCTGCAATGACTCAGAGATGTAATAGACAATGATAACAAAAGAGAAAACAGAACTATAAATAATGAATATTCATAATGAAAAACAATTGTCAAGCTAATATTTAACTACAACTAACACACATTGTAATGATAGAAAGCTTTCCAATGCACTTTAAAATGAATTTAACAAGAAATGGCATTAAAAGAAAGCAGTATTTTTTTTTTGAGGTGGAGTCTCACTCCGTTGCCCAGGCTGGAGTGCAATGGCTTGATCTCAGCTCACTGCAGATTCAGCCTCTCAGATTCAAGCAATTCTCCTGCCTCAGCCTTCCCAGTAGCTAGGATTACAGGTGCCCGCCACTATGCTTGGCTTGTTTTTTTGTTTGTTTGTTTGTTTGTTTTAATTTTTAGTAGAGATGGGGTCTTGCCATGTTGGCCAGGCTGGTCTCAAACTCCTCACCTCAGGTGATCCTCCCACCTCGCAAAGTGCTGGGATTACAGGCTTGAGCCACCACACCCAGCCAAGAAATTAGATTTTAAGTGTTCTCACCACAGAAAAGATAAGTATGTGAGGCACTACATATGTTAAATAGCTTGATTTGGCCATTCTACTGGTATACATACATCAAAACGTCATGTTGTACACCATAATATATATAATTTTTACTTGTCAATTAACAATAAGTAAATGGACAGCAGTACTTAAAAGAAAAAGATGTACATATTTAGATTATTCTCTTATATGGACCCAACTGTTAATTGTTAAAGCTAGCAAAATGGAAGTTATTGTATATATGGAATCTATATATATAGATATTATATGCCCCATATATATAATCAATAGACGATCGACAGCAATCCATTAAAAATTAGTGTGGGTTCCTACAAAATTTACATTTATTTTTACATTTATTTATTAAATAAATATTGAGTACTTCTAGCTCTTAGTGAGTTAGACAGACTTGGTCTTGCCCTTGTAGACCCTCCTTATGTTCTATTTCAGTCCTTTTTTTTTTTCTTTTTTTGAGATGGACTCTCATTCTGTCACCCGGGCTGCAGTGCAGTGGCGCCATCTTGGCTCACTGCTACCTACGCCTCCCAGGTTCAAGCAATTCTCCTGCCTCAGCCTCCCAAACAGCTGGGATTACAGGCACTCACCACAATACCTGGCTAATTTTTGTATTTTTAGTAGAGACGGGGTTTCATCATGTTGGCCAGGCTGGTCTCAAACTCTTGATCTCAAGTGATTCATCAATTTCAGCCACCCAAAGTGCTGGGATTACAGGCATGAGCCACCACACCTGGCCTATTCCATTACATTTTAGGTAAGTTCGTTGAAAGTGAAAATAGGATGCCTTGAGAGAAAATAGGTAAGTAGACCAGGTCTGTTCTGAAGGTGGTACGGTGGGGGTCTCTCTTGGGGTCCTAAATTTCAGATCTGAAGAGTGAGTATCACTTAAGTAAGTGAGGAGCTGGCTATGGGTGGGCACTCCAGTCAGGAGGAACAGCAAATGCAAAGGCCCTGGGGTGAGAGGAAGTGCATGGTGCCAGCAGAACTAAGGGAGGTCCTATGGCTGGAGCAAGAGGATGAGAGGCAGGGGTGGAAACACTCAGAACGCAAAACACATGCTGATGTAGATAACCTTTATTCTATGGGCAGTGGCAATTCACTGCAGAGTGCCATTCAAAGATGTTTGAAAAACTCATTTTGATGGCAGTGTGGAGAACAGATCAAAGTGAGAGCCTGAGTGAGCATCTGATTGCTTAAGGGGGACAAGGCAGTGTCACAGTCCTCCAGGGAGAGCAGATGGTAAGAAGGTGAGGATGAAGATGAATAGCTGTATTCAAAAACATTTAGGAGGTAACAGTGGACAGGATTTAGAGATGGACCAAGTATGGATGGTGAGGAAGAGGAAGGAGTAAGAGGCCTTGGTGTTCTGGCCTGGGCAGTTGGGAGCACCACAGGGTTGGCCACTAGATGGAGGACACGACACAGGCACAGGGATACCATGTGGGGTGAGGCAGGGACTGATCAATGTTGTTTCAATTTGCAAAGTTTGGAGTCCTGTGAAACATTCAAATGGGTATGTCAATAAAGGTGTATGTATGTATCTGAAGTTCACAGGCCACATCTGGGTTCAAGATATAAGGTTCAAGCCCTTCACTTACACTGGCTATGGGTCCTAAGAACCTACAAGGACAAAAGATTTCTATTGCTAAACTCATCACTGGAGGGGACAAAAAAGGTTCCCAGGGAAAAGTGCTTTTGATAAATTTTGTTTCAGAGAATTGGACCACTTACACTTTCCAAAGACATTGGACGAAATAAGAAAAATGGATTCCATGTCATAAAGCTCAAAAACACCACACAAACATGTCATCTAATAGCACATGATGACTATAATTTAATATGAGAAAAAATTAGCATGCTTGGCACACATGGACTAAGTACATAATAAACATTCGCTGATTTGATGATGCTGATACTGATAACAATGATGACATGGGACTGTTTTACAAAATGGATATAAACATATGCCAAAAAGATCATTTAGTTCTAGGATAAGTTGCTATGTACCAAATAGCCATATTGTTAATACTAGTTTTGCCAATTATAATTCTCAAAGCTCTTCCATACACTGTATTTTTGTAATCTTCAAAATCATCCTTTAAAGCAGGTGAGACAAATATTATATCCATTTTACAGATGTCAAAACTAAATCTCAAAGAGATTAAGAAACTCAACCAAAGATACTCAGTTAACAAGTGGCAGGGCCATGATTCATCCAAATCTTTGACTTCATCTTCCGTATGCCAACACTGGTTAAAAGGATCCCAGAAGAAACACAAAACAAAGTTGATGAAATCTTTGGAGGAGTTTGCTTTAAGAAATACATCTATGGAAGATTGCCTGAGGCCAAATACAGTATGAAAGATATGAAGGTTTTTGCCATCTTGGAAGGAGAGCAAAGCGAAGAAATGGAGAAAAGTTGAGTACTGAATTGATATCACTGTGCAGAGTTGCTAGATGAAGCACAAACAGATTTTCAGATAAGCAAGCCATACATTTTTCTGTTGTCCCACTAGTTTGAATAGCACTTCTATCACTTGCAATCAAAATAATACCAATAAATGCAATGACATTGGACATCTCACTACTTTCTCAACAAAATCCATACAACCTTCCTCTGTGACTATGCTCATGCTGTTTCTACCAACTGGTATTCCTTTTCTCACCTGTTGAACTCCTAGCCATCCTTCAAACACCCCCTCACTATGATCTGCAAAATGAAACCTTTACTGACTCCACCAAGACAATCACTTCTCCCTCTCTTGCTCCCCAGGCACTTTATTTGCACTTCTCTTACAGAACTTCATCCTCTGGAGTAGGCATCTCTTCTTCCCTTGGTACAGTATCTTACACATGGTAGACCTTCAATACGTAATCAATTTTACCACACTGTATACACTGGAATGCTAACTAATTTCTCAGAAGATTGCCAATGTTGAAATGTTTAAATGTTTAAAATGTTAATATTATGTGACAAAACAAAAGAATGGTCAAACCTCGGCCTTTCCTCTCCACATTTACTAGATGAACACACCGTATAGACATTTCCTAGGACCTCCTATAGCTGGTCATTCTGAATATCATTTTGGGGGCAGTAGAATATAACTACCCTAAAAATATGAAATAAGAAGTTGAAAATCCTTCACTTTTCATATTAAGCACATAGATTTTATTTTGCAGATATCCTCTGTTAATTGCACTAAAAAAGGCATGTCCCTCCACCTCATAAATCTTATAAAAAATATTATAAGCATATTTTAATAATTTGTACCTTCTATCGTTTCAGCCATTTCTCAAAATAGCTTTGAAATGTTATATTTTACTATTGTTCATAACAAATCATGTAACCTAGTTCAAAAAACAAGGAAAGTGAATTCAAATAAGAATATTTTTTCGTTAAGATCTAGCAAAGTGTTTTATATTCCTAATCTGGGTTTATTCTATGAAAGAAAAAGGAATTAATCTTTGTTTTTAATCTACACAGCATTCAAACTGGAAAGGCAAATTTCTATTTTCTAATGCTGGGTTATTAAAATGTATTTCAGATGACAGGCATAAAATACTTATTTCCATACAAACGACAAGACAGCAAAATGAATAGAATCATCATGCTCATGGAAAATGCCAGCACCTCAGAGAGAGGGAGATCCAATCAGAAAAATGCTGTAGCTTTTACCTTTCAGAATAACGATTTACTAAGATTACTTTTAACCAGCTAATGGCTTTTGGTCTGACAAAATACAACAAATATTGGCATAGCATCTTACAGTATACGCTATATGCTGATAATTATCCCCATTTGGTGTTTATGGAAAATGAAGCCTAGAGGTCTTAATAACAGCGAGTACGTGATGAAGCCAGAGGCCCGGAGGCCTGTGTCTCATCCCCAGTGGCCACGTGACAGGTTATACAAGTGCCAACAAATTGCTGCTCATGAGACTTTTTTGCCCAGCTCTCATTTCATACCATAGTTGCCTTCAGGCTTCCAGAAGCTGTTCACCTCCAGAGCTGCCTCTTTGGCCCAGCCTTCTCCTTGGGGATGGGCGCTCCCCTCACCTTCCATGGCTGCCTTACTCCTGCTCCCATCTCTCCACTGTTGCGTCTTCCCGTCTAGGCCGGTCCCTTCAGACCTGCCTTTCCCTCCTGGAGATATGACACCTGACTCTGATTCAGATAGTCTAGGACCCTGGAAAGGTAAAGAGGAGTTTCCCTCTTCTGAAAAGAGACCCCTGATCTTGCTCCGCACATGGAAATAGCAGAAATATGTCTCCAGTACACTGGCCCCATGCTCTGGTTTACGGGACGGGTCATTACTCCAAGAGAGTCTATCACGGACATTCTGCTCCAAGAGAGTCTATCACGGACATTCTGCTCCAAGAGAGGCTATCACAGACATCCTGGAATGGGAAGGATGCCTTCACACCGGTTGTGAAAAAGTCACTGGAAGTGGGATAAATTGAAGGCAGGGGCTTTTCCTTTTGCTCTCGAGTTATTTCCTTGGGTCTCCGCTCAGGGTGTCTGCACTAATCTTCAGTCCATCCCAGGTGGTGGCAACTGGTGAAACCAAGTGCTGCCCTGCATATACCATGTGCATCTGCAGTGGGTTCATCGAAGTTACCAGAGCCTGAATGTATGTGAAAGGCCACATTCTCCAGGGGGCCCTCTAACATATTCAGCAAGAGGGTGGCAACTTGAGGGGCCCGATAACTTTCAGGATGTACTAGATCAAACTGCCTCAGAGTTATCTCAGGAGGGCTGCTTTTTTTTTTTTTTTTTTTTTTTTGAGACGGAGTCTTGCTCTGTAGCCCAGGGTGGTGGAGCGCAGTGGCGCAATCTCAGCTCACTGCAACCTCTGCCTCTCAGCTTCAAGCAATTCTCCTGTCTCAGCCTCCCAGGTAGCTAGGATTACAGGCATGTGCCCCCACACTCGGCTAATTTTTATATTTTTAGTAGAGATGGGATTTCGCCATGTTGGCAAGGCTGGTCTTGAACTTCTGACCTCATGATCCACCCGTCTCCGCCTCCCAAAGTGTTGGGATTATAGGCATGAACCACCGCGCCTGGCCAAGGGCTGCTTTTAACAGAACTCTGCACACAACTGTTCTGACCGCCTCTTGGTACACTCCCCATCAGTCTCTCCTTCTGTTCTTGTAGTGGCATGTCTCCATTCATTTTTATTGTTAATATCAATCTGGGGGGACCTTAAAGCAAACGCTGTATTGTCTGATTCCTTTCTCCATCCATTGGAGCTGTCGCTGTCGCAGGGGGCTGTACGTTGACCTTCAGGCAGCCTCTGGATGGGGTCGTCACCTCTGCAGTTGTCAACCGGCCATCCTGCTATGGCACCCTTGGGCGTCCCTGCAGGCTGTACTCTGAACTCTGCCCTGACATCCTCTCCCAGGGGCGTGTCTCCAGGACAGGAAACACTACTTTCCAGCAGAGTGATTTCTGGTACCAGTGTGCTACCCCTTGTGGGAGATAAGAAAATTCCTGGAAACTCTCTGCATTTCCTGCCTAGAACACCCCTTCTGAGAGTTCTCTTCCCTCCCCCAGGTTCCTCTAAAAGTTCCTCCTCTGAGCTGTCTGTCAGTGGACTCCAGAAGTAACCATTTCTGGGTGGGCTCTGCCCAGTCTCCTCTAAAACCTTACTATCTACATAGGTGTGTCTGAGTTGTGGCTGAACCCCAACCTCTCAGGAAACATCTCATCCTCACTGGAGTTCTGAATATGTCTATTTCCTGTTCTGTCATATTGTTGTTCAGCAGACTCCTCCTGCTTAAGACTTTTAGCAGGGGGCATGGCACCTCCTCCCTCCCTCTCATTCCTAACTGTAGTTTCTTGCCGCCCACAAGACCGATAGCCAGGAAAATTCTCCAGGAAGGAATTTGAAAATTCCAAAGACAAGGCCATTTCTGACAAGTTGTTCTGGGAGCTTAAAGGGAAGCTATGAATATCCATTTGGGTACCAGACTGGTCTCTGAGCAGAGGGGGAGGATCAGATGATCTCAGATAACCCTTTTTCTTATTTCCTAGAGCATTTGAACTTTGGCAAAGGTTAGACCAAGGGAGTCCTACAGAAGTTTGGGGACTTTTCAACTTGTGCTTTTTGGGAGAGCTGCACAAGAACTTCTGGGCCCAATTTATAACATGACTCAGCTTCTGTGCCTCAGGGACAAAGGCATCAGCCACCATATGGAGATGCCATTCAGTTGGGCAGCAATTTCTCTTGGGCCCCCACTGGGCTCTCTGGTCCCAGTATTGCTCTGCTTCTCCGGGAGTCACTTTGGACACTTCAAGGAGCAGAGGTTTCTTTCCATTTGCTAAATAATGAGGTAACGCCTGAAGGCCCCTCAGCCTGAAGGTCTGATGTTCTGTGGGGTTCACTTGGATGTCTTGGGAAGCCATCAACACTGATTGGCTGCCATTTCTGGAAGAATCACCCTTGAGGATCCCAATGCTTTCACAGTAAGTTACACACTTGGCTCGTGAGAGCTTTAGGCCATGGGATTGAGGAATGTCTGCTTCATTCTGTGGAGAATGTGCAGTCTGTATGGGAGGTAATGGATTCATCTGCAAATTTTTTAAAAAGAGACATTTTTTAAATACATGCTGTTTCAGGCAGAAGCAACAGCATGTGTGAAGGCTTCCAGATGAGCAAATTTGGCCAGAAGAAACTGGCCCAGGCCAAGGGCTGCAGACCCCTGGGGTGGAGCGAGTCACAGTTGCTGCAAGTCATTGGAGAATCCATATGTGAGCTAAAAAATGCCTGAATAATAAACAAATAACACTGCAATTCATGAAATACATATTCATATGCAAATGACTTCTGAACTCAGAGAAGCCTTTTGACATTGTGTATTTTCTTAATCCTTATACTAAAAGTATAATGACGAAAAGTATAATGACTGTCATGTCACTTTTGGAGAAAAAATTTCAGGATGAAACCATGACTTTATATTAAAAAAGTCATGGTCCATGTTGGCCTAGACTTAGCCTGTGCCCTCCCGCTTCCCTGACCCCTGTTTAGTGTTCTCAGGCTGCATTTGACTCTATGCCCAATAGGAAATCAATCTCATAAATAAATGCATGTTTAGGTGTTGCTAAGTTACAAGAAGTTATAATCTTATACACATAATGTTGATACTAAATAACACTAAATAGACACTTTGAAATATGTATTTATGCACTTTGACAAATAATTTCTGAAGACATCATGTCTGTTCTGGAAGTAACAGATATTTGCGTCATGGAATTTTCCACGAGAAAAAGGAGCCATCTATCTTAGAAGGCAAAGGAGTGATTATACATGAAAAATCCTTTCTAGCCCAGTGGCTTTTGCAATGCATTCTGCAGAGCTCCATATTTGCAAGGAAAATCAGAGATCATGACAGAAGGGGTTTGGAGGGGGCCAAGGGGACTGCAGGATTTGAAACCCTTCATGCACTTCAACTAGAGCAATTCTAGTACATTTTAAATGGCAAGACTTCCTTTAAGGAAAGGATTCAACTGCCATGAAAAAGCATTTGAAATCTTCTGTACAATATTCTTACTTTGCAGAATAGGGGACCGAGGCTTAGAATGATGAAGTGACTTCTTCAAGGTCAGCCTGGTTGAGAACAGCAAGGTCATGCATGATAAGGGCCCTGTCTCCATTGCACCACAGTAGTGGGACATCCTCAGACTGGCAGCACGCCTGCAATCTCTCATGTAGTATCATCTACCATATCTGACCATTCCAGCTCACCATGAATGACACCTTCTACAAACGATACCACTTAGTGTCTGTACATTGCTTAGAAACTATCATGTATTGCTTCTTTACTCATGCTTATTATATTGGTCATTTTAATTTTTGTTTCTTGAGTTATCTAATGTTTTACAAAAACATTTATTTTGAAACAACTCAAATTTACAAAATGTTATAGGTATAGTATAAATAGGGTAACCAACCATCCCTGTTTGCCTGGAACTGAGGGGTTTCCCCGACACATGGCCATCAATGCTAAAACTGAGACTATCCCAGACAAACGAAGCTGGTCAGTCACCCCAGGTAAAAAGTCATTTTATCCCCTTGAGAGTAAGTTGCCAACCTAATAGTCCATCATCCCTGAATAATTTAGTGTAGATTTTCTACAAACAAGGACATTATCTTTCATACTTTACAACATAGCCAGCAAAAACAGGAAAGTAACATTGATACATTATGACCATCTTATCCTCATACTCCATTCAATATTCACCAGTTGTTCCAGTAATGTCCTTTCTAGCAAAGGATTCAATTCAAAATCATGCATTGCATTTAGTTGCCATGCCTCTTTAGTCTCCTTCAATCTGGACAGATCCTCAGTCTTTCCTTGACTTAATGATGTATCTAATTTTTAAGGTAGCCACATCTAGTCTCTCTGATTTAGGGCACATATAGTAGGTTATGGGTTTTTTTTTCTTTTATATTTTTAGAGCACCAATAACATTTTTTAACCATGTAGAATGTGCTTCATAAATAACTGATCAACAAGCATGAAGTCAGCCAGACTCCATAACTGAAGGTAGCCATGATTCTGCTGGGATATTGAACTGGTTGTTCTCAGCAACAACTTGAACTCCCAAAGGGTCTGGTTTTCACACTGTAGCAAAGTCAAAGAACGAGAAGACTCTTTACTCTTCAGCTCTTCTTTGAAACCAAGAACATTTCATCTAGGCTGGCCCCAATCAATAATCTCAGCAGACTGGACTAGCTCATCAAAGAGTGAGATACTGGGACTGTGGAAGCTAGTCTGAAGACCATATGGTTTCAGCTTTTTACCCTTTTCTCATTACATTGCACATTGCCTTGCACTAACCTTATTTTTTAT
Organism: Homo sapiens; assembly: GCF_000001405.40. NCBI lineage: Eukaryota > Metazoa > Chordata > Mammalia > Primates > Hominidae > Homo > Homo sapiens. The sequence goes on from NC_000009.12 coordinate 83,211,692, forward strand.
CATGATGCATATAAGGGTGTCATTAGGGCCACAGTGGAGTAAAGATGACTTGGCTATTGTCTAGGCCACTTGTGCCTGTCACTTATTAGAGATGGACACTCAGATCCAGAAAGTAGGACCACAGCTATGCCCACAAGAAGTAAGTAGCCAACTTATAAAGGAACCCGTGGCTTTTGGAAGCCCAGCGCTCTTTCCACAGCTTTCTCACTGTAAACAATAACAGCATGAAGACCCATTGTCAGGAAATTGTACTCATGTATAATTAGTATCACTGTATACTTAGGACCTCAGAAACCCAGAAACTAGTACTTGAATTGAAAAAAATAAACCCTTAGTGTGTGGGTGTATGTGTGTGTGTGTGTACATATATTTATATGTATGTATATATGTATATAAAATCAGGGTCCAGTGAGAGATATGAAAAATGTGTGATAACAATAACAACAAAATAATAACAGTAGCTGTTAACACATAGCACTTAATGCTTTGAAAACAGAAGACAGATAGGTTAAGTAACTTGCCCAAGGTCACATAGCTGTAGATAGGAAAGCCAGAATTTCAGCCCAAGTCTACTGGTTTCAGAGTTCTTGTTTTTCTTAACTCTTGGATATATTACCTCTCACTTTTAATTATTTAGCTGGCTCTGCATTGTCATAACCAATGTATAGCTCAAGTTGTATTTTTAGAACCCAAATTCATAAGCCATTAATTCAAACACAAATAAACTGGTCTGCCCATGGAAAAGAAAATATCTGAAGCCAAACAGAAAAAAGAAAAAGTTTTACAATTATGATTTGCAATTACTTAAGAGCATTGTATACAACTGACAGTGTCGGTATATATAGATAAACAGATAGTTGCTTAATAAGCCTTTATTTCATTCCTTCTTGAATGACAGAATTTCTCTTTGGACCTCTGCGCTTCACTGTGTCCATAGCTGCTCCTTGCAAGTGACTGAAAACTTCCAAGAAATAAGCTTTGCCTCCCAGCTCCTCTGCAGGGTGCAGTCTGTACATGCCACCTATAGGCATGAAAAAGATGCTTGCTTTCTCCAGCATAGCCAGTGGGACTGCTTAGTGGGCTGTAAACCCCAAAGATTGTAGCAGGCAGAGCAGAAGTCAAGGGAGAGGCAAAGGGAATGGTTCACGCAAAACTTGTGACATTAAGAGAGAGAGTGGGGAGAAAAGCTGCAAGTGAATTTAAGGAAAGAAAACAGAAGCGTAACCACATTAAATTAAGGGCAGGGAAAACAAGGAGAATGATACATCAGTTACAAACTGGAAACAGAGGTTGTCTTTTACCAAAAGCCAAACTACCTGCACAGTGATAAATTATTAGAACACAAAATAGTTTCTTCTTTTAGTACGATAAACCGGGAAACAATGCACAATGCACACGTTTTAAAAAAAAAAAAAAGAAAGAAAACAACTAGGCACAGTGGCTCACATCTGTAATCTCAGCACTTTGGGAGGCCAAGGCAGGTAGATCACTTGAGGTCAGGAGTTCGAGACCAGCCTGGCCAACATGGTGAAACCCCATCTCTACTAAAAATCCAAAAATTAGAGGGGCATGGTGGCATGTGCCTGTAGTCCCAGCTACTTGGGAGGCTGAAGCTGGAGAATCACTTGAACCCAAGAGGCAGAGGTTGCAGTGAGCTGAGATTGTACCACTGCACTCCAGCCTGGGCAACAGAGCGAGACTTCATCTGAAAAAAAAAAAAAAAGATAAAAATAAAAAGTAAAACAAAATAACACTACATATTCTAAAAGAAGACTTTCCCTCCTCAAATCTAACAGACACCGTTGTTCTATTTCTGGTGCTTATACAATATCTGTCTCATTTAAAATAACCTGCAATTCCATCTCAGACAAGTCTATAACGGAAGTAGCTGATGGATAAAACTCTCCTCATTTTCTCCACCCCTACTTTAAGGCTAAAGCTTCAGGATTCTCTAAGCCAGGACCCAGGTGAGAGAACAGTCTCCTCTAAATGAAGAACTCTCTCCCCAGCCTCAGGACTTTGTTATTTTACATATATTTATCTCTCCTCTCATGCCGAGTATATGGTAGAACCTCAACACACTCTTGTTAACTAGCTAAAGAATCAATCTAATTTGATCTAAACAATCAAATTTTCATTTTTAACTTTTCACTCAGGAAAAAAATATTCTACTTTCCCCTTGGCCACTACTTCATCATTTTGGAAGCTCCAGCAGGTGGTACAGCACATTAAAAATACATGGATTCTGCCAGGCACAGTGGAACATGCCTGTAATCCCAGCTATTTGAGAGGCTGAGGTGGGAGGATCACTTGAGCCCAGGAGTTCAAGACTGTAGTGAGCCATGACTGCACCTGTGAAAAGCCTCTGCACTATAGTCTGAGCAACACAGTGAGACCTCATCCTTAAATATTAATTAATTAAGTCGGGCACAGTGGCTCACACCTGTAACCCAGCACTCTGGGAGGCTGAGGTGGGCTGATCACCTGAGTTCAAGGCCAGCCTGGCCAACGGGGAAACCCCATCTCTACTAAAAATACAAAAATTAGCCAGGCATGTTGGTGTGCATCTGTAATCTCAGCTACTCAAGAGACTGAGGCATGAGAATTGCTTAAAACCCTAGAGGCAGAGGTTGGAATGAGTCAAGATCATGCCACTGCATTCCAGCCTGGGCAACAGAGCAAGACTCTGTCTCAAAAAATAAATAAATAAATATTAATTAATTTTTAAAAATATTTAAAGAATATGTGTGGATTCTAGAGTCAGGCAAACAATTTTGGGTTTAAATCCCAGGTCTACCATGAGCTATCAATGTCCCTTTAGGTAAATGACTCAACCTTGGTTATATGGTTTGGCTGGGTCCCCACCCAAATCTCATCTTGAATTGTAGCTCCAATAATCCCCATGTGTCATGGGAGGGACCCTGTGGGAGGTAATTGAATCATGGTGGTGGGTTTTCCCATGCTGTTCTCCTGATAGTGAATAAGTCTCAAAGATCTGATGGTTTTACAAAGCGCAGTTCCCCTGCACATAGTCTCTTGCCTGCTGCCATGTAAGACATGGCTTTGTTCCTCCTTCGCCTTCCACCATGATTGTGAGGCCTCCCCAGCCATGTAGAACTGATACAGACAGTAGACAGGGAAACACTGGGTAGAAAAGGGTGGTTCCCTGGCAAAGGCCCCACTCTCAAGCCTAAAGACCCACAGCCCTAAACAAGGATAGGCATTCCTGTTTTTGCACCCAAAAAGTTGCTTTTTGGACTACCATGCTCCCTATCCTGTACCCATATAAACCCTGAACCCCAGGCTCCAGAGCAGACCAGCAGACAAAGAGATGAGACAAGCAGAAAGACAGCAAATGATGTGGCAGAGAAAGAGAGAAGAGGAACGTCTGAACACCAAGAAGAGTTGGACTGGGGGTAGTTGGAGAGGAGTTAGGCCACTGGACAGCCCAACTCCAGGGGAAGATCATCTTCCCATTCCATCCCCTCCTACCAGCTCCCCATCCATCCTGATGAGAGCCACCTCCACCACTCAATAAAACTTCACATTCATCCTTCAAGCCCATGTGTGACCCGATTCTTCTGGGATGCTGGGCAAGAGCTCAGGGTATTAAAAGCTATCACACTGGCCCTCTACCCTTGCAAAAAGGCAGAGGGTCCATTGAGCTGGTTAACACTCAAGCCATCTGTGGATGGCAAGGGTAAGAGAGCTTTGTAACACTGGGGCCACAGACACCCACCCCTAGACAGTAGACACTACCACAGGGCTGGAGCCTATAGTGCTCCCCTGGCTCCTGCCTGTCTGCGTGCTCCCCCTTGTCAGGGGCAAGCCACACTCCTGTCACACATCCTGCTAAGGGGATCAGGGAACTCTCCCATTTCAAAACTGTGAGTCCATTAAACCTCTTTTTCTTTATAAATTACCCAGTCTCAGGTATGTCTTTACTAGCAGTGTGAGAACGGACTAATACAGTAAATTGATACTGCAGACAGTAGGGTGCTGCTGCAAAGGTACCTGAAAATGTGGAAGCAAATTTGGAACTTGGTAACAGGCAGAGGTTGGAATGGTTTGAGGAGCTCAGAAGAAGACAGGAAAATATGGGAAAGTTTGGAACTTCCTAGAGACTTCTAGGGCTCAGAAGACAGGAAGATATGGGAAAGTTTGGAACTTCCTAGAGACTTATTGAATGCTTTTGGCCAAAATGTTGATAGTGATATAGACAATAATGTCCAGGCTAACGTGGTCTCAGATACAGATAAGGAACTTGTTGGAAACTAGAATAAAGGTCACTCTTGCTATGCAAAGAGACTGGCAGCATTTTGCCCCTGCCCCAGAGATCTGTGGAACTTTGAACTTGAGAGAGATGATTTGGGGTATCTGGTGGAAGAAATTTCTAAGCAGCAAAGTGTTCAAGAGGAAGCAGAGCATAAAAGTTCAGAAAATTTGCAGCCTGACAATGTGATGGAAAAGAAAACCCCATTTTCTGGGGAGAAATTCAAGCTGGCTGCAGAAATTTGCATAGTAACGAGGAGCTAAATGTTAATCACCAAGACAATGGGGAAAATGTCTCCAGGTCATGTCAGACAGCTTTGTGGAAGCCCCTTCCATCACAGGCCCAGAGACCTAGGAGGAAAAAATGATTTCCTGAGCCAGGTCCCAGGCCCCCTTGCTGTGTGTAGCCTAGGGACTTGGTGCCCTGTGTCCCAGCTGCTCCAGCCATGGCTAACAGGGCCCAAGGTACAGCTCAGGCTGTGGCTTCAGAGGATGCAGGCCCCAATCCTTGGCAGCTTCCACGTGGTCTTGAGCCTGCGGGTACACAAAAGCCAAGAACCGAGGTTTGGAAACCACTGCCTATATTTCAGAGGATGTATGGAAACACCTGAACGTCCACGCAGAAGTTTGCTGGAGGAGCAGGGCCCTCATGGAGAACCTCTGCTAGGGCAGTGCGAAAGGGAAATGTGGGGTTGAAGCCACTGAAGCCCCCACACAGAGTCCCCACTGGGGCACTGCCTAGTGGAGCTATGAGAAGAGGGCCTGTAAAATCACAAGCAAGTTAGTTAATTTCTAGATACAATGGGGGTAAAGGCATTGGATAAATATACCCTTTCCAAATGGGAGAAACTGGCCAAAACAAAGGGGCTATAGGCCCCATGTAAGTCTGAAATTCAATACTGTAGTCATTCTCCCCACCCCAGAATGGTAGATCCACTAACAGCTTACACCATGCACCTGGAAATGCTGCAAACACTCAACACCAGCTGTGAAAGCAGCTGGGAGGCAGTCTGTACCCTACAAAGCCACACAGGCAGAGTTGTCCAAGGTTGTGGGAGCCCACTTCTTGCATCAGCATGACCTGGATGTGAGGCATAAAGTCAAAGGAGATCATTTTGGAACTTTAAAGTTTAATGACTTCCCTATTGGGTTTCAGACTTACATGGTGCCTATAGCCCCTTTGTTTTGGCCAGTTTCTCCCATTTGGAAAGGGGGTATTTATCCGATGCTTTTACCCCCCATTGTATCTAGAAATTAACTAACTTGCTTGTGATTTTACAGGCTCATTGGTGGAAGGGATTTGCCTTGTCTCAGATGAGACTTTGGACTGTGGACTTTTGAGTTAATGCTGAAATGAATTAAGACTTTGGGAGACTGTTGGGAAGGCATGATTGGTTTCAGAATGTGAGGACATGAGATTTGGGAGAAGCCAGGGGCAGAATGATATGGTTTGGCTTTGTCCCCACCCAAATATCATTTTGAATTATAGCTCCCATAATCCCCACGTCATGGGAGGGACCCAGAGGGAGGTAATTGAATCATGGGGGCAGTTTCCCGCATACTGTTCTCATGGTAGTGAATAAGTTTCTCACTACCATGGTTTTATAAAGGCCAGTTCCCTTGCACACACTCTCTTGCCTGCTGCCATGTAAGACATGCCTTTGCTCCTCCTTCGCCTTCCGCCATGATTGTGAGGCCTCCCCAGCCACGTGGAACTGTGAGTCCATTAAACCTATTTTTCTTTATAAATGACCCAGTCTCAGGTATGTCTTTATCAGCAATGTGAGAACAGACTAATACATTCGGTTTCCTCATTCATAAAAATAGAGTTGGGGGGTGGGGAAGTGGGTCTTAAACTTTTCCTATCTCACGGTACAGGAATAAAGGGGGATAAAATATCTTAGGTGTCTGGTCCAGAAAAGGTAATTATAAATGTTACTTATGTTTCCTTCTCCTCCTAATTTATCCAATAAATGCAAAAACTCTGAGGCACTCACTGTCTTTTGCTCTTTATCCATTCATCAAACTTTCCTTGGAGCCTAATTGCATGCCAGATACATAACTTCATAAAACACATGTGGTTGTCTCTGGTCCTGTGGAACTACAGTGACAGGGGAGGGGGCAGAAATGAAACAGCTTACTGATAAATGAGTGAATGAATTTGGCTAGATTAATAGGAGTGGGTGAAAGGTAGCATGAATAAACACTCCATTAGGGAAAAAGAAAATTAAGCTAAATTCAAAGTACCAAGTGTGCACGTGGAAGCCAGATCCTGGGAGTTTCTGAAATTCTCTGCGCCTCCCTTTCCTCTTCTACAAAATGGAGATAGTAATAGATGGTAACTCTTTTGGGTTACTGTGAAAAGTAAAACAACACTCCCCTCCCTCATCCTCACTAACCCAGCATATCAACCAGTTTTCTGAGATGTCTAGATTTCCATTTGGCCTCCAGCCAGCTTGAACAGCCAAACTGCCCCCAAGAAAGCACCCTGAATGTGAGGTCATCCAGGGTCCTAGGACTCCATCATACCCACTCCAAAACTAAAAGCCCACAGACCGTGGGGGTAGGACCTGACTAGCTGAAACATGCTGACCAAGCTACCTGAAGCACCTCTGAGGTATGCCCAGGCCTCAGGGTTGTCAAGCAGAAAAACCAGCACCTCCAGCCAGGTGTGTCTCTCTCATAAAGAAAGCTGAAACAGTTTTCCCTGCTTCTGAGTGGCAAGCTCGCCCCCAGATGTTTCTGAGAGCACCGCCCTTGCATTCCCACCAGGCCACCTGAGAACCTGGCCTCCCACATCTGGATTCGGCTGAAGCAGCAGTGTTTGAGAGAAAGGTGAGACTGGACAGTCAAGAAAGGGACAGAAAGTCGACGGTCTGGGAACTATCCCAGCGTGGACATTTACAGAAGCCACATACCTGTGTGTCCTCACTCCTCACAGGAGGACCGTGCAAAGGCAAATTGCTAGGCAGGTAGACCTCACAGATTCTCTCAGCCGGGCAGTCGGTGAGTCTGTCCAAAGCATTTGAATCTGAAGATAAAATGTTAAGAAGAAAATCCTAGAAAAACATGTCACATATATTCTACCCACCGAACCAAACAAAAACAAAAAAGAAACACTTAATTTTTAATAATGGGCGCAAGAAGTACTCAAAGTAATAAATAATAATAATAATAAAAGTTACTTCTTAGCCTGACTGTCCTGGACGAGAATTCCGTCCCCACTTGCAGGTCGGGCACTGAGTGCCTGGACAGAGAGTTAGGTCCCCCGCTTACCCCGCCCTAAGGCTGCGGAAGGCGGCGCCATCGGTCGCCATGGAAATCGCGGCGGATGGGCGGATCCTGGGCAGGTTGGCTGGGTCGGGCTGCCCGGGCGACGCCGGAGTTGCAGTTGGAGGCTGCGGGAATACAAAGGTAAGAGAGCAACTCCTGGGTTCCCTTGACTCGCAAGGGCTTGACCCCTGCCCGGGTTCTGGGAAAGTGAAGCAGAAAGTCGCCTCCCAGCGCAGAATATTCAAATTTGCCAGATGATCAGAATTACGCTGATTTAAAACCCAAACCCTCCCTAGTTTCCCACTCCTGCCCTGCTAAATCAAAATCTCCCAGCCAGGATCCGGAATCTGGATTTAACCAGGGGCCGTTTATAGAGTTGGGAGATTGGTAGATACGAGGTTCGCCTATTCTTATTTCTCAACGCCATACCACTACCCCGTAATGGTAAAAGAATTTGCACCCCAAAATCCTCCCCAGCGGCTCTGAAATGGAGTGCTTGGAGCTGGAAATGCGGAGCCCATTCCTCTCCTTGCAATACTGAAAGTTGTGAGCTGATTGGAAGCGTCGCTGCTTCTTGTGGGTTTCCCACTGGGGGGCAGCCTCGTCCTTCGCTCCTATTCCTTCCGCAAAGCAGAGCCGACAGTGTGGTTTCTGGCTAATTCCGGCTGCAGCCTGGTTAATAATATAAGCAGCACTTCTAGGAAGCGGAGCTTGGATGCAGAGCAGAGCCTAGGGCTGTAAATGGAAGAAGCTCTCAGCCCCAATTCCTAGTTTACAGTTAGGGTTCAGAACAAAGAATCCACGCTTGTAAAGCAATAATGTTCCCCTTGAGGGGAACATTACACTGCCCTTCAGTTCACGTGTATTATTTCTCAGCCCCCCCGAGCTTTATCTTTCATTGGGCAATCAGGTGGGACTTCAGGATTGATGGAGCCAAGCGTTAGCCTTGGCTGCACACTGAGTAACTATGAGCCTCACCTGACCACCTTCAGGAGGCAGCGTGGTGGTGAGAGAGGACTCGCTTCTGCGCTAATGGGGATCGCCATAGCTTCAATGACTATAAAATCAGGACCTGTCGTATCTGCATAGCCTGTCTTAGAGGTTTACGGGACGCTCAGCTCAATAGAGTGGGATAATCTATGGGTCTCTAGTACCTCATGCATTTACTGTACCTTATTTTGATAACCTGTTTATAGGTCTGACTTCTGTTATTTCATGTATAGGCATTGTCAGCTTAAAATCATGAGATCTTAAATTTGGAGAGGAGACTTTATTTCTTATAACGAGTTGCAGCTTGCAGGGTGGCCATCATGACA